>NC_000012.12:77460128-79960128 GCF_000001405.40 Homo sapiens
TACCCAGGCAAACAGGGTCTGGAGTGGACCTCCAGCAAACTCCAACAGACCTGCAGCTGAGGGTCCTGACTGTAAGAAGGAAAACTAACAAACAGAAAGGACATCCACTCCAAAACCACATCTGTACGTCACCATCATCAAAGACCAAAGGTAGATAAAACCACAAAGATGGGGAGGAACCAGAGCAGAAAAGCTGAAAATTCTAAAAATCAGAGCGCCTCTTCTCCTCCAAAGGAATGCAGCTCCTTGCCAGCAATGGAACAAAGCTGGACGGAGAATGACTTTGACAAGTTGAGAGAAGATGGCTTCAGACGTTTGGTAATAACAAACTTCTCTGAGCTAAAGGAGGATGTTAGAACCCATCGCAAAGAAGTTAAAAACCTTGAACAAAGATTAGACGAATGGCTAACTAGAATAACCAGTGTAGAGAAGACCTTAAATGACCTGATGGAGCGGAAAACCATGGCACGAGAACTATGTGACCCATGCACAAGCTTCAGTAGCCGATTTGATCAAGTGGAAGAAAGGGTATCAGTGATTGAAGATCAAATGAATGAAATGAAGTGAGAAGAGAAGTTTAGAGAAACAAGAGTAAAAAGAAATGAAGAAACCTTCCAAGAAATATGGGACTATGTGAAAAGACCAAATCTATGTCTGACTGGTGTACCTGAAAGTGATGGGGAGAATGGAACCAAGTTGGAAAACACTCTTCCGGATATTATCCAGAACTTCCCCAATTTAGCAAGGCAGGCCAACATTCAAATTCAGGAAATACAGAGAATGCCACAAAGATACTCCTCGAGAAGAGCAACTCCAAGACACATAATTGTCAGATTCACCAAAGTTGAAATGAAGGAAAAAATGTTAAGGGCAGCCAGAGAGAAAGGTCGGGTTACCCACAAAGGGAAACCCATCAGACTAACAGTGGATCTCTCTACAGAAACTCTGCAAGCCAGAAGAGAGTGGGGGCCAATATTCAGCATTCTTAAAGCAAAGAATTTTCAACCCAGAATTTCATATCCAGCCAAACTAAGCTTCACAAGTGAAGGAGAAATAAAATCCTTTACAGACAAGCAAATGCTGAGAGATTTTGTCACCACCAGGCCCGCAATACAAGAGCTCCTGAAGGAAGCACTAAACATGGAAAGGAACAACCAGTACCAGCAACTGCAAAAACATGCCAAATTGTAAAGACCATCGATGCTAGGGAGAAACTGCATCAACTAATGAGCAAAATAACCAGTTAACATCATAATGAGAGGATCAAATTAACACATAATAATATTAACCTTAAATATAAATGTGCTAAATGCTCCAATTAAAAGACACAGACTGGCAAATTGGACAGAGTCAAGACCCATCAGTGTGCTGTATTCAGGAGACCCATCTCACATGCAGAGACACACATAGGCTCAAAATAAAGGGATGGAGGAAGATCTATCAAGCAAATGGAAAACAAAAAAAAGCAGGGGTTGCAATCCTAGTCTCTGATAAAACAGATGTTAAACCGACAGAGATCAGAAGAGACAAAGAAGGCCATTACATAATGGTAAAGGGAATCAATTGAACAAGAAGAGCTAACTATCTTAAATATACATGCACCCAATACAGGAGCAACCAGATTCATAAAGCAAGTCCTTAGAGACCTACAAAGAGACTTAGACTCCCACACAATAATAATGGGAGACTTTAACACCCCACTGTCAACATTAGACAGATCAATGAGACAGAAAGTTAACAAAGATATCCAGGAATTGAACTCAGCTCTGCACCAAGTGGACCTAATAGACATCTACAGAACTCTCCACCCCAAATCAACAGAATATACATTCTTCTCAGCACCACATCACACCTATTCCAAAATTGACCACACAGTGGGTAGTAAAGCACTCCTCAGCAAATGCAGAAAAACATAAATCATAACAAACATTTTCTCAGACCACAGTGCAATCAAATTAGAACTCAGGATTAAGAAACTCACTCAAAACCGCTCCACTACATGGAAACTGAACAACCTGCTCCTGAATGACTACTGGGTAAATAACGAAATGAAGGCAGAAATAAAGATGTTCTTTGAAACCAATGAGAACAAAGATACAACATACCAGAATCTCTGGGACACATTTAAAGCAGTGTGTAGAGGGAAATATATAGCACTAAATGCCCACAAGAGAAAGCAGGAAAGATCTAAAATCTACACCCTAACATCACAATTAAAAGAACTAGAGAAGCAAGAGCAAACACATTCAAAAGCTAGCAGAAGGCAAGAAATAACTAAGATCAGAGCAGAACTGAAGGAGATAGAGACACAAAAAACCCGTCAAAAAATCAATGAATCCAGGAGCTGGTTTTTTGAAAAGATCAACAAAATTGATAGACCGCTAGCAAGACTAATAAAGAAGAAAAGAGAGAAGAATCCAATAGATGCAATAAAAAAATGATAAAGGGGATATCACCACCGATCCCACAGAAATACAAACTACCATTGGAGAATACTATAAACATCTCTATGCAAATAAACTAGAAAATCTAGAAGAAATGGATAAATTCCTCGACACATACACCCTCCCAAGACTAAACCAGGAAGAAGTTGAATCCCTGAATAGACCAATAACAGGCTCTGAATTTGAGGCAATAATTAATAGCCCACCAACCAAAAAAAGTCCAGGACCAGACAGATTCACAGCTGAATTCTACCAGAGGTACAAGGAGGAGCTGGTACCATTCCTTCTGAAACAATTCCAATCAATAGAAAAAGAGGGAATCCTCCCTAACTCATTTTTTGAAGCCAGCATCATGCTGATACCAAAGCCTTGCAGATACACAATAAAAAAAAGAGAATTTTAGACCAATATCCCTGATGAACATTGATGCAAAAATCCTCAATAAAATACTGGCAAACCGAATCCAGCAGCACATCAAAAAGCTTATCCACCATGATCAAGTGGGCTTCATCCCTGGGATGCAAGGCTGGTTCAATATATGCAAATCAATAAACGTAATCCAGCATATAAACAGAACCAAAGACAAAAACCACATTATTATCTTAATAGATGCAGAAAAGGCCTTTGACAGAATTCAACAGCCCTTCATGCTAAAAACTCTCAATAAACTATGTATTGATGAGACGTATCTCAAAATAATTAGAGCTATTTACAACAGACCCACAGCCAATATCCTACTGAATAGGCAAAAACTGGAAACATTCCCTTTGCAAACTGGCACAAGACAGGGATGCCCTCTCTCACCACTCCTATTCAACGTAGTACTGGAAGTTCTGGCCAGGGCAATCAGGCAGGAGAAAGAAATAAAGGGTATTCAATTAGGAAAAGAGGAAGTCAAATTGTCCCTGTTTGCAGATGACATGATTGTATATTGAGTAAACCCTCTCATCTCAGCCCAATATCTCCTTAATCTGATAAGCAACTTCAGCAAAGTCTCAGGATACAAAATGTGCAAAAATCACAAGCATTCTTATACGCCAATAACAGACAAACAGAGCCAAATCATGAATGAACTCCCATTCACAATTGCTTCAAGAGAATAAAATACCTAGGAATCCAACTTACAAGGGATATGAAGGACGTCTTCAAGGAGAACCACAAACCACTGTTCAAGAAAATGAAAGAGGACACAAACAAATGGAAGAACATTCCATGCTCATGGATAGGAAGAATCAATATCATGAAAATGGCCATACTGCCCATGGTAATTTAAAGATTCAATGCCATCCTCATTAAGCTACCAATGCCTTTCTTCACAGAATTGGAAAAAACTACTTTAAAGTTCACATGGAACCAAAAAAGAGCCCACATTGCCATTACAATCCTAAGGAAAAAGAACAAAGCTGGAAGCATCATGCTACCTGACTTCAAACTATACTACAAGGCTGCAGTAACCAAAGCAGCATGGTACTGTTACCAAAACAGACATACAGACCAATGGAACAGAACAGAGCCCTCAGAAATAATACCACACATCTACAACCTTCTGATCTTTGACAAACCTGACAAAAACAAGAAATAGGGAAAGGATTCCCTATTTAATAAATGGTGCTGGGAAAACTGGCTAGCCATATGTAGAAAGTTGAAACTGGATCCCTTCCTTACACTTTATACGAAAATTAATTCAAGATGGATTAAAGACTTAAATGTTAGACCTAAAACCATAAAAACCCTAGAAGAAAACCTAGACAATACCATTCAGGGCATAGACATGGGCAAGGACTTCATGACTAAAACAACAAAAGCAATGATAACAAAAGCCAAAATTGACAAATGGGATCTAATTAAACTAAGGAGCTTCTGCACAGCAAAAACAAAACAAAACAAAACAAAACAAAACAATCATCAGAGTGAACAGGCAACCTACAAAATGAGATAAAATTTTTACAATCTACCCATCTGACAAAGGGCTAATATCCAGAATCTACAAAGAACTTAAATTTACAAGAAAACATCAGACAACCCCATCAAAAAGTAGGTGAATGATATGAACAGACACTTCTCAAAAGAAGACATTTATGTAGCCAACAGACACATGAAGAAATGCTCATCATCACTGGCCATCAGAGAAATACAAATCAAAACCACAATGAGATACCATCTCACACCAGTTAGAATGGCGATCATTAAAAAGTCAGGAAACAACAGGTGCTGGAGAGGATGTGGAGAAATAGGAACGCTTTTACACTGTTGGTGGGACTGTAAACTAGTTCAACCATTATGGAAGACAGTGTGGCAATTCCTCAAGGATCTAGAACTAGAAATACCATTTGACCCATCTATCCCATTACTGGGTATATACCCAAAGGATTATAAATCATGCTGCTATAAAGACACTTGCACACATATGTTTATTGTGGCACTATTCACAATAGCAAAGACTTGGAACCAACCCAGATGTCCATCAATGATAGACTGGATTAAGAAAATGTGGCACATATACACCATTGGAATACTATGCAGCCATACAAAAGGATGAGTTAATGTCCTTTGTAGGGACATGGATGAAGCTGGAAACCATCATTCTCAGCAAACTATTGCAAGGACAAAAACCAAACACCGCATATTCTCAGTCATAGGTGTGGATTGAACAATGAGAATACTTGGACACAGGAAGGGAAACATCACACACTGGGGCCTGTCATGGGGTGTTTGGAAGGTGGAGGGATAGCATTAGGAGATATACCTAATGTAAATGACGAGTTAATGGGTGCAACACACCAACATGGCACATGTATACATATGTAACAAACCTGCACATTGTGCACATGTACCCTAGAACTTAAAGTATAATAATAATAATAATAATAATAATAATAAATACATATATAAAGAGAAGCAGGAAAAAAGAACGAAAATCTTACAAAAGCAAAACAAAAGACCCAGTAATTCAGGAATTCTCTCATTTCCTATTTTATGTCAAATGAATCTGACTAACTCTCCTTAAATATTTCCATAAGTAATTACAGGAAGAGAAAAGACAAAAAGACACTGACACTACGTAAAAATTCTCTCTCAAATATATAATGCCTAATTTCTTTCTCTCAGAAGCAATATGGCGCCCTTCTGTGACTTTCTCTATGTTGTAATTCATGTGTCAGGAATCCCAGTTGATTTCACTTTGTAGTTGGCCATAAAGAATATTGAGTTCTTTTGGGACTGCGGTGAGATGCAGGTTACAGACACAATGCTTGATGTGCCTTGGGGTGATGCAGCTAATAGTTCTACTCCTTGGCAGTCACTCTGGAAGGAATGTTTTTACAATCAATCACTGGCTCACTGTGAGTCCTTAATGATGTGGACCCTCTGATGTTCAAGTTCATGGTCCTGAGTAAAAACTAATCCAAGGGTTGAAACCAAGCAAAGGGTAGATAGAGCAGAATCCATTTTTATTAGCCCTGCTTTTTAAAAAATGTCTGGATAGAGAATTACCCCACAAATAACTGAACAAGGTTGACTTCTGCTGCTGACCTCAGAAGTCTTCTTGACAACCATCTCTAACAATGAACTTTGGGAAAATCTTAATAGTCTCTTCCCCATTATGTGTTTGTTTGGATAAAGTCCCAGTGCACCAGTTTCCTAAATTCAAATGTGGTAGGTGTATGTCCATGATGAGAAAAAACAGTATATGACTGTTGGCGAGGTGAGATTGCTATAGGGGTTTGAGATAGAATAAACACATTGACCCATTTTGTACACTCCACTGTAATGAAGAATGATTATGCTAATTGATGTAGGTTCTTGATCAGGGCTTTGGGCTCTACATATAGCTACAAGAAGCAGAAACCTCCCTGAAGATCCATGTTGCATATTAGCGAAGCAGTTTTTATTGGTACCTGCTGTCCTGTTGTGACAATTTTGAGAGAGAAACTATTCTGGAGGCCCCTGAGGCTCCTTTCTACCTTAAGGCCTCTGAATTTAATATTCTCTCCCCTAGAAGCTCTTGACCCAGATCTTCTCTAGACAGGAGCCTTTCCATTGTTTGGAGACCTGCCTAAATGTCTGTTTTTTCAGAGGTTCCTCCTTTCCTGATATTAAAATAAAGCAGTACTCCTGTCACTATCACCTCAGCTGTTTTGGATAACACTGTCACTCTGTTGATTTGTTTGTGTACCTGTTGTCTGTTTTTCCATCTTGCCACTAGAATGAAAGATCCATGGAGAAGGAGAGATCTTGCCTTTCTGTTTGGTGCTGTGTTCCCTACGTAGATAATAGGTGCTTAAAAAATAAGTATTGAATAAATCTGTTGACATGCAGATAACAGCCAACTCGAGGTTTTCATTTATAGCTATTTATAAGTAATAATAGTAATAATAACAACACTCTAAAATCTTTTGAGGGCTGTATGCCAGCACTACACCTCAGCATAGTGCTTTACCTACATTTTCTCATGTGAACTTCAAAATAATCTGAAAATGTAGATGCTCTCATTATTCCCATTCTGTAGATGCAGAAACTGAGGTTTCTGAAAGGTTCCTACCACTTGGCAAAAGCTTTCATAGCTGGTAAGTGGCAAAGCTGGGATTAAAATGCAGACAGCCTGATTATAAAGCCTTCGCAGCTATGTACTCCAGGCCCTGAGGCATTTTTCTCTGGAACTTGATACAATTTGTGAGCATTTCTTTCAGAACTTTCTTTCATGTGAGTAATTAAGAATATCTGATGGTTGACAGTGTGATCTGCTATGATAGTTTAGGAATTCCACTTACATTGAATGACCAAATCTCTTAAGGTGGCTCTTTTTCCCATACAGACTGCCTTCCATATTCTTAACATTTGGCAGACTGTAAAAATGTTAATTTTTATTGTTCAAGTCATATGAAACGTTTCTTGTTTTCTATTGTCTATTGGCAAAGTTTTTATTACTATTATTATACTTTACATTTTAGGGTACATGTGCACAACGTGCAGGTTTGTTACATATGTATACATGTGTCATGTTGGTGTGCTGCACCCATTAACTTGTTGTTTAGCATTAGGTATATCTCCTGATGCTATCCCTCCTCCCTCCCCCCTCCTCCCACCCCACAACAGTCCCCGGTGTCTGATGTTCCCCTTCCTTTGTCCATGTGTTCTCATTGTTCAATTCCCACCTATGAGTGATAACATGCAGTGTTTGGTTTTTTGTCCTTGTGATAGTTTGCTGAGAATGATGGTTTCTAGCTTCATCCATGTCCCTACAAAGGACATGAACTCATCCTTTTTTATGGCTGCATAGTATTCCATGGTGTATATGTGCCACACTTTCTTAATCCAGTCTATCAGTGTTGGACATCTGGGTTGGTTCCAAGTCTTTGCTATTGTGAATAGTGCCGCAATAAACTTACGGGTGCATGTGTCTTTGTAGCAGCATGATTTATAATCCTTTAAAAAGTCAGGAAACAACAGGTGCTGGAGAGGGTGTGGAGAAATAGGAACACTTTTACACTGTTGGTGGGACTGTAAACTAGTTCAACCATTGTGGAAGTTGGTGTGGCGATTCCTGAGGGATCTAGAACTAGAAATACCATTTGACCCAGCCATCCCATTACTGGGTATATACCCAAAGGATTATAAATCATGTCTATTGGCAAAGTTTTTAAGCTTAAATGTATTGTTTATACAAGATGCTTCTTTACTTTTTGATACATGTGGTAGTGTTGTTTCGTTGGCTAGCAGTTTCTTTTTAGTTGTTGTAACTGTCAAATTTGGTTCAGTCAAGGGCTTTCAAAAGTGTTTACCTGTGATCTCCACATATAAGCAAATCAAAGGTAACATTCTCTTAGAAGTCTCTCAGTTCTCAGTGTTGAGACATTTGCCATGTTTGTGTCATATATACACAGTAGTGCCCTATAGTGGTGACTCCATTTGAATGACAGTGCAAAATAAAAAGTATACCTTCGGCCGGCGCGGTGGCTTATGCCTGTAGTCCCAGCACTTTGGGAGGTCAAGGCAGGCAGATCACGAAGTCACGAGATGGAGACCATCCTGGCTAACACGGTGAAACCCTGTCTCTACTAAAAATACAAAAAATAATTAGCCAGGTGTGGTGGTGGGCGCCTGTAGTCCCAGCTACTCGAGAGGCTGAGGCATAAGAATGGCGTGAACCCGGGAGGCGGAGCTTGCAGTGAGCCTAGATCGCACCACTGCACTCCGGCTTGGGTGACAGCGAGAATCCGTCTCAAAAAAAAAAAAAAAAAATTATATATATATATATATATATATATATATATATATATATATATATGTGTGTGTGTGTGTGTGTGTGTGTGTGTGTGTGTGTGTGTGTGTGTGTGTATGTGTGTGTATATATGTTTATATATATAGTGTATATATGTATACACACACAAACACCCACACACACGCACACACCTTCAGTTGACCCACAAAATGATGCCTCAACTTTCTGTGAGGCTGAGGTTGTGAGGGGTCTTCACATGGCAAGTATTTGATTTTGACAGGCCCCCAGAAAAATATCAAACCAGGTAGCTTGTGTGAATCACAGTCTATAAACTTAAGTGTACTGATAATACTGCATTTATTCATATTTTGTCAGTAACTGAATTCCAATTTGCAGATCCCAGTGGTACAGTGGGAAATTCAAGCTCATTTACAAATGTTGTGTGCTCTCCTTCCTTCAGAGCTGTGCTGAGGTCCCAGGCTTATCTATACCCAGAAACACAATGGTGCTCCCTCATGTCTTCCTTCATCATTGTGCGGTGGTGACACTGAGGGATGCCACCATTTTCAAGCCAAATGTTTTCTTTGGGTTCTTATTCCATTAATTCCATGCCATAATTTGGGCTCAGGAATCTTAAGCAAAGTTGACAATCCAGGAGCCTTAGTAGCTAGGATCTTCTCTACCTTTGTGTATCTCGAAGCAGTCCCCCTACTAGGCTCTGACCACCTCCCTGATGCAGAGTGGATGCCAGTCCCTAGATCTCTGTCCTCTTCCTAAACAGGCATTCTTCCTTCCCCCACCTCAGGGCTTCTCAAAATTACTTTCGAGGAGTCAGTCCAAATCTCCAAAATAAGAAATTGCAAGGGAAAACAATATTTCAACAAATTTTTGTCACAGTAGAGTGCCATTTAGAAGATAAATTTTAGGAAACAGCCTGACTTATGTCCATTCATCTTATGTAACTAGCCATTTTGAAGGCCTATTCTAAGATGATGTCATCATCTAAAGTGATATGTAGGTTGGACTCTATCCAAAATTGTTTGGAGCAGGTTTCAGGAGATTCTCTTCAAAAATGCTGTTGTCATCAGAGCCTGATTCTCATCGTGAGAAAAATGATTAGTTGGGTAGCACTAAAAAGCAAAGAAACAAAATAAGCACAGGTCTTTTACCTGGTGTGTGCAGGGGCGGGTGGGGGGCATTTGTGGCTCCCATACTATTTTGGCTCATCCTTGTTTCTGCAAAATAGCAGACAATTAAGGAATTCAAATTGGCTAACATTCCTCACTGATACTGAATCATAGCACTCATGGACACATATCAGAGCAGCAGGATTGGTGAGGTGGGAGGAGAGCCTCCCAATGTACCTTCAGGCCTCCTCAGAAATAGCATTCCTTAGAGGAGCAATTTTCTCCATTTGGATAGTAAAAAGGAAAGGCTTGCATATATCTGACCATTATAGTACCACAAACACCAGCTGGCCATAGATAAATATAAAATAGACCTAGAAAGAGAGCTTTCTACTTGTGTTCATGTATAATTTGTTAGAAAAGTATCTTTTTTTTTCACCTTTTTTCTTGTTACTATCATTGTGGATATGCTTAGATATTTGGCATTTGGATAAGAATAAGTGTCATTCTCATTGTTTACTTGTGGCAATTCTCTTGTCTTGCTGCAACTGTTATTGAAGCCTTACTTCCAATTTCACTTTGAAAAGCACATAATAATGGCATTAATTTTGCTTTGATCTGAGGCTTTCTCTGATGACTGAATACTATAATTTGCCCAATGCGCTGACTTTGATATGTTTTTCTTGATTAAGCTTACATAGGTATTGCATGTCACAACTGGTGGGCTATAATAATTTTATAGTTGACTGAATGTCAAATTAAAAATGTGTATGAGATAGTTAAGGATCCTATCCCAGTTAATTATTCACATGGGATTCCTAAAATTTTGTGTTAATGAGCTGAAACATTCTGAAGACCAAATGCCTGGAATGTTTTAAAAGGGAGAATGAGAGAACCTACAAACTAGAAAATTCAAATAAAGAATAACAGAATAGGCCAGGCATGGTGGCTCATGCCTCTAATCCCAGCACTTTGGGAGGCTGAGGCTGGTGGATCATGAGGTCAGGAGTTCGAGACCAGCCGGGCCAAGATGGTGAAACCCCATCTCTGCTAAAAATACAAAAATTAGCCGGGCATGGTGGTGGGCACCTGTAATCCCAGCTACTCAGGAGGCTGAGGCAGAGAACTTCTTAAACCCGGGAGGCAGAGGTTGTAGTGAGCTGAGATTATGCCACTGTACTCCAGCCTGGGCAACAGAGCCAGACTCTGTCTCAAAAAAAAAAAAAAAAAAAAAAAAAAGAATAACAGCTCACTTTTAGGGGTAAAGAAAAAAAAGAGTAACAGCTCACTTTTAGGGGTAAGAAAAAAAAAGAATAACCGCTTACTTTTTGGAGTAAAGAACATTCTTGCTATTAATCAGTATCATTTGTGTGTGTGGCTCAAGTCATGTGCATTGATAATAGCTTTTTGGCAAAAACGGACCTAACCTGCTCATTGGAATTCAGTGCATAGTAATTGGTGGATGAATGAATGAATGAGCCAGTAAGTTATTTTTTCTTCTTTGGCTCTGATTCACTCTTTGACTGATTGAAACCTGTGATTCTAGGGAAGATCATGAGCAGTGATGTCAGAAATCTCAAAATCTCTTGTTCAAAACGAGGGCAAGTCATTTACTTCTCTGAATCACTATTTCCTCATTTATAAAATAAGGAAAATTATTCTTACCTCTTAGTAGTTGTTTGGGGTCCAAATAGGTTGATTTTATATGTATATCTGTATCTGTCTATCATCTATCTATCTATCTATCTATCTATCTATCTATCTATCTATCTATCTGCTGTATACATTCTAAAGTGCTCCACAGTATTGGGATTCTATCTTCCCATTTGAGACTGTTGCAATTTCCCAGCAGTCCACAGCCATTCTAACTCAATTGAAAGAGTTTTATAGAGATTTTGTTCTGTGTCTTTGATTGCTTCTCAAGGTCATTGAAGGACAGTCTGATAATTGCGTTTTCCATGTTGATATTAGAATAGTTTATTGTGAAGAGTAGCTTTAATAACCTATTTTTGGAGAGAAAAAAATAGGCTGAAAAAAGAGTATATCATAAGAATCCTAAAGACATTATGGAAAGTTTGAGCTCAGTTGTCATGGTGATAGGATTTTGCTCTAAGCAGCCAGGTGGTCCCATATGGCAGAAGACCACACTAAATGAAAGCTTTATTTTTTGAAATTGCAAAGAATCTTTATTTTAATCTTTCATTCATTTTATCATATGAGTCCCCACAAGCATTACTCAAAAATTTGTAGATGCCTATGCTTGGCTAGATTTCTAAATTATACAGAATTAAATATATAGCTTCATTCTGAGAATAAATATGGCAAATGGGTTATATGATATAAGCCTGTATTTACAGTTTCAGGAGCACTGAAGGTTTTGTAAAAATTCATTTTTATGAACTCTGAAAACTAAGTAAAAGCAA
Organism: Homo sapiens; assembly: GCF_000001405.40. Classification (NCBI taxonomy): domain Eukaryota; kingdom Metazoa; phylum Chordata; class Mammalia; order Primates; family Hominidae; genus Homo; species Homo sapiens. The sequence continues at coordinate 77,472,343 of NC_000012.12, forward strand.
AAGGATAATAGAAAAGTTACATGTGCTAGAAGTATTTAGGAGGAACATGGGAAAAAGGCTGATAATATCTTTTATGTCTCTGGTTTAATGTCTCATTTAAGGAAATCACTTGGCATCCAAATAGAAAGGAAAAAGTGAAATTGTCTGTTTTTTGATAGCCTGATCTTTATATGTCAACAACCCTAAAAACTTTACTAAAAAAAAAAAAAACAGAACTAATAAACAAATACAGTAAGGTTGCAAGATACAAAAGCGACATACAAAAATCAGTGTTTCTTTAACAACCAACTATGTGAAAAAGAAATTAAGGAATCAATCCCATTCACAATAGCATCAAAAACAATACTTAGGAATAAAATTTAACCAAGGAGGTAAAAAAATTATATACTGAAAACTATAAAACAATGATAATAAACAGCAGACAATAAAAATATATGGAAAATTATTTGTGTTCATGAATTAGAAGAATTAATATTGTTAAAAGGTCCATACAGCCCAAGGTGATCTACAGATTCAGTGCAATCCCTATCAAAATACCAATGTTATTTTTCACAGAAATAGAGAAAACAATTGTAAGATTTGTATGGAACCACAAAAGACTGCAAATAGCCAAAGCCATCTTGAGCAAAAAGAACAAAGCTAGAGGCACAGCACCACCCAACTTCAAATTTTATTACAAAACTATAGTAATCAAAATGGTACTAGCATGAAAACACACATTGACCTATGGAACAGAATAGCCTAGAAATGAACCCATGCATTTATGGTCAATTGATTTTTGACAAAGGTGCTAGGAACACACAATGGAGAAAGGACAGCCTCTTGCATAAATGGTGCTGGGAAAACAGGATATCTGCATATAGAAGAATAAAATTAGTCACTTATCTCATACCATATACAAAAATCAAAAATGGATTAGATTAAAACATAAGACCTGAAACTATAAAACTGCTATCAGAAAACATAGGGGAAATGCTCCATGACCTTGGTCTGGGCAAAGATTTTTTGTATATGACCCCCCCCAAAATACAGGCAACAAAAGCAAAAATAAACAAATGGGATTGCATCAAACTTAAAAGCTCCTGCATAGCAAAGGCAACAATAAAGGGAAGAGACAACCTTTGGATTGGGAGAAAATATTTGCAAACCATACATCTGATAAAGAGTTAATATCCAAAGTGTATAAGCAACTTAGTGAAAAAACAAGGAACTCAGTTAAAAAGAGGGCAAAGGACCTGAATACATATTGTTCAAAATAAAACACATACAAATGGCCAATGGATACATGGAAAAATGTTCAACATAACTAATTACCAGGGAAATACAAATAAAATGCATGATGAAATATTGCACACCTGTTAGAATGACTGTTATCAAAAAGACGAAAGGTAAATGGCAAGCATGTGGAGAAGAGGCAATCTTTGTGCACTATTGGTGAGCATGTAAATTAATACAGCCACTGTGGAAAACAGTTTGAAGGTTCCTCAGAACACCAAAATCAGAATGACCAGGTGATCCAGCAATTCCACTTCTGGGTATATATCCAGAGAAATTGAAATTAGTGTGCCAAAAAGATATCTGCACTCCTATATTCATTGCAGCATTAATCATAGTAGCCAAGATATGGAAGCAACCTAGATGCCCATTATCAAATGAATGGATAAAGAAAATGCTGTATATATATATACACAATGGAATATTATTCAGCTTTTTAAAAGGTGGAAATTCTGTCATTTGTAATCACATGGATAAACCTGGAAGAAATTATGCTGAGTGAAATAAGCCAGGAACAGAAAGCCAGATAGCACATGATCTCACTTATGTGGAATCTCAAAGTCAAACCCATAGAGGTAGAGAGTATATTGGTGGTTACCAAAGGTTGGGGGAAGGGGGTGGCTGAGGGAGGGAAGATGTTGATCAAAGAATATACAGTTTTAGTTAGACAGGAAGAATACACTTTAGTGATCTATTGCACAGAAAGGTGACTATAATAAAAATGCATTATATATTTCAAAGTTACTAAAATAGTAGATTTTAAATGTTTTAACCCATCAAAATAATAAGTATGTGAGCTGACAGATTTGTTAATTAGCTTCATTTATCCATTCCATAATGTAAATTTATATCAAAACATCACATTATATCAAATAAATATATAATATATACAATTATTTGTCAGTAGTTGAAATCAAAAAGAAAAAAATTACTTGAAGATGTTTTTTGTATAGTCTGAGTTATTTGAAAAGAGGATCCTAGCACTTCTTGAGTTTTTTTGTACTTAGAATATCCAGTAGTAAGTCCAGTCTGCAGATGTTCTGCATGGACTATTTTTCAATGACATTAAGCTACATCGTTACCTCGGTTCTTGACTCTGTGGCATCCTCACTCCCTTTTAATTTATGCTGCATTTTGTGTTGCTTGGCACTTTATGTGAACCTTCATTTAATCCTGAGTATGCCTATGGATACCATGAAATCGTCCTTCTCTTTTTAACTTGTCTGAGAAAGTTTCCCCATTTATATTTTCCACTGAAATCTTGCACCCATTTGGAGATGGATCTCCATGAAGCTACTGAAGCTTAAAATTCAGGGCTTCTCATTGCACAGATCCTTTCCTAGGCCTTCATGGGGCCTATTGGATTTTGCATTCATAGTTTTATTTTTTAAATGGGGACTCCAAAATTGGTTGATTTTTAGACCCCCACAAAACTTGGACCCGCCCTAACTTCTGTTGCTGTAGACTACTGAAAGGTCAAAACTATCAGTGTGTAAGTTTGTAAGTTCTTGTACAAACACAATTTGTTGGAATTCCTTGTACAAACACTATTTGTTAATCTCTTTTCCATGAAAATCTCTTTGGTTTCTGTTTTTCCCCCGTTTTTGTGTTTTCTTGACAATTTCTTCTCATCTCCATTGTAAGCTGTTTTTCTGTCATTTCTACTGGCATTATCCAAGGGCCTATTCTTAGTCCCATCTCTTCTTCTACTTGAACTTTCTATGTAATACATCCCTACTCAAGCCTTCAAAATATTCACAAGTCTGCACTGTATAATTCTGTAGCCAGTAGCCACATATGGCTACTTAGCACTTGAAATGTGGCTAGTGCCATGTGCTAGAAAGAAACTTTATAGACATTGGGTACAATCAAATATAACTCCTTTTGTTCCTTTTTACTTTTTAAAATGTTACCGTTAGAAAATATAGAATTTCTTACGTGATTTGCCTTATATTTTTGTTTAACAGCACTAAAAGCTGCTGATAGCTGCAAATCTCTATCTCCAGTCCAGATGCCTCACTGGGATTTCAAGCATGAAAATCCTACTGGATATCTCCCCCTGGGCATCTCATGAGGTCTTGGACTGAACCCATCACTTCCTTAGTGAATTGTTATTTCTGCTTATCTTGATTGGAGGAATCCACTATCTTTCAATTCACCAAAACTAGAAACTGGCATATCATACTTGCTTGATTCCACCCTTTTGCTCATGCAGATATCTAAGCAATCACAAATCTTAATCAATTTGATCTTGTAATTATATTTTAGGTACATTCTTTTCATCCTCACTGCATTTAACCCGGTTTGGGCTCTTATAATTTCTTGCCTGAAATACTGCAAGAAACTTACAAGTATTTTGTCCCCCATTCAATACCCCTAAAACATATTTTCTGTTGCTGATGGTTTATATATGACAAAATGTAAGCAGACTTCTAAAAAAAAAAAAAACCCCACCGAAAACAGGTGGCTTCTTTGGAGAGGTTGCTGTAACTTTAGGAGGGGAGAAGTACACTATTTTAGGTATACAGCAAACACCTTATATATATGGAGTTGATTGCTATATCACATTATCAATCCCTACCCCCAAACTGCCAACTCCATCAGAAGATATGCAGGATTCTCAATTTTCACTGCCTAGTAAAGTGACTCTGAATTCTCTAAGAATGTGGGTGAAGTCACAATGATCTTACAGTTTTTTAAGTTTCTCCCTTTACTATTCTCTTTGATAAACTCACAGTAAATAGGCAGCTGCTTGTGTATAGGACAACCTTATGCCTTAACATCCCTTTGCTGCTTACTCTTCTATATCTGTTTTGGTGACTATTTTAGATTGCCAATACTCAGAGTGTAGAAAGTGAATTTGCTTAAACAACCTGGTGCATGTTGGAAATCAATAAATTTATTTTTAATTATGATTATGTTCCCATATTAATATTTATGAAGGTAAGTTCTAAGGAAAGTGACTATTAATCTTCCAATAGCAGAAGGTTAGTGGTGAGACAAATTAAATTACAAATTAACCAAATGTTTTCTTTTAATTGTTGATTCTGCTACATTAAAATTCCTGTCTTCTTTGGCAATGCATGAGTTCATCAACATCTTTACTATTTTTTCTCTTTAGGGTTTGTGCATATTATATAAAATTAGTATCTGGCATTTAGTGATTCAAACTTTGAGGCAGACACACTAGAGATACTATACCATTTAGCTTATTTAAAGAGGGAATTTTTTTTTCATAGAAAATGCCCAGCATAGCATAAAACATTAAAGAGAAAAAGGAGCCGTCATCTTCAAATGTAGAAATAAATGATCTTGCTTGTGTCATGAGTCCAGTGATACATGGCTGGAATCATGTTTTGTCTTTCAAAGGTATAAAGGATCTCTGTTCTCCATTGACAGCTCTCTACTTTGGTGTGATTCATTTCCATTTAAATTTTATATCAAATATGCATTCAATTATTTAGATTTCAATACAATTTAATAAGTATTCTTATTAAAGTTCTCTATTGCGAACCCTTCAATTTTACTTCTGATGCTGAACAAGGCTTGTCGGGATGATTACATTAATAATACATTGCTATCCAAAATTAAAGTGCAGAGTAGAGAACATGCTAATAGGTTTCATTGATTTCAACTTGGAAATGGGTGCAGGCAATCAGAAAGCAGGTGCAAACCTGACTAGCAATGATCTACTGTGAGAATATTGAGCCAGGATCAGTAGCAAGATTCATAGTTGTGATCTGAGTTAGAAAAAATGTTAAATATAATGAAGCTGGAGCAATTAAAGCCTTTTGGGAGAAATGTGAATGCTTCATTATGCTTTTCAGATGGTGGTTTCATGTGATGAGTTCTAAACTCTGAGGGATTTTATTGGTTGTCTTCTATTTTCCTAGATGTTAGCTACACATAGAATTCTCATTTTAGCTTTCTAAAAAATTATTCAAATTAGAGGTTAAGGACACAGCTCAAAATATTCAAAAGGCATTCCGCCCATGCACTATTTGTTTAAGTTAAATTGGATTCAATTTAAACATTTGTAAAACTGCTCTGTCATTAAGACGACTGTGCTGTAGTTGAATATACTACTTTATTTCTGGCCTTAAATACCTGAAAGAAAAGACGATATTTTCCAAAAATTTCTTGGAGTTATTTGGAGGGAAGGGCCTCTTAAAATACAAGGCAAACCGTAGTAATATTTGTAATTTCCCCTTTGTATTTCTCAATCCTATTTTCCCTTCTTTTTGAAGTATGCCCCTTCTGCTTGATTTGCACACGTACAGATACTGTACTTCTTGATGGCCCTATACAGGAAATAATTCAAGTGATGATCATCAGTAACCTTCAATAACACATAGAAATTGGACTCACTGGAAATCAAGAGGTTCATGTGGTTTCTTCAGACAGCTTACAATGCATGGTGGAAGTAGACAATATCAAGGATTAGGCCTCTGTGTTCTACACCTGAAAACATCACATGTGGCTGAGGGGCTGCCATATGGGCAAGTCTTTGGAATTTGTAGCCCATGGTTAGAATAGAGTTGTTGCGAGGATTATTTGAGTTAATTTATTTAAATCTCTTGGAACAAGACCTAGCACATAGTATGCATCCCATAAATGCTAACCTTCATTGTTGTCATTATTGCAAAATCCTGGTACCCACTTTCCCAAGAGTGGCATTTTAAAGCAGGTTGTTGCCCCATACTGACATAGCCTCCATTGTCATTCATTCTAGCAGAATCTCTTTCCTTTCTTTTGCATTCCTGCTGCAACACCATGCTGCAACTAGTTTCTTTTCATTCCTTCCTGGGAAATTTGATTTTGGAGCCACTATCCACCAAATTCTATTTTGTTTTTTTAATTTTTAATTTTTGTGGGTACATAGTAGGTGTGTATATTTATGAGGTGTGTATATATATGTAGGTGTGTATATTTATTGATACAGGCATGCAATGTCTAATAATTATATCATGGAAGATCGAATATCCATCCCCTCAAGCATTTATCCTTTGTGTTACAAACAATCCAATAACACTCTTAGTTATTTTAAAATGAACAATTAAATTATTACTGACCCTATTGTGCTATCAAATGCTAGGCCATATTTATTCATTCTAACTATTTTTTGTACCTATTAACTATCTCCCCCACCCCACCGCCCCAACCTACTAACCTTCTAGCCTCTGGTAACCATCCTTCTATCTCCATGGTTTTAATTGTTTTGATTTTTAGGTCCCACAAATAAGTAAGAACATGCAATGTTTGTCTTTTCATGCCTGACTTTTTTGCTTAACCTAATGACCTCCAGTTCCATCTATGTTGTTGCAAATGACTGAATCTTATTCTTTTTTATGGCTGAATAGTACTGCATTGTGTACATGTGCCACATTTTCTTTATCCATTCATCTGTTGATGGACATTTAGATTGCTTCCAAATTTTGGCTACTGTGAAGAGACACACAATATTGGAGTGCAGATATTTCTTCAATATATTGATTTCCTTTCTTTTGGGTATATACCCAGCAGTGGGATTGCTGAATTGTATGGTAGCTCTATTTTTAGTTTTTCAAGGAACCTCCAAACTTCTCCATAGTGGTTGTACTAATTTACGTTGTACTAATTTACACCAACATTAAACGTGGGTTCCCTTTTCTCCATATCCTCTCCAACAGGATTGTTTATCTTTTGTCTATCCACCAGTTTAAGAGGAGGTGTGGGTAATGTCAGAACATGCATTTTATTCACTTTATTGAGTGGGAAGACTGCTCTTACTTGAGCAAGGACCACGTCTACTTCTATAGCCGATTCTTATACTGGAAATGTTGGAAGTACGTAGAAAGGACAAAAGAGAATCTCACCACTGAGGCTGCCTTCTTAAGTCATCTCAACTATTATTTTACTGGTACAGTTTTAGCTTTTGATGGTCTTTCAAGTTTCAAAAGAATAGGAGATCTCTTCTATTGCTCATGAGCCTTACAATTTGTGTGATTTTAATCAAGTTACTTAACCTCTAAGGCTGTTTTTAAATCTATAAAATAAAGATAAAAAGGGTATCTACCTTACAAAATTACTAAAATTTTTAAATTCAGTGAATTTAATGTGCCCGGTTGATGATATGATCCTAATAACTTATTATATGATCCTAATTAGTTGTCACTGTTAACCCAGAAATATTCTTTATGGTAGATATTTGGCAAGATTCTGACACGTTCTTCAGGCTAGAGCTCTACTTACGACTGTAGCGCTTGGTGAAGTGGCATTAGAGCCACATGTGGGAAACGCACCAAGGCTAGCCTCAGACTGAAGTGGGAGCAGTGCCCATTCCATGGGCCACACCATCAGCAGCTGCCTCTTTCTAGCCTGTCACCTCACAGGGCTAAGAATTGTCCTGCTTTCTTCTGCTTTCTTTGTACCCAATGATGAAAATTAATTTGTTAATCTGTCCAACTTTGTTGCCTGCATAAGCATTGGTTTTGGTTAGCCAATGCTCAACCTTTGATTTCTTCAGAAAAGGACATATTTGATATAAAATAAATCGAGAAGGAAACATGTGAAGAGCAATTATAAATGAAGTTGTAAAAGGCAATCATGTTATCTGGTTGCCAGTAATCTTACTTGTTGCATAACAAAGAGCAGAAAAGCAGATGCTCTCCAATCCCTGTTCTTGATTAATATCTAATTAAATGGTAGAGCCATCATGGTAAAAACATTCACAGTGTTCTGCTGCCCATTGTACCTGCTGATGACTAAATAATAGTGAAGAATTTGGGGCCTTTTTTTCTGTATACAATTTTTGCTAGAGTAAGTGCAAAACCAGAAATTCAGCCATTAATTCACTGTAATCAGATTATTCCCTTGTGAATTTTGTTTTCTATACTGGAAAGTGTTTAATGCCATTATTGAACATCTTATGAAACCCTGTATCATTGTTATTTGGTTTATTTGATGGTAGTGTTCATTAGAGAGTTTGTAAGATATTGATAAAATGTGAAATTATCTGGTATTAAGCTGTCAATACATAATAATGAGCTTTCAATTATGTAATAAACTTTCTAATTATTCGTTTTAATTTTCTAAAGCATGAGTCACAAGACAATTTTCCCTGAATGAATAAGCACTAGAGAAATCATTTGAGGCCACAGTGTTATAATAAACAGCAATGGTACTTTAATTTTCTTTTACTAGTTTAGAGAATCTAAGAAGCTTTGGGAAATAACTTTGATTTTGTTATGGATATTTGAAGAAAAAAAGCTTGCAAAGGATTGTCACGTATTTCATTAGCTATGCTTTGGAAAGAAAGTAAACTTGGTGAATTATGGATACATAAACTCTTCAGAAATATTGTTCTTATCAACTAGATATTTGTAGATGTATTCTTAATTTTGTAATACCAGTCCATGAAATGAAATTATGGAGAATACCACAGTAAGCCATACTGACTATTAGGAAAAATATTTATTACATGACTATACATAAATTTATTTCCAATTTTACCTTTCCTATTTGAGAGAGGGAGAGAGAGAGAGTGCACGTGTGTGTGTGTATGTGTGTGAGAGAGATATGGTTTGGATCTGTGTCTCACCAAATCTGATGTCGAATTGTAATCCCCAGTGTTGGAGGTAGGTCCTGGTGGGAGGTGATTGGATCACGGGGGTGGAGTTCTTATGAGTGGTTTAGCACCATCCCCTCAGTTCTGTTCTTGTGATAGTGAGTGAGTGAGTTATGAAATCTGGTTGTTTTAAAAGTGTGTAGCACCTCCACCACTTCTTGCTCCTCCTCTGGCCATTTAAGACATAGTTGCGTCCCCTTCACGCCTTCTGCCATGGTTGTAAGTTTCCTGAGACCTCCCCAGAAGCAGAAGCCGCTATGTTTCCTGTACAGCCTGTATAACCATGAGCCAATTAAACCTCTTTTCTTCGTAAATTACCCAGTCTCAGGTATTTCTTTGTAACAGTGCGAGAACAGACTAATACTGTGTGTGTGTGTATTTGTGTTATCTTTATCACCTTGGATTCTTCTCCTCAACCACAATTCAATTGAGGTAGATTTATGTATCTCTGTTTCCTATTCATATTCGACTCTATACCTCTCATTTTTGTGATCCTCACTAGTGTTTGTAGTGGTATGGCTAGAAGGTGTCATGTGCAAAATTTGTTTTTTTTCCTAATCATTCAATTTAAAATATGAAACAACAGACCTAAAGCTGATTTGCTGGTGAGGCAATCATTGCTACAGGGAACAGATGTTATAAAATTGACTTGATGAATCATTCATCCTTCTAGCCTCCACCCCTCTTCATACTCATTGATCTTCAATTAACAGTATGTCTTGAAAAATTTCTGCACCACATTGTCTAAAGTGAAAGGAATATGTGAGAATCTACATTGTGCCTGAATTGCATGATGGATTACTAGTTTTTACTATGAAGTGGTTGAAGAAAAATCCAGGATTCTGTACTTTGATATTTATTCATTCATTCAACAAACAATTATTGAGTACCTGTGTGTCCAAGCATCATGTAGGTAAAATCATATTTATAAAATATGGCTACTTAACAGTTTGCTTGGAAATCATTTCAGTATGCCCATTCTAGATTTAGTTTACAAAAACACATGCATTCAAGTATATTCTAATATAGAAAAATATACAGAAATTCTAATACAGAAAATGGAAATACAGAACATAGAAAAGCACAGACTTCATGCGTCCAGTAACAAGTAATGTACTCTTACATTTTCTTGTTAAATAATTTTTCAATATGTACTCATAGGATATTGTTATGATTGATATAAAATTGTCACATTTATAGATTCCAAAAACTGGAAATAATTTATTTTGAACTTTTTTCCCTGTTATGTTTTTATTTATCTTGAAGTGTTTGTAGTTTGTTGCTTTTATTGGAATTCCTTTTATATGAGTAACTATATCTTGACAACTCCTGTTATATTCCCGAGTTCATGGATATAGATTCTATGCAGACTCTTGCAGATACTTCAGAATGAAAATAGTGAAAATAGGAGATGATGTGTGAAATGCTGCAGCAGTATTGATTGCCCTGCCACATGAACAGAAACAAACCAAATTACTGCTGTTATCCAGGTCTTTTAATAATTATGGGCAAAGGCCAAGGTTAAGCTGGAAGGTGAATTGCATTTAGAATGTTATATGACATGGATTTTCCAGAAAGGATGAAGATTTAAGACCTGGGGACATGGTGAGCTTTGCCATGTTATGTGGCACACATTTGTATGACCAAGTTTAAAAATCTTTTATATCAGGCAGACATGCCTCCTTGTCAAATGCTATCTTTTGAATTGTAAACAAGGTGGTTGAAAAATCATTACTTAAGAAAGAAAGTCACATAGGCGTTGATTAATACACATTATTGACAGAAGTTTGTGAAGCTACACCATTTGATCGATTTTTAAGATATACCATACCAAACACTGGAAAAATATTTCATCCACTTAGATCAGTAGCAATTGAAACTCTGGCTCATATGCTTCTAAATGTTTCCTCTGCTTTGAAGCTTCCTCTGAATTGTTTTCTTACAGTTCTCAAGGACTTGAATTTTTTTTTTTGAGACGAAGTCTTGTTCTGTCGCCCAAGCTGGAGTGCAGTGGCGCGATCTCGGCTCACTGCAAGCTCCGCCTCCCGGGTTCACGCCATTCTCCTACCTCAGCCTCCCAAGTAGCTGGGACTACAGGCGTCCGCCACCATGCCCGGCTAATTTTTTTGTATTTTTAGTAGAGACGGCGTTTCACTATGTTAGCCAGGATGGTCTTGATCTCCTGATCTCGTGATCCACCCACTTTGGCCTCCCAAAGTGCTGGGATTACAGGTGTGAGCCACCGTGCCCAGCCAAGGACTTGAATTTTTGACATGTAAATACTCCAATTGCTTGCAAGCAATTAAAAAAATTGAACTTGTATATGAATATATGACATCTGAGATAATATCCAAGCCATTGCTTACAGTCATCAAAATGTTGAACTTAAATATATATTTCTGTTTTCTTATAAATCAACATTTCCCCAATTGACTGAAACTGACATTTCAGTCAATTACTTTGGCGCTGTGTAGCTATAACCTTGTTGACTCTGTTCCTGTTGGTGACATTTAAGAGAGAAAACTTGTTAGGCAGTAATTTATGCTTTAAATTTTTTAAGAAGCTGTAGTTATTTATAATCATCCCCACACAGTTCATCACTCAATTGCATTTTTCCTTTTAATTCTGTCATTTTATGTTTGAATGTCTTGACTAATACATGAATATAAACTTCTTAAAGGAAAGGAATATAAAAAAAATCACCAGAATTATCTGCTTTTCTGAGGCCAAAGCTCCATAGCACAAATCAGGCTGTTGTGAGAAAAAAATAAGAAAGAAAATGAAACAATATTAAGTTCAACAGTGTTAGGAGGCCACGTGGCTTGATGCGAAGTGATCTTGTGGGCAGGGAATCTTCTAGTCTTCTGGTACTGGACAGTCATGGCAGTGACTGATGGGAAACATGGTCAGGAGCAGATAGTGGTGGACGATGCAAAGTTGACAGAGAAAAAGAAGGCAGAGGGGGCAGTGATAGTGGAAGTAATGGAGGAAGGAGACAAGGCAAGGAGCAATTGCGGTTGTTTTAGGTCTGTAGATCAGAAGTGTTAGCAGGGCGTGGTGGTGCGTGCCTGTAGTCCCAGCTATCTGGAAGCTGGGAGGTGGGAGGATCACTCTGAGCATAGGAGTTCAAGCACAGGAGTTTGGGCAATGTAGTGAGAGGCTGTTCCCCAGCCCCCCAAGAAAAAAACATAGATAAGAAATGCATTATAAGTCTGGTATGTAATTATTCCCTGTAGGTAGAAGATTTTCAAGTCCCACTACAGGATTATGTACATAGTGAATAACTATTGATTTATATTGTCTAGACCAGCAGTTTTCAATGGAAACATATCACAAGCCACATAGGCAATTTTAAATATTCTAGTAGCTACATCTGAAACATAGAAACAGGAAACTAATTTGTCATGTAATTAATTTTATACATTACTTCCAAAATGTTATTTCAACATATAATCAAATGAAAATTATTAATGAGATACTCTATAATGTTTAGAACTAAGATTTAGAAATCTGGTTAATTAACACTTAATGCATATCTCAATTTAGAGGAGTGACATTACAAAGTGCCCACTATCTCCATGTAGCTAGTGATGACTGTATTGGACAGTAAAGGTTTGGATTTTTTAAATGTATTCTTGTCTATCTCTTAAAAATGGAAATACATAAAGTTTCTGAGCATTTCTCACATTTGTCTGTTGCCATTTATAATTTTAGAAAAGATTCCTAATGTCTAATGTAAAAGGGCATTTAGAAATTTTAACAAAATAGTCCAAGTGTTATTAAGGCTACACTGTGGTCCTTGGGATCTTACCCTAGCCATGAACAATTAGCTGTGGGAAATATCTAAAATCACAGGTAAAATTCTGTGCTTGTGTGATGTATGATGTGTACTTGCATAGGTTCTTATATGATTTTCCGGGTAGAGAGTTAAGTCTTTTATCCAATTCTTAAAGAGGTCATGCCTCCCCCCACCCCCCAAAAAAGTTAAGCTCTTTCCAGTGCTTTTCTTTATGTAAAGAGTCCAAATATTAAAGTAACATTGGTGAAATAAAAACCAGGACTGTCATTAAAAATTGACTGGAAAGCCTGCCATGATGACTTAAATACATGTTATAGCAAATACGTAATTAGGAATCTGTGTTTCTGATGCACAAAATGAACAAAATGAACTAAATGAGATTCTACAATATTGTATTAATTACGAAAATATGACAGGTAACTGTTTAATCCCTTACAATTTTAAATGAGGTATTTACATAACTTACAAATGACACACTATTATAACTTTTCTGAATGCTCCACAGTTTTGTTCTTTGATAACATATTTCTGGCCAAGGCTACCTAATCAAAAATTGTAACGAAAATAACTTCAGTTCATCTAGGATGTTTCATGTCTGGTTTAGGTTACACTATATGATTTTTGTTTTAACTTTTTTGGAGAAGAGGGGAAAAAAGCAATTTTTTAGTTCTAGTTTATGCTCTAAAATCCATTCTTTGGTTTTCAAGAAAATATTTTATTTGTTTAAAGAGGTCAGAACTACACAATAGTCCCACCTTGAAGTATTCTGGGGTGACAAGAAGCTGTATTCCATTATCTGCATTTGAATTGCAGAGACTAGGAACACATTTTTTTTTTAACAATTTGTGATTGTTAATTGATTATCTTTAGATGATGCAAACTCCCTAGAGACTTGGCTGGAGACAACCATAATAACTCCCAGCATTAACATAAATTAATCATGAGGGAAAATAAGATGTGTGAAGAGCTGAAAATAAGATTACAGGTGACATTTCCTCTGGAAAATACAAAAGGAGAACAAAGGTTTTAGAGCGAATACAAGTAGATAATCTCACAGGCAAAGAAAGATGAATAGTAAAGTGGAGAGGATTGGTAATGTGCCTGTGAAGAATGAGTGGAAGGAGGAGAGAGGGCCAGGTTGTAAGAACAGGCCACAAAGCAGATAAGGGAAAGTGAAAACCCAGTTAGTGGATCAAAGGGTGAGAAGTCAAGTCTAATACAAAGCCATTTGGAAAGGATTAGAATGCAGCAAAGATAGCTGTAATACAGAAGAAAGAAAATTAACAGAATAAAAGAAGAGAAAATTTAAGACATCGGAGCTAAGAAGCACAGCCTGGCCAGGCTGGCTGTGCTAAAGCAGGGCTTTGTCACAAGGGAGGGGGCTCTTCAAATGGCCTGTGTCTTCCAGCTTTCTATGAAAGACAGAGGCTGAAGTCACAGCTGTGATGACAAGTGGTTTTAGAGTAATGTGTGCTATTTGTCCCCCCTGTAATTCTACTTGAGGGGTTAACTTTGAAAATCATGTTGAAAACAGGGACACAAACATTCTTATGTGCACAAGTGCTGAGATTTTCTGGGGTTGAGTGGGTTTGAGAGCACACCCCTCAGCCATGCTGTCATGCCTGAATCTGATGGACATTGACAGAGTCCAAGAGCCAATGTGGCAGGGCCTGTCCTGGAACGCATGCAAATTGATTCATGGAATATGGGCTATGGATAGAAATTTAGCTATAAGGTGGTTAGAATTATGTACAGAGATATGGGTTTGCTTGATAATTTAGACATTGTTAACACCCTCACAGTCTCTCTTCTGCTGACTATTCCTGTGTGGTTGTGTAAATAATGGCTTGGAAAGAAGAATGAGTAGCTACCTGTGAAATAAACCATCAGTTAGATAGATCGACAGTTTGTGTACTGATTTATTAGGAAAGGTTTAATAGGCCAGGCCCTAATATTTTTTACAGCAAATATTGATCTATTAGAATTACAGCCAGAGAAGTCTGAGTTCAGGTAGTTCCTGCAGGAGCAGTCAGAATTGGTGCTCTTATTTCAAGGCAGAGAGAAGGGAGGTCTGCTAATAATAGCTCTAATAGCATTGTGCTAACATTGTCTTTACCCCTCAAATGCTGGGTTTGCTTCATTTTGATATGAGAATCCAACAGGAACCTGAAGAGATTCTTTTCAGTGCTGTCCTAGAGGTTCTCAGCAAAACTTTGGTTAACTCTCCCATGATGAGCATGAGATTTGTCTGAAGCTCATGGCACCTTTAAGACTCCAACAACAAGGTCCTGAGAGACAGGATATGTGGATAATCTGTTACAACTCTCTTAAGCATTAATTGACCCAGCTGCTGTCTATCCAGAACTTTCCAGAGGTATTTATATGCACTGAATTTGATAACAAGATGTCAGTAAATTTTGGATTATTTCTTTGGTTGTTTGTTTTCATATTTTTTCTAACTGCAAATTTTTTGAGATATAGATTCTTAGCATTTTCTGGAAGGTAAGGCTTGTTAGATTGCCTAATATATGAACATGTCAATAATCCTCTGCACTATTTATATATTTGGTTAAATATACCCAGGGATGGGTAGTGAAATAGTGTTTTATTTTTAGCTACTATGTAGAATTTCAAGAAAGAAAACATGCAGATGAAGTCTATACATTTTAATAACGCTATAACAAAGTAAGCTTCTGTTAATAACAACAAAACTAAACAAGTTCAGATTTTTCTGGTACACAGAAATAGACCGACCTCTGACAGAGCAGCAGAAAAGCTATTTTGTTTTTCCTGTGGTCACAAAGACTGATGTGACCAGGTAATGTGTGTCATCTTTAAATAGTGGTTTAAGCCATAAAATGCAAAGCCTGTCCATACTGTCTTTAATGTCAAAGATAACGAGTTACTCAATGAAATAGGAATTTCTTTCCTTTTTACTTGGTAAATAGAACCTGAGTAGAATATAAAGTAGTCTTAATAAATAAGAGCAGTGAAAGTTAGTAATCAGGGCATCCTACGCTAGATTGTAAAGTTTACCAGTTGAAAATTTTCTTTCCAGTAACCTTGTTAAAATAGTTTTTATCAGTCTTCCTCATGCTCATGGTTATGTGCCATGGGAAAATATTTTCTGCTCAATACTGCAATAGATTACATGTTCTCTGCTCAGCATGTGGTAGATTTTAAGAGAATATTGCTTTTGCAATTTTAAAATATCATATGTCTATAAACAATATAATCTTTCAACTTGAGCCAAAATATTTGCATTTGAGAAATAGCCCATTTGTTTTATTTATTGTCTCCTATTTCTTCCTGACTGTGTCTGGTTACAAGCTCAGGGGGAAAAAAGTAATGATGCTGAAGTCTTGGATGTAGTGTATTCAAGCTGGTTGGATTTGTGGCTATTTGCAGTTCTTTAGACATATTTTTCTTTTGCATGTCCAATTGTGGAGAAAGGAATGAAAAGAATTTTTTTGTATGGCGGGGGAGAACAGGATCTTACTTCTCACTCTGTCATCCAGGCTGGAGTGCAGTGGCGTGATCCTGGCTAACTGTAGCCTCAACCTCCTGGGTTCAAGCAATCCTCCCACCTCTCAAGCCTACCAAGTCACTGGGACTACAGGCACATGCCACATTGCCTGGCTAGTTTTTGTGGTTTTCTTTTCTTTTCTTTTTCTTTCTTTTTTTTTTTTTTTTTTTTGTAGAGATGAGGTTTTGCCATGTTGCCAAGGCTGGTCTCAAACTCCTGTGCTCAAGTGATCAGCATGCCTCAGCCTCCCAAAATGCTGGGATTACAGGCATGAGCCACTGCATCTGGCCAAATTTTAAATTTGGATGGTATAATTTTCCTTCTGAGACAAAAAGTATGATCACTCACACAATTTTTCTTTCACTGAACAAGGAAAGACATTGAATGTACTCAAGGTCTGAACAATCGTTGATCGGAAAAAAAAGTAATATAAGTTTGTAGTTCCCTTCATGTTTCCAGATTTTTTGGGACACTCTATGGTATATTGACAATTGTACTCACTGTTTTAAACTTAGAGATACTTTACCCAAAATGATTTCTAATGGAAATAAAATGCATTGAGCATGTTATAAGTGTAACTAACAAACTATTTAAAAGTAAGTTTTTCCTATGTTTTCTGACTTTTCAGACACCCCATTCTTAAATACAACTATGTTGCTTGATGCTGCAAAGTTGAAACATAGGAATAAGTTCTATTTAGACAGCATGTAAATGGTAACTATAAATTTGAAAAATTAGCTCCAAAGATGTTCTGGGCTGGCAGACAGCATGTGGCGTAGAAGTGAATTAAGGTTTAGACAAAAATTTTGTAAGATTGGGATACAATCTAGGGGAATGTTTCTTCTGCATCCAACTGCGCATATAGTTACATCTGTGTTTCCTACATGCTCTACTCAGCACTATGCAACTCCTCATAATAGGAGGTTTCCAGATTCCCCCAGCTGTGCTTACTAATGAAACTCTAGATCAGATATTTACATAGAACACCTGACAGCAAGACATCCAGCCAGGCAGCTTTTGTGGAGCTGGAGAGAATTCAGAAAAAGAATATACCCAGAAATTCAAGAAACAAGGTGAGTGAATATAAATTCAAGGGCTAGGGTCATTTTGTGCCAAAGCTTCAAGTTCACTAGGAGTCAGTGAAGCGAAGTTACAAACAATGGCAAACTATGCAAATTGCAATTCTGGCCACAAGGCAAGAGGCCACCCTCAGAAGTGTTTCTTGTGGATGCATCTGTTGGTAATACAAGAGATTCTTGGACTTCACTACATTATTGCAAGTACTAGCATCATTTCCGACAGATCATAATTTAGAATTTGGAATCAAGGTTTTCTCCCCCGTGTGTTTTCCATCATCTATTGTCATTTTTAGATAATAAAGATATTTACTTGGGTAGAATAAAAAATATTTTCTTGTATTGCTAATTATCCCTCTGGGACCCTGCTCAAATAGAGCTTAATATTAAAATCGGCAGCCTGGAAATCATCTGGAACTTTGTAAAGTGATATGAAAAAAGTTAGTTGAATGAGAAAGTTTGGAAAAGTGAATTAAAACTTTACATCCTCCTATATAGGTCAGTGTATTTCTGATAGCCAGATATATACTGAATGATGCTGCTGCGATGTTAAATAAAGGACTGGCTTGTATGGGATGAAGTCCAAGGAGCATCTTTTGTTAGCTTTTTCTGAAGAAAAATTAGGCCGAATCTTTCATATTGATGTTTAGTTGAAGATGTATAGGATGCTACCCTTTGGGATCATACTTGGTGTAAGCTGGGATTTGCAAACTTGAGGCCGAGAGTTCCAGTTTGTCTCAGGGAGATGTTTAGAAAAAAAAATTAGGTTCATATTTTTAAATGGGAGGTTTTAGCTTAAGAATTTGTATTTCTGACTTCCTAGAAGACTTGGAAGATCAACTACGATGAATGTGTATTCTGATGTGGCAATACTTTTTAAGGCTCAGTGTCACTATCACCTTTAAAGGGAACATGTTCTCCCTGATTTGCTACACCTCATCATGTTCTGAGGCCATATGCAGTTGTGTGCTGGTTGATATTTATGATGACCTGGCTCCCCAGAAAATAAAAACCCTGACGTGTAGCGTTTGATGATTTTTCACAATGGCTAATTGCAAATTAACATAAAGGAGTATGGAGGACACTCATATCTGGTATGAGCTGGATCTAGCACACCACTGGCAGCTTTCATTTATTATCACACATACTGCTTTTTATGCTAAATATTTCACCTTTCTTTGCTCCATCAGAATTGGAAGTATGAAGGACAAATCAAATGACCACGTTTCAAGAAAAAGGGGAAGTTGCTCTGTTGTGGTCTAATATATAAATAACTGGCACAATTCACAATTTACTAGTTTGGAATACTTATCTAGGCCCATGTAGATATTTGTTTGCTACCTGTGGCTTAAAGCAGGGGTCCCCAAACCTCAGGGCGTGGACTGGTGCTGGTCCACGGGCCTGTTAGAAACTGGGCCACATAGCAGGAGGTGAACGGCAGGAGAACCAGCATTACCAACTGAGCTCCACTCTTGTCAGATTGATGGCAGTATTAGATTCTCATAGGAGCACGAACCCTACTGTGAACTGTGCATGAGAGGGATCTAAGTTGCATGCTTCTTATGAGAATCTAATGCCTGATGATCTGAGGTAGAACAGTTTCATTTCAAAACCACCCACCATCACCAGTCCATGGAAAAATTGTTTTCCATGGAACTGGTCCCTGGTGCCAAAAAGGTTGGGGATTGCTGGCTTAAAGGACTGTGGATACAATAGAACTTGAGGGAAATCTTAAGGACGCTGTTCTGTAGTGAAAAGAATACCAAACTAGTTCTCCAGAGTTTTGAGTTTCAATCTTGTGCTGCTAACTTGCTATCTGATCTTAAATAGGTCATTAACCCCACTTGGACTCTTTAAATCATAGGCTGTTAGAATTAGAAGGATCATAAGAATCTCTTTCTAACCAGTATACTGGACCCAGCATTGTGCCTGCCTGGGCCTTGGTAACTTGCCGAATGAGAGGCTTTGCCACCATTGCCATCACTTTGTCTCATACCACATCATTTGCTGGGGTGAGGGTTGGCCACAGTGGCTCAACACCAGGTCCAAACTCTAGGTCCAAATTGGCAAGACCCACAGAGGACCCTCTTACTGCTCCCAGGCTTAGAAAGCATGCTGCTTGCACAGGACACAGGGTCTGGCTTCTGTCCCAGCAGATATGCAGAAGATAGGATAATGCAAACAGTAAATATTAGAGGGTTGCCCTGTCATGGGGCAGACTCTGACCAATGACTAGGAAGTGACTGAAAGAAGGGTGTAGATTTCCCTCCTGACTGATTGTTCCAAGGTGGTTTCACATGGCCTTTCTGGAGACATCACACGTGCCTGAGCAACTGACTTCCTTGTGAAGTGCCACAATATCCCTATCTCATATTTTTTCTCCTTTCCTTGTTATTACCCTTTTATTCCTCATTCTTGCTGCCTTGGAAATTGCAACTTCTACTGATGACTTAGCATGTACGATTTGCCTCAGACTTGGATTTTTTAAGGACCCAAGACTACGATACCAGTCTCACATCAAAACAGGAATTCTAGTAGAAGGTCAGGTGGCTTCCACTTGAGTAAATCTTTACTGTATTTAAAACACAGTTATTAAGTCAGCCTCTCAAAAGGTAAACAGAAGAAGTGTAATTCCTATTTTACATGCATTTAAAGATGGAGGCAGTATTGTAAAATGGGTAGGGAGCATTGGAATCAGGGAGACCTCAGATCAAATCCTCTTTTCAAACGTGCTAGGTGTGAGATAATGGGCAAATGTGCAAAATCTCTCCCAGCGTCAGTTTTCTTAAAATATAGGCCTATAACTATTTGACTCTGCATCCCTGGTTCTTGACTGAATACTGCCATGGCCTCCAGGAATGGAGGGTGTTAATGAAAGTAGAGAACAAGGGGCTAGGAGTGAGGGGTGAACGTGTGGTCCAGTTTGGTGCCTGCACGCAAGGTGTTCAAGTAAGGAGAATGACAACAGAATCTGTACTGAGGACTGGACGTTAAAAGAAAATTGCAATCAAAACTCGCAACTGCATTGGACTCTCTAACTTGTGAGCTGCAAAACAAATGAGGTTAGTAAACTGCATCCAGGAATGTAAGACAAGATTAGATGTGACAACTTTGCCAGCAGGGCTTCTCGGGGCTGTGGATAAAGTAGAAGCAGAAAAACACATTTTAGTTTCTCTCCTGCTCTGTTAGACATAGCCTAGGGAAAGCTTCTGTGTTGGAAACATCACTCCCAATACTGTTTGGTTTCTTCTAGGCAATTTACTAGTAGCTGCTTTTCATTTTGAAATATTAAATATTTTATTTAAAAATATCCAAAACTCTAACAGGAGAAAAGATAAGAAAGAAAAAATACTTCAATATAAATTTATTTTTCTTGCCACGTGATGTTAGTTAAAAAAAAATTTTTGTTTGTGAAAAGTGAACTCCATTATTGTATAAGGTTATTATGGTTTATGAATTGGAGCCTTGTGATATAACAAAATACATTTGTGGTTAAAAATATCTTTTGAAGAATCAACATATCTTCTGAAGAATCAATAATGTGTGTTTGTTAATCTATAACATATAACAGATTTTTTGAACCACTGTCTATTATGTAATATTTGCATTTGCAAAGAAGGAAATTGAGGTTCTAATGATACTTATTGGTTGTGATATTGGAATGTGGTTATTATTAGACAGGGTTCTCAGATACTACCATTCTGGTGGAAAGGGATTTATTATAGGATATTAGGTGGCCCATAGAACATTTGAGCAGCTGGAGACAGAACTCAAGGCTGAACTTTCTAGAACAGTGACTGAAGTCAGGCTGCTTCATTGGCCTGTTAAGGAAGCTGCTGCACCAAGCACTACATGCCAGAAATGTGACCTCATTGCACTGATGCCTCTTGGATGTCAGGAGCTTGACCTTGTAATCACCGGAGCCTCAGGAAACTGGGTAACTGCCATTCCCAAAGGCAGCAAAATGGAAGCTGCCCGCAGGGCCTGTTTCCACATATTGCTCACTTTAGCATTGATGGCTCAGTGGGCGAATCTGATGACTGAAGCACAGGTCACATGTATCTGGCTGCAATTTGAGTTCGACTTCATCACTGGGGCCATGGAACTGATTACATGGGCGTTCCTCCAAATGTGGAAAAGTTATTCAGAGGAAGGTGGATGATCACAAACATGCCAAGTATTTAATGCAGTTGGGGAACTATAATTCTAACCTATATGTCTAATCCAAAGCTTTTACTATTAACCAGGATGCTGTGCATCCTCAATACTGCCTCTGCTTTATGCCAGTGCTTCTGAAAGTGTGGTTCTTGGACCAGCAGCATCAGCACCACTTGAAAACTTACAGAAATGCAAATTGTTGGCCACTGTCCCAGAACTACTGAATTAGAAAGTCTGAGGGTGAAATCCAACAATCTTTACAAGCCTTCCAGGTGATATTGAAGCCTTTGAAAATTGAGAAGTTTGAGACCTGCTGCCCTATGCAATACTCTACTATTTTACCATAGCTTCCTCTTGAGGGACTTCCAACTGTTTTGGAAGCTCAGGGGAAAAAAAATTAATAAACAGTAGAAAGCAAACATAGTTAGAAGCCATGAACAATCATTTGTGTACTTTTGCATGGCTCCTTTGTGATACTTACTTATGTGAATATGATTTTGTCATTTATAAAACTTCATAAAAGCTTAGTAACTTACCATAGTTGAAATATATCAAATCAGATGTGTTTACTTGAGCTTTTAAATGAAGATAATGGAGTGCCAGAGATTTTTACAATTTTCCATGTTGCGGTCTATAATTTCCCTCTTGACTTAAAGCTTAGATGACACATCTTTTAATTTGCATAAAACATTGGGAGGATTCTCTAGGCTGGCTACTCTCCGGTCTTGCAAAACAAAGGGCACTTGCCTCCAAAGGGAGGGTGTATGAATAAGTGTTGGAGTTAAGCATGCCTCTTACATTGATCAGCCTGTGTGCTCTGGTCTTCCTGAATTTGAAAGTGCTGGTTTACTATAAATTCTTAGCCATATCTACAATGAAGGGGAGACGAGATATTAAAGCAGATTAAAAATTCTTCAGTGATTTATTCATTTATCTGTCAAATATTGATCAAGCAACCAGTATTTGGAAAGCATAGTGCTAGTGGTAATCTTCAGGCTAGTATTGCAAAACTGAATTATCCCCATCTATATCATACATGATTTACCTATGTTGAAAGAGTCAGAATCAAGTAAAATACTTAACCTTAAAAACAAATGCTAAGAGCTTTGCCCAGCCTTACTTGGTAAAAGAAGAAAAGGACGGTATTATTTGAGGGGCACTAATAGTTATTGAGGGTCTACTTTGGACTGAGATCTTTACTTAATTTTTAGACACTGTTGAATGTGCAGACAGTGGGAGGTAAGTGTGCTGTATGATGAGCACTGGTGGAACAAAGATGATGACCAAGCCACTGCCCTTGTCCTCGAAGCATTTACAACTGTAGCGGGGAGTGGACAAGGAAAGTTATAACATGATCTAAATCCCACAAGAATATTAGTCCATGCTGTCTTAGTCTTTTCAGGATGCTATAACAAAATACCATAAACTGGGTAGATTTTGAACAACAAATTTTACAGTTGTGGAGGCTGGAAAGTCCAAGATCAAGGCACTGGCAGAGTTGGTGTCTGGTGAGGGCCCATTTCATGGTTCATAGAAGGTGCCTTCTCCCTCTGTCCTCACATGGTAAAAAGGACAGAGAAGCTGTGGGGAGTCTCTTTTATAAGGGCACTAATTCCATTAATGAGGGCTCTGCCCTCTTGATCTAATCACCTCCCAAAGGCCCCACCTCCTAATACCATCACTTTAGTGATCAGGTTTTCAACATAAGAATTTTGTTGGGATACACATATTCAGACCATAGCACATACCTATAGATATATAAAGCGAAGGTCACATGCAAAACACACCTGGCTCTCAATCAGGCTTAGTCAGGCACAATCTATTTCAACAGAATAGATGTGTGTGGGACTAAATAACTTGTGCAAAATCAGTGTCTCAAGGGATATTCTGCTATTTGGATTCTGGACAATGAGAAACTGGTGGGAACAAGTGCAGGTTCATTATTTGACATCTACAGAAGGTCCGAAGATGTGGTCTGGGTCAGCCAGGTGGGTGCCCAGTAGATGTGAAACAATGACAAATTTGGGACACATTCCCAATGCAGTGGGAGTCAGGGTTGTAATGGATTATCTACCTGTCAGGTGATTTTAGATTCAAAACTAATAGACACCCCTCTGACACAGAGATGAAGTGACTTGCCAGAGATTACACAACCAGTAAGGGCCAGAACCACTATGATGTAATTAACCATTCTATTAAACTGTCGATTTAGTCACCAGAGAAATCCAGGACCCATTTTACAGAAAATGACTTTTAGAGATATTAAGTAGCTTGCTCAGGGTGGTGCAGTTCTGAAGTGTTAGATCCAGCTGGGCTTAATTCTGTATTGATTTTGCTCCAACGCCATAGCTTACTTTGGCTAATTATTGTCAGGGAAAATGCTTGTTGTTTCAATTATGCCAAGTGTAGGTTATTGTTTCTGGCATAAATTGTCCAAATTTCACTTGTACAGGATTAAATAATTATTTTCAACAGTGCAGCTGGGAAAACAACTTGAGTGTAGCTTTTGGGGTTAATTTATTCTGGCAGGCTCTTCAAGAGGTGGTATTGCATGCTAGAGGAGTGATAATAAAGGATATTAACATTTTACAGGCCAAGAAAATGTTTTCTTGTGTTCTCTGATAGACAACTATGCCGTCTTGGGGTTAAGTACTAGTCCCATCACTGGAGTGATTCAAACTTTTATTTCCTTAGAAAAATTTTGGACTTTTCTCCCAAGGTATCTCTGCTACCTTTTGAAGGCTGAAATAATCTTCTATCTGGTTATGGAACCTTCCACTGGGGGATGGATCAAGCCTCACAGTTTTGCTGTGAAACATCTATTTGCCACTTCCTTCTCTCATTTCTGAAGGGTTCACTCTCCTCTCAATGGACAGTGTCATGCTTGTACTTTGGGCACTCACTCTAAATGAAATCCTGAATTGACTGCTGGGTAAGTTCCTATGAAATAAATATGAAGTTCACAGGACGTGAGGCAGGATTGACTATATAATTTGCAGGGCCCAGTGCAAAATGAAGACCCTGAGCATTTTGTTAAAAATGTATTAACCATTCAAGGTGGTGACCACAGAGTGTTAAACCCCAAGCGAGAGGCCTTCTGAGTGCAGGGCCCTGTGAAACTGCACAGGTCACTCAGCCGTGAATCTGATGCTGACTTCAGCAAAATTGTCAAAGGTGGTGATTTTCAAATAGTTGTGTTTTAGTGCTATTCTGTGGCAAATCTTTCATCGTTTATGGCAAATAGGGAAAAAAATGTAATGTTCTCAACATATGTTTCATTAAACCTACTAAAGAACTAACGCTTTAAGTTAATGTGCTATTTTTTTTTTTTTTTTTTTTTAGTTGAGGTTTTGCTCTTGTTGCCCAGGCTGAAGTGCAATGGTGCAATTTCGGCTCTCTGAAACCTCCGCCTCCTGGGTTCAAGCGATTCTCTTGCCTCAGACTCCCAAGTAGCTGGGATAACAGGCATGCGCCACCATGCCTGGCTAATTTTGTATTTTTAGTAGAGATGGGGTTTTACCATGTTGGTCAGGCAGTCTCAAACTCCTAACCTCAAGTGATCCATCTGCCTCAGCCTCCCAAAGTGCTGGGATTACAGACATGAGCCACTGCACCTGGCCTATTTCCACCTTTTTTACTAATCAAGATAGTCTTTCCTTTTGAAGGGATCATGATGATAGATGTTAAAAATAGCCTTATTTGACAAAAGTGACACTTGGCCACCTCTTGTCCTTGTGTTGTCTTCTCTCTCCTACCTTCAGTTTTACTCATTAGAAATTCTTGATGTATTGGAACCACAGGTCTAAGATACGTGATGAGAATCTGTTCCATTGATTTCTTTCTCAAGTCGTATCTTCAGGGAGTGTTTAAGCTTCATGAAATTATTTATTGTATCCTTTGTGTTTATCAAAGACTGTTATAAGAAATGGTCATACAAAGATACTTTTGCTCTCTCATATTCAAAGGATACTTTTCATCCCATTTTCAGCATTCTTCTAACATGAAAGGACCTACAAGATACATTATTCGTAGGATTTAATGCCAGCAAAATCTGCCTCTCAAATGAGCTTGCTTGCAGACAAAGAGAACTGTAAAATACATCACAAAATGTAGCTGAGTGCTAAATTTGATCTTCAATTGCAGAATTGTTTTACACCATTTTCCTAGGATCTCTCTTCCCTTCCTCTAAATGCCTTCTGATCTTTCTTAGAAAATTTGTATTTTAACTGCTTTTACTGTTTTAAATGTTCTTACTGTAAAACTTTTCAAATCTATTCTTTTTTTAAGTAGTAGGTTGACTACATTTTGTAAATAGTCAAAAATGCTAGATACTGAGTGACAAGATCTGTATGTGTAGAGAAACATTTTGATGAGCTTGTAGAGTTTTATCACCTGAAAGTGGTAATACTCAAATTAAAGTTATGCACTTTTTCCCCTTGATACCTTGTATATCTGCCTCATTTGTATTTTTCTCATATGACCATGCCAATTGGTAGTAATAGAACCAAGATGAGGATGACTTAATTTCTTGATGGACATGCCATTTCTAGGTTCTGTGACTTTGACAATGAGGCTGTCATTTTTTTCCCTCAGATTTGTAGTCAGTGAGAGTATTATTTCTTTTCTCTGGAACATAAGCTTCTTCTCAAAGTTGTAATTTCAAACATGAAAAGTAATCCTGAGTGCAGCCTGGAGATGTTTGGGCAAAAATTGACATGTCTTTGGAATACTACAGAAGAGAGTCACCAGTTAGCTTGTGTTACCTCACCTACCTGCATCTTAAACATAGCTTTATGAATGCTTTCTTTCATTTACTGAATGATATATAGTTAAATAGATCAAAATTCTGGAATCAGTGCTCTGTATTTTTATTATTTTCATGATGCATTGCCATGTGATATCCATTAGGAAATGCTGTGGAATGGCAGTTACACATACCAAAAACGGTTGAACAATTTTCATTGAGCAGCCTACTACATGTCAAGAATTGCCCACACATTATTGTATTTTATTTCAATAATAGCTTCGTGAAACAATATTTATTTTCCCTATTTTAAAGAATATATTAGGAAAATGAGGCTTAGAGAAGTAAATTTCTCAGTAGGACAATAGTAGTTTGCAGAATCGGGATATGACTGTAGATCCGTCTGATTCTGAAGGTTATGCCCTTTTGCTTCACCATCTTGAACTGGATACCAAAGGTCTTTGGGGAACTTACAAGAAAGGCACTTGGAAGATCATAATGTTGGCTATTGTATTATCAATCTTATCACCATGCTATACTTGCTGTACAAAAATTTCCCTACCAGAGTCATCTTTTTAGAATGTTCAGAGTTCATTGGGAACAATAGTTGTCATCTCTGACAAAAACAAAGTTTGGATGCCTCAGATTTGAGAGAAGGCCCTTTTCTGCGTCCAATGGCCTATAGCTGTAACATCCCATTTATTCATTCATTTGACCAAAAATAAATCTTACTATGTGTAGAGTACTGTGTCACTGTAGGGATACTGTACTATAAATAAACAAGAAGCACACAGTCTCATTTTTCATGGAGTTCACTGTTTACTCTATAGTTAGCTAGTCACACAATTAATTTGTTCATTAAAATTCTATTACATACTTCAATGGAGAAGTACAGAGTATTATGAGTGTTTGAAAAAGGAGAACTAACTGGTCTGAGGCTGAGGAGTGGTCAGCTAAATGAAGGGGATGGGATGCACCAAACATTCCAGACAGAGGGTCAAGATAGGTTGTAGAATAATCACAGGAAAGTAAGCAACACATAGGTTGGGTACAGTAGAAGTGAGCAGGGGACAATGATTACCTGGGGCCCTCAGACACTTTCAGTCAATACTGTGGTAACTCTGAATCCCCTCCTTACCCAAAGCAGTTTTGTAACATATAGCACAAAGTTAGCACAGCATGTATATGTATGTGTATATATGTATATGTATATCTGTATATGTATATATGTATGTATATATGTATATGTATATGCATATATGTATATGTATATATGTATATGTATATATGTATATGTATATATGTATACATGTATATGTGTGTATATATATATATATATGACCCCATGTGTTTTTCCTGAATCTTCAAGTTATCTTTTGCTGTGTAACAAACTATCCCCATTGTTACTGACAAATCATCAACTTATTATTTCTCATGGTTCTATGAGTTGACTAGGCTCAGCTGGTTGGTTCCAAGAGGCCAAATAGAAGCAAGGATTTTTATAATCTAGTCTTGTAAACCTGAGAATTTCACTTCTGCCATATTCTATTTGTCAAAAAAATATTGAAGTCAGCCCAAATACAAGAGGAAGAGAATTAGACTTCATCTTTGGCAAACACCTCTGCTATGCTGAATAAAGGAATTGGATGTTAGTCAGGATTCAGATACACTTTGGAAGACTACTTCATTTTCCTTATGTCTCAAGCTTCTGATTTGGTTCATATTTTAAGAGCTGCCAAGATTAGATATATCTTCCTTCTCTTAATCAGACCTTACTCTTATTCATTTAATTTCTATGAGATAGCATTACATAATACATCATTGCCAAATAGTTTTGGTCAACTTATCTTATTTCTCTAAGCCTCAGTTTAAAAAAGTCTAAAAATATAGACTGTAAAAGCTGCCTTATCTGCTACATTAGGTTGGTGTAAGATTGCCAGTGAATCATTCATTTATGCAACAAACAACAATAGTATGACAGTAACACTTAGGATACTTAGCATGTACCTAAAACTATTCCACTATTCTAAAGAACTATATGTTAAATCTTGATAACAGAACAAGGGCCAGCTTTTTGTCGGATAGCATGCTATAATATGTTCTGGGGATATAAATACTAATAGTGTTACCCTCAGGAATTTCTAGCATAAAGGAGGGATTCGCCATTAATCAAATAATCACACAAATATGAAATTAAACTTTGGATACAAAACATGTAATGGGGAGAACAACATGTTAGTTGAACAAAGATATACAAGTACCTACTTTGTGCCAGGCATGGGGTGATTTAAATCCATAGATGATAGTTCCCACTGTGGGTGATGTGTAAATATCATTACTTATGTGAGTGGTTTGGGAGTTTTGGAGTGACCTGAATAATTGTAAGCATCTGGCTAAGTAAAAAGAAGCTGAAATACAGATTTGATGATGATGAAGTTTCTTCAAGTGGTTTTGAAGAGTTTGCTCCTCGTGGTTTTAATTTGAATGGACAGATGTAATGGAAGAACTATTGAAATTGCTTAAAAATAGTAATTCTTAGAAAATTCTGACTTTTTTTTCTGACAAAACAGCCCACTTTCTCCTCCTAGAGAATAAAATAAACATAAAGTTGTCCTTCTGGTTTCATAAGTTAGAGAGGAATGTTCCCATCCCATAAAAGTAATAAGAAAAGACACTTATTTAATCTTTTTGCTAAAAATACTTACAAATATTTCCCAAAAGTCACTTGAAGACATTTATGCAGCCACCAGACACATGAAAAAATGTTCACCATCACTGGCCATCAGAGAAATGCAAATCAAAACCACAATGAGATACCATCTCACACCAGTTAGAATGGCGATCATTAAAAAGTCAGGAAACAACAAGTGCTGGAAAGGATGTGGAGAAATAGGAACACTTTTACACTGTTGGTGGGACTGTAAACTAGTTCAACCATTGTGGAAGACAATGTGGCGATTCCTCAAGGATCTAGAACAAGAAATACCATTTGGCCCAGCCATCCCATTACTGGGTATATACCCAAAGGATTATAAATCATGCTACTATAAAGACACATGCACACGTATGTTCATTGTGGCACTATTCACAATAGCAAAGACTTGGAACCAACCCAAATGTCCATCGATGATAGACTGGATTAAGAAAATATGACACATATACACCATGGAATACTATGCAGCCATAAAAAATGATGAGTTCATGTCCTTTGTAGGGACATGGATGAAGCTGGAAACCATCATTCTCAGCAAACTATCGCAAGGACAAAAAAACCAAACACTGCATGTTCTCCCTCATAGGTGAGAATTGAACAATGAGAACACTTGGACACAGGATAGGGAACATCACACATCGGGGCCTGTTATGGGGTGGGGGGAGGGGGGAGGGATAGCATTAGGAGATATACCTAAAGTAAATGACGAGTTAATGGGTGCAGCACACCAACATGGCGCATGTATACATATGTAACAAACCTGCACGTTGCACACATGTACCCTAGAACTTAAAGCATAATAATAATTAAAAAAAAAAAAAGTCACTGTGGTGCAGTTTAGAAAACCAAAACCTGGCCGGGAGCAGTGGCTCATACCTGTAATCCCAGCACTTTGGGAGGCCGAGGCGGGTGGATCATGAGGTCAGGAGATCGAGACCATCCTGGCTAACATGGTGAAACCCCGTCTCTACTAAAAATACAAAAAATTAGCCGGGCGTGGTGGTGGGCGCCTGTAGTCCCAGCTACTCAGGAGGCTGAGGCAGGAGAATGGCGTGAACCCGGGAGGCAGAGCTTGCAGTGAGCTGAGATGGCACCACTGCACTCCAGTCTGGGCGACAGAGCAAGACTCCGTCTCAAAAAAAAAAGAAAAAAAAAAAAAACAAAACCTTTATATTTGGAGTAAGATCTGACTTTGAATTTCATTTCTACCCTTTAACCAATCATCATTGATTGAGTTATTTGTACTTCTAAGCCTTAACTTCTACATCTGTAAAGTTAAGGAAGTGATCTCTTCTTGATACATCAACTGTAAGACATTACAGAAAGCATTATAATTTTACCTTGCAATTATAGTTTAATAGTATTTGGCATGAATTAGGATTGTAGAATCTTATGCTTCCAGCTTAGACAAAAGCCTTTGTTTCTCATATATATCCAATTTAGATCAATACTTGATTTCAAAATAATATTGGTCCTTGAGATCAGTTTTTATTTGGGCTGGTGGCTATTTTGTATATGTATCTTTTATGTGGTACTTTGAGTAATTTACTACTTTGATCATTTATGATTTTAATGACTAACCAGGTTATTCTGCTCCATGATAACAATTTTAGAATAATATTAATACATGGAGAATCCTTGTTACCCACTTATAAAGTTGTGTAGGGAGCAAAAATTTTTGTAACATGAAGCTATTTACTGATATTCACCTGAGAAAGTAGGCTCCATTCAAATATTTCTTATGCTTAATGATGTCATCTTCTCCTAGATGTGGTATTAGTGTCCACAATGGGCATTTGCTTGCTGAAATATAATACAAATACAGTGTAAACCATTGGAAAATGAAATGATCTCATTTTGAGTGAATCAGAAGTGAAATGAAAAATGTCTTAAAATGTTTTCATGAAATTTTGTCAGAAAAATAATGCCTCAAATTTATATTTGACCCCTTTTTAAGTTCATTTAAAAATGATGACAAAATAACATTTTCTTTATTTGTAGTTTTTGTTTTCAAGGAGTGCTATTAATCCAGTTTTTCTCAATCATTTATTACGAGATTACAGTTTCATTTTATGTATTTGTTTTTTAAGCAAAATAGGAAATTTATTAACCTACATAAGTTAGAAGTCCAAGAGCAGAATGAGCACTGGGCATGCTGGATATTGGGGCTTAAGCCAGATTTCAAGGACTCAGTCTTGCCCTTTTCATAGCTCAGCTGTGTTTTCTTTTGTGATTGCCACATTTCCAGGCAAAATCTCCTCTTCTATTGGAATAATGATTGCCAGCAATTCCAGGATTACATCGTTTTCTCTCGGCAACTTCAGCAGAAGGAGAGATTCTTTGTACAGTCCCATTTTAATTGGCTGCTTTTTGGTATCAACTATCCTATAGCACACTGTACCCATTGTGCATTAAATTAGAGGCTGAGATCAGTTTAGCAGAAAATTTGCTGAAGAAATGATAGAGATCAAGAAAATACATTTTGAAATCTAAGTTTATTTTTAGGAATTGAAAATGGATTTCCATTTTTTACTTGTTTATGTGTACTTAAAAAGGTCAGTTTCTTAAAGATAGCTACTAGCTTAATATAAACGATTGTTCGTGAATTTAGATTGTTATTCAGTAATCTGTATTTTTCGATCATGACTTGGAATTAAAAGAAGTAATGATAATTTGAAGATCCAGGGAGGAGTGGATAGAATATAACCTTTAGTTTTTCTTCTAATTAATTCTACTTTCTTATATCTTTCTCTGGTCCCAAACCTTGTAGTTAAAATTGCACCTTGATTTCTGTTCACTCTTGTTAATGGTTCACAAAAGAATTTTGTAAGGTTTAGAATCACCTAGAGTACTTTGTAAAAGTACTGATACTCAGGCTCAGTCTGACTTCAATTAAATCAGCATCTCTGCAGTGGAGGGCTCAGGACTGCCTAGGTTTAAAGCATGCCAAATGACTCTAACATATGGCCAAGGTTGAAAAGCACCGGCTCAGATCCTCACATAGCAGTCACTCAAAGGTGGACATGGGATGGCAATTCGCATTCCTTCATCTCCTGAAACCCATTGATTCAAATATGTAGGCAGCGGTATTCTCTTCTCCATTCTTAGCTTTTCTTCCCATTGTGCCCACATAGGAGATATACGTATCATTATTTAGAGCACAACTGGGCCCAGGATGCAGTTTTAGCAAGATTCCAGCTTGGCTGCCACTGTGGACTAGAATTGTTTTCTATAGAGCCAAGCCATTTTTCTCTCAAACAACTTTGAACTTAATATCATCATAGACTGGCAAGAGTGAACCAGCTGTCTAATTTTTCTCTATACCCTCAGACTCTGGTGAAGCTTTTAGCTATTTTATATATAGCCCTTGAAATGGACCAATACGAGGTCATGTTGGGAATTTTGCTGATTTTACATCAAGGAGCCTCCCAGACAGGCTGTGAAGTAAGGAGACCCAGCTGCTGAGAATGATAAGGCTGCCAGGAACAGCTTTGGTGCTGAAGCGTGGAACCTTGTCTGCCGTGTTCACTGCTGGATCCCTGGCTCCTAGAATAGTATCAACCACAGAGTGGGCATATGATGAAAACTTGTTGAATTAAGGCATAGAGCATGAAAACCGTAAGTGCTGAATGGCTTGGAAAAGGCTTTTAAATATCAATGTGCTCTCCTTCCTCACACAACTGAATGATTACAAGAGTTTATAGAGTGCTTACTTATATCTCAGACATTGCACTAAGATTGCATACACACAGTCATATATACATGCACATGCACACAGAAATACAAACATATTCTTTTCTGTTTAAAATGTAACAGCTTTATTAAGCAAGTACTACTACCCTCATGTTACAACTGCAGAAACTGAGGCTTAGAGAGGTGAAGTAACATTTCCAAAGTGGCACAACCAATTAATAGCAGGATTGGCATAAAAGATTAGGTCTTCCAATTGCAAGCCTTCATGATAAAACCATTATATGATATTAATACCTCTTTCTATGTCTCTAGCTTCAGGTTCCTTAAACATGCTAGTCATGACCAGCAGTTATCACTTTGAGAAGTTATGTTATTCCTGAATTTTTTACTTTCCTGCCTCTCTCTATTAGAATATAAATTCCATGAGATTAGGGGCATTCGTTTTGTTCACATCATTCACATTTGTTCACGTGGTTGTTCTCTAACATTAGCACTTACAGAATGGTTAGGAACATGGTAAGTAATTGTTAGATGAATGAATAAATGAGCCCACTCTTCTGGGTTCATTTATCCATTCAAGGTGCCCAGTCTTATGGGCTCATTTATTCATTCAAGGTTATTCCTTGTTTGAATGATTAGCTCACCATCCAATTTCTCAATTGAGATATTGGACATTATCTTTGATTCATGGTTCAACCTCACTCACCACCCATAATTGATCATGTTGTATTTACCTCTCAAATGTCACTCAGATCCATTTTTTCTTCTATTTCCTGGGCTCCTGCATTAGTTCAGGCGTTGTTAACTTCACTTTTTTGCAGTAGCATCCTAAACCATCTCCCTGCTTTGAGTTTTACCCTCCTCTGATTCACAAAACTTCTAGTGCAGTGGTTTTCAATTGGGAGAAATTTTGTCTGCCAGGTGAAATTTACCAATGTCCGAAGGAGACATTTTTGGTTAGCACAAGTGAGCATTACTACTGGCATCCTGTTGGGGGAAGCTAGGGATGCTGTTAAACATCCAAAATGCATAGGGTGACCCCCAACAACAAAGAATTACCTGGTCAAAATGTCAACAGTGCTGGTGTTGAAAAACACTGTTCTAGAGAAAGCTTCCTATAATCTCATTATAATTTACATGTAGTCAAACCCTCCCAAGGCTGCCCTCTGCCAATAGTGTAAAATACAAAGGTCATAGTGTAACATGGGGAATACATAATAACTTGCCTCCTCCTTACCATTTTAGCTGAATCTCCTCCTCCTTTCAAGTGTTTATGAAATTTCAGGCATTTTGAGAAATTTGCATGTACTCAAAAGTCTTGTTACGTTCCATTGTTCACTTGTTTAAACTCTTACACAATCTTCTGAGATGTCCTCTCAGACTATCCTAGATAGAGTCATTCAATAAATACTTACTGAGCCCGTTTTATTTGTGGGTGCTGTGTTAGGTCCTGAGGATACAGCAGGAAATAAAATAAACATGGTCCTTCCTTTCTTGGAGCTACCCATCTTCATGTACTGTAGTTAGATCTTCCCCCTTTAGAACATGTGGAGCTATCACTTTGTCATTATTAGGCCACCAAATACATAATCGCAATTCAATTATCACTTCAAAGAAAATGAGGAATACTTAAGGTCATTCTCAGTTCATATTCAAATTCACCTTTACTTGATTTTCTAAAAAAAAAACAAACAAACAAACACACACAAAAAACAAAATCCTGTTCTAAACAGTTGGTTTCTTCAAATCAGCTTCCAAACAAGATCCATTCCTAGTATTTGGTTACCTCTTGCCTCTTGGGTTCTTTTTAATCTAAGAGCCACCTCCTTCCCTCCCTCCTTTACCCTCCAACCGTCCTCCATCCTTTCTTTCTCCCATTCCTCTTTTTTTCTTCCACCCCTTCTTCCTATCTCCCATTCCATTGACTTGTAGAAACAGTAGGTAATTGTCCTGTAGATAATCCCATATTTCAGAGTTTAGAGTTTTCTGATCGTTCCTTCGAGGTATTTAACTAATTCCCCTATTTCCCCATTTAGACTAGAAGTTAGATAGAAAATCTTAATTAGATGTATGTGTATTTTTTTGCAAGACTAATTCCTGAGTGATGTTATATATTTCACATTTCACAACATTGGTGGTAAACAATATCTTTGACTTAGAATTGCTGAGATGAAGTTCAGATGGTGTCAGGTGACAGCCTGGTCTCTTAATTGTAAACTTTTCTAACAACTTTGCATATAGTGGTTTTGCCACTCATTGATGACTGCTTGAATTAGTTATTTTATTAGATGTTGGAAAATAGTAGCGGTCTAATTCTTTCATTCTGTCTCTATTTACTAGATGAATTCTTCTATATAGGACTCATCTCATGGTTGCTGTGAAATATAGTTCAAATTGGAACAGAAGCATACATCTCATTTTTTTCTCTTTAATAATCAATTTTCATTAAAATAAGTTGGTGCTTTAACACTCTCCAATGTTCATACCACTCTCCAATGGTCTCCAATTAGTTTTACTTTTTTTCCTTTATCCTTTTTTAGCTCCCCTCTCCCTGTATTATTAAAAACTAATGGCCCTTTTATGCCTACTCACTCTTTTAAATGCAAGAGACTCTAGTATTTAGTGTGGACCTTTTTATACAAGCAATAGATGTTTGTAGTTTATTTTCTAATTATTAAAACAGATCTGTGTTTTAGAATTTGGGGAAAAGTCTATTACAGAATGCAACGGAGTAGGTGTTGTATAAGACTATATGTCTTATTGTACCTGTTTTCCTGCCTCCCTCCAACAGACACTTGTTGAGCACCTATTGTGTGTCAGGTACCAGGCTAGAGAGTATCTTTCTCACAGACTTCCTTTTGCTCATAATATCTATGAGTTATCTAGAATCAGGTACCATTGGAGCATGGAACTTACTGGATAACTCAGAGATGTCTCAGAAACCTCACCTTTTACAGGACACCTGGGTAGAATCACGGGTCACCAAGAAGTCTCTCTAACATGTAGACAGACCCTTGTGTGAACATGTGTAAAAAGTTCTTGGACAGAGGCATTTTCTAGACACGCCAATTAGAAAGGACTTAGGTAAGTTACAACAAGACTGCGAGCTTGAAGTATTAACAGTTATTTCAACTTTTTGTTTTGCAATTAATTTCTTAGACTTTCTTGATCAGATTTTTCAACCCCCAATTTTCCCAATTGCTCCACTTTAACAAATAATGTGTATGCCAATCTGCTTACTTTTCCAAGGTATGGTTAGGTTAATGAGTGTCATACAGAATGCATAAGTTAAAACTGAATCTTCGGTATCCTATTCCTGTGTATGTCTTGCTGCCTTATAATTTAACCTGGCTGATCCACACTTAGAGCTTTCCTGTGCTGTCAGTGGATGCTTATGTAGTTTATTACAGCTTAAATTATCATTTACTATTGGAAATTGGATCACAAGGAAAAATCTAGCCTTTTTAATTATGTCAATTTTAAAAATTATTATGAAGACAGTAGTTACATGAACTGGCAGTAATGATGGAATTTCTGAATGGTGCTAGTCTTTGTCTAATCACTTATCCCAGCAAAATTCTCTTTTGTATCTTTTAATTTCTTGTTGATTGTGATTAACTATATATTTGGGTTATCTGCTTTAGAACATTTTTACAATGTATAAAATCATTTTAATACTATAACACTTTCATGTATTGATTACTTGCTATGTTCTGGGTTCTAGGACACTCTACTAAGTTCTTCAATATCTTATTTGATTTTTAAAACATCCTAATGGGCATCGAGAAGAAAATTGGGTTTTATAGAGGTTGAATAATTAGCCTGGTGTATATCATGAGAAGTAAAGTTGGGACTAACTGAACTCTGCCTGACTCCAAAGATTATGCTCTTAACTATAAACTACAGTTAATCTCTTAAAAACACGTGCACACACACACATAAATTCTTTTTCCATAAGGAGCTATTAAGTAATCTTTTCTAATCATGATAAATGTTTATTTATATAAGTGAGCATATATTTGTAAATATGCACATATGTGCTTTTAATAACCTAGAAACCCATTAGTGTGAATCAGAGGAGTATGCAAGAAGCAAAGTTTGTACGCCCAAATAATTAAAAATATATATTCTATTATTAACTTAGTCTGATCTTCAACAGACATTAAAAGAACTTAAATATGTACCTTACAATCACCATTTATTAAACTTTCCTTTTCTCTTTAATTCACAGCTCTTCTTGTTTCAAATTCATTCCCTTAATTCCTTCTTCACAATCTGCCTTTTAAAAATATAACTTTCTCCCTTTTTCAGTTCCTTAAATTTAAGAAAGAATTCTTCCCATTTAGGAAGGAAGTAAAGGAAAATCAAATTTGTAGTTTTAGTATGGCTTTCAAACTTCCTTGAACCATCACTTATAGAAAGAAACACATTATACTTTTCAATTCAGAGAAATATACATAGAAGTGAAAAGAGATGAAAAAAATATTGCAGTGGACCGTAACATTTTCACTATATCCTCTTGCACTTAAAAAAATTTTGGTTATGACTCATCCAGTTGATTTTATTATCCATTAATGGGTCATGGGTAGCAATAAGAAACTCTGAATTATACAACTTTCTATAATGGGTTGGAAAAAGAGGGAAGTATGTTAATATGGCTAGATTAATAATTTTGTTCTCATCACATATAAATGCTTGTTCCATTAATTTCCAGTAATTAGTGGGAGTTTATATTATGAATACTCATATTAAAGTAATAATAAGGAAAGAAAGGGTAGTAATTAGGTCAGAGGGGAATGAGTAAAACTCTTTGAAAATAATAGATTAAAATGGATTATGGATTTAGTACAATGTAGGCTGTATAGCTTTTAGTATACTTTGTCTTATTAAAAATTTGTTTAATTGTTTTGTGGAGTAACTTGACAACGTAAGAATTTCACTTGGAAAGGGGAAGGGAACACATGGTGTCTCTCTCTCTCTCTGTCTCTCTCTCTACATGTCTGTCTTTCATTCTTCTCCTGAATCTCTTAAAAGAAGAGGCAATATTTACTTCCTCTGTTTCCATCTGCCGTTTTCCCTTAATCAGTTTTACTCTGACTTCTGTCATTGTCTCTCTATTGAAACTGTTTATGTCAGCAATGAACTCTAATTTTCAAATCGAATGTACTCTTTCTCCTATTGGAGTTTGGCAGTAGCTAATATACAATATACCTTTAATAAATATTAGTTAATTAAATGTTGAAGGAACTCTGAATACTCAGTTAAATATTAGATATATAAAAACACTTTTCACAGTACAGTACTTCCTTAATTTGTTTCATTTGTTGTAACTAATGATGTCTTCCTTTCTGTACTACCCACTTATGCATCTGAATGGGGCAGGAATGTCTGGTATTGTTACACAATGGAATAGCTTTTTCAACGCATATCTGACTACTATCTGATTTTAATTAGTTCTACATTATTAATTTTAGTGACTAGCTTATAGCCTGTTTGTTCAGGCTGTGACCCTCTTTTCTTCAACCACAGTGCCTCTTTCCACTGTACCCTTCGGGTCCCCAAAAGCAAATTTGCATCTGGTCCGGGCAATAGAAAATTGGATGAAGAGGCATTGTCTACTTGTTCTCTTTTCTGAGAAAGATCAGTTGGGCTCCAGAACTTAAAAAACGAGGGAGTAGTGCTCCTTGCCGGTCATCTAATGAAGGTAAAGAAAGGTCACAAAGTCAGAAAAAGTAACCAGCCATAATGGTTGAAGGTTTTGAAGCAATATAAATTTCTTGCTGGTCAACCTTTAACTTGAGAAATCTTTCCCCAGCCCTGAATCCAGACCCACAGAGAAGACTTCTGCATCTTTATATCAGGCTAAGGTGCTTTTCCCAATGGAGTTCAAGCCATGTTTGTGGGTTCCAGAGGGTCTGCTCAGTGGTTAACTTCGTTTCTTCTCTCATAATTATATCTTCACTTAAACTCATTTTATTTCTGGGCACATTGTAGAGAGCAGAGGTATAGTATGTCCCCCAATGGAGAGAGGCGCCTAGCTCTCAGCTCAGTGTTGTCATCATTTGGCTGTGCCCAAAATAATATTAATAGCATTAATAATATTAATAGTAACAGTGACAGGATCAGCGACCATTTTTTGAGCACTTCCCATGTGCTTCTGAAGCCATGAAGGCATTTTGCAAACCTTTTGAAGTCAGGAGCCATGTTTCTCTTATTCACTGCTGTATACCCTGCCCTTGGCAGAGTCAGTGCCACATAGAAGGCAGTTAAGAAGTGTTTATTCAGTGAATGTGTTGTTCTAATCTTCAGTTAAGTAGTGTTTATTCAGTGAATGTGTTGTTCTAATCTTCAGTTAAGAAGTGTTTATTCAGTGAATGTGTTGTTCTAATCTTCAGTTAAGAAGTGTCTATTAAGTGAATGTGTTGTTCTAGTCTTCAGTTAAGAAGTGTCTATTAAGTGAATGTGTTGTTCTAATCTTCAGAACAATCCTAAACTGATCAATTATTATTTCTCTTCTATTGAAACTGATGTTTTCAATTAACTAATTAGTACAAGGTCGTTCAATTGGTACTTGGTAGAGTCAAATTTGAGTTGAGTTGTATGTTCAAATTTGAGCTTCACTATATACTCGAGCCTTTCAGCTTGACAGGCAGAAATGTTCCCACTGTATCATGATGGTGAGTAGGTAGATGGGTAAATTAATAAAAGAATGAATAGATGAATGAATTGCTCTAGCCCTATCTACTTTTATTTATTACCAGCCATTTCTAGTCTACTTTGCTTATGACATTGTTCCTTTAGATAGAAGAATAGGATTGCACTTGCCACCAGAAAAATTAGGATTCTGATGGTTTTGAATTCTGTTGTCCTCTTCTCAAGATGCATCTGTGAAGGTCATGAAAATCCCATGATACCTTTGGATTCTAGGTTCCCAGATGTTTTCACACTGTGGAGGCCAGCCTGCTTGGGTAGCTGCAGGTCACCAAGCTTTCCTCTTTGTGAGGCATGAGAGCTTGTCCAAAGGTGCTTAGGTGTATTTTGTCACCAAGGACAGGGGAACATAGTGAATGATCGTTCTGTCAGGCGGTCGCCTCATTCTTTGGACCTCATGAATGAGTTCAGATTCTAAATACATTGTACTCATTTAATTCTGCTCTGTGTTTCATCTGGACCAGAAATCTGGTTAGCTATTCAAACATGGGGAGCTCAAAAATCAAAACAATTTCCAAGAAGAGTGGCCCATCTAAGTTCAATTCCAGGAAAGTGGTGAAATCAGAGGGAGGTCCGTAATAGGGCAACTCAGAGCAAAAGACTGAGATGGGCAGGCACAAGGGGGAAGGCATTTCAGGCAACGAAAATAATAAGTTTACTAACACACCTGGGTGACTTCAGTTTTTGACTCTTGTACTTTCCCTTTCTACCTTTCTCCTAGAAATTGCTAAAGAAATTGACCAGAAAGTATGGAGAAGGGAAAATGTCATAAATGATCTAAATTTAATAATTCATATTGGAGTTTGCAAATTTTCTTGAGATATTGGAGAGATGGATTACAATATGGAAACAAACTAAAGCACCCAACAAAACCCTCAGAGTGCTTTTGAGTTACTTAGCAAAAAGCAGGCTTTTGTATTTTCCGGAGTGTTGCAGATTTCCAGCCAAAGAGAATTCTGGTGCTAACAAGGTATATTACTACCTGTTTTTTTAGAGAGTTGTCATTGTTTAGCTGGAAATATAGTACTTTAGTTGCCAGGCAAAAGATGTCTATCATAAGCAATAATTCTTTTACATAAATTTATCTGAGATTTTGAGAAATTCAGCTGATCCTCATTTACATCTATAATGCTTTCCTTTTGACTGCGCTGATTCTAAAACATTGGTTATGACTGTGTTATATTGTTAATTTATACAGTAGCACACTTGTTTATACACAATTGGTTCAGCTGCCATGTGGGGCAGTTTGAAGACGACCATACTGCTACACTTTCCATAAATTCTTGTTTAAAACAGTAAAATATTTTTAGATTGCTGAGGTAGTAGGACTTTTTCAAGATGATTGAATATACCTTATTTTGTGTTAAATCATTGGTGTTTTGTTTTTGTTTTGTTTTGTTTTTGAGGCAGAGTCTTACTCTGTCACTCAGGCTGGAGTACAGTGGCATGATCTCGGCTCACTGCCTCCCAGGTTCAACCTCCGCCTCCCGGGTTCAAGCGATTCTCCTGCCTCAGCCTCCCAAGTAGCTGGGATTGTAGACACGCACCACCTTGCCCAGCTAACTCTTGTATTTTTCATAGAGATGAGGTTTTACTATGTTGCCCAGGCTGGTCTCAAACTCCTGACCTCAAGTGATCCACCCGCCTCAGCCTCCCAAAGTGCTGGGATTACAGGCATGGGCCACTGTACCCACCCTCATTGGTGTTTTTATGTCTTTCTTCATATACAATCACACTTAAGTAAAAAGTATTTTCCCGAATTTTGTTTTACATCACTTTATGTCTATTCAGCTTAACTTCATATAAATGAAATAAAGCTATTTATTTTATGGGCACAGTTAATACTTCATTAATGATGTTTAATACTTCATTAATGATGTTTTGGTAGTAGTTAAAAGTGGGTCCTGAAGATTGACTTCCAGGATTCCCATCTTACCTTTGCCATTTACTAGCTGTATAATTTTAAGCAACTTGTAAACAGTTTTGTGCCTTACATTTTCAACTTTAAATGGAGATTATATTAATATCTACCTGCTAGCCTTATTCTGAATATTAAATTAGATCCCTCTGATGAAGTTCATAGTTAAAACAATTTCTGGGACATAGGACACTTGATTTTTATTATAATTTCTGTCCTTGATGTTTGATAATTTCTGTATAGTTTTGATTGGTAACTACATTTCTAGTAATAAGAGTATTTGAATTAGTCTAATTCTTGATGAGGCAGGTTTCCATTTACTGTGTTTATTTTGGGCTCTTATTAGCAATTTGTAAAGAATATGGTTTCAAAGAATCTAAAGGTATTGTACATGTGAATCATGTGTGTGTGTGTTTGTGTGTTTGTGTGTGTGTTAGCACTTAGCATTTTTGTATTTGAAATGTTGGAGTGTTTCAACCTGTTTCCTATTTGGGAGATTGTCAAGTTAAAGTGCTCTACTATTTTGGAAAATTGTGTTAAAACTCTATGCTGTTCTATTTTCTTATATTCCTAGTTTATCTAAGTCATGCTTTCAATAGGTGGACACTTCACAATTATAAAATCACTGAATTAGAACCACGAATCTTTCATTATGGTAATTTGTGTTTTCATATTTGTGTCTAGTATTTAGGATAATGTTCCAAACTTTATAGAGCATATTTTTTGTTTTATTCTAATAAGACATGAAGCACAAAACTCAGAGATATGGTAATACCTTGGTTTTTCTGACATGTTGTCAGAAAATGATGCATTCCAATAAACACAATTTTTAGGTGATTTTTTTCCTATAGTTTTTGTCTCCCATCTTTGTGTTCTGAAGAAGTGCAGAGTAAATATAATATAAACTCTTTATGATAAAGGGCCACCATTAGAGATATGTATTAATTTACTGCCCCGTGAGTGACACAACACTGTCCTCAAGGTATATTAGAATATGTAGCCCCACTCTACTATGTACTAAATGGATCCAGACAGCTGTCTTTTTTTGAATTCTCATTTCTACTCTTATTCCTTACTGCTGGCAATGTGCCTACTTCTAGAAAGCTAATCTTTATTTGCTGATTCTGACGGTAAGCCATGCATGCCAGAATTGTGTCTAAATAACACCAGGATAGTGCTTGAGTGAGGACTTGATATTTTCCCAAGCGCAGTTCATGAGATGAGGGAGGTGTTATTGTATATAGTTAGGCTACTGGCTGTAGGAACTATTTTTGACTTTTGGTACACTATTCTAATATACAGTCAAAGGACTTATATATTTAATATTTTTTTTTTTTTTTTTTTTTTTTTTTTTTTGAGACGGAGTCTCGCTCTGTCGCCCAGGCTGGAGTGCAGTGGCGGGATCTCGGCTCACTGCAAGCTCCGCCTCCCGGGTTCACGCCATTCTCCTGCCTCAGCCTCCCAAGTAGCTGGGACTACAGGCGCCCGCCACTACGCCCGGCTAATTTTTTTGTATTTTTAGTAGAGACGGGGTTTCACCGTTTTAGCCGGGATGGCCTCGATCTCCTGACCTCGTGATCCGCCCGCCTCGGCCTCCCAAAGTGCTGGGATTACAGGCGTGAGCCACCGCGCCCGGCCATATTTAATATTTTTAATGTATGCCTAAATGAAGGACTTGAGTGCAAATGTAAACATTACACAGATATTACTGGGTAGATCTGCTAAATCCTTAAAAAGGAGGAATAGAATTCTGAATTTATAAATTAGGCATCTTAAATATAACAATGATTTTCATAGGAACAGGATATAAAGCAGGTCATGGTGGATCCCTATCCCTGGAGATACTTCACAACAAAACTGAAAAAACGACTGTCAACTTTTTGGTAGTGAAGATTTCATGGGCTAGGTAACCATTTGAAAACTCTCTGGGACCTGCTTCTGTTCTCTACTTCAGATATAAACATTGATAGATTGAGTCATTGAGCAATCATTTCTGAATTTATCTACTAAGTCGGAGGCACTGTGGGAGGTTCTGGGGAGGTGAATAAAATAGACATTCGCCTTGTTCCCCTGGAAAGACAGGAATAAAATAATCACACAAATAAATATGTATTCATCAATTATGATATCTTATGAAAGAAAAGTACTGGGTGCTGTGAGCAGTTATTGACAAGAGGAGGTGATTTAAACTGATAATTCAGAGAGGAATTGATAGTCAAGTTGAAATCTAAAGAATGAAGATAAGCTGGAATAAAAGAATCCTCTCTATCAGAGTAAACAGTTCAGGAGAATTTTTGGAGAAATGGAAAATCTTGGCATATTGCCGAAACCAGAAGACGACCAGGGTAACTGGATTGCATTGAGCAAGGTAGAATGTGTTGTAAGATAAAAATGAAGAGAGATGTAAGTGCAGGGTCATGAAGGACCTTGGAAGCCATTGTGAGGATTTGGGGTATTTTTTTTCCAGTGTGAAAACATTCAGAGTTTTAAGTAAGAGATGGGCATAATCACAGTTGAGATTGTAAAAATATTATTTTCTCTGCTATTTATTGATTAATGAAAGCTAGAGAAGAAGTCAGGTGGAAGTGTAGAGATGGGCTATGAGGCTATTGAAGAAATACAGCTAAGGGTGACTAGGAAGCAATGGATAGAAGTGGACAGATTGAAGACATCTTGACCAGTCCTTCAGTTTCATTATCTGTAAACTGGGGATCATTGCTGTGTTTGATATAGGGTTGATATCAGTAAATGTTGGCTATGATTATTTATGTTACCTAATGAAATTTGTACTAGTTGGTTGGTTAATTGAAAAACTTGTTAAAGAAGGGAAATACTGATTAATATACACTTATCTTAAATATTTCATCTCAACTTAAAGCATATAAATACTTATTGTCAATCTTTTGATGCAGAGTTGGGACCATTTGTTGAACGTGAATATATGAGTTGAAGTTCTGAATTGATTTTTTTTTGGTTTCATTTTGTATGAACCATACCCATAGTTACATCCTCTATGATTTTTAGTTTTAATTCTGTTGAAGAGAAGCGAGAATTTAAAAGACATCTGTAAAGGTTTTTATGACACAAGGATGAGGTTGAGAGCCCAGAAATTTCTATTTAAATATTTTTTTCCAATTTTGCACATATGTGATTTAAAAATAACTCATTTAGCAATTTTTCTTTGTGGTTTTCCAAAATATTCTACCTAGTTTTTCTAGAACCAAACTTTTTAAAGTGCAAATTATACCAGTTTATGTAATGTTTCATGGAAATACATAATTTCAATAATAAGTACAACTGGTGTAAGCAGGTTTGGAAACAAATACAACTGACTTCTGATAAGGATATCATTTGACTGGAAGAAGTGAAAATGTAGATAGGATAATACTAGAAATTAATTTCATATTAGCTGCAAGCACTCAGAGTGCCATGGTCCTGAGTCAATGTGCTCTTCTAGAGGAAATGGAGAGTATTGGT
This sequence comes from Homo sapiens, assembly GCF_000001405.40. Lineage (NCBI taxonomy): Eukaryota > Metazoa > Chordata > Mammalia > Primates > Hominidae > Homo > Homo sapiens. The sequence goes on from NC_000012.12 coordinate 77,517,039, forward strand.
TAATGTAGCAGCTAGGTAACTGGAGAATGCTTTTACTAGTTTTTGGAGATAGGATTGACAGACCTTGATGCGGGGCAAGGAAAGGGAGAATCCCAAGGATAAGCAACTATGAGAAGAAGGAACCATTGATCAAGATGGGTGGGAAGATGCAGATGGGATCCAAATGTAATTTTAAGTTTAAGATGCCTGGAAGACATTCAAGTGGCAATGTTAAATGGGCCATTGACCCTGTTGCCCTAAAACTTGGAGTGGTCTTAGCTAGGCTTTGCCTGACAAGTTGGAATGTGATGAGGGCTTGAATCAAGAGGAGGGTGGTCCAGGTGCCCAGCTGGAGTTTGTAGAACATGGAGTCCTGGGGATTGAAGGCCATGTGGTGAGAGGGAAGGTCTGAGTTACGCTTGAGTAAGGAAGTAGAGTGATATAGCTGGAGAAATGGTGCTGATTGTCAGGGGCGAGTGTCAAGATGGAGCTCTTAGTGCAAAATTAGAAAATCACAAGTGTACGGAATTAGGAAATTATAAAGTATGGCAAAATTAAGGTAAATGCTTCAACAGTAAGACTGAAAAATGCCAGGGTGTTAGAATACTATTTATATGCAGTGCTGACTGAATAGTATGTGGGCCAACACGAGAGCTACTGATACAGTCGCCCGGGTATAAACACTAATTTGATTTTCTAGAAATGTCAATGGGCTTTTCATAATGCAGCCTTGATGCAAGGACGTCCTCATAATCAGCGATACACATTTATGAATGTATTGGCCTCTGTTAGGCTGAAGAAAGCAATTTTACCTTCTCTAGAAAGGAACTAAGCTCTTGATCTTGGCCTTATTAATGATACTCTGTAACAAAATAAGCTAACTCTGATCCTACCAATTTATCAACTGCATGGACAACAATACAGATGTTTGATATCACCAGTGCCCTAGACTTGTATTGATATGTGAATTATCCAATTGTGATGGAATTCTTAATGAAAACACAGCATGTTCAGACACTGTTGGAAATTGTAATTAGATCTGAAAATATTTTGTCAATCAAAATGAATATTGTGTTGTTTCAGCTAAGTGGGAAATTGTGGCAAGGAAGGAAGTGTTTATTTTTAGTTGATGAGTATAGCAAATCTGGCCTTTCAATGTAGGTGTGTTATATTGTGATATGAGGGATAATTTGGCTGGCTGGCCATGTGATGGCTTGCTAAGTAATTTCAAACTCAGGAGACTGAAGATTTCCATTTCCTTAAAGACTAAACAGCTGAGTCTTGGTGTCTTTTCTTTTGAAGAGGCAGTCTCTTAAAGGATAGGTTCTTCCTTCTGATGGGAGTATTTATATATTGAATATAAAAGCTAGAAATAGCAACCATTGATTATTTTTGGCCTTACTGCTTTCCTGCAAGGTGAATTTCTTAATGCTTTCATCTTTAATGTACAAATATGCTTGCTTTTTATTAATGTTTTTCTTTAAACACCTATTTTTTAAAACATCCCTGAAGAGATATTCTCATATGAGAAATTAGTTTCTCATGCTTATAATATAATTTTTTAAAATTTTATATTTATAGGGAGCCAAACATTTTATTGTGATTTACCATATTCTCTCACTAGCTGGTCTTTTTGGTTCTCTTTGTCAAAGGTTGATGCCACCATTCAATCACTTGCCCAAGAATGAAACTGGGCTTCCTTTTTGATATCCACTGTTTCTTACTGTTTAATGTGTTCTAAAATCTGTTTAGTACTCTTCATCTCTATAGCCACTACTAAGCCCACTAACTGTCTGCCCTAGATTGTTCTAATAATGGCTTTCTGCTTTGTCTCTACTACCTCTTAACCCATTCTTCCTACTTTGTCAATGTAATATTGCTAAGCTTAACATATAATGCTACCTCCCTGCTTAAAACATCTTGGTCTTGCCATTAGGATAAAAAACAAATTACTTGGTGTGTGTTATATAAATTGTTTCAAGTCCTGATTTCCTATTTATTTAAGAATCTAAAGATTTAAGAATCTTTCTTTCCTTGCATTCTAGGCTCCAGGAATATAGAAACTTAATTTATGTTCTCAAATATTACATGAGTGTGTGACCCCCAAGCCTTCCTACATGACCTTCCTTTGGTTTAGAACATCCTCTCCCTTCCTGTTAGCCTTCAATTGAGATGTTATTATTCAGAGGAAAACGTCTCAGCACTGCAGATAAGGTTAGATGCTCCTACCCATTGTGGCCACTTCAACCATATTGTGACTCTTTTAATTATTTATTGCTATTGCATATTTACTCATCTATACCTCCCTATAGACTGTAAATTTCATTAGGCATGAGACCACATCTCTTCTGATAATCTATTGCTATGTATTTTGGGTTTGTTATGGCAACACCCACTACCAGAAACCAAAGTCTGTTCCAATTGCTGTTTTTCAAAAAAACACCTCAAAACGTAGTGGTATAAAACTACCAATATTTTGTATGCTCATGGATTACATGTGTTAGGAATTTGGACAGGGCATAGTCCAAATGTAGGCATACATTGCCTCTGTCCCATGGTATCTAAGGCATTACCCAGAAAACCGAGAAGGGGAGAGGGCTATTTTAATGGCTAGGGGATAAAATCCTCTGAAGGCTTCTTTATGCACATGTCTAATGCCTAGGCTGGGATAACTTGAAGTCTTAACTGGGGCTTCCAACCAGAGTGCCTACACATGGGCTCTCTCTGGGGTCTGCAGTTATCCAGAGTGTGGTAAAATTGGAATGTTTAGATTTTTTACTTGGCTATCTCAGGACTCCAAGAGCAAGTCAGAAGAAAGTAGAAGCTAAACAGCTTTTTATGGCCCAGTATAGGAAGTCACCTAGCATCACTTCTACTGTACTCTATTGGTCAAAGTCATTGCGTTAGTTTCCTATCATTGCCATTACAAATTAGCAGAAACTTAGTGGCTTAACAAAATGCAAATTTATTTTCTTACAGTTGTAGAGGCCAGAAATCCAAATAGGTCTCAAGGAGCTCAAATCAAGATATAAGCAAGGCTGTGTTCCTTTTGGAGGGTCTAGCAGATAATCTTTTTCCTTGTCTTTTATAACTTCTAAAGATCACCTGTATTCTTTGGCTCATGGCCCCTTCTTCCATCTTCAAAGCCAGCATCATAGCATCTCCAAATCTCTGACTTCCCTGCCTTCCTGTTTGACTTTAGGGACCCTTGCTATTACGTGGCCCACAGAGTTAATCCAGGATAACGCACCTATCACAAGATCAGTTGATTAACAACCTTAACCACCTAGACTCTTAATTCCCTCTTGCCATGTAACAAAACATATTCACAGGTTTCAGTGATTAGAACTTGAACATCTTTGGGGACCACTGAGGTCAATCTCATCCAGATTGAAGGTGACTCTTAGGAGCAGGGATTAGATTCTGAGACTTGGCCCTTGCACAGAAGGCCCTCACATGCAAGGACACAAACTCGTTGCTCATACAGAGAAAAAATGACCACTATGAAGAGACCAGAGCTCCAGACTGGATCCTTTCTCCACTGAACAAGGCAAGGGGATATAGACTCTACTTCTTGATGGGAAGAGAGTCACATAATTTACAAACATATATTAAAACCACCATGTATATTTTGCTCACATTACTGTACATTTCTGGCACGTTGACAAATAGACAATTCATGATTTTAATGCACTTAATATCTGTGTAATGATAGAATTGAATAATGCTAAATATTCTACAGGAAAACCAGAAAAAAATAATGTGAAAACTAACAGTATAGGAGATACTAAAATGAAGTGTGTACATTTTAATAATTCTAGATTTTTTTTGGTTGCTAGCTCTCTATTTAAACAAGTATACTCAGTGATTACTAATGAGAAGCAGTGATGTGTCAATGTTAGTATTGTGAACACCCTAGGGAGGCATACTTATGTATATGTTGTGATATCTCTGGGCTATAAAAAGCTGAAGAAAATAAGAAGTAGAAGGGAATGTGTAATGAATATAACAAATGATAAAAAGAGAGAGGAACCAGAGTGGCAGTAAACACAATGAAGGCTTCAAAATAAGTGTGAGTTACGGAGCGAATTGTGTCCCCGAAATACATATATTGAAGCTATAAATTCTCAATGTGACTATATTTGGAGTTAATGCTTTTAGGAAAATAATTAAGGTTAAATGAGGCCTTAAGGGTGGTGCCCTAATCACATTGTACTGACATCCTCATGACAAGAAAAAGATATACCCGAGATGGATTTCTAAGTGTGCACAGAGTAAAGGCCATGTGAGGACACAGCGAGAAGGCAGTCATCTACAGGCCAGGAAGAGTGGCCTCATCAGAAACCAGCCCTGATGCCATCTTGAACATCAATGCCTAGCCTCCAGTACTATCAGAAAGTAAATTTCTGTTGTTTAAGCTGCCCCATCTGTGATATTTTGTTATGGCAGCCTGAGCAGACTAATACAGTGTGCTTAAAAAGTAGATGAATGGTTTGAGTTAAACTTTCCATAGTATTAGTCAATGTCGAGGGCTTCATTAACTGATGATCATACACACAGTTCCTACATGGCAGTGCTTGCTTCTTGTTTTTGGGAGTACATGGGAAATATGACCCTCAGAAGTGAGGAACTTTGCATCATGAATGCCACTGATTAGTCACCCAGCAACAGGTCACTTCATCCAGTTAATGTGGTAGTTCCCATATGTTTGGGCAGGAAAAAAAATCTCATAACTCATTGTTTTTCTTACTTTTGAATTAAAAACTCATGTGAAAATCCAGTTCTTTTTCTGGTTTTGGCATCTTCTACTAATTAATATTAACTTGAAAAGTGCTTGGAAAACAGCTTGGCTAACTTCAGTCAAAAGCATGTAAGGAATGTATTCATGGACAGAGATCTGTGGAAGTAGTGGGGTGGTGTCTTCCAGGCAAGAAGACAAGTTATGATAATATTAATGATGTTAAAATCCACCTGCTAAAACAAGCCCATTAAATCAAGCAATTATGTAATTTGTATTGATCCAACTATTTAACAGACAGAAAGCTGTTTATTTTTCATTCAAGGAGAAATCATATTAGAAAACAAAATAAAAATCTTTAGTAATATCTTTGGAACTGATGATATAAGTGAGGATTTTTTTTTTCAAGCATGAAATACTGTGGATACTTTAAGCAAATACATGAATTTGAAGCTTATGGTGTAGTTCCCAGGATGAAAGGAATTCTATAAACAAAGCTTCCAATAGACAGGAACCAGGAATATCTATGTCGCTCTTGGGAGTAAAATCATTTTAATCATCTCTTTCCTGGCAACTTTATGGAGATAAATGAAGTGAAATGGTTTATTCTGCCCTTGCATCACCCTGCTTGAATTTCTAAGAGCCAATATTTCAAGTTGCCCCTGCATATTACCTGTATATGAATGGCAAGAGAAAAGAACCTAGAGGAAACCTTCAGGAACCCCTTGGGTAGTGGAAGGGTAGAGTATCTTGATTTACTGTTCCACCAAGATATTACATAGGGAGGGAAAGTGATTTCCTAAAATGAAACTGCATGTTATTAGCAAATCAAATGCCTATCAGGCAGCTCCAAGGCAAGATCTATCTACTACATGCATTGTTCTATCTTCATGAATTTAAGGGCTTAAAAGCAGTCTAATTTTGCATAATTAGTCCAGTTATTGCGCACAGATTATCTTCCAATGAGTGAACAACTGTAAGTAAAGCTTGTAACAAACTGAATGTGTGCATTAAAACTGCCTTCATAGTGTTATGATATGCTTAGCAAAATACCTAGCAAATAAAGATTAGATCTTAAAAAATCATTATCTTTGAAATGAAAATCATTTTGGAATTGGTACCAGCTTAACAGAATTTGGAGTGAGAACCACAAGAAACTCTTATAAAGATAAACTACATTAAAAAATATCTAATAATAGAAAAATTAGAAAATTTGGTTGCAATCTCAACAGATACTATGTTTGCCTTTAAGAAGACATAGAGTGTTCAAAAATGATAGTAAGCCAATTCAGTGGTGAAAAAATACTATTCAACAAGTGGGGCTGGGACAACTAGACAGTCACATGCAAGAGAATGAATTTAGAACCTACTTCATGCAGAAATTATGAAATATACAGAAGTTAACTCAAAATATAGATCTAAATGTAAAACTTAAAACTACTAAAAGCTTAGAAGAAAACAGGAGTAGATTTTCACAATCTTGGATTAGACAATGGTTTCTTAGGTATGACACCACAAGCACAAACAACAAAAGGGGAAAGAGATAAATCGGACTTTATCAAAATTAAAAACTGTGGTGTTCAAAAGGATACTGTCAAGAAAGTGAGCCAACAAACCACAGAATGAGAGAAAATATTTGCAGTTTATGCATCTCATAAGGGACTTGTACAGGTTATATAAAGAACTCTTATAACTCAATGAAAGGATAAGTAACCCAATTAAAGAATAGACATGAGGCTGGCAAGATGGCTGAATAGGAACAGCTCTGGTCTGCAGCTCCCAGTGAGATCAATGCAGAAGGTGGATGATTTCTACATTTCCAAATAGGGTCCCGGTTCATCTCATTGGGACTAGTTGGACAGTGGGTGCAGCCCATGGAGGGCAAGCCAAAGCAGGGTGAGGCATCACCTCACCCAGGAAGCTCTTGGGATTGGGGAATTTTCTCCACTACCCAAGGGAAGCCGTGACACAACTGAGCCTGAAGAACTCTGGCACAGATACTGAGCTTGCCCCATGGTTTTCGCAACCTGCAAACGAAGAGATTCCCTCCATTGCCTACCCCACCCGGGCCCTGGGTTTCAAGCACAAAACTGGGCGGCCATCTGGGCAGACACCGAACTAGCCACAGGAGTTCTTTTTTTCCATACCCCAGTGGCACCTGGAATGCCAGTGAGACAGAACTGTTCACTCCCCTGGAAAGGGGTGCTGAAGCCAGGGAGCCAAGTGATCTGGCTCGGCAGATCCCACCCCCACAGAGCCCAGCAAGCTAAGATCTACTGGCTTGAAATTCTCGCTGCCAACATAGCAGCAGTCTGAGATTGACCTGGGACTCTCAAACTTGGCCGGGGGTGGGGCGTCTGCCATTGCTGAGGCTTGAGTAGGTGGTTTTACACTTACAGGGTAAACAAAGCTGCTGGGAACTTCTAACTGGGCAGAGCCCACTGCAGCTCAGCAAGGCTGCTGTGGCCAGACTGCCAGATTTCCCTTCTCTGGGCAGGGCGTCTCTGAAAAAAAGGCAGCAGCCCCAGTCAGGGACTTATAGATAAAACCCTCATCTCCCTGGGACAGAGTACCTGGGGAAAGGGGTGGCTGTGGGCACAGCTTCAGCAAACTTAAACGTCCCTGCCTGAAGACTCTGAAGAGTGCAGTGGACCTCCCAGCACAGCGTTCGAGTTCTGCTTAGGGTCAGACTGCCTCCTCAAGTGGGTCCCTGACCCCGGTGTATCTTGACTGGGAGACACCTCCCAGTAGGGGCCAACAGACACCGCATACAGGAAAGCTCTGGCTGGCATTTGTCAGTTGCCCCTCTGGGACAAAGCTTCCAGAGGAAAGATTAGGCAGCAATCCTTGCTATTCTGCAGCCTCCACCAGTGATACCCAGGCAAACAGGGTTAAGAGTGGACCTTCAGCAAACTCCAGCAGACTGGCAGCAGAGGGGCCTCACTGTCAAAAGGACAACTAACAAACAGGAATAGCATGCCCACTCAAAGACCCTATTAGAAGGTCACCAACATCAAAGACCAAAGGTAGACACATCCACAAAGATGGGGAGAAATCAGCACAAAAAGGCTGAAAATTCCAAAAACCAGAATGCCTTCTTCTCCCAAGGATCACAACTCCTTGCCAGCAAGGGAAAAACACTGGACGGAGAATGAGTTTGATGAATTGACAGAAGTAGGCTTCAAAAGGTGCGTAACAGCAAACTCCTCTGAGCTAAAGGAGCATGTTCTAGCCCAATGCAAGGAAGCTAAGCACATTAAAAAAAGGTTAGACAAATTGCTAACTAGGATAACCAGTGTAGAGAAGAACATAAATGACCTGATGGAACTGAAAAACACAACACAAGAACTTCGCGAAGCATATGCAAGTTTCAATAGCTGAACTGATCAAGCAGAAGAAAGGATATCAGTGATTGAATATCAACTTAATGAAATAGAGAGAGAAGGCAAGATTAGAGGAAAAAGAATAAAAAGGAATGAACAAAGCCTCCAAGAAATATGGGACTATGTGAAAAGACCAAATCTACGTTTGATTGGTGTACCTGAAAGTGACAAGGAGAATGGAACCAAGTTGGAAAACACTCTTCAGGATATTATCCAGGAGAACTCCCCCAACCTAGCAAGACAGGCCGACATTCAAATTCAGGAAATACAGAGAACACCACAAAGATACTCCTCAAGAAGAGCAACCCCAAGACACACAATCTTCAGATTCACCAAGGTTGAAATGAAAGAAAAAATGTTAAGGACAGCCAGAGAGAAAGGTTGGGTTACCCACAAAAGCAAGCCCATCAGCCTAACAGTGTATTTCTCTGCAGAAACCCTATAAGCCAGAAGAGAGTGGGGGCCAATATTCAATATTCATAAAGAAACCCAGAATTTCATATCCAGCCAAACTAAGCTTCATAAGCGAAGGAGAAATAAAATCCTTTACAGACAAGCAAATGCTGAGGGATTTTGTCACCACCAGGCCTGTCTTACAAGAGCTCCTGAAGGAAGCACTAAACATGGAAAGGAACAATTGGTACCAGCCACTGCAAAAACATTGACACTATGAAGAAACTGCATCAACTAATGGGCAACATAACCAGCTAGCATCATAATGACAGGATCAAACTCACACATAAAAATATTAACCTTAAGTGTAAATGAGCTAAATGACCCAAGTAAAAGACACAGACTGGCAAATTGGATAAAGAGTCAAGACTCATCAGTTGCTCTGTTCATTCAGGAGACCCATCTCATGTGCAAAGACGCACATAGGCTAAAATAAAGGAATGGAGGAATATTTACCAAGCAAATGGAAAGCAAAAAAAAAAAAAAAAAAAAAAAAAAGCAAGAGTTACAATCCTAATCTCTGATAAAACAGACTTTAAACCAACAAAGATCAAAAGAGACAAAAAAGGCATTACATAATGGTAAAGGGATCAATGCAGTAAGAAGAGCTAACTATTCTAAATATATATGCACCCAATACAGGAGCACCCAGATTCATAAGCAAGTTCTTAGAGACCTACAAAGAGACTTAGATTCCCACATAATAATAGTGGGAAACTTTAACACCTCACTGTCAATATTTGACAGATCAATGAGACAGAAAATTAACAAGGATATTCAGGACTTGAACTCAGCTCTGGACCAAGTGGACCTAATAGACATCTAAAGAAATCTCCACCCCAAATCAACAGAATGTACATTCTTCTCAGCACCTCATCACACTTATTCTAAAATTAACCACATAATTGGAAGTAAAACACTCCTCAGCAAATGCAAAAGAACGGAAATTATAACAAACAGTCTCTCAGACCACAGTGCAATCAAACTAGAACTCAGGATTAAGAAACTCATTCAAAACCCCACAACTACATGGAAACTGAACAACCTGCTCCTAAATGACTGCTGGGTAAATAACGAAATGAAGGCAGAAATAAATATGTTCTTTGAAACCAATGAGAATGAAGACACAACATACCAGAATCTCTGGGACACATTTAAAGCAGTGTGTAGAGGGAAATTTATAGCACTAAATGCCCACAAGAGAAAGCAGAAAAGATCTAAAATTGATGCCTTAACATCAACATTAAAAGAACTAGAGAAGCAAGAGCAAACAAATTCAAAAGCTAGCAGAAGACAAGAATAACTAAGATCAGAGCAGAACTGAAGGAGATAGAGACGCAAAAAACCCTTCAAAAAGTCAGTGAGTGCAGGAGCTGGTTTTTTGAAAAGATCAACAAAATCGACTGCTAGTCAGACTAATAAAGAAGAAAAGAGAGAAGAATCAAATAGATGCAATAAAAACTGTTATAGTGGATATCACCACTGATCCCATAGAAATACAAACTACCATCAGAGAATACTATAAACACCTCTATGCAAATAAACTAGAAAATCTAGAAGAAATGGATAATTTCCTGGACATTTACACCCTCCCAAGTCTAAACCAGGAAGAAGTCAAATGCCTGAATAAACCAATAACAAGTTCTGAAATTGAGGCAGTAATTAATAGCCTACCCACCAAAAAAGTCCAGGACCACACGGATTCACAGCTGAATTCCACCAGTGGTACAAAGAGGAGCTGGTACCATTTCTTCTGGAACTATTCCAAACAATAGAAAAAGAGGGAATCCTCCCTAACTCATTTTATGAGGCCAGCGTCATCCTGATCTCAAAACCTGGCAGAGACACACAAAAAAAGACAATTTCTGGCCAATATCCCTGTTGAACATCGATGCGAAAATCCTCAATAAAATACTTGCAAACCGAATATAGCAGAATATCAAAAAGCTTATCCACCACAATCAAGTTGGCTTCATCCCTGGGATGTGAGACTGCTTCAACATATGCAAATCAATAAACGTAATTCATCACATAAACAGAACCAATGACAAAAACCACATGATTATCTCAGCAGATGCAGAAAAGGCCTTCAACAAAATTCAACACCCCTTTATGCTAAAAACTCTTAATAAACTGGGTATCGATGGAACGTATCTCAAAATAATAAGAGTTATTTATGAAAAACCCAAAGGCAATATCATACTGAATGGACAAAAACTGGAAGCATTCCCTTTGAAAACCAGCACAAGACAAGGATGCCCCCCCTCACCACTCCTATTCAACATAATATTGGAAGTTCTGGCCAGGGCAATCAGGCAAGAGAAAGAAATAAAGGGTATTCGATTAGGAAGAGAGGAAGTCGAATTGTTCCTGTTTGCAGATGACATGATTGTATATTTAGAAAACCCCATCGTCTCTGCCCTCCTTAAGCTGATAAGGAACTTCAGCAAAGTCTCAGGATACAAAATCTATGTGCAAAAATCACAGCATTCTTATACACCAATAACAGACAGAGAGCCAAATCATGAGTGAACTCCCATTCACAGTTGCTTCAAAGAGAATAAAATACTTAGGAATCCAAATTACAAGGGATGTGAAGGACCTCTTCAAGGAGAACTACAAACCACTGCTCAACGAAATAAAAGAGGATACAAACAAATGGAAGAACATTCCATGCTCATGGATAGGAAGAATCAATATCGTGAAAATGGCCATACTGCCCAAGGTAATTTATAGATTCAATGCCATCCCCATCAAGCTACCAATGACTTTCCTCATAGAATTGGAAAAAACTACTTTAAAGTTCATATGGAACCAAAAAAGAGCCCACATTGCCAAGTCAATCCTAAGCCAAAAGAACAAACCTGGAGGCATCATGCTACCTGACTTCAAACTATACTACAAGGCTACAGTAACCAAAACAGCATGGTACTGGTACCAAAACAGAGCTATAGACCAATGGAACAGAACAGAGGCCTCAGAAATAACACCACACATCTACAACCATCTGATCTGCAACAAACCTAACACACACAAGCAATGGGGAAAAGACTCACTATTTAATAAATGTTGTTGGGAAAACTGGCTAGCCATATGCAGAAAACTGAAACTGGATCCGTTCCTTACACCTTATACAAAAATCAACTCAAGATGGATCAAAGACTTAAACGTAAGACCTAGGACCATAAAAATCCTAGAAGAAAACCTGGGCAATACCATTCAGGACATAGGCATGAGCAAAGAGTTCATGTCTAAAACACCAAAGGAAATGGCAACAAAAGCCAAAATAGACAAATGAGATCTAATTAAACTAAAGAGTTTCTGCACAGCAAAAGAAACTATCATCAGAGTGAACAGGCAATCTACAAAATGGGAGAAAATTTTTGCAATCTATCCATCTGGCAAAGGGCTAATATCGAGAATCTACAAATAACTTAAACAAATTTACAAGAAAAAAACAACCCCATCAATAAGTGGGCAAAGGACATGAACAGACACTTCTCAAAAGAAGATATTTATGCAGGCAACAGACATAAGAAAAAATGCTTCATCACTGGTCATCAGAGAAATGAAAATCAAAAACAAAATGAGATACCATCTCACGCCAGTTAGAATGGCGATCATTAAAAAGTCAGGAAACAACAGATGCTGGAGAGGATGTAGAGAAATAGCAATGCTTTGACACTATTGGTGGGCACGTAAATTAGTTCAACCATTGTGGAAGAGAGTGTGGCAATTTCTTAAGGATCTGGAACTAGAAATACCATTTGACCCAGCAATCCCATTACTGGGTATATACCCAAAGATTTTAGATCATTCTACTATAAAGATGCATGCACACATATGTTTATTGCGGCACTATTCACAAGAGCAAAGACTTGGAACCAACTGAAATATCCATCAATAATAGACTGGATAAAGAAAATGTGGCACATATACACTATGGAATATTATGCAGCCATAAAAAAGGATGAGTTCATGTCCTTTGCAGGGACATGGATGAAGCTGGAAACCATCATTCTCAGCAAACTACCACAAGAACAGAAAACCAAACACCTCATGTTCTCACCCATAAGTGGGAGTTGAGTCCCACTTATGAGAACACATGGACATAGGGAGGGGCACATCACACACTGGGGCCTATTGGGGGCTGGGGGGCCAGGGAAGGAATAACATTAGGAGAAATGCCTCATTTAGGTGACAGGTTCATGGATGCAGCAAAACACCATGGCATGTGTATACCTATGTAACAAAACTGCACATTCTGTACATGTACCCCAGAACTTAAAATGTAATAAAAGTATATACACATATATGTAATTTTTAAAAATAGGCACAATATTTCAATAGATGTTTCTGTAGAGAAGGTATACAAATGTCCAGTAACCACCTGAGAGCAATATTAGTAATTAGAGAAAAGCAGGTCACAACAATAATGAGATACTACTGCACATCTCCTAGGATGGCTAAAATAAGGACAATAACAAGTGTTGTGAGGAGGTAGAAATGTTAGAACACTCATACATCACTGGTGGGATTGTGGAATGGTACAGTCATTTTGGGAAACAGATTGGTAGTTTTTTCAAAATGTTAAACATAGACTTACCATATGACAAAGAAATTCCATTCCTAAGATAAATGCCCAAGAGAAATGATAACCTATGTCCACACAAAAATCTGTATGTGAATGTTTATAGTAGTTTTATTCAAGTAGCCAAAAAGTAAAAAAAGCCCAATTATGTATCAGCTGATAAATGGATAACAAAATGTGATATATCCATACAATAGATTATTTGACAATTAAAAATGAAATACTGATATATTTTACATTATGGATGAACCCAGAAAACACGGTAAGTGAAAGAAACTAGTCACAAAAGATCACAGAATATATGATTACTTAATCATAAGTAATCTTGGATTAGACACCCTTGGCCTTGCTTTTTTTTTTTTTTCTTTTTTAGAGACAGGATCTCACTCTGTTGCCCAGGCTAATGTGCACTGGTACAACCTCAGCTCACTGCAGCCTCGACCTCTCAGGCTCAAGCCATCCTTTCACATCAGCCTCCTGAGTAGCTGAACTTACGGGTGTGTGCCACCATGTCCAGCTATTTTGTTTTTTAATTTTTTTTGGTAGAACTGAGGTCTCACTGTGTTGCCCAGGCTGGTCTCAAACTCCTGGGCTCACAAGATTCTCTTGGCTGGGCATGGTGGCTAATGCCTGTAATCTGAGCACTTTGGGAGGCCGAGGTGGGTGGATCACCTGAGGTCAGGAGTTTGAGACCAGCCTAATCAACATGGTGAAACCCCGTCCCTACTAAAAACACAAAAATTAGCCAGGCATGGCGGCACGCATCTGTAGTCCCAGATCTCAGGAGGCTGAGGCAGGGGAATCGCTTGAACCTGGGAGGCAGAGGCTGCAGTGAGCTGAGAGTGCACCACTCACTCCAGCCTAGGCGACAGAGCAAGAAAAAAAAAAAAAAATTCCTGCCTCAGAGTCCCAAAGTGCTGGGATTACAGGTGTGGGATTACAAGACGCCTGGCTGGCTTTGATTTTTAAAAGTGAATGTGGTGGTACCTAGGGTGATTTCTGCCTTGTGCTGGCTCTGGCTGCTGTGTATGGAAGATCTAGGCCTTCCTTCTCGTTCTAGAGTCATGACAAAAGGTAGTACAAAATATTATGTAATAAGTATCTGCTATGGTGGCGGGTGTCTGTAATCCTAGCTACTCAGGAGGCTGAGGGAGGAGGCAGGAGAATCACTTGAACCTGTGAGGCGGAGGTTGCAATGAGCCGAGATCGGGCCATTGCACTCCAGCCTGGGTTACAGAGTGAGACTCAGTCTCAAAAACAAAACAAAACAAAACAAAACAAAACAAAACAAAACAAAACAAAAAAAGCTGCCGTGCTTCAAGTCAACAGTGTTTATTGAGTACCTGCTAGTGTGATGGCTTGCGTGCTAGACAAAAATACAAAGATGGCTGTGAGGCATTTTCGTTATTCAAAAACTCATTTGCTTATAGTCTTAGTTATCACTCTGCTGACAAAATTGCTAAAGGATAGAGAACAGGAGGGATTCTCTCTATTCTGAATTTTAATGTAGATACTATACTATATAAAAATTAATGGGAAGCTATTAATTTCTGTATTAAGAATAATTTTAGCCTGGGTGTTGGCTCATGCCTATAATCCCAGCAATTTTAGAGGCCGAGTTGGGAGGATTACTTGAGGACAAGAGTTTGAGACCAGCCTGGGCAACATAGTGAGACCTCATTTCTTCAAAAAACTTTTTTAAAAAATTAGCTAGGCACTGTGCTGCACACCTTTACTCTCAGTTATTTGGGAGGCTGGGAGGATTGTTTGAGGCAGGGGTTGGAGGTTACAGTGAGCTGTGATCATGCTACTACACTCCAGCCTGGGTGACAGAATGAGACCTTGTCCTGGTCTCTAAAAAACAAAAATAATACAAGGATCTTTATTCACTTAATTTGATTATTTAATGCTGTAGCAAATTAGCTATATAATTAAATATATTAAATTAATTAAATAGCAAATATATTAAATATTAAATAGCAAATTAGCTATCTAGAGAAATGTGACTGATAATAATAAATGAGAATTTTTGGCCTACTTTATTTTGTATATTATATTTGCTAATAGTAGAAATAATCTGCCTCTAGATATCAAAATGTTAAAAGTTATGATCTGTTTTCAACAGATATGCTCAAAATATTTCAAAAGTAATTCTGCATTTGCAATAAAATAACATTCTGTGATATTTTACTTTGGAGTAATTAACATCATCATGCATTGTAACTTAATTCAGCTAAAGGCAAAAAATCTATTTTGTGTGGATGTTTCCTTCCCATTGTCATATTTCCCTTTTGGGAAAAAATGTATGCACTGTTCTCAATATAACAAGATATTAAAAGAATGAGATAAGAGTAGTTTATTTCAACACATGTATTCAGTATATAAAATACGGTTGTCAAGGAAGGGAGTAAAAGCAAGCAGTGTAAATGAGTTCAGGACAAATAGGAAGAGTGAGTTAAGATAAATGAAAAGAACAGATTTTGGGGGCCCTTTGATATATTTCCATGTCCTTGGTTCCTTTCAGTCGCTATTTCTGCTGATGAAATTTTGTAACTTTGAATTGTATGGATCTGTGCTACTCAATAATGTTTCCGGTAAAGGTTAAAAAATGAAATATGCTCTCTTTAATGTGTTTTAATGAAAACTGTGTAAGTATATACATATTACTCTTGTCATAGATAGTTTTATTTAAAAATATATGAAAACTCCAGAATAATTCCATTATTTAATATAACTGCATGTCTAATTCTATTGGCAAAAAGGAAAAAGTTGATCACTTATTACAGATAAATGATTCTTCCAGGTAGCTAGACTGTTTTATTTATCATAATAATTTGATTGACTAAAAATATAAACATGCCAAAAGATGACACATTTACTTCTTTTCTATGGTTATCCTAATCTGGCTTATATTAATATAACAATGGATTACATTTTCATCTTTATTATGAGGCATAAGATCCCTTTGAAGTCATTTGTCAAAAGTAAAAGGAAGACCTCAGTATTATTTCACCACCCATGTGATGTGATTTTTAAAAATACATTGAGTGTCTACAACTCCATAATTTAAAGCAAATGTTATGAAACACATATATAACAGATTTCCAGTTCTAGATAATTTGACAATTATCACATATTTATTACACAGGCAAAAACATTCTTGAAAATTTTGTTCTGTTTTTTATATTGTGGCATTTCCTTGGCACACTTCTTAATGACAAAAAGTGAATTTAACCAGTAATAGAGTCCCCAAACTTAAAAGTCTATTCAAGGATGGTTTAAGGGCAGATATATGTGAACATTTTGAGAAGGATGCAAATGTCATTCTATATTTTTAATTGATGTGTTAAATAATTTCTTGGATTCTGATCATGGCAATAAAATATCACAAAATATTTTATAGAAAATAGGATCAGAAGTATATTTCATGTTTTTCAACATTACATGAATATGATTTGATGGGAAGAAGAGACAGAGACAGAGAAGGAGAGGGAAAAAGAGAAAGGAGGAGAGAGATTTTACTACTCTGCGTTTTAGAGTTTAATACATGGTTATTCAACCTGAGGCTATAACGCTTGATGTATCTTAAAAAACATTATTTTTTATATAATGGTTAGTATAAGCCCTGCAAAATTTAGTCTAACCAGCTATATTCTGGAATATATATGTTCAGTGATACCATTTTTAAAAAATGAGGATGCTAGTATAGTCATATTTTTACTTTATTAATAAATTGGGAGATTTTTGATAGAGAAAGGAAGGCACAATGTGACCTGTTTTATTGCATGATATAAAGAAAAATCTTATTATACTATTACTCAATATATGTCTCTACCACAAATTTGCATGATAATTTCAGCTAGAAACATCAGTATTGTAAAATTTCTGATCAGTCAACAGTATATTACTAAATTGCCACTTACACACTCAAGATTTATTAAATATGCAAAAGAACTGGAAACAGAATTTTGAGATGTTTGTTTACCTATGTTTGGTGCAGCATTATCCACAATAGGCAAGATATAGAAGCAACCTAAATGTCCATCAACAGATAAAGAAAATGTGGTAAATATACATCACTGAATATTATTCAGCACTAAAAAGGAAGTTTGTCACATGGTGAAATAAGTGAAATAAGCCAGTCATAAAAAAAACTTCTTCATGATGCTAGATGATTCTACTTATATATCTGGAGTAGCAAACTCAAAGAAACAGAAAATAGAATGTGGTTGCCAGGGGCTAGGGAATTGTCACTATGTATAGAGTTTTAGTTTTGAAAGATAAAAAATTTCTAGAGATCTGTTGTAAGATAATATGCATATAGTTAACAATAATGTACTATACACTTAAAAATGACTAAGATTGTAAATTTTGTTACATATTTTTATCACAAACTCCTCCCACCCCAGCACTCCAAATATACATACACAAATCCACACATATGCTTGGGGCATACAGAAGTAGTGTGACATAGTATTTAGATCCAGCCATTATCCCAGAGATGGATAGAGGTGATACTAGAGAAATTTTCTTCAGAAACTTTGGTAAAATTGGGTATTTTAAAGGTCAGCAGTAACAACAACGTGTGAATCAAACTTTATTATAACAATTTAGAACTGCAAATTTTGAACTGGAAAATTTTTACTTGACAGAGTAATGACCAAAAAGCAGAAACTGTTATGCAGTTTTATTTCTCCAGGAAAATTTTCCATGATCAAAATCTGATGAACAAATAATATCTCTATTTAAAAAATTATCAGATATCGACAGATAGGAAGAATTCCCTGACCTCATCTTGCATAACATAGGGAGTGGAAGACAGATGTCTAAATGAATCCTGGTGATTGCAGCTTCTGCAGGGAATGCTTAGCTAGAGATGTACTGCTGGAGCTCAGGGGAATGAGTGACTGACTCTGCCCAAGGCTTGCGAAGGAGATTTTATGGAGGAGCAAGGATTTAAAGGATGAGCAGTTGCTTCCAAAGTGGAGAAGAATAAATGCTTCTAGGTTAAAAAAAATAAAAGCACAAATAGAGTCCTAGACTTGTGAGCGTGGAGCATACCTTGAGGATGATGAAAGGCACAGCATGTCTAGAGTTCAGGGTGCATAGGTGAGAATATTAGGAGCCAAATTATGGTTCCCTTTGATGGGAAATCTTATACATTTTGGACCTTATTTTTAAGGTGTTGAGCAGTTGTACTAACAGTGATATAATAATAGCAACCACTTATTGGGGACTAACCATGAGGAAATAATTGCTTATTTGCATATATTATTTTATTCTCATTTGGTAAACATGAAAACCGAGGCTAACAGAGGTTAAATATAATAACTTAACTAAGGTCACATAGCAAATGACTTGAGCTAGATTTAGAACCAGACACTGTCAGATTCCAAAGCTTCTGCTCTTAAACAATATAGTACTCTGTTGGCCTTTATGGCATTTTTTAAAGAGGGAAAATATAAATTGATATGAGATGTGTTTTAGGGAAGGTATGATAGTGATAATGTGGTAGAAGATCCTGGACATAAGGTAGATTATGGCAATAATGCAGGTGGAAAATCATGAGTCTGAGTAAAAAGCATTAGTGGGAAGTTGTTGAATCTGAAACTGTTCGGATCTAAGATGTCAGTCTTCTGGGAAACTAACAAGCCACAGTCATGTGTGTATATACACTACTAGAAACACAATACTTCTGGATCAGAGAACAGAAAGTTTCTTCACAGAGCGTCTTTGCAGCACTGGTTCCCCATGTTCCATTCCCCATGAGACAGTGTGTTGAGGGCCAGATATGTTTATGCATACTGGGGTTGCAACAAAGGAGAGGGCCTCCAAAATTATGAAACTGAGAGCTTATGTAGGGCAGCATGGCTGTCTGCATGTCCTCCCCCACTGTGAGAGACAAATCCTGTTTGAGGAAAGGAGGGGAAGGTCCCTAGATTTTTATTACCCTTATAATGTAAGCAAATACTTCTGAATAAGAGTTTAAATATCTGGAAAACTTCCTTATCTCTAACTTTGAATGTTTGATTATCCCTCAATCATCCTCTGACCCAAGCTTGTCCAACCCATGGTCTGTGGGCCACGTGCAGCCTAGGACAGGTTTGAATGTGGCCCAACACAAATTTGTAACCTTTTTTTTTTTTTTTGTAGCTCATTAGCTATCATTATTGTTAGTGTATTTTATATGTGGCCCAAAGCAATTCTTCTTCCAGTGTGACCCAGGGAAGCCAAAAACTTGGACACCCCTGCTCTAATTCCAGTTACCAGTAACTTTTGCCTAAAAAGTCCTGACTGTGGAAATATGAAAATATGATGGAATGTTGTTTCCTAACAGTGGTATGAACAACTGATAGAAAGCAGATAGAATTGTCATACCTTTTAAAAGATGTTGAAATCAGCCTATCATAAGCTTAGAATGCCTACATATGTAAATTGAATAGGACTGTTGTTGAGGTCAAATTACCTGTAGAAATACATTTTCAATGGTAGTCATTAAATCCTCTGGATTACGCAAGTGATAATCTTAGTATGTACTGTCTTAGTATGAGTGCCAATAAATTTGGTTGGAAAAGAATCTTGCTTCTTCCGTATTTTGAGATATTCTAAGAAGTACTGATTAGTGATCAACAGAGAGCCAAGGAACCTTGCTTGTATTCAGAAACCCAGGAATTATTACAATTTTTGGAATATAGCAGCATAATTCTAGAATAAATTCCGTAGAATAAAAATTGCATTGGGTATGAAATTTTTAAAACTATTTTAAAATTTTAGCTGATAATGTATAAGTTTATCCCAAAAACATATAATGGGACTCAGTCCTGTTTTCCTAAAAGAAAAAGAAAAAAGTGAGAACAAATTCCTTTTATGTGTTTCACAGAGATTGTCTAGGCACGTACCAAAAAGAAGGAATCTAATAACAGCATTAAATCAAGAGCATATTGAACCTAGCTGAATCTGACATTTTGAGAGTTCAAAAAATGGTTACCAGTTTCCAGAATAATACAATGTCATTTATTTCCAACACTTTTTCTTTTGTTGGTGTGTGGGTGTTGGTTGAGGGATGATACAGGGGACACAGGGAGAACAGGAAATAGGGAGGAACCATCCAAGGATCTTCCAGTGCTGGCATTTGACATTGAGTAAATATTTTCAACATGTAACATACAAAATGAAGCTGTTAGAGCTTTGTTGTTACATTTCTCCCCACTTCTGTCATTCTCAGAGATATTAGCCTTGATTCTATCCATCACATACCAGAGAGAAGAAGGATATCAATACAAATCATCAAGAAGTGCAACTAGAATATATATACTTCAATATATAGATCTTTTTACTTTTTACATTTTTAATTGAAATGTGATAATATCAATAAAAAGTTGTTTTAAAAGGTTTCATTGTTCTGCCACCATAACACAGCAGTTTGCTTCTTTATATTACCTTCTATCTCACACTCACATATACATAGAAACATTTTTTTGCAAAGCTCTGGTACATATTAGGTACTTAATACATCTTTCCTATTAGCATTATATTTGTTTATTTACTCAACTAGTGGAAAAGAACAAACCAAAAGACTAAAAGTGAGTCAGGTGCAGTGAATCTGTAAGCTCGCCAGAACTACCCTAGGCTGACATTTGTCCTGCTAGTGACAAGACTGAAGGAGTAAGATGATCTCTTCTCATAGCTGTTAGGCAAGATGCAGTTCTAATTTCACATATTTATGTTGATTGCCTCATATCAGCAATTTCACAAGTCCCTTTTGAAAGCTTGATTGTTGCCTCATCAGAATTATTCAGTTTACAATTTAACACATCAATTATTATTGAATGTATATTCCTACATCCTTAATAATCATTTTAAATAAAATGATTTTGCTGCATAAGTCAAAAGGTCTTAGAACTGTTGAGAGCACTCATATATCAGTATGTATTAAGTGAAGTCTCAAATTCTATTGTATACCTGAAGATGCTGCTTCAAATGGAGGTTCTTACTCATCCCTGAAGAGTCTGGTTTAGTAGTCTGGATGTGAGTCTATTAAATTTGTATTTTAAACCATGCCCCAGGTTATTTTGGTGCATATGGTTGTTGGACCGCATTAGAAACTAGTCTGGTTCAAGCACTTATTTAATAGATGAGTGAACTGTGGACCAGGCAAAGTAAATGACTATCAGGGAGGCTGCAGGTAACAAAAATACAGCTCATACTGTGCGGGATAATAAATTTTACTGGCTCACACAGGAGAAAATCCAGCAGCAAGGTGGGCTACAGGTGTGATTCAGTTTGGGCCCAGCTCTAACTCTTTTTGGTCACTGGGCTCTTTCCTTCTCTTTGTTTGGCATGTCACATGATTGCTTTCATGCAGTAGCAAAATGGTTGCAATGGCCATTGGAATTGCCTGCTCCTCGTTCATATTCAGCAGCCACTTCCTATGACTCTCTTAACCCTTCCTGAAGCTTCTCAACTCATTGGCCAGAGTTGAGTCACAGATGCATCTCTAAAGTAATTACTGGCAGAGAAAATAGAATGGCCATGATTGATACAGACTAATTCTTTCTTATTCTTGGAGCTGAGGTTAAATCTATGATTTGCCTTGCTACTTAAGGTGGAATAAATGTAGAATTTGAAAGCTACAATGCCTCATTTTAAAAAAGGAAGAATTATGTTGAATTAAATTTTTGAATGAAAGTATGCAAATAGAAGTTGTCTCTTCTGCAAACTCTTTTTGGTATCATTTTTCATTCCTTTTCCAAACATTATGCTTAGTAATCTTATTCTAGAATAACACTGTAAATTCTATACTTAAAAGCATGTTTAATACATAAGAAAGCACAAACAAGGAATCTTTAATATTATTTAATGAAGTTTCTATTAGGACATTTAATTAACTGTGTCACATTCATGCACACTCAACTTGCTATTTTCAGCAAGGTTCATTATTAATTATACACTGCTTATGTCAGAGACCATATCAGTGCTAAGAAAATGGTGTTGAACCCACATAGACAAGTCTTCGTGCCTGTGAAGTATTTCCAGTTGTGGATTTTGACATGTATGCTGGTAATTACAATATTGCTTTAGTCAGTTTGGGCTGCTATGACAAATGCCATAGACTAGGTGGCTTAAATAACACATATTTCTGCTCTGGAGGCTGGAAGTCCAAGACTAGGGTACCAATATGGTAGAGTTCTTAGTGATGGCTCTCTTCCTGGTTATGTCCTCACATGGCCAGCCTTTGGTGCATGCAAGCAGAAAGAGATCTTGTGTCTTGTCCTTTTTTTTTTTTTTTGTAATGGCATTAATCCCATCATGGAGCTCCACCTTTATGACCTTATCGAAACCTAATTACTCCCCAAAGCTTATCCTTCAAATACTATCACATTATGGGTTAGGGTTTAACATGAACTGGGGAGTGGGACTCATAAACACACAGTCCATAGCGAATATAGTGTGGTCAGTGCTGTGATAGGAATGCCAGAAAGATACAGTGGAAACTGGGTTAGAAGGACTGCTTAACCAATAGTGGGAGGACAGTGTGAAGAACCTGGAGAAAGTAATATTTAAGCTGAAGCCTGAACTTGGAGCAGAAATTAGGTTAAAAGAATGGAAAAGAAAGTTTCCCAAAAAAATGAAGCAGTAACATTACCTTTATTAAACCCTCGGGAGTGCCTTACTTTCTGTTGCTTGGTTTGGGAACTTGGCATTCGGCATTTCAGTGCACTTGGAGCACATGTGGTAGGTGGATGCTTGGTTCAGACTTTTAAGGGACTTTTTAAATTATACTAAAGAGTTGCAAGTGAATGCTCTTTGAGGAGGGAAGTGACATTATGGAATCTATATTTTCAAAGGGTGACTCTCCTCTGTAAATAGTATATTGTAGAAATGTAAGACAGGGAAGGTAAAACCATTTGAAAAGTTCTTGGTGATCCAGTTAGGAATGAAGGCAGCCTGAAGTTAGGCTGAAGGTAGCAGAACTATAAAGAAGTCAGGTTGAAGAGGAATTTAGAAGATTGAATCAGCAGGGATTTGTAATTAAGTGAATGTGGTAGGTTAGGAAGAGGGAGAACTTTAGGGTTAATGCATAAGTTTTTGACTTGAGAAACTGACCAGTTGGTGGTGCTAGCCACTGGGTTGGCCATAAATTGAATGATGCCTATGAACCCTTCTCAATCAAATAGCACCTCTGTGACATAAAGATAAACATATGTGAGTCTGACAAAGTGATACATTTTACATTGTCAACTCTTTTACTCCTAAGTTTTACGTTTTGTCAATGCTGCTAATGTATTTAAACGTTTTTAAAAAGTGTTCATATCTTGTCAACTTTCTCTTGAAGCCCAGCTGACTCCATTACTATTTAAATTATTGACTATCACTTTGACACTTAAACACAGATTAGCGCAGTTACATCATTTTTGAATTGCATAGGGATTTTGCTTATATTTTCGTGTGTCTTTGGTTTTTGTTTTTTATTACTGTGATTATAAACACATGAGAATGCCTTACTATCTATTACTTCTGTATTTATTAATATATCTGAGTGTGTTGATTTAATATAATTTGATTAAAATATATGTAATATAGTCAAAAGATGGCTCACTAGATGCAGCTGGGATGCACATCTTCTCTGGAGAGGAACCAAAATGTCAAGTAAATCTTTACACTTTGAACAGATATTTCAAGAGAAAACACTGAAATTTGATAGAGAGGTGTTTAAAAAAAATACCATGGTTAGAGAGGGAGGGAGTAGGGCTGCCTGCTCAGTGTCACTGGGTGCCGGGACTGGTTCCTAGACTGGATCCAAAGATATGATGAGTGAAGGAACCCCAGTGTGCCACATTACCACCATAGACCTCTGAGATCATAGCTACAGGAGTTCCCACAACCCTCACAGACCTTTAGGCTGGCAGGGGGAGCTGCCTGGAGAACACATAGAGACACTGCTTAAACGTATGTGGAGCCCAAAAAGCTTCAGTGTGCTGGGCAGCTGCAGCAAAACACCACTCTGGGTGCCTACTCCCCAAGGCTCTGTGTCCTGCATTTAGCAGCTGCAGATCCAGTGGTTTGCAAACAAAGTAGCCATTTTTACAACCATTAAAACAGACTTCAAACCAGCAACAGTAAAATAAAGGACATTATATAATGATAAAGGGTTCAATACAATAAGAAAATTTAACTATCCTAAATATATGTGTATCCAACATCAGAGAACCCAGATTCATAAAACAAGTACTATTAGATAAAGAAAATAGATTGACAGCAATTCAAGAATGGTGGGGGAGTTCAGCACTCCACTGAAAACATTAGGCATGTCATCAAGGCAGAAAGTCAATAAAAAAACTGTGAACTTAAACTGGGCTCTACACCGAATGGAACTAATAGACATTTGCAGAACATTCTACCCAACAACCACAGAAGATACATTTTCCTTATCTGTGCACAAAACATTCTCAAAAATTGACCATATACTTATTCATAAAGCAAACTTCGACAAATTCAAAAAATGAAATCATATCAAGTATATTTTCAGACCACAATGTAATAAAATCAGAAATCAATAACAAAAGCAACTCTCAAAACTATACAAGTACATGGAAATGAAACAACTTGCTCCTGAATGACTTTCAGGTAAACAATGAAATTAAGCCAAAAATAAAAAAAAATTCAAACAAAGAAAAATAGAGATACAATATACCAAAACCTCTAGTGTACAGCAAAAGCAGTGCTAAGAGGAAAGTTTATAGTGTTAAATGCCTATTTCAAAAAGATGGAAATCTCTCAAAATAACAACCTGATGTTAGACCTCAAGGAATTAAAAAAACAAAACAAAAACAAACAAAAAAACAAGACAAATCAAACAGAAACCCATCAGAAGAGAAGAAATAACAAAGATCAGAGCAGAATTAAATGAGATTGAGACCAAAAAAAACAAAAACAAAGGATCAATGAAACAAAAAAGTTGGTTCTTTGAAAAGATAAACAAAATTGACAGACTGCTGGCTAATTTAACGACCAAAAAAAATTCAAATAAGCACAATCAGAAATGATAAAGTGACAGACAGCTGATGTCACAGAAATACAAACATCATCAGAGATTACTATAGATATCTATATGTGCCCAAATTAGAAAACATAGTGGAAATAATAAATTACTAGAAAAATACAACTTCCCAAGATTGAACCAGGAGGATACAGAAGTCCTGGACAGACCAACAATGAGTAGTAAAATTGAGTCAGTAATTTAAAAAATCTTCCAACAACAACAAAAAAGCCAAGGACCAGATGGATTCACAACTGAATTTTACCAGATGTACACAGTAGATCTGGTAACAGTCTTACTGAAACTGTTCAAAAAAATTGAGGAGGAGGGATTCCTCCCTAACTAATTCTGTGAAACCAGTATCACCCTGATACAAAAATCAGGCAAGGACACACAACAAAAAAATACTACAGGCCAGTATCCCTGATGAACATAGATGCAAAAGTCTCCAATACATGCTAGCAAATTGAATCCAAGAGCACATCAAAAATAATTCACCATGATCAAGTCGGTTTTATTCCAAGGTGCAAGGATGGTTCAATGTTTGCAAATCATTAAATGTGATTCACCACATATACAGAATTAAAACCCAAAAACATATGATCATCTCAATATGTGCAGAAAAAAATTCAATAAAATTCAACATCCCTTCATGATAAAAACCCTCAACAAACTAAGAATAAAAAAAAAATACCTCAAAATAATGAGTCATCTATGACAGACCCACAGCCAACATAATATTCAATGGGGAAAAGTTGAAAGCATTCTTTCTAAGAACTGGTAAAAGACGAGGATGCCTACTCTCACCACTTCTATTCAATATAGTATTTGAAGTCATAGCCAGAGAAATCAGGCAAGAGAAAGAAATAAAAGGCATCCACATTGGAAAAGAGGAAGTCAAATTATCTCTGTTCACTCATGACAGGATCTTATACCTAGAAAACCCTGAAGACTTCTCCAAAAGACTCCTTGACTTGATAAATAACTTCAGTAAATTTTCACAATACAAAATCAATGTAAAAAATTAGTAGAATTTCCATATAATAACATTCAAGCTGAGAATCAAATTAAGCACTCAATCTCATTTACAATAGCCACAAAAATAAACTACCTACAAATACATTTAACCAAGGAGGTGAAATATTTCTACAAGAAGAACTGCCAAATGCTAATGAAAAAAAATCATAGTGACACAAACAAATGGAAAGACATCTCTTGCTCATGGATTGGAAGACTCAGTATGATTAAAATGGCCTCACTATCCAAAGCAATCTACAGAGCCAACATAATGTCTATCAAATTACCAATGTAATTTTTTACAGAATTAGAGAAAAACAATCCTAACATTCATATGGAACCGAAAAAGGGCCCAAATAGTGAAAACAATCCTAAGCAAACAAACAAACAAACAAACAACAACAAAAAAAA
This sequence comes from Homo sapiens, assembly GCF_000001405.40. Taxonomy (NCBI): domain Eukaryota; kingdom Metazoa; phylum Chordata; class Mammalia; order Primates; family Hominidae; genus Homo; species Homo sapiens. The sequence continues at coordinate 77,543,651 of NC_000012.12, forward strand.
AAGAGCCAGAGGCATAACATTACTTGACTTCAATATGACTGCAAGTCTACAGTAATGAAAACAGCATGCATGGTACTGGTTCAAAAATAGAAACATAGTTTAATGAAACAGAATAGAGAACTCAGAAATAAAGCCACATACCTATGACCAACTAATCTTTGACAAAGCTGACAAAAATAAATGATGAGGATAGGACACTCTATTCAATAAATGGTGTTGGGAAAACTGGCTATCCATATGCAAAAGTATGAAACTGGAACTGTATCTCTTACCATATTCAAAAATCAACTCAAGGTAGATTAAAGACTTAAATGTAAGACCTGAAACTATAAAAGTCCTAGAAGAAAACCTAGGAAAACCTCTTCTGGACATTGATCTAGGCAAAGAATTTAAGACTGAGGCCCCAAAAACAAATGCAACAAAGACAAAAATAGACAAATGAGACTTAATTAAATGAAAAATCTTCAGAACAGCAAAAGAAACTATCAACAGAGTAAATACATAATCTACAGAATGGAAGAAAATATTTGCAAATTATGCCTCCAACAGAGAACTAATTTCCAGAATCTATGAGGAACTCAAAGAATTCAAAAAGGAAGTAACAACCCCCATTAAAAAATGGACAAAGGACGTGGATGAACAGTTTTTAGAAGACACACAAGTGACCAACAAACATATGAAAAATTATTCAACATCACTAATCATCTGAGAAATGCAAATTAAAACTACAATGAGATACTATCTTACACCAGTCAGAACAACTATTACTATAAAGTCAAAAACAGCAGATGTTGGCATGGATGTGGAGAAATGGAAATTGTTACACACTGTTGGTGGGAATGTAAATTAGTACCTCTATGAAAAACAGTATGGAGATTTCTCAAGGGACTAAAAATATAAATACTATTCAACCCAAAAATCCCACTCCTGGGCATCTACCCAAGGGAAGTCATTATGTAAGAAAGAAACCTGCATTTATATGTTTATGCAGCACTATTCAAAACAGTGACTTTATGGAGTCAACCTAAGTGTCTATCGGTGATCAAGTGGATAAAGAAAACGTGGAATATATACACCATGGAATACTATGCAGTTATGAAAAAGGATAATACATCCTTTGCAGCAGCATGGATGGAACTGGAGGCCATCATCCTAAGTGAAATAAATCAGAAACAAAATAAATATGGCCTGTTCTCACATATAAGTGGGAGCTCAACGATGGGTATGCACGGACATAAAGATGGAAATAATAGGTACTGGGGGCTGCTTGAGTGGGGAGGGTAGAGGGTGAGGATTAAAAAGTTACCTATTGGGTACAACGTTCACTATTTGGGTAATAGGTACACTATAAGCCCTAACCTCACCATTATACAATATATCCATGTAATAAACCTGTACATGTACCCCCTGAATCTAAAATTTAATATATATATGTGTAACATAGAATGTAAATGTGGATGATAGCAAGGATGAATGTTATATAAAGTTAAAACAGCAAACATATAGTTCAGGCCTAGAAGGTTAAATATGCTGGAAGCTATTTCTATTCTCATCATTAATTTGTAAAGAAGTAATCATGAAATTACTATAGTTATAATTTTTGTTATATGTCAACTATATGCAGAGGACCAATATGTGAAGAGAGTATTTGTTGATAAAAAGCTTTTGCATGGTAATTATTTTCTCATTACAGCAACAGATAGAACTTTCTGAAATAAAACATAATCAAGTCTCTATCAATAAATCCATACCAATCAGATTCCTCTCATTCAACTGTTTCCTATTTCTGATGGTGAGCTTGAAATTCTTCCCAGCTGCACAAATATTTTGCTGTAGCATGAAGAAAACTATATTAAAATGAAACGTATGATAATTTCTTCAGTTTTCTTAGTTGGGCATAAATGTTGACAGAGCTGACAGTCTCATATACACAAACTCTTACATGCAAACATGTCTGATTTAGTCAAACACTCGAGTAGTTTTATGCTCTCAAGTTTTACAATCACTTTTCCTTAAAGGGTCTCTTTTTTTGTATTTTTATAGAGTACCTGGGATTCCACTTTAATTTATAGTCTAAGGTGTTTTATAAAATTAATCAATAGGAAAAATTTCTTGCTTTCCTATACATTCAGTTTATATTTAATTTTTAGAAAAACTTGCTTTATGGATACAGATTGGCTCAGTATTTAAAATTTTGAACTATAAGATAATACTTGACATCCTATTTATTTCTTATATTTTATAATGTATTAGCTTAAAATAAATGTCTATGTCCTGACTTTCTTATTGTTTTTCTTATCTTTTTTTTTTTTTTTTTTGCCTGTATTGTTACTGGGATTCTTTAACCCTATTCAGCACAATTATAATCTTTCTATTAATTTTAACTTGCATGTGCTGAGTCTTTTCATGCAGGTCATTATTTAACTCTGATTTTTAAATATATGAGGTCATATTTATTTGTCTTAGTCTCATCAAGGAAATACTTCTCATTCATATTGAAAAATCAATAATTTCTAATTTTTATCGTCAACTCTTATTCTAGTCAACTTTATATTTTTCCTTTCTATTTTTGGAAAGCCCATCAAAGTTGATCTGTAATTTCCACTTTGAATTTTATACTTATTATTTACCATCTCTAATATTTTAAATTTCACCATACCTTTATAAATGATCTGTCATTCTTTTATATAACCCCTTGGTATGTTATTTTGACACACCAGCACTTGTACTAATCAGAACGGAGTAGCCTATGCTGCAGGAATAAACAATTGTGCAGGAAAAGTGTTCATATTTTTTTTTCCCATACTCACAATACTTCTGACACCAGGTGCATGGGGATTTCCCCTATGTCAACCAATTCTTTAATCCTTTGCAGACATCAACTAGGTGTCCTACAATTCGATTCAGTTCTGATAATACCTACGTGGTGTTTGCACAGACCCCACAGGTTAAGGGATCTGTCCCACAAGACTGGCTCCACTTCCAGTGCCAATCGCAAGTAGTGCGTGCCCAGATTACCTACAACTTCTGTCTAACTTAGTGACAAATTAGATATTTCCACAACACAATTCTGAGATAAGATCATTTGCTAGAATGGCTCACAGAACTCAGGAAAATACATATACCCATTTATTGTAAATGATGTTACAAAGGATACAGTTGAACAGCCAGATGGAGAGGTACATAGGGTGAGGTTCTGAAGGTCCCAAGCACAGAAGCTTCTGTTCCCATGGAGTTGGGGTATACTACACTCTGAGCACGTGGATGTGTTCACCAGTCCAGAAGCTCTCTGGTCCCCCGTACTCAAGGATTTTTATGGAGGCTTCACAACATAAGCTTGATAGATTACTAACTTAATTTCCAGTCCCTCTCTTCCCTGGAGGATGGGGGAGGGGCTGAAAGTCCCAGGCTTCTAATTATGGCTTGGTCTTTCTGGTAACCACCAGCCCCCATCCTAAAGCTATCCAGGAGGCCACCAGGAACTGCCTCGTCAGAAAAAAAGACACTTCTGTCTCCCAAGAAATTACAAGGGTTTTAGCAGCTCTGGACAAGGGACTGGGAGCAGAAACCAAATATACGGTTTGTATTATGTCACAACTGCTAACCCTGAAATCTTTAGCTCAATGAAACAGAAGTGTATTTATTTTCATGTTACATATTCAACTTGAGCTGATAAGAGTACACTGCTCCACATAGCCACTTGGTGATCCAGGCTAATGGAGCCCCACACTCTTTTAAACACGTCGTCTGTGATATGTCACATATTTAGTCACAGCATTGCAACTTCATACTTCTGCTGATCGGCTACAAGTATTCACTTTGCCCACCAAATGTATGTGCCTGAAAGCAGAGGAGAACCAGACATGTGGTAAGCACTAGAAATTTCTACTAGAATGTTTCTGAAGTCAATAGCTGTATTTTAAAACGATTTTGAGTGTGTAAAGAAGAAACTTTCTACAGTGGCAAAACTTTTTTAGAGGTACGATTGTTCACTTCCTTTGCGGAATCTAGAATTCAGAACATCAAGATATTATGCTTTAATTATAATCAATGTATTATACTAAAATAAGATTTATATCATGCAAAACATTGGCTGACATCTTAAATTGTTTTCCCCAGATTGAATATTAACCAGTTGCCCCATACCACTTATTGAATGCTTCTCATAACTTATTTGAATTATCATCTTTGTATTCTAAATTCTGATGTCTTTTAGGAAGCTGGTAGAACAAGTTACTATCTTTTTTCTGTACTTTCCTTATTATTCATATATGTTTTTTAGCCTTCAAGTAAATTTTAGAATCATTTTATTGGTCTAAATTAAGATTTGTGAAAGGATGTATAAAGTGGCTTCACCTTATCAGTATTTTGCATATTAGTAGAAACTCTTAGAATTATTCTTCGTGAAGACAAATTCCTAGCTTCCAGTTTCAGCTTTGCTACTTAATAGTGGTGTGACCTTAGGAAACTACTAGGCTGTCAATTGTGTCTCATTTCCTTCATCTGTAAAATAAGGATAGTAATGGCAGGTACTTTATAAGGTTACTATGAATGTGAGATAATATTAATGCTCTGGGTACAATGCCTGATATGTACTAAGTTTTGTATTCATGTTTTTAAAATACAAAATAATTTAAAAATAGAATTCCAGAACACAATAGAAATGTGAGGTTTTTGAGAATACTATACAAAAAATCAGTTGTTCACAGCGGAAAAATGCATCATATGTGAATGTAGGTAGAATCATTTTTTCTAGTGTTGACCTTCAAGGTGGATGTCCCATCAGTGTACCTGATGTGATGTGTGAGGTCATCTAGGATGCAAACTTTTGCTATTCTTGAAGAAACATTAAAATTCTTGTCAGGGAACCAGTATCCAACTCCCATCAGGAAAAGCTACCTAGCCTCTGTCCCCAAAGCATTGTTCTTCATAGAAAAGCTCAACTCTAAAAGTCTTTACAAAGACTCATCTTTGGCAAAAATAAACTTGTAGGTTGTGAATGTTTTTAGCCAAATATAGCAATTTATTAAAAACAAATTAGTGTGTGCAAGCAGTCACAAACTAATATTCTGAATGTTCTATATTTATGACTATTAGAATATGCTAGAAATTTTATTTTGTAATGCTGTTTGAATGTAGGGCTTTTAAATAATTAGACTTAATATTTGAAGAGTAATGAGATCTGCAAAGGAATAGCAAGATCTGACTAATTTCCTCTATAAAGTAATATTAAGACATGAAAATGTATGAACTGAAATGTGAGCATTCTATTTACACTGCTAGCTGCAGCATCACATGAATCATTTTCATTTTAAAGTGTGAAGAATCCCTTGCCTTCCACTGAAATAGCAAGTAGAGGAGATGAACTATTATTGCAGTACTAGCATAGAGTGATGCACCTTTTTTATTACAGAATCAGGGAATAATCCTCTGAGATTCTTTTTTGAAATAGAATGGAGTGAGTTTTTATTGATTCGTTATTTCATTTGAGACATGATTTTGCCCTCTTACTCTCTTGTAGTATGAATGTTCAATAAATAATACATTCTCTCTTCTACATGTTGCCACCTAAGAAATTGTTTGGCTCAAAAATAAGCCAGGTGCTTCCACAGCACACTGTTTGGCTTCTCTGTTGTTTTGCATAACAGCTGTAAGGATTGGTCTTCCTAATTGTTTTATGTGATGTGAATTCAGGTTGTAATATCAACAATGGTATGTGGTTCCCAGCTGATTGCCTGTTACCCTGTTGCCATGTTATGGACATCTGTGCCTCATTTTGTCCCTAGTTGATGATGGTGTCTGACCTCTGCCTTTTTTGTGTGCTTAGCAACTAATTGATCAAATCCACCTGTGAACGGTGATCAGTAGTCAGGCCGGTGAGGCTGACAACAGCTAAATGCAATAGCAACACTGCAAGTTAGATGCTCAGTTCATGGACAGATGCAGCAGGGAGTATGGTTGTGACACAGTCCTTATTTTCATAATCAGGAAGACAAATGACAAGAAAAAAGTCTTTCCAGACAGGGTTTATTTATAGCTTTCATCACTGGTTCTTTTGGTTTTAATTAGAAATACTAGCAACATCACTTTTAGATTATTCTAGTGGGCCTAATAAGGCAGTGTGCACAATTTTAAAATGGCACATAATAGGATTTCCGTGGGTATTTAATTAAACTCAGGATTAAATCAGAAAGCATCTTTGCTTATTTCCTGAAGCTCATTCCTCTCTTAAACTGCTGTCCTCTATAGTGGAACTGCCTGGATAGAAATAAATTGAAATGAGAAGTGTCACTACTTTCTCCTGTTGGCTCTCACAGTCCCCCCATATCAAGCCTGCCTTCAGGTAAAGAGTGTTGATTATGGAGAAGAGGTTGTGATTGGCATTACACTGACTGCATCAAGCTAGAGGTTATATTTTTGTTGTCAGCTAACAACATTTTGGAGAGAACATATTCATTTATATTCTTTGTATCACACTTGGTCTTTCCTTACCAACAACACCATTTACTATACTCTGTACTTGATCCCTAACACACATTGGCCCAAGCCAGAAGAATGTGATTGAGTATGTGTGAATGTAAGTGAATGATATATGAATGAAAGTGAACGTACATTCTTTTAATGACACATTTGTAATGAGGGGCCTGACAGTCTACTTATCACAGATTACCCTTTGTTTCCCAACAGGTAGCCACGGTTGGATTCAGGTAGTAGCTTTAGATAAAAGCTCATTTTACTCTATATTTCATGTCTCAAAATTAACATAAGGCTTAAAGGGGCATGGCATTATATCTTTTGAAAAAATATTTATTTCAACCCCCAAATAGCACTTTTGAATGAAACATATATTTTGAAACTACATAGTGAATTGCAGATAATTCTCAGTAGGTTTTAAATAAACAAATACCTTAGATCATGACTGCCTCAACATTTGAATTTTTTTTTTGATTGCTCAAAGGAGGTATAAACAGATCCTAAAACATGCAGACACTGCTAATGTGAAGCAGAGAGGGCAGAAGGAAAATATACATCCATGTATAAAGGAAGAAGTATTTCATAAGTATCTATATTTCCTATGTTCCTTAGCACAATTCAAAGCTCTGCACATCTTTCCAAATTGTGAACATATAAAGAGGTATAAAGATAATCGAAATAGAAAATTTTAATAAAAAGTCTCCAATGCCAAGGCAATAAGTATTATAATAATGAGCCATATTCTTTATTAAATTATAATTTTTATTTAGCCTTTAATAGCCTCTTGGTCCTGCTTTGGATTTCATAATTTTGTTTGATAGCATTCACATTTTTTTCTAATGTAAAGTAAGTATTCATATGGAAAACATCAGAAAATATGTAAAGTAAAAAAGTAATAAAATGCATTTGTAATGAAATATGATAGGATTTGATTAAAAATAGTTTCTAATGGGAGAGGAGGTGGGGTCTAGATGAAACTATATTGACTGTGATAAGGATTGAAACTGGGTGAACAGAGATTCATTATGCTGTTCTCTTTACTTCTATATACTTCTGAAATTTTCTGTTAGAAAAAGGAAAAAAAACACTTGTCATACTTCTCCGAGACAACTAATTCTTCTCTACATATACATATGCAGAGAAATACACTTACACAAACCTACATTTTTAAATTTAAAGACAGTTGAGCTATCCCACAGTTGTTAAATAGAGACCTAAGTTGCTCTTCTAAAATGCCCTGGATAGGCTCATGTACAGAGCGTCCATTGGAGATTATTGACTCTTTATTAGATGTTTAGGTTTGGTGAATAAAAAAGGTACTGTGTACTCAATTATTGGGTTTCAAAACACAACTGATCTGTATACTGATGCTAAACTATGACAAACATTTAGGATACACTTGTTTTTTGTGCTGTGTTTAGACACAGCTTGAGTATCTTCTATAGGAAGAGATGTGGGGGAAAACTAGAAAAGATATAAGAAGCTATCTCATTCTCATATGTACTTCGTACTATTTATTCTCCTTTCATTTATCCTCCCCTCCGTATTCTCCCTGACAGTAGAAATGGAGAGAAAACTGAACAGAACTTAGAGTGGTTTCATTCAGAGAATGAGGCAAAAGAACTGGACTGCCTTTTGCTTCTCTTTTCCCTAGCCTCCTCTCCATAAGCTCAAGCATATGTCAATTTGAGATAAGCTCAAGCATATGTCAATTTCATATGTACATGTTTCTTTCCATTTCCCAGGCTGATAACAAAATTTTTTTTTTTCTAAAAATAAAACTTCCAGGACAGATCCTTTGGTGACGTGGTTTAAGGGATCCTCCAGGTGCTAATAAACTTTCTAAAAGATAATTCCTATACAGACATTTATTACAAATATCTAAAATTCTTTTAACTTAGGTCTTTGACAGAAATACACATGATTCCAACTTTGTAGGAATGAGTTTATTTCCTACAAGTGTGGGAGAAGCATTCTTGGTCAGTTGGCCCTTATCACTTCTACACTGACCTTCAGAAAACTAGAGGAAGATACAGGTTTAGGCATGGAAAACAGCAATCACATTGATTATGCGAAATACATCTAGATTTATGAATCAATTGCCTGTGTAATTTTAAAGTATTTTTCTCAGTATAATCCATGTCCCTGAGTGCTGACCTCCTTTGCACAGTCATTCTTGATTATTTCTTCCAGGACAATAGAGAGATACAAAGTTCTCAACACTCATAGTATACTTTTCCACATAACTCTGCATTCTCTTAATGCCCATTTATTTTAAACATTTATTCCCTGTTAACATTTGAGTGTTTTTTTAATTTTTCCTACCCTGTGATAATAATAAATCTTGATACAGCACCTGTAAAGCAGTTCTGAGCAAGACACACAAAAGAAGGGAATTATGATACTAAACAAAAACATTTTACTCTGCAAAAGTGTCAGTGAGTTCTGTTGTAGAAGCTTGGAGCAAACACATTTGTGCATGTTCTTAAACTCAGTGACCAATGTTGGTTCACTGATATAGGGGCAGGAACTTAGAATATCTTAATAGAATATTTCAAAGTCTAACCTGGTTTTTAGAAAGCCAGGCATTTTAAAATTTAGGTTTATCGCAAATTATACTATCAAGTTAGTTGCCAGTTTGGTTTTGTTTGGATAGAAATGTTAAATGATATCACTGGGCAGACATAGTATGTGACTAATGATATTTTCATTAATGCCTACTTTAAAACTTGTACTTAGTTGTCTACAACTAAGTGGTGTTTAGTTCTTAGTATTTTTATATTGTGTCATATTCTATACTGACTTTTGCTATAATTCCAGAAATATTTTTCCAATAGGATATATCTCAACATTTATTAAAAATCTTAATGTTTCTTCCAATTGTTTGATGTTATCATTGTTTTGTCTAATTACATTTTAATTATCCACCTTAAAGCCTGTAAGAAATTAGTAAACCATTGTGCACTTTAAGTTTTTATTTGCTATATAATAAGTAAATTTCTGTTGAAAATTTTTACTGATTACTGGACTCATTTCTAAACTGTTAATAATTTAAAAAGTACTGCCAAACCAAAGTAAAACACTCATTAGCCAGCTCCTATTAGGTCCACAGACCTGGACTACTCTCAACATTAAGTTGGTAGCTTTCTAAAAATAAATGTTTGCTTGAAATTCTCATTGGAAAATAGGAATTCCTATTATTTCAAAGGAGTGGATTTTTAATCAAAGTCAGATTCTAAACCACCTTTGGAGGATTCTGTACTTCATTTCCATAGGTTAGATTTCTCAGACCTAGTTCCTTTAAAAATATTTCTTCTTTCTGAATTTGATTTTTCTTTACAAGGGGAAACACATTTCTTTCTAGTATTAAAGGTTATTCTGGAAACCAGAATGATAAAGGAATAAATATTTCTATTCCTCCAACATGGCCAAGAAAATGCCTTTATTTTCTAATCTTTGTGTCAATAAGGTATTTTTTTGCTTTCATAGAAAGTGGAACATTCTCACTTACTGAGGAGTCACTTCTTTTTAACTTTCTCAGGCCAGGTCCTGGTAAGAGATCTTTTCTGGGATGCAAAAGGCATACTGTTTTTTCTTAAAATTGCCTTCAGTTTCCTTGGAAATGGAGGAATTTGTGGAGTATTTTAGTTATTCCCTTTCTGGCTGTGGCAACAGAAGGGCAGATCCATTTAACTATTTATCTGCCCTCTCAACATATCTTCTAGTTATATTTGTTTTGTAGGCTTCAAACCTGTGAAGAGCCTTGACTGAGGGTTCTCATTTCTCCTTTACTTCTCCACCCTGTCCTCCACCCCATCTGCCTCTCTCCCCTGGTCTCTCCAAATCCTTGCTCTGTTTTCTCTTTCCACTTTTCTTTCCCTGCTCTCTCTGGCCATCTTGCATTTCCTCCATCTCCTTCCGCTCTACCTCTTTCTTTCCCCTCTGTACTAGAAAGTGCAATACCATGACAACAATGACTAGCAAAGTCAAAGCAAAACTGTAGATCATTAGATGCCATGGCCACTTAAACTTAACTGCAAAGAGCTGACAAATGCTGAAACTACAAACATGAAAATGAAACTGCCAAGAGTCTACCTTACTTCTCTTACTGTAGCAATTTTCTTTTGTGGTTGTAATGTATTTATATATGCACTAGGGAAAGAGGTTCAGTGGAAAAAGGAGTAGGGAAAATGTGAGATCCTAAGGCCTAGAAAGATGAGGCAAACTTCTTTTTTTGAGGAAGACTGTGAGAGCATCACAGCCATATTGAAGCTGGGACATTGCTGAGAGTAAGTACACATCCAGCCAGCATGACCCAAGAGAGATTGAGGATAGTGAGACAGAATATAAGGCCAAATCAGGATTCTAAACTGAGGCATGAAAACAGATTTATCCAAGAAAAACTAGGAAAGAGAAATGTGGTTAAACTTTCTGGAAGTTGGGGGTAGTGAGAGTAGAATGAACCCTAATCCAAAATAGGACAGGACAGTCACTGGAATACTCTTAGGGTGATGTCACATGGAGTAAGGATGAGTATCAGTTAAGGTACAGTCCAGGTTGCTGTTATAAGTAATCTTGCCCACCTCCCAAAGAGATAAGTGTTTTGGTTTGTGTGATTCATTCTTATGTTGTAGTCCAAAGACAGTCCAGGGCTGGTAGTGTATTACCACTCACATAGCCACCCAGGGACTCAGACTCACTCAGTCTCATTGGTATGTCCTTCTTAACATGCAGCTTTCATGTCATGGTCCACAATGGCTGCTCTGGTTCCTCCTGTAGCATTTATACTCTAGCTAGTGGGAAGGGAAAGTTCAGGTGAGCATATATCCGTTTCATCTACAAGCAGTGGCACAAATGAATTCCGCCTAGATCCCACTAATGAAAAATGTGTCATATGGTCATCCTTAGTTGCAAGGGACACTGGGAAGAGTCTCTAGCAAGACAGTTCTTTGTCTTTTTAATTTGCAACTTTTAATTTGGGGTATCCACAACTAAAGGAAGAAGGGAATGATGGATGGTGTATATTCATGAAAAAACCAGTGGTGTCTGTCAGAGATATCTGGTACACTAACCCAAAAAATGCACTGGATGAGCCCAAGCTTCTGGTTCTCATACTCATTAGGCCTGAGTAATGTTATTTACCACATGCTAAAATGCGGTCTCTCCATATGCACAGGAGGAAAAAATGATGTGCAGAATATGCAGCACAGTCTCTTCTAAAACTGTGAATAGTAAAGTATAAAAATACTCCGCTGTATCAAGAAGAAAAGATACGCAAGGCAGGATTTGTATGGGACATAAAATACTACTCACTGTTTTCTAAAGGCCTTCGCCCCTCCCCATCCTTTTACAAATTGTATTACGTAAAGGAATGACTCTACTGAGGGCTGGTTTTTCTTTGATCTCCCTCTCCAAAATATACCATTGGTTTCTCTAGTAGAAAATTTCTACAGTTTTATATGCTGGCTAGGTTTCTTATTCTCTACTTAATTTGGAATTTTTGATATTGGATAAATAGCATTTGCTTCTTTATTGGTGTTGGACTAGTGCTGAAAGGTTGGCTATAATAGGAAGTAAAATGTAGACCGCTGGGTTATAAATGGTAGCAAATCATGGCTTATGATTATCTGAAATCAAGGAAGGATGAGAACATCTCTTAACAAGGGGAATGTGCTTCTCCACAGAGTATCTGTAGGTTGCAGCACACTAATCAAGGTAATGAAAGGCTTTGGCTAAGAAAGTGGCAAAAATTAGGAAGCAATGTATAAAATCTTAGAATATTAAAACTGTAAGGATTCTTAAAATTGTATAACCCTTTTATTGGAAAATTAATAAATTGAATTGAAACCATGATGAGTCACATATAGAAGTTTTTAAAGCTTCTAATTCAAAACTTATGAAGTCCAAATTGTTTCTTTTGATATGTCATCAGATTTTTTTTTTTCAGTATTTATTAGGTTTGCTTCAATAATGTTACCTAACCTGGCTTGATCACCTATTTTGTTGCTATTGCAATAAGAAACAGCCATGTGTTTGGGGAAAAGAAAGAAAATTGTAATTTCCTTTTGAAATTATGTCATCTGAAAGTGGCATGTGCATTCTATTGGCTACAGCATCATCAAATGGCCAGATCTTGCAAAGAGGGAAACTGGGAACATAGTCTCCCATTTTGAGACCCTATGTGCAGCTGAAACCTTGAGGATAAATGGAGAATGGATCTTGGGTGAAAATTAGTAGTCTCTTCTATCAGGAGAGTTTAAACAGATGATATATAGGGTGAGGTCCTGAGCATGGGTAGAAAAGGTGAGAAAGGCTCTCTTCTCCCAAGAGAGAACTATGTATTATTGATAACACTTGAGCAAGGAGACTAGAAATCAATTTTTGTTTTTAATTTTGAAAAACTTTACTTAGTGTATTTACTTTTATGACTACCTAGATAAAATGATTGTCTATTTAATGTTGCAATAAGAAACAGCCATGTGTTTCAAATCTTGCTTATGAGAGCCTGTATTCTCTAAATAACCAAGTTCATATACAAGACTAAATGTAAGAACCTGATCAAATAATAGGTTTGATTAAATTACATAATAAGGCAATGCATGTTTGCAGGCATACATCATAGTATTATCCACATAATGTGTGCCATATCACCTGGGTTGTGACCTGGGTTATTGGAAATATTGTGTGTGTGTGTGTTTCCTTCTCTTCTGAGCATAGAAACTCCATTTAAGAACTATTACTGAAGATCGAATTGATGTCAACCAGGAAACTAATTTCCTGTCACTTGGCCTTGAATTACTACATTGACTTTTCAGGAAATAAACAAATTTAGCTGAAAGATGCAAGCTTTTTTCTACTTATCATTAGTACCTAAGAATATAGATGCATTATACTGTTCAATCTCCATTACACATACAATTATTGTCTCAAAATGATATTCAACCTTCCTTGCATCCCTTTATCTTGAAGTAATGAAGTCCAAACTTCATGCTGAAAACCAGTGTATGTTCTTTTAAATGTGGCTGCAGAGCCAATTTATCTGATAAAGGCAAATAGCCTACCATTTGCAGGCTACAGAAATGAGGCAGAGCAGCCATGTTGCAAGGAACATAGTGTTTTCCCCTGCTGTTTTTATTTCTCCTGTGTATCACAAGTGGGAAAGATGGAATTTTGCAAGAACTTAGTTTATAAAGCACGATGCAAGGCAGTTTTAAAAAATACCTTTTATGAATACTTATTATACAAGAGAAAAGCTTGTTTTGTCTTATATTACAATTACAGTTTTCTGAAAACTCACCCACAAAATTATATTGCATTAGTGTTTACTTTCTGGTTGTCTGATTCTTCATGATACCAAAAAAAGGAATACATTTGTGTGGAGGGGCATTTATATGGCAACCAATGGCACTGAGACTTTGTTTGATTGTGTGCATCTGAATCAGGTGGCAATAAAGATTTTCTGGGGTTGACTTCATGGAGCCCAACACTTTAGCTGAGAGGGTGAGGTAGGAATTCAGCTTACGGGGTGGGTACTGGGGCAGAGCCTTATGCATCTTTCTCTTCCTGATCCAAGAACAACCTCTGACACATAGGAGGCTCTGGGGAAAGTAATGTTATTAAAGAAAGGATCCCGAGAAATAAGCCATCTTCTCATGGTGAGGGGCTTGAGATAAGTCTGTCGTCAGGTCAAGTATGTTCTGAGGCAGATTGATGTGGTGGCTGTGTCTGTCAATAGGAGATCTGTGGGCAATTTTTATTGGTCCTGGATTGTACCAATGCATTGCAAGACATTTATCATCTCCCTACCCCAGTAAATGCCAGCAATACTCTCCAGTACAATGAAAAAGAGAGTCCTCCAGCACATTGCCAAATGCAACATGAAGAGATCTTATCCCTGTTGAAAACCACATGTTATAGTCTAATGGTTGGTTGGTTGGTTGACTTATTTATTAAAAATAATTTTGCATTCTATAACTTTTCTTAACATTTATGGGGAGCTATTTTAGGTGTTAAGAAAAACAGAGTGAATAATAATGATTAACTTTCATGTACTCAACATCTAGCTTTGCCATATTTTAACATTTTGCTTCAGAATTTTTTTAAAGATATAAAATAGTGCAATTCCTAAATGGAATACTGGAATTACTAAATGCTCCTGTTGTAACTCTTTTTTTATTTCCATGTTCTCATTCCAGAAAAGAACTGCAATCCTGATTTAGGATTTGTCATTTCTAACACATTTTTAATGCTTTTACCATATCTGTATTTTTATCCAAATGGTATTTATTACTGTTTTACATGTTTCTAAATTTTTAAGTGACATCATTCTCTATTCTTGTGCAACTTGTTTGATGCATGATTATATTAAGATTTGTTGGTGTGGGTAGGTTGAAGTTTAATACATAAATTTTAAATATTATAAAACATTCCATTATACAGATACATGTCATAATTTACTGATCTAGATACCTGATAATGAATATTTAGAATATTTCAAATGTTTTACCAATGCCAAAGAGGCTACAATGAACATTCTCATTCATGTCTTTTAGTGTATGTATTTCTCCCGAGAAATTCAATGGACACATGATAAGGTGTGTTGACATTAAATTTTACTGGATTTTGCCACATAACTCACTAAAAGTATTTGCATCAGTTACATACTCACTGGCAATTTATGGAAGTTTTAGTATTAGCCCATGTTTGCCAACAGTTGATATTGGTAACATTTAAACTTTTTAAATACTCTTTTAGATGGGACTCTGCTAGTATCTTTTTTAAAAAAAAGATGTATAATTTGTCAATTACTACTTTTCATGTGCTTATTGGCCATCTGTATTAATCCTTTCTCACACTGTTGTAAAGAAACACCTGAGACTGGGTAATTTTTGAAGAAAAGAGGTTTAATTGACTCACAGTTCTGCAGGCTTAACAGGAAGCATGGCTTGGGAGGCCTCAGGAAACTTACAGTCACGGCAGAAGGTGAAGGGGAAGCAAGTTCATTTTCACATTGTGGAGCAGCAGAGAGAGAAGTGCCACATACTTGTAGACCGTCAGGTCTCATGAGAACTTATCCACTATCAGGAGAATAGTGAGGGGGAAATGTGCCCCCATAATCCAATCACCTTCCACCAGGCCACTCCTCCAACATGTGGAGATTACGATTCAAGATAAAATGCGGATGGGGACACAGAGCCAAACTGTATCACCATCCATATTTGTTCTTGTGTGAATTGCTTCATCATATATGTGTATATACTCCGCTTCTTTTTCTACTAGGTCACTTGTCTTCTTTGTTTTTAGTTACTTTGTAAGAATTCTATTTTTAGTGCGTACACACATATATATGATGGCAGTGGCAGCCCGTCTAGAACGGCCACTGTGAAGACTTGGGCTGCAGCTGGGAAGGCGTGTCTGGGGCTGCGTGCCCCATGGGGAGGGGGATGGGGAGCAGGAGTGGGGGATCCATCCCCTTCTAAGTTGGCGGGTCAGGGTCTGTCTGCTCACCAGGCACAGATGCAGCTGCCCTGTTGCAGTTCCAGACCCAGGCATCCTTGTACTCTCGGGCCAGGAAGCCCCTCTTCCCCCACAGTCTCAGAAGTGTCTGTCCCCGTGGACTGGCCTCTCCTCTCTCCCAGTGCCTGCTCTGATTTTGGAGCAAAGTTGAGGCTGAGCCCAGGCAGGCACTGTCGCAACCTGGCTGGGTGTATGCTTGCTCAGGGCAGTGCTGACACATCAGCCCCCTGCCTCCTCAGCCCCCTCCGGACTTTGGGCGCTGAGGAGCATGGTGGGGGGCACAGGGTGGGTGAGGGTGGCTTGACATGCGCTCCACTTGAACAGCCTGGGTGGATGCTGTGGATGACATGATTGATGGCAGCAGGAAGCAGACAGGCTCCTGGGCAGAAAGGGGTGAGTGAAGCCCCATCTTCAAGCCAGGGATGGCCTGAAGCATGGGGCCCAGGCTGCCAGTTGCAGGTGGAATCTGTGCCAAGAGCGAGAACTTACGGTGCTTTTTAGGGCCCACCCATGGTTACCCATAGACCAATCAGCATGCACCTCCTCCCTTCTGAAGCCCACAAAAACCCCTGGACTCAGCCAGACTCACAGAGACACTGGGACTACCAGCTGTGAGAAGGTGCTACCCACTTCAAGTTTTCTCAGCTCACCTGCATGACCTGCCTGTGGAAAGGAGCTACCCACTCTGGGTCTCCTCTCCGCTGAGAACTGGACTCTTGTCTGGATGACCTGCCTGCAGAAAGGAGCTACCCACTTTGGGTATCCTGAGAGCTGTTCTTTCTCTCAATGAAGCTCCTCTCTGCCTTGTTTCCCCTCCAGTTGTCTGCATGCTTCCTTCTTCCTTGAAATAGGACAAGAACTTGGGACCTGCCGAGTGGCAGGACTGAAAGCTGTAACACAAACAGGGTTGAAACATGCCCCCCTGCTCACCATGTTGCAGGCGAAGAGAAGGAGAGAAGAGCTGTAGCCCTTTGGGGATCCCAGAACTAGGGGCTCCCCAGGCCAGGCTGTGACACCCTCTTTGGGGTTCTGCGGTTCCTGGCATGTCCAAGCTTCCAGGTACCACTGTGTTCCCTGGCCCCCTCTGTGGAAACTGCTTTCTGAATGCCTGGTTCACCTGCAGCCTTGCATGGAGCCGAGCATCTTTGTGGGTGCCTGGAGCTGCCTGCCCTGCCATAGCCAGCAATCCTGGTTGTGTGCACTGTGGCCAGACCTTGTGCTCACTCACACACCCCTCACTGCTGCACTTCTGGCTCGCCCTTGGCAGGCATGGGATCCGACCAGTAGTAGGAGCCCATCCCAGCCTGCTGGGCCAAGTGAGTAGAAGGAGCCCATAGGCCCAAGTAAAACTCAGGGAAAGGCAATACCAGCAACAGAGGTTTCCGCGTGGTAAAGCGACACCCTAAGGATCCTGTGACACATATACTATATTTTTCCAGTCTCTAGTTTTTCTATTTTATATGCTGACACTTTGTGGTACACGTGGATATAGTCAGTTTTATCAGTCTTTTTCATTAGGGTTTGTATTTTTTTATGTCTCATTTAAGAATTATTTTTTGTTAGTCTTATTTTCCCATGTGTTTAACTAATTGTCTCAGAAACATTTTTTAATTGTCAATTTTTTCTCATTGGACTGCATATTAATAATCTCTGTGTACTGTGTTTCTGTTTCTGAGCAATATAGCCTATTCTAATAATTTATTTGCCTTTCCCTTTGGCCAATTCCTCCCCAGTCTTAAATATCATTGTTTTTTATAAATCTTGATATCTTGAAAATCTCGAAAGCATGCATTTTTCAAAACGGTCTTGCCTATTCTTATTCCTTTGCTCTTACATATAAATTTCATAATCAGCTTTTTAAGTTACATTAAAAAGTTACATATGGAGATTTGTATTGGAATTGAACTTAGGGAATTATAAAAGACCACTGGCACCTTTATAATATTGAATCCTCCTATTCATAAACATGGTATATCTCTCCATTTATATAAATACAGTTCATATCTTTCAATGAAAACAAAAAGATGCTTCTTGTAAAGGTCATATATTGTTCTAGTCTTATCTCTAAGGACATAATTTTTGTTTCTCTTACTAATAGAATTTGTTCTAAAATTGCATTTTATTTTACTGTTTTTATCGTTGCTGATACAAATGTATATTTTGTTGGTGTATCATAAAAGATAACCTTGTTTATTCTAAACAATTTGTTTATTAATTTTCCTGTATTGTCTGTAGTCAATAATACATACAAATTTTTTTCTACCTTTTCTATTCTTATATTTTGTATTGATTTCTCTTTGTCTTGACATGGTGATAAGCACCTATAACATGGTGGTTTATTTAAATGGTAGTGTTAAGCATCTTTATTTATTTTTGACTTTTAAATAATTTATCATTGCATACATGTTTTTCTACTTTTACTACATTTGTATGTATTTACACACAATATTTAGTAATGATTTTTAAACTTTATATAAATGGTATCATACTCTGCATATTCTTTTGATAGTTTACTAGTAACTACAATATTTTCTGCTGTAGCTATTTGACTTTCTTTTATTCCTGTTTCTATGTTTTTTGCTTTTTAAAATATTTAAATCATAAATAGATGTTGATGTTTAAATAACCTTTTAAAATAATCCCTTTAAAATATTTTTAATTTTTTTTAAAAAATATATTTTTGAACAGTCATATTATTCCGTTAGGCTTCTAATATTTTTACTGTGGGTAGAGTACTTTGTTATGTGTAACAATGAGTCTTGGATCTGGGGCATGGTAGGAGGCCAAGTGGAACCTCTGACCCAAGGCCCTGGGTCTGCTAGAACAGCTTCTCAACCCTCCCCATTTGGGCTTGGATCCTTTGCACTTTAGACATGCTGATTTAGCCACATAAAGATGAAGCAACAACTCAATATGAGAATTTAAAGAGTAAATAATGACCATATCACCTCTGACTAATAGTTAAAATTCCTAAATAAATTTTCAGTCTTTTTTTAATAGTTTCTGGATTTGAGATTTGTTACTCTGTTAACGGTCTGGTAACAGGAACTGTTAATTTCTTGTATTCTCTTGACTTGAATAGAGGTCACAGAGCCTGGGAAAAAATAGGTTAAGTAAAATGAACTTCTTTGTTTTCTTCATGAAGAGTCCAGAAAGCCTGAATTAGGATACAGAATTCAGGATGATTAAAAATTCCAGTTTAATTGAGCATTATTTTGGTCAATTACATGAATTGGGACATATGAGCACAACCTTCTCCTCCATAAAGGAATAAAAAAGAGTGAGCTACTGCTACTTGTAACAACACAGACACAACTTCCAGATTTAATGTTGAGAAAAGAAAAGAGGAGAAACAAATGAGTACATACTGAAGGCACTGTAGTATTCGTTATATTGAAGTTTCAGGAACAGGGAAAATTCGCTGATAAAACTCAGAGTAGTGGATACCTTTAGGGCTATTATGTGAAAGAGTAAATAAGGAAGTCTTCTGGAATTTGGGAAATGTTCTATATCTTGATATGCATGGTTGTTAACTCAGTAGATGAATGTGTCATAGACTGTGTACTAAAGATTTTTGTACTTTTTTGTATGCATGTACTATCTCAAAGAGAATATAGCTAAAATAATAAGTTCAGAAGGGGCCTATGCCCTCTCTCTCTCTCTCTCTCTCTCTCTCTCTCTCTCTCTCTCTCTCCTTCTTTCTCTCTGTCTCTCTTTGTTTGAGATGGAGTCTCACTTTGTTATCCAGGCTGGAGTGCGGTGGTGTGATGTTGGCTCGCTGCAACCTCCGCCTCCTGGGTTCAAGCAATTCTCCTGCTTCAGCCTCCCAAGTACAAGTGTGCGCCAGCACGCCCAGCTAATTTTTTGTATTTTTAGTAGGGACGGGGCTTCACTGTGTTAGCCAGGATGGTCTTGATCTCCTGACCTTGTGATCTGCCCCTCTCAGCCTCCCAAGGTGCTGGGATTACAGGTGTGACCCACTGCACCCGACCTATGGCCTTTCTAAACTATAAATGTATTTTTGCTAGAATGAGACAATTTTGGCATAACCTTTTCAGCCTTATAGGCAATGATTGGTGTGCGTGTGTGTGTGTGTATGCTTGTAGAACATGGGGATAAAAAGGCCTAACTTGTCTGGTTGAGTGGGGATACAACGTGAAGCCTTCAGAGAGGAAATGAGTTGAGGAGACTTTTTAAGCATGAAGTAGGAAATTTCCAAGTGGATTGTGTGGCATACATGGATCTATAAATGTCCAAGATGTGAAATGACAAGTTATATTTAGGTATTATAACTTGTTTTGTATAGCTACAATAAAATAGCAGCTGGGAAGTTAAAAAAATAGAATGGGTAGAGTGTTGAATATCATGCTAAGAAATTTTGATTTTTGTTTTCTTTTGGGCTCCAGGTATTAGAGAACCATTGATGAATTTTAATTAAGTGGTATGATTAAGTTTGCTACGTGGATAGGATTAAGAGCTAGTTTTGAAAATAGTACCTAAGGCAATTTGAGTCTTTTCAAGAGGCCTGTCTTTGGTACTTTTCTCAACCCATGTAACTTCTATGCATGATCTCCTTTTGAGACTGATGACTCACAAATCTAAATCTCTACTCCAAACTTCTTTCCTGTTTCTTTAAACTTCTTCAGAGAATTAATTGCTTCTCTATCCATGGATGTGAATTTGGATCATACAATTGTGTTTCATTCACTTTTACATAGTGTAAGATTTATGATTGGCTGGGCCCGGTGGCTCACGTCTGTAATCCCAGCTCTTTGGGAGGCTGAGGTGGGCGGATCACGAGGTCAGGAGATCGAGACCATCTGGCTAACAGGGTGAAACCCCGTGTCTGCTAAAAATACAGAAAATTAGCCGGGAGTGGTGGCGGGCGCCTGTAGTCCCGGCTACTCTGGAGGCTGAGGCAGAAGAATGGCGTGAACCCAGGAGGCGGAGCTTGCAGTGAGCCGCGATTGCACTACTGCAATCCAGCATGGGAGACAGAGCGAGACTCCATCTCAAAAAAAAAAAAAGATTTATGATTACTGTCTCACTGTCGGTCACAAAACAGGTTTCAATTCAGAATTTGAACATTTTTTTCAATATATCTGTAAACACATCTTTATTCAAAAACTTCTTCCTCTTTACACAAACCAAGACCAAAGACTAATGCCCTTTGCTACCACACTTCTGCTATTTGGAAAGGTCTTTCTCCTTTCACCTCCTCCCCACTCAATAGGGCGTTTGCAGGGTAGGTGAGGAAAAGAGGAGAGGTAAGAAAGTCTTAATGTTGTAAGATGGCTCATTGACTGTAGGCCAGGGAGATGTTTAAAACTGACTTTCCTGGTTATCTGTCTGAGAATTTTGAAAACTTACTGCTAGACCTCCCTCACTTCATCTCCCTTGAACTGGATAGTAGCCTCTCTTTAAGCCAAATATTCTGGATGTCTCCTCAGCTCCTCCTTCCAGCTATAGTTCCCACAGCTTCCTCCTTCAGGAGTTCCCTTACCCTGGCTAATTACCCTTTTGAGCAGGATCGCTTTTACTAAATGAGTTCAGGAAAATATTTTTACCACACATTCTTTATCAGGTCCCTAAGATGTGCACATTTTGATTCACGATCAGAGAAGACTGCAAGTTACTTCTCAGGTGTGTCATTGCCCTGTGGCCACAGGCCACTTCACCTTGCCTGGGTACTAGGTTTCTGTGTCCCCTCAACTGCAGAAAATATCCATCAATCTGTCTGAGTGGTCCCTGTAAAATCCCTGTCAGAGACTGAAGATCACTCTGTAAGTAATCTTCACAAATCCTTTCAAAATCTCACTGAAAACATTTATCCTTTATCTGATGAGAGACTCCTGGGTGAGTCTGAGCAGTATGGAAACATTCTTTTAAGCTATAAAAACATGAAACTATTTATACTTATACATAAAGTCACTGGATTTCCCTACCAAACCCAACCACTGTATTATATTGAATAAAAGTGGTAGACAATTAATACTACGTATTGACAATTACCTTCGTGTGAGCGAACAACTTTTCAATATCTTCATGTACATTCCAGCAGCTTTGTAGTTTTATCATAAATCATTTTTATTCTGCAAAAATAAGGATAAGTCATCTTAAATTATTAATTTAAAATGAATTGAAATCATATTGAAATTAATTTTTATGTGCATAATTGTCCATAATTTATTCTGTCCACATGAAATTGCCTTTTATCATTGGTGTAAACTCATTTGTATTCTAAGGTTTTGATATTTGACAGAGTGAAAAAGAATATGCTGGTGCTCCTTTGTTTTCATTACATCTGACTCCCTGCTGGACTGTAAACTGTATAAAGACAAGGATGAGTATTTAAAATCTGATGATTTGGGGCCTGCACTGTGCTGCACACACATTAGGCACACAGTGCTTTTTGTCTTCCATACGTATTTTTCTACTATGAGGAAGGTATTAGGTAAGGTAGATAAATTTGAATAATTTAGAACATTAGTAATGCTTTTGGAAAAATTATTTCATGCTAATATAAAATAATGTGTATGGAAAATATGGTTGACAGACTGTAATGCCTTACTACTATAAAGAGAGAGGGAGGCCAGGCGCGGTGGCTCACGCCTGTAATCCCAGCACTTTGGGAGGCCGAGGCGGGCAGATCACAAGGTCAGGAGATCGAGACCATGGTGAAACCCCGTCTCTACTAAAAATACAAAAAATTAGCCGGGCTCAGTGGCGGGCGCCTGTAGTCCCAGCTACTTGGGAGGCTGAGGCAGGAGAATGGTGTGAACCTGGGAGGCGGAGCTTGCAGTGAGCCGAGATCGTGCCACTGCACTCCAGGCTGGGTGACAGAGCGAGACTCTGTCTCAAAAAAAAAAAAAAAAAAAAATTGGGGGAGATATTTTGAAAGTTAGGAGATAAATACATTTTCTGATATTTAATAAACCATGCTATTGGTAAGCTTGACATTGTGCTATGGCAAAATTCTATGCCGTAATGAAACAGCTGGTCCATAACCTTAAAAAATAAGAATGACACCCAATAATAACAAGTTTAATCAGTCTAACTTTTTTTTTATTGTTGCTTATTGGAGAGACCATTTATGGGAACACTAAACACATAGACGTGTCTAAGTTTTTTCTTAGCTTTTTTCTAATCATGAAGCATACTTTACATAGAGAAAACCATACGAAATTTTAATTTACAGCTCAGTGAACTGTTACAAGGCCAATATTAATGTATCGCCCACCCAAATAAAAAAAATGAACATGGGTAACACTGTAATCAAATTGCAATTAAAACATCATTCCCTCCCACTCACCGAAGGTCACCAGTATCCTGACTTCTAACACCATTGGGTTTTGCCAGTTTTTGGAACTTCACATAAATGGAATCATGTAGTATATATATTTCTTTTGCTTTGGTTTTGGCTTCCTTAATATTTGCAAGATTCATACATATTGGTGAGTGTCCATAGTTTGTTAATATTAATTAATGTACAATTGTCTGTTGCATAAGCGTACCATAAGTTATTTATCTATTCTAATGTTGGTGAACTTTGTTTCCAGATTGTTTTGAATTTTTTTATGGTTATGTTGAAAGTACTTTGCTGTTGTGTCTCTTGATGCACATATGCATATATTTCTGAAGAGTACATACCTAGGAATATTATTGCTGGGTTATAAAGTATGTGTATCTTTAAACTTAATAGGTAATACTAAACATTTTCCCAAAATAGTTATACTAATTTACATTTTGACCAGCAGTGTTCTTGTTGTTTTATGTCTTTGCTAACAGTTGATAGTGTCATTCTTTTTATTAACTTAGGTAGATGAGATGTTATATCTCATGTAGTTTTGATTAGCATTGTACTGATTACTAATAAGAGTATTCATTTTTTTTATTTTTGAGACGGAGTCTCGCTCTGTAGCCCAGGCTGGAGTGCAGTGGCACGATCTCCACTCACTGCAAGCTCGCCTCCCGGGTTCACGCCATTCTCCTGCCTCAGCCTCCCAAGTAGCTGGGACTACCGGCGCCCGCTACTACACCCGGCTAATTTTTGTATTTTTAGTAGAGACGGGGTTTCACCGTGTTAGCCAGGATGGTCTCGATCTCCTGACCTAGTGATCCGCCTGCCTCAGCCTCCCAAAGTGCTGGGATTACAGGCGTGAGCCACCGCGCCCAGACAAGAGTATTCATTTTTACATGTATCTATGGGCCATTTGTCCATCCTTTTTTAACTTTTCATGTTTAAATTATTTAAATCATTTTAGAGTCACAGGAAGTGTCAAGATAAGCCAAAAAAGGACAGGGAAGTTCTGTGTACCCATTACTTAGTTTACTACAGCGTTAGCATCTTGCATAACTATAGTATAAGATAAAAACTAGGAAGTTGGCATTGGTACAGTCCACAGAGTGAGCAGATTCATATTTCACCAGTTTTATAGATACTGAATTGTATATGTGTATTGTCTATGCAACTTAATCACATAAGTAGACTCATGTAACCACCCTTACAATCAAGATACAATGCTGTTCCGTACCATAAGGCTCCTATTTCCTGCCTCTTTTGGACACATCTCACCCTCATCCCTAAGCCATGGCAACCATTAATCTGTTTTTCATCTATATTATTATTTTTGGAAACATCTATTCAGATATTTTTGTCTATTGTATTTTTATTATTGACTTTTAGATGTTTTTATATGTAATTATATATATAACAAGTGACTTTTCCTAGTCCATGAGTTGAATTATATTTTCTTATTGGTGTTTTATGATTAATAAAAGTTTTTGATATTGATATAGTTATTATTTTTCTTCGTGTTCAGTGCTTTTGAACTCTTGAGAAATTTTCCCCTACCCTCAGTTAATGAAGGCATTTTCCAAGAAGCTTTATTTTTTGTCAGATTTATATCAGCAGTCCACCTGAAATTGTTAGTATGAAGTAAAAGTCGGGTTTAACTTTTTTCTATATGGCTATCCAACTGACCTGGCATTCTTTTTTGAAACTACTTTTTCTCCGTGGTTTTGCAGTTCAACCTTTATGTCAAATAAAGTGGTCATATCTGTTAAAGCCTGGTTCGGGGATTTCTATGTTCCACTGGTTGATTTTTCTACCCTTGTTATTATCATTTTATTTACTGTTGATTTAAAATATGCCTTAACATCCAGTAGAGCAAATAGTTTCAACTTGTTCTTCTTCATCAGTGTCTTGGATTTTCTTGATTGTTTGCATTTCCATATACCTTTTAGACCTTTTAGAAGCATCTTCTAAAGTTATAAAGAAAAACTGGGGATTTTGATTAGGTATTGCATTGAATGCAATAAATATTTTAGGTATGAGTTGTTTCTACATTATTGAGTCTTATTTCTGAATTTCTGAATATGGCACAGCCCTCTATTTATTTAAATCTCTATTTTCTTTTGATGCTGTTTTATTGCTTTATCATAAAGTTTTTACAGTCTCTTGTGAGATTTATTCCAGGGCATTTGATATTTTTAATGCTATTATAAATAGTATATTTTCAATCTTTCATTTTCTAAATGTTTGTTGATATTATAAAGAAATATAAAGGATTTTTATATATTGACTTTGTATACAGAAACTTACTAAACTCACTTATTGATCCTAGTAATTTATCTCTTGATTCTTTAATATATTCTGTATATATTACCATAACATTTTCAAATAACAATTTTATTTCTTTCTTTTTAGTGTTTATACTGCTTGTTTGCTCTCCCCATCTCCCTCCTCTCCCTCCCTTGTCTCATATTTTCTTGTCTTACTGCATGGTTAGACTTTAAGTACAGTGTTAAATAGAAGTCATATTAGTAGCCACTTGTGTGTTGTTTTTGATCATATGAAAAGTTTTTAACTTTTCACCAATATGTTTAATGTTTGCAGTAGTTGTTTTTTGGTGAATACACTTTATCAGATAAAGGAAGATTATGAAAGTCCCCTTCTACTCCTCATTTGCCAAGATAAATTTTAGGTCATGAGTCAGTGTTTAATTTATCAAATTATATGTCTACACCCATAGAGATGGGCATATAATTTTTCTTGTTTTGTAAATGTGGTGAGTTACACTGATTTATTTTTAAATCTTAAGCCAACCTTTATTCCTGGGATAGTATCAACTTGGAATTGATGTATAATTCATTTTATACATTCCTGGATTCAGTTTGCTAATGTTTAGGATTTTTGCATCTATGAACATCAGTGAGATTATCTTATAATGTCCTGGACTTTAGCAAGCATTTTTTGTTTTACCATGTCTTTCTTCTTCTCTTGTTCAAAGTGTGTCTCTCATGAGTTTGCTGTGTTAGGTAATGTTCCTGCACCCTTAAACCACACACTCAAACTCATTTTCAGTCAATTACCATTTCTGTCAACTCTGCCTCTTACATGATATATCACTCAGTTTTGTCATTCTTCCCACCTCGTCGGCTCCTACACTAGTTCAGGATGCTATTGTATGTTTCTCGGATTGCTCTAACAATGCCTATAAGGTTTTTCTGGCACAAGTTTGGCTCCCTTCTATTTTCTGTATGACAGTTCAGGTGAACTGTTAAAATCACAAACCCTATTATAGTGCATGCCTTCTTACAATTTTGCAGTGACTCCTCATTGGATTTCTTTCAGCTCCTCAAATTGATCATGTTCTCTTATGCCAAAGCCCTTGTCCATGTTGTTTACTGTGCTGAAAACTTTCACAGTAGTGCACAAACTAAAATATCTGCATGACAGAGCAGCGTTGTTGAAGACAGAACAGGGATTGGCAAAATGATGCCAGATAAGAAAAAAAAAAAACGTATAGAGAAGTGCAAAGGGCAATTTAGAAGCTGATTTTTCATACTCACTAACATTTAATTTACTGTTGACTTAAAGTATGTTTATCAGTTGTTTTATGCTTATCATGGCATGTGTTGAGGGACCTGGAGGCGAATTCTTAAAGGGAGCAAGTTGTGCTTGACCCCTGTGCTCAGTGCTGGACAGCACAGTTTATGGGCCTCATACAAAGTGCAACCTCTTCTGAAGGAAGTAATCATGGTGGTAAGGAATTTTTGGGGTGCTAGGGATGGTTAACCTGGCTAAGGAGATATTGAAGAACTGTCATATAAAACAAACATATTTTGTGCACATTGATGACTATGAAGATTATGAATAATTACAAATGGACAGAAGTATAGAAATACAGATTTTGTCTCCAAATTAACAAGAACTATCTAAAGATTAAAACTGCCTCAATATGAAAAGGGCTGCCTCCTGAGATGATAGGTTTCTTCAGGAAGTAGTTGGTCAATTATAAAGGGAATTTATATATTGAGGCAGTGGTGCCAAAGCACAGTATCTGGGGCTTCCAGTAGTTTTGGAAGCCTCCTATGTGAGTCTAATGTGCAGAAAAGTTTAGGAAGTCCTGCATTAAGGGGAGATTTCAACAGTGGTTTTTCTATATCACAAGTATCTAAAAGAGATGAAAAGAATACAGATGTCCAAGCACTTCTCTATAGCTTCTAAATTAGCAGAGATAAGGGCGCACCCCAGGAATCTATATGTTTATGATTATTCTCAGGTGATTCTATTATCTAGCTGGCCTTGGAAACCACTGGATTATATGATCCCTTTAAGAAGAAGTACTGTGCATAGTGTATCTGTAACCCAGTAAGGCACTTGACAGATTTGTTTATGTTATCCTTGTGGGACAAAATACGTAATATGAGTCAAGAAGAGTACAACTAGGAGAAATAATGGGTTTTGACGTCAAAGCAATCTGAATTCTAATTCTAGTTCTGTTACTTATGAGACTTACGAAAATTTACCCTCTCAATCTTAATTATGTCATCTTAAAATGGAATGATAATAACCATTTTACAGATCTTTTTTGAAGTCTAAATAAAATTATCTATGAAAGTTATCAAACTACAACATAATATCTGGCCATATTGGTCCCTCTTCTAAAATTCTGTGGTTCTATAAATGCAGAAATTCAAGAGTGGAACAGTAAAGCATACATACATGTTTGATGAGTAGTTGTGTCTTCTTTGTTACTTTTTAGCTTGGTGTTTTAAAGGCCATAAGGGTGAAGAATAATGCCATTATTTTTAAGTCAAATATTGTTTATGCCTAAAATATTTTGAAATTTTCAAATAATAATTTATTTTACTAATTGTAACAAAAAATGGTGAAAGAGAATTAACTATGTGCTTATTTTTTTAAATCACAGGTTTACAGGAAATCTGTCATTTTTTATTAAAATGGAAAACTGTGAAGAAAGAAAAAGATAGCAGTTGAAGTCAAAATTCTCGGATGACTATTTTGCTTTTGAGGAGTCAGCATTTAAAAACGATATGCTGATTTGGAAGGTCCTGGGAGTAAACTGCAAACTTTATTTTTTCCATTCAATCAATGGATTTTTTAATCATTCCTTGGAGTCGATGAAGTTCGGAAACGGTGTGTGATGGGGAACGTGGCGGGCCAGTGTGTTCCTAGAAATTGCATCTTGGATTAGTTTGCTGCTTTTTTGAAGAGATTCCATTTTGAAGGGCAAGAACCTAATGTGATGGATTTATCTTCAGAAATGAACAGACATGGGAAGAATCCAGTGAGTCACAAGCTAGAAGATCAGAAGAAGGTAAAAGAAATTTCTCTTTGCTTGGTCCTTTTTGTTTACACTTAAAGAGAATTTTTGAAATTGAAAATGAATGCACCTTTTGAGATAAAATAACATACTGTTTCACGGAAATCAACCCTGCTGTATGGCAATGTGTTTCTGTGGGTCTGGATTTCATTACCAGTTGGTAATTTTGTTTCTAAAATCCTCTGAATTTATCTATCCAGTGGGTTGGCAAGGATTCTACTGTGTTCTCTCACTCTTGACTTCATACTAGTGACCTGTTGAACTGACCTCGTAGGAACAGTTCTCTGAGACCCAGGGTGAGGCATGAGTCACAGGCACCTCTGGAGTAATGGAGCAGGCTAGAGCTCTCCTTAAATAGAACACCTGCCTTATTGCCATTAGAAAGCATAAGTGGCATTTTAAATTCTCTAATTTCATATCCTTGGGACACATCAACTTAGGCCTTCTGAATTATACAGCTGGCCTGGAAAGAAAGTTGTGAGACAACTGCGAGCTTTGTTTTGATTCTACATGATGTCAAAAGAACTGATGGAAAAAAGAACTGTGCTAACTTTATTTTAAAAGAAAGCGTTTAGCGAGCTTTTTAGTAAGAAGTGGGGATTGAATACTAAGGGATGTACTTCACCTTCATTTTTCTAGCTTTTTAGAAACTCTTACCTGCTGAATTGCTCCACTGGAGTGAGAACCACCTAAAGAACACTTATCAGAAGGGTTAGAGATGGCGTCTAGGAGAGAGAGCCCCACTCGTACTGAAATGTATCATCTTTTGCAGTGCTCTTATGGACTCTGCTAGTACAGGATAGGTGTGTGGGGACCCAGTAGCGATGGTGCTGGCAAGAAATGGGAGAAAAGGAAGGAAATTTTTAGTTAGATGTGGATCTAAGGGCCATAATTAAGCTTTGTTTTTACATCAGTCTTAGAAATTTTGTTTACTGTTCACTTCTCACATCCTGAAAAACAACTAGTTAGGTCTTTCACAGTGGTGGAGGTAAGTTTAGAAGAGGCTGTGCTGAGTCAATGGCTTATTAATTTTGTTTTGCCAATATAATTAATGCAACTGGCATGGGGCTACAGTAATCCTTTTGTCATTAATAGAGGCAGAAATGCATAGATTGTTTATTCCCAGTTTGGTTCATTTTTTGTGCAGTGTCAGTAAATCTCAGAAAATACTAAATACTATAAAATTCAAGGTGCCTGAAATCAATTTTTGCTTTAATGTGGATATAAATTTCTACACAAATACTTGTGTTACAAATAAGTTTGTTGGTGTTACCAAATGTTCAGCCTGCTTTTCTTCCCGCTGGCACTGGAGTGTTTACCCAGAGGAGATGTCACAGTAAATTTCAATCTAAAGCATTCTCTGCAATTTAACTACTAAGAAGCCATTTAATCATCTTTTCCTATCTACATTTTTATAACGTCCTTAACTCTGATGGTAATTTGGGTACTATATTGGGTGGGTAAAGAGGGAGGGAGGTAATAGGTAAGTGATTAATTACAGGGTTATAATTTCTGATGGAGATGCTGCTTTTATGACAAAAAAGATGAGTACCTCTGCAGGTGCTGCCTTTTCATTCCCTGGCTAAGGGAGATTTTCTGCAAACACCAAAGGAATTAAAGTTGAAGAATGGAACGAATTCTTAGAGTCATCCTCTGAGTTCTTTGTGTGGAACTGTAAACAATGGTTTGTAATGACACTTCGTTTACTAGGCCAACTCACACAAAACTGCTCAGCTCATACATAACATACTAATAGTAATAGAATTTAGACAAACCATGGAGAACCATAATTCTGCAAGAAGTGTAAAAATACTACCTTGGTGATGTGGCACAGGAAGACCCCCATCTCACTATAGCCTCGCCTTCTCATCGGTAAAGGAATGGAAGAGGAATGAATGTTTTCAATGAGCAGTATCAAGAGTGGAAAATGGAGTTCTAATGACCTCTTGGCTCCTTCGCTGGTGTGGGCACCTAAAAAGTAGCCTTGATATGTAAGATCTGCAAATAAACCAGAAACTTGGTATGTATAGATAAAGGTTTAAGATTCAAAATTTTTGAATCTGAAATGTCAGCAGGAACACCTAGTCTCAATGACACAATGAGTCACAGTGAGTTTAAATTAAAGAAAAATTGAAAGGTAACATCATAAATCTTTGTAGATGAAGTGCTGGCCATGGCCCTGCCACCAAGTAATCGCTAATAGAGATTAGAAGGTCATTTATTTAATTACTTCAAGTGTTTATAGTCCTTCATGATGAATTAATTTAGCAGGTATAGGTGAAACAGAACGCATTTAGCCTACTCCTGCTTCATTGAGAGGTGAAGCATTTTTTAATATTACTGAAAAAGTGTCATCTTCTCATGGTGTTTGGCATATTGTACACATTCAAAGCAAGGTACATTGAAATGGATTGGATAAGCACCTATTCTAAGCACTACACAACCGATCTCTTATTCAGCTTACAATAAATCACTAGCTTTTGTTAATTTAAGATGTGTAGATTTGTACTTATTATATTCTACTTCTAAGTACAAACTCTTAGGATCCTGTTTATATGAGTCTGTGAGTATGTGTTCTACTGAATGAGGAGGTGAATGTCAGGGATGAGGTTGGTCATTCATAGGGTGCTTATCATATGTCAGGAACATGCATGATACCTTTTGCTTTATTAAGATAGTATCTTCCTACAACAATAAAAGCTGCTTTTATCTCCTTAAGAGTTTGGGTCTTGTAAATATAATTATCTATTCCTTAAATATATATATATAATATTTACATATTTTATATATAAATATGTATTTAAAATATATATGCTATTATTCAAAATTAAAGCTTCAAAAGTGTTTGACTTTATTGGTTTCTTTTAAATAATGCCTCATCCCCTTACTAAATCTGAACAGAGGATCACATACTTGAAAGTTACAAGCTATATCCACAAATTCTATCTGAAGTACTCTTCATTACTGATAAACTACAGATGTGTATCTTATAGGACTTAAAGAGAATACTTCTAATAATCTTATAGAAGTTGAAGAAAATACTTTTAAGGATCTCAAGTCAACTTGGATTAGTGTAGGACTGGGTGAAATTTAATGGCTTTTTTTGAGTCTTGTGATTTATTTTTTCAGTAGAACTTTCAGCTGGTATTGGGCCATAACCCAGCTCTTGGCATTCAGATTCTGGAAAATTATCGTGGCATCTCAAACCACCTGAATGCCCATAATGGAGTGTTTTATTTTTGATAACATGACTTTTTGACCTTTGTTTGCACAATCAAATCCAGTGAGGTTTGCATATTGCTGCCAGCTAATTTTATTGCTTTGTGGGATTATTTCTGCAAAACAAACCCAGAACAGTGAAAGCTCAATAGTTACAAATGATACTGCTATGTAATTAATCGTGACCTTGAACTGAAAAGCAGAGCATGGTAAATTTTACTGTCAGTCTAATTGCAGCAGTTTGCAATTCAGACAACCCTGGAACACTGTTTTATTGCTCCATGAATATTTTGTGTATTAAACCAAAGCATTTGTCATAGTCAATATTTTACTAGGTAGTGATAAAAAGATAGTAGGATACACACTTCAGAATCATGGCACAAAGGTGCAAAAAGTATTTGGTGATCTGTTGGATGTATTTTGTTGCTGTATTCCGTAAACCGGAAAGACATGAGCAATATTATTGTGTATGTTTAGAGGTATTTTTCTTTTATGGAAATGTTTTAAGATTGGTACAATCTCAGTTTTTCACTTCCCCAAATCACGTATTTTACATATTCAGTTTGCCAGAGTTATTTTCACCTTGCCATGAAAAAGCTCACGATAAATTCCAACACATCACATCTGTCCTTCCGTCCTTCTATGAGACTTCAGATTACTTCAGAAGTGACATATTCTGGGTATAGTGTTTGAGATGTGAAGAGTTATGTAAAATGAGAGAAATTATTGTATTAATTGATAGGAATAATACTGATATAGAAAAAGCCTATTATTTTAGGCTCCTGTGATTTTTTTTTTGGACTGAAAATCAAGTTTAAGCGGAGGGTTAGAGAAAGCATCACCTTCAAGTAACAATGAGTGCTTCATCAATGTCAATTCACATGGACCTGTTTTATTCTTTCTCTTTCAACTGACATCAAACAGAAGCGTGGTCTGGGCTTGGTGTCTGCATGTGACTGTGTTAGGTTACTTTAATAATTTTCCTGGAAACATCACCCACTTACGATTGCCAGAGCTCTACAGAGTAGAAGTACTTTGTCAATTTAAAGCTAGCCTAGTTCTTATTTTGCTATTTATTTCATTTAGTGTGCTGATTCTTTTCATTTTATTTTTGCATTTTCTTGCAGTGATGATAAAATAACATCATATACAAGTCAAAAAGTGTTCTTCAGATTATTCTTGCAGGTGTAGACTACTTAAGATTGTTTATGTTGGAAACTAATTAAAAATCTGTTTTCTTTAAAGAAAATATGAGCATAAATCAATAAAAAAAGAAAGTTTAGTGAGGATAGGTCTAGCCCTTATATTTGTTGATTTTCTTAAAGAATGGCCTCATTAAATGAGGCCATTTAATTATTTTTATAAATCTACCTGACTTCCTTTTTTAATGTATATTACATAAGTTATAGGGAGCATGAGGGATGATGAGGTTTCTGAAACAACATCGTATCATTTATTATCAGCCAATCCTGAAGCACGGCTCTAGTAAGAATGAATTGTAGTGTCAGTTTCAACAAAAGTGGTTAGTCATTCAACTGTTGATTATCTAAACTTCTCATTTTTGAAACATAGCCATTTTATAATGTTACTATATAAATCTGGAATTAATGTGTAGACATAAACATGAACATCAAGTTCCCAAAGAAACTCGTGCTGTGATTGTAGCATACTCGGATGCAGATTAAGACTATCCCTAATTTCTACCTCTGCTTCATACTTCTATAAGATGATTCCACAAACAGCTGTCTCCCAGTTATTTTATCTGGCATCCTCTAAGGATGAATTAGATAAAGTGACTCTTTTTCCACTCAGAAGTGATTCTAGAAACTTCTTTCTCAGATTTGAACTTGGATAGAACCTCCTTTCATTTTTTCTCCACCATATCATAGAAATCTAAAAATTCATATGGCGGCCTTTTTGCACCTGGCAGCACACATTTTTGAAGTATTTGGACTTGGTATAACAGAAAAAACTGGAAATGGATAAAAGTGAATGGGACATATGCATACTTTATGGTTCCACCATTTTGTTCTAGACTAGACTATGTGCTTTCTCCTGATTGGTGGATTTAAGACGTCAATAGATATAGTGAGCCTATATCTTCATATAAATGGATAAAATATACAGTCCCAAGATATATAACACTCAATATATTTTGAACATTTTGAAGGCAGAATTATATGAAAATCTCTGAGTATTAGTTGCCATTAATTATGACTGTAATTATAATGATACTAATTATTATTAACATATAAAGTTTTCTCAGTTTTAATTCTGATTTTTCTTAAATCTTTTCCTCTGTCTTGATACTAACATGTGAGTTCTGGCTTTTATCATTTCATAAAGGAAAGAATATACTAAGACTAACATTTTTCTTCTAAAATATGTCCCATTTGTTTCTCTGGATAGCAGGCTGCCTGCTAGTGAGCTGGGCCATCTGATTTAATAGCAATAAGACAGGGTGGATAAAAATTTTTGTGGTTTTCTTACAGAGGGACTGACTAATTGTCTCCAAAATTGATTCTAGTTCAGGAATATGCAATGCCTGGGATAAGAATTAAATGAAACTAAGCCGATTTAAAGATATGTTACAAAAGTGGTAGACATAAGGAATTCTGCCTATTTTGCATATAATTTTTTACAGTATGACTGCAAAGTTGAAAAAATCAACATATTTGATTTTCTGAGTATATTCTGAGGACCAACAGCATCACTGTCATCTGGGAGCTTATAAGAAATACAAAATCTCAGGACCTACACTAAACCTATTGAATGGGAATGTGCATTTTAAGATCCCCCGGTGACTCTAATGCACAGCAATATTTGAGAACCCTTGCCCTACAGACAGTTTCTGAGAGCACCCCAGGAGGATTAAGTTTTAGTTACTCACCATTGTGATGTGTTCAATGAAGTGGCCTTTAGTTTCTATCTTCTGGTTTCTGTCTCCCTAACTCCCTTCCCAGTATTTCCTGGAATCATCAGCCAAATAAATTACTTGCACTTGGATCATTGTTTTGGGGTCTGCTCTCAGGAAACCTAAACTATGACACTCTATATCTACAGTTCTGGTATTCATATTTGTTTCAGTCAGCTAATGTTGGACTCTGTTAGCACAGCTGTTTGGAATTTAAACTTTTCAAGAATTCTTTCATCCTTATTATTCATTCCTGTTTTATTCTTGGATATCCTAAGTGCATACCCAGACTAATGATAATATCAACACTTGTTCAGTATGGTTGGTCATTTTTAAAAATAAACAGGCAATTTATGGGTGACCCACACAAAGAACAGCTGCTGCCATCACTCACGCCCTCTCCATTGTTGATGGCCTCTGCAACTGACATTGTCCCAAGCAGCTGCCGACAGAGCTGCCAGTACCTGTTTCCACGTCCAACCTTTATTCTATTCGTTAAAAAAAAAAAAGACACAATTAGGAGACATTTATTGAATCAGATATTTGGTGCTTGGAATCTGGAGTGGGTTTTCAGGCAAAATTTTTCTATTCATTCCCCTCTTCTTCTTAGAGTTCCCTGTGAGGAAGCTATATATACATGAAACAGTGACTAAATGGGAAAAAATGACTGGCATTATAAACAGAGTATGTGTATGAATGTCTCTACTCTCCTAAAAGTGGATCATTTCTAAAAAGCTTTAGTACTTTAGGTCCAAAAGCCAAATCTGGGTTTTTGAGTCCCTCAAAGCTGGAATCACCACTTCACTGAGCAAACCAAATACTAACCAAATTAGTTGTGTGGCTGAAGATGGACAGAGCTTGCCCAAAGATGGGAACCCTGTTAGTTGAGCTTATCACAAATGAGCAATACATTGAAAAGAAGTGGTGGTGCCCATGACTCTACCTTACTTCATTTTGTGCTGCAATAACAGACTGGGTAATCTATAAGAAATAGAAATTCCTTGGCTCACAGATCTGGATGCTGGCAAGTCCAGTGCTGAGGTGCTGGCACCTGGTGAGGGCCTCTTGCTGCATCATCACAGAAGAAGCAAGAGAGAGCTAGAAAGAGCAAGTGGTGGCTGAAATCACTCTTTTACAGCAGCACCAACCCAACCATGAGGGTGGAGCCCTCAGTACATAATTACCTCTTAAAAGTCCCACCTCTTAATACTGTAATAATGGCAATTAAATTTCAACAGGAGTTTTGGAGGAGGCTAACATACAAACCATAGTACTACCTTTAGCAGAAACAACCACTGCCTCCTAATACAACATGGCTTACTATTTCACTCAAGACCTGATGAAACTAGCAATGTCTTTGGGAAGATCCAGTAAAACATAGTACAGCAAAGAGTTAAAAGCACAGAATCTACAATAAGACCACTTGATTTTGGTTCTCGAATCCGACACTTTGTCAAATTACTCAACTTCTGTCTTCCTCCAGTTTTCTCATTTGTGTTACTTCTTAAAATGATAGTTACAGCAGTTGAAACAGTGCTTCACATGTGAAAAACAATAACTGGTAGCTATTGGAGGTGGGCTAAGGAGTTGGTTGTGTTCTGTCTTCTGGGGGCAGACTCATTACTCCTTTCTCATCACTGACTTACTATGGGGCCCCAGCAGTGCTAGTGTTGAATGGCTTCCTAGTTTGCTCAAATCACGGCACTCCATTTTAGATTTCCCTCTCCAAACTGCATATAACAAATGATTTAAGCACTTTTAATACCAGGCTCCCCTAAAAGTGAAGACTTTCTTTATTTGGGGGTAGGGTGGGAACACACACACACACACACACACACACACACACACACACACACAAAGATGGAAGTATAACTAATAAATCAATCCTTGATTCTCCACCCTAGCCCCAGGACAGAATTTCCCTGTGGGTCTGGTCATTCTTCCTGGCTTCTACTGAGCTGCATCTTAGTGGTTCATTTAGGCCATGACACCGTCTGCTGGTTCCCTGGAGAGAGTCAGAGGGAGAATTAGTGCTTATGATATTTCATCCTAATATATGGATACAACATCAATCACCTGTAACTAGAACTCAACCCTAGAGCTAGTCAGAAGAGAAGTCTATGTTCAAAGACTTTATTTCCCTTAGGATGACACATTTGTTAAATCAAAATACTTTATGGCCATGGCATATTGACAAGAGCAAGGTTACCCTTAATTCATGGTACATTTTAATAGTGTTTACTGTCTAAACCCTAAATATTAGAGTTTTGTTTCTATTTTCAAGAGGAGAAAAAGAACATTGAACATGGGAAAAATTCTCAATACATGAACTGACTCATCTTTTATCTTTACCATTTCCAAAGTGAGATAAGGAATGTAAAAACTACGTGATAAAGCAAACATAATAAAATGTTAATTATAGACTCTAGTGGCAGTCATGGAGATGTTCACTGTAAAATTCTTTCAACTTTTCTGTATATTTGATAATATTTATAAATCCACAGGGGGAATATGTTAGTAAGATGTAATACTTGTTTTCAAGGTATTTAGTAGCATAGCTATAGTTCCCCTGCCATACTTCTCCAAACTTGATTCTCCCTAACAATGTAACTTGGGGATCAAGAGGGCTTAGAGGATTTTTGAGAAGTTAAGGGAGGCTGGCCCAGGACTGCTATTACTTGCCTTTAAGCTGTACTATGTACTCTTTTCAGTTGTACTGGAATGCTAACCAGCATTTGTTGCATGATCTACATGGAAAATTTACTATGAATTTTCAACAACTTAGAAACCAATTTTAGGACTCCATCCCACATCTATTGCTTTTTTTCCTTAAGTATTTTATATATTCAATCATTTGTACATTCCATAGAATACTTTTATTGTGCTCTGATTTAAATCTGGGAATGTCAGTTCCAAGCATTAAACAAATAAAAAGAAATGACTTTTTATAGTTAGTAATTCTTCATGATCAATTTTTCATCTTTCATGGGATGAACTATCCTTTATAAATGTTTCCTGCCACATATTACACTGAATAGTGTAGTTGGTTAAAAATCAATTCAAAATGTGATGTTATATTGCTTATTTAGAATCAATTTCTTATGTGTATATTTGTATAATGGTAAAGTAGTTCTTTAGTGCACAGTAGGTATAGCTCTTTGCTAAGAATGTTCTCCAGTATATTCAGACATTTCTACATATTAGCTTGCTAGTTTCCAGTAAACTCGCCAGGTTTTGTTAAGTAATTGTCTCAGAACTTGAGATAGTTTTGATCCACTCAAATTAGTAATCCTGCTCTTATAATGTGTTTTATATATTGGATTTTAACATAATATTTTGTTTGAAGAAGGAAATCAAAATAATTGCACACAGATTTAAATGATACAATATTTTGGCTGAACTTAATGTGTTTTCTGCATTTATGGGGTACCTACTTATGCTCTGTGGTAGGTAATAGTAAAACTACCATGTTAACTGCATTACTAATGGGTTTATTCATTTATACTCATCACTTGTCCTTTGCATAACAGTGTGGGTTAGGCTTCTAGGTAATATGTGAATAGCAACATACAATTACAAAGCACTTTTCCTTGC
Source organism: Homo sapiens (assembly GCF_000001405.40). Taxonomy (NCBI): domain Eukaryota; kingdom Metazoa; phylum Chordata; class Mammalia; order Primates; family Hominidae; genus Homo; species Homo sapiens. Next base: position 77,582,000 of record NC_000012.12, read on the forward strand.
ATTTTCTTCCATTCTTACACTTTACAACTCTGTAAAACTATAGATCAGGTAATCTTTACGTCCACATGAGGGACAGGGACTTTCCCAAGATCATACAACTCACCAGGTTGCATCTTTTTATTTTGCTTAGTGGTTTCTTTAAATCCACTTGTATTTAGCACACTTTCTATGTGCATTGAAATTACATATCAAATTATTCCTTCCTTAATAACATCTAATTTACTAATGTGTTGTTAGAAGTATGTTTAAAGGACATTAATCTACAAAGCCTTTCTAGTGTTTCTATTAAATTTGTATGCCACATGCGTTGGCATATAGTATACTTTCTTTGTGCAAATGTTTTTCAAGAGCTACTCCCCAAATGACTTTGAAAAGGTGTGAAAAATAGTCCAGATTTGGGAAACCACAGTTCTTTGATGACATTAAACCGGTTTGATCATATTACACTTGTGATACCTGAGAATTTAGATTTAAGTTTCTCCTTCTATCTTATTAGAGCTGACAGATTTTGGAAAATTACATTAGGAAGTTTTATTAATTGTTAGGAAAATGTATTGTAGAAACCCAGGTTATATTTAAATTTGATAAGCTACACAAAGAAAATTCATCAACAGTCCACACAGGTAGGGCCATGAGTTTTTGCCAGCCCATCAGCCACCAGATAACCCACAAGGCTTGGCTCCCTGGTCTCTTAGTGGTGCCAGTGACACATGTGAGTACACGCATGTATGTGAGCCACCTTGCTCTCCTGTAGTGAAGCAGGATGTTCTATTGGACCAAGTTCACATTTGGTATTTGTTCACCATGGTGGAAATGAATGGGAACCGGGGCCTGTCACAGAGGTGAGACTGCTAGCCAATTCAAGGCATATCCACACCATTTTTGAGGAAATATTAAATAAAATACATATGTGACCATTTAAGTGCCTAATTTACAGCACTTGATTTGTCTGACACACAATGAGGGTAAGAATAGTGTTCTATATAAATGGCTCCTTCGTTTTTCCACTTTGATAAACATTCTTAAAAAGAGCTTCATTTACAAACATTACACTTTCCTAACATTTGTGTTTTTGCAAATGCTTAGAGTTGTAGAGTACTCCTCAGAATGTATACATTCAGTTCCAAGATGAGGCTGCCTCTTAAGAATGTCACCAAACCACATCAATAATTCTGCCTGCTTTTCAAATTTTGCTGCTGGTAATTAATTTCTACTTAATATTTTTCATTAAAATTAGATGTTCTCCTTTAAACTCTTACCAGCTGCTTGATTAGACAATATTGTTAGGTACGATGTAGCAGTTTTACCTCATACTATCTCAGTAAGTAAGGCCTCCATCTTTTAACAGTTGCTGGTATTGGCAAATTATAATGTTTGTAAATGACAGATAAGTAACACCTTGTATGTACATGTTATTTTCTAATTAACATTGGAAAATGATCTGGGGTTATACTTTTAAAACAATGTGAACTTTGTAATTAATGTGTTAATCTGCTTTGCTCTGTAAAATATTTTTAGGTAATTATGAATTAATGTAGCATACCATGTTGTTTTGGGGGAAAACTACAAAATGAGGATAAATAAAGATGTACCCAGACATTTCCGAAGCACTTACCATTTTATGAATTTCTTCCATATCCATCATCAGGTTCTAAATTAGTGGTTTGACTAAATATATGATACTAAGAGTATATGTGGATATAGCAATGACCTTTTAAATGCCCGGCACATCCAGATTTATCACTCACTTTCCTAAAACTCTGATGACTTTTTAGCACAATCTGAGCTCTTTAACATGGCCCATGGGACCCGACATAATCTCATCCCATTCCCCCTCCAACCTGTCTCCTGCCATTCTTTCTTCAATTCATTCTCTTCCAGACATATTGACAACCCATCTCTAAGTTCCTTGAACAATGCAAGTACAGTACTACCTATCTTCTTACCTTTAGGCCTTTGTACTGACTACCCCTTCTGCCTGGAATACTCATTGCTCTATTTTTTACATGGGTGGCTGTTGCTTCATCATTCATGTATCCAGTATTACTGTAATTTCCTCAAGAAAGTGCTTTCCCACCACTCCATCATTATGTTCTATAATAGCACACTGTTGTCTGCCTTCTTAAGAATGATTGTTTGTATTTTTACTCATGTATTGTTTGTTTGCAGTCAGCCTCTACCAGGTCAGGGACATTGCTTGTCTCATTCATCCTCGTATTGATGCCTTGCATATGATACGTACTCAGGAACTATTGCTATGGCACAAAGAAGAAAAGCCTATGTGGGTACATAAAATACCATTAATTCAGCAAATGTCTTATGAGGACTTAACAAATTGGGTTGTGATTTTTTTAATAAAAGGTAAACAAAAAAGATAAGCTAAACACTGAGCTTGCTCCAAAGCAGCTCTCACATAGTATACCAAAAAAAAAATTTTTTTTTTAATGAAAATCTTAAAGCAGAGTCTGTTTGGTTAGATTAAATGCTTATGGGTATGCTGTCTTTACATACCCATGTACCTTTATTTCTTCCTATGAGGGAAGGGCAGAACTTTCAAAGGGCAAAGCTATCAAAGCAGCCTCCTGCATTTTCCATTGACTCTCCATATCCTTCTGACTCTTACAAGTGAGAAAAATGACAGGTTTAAATGTTTTATAATTTCCATTACAAATTACCTAGCTGTTTAATTATAAATTCATCCATGATATTTTATAGGCAGAAGTGATGGCATACTTAGGATTTAGAATTTTGGATACAGACAGTATGTGCTACTTGGACTCTCAATCTATATATGGCTTGTATAAAAAATTAAAGGCTAAAGTTATTTAACATTTAGTATTTGATTTCCCCCCTCAAAAAAATGTAGGGTAAAAGGATTGTCAAATTCTGTTTAAGTTTTGTAATAATTATGCATGCCTCCAGCTACCATGTTAGCACAGAGTCTGGTATCTAATTCTTGAGTGGCATTGAAGAATGCCTGACGGATGATACAACTGAAAGTAGGGAGGGGCAGCCTCAGTCCTGCTACACATCCAAGACAAGATAAACCCCGTTCTCACATGTCTATGCCATTGTTTTTTGCTGGCAGATGGTGCTGGCAGGTGTTTCTGCATTGCCTGACTGGTGATGCCTGTCTATTGCTGGTCCAGGATGGTCTCAGAGAGAAGATGATCCTGCTTCCTAGGGCTAAGCTGGATGGTACTTCAGCAACTGTAGCTGCAGTGCTCAGCGCTCATCCTCTTCAGGTCACATAACCACCTCCAAGGTATCAGCTGGCACCAGAGATCCTGCATTAGACCTGTTTCCAGGGTCTTCACTCCTAAACGTCAGCAACCATTTTTCTTTTCTACTCTCAAACACAGCGTGTTTGATTCTATCTCTTTTACCTGGGTAGCAGCCTTCTAGGAAAATTTCCTAGGACCCTGGACAGAGTTGGTTTCAATAACTCCAAGATAAATTCCCAGAAAATTTCTTGTTAAGAAAGGAAAAAGACAAAAAATGAAAACACATTATTCTCTGATAGGACGGGGGAAGGGTATCGATGGTTTAGGGATGAAACTGTTCTACCTCAGATTATCAGACATTAGATTCTCATAAGGAGCTCAGAACGTAGATCCCTTGCATGTATAGTTCACAGTAGGGTTCGTACTCACTCCTACGAGAACCTAACACCTTGGCTGATCCTACAGGAGGTGATCGGGCAGTAATGCTCCTCGCCTGTCACTCAGCTCCTGCTGTGTGGCCCAGTTCCTAACAGGCCACAAGCCAGTACTGGTCCAGCCTGGGGGTTGGGCACCCTTGATATAAAGTATATGATGTCAATAGGCTTTTCTGTCTCTTTACCTCTGAAATATTTAAATGTCTATTCTTAAAAATTTGCTAGCTGGGCGCGGTGGCACATGCCTGTAATCCCAGCACTTTGGGAGGCCGAGGCAGAAGGATCACGAGGTCAGGAGATCGAGACCATCCTGGCGAACATGGTGAGACCCCATCTCTACTAAAAATACAAAAAATTAGCCGGGCGTGGTGGCGGGTGCCTGTAGTCCCAGGTACTCGGGAGGCTGAGGCAGGAGAATGGCGTGAACCCGGGAGGCGGAGCTTGCAGTGAGCCGAGATCGCGCCACTGCACTCCAGCCTGGGCGACGGAGCGAGACTCCATCTCAAAAAAAGAAAAAAAAAATTGCTGTAAGATTATAATTTACACTGATTAATTGCTCCTGGTACTCTATTCTGTATCTTCTTATCATTGACCAATATTAAGATTTTTCCCTGGAAGAGAAACTTTATTTTTGATGCTTGGGAAAGCACTTTCCCAGATAAGAAAATGAATATTATAATCAGCTTTTTATATGCTTCTTTTACATGGTAAGATTCTTTCCAAAATTCAGAAAGACTAGGGTTTCATTAGCACACACTGTTGTTTTATTTTCACTCAAAGATAATGGGCTTTTCATATACTTGTTTACAAACATAATTAAAAATGGGCTTTTGTAGAGAGGAATTCAATTCTAATAGAATGTTGATTAACTGAAGTGTTATTTGTTTTTTTCTTAAAGTCTTAGAGAGCATCTACTAGAAGTTTAGGATTTTTGCCTAAGAGAAAGTAAATCTAGAGCAACTAACTATTGCAAAATAGGAACAGGAGCTTGGCAAAGATTTGAAAGATCTTTTCGTGCTGACTGATACAGTATCCACTCGTCACGTGTGGCTATTTAGATTTAAATTAATCAAAATTAAATTAAAAATTCAGTTCTTCAGTTGCACTAGCTGTTTCAAGTGTTCAATCATCATATGTGACTAGTGGCTGTTATGTTGGACAGCACACATATAGAACATTTTCATCCGTGCGGAAAGTTCAATAGGCTGCTGAAATGTTCTGGTGAGAATACAATGTAGAATGGGAAGTTAGGAGAATGAGAATCAGAGTTTGATCAATGAAAGCCAGAGGAACAAGAACAGTTATGGAGTGTTTGAAAGGATTTTAGAGGTGAGTTAGACCCATTACTAAATTAGTAAATGAATTATTTATATTGCTTATTTTTCCTTATGTGAAAGTAACCAGAAGCTCCCAAACTTAAGAAGTATATACACAAGCAATGAATGAGATAATCAGTTTTGCATCATCTATGTAAAAAATTGTATTATCATAAATTATTATCTATAATAAATTATTTGATAATAAATTTTCACTGTTGAACTAATGTGCAGACTTTCCAAAAATGCTTTCCATGATCTCATGGGGGATGAAATGCTGTTTCAACTTTTCAAATACAATAAGATCAGCCAATAAATTAGTATCAGGACAAAAGTATTGAGGTAAAAAGAAACCATAAAATACTTACAAAAATACATGCATAATATTTTCCATCATTTTAGCAAATGATTTAAAATTGTGATTATATCCATTTATATGATAGTGCAATTCATCTGTCACATATACTTATTGTTTTCTTGCCAAATGATAAGATCCACAGAGCCATATGTTTCGTAAGCTCTTTTTGGAGAGAAATTTTGCTAAAGCTAGAACAAGTAAAATGTTAATCAGCAAAGGAATCATTAGTTACGTTTATATTCCAAGCAGTGTTCTTCAAAAATATATATTATAGAAGTTCATTTTCATTGAGTTAGACAACTTTAGTTACAAAATGTAAAATTAAAGGAGTCACAGAAAAGCTTGGTGAAACTATTACATTCATTAAGAATGAAAGATTAGCATGCAGTTTAATGATACAAATAAGATGCATGAATAGTTAATTTGCCAGGAATGTTAAGATTTGGTAGACTGAAGTAGAAGCATTCCATGTAATAGTTACAGAATTTTAAAGCCAATGAAAACCTTAGAGATTACATAGATCACTCTGAAAATGAGGAATCTGGGGCCCAGAGTGGCTATGTAACTTTCCCGAGGTTAACTGCTGGATAATGTTAGAGTTGTGATCAAAGACACATATATAATAGTTTCCAGTCCATCAAGTAGGTTCTATTATTTTTAAATCAGGCTAATATAATGTTTAACATCTTACAATTTCCATATGTATTTTAAACATTTATTTGTGCACATCCATCATTCCCAAATTTAACATACTTAGAAAAGATAGCCATAATGTCATGGGTCAGTAAAAATATCTATTTTGTTGAGATGAGGTCTCATTCTGTCACCTAGGCTGAAGTGCAGTGGTGTGATCACAGCACACTGCAGCCTTGACTTCATGGGCTCAAGTAATCTGCCTCAGTCTCCTGAGTAGCTGGGACTACAGGTGCACACCACCATATCCAGCTGATTTTTTTATTTTTTTTTTGGTAGAGAAAGGGTCCCACTACGTTGCCCAGGCTGGTCTTGAACTCCTGAGCTCAAGTGATCATCCTGCCTTGGCCTCCTAAAGTGCTGGGATTACAGGTGTGAGCAACCACACCCAACCAATAAGTATTTACTGTTATATTTGACCAGTAATAGGTTAGGAATAACCCCGTGGGGCACTTAAATTGAGCTTCTTTTGCCTTCTTGGTGCTTTCTCATACTGGTGTTCACACCACACCTGATGTTGCATTTTTCATGGATACCTTTTGTTTCTAATCACAAGGTTTCAGGCACCTTAAGTCCCAGGCCCTAAGCATCCCTGCGTCCCCAGTACCTAGCCTAGGGCCTAGTGCAGACTATCTACTGTGTGTGTTGAATGAATGAGTGATTATAATCTCCTTATAATAGGGACCTTAATTTGGCAAGTACTTATAAAGAAAGTAATTCACATGAAAAGTACAGGTATGAATTGTGAAAATACATTTTTAAGGAAAAAATTATAATTTTGACAAAATATTTTTATTTGAGAGGAACAAAATTCTACAACTTTGATTCTGTTTGTAAAATGTGAAATCCCTTTTGGTCTAGAGTTTTAGTGGGCTCTCTGCATACTGAGCACTAGGGAATGAAGGCAGTGGTCTGAATGTTAGGACTGGACACAGCAGAGCTATACCTGGGAATGAGTACTAAGAGTCCTGTACCCTGGACTGAGCTTTTAAAGTGTTATAGAAGCTTCAATCTCCATCAAAGCCAAAGCAACGTGGACTCACAGAGGATACAGATAAAGGATCTAGGTACTAAGACAAAAATTACTCCAGGAAGGAAACATTTTATAATTTTTCTCCCGTAGGAAGACCTTGGCAGCATGAAATAATAGGAAAAACACTTTGGGAAGAGGAAGACAATAGTTCAGATCCTGGCTCTGTGGATTTTGTTCAGTGAGTTAATCACATTGAACCTCAACTTCAGACCTCCTGTCTTCTTCTGAGCCCTCCAAACTGTTCTATCCTCTGTCTGTTACCCAGTTCCAAAGTCACTTCCACATTTTCAAGTATCTTTATAGTAGCAGCCCCCCTCTGTGGTACCAATTTACTGTATTAGCCGTCTGTTCTCCCTCTGCTATAAGGACATACCTAAAACTGGATAATTTATGAAGGAAAGAGGTTTAATTTGACCTACAATTCAACAGGGCTGGGGAGGCCTCAGGAAACTTATGATCGTGGCAGAAGGGGAAGCAAACACATCCTTCTTCACATGGGGGCAGGAAGGAGAAGAATGAGAATGAGTGAAGGGGGAATTCCCTTATAAAACCATCAGATCTCATGAGAATTTACTCACTATTGTCAGAATACCATGGGGTAAACCACCCCCATGATTCAATCACCCTCCACCAGTTCCCTCCCACCACATGTGGGGATTATGGGAGCTACAGTTCAAGATGAGATCTGTGTGGGGACACAGCCAAACCATATCAGACATCTTAAATTGACTCTGAATTTGATTGTCCACCAAGTATATTTTCCAGAGTAGAGGTGAAGAGAACAGGCTTTGGCGTTAGCCTGGATTTGGACACCATTTCTGCTCTTCCCTAGCTGTATCAACTTGATCAATTTGCTTAATCACATTTCTCTGTAAAATTGAGACAGTAACAGTCTTTTCCCATAGGGTTTTTTGAGAACATTAAGAGAGATAACTTATGTAAGCTTGGAACAGAGTAAGCCTCCATTAAAGATTAGTTTTATTGGCTACTGTAACTCCTGCATGGTACAACTAAAACATAACCTTAAACCTCTAAAAGGAAGAAAAAGTTGTCTATGTATAGATTAGAGTCATCTTTCCATATCATAAATGGCAAAGGAACCCCAGTAGAGGCTGTGCACTTAAATTTGCACTCAGCACTTTTGGTCAGGATTTAGGATGACAGAACTTGGATGGGTGGAGGACAGAGCTATGGATGATTCATCAATGATGGACTAAGCTCCTGGCCTGCCTTTGGCTTCAACAAAAGTCCGATAAAGTGAGATGGCTTAACAGCAAATTCTCCAGCAGAAGGAATGAAGTTAAGATCCCCACACCAAAGTTGGAGGCCATTACCCTTAGCAAACTAACACAGGAACATAAAACCAAATACCACATGTTCTCACTTGTAAGTGGAGCTAAATGATAAGAACCCTTGAACACACAGAGGGGAACAACACACACTGGGGTTATCAGAGGGTGGAGGGTAGGAGGAGGGAGGGGATGGGGAAAAATAACTAACGGGTACTAGGCTTAATACCTGAGTGATGAAGTAATCCGTACAACAAATCCCCATGACATAAGTTTACCTGTGTAACAAACCTGCACTTGTACCTCTAAACTTAAAGACCCGCACACTTGTGGTGGTTATTATTCACACAAATATGCTCATTCATGGAGATTATAATCAAGAGTTTATATATAAAAGCTTAAAAATAATTTGTGTATAGACACAGGTTTTTATAGTTATTAAGAAAGCAGGTTGTAGCGTCCTACAGATCTGGGTATGAGTGCAAAGATTACTCCTTTTTCTTGTGGTTGTAGTTCTTTTAGCTTCAGTTTATTCATTTGAAAGATGGGAATAATAATACTTGACATCATTAGGTGGTTGTGATAACAAAGGTGATAAACCATGTGAAGACTCTTGTATAGTACCTGCTGTGTAAGAATGGCTCAGGAAATAGAGAAGGAGGAAATACAGTTTTCAGACAGACAACTCGTCTTCTCACCAAATTAGTTTCCCTGAATGCTGCTAATAGTCATTCAACTGGAAAATGTTGGGAGAAAATAAAATATATGAGATAAAAACTGCTTCCTTTTGTGTATTTTGCATAAGCTTACTGCTCATTAAAATTTGTCTTCTTAATAAATTCCCTCAATGAATCATTTTCCATTTGAAACCTTATTTCTAAAAAAAGGTAGTGATTTGTTGGAAAAATCTGTTACTTCTATCTGTCTCAAATATGTTAACATATTCATCTGTTTTATTTACTTCTATGATTGATAGGATGAATCTTCACTGCTGTAGTTCCTTTTCAGGTTTTTAGGATTATTCCCTATGGGGAAATTTATAGTATGAGAAATATTTGTGATGTTCGTTATTTAATTGTTTTACACAAACTCCAAAGTTGGAGACATTTCTAGAAAGTGTATAAAATATACAGTTCATAGTGTTATCTCTACACAGAAGGAAGAAGCTTGTAGTTGGAGAATAACTGATTTCTTGAGTCTATAGAACCAACCAATACAGATAAATTGAGGAACCTGGAAACATTATCCATAACAATTTGATCAGCCATATTCAAGTGTGTCAATTGATTTCAAAACCATTTAAACATATAACATGTTATTCTAGATGTGCATGTTTAAAAATGTGTGTATCCAAGAGGCAATCCCATATAAATATAAAGATGTATGCCCATGTATTTATATTAAGATTGAATTTATGTATGTGTATGTTTGTATACTTATATATGTATGTGTATCTATCTATATCCTAATGTATACATATATGTTTAAGTCCATATGTCATATTAACTTTACTACTGATTAATTAGAAAGTCTACCTGATTTTTGGTAAAATTAAATGTTACAAATTTCTGAGATGATTTGTAAATTGTAAACTATATTTTTCATTCTGATGAAGCAAGGCATGTTAAATAGAATTCAATGGTAGGTTGCTTCATTGTTGTTAGAAACTAGAAATTCTGGGCCACTTAATGGGCAGGCACCACAGGAGCTTCGTTCGCACAGTGTCTGACTCCAAAACCAGCTTTGGATTCTGCCTAGCTCATTCGGCTTCCCTCCCAGGTTTCCAGATCAGAGAATTGAAGGCCAGCTGCTGCCTGTCATTAGGAAGCTTAGTGAAAGTCAACATGGGGCTGGAGACTGGCTGGCTGGGGCTGAAAGTGCACTGTCTGCACTCTGGCTAAAGAGCCACCTAGAGAGGGCTTTGCTAAGGCTGCCTAGGACTAGGTACGTATGTTCCTAATCTAAAGCAGAGAAGAAATATCAGTTTCAGGATGTTATATATTTTTTGATACATGTCAAAGCTGGGGACATTTGGAACAAAGTTCAGAATAGGAGAATGGTCATTCTTTGGTTTCACCTAAGCCTTTTTATGGCTCAAGCGAGGGGCTCTTTTTGTGTCACTCTGAAGCGATAATCAAAGTAGCTCCCTGCCCTTTACTTTTCCTACAGACATCCAATCGTGCTCACACAATCCTTTTTATAATATTGTAAAGCCTCAAGGGGTGATTTATTTTTTAGCCTCCCTTAATGGAGATAATCATATTATGTCCTGCAGCTTAGCAGTTGTTACTAGTCATTTGGTGTGATATCTTGGTCAGTGCTCCTGCATGTGTTGTACTTTTTCACGTACGCTAAATTGCTAAATTCTCCTAAATTCCTCCAAATGTTTTGGCTGGATGATTTCTTCTGGCAGTCGATTACCCAGGTTGTCTGTATATTGGGCATTCTGAATTTGTCCTACATTTATCAGATCATTTCATACAGTGGCGTATTTTTGTTTAGCAAAGCCTATAGAATAAAAAGAAAAGGCTGACATTTAAATGGAAAGGCCAGAGGCTTTAGAAAATACCAGAGGAATTCTACAAATATCTTTTCTCAGTGGCCTAGACAATTGGGATCTAATTCTTCTTGTGCAGCAGATGGAGGTGGTGAAAACTGAGCTTCTAAATGGCATGAGTCTCTAAGTTAAAGGGCTTGGTGCTGTGCCACGCAAACAACCCTGCTTTTTTCCAGCCTGTAACGAGCATACAAGCCAGCTTTCAGGGAAGAGTGGGCCTCTCAGAGAAGAGAAACCCAAATCAACCCATGGGTGTCTAAAAATGATTATAGTTTAAAAAATAATGAATCTGCTTAAAAGAAATGCTACTGTTACACCAAGATTATTAACACATTAATTCTATGGTATATATATGTATGAGTGTGTGTATGTGTGTCTGTGTGTGTGTGTGTGTGTGTGTATTCCTTAGGGTTTAAACAGTATAAAGCTGATTACAACTTATTTTTAACACATTTGCCTCTTCTCTCTCCCCTTGTTCTCTCCCTGTCTTTCTCTCTTCCAAACAGCCAAAGTGGTGTTCTCCCTTGTGTTTTTTTAATTATTATTATTTATTTTATTTATTTTTTAGACAGAGACTCACTCTGTTGCCAGGCTAGAGTGCAGTGGCGCGATCTCGGCTCACTGCAATCTCCACCTCCCGGGTTCAAGCGATTCTCCTGCCTTGGCCTCCCCAGTAGCTGGGATTACAGGTGCGTGCCACCATGCCCAGCACCTGTAATCCCAGCTACTTTTTTTTTTTTTTTTGTATTTTTAGTAGAGATGGGGTTTCACCATGTTGGCCAGGGTGGTATAGATCTCCTGACCTCGTGATCTGCCTGCCTTGGCCTCCCAAAGTGCTGGGATTAGAGGCGTGAGCCACCACGCCCAGCCTCTCCCTTGTGATTTTTAGAGGAGGAGAGATTTATTTTAGATGAAAGGAAGAGAAATTAACTGTGTAGAGCTTATTAGTTTGTCAAACGTCTTAATGTTCATTTCTCAATATTTTTCTCTAAAGTCACATGATTCTTCTACCTTTGCGATCCTAAACACGTGAAATTTACATATATACTGGCCCAGCTTCTGTCACATGGTGTTTACTACTAACTTTTGAACTTAATTTTACTTAATATATATTCGTTCTCATTTTCGCAGGTCTACTTAATGCCAATGACTAAAAAATTTATAAAATGAAAATCTAAGTCCTCATGCTTCTTGTAACAACAACAAAAAACCCTAATAAATTTCACATCTTTTAGCAGAGGAATTATGGATATTATCTCACATATTTACAATTGTAGGCACTTTATTTAATTATTCCTATTACCCATGGGGGATGTTGAGGTGGGGAGGAAGTATCTGGTCTTCTGTATTGAAAGTATTATCACAGAGAAAAGAAGATTCACTCAAATTTTCATAGTTATCTATCTGTGCTAGAAAAAAAAAAAGATCAGTTTAGCCCTCCTTCCAGGGCTTAAGTAAATGTGCCCAATTATTTCAACCAGTTTCCACTGACCTGTCAAAAATCCTTGTGTATAATAATGGTCTGCCAGCAGCAAGAGTGGACAGAAATACTGTACACTAATTGATTTTGTTGAACATCTGGCAGAACAGCCTGGATATTTACTTGGAAGGAATGTTCCCCAACTGGACTAAGTTTGCTATTGGGTTTTAGGGCATTAACATGCCAGATTAGGGTTCTCTGGGCATAAAACACATAGATGACAACAGGCGAGTGAGTCATAAAAGAAAATGAAAAAGAGATGAGACACTTTTCACATATGCACCGAAGTTAGAAGACCGTTTTTTCCCCCCAGGATCTCCTTACTGGAGTTCAAAATGGAAACCAAGCAACATACAGTAGAATAATCATTTTACTTCATAGAATTTGTAAATAGCCATTCTTTTTCTTAAATGGAGTTTTGTTTTAATAAATTTCAGTAGGTAAATCTCCATTATGAGAATAAAATAATTCATTACCAATAACTGTAATACTTTTAAATTGCTTCTGTGGTAGAAGATCCTGTCGATTGGAATGCAGTACTGAGAAAAGGGATAATGTTCTTACATTGTTGGTGCGCATATAAATTAGTGGCCATTATGGAAAAAAAGTATGGAGGTTTCTCAAAAAATTAAAAATAGAATTATCATATGATCTAGCAATCCCTCTTCTAGGTATATGCCTAAGGAAAATGAAATCAGTACCTCAAAGAGATATCTGCACTCCCATGTTGATTACAGAATTATTCACAATAGCCAAGATATGGAAATAACCCAAGTGTTCATTGATGGGTTAACGGATAAAGACATTGTAGTATGTATATATTATGGAATATTGTTCAGCTTTAAAAAAAAAGAAAGAAGATTTGGGACAACCTGGATGAACATTATGCTAAGTGCAATAAGCCAAACAGAGAAAGACAAATACTGCATGATCTCACATATATGTGGAATCTTATAAAATACATAGAGGCAGACAGCAGAAAATTGATTACCATGGTTGGGAAGGTGGGAGAAATGGGGAGATGTTGATAAGAGGGTAGAGAGTTGAAGTTATCTGGAATGAGTAAGCCTAGAGACCAAATGTAAGCATAATGACTATAAATAATCGTATTGTATACTCAAGATTTGCCAAGAGAGTAGATTTCAGTTCTTCTCATCACACATATAAAAAATAACTGGGAGAAGATGGATATATTAATTAGCTTGACTGTAGTAATCATTTTACTATGTATATGAATATCAAAACATCATGTCATAAGCCCTAAATATATATAATTTTCATTACAAAAAAGAACATATCTTACCAATTTTTATCTTCTAGTCTAGTTACTTAAATATAGTAGATTTTAAATGACTATTGAGCAAATACCTTCATAATTTATACTTATTTTGCCACAGTTTATAGTGTCATGCAAAAATTTATAAAGAAATAAACCAGAATATAAAAATATGAAGTATATTTGCTTTGCCATGTGTATGTTTAACTTGAATATTTATGTTCACATTGTTCTAATTAAATCTATGACTGATGCATTTGCCTAGACATAAATATTATGAAAGAAGAATTTTAAATTGTGTTAAGTAGGAAGACAATTACCTTAAATTAAGAACATTGTGGATTGACTGGACTTATACTTGTCATTCAATTATCTGGTCCATTCTAGCAATCTGTGAGCAATGTGTCATTTTAGTCAGATAACTAGTAGTGACAATGAGGCTGGGCTCTGGGACCAAGCAAATCTGGGTCCATATCACAGCTCTGGTACTTTCCTCGCTGTTTGACCTTGCATAAGAGGCTTGATCTCTCTGAGTCTCTTGTATTCAATGAGGATAACAATTACACCAGTTGCTGAGGAGATAAATGAGGCAATGTGTTACATTTTTTGTAAGAACTGAAAAATGGTAGTTTTTGATTATTTGAGATCACATTAACTGCTTTTATTTTTTTACAGACACTTGTTTAATCAAAGTGTAGCCTTTTATCAAATGCATCTTAATATTTATTTCTAGATATATTAGAACATAAATATTTTGCTCATTAACAGTGACACAAATACTTAAGGTATATAAAACATGGCTCACATTTCTAAAATATCGAGTAAAATTGCATAAAATTTTATTCTCAGATTTATTTTTGATAATCACATGTTGAAATAGTTTTATACAGGGTATATCAGAATATTTTAGCATATATTTTTATTTTAAAATAAAGGTTAGCACAAATCCATTAATGAAATAATAATGACACTTTCTCAGCTTGCAAGGCACTCAAAGAACAAGAGAGAAAAACATTTTAATAGTTTTAATACAGAGTAATCAATTAAATGAAAGAAGTTTCTATAATGTACAGAGATAACATAGAGGAAGTAGTCATTAACTATCGAAGGAGTGGGCTTGGGTGACTTTTTGCGGGAAAAAAGTCATGGTTGTGTTTAAAGATGCAGAAACCTGAACTGGGTTGGCATTTTGGGGCATCCATGTGCAGTCTGGCTTTGTCAGAAAGTAAAGTAAATTGGTATGGTGGAGAGGGGTACAATAAAAGTTGTTGGTAATAGTGAAAACATGAAAAGTCTTATAGTCAAGGCTTGAGTACTTCTATGTGCATCCATCGAGTCCATCCTTTGCCAAGCCAAGAGAATGGAATAATAATCACTTTCTTTAACTCAAAGAGCAGTATTCTGATAGAGATCCAAGTACATTATTACTCAAAATTGATGCACATTTGCTGGGTTTTAGGTATATAGTGATGTCTCACATGCAATGTTGAAGACCTCATTTGAGGTGGGAGTCCTGAACTAAAGTAACAGTCCCTTTCTTCAGCCTGTTTTCTCTTTGTTGCTATAAGCGTGGCACCACCAACAAGATACCGTATGTTGTTGCTCACTTGTCTGTATTCCAGTATCACATTGCAGTGGCCTCTAATCAGTATTACTCATATGATGTGAAATGACTTGCTTCTAGGCCTGTCTCTTCCAGTAAGCCATGGAGCCTTGATATCCTCAGTGCAGATGGCAGGTACTCAATAAATATTCAAACTCTTTATCTTCTAGGGCATAGACGAGGCTTAGTAATTTTCAGTGACGCTAAGAAAAATATCACTATTTTATCAATTGAATAAGATTTTTGCTAGCATATTAAGTATGTAGGTGTTTATAATTCAAACGATCTTGAGTTATTGTATTTTCAAGGAGGAATTTTAATAGACTTTTATTCAAAATTCATTGACCAAATATTGGGTGTTGGGCATTTTCCTGGGTGCAGGAGATTTAACCATGAAAATGCATGCTTTCTGATATTAAATAGCTTCCAGTTTTTGCTCTCTAGTATATGCAAACAATTGAAATGGAATAAGAAAACAGAAGGATGTACAAAGTGCAATAAGATAAAGCAGCACCCAAGTCAACTTCAGATGATTTAAAAACTGACAGAGGAAGTAACATTTTACCTGTAGCAAGATACTACTTTTCAGGTAAGCATACAGTTTTATGGTGGAGACAGTCTTAAAAAGGAGAAAGCAAGCCTCCCTATATCTCTGACCAGGTGGAAGAAGTAAAACGGGGAATGGAAGAAACAAGACAGGTGCAGATGGAATACATTTGTGGAAAAGGCTCTGAACACTGAAAAAAATACATCCCTAGTAATCACTCTATTTCAATTGTATAACAATGTATGCCACTATCCTAGGAATAGTTTAAAATTGTAAAAATAGATACCCATATACATTTACTGTAGCTAGAACATTGTTTTGAGAATGTTATCTTTGAATAAATTTATATGTACATTTTCAGCAAATTTGTGATCTTAAGTGCTATTTTGTCACTGGAAATTCTCATTTCATGAGAAAGTATCCGTATTTAAAATAAATATTAGTTTACAAGATCATTTGAAATGGCTGAATAATCTTTGTATGGATGTATCCCAATCTATTGACCATTTCATTATTGTTGAGAATTAAATTGTTTCTATTTTTATTTGGTCCAGTAATGTATCATACCATTGACAATCTTAATAACTCAACAGTTGCTAAATCCTTCTATATATGCTTAATTTTTTAGGATACATTAGCGGAAGTGGAATTGTTAGATGACAGTACATTCATACATTTGAAGCTTTTTGTAGTAGGGTCTGATTGTCCTTCAGAAATCCTGTAACAATTTTAGCTTGATTGACTTTATTTGTTTTCACCTGGCTTTATTGAAGTATAATTGATATGCAAAAATCTGCATATCTTTAATGTGTATAATTTGGAGAATTTGGTCATATGGATACACCCGGGAAACCATTACCAGAATCAAGGTAATAAAAGTACACATTTTGTCTGGTGTACCTACCTGTAAAGTGACTTACAAGAGTAGTGCTCATTTTGATTTTATTTGTAAAAATATAATTTGCATACCATATAATTGTCCATCACCTCTAAAAGTTTACCCATGTCCCTTTGGGTTTTTGTTTATTTTTGTGATAAGAATATTTAACATAAGATATACCTTCTTAACAATTGTTTAAAATTGCACAATATGGTATTGTTAACTGTAGGTACTACATTGTACAACAAATCTCTAGAACATATTCACCTTGCATAACTGAATGTTTGTATACATTGATTAGCAGCTCTCCATGCCATCCCTCCAAGTCCCCATATCCCACCTACCCTACTAAGCCCCTGGCAACCAACATTCTACTCTCTGCTTCTATGAGTGTAATTTAGATACCTCATGTGAGTGGAATCAAGTAATATCTGTCCTTCCATAACTGGCTTGTTTCCCTCAGCATTATATCCACCAGATTTATCCATGTCATCACATGTGGCAGGATTTTCTTCGTTTTTAATGCTGCACAATATTCAATATTCCATTGATACTATCTATATTATATTTACTATGTATGTGATTATAATTCAGATGATCTTGAATTATTCAATTGTATCTTCAAGGAGGAAATTTAGTAGACTTTTATTCAAAATTAATTGAAGAAATATTGGGTGTTGCGCATTGTCCTGGGTGCAGGGAATATAACCATAAAAATTATGCTTTTCAAAAGTATCACTTTTGAATATTGTACTTTGTGACCTTTTATCTGGTATACTTACCAGTACAGTGACTTCTGAGAGTAATGCTGATTCTGTTTGTTAAAATATAATTTTAATACCATGATCTCACTGGTTTAAGATAAAACAAAATTTTGTAGGCTGAAAACCATTCCAAGATAGATTTCTAAATTTGGGGTTAGTAGAGATATATATATGTGTGATATATATGTGTTCAAGTATTTTCAAACCCTTTTTTTTATCATCAGTTATCATAGGTTCCTTAACAATGATAATTTATAAGGTTTCAATAATTAAGTCATCTTATTTTTTAAAAATGCATTACTATTATTAAAATCAGGTTTTCTTCTATTATAAAATACTGTGAGACATATTTGAGACACTGTAAATTTTTAATCCAGCTTATTTTTCAGTTTATGGGAAGTCAAACACAAACAAATACTAAGAAATATTGTACAGGAAGGCCTGTTAATGATTACCCAGTTTTTAGTCCAATCCTCTCACACTGTGAATAGAAAGTCAATTTGCAGAAATATTTTGCCATTAGGCCAGTATAGCAGCTTTTTAATTATTAATGAAGCCTGTCAGATCTTTGAAGAACTGCACAACATCACAGATTTTCTTCTCCTTTGTAGCTGTGCTTGCTGTCAGAATATATTTAGAAACATTGATGCTTAAGCAAATGTGTAAAACATGTGGTGAAAGTAATGCAGCATAAATGTAAGTTTACCTCAGGGAATGCAAAACCAGAGTTTTGATGTTTATGCTTAAATATTTAGTACCTGGACCAGCTCTAGGCAGAATTGGTACAGCATATCTTTGGCATTCTCATCTTATTTTAGCTCCTTTCTATATAGAACCACTGATGTGCTAGGCTTAGGTCTGTGATCTTATACTGACTACTGACTGGCCCAGGACATCTCAACTCTCTCTCTTACTAAAGTTTCTAACCCAGGCCCTTTTGTCTTCCTTGACTGTAACTTCTCTCCAACTCATCATTTGTCACCTTCAAGTCTTCCCCAAGCTTTAGTTCCTCTGATGCAGGAAGTAGGTAAGATAATTGCATATAGGCTGTTCTCACCATGGGGAAAAGCCACATTGTATATATGGTCTTGAGATCAGACCAGGAGAGAAGAGAACTCATCAGAAACACACTTGGCAAGTGCATTATTTCAGAAGGGGAAAAGTGCATGTCATAAATCAGGGAATGAGTGTGTCTCGCAAGGATCTAAAGGAAAAGCATGTGTTTTAGATGGCAAAGCTAGAGAGAAATGAATAGAAACATGGTCAGAGAGGGTACAGCAGATTCATCCCAGGACAAATGATAATGGATGACCTTTAGATAGGGGTGAAGGGTCCAACTCAAGGCCAATCTAGCAGACATTGGGCTCTGGCTCCTAGTATCTTTTCAGGCAAATTTATGGGTATTTTTACACATTCTGAGCCTTAAAGTGGCAGGCTTCTGCTTAAAATCTAGTACATAATCTACATAATAATTAGTTGGTTTTAGAAATGTATCTGTATTAGATAATGATGAAAGAAGATACAAATTATCAGCTATCTCTACTGATCACTCAAATCTTCCAGGACCCTCCTGAGCCTTTCTTGTACCATTTCCTTACTGAAATTGTAATAATAGCTAATGCTTATTTAGTGCTTAGTATGGCAGTGCTTGATTTAAGTGCTTTATATGTATTAACTCATTTTATCCGCACAAATACCCTCTGATGTAGGGATGTAGGGATAATTATTATCTGCATTTCAGGTGAGATAACTGAAGCTTAGACAGGGGAAGTGACATGCCCAGGGTCATCAGCTGATGAGTGGCAGAGTTAGGATTTGAAACTAAGTACTGTGGTTTCAAAGCTCATGTACTTTACAATTGCTAAGCTACAGTCTGAACTAATGCTTCTCCCTTTTATAACCAAAAGAAAGTATATATGATGGGGGAAATCCAGACTGAATATAAGGGAAGGTTATAACCATTTTTTATTTTCACACTGGCAGGACGCTTTCTTACAAGCACTAAAGCAAACCTTGTAGGCCTCCTTGAACTTTTGAAGAGACTCTGTGAGCAAAGGCATCATATCATAAAGGCTGAGATCATTTCAGAAGTAATGGGACTTCAATGTAGTAGGAGCATGTGGTGCATAGTAAGGAGTGGTAAGAAGTAAGAAGGATTTCAAACATGTACCTATGTCAAGCTGAGGGATTTGTATTGTACTTGGTAGATAGTAGGAAACTTTCAGAAGTTTTGATGCAGAGGAGTCAAAAGACATGTTTTATAGAAGATTATACCTTAGGCTCCTGAAGAATAGACTGTGTCTTGAGGGGCATTGCTTATGAGACATAGAAAATTCTAAGCCAGGGACTTTGGGAGCTAGGGCTTAAGCAGTATCCATGCAATTGGACAAAAGAAATGGATTTGAGAGCTTTTTCTCAGGTAGAATTGACAAGATTAATAAGTGATTGAAGGTAGGGGATGAAGTTTTGTGAGGAACAATGCCTTTGAAATTCTGGCTTTTTTAGCTGCTGTACCAAAGATCCAATTTAACTGTCATATTTTAAATAGTCTAGTTTAAACAAGGCAGAAGTTTATTTCTCTGTCAGCCAAACACTGCAGGTTTAGCAAACTATGGATAATAGGGAGTTCTGCAGTGTTGCAGAGAGGAAGGAGCAAATGTGAGAAGAAACATGATCTGGTAGTTTTTGCTCACATTCTATTGGCTACAATTTAGTCACATAGCCATTTCTAGGAGTAGGACAGTCTGGGAATTATAGTCTCCAGTCTGGATGGCAATGTACCCAGCTAAAACTTGGAAATTGAATTATTAAAGAGAGGGCAAATGAATATCAAGGTAGCAGTTCAGCTACAGACTGTCTGATGACCACACTAACAGAGATCTGAGATGGAGGAGGTAGAACAGATTTAGAGACATGGTGATATAATGAGTTCCATTTTAGATATATTAAATTTGAAGTTTTTGTCAGACCACTTGATAGCTATGTCCAATAGGTTGTTTGAAAAAGGATTTTGGTTGTGATAGAGAAATAGATTTGACAGCCATCAGCAATTTGAAGCTATGTCCAATGAACTAAAGAGGGGATTAATAGCAGAGATCTAAAGGATAACATTGGGAGGAATGCTAGGAAATAGGTGCAGAGAGCCAATAAAAAATGTTGTA
Organism: Homo sapiens; assembly: GCF_000001405.40. Taxonomy (NCBI): domain Eukaryota; kingdom Metazoa; phylum Chordata; class Mammalia; order Primates; family Hominidae; genus Homo; species Homo sapiens. The sequence continues at coordinate 77,602,615 of NC_000012.12, forward strand.
AAGAGAGCAGAGGGGGAGATGGGCAGACAGATAGGGGGGAATGTGTTAGGATTCTCCTTCTAAGTTTTGGACCCGATTTCACTACTCTACTCCCATAATAGCAGTCTTTAACTTCATGGCATAAATTACCATGCCCATAAAAGTGAGTCCACTCTCAGCCTCCTACCTGTCAGAAGACAACTTCCCAATTCCCCAAGGGTCTAATCACAATAACCTTCAAATATATCTTTGATCTACAGCTCACTTTATTCATGGGAATCAAAGACCCCATGCAACAGGGAATTCCAAGAAATTGTGAAGCTCTTGCCCTTAATTCAGAGAATTGAATGATATACTCTCCCTCAGTTTCTTGCTGTAATTCACCACTTAGCATCTCTAAACACAGCCAACCCTGGCAGGGAGTATAAGCATGCTATCTTGACATTACCTTTTGTTATTCTTCTCTCTAGTCGTTCTTATTAAGGGAATGGTAAAAACAATGTTGGGTGCACCCTGAACCTTCTGATGATGTCCATGTTGACTTTCAAGGATGGAGACTTTAGAATTGACTCAGAGGTGTGCCCTTAGGTTTACCCATAAGCACGACAATTCATGCTCTTTGGTATGTGGAAACTAAGAAGTGAGTGTTCAGAAGTAATAAGTAATAAAGAGAGAGCAAATAAGGTAATAACTAAGATTAGGGGCTGCAGTATGACATGAATGAACTCTTTGGTGATCTCATCAAAAGACATTTTAATACACTGGTATAAGTAGGAGCCAGAGGATCATAACTTGTGGAATAATACACCTTGATCTATGGATTAATAAAAATTGAGTAAGTGAAGTCAGAAAATGTAGATCTGCTTTCAAATAAGGTAATAACTAAGATTAGGGCCTGCAGTATGACATGAGTGAACTCTTTGGTGATCTCATCAAAAGACATTTTAGTACACTGGTATAAGTAGAAGCCAGAGGATCATAATTTGTGGAATAATGCACCTTGATCTATGGATTAATAAAAATTGAGTAAGTGAAGTCAGAAGATGTAGATCTGCTTTCAGGTACTTTGATGAGCAGAAGCTGGATGGATCGTCATGATGAAGGGAGAGGCAGGATTGAACCTTGAATTGTGGGTGGATCGATAATGAATTATATTCTTCCTCCTTCTCTCATTCTTCCTTCCCTCCTCTCTCCTTTCCTTCCTTTAAATATGCTTATAGGCTGAGGGAAAGAAGCCGGTACAAAGGGAGATGCTTAAGTTATAGGAGGGAGATATGTAATGACGAAGTCCTCATACAAAATTGACGAAGTCCTCATACAAAAGCTAGAAGCAAAGGGTATAAGTAAAGAGTCTGTATTGGATAAATTTAGAGGTGGAGTTTGCAGAGACAGGTTTGGAGAGTTCTTGGTTGATATTCTATTTTTATTTCTGAATCAGAAAGCTGATGTATCAACTGAGAATAATGTGATCAGTGGAGTGAAGGACTTAAGAGTGACAGGCTGCAAAGAGAAACATGAAAAGAAACTCACTAAGGATAAATATGATGAGGGCAGAGCAGTGCCAAGACCCAGATGGAGTCAGAAACCATCAATCATACCACCAATCTGCATAGACAATTTTCTTCAACAATTGCAGTTTCAAGCATTCAGGACAGACTGGATACTTTTTTTTCTAGGGTGAAAGGATCAGTGAGTGTAGCAGAAAGACAAAAGAAAATTGAATCAAGAATGCTGGAAGAATTGATCTAGGAAAGTAAGTGTAGTTGTAATGAAAATGAAAAAGTAATAGGAACAAAAAGAGGATTAACATTCTCAGAAAGATGAAGAACATTTAAAATCATGTATAGAGATACCTTAATAAAACTATGACACAGAACCTAGACCAGGGTCTGGCACAGAGCAGCCATAAATATTTTATATATAAGTAATTATTATTTTCCTGCTAGGAACCATAAATTAAATCTTATGTAGTTTTTTTTTTGGGAGGGTGCATTTGGGAAAAAATATTTCTTTAGAATGCAGTTGAGATACAAATTGGGCACTGAACTGTAGGTTTCTTTTTTGTGATGACTTTCCTTCCTTTGAGTGTCTAGAAAGCTGTTTATGTCAGCTGGTGCTCGTATAATGCTCAGTTCATTTCTGTTTCTTGTGCCCTTATTTAGATAGCGAAATTTAAATGGTGCTTTTTCGTAAAGTTCCAATTAGGTTGGGGATATTTAGGTAGCTTAAGATTTAATCACTGTCTGCATAGAACTGTACTTTTGTGTTAACACTACATTGTTTGAAAAAACTAAACTTCCTTCCATTAAACTCTAAACAAAAACAAATGGAACACTGCAAAATGGTTTGCTTTAGACTACATGTTGCCATTCTTCATTCAACACTTACTGAGAGTCTAGTATTTAAATCAAGCTTAAATTATGAAGGATGGACTGAGGATTCAATACCAAGGGGACAGGAGAAAAGGGGCTATATCTTGATTCATGATGAGTCATTCCAAAAGCACTTGAATTGTCTATGCTGTAGAAATGTCCCTTAGCTACAGCAATTCTAAATAATATAAGATAAAATAAAATCATGCCTTGCAAAATGCCCTGCAATCATTCATTCAATCATCTCAATAAAGCTTCTATACTCTCAGTTTACTCTTCTGTAAAATGGAAAAATCATCCCCACAAAGTATTATAGGTATTATAATTATGAGAATCAATAGCACCTGCCCGATCATAATCTCCTCTAATTACCTATAAATATAAGGTCCTTTGCCCACTTTTCTTTATATGAGAAGGTTCAACCAATTGGTTATCATTATATTTTTTTCTCAATGACTAAAAGTTGGGGAACAAAGCTCCAGGCCATTTAGTTGTATTTGTTCAAACCCAAGTAAGAAGAAATATAACAGTTCTTTATTTCAACACATTAATGTGTGTTGGAACTTCTTTAACCTGTTATTTTGCTCTTTAAGATTAAAGATAACTTGTATTGAGAATTCTTTAATGTGTTCATTTTGTCCTGTAAGATTAAAGATATAATCTTTTCTTAGAGGGAAGTGCACAAAATAATCATACTTCTTGGATCTTTGATTGTAGTAAAAGAGTACATCCTATGTGGTGGCACATGCCTGTAATCCCGGCTACTTGAGAGGCTGAGGCAGGAGAATCACTTGAACCCAGAGGCAGAGGTTGCAGTGAGCTGAGATTGGGGCATTGCACTCCAGCCTCGGCAACAAGAGGGAAACTCCGTCTCAAGAAAAAAAAAAAAGCACACCCTAGAATAATGGCATTAACTGGCATTTGTCTTAAGTTCTTTATAATCTTTGCCTTGCCTTGCTTTCATATTCTTTATTGCATGCGATTCCACAGGGAACATTTTGCATATACAGGAATATATTTTAACATACAACCACTATTTTACTACCTTGGTTTTTTAAGACAGCAGTTAATTTTTCCCTCCCAGAATTTGTTGAGTTTCAGGTCTCTAGAGATACCGTCTGAAAAACCTCATAGGTAAAAATGAGCACTTGGTAATGGCTTAAGAGTTAATATTTTGTGTTTTGTCTAATGGAAAGTCTTTATCGTGACACACAAGAAATGACAATTCTTGTTTCAAGAATAAGTTGGTTATTTCAATCAAGTGGCTCAATGCTGGGTGAGAATATTAGTGTTTGCCATTTAAGCCACAGTCATTTAATGCTGAATGCGAAGGAACAAACCATGCTATTAACTGGCCAATGGTTATATATAAAATAATGGTGTAGCTTAGCCTCACTTGTTATAGTTTTTTAAACTTGTTTTTGTTGTGCTGATTTAGGTGCCACTATTTCATCATGTCTCATTATCCTCTGTTTATCCTTCTTAGTTAATTATCACACTATATTGATTTAGTCTGTTAGCTTTTTTAACTTTTCTGCTACAATGTGAGTAACTTCAGGACAGAAATTATGACTCACTCTGCTGCAGTCCTAGAACCTTGCACATAGTATGAGCTCAATAAATATTTACTGAGTTCATCTGTTATATGTATATGTATGTTAGTTTCAGGTAGAGGAAAACCCCATGAGAAATGTCTTCAACAATAAAAGAATTTGATGCAATCATTTAGGCTTGCTTTGATGAAGACTCCCATCATATTTTCTACAGTGCATTTAGTTCTTTACATCACATGTCAAAACTTCAACCTTATGCTGGCTTCCCTTAAGGGAGCAAAATGGCTGTAATCCGTTAGAGCAAGAGAATCTATGTCCCAAACTTCTAGGAACAGTCTTGAAACCCACTTCGATTGCATTCCTTTAGGTCATAAGCCCTTCTTGAACATTAGTGGTCAAGGTATAGAATATGTTGATTGACTTTGCTGAGATTATGTGTTCTACTCCTGAAAACTGATTGGATTCAGGAGACAAATAAATTCGAGGAAGCAATGAAAAACATTCACTATAATTAATGAATGGAATTCTGAGCCTCTAGTACATTTTAATAAAGTGTATGTATAGAAATGAGACTACATTCTTTCAAAGTTTTCTTAAAGACGTCTGAAAAATACTGCCCTTTAATAGTTCAAAAATACTCTCACACATTTATGTAAGAATTTTCAAATCTGTTGGTAATAACACTGGCTGTGTACAATTAGCCAAAGTTCAAGAGTTACCTATGGAAAAGTTATAATGGGCAGTTTTATCTACGCTATAATTTAGGAAGAATCTTCTACTACCCTAGACCCTACCGGGCTATCCCCTTAACTCAATGAGGAATTTTAGTCTCAACAAGGGATGCACTTTCTTTTGATAATGGGAAGATGACTGAACAACTGGATAAGGAAAAGCAAACATGGAAAAGACAAAATAAAGGGAATCAAAATTTTCAGATCCAAAATTTTTGCCTAGAGCTATCCCTGATGTTTTTGACATCTTTAAAACTTGAATTTTTGTGTGTGCATTTACATTTTGAAAGGAGATGGACGTTTCTTAAATTGCCTAAGAGAGGGGATTGTAGCCAGGTAGCCAAAACCAGTATGGTGGGGTGGTGCTGATTGTGTATAAAACTCAAGTTATCTTGTAGAATGTCTAATTATCAAGCATTCAATCCCAATTGCAACCTTATTTTCTTCTGTCTTAACCCCATACCATTTCTATTGTCTGATCCATTCTCCTCTTAATCCCAGACTGCCTTGCAAAATCATTTAACTGTTTTCATTTGCATGTCTTGTCTCCTTACACAGAATGTAAACATTTTGAGAACAAGAACTGTGTCTTATCTTCCTTTGGAATTAGCCCCAGCATTTTGTAAAGTTGCCCCGTAAATAATTGGTGCCGAATAAATGTTTATGGGGATTAAATCAAATGATCTATTATTTCACAGTGATTTGTACAAAGGTGGTTGAACTATAATGATGTGAAAGTGTAACTTCTTTTTGCTGAGAAACATATTAAAACTTAAATATTGACAAGCAAAGTAAAAGATCCAATAAGAAATGAGACTTGAAAGACTTTCAAAGGGAATAGAACCATTTGAAAGGTTTTCACTGCTTTTCTAATGCCAGATTTCTAATGATTTCCAAATACATGTAAGGAAGAAACTTTATGGGTATGTCACTGCATTTATATTACTTCCATAAAATCCATAAAATTGTCAAGATATGGACATACTGTAATGTTATTCAAACATTCTTCTTAAACAGATCCAGGAAAATGAGGAAAGATGTGCAATCTCATTATTGTTCCCATATTTGTTGTTGTAAACAATGAAGTCCTTGTCTTTTGTGAACTGTCAGCTTAGAATGTTCTGCCAAAAACCTTCTAAAGCAAGTCCTTAGTAGAATTAATCACAAGTGTCAGTTGAGACAGTATTATCCTCTGCATGTAATTTAAGCAGACTGTTATATCCTATGTGCAAAATATTTGCTTTATTTTAGATATGGAGTTGGGCCATAACAAGATGCTAATAAGAGAATGAGAATCTTCTGGTCTTACTGAGGCTCAAAATGCTAAGCAGCTGAGGTCACACCTTCTTATATGCAGTAAAAATATTTTCTAGGTCTATAGCCTAATTTGTCCAAGCTGGTAGCAATATTTCCTCAGCTGCATAGATCCAAGGATTTTAGAATGAACTGGGAGTTCTCTATTTTAAGTCTCTTCATCTGGTCATTTGTCAAGTCCCATCAATCCTCCCTTTGAAAATCTTGGCTGTATTTTTTTCTGGCATGCAGTGTGACACAGGAGAACTACCCCTAGACTGGGAGTCAGAGAGTCTGGCTTTCGTTTAGCTTTTTCTCCAGGCATTTGTATGACCTCCATCAAGTCACCTAACATTTATTGGCCTCAGTTTCCCCATTTTCAAGGTTCTTCCAGATCACATTCTGTGATTTTTCCTGAAAACATATTTTTAATATACATACATAGAAGTGGTAATCACATTTTTATTTGGTGTCCCTACCTGATTCTCTGCCTTCTAATACAGGACCTCTGACCACTGGCATATAAATATTTTGGAAACATTGCTTTATCTGCTTCCAAATCTTGCAATACTATTTATGTTCTGGTAATCCTTTGAGTTTCACACAGATGATTTGTGTACAATTCTATGCATGGGTGTCATGCTTCAATTAAAGAATCAAAACCAAAACCAAAAAACTCTTAAATGCTTTCAGTGGCCTCCCGCTGAAATCTGATACATCAGACTTGCATTTAAGGCCCCCTCAACAACCTGGCATCACTTTAAATTCCCATTTAAGCTCCTACAACTCCAGTAGTTCCAGAGCCTGGCTACAAAGCAATATTACCTGGAGAATTTTTTTCTATGGATTAAGAGACATCAAATGTGGAACGGAAAATTTCTTTTATTCCTTCTAGTTGATTCTGATGCTGCTAATCCACTGTTAAATGTTTGAAGAGCATTGTATCTACCTCAGTATGTCTTTATGACAGTGATGCTTAAACTTCTGTCCACATGATAATGACCCAGAAGGATTATTAAAAGTTAGCTTATAGGGCCCGATCCCTGAGTTGCTGATTTAATAAGTTAGAGATGGGGCCTGAGAATTTGCATTTTGAACAACTTCCCAGGTGATGTTGATGCTGTTGGTCTGCAGAACACACTTTGGGAACCACTAGTTTATGCCAGTATCTTTCCCTGAGTGACAAGTTGTAATCATCTTTACCTACCAACATGTGAACCATCATTCAGATACTGCCTTCACAAGGCAATCCTCAAGGTCTCAGGAGCTCTCTGCTCAGGATGCTGCTTGACACTTTATTTAGGCCTTTCTTATCATATTATCACATACTTTAAACAAAGTTAGATTTGTAAGCTCCTTGAGCCCTTATTTCATTTCCCATACAATATCATATCCCCACTTCTGTGGGCCAATGATTAGTACAATCATTGGGGAAGTTCAATATACATTTTTGAATGAACGTCAACCACAGGAAAATTTATTCTTTCCTAGTCTTTTTGATATTTTACTCATGGCCTTACATTTCCTTTTTCAATGTATTTTTGTTTAATCTCACAAGGCGTTCTTGAATAGTCATTGTTTAAAATTTTAGAAGGCTGCCAAATACTATTTTCAGGAGGATAAATGATGCTATTGAACTATTGGTTTCTGAGATATGCTAATACTTGCCTACCTTCTTTGAAAAATGCTCTTTTCTTAGTCACTCTTAATTAACCTCAAGTGCTGTCATGTAGAAAACATTTGTCGAAGTTATCTTCCTGCCGTGTCTCTGATATATATACATTTAAGTACACCTTTTACTTAATCTTTATGTCCTCTTTGTCAGGTATCTGTGTGGATAAGTGCCTTTGGTAGTATATGGCATTTTGTTCAATTTGTTTGCTAATGGGCAAATAAATAGAAAGCAGCTACTCTGGTTCCCTCAGAACCAGAACTGCAATGTTGAAAGAGATGTGTCAGTTTGTGGAATTCATCCCATTTCTCATTTATAGATACGTAGACAAGCCATGTACATTCAGACTTGTGCTGGTTGCACACAGATAGACGTGGTCACAGAGCTGTAATTCTGTGGTTAAGATCTAATTCTAGAGACCTGGAATCAGCTGGACTCCATTTATTGACACTCAGAATTTCAAAGAACATTTCATATGTGACTGAACTATGAGGCTTTCTGTGTCCCCACAGCACTGAAAGAAGCAAAGTTCTGCTGAGTAGGCTGCAAATGAAAGTGAGCCTGGTCTCCATGTACAAAGAGAAGCAAAGCAGCTCTTTTTTTGCCTTTTTATTTGCAAAGAGATATTTTAAGAGTCCGTGTATGTTTGATGAAGATGTGTGTGATTGATAAACTTTGAGAAATAAAATAGACAAGAAAATAGAGTAAGAGAGAAGTAAAAACTAAACCTTTGGGAATACAGGATGTCCAATCTTCAGATAATATTGAAAACCTCCATTAGAAAAAAAAAAAACCTATTAGAAAAAAAAACTGTTTAGCTCTGCTTAATAGTTACATTTATGTTTGCTAATTTTGAGTGTTTAATAATATATATTTTATTCATTTGAAATGCCAATGTAAAAAAAGATGAGTTTAGTTTTATATCTAATAAGCCACATCAGAGAGTAAAAACAAAATTATGTTAACTAGGGCACTCTGTAAGTCAGTGCTTCCTAGCAAAATCTCCATCCTGACAAGCAATTTTGTTTTCTAATTTTCTATTTATTTTACTGGACCATTTTGTTTATCTTTTCTTGTTGTCAGAAAGCTTTTCCTTGAGTTGGAAAAAAATTAGTTGCAAGGCCTAGATTTTTATGTCTTCACTTTCTGGAAAAAAAGAAATTATAATTTCAAGTGAGTTTGGTGAGGACAGGCGAAATATTGATACATTAAATGTAAATACTAGCTATTTTTTCTCCTATAAAATATTTTCTTAAAATATTTTAAAACCAATTTTTATTTCAAAAGAAATATGTGCACACAGTAGAAAATTCAAATGCATAAAAAATATAAAATGAAGTCTTTCAGAAATTTCTTCTCAATCACCAGTTCTACTCCCTAGAAGCAACTATAGTTAACAGGCCCTTATGTATCCTTAAATAATTATAATCTATTTATATATATCAGAAATAGAATCATGCTATATATATATAACACAGTCTTAATTTTTCCTGAAGTATTTTAAAAGCGCATACTTTACAATGATGAGCAAAAAGTGCTTTAATAAAAGTAAATAATTGAGTATGGGTTATTAAGTATAATTTTTTTTACTTGAACAAATTAACAGTGCTCTGCCCATTGGGAGAAAAGGGACCAAGCTTCTCTTCATGCTTTAATATATTGATTGAATAAGCTAGTATTCATTTATTCAAAGATGTTTGCTACTATTCATTGCTTTTTGTTGTCCCGTATAATGTTGAGCTCAACAGATAATGATCCTGCAAATATTGTGCCAGATATCTGGGGAAGTATTTATTCTTATGATTTCATTGTACATGTCTAGTTTCGTTGCTTAATGAACTGTTAGAAAAAAATGCTTTTAGGTTATTTTTCAGAAAAGACTAGACTGCATGAGTTCATAATCCTAGAGTAGAAAGTGTGAACAGACTTTTTAAAGTATGGCATAATTGTTGGATAAATTATATTATAATATTATTTTAAATACACTGTACTATGTGACTTGCATGGAAATACAGCTATTATTTGACCCTACTTGTGGAAGAATCAGTTCTCATAAATGTCTCCAATCATTATGTGCACTTGTAGATAATACACAATTTTGAATTTTTATAAAGTGGAGATTAAATATTTGATCCATTGCTGGATAAATCTGTAATTTCCAGGCAGAGGTACTTGAAGGCAAATGATGTGTTCTCACAGAAAGAGGATTTGTCAACTTGCTTTGCACTTTTCAGTCTTTTGTCCTCAGAATTAGTGTTTCCTTACACACCCTGGAGGTGAGAGGCAGCAGGAGAGACCAGGTTTCCCTTTGGTAGTATCTGCATTGCTTTCCCCATATAATTTGGCTTAATGGGTATGTGCCTTTATCTAAACTGAACACTACACCTTGTAGATTCATAAGGCACCACAACAGATTTTAGAACAAGAAGATATTTTTCCCTAGCATTGCTTTATTTTATAGAATTACAATTTTCCAGAAGGATTCTCATAAACTGTTATTTCTTCTCAATTTTAAAATGCCAACCCCTTCAGTAAGAAAAGTGATATGATTTGGCTGTGTCCCCACCCAAATCTCATCTTGAATTGTAGTTACCATAATCCCCATGTGTTGTGGGAGGGACTTGGTGGGAGATATTTGAATCATGGGGACGGTTCCTCCATGCTGTTCTCATGACAGTGAGTGTGTTCTCATGAGATCTGATGGTTTTATAAGGGGCTTTTCCCCCTTTTGCTCAGCACTTCCTCTTGCTGCCTCCATGTGAAGAAGGATGTATTTACTTCCCCTTCCGCCGTGATTGTAAGTTTCCTGAGCCTCCCCAACCATGCTGAACTGTGAGTCAATTAAATCTCTTTCCTTTATAAATTACCCAGTCTTAGGTTTGTCTTTATTAGCAGCATGAGAACGAAATGAAACAAAAATAGTCTGCCTTAGCAGCAATTATCAATCTCATTAACCTATAGACATGTTTGTTGGATAGTTGTTGGCAGAGTTTGCTCAGAATAGAATTCTAAACAGTACAATGAGTGCATTTTATGCACATATGATTCTTCTACTTTTCAAATGTGTTCTTTTTTTAAAACAGAACTCAACAACTTTTATTTCACTTGACCAGCGTTGCTGGTGTCTAAATCAGTCGAACACAGTGGTGCATAGTTTGAGGGCATTGGGAGCATTGCAGTGAAGAAAGAGGTATGGGAAATGAAGAGTTAGCAGCAGGGCCAGTGTCAGTGAAGGGTAAACAGCCTTTTTACATGAAAATCATGTTTCAAAGACTCAGGGTGTCCTCTGTCCTTGAAGTCTGCCTTCTTGTTTCCTATTATTCTTTCTTGTCATTATTTGATGTTTGCTTTACAGAGTACAGCGAAGGGAAATTCTTGGTATTCAAGGCAGCCAGTATTCTTCTAGCACTCCTGCCCGTAAGTTAGAAAAGCATATTGTTCTCAGTGTTTGTGGGTGAGGCTGGAAGGGTAGTGTGTGAAGAAAAATGGCCTTTTCATAGTATAAACCCCCACACACTGCCATTTGTTTTTCTGTTTCCTTTGGCAATTTACTGAAGTTTTGTAACTTCCCTTTGGGGTTACCGTTTTGTCCGTTAGGAACTTCCAAGTTTTTCTCTGAAACACCATTTATTTAACCACAAACCAAGTCTACCTGACGGCCCTTGTTTGATCTGATCCATGCGATGATGAACCCGTGATTCTAGTTTTCTCTTCTGCCTGCTGGGCTTCCCCCTATAACATGAAGTGTATGATTACGTAAAAGTGGGAATTGTCTTTCAACACATATGGATGTGGGCCTTGCTACTGGACCTGTGATTCTAGCAACGCCTCTTTGACTTTGCCTTTCTTTTCTTTCTCTCTTTTTTTTTTTTTTTTTTTTTTTTTTTAACACAGGGTCTCCCTCCTTCACCCAGGCTGGGGTGCAGTGGCGCTATTCAATGCCTTATGTGGGATACTTACTCTTAGCAGCATCTCTGGCCACTACCCACCAGATGTTAGTAGCACAACCCTCCCGGTAGTGACAACCAAAAATGGACCCAGACATTGCCAAATGTCCTCTGGGGAGTGAAATTGTCCTTGGTTGATAATCACTGCTCTTTAAGGAAAGGAAGCCTGGGCACAGACAACCTCTTCAACAGACAGCTTTTTGTAATGAAAGTGTCACCCTTTCAATGTGGATGTTAGTAGCCCTGTATTTTCTAGGCCCCTTTTGTCCTCAGCCTGACTATCCTTGCAAAAAGAAATTTTAAAAAATATATTAAATATTTATCACTAGTATGTAATATATTTTAAATCGTTTATTCTTTGAAAAATGGAATTGAGTTCCTATGTTGAGCAGGCACTGTCCTATGCAATCAGTATTCAAAAACAAATCATATGAGGTAGTGTTCACTTAGCATTTAAGACCACGAGTTGTAGAGTCAGACTGCCTGAGTTCAAAGCCTGGCTCTGGCCCTTCTGGCTGTGTGACCTTCCACAGTGAGTGCCTCAGTTTTAACCTATGTAAATGGTAGTAGTAAAACTATGTGCTTTCACATACTTGTTAGGATTGAACACAATCATAGATATAAAGTACTTAGCCCAGCGATTGGTGCATAGTAAGTACTTTAAGAAAGTTCGTTGCATTATAGTGGATGTCATCATTATCTTTATCAATAGTATTATCATCAAGGATGTGCTCCTTCAGGAGAGCAGCTACTAATCCTGAATGGAGAGGTGGTAGCAACATCTGGAGACTTATTGGAAAATATGAGCTCTAAGCTGAGCCCTGGATGAGAAGGTCAGCCAAAAGATAGCTAGGTGATGAAGTATGGCAAGGACATCACATGCAGATGTTGCTTTTTCTTTGTATGTATAATGTGAGATATAGGAGCAAGTAAATATTTCTTGGGTTTTTTGAAATATTTTAAAATGCAATCAATTTTCTTCAACTTGGATTTCTGAAGCCACAACTCTATAATTTATAAAAGTTTATTTTGTAATTAGAAAAATTTCATGAAGGATTATTTATACCATTTTAATGAAGTATTTATTTTATTTATTTATTTTTTTGGGTTCGGGAGTACATGTACAGGTTTGTTACATGGGTAAACTGTGTGTCACTGAAGCTTGGTGTAAAAATGACCTCATTACCAAGATAGTGATCATGATAGTACCTGATCTATGGATCAGTGTTTACAGTGTCTATTGTTCCCATCTTTGTGTCCCTGTGTTTTCAGCATTTAGCTCCCACTTACAAGTGTAGGCATGCAGCATTTGTTTTTCTGTTCCTGTGTTAGTTTGCATAGGATAATGATCTCCAGCTGCATCCTTGCTCCTGTAGGGGGCATGATTTCATTCCTTTTATGGTTGCATAGTATCCCATTGTGTATATATGTACCACATTCTCCTGATAAAGTCCACCGTTGATGGGCATCTTTATTGATTCCATTATTCGCTATTGTGAATGCTGCTGTGATGAACATATGAATTCATGTGCCTTTTTAGTAGAATGATTTATTTTCCTTTGGGTATATACCAGTTGAGATGTTTATAGTGTGGACTCTTGTTTGTGCTGTTAATTGTCAGTCTTCTTCAATTAGGGCACAGACAAATTTAATTTTTTCTTCTCCAATTGGTATAGTTCCCTCTCTCTGCTGCTGTGGCATTTCATTTCAACATCATCTCTTCCCTTGTTTAAATGAGTTATCCATTTGTACACTAACTTGCGGGGCAGAGGGGGACATTATCCTCATAAACTTTGTATAAAGCATCAGTGATTTCACTATTCTTTCACCCAAGCTTCACCATAAAATTCATATTAGTTCTTCCATTTTAGCAGAATTCATGTTGGAGTGTTTTTTCTAACTGATGTTTTATCCTTCTTAGTGCCTCAAACTATATCGTATTCAGACATAAGAAGTTAGTATGAGGCCAGGCATGGTGGCTCACTCCTGTAATCCCAGCACTTTGGAGGCCAAGGTGGGTAGATTACCTGAGGTCAGGAGTTCGAGACTAGACTGGCCAACGTGGTGAAACCCCGTCTCTACTAAAAATACAAAAATTAGCCAGGCATGGTGGTGGGCACCTGTAATCCCAGCTACTCGGGAGGCTGAGGCAGAAGAATCACTTGAATAGGGAGGCAGAGGTTGCAGTGAGCCGAGATCACACCACTGTACTTCCAGCCTGGGCAATAAAATAAGTTAGTATGGGTATTTTGGTGCAAAAATTTTAAATCCCTGCATAGTTTTTTCACAATATGCATTTTTCTTGAACTTTTTGAAGACCCTTTGTATATATAATGTGGTACAATCACCAACATATACATAGGCTTCTGTGACTCACAGATAACCAGTGAGGTAGGGGGGACCAGTTTACAGGTGAGGAAATTGGGCTCAGAAATGTTAAGTTACTTGCCTAAGTTGACTCAGTAAATATCAGAACTGAGCTGGGAGACTAGATCTTCCTACCTCCAAAGCTTGCTATTTGTACTACATGCACACACAAAACCTGCTATTTGTGCTACACACAGGCGCGCACACACACACACACACACACACGATTATGTATTAAAATATGCTCCATGCAATTAGTCACCTCCTCTTTAAAAACTTATTGCTAGCTGTGTAGGTGGAATGATATTCTGCAGAAAATCTCAACAACTTTTCTACATTTCTTTTATATTTTATAATCCTAAGAGACTGCTAATAGACTTGAATTACTGATTATTTTAACTTGTCACTGGTTTCAAAATTTTTTGCAGCTCTAAAAGAACATAATAGAATTCGCTATAGCATTGACATGATACTAAATAGTCACTTATCTTTTCTATTCTTGTGAGTTTCCCGAGCACATCTTTTGTGACTTTCTCTTTAATACATTTCACAGTTTTTCTCATTGAGTTTCACATGTATTGGAAGCTCTTTGGACGGCTGAATATTGTTTTGCTAGGGTATACTGGACAATTTTTAAATTTTTAAATTTTGGTAAATTATTGAAATGTGAATTTTGATATTTTTAAAGTTTTGATAACTGTAGTAGCCAGTCCCCAGATGTTCCCCAGTGATCCCCACCATCTGGTGTTCTTGCCTTTGACATGCCTTCCTAAATGGAGTACAGCTGACTTGTGTAATGAATGGGAAGTTGCCAGAAAGATGGAATGTGACTTCAGGGATGGTTATAAAACTCATTGAGGCCCCTGTCTTGTTCCTTTGGATTACTTGTCCTGGGGAGATTCCTGCTGCCATCTTATGAGGTGACTTAAACAGCACTATGGAGAGAGGCATATGATAAAAAACTGAGACTTCCTTGTATAGAACCACCAGGTTTGTATGCCCACTATGCAGTAACATACCAATATACTAAGACAGCAGGGTTTGCAGCAGAGAAGCAGTCTAATGATTTCAGGGCGGCCAAGCAAGGAGACAGGAGGGATCCTCCAATCCACTTCCCTGAGGAATTCTGCGTTGGGGCTTTTAAGGGTATGGTGGAGAGTGAGGGGCTGGAAAATTGGATCTATTGATTGGTGTGGGTAAGATAGATGAAATTAACAGATGTGAAAACTGCATTCTTTGTTCAGCTCCTAGTGGGTTCCTTCAGACCAGCTGGTGTCAGTAATCTTACCTCAGTAGTTTCACCAGTATGCAAGACCTGAAATAATATCTCAAATGGAAAACTTAAATTTTACAATTTTCAAGTCATTATCTACAGAGCAGTTAAGGGAAACTATAATCTTGTGACAGTGTCTATGTGATTCTGAGGCAATAGTTAGCAAACAACCATGAGAAAGCAGGCCAGAAGCAAGCTGACCTAATGATTAATGCTGAGTGTGCAACAAGTTTGGTTTGGTTTTGTCTCTCCGCTTCTTGCCTGATTAGTAGTATAGAATTTTTGGAGTTGGTTTCACTCCTATCTAGATCAGGTGAGTAAACCATCTAGGCAATGGATTCCCCAGCCCCAGTTGAGCCTTCAGATGACTGTAACCTCAGCTGACATCTTAACTGCAGCCTCCTTAGAGATACTAAGCCAGAATCATTTAGCTAAGCTACTAACAAATTCATGACCCATAGAAACTACAAAATAAATGTTTACTACTTTAAGCCATTAAGTTTTGGAATAATTAGTTACCCTGAGCAATAGTCAACTATACAGTACTTCATTGGAATGATTTTAAATTTATAGATAGGCACTACTAAAACACAAGCAAAATATTAATTACTCTTCATAATGTTTTGTCTACTAGAAATGGCATACATTTTTTGTTCATGGACATGCAATATTCGATTGAAAAATAATTATATTAGTTGATACTATTGTTAGTATTTTAAGTTTAAAATAAATGAGATATGTGGAAAGTATCAAATTAAAATGTTGTATAACTAAATACTATCAAATTTATTTCTAAAATTTTGCAGTGTGTTTAACACGTATATATATAATTTCTCATAATATCAACAAAATAGCTTGAATAGATTCTACTTTAATAAAAATGGTAGTAATCCTTGAATATTACTTTTATGTCAGTATTTTATAGAATGTATTCATTGATTTTTGTAATGCTCCAGAGAAATAGAGAAAGAAGGAAGAAGATAGGAAGGAAGACAAGGCTGTACTTTGTTAGCACTCATCGTCTACAAATTAAGAATTAAAAGCACACAGAATCTAAATAAATGGATTGTCAGTAGCCTACTTGAGATTTCTTCTAATATCCAAAGGGCTTATGTTTCTTTCAGTTTCATTGTCAGCATAAGCTTTGTGTTATGCAACCAGAAAATATAGCTTTGAAATCTAAAGGACATAAGAATTGCCTTAGGAGATTTGCTTCCAAAATAAGAATCTTCTTGTCATAATCATTGAAAAGAATATATTTTTATAACCCAGGTTAGTACTATATTGGACACTTAGCATAATATTCTTCTTTCATAAAAGCATTTATTATAGTTTGTCATATTTTGAAAAGTGGTTTCTTACATTGGCATATTATCACTGCCAACCGTGATTCTTTGTGCTTCTTCAGAAAATAGAGCTCTCTCGTCAACCCCCCTTAGGTTTATTAATGCTATCGGAAGCCATGAAGCTTCCTGAAATATTTAAAAAATAACTTATGTCCATCAATAGTATTTTTTAGCTTCCTTTAGCTTCTGCTGCTTAAGGCCATGAATGATGTCAGGCAGATCAAGAAATCAGACTAAATCTTTTCTACTGTCCCTTTGTTCTGACCAGAACAATTGCATTTCATTTTTCCATTTGCGTTGACAATTTTCTCTATTGGTAAAGTAAATAAAACATATGTGTTAAAAATCTAGCTGTGACTCTCAGCACACTTTCTTGTCTTTGAGCTTTGATTGCAGGTGTGCTTGGCCTTCTAAGCAGGCATTGCATGGGTGCTGCAGATGGTGTGTCCTGTCAGTCTGATTCACACATGATGTATGGCATTAATTGTTTTTGGACTATTGAAGGGATAAATGCCTTTGCTATCACAGGGGACACGTGGGAAAGAAAAATGAATAAGTAGAGTTGTCATGGTGTGAATTACTTTCTGTAAATCACCATTTATCTTCACATGTGTCTCACGTTTTTTTTTTAAAGCAACATGAGATATTCCATTCTCAAAATGACTTTGGAGTGAAAGTAATTATTTTAGGGAGAGGGAAATTGCACGTTAATGTGACAAAAAGTCTCTCTCTCTCACACACACACACACACACAGACAGTCTTTGGAAATTTTCAAATGTTTAAATGTTCTATTTTAGTAAAGGAGATATTAAAGGATATGAAAGGTAGATCATTATGAATTTACTTCTATTGACCAAATTGCAAACAAACAGATTTTCTTCATTGTAAAATTAAGGAGTCTTTTCATTTGGAGAGGACTTTTTAGAACAAGTAATAAAAATAAGTATAATTTTTGGAAAGACTACAAATGATGTAGTCATACTTCTGAGATTCAGCTTTTACCTCCTCCTGTCCCTAACTTTGCCACTGATTAACTAGCTGTGAAACCTTGGGCAACTTGTCTCCTCGAGCCTCAGTTTCCTGATCTTTATAATAGGGTTTTATGAACATTATAAAATGATGAAAACTGCTTATCACATGCTACTTCATATATAGTAGTTGCTCAATAAATGTAATAGTTTTTGATAATCATGACGATGCTGGACATAGTTGCTGAGGAAAAAATGCAGTTATCCCAGTGGAATTCATTCATGTAAAAACTCCTTACTTATGCTTGTGTCAAGTCTTCAAATTAACACTTTTGATTTATGATTTGAACATTTTTTTTTTTTTGAGACTAAGTCTCACTCTGTTGCCTAGGCTGGAGTGCAGTGGTGCGATCTCGGCTCACTGCAATCTCCACCTCCTTATTCAAGTGATTCTCTTGCCTCAGCTTCCTGAGTAGCTGGGATTACAGGAGCATGCCAACATGCCTGGTTAATTTTTGTATTTTTAGTAGAGATGCGGTTTCACCATGTTGTCCAGGCTGGTCTTGAACGCCTGACCTCAGGTGATCCACCCCCCTCAGCCTCCCAAAGTGCTGGGATTGCAGGCATGAGCCATTGTGTCTGGCTATTCTTGTGCTGCTAGGAAAAAGGAACCAAGATAGCTGGCTGCTGAAAGAGTACAAAAAGACAATATTTTGGCATTTATACAAAAAAGTTAAATGCGAAGTTGAAAATTTGGCAAGTTACAAAAACTAATAGACATAAAGTATTTGGAATTAATTAAAAGAGCTCAGAAACATCGGTGACATTGTGGTAAAAATTTGAAACAATGAGCAGATGTGGTGGCACAAGTGTTAAAGAAGTTGGACAAACTGAGAAGGGGTGAAAAAGTAGCTCAAATGTTTAATGCATCAGATAAGATATTCTTGAAGAAGGTTTGAGTTTGTGATTTGTTTGAGTTCATCCTGAGGCTCAAGATTTCTGTGATATGCATTAAAATGATAAACAAACAACTCTGTTTATCTTCTACAGGTTTACCATTTATAAAATTATTTCTCCTATATTTTCTAGATCAAGCACTGTTAAATCCCATGGGATAGTTAACACTAGAAGCTCTCCTGTAGCTGCTAGGCCCTATTTTGTTGCTGTGATTACAGACTCTAACATATGTAGAAGCAATGCCCTCCTACCCATCAAAGTTCTCGACATCCATCAGCTCTGAGAAATGAACCACTGTGACCTCTGAGTAAAATCTGACACTCACTTTGTTGAACTTCTGAAGAAGAATCTAGAAGCTAATACAATAATAGCCAGTGAACTCTACCTCTTTTTTTTCTCTTCTCTTTTTTTTTTTTTTTTGCTTTGAGATGGAGTCTCACTCTGTTGCCCAGGCTGGAATACAGTGGTGTGATCTCGGCACACTGCAACCTCCACCTCCCGTGTCAAGCGATTCTCCTGCCTCAGCCTCCCAAGTAGCTGTGGCAACAGGCACAAGCCACCACGCCCAGCTAATTTTTGTATTTTTATTAGAGACGGGGTTTCACCATGTTGGCCAGAATGGTCTTGATCTCTTGACCTTGCGATCCGCCCACCTCGGCCTCCCAAAGTGCTGGGATTACAGGCATGAGCCACTGCACCCGGCCTGAACTCTACCTCTTAACCACATAGATTGATTACATACCCTCCTTGATCTCAAGAAGTCCCAGCAAAGGAAAATGATACTACAATGACAATCATATAATTAATATTTCACTACCCGATATTTTATCATTTGATATCTTAGAATCAGAGGAATAATAAGTCTTGGGTTAATATAGTATATGAGCATCTATGATGAGGACTGGGGATGGTAGACATATTTAAATTTATGTTTTATGGTTTTCTGAGGAGAATGTTCTGCCTTTCTTATCTTTCTAGCAAAGTACTTGCCCCAGTTATTTGTATTATTTCATTATACTGATGAGAAAATTGAATAGAAAAGGCAGGAAACTCATAGCCTCTGATACCAAGCTGTCTGTTTTTCTGTTTTCTTTTTTCTTTTTTGAGACAGAGTCTCACCCTGTCTCCCAGGCTGCAGTGCAGTGGCGCAATCTCGGCTCACTGCAAGCTCCGCCTCCTGGGTTCATGCCGTTCTCCTGCCTCAGCCTCCCGAGTAGCTGGGACTACAGGTGCCCGCCACCACACCCGGATAATTTTTTGTATTTTTAGTAGAGACAGGGTTTCACCGTGTTAGCCAGGATGGTCTCGATCTCCTGACCTTGTGATCTGCCCGCCTCAGCCTTCCAAAGTGCTGGGATTACAGGCTTGAGACACCGCACCCGGCCCCCAAGCTGTCTGGTTTTCTACACCACCACATTGATCAAGGTCCCTAGTGCTCTGCAGCGTGTTCATCCATATGGATTTTTTTTTTTTTTTTTTTTTTTTTTACTGGAAGTTGAAAGAGAATGATTATGTAAGTATCCAAAAGACAAAAGACAGGAGACTTAAGCTAGTTGTACTTGCTCCAAAATATGTAGAAAAGCAATAAAATCCTCATATCATAATTCCCGGTTTTGACACATTATATTAATCACTGTGAACCACTGTGACCTCTGAGTAAAATTGTGTTCCATTTATTAATTTTGATATAGAGAATTTATGAAACATAAAGTTGGATGACATATATAAATGTATATCTATAACTTATATAGTTTAAAAGCTTTCTAGTAAGGACATTATCTGGTGTCTAAAACACTATTGAGACTAGATGCAGAGGTACCAATTCTGTTGTCATCTAGATTGGTGCATAAAATGCATATTTGTATGTGTCCAGAGAAGGTGGTTTTCACAGTGACTTTCAGTCAGTAATACCTGTAATACAATCTTTTGTTAGACAGTGTCACATTAGAAAGTGATGGATACCAAACCATGTTGACAGAAGTGTGACTTGCTAAACATCAAGTGATAGAAGTGAATCATCAGTGTCTGTTTTGGATGTCTTGGTATAGGATGGACTGTAAACTAGAACACATTTGTAAGAGCATGAATATGTCCTTTGCAAATTAAAATATAATATTTTTCTGTAACTGAAAAAAAATTGATTTTTTATATTAAAATTAGATAAGATCAAAAATAAAATAACAAAATTAGTTTAAAAATAAGAAAGGCCTGTTTTTACCCAGTGTTTCTTAAGGCACCAGAGAGCCATGGGAGCATCTTGATTAGAGATATACTTCTGATTTTGAATTGGCAACTCTGGTTTTGAATTGGTTTTGAATTTGTAGAATATCTTTGGTTTTGAATTGGTAGAAGTCAGGAAAATGAAGCCTCCTGCACTGTGACAGTTCTCCTGTACAACAGAGAATTTCCTTTCCAAAGTGCCCACACAGCTCTTGCACAAATTTTGTAACAAAATCAGTAAGAGTTTAGATGCATATTATCTAAGAGGCAGCATAATTAGAGATAAAAAAATATTCACAGAAATCTATTTTACCGCTGCTCAGCATTATTTGGGTCTAGCCTGTTCTCTGAGGGAAAGGTATCTTTATACACTTGTTGTCTCGAAGAATACTAAAATGCCAGGATTTTCCTTGAGTTTTCTCTTGAAAACAATGAGAGAGATAAGCCTTATCAGTATGATAAAGACGAACATTTCAACCTTTAAATCGAGAGCATTTCCCAGGGGAGAATTATAGATGAAAGAATCTGTAAAAAACTGCAGAGCATGAATTTAAGAATCAATCTCCTTAAAGAAAATAAGATTACAAAGAGCTAGATTCATTTCTTACCACACTAGTAAAATGATTATAGGAAGTAATTCTGTATCTAAACTCATCCATTCTTTCAACAAATGCTTTTTAAGTATCCATTGTGTGTCATGCACTGCTCTAGGAATCAGGCATACAATAATGTCAAGGGAACCTACATAATAAAAGGAAGATGGGGAGAAAAAAGTGTCAGATAGCTCAGTAAGCACCAGAAAAGCAGGATGAGTGGGTTGAAAATTACAGAATACGTTATTTTAGAAGGGCTAACCAGGAAAGGATTGTCTGAAGAGGTGACGTTTTGAAAAGTAGAAATGAAATAAAGGGTAGATACAAGCATGTGAATATCTGGAAGGAAATCAATTCAGTAGAGCAATCACTCAGTGCAAAAGCTGTAAGCATAATCGTTCATGTGAGAAACAGTAGGGGATGAGAGAACTAGCGGAAAGTTGCAAGAAATAAAGGTGGAGAGGTAGCCCAAGTGCCAAACACGTGGGAACTCTGTGGTAACCCATAGAAGCAGCTTTTACTCAGAGTCACCTCAGAAGCCACTGGAAGATCCTAAGTATAAAAAGGATCCAGTCTGATGTTTCAAAAGGAACACTCTGTACTCTATATTAAAAAGCCTGTGGTCTGGAAAGAGTGAAAGCAGGTAGGCTAGTACCATAGTCTATGAATGATGAGGTTGGACTTGGACCAAGCAGTGGACATACAGAAGGTATGAAGTGGCTGTTGAAGGTGGAGTTTACAGGATATGCTGCTGGATGAAATGCAGGCTGAGAGAGAGAGAGAAGAATGACTCCAAAGTTTATACATTTTCTTCAATTTATGGGATGTTCATTTGAGAAAGTAACATTTATCCCAAAATTAAAATTGACATTAACCATCAGATTTAACCTCTTCGAGCCCTTTCAAATACTGTAGTATAATTCAAGGCAGCCATCCCTAATTCTTAGTATTTCAGTGGCTTATTTTAGATTGTATATTTTTCCAGCCTTTGATTTTGCCTTCCATAGGTTTATAGTAAAAAAGTCAACACATACAGTGAGGTTTAAAAATATGTATTTAGCTAATGGATACTGGGCTTAATGCCTGGGTGATAAAATAATCTGTGCAGCAAACAACTATGGCACATGTTTACCTGTGTAACAAAGCACACATCATGCACATGTACCCAGAACTTAAAAGGTGGAAAAAAATTTTTTTAAGAAATTTAAAACTTTTAAAATGGTAAAAATATTTGCATTAATATCTTCAATAAAAGTAATTACTTAAGTCTTCAATAAAACTAATATATATGTATAAAATAAATGAGGTTCAGTATCTCTACATATGTTTAATGGTCACTTTTATTTTCTCTTCAGAGAATAACATGTTATATGTTTATTATTCTACTGAGTTTTTAATTATTTTTACTCATTTCTAGGAGTACTTTATGAACCCTGAATATGAACCATATGCATTTAATAACTAATTGCTTTTAGTTTTTAAAATATATATGAAAATACTTTGTGGAAGAAAGAATTATAGTGGAAAGTATCTGTGAGAAACCCCAGGGTGTGGATTTAAGGCTCGAGCTCCTTAAAGAAAATAAGACTATAAAAAAACTAGACTTGTTTCTTATTATACTCGTGAAATGATTATAGGAAGAAATTTTGTGTCTTAACTCATCCACATCTGGCCCACTGCCATTACCACTAATGCCCAAGGAATGATCCACCTCATTTCCCAGTACCCAGCAAAGCCTCGTCACAGCCTTCACTAACTACTGCAGCCTAAGCTACTGAGAAACAAACAGACACCACTGGTGCTGATTACAGCAGAAGAAATCATATGGAGAATACACTATTGCACCCATCCCTAATCAAAGCCAAAGTATCCTACTCAACCAACACTATAGATAAATCTGTAGGAAAAAGTTTTTCCCTGTGAAATCCAATCCTTAAAATTGAAAGATGCAACTGTTACAGCAAGTGCTTATATATCAACATAAGGACACAAGAAACATGAAAAAGCAGTGAAACATGAGACCTCAAAAGGAACACAATGATTTTCCAATAATGAGTAAACACACACAAAAATCTATAAAATGCCTGAAAAATAATTCAAAATAATGAAAATAAATTAACTAATGAGATACAGGAGAACACAGATAAATAATGCAAAGAAATCAGAAAAACAACTCGTGATCTAAATGAAAAATCAACAAAGAGATAGATATCATAAAAAGAAGCAAACAGAAATCCCAGAACTGAAGAATTCAATGGTAAAAGTAACAAATACAACTGAGAGCTTCAGGAAGGATGAGATTAAGTAGAAGAGAAAAATTTCTGAACTTGAAGACAGGTGTTTTGAAATAATCTAGTCAGACCAGAAAAAAAAAAGGTAAAAGAGTATGAAAAAACAGGACATGATATATGACATATGGGCCTATGGGACACCATAAAGTGACCAATTATATGAATTTTGGGAATTCCAGAAAGAAGAGAGAAGGGCATAGAAAACCTATTTACAAAATAATAGCTGACAAACCTTTAAGTTTTGCAAGAGATATAAACATCCAAATACAGGAAGTTCAAAGATTCCGAAATAGTCTCAATCCAAAAAGGTCTTTATAGCACAACATAGTCAAACTGTCAAAAGTCAGGGAGAATTCTAAAAACAGCAAGAAAAAAAGCATCCAGTCACATATAAGGGCATCTCCATCAGACCAACATGGATTTTTCAACAGAAACTACACAGGCCAGGAGTGAATAGTATGATATATTCAAAGTGCTGCATAAAGAAGAAAAAAAACCTGCTAGCCAATAATACTATTCCCAGCAATGCTATCCTTCCAAAATGAAAACTGTATAAATAAAGTCTTCCCCAGACAAGGAAAAACAGGGAACTCATCTCCATTAGACCAGTCATTAGGACTTAAATGCTTAAGGGAGTCATTAGGACTTCTGGGTAAAAACATGATATCTAATATAATGAAAACATACAAAAGTATAAAACTCACTAGTAGAACTGATACACAAATGAAAGAGAAGGGAGTCAAAAGATATCACTACATAAACATACCAAATGGTAAAGCCAAACAATAAAAGAAAAAGGGACAAAGGATATACAAGACAAAACAATTAACAAAATGACAGAAGTAGCCCTCACCTATCAGTAACATCCTAGAATGTAAATGGTTGAAATTTCTCAATTAAAAGATATGGACTGGCTGAATAGATTTATAAAAACAACAACAACAACTATATGCTGCCTATAAGAAATACACTTCCCCTGCAAAGATACACATTGACTGAAAGTGAAGGGATGAAATAAAAAGTTTCACACAAATGGAAAACAAAAGCGTGCAGGAACAACTATAGTTACATCAGACAAAATAGACTTTAAGTAAAAAATATATGAACACATATGTCCCACTATATGAAATAGTGACTAAAAATCAATACAATCATTAAACAAAATACTTTTTATAAAGATGAAATTGATAAACTACTAGCTAGACTAACCATGACAAAGAAGACTCAAAGTAGAAAATGTAAAAGGACGTATTACAATTGATAGTACAGAAATACAAAGATCGCTGGAGACTATTACAGGCAACTATACCCTAACAAGTTGGAAAAAGAGCAAATGGATACATTCCTGGACACATACAACCTTCCAAGACTGAACCAGGAAGAAATAGAAAAACTAAACAGACCAATACTAAGTAATGAGGATGAGTTAGTAAACAATGTGAAGGTTTCTCCGAACTCTAAAATTAAAGTAAAATATGATCCAGCAATTCCACTACTGGATATTTATCCAAAGGAAAGGAAATCAGCATATCAAAGGGATACCTGCACCTCCATGTCTATTGCAGCACTATTAACAATAGCCAAAATATGGAATCAACCTAAGTATCCATTAATGGATGAAGGGATAAAGAAAATGTGGTATATATATACAATGGTAAACCGTTAAGCCATTAAAAGTCTTTTGCAGCAACATGGTGGAAATTGAAGGTTATTATGTTAAGTGAAATAAGCCAAGAGCAGAAACGAAAATATCACATGTTCTCACTCATATGAAGGAGCTTAGAAAGTTGATGTCATGGAGGTAGAAAGTGGAATAATGGCTACCAAAGGCTGGGAAAGGTAGGAGGTGGTGAAGAGTGATTAGTTATTGGGTAAAAACAAACAGGAGGAGTAAGTTCTAGTGTTTGATAACACAGTAGGGTGACTATAGTTAACAGTATTTTGTTATATATTTCAAAATAGCTAGAAGACTTACAATGTTCCCAACACAAATAAATGATAAATGTTTGAGGTGATGGATATCTTAAATCCTCTGATGTGATCATTACATATTGTATGCAGGTATTAAAATATCACATGTACTCCATAAATATGTACAATTATTATGTATCAATAAAAATATTTTAACACCCCAAAATATGAGGAAAGAGATGGTTTCAGAAGCAAGAGGCTTCAATAACCCATGAACTAAAGAAGTCAAAATGAGTAACTGGAAATAAGGTATACTTAAAATTCATGATTACAAAGTTAAAAATAGATTACTGTTGCTTAACAACATGATTTAGATTTGTAACCTGAGAGAAGAAACACAATTATCAGTAAAATATGTGAATTTTTCAATAGTAATTTTTATAAACTATTAATTACGTTATCTATTTTCTTTTCTTTCCTATTTGCAAATTGCTTTTCAAGAATCCAAAATCTGTCCAGGTGTGGTGGCTCTTGCCTGTAATTCCAGCACTTTGGGAGGTCAAGGCAGGCGAATTGTTTGAGCCCAGGAGTTGGAGATCAGCCTGGGCAACATGGTGAAACCCTATCTCTACTAAAAAAAAAAATACAAAAAATTAGCCGGGCACGGTGGAGCATGCTTGTGGTCCCAGCTACTGGGGAGGCTGAGATGGGAGAATCCCCTGAGCCCAGGAACTCAAGGCAGCAGTGAGCCATGATCTCATCACCACTGCAGTCCACAGTCCAGCCTGGGCGATGGGAGTGAGACCCTGTCTCCAAAAAAAAAAAAAAAGAATCCAAAATCAAAATGTATCCTCTGCATTTTACAGAATTACAAATTTCTTAATGCATTCTCAAATCCATTGGAGATACTAAATTTAATGTGCTTAGTAGGTAAACCTTAATTGCTCATACAATTAAAATAATTTTATGTTGCAAAATATTAAGAATGTCTAGAACAGTTTTTCAAATGTTGTCTAATATCTGTAATACTTCATAACAATTTATCCTGGCATGAAAGCAATAAAGTTGTAAAAAATGAGAGTTGATTTATTTTTAAGCCCATAAATATTGTCTTTCTTTACAGTGTAGTAACAAGATCCCAACTGGCTTGGACATAAGTATTCAATAAATATTTGCAGCATGATTTATCTCTAATTATAAATTTTATGTGCTAAATGAAGTGAAATAGAAATTTTGAGAATGCTGAATTAATTATACAAACAGAGCAGAAAATAATGTGGCTTTTAAAGTGTAATTGTGATAACTGGCCTTTCATTTGACATTTTTAAGCTGACCTGGCAATGCTGAGATCATCCACAAATATTTATTCAGTGCCCATTATTTAATCTGCATTGTGATTGGAGCTTAAAAATTTCACTTGTAAAGTTTTGGGTAATATAGCTCTTTTCTATCTGGTTCTCTTTATCTCTTGCTTAGACTAGACTATTGCAATAACTTTTCACTCTAATTTTTCCCTAAAATAAAGTCCAAAACATTAAATGTTCTCTGCAATGTGGCACCAACCTACCTAAGAATAATGTTTTATGTAGTAATATCCTATATTACTCTCATGATGTACTATATTTCTTAAATATATGCCATGTAAACTTTTGTACATTAGTTAAAAACTCTCCCCTCTGCTGAAAATGACATTCTGCTTGCTACTTCTGCCTTTTGGATAAGCTCAGAGTGCCTACCACGTTGAAAATTGGAACAAAGCAGGCTTGGGAGAAGATAGGTTGGACGAATCCATAAAAAGATGAGTCCTTGATAGGGTACTGCAAACAAATACTACTACCAACACCAGCATCCTCAAAATTTCTATTATGGCATAACCAGGGTCTTTTCAGAGGAGTCTGTGTTGGGGTCAATGAATGGCAACAATTGTTACAGAGTAGTTTTTGAAAGCAGTCCCATGGATTTAACTTATGAGGCTAATGAAAGCAACATCACAGAAAAACAGTTAGGATCTGGACAATGGACTCCAGGAGTCAACTGACTAGGGTTAAAGTAAGATAGGGAAGCTACAGCTAGATTCTCTTCCAGAAATTCTGGGGAGGAGGAGTGTGAACAGCAGGCCACATCATTTTCAAATTCCTCTCGTTGGTGGTGAGGAACCTCCTAATTCAGTGTCCATACCGTCTTGCTGGTTGAGTTAAGGGGGAGACTGTGCCTGTAGATTAGCAACTTTTTATGAACTATTCCTATAGATTAGCAAATTATTACTTCTAACCACTATGAGCACCTGTCTGCCAGGAGTTGCACCATCCTTCAAGGATTTCAACTGAAAACTATTTCCTTTAGTTTCCTGGGTTTAATCTGCTTATCTTCTGTACTCTCCATAGAATGTATTGCTGTAACTCTTTTTTGTCACCTGATATGGTCAGCTTTGTAACAGAATAAATCATGTGCCTTCAGATCAGCTTCTCCTCCTCCCCAGTACCTTGCCCGTACATGTCTTTTAAGTATAACTGGCTGTGTGAAATGCATTAAAGACGTGAAGGAAGAATAGGGTAGTTTTCTTTTTTTCTTGGCGGTATTTTCCTATTACCTTGATGGCTTATATTTAAGGCTTTAGGCTCCAGTATGTCTTCCATCCTTGCTAAGATAGATGGGAGAAAGACAAATCTTTTATTGCTTTATTTCAATAAAATTTGCAGATTCACACCTGAGGATTTACTCTTCTATTTTTAGGCTTCTTTCACCCTCTGAATGCTAGGTGAACAACTTGCTGCTCATTAAACAGATTGTACATTAAAAACTATAGAGTACAAGAGCAGAAATATCATACATTTGGTGATAATTAGTAGTGTTCATTTCCTCACTAAGTACTAGGGCATACCACACTGTTTCCATAGCAACTTCTATTCTGTTCAATTAACTGCCTAATGTGAATATATGAATAAGTTTCTGTGTTTAAGGAGAAACCCCCAAACAACAGGGTGATTTAAGAGTTTGCAGTTACAGATGTAAGCATGTCAAGTTTACCTTATTTTCTACTTTATTTTTGGAAATACATTTTTGATGTTTTTAGGTTCTGGACATAACTATTGGTGAAGCTGAATAAATTTTAATGAATTTCTAAATGGCCTACTGAACCAGATTCTCCCAGTCCCTCAGCTACTCCCTGGTTGTAAATTATGCAAATGTACAAGCTGCCTTAACTCTTTCAGGACACCAGGGTACCATTTGGCAAGTAGCTACTCCAGGGAACAAATCCATCATGGAAAAAGAAAAAAAGAAAGAAAAGAAACAAAGACCATTTTATAGCGATTAAATCAGTGTTGCTTTAATTTGTAAAATGTCCCTGGAAAGCAAAATTGGCATTATGTTAATCTTTTGGAAAAAAAAAAAAAAGCTTAGATCTCATTAGCAGAGTCTCAGAAACTGTGGCTGACAACATGCTATAGAGGAGACAGCAATGCCTTTGGAGTCAGAGATCCAAGTTCAAATCAAAGCCACTCCACAAAGAAGCTGAGACTGAAAACACCAGTTTCCCCTTCTGTGGGAATGATAATAATATTGACATTGACATTCTCACTCTGTGCCACCCCTTCACATGGATTATGTCAGAGGCAAAAAACCTTATTAAATTGTCAGCATTCAACCATTTTTAACCTTAAAAATAGTAATCTAATACAATTCAGCTTCATAGAAGGGAGAGACACTGGGGCACAGAGAGGTCAAGCAAGAGATCTAATGTCACAAGATCCATCAGTGGTATACCAGGGCCTATTCCACTTTCCTAAACCACCAAAATGTACTGTTTGCCTAAATAACCCATGTTGCCTGGCACATTGCAGGCACCCGGAAATCATTAGTACCTTTTCCTTTTCCAGTCATTGACTGGGTAGTGGTAGAATATACACGTGAACAGAGTTATGGGCAGCTGCCCTGGTATTTATTGCTTTTTCAATTCAGAGCTTCATGGAAGGATTGAGTTGAGGTGGGTTCATATTCAGAAAATTGTTTTATATCCTACTCTTTCCATTGAGAGACATAACTTGGATGCTTAATCATGCTATTCTTCTGCTTATCTAGCTACAATCAGAATGGTGATGTTTGCATGTTTTTCCCAAGGGGTTGTGAGAAAAAATGAAGCATGCTTTTGATGTTCTTTGTAAAAAAGTTTAATATTAATATATATATCACCAATCTGTATTAGCCCGTTTTCACACTGGTGGTAAACACATACCCAAGACTGGGAAGAAAAAGAGGTTTAATGGACTCAGAGTTCCACGTGGCTGGGAAGGCCTCTCAATCATGGCGGATGGCAAGGAGGAACAAGTGATGTCATACGTGGATGGCGGCAGGCAAAGATAGATAGCTTGTGCAGGAGAACTCCTCTTTATAAAACCATCAGATCTAGTGAGACTTATCACTGTCACAAGAACATCAGGGCAAAGACCCACCCCCATGATTCATTTACCTCCCATTCGGTCCCTCCCACGACACGTGGGAATTGTGGGAGCTACAATTCAAGATGAGATTTGAGAGGGGACACAGCCAAACCATATCACTGTCAAATGTTTATTATTGTTACTATCTTTACTGGGTAAGTCAAGGACACAGTTCTGAAATCTGTCTCTTATACTACTATAATAGTAATGAGACTTTTAAAAGTAATACACCAATTTTTGTCTTTTTTCTTATTCTATCAATTTATATGTATATTGATTTTTAAATAAGGCAGGTATAAGCGTTTTTAGATAATTATATAGTGGATGTGGCAAATACAGAGATATATCATAATTTAAAATCTTTACTAATGTTTAGCCTTGTGCCTGATAGGTACCTAGAAATGTTAACTATTATTGCAACTGGTCTTCTCTTTCATATAACACTGACTTGAACAAAATTATTTTTCAAGATATTTGCAATTTTGATTTAGGGGTTCATATTCAGAGATAAATGAAAAAATGTTTCTATTAGAGTATACTCAGTTATTAGGTGAATTTTAATGATTTTTAGATAATATGCTAGGTAGAACATTGAATACTTTACAAGTATTATCTAATTATATTCTCACAATATTCCTAAAAGTTGTGTGTTCTATTATCTCCATTTAGTAACTTAAGTTAGATTGCAACTATAATACTCCTGTAAATCCGTAAATATTTGACTATATTTTTCACTTAAGCAGAATCGTTTCAAAGATTAATCATCATTACCATAATTAGACTCTTAAACACTTAGTGTTTTCATAATACTCATTGTTAAAGCAAATATATACCTAATGTAAAATAACGTTATTTTCCTGAAGCTAATCTATAATTGTATATCAAGTGTTATTCTTGATGGATACATTAAATGAATAGCTAAAACGGGCATTTTTCCCTTAAAATGAACATTCCAATGAGATTCATAAAGTTATTTATTAAAGAACTGTATATTGTATTGACACTTGTGCCAGAAATACGGTCTAAAAGATCTCAGACAGTTTCAAAATATTAAATAGTTCACTTAAAATATTTAAGGAAAAAACAAAACCAACTTAAATCCAAAAAAATACTATTTTATGTTAGCAGTGAAGTTGGTAATAGTAAATAATTGTTAGCAATGAGTTATTTTTAAAGTATTAGATAATTCTTCTTGTAAATATGAAGTTCAAAGTCGAGACATTTCAACCATACACTACAATATTACTGATCGAGTTTGGGAAGAGTGTTAAAATATACTCACTTTATTTGGAAAACGTATTATTAGAATGCTAATTAAAATTGCATCGAATTCATGTATTTATTTTGGACAATGTAACATTTTCGTGTTAAATTCTCCAATGTTAGAATATAAAATGTGTTTCTAATTGTTCAGATCTTATTTTATATTCTTCAAAACATTTTGGTGTTTTATTTCTTGAATCCTACCTTCTCTCATTAAATTTATCAGTAAGTGTTTAATAAATTTATTGCTAAAGTAAATGGAATATTTCTATTTCCATTTTTTATATTTTTGTGTGTATTTTAATCTTGTTTCCAACCACCTTGGCAAATCTCCCATTTTTTTTTTTACCAGAGTCCTTTGGGATTTTGAGAACATTAAAATGAAGACACTGTTAAATAGCTTAACTGGTCCCTGACATAAAGCAGGTGCTCAGTAAACAGTGGCTCTTTTAATAACTTCTGATTGTACTTTCAGACTGCGTTGTCCTTATCTATGGATCATCCTCACCAGCATTCATTGCAGGCTTTGCTACTTTATGATTTAAGCAGTTCATCTTAATTTTTCTGCAATTATATTAGTTGATTTTACATAGAAGGTAATTTTTGATAATATTTTGAAGTAGCCTATGTAATAATTTCTTTGTTTTAAATGGTGTCATATCATAAACATTACTACAAGGGACCAACTGCAGGTTAATCTTAGTTTGGGACCACAGTCAGTTGTAAGCAAGATGGTTATAAAAAATGTTGAAAAAGAGACATTCTTCCTTTTGTAGCATCTTGCAAGAACATTTATATTTTAATATGTAAAACATGAAACTTCATAGTGTAAAATTTTAGAACAGGTGTCGCCTATTTCCATTTTGAAATTTCCTTAAAAATATATCTGTGCATATTAATGATGGGAGTTCTATGTTCTAGTCTTATGTATTAAAAAAATTCAGTGGTAATTTTTTTAATTCTTATTTTTAACAGTAATTTTTTAAAAATGTATTATCTATATGACTGATAAATTTAATAAGATGAAAGTCTAAAAGGAAAACAATGAGAAAATATATCATTTATATTTAAGGATTTATGAATAGTGAGCTTCATATTGTAACTCTAGCAAGTGTTATTTATTTATTTATTTATTTTTTAAGAAATAGGGTCTTGTGGCTGGGCCTGGTGGCTCATGCCTGTAATCCTGGCACTTTGGGATGCCAAGGTGGGCAGTTCACCTGAGGTCAGGAGTTCGAGACCAGCCTGGCCAACATGGTGAAACCCTGTCTCTACTAAGAACACAAAAACTAGCCAGGCGTAGTGATGTGTGCCTGTAAACCAGCTACCTGGGAGGCTAAGGCAGGAGAATTGCTGGAACCTGGGAGGCAGAGGCTGCAGTGAGCCAAGATCACACCATTGCACTCCACCCTTGGTGACAGAGCAAGATTCTGTCTCAAAAAAAAAAAAGAGAGAAATGTGGTCTTGCTATATTGCCTAGGTTGGCCTCATACTCCTGTGCTCAAGCAATCTCCCTATCTCAGTCTCTTGAGTAGCTGGGACTACAAACATGTGCCACAGTACCCAGCTTCTAGCAAATATTATTTGAAGGACAAATTTGCCTTCTAAAAGAAGGGAATGTTTTATGTAAGATGAGAAATGTAATAAGTTGGGTAAATATATGTAGATAAACTTTTCTCCTGAAATCTTTATATGTTTTTAAAGGTATATTCTATGTTTTGTGTCAACAGCAATATATGATTAAAATATAAAATACGGGGGATGTTTTCAGATGTCTTAAGTCTTCATAACAATGAGCTTTACTTGGAACTTCCTGATAAATTGGGACTGATTAATTTATCTGGCTTACTGAAGAGGCACCTTAAAAATTAATTAAAGAGCATTTTACTGTAAAAACTAATAATAACAGCTAACATTTATTGAGCACTTACTATGGTCTAGACTCTGCTATAAATATTATCCTTAAATTACTTCATTTAATCTTCTAAAAAAAACCGCTGTGAGGTAGGAACAATTAGAATTCCTATTTTGAAGATGAGAAAATTAAAGCTCTGTGAAACAAAATAAACTTCCCAAAGTAACAGAGTTAATATAAAGCAAGTACAATACTTGAATCTTAGTTGAATTCCAAAGTCAGCCTCTTACTCTCCATATTATAAAAAAAGTAGCAGAATTAATTTTTCTTTAAAAACATTCAACCAGTTTATAAGCATACAGGAATGACTTAATTGCTTTAATAAGTAAAGTAAATCCAAAAGAAGACATTTATGCGACCAGCAAACATATTATAAAAAGCTCATCATCACTGGTCATTAGAGAAATGCAAATCAAAACCACAATGAGATACCATCTCACGCCAGTTAGAATGGCGATCATTAAAAAGTCAGGAAACAGGCCAGGCACGGTGGCTCATGCCTGTAATCACAGCACTTTGGCAGGCCAAGGCTCCCAGGATCATGAGGTCAGGAGATCGAGACCATCCTGGCTAACATAGCAAAACCCTGGCTCTACCAAAAATACAAAAAATTAGCCAGGCGTGGTGGTGGGCGCCTGTAGTCCCAGCTACTCAGGAGGCTGAGGCAGGAGAATGACGTCTACCTGGAGGCAGAGGTTGCAGTGAGCCGAGATTGCACCACTGCACTCTGGCCTGGGCAGCAGTGCCAGACACCGTCTCAAAAAAAAAAAAAAAAAAAAGTTAGGAAACAACAGATACTGAAGAGGATGTGGAGAAATAAGAATGCTTTTACACTGTTGGTGGGAGTGTAAATTAGTTCAACCATTGTGGAAGACAGTGGGGCGATTCCTCAAGGATCTAGAACTAGAAATACCATTTGACCCAGCAATCCCATTACTGGGTATATACCCAAAGGATTATAAATCATTCTACTATAAAGACACATGGACACATATGTTTTTTGCAGCATTCACAATAGCAAAGACTTGGAACCAACCCAAATGTCCATTAATGATAGACTGGATAAAGAAAATGTGGCACATATACATAGAGTACTATGCAGCCATGAAAAAGAATGAGTTGCTGTCCTTTGCAGGGACATGGATGAGGCTGAAAACCATCATTCTCAGCAAACTAACACAAGAACAGAAAACCAAACACCGTATGTGCTCACTCATAAGTGGGAGTCAAACCATGAGAACACATGGACACAGGGAGGGGAACATCACACACTGGGGCCTGTTGGGGGGTGGGGTCTTAGGAGAGGGATAGCATTAGGAGAAATACCTAATATAGATGATGGGTTGATGGTTGCAGCAAACCACCATGGCACATGTATACCTGTGTAACAAACCTGCACATTCTACACATGTATCCCAGAACTTAAAGTATAATAAAAAAAGGAAAAATAAATAAATAAGTCTAATAAATGTTTGACTTTGGGAGATTATTAATGCTTGTGACAAAAAAAAAATGACCATAGCAATTTGCTATGGTCCACAGCAAAAAATTGACCATAGAATTTGCAAACCATCACTGAGGTGTAAAAATTATTTATGAAACTTTACTTGCAATTTTAAAGATTAAGTGTTTATTATAGTATTAGGGGAAAATATCCCCATGATCAGGAAAATTGCAGAAATTCTATACTTCTTTGTCTTCAGGGCTAAACTGAACATAATTTCTAATACTGAAACATAATATAAATGTTTCAAAGATACGTATTTTTAAAGTTATTTTTATCATATAGATATATAAGCAGCTACTATGTGCAAGTAATTGTCCTAAACACGTTATAAATATTAGCTTATTTAATCCTCATATTCACCCCATGGAGTAGGCATTATTATTATCCCCATTTTACAGAAGTGGAAATGAGGCATAAAAATTAGCTCCTATTTAAATAGCTAGCAAGTACAGCTTTTGAATTTACATCTAAGCTAATTCCAGAGTCTATGCTAAATGCTGCCTCTCACAAATATCTTCTAAATGCCTAATTTAATAGTTCAGTCAGTATTCTTATTTTAAATGTATTACATTATGTTTCATAATGTTATGTGTTCTATTAAGAAACTGATGTATGCTAGCCATAATTCCAAAGAAGGTAATTACTTTGTAAATGGTACTGTGATATGGCAGTCATGGCTTTTAAATAGTGTTTCCTTATTTGACTAGTGTCTTAGAAAATTTCTGAATTGACATTTTAATTAACAAGTCAAAGGTTCTCAACAGGCACTATTTGATGCATCATAAAGCAACCTTTGTGATGTGCTTTGATGGCATTTGCCATCTTATTTGTGCACTAGAGCATAGAACATAATGTTTCTTGTCTATAGGGATTTCTTTAGCAATTGATCATTAATTGAGAAACATAGTGTAGCTAAGTCTTATGAGGAAAATTAATGTCTTGTTCCAATTAGATGCATTAATTAAAAACTAGAATCTTTGAATAAATTTTTTCGAATTGTCAAACTTCACTTCATAATGCAGTCTCATTCTGGGAATTAGGAGGGAATGGTTACCCCTGCTTTGAAAACAAAGGACAAAATATTGGGATTTCTCTTCATAGATCTTACCACCCTGAAGAAAGATAGGCTTTGCTTTACTTCATCATTATTTTTGTTGAAGACTAGAAATTCATGCAGTGTGCTTATTGTCAGTTTACTACTTTCTCATACCTGTTCTATTCTTTACATCTCATCTGCCTTGATGCCTCATCCAGCAAAGCAGTGCTGCATCTGCTTTCTATGAGAAGTCACACTCTGATGTCTGTAGTTAAGTATGCACAGTCTTTCAGAAAATCCTACAGACTTACTGCACGAAGTGCAATTCTCTCATCTACTAAGCACCTAATCTGAATATTGGGGTGATTGGAGAATGGAGCAACTTAAGAGGATTCATATACTATTTTTGAATTTGTGACAGTTTATATAATAATTATTTTGTCATTGTACTTGAATAGATTAAAATTCTCCAAACAATAAAATCAGTAATATTTATAGTGTCATCACCATAGTGATACTGCATTGTCTGCCATGGCCAGGTCATAGATATATCATATGAATTTGTTAATTC
Source organism: Homo sapiens (assembly GCF_000001405.40). Taxonomy (NCBI): domain Eukaryota; kingdom Metazoa; phylum Chordata; class Mammalia; order Primates; family Hominidae; genus Homo; species Homo sapiens. The sequence continues at coordinate 77,638,820 of NC_000012.12, forward strand.
TTTACATGAAGTCACTATTAGAATGGAACTATTTGCCTTAAATGTGCTTTCTAATGCACTTAGGAGACAATGTTTAAACATTCTGTAGGAAGGATGCAGTATTTATTTGGAACCATGGTATGTTTTTTACCTCCACTCTATTCCGCAGAGCATGGTCAAGGTTCTATTTAAAGATCATAGGGGTAATGGTGTGTATATATGGCCAAAATATTTTACACGTTGACAATTAGAGATGGGCACAGAGCATACTCATTTTGAACTACAGAGTTAGATGCAGGCAAAATGCCTGTTGAGATTATGTTTGGGGTAGCTGGACTATCTCCATTTGGATTTGGATTCCCAATAAATCTAGAATCTGTAAACAGATTTAAAAAAATTTTTTTTATCCTCATCTTGTATGTTTTAAGGACTACATGAATGTCCTTCATTCATTAACTTAGCCAACAATTTAGTCAGGTGTACTTGTCTAAGTGCTAGTGATTCAGAAATGAACAAAATAGACCCACTCTCTGCTTTTATGTAATTCATAATCTATAGTGGAACAATGAAGCAGAAACTTCATTAATTTATTGAGCACATTTTATTTTTCTCTATAGCACTCATTATGATCTGAGACATTATATACTCACTGGTTTATTTATCAGCCATCTCGTCTAACCAGAATGTAAATTGTATGAGAACAGAGATTTTTCTACTTTGTTCATTAAAATTGACGCCACTCCCATGTTAGAACAGTGGTTGGCTCATGCTGCAAAGTTGATGTGAAGGAGAATAATTAAGGTACACACATTTATTATTTGTCTTTTAAGTATGAGGGTGCTCAGTGTTGGCTATAGAAAGACAAAGGAACCACAGGCAAAGGGAAGCTGGTGTAAGAACATACAGTCTACTGAGAGGTGGTTACAGGCAATGGCAGAGACAGACATTAGGTGCCTGGAGAAGCACAAAGGAGAAATAATAACCTTGTGCTTCAAATATGAGGAATAAAGTTGCTTACACAGAAATGTGGCACATGCACAGTTGCTCTGATGGCACAGAAGAGGCAGAGACTCAAGTCTGACTGGAGGCCTAAAAAGATTTTGACAAGGAGAAACATTCAGCCTGAGCTGTCAAAAGGGGGGCACTAGTTTTAGAGAAGAGTTTAGAGCAATCTCCATGGTGTAGGGAATGACCCCAGACAAAGATACTTGTATGTTGTCTTTCTGACCATCATCCAAATTCTTAGATCCAGATCTTAGAGATTAAGGCTTGTTGATGATTCTTATATCAGACATCTCCTCTGTTATACACATGTAGTTTGTTTGTTCCCTTTAACAAAATTATGGTATTAAACTTCTAGAAAAGTAGAAGATTGTAATTGCAAAGTGTACTGTAAAAAAGAAATGATGCAGTTAGAAATCTAATCACAGAGACATACAGCAGAGAGAGAGAGGGAGAGAGAGAGTGTGTGTAAGTTGTGGTGCAACACACAGGAAGAAGCAATTTCTTGGTGAATTAAGGAAGAGTAATCATTTTGCAGAGAAGAACTAAATAAAGCAAAACTTTCTTTAAATACTCATTTAGACAAAACATAAATTGATATCTTTTCACCTACTTCTCTCCATTTCCATCCCTTCCCCATCCCTGGTAACCATCATGCTACTCTGTGTTCCTATGTATTTGACATTTTTAAAGGATTATGCATATAAGTGATATCATACAGTATTTTTCTCTCTGTATTTTTGCTTACTTAGCATAATATCTGCCAGTTTAATCCATGTTGTCCCAAATGGTAGTTCAATAAAAGAAATAAGTCTAGAATCTAAAATACAGCATGAATACATAAGTTAATAATACTGTATACTGAAAATTTGCTGAGAAAGTAGATTTTATGTGCTCTTATCACACATATAAAATGTAGCTATGAAAGGTTATAGATATGCTAACTTATTTAAATGCCTCAACCTAAAGGAAGAAGCTGAGACACAAAATATAATTTAAAAGAGTTTACTGGAGCCGAAATGAGGGCAGCTACTCTTAAGACTCACACCCAAGTAAACATGGATATGAGCTCCATGCAATTTTTGTTAAAAGCAGGTTTTTAAATGCAAAGAGAGGTATGAGAAGTGGGCTGATACAAAGTTGTTTGTCAGAAATTCTCATTGGTTTGTGGAAATGACATTGACTAGTGATTGACTATACAAGACTTTACATAGCAAGCAGCTTCTAGAGAGGATTACTTATTTCAAGGGTGGGGAGTAGGATGTGATTGCTGTCTCATTCCTATGCCTCTCTGGGCCTGATAATTTAGAGGAAGTTTACATTCCTCAGATCAAAAGTTTTTTTTCTTTCTCATTTCCCCTTTTTGATCAAAATCTTTTTTTCTCAAAAGCATTTATAGGCAAAGTCTGAGTATCAAGTTGCCACCATCTCTGGGAAGGCTCATTCTTGGATGGTCTTGTCCTATGTTGGTGGGGAGAAGGAGACATCTCAGTGAGAAATTTTAAGAGTGCCCCAAAGCCGAGTTGGGATGACATCACAGAGCGGCAGAAATAAGACCTCAGTCAAGACATTAATTTACAAGGCTACTGTTACTTGTTGAATCATCTCTAGTTTTCAGAATACTGTGATTTTAGTTTTCTCAGAAGAAGTAAAACAATGAAAGATATACAGTTTTAATAATTGAAATAGTAGAAATAAAATGTATAAAAAATTATAATAAAAAGGAATTTGTATGCTAGAACAAAAAATAACCTTTTCCATTAGGGAGCCAACTAAAAACATTATGAAGAAAATTATATCCCAGTTCTTCTTTAGAAGCTTGTAACAAAGTGGCTTCTTTTCTAATTTTTCCTGGCTTCTATTTCATGGGAAGTATTTATGAATACATAACAAGAGGTATTTTCCATTATACATACACCTCCTTCTTCAACACATATATGATCTATAGCAATGCAATTGTCTGTACAACCTTAACCAGGGAACCCACAGCTGTTTGTTGAGCTGCAGTTGAGGCAAGCTGTTTCATTAGCTATATCCTACATTTATAGGAATATTTCCAAGTATATGCTCGGGGAAAGCAACACCCAACCAAGGCAAAAGCATTCTCCCAATGAAATGCATGGAGCTATCTTGTTAGGCAGAATTACGGGCAGGCAGATACTTAGCAGGTTCCCCCAAATAGAATCTCAGTCTTAAATAGATCGGCAGCCAGGCCTAGAGAAAAATTTGAGGGAAATAGTTTAGTGTTGGATTTCTTCAGAGCTATGTATAGATAGAGGAATGACCAAATATCCTATGAGACACTGCCCTTCAGTTTAGTGTCACAAAGATTGGTCAACAGTACCTGATATGGCCCCCTTCCAATGGGGTTGGAAGGAATCTTTTATTTGATGGTGTTTCCAGTAAACAAAATCTCCAGGTTGGAAGCCATGATCTGTGATGTCTTTGTCTCCCAAGAGCTCAGTGTTTTAAAAATCTTTAATTATTATTTTTTTCATTAACAGCTTGATATGGCCTTGGCAATAATGAAGAATATTGCCTTTCAGGAGCGTTGGTTTGTAGACTCCTTCAATCAGCCACATGGGCTTTCCTGTTATTATTTTAAAGGGAGAATGCAGATGTTTCCAAAATGGGATAGAAGGTAAATTACGCAATTCTAATGGAAGAAACCTCAGCCAGGGAAGGTTAAAACTTTCTATAAGCTTTGTTAATTGATTTTTCATTACCCCTTTTGTGTGTTCCCACAGTCTGGAAGACTGAGGGTAGTATGCGCTATGGGAATGCTTAAAAATCAGTCACATATTACAAATAGATTGAATTACATGACCTGGAAATGGGTTCCTTGGTTGCTGTGCAGTTTAAAAGAAACTCCTCCAGAAGGAATAGGACAAGACATAAAATGGCAATGACTAAAGATGCAGTTGACAAAGAAATTTGATCATTTTTTTTCTTTTGTAGTTTACTCAAAAAGTGAAAAAAAGTCTTTGGTTATATCTTATTAATACTTCATGAAAATCTTACTTCAGAAAGAAAACCAAGTTTTACTCTTATACTAGTTTATTATTAATATGAAAGCTAATTTTAATAAAACCTTATAAACATATCCATCTAATCGCAATCAGCTTTGACCCAACAGGATAGGATTTTCATAAATCTTTTATAACCTCTTGTAATTTTTCCTATTATCTTTCTTTTCCAAACTTTCTATATCCATTAAGTTTCATGTCACTTTTTTCTCTTCTTTCATTTGTTCTGGACAATCTTCAAATAATCTGTAATCTAGACAAAATCACTCTTTTTCTCAACAAAAACATATTCTCATACTCTATAACCTCCTTGATAAAACATGTCTTAAATTCCTCGTATGTTCTGTATACAGAATTGTTTTACTTCTTATGTCTAGCTTTAGTCTCGTATATTAGTTAGAATTGTAACTTTTAATAACCTAAATTCATATAGAAAACCTAAGAAGCAAGCAGTGTTTAACTCTTAGTCACATACTTTATGAGTTTATAAATACATATTTTATAAATTTTAGAAATGAAAGCTTTCTAATGGAACAATTTTTCAATGTGGAGCAGGACATATTTACTAACAGATCTAAATATCTTTTGTTTCTCTGAAATAAGAAGCTAAAAGTATATAAACTTAAACTCATATTTAGTAATTACTGTCTTAGCATCATATCTTATTTGGAAATGACTTAGATGTTCAATGAATATCATTCATTTAAATTAGTTTAGCAAAATTCTAATGGTATAGTTACCAAAAGATTTGGGAAACCTTATTTGCCAAAACAAAGATTTGAGAAACCTTTAAAGTAGACATATTATAAAATCTAATTATTAAAAGTTCATTTATAAATTTTTATCCTATTTACATTTACTTAATTTATTCATTCTTAACAATTATATTTGGAAAATTTCATGAGTTATTAGATAAACTTAACCATTGTCCCAAGTTACATTTCCTATTAATCATTTTTATGTTATTGCATATTAGGCAAGTATCATAAAAGCAAGAACCTTAAATTTAAATACATGTGTATTTTGCTAATAACTCAGATACATAGTTGTTTTTATTAAATCAGCAATATTAAACTAGTCTTCCTTGCCAAAAGATTTATTCAAGTCACATGAACTTGAAAAATATTTGAGCTTACTTATTACTTTTATGAGCACTAATTTATCTTTAAGTTAATTTGGTACCATGTAGACAATACATAAACACATGTGTAGACATATGCATACATATAGAGACAACATATACACATGTAGGCATGTATTCATCTAAAAGCTGGAGATCAAGGGGTTCAATGTAAAAGAAAGTAGAACTTTAGACCTGAGAGGCACCTGTCCACCCACAATTCTTGGGGCTCCATGAGGTCGAACAGAGGTCCCCCCAAAAAAGAGGAAAGTCTGTGGAACCTTTTCTGTTTTCTTTAAGAGGTTCCCGAGATGTTAGAAGATTTCTTTATGTCCCCTCATGTGGTATCTAAGGTGGCAAGAGGAAGGAGGGACAGATAGAAGTAAATGAAACAACAAGTCTTGGAGAAGCCTGTTTGAGATTTTGTCTTCTGAAAAACCAATAAAGTTTTACATTATTCTTGGTAAAAATCATATCCAGAGGAGGAGCAAACAGAAGGAGTGCACAGAATTATCAGGGGCTTAAGAAGAAAGGAATTCCTAGTAGACTGAGAAGCTTCCATAGAACAGAGGCCTCAAAAATATATATGTACATACACAGCCTAAATGTCAGCTTTTAATTGTTGACTTTTGACGATAAAGCTCTTAAAAAATATTTTTTTATCAGGTTTTAACTGGGCAAATAACAAGCATTACTGTGTCTTGGCTTTTCCTGTCTGAAATTTACACCAAGAAGGAATTTTTGACGTGGGGCATGTTTGTTTATTAGAGGTCTATGGTAATCATTGTTTAAAGCCATTTGTCTCTAAAATTTTTCTTTTAATAAACTGGGTCCTTTCTTTCTGAGTATACGGATTTATTTAGCTTAGAAGAGTAGGCTAAACAAACAAAGCAACAAAAAAGTTTCTATCACATTCTAAATATAAACCAAAATTTTAAGTCAAAGGCATACCTGAATAAATGACTAAAAACCAGCACAAGTAAGCATATATAATACCAAAACGATTAAGTTCGTTATGGCTTTACCCAAGGTCTCTAAAAAGGGAGCAAAAATTTGCAGTGCTTGCAAGATCCTGACCCCTCCCAAAAACAGCTTAAAAAAAGGGAAAGTTTTGTTCACTACAAGTTGGGTGAAACCCACGTCTGTTAGGCCATGTTTTCTGGGATCTCAGCTTCTCAGCTGGCCATCTACCCACAAAGGCCAGATGGAAGATTAAAAGAGATGGTAAAACAGCAAAATAAAAGCTGCTGATGGGGGTAGGAAGGGTTACAAAAGGTTGAGAGTCACACAAATAATTCAAAATGAATAATTTAAATCTTATGATTTTTTTTTTCTTCTGAGCTAAAGGTATCCATTGAGAAATGGAATTTTGTGGTAGGTCCAAATAACTTTAACTCTGTTTCAAATTATACCTCAGCTGGAATTCTGCTTAGTTAATTCCCTGGATGTTACTACTTCAAAGACAGTGTAAGAGGGTGAGATTTACATCTCTAAGGGACTGAAAAAGACCTGGGGAAGCCTTTAAGTCAAGTAGGCAGTTTGAGCATTTAAGGGCTTTCTTGGGGAATTCATGGAGAGCTCTCTCTCTCTAAAAAAAAAAAAAAAAAAAAAAAACTTTCAAATCTCTAATTTTCAGGTATTAGCCAGGACAAACAGAAAGCAGTCCTCCCATCCCATTATGTTCTAAACCTGCTTTTTCTATTTCTGTTTGCAAATATATTAATTTTGGAATTTCAAAAGACCCTTATTCTTGGTTATTGCATTTTGTGGTCATATCAAGTAATGTCTCATTTACCTAGGTTATTTGCAAGACGGAAGCTCCATAGGTGTTATACATAAAACCAGCTAATGTTTCCAAGAGAGGGTTGTACCTTAAGGGAAAGCTCAGTTTTGAGGAGGAGTTTCTCATAAATTTTAGAATTTCCTTTTCAAAAAGTGACCAAGGCTAGGACACTGTATCAGGCAAAGTGATGCTTTGTGGGCATGTTGGAGTAACATTTTAGGAGTGGAATTGAGGGGTGACCTTAGGATTACTAGATTTTATCAAACTAATCTCCAAAATGGTTTTGCCCTATATGTATTTAAATTTATTTTGTATTTACTTAAGGTATACAACATGGTGTTTTGATACGAGCTTCATGGACAAACGTCTTGGCATTGCTGGATAGTCTCTAGTCACTTACAGCATCTGAATGGGCCAGAGGGAGCAAATGCCTCTTAATTTCAGAATGAGAGAACTCACTCTCATTCATCTTTCTGTTTGAAACTAACAAGAATTGGTCACTAATTAAAAGACAAGTCCAAATTAAAAGCAATAGGAAGCAGCTGCAATTTCTAAAGCACGCTATATAATTTTAGGTGAAAAGAGTGAAACCTGTGGTGCTTTACTGCCAGCACTGTAATCCAGCCTTCCTGCTGTGAGACAGAGGCAGAGAAAGCGGAAGTTTTCTGTTGAGCCCTTTGTGTGACTGTGACCCAAACCTCCTGTCCTGAAGCAGAGGTGAAGAAGGCGTTCTTCTCTCTCTCTTTCTTTCCCTTAAACCCAAATCTCCTGCAGGTAGGCAGAGACAGACACCTCTGTTCTATAAAGGGAGGATTGGAAAGAAGAGCTTGAACAAAGTCTAGGCCTTACCAAAAAGTAGAAAGGTCCAAATTCAGGTAGACTTGCCCCTTACACTCGACAATACTCTCAGAGGTGGAAGAACACCAAGGGTTTGGTTGTCCAGGTGCGAGTCTGGGAGGAGTGCAAGATGTTGGGGTTGGGGGTGTGCAGGATAGGAGGGTCACTTTGAAGCCTGCTCAACTGTAGTAATCATTTCACTATGTATATCAAAAGATCATGTTGTATACCTTAAATAAATACAATAAAAATAAATTTAAAATGTGTATGTAAATGGCAAAATCATTTTGGAGATTAATTTGGAAAAACCCAGTAATCTTGAAGTGGCCCATCAATTCCACTTCTAAGTACTAGTTTGAACCATCCGAGCTTGCTGATACTTGACTTTTACAGTTTTCGTTTTTGACCTATAAAAATGGCAGTTTCAAAAGGTTTAAAATATATATACATGGACATACACACACACATATATACATGGTGTATGTGTGAACATATATATATACACACACACACACACACACGTATATGTACCTTAGAGAGATTTGTCGATGTGTACAAAAGGTAACGACGGTAGCAGCAAAACTTTGGAAATATCTCAGTGCCATTAATAAGAGAATGGATGAATAAGTTATGACATATTTATGCAATGAAAATAGTCAAAAAGCTAAGCATGTAACTTATTTACAGTTAGAAAAACATAGAGGAGTAACATTTCTTGGTAAAAGGAGAGCAATTCCCCATGTAATAGAAAGACTTTAAACGCCTTAGCTGGTACACCAAATTACATTTTATCTTGTTTCTGCATCAGCTAAAATCCCAATCATCTCAAGTAATTCATCTTCTGAAACAGCTCTGTGCTACAACCAGCTGCAGATTTGTAGCATGCTTTTTTTTTGTTTTGTTTTTGTTTTTTTTTGCCCAAACTAGATGAATTTTTTTTTAATTTCAGAAATTTGAGATTAGGACTTGAGATATTATGTCTATTTTAGCCTCCTTGTATCATTCTAGAAACACTTGAAAAGACCAGTGAACAAAATCAAGTCACTGTTTAGTGCTGTTTTGATCATATTCTACTTCATATAAAATAAAGTGATTTATTAACATTTTACAGTTAGTACTGTTGTTATGCTATATCAACTCTCTCTAATGTATGGAACAATGTATTATAGATGTACCATTTTTTCCCATTGACACTACTCCTATATTATGTTTTACTGTGTTACCTCAGAAAAATAAAGCCTGCCACTCAGGAAATTACTTGATTTTAAAGCACAGATCTACCATTCCTATAACATATAAAATAAAAATGTGGTTTTCTGTACTTTAATTTGCAGTGTACATCTCTACTTCTCCTTAAACAGATGGGAAAATTCAATAATATTACATTTTGGGCCCTTCAGACCAAGGAAGAACCTGGCAGCAGTTCAAAAATAATGACACAACAAAGAGAAGAAAACAGGTTCTGATACTTCCCTGATGTTGGACTCCCTATCAATGGCCAAACAGATTTTGGTCTGTTTGAAAAATCATGCCTATTTGGAAAGTCATGCAAAATAAAATTGAATATTTCAACTTTGTCCAGTAAAAGTAAAGGCCTCGTTTCAAAAAAATTTCTTTAGGGGAGTATAAGAGCCAAGAACCTGCTGGAATTTATTGTCAAACAGTCTGATCCTGAATTGTGCTATAATTCTGCTATAGTTAGAGACCTGATCTTTATTATCTTTTCAGAAGCACACATACTCGTACACACACACAGAGACACCCTTAATTTTGCTTAATTAGTTGGGCTCTTGGTTGGAGACTTTAAGTCATGTATGGTGTTTTATGTCAAAAATATCAAAGGTAGTTAACATTGCACACCAGTAGTTTAATAGCAGTATTTATATCTCTCAAATTACAGAGTCTTAGAATAAATTACTGACTGGTTATTAAATGGTACTAGTTGAACCAGGGCCAAACTGATTATTCAAGTATTTCTGCTTCCTGCTTATGGCACAACACTCAGTGGAAGAGCTATCCTGAACTCCATATTGCTCATTCAGTTATGAAGGAAACTACGAAGATATCTGTAACCAGTGGGTCCTCTAATATCTGCCATTGTAAAAAGTTGGTGACAATTTATTTTATTTGCTTGACTTTTGCCTCATGTGAAAGAGTAGGGCTCAAGAGGTCTTTTAAGATTGTTTTTAATGGTAATTTCTATGATTTCAGCATCCTGAATTTTCTCCTTTTGCCAGAAGATTTCACTGGTCAGGGTGCCTATTGAGTAAATATGGGATTTCTTCTGGAGCTGATTAGAAATGCTCTGATTGTAACATGTATTGTTTCTGACATAATTCATTCTTCTGGCAAGTCATAGAGTGAGTCATTGGGAAATAGGACAGTATGAGGAAGGTGGTCCAGATAGAATCAGTCTTAGGAGATCTGCTGTAATCATAGATTATTCTCAGTAGCTGGGCTTCTTCAGTGTTCTATTTTTAATTTCCTAAATAAAATGTTATAATATAGTTGGAATATAAACTATATTCTTGGACTTTGTTTAAGCCAACAGCTTTACAGAGAGACCACACTGCTCACAGATGGACCCAGATTAGAAATGAAATATTCATTCACTTATTCAACCAATGAATATTTCTTGAGCTTCTACTATATGGTAGACATACCGCTAAGCATTGAGGATAATTTACTGAGTATTACATAGGTGGTCATTTGATCTGCGGCTGTTCACAGTCTTATAGTATTTGCGTATTTCTATTTCTATATAGATTTTTAGTAATAAGAGAGGTAATTGGTTAAATGTAAACCCTGTATGGTAATACATCATACACTATATTATTTTTTATTCCATTCGTTCCATTGGTATTTCAAGTCTTAATTTATCTTGTTTAATTAAAAGGCATAAATTAGCACATCATGCTGTTTGCATCTAATTATACAGCTGAGTTCTTGGATTATCTTTGATTCTAAAAGTACAACTCAACATACTAATAAGAAGAGTAAATCAGAAATAGAAAGATAGTCTTTAAATTTTAAAATAAAAGAATGAAATTCATGTTTACTGTAACATTATTGTGACCTTCATATTTTAATCTTATTTAAAACTGATTTTGTAATAATAGACTAAATTTGAGCAGTTAGTCTTGACAAATATAAGATCATTTTGCCTGTATCACTTCCTTTCTGCTATATTTTTTATGACAAAAGATTTTGAAATATGCCTTTGAAAGTAAATGATTTAATCGATTTTTTTAAGTGACAATCTCTACTTTTGTTTATACTTTGCAATAGTTTTATTTTCTTTACCAAGAAGACCTTGAGTTGCTATTTTATTTTGGTTAGGGTTCCTTCATGAATCATTTAGCCAGAATAAGCTGAAACAGCAATCTTTTTGTTCACATACAGTGAGATATGTTGTCTCATTTCAGTGGTATGGCCCCGGTGTCCTTTCTCCCTGTGTTCTTTTTGTCTTAAGTTTGCCTTCCCTAGATTTGACCCATGTCATACCTTCTATTGCTCCCTCCTGTTTTAGATTAGTATTTCCTAAGTGCCTCCGAGGTGCCAGGCTTTGTGCTGGCTTCTTCAGATGTAGCCATAAAGCAGTCAGTTGGATTCCCATGAAACTTGTAATAAAAATGTTCCTTACGCAAATAATCACACACAGAGTAGTTTAATTTCTTGTTTTAATATCTTTAAAGAAGAAGCATGGGATGTTTTTGAGAGGTGCAATCGGGGAAGTTAACCCTCTACTGTGGAGGAGAGGGTGAATCAAGAAAGTCTTCCCTAAAGATCAGTATTTAAGCCGAATCTTGGTAAATAGTTGGAGAGACCAACAACCAACCTGAGAAAAATCTCTGATTGCCACTTCTCTGCTGTCATGAGGTAGTTTCATTTGATGTTGAGTTTCAAGGAGGTACAGTTGGAAGCTTTGATTTTAAATATATTTAATTAGCCCAATGCAGGATTTTAAAAGATTTAAATGTAAAAATCTGATGCAGAAAAGAATATTTTACATGTATTATGAACCATTATACTATTTCTATATGTGCTTGACTTTAGTTATTTAGTGTGGTTTATTACTTCAATTTAAAAACTATGTATATTATAAAATTCATTTTTGTAAATAGATTTTTGTTTCATGGATGTTATAAACCTGAAAGTGTCTTGGAGCCTGATATCAGTTGCATGTAAACATTAGTTAATGACTTAAATTTCCTTTTTATGGTATTGTCTAAAACAGACTTATGAAGATCATAGAGAAAGTCTTATTAATATCTATTATTAGTTCAGTGACAGACTTAATAAAAATGAAGATACTGATAATGATAGGAACAGCTTCAAAGCTCTCTACCTTGCTTTTAAGACATTGATCTGATTGAGCACGGAGGATAAAAATTCCATTTTTTATAAATATATAGTAACTATTTTAAATCTAGGTAAATTAATCCTTATAATGACTCAGTTATTAAAACTGGCTGGTCAGTATTTTAAACTCATCAAAGTACAACTATATCGCACATTGCTGATACATCATCATGAAAAATGTGTGAGACTATACCTTTCTTTTGACTCAGGTTAATTATAAAAAAAAAATTCTACTTTTCAGTCTAGCTGCTTGCATAATTGCTTTTTTGGCAAACATTACTTCATCAATTCCTTAGAAAATTTTGGCCTTTAAAACCCAAGAGAACATCCTACCCTGTTTATACTGACTTTAAAAAGATTGAAGTAACATTTCAAATGCTTTTTCTCTGTGAGCCCTTAATCCTTTCAGACTTATTCTGACTGATCTATTCTTGTGTTTTATCCATTTTGTTGTTGATTTAGCTTGTTACTCCCCAAATATTTTCCCGTGCCTTTTTTTTCTTCAACAGCTCTTACTGCTTATATGAATGATGATTGGAATAGATCATTTAATAGCCACAGGGATATTGAAATACTTTAAGTCAAAACAAAACAAAACCTCTTAAACCTTGTATGTTATTGGTACAGTGCTTGCCTCTGCCCTTAACTGCCTGAGACCATGTTTGTGAGGCTGCTTCATCAGAAAGCCAATGATCTTTCCATATTTTAAGGTTTCATGGGCTAGAATTGGAATTTTAGCCAAGCTGGTGGTTATTATTTTTTAGTCTACGTCAGTTGTATACAACAGAGTAAAATGTGACCATTCATGGAAAAATTAAATTTACTAACTCATGTCATTAAATTGGTAACTCATGTAATAGAAGTACAGCTGAAGATCCAGGCTTTAGAAAAGAAAGAGTCAGAGGTGCTGGGCTGGGTGTAGCAACAACTGGTGTCCTGGGCTTGCGAATCTAATTTCAGAGAAAATCTGGTCAGCTTGTGTTTGGTCAATTCTCCAACTGTGTCTAGGGAAAGGAAGGGTACTAGTGGGAAAAGCGGAGCTTTCAAAGTAATAGTGGTGGGGATGTGATGACCAGAAAAATGTAGAAAAATGCAGGGAAGGCAAAAAATAGCAGCTTTCTACTCTGCTTTTTGGGATTTAACATCACTCTACTGTCCTTACCTATAAAATTGTAATACTACTACCACCTATTTCATAGGTTGCTAACAGCAGTGAAACTGGAAGTACTCAGAACAGTATTTAACAAATAGCAAATTCCCAATATCATAAATATCTCCATTTTACAGATGAGAAATTGTGGTTCTGAGAGGTTTAAATACCCCGCCCAAGGTCACACTGATAGGGATTGGTTAAGCTGGCAGTCAGACACTTTCATTATAGATTCATTCTAAAACACTATGCCGTGTTGCTTCAAAGTCCATAGAGCCTACTCCCTAAAGTTCACCTTTCTCTTTATTGTACTACTTCTGTCTTCCTAGTACCTAATATCTGTCATTTTAAAGAAACATTTTAATTCTACTCCTTCACTTTTTACAATCTCAAACATTCTCTCTTTTCAAAGCAATAAAGATGTAAACAACTGACAGGAACAATCAAAAGCCAAACTAGAATACTAAAAAGATGTATGCCTGTAATACCAAGAAAAAAATCATACATTTATCAAAATGTACCCAAATTCATATGTCCAGATTCATTGCCATTAAAGACTTAACTAAATACCTGAGACACAAGTATAATAATCCTTGATTTTGGAAAAGGACAAAGGATAGACCTAAGGGATAGTAAAAATTAAGTAGATCCATCTTTAGTAAAATAATGATTTTTAAAATTATAGATTGTTCAAGATAACTCCCATACTTCAGCACTGGCTGGAAAAATAGTAGAGCCCATTATCAAGCAATCAGTGTTTGTCAGTTTACAAATACTGTAATCAGCATGTGTCTGTGAAGTGAAAGCAATGCTAGATATGTCTGTTTTTCTGTTATAAAAGAGTTATTGATTTTATACAGGGAATTTACAAAGCTTTTAGTATTTTTCAAAGTGTGTTCAATGGATGTTAATAGGGTTATGTGGCTGAAAAATATTACCTAGTCAAATAAATTTAAGAAACTGGAATACAGAAGATAAAACAGATTTCTTTACTGTAAAACGGGTCAGAGCCTTTAATATTGCTGATTTTCAAGAAGGGTTACAGAATGCAACATAGCAAAAGCTGATTCTATGATGAATCTTGAGAATGGTATGTTCTAAGCTGCCAAAATGCTCAGGTAGACTTACGTAAGCACCTGCTTTGGCTGTTCAAGAGCAGAACCTGTCCCTGTTCCCCTTTCTATCACTGGTACCTAGCAGAGTGCCTGATACTGACAGGTGCTAATTGAGTATTTGTTGACTGACTGAATGAATAAATAAATATTCAGTAGAACCCTAAAGAAAAAGATAGACTAATATCTTGATTACATGATCATACATGTATTTGAAAAGAGGAGGCTGTCTCAAATCTGACTTAAAATTATGCATATATTTTAATTGTTCTTTTTGACTTCAGAAAGGGAAGTTCATAGTTCTAATTGGATTTGAAAATCAAATTTAAATTAACTGAGAATTAATGAATTCCTTGATATTATCGTGTGTTGGAAAAATTTTACAGAACACATTTTTTATAGCCATATAACACTATTGATTTGTGCAAAACAAAGTATTGGATCATTTTCTTGAGTTTCTTCTTGAAATGGGATGTTGCTGGGAGGAGTTTCCAGAAGATGCTATATTGCCAATGTATAGTGCAGTACTTCTGGGTGAATACAACATAATGCTCTATCTTTATATTTATACATCAATGGAAATATATTCTTACATATAAACACATATAATATACACAAATGCATTATAGCTCTGTACACATACACACATATTTGTTTTCATGTTTGAACATGTATATATGCATATATGTGGGACAAGTAATGAAAAAAATTCTAGTTTTCTTAACCAAGAAAAAGCATGCAGATACCCCCTGAAGTAAAGAATATGAGATAGTTGGGGGAGGAGCCAAGATGGCCGGATAGGAACAGCTCTGGTCTACAGCTCCCAGCATGAGCCACGCAGAAGACGGGTGATTTCTGCATTTCCATCTGAGGTACCGGGTTCATCTCACTAGGGAGTGCCAGACAGTGGGCGCAGGTCAGTGGGTGCACGCACCGTGCGTGAGCCGAAGCAGGGCGAGGCATTGCCTCACTCGGGACGTGCAAGGGGTCAGGGAGTTCCCTTTCCTAGTCAAAGAAAGGGGTGACAGACGGCACCTGGAAAATCGGGTCACTCCCACCCAAATACTGCGCTTTTCCGACGGGCTTAAAAAATGGCGCGCCACGAGATTATATCCTGCACCTGGCTCGGAGGGTCCTACGCCTACGGAGTCTCGCTGATTGCTAGTACAGCAGTCTGAGATCAAACTGCAAGGCGGCAGCGAGGCTGGGGGAGGGGTGCCCACCATTGCCCAGGCTCTCTTAGGTAAACAAAGCAGTCAGGAAGCTCCAACTGGGTGGAGCCCACCACAGCTCATGGAGGCCTGCCTGCCTCTGTAGGCTCCACCTCTGGGTGTCGGGCACAGACAAACAAAAAGACAGCAGTAACCTCTGCAGACTTAAATGTCCCTGTCTGACAGCTTTGAGGAGAGCAGTGGTTCTCCCAGCACGCAGCTGGAGATCTGAGAACGGGCAGACTGCCTCCTCAGGTGGGTCCCTGACCCCTGACCCCTGAGCAGCCTAACTGGGAGGAACCCCCCAGTAGGGGCAGACTGACACCTCACATGGCCGGGTACTCCTCTGAGACAAAACTTCCAGAGGAACGATCAGACAGCAGCATATTCGCGGTTCATGAAAAACCACTGTTCTGCAGACACCACTGCTAATACCCAGGCAAACAGGGTCTGGAGTGGACCTCTAGCAAACTCCAACAGACCTGCAGCTGAGGGTCCTGTCTGTTAGGAGGAAAACTAACAAACAGAAAGGACATCCACACCAAAAACCCATCTGTACATCACCATCATCAAAGACCAAAAGTAGATAAAACCACAAAGATGGGGAAAAAACAGAGCAGAAAAACTGGAAACTCTAAAAAGCAGAGCACCTCTCCTCCTCCAAAGGATCGCACTTCCTCACCAGCAATGGAACAAAGCTGGACGGAGAATGACTTTGAGTTGAGAGAAGAAGGCTTCAGATGATCAAACTACTCCGAGCTACAGGAGGAAATTCAAACCAAAGGCAAAGAAGATAAAAACTTTGAAAAAAATTTAGACGAATGTATAACTAGAATAACCAATACAGAGAAGTGCTTAAAGGAGCTGATGGAGCTGAAAGCCAAGGCTCGAGAACTACGTGAAGAATGCAGAAGCCTTAGGAGCCGATGCAATCAACTGGAAGAAAGGGTATCAGTGATGGAAGATGAAATGAATGAAGTGAAGCGAGAAGGGAAGTTTAGAGAAAAAAGAATAAAAAGAAACGAACAAAGCCTCCAAGAAATATGTGACTATGTGAAAAGACCAAATCTACGTCTGATTGGTGTACCTGAAAGTGACGGGGAGAATGGAACCAAGTTGGAAAACAATGTGCAGGATATTATCCAGGAGAACTTCCCCAATCTAGCAAGGCAGGCCAACATTCAGATTCAGGAAATACAGAGAACGCCACAAAGATACTCCTCGAGAAGAGCAACTCCAAGACACATAATTGTCAGATTCACCAAAGTTGAAATGAAGGAAAAAATGTTAAGGGTAGCCAGAGAGAAAGGTCGGGTTACCCACAAAAGGGAAGCCCATCAGACTAACAGCAGATCTGTTGGCAGAAACTCTATAAGCCAGAAGAGAGTGGGGGCCAATATTCAACATTCTTAAAGAAAAGAATTTTCAACCCAGAATTTCATATCCAGCCAAACTAAGCTTCATAAGTGAAGGAGAAATAAAATTCTTTGCAGACAAGCAAATGCTGAGAGATTTTGTCACCACCAGGCCTGCCCTAAAAGAGCTCCTGAAGGAAGCACTGAACATGGAAAGGAACAAACAGTACCAGCTGCTGCAAAATCATGCCAAAATGTAAAGACCATCGAGACTAGGAAGAAACTGCATCAACTAACGAGCAGAATAACCAGCTTACATCATAATGAGAGGTTCAAATTCACACATAACAATATTAACTTTAAATGTAAATGGACTAAATGCTCCAATTAAAAGACACAGACTGGCAAATTGGATAAAGAGTCAAGACGCATCAGTGTGTTGTATTCAGGAAACCCATCTCACGTGCAGAGACACACATAGGCTCAAAATAAAAGGATGGAGGAAGATCTACCAAGCCAATGGAAAACAAAAAAAGGCAGGGGTTGCAATCCTAGTCTCTGATAAAACAGACTTTAAACCAACAAAGATCAAAAGAGACAAAGAAGGCCATTACATAATGGTAAAGGGATCAATTCAACAAGAGGAGCTAACTATCCTAAATATATATGCACCCAATACAGGAGCACCCAGATTCATAAAGCAAGTCCTGAGTGACCTACAAAGAGACTTAGACTCCCACACATTAATAATGGGAGACTTTAACACCCCACTGTCAACATTAGACAGATCAACAAGACAGAAAGTCAACAAGGATACCCAGGAATTGAACTCAGCTCTGCACCAAGCGGACCTAATAGACATCTACAGAACTCTCCACCCCAAATCAACAGAATATACATTTTTTTCAGCACCCCACCACACCTATTCCAAAATTGACCACATAGTTGGAAGTAAAGCTCTCCTCAGCAAATGTAAAAGAACAGAAATTATAACAAACTATCTCTCAGACCACAGTGCGATCAAACTAGAACTCAGGATTAAGAAACTCACTCAAAACCGCTCAACTACATGGAAACTGAACAACCTGCTCCTGAATGACTACTGGGTACATAACAAAATGAAGGCAGAAATAAAGATGTTCTTTGAAACCAACAAGAACAAAGACACAACATACCAGAATCTCTGGGACACATTCAAAGCAGTGTGTAGAGGGAAATTTATAGCACTAAATGCCCAAAAGAGAAAGCAGGAAAGATCCAAAATTGACACCCTAGCATCACAATTAAAAGAACTAGAAAAGCAAGAGCAAACACATTCAAAAGCTAGCAGGGGCAGAAATAACTAAAATCAGAGCAGAACTGAAGGAAATAGAGACACAAAAAACCCTTCACAAAATTAATGAATCCAGGAGCTGGTTTTTTGAAAGGATCAACAAAATAGATAGACCACTAGCAAGACTAATAAAGAAAAAAAGAGAGAAGAATCAACTAGACGCAATAAAAAATGCTAAAGGGGATATCACCACCGATCCCACAGAAATACAAACTACCATCAGAGAATACTACAAACACCTCTACACAAATAAGCTAGAAAATCTAGAAGAAATGGATAAATTCCTCGACACATACACTCTCCCAAGACTAAACCAGGAAGAAGTTGAATCTCTGAATAGACCAATAACAGGAGCTGAAATTGTGGCAATAATCAATAGCTTACCCACCAAAAAGAGTCCAGGACCAGATGGATTCACAGCCGAATTCTACCAGAGGTACAAGGAGGAACTGGTACCATTCCTTCTGAAACTATTACAATCAATAGAAAAAGAGGGAATCCTCCCTAACTCATTTTATGAGGCCAGCATCATCCTGATACCAAAGCCGGGCAGAGATACAACCAAAAAAGAGAATTTTAGACCAATATCCTTGATGAACATTGATGCAAAAATCCTCAATAAAATACTGGCAAACTGAATCCAGCAGCACATCCAAAAGCTTATCCACCATGATCAAGTGGGCTTCATCCCTGGGATGCAAGGCTGGTTCAATATATGCAAATCAATAAATGTAATCCAGCATATAAACAGAACCAAAGACAAAAACCACATGATTATCTCACTAGATGCAGAAAAGGCCTTTGACAAAATTCAACAACCCTTCATGCTAAAAACTCTCAATAAATTAGGTATTGATGGGATGTATCTCAAAATAATAAGAACTATCTATGACAAACCCACAGCCAATATCATACTGAATGGGCAAAAACTGGAAGCATTCCCTTTGAAAACTGGCACAAGACAGGGATGCCCTCTCTCACCACTCCTATTCAACATAGTGTTGGAAGTTCTGGCCAGGGCAATTAGGCAGGAGAAAGAAATAAAGGGTATTCAATTAGGAAAAGAGGAAGTCAAATTTTCCCTGTTTGCAGACGACATGATTGTATATCTAGAAAACCCCATTGTCTCAGCCCAAAATCTCCTTAAGCTGATAAGCAACTTCAGCAAAGTCTCAGGATACAAACTCAATGTACAAAAATCACAAGCATTCTTATACACCAATAACAGACAAACAGAGAGCCAAATCATGAGTGAACTCCCATTCACAATTGCTTCAAAGAGAATAAAATACCTAGGAATCCACCTTACAAGGGACGTGAAGGACCTCTTCAAGGAGAACTACAAACCACTGCTCAATGAAATAAAAGAGGATAGAAACAAATGGAAGAACATTCCATGCTCATGGGTAGGAAGAATCAATATCGTGAAAATGGCCATACTGCCCAAGGTAATGTATAGATTCAATGCCATCCCCATCAAGCTACCAATGACTTTCTTCACAGAATTGGAAAAAACTACTTTAAAGTTCATATGGAACCAAAAAGGAGCCCGCATTGCCAAGTCAATCCTAAGCCAAAAGAACAAAGCTGGAGGCATCACGCTACCTGACTTCAAACTATACTACAAGGCTACAGTAACCAAAACAGCATGGTACTGGTAGCAAAACAGAGATATAGATCAATGGAACAGAACAGAGCCCTCAGAAATAACGCCGCATATCTACAACTATCTGATCTTTGACAAACCTGAGAAAAACAAGCAATGGGGAAAGGATTCCCTATTTAATAAATGGGGCTGGGAAAACTGGCTATCCATATGTAGAAAGCTGAAACTGGATCTGTTCCTTACACCTTATACAAAAATCAATTCAAGATGGATTAAAGACTTAAACGTTAGACCTAAAACCATAAAAACCCTAGAAGAAAACCTAGGCATTACCATTCAGGACATAGGCATGGGCAAGGACTTCATGTCGAAAACACCAAAAGCAATGGCAACAAAAGCCAAAATTGACAAATGGGATCTAATTAAACTAAAGAGCTTCTGCACAGCAAAAGAAACTACCATCAGAGTGAACAGGCAACCCACAAAATGGGAGAAAATTTTCGCAACCTACTCGTCTGACAAAGGGCTAATATCCAGAATCTACAATGAATTCAAAGAAATTTACAAGAAAAAAACAAACAACCCCATGAAAAAGTGGGTGAAGGACATGAACAGACCCTTCTCAAAAGAAGACATTTATGCAGCCAAAAAACACATGAAAAAATGCTCACCATCACTGGCCATCAGAGAAATGCAAATCAAAATCACAATGAGATATCATCTCACACCAGTTAGAATGGTGATCATTAAAAAGTCAAGAAACAACAGGTGCTGGAGAGGATGTGGAGAAATAGGAACACTTTTACACTGTTGTTGGGACTGTAAACTAGTTCAACCATTGTGGAAGTCAGTGTGGCGATTCCTCAGGGATCTAGAACTAGAAATACTATTTGACCCAGCCATCCCATTACTGGGTATATACCCAAAGGACTATAAATCATACTGCTATAAAGACACATGCACATGTATGTTTATTGCGGCACTATTCACAATAGCAAAGACTTGGAACCAATCCAAATGTCCAACAATGTTAGACTGGATTAAGAAAATGTGGCACATATACACCATGGAATACTATGCAGCCATAAAAAATGATGAGTTCATGTCCTTTGTAGGGACATGGATGAAACTGGAAAGCATCATTCTCAGTAAACTATCGCAAGGACAAAAACCAAACACAGCATGTTCTCACTCATAGGTGGGAATTGAACAATGAGAACACATGGACACAGGAAGGGGAACATCACACTCTGGGGACTGTTGTGGGGTAGGGGGAGGGGGGAGGGATAGCACTGGGAGATATACCTAATGCTAGATGACGAGTTAGTGGGTGCAGTGCACCAGCATGTCACATGTATACATATGTAACTAACCTGCACATTGTGCACATGTACCCTAAAAGTTAAAGTATCATAATAATAAAAAAAAAAGAATATGAGATAGTCATCTTATTTTATGGTGATTAAATATATAAAATTAATGTATCAGAAATTACTTATAGTGGGTGGAGAAAAGTTTAACTGAAGTTCTTTAATTCAGCTACTACCATCAGTTTAAATATATGGTTTGTTAAATGGAACACAAAAATTTTACCAAGCAGGTCTTGTTCCTATTTTCCCATTTTGAATCAAATTTGTTTTATCTCAGAATTTAAGTCAAATATTGTAGTATCATAAACTAAATTATTAAGCTGGGAATTTGGCAAAGAAATCGGGAGATTCACTTTTATGAACCAATTGTGTGTCTTCCAATGGATTAGACATACTTCTTCATTTTTATATTCCAAGTGTTTCTAGACAAATTATCTAAAGGTATCCATTTTATTTTAAATAGTTTTTTACAGTTTATAAACCACAAAATTCACTATTATTAGTTTACAAGTTAATAATTTTGAGGAAACAGGTATGATTGTATGCATATATATGTATGTATATTATATACGTGCATATATACAGACATGTTTAGGTATAAGTATGTATATATGTATACCATTACTTTAGTCTAATTTTAGAATGTATCCACCTTCACCAAAAGTTTCTCTGTGCCTGTTTGAGAGTCATTTATTGTTTCCATCCCAACCAACCATGGAACTAGCTTTGTCTCTATAGTTTTGCCTTTCCTATAAATATTGTAAAATGAAATCATACAATACACAGTTTTTTGCATGACTTGTTACGCTCAGTGTAATATTATAAAGCCTCATCCATGTTGTTGCATGAGCCGTAGTTCATTTCTTTTTATTGCTGAATAGTATTCCATTGTCTGGATATACCATTTTGTTTATCCATTCACCAGCTGATGGTCATTTGAAATGTTTCCAGTTTAAAGCTCTTATGAATAATGCTGCCATAAATACTCACCTTCAAGGCTTTAAATGTGTCTAAAATATATGTTTTAATTTTTTCTGGAGAGAGATTGTTGACTAGAATGCTAAGTTTGTATTTAACTTTTTGAATAACTGGAAAACTGTTTTTCATTGTGGACGTACCGTTTTACATTCCCGCCAGCCATGTCTGAGAGTTCTAATTTTGCATACCCTCAACAGCTTCAGTTTGTCAGTCTCTTTATTTTAGTCATTCTAGTGTGTGTAGTGGTATCTTAATTTTGGTTTTAATTTATATTTCATAATGACTAATGATGTTGAAAATGTTTTTTTGCACTAGTCATTTATATACTGTCTTCAATAAGATATATGCTCAGATATTTTGCCATTTTGAATTGAGTTGAAAGAGTTATTGATATATTGTAGACAGAAGAGCTTTATTAGATATATGAGTTGCCAGTGTTTTCACTCACTCTGTGGCTTGTCTTTTCACTTTCTTAATGGCATTTAGACATAGGTTTATAATTTTGCTGAAGTTCAGTTTAACCATTTGTTTCTTTGATGGATCATGCCTTTGGTATAATATCTAAGAAATCTTTGCTTAATGCCAGGCCCCCCAAATTTTCTCCTATTTCTTCTGGATGTTTATAATCTTAGCTTTTACCTTTAGAAATATAATCTATTTTGAAGTTCTTTTTTGGTACATGGTGTGAGACTACATTCTAAGTGCTTTTTTCATACAGCTATCCAATCATCCCAATATTATTTATTGAAAAGGCATTCCTTGTTCTCATTGAGTTGCCTTGCACCTTTATAAAAAACAGTTTATAAAATGTGAATATATTTCTAGATTTTGTATTTTGTTGTACATGTACATAGAACAAAATTATAAAAATTGCACATTGTCTTTATAAAAATTGCACATTGTTACTTGATTACTGTAACTTTATATTAAATTTTAAAATCCTCCACCTTTGACTTTCTTTTTCAAAATTATTTTAACTATTCTAGGTTTTTGTCATTCCATATAAAATTTAGAATTAGCTTATTAATTTTTACAATAATTTTTGCTGGGATTTTGACAGAGATTCTGTTGAATTTGTAGATCAACCTGAGGAGAATGACATCTTAACGATATTGAGTCTTGAATCGATTAAAATCCATGAAAATGGCATATCTCACCTTATTATATATCTTCATATCTATCTGTCTATCTATCTATCTATCTATCTATCTATCTATCTATATCTCACCTTATTTTAGATCTTTACTTTCTCTCAGCAGTGCTTTATAATTTTCGGTTTATGCGTCTTACACTTCTGTTAAATTTATTCTGAACTATTTTACCCTTTTAAATTATAAGTTGTTTCTTAATTACATTCTCAGATTATTCAAAGTATATAGAAATACAATTCATTTTTGTATATTGATCTTGTAAACTTGCTGTATTTATTAGTAACTTTTTTGTAAATCCCATAGGACTAAAAAAAAAGTCTAATTCTGAAATTCTCCCAGAAACAGACTATATGCTACTGGGAAACAGATACCTGTGCCTAGTACTTGTTTAATAAATGCTTGTTGGGTGAGA
Source organism: Homo sapiens (assembly GCF_000001405.40). Lineage (NCBI taxonomy): Eukaryota > Metazoa > Chordata > Mammalia > Primates > Hominidae > Homo > Homo sapiens. Next base: position 77,662,607 of record NC_000012.12, read on the forward strand.
GAATGGATTTTTGCGTAAATTTCTCCAGAGTATTATGCTTTTCCTAACTATGATTAATATGTATTTTAACTTTATAAAAATGAGACTTTACACATAGGTTTGATGATTATATATTTACATTTCCTGAGGACTAAAATTGTAAATGTTTCATGCTTTAAATACCATTCCTAGGCTACTTAGACAATGTGCAGAAAAAAAAGAACACAGAAATTGACAATTAAATATTAATAGATTTGTTTTATCCAAGAGCATGTTGATGATAAAATTCACCTTTTCCGTTTTTTCCCCAGAGGATGAGTATTTAAGTGAGTATGTGATCAATGCTAAGTGCATTAAGGATGCATTTCTTACTGTCAGGCTTTGATTTCATTAAAGAAAAATGCTTATGCCTTATTATGTTTATTGCATAATTTGTAATTTACAACAATAATACATCTATTTAATTTTCACTTAAATGTTGTAAATTACAGTCTTTAAGAATACATTAAGCACAAATCTTTTTTATTATCGTTTTTGTGAAACTAACAATCAGAGTCATTTTAGACATCTCACACTTAACTAGGAGAATATTTTTTCTTAAATAATTTTTGAATTAAGATTTTTAACTACATAAAATACAAATGCCTGTTTTCCCCACAGTAATAACTGATATAGTGATAAACATACATCATATTCTGACTACTATGTGAGGTATATGAAAACATCCCTCGCTTTTTAAGTCAAAAACAGGTTTATGGAGTTTTCAATTTGTCAGTTCTGACACTGAGTGCCTCAGTTGGAAACTAAGGACACAAAGAAAAAAATATTCACAAAAGAAACATACAAACAAAAAGATATAACCTGCAAAGCTAACTTTTTCGACTATGAGTGAGGCTTATACTACATATAAAGCAGTATTTCTTTCTTCTTCTTCTTCTTTTTTTTTTTTTTTTGAGACAGAGTTTTGCTCTTGTTGCCCAGGCTGGAGCGCAATGGCGCGATCTCGGCTCACTGCAGCCTTGGCCTCTCAAGTTCAAGCAATTCTTCTGCCTCAGCCTCCCAAGTAGCTGGAATTACAGGCCTGCACCACCATGCCCAGCTAATTTTGTATTTTTAGTAGAGACCAGTTTTCTCCATGTTGGTCAGGCTGGTCTCGAACTCCTGATCTCAGGTAATTCGCCCGCCTTGGCCTTTCAAAGTGCTGGGATTACAGGCGTGAGCCACCACTCCCAGCCAGCAGTATTTCTTTTAAGTGAGCATGAGTGAGCCAATATATGTGTCTGTATATCTATGTATATAGTTATATGTAGATATATATGTGTACATATTGTTTTGAACAATAGTCCCTGGCGTATAATAAGCAATCAATATATTTTTACCATTATTATTAAACCTGATTGAAAAGTCCTGGTGTAGTCTTTGTCATAGTCAATGTCATGTAAAACATTTCTACATATTAACCCTTTAGCATGGTACAGTTTGGTGACCATAACACGATGGTAAACATGACATTAACCAAAATTAAAAATTATGAAATTATTCAGGTTTTGGCATGTGCCAATGGTGAAATACTTACATGAAATAGCTAATAATATTATTAATATTTAATGGAGATGTTTGGATCTAAATTATTTTAGCAATACAATAAGAACTGAAAATAATTCCTTTAAATATCCATGAAAATCTTCCTACTTATATATCAGAACAGTTTTCTAGTCCTGCACCAAATAATTGTGATATTCAATGAAGAATGAGGTACTGCTTAATGTATTATTAATTTTATTTCCTGGAAGAGTTGGCTAAATATTCAATAGGTTGGTATCCAGTGCTGCCTCACAATGCTTAAGGATATTTAAATACTTTTTCTTTTTGACACTTTTAATGTGCACTTGTAATTATGTTAAAGTAGTCGATAATTTGACAGTATCATTAATAATGACAAACATGTTCTAGGGAAAATATATTATTTTAATAGTACTCTGCTAAAGTCACAGATGATAAGGTTTACACTTACAGTTCTATTATAACTCCTAAGTCATGAATTCTGTTGAACTTCAAAAGTTAAGTGCTGTATTAGTCAATAAATCTTTGTTCAAACTTGTCAGTTAAAATGTAGTATCTTAACCCCACTTTGATTTATTTATATTTGTTCAGATTAAAAAATGAAAGAAACCAAGAAAACCTGACCTTCAATTTATTCATATTTGTTCAGATTAAAAAACAAAAAAGAGAAAACACTCTAAAATCTTAATCTGCATGTAATAGATTCTTCTGTGACAACACATTATTTTTGTACAGTAAACACAGATTTTTATTTTACTTATTTGTTTATTTATTTTCTAAGAGACAAGGTCTTGTGATGTTGTCCAGGCTGGAGTTGCAGTGGCTATTCCTGCCTCAGCCTCCCAAGTAGCTGGGACTGCAGGTGCACACCCCCTCGCCTGGCTAAAAATAAATATTGATGAAAGTTATGTAAACAAGTTTGTGCTACTTCATTGTTCCTCACTAAAGAGTTGTAATTTATATCAACACTTTTGGAGTGGGGATACTTGACCTTTTGTAGTTTATAAACCCCTGGAACTTTTCATCTGAAAAAAGCATGTAGGTGCATATGCAAATAAAATTGTGTTTACAGTTTGACTGAATTACTTGATCCCCTAAGCTCAGTCAAGGACATATCTATATTATTAAACTCACTTCTTTAGGAAACCCAATTCTAATACTTCCATGTAAACCAAGGAAAATTATAAAAACTCCATAATTATATTTAGCCAGCATCACAGAATTCTTATTTCCTTTTCTCTTTCACATGAGGGCCTTATGGTTTTATTTCATGTTAATTTTTGTATAAGAATTAATACTTTTTAAAAAGTTATGCTTTCCAAAAAATATTTTTATGTGAAGATAATATTTATTCTCTTTTGTTAGAAAGTTGTGAGAAAGTCTCTTTTATCAGTAAAAACTTCCCGTATCTTGGGAAGATAAGGACTGAGGAGATCTCATAATGTCTTTAAAATCTGATATGATTTTTTTGAGTTATAAATATAAACTATTAAACATCTACTTTATACCAGGCTTAAAGCATCATTTCATTCATTCTCATAAAAACACTAGAAGTATACATGATTATTTCTAATTCCTATTTATAGTTGAAGCAACTGAGGCTCAGTCAGTAATTACTCAAAGAGGGCACACTGTGATCCCTGTCAGTCTCTCTGAATTTATAGCTGCTGATCCTAACCATTCCACTTCAAGTTAATATAGTTTGCCTGGAATCACAAAAGAAATGTTATTTTGGTAATTTTTCAAATGAGGAAAAAGTACACATTGTGTGACATCTCAAAATCTTTACACATTTCGCTTTAATTCATTTACTCAAAATTATCTAGTGCCTAGGATAAACTCTTTTTGACAGATTGCAAAAATGAGAAACCTATGTAATTATGACTTTAATTAGTTTATTATCTGTTAATCATAATTTATATGTAAAATTTCTTCTAATCTCTTCTGTTTTTATAAAATTCCATCTTCCACTCTTTCAGGTATACTCATGTAGACATACCCTAATTGCTTCCAATAGCAACATGTTTACAGTTTTTTTTTTTTTTTTTTTGTCTAGTCAGGGGTCTCTCTACTGAGTCTTTCAAATCACTCATTAATAATATCTCTTCTAATTATTGGCCAAACAGTAGATCTTGATTTCATTAACTTGTGTTTCAGTAACTTCTCATTTTGAAACCAAATGCCTTGTACATAGTAGACATGCAACAGATACTCATAGAATGAATGAATGAATTTATAATGGCTAGACTACAAACAAAAATCAGATTACTTGAATCATATGAAGAGAGACGCTATTTAATCTAATGTCTATTAAATAAAAAGCCAAATGTTGCAAAGTTTATCTATTAGAAAAAAAAAGAATACTCCACAAGAAAATGGCAGATTTAATTTAACGCATTCTGAGAATAAATTCAAAGATTGTAAAGCAATTGGCTTGTGCTAAGTAAGTCTAAATATTCTGCTCAAGGTATTAAATTGAATTAGGAATTAAATCCTCTTATTTAAAGGGATGTATTGTGCTTCTTTGAGATTTACACTATCCAGATTAGCATTTTATTTAATCTAGAATTTTTCTTTGATATTCACATCAGATAGGAGGAGAAAATTTGTTTCAAAGTTTTTCTTTTAAGGTTGATTTGATTAATCATACTTCTATTGAGTATTTTCTATCTGCTGCTTGTCGTGTTGGGTAACAATGGCTTTCTTTTGGAAGTAGATTTTATGGATGTTTCATATTTAATTTCATAACTAAGTCAAAACATTTAATGGCTACCTTAAAATAAGGCTATCTTATAAATGAGACATTTGTTACAAATTTTATGAACTAAAATGGAGTGTGTGTATGTGTATACTTTTTTTAGATTTATCAGTCCCATGTCCAAATCCGAAGAATACATTTCTAATTGTACATTCCTAATTATGCAGAACGTAAAGTCTGAATGCAAAAACTTTTGCAGGAGATGGAGTTGTAGAGATTAAGATGGCGAGTAGGAGGCAGGACTAGCTTGCAGCTCCTGCTCAGACAGACAGAGTAGCATGTGAAGACTCACATCATGAACTTTTGCTCCAAGAAATACCGCAGGAACATACCAGGAAAGGCGAGAGAATCCACAGACCCTTTGAAGGAACTGGATTGCTGCCGCAGGCTCCCTGAGATGCCAAAAAACTGAGTCAGCTTGCTTTCTCAGGTGGTGGTCTGGGGCAAGTTCTCAGCCCTGGTCACAGGCTGCCTGGAAATAGACTCCATGCTGTTGGTCGGGCATGGCGGGAGTAAGACCAGCCTTTATGACTGCTGGCTGTATGGAAGTGGGGTGAGGCCTGTGACTTGTGGCTTCCCCCCACTTCCCTGGGGACCTGTATGACTCAGCAGAGGCAGCCATAATACCACTGGGAACATAAGTCCATTGGCTTGGGAACCACAATCCCATCCCCCACAGTAGTCACACGGCAAGCCTCACCCAGGGAGACTCTGAGCTCAGACATACCCATCCCTGCCCCAACCTGGTAGTCTTTCTCTACCCACTCTGGTAGCTGAAGACAAAGGATATAATCTCTTGGTAGCTCTATGGCCCTGTCCACCACTTGAGAAACCTGAATACTAAACCAGGCACCCCTAGGGCAAATCTGCATCCTCCCTGTACAACCACAGCTGATGCACTCTTGAAAGCACCACCTTCTGTCTGGAGGCCAACCAACACAAAACTGGTGCACTAAACAGAAATACAACCAAGACTCACAGAGTCTTCTTCACTCCCCTGCTACCTCCACCAGAGCAGGTGCTGGTATCCATGGCTGAAAGACCTGAAGACAGATCACATCACAGCGTTCTTTGCAGACACTCCCCAGTACCACCTGGTAGCTCCACTGGGTGGCTAGACCCAGAGAGCAAAAACAGTTGCTGCAGTTTGGCTCTCAGGAAGCCCTATTTCTAGGGGAAAGGGGAGACCACCACATCAAGGGAGCATCCCATGGGACAAAAGAATCTGAACAGCAGCCCTTGAGTTCTGGATCTGACCTAGTCTACCCAAATGAGATGGACCCAGAAAAACATTCTAGTAATATGACCAAACAAAGTTCTTGATTACCCCCAAAAGATCACATCAGCTTATCAGCAACGGATCCAAACCAAGATGAAATCTCTGAATTGCCAGAAAAAGAATTCAGATGGTCGACTATTAAGCTAATCAAGGAGGCACCAGAGAAACGTGAAGTCCAACTTAAAAAAAATTAAAAACATAATACAGGATATGAAAGGAAAAATCTTCAGTGAAATAAATAGCATAAATAAAAAATGTTCACAACTTCTAGAAATCAAGGACACACTTAGAGAAATGCAAAATGCACTGAAAAGTCTCAGCAATAGAATTGAACAACAAGAAGAAAGAACTTTGGAGCTCAAAGACAAGGCTTTTGAATTAACCCAATCCATCAAAGACAAAGAAAAAAGAATAAAGAATAATAATAAAAGATGAGTAAAGCCTCCAAGAAGTATAGGACTATATTATTGTCCAAACCTAAGAATAATTGGTGTTCTTGAAGAAAAAGAGAAATCTAAAACTTTGGAAAACATATTTTAGAGAATAATGGAGGAAAACGTCGTCCTTGGCCTTGCTAGAGATCTAGATGTCCAGTACAAGAAGCTCAAAGAACCACCTGGGAAATTCATTACAAAAAGATCATTGCCTACACACATAGTCATCAGGTTATCTAAAGTCAAGATGAAGGAAAGAATCTTAAGAGGTGTGAGGCAAAAGTATCAGGTAACCTATAAAGGAAAACCCATCAGATTAACAGCAGATTTCTCAAAAGAAACCCTACAAGCTAGAAGGGAATGGGGTCCTATTTTTATCCTCCTTAAACGAAACAATTATCAGCCAAGAATTTTGTATCCAGCAAATCTAAGTTTCGTAAATGAAGAAAAGATACCGTGTTTCCCAAATGAAGGAAAATTACAGTCTTTTCCAAATGAAGGGAAAGATAGTCTTTTCCAAAACAAATGCTGAAAGAATTTGCCATTACCAAGACAGCACTACAAGAACTGCTAAAAGGAGCTCTAAATCTTGAAACAAATCCTCAAAATACACCAAAATCGGACCTCCTTAAAGCATAAATCTCACAGGGCCTAAGTAACAACACAATGAAGAAAAAAACAACGTATTCAGGCAACAAATAGCACGATGAATAGAATAGTACCTCACATCTCCATACTAACATTGAATGTAAGTGGCTTAAATGCTCCACTTAAAAGATACAGAAAGACAGAGTGGATAAGAATTCAACAACCAAGTTTCTGCTGTCTTCAGGAGACTCACCTGACACATCAGGACTCACATAAACTTAAGGTAAAGGGGCAGAAAAAGGTATTCCATGCAAATGGACACCAAATGCAAGCAGGAATAGCTATTCTTATATCAGACAAAACAAACTTTAAAGGAACAGCAGTTAAAAAAGACAAAGAGGGATGTTTTATAATGATAAAAGACTAGTACAACAGGAAAATATCACAATCCTAAATATATATGCACCTAACACTAGAGCTCCCAACTGTATAAAACAATTACTACTAGACCTAAGAAGTAAGATAAATGGCAAACAATAATAGTAGGGGACTTTAATACTCTATTGACAGCAGTAGACATGTCATCCAGACAGAAAGTCAACAAAGAAACAGTGGACTTAAACTATACAACAAATGGACTTAACAAATATTTAATGAACATTCTACCCAACAACTGCAGAATATACATTCTATTCAAGAACAATCCAAACCCAAAGCCAGCAGAAGAAAAGAACGAAGATCAGAGCAGAATTAAATGAAATTGAAACAAACAAAAAAAATACAAAAGATAAATGAAACAAAAAGCTGGTTCTTTCAAAAGGTAAATAAAATTGATAGACCATTCTTGAGGTTAAACAGGAAGAGAGAATATCCAAATAAGCTCAATGGGAAACAAAACGGGAGATATTACAATTGATACCACAGAAATACAAAAGATTATTCAAGGCTATTGTGAACACCTTTACATGCATAACCTAGAAAACCTAGAGGAGATGAATAAATTCCTGGATGTATACCATCCTCCAAGGTTAAACCAGAAAGATATAGAAACTCTGAACAGACCAATAACAAGCACCAAGATTGAAATGGTAATTAAAAAATTACCAACCAAAAAAGCCCAGAACTAGATGGATTTACAGCTGAATTCTATCAGACATTCAAAGGAGACTGGTTCCAATCCTATTGACACTATTCCACAAGATAAAGTGGGAATCCTCCCTACATCATTTTATGAAGCCAGTATCACTCTAGTACCAAAACTAGGGAAAGACAGCAAAAAAAGAAAACTGCAAACCAATATTCCCTATGAACATAGATGCAAAAATCCTCAACAAAATACTAGCAAACCAAATCTAACAGCATATCAAAAGGATAATCCACCATGATCAACTGGGTTTCATACTAGGGATGCAGGGATGTTTTAACATACATAAGTCAATAAATGTGATACACCGCTTAAGCAGAATTAAAAACAAAAATCAGACGATCTTCTCAATAGATGCAGAAAAAGCATTTGACAAAATCCAGCATCCCATTATGATTAAAACCATCAGCAAAATTGGCATAGAAGGGGCAAACCTTAGGGTAATAAATGCCATCCGTGACAAACCCACAGACAACATTATACTGAATGGGAAAAAGTTGAAAGCATTCTCCCTAAGAAGTGGAACAAGACGAGGATGGGTACTTTCACCACTTGTATTCAACACAGTACTGGAAGTCCTAGCCAGAGCAATCAGATAAGAGAAAGAAATAAAGGACATCCAGATAAGTAAAGAGGAAGTCAAACTGTTGCCATTTGCTGATGATATGATCATATACCTGGAAAACTCTAAAGACTCATCCAGAAAGCTCCCAGAACCGGTAAATGAATTCAGCAAAGTTTCAGGATACAAAATTCATGTATACAAATCATAGCTCCACTATACACCAACAGTGACCAAACTGAGAATCAAATAAGGAACTCAACACCTTTTACAAGGGCTGCAAACAAACAAAAAACAAGAAACAAAAACAAAAACAAAATACTTAGGACTATACCTAACAAAGGAGGTGAAAGACCTCTACAAGGAAAACCCTGCTGGAAGAACTCATAGATGACACAAACAAATTGAAAATGGCCATATTGCCAAAAGCAATCTACAAATTCAATGCAATTCCCATCAAAATACCACCATCATTCTTTAAGAAACTAGAAAAAAATGATCCTAAAATTCATATGGAACCTAAAAGGAGTTTTCATAGCCAAAGCAAGACTAAGCAAAAATAATAAATCTGGAGGCATCATATTACCTGACTTCAAACTATACTATAATGCCGTGGTCACCAAAACAGCATGATACTGGTATAAAAATAGGCACCTAGACTAAGGGAACAGAGTAGCGATTCCAGAAATAAAACCAAATACTTACAGCCAACTGATCTTTGATAAAGCAAACAAAAACGCAGAGTGGGGAAAGGACACCCTATTCGACAAATGATGGGATAATTGGCAAGCCACATGTAGAGAATGATACTGGATTTTCATCTCTCAGCTTATACAAAAATTGACTCAAGATGGATCAGACTTAAATCTAAGGCATGAAATCATAAAAATTCTGGAAGATAACGTCAGAAAAACCCTTCTAGATACTGGCTTAGGCAAAGACTTAATGACCCAAGAACCCAAAAGCAAATGCAACAAAAACAAAGATAAATAGATAGAACTTAAACTAAAAAGCTTCTGCACAGCAAAATAAACAATCAGTAGAGTTAACAGACAACCCACAGAGTGGGAGAAAATCTTCACAATCTATGCCTCCGACAAAAGACCAATATCCAGAAGCTACAAAGAACTCAAACAAATCAGCAAGAAACAAACAAGCAATCCCATCAAAAAATGGGCTAAGGACATGAATAGACAATTCTTAAAAGAAGATATACAAATGGCCAACAAGCATATGAAAAATGCTCAACATCACTAACGATCAGGGAAATGCAAATCAAAACCACACTGCGGCCTGCAAGCATGGTCATAAGCAAAAAATAATAAAAAAATAGATGTTTGCATGGATGTGGTGAAAAGAGAACACTTTTACACCGTTGGAGGGAATGGAAACTAGTAAAACCATTACGGAAAATAGTGTGGAGATTCCTTAAATAACTAAAAGTAGATCTACCATTTGGTCCAACAATCCCACTACTAGGTAGATATCTACCCAGAGGAAAATAAGTCACTATATGAAAAGGATACTTGCACACGCATGCTTACAGCAGCACAACTTGCAATTACAAGAATGTGAAACCAACCCAAATGCCCATCCATCAACGAGTGGATAAAGAAAAGGTGATAAGTGTGTGTGTATGTGTGTGTGTGTGTATATATGGCTGAGTAGTATTCCATGGTGCGTACACATATACATATGTATGTATATGTATAAGCTATGAGGACACACAAGCATAAGAATGATACATTGGACTTTGAGGACTCAGGGGAAAGGGTGGGAGTGGGGTGAGGGATAAATGACTATACATTGGGTATAGTGTACACTGTTCAGGTGACAGGTGCACCAAAATCTCAGAAATCACGACTAAAGAACCTGTTCCCTAAAAACTTATTGAAATAAAAAAGAAATTAAAAAAAATAAAATTGTGGGAAAGGAGCTACTAGTTTTAGTTAGTGTAAAATTGATTTTAAAACTATATGACTATTTTGAAGGATAGTAAGAGATGAGGAAAATAACAACTAAGGGCTTCCAAAGGAAATGTTTGCCTTTTGTTCTTTTTGTTATTTTTCTCCACTTTTTTCGTGATATGTATTTGTACATTCAGAATTCTTAGTGTTGTAGAAAGTAGTTATTACTTGTATGTCTGTTCATATTTAGAGGTAATCAAGTGTATTTTGCTATATACATTTTTACTTTTTAAAAATGTTCACACCTAAACATTACACCAGGGATATAAACTTGTGGAAATATCAGCCTTTTTTGCTCATCTTTTTTTGCTGAGTGTTTCTCTCAAAACTCCATTAACAATGAATTTGGCTTTACTATTCACACATATGTTACATTTAAAATGTCCTCTTTTATGATCAGGTTGCATTGCAAGAGATTCATACTCAGCGTCTCACATGAATGATTCAACAGAGATTAATGAACATAATAGCAATTTCTTATTATAGTATATATAGTAATTTCTTCTTATTCACTGAAAGGAGAAACATTAATAAAAACTAGTAATAACTGTTAAGGTTTTCTTTTAATATTATATCTAAGGTATAACTCACATTTTCAACTTCCTACATTTATTTTAAAGCAACAAATCTTCCTTGAGCCATTGAAGACATTTATTTTGATAAATATGAAAGATGCAATAATTTTTTGAACACTCCTCCAAGTAATCTGATACACAATGACATCAAGTTCATTTGAAAGCAAATACCTATTCCTGAACTTTTGTATGGTGTTTGATATCAAACCTTTCCTAAGATTTACCCATTTAAAAAAAGAAATAGGTGAGGAGGAAGTTACATACCCTTCTCTTATGGGAAGAATTTTCTATAGAAAATATTTCATTTTATAAACTGTAAAATACCTATAATAATCATAAGTTCTATTGCATATCTATTTTTCTTTTACTGTGTTGTGATCAACACACAATGAACTCTTGCTTTTTAAAGTGGTAATTGATATTTAGATTCAACTTTTTTTTAAACCAAATGAACAAGAATTTGGTTAGCCTTCAGAGTCTTAATACACTGCATATGTTTTTGTTAAAAATATTAACTCCCTGAATTCTCATTACCTAATTTTAACTTTCAAACTAATATCCCAGGTCATGAAATGAACCATCATTTCCAAAGGAGTCTTAAAATACTATTAAGAATATTATAAAATGTTGTGCCATTTTGCTGTCTTACAGAGCCATAATATCAATGTTTCTTTATAAATGTAAAAATAGCAAACCATTTTATTAGGTTTTCTTCATACAACTCTGGCTTTGGGCTATCTTTAGCTCATGTGGTTTGGGTCATCTTAACTAAAAAGAAGTTTGTAATATTCAGTGGGCTGACTACATAGGCAAATCTAAATGACATTTGGATTTCTTGCCCCTTAATTACACATTCTGAATTCTACCCACATGTTCTTTGGAAGATATAGCTAAAGTTCAACTAACACCAAATGGAGATATTTTCAAATTATACTTTTTTTTTTTTTTGAGATAAGGTCTCACTCTGTTGCCCTTGAAGTGCATTGGCACGATCATGGCTCACTGTAGCCTCAACCTCCCAGGCTCAGGTGATCCTCCCACCTCAGCCTCCCACGTAGCAAGTAGCTGGCACTACAGGCATGCACCACCACACGTGGCTCATTTTTATATTTTTTATACAGATGGAGTTTCACCACATTGCCCAGGGTGACCTCAAACTCCTGAGCCCATGCAATCCACCCACCTCAGCCTCCCAAAGTGCTGAATTATAGACATTAGCCACCATGCCCAGTCTATACTCCAATTTTAAACTCAGTGGTTTTTGTTAAGTTGCACATGCATTTATATCCATGCATTCATTCAATTATTATTCATTGAATACTTACTATATGTTCTAGGCTTGATAGTGAAGATATATTGGTGACCAAATCAGACCTGACTTCTGTCTTCATGGAGCTTAAACTCTGGAGGAAAAGAAAGTTGAGTGCCAAACAAATATTCTGTATTTGTATTTGAACTGTACTAAGTGCCACAAGAGAGAACAAATGTCATGTCTTTAACAGCAGGATCTGAATTGACAGATGGGTGGTCAAAGAAGGTATTCTCAAGGAAGTAGATTTTTAGGTGAGAACTGAAAGGATAGAGCATACGGTAAGTGCATTTCAGGCAAAGACAGGGACCATGAATGACGTCCTTGAGGTACACAGGGCTTATTTACACATACTAAATAACTCATGCAACAAATCAGAAGTAAAGAAAAATGTAGCATTTTACATTGTTTGTTATTAATTCAGTCTTCTTTGTGAATATTCAGTTGTAGCAGTCAGGTTTCAACCAGAAAAACAGAACTGTTAGGAGATATATATTAAGAGATTTATTGCAAGGAATTGGCTTACATGATTGTGGGGACGGGCTAGGCAAGTCAACAGTTCTTAGAGTACATTTTCAAGGATAGGCTGGAACTCTCCAGCAGGAGCTGAAGCTGCTATTCAAAGGCAGAATTTCCTTCAGCTCTGCTTTTAAGACCTTTCAACTAAAAGGCCCACCCGGAATAGCAAGGATAGTCTCTCTTACTTAAAGCCTACTGATTATGGATTTTAATCATATTCATAAAATACCTTCACAGCAACACCTAGATTAGATTCCCATTTGACTGAATAGCTGGAGACTGCACCTAGAAAGATTGTCATGTAAAACTGACCATCACACCAATGCAATTTAAATTTTTCCAATTTGAACATTTAGGCAATCCTCTTAGGTAAACATCAGCCTCTCATTTAGATAAAAATGTGCTCCTCAGACCACCTTCCTCTCAACCACCTTCCCCTGCTGTGATGGTGTCCAGTTGTCAGTGGGTGAGTGTTCTGGGAAGGTTGTGCCTTGTGAGATCTGAGGTCCTGGGAGGGCCTCAGGCTTCTTCCTGTGCTGGTCCTTGTGTGTTTGTGGACTATAGGTTTCTGGCCCTGATCTACCTGGTTGACACATGGCCTTCTGTCCTGGACTTTGATCCTGGCCAGTACTGTCAGTCTCCCCTCCGTGGTCAATGATGTTGACCTCTGGATTTCTGCTCTCTACTGCATTTGGCCCTGCCTGGGAATTTCCACAGTTCCTCACCCACCAGAAGGGCTGTCATCACATCATCCACTTCACATGGGAAGCAAGCAGCTTTGGAGTGCTAGCTTTTTTTTTTAAATTTTTTTTTATTTTAAGTTCTAGGATACATGTGCTGAACGTGCAGGTTTGTTAAATAGGTATACATGTGCCATAGTGGTTTGCTGCACTTATCAACCCATCATCTAGGTTTTAAGCTCCGCATGCTTTGGGTATTTGTCCTAATGCTCTCCCTTCCCTTGCCCCCCACCCACCAACAGGCCCCATTGTGCTAGCTTTAAGGCTACTCTCTCTTCCTGAAAGGAGTGCTCCACCTTGATATTGCCACTCCCTAGATCCAGAGGGTGGCTTACAAGGTGGTGTCCTCCATGGCCTCTTCCAGGCAGATGATGGACTGTCCTTAGCACTGCTGGCACAGCTGACAAGCATGTCTTATAGTGGTTTTTATCTTTTATTTTCCTTCCACCAATCTCCCAGGGTTAGAAACAAGTGGGCTTTCTTTTCTTTTTGCAGAACTCGTCCTGTGTGGCTGGTAAGCCTACCCCTTTAAAGCCTTTTTTTTTTTTTAAATTTTTTAAAAAATTTTACTTTAAGTTCTGGATACATGTGCAGAATGTGCAGGTTTGTTACATAGGCATACATGTGCCAGGGTGATTTGCTGCACCTATCAACCTGTCATCTAGGCAAGGGGGAGGGAGAGCTTTAGGACAAATACCTAATGCATGTGGAGCTTAAAACCTTTAAAGTCTTTTGAAAAGCACAGTTTAAATATCAATCATGTTGTCCTTCACCAGGCATGGATTGAGGAGAAAAGGCCCCCTCCCCTCCAAAAAAAACCCTATTTATGAGGGAAAGTTAAGGACCTAGGGTTAGGGTAAGGGTGAGGTGTATGAGGAGGAAGGGGAAGTGAGCACAACATTCTTTAAGCTTTGCTTAGATCCCCAGAATTGAAATGTTGACTCTAGATAGACATGATAATTAGATTTTAAAATGGTTCTCACACTCATTAAAACTCCTAAACCAGCACAAAGGAACATGAAGTGTATCTACCAGTAGTGGGGATTGATTCCTCATGATCCATTTATCTCTTCTTAACCCATCCCCACATTTAACCAGAGGTATTTTCAACATGAAGTATTGAAGAGATAGTTTCAGTTTGAGGCTAAGAAGTAATTCACTTATGCAACAAATATTGATTTAGTATATCTAGGCACAGCCTATAATATGAAATACTGAATGAATGCATGAATAATATGAAATGGTCTCAGTTTATAATTGGCTATTTATCCATTACAAAAACTTATTCTTTTAAAAAGATAACTTAAATAGATGAAAAAATGGAATGTCACACATTCTGTGCCCTGATGGTAGGGATGGCTCCATGGATATGCTTAGAAGGGCCCTGCACTTGGTTTAATGCCCGGTTGTTGTTGCCATCTTAAAATTCTTAATTTTTAAACAAGGGTCCCAACACATATTCATTTTGTGCCAGCCCAGCAAATTATGTATCTTGTCCTCAACAGAATAATTTGACTTCCAATCCTGACTTCACTTACTAGCTCTTAAGCAAGTTATTCAACTACTCTAAACTTCATTGTCTTATCTGTAAAATGGACATGTACCAGTGCCTGAAAGGGATTGCTGAGAAGATAAAATGAGATGTGTGAATGGAGTAATTAGCGCATTGCTTTGTAATTAGCAAGCGTGCAGTGAATGTTGGCAGCTGCTGCTGCTGTTACTACTACATAAATAAATGTGTTTTGGAACCAAACTATTTTTTTAGGTCTAAACAACCTACTAATGTAACAAATACATTGCGCTGTTCAAAAATAAAAGCTACATAAAGTCATTTTTAAAAATTCAAGACATTGCTGAGACTGCCTGCTTTATTTTTCTAGTCACTGGTTAGTTTTCTTATAGTAAATAGATTTTTTTTCACAGATTTATTAAAATTGAAATAATTTTTTTCTTACAACTTTAAGACTCTTAAATAGTATGATTTTCTAAAGGACAGATAGCAGGCTCTGATGTTACGCCTTGTTAGCACTGATTTGCTCTTAGGAGTTTGACAATTTAGCTTCTATTTTAAGGCATTAATATTTAATATAGATTTATAAATAAATGAAGTACACACAAATTCCACTAAGTAAAACCAGATGAAGCACATGGACAAATGGAAGTGGTACATTAGGAGGAAGCAATATATATAATACAGTAATGTTATATTTTAAAAATGTATAACCAATCTTATTTGATAAAGGATTGGAGCAGAATATTTTACCTATTCAGCATCACCAGAAGAATGGATTGACTGTTGTTTTTTTTAAATAACTGAAGCTTAAGCACTTAAACTTTTAACGTTTACTAACGTATTTTAATGGAAATTATTGTTTCTATGGAAATCTTAGATTTTGCAGGCATCTGATTCCAAAAATAGAATGTATTAAGCATAATTTTTTATTAATGACTCAAGGTCGTCATTCTATCATATCTTTATAGTATTTTCTCTTTGGGGACTTGAAGGGATCACAGGAATCCCCTACTTCCTTTACAGGAATTTCCTCAACTTTCTGCGGAATGCTAGCTGGTGCTTACTTGTTCCATTTGCTGGCATAGCTTCAAATTTCTAATGACCAGCTCAATTGTAGGAAGGCTGTTTCTGCTGTTTACCCCTTTCTCAAGATTTTTAAAATATATTTGATTCTTGTCAGTCTCTTTATGTGGTTAGAATTAATAGATCTGTAAAAACTCAGGAGCATTATCTCAGCCATCTTATACCATATGGTACCCTAAGAAGTAGAGAAATCTAATCCCAGAGCGATCAGAAGGAAGACAGAAGGACAGAGAGGAAAGAGAGGAGAAATTAAGGGAGTGTGCCCAGTTCCTGAAAGCTTTCTGGCTTCTGTTTATCTAGAAACTTTATGATTAAGTATCTCATTATCCTTTGAAAGTCTTTAAGTATTCCATTATCTTTTAAGTAACTCCAAAACTTTCAAAAATGTAGTTTGAATTTGTGTTATTTTACTTGTGAACAAAAGCATCTTAAGTACGACTGTGTCTACTTTAGGCATAGTCTACATTAGTTACTATGCAATGTTAACTCATTTTGAATTTGCAGGTTACTAACTCTGGATTTTTTTTAACCTCGATTCAGGACTTTATATTAAAGCTCTGTTAAGTTGCAATATACCTTTGAATATGATACCTTTGAATATCATAATAGTGCAAGAGGCACTGAAGGCCTCTACTAGGGCACTAACAGGTTATCGGGGAAACAACACGAAGGATAGGAAGACATTATGAGAAGGTTTAAAAGGATGTGGTGCTGACTGGATGGAGGGAGATGGATAAGAGATTGAATCCTTAAGATAACTTACAAATGAATGGGTAGAGTTTGATGCCATTCACGGAAATGGAACATATAGAAAGGGATGAAAGGGAAGATGAGTTGTTCCCTTCTCGTCATGTTGAGTTTGCTTCACTTGTAGCAGGGGTACATACATAAGTCTGGATCTCAAAAGAGAGGCCCAGAGGACAGTTAAAAAAAAAAATCAATGAGTTGTTTATTAAGTGATAGTTTACTCCAGGATGCTGAAAGGGCCTACTCAGCAAGGATGCAGAGTATGAAAAGGGAAGGCTGGAGATGGGACTGGGGAGCACCAACTAGTGGAAGAAGAGAATGAACTCTGAGAAAATTGAGAAACAGCAGCCTGAGAGGCGAGAAGTAGTGGGAAAAGACAGCGTCAGAAAAGACAAGATGCATTTGAGAAGCAAGAGCGATCAACAGTGTCAAGTGACCCAGAAAAATCAAGTTGGATTAGGAGTGCCGTATGCCCATAATCTTGGATGACTCAGAGGCAACTGCTGACTTTAGACAGAGTATTGTCAGTGGATCAGTGGGTAGGAAGAAGGCCAGCTTACCATCGAACCAGAAGTAATGGGCAGTGTGGAGGTACGCGTCATGTCCTTGCCTTTCATAAGCTGAACTGAGTGAGAACGAAAAGAGAGGATTTATAGAAATAAGAGGATGCACAAGTGAAAGGGAAACTTTTGAACAATAGAGATTGCATGGTGTTATACTGAGGGAGGAAGAAAGTTAGAAGGCACAGGGAAAGGGGGTATTGACTGATGGAGGGACAGACAGAAGAATAGGATCCAGAGTTCCAGTGTCTGAATTTGCTTCTGATAAAATTTCAGAACAGACACTTTTATGCCTGTGGGGAGTGATGTGGGCATGGGCAGGAGGGTAAGGGACTGGGAATTGAGGTGTACTTTTTTCCCAACCTAATGCTGATTTTTTTCCTCCCTTGAAGAAAGAATATCTATTAGGGTAATGCTGTTTGCATCTTTCCACCTCACCCACACTTCGCCTAGGGGAAGAGGGAGGCATCATTTACTTAACTGTGGATTCATGGGCTACCTTTTCTCCTTTCTCCCTATCAGGAATTCTCTATTTCTCTGTTAGAGTTGTGAATGGGTTAGTAAGACTGTCTAGCTTTCGTTTTCAATATTAGGAGACTTATTCAGCTTTCACACTTAAGCCCAGTCGCCAATGTTAGCATTCACAATAAGAAAGATGGTATTTTGTACTTCATTGCCAAATTCTTTTATCCTGTTTCTCTGTTGGCCCAGAATTCAAGCAAGGAAGAAGAATGCTGTCTTCTTTGTGCCCTTTATTGATTTTCAGGAAACTTTTCTTCTATAGTATGTGCAAAGTAGGTGCACAATATAAGAAAAATATCTCTATACACACGAGAATGGAAAGTTAAAAGAGAGTCTTGGTTTCATATAGGAGACAAGAACCAATGCCAGGAGTCGAAAGTGGAGTAGAAGCTGAAGGAAGAGTCACATATGGACACCAAGAAAGAGTACTCAATAGCATTTTTTATCCAGTGGAGATGAGAATCTATTAAAATAGTTTTCCCTTTTATTCCTCAATAAAGTTGACTGTGATGATGAGATCCGATTTTGGGGGGAGGGGCGGAAGTCATTCTTTGTTAGATTTCTGGCCCTGGGATCTTATCTTTAACTTTTTCTGAAGTCATTGGTACATACTTAAATTTGCCTAGTATTTTTTTATCTTTAGGGTTAGCAGCTTGAAGATAGCTTGATCACTTCTCCGATAAGCTCTTTAACCTATTACATCTTTTAATTTTGAAAAGATTTCAGTCCAGAATTTCAGTAAGTTCTCCAACTTACTTCATCTCCCTTGTGAGCAATAAAATTAAAAGTCATGTTAAGAACATTCAGTTCAGAAAACATGATTTGGATACCTACTTGATGAAAGGCAAACAAGTAATAGGTAATTATATTGGTGATGTTAAATATGCCAAATCTTTTGTGTGTAGTAATTCTCCAATATTCCCAGGAAGTCTTTTTTAATATTCCTTTTGTTTCCTGTGAGTTCATGGTAAAAGAGCATCAAAGCCGAATGACAGTAGTCACTAGGTATTTTCAGTAAGGTGAAGGTTACTCTATTACAAAAATGACTGTTTTCAGATTTAATTTAAAAGAGAATCACACCTAGTTGAAACATCTCCATGTCAGCAACATTTGAAGTTTGAGAGAAAGGAACCACAAACCGTGCAGTGTTAATAATCAACTGTTTTTTTCAATAAATTTCTGGCACAAGGTGTTCTGTGATGGCTGATTTTCCCTCCCTTTTTCAGGTATAATTTCCAAAAGCAAGACTCACAAATCTTAAGTGTATGCTTTGATGAGTTTTTATAAAAGTATTAAACTCATGTAACTAACATCAACCAGGATTTCTCTTTCCAATTTATACCTCTCTCTCCCAGAGGAAATTACTCCTTTAATTTCTGGCTTTATAGAATGTTATCATTTGTTCCTTTTTTAAATTGACAAGTAAAAATGGTATACATTTATGGTACAAAATGATGTTTTGATATATTTGCCTATTGTGCAATGGCATCGTCAAGCTATTTACACATGCATTATCTTGCATGTTAATTTTTTGTGGTGAGGACACTTAAAATCTGCTCTGGTAGCAATTTTCAACGATGGAATTCATTGTTATTAACTGCAGTCACCATGATGATAGATCCCTTGAGCTTATTCCTCCTAACCAAAATTTTGTGTTCTTTGACCAACCCACACCCTGGTCCCCTGCCACCCCCCACCTCGCCCCTGGCCACCACAATCCCCAGCCTCTGGTAGCCACCATTTTACTCTCTGTTTCTATAAGCTCAACTCTTTTAGATTCTACATATGAATGAGATCATGTGGTATTTATCTTTCTGTGGCTGGCTTATTCCACTTAATATAATATCCTCCAGATTCACCTACTTTGTCACAAATGACAGAATTTCCTTCTTTTCAAAGGCTAAATAGTATCCCATTGTGTATAGGTATTACATTTTCTTTATTTGTTTATATGTTGATGGATACTTAGGTTGATTCCATATCTTGGTTTTTAGGAATAATGCTGCAATGGACATGGGAGGACAGATATCTCTTCCACATACTGATTTCATTTCCTTTGGGTATATATCCAGTAATAGAAATGCTGGATCATATAGTAGTTCTATTTTTAGTTTTTTGAGGAACCTATATACTGTTTCCATAGAGGCTGTACTAATGTACATTCACACCAACCATGTGCAAAGGTTCTCTTTTCTCCACATTCTTGCCAGTACTTGTTATCATTTGCCTTTTTTGATAATAGTCATTCTAATAGTAGTGAAGTGATACTTCACTGTGGTTTAGATTTGCAATTTCCTAATCATTAGTGATACTGAGTATTTTTTTCAAATGTCTGTTGGCCATTTGTATGTCTTATTTGGAAAACTGTGTACTCAGGTCCTTCACACATTTTTTTAATTGTATTATTTGTTTTGTTGCTGTTGAGGTGTTTGAGTTTCTATTTATATAATATATTTTGGATGTTAATCTGTTATCAAGTCTATGACCTGCAAATATATTCTTCCATTTTGCAGATTGTCTCTTTACTTTGCTGATTGTTTCAATTGCTATACTGAGGCTTTTAGTTTGATATAATCCCATTTGTGTAATTTTGCTTTTGTTGCCTGTGCTTTTGGGGTGATATCCAAAAAATATTGTCAAGACCAATGTCATAGAGCTTTTCTTCTATGTTTTCTTCCAATAATTTTATAGTTTCAGATCTTATATTTGAGTTCTTTAATCCAGTTTGAGTTGATATTTTTGTATGGTATAAGGTGAGGGTCTAATTTCATTCTTTTGCATGTGGTTTTCTAGTTTTCCAAGCACCATTTATTAAAGATACTGTCTTTTTCCATTGAGTATTCTTGGCATCTTTCAAAAATTAATTGATCATAAATGTATAGTTTTATCTCTGGATACCGTACTTTGTTCCATTGGTCTTTGTATGTGTTTTTTTTTGCCAGTACCATGCTGTTTTGATTACTCAAGCTCTGTAGTAGATTTTGAAAACTGGTAGTCAGGTAATATGATGGCTCCAGCTTTGATCTTTTTGCTTAGGATTGCTTCAGCTATTTGGGATCTTTTGTGATTCCGTATGAATTTTAGGATTGGTTTTTATATTTCCGTGAAAAATGTCATTGGAATTTTGATAGAGATTGCACTGAATCTGTAGATCGCTTTGGGTAATATGGGCATTTTAACAATATTATTTTAAACAATATTTTTAATTATTATTTGTTCTTAAACATTGCAAAAATGGGTTACACAGTAGGTGTGCTTTTATGTCTGGCTTAGTCTGCTAAGCATAATGTTTTTGAGATTCTTTTGTTTACTGTGCATCAGAAATTCATTTCTTTTTATTTCTTGAATATTGTTCCATTGTATGCATATGTTACAGTTGTATATCCCCCTCCTGCTGATGGACATTTGAGTTTTTTTCAGTTTTAGATTATTATGAATAAAGTTACTCCATACATTTGTGTATAATATTTTGGGGGACATATGTTTTATTATTTCTTTTCAGTAAATATGTAGGAGTAGAATTGCTGGGTCATAAGGTAAGTATAATTTTAAAAGAAACTGCTTAATGATTTTCTACAGATGTTGAACAATTTTACACTCCCACTAGCAATATCTGAGTGATCCCAGTGATCTGCATTCAGACCTGCATTAGGCATTATTACTGTTTAATTTTAGCCATTCTAATGAGTGTGAAGTGATAATCTTATTGTGGATTTAATCTGCATTTTCCTGATGACTATGTTAAGCATGTTTTTATGTGTTTATTGGCATTCACATATACTCTTCTGAAGGGTTTGCCCAAGTCTTTTGCCCATTTTTAACTATTATTATTATTTATTGTTGTTATTTAGATAATATGGATACAAGTATGATTTATGTATTATAAATATTTTCTCAGTTTGTGGGGCTTGCCTCTTTCTTCATTTCTCTCTGTCTCTCTCTCTTTCTTTCTTGTTTTTTGACAGTGTTTTACTCTCTTGTCCAGGCTAGAGTCCAGTGGCAAGCAGTGTCCAAATCCTGGGCTCAAGTGAACCTCCTATCTTTTTTATTTTTTTATAGAGACAGGGTCTTACTGTGTTGCCCAGGCAGTTCTTGAACTCCTGGCCTCAAGAGATTCTCATGCCTCAGCCCCTCAAATTGCTAGGATTACAGGCATAAGCCACCATGCCCAGCCTACTTTTAATTTTCTTAATGATGTGTTTTAATGAGCAGAATTACTACATTTGAAGAAGTCAGATTTATTATAATTTTTTTCTGATGATTCCTTTTTTTTGTTCTAAAAATCTTATATAACTCATTGCCAAGATATTCTTTTTATGTTTTCTTCACTGAACTTTATATTTTGGCCAAGGTCTGTAATCTACCCTGAGTTAAATTTTTGCATATGGCCTGAGGTATAAATCATGGTTCCGTTTTTTTCCATACAGATATATATTTAACCCAGCAAAATATTTTGAAAAAATTTTCCTTTCACTATTGAATTCCCTGTTGCTGACACCTTCGTCAGAATCATTACGGACTGTGTAACCTGTTCCATTGGTCTATTCATGTATCCTAATACCAATGTCACACTGTCGTGATTATTTTATGTTTATACTATATCTTAATGTCAGATTGCTCCTCTAATTTCATTCTTCCTTTTTAAGATTCTGAAGCTGAAACTTTTAATGAGTTGCTTTGAGTACTTACATGAAACCTACTATTGTTCCTATGTTCTCATAGAAAAATATTTTTATGAATGGGTTATTGAAAAAAATCAAACAGATAAATATGCATAAATCTTTTAACCAGGCTTCCTGTAAGCGGTGTGTAACATGCCACGAAATTTGCTAAGCGCCTTGGAGCAATTCTTTTGTGCAGTGAAACAAGTTTCCTGACATGTGCGCCATCTGCTGATCGACATTTCCAATGGCATCATATCATGGTGAAGAACTCTGAACTTCATTTCTCTCTTTGTTCATTCACTGTCTTCAATGACAGATTCTCCAGCTCAAATCTTTAAGATACTCCCAACGCATACACATGCACACACACACACACACACACACACACACACACATACCCACACGCACACCATTGGTTTTATATTCCATTTATATCTTTTTGCTTCCTATCCACTTTTATCTTTCATATCTAATTACCAATTTTCCCGTTTTCAAGAGCTTCTTGAAATGAATAGCCCGGAAGATTCTCATCTCCACCCAGCAAGCCTCAGAGAACTGTAAGAATGGCTGTTTGTCAGGTCATTGCCAACCCATTTCAAACCTCATTAAAAATAATTAGTTTTAGTATTTATTAAACTACCCTGTGTAGTGTCTAAGCCTAATGGGTTCCATTAACAGCTTTCAATGTTGTGCTTACATATGATAATTTATAAATAGAAAAATTTAAACACAATGAATACATTTTGCCTCACTATGCCGTTGCCATTTAGAGTGTTTAGAAATTTTGACAAAGCATTGAATGCATATGCTGTAGGCACAGAGCTATTCTTAGCCAGTATAGTAGTGTCTCTTTAACATTGTCAACAGAAGTGTCTAGTTTTTGAAAGCTGATGTTTTACTGGAATAAAATGGATGGATTTGACTCTCTAGATGTGGAATTCCTCCTCTCCCATCATGCCTGATTTTAACTGTCCTGATATATTCAGAGCCTAGATATAGTGATTATTAAGGGATGGATTTATGTATGTATGTATGTATTTTGCAATCTCAGTTCACTGCAACCACTGCCTCCTGGGTTTAAGCAATTCTCCTGCCTCAGCCTCTTGAGTAGCTGGGATTACAGGCCTAGGCCACCACACCTGGCTAGTTTTCGTATTTTTGGTAGAGACGGGGTTTCACCATGTTGACCAGGCCGGTCTTGAACTCCTGACCTCAGGTGATCTGCTTGCATCAGCCTCCCAGAATGCTAGGATTACAGACGTGAGCCACCGTGCCCCACCGGATTTTTTCTTTTCTTTTCTTTCTTTCTTTCTTTTTTTTTTTTTTTTTTTTTTTAAAAACAGAGGCTTTGTTCTAAAGTTGGTTTCGTAGTTTGGCTCTGTTTAAAAAATTGTTTTATACTTTTCCTATATATGTAATATTTGACTTATCAGACTTCGATTTGTCAGGATATTTTAAGCCTCAATCAATGATGCATCCATGACACACAGCATCCATAGGTGCTCAGTACTTTTCATGTATTATTTCATTTCATTATTATGCCCATTTATAGATGAGGGAACTGAGCACAAATGGCCGAAGTAACTTATTCAGATCATAAGCATATGGTGAGTGAAGCCACGAGTTTACCTAGGTTCATCTGACTTTACAGTACGAGGTCTTAACATACACCACTGCCTGTTTCTCTATTTTAACACCTTTCCAAATCAAAGCTCTGAGGAAGCTTTAAATTAATAGTTTCTTTTTTCTAATTAAAATTTGTATTGTAATATGCAAACAGAGTTGTAGAAGAATTTTTTAAAAAAACAAAACAAGCCTAAACATGTGTGCATGTCCATGACTCAATGCTGCCTCTCGGTGGGGTCTTTTTTCCATAACAATCTTTACATCTTCACTATCCCATTAGCTTCTGGGCAAGTTATATTAACTAAATCTGTAATTTCCTGCAAGTATTACCATATGCATATTTCTCCCTGTTTACAAGGTTTGATTTTTCTTACTAACATTTTCTAATGTCTTATCCCTGGTCTATCTAGTTTACTACTTCTTTTATACTATCAGCCCGGAAAACTGTGAGTGGCTGTTGTGCAGCATTCTCTCCTTTTGTATGAAAGATAACCATTTATAAAACAGAAAGTAGCCTGGCACATTTTATTGCCTGAGATCTGATACCTTGTTTTTATTAGGAGTATTATTTCATTATTTGGACACACTATGTGTGCATGTATAAGAATGCTTGTTGTGGGGTGGTAGGAGGGCATAAGAAAGCCGTATTAGAGCCCATATTCATCAGTGAGTCCTTAAGTATACACTTGATTTTTCCTCCTCTGGGTCCATCCCAAACTCATTTCTGAGATTCCAAGATCTAAAATGCCTGAATCTGTGGACAATCCAGAGTTTGGCAATGAACCCAAGAAATGCCTGGAGATAATGCAAGAAACTTAATTAATCAAGCTTATATCTGCCAGAGTTTTAAACGCACTATTGAGTTGCTCAATAACAGATCAAATTTGAGCAAAAAGAACAGCATATGGAAGCGTTCTAGCCTAATAAAAAGAGAAACTCATGAGAAAAAACTGGACTATTAGACTAAGTTCACAAGTAATATAAACTTAGATCGGTTCCATAAGCCTCTCTCTACCAAAGAAATGGCAATGCCTCTCTTGAATATAAGCCATTTGAGGATCAGGATAGAATCTTGCACATTGTATTACGGCTTAATAGCAAATTTTAAATCAATATATCATATAGGGATTTTAACCTTTTTGACAGAATAGTCCTTCAAAATACTTTTATAGACAATTTAATCCATGTCTTGTTTTCAATGTGTACCATAAAGATAAAATTGTTAGCATTTTGTATATATTAGTTGTATGTAAAGACATTATATCACACTTTTTACTGTATCCAACAGAATATAAATATCATAGCCAATTAAGACCCACAGATTTCCTTTTAAATAGTGTAAGTACAAGCTCAATTTTAACACATGGAAATGTTAAATTATTCTGTTTGGTTTTTGAATCTTTCATTTCAGTTCATTACCCATTAATATTAGTACCGAAAAGTTAAAAAAAAATTTAAAATTTGTATCATAGCTAAAAGTTTATCTGAAGCATAATTCTTAATAAGATAAAGAGATGGCTCAAATGGTGTTTGATAAAGGGGACACAGACACTTCAAAAAGACTACCCCTGACCCCCTAGATTAGGTTAGACATGCTTACTATATGTACACATTCTACCCTATGCCACTTCTTTCTTAATATTTTGATTACTTTTTTATTGTCTACTTTCCTCACTAGGCTGTAAGTACCATGAGGATGAGGATAAGGATCTTGTTATCTTATTGTTTCATTTCCAAGGCCTAGTCTAGGGACAAAATAATAGTAGGTGCACAATGAATATTTGTTCAACTGATTTTGGTTGAGGAATCAGTAAGTGAAGGAGACAGAGTATGAGGTGACAGAAATATGACTAAGAGGGTGGAATAGTTCAAATACCAGTGATCAAAGTACAGTTATTAGAAATAATTTATTGCAGTTGCATTGGTGATGGGCAGGCTATTTATGACTTTTGAGAATAAAGTTTTAATAGAATAGTGTAAATGAGAGTTAGATTGTAGAGTATCTTAAAGACGGATAGATAATGAAGGAGAGGCTCTAAAAAACGAGAAATTCAATGGATTAGAGATATACAGGTGTAGGGAAAAGGAAGGTTATGTCTAAGTTCTCTGAACAGTGTGCCGCATGATTTATAAGGGGTAAATAAAAGGATTACTAAGAAGTGATAAGCCAACTGAAATTGGAAAACCTGAATTTTCAGATGGCCAAATTTACATAGTTTTATAACTTTCTCTGAAACAAATCAGCTGAAACCAGGATAATAGGAAGTGGGTAATGGAGGCAGTCCAGGATTTAGGACTGCATAAGCAGAAGGGTTAAGGAAGTGATGGGGTTGAGTGTACTATTAAAGATTTTATCAATAGGACCAAATATGAAAGATCTCAACACACTCAGCAGATATTTCCAAGCATTAACAAGTCTAAAAACATTTCCTGCTGAAATTGCCTCTTTTCCAGAGCAAAATATGTTATTCTCATGTCTTGAACATCTGCTGCTAGGGGAAAGAAAAGTCTCAGAAAGCTCAACATTATATGCCAGTGTTCAAGTCAAAGTAGCACTAAAATCACTGAATGAATCAAGATGAGCTCATCCAAGATTCCATTTTAGAACATATCTTGTCTTCTACCAGTGGTTGAAGTGCAATGAAAATTGTAACTAAAAATATCAGCCTCTTTTGATGCCATATACTACCATCCAGTCTGAGATTAAAACCAATGCAAGAGAACCCAAATTTCTCTAGGCAGTGGCTTTTATGTTGGATGTTTCAGGAAGGTGTGTTAAGATCTCTGTGAACTCAAAACTTTTAAAGGAGTAGCAGATGGTGGTTACCTTAGCAACTGTTGCAGTGCACTATACTTAGATGTTTTTCTCTGAAAGCTGATTGTAGAAATACTATTCTAGTGTTCAGATGTAGTGAAAAGAAAAAATTATAAGGAACCTAAACTGAGGTAAAGGTTTATCATAAAGGTGACATCATCAAATCACCATTACTAAATTGAAGTTTCATTTTTAGGTATTTTTATTTAAGGCAATAATTAAAATGGGAAGTAAACATTTTACATAATGCATATATTTAGTACTACTAGAATTTCATAAACTTTAATATTTTAATATTTTTAGAAATCATACTGGAAGTAATTATTGCAAAGTCAGCAGTTAATGATAGCATGTTAAATATTTGTTACAGTACCCATCTGTAAAAATAATGATCATATGAAAAATAAATATAATCACAAGGAGTTTTTTCCATTTTTCATTCTGGAATGAAATGGAATAATTACCAACATTAAGCTATTTTTTCCCTCTCATAGGTAAGTGGTTCTGTTACTTTAGTGTATAATGACATTCAGCTTTAACAGGTTCATCAGGTCATCTGTATCAGAGTAATCTACGGTGCCTGAAAAAATGCAGATTTTCAGTTCATGTTCTCAAACATCCTGATTAACTGGGGCTGAATATTTTCAGTTTTACAAGTTGTTCTGATGCATATGGTTCCTACAAAATACTGAAGAAACGAACTGTCTCAGCATGATACACCAGGGAAGTCTTGGGTCACTTTGACAAATGAGAGACTCCAAAGGATACAGATAAATTTAGTAGTGATTGTGTGAATTTGGAACATTAAAAGGCTACTAACATTTTCTAGAAAATTCATTGTTTAGAAAGGATAATGTCATTACTAACAAAGTAGTTAAAGTCGTATTAATCATTTAAAATGTTTTGGCACTTTGTAAGCATCATTAAAATATGTTTTAAATTTCTAACACTTAATATTTTTACTTCTTCTTACTGTCAAAGGCATATTTATCCCATCTCTACTGTAAATGGGGCAATATAATGAAATGAAAAGAATTAGGTTTTTGCGGCCAGAAATCTGTGCATTCCAAGCTCAACTCTGTCATATAATAAGATCATAGGAAGTTATTAATGATTTTCTAGAGCCTCAGTTTTCTCCTCCATTAAAGTGGGGATTATTCTAAACTACAACCATGGATGATTGTAAATGATTTTATATATGTATTTATTTATATATATGTATATATAATATATATATAGTGTCTAGAATAATATTCACTCAAAAACTGCCTCTTTTCTCTCTCTTCCTAATATAAAAAGGAGCACTTATTCAGTGTTAACAATTTTCTAAGTTTCTGATTCTTTAGTTTTGATTGCTAAAGTTAAAACTAAGGTCTTCAAAATGCCTCAAGATTAGCAATAAATTGTGCTCTTAATTTTTCTTCTTTATATTTTTATGGCATCTTTTATTTCTGCTTGATTTATTTGAAACTGTGTCTTTAACAGTTTAGGTGTCAAATGGCAGTTCTGATGACAGGATCTGACATCACTGTATGGAAGGTTGAATATTGCTGTTTTACAAGAGGAGGTAACTACGAAAATTATAAGATGGGATGTTGTTTCACAAAAAAACTAAGTAATTCCATCTCATAAATATAATTGAAACATTTTGTGAGTCTATGGTTTGGAATTTTTTACATACATTTCTGGGAATTTTCTGATATCAAATTTTTATAATGAATTAATCTAGAAAAGTTGTGGTAGAGGAATCTATATAGTCATATATAAGTATTTGTGTATGTGTGTATATATATATATATATACATATCCATTCTTGTACTTTTTCTGCTCAAACATAAATTTTATTTCTTAACCAGAAATTATTATTTACTAAGTGTTAAGTCTCAGTGTTCTGGCCAATCTTCTCTATCATAAAAGATGACTTTTTTCCTTGCCATTTCTTGCAAGTAATCCTTATTATAGTTATTCAATATTATGCTTTATTTCCATAATGAAAGAATGATATGAACTTCATAGTATAGACAGATTAAAAAATACTTGATATGAATGACCAGACATTAATGACAATGACCCTTTTTAACAAATGTTTTTTCTTCGTTGAATTTTCACAAATGGTGTACCTTTATTAAGGTGTATCTTATTGTTTTCATTTTTGAGTTATTGCTTTATATTAGATATGCTTTAAAGTTGATTTCCTCATATCATAATTTATATGTAATGATATACTATTTACATATTGAGGCTCAGAAATTAACTTGTCCAACGTTACACAGCTAGTAAATGGAGGATTTGGGATTTGAACTCAGATCTGTCAGAAATCAAAGCACTTAGGTTGTTACCCACATCACTTTCCTATGTTATATAGGAATTATATAGATATTCCTCTTTATTAAAAGGAGAGAATATTTAAAGGTAGAGACTATACTTTTAACCCTATGGCATCACCATTAGCAATGACATTATATGTTTATCCGTGGATGCCAGATGATACCCTGTATTTGTATAAAGGTTTCTCTAGTGATTCTAGTGTACAACCAAGCTGGGAAGTTCCTATGTTTATAATCGTTGTGCAATAAACATTGATACATATAAATGGGAGACAAAAAGAAGAAGTACTAGGAGTACTAAGCATGAAATATATCTGTTTATACAGTGAATATATTATTTCATATAGGAATACAATGACTATATTTTAATGTTCCATGAGGAATCCATAATAAAATATTTTACATTTATGATTTTACTATACAAGAGTTTATTTTATAATAGCATTTTGAAGGGGAAATAGACCAGGACCCAAACACCTTGGGTCAAAGGCACTGTTCTACCATTTAATAGCTTTATTCCATTAAGGAAATCATTTCCTTTCTAGCCCTCAGTTTGTCAATCTGTAAGATGGCAATGATGTCACCAATAGGCTGTACTAATGACTAATTTAATTTGTCAAAGTGCTTTACTAAGCATGGGGTATGATACAGTAAACCTCGCTCTATGCACTAATCATGATGAATATAAAATCTCCTTGTCTTTACCATCTAGCACCATTACTTAATAAAGGTGCTGAGCTGCTACCAATGCCTAGAGTAAAGAAGCATGTTTAGCTATTTAAATAAAGGTATAGTAATTATGTTTCATTGTTCAGTCATTTATTTTTTGTTCTTGAGTGCTGTTAGTTTACAAAAGAAATAATAGTGTGCAAAAATACCTTTTTTAAAAAAAATATGTTTCTGCCCTTATAAAGCTTAATAGTCCATTGAGAGAAAAAGATACACACCAAAGAAGCCCAGAAATTATAACTACAATAAAGCTGTGGAATAGAATAATATAATACTAGAAACATAACATCAGGGAGACCTGACCCAATATGGGAGATCAGTGAAAGCTTCCCTAAACAAGTTATGTCTGAGTTAAAATCCGAAGAATAGGAGTTAACCAAGCAAATGTGGTGGATAAAGACGGGAACATTCCTATTAGGGAAGCAGCGTGTATAAAAGCCCTCCAAAAAATAGAAAGAAAGCCAAAGTGTCCAGAGCACAGAGAAACGAGAGAAAAGGGGTAGTCAGTGCCAGTCCATGCAGAATCCTGACTTCTGCATGACTATCTAAGAAAAGAAGCATGTTTAGCTATTTAAATAAAGTTATAGTAATTATGTTTCACTGTTCATTCAGTCAGTTATTTTTTGTTCTTGAGTGCTGTTATTTTACAAAAGAAATAATAGTGTGCAACTTCTAGATACCTGTAGCCCATGACCAAATACCACCATATCAGTATCTCAACCCAGTAACCCCACACTAGGCCATGATAAAACCTCATAGTCCTTGCTATGTACAATATTCTGCACTGTATAATCCAGTCTATAACCTAGAAATCATTTGCTCCAACATCCCTATCTAGTATCAGTTGAATGACTACTTTGTGAAGCTCCATTCATGCCAACCATGGAATTGCTCCTAGATTGAGGTTTATTTTATTGACAACTTGCTACTCATTATAGCTTCTTGTTACTTGCAAAGGACTCTGAGAACTTTATTACAGTTAGACTTTCATATTGTTGTGGTGAAATCTTGGGGCTAAACAAATTATTCCACCAGTTCTTCTGACATGAGGCAACCCCTGTTACCATTTGCTATGCCTGATTGGCCTTGAGGGTGCCAAGTTCACAGCCTGCTTGTGCTGGTAGTTAATGTTAATAAAAGACCCCTTTTTTCCTCTGCTCTGGACTTTCACTCTTCTCTCAAGTCATCGTGCTGCATAACTTTCTGGACTACCAAACTCAGTTTATTTTCTTTTTTTTGTGTGCCATTTTTAATGTTCTTCATATACAAAGACATCTGCCTGTGTTTACAATCTTTAATCCCAACTGACACAATGATCTGATAGGATATAAAATAAATACTTATGATCTCACGTCCCTTATTAACAGAATCACTGGGACACCTTGCATATTCCTGGGGGTTTTGCTACAGTAATGCAATCCCCTATTCCATCCTTAATATCAATCTTTATGAAACCTGTGATCTCTATTCCTATATATCTCTATTTTCTCTTCTATAATCCTAGAGTTCATGATGTTTGTATATCATCATGGCCAATAATTTCTATCCTAGGGTGATTATAAAAGAAGTCTCTTTGGCCGGGCATGGTGGCTCATGCCTGTAATCCCAGCACTTTGGGAGGCCGAGGTGGGTGGATCTTGAGGTCAGGAGATGGAGACCATCCTGGCTAACATGGTGAAACCCCATCTCTACTAAAAAAAAAAAATACAAAAAATCAGCCAGGCATGGTGGCACACACCTGTAGTCCCAGCTACTCAGGAGGCTGAGGCAGGAGAATCACTTGAACCTGGGAGGTGGAGGTTGCAGTGAGCTGAGATCACACCACTGCACTCCAGCCTGGGCTACAGAGCAAACTCCATCTCAATTAAAAAAAAAAAAAAAGGCAGTCTCTTCTTCCTTTGAAGCTATAACATTTAATGCACACAAACCTTAACAACCAAGTTCAGTGTCCAGACCGTGTATAACAGATGACAGCCTACTACCAATCTACACTTAACATGACTAGTATCTCCTTGAGTTATCTCCAGTCTTTGTGGCCCTTCTAGATACTTAATATTGTCAAAAAAGTATTCTGACATTTGTTAACATAGTAGAGAAGGCTTTGTTTGGACCTATTGTGAACAATGTCAAGACTATCACAATAGAGAAGAGAGATT
This sequence comes from Homo sapiens, assembly GCF_000001405.40. Taxonomy (NCBI): domain Eukaryota; kingdom Metazoa; phylum Chordata; class Mammalia; order Primates; family Hominidae; genus Homo; species Homo sapiens. The sequence continues at coordinate 77,694,766 of NC_000012.12, forward strand.
GGGTCACTTGTGAACACAACAAGGATACCAGGCAAATCTACCTTTCTAGGCTTTGTCCATAATTATGCCAAGACATTTTGGAGATGTTTTGAGTGTCAGATCCATGAGATAACATGTTGCCTGCACATGGAAAGAGACTAAGATATAGGAACTCAGGGACACAGCAAGGTTCTTTCCAATGGAAGTTGTATTACACCACTGGGTGGAGGATAATCCTTACACTAACAACAATGGCTGGCATTCACTGAGTACATAAGTGCCAGAAGCTGCTCTAAGAACTTTATAAGCCATGCTAAAACATTCTCAAAAAATCCTTTGTTAATCTCATTCTGTGGGTTGTCTTTTCACTTTTTTGATTATATCCTTTGCTGTGCAGAAGCTTTTTAACTAATATGATCCCATTTGTCCATTTTTCTTTGGTTGCCTGTGCTTGTGGGGTATGGCTCAAGCAATTTTTTTCCCGACCAATGTCATGGAGGTTTCCCCAATGTTTTCTGTAGTAGTTTCATGGTTAGAGGTCTTAGATTTAAATCTTTAATCAATTTTGATTTGATTTTTGTATATGGCAAGAGACAGTGGTCTAGTTTCATTCTTCTGCATACGAATATCCAGTTTTTCCAGCACCATTTATTGAAGAGACTGTCTTTTCCCCAGTGTATATTCTTGGCACCTTTGTCAACAGTGAGTTCACTTTAGGTGTGTGAATTTGTTTCTGGGTTTTCCATTCTGTTCCATGGGTCTATGTGTCTGTTTTTATGCCACTACCATGCTGTTTTGGTTACTGTAGCTCTTTAGGCCAGGACTTGTTTAAAACTTGGCCGGATGACTATTCTTTGTTCACCTGTATGGTACAAAATACGATGAATAATTACTGAGTATGGTTCCTAATTTATCATGTACAAAACTCTAAATGCCCCTCTCCTCCATTCCCCATCCCATATATATTGCAAGATGTTGAAGGGAAGTATAAAGCTGTGTAAAGTTTTTATGAGACTTTCTCTCTGACCAGAAATTATACACATACTCCCTTTTAATATATTAAAGGGAGAACTTTTAAAAAATCCTACCCTCAGTGCCTCAAATAAAGAAAGGTGAGAATTTTGTGATCAGATGTCACCATGGCCCATATTTTCTACCCCAGAGAAGATTATGAAAGTTCTTTCTCCTTATTTTGAAGTTATAATTTGTCATGTCCTTGGTTCAAGGTATGCAAAAATCCTTTTGTGTCCATCCTTATCTTTAGAGGTAGGAATAACACTACATCAGTCCAAGAAGAGAGAATAAAAAGTACAGTAGAAAGATTAGCTACTAAATCTTACCTAATTCAATCACACTGAGATGCCCCAAACTACATGTGGCAAGCAGTCTCTAAAAGGATCCCAATAATTTTTCCTCTTGATACCTATGCCCTTATGTAATCCCCTTTCCTTGAGTGTATGCTGTCCTAGTGATTTGCTTATAACCAATAGAATATGGCAAAGGGGACAGTATGCTATTTCTATGATTAGGTTACATAAGACTGTGACTTCCGTCTTGCTAGTAGAGTCTCTTCCTCATTGGCTTTGATGAAACAAGCTGCTATGTTGGAGAGACTCATGTGGTGAGAAAGTAAAAGAGACCTCTGGACAACAGCCAGGAAGGAACAAGGCCCTCAGTCTAACAGCCTACAAATAACTGAATTTTGCCAATAACCATATGCGTTCTGAAGCAGATTTCTCCCTAGATAATTCCTCAGATAAGACCAAAGCCATGTCTAGCACTTTGGAGAGACCATGAAGCAGAGGATGAGGTTCATTTGGGCCTGGTCTCTTGTTCCACAGGAATTATGAGATGATAAACATGGGTTACTCTAAGTTACTAAGCTTATGGCAATTTGTTAAGCTGCCACATATAACTAATATACCAGACTAGCCCTTGGGAAAATTGGGAGGTTAAATAAATAGAACAGAGTTGCATTTGCTGAATAAGTCAATAATGACAAGGCTTCTTACATGCATAGGCTTCCTACTCTCATTGTTCACCTGTTTATAATCTAATGCTTGAATATAAGCATACTAGAAGTGATTGTGCTTCCTCAATAACTTCTACTTGGTTAAAGAGTTTGACTCATGTACATTTACTAATTATTTCCATCTACTGCCAGTTCAAAATCTTACGCTTCTATAGCAGTACCTGTTTAGTTCATTAGCTTCATCTTTGGTGATATAGTTGAAAACCTTCTCTTGCTGGCATGTTCCTTCTGGCAGCTGGATGCTTCACCTTATTATAGAGCTGTGTTTCTCTGTTTCTGACCCAGTTTCCTTCTCCCAGAGAAGTCAGCACATCTTGGTATCCTGTGTAAATTCTCCTGGACTGGAGGAGCCTGGGATGTCTAACTAACTCCTTCAGCCCTGTTACTTTCCAGTCACCTTTCTCTTCAGGCTTCCCTGAGTCCATTTCTCTCCCAGCCCTACCTTGGCCTGTAGATGCACTATCACCATGTAGTCATCCACCCCCCTCTTCCTTCTCTCTACAACTATCCTCAGGCTTGTAGTGGGGCATCTGCCAACAGTGATGGGCAGGTCAAAATGGCTTCAACTAACTGCCTAAGCACAGTGGCTGAAAGCACAGATGTTAGAGTAAGACAGTCCTAGATGTAATTCCTGATTCATTATGAGCTATAACCATAAGCAAGTTGCTTAATCTCTCTTTCTCAATTTTTAAATCTATAAAATGAGTATGTTAATGCGCTGTTTGTGTGAGCTTTTTTGCCCCAATCTTTATTTCTCATATTAAACTTCCAGAAATATCTTTTTAATTTTACATTTTCATCATTTCAGAATTGTATAGACTCATGGCTCTGAATTTCACTCTGGCTCATTTTATTAATCACTCATGCATTAAGATTTTAGTAAGTGGTTATATATAGCAGATTGTATAACAAACACCCTGAATTAAAAGAAAAATGAAATTTTATTCCTGACCTCAATGTGCTTATAGCTAGAATGGAAGGAATACAATTATAAATAATGCCATTAGTTAAGAAATAAAATATGTGCCAAGAGCTTGAGAAAATAGATGTGTGAACGATTAGCTTGGAATCCAGGGATTCCCAGAAGAAGTGACACTTGAACTGAAACTTGAAATATGAGTAGGAATTTATAAGTTAAAAAGCAGTGGAGATGATAGTGTAGAGAAAACAGAATCTGTAAAAGTCACAGCATTATGCAAGAACATGGCAAGTTAGAATGTTAGGTAAAGAATTGAGAAGATAATTTTTTTTCATGCAGGAAGGGGATAAAGGGATGACAAAATAAACTGTCATCAGATTGAGAATGATCCAGAATGTGGTATCTAAAGGCGATAGAGAAGTGGAGGATGACTAAAGTTTTTAGCTTAAACAACTGGCAGCTGGTTTCTTGATTTACCTGCCTGTCATTCAGCTGCATGTTACTCCATCTCATCCTGTTCCATTCTTCTATGAGATCAACCACAGCGTTAATATCTTGGCTAGCTTTTTTGGCTTTGGGAGGCCCAGTTGAGTATATCTTTCTGTCAGCTGGCTTGCCTGCGAATCATTTCTCCATTTATTTTTCTAGGGCTCAACTATTATTCCAATTATATCACCCATCACTGGAAGAAGAATGACTGATAGTGTCAATGCAAATAGAGCATCCAGGTGGAACAGATTGTGGGCTGAGGAAGAGTGTAGATAGAAAACAAGCTATGATTTTGTTGAATTTGGCTATAGGGGTCCAGTGGATCTCTAACCAAATGTGTCAGCCAAGCAACTGGAGATCAAAGCCAAGAGTTGATGAGAAATGCCTGAGATTATTTGTAGATTAAGTAGATTCAAAGTGGGAATGCTATTAGTTGAAGCTGTGAGAATGGGTATGGTCACCCAGAATATGTAGAAAGTGAGACCATGGAAGGATTAGAGACACAACCCTCAAGATAATTACTATTTAATGGATGAGAATACGGTTGAGGTATCCTCCTGAAGGCTGGTAAAATTCTCTATGTGAATGGCATGGCTATTGATGTTCAAGCCCTAACAGCTGGAATTTACATATGCTAGTAAATAATTTTAAAATGATTCACCTATCCATCAACCCTATCAGGTGAGGTTGGAATAGCAGGGGTTTGGTTTTTTATTGTTTACTGTTTGTCCTAGAATACTTGTGCACAATTTCTTCCAAGTGCTTCATGTTAGAATGTTTCATCTCCACATAGTCTGAATATTCTAAATTAAATCATAAACCTAACTATGTAGCAAACATATATACTCTAGATTCAGGATACCCTGTTAGTTCTTAGAGGTTATATATTTGATTTAGTGTTTTATCCACTTTTATTTGATATATTTCACTGGCATGGAATATAGAATTATTCATTTCATGCCTAAGAATCTTGCAGGACATGAAGCAATAGAAGACACGCTGGCTGTCTAGGGAGATAACTAACAGGGTTGTCTGGCCTTGAACTCATATTCTATCCTGGGTATTTTTTGCCTGAATGAGGAACAGACGTTTGTGCGTTATTCTCAATGCCCTGGTTCTCACAAGTGCCTATTCCTACTGTAGTATTCTAATATGATTCCCCAATGAAATCTTGTAGTTGTCAAATATTCTAATATCAATTGCTGCAAAACAAACCACCTGAAATGTAACAGAGTAAAACAATGACTATTTTATTACGTCCTTGGATTCTGTAATCAGGAATTTGGACACAGCATGGTAGGGATGTCTTGTCTCTATGATATCTGGGGCCTAAGCTGAAAAGACTTGAAAGGCAGGAGTTTACTTGAATGGCTGGGGGAAGGAATCATCTAGAGCTTCGAGCTTCCTTGTTTCTAAGTCTGGTACAGGTCTGGTATGACTTTCAGGCTGGGCTCATCTGGAACTCAACCAGAGCACTTACATGTGGCTTCTATATGTGACCTGGGCTTTATCACAGCTAAGTGGCTTCAGGGTAGTTGAACTTCCCTGGTGGCTCAAGGTACCAAGAGTGAATGTCCCAGTGAGCAAGGCCATGTCTGCATGACCTTTTTTTTTTTTTTTAAATGAACAAGCCTCTGAAATCAGTCACCTCTACAGCACTCCATAGATTGAAGGAGTCTACCCAAATTCAGGGAGGAGGGATATAGAACCCACTTGTAGATGGAACAAATGTTGAAGAAATTGCAGCTATGTTTTAAAATCAGATGGTATGAGAGCTCATGAAATTCTGACCCAGCCAGTTTTGTTTTGGCACAGGCCTATAGTCTAATCTATGGATGTAAACTGCCACATTACTTGGATACCTCATTCTTTTCTTTCTGAAATTCTGTAACTTGATTTCTGTGCTTCGATACAAACCTAATGAGATCAAGACCTTAACTCCTATGTTATAGCTAATTTGTATTGAAATGATTGATTAACACTCAGTCATCTTTGAAGAAAGAGTGAGAGGTGGGCAAACTCTGGCTTTTAGATAGTGTAGGATTAACATACAAAAATCTCATCCTTGAAATGACCTTGGAGTTGGAAGGGATCTGCACCATGTGCTGTATTCACAAAATAGAGGATATCAATGCTAAGCAGAAATGGGAGCATGAAGGAGAGTTTGTGAGCAGTTGGGAGAGACAAATAAGCAATTTGATAGAGAGAAAATAAATTAAAATTAAAGTTGTGTATGTGTTTCACCCTAAAATTTTCCATAAAAACAATCACGTTATTTGAGAATACAGACAGTTTAAATTCTTTCTGTCTAGTCTTCATGATTTTAAAGTTTATTCTTCCTGTATCACTGTACTGGTGAAGATATCTATTATAATGTTGAATAGAAATAGTGAGAACAGATATTCTTGTCACATTTGTTATATTAGGGAAAAACACTTAGTCTTTTACCACTGAGTATGATTTGTACTCTTTTACTATTGAGTATGATTTGTACCTATAGGTTTTTAATGAATGTTCTTTCTCAGATTGAGGAAATTCCTTTCTGTTCTTATTGAGAGTTTTTATTATTTATTATGAATGGGTATTTAATTGTGTCACATGCCTTCATATGTCTATGGAAATGACCATATGACTTTTTATTCTATTAATATAGTTAATTGCATTTATTGGCTTTCAAATACAACCTTGTATTCCTGTAATAAACCCAATTTAGTCATTATGTACTATGAACTCTTTTATATTATATATTATAAACTCTTTTATATTTAACTTTCTAATATTTCATTAAACAATTTTATATTAATAATGATGAGGTTTATTGTCCAAAATATTTTCTTGTAATTATTTTTTGCATGTGAGGTTTGGTATCAGGATTATATTGGCCTGTTAAATGAGTTGGGAGTATTTCCTGCTTCTCTGTTTCTAAAAGATTGTGTAAGACTGATATTGTTTCTTTCTTTGTCTTGATGGAATTCACCACTGGAAACATTTGGAAATGGAGTTTTCTTTGTAGAATATTTGAGTACAAATTTATTTTCTTTAATGATACAAAGCTATTTAGTTTTTATCTTTGTATTGTATTATCATTTTGGTAGTTGTATTTTCAGGGAATTTGATGATGTAATCAAAGTTGTCAAATTTATTAGCAGAATGTTAGCCATACTATTCTCTGTAAGCTCCCATGAACATATTTGGCAGTGTTTCTTCTTTTATTCCTGATACTTGTGATATGTATTTTCTCTTTCTTCTTGATCAGTCTTGCTAGAGGTTTATTAATTATATTAATGTTTTCAAGGAAACAACTTTTGACTGTTGTTTTCATTTTTATTATTTTTTCATACTCTTCATTTTAAGCTGCTCATTCTTTTAGATTCTTAAGTTAGAAACTTCAGTTAGAATTATCTTAGTTAATTTTTCTAATATAAGCATTTGAATGTATAAATTTTCCATAAACGCTATTTGAACTGCACCTCACTAATTTTGATATGTTGTGTTTTCATTATCCTTGAGTTCAAAATATTTTCCAGTATCCATTGTAATTTCGTCTTTGACTCATAGGTTGTTTTAGTAGCATGTTCATTCCAAATCTGGGTGGCTTTGCTTTATATTTTCTTTATTTCTAAAATTTCATTATTTTAGTGGTCAGAGAACATGTTTTGTAAGAGTTAATTTTTTTGAAATTTAGTAAGACCTATTTTATAGCCCAGCCTATGGTTTACCTTAATGAATGCACCATGTGTACCAGGAGCAAGATATGCACTCTATTGCTATTGGGCATAGTGTTCTAAAGCATCAGTTGTCAAATTGGTTCATTCTTTCTTATAGCTTTATTGATTTTTCTAGTTGTGTTATAAATTACCGAGAGAAGGATATTAATATCTCCAATGATAATTGTGAAGTTATTAATGTTTCCCTTTATTTATCAGATTTTGCTTTGTGTATTTTGAAATTCTGTCATTAAGTGCATACACACGTGGGATTTTTCTGTCTCCCTGATAAATTGACTCTATCATTAGTGCAAAAGGTCCTTCCTTATCTCTTGTAGTACTTTCTGCCTTGAAATTTATTTTGACATCAGTATAGCCACACCTGCATTCTTATGCTTGCTGGCTGCATGGTGTATCTTGTTATCTTTTTATTCTCTACCTTTCTGTCCTTTTCTATTTAAAGTCTATCTCGCAGAGGATATAGTTGGGTGTTGTTCTTTATTGTATCTGACAATTTCTGCCGTTTTATTTGGAGTATATTAAAATATTTACATTGTATTTATTCTTACTCTGGAAATAAGTTTACCATCTTGCTATTAGTTTTGTATTTGTCTTGTGTATTTTTTGTGCGTCTTTTCTTTCCTGCTTTCTTTCATAAAAACAGATTTGAATTTTTTATTATTCCTTTGTTTACTTTTTGTTTTTTGCTCTAGGTGTTACAATATTCATTCTAAGCTCTCACACTCTGCTTATGGTTAATATTATATCACTTCACATGAAATGTAAGAAACAAAGTATTTTTCTACTTACCCCTGTTCTTTGTGCTATTGTTATATTTTAGTTTTATACACATTAGAAATTCCACTATACAATATTATTATCATTACTTTAAATAGACAAGAGTCTTTCAAATAAGTTAATAGAAGAAAAATAGATAGTATTTTGTATTTGCCTCTATATGAAATATTTTCATTTCTCTCTATTCCTTCTGTAAATCTGATTTTTCCTCTGGTATCAATTCCCTTTAGTCTGAAGAACTACCTTTAATAATTCTTGTACTGTGATGGTCTGCTGCTGACCAATTGCCTCCATTTTTCTTTATTTGGTTAATGTCTTTATTTTTTTAAATAATTTTTAATGCCAGGTTTATTGAGGCTTAATGTACATTCATAAAAGTCACTTATTTTATCATGTCGTTTGATAAGTTTTATAAATCTGTCCTGCTCCACCACAACAATCTGGATATAGAACATTTCTTTATCTCAGAGTTTTCTCAGACATCTTTGAAGCCAGACCCCTTTTCCCTTTCTACTCCTGGCAAAAGCTGATCTGTTTTCTGTCCCTAAAGTTTCTCTTATTCCACAATTTGATGTAAATGGGATCATATAGTACATGATCGTGTGTCTGTCTCCTTTCACATAGCATAATACTTGTGAGATTCATCCATCTTATTACATGTATCAGCACTTCATTTATTATATTGAGTGGTATTCCATTGTATAGATTAACCACAATTCATTTATCCATTCTTCAGGTGTGAGGCATTCAAGTTGTTCCTGGCTTTTGGCTATTCTGAATAAAGCTATTATGAACATTTGCATACAGATTATTTTGTTGATAGATGTTTACATTATCATGATAAATGTCTAGGAATACGCTTACTGAGTAATATGAGAAGTTATATGTAACCTTCTAAGAAACTGCCTAAATTTTACAAAATAGTTATAACATTTTCCATTTTCACAAACAAACTATGAGGGTTCAAATTCCCTCCCAAGGGAACCAGTCCAATTGGCCTGGCCATATGTGCACACCTTGGTCAGGAGAAAGTAAAATTTCTTTTTGACAATTCCACAAAATTAAATTCTGTGAGAAGGTAGTCATTTTCAAAATGAAAATAAGATCCTGTCAGTAGAAGAATGACTGTGGAGCAGATAAAAACAGAGATATCTTTTGCAACTTAAGTTAGTTAAAATGCTGCAGAAGTGAGAAGATGGTTGGACCACTGATTGTGTTTTTAATATGACTCCTGGCTTACCAATAATCATTTCATGACCTTCTATACCGCATTTGACTTCTCAATATAACATTGTTCTCACTTGTAACGCTAGCGCAAAGAAATGGATATCTTGTTGAGGTCACTGCCATCTTGAGCTTCTGTGATTAATCTGAGCCATAGAATATTAATTAAACATATATTGAGTAAACACATTTAAAAGGCTGAGGAGCCTAAGGCCTTTTCTATTCTATTTTAATGCCTTTTGTTTACTGCCATTTCTAAATTAGATAAAAAGCTTTCTACTCCATTAGTTTTAATAATAGTTAAAGTTATTAAAATGCCTTAGGATTACAAATATGCTTTTGTCTGTGTATGGGTGTGTGAGTGCGTGCATGTGTGTGTGGCATTTATAAATAATTGGCAAGTGATTTACATAGATCACATTTGTAGCAGAAGTGCCAATCTGAAGTTTTTAAGATATTATTAACAGAAATTACATTTTGAAGAACAAATGAAAGCTGCCGTATCCCAAATGCTACTCAGTCAAGCAGCCCTGATTCCTACTTGCTTGATATCCAAAATAGTATTGTGTACGTATGGTCTAGAAATCTTATGACAATCCAGCAATTGTTGCAGATTTAATTACCTCATATAAAGCAAAACACATAATCTTTTTTTTCTGGTGAAAATGTTCCTATTAATGAGTCTTCAGATTTTCCATAGTCCTTAATTGCTAAGGGAAATAATAATTTAAAAAGCCAACATTCAATCATTGCTAAAGTGGAGTGAAATGGACTCCACTTTAAGAGACTGGGCATTAGTAAATTAGAGTGGTTAAAAGATATGTTACAAAACATAATCTAAGTAGATCAGAGAAGGCATATAAATGGTTTACTTCTCACATTTTGAATATTTATTCATATTTCTCTTCTCTCTGTCTTGTCCAATTACTTCAAAGGCCCTTAGCATATGTGCTAGCTTCCCACTTCACTGTGGGTTTCCCCTAGGATATTGGAATTTCAAATCTAGTTTATAGTTGTGAAATAAAAGATTTTATGATACTATTTTAGAAACTCTGTGTTATAGGAAATAGTAAGTCATTTTTTAAGATGCAAGAGACAGAGAGAAGCAGGATGGAGTAGTCTCATTTTAGCTCTGAGAGAATATGTCTTTGTAACATTCATGTATTGTATTAATCAAGACCCTCTTTTAAGAGTAAAACAAAACAAAACAAAAAACAATCTCAAGTTGGGTGCAGTGGCTCATGCCTGTAATCCCAGCACTTTGGGAGGCCAAGGTAGGTGGATCACCTGAGGTCAGGAGTTCGAGACCAGCATGGCCAACATAGCGAAACCCTGTCTCTACTAAAAATACAAAAAATCAGCTGGGTGTGGTAGTGGACACTTGTAATTCTAACTATTTGGGAGGCTGAGGCACAAGAATCGCTTGAATCCAGGAGGTGGAGATTGCACCACTACACTTCAGCCTGGGTGACAGCACGAGACTCTGTCTCAAAAAAACAAACAAACAAAACTATCTCAGACTACCCTGAAATTAAAAGGGGATTTTATGGGCTAAAAAAATAGGGGATCTTAAAATTATGAAATGGCTTTCGACCTTGTCCCCAAAGTTATACTCTTAGGATACTGTCTCTCCATTTTTTGGCATTGCCTTCCAGTGCATGGCTACATCAGGCACACTTTCGAGAAAAGGACAAAATAAATATGACCATCAGCAGCTCTAGCCAGATGTGGCATATTAGTTGATTTCGCCTGGATTGTTTGTTCCCCCGGGGGTCAAAGATGAATTCAGCCCCTCCAAAGTCACTTGAGCTTTCTAACGGCTGGTAATTATATAGTACAAGTTTATGCCATCAAGGGGGTTTTGTCCTGACCACAGATTGAGGTATCACTCTCTGTTATTATTAATGAAAAGTTATTATGGCTGGATTACAGGTGATTTTTTTTCTTTGTCTTATGTTTTCAGATATTTTATAATAAGTATCTTATTTCTGATTGCAAGTTGCATATTTTTAAATGTATTTCTTTCTTAAATTAGAATAAACATTTGATGTGTTCATCCATTGTAGTTGTGTTTTTCCCTTCACAGCTATTGTAATAGATGGTGATCATATAGTCCATGATATCTAAAGTTGAGGAAATACAGTTCTTTTGTAAAGAGAGGAAAGTTATTAAACAAACTCTAACTTTTATGATGCATACTTCAAATTAAAAAAAGATTTTTGGTAGCTAGGAGATATGAATTAATAAAAAGTTAATGAAATTCAGGTATACTTATCACCATGCAAACTACTCCAAAGAGCCTAGTTAATCATTTGGGGAAACTAAATTAACATTAATAGATCTCCCTTATGAATGCTGAAAAAATAATGCTATAATGTTAGTGAGTAAATTAAACTTCTAGGAGTACATACTATATTTCTCAATAGTTATTCAAAGACTATGAGATACTTGTCTCTTTTCCACATAAAAAGACTTTCTTCAAATTAGGGATCCATTCAATACATTGCTCTATGCCTTCAATCCACTATTGAGACCTACGTTGAAACTCTACTTTTCATGTGTACACTCTAATGTCTGCCAGTTGGTAAGTTATGATTATCTTGGCTGATCGTTATCAATAATCCCACGGTGAAATTCAGAATATATGAGAGACCCATAATTAAAATATCTGGGAAAGGCTGGGTGCGGTGGCTCATGCCGGTAATCCAGCACTTTGGGAGGCTGAGGCGGGCGGATCACGAGGTCAGGAGATCGAGACCATCCTGGCTAACACGGTGAAACCCCGTCTCTAATAAAAATACAAAAAAATTAGCAGGGCGTGGTGGCGGGCGCCTGTAGTCCCAGCTACTCGGGAGGCTGAGGCAGGAGAATGGCATGAGCCCGGGAGGCGGAGCTTGCAGTGAGCCGAGATAGTGCCACTGCACTCCAGCCTGGGCAACAGAGTGAGACTCTGTTTCAAAAAAAAAAAAAAAAAAAAAAACCAAAAAAAAAAAAACTAGGAAAAAAAGCATGCCCTCTTGACATACTGATATTAAACAAGTCCGTGCATATTTCACCTGCTTGGGCTGTTTTCCTTTCTCTTGTCTACCTACGAAATTCCTACTTCCTCTTCAAGACCCAGCTTGAATTGCTACCTTTTTTTTCTTTCTTTCTTTCTTTCTTTTTTTTTAATTATACTTTAAGTTCTAGGGTACTGCAGGTTTGTTACATATGTATACATGTGCCATGTTGGTGTGCTGCACCCATTAACTCGTCATTTACATTAGGTACATCTCCTAATGCTATCCCTTCCCCCTCCCCCCACCCCACAACAAGCCCTGGTGTGTGATGTTCCCCATCCTGTGTCCAAGTGTTCTCATTGTTCAATTCCCATCTATGAGTGAGAACATGTGGTGTTTGGTTTTTTGTCCTTGGGATAGTTTGCTGAGAATGATGGTTTCCAGCTTCATCCATGTCCCTACAAAGGACATGAACTCATCCTTTTTTCTGGCTGCAGAGTATTCATTCCATGGTGTATATGTGCCACATTTTCTTAATCCAGTCTATGATTGATGGACATTTGGTTGGTTTCAAGTCTTTGCTATTGTGAATAGTGCCACAATGAATATATGTGTGCATGTGTCTTTATAGCAGCATGATTTATAATCCTTTGGGTATATGCCCAGTAATGGGATGGCTGGGTCAAATGGTATTTCTAGTTCTAGATGCTTGAGGAATCACCACACTGTCTTCCACAATGGTTGAACTAGTTTACAGTCCCACCAACAGTGTAAAAGTGTTCCTAATTCTCCACATCCTCTCCAGCACCGGTTGTTTCCTGACTTTTTAATGATCACCATTTTAACTGGTGTGAGATGGTATCTCATTGTGGTTTTGATTTGCATTTCTCCGATGGCCAGTGAAGGTGAGCATTTTTTCATGTGTCTGTTGGCTGCATAAATGACTTCTTTTGAGACGTGTCTGTTCATACCCTTTGCTCACTTTTTGATGGAGTTGTTTTTTTCTTGTAAATTTGTTTGAGTTCTTTGTAGATTTTGGATATTAGCCCTTTGTCAGATGAGTAGATTGCAAAAATTTTCTCCCATTCTGTAGGTTGCCTGTTCACTCTGATGGTAGTTTCTTTTGCTGTGCAGAAGCTCTTTAGTTTAATTAGATCCCATTTCTCAATTTTGGCTTTTGTTGCCATTGCTTTTGGTGTTTCAGACATGAAGTCCTTGCCCATGACTATGTCCTGAATGGTATTGCCTAAGTTTTCTTCTAGGGTTTTTATGGTTTAGGTCTAACATTTAAGTCTTTAATCCATCTTGAATTAATTTTTGTATAAGATATAAGGAAGGGATCCAGTTTCAGCTTTCTACATATGGCTAGCCAGTTTTCCCAGTACCATTTATTAAATAGGGAATCCTTTCCCCATTTCTTGTTTTTGTCAGGTTTGTCAAAGATCAGATGGTTGTAGATGTGTGGTATTATTTCTGAGGGCTCTGTTCTGTTCCATTGATCTATATCTCTGTTTTTGTACCAGTACCATGCTGTTTTGGTTACTGTAGCCTTGTAGTATAGTTTGAAGTCAGGTAGCGTGATGCCTCCAGCTTTGTTCTTTTGGCTTAGGATTGTCTTGGCAATGTGGGCTCTTTTTTGGTTCCATATGAACTTTAAAGTAGTTTTTTTTCCAATTCTGTGAAGAAGGTCATTGGTAGCTTGATGGGGATGGCATTGAATCTATAAATTACCTTGGGCAGTATGGCCATTTTCACGATACTGATTCTTCCTATCCATGAGCATGGAATGTTCTTCCATTTGTTTGTGTCCTCTTTTATGTTGTTGAGCAGTGGTTTGTAGTTCTCCTTGAAGAGGTCCTTCACATCCCTTGTAAGTTGGATTCTTAGGTATTTTATTCTCTTTGAAGCAATTGTGAATGGGAGTTCACTCATGATTTGGCTCTCTGTTTGTCTGTTATTGGTGTATAAGAATGCTTGTGATTTTTGCACATTGACTTTGTATCCTGAGACTTTGCTGAAGTTGCTTATCAGCTTAAGGAGATTTGGGGCTGAGACGATGGGGTTTTCTAAATATACAATCATGTCATCTGCAAACAGGGACAATTTGACTTCCTCTTTTCCTAAGTGAATACCCTTTGTTTCTTTCTCCTGCCTGATTGCCCTGGCCAGAACATCAAAAAACTTATCCACCATGATCAAGTGGGCTTCATCCCTGGGATGCAAGGCTGGTTCAACATATGCAAATCAATAAATGTAATCCAGCATATAAACAGAACCAAAGACAAAAACCACATGATTATCTCAACAGACACAGAAAAGACCTTTGACAAAATTCAGCAGCCCTTTATGCTAAAAACTCTCAATAAATTAGGTATTGATGGGACGTATCTCAAAATAATAAGAGCTATTTATGACAAACCCACAGCCAATATCATACTGAATGGGCAAAAACTGGAAGCATTCCCTTTGAAAACTGGCACAAGACAGGGATGCCCTCTCTCACCACTCCTATTCAACATAGTGTTGGAAGTGCTGCCTTTTTCTTTAACAGACTTGTAGTAGAGTAAAAGGAAAACATTCTGTAAATAAATTTAATAAACTATTATGGGTGCCATGAAGATGCTTTCTAGATATATGAAGGAATCATATCAAACAGTGTTTTAAATTATAAAATTTCCCTAAGTATAAAATCTTTCCTTACAAAATGACGAGTTAAGTATATTCCCATTTGACAACTTAAAAACTAAAGTATTGAGAAATTACATAACATGCCCATCATCATAGTCTGGCAAACAGCTTTTGGATACAAGCACTCCTTATTTGCTGTCTTCTGTCTCCCTCATCAAATTGCAACCTTGGTAATATTGATTTGTATTTCCAGCAATTAACATTGTGCCTGGCATAGAGTAGATACTTAGTTAAAAGGTTTATTTTCTCTTCCATATGTAGTTTCAAACTATCTTTTAAGCTATCTCTGTGCAGTCCGCCAGCACTGAAGACTGAGCCAAACCCTGCAGACCCAGTTATACAACATGAACCCAAATGAGCTATTATGGAATCATAAACTCTTCTAAAGTGGGTCTAATATGAGCATCAGCAGAGAAAAATGTCAGCTTGCATTAGCTTTAAAACTATAGTAATCTGTGTCTTAGAAATCCACATTTTGAAAGCCAGTATTTAATAGATTCTAATAAAAAAAGCCAATGATTATTCTTATTAGGGCGTGCACTTTTTTCTTTTAAATACCCAGCTGTATTCCAAACATAACAAACTTCAAATCATTAAAAGGTTCTGCTCTTTCCAGATCACTTAAAATTATTTCAGAAACAAAAGGATTTTGCATGGATTCTCTCAATTATGAAGCAAAATTATGAATCCTAATGTAGGCTTAGATTGTTAATCTAAAACTGTTGAGTTTTCCTGGACTTGACTCTGGGCAACTATTACCTGTGTGGAGCTCTTCCAGATAACTATTATTTTGGATGCTCTACAGATTGCTGCCTCAGCAGATTAAAATAAAAATAAAAAACTGAGTTCAAATTTGAATCTACCAATGTTCTTGTGATGTTGAAACTCACTTGTATTTTTTATACCAGTTTTTTAATTGGGAAAATGAATGTTAATTTGATTTATGCACGTTCTCCCCAAAGATGTCAGTAGAAATTACTTAAAAGTGCTTAGAAATATAATATATGGCATAATCATTATTTAATTAGCATATCAATAAAAATGATGTGACTTTTTGAGAACTAAGTCATGGAAGAGTATCTCAGACATGCACACAGAAATGGACTTGAGTACTTTGTTTCTGCTGTCTTGAATTTGTATATAATTCTGACATAATAGAAAAATGGCACTTTATATTATTTGTATTTCTAGAAAAAAATTTAAGTCCTCTTTTTGATCTAGCTCTTGGCAATAGATTAAATGAACTAATCTATTTGGCAAAATTTATTTGAGCTTTTTTTGGCAGCTACTTTTTAACATAATTTTAAAAAATTGTTTTACAAATTTTAAAGTTATTTAATTTTTGTTGGTCAGAACTTTTGTACCATGATATTTCTTGATCTCATCCCAAATCAATGACCTTATAAAACAAGCTGAATTAAAACACTCTTTAAGTATTATGTCACTTTGCACTTCTCAAATAAATGACGCAACCGGAAATTATGTATGTTGGAAATAATTGCCAATTGAATCAACTCAGTACACAGCAAAATTATTTGAGTGCTTTGAATTTTGTGAAATATCAGACCCACTTAGATTTTCCCAATGATCTGTAGTCTTTTTCTTACTTTGCGTCAGAATTACCAGGGTGATCCTCAAAGACTCATGTGATCTTCAGTCTTGTTAATGTGGCCTAACCCCACATTTGTGGATTGAAGTGGAGGCTTTTTCTGCTTATGGCCCCTGCCCCACCTTTTGCTGTCTGTGCATCTCTAGTCCCATAGGAAATTCCCAGTCTTTGTTATTCCTGTTATGATGTCCTTTCCCTGACTTCAGGGGAATTGGTCAAAGCTGAGAGAATGTTGTGCTAATTTTCTTTTTAATCTCTTTATTGCTGAAAATGGGAAAAGGGTCAAGAACTTTGCACTGGTCTCAAAATTATCACTTAAAAACTGGAAGAAATTACAAACAGGATCTGGTCCTTTTTTGGCCATGGTATGGAATGCGGTGTCAGGAGCAGCTAAAGGGCAGGTGCCCTGATGTCCTGTCAGTCCTATTCAGCTGCCCTGAGCAAGATTAGGCAGGGTGTCTGTGGAACAGGGGATCTCTGAGGGAGGTGGGCACCCACAGACTGGAAGATTTTGACTGGAAGCTTTTACTGGTATCCCACTAGGAACTAAGCAGCCATTAAGTCTGCTTTTAGGAAATTTTCTGCTTTGTGTTTGACTACCAAGCCCCTATCATGACCCATAGAGTTGAGGTTGTTTCCCATTTGTCTTGATCTTCCTGCATCCTATTTGTGTCTCCTGTATTTGGTTTTATGATTTCTCTGGTGGGCTGTTTCTATAGCCCTCTACTTCCAATGAACTCACTATGCTTTTTCTCTTCTTTTTCTCAAAACCCACAACTTCATAAAAAGCTTAGCTCTTTTGAATTAAGTCTGTGCATGTCTGTCCTTTAAACCCCAGGTCATTTAAACCACCTGCAACTTGAGCATGTTAAAAGACAACAGGAGTTTTAGCTGTTTTGTATGATTTTTCATTATTGCATATTATATTGTCTAACTTTGGTCCACTCCTTAAGCCACAATCTCCCTTTCAGAGCGAAAGGGTTATATTTTTGTGAACATAATCAACAGAAATTAAGGGGAAGCAGAGAGAGACAGCAAAAACAAAATCACTGGACCAATGAAAGATTCTACCATTTACATAGAGGGAGGATATCATTCTATATTTATTGTATATTATTTTTCCTTCATAAATTTATTCTCCTTGTGAGAATATACACTGTTTCCAGAAAGCACCAGTTTAATGCACATGGGCTCTCTCTATGGTGAAATCTATTGGAGACCCTATCCTTAAATCAAAGCTTGTGAAACAAAAAGAGGCCAGTCTTTAATGAGTTAGAGACCAAAGTATTTGGGGTAAAAAAGTGGAATCATTATCATTAGAAATGAGATTTCAATAAGATAAATGTTAGCCTGATATCCTAACCAGAACATGTTTATAGTGACCATAGTGACCCAATGGTTCTTATAGTCTCTTGTTTTGCCTGTTGGATTCTTAGCAACTGATAACTGCAGTAAGTCCCCAACTATTGATTTTTCTTTACAAATGGGGTTTATTTTAATGAATATAAAATGCCAACAAATTCACTTCTCTCAGAGATAGCAATCATTGCCTCAGAGTTCTGTAAACCAGATTTTGTGTAGAAACAAAAGAAATTCATACAAACAAATGACTCTTATTGACATATAGGCGAGCAAGTTAGTGGAGATCACTTAAGATTACATATGCTCACATTTTACAGATCACACTCCAAGGCTAATAGCTGGTTTTCTCAGCAAGGTGAGCAAGTGACTCAGTTCTTTGTGGGTGTCTGTGATGACTGCAGCACTCACAGCCACTGTCTGATGTTGACCCCCTCTGATACTAGGGTCACCACAAAAGCTAGCTTAGGCCCAGACCTCTGCAGCTAGCATAACTCAGTTTCTACCAACCGAGAGATTGCCAGGCCCAAGAAATGGCTTTTTCAATTGATCACACTTCACTTAAGGGCCACACCTGTGCACGCCTGCTCTGTGCGTTTGCACATTTATTTAGGTGTGAAAAATATCAACAAGTAATTTATCTTATTATAGAGAGAGTTTGATGTATATGTGTACTGGCTTCTGATTTTTTAAGTATTTGTGTTTCTCTCCATTTATAAAATACCGTTTTCTTCAGTGGCTAAAGTATGGTGTAAGCAGAAATTATCTGACTATGCTATACAACTGTACCTACATATTGCCTTATTAATAGAGTTTTCAAATTTGGTTTTATACTGTGTATTCAGTTTTATATACTGTTTGTGACTTACATAATGAATACTTTTCTTATAATGAAACTTGATTTTGATAATGTATCCATTCTTAATTATACATTTAAGTGAAAGTGAATGAATTCAGAAGTAGAAATGGTGTTTAATGAGATCTGTAGAATATATGAAGCTTGTTAAATGTTGAGCAGAAGTACTACTGCTTATTCTGTTTATGTTTTCAAGCTTCCTTTTATGATCTTCCTTAAACTTTTTGTGTATGACCTTTGATGTCTTTGTTTCCCCTATTGCACCCTTGCATTTTATCTCTCTCTGGTCTAAGATCAGTTATAAAAATGTACCAGCAAGAACTGAAAATAAAACAAATGTGTATAATATCTAGTAGTGGCTAAGGTCATAGACACTGTGCATCTGAATCCTACCGCTACACTTACCAGTTTCTTGGTTATTGTGGGCTAGGTAATTAACCATTTAGATTCATTTTTATCATTTCTGAAATTAGGAAGATATTATTTCCTGGCAAAATTATGTGCCCAATAAACATTAGTTGCTAATATTATTGTCATCATTACTTTGTATAATATTATTACATTGAAGATACATTTTCTGCATAGTAGAAAATATACATTTTTTTGCAGATCTATATATTTTCTTAGCTTCTTCTGGGAATATAGAATAATATTATACCTAGAGGGCATGACTTGTGACTGGAATTTTGGAGAAATTGTAAATAAATTAATGTTATAGGCTCTGTTTCTCAAAATCTTCCTCAGAGGTTGGGGATATAAGGCACAGAGATGTCAGATCTCAGTAACTTAGAAATTTGGGAAGTGAAGCTGTGAAGAAATATCCAAAATAGCTGCATGAATGGGTAAGAAAGAGAGTTCAAAGCAACTCTATCCTATACAAAAATTTACCCTACAAAATTCCTCAGTTCAGGCTATTTTTTTATTGTTGTTGTTTCTAGCTTGCTAATTATGTGCGGAACTGTGCTGAGCCCTGTACAGAATCATAGGTTAATAGATCTGGTTCCTGATCTGTCTGACTTTATCCAACTTTGTGTCCTACAGCCCATCAAATCTTTTTAGAATTGAAGGTACAGCCTTGCTCGAGGTTTGGTTTCATTCTTGTCTTACTCCGCCAGTAATTAATTCCTTTAGAGATTTCTGTAATAGGACCTCTCGTAAAAGGCATGTGCCCATTAAATATTGAAAAATTGTTAAAATGTATTAGACTTCATACGATTTACCTACAGTTTTGCTTATAATCAAATGTCTACTAAACATCTATGAATTTCATTTTTAATTTTGGCATTAAAAGGTTTTGTTTCTAATCTTATGTCTTTCCTGGAAGGAAATTTGCAAAGACATTTAATCTATTCCTTTTATACAGTATCTCTAACAATTTGGGAATCTTTGCCATTTCAAATAGATTATAGAAAAAAGTACATAAGTATTATTAAAAGTCTTACTTGGCATAAAGAGTTAAACATTTAAAAATACATAACATAATTTTTAGATTCACGAAGTACCTTTACTTAAAAATATGATATTTACTTTTCATGATTTATTTAACTCACAAATATTTAATTTAGCTTAAAGTTAGGGTATTAGGTACCCTGTAAGTGTAGATGAATGGCAGGTTAAATTTGGTATTGATTTGGTTCTCCCATTGAAGTTGTAAAAGCAAGAACTATAAAAACTTAGTTATAATACTTTGTGTCCATATATTTGTCTTGGTAATCCAGAAACTGTGATATTAAATCCATACAGCAAAGAAGAAATATTTAGTAGAAAGCATAATTTGACAATGAAATTTAAATAAAATGGACCCAATCTTTAGTATAACGTTGAAAATGACACCTTTAGTTAGTTAATATATTGTTGGTATACAATGGAATCAAATCTTAAGTAAAATTGTACACATTTTAGGTATTAAAATTATCTTTAAAACTATGCTTTCTATGTCTTTTTTGTATTATATCTCTCTTATTTGCATTGCTTTTTCAACATGAATGTCTAATATTTTTAAAGTTGTCTAAAACAACAAATGTTTATTTATATATACATACACATTTACATACATTAATAAATTATTACAATATAATTTTCAAAATTCATAGTGGATAAAATATAATTTTTACCAAAAAATAAATAGGGTTATTAAATTACTAGGATAAAGATATTATCAGTGAAATGAAATATATAATTACTGAGGACACTGTTTTTAGATATATTAAACTAAACCATTTATAATTTTTGAAGCAGAGTTCTTTTTTCAATGTCTTTTGTAGCTGTGCCACAGGGTGTGTCATTACGAAACAGGCACATACAGGCTGAGTATCAAACCTCTGCTGATTTGGTCATTTTTTTACTTCATGTTGTATATTTTTCTGCACACTGTGCTATTTTGCTGAGAGTAAAAAAAAGTTATTGTAGCTTTCAATCATTGATGCAGAATGCCATTTATGTACATCATGAGAGCATGGGGTCTTTATAAAATTATCCCTCAGGTACATTGCAGGTACTGCTTCATACCTAGAACAAAATTTTCAGTGCTATATAGAGTTGGGACCATTATCAAGATTTAAAGGCAAAAGGAAAGTCATTTACTTCTCTTGTAACATGTATCTATGTGTTAGATTTACAATTGTGCAAAATCTATAACTGTAACTTTGAATCTCTTAGAATTTGTCATACTCCTAAGATGAAATTTAAACAGTCTCATTTTCAAGTTTCTTTCCTATCTATGTAAATCTTAAGGTCATAAATATTTTTTCTAAATAAGAGTTTAAATTAAATGTCATGATATCTTAAGTGTTTATGTTTTATAAGTTTTGGACTTCAAGAAATCTAATTACATGTCCAGAAAAGTAATAGCAAGTTTTTTTTTTTCCTTTGGTATTTTTGGAAATTATTTGTTACACTGCACTTGTGCTAGATATAAAAAGAATGAATAAGGAATGTACCATGTTCTCAAGAAACTCACAGAGTTTTAAGAGAAAAATTATTAAAAATAAATGGTACAAGTGGCATAATATTGTTCAGAGTATATTGTACAAAAATCATAATAGGTAATTTCATGTTTTATGAAAAAAATTTTCATAATTTTTCTAAAGGATTGTAATAAACATATTTTTATATTTTTAATCCTTATATAACTCCTTGACTTTATATATTTTGCTTAAATTTTTTGCACTATAAATATAGAAGTATAAATGAAGTTATTTTCTTGCCCAGGATCTCCTAGTAATAACTCAGATTACAAATGATCAAAATTCCCAATTATTCTCTTGGATTATAATTCTGGATAGTATTCTAGGTGTTAGAGTTTGACATATCTAATTTCAGCCTAAATCATACCATTTATTCTCTCTTAATATTTTTATGCCTTATTTTCTTACCTATAAAAAGGGTTCTGCAAGTCCCACCATACTAAGCTATCATGAATATTAAATGTGATATGCATGAAGCAAAAGCTGTCTGGGAAGCAAATTAGACAGCTTCTGTTGAGAGCAGAAATCCGATAGGACAAAGCTTTCAGGAAATTTCCTGTAATGTTTTTTATAGGAGAGCATCATGATTAAAAGAAAAGATGTAAACCAATCATGCTTTGCAGCTTGCTAAAAATTAAACATATGTCTGTGCCTGGGCTTGTGAGTGTGTGTGTAGGTGTATGTGGAGAATTATCGAGCATCTCTGACTTTTTATACTTATTTTTCTATTGGGGTAAAAACCATATAACATAAAATTACCCTGTTGACAAATGTTTAACTGTATGATGCAGTACTATTAACTATATGCATATTATTGTACCGCAGAAATCTAGAACTTTTTCTTCCTGCATGACCAAAACTCTATACCCATTGAACAACTCCCTATTTTCCTCTCTCCTCAGCTGCTAGAAATCAGTATTCTACTTTCTCCTTCTATGAGTTTGACTACATTAAATACCTTATATAAGTGGAATCATGCAGTATTTGTCCTTAAGCAACTGGCTTATTTCACTTATCATGATGTCCTCAAGTTTCATCCATGTTATAGCATATTATAGAATTTCCTTCTTTATTAAAGTTCAGTAATATTCCATTGTGTGCATATACTACATTTTCTTTATCCACTCATTCATCAGTGGACATTTATGTTGTTTACATATCTTGGCTAGTATGACTAATGTTGCAATGCTGCAAAATATTCATAATTATTTTGAATAAATATCCAGCAGTGGGATTGCTGCATCATATGGTATTTTTATTTTTATTTTTAAAGGAACTTTCATACTGTTTTCCATACTGGCTGCATTATTTTACATTCCCACCAAGAGCACACAAGAATCTCAATTTTCTACATCCTTACCAATAAGTGTTATCTTTTAACTTTTTGATAACACCTACCCAAACAAGTGTGAGGCACTGTCTCAGTTGGTTTTGATTTGCATGTCCTTGATTTCTAGCGATGTTGAATAACTTTCATACACCTGTTGACCCTTTTGTCTATTGAAACCCTTTGCCCATTTTTAAATTGAATTATTAGGTATTTTGTCACTGAGTTGTAGGAGTTCTTTATATATTTTTGATATTAACCCTGTATCAGATATGTGAATTGCAAACATTCCCTCCCATTCCACAGTTTGCCTTTTTACTCTGTTGATTGTTTTCCTTGCTATGCAAAAGCTTGTTGGTTAGATATAGTGACAGTTGTTTTATTTTGCTTTTGTATCTTATGCTTTTTGTGTCATAATCCATGAAATCAGTACCAAGACCAAATTTAGGAAGATTTCCTCCATTTTCTTTGAGAGGTTTTATGGTTTCAGTTCTATGTTCACATCTTTAATCCATTTTGAGTTAATTTTTTGTACTGTGTACAATAAGGCTCAAATTTTATTTTTTTGCATGCGGATTTTCCACTTTTCCCATCACCATTTGTTTAAGAGACTGTTGTTTCACCATTATGTAGCCTTGAGACCCTTGTCAAAGATCATTTGACCAATTTATGCATGGATTTATTTCTGGCCTCTCTATTCTGCTCCATTGGTTTATATACTGGTCCTTATGTCAGTGCCACATCATTTTGATTACTGTAACTTTGTAATATGTTTGGAGGTTAGGCAGTGTGAGGCCTTTAGCTTTGTTTTTCTTGCTCTATATTGTTTTGGCTATTTGGGGTCCTTTGTGGTTCCATAAACATTATTTCTATTTCTACAAAAAAGCCATTTGGATTTTGATGGAGATTTATTTGAATATCCAATTCATGTATATAGGATGTCTTTTCTTTTTTTTCGAGACAGAGTTTTGCTTTTGGTGCCCAGGCTGAAGTGGGATGGCATGATCTCGGCTCACTGCAACCTCCGCCTCCTGGGTTCAAGTGATTCTCCTGCCTCAGCCTCCCAAGTAGCTGGGATTACAGGCATGCACCACCATGCCTAAAAATTTTGTATTTTTAGTAGAGATAGGGTTTCTGCATGTTGGTCAGGTGGTCTCAAACTCCTGACCTCAGGTGATCTGCCCACCTCAGCCTCCCAAAGTGCTGGGATTACAGGCATGAGCCACTGCACCTGGTCAGGATGTCTTTCCACTTATTTATTCCTTCGCTGATTTCTTTCAGCAATGTTTTGCAGTTTTCATGTACAAGTCTTTTCTTCCTTAGTTAAGTTTATTCATAAGTATTTTATTCTTTTTGGTACTATTGTAAATGGTGTTGCTTTCTTAGTTTCCATTTTGGATTGCTCATTGTTAGTGTATGGAAATGCAACTAATTTTTGCATGCTGACTCTGTAGTTTGCAACTTTACTAAATTTGTTTTTTCTAACATTTTTTGAAATCTTTAGGGCTTTTTACATTTATGAGTATATCATCTGCAAAAACAGATAGTTTTACTTTTCCTTTATGACTTGGATGCCTTTTCTCTCCTTCTTGCCTAATTGCTTTATGAAAACTTCCTGTACTATGTTGAATAGAAATTGTGAGAGTAGGAATCTTTGCCCTTTTTCTAAGGCAAATCTTTCAGAGTTTTTTTTTTTTTGACAGTTGAGTATGATTTTAGCTGTGGGTTTTTATATTGCTGTTTATTATTTTGAGGTAATTATCTTATACACCTAGTACACTGAGTGTTTTTATGAAAGGGTGTTGAATTTTGTCAAATGATTTTTCTGCCCCTGTTGACATAATCATATGACTTATTTTTTGTTCTGTTAAATAACATTGATTGAGTTACATATGTTCAACCCACCTTGTATCCCAGAGATAAATTTCCCTTGGCCATGGTGTATGATCCTTTTAATATGTTGTTAAATTCAGTTTGCTAGCATTTTGTTGAGGATTTTTGGATTGATATTATTCAGTGATAATGACCTGTAGTATTCTTTTCTTGTAATGTCTTTGTCTAGCCTTGGTATCAGGGTAATACTGGCTTCCTAAAATGAGTTTGGAAGTGTTTCCTCCTTTTAAAGTTTTTGAAAGAATTTGGGAAGAATTTTCATTTTATTTAATGTTTGGTAGAATTCTTCAGTGAAGCCATCTTGTTCTCGGCTTTTCTTTGCTGAGATTTTTTAATTTATTTTCTTTTATTACTGATTCAATGTCTTAACTAGTTACAGATGTTTGGATTTTCTATTTCTTTCTTGTTCAGTATTCATAGGTTGTGTGTTTTTATGAGTTCATCCATTTCTCCTAGGTTATCCAACTTATTGGCACATAGTTGTTCATAAGAGCCTCTTGTTATCTTTTGTATTTCTGGCATCAGTTTCTTACTTTACTTGAGTTTCTCTCTCTCTCTCTCTCTCTCTCTTTAACCTGGCTAATGGTTTATCAATTTTTTTTCTTTGGTTGAGTTATGTTTTCCTGTTTCTTTATGTGCCTTGTAACTTTCTATTACGATCTACACATTTGAAAAAACAGTCACTTTTCCCAGGCTGTTCACAGAGGAAGGCCTTTACCCATCAGCTGGCTAGTGATTCTGGGGGCCACTCAAGCGTTTTTCTGTGGGTGTCTTCTCAGGAAGTGTGCACATAAATTTCCAATTAGAAGGATTTACTGGCTTCTTTTTGCAGGAAACTGTACTCTCTTTCTTCCTCTTGTGTCTGTTTGAAGTACTACAGGTTCTCTGCAGCTGCCATATGCTGCTCAGCTCTCCATTCTTTTCAGCAACTCCCTGGCTTCTAGAGTATGCCAGTCCCATCAGCACTCCAAAATAGAATAACCAGACCCTTGGGCAGCATCCTCAAAAACCAGAATGTTAGATGCAAACTCCAATTCTTTCCCTCTCTAGGAAGAAGCTGAGAGTTTTTCCCACTTGTTCCATGTGGAGCCAGTAAGCAACTATGGCCAGGGAGTACAACACGTTTTTCTGCCAGCTTTGATGCAGTGGTTTCATGCTCACTGAGGTGTAGGAGCCTCTTAACTGGTTTCTGGATTTCTCACAAAGGGAGTGTGTCCATGTACTATTGTCCATGGAGGGAAGGAGGGTCTGGGACTTTCTCTTCTGTCATGTTGATAATATCACTTCTGCCTATGATTCTTAAAATGTTAATTAACAGAGATATTCTGCACATCAGTTTTTATTCTTCAGGGCCATAGATATAAGCTCAGCAGTGTGGTCTGAGTCTGCTCTAGAATGGTTTGTGTTTTTTATTTGTTTGCTTATTTTTGTTTCTGGTAATCGGAGGAGCATGTGCTATTGAGTGAGAGGACCACAGTCCATATCTGGACCCAGTGGACCCACGGTAAGCTGAGAAGCTAGGACTATTCATTTCACAGCTCCGAAACTCTATTCTTTCATTTATGAAGTGTGGATATTGTCGAATATTCATCTGGACCTTTGTAAGTGCATTGTAAATCTGTAAAACAACAAATTAAGGTTATTTATTATATATAATAACTACAGGACAGATCCAAAAGATGTAGATGTTGTTTTTTACCAACCTAATTCGTACAGCTGGTTCATTTTGACTGGTTACTACTTTTTCCTAAGTATAATGAGCACAGCAAAAAAAAAGCGTATTGAAAAATCTGGGTAATTAACCTTTTTGTTTTAGCTCTTCTTTGTATTTGGCTTACTTCTCTCATATATCTGAATGTGTTTATAGCCATTTAAGATATGCTGAGAACCTGAAAATTCAATTACTTATATAAATGTTTTACACTTAAATTAGTTCTAGATATTTGGTAGGAACATGGGTATAAAAACATGAAATATAATCAAAGGTGAAAAGAATAGCCTCAGTTATTTATCTTATAAACTAGTGATTTTCATAATTTATTTTTTATGTTGAGATAACTAAGACAATAATTCAAGGTCTGTAATGCTGAGAGTCATATAAGCTTCTAAACAGCCATTTTTGGAAAGTACTCTATGGGAATGTAGCAATTTACATGGCACATTTTCCCAAGGAATTTAGAGCAGTTCGTGGCCCTTACGTAATTTGTGGGAGGTAAAATACATGTGTCATTATTTGAAATCCCAAAGTCTATGAATTGAATCAAGAAGCCTCTTTATAGGCTTTTCTGATTCAGGACAGCCAACCCTAACCAGACCTGGAACACACAATACTACTCATAGTTTTTGTCAGAAGGAAATTCAAAAATAGCACACCTAGAAGAATTGTCATTTTACACTGAGCCAACTGTCATAAACTGTGTGCTCCATGTGTTTCAATGGAACTGAAAACCCCAACTCAATTTTCTGCTGAACAAATGTTTAAACTGAAAAAAGCAACGAAGCCCACAAACAACCCTTTTACTTGATGCATATTTTTCTTTATCCTCTTGTTGGGTTGTTAGAATGGGAATTCTATGTAGAAGGAAAGGTATAAAAATGAATTCAATCGTGTTTGGTAGTATTTTCTACACTGTGTACTGGGCTGTGACTAACATACTTTATTTGATAGGGATTATAATCATCCTTTTTTCAGGAAAAGATGAATTCAGGGTTTTCTATAATTAATATACTCATACTCT
The DNA here is from genome assembly GCF_000001405.40 of Homo sapiens. Classification (NCBI taxonomy): domain Eukaryota; kingdom Metazoa; phylum Chordata; class Mammalia; order Primates; family Hominidae; genus Homo; species Homo sapiens. The sequence continues at coordinate 77,722,349 of NC_000012.12, forward strand.
TTCAGGAAAACTACATGCTGTGTATTTATACGTTAAAGCAACAGGTACTATAAAAATCTTGTTGATATTGTGTGTGGTAGTTTTCAGCTTTTTGATACTTAAGCCTTTGCTTTTACAAAGCATTATGCTGGTATAGCTGTTTAGCAATAACTTTTGATTATTATGGGCCTAGTTGTGGTAATTTTACAAAATGGGCAGTATTCAGATTGCATGTAAATTGCAGTGATAGAAAAAAATAAAAAATATTCTTCTACAGTCTGGGAGAAATTTTGTTAAATCATGTTATTATATGGGTTGTTAAGTTCTTTGGAGTCTTTTGAAGAGTGTCCAGGCTGTTTCCATGCTTTGTTTATATAGGGAAATGATTGGAATAAAAGCATGAACTGAACTATTCTTGAATTAATCCAAATGTTTATATTATGGCATTATTGATAGAAATTTTGTCTTGTTACTTGGATATCATGCAGTGTTTATGAGGATAGCAGTTTTCTAGCCAAAATCTCACTCATGAAGTTCAGCTCTCCAATTTTAGAAATGATTTTTCTTTTTCTTCATGCATACATACTTGGCACAAACCTCAGTAAAGTTAGGCTCAGGTGAATGTTTACAGATTATCATTCTGAATATGATTTTTTGAGGGGCATGATTGTAGCTTTTGTGTTATCAGCTATAGTAATTTTTGCAAGTTTTTTTTGCCTTTTGGGTTTTTACTAAATGTTTTTCTACTATGTTATTAATTTTCTGTAAAATATGTTTATAGTGTCTCTATTCAGAGAGACAGAGACATAGAGAAAGAGAGCACATGCTCTCTCCATGTAGAAGTGACAATGGTACTGGGAGATGGTGTGATATACCAAACATTTCCTCAGTCCTCTTTCCTTTACTAAGCCCTACATTTTACAGAAGTGACTGCGAATAAAGTAAACCAAGGAGAAGATCTCTGTATGCCTTAACAACTTTTCAGTTTTGCAAAACTATAATAATTAATTCTTACAATAATGTTATTGAAAAGTTTTTTTTTTTAAATTTGATTTATGGAGGGATTATGATGAGCCTCCTTAAAGAGGTTGGCATGCTGCTTAGACTACATGGAGCCACTGAGCAGATACTAGTCAAGCTATGTGAACAGCACTCTGCTGGCTATTAAGAAGCCAATGATAAACAAAATAAATAGGATCTCTGCCCAGATACAAATACATTTCAAGTTATGACATGCTGTGAAAGGCTTGAATCTTCTGGTTCACACACCTTCTCCCTGCCAGAAATCTGGGTGCAGAGCCAACCTTGTTTGCTTACTGGTCATGAAAATAAAGGAGGGTCAATTGGAAGATCCTGATCCATAGTTAGTTGATGCCCTTTCTGAGTCTCCACACAGATTTCGAGGAGTTTCTTCTTGGCAATCTTGACTTTTTTTTTTTTTTTTTTTTTTTACATATATCTCTATTATAATAGGTCCCATTAATTAGAATTGTTCTATTTCAACCTTCTGCAACTTAAACAGTAAGTCCTTGCAGGATAGTGAAAAGCCTTTTTCATGTTGAATTGCTTCATACATATGAGATTTAAAGTGATGAATATGCGTGTTCATTCGTTTGTTCTTGAAAATATGAAAGTACATTTGAGTTTTTGTATTTTTCTATTCATTAATTTTAAATGCCAAATAAATTATTACTTTTCTACATCCATTAAATGGGGATAACTCTTATCTCATTAGTTTACTGTGTAAATAAATGAGATAAAGTATATAACATATTCTAGATGCACATGTAAAGTATCAAGACATGTTAGATATTACTAATACTAAATAATACCACATTCTCTATTACAAATTTCTATAAAAATTGCATTTTTCATATAAAATTTTGGCTGTGACCATATATGTGGGCACTTATGTATTTGTTTACAGACCTATCAGTTGATTATGCTTTTTCTGTATTTTTTTCTGAGAATAGAAATGTTAAAAAACTTTCATTCAATGCCTGCAAATAAATTAACTCAAAGATGTTCAATTCTAGAAGGAAACTTACAAATTATCTTGCCTGATATGCTCATATTATGAATATATAACTGGAGGAACAAAAAAATTAAAAAACATATTTAGGCCACTTTGGGGGGATTCAGTTTATTAAATAATATCTCAAGTGCTCAATAATATTTGCGATATCCTTCCTTTCAGTGCTAGAGTATTCAGCAATATACTGTGTTTGCCACCAGAAGGTGCTACAGGGAAATAAAACCAGCCTGTTTGAATGCTTTGTACTAGTATTTTTCCATTTGCTCTTGGTGGTGTCCTCTCTAGATCATTTCCTCCATTCAGTAATAGGTTTTCATATGGTATCAATATCCTATCTATGAAATTTCAAGGAGCTGACCATGGGCAAAAAAAGCAGGAAATAGAGAAGTCTTTAGAAATAGCATTATATGAAATATTTGAGAACATAATATTCATGTAATTGAAGATACTGTATAAATTAAGCTTTGCAATTTCTGTTAAAGTCAACTTCATAAAGAAAGTTTATGTTCTGTGCTAATTCAGATGTCAAATCTTTCAAAAGTGAATTTACACTCCCTTTAAAATATGGTAGAACTGAGAATGCTATTGTGGAATGCATAATTCTAGAGTGAGTACATTTTATAATCTTGTCAGTAAATTCACTAACCTTAAAAGGTTTATTGTCTTTAAGCTTTCCTAAGTAAAAAATATCACCAGGTGTCTGTGTGTATTTTCTTCACATAGTTTATTTCAAGATAATTTAAGCATCTAGGCGATACTGGTATTAAACTTTTTTCCATTGAGGATTTCCCTTTTCTTTTCCATTTGGGAAATACAACATGCTTCCCAGATTCCAAATTTCACTGCTTATTTTTATGACTACTATAAAAGGATAAGAAGAGGATAAAATAGTAAAAGGGTAATAATATTATCCTGGGAGCTATTTCTGTATCTCAGTGCTAAAAGCCATCAAACTATGTAGACATTTTTAAAAGTTCTTTTGTAATATTCATATAACTGACGAAAATGTGTTCATTTATCATTTCAGCAGGAAAAAGTATAAAATTTCTCTGGATATTTTTCTGGACATTTGCTGTGTACATTTTCATTTAACATGCCTTTGCAAGTTAGATAGTTTCCCCAGATTTTTTTTTCTTTTAATTTCATGTGCTCAGTAAAAATGTGGCAGTCTTAAGCCCAATGCTGCAAACTATACTGGTAAAATAGGGTGGAAATCAGAGAAAGTGGTAGTTGTAGAGAGCTTGCTCGCAAACCATTCAAAATTTGGAAAGGAAAAAAAAAAAGTGAACTCTTCTATACTCATGTAAACTATTGTATTAGTTTCCTGTTGTTGCTATAACAAAATATCACAAACTTGATGGCTGGCGACCACAAAAATGTTTATCTTACTGTTCTGGAATTCAGAAGTCCAAAATGGGCCTCACTGGGTTAAATTTAGGTCTCTACAGGGCTGCATTCCTTCTGGAAGATCTGTGGGCGAATCCATTTCATTGCTGTTTCTAGCCCTAAAGGCTGCCCTGTCTCTTGGCTGTGTTTCCCTTCTATCTTCAAAGCCTTCAATGGCTGACTGAATTTTTTTCATGCTGCATCACTCTGAATCTGACCCTTCTGCCTCATTCTCCACACCGAAAGAACACTTTTAATTACATTGGGCCTAACCGGATAATCCAGGACAAACTCCTTACTTTGAGGTCAACCGATTAGCAATCTTAATTTTCCCTTTCCATCTCATATATTCACAGGTTTCAAGGATTAGAATGTGGAAATCTTTGGAGAGGGGATTATTTTTCTGCCTTCCACATCTACCTTCTGTGCATTTTTCCAGAGTTGAAATACTATGTGTGTAATTTGTTTAGCATTTTTCACTTACACTTGTGGTTTGGATTTTCTCGTGTTAGTGCTTTTCAGTGAATATCTTTTTCACAGCCACAGAACACTACAAGGAAAGAATTTACCATCATTTTCCTACCCATTCACCTAACATTGGCCACTTAACTTATTTAAAAATATTTATTGTATATCAGTTGTGTGACAGGTGCCCTGCAAATAAATGGGATTTTAGTCATTTATAAGACAAAGTTTCTGCCTTTAGGGGAACTAATGGGAAAGAGAGGAGGAAAGAAAGTAAGGGATTAGTCAGAGTATGAATTTATTAAAATTCTGATGTGGGCATGACAGTGGAGACAGGGTACCATAAAAATGGAAAGAATGAAAAAAAATGGAAAGAATATTTCTTCAATGGAGAGTCAGGCATGGTTTCCTAATAAAGTGACATGTTTGCTGGGTCTGGAGGGTGGAGATATTTATCCACTTTAGAAGCTAGGGAAAGAGTGTTTGAGGCAAAACAACAAAAAACAACAATAGCAACAAAAAGGACTTGAGTAAAACAACAATAACAACAAAAAGAGCACTAGTAAAGACCCCAAGTCAGGAAGCTGCTTGGCACAGTGGATGATTGTGAAGTGGGACAAACTGGCAGGGGTTTGGTGATAAGAAAAATGGCTTGGGATGAAGACGGAGAGGTGAGAAAAGCCATTTCATGTAAGACTTCGTATGCCAAGGTAATAATATGGGATTTCATGTTAAAAACAAGGAAAGCTATAGAACAGTTTTAATCGAAGGAGAAACACAATATGCTTCTATTCAAAATGATCCCTCTGGCTACAGCACTCATCATGAATGAAGATAGCAGAAGGAGACATGAGGAGGTGGGGACCATATTGAGGAATATCCACAGATTTGTCGATAGAGATGGTCAGGATGGTAGGAGCCACTGAAAGGTTGGTGATGCCATGATTCCATTTACTAGGACTGGTGTAGGCTGAGAGAAAGCTGTTATAGTGGGAGGACTGAGTTCAATTTTGGAAGCATTGTATTTGAGAGGTTTTTGGGTCATAAACATGGAGGTTCCAGTGAGAAGTTTACGAGTGTAGTCAAGGCCTGATAGTTTGTTGTGGGCTGGAGCTTTATCTGTGGAAGCTTTGTAGACAGCAACCATAGGCATGGGAGAAAAGTAAACAGGAAAAAGGGAAAAGGTTGCTTCTTATTTCAGCTCTTAAGAGGAACAATTTTTTTTTTTAATTGCATGAATCATTGACCCCTTTTTGTATCATTTAGAATATTACCAAGTCAAGGGTATAAATATTTTAATGTTGAAATGAAACGTAAGTGAAAAACAGGCAGACAGATTTAAGGAAGCGTATTCCAGGGAGACAGAATAACATGGGCAATGGCCAAGAGGCATGGAGCTGCACATTGTTCAGTAGAGTTTAGAAGTGTGATATGACAGGGCCCAGGTTCTAAAAATTCTGTTCTAAAAATTTTACACTTATTAAATCAACGAGTCTGTGAGGTAATTACTATCATTACCTCATTTTATGTATGAGACAACTTAGGCACTAAGAAGATAAGTAACTTTTCCCAGTTATACTGTTAGGAAATTGTGCTAGAATTCAAGCCCAGGCAGTCTGTATTACATAATGGACAACTGCTATTGCCAAGTACTCTTCTAATTACTCTCATTTAGGGGTGGCTATTTCGCTTTTCATCCTAATGAAGTCTGCCAATATTATCCATCCCCACTGGCTATAGGAGTGGGAAAAACACCCAAATTGGCCTCATCAGTATTTTTTTTTTAGATGTTTTAAAATTGGAAGTAAAGAACAAAATATTTCTGCTCCTCTGATAGCAAAGCTAGTGAAATGTGTACTCCAAACTGCAAATGGCTACGATTCCATCCTAGTAGACATAGCCATGGTGAGTTTATAAAAAGATGAGATCCAGTGAGCCTCCTGGTGGTACTTAAATCCCCAGCTCACTCCAGTCCTGTTAGGGCAAGACTTCCTTTTCAGCAATTTGGTCATGTGAATCACAAAATGCCTAAGCTTGTCTGAGTTGGTTACGATGATTTGTGGTCAAAAGTGTTTTGAGTAATATATTGCTGATTTATTACAGTTAAAACAGCAAATGGCATGGGTAGACTTGTGTTTAAGAAAGGTCACACTTGCAAGAGTGTGAAAAGTGCAAAACTAGAGACAGAAAGAATAATTGGACTATTTCTGTAACTCCAGTGAATACTGAAGAAGTGGGCTAAAGCATCAGCACTGAGGAAGCTTTAGTTTACTTCTTCAATATTTAGTCCACTTCTTCATTTTCTACACTGAGGAAATGGACAAAATGATATAAAACACATCAATAGGGTAATACCGATTGAATTTTGTTATTGGATGGAAAGGGTAAGAGTGAGGGAGGAAATGCACAGGTTTATGGCTGGAGAAGTACAGTAGACAGAGTATCATTTAGGCAGTAATAGTTTGAGGGTGGTAGAGGAAATGATGAATCCAATTTTGTAAGTGATGTCCAGAACACACTTACATATAGTTGACCCTGGAATAGCATGGGTTTGAACTACACGGGTCCACTTATACCTAGATCTTTTTCAACAAAAGTTATACCAAGTGTACCTGCCTCTTCTCCTGGCTCCCCTTCTACCCGCTTCACTTCTGCCTCTGCTACCCCTGAGACAGCAAGACCAATCCCTACTCATCCTCCTCCTCAGCCTACTCAGCATGAAGACAATGGGGATGAAGACCTTTATGATAGTCTGCTTCCACTTAACCAATAGTAAATATATTTTTCTATTTCTTCTGACTTTCTTGATATTTTATTTGTATTGTAAGAATATAGTATATAATACATGTAACATGCAAAATATATGTTAATTGGCTATGTTATCAGTAAGGCTTCCAGTCAACAGTAGATTATTAGTTGATAAGTTCTGGGGGAAGTGAAAAGTTATATGTGGATTTTTGACTGTGTAGGGGGTTGGCACCCCAATCCCTGTGTTGTTCAAGGATCAAGTGTATATTGATGTGAAGAGAGACCTAGGCTTGGTATATATAGGTTTGGCAATCATCAGTGTGTTGGTCTTAGAATGTGGACTGTCATTACTGATCCTTCCTAAAGTAGTTTTAATGGCAAGGAAGGCATAGAAGCCTGATTTCATACTTGAAGAGTGAAGGGAAATCTACTTAGACATAGAAGACTGAGTTCATATATGTGTGTTTACTTCCTCTCAAACCCCACTAAAATATTAGTGAAGAATTAAAACCTACAAGAAAAAGGCATGGGAAAAGGAGGAAAAAAGTAAGGTCTATGACATTTGGAAAGTGAAATGTAAGATAAACATGGTGATCAGAGCATAGGAAGCTTATAACTAACTGAAGAAGAAAGGTCCTGCAAGAAATAAACAACGTTTTACCTCTGGGCCCTGGAATTGGAGGCAACAAAAATCACTGAAACAAGGAAGAAGAGAGAAGGCTGAAATTCTGCAGCAGCAATTCATCTTTCAGATTTCCTCCACAGCCAAATGACAACTCCTCCTAAATCCTGATATAAGGCAGGAGACTTACCTATTGGTAAAATTAAATCAGAAATATTCTAGACTTCAGGATATCAGACACAATAGAGGGCCTGAAAACAAGATAATTGATGAAAAATCTAGATACCAAGTAGAGAAGCCATCAACTCCTTCTTTACCCAGGATGCTATATCCAAGATTTAGCTCTCTAGGCAGGAGCATAATAGATTCCTATTTCAAGGAAGAGGTGTGTATATGGGAATGAGGGGTATAGAATTAATTTCTAGATATTGACATTTGAAGCTTGTTGAAAACATTCAGGCTCTACCCAATTATTCTAAGACCTGTGAACAAGTAAACTCTACTTAGTAACACAAACCTCACTCTCTACTTTTTAAGCCTCACTTTAACATATAGATTGCTAAGTATCCCAGGGAATTTGAGAAATTCCTTTAATGTAAGACAAAGGAAAATGGGAAAATCAGGAATAATAACTCAGAAGAAATTGAAACATTCACAATACAGTTAGCAAAAGAAAAACTTTTTAAAAAGCAATAACTGATATGCTCAGAGGAAAAATAAAAGACACAGGAAAGATGAATAGGATGAAATTTAAAAAGACATTTAGTGAACAAAAAGATTTTTAGAAATGAAAACACGTGATTCCGGAAACTAAAAAAAACAATAATGTAAGGATTGGAAATTAAAAGTGAGAAAAAGTTAGAAACAGCTAAAAAGAAAACAAAGGAGAATCATAATAGGTAAGAAAATTGAGGAAAGTAAACCAAGTAGTCTAGTATTCTAATTTATATATCCAATAAATGTTTATTGAGCATTGTTATGTGTCTTGCATTGTTCTAGGTGCTGAGGATATCAGAGCAGAATAAAATAAAATCCTATGATCAGGAGTTCCAATAATACAGAATTGAGCAAATGGAAGTGAAATAATTAGGAGTGAAATAATGCCAAAAGATAAAACAAGACTCTCTGAATTACTAAGTTTCCAGATTAAAAGTGCCCATTGAATGGGATGGCATAGTGCTTTTTTCTTTTTTTTTTTTTTAAAGAAGACAAAAAAGCACATAATCATGACATTTTTAAATACTTGGGATAAAGAGAAAATCTTAACAGCTTTCACAAGTAAAGGGCACATTTGAAGCTGAATATTCTTAATAGAAGTACTAGAAGCTAGAATAAAAACAGAATAATGCCTCAAATACTCAAAAGGAAAATGATTGCCAACCTAGAATTTGTATTCAGCTAATTTCTGAATGACATAAGGATTAAAAAACAAAGATAAATAAAAGTATTTCAAAAAACACACGGTTTCAAAATTCTTCCACTCATACAACTTGTGGTTCATCAAACTAAGGGAATAAATCAAGAATGAAGATAGCATGAGATTCAGAAATTGGAGGATTCAGTGCAGAAGAGAGGCAAAGGTAATCCCAGAACAATGAAGTTGAAGAAAGGGATAACACCTGAATACCAGTCCCATACAGCAGCCAGTCCTGAGTTTTGGAGGAGAAGGGAGGATTCCAGGGGAAGGTCTTTCAGAGAAAAAAGATAAGTTGCAATAATGGATTATCCTATATGTTCTATTGTAGAGAGTTATAGAAGAATTAATGACAAGAACACAGAAAATTGTGCAGTTTTCTTGAAGAGGTGCTCAATTATACAAAAAGAAAAAGTTGCTCACTAATGTAAATGATTTTATGATACGATATATAACCCAGCAGGAAACATATTTACCTAGTTAGTATAACATAAACACTGAATGTTAATTACTATCCAAATTGTGATTGGCAAATTCTAGCCAGGGTATAAAAACTAAGACTAAGAGAGAGAGGAATCTTCATTTTCCATATACGAATTCAAGAGATTGTTGAGCTTTTAATGGGAAACAGCATGGATATCATTTATCAACTTGAGAAAAATTCAAGAAGACGGAGCTAAAAGAGTTAAAATGGTGGCCTTTCAGGAATGAAACCTGATGGTGACACAGAGTAGTGCTGTTCTTATTAAAAATCTTTCCAAAAGTATTCAACTTTTAAAATGTTTATGTGTAGAATTTTCAATATAAAATTATATTTTAATTAAAAAAATAGTGGTTAGGTGCTGAAGAAGCGGAGATTGCAAATGTAGCACAATTGCAGCAAGACTTAAGTTACCAGGGGCAGAGGAAAGACAATTGAGGAACTGTTACTACATTTAGCATTGAGGGGAAGGACAGTTTTCATATGGGAGGAGCTCGAATAGGTTTATAGGCTACAGAGAACGAGTCGGTAGAAAGGAAGAGTTTGAAAATAAGGCAAAAACAAAACAAAACAAAAAAACTTACAAGATAAAACATGTATTTGGAATCACTGGAAAAGACTGAGGTTGCTGCTAATTTATGTTCTTTTTCTTCATCAAGGATTCCTAGTGCCTTTTCCTCCTCAAATTTAATGGCCTACTCAGCAGCCCATGTGCAGAAGTTATGAAGTGGGGCTGTTTATCTGTTGGTGAAGAGTTTTCAGAGAAGATCATGGTGTTGGGTTGCTGATATGGAATGAATAAGAACAGATGAGGAGGGACTTAAGAAGGGAGGTAGACATTACTGAACGTAGAAGAATTTGATACACACAGGGAAAATTCCTATACAGAGGGAGATTTGAAGAGGGCTCTTCTCACTGCTTTATGAGGTGCTTCCGTGGGTGGGTGATTCCAAGCTATAGGACATCAGCAGTGCGTGTGAGCTGCTTAATTTTTTTGTGAAACACTCCCAAAAACAGATAGAATTAAGTACTTCCTATAGACATTTATTACTTATAGTTCTGGTAATCATTGCTAACATTTACTGAGAGGTTATTGCTGACCCTAATTTAATTGTGAAATATGGATTGTCTCACCTGAGACTCACTACAACCCTGCGTGGCACAAATTGTTTTCATTCCCATTTTGCAAATGGTAACAATGAGGCACATATAGTTTAACTGGCAAAGGTCACTGAGCAAGTGAGCAGTGAAGCTGATATTTGCACCTAAGTAACCTGACTACTAAGCCTATGTAGATTAGTCATTATCCTATATCTGCAGTAACTACACTGTAGATGATGGAATAGCTAATGCACATGGCATTTGTTGAAAAAGCAGAGGAATTGAGAGTAGCTAAGTAAGGCTGGAGCATAGATGTATGATGCACATTTAAAGAGTACATGTGGGGAATTGGTGGAGGAAGAGTGTGAAGACATAAGAGAAACTGGTTCATGAAGAGCCTTGTCATAGTGAAGACCTTTGGGCTTTAGCCTGACAGCTAGAAGAAGACATTGAAGGATTTTAACTGGGAAAATAATATGATTGATTTTTTTTCCAGAAAGCACCTTCTTGCAATATTATGGAAAATTAATTGGAAATATCAGAGGAGGGGATATAGCAATGAGAACATTTATGAGACTGGCATTGGTTGAGGCAAAGTGTGCTAGTAGGCACAGAGAGGAGGGAACAAATATGAGAGGCATTAAGGAGGTACGTTTAATAAGATTTAGTGAAAGATTGGAATAGGGCATGACGAGTATTTGTGGCTTGGATAATTAGATGAAAAACCATTTATCAATAAGAGAAAAACAGGAAGAAGAGCATTTGGGAGATAAGAAAAATATGAATATACTTTGAGATAGATATTATTTGTGTGATCTGGAGAAATAAAAATGTGCACTAGGTACTTGGTTCAAAGCCAGAGAAAGAGAGAGAGAGAATATGTGTGACCTTTATTGATCTGGCTTTGGGTTTCACCATATAAATCACCTGTATAAATTGGAAATGGTTGCAACCATCTCAGAGAGATACAGCAGAGTTCCAGAACATCATCTGTGATCACTTGACAAATGTAAGCTAAATGTTGAAGCAGAATGTGGTTATGATTTCGGGGAAAAAGTTACACTTAAATGGTGGCTAGAAACAAAGACCACAGAGAAGACTGAAGAGGGGCCAGATTTCTGAGGGAAACCAACAAAGCATGGCTTCATGAAAGCAAAGGATACTGTGAGTAGTTTCAAGGAGAAAGTGATCAAATTTCACTAATAGGCCACTCAACTGTTTGATAATTAGCAAGCCCTAATTGACTTGGTTTAGATTTTTTTTTTTTTTTTTTTTTTTGCAAGAGGTTGATTTAAGAGCTTGTTTTCAGTTTTCTAAATAAATGAGAGGTGAGGGAGTAAACTCAATTGGTGGAGAAACTAGATATTTAAGATGTTAGGAGACAAAGCAAGGAAAGGTAAGTCAAGATTTTTGTTTGTTTGTTTGTTTCAGGATCAGAGAGACTTAAGGGAAAGAATTAGAAAAGAGAGACAAAAAGAGAAGACCCTGAATAAAAAAGAAATAATGGAGGAACATTTCAATGGGATAGCATCCAGAGTACAGACTGAGCCGTTTGAAGTGAGAATATCATTGTTCACTTATGCTATGAGGATAAAAGTATAGGTTGGTGCCGAAAATCTAGCAATCCATCAACTTTGTGGACTCTGCTTTTGTTACATTCTATTTTCGATGAACCAGTCATTTCTTTTTTTTTTTCTCCAATGCTTGTTGTATTCATGGTCTTTTTCATTTGCACACTTTTAAATCTTTATGACAACTGTGAAGCTGAAATCATAGACCTTGCCTGTTTGTCTTTCTAATTTCCAGGTTCTGTGTGTATGTTAGCCACATGAAAATCTTTGAAGAAAATTTTGCAGATAGCTCAAACTATACATGATTAATACCCGGTCTAGAATGAAACTAAATTTTGAAGCATTGGCTGATGACCCTTATAGAAGTTAGACAAATCACAACAACTAACTTTGAGGTTTTAAAGATGCGTATTTTGTTGTAATTTTACAGCCTGAGCAGATGATCTACAACCTGGCCTCAAAATCTGCATGCAATAAATTGCAAAATGTGCCTCATTTATTTATTTATTTTTTTAAACCTCCAAATGTGGAAGGGATGAGTCAGCCTATCTGAGATTTTAAACTGCCAGTTCCAGGGACACTGCACAACCCCAAGCCATTGCTTCCAGCAAATTACTATTAAAAATATTTTCTGCTAGGCAGGACTGCCTAATGTGTTAACCTTGACCAGTTTCTTTTAAGTGAAAGTAAATACTAGAACGCAAAAACAACAGAATTACTACTGAAGGGCAGGAGCAAGGTTATTTCCTTCATTTGCTTTTGAAAATCTGTTTGTTTTAATAGCCTTGATGTTTTACAAGAAGAGTCAGATATAATTCATTTCACCAAGGACAAGATGAAGTTGAATCAATTTTCTCTCTAAAAAAAGCTAATAATATGCGAATTGATATATAAATGTCAGTGAATATACTGTGTATAGGCTCTTACATAGTATTGTGTTTGTACAGATATCAAGGACATGATATTGCTCACATAATTGTAAGTATTTATGTACAGTAGAATGAAGAGGATATTTAAAACTATAGGAAAGCATGAAAATCTTGACAGGATATTTTAAAGTCTTCTAAGATACATATTGAAAATGAGTCCACTGATCATTTATTTATATATCATTTCAGTAATGAGAGTACTAGAAAATATTTGCCTCTGAGTATAAACATTTGGTTTAATAATTCTTAATTAGAATTTGAATTGCAATACAAATGGCTATGTGTAAAGAATATCATTAATGAATTAGTTAACATAAAGAGGAATGTAGGTCACTGCTCACACTAGGAGCTCAGAAATGGTTAGCTAGATTTGAACAACTTAAAGATAAGAAGAAAAAGGTTTTAAGCCCTCCTATAAACAAAAGTTACTCCCTGACAGGAGCACATTCTTCCTTTTAGTTTGATTAAAAGATCTTCCTAGGCTTTGGGGTAGTTGCTTTTCCTTCTTTAAATTTTTCAATATTCCTTCAATTTTCTGCATTATTAGATATTATTTTATCACTATGATCATAAAAAAATGATTTTGGAAAGACATATTGTAAAAATTTACTTCTTTACATGGGATTTTACTTTAAAATTGGATTTTGCAAGGAGCATAGAAATGCCCATTGCTTGAATCTATCTATTGTTATATCTCCAAACACTTCCCTTAATAGAATGAATGGAATGCCACATGCAATACATAAATGCGCAACACACCATGAGCTTAAAAATAAAACATATATTTAGAAAGAGTTACTAAAATTACAATAGAACATTTTTAATGCTACCATTCATGGGTTTAGTCTCCCTGCATCTTTCTGATGTCTGCATTTCCCCTCTGCTGTCTGAAAACAGGTTCTAAACTGCATTTATCAAACTTGTTAACATGTCAAATAACTTATATTGTCTTTCAGTGTATCTTTACTACACTTTGTAAAAACTTGTAAAAATATCTGTAATTGTTGACCACTGTTACACACTTTGTGAGATATAGACAAGTAAACATATTTTAGGCCATATGCATTAGGAGTTATTTCTTTAAAAGCCAACCTTATTTGTTCTGTCTTATCAAATACTCAGTCAAGTTCTATTAAACCAATTTTATTCTAGCGAAGGTCAATGTATACACACACTTATATGGGCAATAGATACAAAAACCCTTTCCGGAGCCAGAAGCAAACTGTTTCAGTTTTCTATTATTTCTTAACAAACACCTCAAGAGAGAATTTTCAAAACAGTATCATTTTATTTGCTCATGATTCTGCAACTTTGGCTGGGCTCAGCTGAATGGTTCTTATGTCGGTCTTGCTGGTGGTAACTTATGTGGTTGTACCAGTTGAAAGATTAACTAGGGGTCTGGGATCCACTGGCCCTTGAGACAGCATGGCTTCTCTCTTTGCCCTGCGATGTAATCCCAAAGCCTCTTCTTTCCATGTGGCCACTCCAAAGGGGATAGATATATTTCTTACATGGTAATTTAGGGCTCACAGGGGTGCAAAAATTTAGACTTGGCACTGGTTATGGTTAAAGTGAAGTGCAGATTCATGGGGAAAGAACTATACAAGGCCATGAATACTGGAAGCTGTGATTTCACTGGAGGATGCCAAAGAAATTAAGTTCAAGCTACAGTGTGCATTCTCACTGCCCTTAGGGGGCACTATATGTCACCACAGGAATGTTGGTTATGCCCAACAAAGTGGATGAACCCATTGCATGAATTTAGATAAGTGAGTGAAATGGTCAGGTAGGACTCTTGGGCAGCACTGTGGAGAATGGATTTCAGAACAAGACGAGAGACAATGAGATCAATTCAACAGTAGTGCCGTAATTGAGATGAGAAATGATTTGAGCCTAAATCTAGGTTACTATTTTCCCCCTAAACTTTCCTTTGGCCTCCTTCTAACTTGAAGAGGGTAAAGAAATAAGGATATAGGGGAAAAGAAAAATTTAGCACAATTCTGTGGCTAGTAACACTATTCACTCAGATGAGGGAGGCAGAGGGGAAACATTTAAAAAAAAAATCTATTAAAGTTGATGTTTCTGTTGGTGTTCAGGTAGAACTATGTAGGAGTCAGATGGTTATGTGGGTTTGGATCAAGAGAAGGATCTAGGATGCAGGTGAAGACTGAGGGGTCATTAGTCTTTGAGGCCTTTGGAAATGCTGCGTTCACCCAAAAAATGCATAGAACAGTGTTTCTTAAAAAGGAGGGTGGCATGTATCAGGGTCCAGTAGGGAAAATTGCCAACTCTAAGTTCTAATACTCTCCCAGGCCCCCAACATTGCAAGGGTAGGGTAGGAAGCAAGCGTACTTGGAACAAGCTCCTAGGTGCTGCTTTACTTTTTTCTTCCAGGGGATATAGGCGTTGACACAATTTTAAAAGCTCCCCAGGAGATTCTGCTGTACACCGAGGATTAAGAGTCACTAAAGGAAAGTGAGGAGGGAGTAAGGGTGAGCATTTCATCCAGGGCAACAAAAGTCAAAAGAGCAAGACCAAACCTGATAATGTAATATTTAGATGGCAGCTACAACTATTTAAATAAAACAAAACAAAAACCTGTCACAGATTAAAGGACAAATTTTGTATATGTAATTTCTGGTAAGGTCTCATGGCCATTCATTGGGCTTTTCAACAGTTGGTCTACCTTCCACCATGTAAGAATTCAACAGCCACTGTTGTTCTAGACATATGTGTGTTTTCGGTATTTCGCATTTGTCTAGTGATGGAATATGATCATATCCTGGAGTGGTTCAAACATGCTTTTTTTGTGTTTCTTTAGTTTCCTTTTTGGTGACAAATTTACCATTTTTCAATCATGCAGCATTTACTGTTCTTGCTCCTTTCTCTTTTCCTCCCTTGACATCCCACCCCATCCTTCTGAATTTGCGCATCCTTCAAGAATATTTCCTGTCTTCAGGTCGTTTTCCTCCTCAGGTTTCTAGATGTCTACTTTAACTTTAGCTTCTTTCTGTTTGTTTAATAGTGAATCACTTACTATATGCATCCTGTCCGGGTCTAATTGGATTCTGGATGGCAAGTTAAATTTAAAAGGATAATGGCAGAATTCTTTCTTGGGTTTTTAAGATTGCTCCTAATAACCTTCCATCTTATCATCTCTTTTTACTTCACAAATTTAATTAATCAGTTAGTGGAGTGAAAATGCCAAATCCTATGGATTTCTCCTTAACCTCTCTGTGCTTCAGTTCTTCATCTGTAAAATGGAGACAATTTCAGCATCTTCTTCACAGGGTTATAGGAGACACTAGATGTAAAGCACACAGAACAATAGCAGCCAGTTAGTGAGTGCTCAATAAATATTTGTTATTATCATGACTTCTTAAGTATAACTCTGCTTCTTCCAAAGTTTAATTCATTTTTCTAAATAAATTGACCAGTGTATAATTAACAGAAGGAAGTGTTCAAGCACATACACACTCTCACATATACTCACATACACACACGTTGATTTGAATGATGATTACACAGGCATATGCATTTTGTGTACTCACAATTTATGCTTTCTATATGGAAATCATACTTCAATAAGTTACTTGGGAAAAAATGTAATTAGAGGCAGAATAGGAGAGTGGTTAAGACTACAGGTTCTGGGCTGGGCGCGTGGCTCACGCCTGTAATGCCAGGACTTTGGGAGGCCGAGGTAGGCGGATCACGAGGTCAGGAGATCGAGACCATCCTGGCTAACACGGTGAAACCCCGTCTCTACTAAAAAATACAAAAAAATTAGCCGGGCTTGGGGGCGGGCGCCTGTAGTCCCAGCTACTCAGGAGGCTCAGGCAGGAGAATGGCGTGAACCTGGGAGGCGGAGCTTGCAGTGAGCCGAGATCGCGCTACTGCACTCCAGCATGGGCGACAGAGCGAGACTCCGTCTCAAAAAAAAAAAAAAAAAAAAAAAAAAAGACTACAGGTTCTGGAACTAGACTTCTGTTCAAATCCTGGCTCTAGCCCTAACTAGTTGTGTGATTTGAGGCAAGGAATTAGCCTTCGTTATCCCAATTTCCACAGTAGTTAAATCTGGATAAAAGCATGTATCTCAAAGAGTTGTTGTGAGTATTAAAAGATATGATTTAAAATACTGCCTACTACATCTTATATAGTATATAAATGTCAGCTGTTGTTTATATCATTCTGTATCCTGATAAACTGCAACATTAGTTTGACAAATGTATCAATGCTTTAAAAAAGATAGTATATATTTTCTTAAAATAAAGGCATTATACATTTCTGGGTTATGTATCCTTTGCTGTGTATAGCGCATATCTATACTTAGTTAGTATGTTTCTTCTTGAAGAGAATAAGATTTATACCTTTTTGTTAATTCTGTGTATCTCTAGCATTTAATCTGATGCCACATTTAATAAGAGCAAAATTAACATTCATTGACTCTGACTGAACATTAATGTCATATCAGATAACAAGAAAACAGTTTTTATTAGAAAAACTGATTAAATTGAGTATTCACAACTAGTAGTGAAAATTGTACCTTACTGATTTAAATCACATCCACCTAAAGCATAACTATTCCTTTAGCAGCAAATTTTAAAATTTTATGAAAATAAGTTTGTGAGAAGTAAACAGATTTCATTTTAACCTCAACTATTCTACTCAACTCTTCAGATCCCAGAAAATTACAGTAATACTAAATTGGAATAATGTCAGATGATGGAAAATTCAGATCCACATGGATAATTGTCTCATAAATAGAGAGTGGCTATGATTCTGGAGCTTTAAATATTCAAATCTAAAAGACAAGTGTCCCAGTGTTTTATAATGACTCACACAGTAATTTTTTCGCTATAAATTTAAATTATTTAAATTGAATTATAATACAAAGTGCAAAATCAGATTTAACAGTTATTTATGTGAATTAGAATAATTTCTTCAGTGCTTTAAAAGAAAATGTACAAGCTTTGATATTCTTCAATTAAGTTATCAAATAACAATGTTGGCAATTCTTTCAATTGTAATATTAGCTGTAAAATAAAGGGTGAAAGAATGCCACTTTACTTCCAGTTTTGGGACTGAGAACTGAACATGACCATTATACCCTTACCATTTATTACATGCCATTACTATTTCTTATGCATACCAACTACTTTTCAGTTCCTATATTTGGAATGTGTGGAAATTTTCTTCTTTAATTTGACATTTCTAATGTGGGGTAAACTGGTATGGAGTATCAGAATGCTATAGAAACAGCCATCTAGAAAGTGATAAGATGATATGCAACAGAGAAAAGGGCAATTTTAGACATCAAAAAGCTTTTTCTTGGCTATTGATTGAAGGAAACCTGATTTTGAAAAAAAAAAATCCATAGGAAAAAATGTGTGGTGTTTGTGGGGTGGTGGTGGGCCAGTTACTCCAGTACAAGTTATTTTTGAGACAGTATTGTAAACATTATAGTTCACAAAAAGAATAACAATGGAATTAGAGCTCATCAAACACTAATAAAGATATGTTTCCTAGTAAAGGATGTATTTCACTCATGGTACTGTAATGATAAATCCCATTTTCAGGTTAAGACTGCATCTGGAGTATTGAAACTTGGAGCCACTTTCTAAGAGGGTAAATAGGAGGATAAGAAGTCTTTAACCATTTCTATTGAGGATAGGCTGCTGTAATTACTGTGGAAAAGAGAAGGCTTACTGGGGGGCTATGAGAAGGCAGAAGTAGAACATTTGTTCTACTTGGGTGATGAATTAGAAGTGGAAAAAGATGAGAGGCAAAGACAAAGACAGCTCCTAGAATTGAAGCCTCTTACACCAAGCATGGTGTAAGTTGCCGTGCAAAGAAGTGAGTTCCCAAACGCTGTGAGTACTTTAGCAGAGGTGGCTCCATACCAGGGACTAAGGATTCCTGCTTGGGATAAAAGAGTAGAAGACTCTTGAGCAACTTTCTGATGGATAATTTGTGGGGAAAGTATTCCTTGATATATTCTTTCTAACTAGGTATAAAGAATTGGAGCCACTATTTGTTGATTTTAGAAATAGTCAAAGAAAAAAAAAAGACAAAAAAAAAAAAAAAAAAGAAAAGAAAGAAAAAGAAAAAGAAAATCCAGTTGGCAAAGATAGAGAAGGAAGCGGGGGGAAGGAGAAACCGAAAAAAAAGAGAATCCTTATAAAGTTTTAATCCCCTCACACATTTTTAAAAAACTTATTCTCATCAATTTATCCACTACATGTTATTATTATAAATATGATAGTCTGAGGATTGGTATTTAGATTGTTACTAAGTTATTTTTTACATACATTTTACATACACACACACATATACTGGTCACACACACATTCATTTTTGTGTTTGTGTGTTGCTGTCAGTTTTCTGTTTTTGTATTTGATATCTTGACAACAGTTAGACCAGTTCATTTAACTAGTTTTTAGTCTCACTGCCAGTATTCTATGCCCCTACTTCCTTATTCAAGACTTGTCAGTTTTGATTCATTACTCAACCACATGGAGTGTATTTTCAAATAGTTTGTCTGATAAATAGAAGATTTGCATTATTGAAAATGTCTTTTTCTTACCTTTATATTTGAATAAAAGGGTGGCGCAATATAAACAATTATTGTTTGTCCAGTTATTTTCCCCTTAAAATTGTAGACACTGCTCAATATTTTCTTAGGAATGTAGTTTTACAAATGAGTGTGATGACAAATTCATGTTGTTTTATCACTGCTCACTAATTCCTTTTCCTGTCTTAATGCTTTTTGGCATTAATTGATGCTTATACAAAAGAAAATCTAAGATGTCCATGGGTATATAATCTCATTTAATGAGAATCTTATGTAATTAGAATCTTATTTATTTAATTTGTATTCCTTTAACATGACAACAATCTCTTTTGACCTTCATATACAGCTTCACAAAGTTTTCTTTGATTATTAGCATTTTCTTTAATTATTACCGTGTACTCAATTAATATTCATAATATCTTATTGCTTATTTTTATGGTTTCTTCACTAGTATACCTAAAAATCTTTGATTAGTGATCCATTTTTCATCCTCTATACAAGTTGTCCTATTGCATAATTCTTAGGTTTGCTTTTTTTTCTGTTAACTTTGGGAGAGTTTTTCAAGTTTGATGTATATGTTAGGGTTTTATCCACAGGATAAGTTGTGCTTCTTTTTCATCTGGTACAACTTTAGTTTCCTTGCAGTCCTTCCTCACTGAATTCATCCCAGCATATTGTCTTTGCTGGTGGCAATGTAAAGTGTTGCAACATCTTTAGATTTGATCCTTGAACAACACAGCTTTGAACTGTGCAGGTCCACTTTTACACAGATTGTTTTGACAAATACATTGGAAATTTTTTGGAGATTTGTGACAGTTTGAAAAAATTGCAGATGAACCACATAGATTAGAAATATCAAAAAAAATAAGAAAGAGTTAGGGATGTCATAAATGTATAAAATATATGTAGATACTAGTCTATTTTATCATTTACTACCATAAAACACAAAAAAATTTATTATAAACAGTTAAAATGTATCAAAACTTGTGCACACAAACACAAATTGTACATGGCACTATTGGGAGTCCAGAGAAAAATAAACAAATATAAAGATGCAGTATTAAATTAAAACTGCATAAAATTAACTGTAGTACATACTGTACTTGTATAATAATTTTGTAGTTACCTTCTGTTGCTATTGGGATTAGCTCAAATGTTGCAAGTATTTGCTTAAAACATCACGTGACCCTGAGCCATTCATCTCTCCAGTCAATTGCAAATAAAAAAAAGTAAAAAGTGATCTCTCATGGTTCTCATGTATTTGTCATCATGTTTAGTGCAATACTGTAAACCTGAATAATACCATGGGATCCAAAGTGCCACTAGTGATGCTGGAAGTGCTCCCAAGAAGCAGAGAAAAGTTATACAAGAAAAAGTTGAATTGCTTGATACTTACCATAGATTGAGATTTTTGCAGTTCGGGTTGCTTGCCATTTCAGACGGATGATTCATCTTGTAAACAGACAATATAAACTTACAGTATCAATAAGTATAGTACTGTAAATGTATTTTCCCTTCCTTGTGATTTATAATATTTTCTTTTCTCTAGCTTACCTTAGCATAAGAATACAATATATAATGCATATAACATACGAAATATGTGTTGAATGACGGTTTATATTATTGGTAAGTTTCTAGTCAACAGTAGGCTAATATTAGTTAATTTTCTGAGAAGTCAAAAGTTATATGAGGATTTTTTCGACTAGGGGTTGGTATCCCTAAACTCCATGTTGTTCAAGAGTCAACTGTACAAGTTAAACATATACCTACATATGACACAGCCAATTTACTCCTTGGTATTCACCCAAGGAGATATAAAAACATATGTCCACACTAAGAGTTGTACTCAAATATTCATAGATACATCATTCAGAATTTTCAGAAACTAGAAAGAGCATAAATGAATGTTCATTCATAAGTGAGTGGATGAACAATTTGTGATGTATTCATAAAATGAAATACTACTCATAAATAAAAAAGGAATAAACTGCTGATATCCATAGCAAAATAAATAGATCTGAGAAATATACTGAATGAAAGAAACAAGACACCAAATAGTACATCTATATGATTCCATATGTATATTATAATAAAGCTTATTAATAAGCTTTCATATCTTATAAATAAGAATAGGATGCAATAAAAGTTAAAATAATGACCATATCTCCATAATCATTTGCTGTGGAAACAAGAAGTATATTTCTAATACACTGTTTGGCATCATCAGTATAATACAAGAAGAAGAGGTAGAAACTGTAAGGAGACATCAGTAGAGATAAAAGGATGGTATTACTTAATGACACATGTTCATGGACTGTCAGACTTAATATTATTAAGTTGTCATTTTTAACTGAAATGATCTCTAGAGCTAAAACAATACCAATAAAGATTCTATGTTATTTTCTTTTTGTAAAAATCAACAAAAATTATTTGGAAATGCAAATCACTTAGGATAACCAAATCATTTTATTTTTCAAAATAAGAAAGAAAGCTATTTCCATACATTATCTGATTGAGTTACTATAAAGCTACAGTTATTAAAACAGTGTGATATGATGAAAGGATAGATATGTAGATCAATGGAAGAGAGCAGAGAATGCGGAAGTAGACCCACACAGATATGGTACATTGATTTTTGACAATGATGCCAAGGCAATTCTATGAGACAAGGAAAGATTTTTCAACAAATGGTTCTCTAACAATTGAAAAGCTTTTATTTATTTTTTAATAGAGACTATTACTCCCAGAATGCATACACATTTGTTTCCCATCTTTATTTTCTGCTTGGACTTTGACTACAAATGGAATATGAAAGACTGGAGTGAAGGGTAGTTGGTAAAGGAAGACATTACAGGTATCTACCCGATGGAAAATTGTTGTGTAGTTCTAGTTTTTCAAGGCTTTGATTTTCTGAACAGGAAGTAGAGGGGTAAACTAGAAAACTCATGTTTTACAAACTTCTTTCAAGGAAACAACTTCTGTTTAATCAGTGGACGCATATATAGAACACTGAATGCTTTTTTGCAACCGAATTTTAAGGAGATTATAGAGTATCAAACCTCCCGTAATGTTCTAGATAGGTTCTTTGCCATAGTCTTTTAATGTGGTTTGATTTTTTTTTTTAATTTTCATTGATTTAAATGATATGCTAATAAAAAGCTGAGGGAAGATGTGTCATAAAACTAATAACAATAATGTTTAGTATATTTATGTGTTTTATTTAAAAATCAGAAGTTGTAGTGAACTTTTTTTGAAGATGTAAACTTAAAAGAGTACAGTGGTCCTAAAATACATCATAAGAGTGTTGTTTGGTACTAGATAACTCTATCTTTCTGTGAAATATTTGCATTTCAAAGGGTAAGCCATCACCTTATCTGTGTGTCTCATTTTGGACAGTGAGGTGCTGCTACATAAGTGTGATAAGGAACACTAATGTCGCCTCATGTTATCTTAAAAATTAATGATCTAGAATGGAAGTGTTGTCTTTTGGTTTAAACCTAAGGGTTGCAGTAATTTTTGCTGGTTTTAATATCTGAGTATCAAATTAGTCATTAAAACCAATACTTTGTTAATGGTAAGTATTGTATCATTCTTTCTGCATGCAACTGAGGTTTTCTTTTGTCATCTTATATAGCAGTTTGGACCACTTAGCCAGGTGGCATTCATTGGTTCTTGTAAAAACTGGGAATATTTGAGTCAGTTTGGTGACTGAAAGAGACAATGATGAAGGAGCAAAGACCAATTGATAGGACAGATTGCCTAGGGGAAGACTGGGGGTAAGCAATGAACACAGATAAAACATATTGCCTTAGAAAATGTGGTTGAATGTAAGGACACATGGATATGAAGATAACCAGATATTCAGGGGGAGAGAAAGGAGATAGTAAGACATCATGCCCGGGACCATAATCTCTGGAAATTAAGAAGCAGGACCATCTGCTTAGTAAATACTCCTTGATGAGTTGAAGGCATCTTGGGAGGGAAGGAAAACTGAGGACATTTTATGACAGTAAGAGAGCTTGGGGTCAATTGTGGTGAAGAATGCAATAAGGAGTCAATTAGGACTGAATCAAAGGCTTGTGAGCAACAGTGAGGTCTCGTTGAGGTTACATGTGTATTCTGAATCAATCAGCATGACTTTGTAACCCTCTGGTAGTCCTTGACAGAGAGGGACAAAGAAGAATACACTTCCAAAATAAATGGAATAACAGTGAACTCTCAAGTGCATAGGAGACCAGGGATTTATCTGGGTAAATGGCACAGGGGTCAAGAAAGCTCAGCTATAAAAACAGACTAGAAATCCAGGCAGACCCACAAAATTGGTTAAAGACTTAAGGTAAAAAAAAAAAAAAAAAAGGAACATGTCTATCCTATAATCCAGTAGTAAATTATGGTAACCTGATGCACAGTCAGCAAGCTGATAATAATAACTGTATTAAAATAGCAGTCGAAAGAAAAAAAAAATCTCTAGTATGGTTTCTACCATTGGCTGATGGCTACTCTGAGCTGTGTACTTTACCTACATCAGGAGTTGGCAAACATTTTCTCACGGGGATAGATAGTAAATATATTTGGCTTAGCAAACCATATGGTCTCTGTCACAATTACTCCTCAGTACTCTGTGAAAACAGCCTTAGACAATACACAAATGTATTAACATGAAAACCACAAGTGGTTGCCTAGAAACACTAGTGGGAAATCCCCATCAGAAGTCAACACAGACAAGCTGCACCTGTTTCGTATAAACAGTGATGAGGGCATTGTAAAAATGGGTTTCCTGGCCTACTGGGATGTTAAGGAGCTGTTTTCAATCTACCTACAAGTACATCTATATGTGTGCATATATGTATGTGTATACTATATTACATAACTAATACTGTGTTGGGCCCTATGAGAATTATGTAGAAATTAAATAAATAATCTTTGTCTTCTGAGAAATGTCATTCTATTTGGAGGAAGAGATGGAGAAAGGAGGATTGAGGGAATGGAAGTAATTATAACATTTGATATAGCTGAACAGTGGATTTACTGATAAAAAGTGACACAATGACTTTGAATACAGAAAGCTAGTACATTAGGAAGGAATATTTCTCTGCCCTTGAAGTTGAGGTGATTCAAAGAAGTAGCCAACTGGGAACTCTCTTCTTACATATATCATTTCAGCTACTCTCTTTCTTTGGAGAGATGAAACAATGGCTTATTTTTCCTGTGTTACTATTTCTACTTCTTAGTTCTGCTGCATGTCATATAGTCTCAATAGTTATTAAAATGCAAAGAAAAATGAAAAATTAGAGGGACACTTGTCAAACTCAATTGCACTTTGACAGGTATGATTTTGGTCTCCTAAAATGTTTTAGGCCTTGAAAATAGTATCTTGCTACATTTGATATGGACTCTTTTTCTTCTTAACTTTAAGTAAACATTTTATTGAATTATAATGTACATTTACGTAACAATAGATATCTTGAGTCTGTTGTTTATGTTTTGTGAAATTTGTCTAAAAAATAGTGTAGTAGATAAATTTTACTGTTTGCCAGATTAAAACATTGATTTTTTCATGTCTTTTGGCTGCATAAATGTCTTCTTTTGAGAAGTGTCTGTTCATATCCTTCATCCACTTGTTGATGGGGTTGTTTGTTTTTCACTGACCATCAGAGAAATGCAAATCAAAACCACAATGAGATACCATCTCACACCAGTTAGAATGGTGATCATTAAAAAGTCAGGAAACAACAGGTGCTGGAGAGGATGTGGAGAAATAGGTACACTTTTACACTGTTGGTGGGACTGTAAACTAGTTCAACCATTGTGGAAGTCAGTGTGGTGATTCCTCAGGGATGTAGAACTAGAAATACCATTTGACCCAGCCATCCCATTACTGGGTATACACCCAAAGGACTATAAATCATGCTGCTATAAAGACACATGCACATGCATGTTTATTGTGGCACTATTCACAATAGCAAAGACTTGGAACCAACCCAAATGTCCATCAATGATAGACTGGATTAAGGAAATGTGGCACATATACACCATGGAATACTAAGCAGCCATAAAAAATGATGAGTTCATGTCCTTTGTGGGGACATGGATGAAGCTGGAAACCATCATTCTCAGCAAACTATTGCAAAGACAAAAAACCAAACACTGCATGTTCTCACTCATAGGTGGGAATTGAACAATGAGAACACATGGACACAGGAAGGGGAACATCACACTCTGGGGCCTGTTGTGGGGTTGGGGGATGGGGGAGGGATAGCGTTAGGAGATATACCTAATGTTACATGACGAGATAATGGGTGCAGCACACCAACATGGCACCTGTATACATATGTAACAAACCTGCACGTTGTGCACGTGTACCCTAAAACTTAAAGTATAATAAAAAATAAAAATAAAAAAAATTGATTTTAAGTCTTAATAATTATGTTTCAAAAGTAATCAGAAAGTAGCATGTGAATATAACAATGGTATATATGTGCTTCATTTTGATATCATAGAAGAGCATTCTGGAAGGGTCCAGTGCTATCTCCTGCTACTGGTGATTTTATAATAAAATACAATCTGTGATTTTTGGTGGAAAATTATATCAGTCATTCAGTGTCATGGTGGTTCCTCTATAAAGCTGCTAGAGCAATTTGGTTGCCACATTCATTGTGCATGTTCCATCTGTGGTTTGATTTACTTGCTGTCAAATCCAAGATTTACATTATTCTATATGACAAAAATAAATGTATACATCAAGCTTTCAAGATTATGGATAAGATTCAAATTGCCCTTTTAAATTACATTATACTTTTAAATTAAGATGAATGCTGGCAAGACATGAAAACAACCTCAGTGTCTGTTGATGGATGAATGGATAAAGAAAATGTGGTGGACATGTATACAATGGAATATTATTCAGCCATGAATAAGAAAATCCTAACATTTGTGACAGCATAAATGAAACTGAGGACATGATGCTAAGTGAAATAAATCAGGCAGGAAAAGACAAACACTGAATAATCTCACTTAGATGTGGGGTCTACAAGAGTCCAACTTAAAGAGTAGGATAGTGGTTACCAGGGCCTAGGGCTTGGGGGAGATGGGGAGATGTTGGTCAAAGGGTACACACTTTCTGTTATAAATAAGTTCTAGAGATCTACTGTACAGCATGGTGACTCTAGTCAGTGATATTGTATTGTGTGTTTGAAACTTGCTAAGAGAAAAGAGCTTAAATGTTCTCACCACAAAATAAAAGTAAAATTGACAACTAGGTGAGGTGATGTCTAACTGTATAATCATTTCACAATATATATGTGAATTAAATCGTTACATTACACATGTTAAATGTATACAATTTTATTTGTCAATTATACTTCTGCAAAGCGGGAGAAAAAAAGGTAAGTGTGATGTACAAACTCATACTAGAAACCATCCACGTTGTTGGAAATGAGCTATGCATGCCACCAAGTGAAGTGAGAAAGATTCTCCCACCTTAGTTTTACCCAGAACTACTGGAAAGATGTGTTATTGTTCAACAGTGACAGACATGATAAAGGACTACTTCATATGAACTACATTTCTAATGAGAACAGAGTCCAATGAACAGAAAAAGAAATATCATTATATATGGAAGGGCAATGTCACATTTCTAACGATTCTGTTACGTTGAGATATTCAGGGATCAAACCTAGTAGGGTTCAGCCCTGTAATGGGGCTTAACATTTAGAACAATTTAAAAATATTAAAACTTAGATGAAGTTATAAAAGATGTTACAGATGAGAAAAAGATGAAAATGAGTATTAATATGATGGATGGGAAAGGCCATACACAAAGTTAATCTGCTGAGTTGATGGGTTGCATCAAAATTATGGGACTGAATTTAAATGTAAATATGTTTTAAAATCTATTTAGACAATTTAAGATAGTGAAGATATAGCTTGATAACAAATATTTTTTGAAAAGGTTCAGCTAGGCTTTTTTTAATGTCTATAAGTTTAATATGAGCCAGAAATATGAAGTGCCTGCTAAAAATAAAAATAAAAACCTTAGGCATAATAGCAATACAGTAAAGATCAAAAGAAGTCATGCACTTGTTGCATTCTGTGATATTTAGACCACATCCAGCAGGTTGTGCTGCTGTCTTTGGGCCATATTTTAAGAGAGTGCTCGCTGTATATATCAGAGTGGGTCTAAAAGAGGCTGACCAGGTGTTTTCTAAAATATTTGATTTACCAATGTAACAGATGCTAGAGTTCTTTTCTTTCAAGTTAAAGCTTTAAGGAGTAGACTTGAGTCCCCTGGGAAGTCATGGGCAGCTGCTGCTAGAGAGATATATTTCAGGTGATTCTGCAGTTCAATAAAGTCAAAGATGCCAAGTTATTTTAATACAGTATAAATGAAAATTATGGGAAGGAGTAAAGATAACCTCTGTTGGCTAGGTGCGGTGGCTTACGCCTGTAATCCCAGCACTTTGGGAGGCCAAGGCAGGTGGATCACAAGGTCAGGAGATCAAGACCATCCTGGCTAATATGGTGAAACCCCATCTCTACTAAAAATACAAAAAATTAGCCAGGCATGGTGGTGGGTGCCTGTAGTCCCAGCTACTCCGGAGGCTGATGCAGGAGAATCTTTTGAACCTGGGAGGCAGAGGTTGCAGTGAGCTGAGATCACGCCACTGCACTCCAGCCTGGGTGACAGAGCAAGACTCCATCTCAAAACAACAACAACAAAAATACAAGAACAGAACATAACCTCTGTTGGCTTGCACTTGTAGTCCTAGCTGCTTGGAAGGCTGAGGTAGGAGGATTGTTTGAGGTCAGGAGTTTGAGTCTGCAGTGCGCTCTAATCATGCCTGGGAATAGCCATTGCACTCCAACCTGAGCAATAGAGTGAGACCCTGTCTCTAAAAAAAAAAAAGTAAAAAGAAAGAAATATGAAAGATAACCCTGGGTAAGTACAGAGCTGGGAGGGATATAGGACATGACTGTCTTGTTTGGCTTTCTGGGCCTTGTAAAGCAAATGGATCTCAGGGCTCCATTTAAAGTCTGAAGTGGATTTTAATAATTGTGGTATACAGTGACAAGTGATACAATAGCATATGGCAAGTCATGCTGTTAGCATTAAAAAGGGAAAGATAAATACTTTCATATAGATTTTATTCCAAATCTGGCAAAAAATAATTTAAGAAAGGCAGAATGTAGCACTCACAGCAAGTGATAATCAATTTTCAAAGTTTTTAGGAACTAACAGAATGGCAGTTTTTAAAACTATAATTTGCTTAGAATTGAAAATGAGGGTGCCTCTGGCTACAAGACTTATTCTTATTTGCTATAGATTCCTGCAGTCTCACAACTAACTGTGAGAATTTTCTTTTTCTCTTTTTGTTTTGTTTATTAACGAGTTGGGCTAAAGGGTTTTGTTATGTATAGTTTCACAAACACATAGATCTTAGTTTGAATGAACTGGTCCTATTTCTTTAGAATCCTTTAGGCATATGAAAGTTGAGTTTGGTGTTGGTCAGGACAAGGTAAACATACGCTGGATAATAAAAGGCACAAAAAAGTTGACTAATGGGTTATACTCTTATGAGCTTTTCTACTTCAAAAATACTAGCCTCTTTGTAGCCTCTTTTCGTAGAGCTATCTTTGAAAGGACTTCTTTTTCTCCTCAAATCCAGTATCTACCCCTGCCTAGGCATATCTACCTATACACATTGATATGGTTTGGCTGTGTCCCTGCCCAAATCTCATTTGAATTGTAGTTCTCGTAACTACATTTGGGAGAGATCTGGTGGGAGGTAATTGAATAATGGGGGCGGTTACCCTCATGCTGTTCTCATGATAGTGAGTTCTCACAATATCTGATGTTTTTATAAGGGACTTTTCCCCCTTTTACTCACTCACTTTCCTTCCTTCCACCATGTGAAGAAGGACGTGTTTGCTTCCCTTTCTACCATGATGGTAAATTTCCTGAGGCCCCCCCAGCCATGCCTAACTGTGAATCAATTAAACCTCTTTCCTTTATAAATTAACCAGTCTCAGTTATGTCTTTATTAGCAGCATGAGAATGGACTAATACATACATTGTTCCTTTATAATCTAGAAGCATTATATCAATGTGAGCATATACATTTTGTATTCTTAAATTACACAATACAATTTACACATTGTTCAATTGAAGTTTTTTTCTTTCATAACCGAGCTTATACGCAGTTGTTCTGTGACATTAACACATTGAAGTTATTCTTGGTTTGTTATTTAAGAAAATATTGGAAATATTAGATGTCTTCAGGGAGATATTTTTTAAAACATATTACCAGATGGGTGAATATTTCTCCTTTCCAAGAATATAAAATTGGTGACTCATTTTTATCTTTGGTTTTCCACTGTAAAGAATGGGTGTCAGCTTCCTATGTAATTTTGATTTGTTTATCCAGCAGTTTTGTTTGTCTGTGCGCTTTTCTGTGTGCCAATTGTGGTCAATATTTGGTTTCCATAAAAGGTATGAGTTTTCTTTGAGGCTATCTTTTCTTACCATTGCCAAACCCACAACTGATGCACCATTACTTTGACTTTTGTTCTTAATTTAAACTTGGCACGGATCCTGTCTTTGGTGTAAAACATAAAACATACTCTGTTTTGACATGGAAGCTGGGAAGGAAACTATTTGTTTGACATTTTCTAAAGGGATCTATAGACAGGATGTTTGTGTCGCTTTTATAGGGACGCAACTACTACCTGAATGTACAAATACCCACGAGTTCAGGGTTGGCACGGCTATTAACAAATAAAAGTAGCCGAGAGTCCATTTTTCTTAGTTTATAGATAAAAACAGATGAAGACACATCAAAATCACTCAGTTTAATGGAACGCTGGAATGCAGAGCAATCAGGACAGATACTAGTCTCAAGTCCAATGGCTTTTCACTGCTGCAATTCTACCGAACTGACTCCTTACTGTATAGACCAGACCACCTGAGTCTGAATCCTGGCCCTACCACTCATATGTCTAGGCAGGTTATTTAGCCTCACTGAGCCTTTTTTTCCTCAACTGTAAAATGAGATATTAATAGTCTCTACTTTATAGAGCTCTTATAATAATTAAATAAGGCAAGCGACTGAATACAGTGACTGACAGAGTATCATGCTCCTCTTCCTCCTCCTCATCTCTCAAAATTGAATGCACAAAAAATACAACTACGTGACAATAAAATTGAATGCACAGGTTACATCCCTTTTTGGTGAGACTGTCAGGTTAGGGTTCTTTAAAGAGCAGGCTTTGGGCATTCTGGGTTCATTACCATATAGTTCTAACTTACTAAGCCAAAGATACAGTCTTAGACTTTTTATAAGGTAAACTGAACAGGAACTCCATGACCTGAAGGTGCTACTAAACCTCTAAGCTGTGAAACTTCAGTCATATTTTATGAATAATTTAGGTTTTGTAAGCTCAGTTCATCCATATTTTGGAAGCTTTTCAGACCATCTTCTGTAAAAATTGTACAGCAAGAAACTGACAACACATAGAAAGTAAAAAAGAATTCCTACAAACTTTACCTGCCAAATCAATCCATGTATTCATATTTATTGAGTGTCTAGAATCTACGCAGTGAAGAAAACTACTTACCATTCTCATGAGCACCCTGTCTTGCACATTGTAGGCACCTAATGCATTTTTTTTCAATTGAAATTTATGACTGTGTTTTTCACAGTAAATGTTCCCTTTAAAATATCCTCTAAATCACTTCTTTTAAAGTAGATAACCAGTCAAAAGTGGGGCAGTAGCAACTGTTGAACTTAGCAGTAGCCAAAAGCCACCTTCATCCCGAAATCTAATGACAGCTTCTTGGATGCAGCACATGTGTGTTCTATCTCCATCTCTCTTCTTAAAGACAATCCCTAGGTCTACATCTACTGCTGATTTTGCAGTTTTTACTAGTTAGGTCATATTGAGAATGATGATAGCATTAAAAATGAGGTGTTTTATTCTCTCTTATCCCTTGCCACAGTCAGTAGAAAAAGGAGGGGGAAGTAGGGAAGCCCATCACTATTGTTCCACAGCACTGAAATCATTGCTTTTTAAGAAATGGCACACAAGTGGTACCATTTATCAAGTGGTACTATTTATGTCTCTGTAAGAAAAATTCCTGTCTAATGCAAAATTGTTTTACAAATGAAGATTATTGGTACTTACTGAGGAAAGGATAAGTTGAAATACGTTCAAAAATATTGAATGAAAGATGTTTTGTCATTCTACTCATGGTTTACTAAGAAAGATTTAAATTTCTTCACATTAATCAGACTGCTACCTTTAGTGCAATTAAATGTCACATAATTGACTGTTATCTTGAGTCTTGTCATATAGAAAAAGGTAGGCTAGGTATGCCCAAGTTTGTTTCAGAAATAATTAATACTTTTAAATTATGAATTAGGTGTATTACTGATGTTATTTTATACGTATTTTTGAATAGCCTCTCCAAAGAAATCACAGGCATCTCATAATTTCATATAATAATGAGCGAACCTTTCTTCCAGCTCATCCATTTAGAGCTCCGATTTTGGCCATTTACTCTCAGGTGCTCCACTCTCCTCAAGCTGATATTGGCATGAGATTAGGGAATACCAACGCCCCAGTCACATGGAGCCAGTGTTGATGAGACTAATTGGATTACTCACTGGCTTAATTCCCCTTGTATGCTAAGGTGGGAAAGGGATAACAATGTATGTGAAAGTCCAAAGTCCCCTTCAAGCTACACTCCAACACAAGCTATGGCTATTACCATTTCCCCACATTGGCTTATTATGGTGACCTTCATTGCTCCTGAAGGACTGCTTTACTTAGTCTTCCCTTTTCATGTTATCAATTCACAGCATAGAATTATAGTTCTCTATTTCTGTATAGCCCAGAATTTGAGTTTAGTTGAATTTCTCATTCTTACCCGTTAAAACTTGGACAGCTGCAGAAAACATGTTTCTTAATACAATTTTGTGTTTCTTGCTGCTACTAAAGCAGAAAGAATGGCAGCCCCATTGACTAGTATTAGTGAAACTTTGTGAAAATCTTACGAAGATGTTAATGTTCCTTTTGGCTGTGCTTCCAGTGGCTTAGCTGTTTATGCGAAACTTTGCCTGGATGTCTTACAAGACCAGTGATTCTATCAGGTTTTGTTTTCCTCTGCCTTGGGATAGATGTGTTGCCAGAGTCATATTCCTTATAATACTGTTATTTGGCTCCAGTTTTATACTAAAACCAAGGACATAGTCAGGTAATGATTTGTGAAAGAAGAAAATAAACTTATAATTGCTGGCAAGAATAGAAAATCTTTTATCAAAATATTTAAATATGATATTCTGAATAATTTTTATCAATATCGGGAAAAGTTTTTTTGCTGAATTAAAAACAATTCCAAACCTGAATAATTTAATTTTCCTTCTTTTCTCAGTTAGTGATGAAGCTCAGCCTACAGGTGGACATTTTCATATACATATGAATCTCACCATCTTCATATTTCTAGTCTTTTCATTTGTTCCTGAAACCACTTATGCTTACTGTTTTTTTAATCTCAACAAAGACTATTTCTGAAATTTATACAGATCACAGGTCTCTTAAATCACAATTAATAATTTCTAGTTTATAGCTTTCTAATATGGCTCTTGTAAGATATGAATGAAATACATGACTTTAATTTAATAGAGGCCACATATATTTTGACCTCTTTGCTCATTCATACCTACTCTGTACCAACTGTGTGCTGGGGATACCAGGGAGCACAAAGCCCTCTGCTTACGTTGATGGGATCTTCTTTTCTTTTCTTTTCTTTTTTCTTTTCCTTCCTTCCTCCCTTCCTCCCTTTCTCTTTCCCTCCCTCCCTGTGCCTTTCCTTTCCTTTCCTTTCCTTTCCTTTCCTTTCCTTTCCTTTCCTTTCCTTTCCTTTCCTTTCCTTTCCTCCCTCCCTCCCTCCCTCCCTCCCTCCCTCCTTCCTTCCTTCCTTCCTTCCTTCCTTCCTTCCTTCCTTCCTTCCACTCTCTCTCTTTCTTTCTCTCTTTCTTCCTTTATTTTCTTTCCTTTTTCTTTATTTTCTTTCTCTCTTTCTTTCTTTTCCTTTTTCTTTTCTTCGTCAGGGTCTTGCCTTGTCACTCAGGGTGGAGTGCAGTGGCGTGAACACAGCTCACTGCAGCCTCAACCTGACAGGCTCAAGTGATCCTACCACCTCAACCTTCCAAGTAGCTGAGACTATGGTTAAAATAATGTCGAATTCAAAATAATTTTAAGAAATATTTGAAGATAAGATGTCACTTTAAATATCTTATTGTCCTGTAGGAAAGCACAGAAAAAGTTCTAAAATACTAACTTAGCATGGTCTTTGAAATAGATCAACTTTTGAATCCTCACACTTCACTTATTTGGCACAAATTACACTTATCTTTTTGTACTCATTTTGTTCTCTTTAAAAAATAAAGATAATAAAAGTATCATCCTTCTAGAAGTGAGTGAGGACTATATGATATAATATATACAAAGACCGCCACCAGGTAGTTTTTTAATGCTTGTGCCTTTTTTTAGTATCATTATTAATGTTATCATTATTGTTATTAAAAGCAAGTGTTTATAGAAATAGGGTTATGAAAATTTGAAAATCATAGGCATAAATAAGCTTTAGCCTATGGCTCAGATGGCATTTGCAGTTTATGCATATCATGCTGATTTAACTGACACTTTTTTTTTCCAAATTTTAATTCCTTCTCCTATTTTCAGTGAGATGTATTTTTATTTTTCTACTCAGTTTGTTGTCCTACTCATTATTGTGAACATAGGAATGAAGGGGTGCTTGGAAATGTCTAGATTATCTTGGCCATTCTCTTGTTATATTCAGTGATGTCAGTAAGACATGCTCCTTTAGGAACTGTGTGGTTTATGAGCCTGGAATGTCATATGCAAAAGAAATATTCCTAACTCTATATTTTATGGCTAAAGGTTATAGAAAGATTATTAGTTGACTTTCTTTTGAGATGGAATATTTTAGTCATGCTTTAAAAATGAGATTCTAAATTATTTTTAATTTTCTTATTTGAAAGTAAATAGTTTCTAATAACTAAAGTATGAAATTACTTTGTAATTCTGAGATATGCAATATCCATATCCACCTATATTTAGTTCATATATTTCAGCTGGGTTATTTATTGAACTATTCCTTGCCATTAAAAAATTATATATAGTAGATTTTATCTTTATGCTAAACAGATTCTTCTTAGTCATTCAACTTGCTAGAATCCCCCAATCTCACCCATAGCAAAAGATTTTAGTTACTACTCCCATAAGAAGAAAACCTTCCCATTTTCAATTTATTCAGTTTTCACCTTTTACCTCTATTAGGTGGCACTTGCTAGGTATAACAGTAACAACCCCATCAAAGCAAAGTTTTATTTCTTGCTCATGTTAAATATTATTCAAGGATCCTCTTAAAGTCTTTTTCATCCTGAGACTCAAATTGAGGAATAATCCTTAACTGGGGCTTGCCAAGATAATGGCAGATGGAAAGAGAGAAGTTGTGAGACTGCACATCGGTTCTTACACCTTCTGCTCAGGGGAGGCACATGTTTCATGTCTCTCCTACTCACATTTCATTAGCCAAAGTTAGTCACATAGTCAAGCCTGAAGATAACTTTATGGGAAAGTATAATTTTCCTGTAGCAATGGGCCTGTGGGAGGGGTGGCACTAAAATATTTAGACAAAACTAGTTTACCACACTACCTTCATATTGCTGTCTTTGCACGTTGAAATGTGCCTTCTTCTCTCTAATTCTACAATATCACCTGTTCATTCCTTAAACATATATTGAGTATATATTACAGGTGCCACATAATTAGTAATTGTGTAAACTTTAATATCAAGGGTTGTAACCTGAAAGAAATATCTACTAACATTCTTAACTCTTCTCCTGGTATGTCTATGCATAGTGAATAATTTTTATAATGTTTTCCCTGAAAGTTTCACCTCACTCCCCTTTTATGATTCCAAATTTCAGAGATGATTTGGACTTTTTAAGTAAGAGAGATATGATTGGGATTCTAACTCTGTGATTTATTAGCTATGTGATCTTGGTCAAATTATTAATTTTCTTGGATGTTTAGTTTCCTCAAAGGAATGTGGAACTATTATAACCTCAGACATTAAATTGCATAGAATATGTGAATCACCTGGCTCAGTGCTTGATGCATTATAAAGCCTTATGCAATTCATATCTTGTCTCACTTCCATCAGAACCTTCTGAGACCCCATTTCACTCAGAATTAAGTAGAAGTTCTCTTTGTATCCTACAAACTTCAAAGTGATCTGACCCCGTGACTCTTTTCCTTGCTTACTTTGCTTCAACTACCTTGGACTTCTTCATGATCCAAAATGCACAAAGCACACTCCAGGCTTGGTGTCTTGGCCACTGCTGTTCCCAGTAGAATATTTTTTCTTAAGTGTCTGAGTTTGGTTTATCATTTTATTCTGAATAAATTGCATTTCGTCAGAGATGCCTGTGACCATTCTACTTAAGATATAAATCTTTTCATCACTCTCTATCCTTTTACCTGGATATACTTTTTTCCTGTTTTGATTTCTTATCACCTGACACGCATATTTGTTGTTTACTGATTTATGCATTGTCTTCCCTCTAGAATTTAAACTCCAAAAAAGAAAAAAAAACAGAGACTATTTTGTTCATTGTACAGCCTAGTACCTACAATGTTAGTTGGCCCTTAAGTGGGTGGTTAATAAATGATAAGTAAATACATGAAATATATAATCTGTCACTCAAGAAAATCAACAACATGTTTGGCCAGAGGAAACAAGCACAGGGGCCCCATATCTTCTTTTTATCACTGCATACCCCAAGTTTGTCTTTGGAAAGTTCCTTAATACATAATTTTTGTATTTATACTTTTATTACCCAAGTAACCAGTTATACGCAGTCTAAATAGCTAGAAATTGCTGATAATACAAAGAGCCGTACAAAATATGTGTTATAATACTTTTTCAAAAAAGTCTTTGAAATGTTCTTTGTTATAGGCAGAAATTGGTCTGTTTAAAATATAAAATACACTTAGGCAAATGAGCTAGAGATAGGGGAGAAATTACCTGTTTTTGGAAATAAATGAGAGAAAATATCAAACTTTGAAGTAAGAGCAATGAATTCAATAGTAAAGAAGTGAAATAATTTTGCAACATTTGAAAAGTTTGAGAATTTAAGGTTTTTTATTTAAGAGGCTAGGATTTTTCATTTAAGCCAAAGCATCATTTCAATATGTTCTTAATCTCAAAATTGTTAATGAAATCATTTACATCTTTTCATAATTATTCTTTCAAAGCTGATGTGGTCTCAATTTGGGCTGGCCCCATTCTGAGTGCTCAGTTGCGTTTGTGGCTAGCAGCTGCCACATTGGACAGCACAGTCCCACTGCACCCTGCCACGCCAGTCTATATGAATGCTTCCTCATGACATCCTTAATCCCTATATTGGTTATTGATTTTTTCTATGTTTAATACACAAAACAATGTTTCATTGTTTTTAATTTACATTTTTTATTATTACAAAGATTTTTCATAACTGTTATTTATTGAGAGTCACCTGTATACTAGAACTGTAGTAGTTGCCTTACAAATATTATTTAGCTCTTCATAAAAGACAAAAAGATGTTAAAGGGAAAATGGGGTACAGAAGTATTACAAAGCTTGCCTAAATTCACATGGATTAAAAGGTGGAGCTGGTATTCAATCTCAGGTCTTTCTTTTTGACTGACTTAGGAATTGGTGTAGGGCTAGTAGGCCTGAGATTCCAGGAAACTATAAATTGAACTTTATCTGATAATGAAACTATGTTAATTGAAATACATGTAAAGCTTTAAATATTGTCCTCCGATGCCTAGATAACTTATCAAATAATTGTCACTACCAAAGGTAGCTGAAGTTAACCTGAGAAGTGTGCTCTATATGGATTAAATTTCATTAATATAGTTACCTGTTATGTTAGTTCAGTGAAACAAATATTGACCACCATGGTGTGGGTAGTCAGCACTCTACTAACAAATGTGCAAGTGTTAAATAAAGTTGCTCATTGGTGAAGACGGTCTGATTTTTATTTTTTTTTAACATTTCTGGATCATATTCCAGTTTGATTCCAAAAGAACTAATGACTTTTTCCTAGTAAATTAGTTGACCTGCCCCTTATTGCTGTTTTCTGGATTCTGAAGATCTGTATCATAACTTTGGTTGAAGTTATGATTCAATATGCACTGGGTTTCTGCTTGCAGCAGATACCCAAAGAGTGGAATTAAAGTAGCCTCTTTGTATATTAATACGTGTTTTCTTTCTAGGATCAGTTATAAATCTGAGGGAATTGGAATCTTCTCAATGGTGATTTGACTATTCGAGACTTTTGAACATTGTGAGCACCAGAATGTCTCTGGTGTTAGAATATGCTTGATATTTTGAATCTCATTTTGAACCAATATTAAATCCAGATATGGCAGGAAATATCCATGTGTATAAAGCAAGTAGTGTTTTTACAGTCACTGAGTAGCCATGTAAAAACTTCCAAATAATTTTTCAATTGTCAGGATTTTAGTTTCACATCCAGGTGGAGATCAATTTTATGCTGAGGCAATATCTTGGCCTTGGTACCACTGTCCTAAGTGGAGTAGGAATGGGAAGATTGAGTTCTGGAGAACCACAGAGCAGCATGCAAGTTTGTTTTGGAGACAGAGTTTCTTGCCATACATGTGAATTTCGAAGGAGAACGCTAAGCTGCATTAGCATCTCTAAGCCTTCACTGTTGATTTTGGCTATTGTTTAGTGTCACTTGTACTAGTAGCAGTTGGAGAGTTTGAAAAGGCATCTGTAGCCTTGTTTTTAATATTAGTCTAGCTGTCCGTAAGTAGAACGTCAAAGCCATCATTGTGAAGAAGTTGCATTGAAAATGAACTCCATTTTGGATGAAATTCTTGGTATAAATTAAAGAAACATTATCAGTCATATGAGGCTTCGTATGTGACTTTTTTCAGTGTTGAGTTACAGGGTAGGCTTTAGTGTCTGTTTGGAACAACACACAGCATACAAAGAGGGGGAAGAAGGTAGAAAATCAAAGCTGTCAGCCACAATGTTTCAAAACTTTTATCAAGCTCAAGTGTGAGTCAGGCAATTACGAGTACTAGGAGGCAGGACCATCATGAGTTTTGAGTGATAGCATTTTGCACAGAGAACTGAATTTCTAGAAAATAAAATTAATGTGAAGCAATCCCTGACCACTTTAAAAGCAAAAGAAACCCCACCCTATTTCTGCTGTCTCTCCACTTCGGGAATTCCACTGTCTCTCACTGAAAGAGGAGAGATTTAAGGCCATTCAGCAGCATCTTATTTTATTTTATTAATTGATTTACTAATTTTTATTTTTTGAGATGGAGTCTCATGCCATCATCCAGGCTGGAGTGTTAGTGGTGCTATCTCGGCTCACTGCAACCTCCGCCTCCCACGTTCAAGCGATTCTCCTGCCTCAGCCTCCCGAGTAGCTGGGATTCCAGGTGCCCACCACCGTGTCTGGCTAATTTTTAAAATATTTTTAGTAGAGATGGTGTTTCACCATGTTGGCCAGGCTGGTGGCCTCAAGTGTTCCACCCACTTCAGCCTTCTAAAGTGCTTGGATTACAGGTGTGAGCCACCATGTCCAGCCAGTATTTTAAAGATCATCTATGTCAAACTGCCACACAGTTCAGCTGCTATCTCCCAACATTGTTTATATTTAATCAGCATTGCTTAAATTCTCTTATCATGGAAAATGTTTAAAACATGACTATTCCAAGTGAACAGGCAATCTACAGAGTGGGAGAAAATTTTCGCAATCTATCCATCTGACAAAGGATAATATCCAGAATCTGCAGGGAACTTAAACAAATTTACAAGAAAAAAACAAACAACCCCATCAAAAAGTGAGTGAAGGATATGAACAGACACTTCTCAAAAAAAGACATTTATGCGGCCAAGAAACATATGAAAAAAAGCTCATCATCACTGGTCATTAGAGAAATGCAAATCAAAACCACAAGGAGATACCATCTCATGCCAGTTAGAATGGCAATCATTAAAAAGTCAGAAAACAACAGATGCTGGAAAGGTTGTGGAGAAATAGGAATGCTTTTACACTGTTTGTAGGAGTGTAAATTAGTTTAACCATTGTGAAAGACAGGATGGTGATTCCTCAAGGATCTAGAACCAGAAATACCATTTGACCCAGCCATCCCATTGCTGGGTATATACCCAAAGGATCACAAATCATTCTACTATAGAGACACATGCACACATATGTTTTTTCACAGCACTATTCACAGTAGCAAAGACTTGGAACCCACCCAAATGCCCATCAGTGATAAACTGGATAAAGAAAATGTGGCCCATGTACACCATGGCAGACTATGCAGCCATAAAAAAGGATGAGTTCATGTCCTTCGCAGAGACATGGATGAAGCTGGAAACCATCATTCTCAACAAACTAACACAGGAACAGAAAACCAAACACCACATGTTCTCACTCATAAGTATGAGTTGAACAATGAGAACACATGGACACAGTGAGGGGAACATCACACATCGGGGCCTGTCGGTGGGTGGGGAGCTAGGGGAGGGATAGCATTAGGAGAAATACCTAATATAGATGACAGGTGGATGGGTGCAGCAAACAATTATGACACTTGTCTACCTATGTAACAAACCTGCACATTCTGCACATGTATCCCAGAACTTAAAGTACAATAAAAAATAAAAAAATACAAAAAAAAATTAGCCAGGCATGTTGGTGTGCACCTGTAGTCCCAGCTACTCAGGAGGCTGTGGCAGGGGAATCGCTTGAACCCGGGAGGCGGAGGTTGTAGTGAGCTGAGATTGTGCCATTGCACTCCAGCCTGGCAACAGAGTGAGACTCCGCCTCAAAAAAGAAAAAAAAAAATTAAAAAGATGACTATTTCACTTTCAAACAGGGATCGTTGTTATAAAGTTGTATTTAGTCCATTGAACTCCTTCTCAAATTTCCACCCAGGCTTCATGGGTTTTTTGTTGTTGTTGTTGTTGTTGTTGTTGTTGTTGTTAAATGTGTAGTTTCTGGCTGATGGTTTTCCATTGTGAGAAAAAGGTAGTAATGTTGTTACTACTCTAGACAATACTACTCTTCAGAGCCTATTTATATTGAAGCAATATGGACTTTACCTCTCCAGTAAAGGCTTCCAGTGGCTCTCTGAGAGGTTGTTCCTGCACACAATTGTAATCACACATGGATAACTTACACAGAGTATGGAGGGAAATGTGAACCTTAATTTGTTTCTAGTCATGTTGCATTTCCCATTCAGAATTTTAGAGCATGAACATAGAATAACACATTTTCCAACCATATCTTGAACTTTTTTGTGCTGTAATATCTGCCTTCATGGAATGGGATGTCTGTAAATATAGACTGTACCCCTGCCTTCTACATACTGCCTCCAGGAGAGAAGAGGTGACTGGTCCTTGGGTGGAGAGAGAAGAGTGGTCTCATTTATGCAAGGAATATTGGTCCCTTAACCATACAGATTATAGAAGGTAGGAGAGGGCATTGATCAAAAGGGCCATTAGCGTTAAAGAAAAAATGATCTTTAAAGGCCTCTGAGGAGTAGGTAAATATGGTCATCACCAGAGAACTTCCTCACTGTTAGCACAGAACCTGCTAAACAGGAGAGGTTTCAGCTTTGGTTTTTGTGGGTCAGGGGCTCACAGGATAAAGAATGCCTGCTGCAACCCTTGCTGCCCTCAACTTCTGTAGACCAGCATCATCATCATTGTTAGGATATGGGCAGGTGAGAGCTGAGGTGTGAACTCATGAGGCTCAAACCCTAATACGAGTAATGCACCATTGGTTGTGCAGAGGTCTGAACTCATCCTCTGTCCAACCTGAATGAACATCAGTCAAAATTAATTATGTATGCTTCATTTTTGCAGCCTAATTTTGTGTAGTTCTCTGAAGGAAATATTACACTGCCCTGTGGGAGGGACCCCTTGCCAGGATGCTCTCTTGGAACTAGGACAAGGTCACCAAATCCTGAGATAAGTGTGTCATTAAGCTCCTTGGAGCATCTGGTTGACCTCATACTTGGGATAAAGTGTTGGAGAGAGCTCTAGACATAATTAGGAATGGGTCCCACACAGTTCCAGTCTGAATTTAAAACACCCCATCCAGATAGTACTACAGATTTTGGCTGGTCCAGCTATCAGAGAGGGACAGTGAATATATCAAGTAAGGCACTCAAAGCATGGAATACTCCGAGGCCTGGGATCCAGGAGAGGGGCCTCGTTTTCCTGGTTGTGAAGGGGACACTCCTGCTACAGATGTTCAATTATGTGGAAACAGTTTTCTTCTCTGCCCTAAGTCATCTTTTCTTTCCACTAAATTTGTCCTTCTCAACTTCTTTATTCCCACAAGTGGATGAATGCCTTCTGAAGTACAGCAACATTTTTAGATGCAGTTCTCTTATATGTGTTACCATCTGTGCACAGGCAGTGTCTTTTCTAATTATGTTGTACATTGTATCATCTGCATTGTTTATGTGTTTATTTGGTATTCATATACTGAGTAATAGAATCTGTTCAAAATCAATAAAATCACCCTGCTTGCCACTTGTCAAATGCAAATGTTACCACATAGGCAATCATAGTCATTTTGTTGCATGTTTTAAGGGTCATTTACAGAACCCTGGCCATCTTGTAATTGGTACCAGTCATTGGTGATGTTGAAAGGAATATGAAAATAAACTAGGTTTGAACAATTTTGATTTAGGGATTTAAAGACAAATTTAATTTAGAAACCTTTCAAGATCACTTTAATCAAGTTCCAAAATAGAATTCAACTACATTTAAATTGATATATCATTTATTTGAAGAGGAAATTAATTTTCTATATTACTTCATAGGATTTTTCAAAAGAGAGCCTCGTTTAATAAATTAGTTCTACAGTGTTTTTAAAGCCAATAGAATGTTTCATTATTGTTAGCTTCACTGAATTTTATTATTCCTTAACTATTTTACTCTCTTGTAGGAGATCTATGCTTGTGAATTAGCTAAGAGATCTGGAGTAGCTAATTACATAAATTTTTATGTATATTCATGTCAGTGTATAGGTGACATTTGCGACAGCAAGTCTAGGTCATTGTTTTGGAAACTATCCCAGTTCGTGTAACATATATCCATCCCATTCAGGAAGCATCTGGGTATGTAGCTGCATGGCAGCCCTCTCCATGCCCTCTTGTAAAAATCCCTTAATGGTGCATTATCAGTTGTGTTATAGAAACCTGCTTAAAAGGTTTCATGAATCATAAAACATTATGAAGGCTATTAAATTTTTAAAATAGTATTTGGAAAGGGGAAGTCCCCAGAAATCCTGATCTTTTCAACTTCCTTCTCTACTAAAATCTTTTTGAAAGAACATAATGTTTTCATAACCTGGGCTGAAGGAGACTTCTGACTTAGTTTTGCTACCAGATCTGAATTCCTCATGCTCCAAGATTCTCTGATCTCTTTGAGACCCTTTTGCCAGCCACTTTGGCCTCAGTTCTGTTCTCTATTGCCTCTCAAAATATCACTGTCTGCTGTTTGCTCCATAACTCCAAATTTGTTCACTGATCAAAACCTAATTGTGAAAGGATCCCCTGAAATCTAGGTACCATGCCAGTTACATATGCTATGGAGATGAATGATCAGTTTCAATGAGGTGCCTTTGAAGCACACATGCTACTGGAAGAGAAGTCCGTTACAAAAGAATATGGTAGGTGATGCAGAGACTCACAAGAGCACAAAAGCAGCAGCAGATGACTATCCGAGCCACTCAGTTAAGGTGATTTTTAAGCTATTTATCAGGAAGCCAAAGATGAAAGGGGCAATCCAAATGAAAGAAAGAACATGAACAAAGACATGCAGTCCTGAAGGAACAGGAAGTATTAGAGAACAACTATGACTAGAGCCTAGAGTTCATGTGGGGGATGGTGAGAACTGAGAATGGAAAAGTAGAGAAGGTAAAAAGTTGAAGAAAAGGAAATGAAAGATCACTCAAGTTAGGCATGCAGACTGGGAATAGAAGTCAGAAAAAGAAGCCCTGAAGAATCCAACTAGATATGAAAAGAATACTGAGATTAAAATTAGAGAAGAGGGACAAGCAAGATAAAATTATAACACAAAAACAAGAAGAAAAAATATATAATAAAAGAGGAGGGAGTCGGTGGTGAAATTTGCACGAGGGACATGAAACCAAGTGAGAAATGTGAAATTATTGTTGAATTTCAGACCAAGATCTGTGTCAGTGGATGGGCATGAGGGAGAGGCAGAAATTGCCATCAGTTAAGAAATTTAAGGGATATGAGCAAGAGGAGATATTGAATGGTCAAATTTCTTGACGGAGAAGAGAGAAAGGAAATGGCAAATGAAGACTTATCCAGGCTGTCTATTTTTTCCCCTCCCAGCTAATAAAAATAAACTTAGCTCACGTTTATCACACTAGGGAAAAGAAGGAGCTGGAGGAAAAGGAAGACAGTGAGGAAACAGGAAATAGAAGAAATTATAATTACTTTAAAAGAAGGTGTGAAAAATCTTTCAGTTCCTTTCACACATGAACACCACCTTTTTCTCTCTCTTCATTTCCTCTCAAAGGAAAACTTAACTCCCACTTTGGTACAACTCTAAGTCACCAACAAAGCTATTCTTTTTATCTTAGTCTCAGAACTTGGCTCACACTTTCTCTAGTGGCTGGCCAATTTTATTTCCCAATTATCTTGGCCTAAATACACATTCATCAACTTGCTGTCTAATGTGGATAATGGCCAAGGGAATGTTTTTAATATTAGGAGAGGATAATTTTAGCATTTAAAATGTATTGATAGATTTGTATTGAAGAAAAATAAAAGGATAGTTACAGGGCATCTGACAAGTCACTTAAATTCTCAACTTCAGTCTCTTTCTATTTTTTAAAATGGTAATCTTGACCAAATCATATCTAGGGTTTGGTCCAACTTAAAAATTCTAGGATTCTAAAAAACAGGCAATTAAGTTTTTTTTTTTTTTTTTTTTTTTTTTTTTTTTTTTTGAGACGGAGTCTCGCTCTGTCACCCAGGCTGGAGTATAGTGGCGTGATCTCGGCTCACTGAAACCTCCACCTCCTGGGTTCCAGCAATTCTTCCTGCCTCATCCTCCTGAGTAGCTGGGATTACGGGCACCCACCACCACACCCAGCTAATTTTTATATTTTAGTAGAGACAGGGTTTCACAGTGTTGGCCAGACTAGTCTCAAACTCCTGACCTCAGGTGATCAGCCCGCCTTGGCCTCCCAGTGCTGAGATTACAGGCATGAGCCACTGTGCCCAGCCAAGAATTTTTTTACAAGGGAAAAATGACTATTAAGAAGCGCGATGGAAAGTCAGAGAGTCAGAGAGGTAGGCCCAAACCTTGTCTACTTGTATGATAGTTTTGTATCCTTAT
The DNA here is from genome assembly GCF_000001405.40 of Homo sapiens. NCBI lineage: Eukaryota > Metazoa > Chordata > Mammalia > Primates > Hominidae > Homo > Homo sapiens. Next base: position 77,767,164 of record NC_000012.12, read on the forward strand.
TTAAGTTACTTGAACTCACTAAGTCTTAACTTTGATCTTTCATAATGGACAGACTTAGGATTTCCTAAAGGATTGTTGGGAAAATCATATGAGATAATATTTGTAAAACAGGCAGTTCAAATGTGATGTATGATGGATTCCTAATGATGTCATAGGATCCTTAGGGTGTCGCTTTTCCAGCTGGAAACCTCTGTGGCCAGTGTTGCCTCAGCCTGAGTTTTACTAGGGCCCACAGGGCTTATTCTACCCACTTGGCCTGGTAGTCTGCACTTGGCCTGGTAGTCTGCACTTGGCTAGCACTACCAGCCCAGATCCCATGCCTCTGAAGACACTGGAGCCAGGGATGGAGTGGCAAGGGATGTGTGAGTAGGTGAGTGTGGGGTCCGGCCACTGCATACAGCCAAGCACACTAGCCACTGTGGTGGGGCGGGCAGCTCCAGGTGCCAGCACAGACACCGGCTCCATGTAAGCCTGCAGCTAAATCACATGCATGACAAGTGGCTTCAGCTGTGGGCACCTGCCTCTAGAGGAGGGGAACACAGTGGCGCCCAGGAGCTTGGAGACACCAGAAACTGCAGAGCCCCAAAGAGGGGGTCATAGCCCTGGTTTGGGGAGCACCTAGGTCTGAGATCCCCAAAGGGCTGCAACTCTTTTTTCCTTCCCATTGCCTGCAATGCAGTGAGCAAAGGAGGTGTGTGACAGCCCTGTTTCTGTTACAGCTCTTTCAGTTCCACCATTTGGCAGGTCCCAAGTTTTGTCCCACATCCAGGAAGAACAAGGTATGCAGACAACTGGAGGGTGAGCAAGGTGAAGAAGTGCTTTATTGAGCAACAGTACAGCTCTCAGGAGACCTGAAGTGGGTAGCTCCTTTTGACAGGCAGGTTGTTCCAACAAGTGTGCAGCCCTCAGTGGAGAGGAGTCCAGTAGAACCTATCCACAGGTAGGTCATCCCATCATCTGCCCGAATCTGGCTGAGTCTGGGGTTTTTATGGGCTTCAGAGGGAAGGAAGTACATGCTGATTTGTTCATGGGTGGCCATGGGCAGCCTGGAAAAAGCACCATAAGTTCTCACTCCAGGCCCTGGACTCCATCTGGAACTGAGTGCCAGGCTACCAGGCTTCAGGCTGTCCCTGGCTTGAAGGTGGGGTTTCACCAGGCACCTGACCCTTTCTGCCCAGGAGCCTGTCTGCCTCCTGCCACCATTTACATGTCATCCAGGGTGCCCAGGCTGTTTGTGCCAGAGGATGCCTTCAGGCCTGCACCAAGCTGCCCTTAGTGCCCCCTCGGCCTCCCTTCTGTGCTTAGCATCACCCAAAGACTGGAGGGGGCTGAGGCAGCAGGGGGCTAGTGAGTCAGCAGCACCCCAAGCACATGCACATCCAGCTGGAATGAACACAACAGCACCTGGGCTTGGCCTCAACTTTGCTCTGAAATCAGAACAGGTGCTGGGAGTGGGGAGCTGCCAGGCAGAGGGAGCAGGCACTTCTGAACCTGTGGGGGCAGGGGGACTTCTGGGCCAGGAGTACAGTTGCCTAGATCCATAGCTACAGCTGGAGAGCTGAAGCTATGCCTGGGAGGGCGGGCTCCTGCCCTGCAATCTCAGAATGAGGTAGGCAGGGCTCCTGCCTGTTCCTGGTTCCTGCCAGCTCCATGGAGTGTGCAACCCTGGCAGCACCTCCCCTACTGCAGCCAGTGTCTTTTCAGCAGCTGCTCCAGATGAGCCACTGCAGCCATCAATGACTATTTATTACTCTCTTCTTCCTTAAATTAATTTTACTCATCAACATTGCCCTTCCTCAAAAAATAATAGCACTTAGTGAATCTTTACAGTGAGTCATACATTAATCCTTTACATGAATTGATATATATTTAATCCTTGTAAAAAATCAAGGAGGCAGGTATTTTTTCATTGCCATTTTAAAATTGGGAAAACTGAGGCATGGAAAGGTTCAGTAATTTGCTCAAGGTAACTTATATGGTAAATAGCTGAGTCCAAATTTAAATCAAGGCAGGTCATTTCCAGGGTGTGTTTTTAAGTACTACAATATAGTTGCTGCATGTTTATGAAACAATTCTTAGTCAAGACTGTGTTTGATATAAATTACATTTGATATAAAGCTCAGCCAAATATGACTTCCAACCTTTCAAATATAATTTCTAGTATAACCTTAGACATATGTAAAATGCCCATTTTATCAGTAATAGCTAACAGAACAGTACAGCTCCCAGAGTGGTCATGCAATCTGTCAGAAGCATTTTCTGATAGCACAATAGTGACTGTATTTGAAAAGAGGAATGTTGATCTGTTTTGTAAAGTTGGCCCAATAAATACTTAGACATTGTAAGCTTTCTCTATACATTTTTTTATTCTAAAAGAGTAAATAGTATCAAACAAAGTCATAGGAATGTTTGAAGATACAATTCTGTGTAACACAAGTTGTTACAGACTTATAAATTAGTAAACTTGAGTCATTAAAATAATTCAGTAATTATCTCAAGTGGATTACTTTTGTAATTTAATTAATGTCTTTGATGCCAAGGTATGAAATAAACTGCCATTATGGAAAGTCGGATTTGTCAACAAGGAAGTGAACAGTTACAGTCTTTATTATTAGACAGTACTTGAGCAGATCCTGTATTGATATCTTTTAGTTAACTAGGCAGTGAATATTATTAATTTTAAAAATTCATCACTTTCTATTATGAGAAAGTGATGTATTATAAATAAGTATGTTTAGTGAAATGAATGTTTGACCAGGTAACTAGGATATTTTTTTTCTTTTTCAAATACACAAAATGTATGTTAAATTTATAGGTCAGACATTTCTGTTTACAGAGTTAGAGAAATAAGTAAGATGAAAGGAATATCTTTTTAGAAAAAATGGTGGCTTTGTATTTGGGTATGTTGTATTTGAGATACCAGTAGGCATATGAAAATGTAAGGCTAGAGCTCAACAGAGTGCTTGGGGCTAGAGATCCAATTTTTTTTTTCCCCCAGTGCTGTTAAAATCCTAGGGGGAGTTGTTCTTTACTTTATGAGAAGGAATAATGACACTGAGGAGAATATTTGTAGGAGTGATGGGTGAAATCCCAAATGAGGAAGCTAAGGTACCTGTGGCAGGATAGTAGATTGTGAACTTGCAATCTTAGAGGTATAGCACTTCTGGATGAACAGACGGCTGAGTTAGAGACCTCCCAGAGGTTTGCTGCTGAAGTAGCCTTGGAGATGGATGTCATTGAGTTTGGGCATGTCATGAAATCAGGCCAGTAAAAAATCTGGCCTTCCAAGCAGCCAGAAGAATATTATGAAGTAGGGATTTTTGCCTAAACTTCTTTAGAGCTCTTAAGAAATAGACTCAGAAAGCTGAATGTGCCTTAGAGGCAGCTTGCCCCAGTGGTTGCCAAGAAAATCAGCTCTGAATAGTTTATGATAGACTAGCAATTGCACACCTACACCACAGCGTTTAGAGCTTATCCAGCTGTTCCCTGCTTTTATATGAAGTCTAAAATGTAACCATTTGGGTGCTGGGAAAACTGGCTAGCCATATGTAGAAAGCTGAAACTGGATCCCTTCCTTACACCTTATACAAAAATTAATTCAAGATGGATTAAAGACTTAAACGTTAGACCTAAAACCATAAAACCCCTAGAAGAAAACCTAGGCAATACCATTCAGGAAATAAGCATGGGCAAGGACTTCATGTCTAAAACACCAAAAGCAATGGCAACAAAAGCCAAAATTGACAAATGGGATCTAATTAAACTAAAGAGCTTCTGCACAGCAAAAGAAACTACCATCAGCGTGAACAGGCAACCTACAAAATGGGAGAAAATTTTCACAACCTGCTCATCTGACAAAGGGCTAATATCCAGAATCTACAATGAACTGAAACAAATTTACAAGAAAAAAACAAACAACCCCATCAAAAAGTGGGCGAAGGATATGAACAGACACTTCTCAAAAGAAGACATTTATGCAGCCAAAAAACACATGAAAAAATGCTCATCATCACTAGCCATCAGAGAAATGCAAATCAAAACCACAATGAGATACCATCTCACACCAGTTAGAATGGCGATCATTAAAAAGTCAGGAAACAACAGGTGCTGGAGAGGATGTGGAGAAACAGGAACACTTTTACACTGTTGGTGGGACTATAAACTAGTTCAACCATTGTGGAAGTCAGTGTGGCGATTCCTCAGGGATCTAGAACTGGAAATACCATTTGACCCAGCCATCCCATTACTGGGTATATACCCAAAGGACTATAAATCATGCTGCTATAAAGACACATGCACATGCATGTTTATTGCAGCACTATTCACAATAGCAAAGACTTGGAACCAACCCAAATGTCCCACAATGATAGACTAGATTAAGAAAATGTGGCACATATACACCATGGAATACTATGCAGCCATAAAAATGATGAGTTCATGTCCTTTGTAGGGACATGGATGAAACTGGAAACCATCATTCTAAGCAAACTATCACAAGGACAAAAAACCAAACACTGCATGTTCTCACTCATAGGTGGGAATTGAACAATGAGAACACATGGACACAGGAAGGGGAACATCACAATCCGGGGCTGTTGTGGGGTTGGGGGAGAGGGGAGGGATAGCATTAGGAGATATACCTAATGTTAAATGACAAGTTAATGGGTGCAGCACACCGACATGGCACATGTATACATATGTAACAAACCTGCACATTGTGCACATGTACCCTAAAACTTAAAGTGTAATAATAATAAAAAAATTAAAAAAAAATGTAACCATTTGGATTTAGGTTATTTCAAAATATGACCAAGTATGAAAAATTAATAATATTTGATATTGGTATCTACTAATAACAGCTAATATTTATCATCCTTTTGTAATGTACTAAACATGGTGCAAAGGATTTCAGTTAGACTTTACCTCAACTACAAATTTGATAACATTATTAACTCCATTTATAGATGAGGGTACTGGGGCTTAGAAGGGTTGTGTAGCTTGGTCCAGGTAACAGTGCTAATGAGGGACAACGCTAGTATTCAAACTTAGACCTGGCTGATTTCTATGGCACACTGATTCTGTCAAGGCATATCAAGAACTTTGCATGCTTTGTATGCTCTGAGCAACAAATAATAAAACATAAAGATTATTTCAAATAAACAATAAAGGAAAATTAAATTTGAAATATTTTAGTTAATTAGGAAAAAGCAATGACTTGCCATCAAATTAAATATTTTATTAATAAACTTCAACTCTACTGGTCACTTTTTTATGAATATATATCTTTTTATAAGGATAAAAAATTCATGCTCAGAATTAAATTCATGCTAAGACTTATGATAAATAGTGCTACCACTGACACTGACTTCACTGAGCAAAACTAGCAAGGAGATGCTAGTTAGCAGGTAAGGATTTTTATATTTTTATATTATTTTGAAGCCAAACTTAATTTTTAGTTTGGTTATCCTTTTACTTTAAATTTCAAATTCTCCTTGGTTGGTTTGAGAGGTTCTATTTCTGTGGGTAAACTCATGGTCACACGAGAACCTGTTTTAAAAAGAAATTCCTTGATGGCTCGAGCAGTTGGAATCTGTGTTGAATTTTTACTGCGGTTTAGAATGACCGTCAATGGCCAAAATGTGCTTTTGGGACATGTATGTTACATGATATCACTCAGACCTGACTTAACGCACTAAACAGATTGCTAGTCTTTCCTACCAGCTGTTCCTCTCTCCTTTCATTGTTGGCATTATGACTTGTCATGAATAACAGATAAATCTGGACATTTCAGTAGCATATATATTATGTGAATAAATCATCATAGTGAAAAAGTAGCTTAGGTTCTGAGATTCTATCATCCCAATTTTTTAATCATCATAAATGACAGAAACAGATGGGTGCTCTCATTGACTACAAGAACATCCAGTAACATATTCATGACATCATTCTGTGAGATTTATTTGGTTGGCATGCCCTTCAGTAATAAACAATCAGACATTTTGTTTTTCACCAAAAGTGTTGATCATTACTGAATCATCTTTTCAGAACTCCCTTTGCTAAAAGCATTGTTTTTTTTTTGGTTGGTCTAGTGATAATTGTCACAGATAAAAAATGTATCGAAATGATTGTAGACAAAAGCAAAAGGGCTAGGACTGTTGGTACTAAAATCTCAAAAGAAAAGCAATATCAACAATAACATCTTCCATTGGAAAAACTCTAATGTCCCTATTATTTGTGACTGTTATACATTTTAAGGAAAATCAACTGCAAATGATTTGCCGGTATTTACCGAGTACTTACTAAATGGTAGGAACATTTATATATGCTGGAGATATACAACCTCTGGCTCAACATAGTAGAAAAAGAATTCTTGTCCTGATGGAATTTAAAATTTAGTGATGGACTCAGTAAAAACTAAGAGAAATAAGGAAGATACATAGTATATTAGATAATGATAGGACCTATGAATAAATATAAAGCAGGAAAGGCAAAAAAAGAATGCTATTGAGGAGTATGGGGATTACAATTTTAATAATGTACATCTCATTGAGTAACCCGCAAATATGTATTTTGACAACTTTATATGCAGTTTTCCCAGTATACATAATATATAGTTTTGATGTATTCATCCACTTAATTGTGTAATTACACTATTTCCTACTTTTTTAGGTCAGCTAATCCCTGTGTTCATTTAATGGATAAAAAAGCAGTAGGATTTCTTGCATTCATAGGCTACCCTTCTGTATCAGGAGCTGCTGGACATTAGTATGATTACTTTAGTATTAATCACTATTATACTTTTTATTATGTGCCAAAAAATTATTTTTTTATACTGACCTTGCCTGATGAACTCATAATCAGAAATTACACAAGCTAAGAATGATTGTGTTTATATTTTTTTACATTAATACTACTGAGATAATATGAATGAAATGGTTTCCTTTGAGGATTAAGTATCAGTTTATAGTTGTGAATTTTATGCCCATATAAACAGCATATGTAAGTTGCCCAGCTGTTGAGACTAGAAAGAATAAACATGCCATCTTCAGATATTCAGTTGGTTATACTCTCCCAAATTAGGAAAGGCCCAATAGGAAGTAAAGTGCCTTCCATTATTCAGTCCTTGCCTTCCTTTGATCCGCTTCCATGAAGCAGTAGGATGGACTATTTTAGCCTTCACAAGTTGATGCTGATCATATCCCTGCCTACTTTTCTGTATAATCACTACTCAGTCAGCAATATACAATAGCTACATTCAAGGCACTTCTCGGAGGACATTATTTTGAAGTCACTTTTCCAAAATGTTCACAAAAAGCTGAAATGAGACAGGGTATACATGGAGGATTCCTTGAAAGAGAGGCAGGGTACATACCCCTCTAGATTGGGGATTATGATCTTAAAGGACTAGAGAGGTGTAGAAAATAATAAAATTGAATTAAGGCAATTATGTGGCCTGTGGCATACTGGAGAGCAAGTACTTATGTAGGGGACTGTCATCCCTCAGCTCTGCAAAATACTCCTGCAGGTCAATTCCTGAAAGCAGATGAGCACTTTGCCACCCCGCATTTAAATACATTATAATCTCCCTCTGATTAACATGGGCTGGCGAAAGACTATATACCCAAAACATGTTATTCTAATCTCTCTTAAAATACAGTTTTTTGAATTGTAATTGTACTGTGAATTCAACAGTCTGTATAGAAGAAATTAGGAGACAAAGACTTATAAAGCCAAGGCTTCCATTTAGTATATTTCTGTATCATAGTGTCGTCCCATGAGGACCCATTGGATGAATGCCTGGTCATAGTATGAGGAAGTTGTGCTTCCACTGTGAACAAATGGCTGACTTGTATTAAGGATAAAATAAGTAGGCATGGACGTTACCATTTTATATCAGGAGCTAGTTGCTTTAGACATGGATATTCCACTTAAAAGTGTGTCATTTTGGCTGGGTGCGGTGGCTCATACCTGTAATCCCAGCACTTTCGGAGGCCAAAGTGGGCAGATCACCTGAGTTTGGGAGTTCGAGACCAGCCTGACTAACACGGAGAAACCCCGTCTCCACTAAAAATAGAAAAATTAGCCAGGCATGGTGGTTCATGCCTGTATTTCCAGCTACTCGGGAGGCTGAGGCACGAAAATTGCTTGAACCTGGAGGCGGAGGTTTGCAGTGAGCCGAGATTGCACCATTGTACTCCAGCATGGGCAACAGGAGCAAAAGTCCATCTTGAAAAAAAAAAAAAGAAAAAAGTGTGTCATTTTTTGGCTCTTTAAGCTGTATCTTGCAAAACTTAATCTCAATTTATGACCAAGATCTAGCCAATGGAGCTCACCTTACAATATATATTCTGTCTTCAATTTATTTCTGGTGTTATCTTATCCTTTCCTCATTCATTTGTTTTAAATCTTATAATAGCCTGTTACTTTATCTTGTTTCATTATATATAAGTATGTATACCACGTTAGAACTTTTGGGAACAGGTGAGATTAAAAATAAATAGAAAAACAACTTCCAAAACCTGTAGTGATCACAATTGTTCTTCTCACAATGACGTTGCACATTAGTGTACTATGAGGTAAGTCACAAATGACAATCCTTTTTGTCACTAAATATAATAAAGCACGATTCTTACAATGAGATCTAAATGGGACCATTGTTCACTTTCTTGAGTGTGATAAAGGTAAATTTACATCTGAAGCTGGGAGTAGCATGTAAATAGAAGTTTATCCTTTGTGTACATGCATGATTGGCATGAGCCTTTGCAGTATCTTTTCATGAATTAAGAAAGAACATTTTATCTTCCCAAGGGATATAGTCCAAGATCAGCGTTCATGCCTTTGTCCTCAGAGCATGGCAAGGATTCTAGCCCCTATCTCCCTCAGGCCAAGAATTGTTAAGTATTGGGGAAGGCACAACCTGCTGGACCATTCATAGAAGCCCAATTAATGTGTTACTTATAAAATTCATCTGTCACATGTGCCTGACCAAGAAAAGCAACATTGAGAGCCAATGGAATAAATTCTAGGTGTTTATTTACCTGATTTTATATTTGAAAAATGTAAAACATTTTAAAAACATGTAAATAAAAATAATCAGCTTTAATTTTACATAAAAGGAAGACAAGACCATATAAGATAGATATATCCCACATGAAAACTTAAATTTTTTGTATACATGTTGAAATCTTTCTGTATTTAACAGCTCCATACATTTTGATTGGTCACAGACCAATTGAGAACGTAACGAAGGCTGTAGTCCCTCTATAGGAAAACACATAAAGGCATAAGCAAACCTTTTTTTATAGAGTTTCTGTCAAGTTATTCAATTTTAGGTAACAAATTCCAGCTATTAACTGTAGAGAGCTCATTTATTCATTCAACTTTTTGTTCAGTAGAAGGACGATCTTATGAAGATCTGCACTCTCTTGCCCTGTACCTCAAAACACAGTACTATCTAGGCTCACTAAAAGCATGCTCTGTCATTGTACCACTGACAAACATGGTTTCTGACCAAATCTAAACAAATTAGAGAGTTTTACACTACTCAAACCATGATTAATAGGAACGAATATGCAGGGAGGCCGAGGTGGGCGGGTCACCAGAGGTTGGGAGTTTGAGACCAGCCTGACCAACATGGAGAAACCCCGTCTCTACTAAAAATACAAAAATTAGCCCGGTCTGGTGGAGTATGACTGTAATCCCAGCTACTTGGGAGGCTGTAACATCTTTATCTATCCAGCCCAGTAGTTGAGATTTTGCTTAGTATATTCTGATGCTTAAGCATACGTTTAATAGGAAAGCAAGAATTGAGTAAACCATTACTCATTTATTCAGTGAAATATTGTATAGTAACTTAAAATGATGTTTCAAAAAATTAGTAATCACCTAGAAAAAAATGCTTGCTTATAAACTAGTCTCGCTTTATCTGTGGGGACTTGTTCCAAGGCCCCTAGTGGAAATATAAAACTGCAGATAGCACCAAACCCTATATATTTGCTTTTTGTTTTCCTACACATACATACCTTTGATAAAGTTTAATTTATAACATAGGCATACTAGGAGATTAACAATAATAACAAAATAGAACAATTATAACAATATAATGAAATATATATACAATATAATGAAAGTTATGTGAATATGATCATTCTCTGTCAAAATATCTTATTATACTATGCTCACCCTTCCTTGTGATGATGTGAAATAGAATGCCTACATCATGAGATGAAGTGAATGGAGTAGGCATTGTGACATGTTAGGCTACTATTGACCTATCAGGTGTATAGCATCTACAGTGTGGATACACTGGACAAAAGGATGACTAACATCCTGAGTTAGACACAGCAGGGTGGGCCAAGACTTTATCATGTTACTCAGAATGGAGTGCAATTTAAAACTCATGAATTGTTTATTTTTGTAATTTTCTGTTTAAGATTTTTGAGCTGAGATTGACCATGGATAACTGTCCCACAGAAACTGAAACAGTGGATAAGGGGTACTACTATATCGTTAGGATAATAAAGTAGACTACAAAATAGTTCCATCAGTATAACTGCAACTTAAACAAATACTACACAGAGAGGGGAGAAAAGACTAGAAGGTACCTCACCAAAAATGTTAGTAATTTTCTTTACTTTTTTTTTCTTTTTTCTTTTTTTTTTGAGACGGAGTCTTGCTCTGTCACCAGGCTGGAGTGCAGTGGCACGATGTCAGCTCACTGCAACCTCCGCCTCCCAGGTTCAAGCGATTCTCCTGCCTCAGCCTCCCAAGTAACTGGGACTACAGGTACGCACCACAATAATGGGCTAATTTTTTGTATCTTAGTAGAGACAGGGTTTCACCATGTTGGTCAGGCTGGTTTCAAACTCCCGACCTTAGGTGATCCATCCACCTCGGCCTCCCAAAGAAATGTTAGTAATTTTCTTTGGCAAAATTGTAAGTTTCCTCCTTCCTTTCCTTCTTTCCTCCCTTCCTTCCCCCTCCCCTCCCCTCCCCTCCCCTCCCCTCCTCTGCCCTCTCCTCCTCTCCTCTCCCCTCCTCTCCCCTCTCCTTTCCTCTCCTCTCCTTTCTTCTTTCCTCCCCCCCGCCCCCCGTCCTTGCTTCCTTTCCTCTTTCTTTCCTTTCCCCTATTTTGTTTTCCAAATTTCGTAATGAGAATGCATTTATAGGCCGGGCGCGGTGGCTCACTCCTGTAATCCCAGCACTCTGGGAGGCCAAGGCAGGTGGATCACGAGGTCAGGAGGTCGAGACAATCCTGGCTAACACGGTGAAACCCCGTCTCTACTAAAAATACAAAAAATTAGCCAGGCATGGTGGCGGGTGCCTGTATTCCCAGCTACTCGGGAGGCTGAGGCAGGAGAATGGCGTGAACTCAGGAGACAGAGCTTGCAGTGAACTGAGATCGCGCCACTGCACTCCAGCCTGGGCAACAGAGCGAGACTCCGTCTCAGAAAAAAAAAAAAAAAAAAGAAAATGCATTTATATTAACAATGGGAAAGAGACTTTATTTTTTTAATAAAGCAAGAGCTTTGCTGGAGAACAAATTTTATCTATTAGTCAAATGGAAAATTGTCTTTAAGGGAAGAGTTGTCAATCCTCACTAATAAATGTTCACATAATTATAAAACATCAAGTATTCTCTTTGGTAAAAGGCAGAATATTTATGCAATTTGAAAAATCAGAGGATAAGTATTGTCTTTGGGACAAAAAGAAGCTGAATCCGTTTGTTTAGTGATTATTGAGATTGAATGTCTCAAATGACTAAGTTGTGGTATGTAATGTGTGTGTTGGAATTTGTAATTTTCTCAAGTTATTAAGGAAAACACATTAATGGAATTTGAAAATATAAATTTAAAAAAGTTTTACTTGCAAGCCTTGTGCGACTCTGTAAATGTGAAAATAAATTATTGGCATCCATACTTAAATTTTGTTTTGTAATGACACTTTTGTGGCAATCTGTCATATTTCTTGTTTCCGCTACAAATATTGGTTTGGGATAGATATTATGAAACCACTGAGATTTGTGGTTTGGATTTGAAATTTTGTAACAACACTCAAAAATCTCACCCAAAGGATATAAATCAAAATTTTGGCTTCTGCACATCGGTTGGGTGAAACCAGCACTGAAATAACATCTCAAAGGGTGTAAAACCAACCATTCCAGTAAAATGGACTTATTCCAAAACCGAGTTCTATATAGCTTACATATATTCAGGTCATCTAGGACCGCTGAAGAAGAGAAATTGCAACTCCTTTAAACTGTTAGTAAGAACTAATACGTACAGGTAGGCCACCATGTTGTACAACTCCATGAAGTTCAATGTGAATAAAGTATGAATGGTTCCCTCATGGAACTGAGCAAACACATGGGGCTATGCATCATAATTTTCCTTTTTCTTTTTTTCAGGTTTTATAACTTATTTATATAATTTAAAAATTGTACATTCCAATAATTGAAATAAGTTAAACACCAAAAAATGGCACTCTGATTAAACTGTATTTTTATATCCTTCAGGACACCTTGGGCCAGCTTGGTTGTAATTCTAGATTTTACTGTCATCCCACCCAGCTTCTTCCTTCATCAACATGCGAGTTCTTTTCTTTCTCTGTCAGCCAAATAAGCAGATAGGAGAAGCAGGAGAGGCCTGGGTTGTCAGTGGTTTTCAATTATTTGATATGAAAGGGGCAGCGTGGTTGTTTAAACTTGATCCAGCCTCTTTGCATCTTAAACAGTTGAATAGCTACAAGAAGCAATGCTTGTGGAAGGCACAGTGCATGTTATTGGTACATGTCCCATTACGACATGCCCGCTTGCTTCTCCTGTTGGATAGTTTCTTTGGAATGCAGTGTTTTAGTTTTTTATTTTGTGTATCTTTTTTCTTTTTCTTTTTTCTATCTTATTTCAGTTTCTACTTAGTGAATTTCTAGATTTCAGCCATATAGGGTTTGTCAGACAAAGTTGCAGAGGAAGTGGAGCGAGGCGCACGGGTGAGCAGAATATATTTGTGCAGTAGACACTACCTAGTCATTGAGATTTTCTGTGGCACTCTCCCTGGTCTTAATCAAAGCCAGTAATCCCGAGGACAAGTGGAGCACTTTTGTACCCCTTTATCTAGAGCCCTCACAGGTTAGGCAAGAGCCATTGTATTTCCCCCTATTGAACCCTCATTTTAAGAACCTCAATATGTTAAAATCTTCTTATAAATCAACTTCCCATTATTTTGACTATTTCAAATTTCAAAATACTCAACAAGCGAGACAGATTTTATTCAAAATGATTGCAATAAGGGTCAAGACTTATTGCAATAAAGGTCAAGATTATACAACAGAATAGATTGTTTCAACCCCACTGAAACAAAAGGCAGGAGAGGTTTTAAGCTCAGATGAGCTAGTGGAAAAGTCCTTAAGCAAGTTTGTGCGAAGATTGGTCAGTGTGTTTGCTATGAGGCGAGTTATTGAAGTTAGGCTCCTGGGTCCCCAACCCCCAACAGGGACTGTGATAGGGGCCTTATCTTTCCTGATGATTGCCTTACAAAAAGATGGTTCCCAGGCCCTTCACAAAGGTTCCTGGGTTGTAAAACTGGCAAGTGATCAGTAAAAGCTTTACATCGCAAAGGAGTAAGTTTTCTTAAGTAAGTTCTCTAAGAAAAGGGAGGTCAGAGGCCTGTAGGGGAAGAAACCTGTGTAAAATTTAGCCAAGCTGAGGGAAGGTTTAAGGCTGTTTTGGTTACAATTCTTTTCCTGGGAGGCAGCATGGAAATTGAGAATTGTATCCATGAGGAGTGGTTGTATCCTTGGCTCTGGCTTAAGTATACTTCCTAGGTGTTGGTTCCCTATTATTAGTTTTCTGTGCTGCATAACAATAACCACACATTTATTGGCTTAAAACAACACAGGTTTATTTGTTTCATGGTTTCTGTGGGTTAGAAGTCTGCTAAGGATCTCACAAGGCTGCAATGAAGGTGTTGACCAGGACCAAGGTTTCATTCCGTAAACCCGAAATAAGATTCTGAGGCCTCCCAACCATCTGAATGGACCTCTTTTCTCAGCCAAGGGCATTCCAAAGTTAGCCTGAAAAGAGTAATTCAGGCCATGATGAGAATAGGGGATGGAACATGCCTCTTTTTACCCTCCTCCCTTTTGGAATTCTGGATAAAACACTCTTTAAGTCTGATAAGAAACATTACAAACTATTCTCCCTGAAGACTGCTACCTGGATGCTTCATCTGCATGATAAAACCTTATAACCCTTTATCAGAACCCAGACATTCCTTTCTATAGACAATAACTCTTTCAACCAATTGCCAAGCAGAAAGTCTTTAAATCTACCTATGACCTGGAACCTCCCCACCCCCTGCTTTGAGTTGTCCTGCCTTTCCAGACAGAACCAATATACACTTACATTTATTGACAAATGTCTCATGTCTCCCTAAAATGTATAAAACCAAGATGTACCCGACCACCTTGGGCACATGTCATCAGGACCTCCTGAGGCTGTGTCATGGGCATGTCCTTAACCTTAGCAAAATACACTTCCTAAATTGATTGAGGCCTGTCCCAGATACTTTTGGTTTACAATCTGGAAGTTCAATTAGGGAAGCAACTTTGTGCCCACAAGCATGGTTCTTGGCAATATTTAGTGAATTCATGGCATCTGCTTCTTCAAAGAGAGAAAGAGAAGAGAGAATGACTAGGGCAAGTGTTTGGCTAGCAAGAACAAGTTTTCTGTAATATAAAATAATCATGAGAGTGACACTGCATCACTTTTGCTATGGTCTATTGATTAGAAACAAGTCCCATGTCCCATGCACACTGAATGAGAGCATTTACATGAAGATATAAATAGCAGGAGGAGATCACTTGAAGCCACTATAAAAATATATGTGCCACATTCTTCATTTGCCAAACTAAAGCAATATTATTAGTAATAATTTTCTTAGATTCCTAAAAGTCTCCTAACAAGAGTCACATCTGGAGCAGTTTGTTGATTGAAGTAGGCATTCTCATGTTCAAGAGCTCTGGGTCCCTATCTCAACTTCAGCCTAAGCAGCACATTGAGATTCCTCATGAAATTCCTCCCCTCTCCCCGCCTCCAACTCCCCCTTGCCTCCCTTCCCGTCCCCTCCCCTCCCCTTCCCTTCCTTTCCCTTTCCTTCCTTCTTTTCTTCTCCCCTCCCTCCCTCCATTTCTTCCTTCTTTTCTTTCTTTTGATGTAGGTCTTCCATTTCTTTTAAAAAATTAAAAATGGATTAGACCACATAATAACCATGATCACATTAGTTAGAAAAGCTTATGATTCAAATAAAAATTTAAAATTAAAAACTTGCTTCATGAATTAATGCTTAACTTCATGAATTTGACCAGTTATAGTCATGATGCGACTTGTCCTGGGGAGAACTTGGATTCCCTATTTGAGCAAACAGCCTGTACACTGGTAGCTTACTTTGCACAGAGGCACATAGAGAACAATTCAAACCTTTTTACACAGTTTTCATCCTCTGCATACCCTTAAGTCTTTCATAGCTGTATCTTTTCCAAAGGGATCATCACACTTGTAATGGGAAAGTCTAAGAAAATCCTAGTGAGCTTAAAGTAGTATCCATATGTAATGGGAAAAAAATATCATGTTGCTATTATACTAGAATATTTACTGCTTATTTGGGATTTCCACATTTGAAAGAATACTTTAATTTTTTTTCTCTTTTCCTTTGCAAAGTTATCTTTCCCTTCCTCTTAGTGTGAAAATTGAACATATGCTGATGCAATGTCACAGGCTGTGTTTACAGGCTCTCTGGGGCGTGAGGTGAAGGTGGGAGGGAGCTTGGGAAGAAACAGTTCCTTAGCAATTGTTTTTCTCATTATGTTGTTTGGCATCTCATCACAAGCATCTTGAAACATATTTTTAAAATTCATTTGTACCATCAACTGTATATATGATTGCTTTTTTTTTTTCCATTTGTAGTATTAAGAAAGCCATTTAAAAGGTGCTGATTAACACCAGTACTGGCTATAGATTCCAGTTGCTGTTTGATGTTTTGCTTATTAGAACTGCGAGCATTCTCCTTTGTATTTGTAAAATGTAAGCATATGACCTTTCCAGATCCAGCAAGGAGCCTCCCAGATGGAGTACATGGAGACCATGACTGTGAAAGATGAGGATCAAGTGCAGATTTGGTGGCCTCTGATTGCCAGTATCTGGCAGCCACATTCTCTTCCCACAAGATGTGCTGGAAATATGACCAAGCAGAAGTTCACTTAAGTGAATCCAACAGTTAAACCTACCATGGAAGGGTGTGGTGCACAGAGGGCATGTGGAGAAGAGAAGACCACAGTGGGAACCTCCAAGGAACTAACATCTAGCTGGGGATGAGGGGGGATTTGGCTATGTAGAGAGTAAATAAAGTGATATGAGAATTAAAGTAAGGGGCCAGTTATTTCCAAATGGGGAAATGGGGCAGGCTTCATGGAGAAGGGAACGTTTAATCTGGGTCACATGGAATGAATAGGACTGGAAATGGAGTTTATAAGAGCGAGAATATTTTACTTAGAGGAAACTACATTTAAAGAAAGGATGGCTGTGTAGGTGTATTGCTTCTTTGCAGATACATACAATTTAATATGCCTGGAGTGCAGATTCTATGTGACTGAGGTGAGTAGGGACAAAGGGAGAGATGATTCAGAGAGGCAGATAGAGGAAAATCATGCAGGGCTTAATTTCTAGGATAAAAGTTGGTGACTTTTTCATGGGTGTGTGTGTCAGGGAAGAGGGTAAAATTATAGTGAGTAAAAGCACAGACTTTGGGATCAAAGTAATGGGTTTCCATCATGACTCTGCTTCTCCCTGGTGATATCAACTTGTGTGAATATGTAATGACTCTGACCTTCAGTTTTTTCATCAATAAATGATAAGCAATAATACTAATTTAATAGAGACTTTCTGAGGAACAAATAAGACTATGTACCCAAAGGACTTAGATTAGGACCTGCCACTCAGTAACAACACTCAGTAGATGTGATCATGCTATAGAGGACAGAAATTCCTCTAATCCCAACACAGACACTCTCTTTAGCTGCAAATATGATGTCCCCTCTCCCCTAGATAAGGCAAACTGATCCTGCTGGGCCTAGCTGGTTGCCAGATGGATTAGAACACTGGACTCAGAACAGACTTCCATGATATCTTTAAGAAAAACTCACATCAAAGTCATGTAGAATGTACAATAGAATTATCAATGAGGAAGGGAGAATCTGGAAAGAAGGCAACCAAAAGCCAAAGGGAAACTAAAGGAGATTGAAAGACTGTGAAATTGAGCCTAGAATAAGTTCATTGAAGTGGCAAATCTGGGAGAGATATTTTAGAAGTCTGTTGCTTTGGGTAGGGCAGGGAAAAATCTATTGGGACACTTCACTGGCTTGGACAGAGAAGAAGGATAGTTCTTCACCTCTCCTATAAATCTGTGATTGTCATTCTGAATAACAGCACATCATGACTGGAGGATCAGATTATACCCTCATTAAAGCCAGGATCTGAAAATATGGTCGCTGATCAGATATAAGTATTAGAAGTGAGGCCATTCAGGGAACACAAAACCAGGACAATACATCTAAAGGAAGGACAATATAACTAATATTTTGTCACAGAAAGCAGGTAGTTATCTGCTAAGGGCATGACAAGGATATAGGTATAGGTAAGAGTCAGTAGTAGAACTCAGTCCACACCAGATTCAGCCCTTTGGTTACTGAAGCAGTTCTGTGAATTAGAATTTTGTGTTTTCTAAGGTTCTTGTATGGCTGGATAAGCAATAAATTGGAAGGATGAATTTGGGTACAGTTGACATTGGGAGAAGTATCAGTCAGGAATCTTAGCATTAAGCCGCAGAAGCTGACTCACAAAAGCAAAATGAGAATTAATAGAAATAATGCAGGTCAGTGAATCCATGGAAAGCTGGAGGTTCAGACTTGGAAAATAGACAGGAACCACAGGCACACAACAGGGCAACTACAGCAAACATCTTGTAGTCCTTATGCCTCCATGCTGTGCTCCAAATATTAAGCATGATATCACTTGTTCAGCATTTGAAAAGACTCTCAGAGAGCCTCTGAGACTCTGGACTCTGCCCATGTGTTTCCTCTGTCTGTCCTGTACAGGGTAATAAAGATATTACCCCTTTGGCTTCCTTCCTGGGAGACACTATTTCCCATGACAATGTACAGTGCCAGGAGGTCTCCTAAACAGAGATTGGGATCCTAATTGTAAAAGAGCTTGGATGTTAGGCAGACAGATGTCTTCCTAAGAGGCATTAAGGTGAAGAAGTAGGAGGAGGGAGGGGACAAAAGAAGGCAAAGGGACAAACAAAAAAGTAACCTTCCAGGAGATTAATTCCAGTACTGATAACAAATTGCTGTATTAGGGATAGGTTCAAGGAGAAAGCAGAAACTGAACTGATTTTCGAGGGTCAAGAGAGAACAAACAAGAACATTGCAGATATCAGGACAAGTATGAGTAGAAGCACAAAGTCTCATGATAATTGCTACCTTGTTTGTAAGCATTAATATTCTCGGAGTGGTGGTAGGCGTGGGCTGCCTGCTTCATGGTCTTTCTCATGAAAGGAATAATGTGGGCTACCGTATTAATTTCAATATGGCTTTTATGAGAAACAATTTGCAAATGACATGCTTTGGAAACCCAAGAAACCTGTGGTCATCCCTCCTTCAATTTTACTTCTTGTTACAAATTTCTTAGTAACAGAGCCTATGTATGTGAGATGAGGAGATGTTTGTTACATTCAACCTTAAACAAGTTATGGCTTAGCAGGAGCTGAGTGATCTTATTTGATGAGTGTAGATTTATAAGAATTTTGGCTTGGGGTTTGGGATCAAATTCTCTCACCTAAGCTGTGGGGAGCCCATGAAGTCTTTCCAGTAAAAATCCTTGCAGTTAAGATTTTTGCCAAATAGCGCCTCTTAAAAAAATCCCTATTTAAGTCATTTCTCCAGGGTAATTGAAAGTGTCTATTATATTATGCCCCTAACTGCTATGTGGTACTATTTATTTCTTTTAGAGAAGTATGGCAGAGAATAAGATAATTCTGATTACAGTGAAATAAGAGAACACTGATATTATTTGTTTTTTTTCCTAAAACTTGATGTTTTTGAATTGTTCATCATACACCCCTTTGCTTGCTATCATTTCCAAATGGTGACTGTTACACATATATTTTAATATTTTTCATATGTCATTTTAATATTGTTCATATGTTAAAACTGAAGTGACTCTTTTTTGTCTTTGTAACACTAGGATAATTTAAAGGGAATGTTTTTGAAACATCATTCTATTTCAAGGTAAAGTGAGCCAAATAAAATATTTTTGTTCATTTGGGCAGCATGTCAACAGCCATGTTAACTCAAGCAATAAGCATAATTTCTTTTAACATTTTGAAACAGTTCAGATGGAGGTAGATAGGAGCTGGACACTTGAAAAAGGTATTCTTAAAATTGATGTTGAGAGTGAGAGTGACGGAAGGATTATGTGGAAGGAATTCCTGAAGTTTTAAATCGCCCTCTTTTCTACTCCTATATCCAGGTAGTCACCAGCTTTTTTCATTTCTGACTACTTGGAATCTCTCTTTCCCAGTCCCACCACCATGAGAATTAAGGCCTTGAAGCCCACATTGTTCTTCAACAGGATGTCCTGACCTTTAGTCTCGATGTACCTCATCCCCAGTGCTGTCATGCCTTTCCTCTGCTCGGATTCCACCCATTGTTTCCCATTACTTAACACTATCCAAGAAAAAGAGCCTTGTTGTTTAATAATTATTAATTACTATAAGTTCGTTGAAAAGTACTCCCTTTAACCCCCTATCTGCTTGAACCTCTGATCTGATATCCTGAGGTTGAAGAGAGGATAAATGCCATGACAGCTGGGAAGAAGCAGAGAAGTTCTTATGTGGCTCACCTGTCCCACTTGTCCTTTAAGACCAGCAGCTATTGCTTAGATGTCTAGAGAGTCATTTATATAAAAACACTGATGTGACCAACATATTTTACTGGTATTGCATACTTCATGATATATTCATTTTTGAATGGTTCTGATTTCATAAGCTTCCACCTACTAACAATTCCTTGAACAAAGTTAAATAGTTTTTAAAAGCAGCCTTCTTTATTATTTAGAAATTGTGGGGTGTATTAGTCTGTTCTCATGCCGCTAATAAAGACATATCCGAAACTGGGTAATTTATAAAGGAAAGAGGTTTAATTGACTCTCAGTTCAGCATGGCTGGGGAGACCTCAGGAAACTTACAATCATGATGGAAAGAGAAGCAAACACATCCTTCTTCACATGGTGGCGGGAAGAGAAGTGAGTGCTGAACAAAGGGGGATGCCCCTTAGAAAACCGTCAGATTTCATGAGAACTCACTATTAAGAGAACTCACTATCATGAGAACTCACTATCATGAGAACAGCAGCGAGGGGGAAGCTGCCCCCGTGATTCAGTTATCTCCACCTGATCCCTCCCATGCCACTAGGATTATGGGAACTACAATTCAACATGAGATTTGGATGGGGACACAGCCAAACCATATCATGGGGAAAACTGTTTATTTTATGTAAATGTGACTTACCTAGTTTGCTTTGCAGATCATCAAAAAGTTAACATGGGTATAAAGTCTGATAAATCTGTAAATATGTACATTTCAAAATTATTCACAGACTTATGACAATTATTAGGTCTAGATTTAAATGGCAGCATATTTAAAAATATTTTCACTATTATTACAATGTTTTATTAGTCCTGTTATTTGGAAACAAACAAAAAAGGTGATTAAGAGACGGTGTAGTATAGTGGTAAAAAATCCAGTCTCTGGTGCTGGATTACCAGTGTTGGGGTCTTGACTCCACAAGTTATTAATTCTGTCACCATGAGTAAGACATTTATCATCTCTGTGCCTTTGTGTCTTCATGTATAAAATATAAATCATCGTCATGGAATTGTACTGAATATCAATAGACCCAAATAACATCTTTATGGTGGACTTGATTGAAGTATATAACATGTATACCTAAATTTTTCTTTCCTTTGTGAGAGATTATTCAGAATGATGTTGAGATGTTTATAGTAAAATTAGAGATCCTGAATGCAGTGCAACAGGTTTAAATGCGGCATTTACTTCTCATCTGTGGCAGTGTTCGCCTTAAGTCAGTGCTAAGTGTGGCCAGTAGATGCAACACCAAAGCCCGCTGGGACAACAATCCTGTGATGGGCTCCCTTGTGTGATCTTGGCCAAGTTTCTTAACCTCTCTGCACTCCTGTGGCCTCATCCATAAAAGGCTAACTTGGATTACATGATCTCTACGGTGTCTTTCAGCTCTGAAAGTCTGTGAATCTGTCAGTATACTTTGACTTAATGAGTTTTACACATGGAATACTCTTAAAAGCATTTGGTGCTTTTTTTTTTTTTTCTAAAAAAAGACTTTTTCAGGTGTTTCCTCCTCCTCCTTCCCACCCCCCTTTTCTTCCTTCTTCCTTCTATTATGTAGAATTTGTAGAGATTCCAGGCATGAGTACTGCGGTCATGTTGGATAAATAATAGGATTTCCATTTCTAAGACACAGTAATTGAGATTCCAAAAGATTAAGTACTTGTACTAGGTTAAAACAAGACAAAATAAAAACAGAAAGGAAGTTTAATTCTGCCTCCTAACTGAATTATCTTCTCCATTCCCTAGCTCCCCAAACTTATTTCTTCATGACCAGTTTCTCCTCTCCTCCATCTCCCCCAGCAAGAGCTCTGAAAACCAACCGAGATGCTTTCCTCTTATCTCCTACCCTACTCATAGTAATTCATTAACAAAGTCAGCCTACTTAGTTAACAAAGACTCTTCTACGTTCCTAACATATCTAATCCTTCATCCTCTACTTTCCATTCAATTGCTTCTGCCTTAGTTCAGGCTTTAATCATTATTTTGCTTGGATTATTCTAACTAAACAATTTCCCTTAATCAGATCCAAAATCCCTCCAGTAAATTCTCTACTTCTTTGCCAGAGTGAGATTTCCTTGAATGCATGTCTGATTGTTTTGTCCAAGTTCTTACCAACCTTTTAACAGCTGCCTCCTCCCTGCATCACTTGGTTTATTAATCTTTAGCCCTTCCTTCCCTTACCAATGACACTCCAGCTACTACTGAACTTCTTTCTTTTCCCCAAAACTCCTTGCTATTACCTGCTGCCTGGTTTATCCTCTTGTTTCCACTGTCTAGGACAGGGGTGTCCAATTTTTTTACTTTCCTGGCCACATTGGAAGAATAATTGTATAAAATACACTAACACTAATGATCGCTAATGAGCTAAAAAAAAAAAAAAAGTCAACTGGGCGCAGTGGCTCATGCCTGTAATCCCAGCAACTTTGGGAGGCGGAGGCGGGTGGATCACCTGAGGTCAGGAGTTCAAGACCAGCCTGGCCAACATGATGAAGCCCCGTCTCTACTAAAAATACAAAAAGCAGCCGGGTGTGGTGGTGGGTGCCTGTAATCTCAGCTACTTGGGAGACTGAGGCAGGAGAATCACTTGAACCTGGGAGGCGGACGTTGCAGTGAGCTGAGATCGTGCCATTGCACTGCAGCCTGGGCAACAAGAGCAAAACTTCGTCTCGAAAAGAAAAAAAAAAAAAAAAAAAAGAGAACAAGAGAAAAGAAAAAAAAAATTCACAAAAAAAGTCTCATAACATTTTAAGAGAGCTTACGAATTTGTGTTGTGCCACATTCAAAGCTGTCCTGGGCCGAATGTGGGTGGCAGGTTGGAAAACCCTGGTCTAGAATATATTTTCCTCATCTACCTAGTGACTACCTGGTGAGCACCCAGTAACCTTTTGAGACGTGGCAAGTCTGTTTGGCAGATTCCACCCCTGTGAAACTTCTCTTACCACCACAGCAGCTTACACTACCAGTAATAAGCCTCTTACACTACCAGTGATAAGCCTCTCAGTGCCCCTACTGTCATTTCTAATACAAATAACAATTTTAAAAAGCAACAAATTTATTCATACTACAACTGAGATGCACAGTGGGCATATGCCATATTAAACTAAACTGGTTTTCTTCACAAAACTTCACATCTTTTGACTCACCAGAAAAAAAATAGTTACGATATGTTCAACTAGCTCTTTAGGTGGTACTCAGTATGTCTAAGAGAAGACATTCAATCTCTGATTTTGAAGTCATCTGCCCTCATTTTAGTCTTCTTTCCTAGATTGTTCTGGGTATAAGGTATCATGGAGTGAGTAATTTTCATGATCTTGTCATGAAAGAATTAGTTTTGGATACAGAAGCACCTGTTTCCTCTGATCTCCAGGATGATGATCCTTGTCCAGCTTGTTGCTGATCTTTGCAGGTGAGATCAATGGCTTGTGTAATTTGCAATCTGGCTTCATGGTTTGATCAGGGCCCACCTTTGTACCCTAGTTTACTAGGACTTCTCTTAACTCTTGCTTATGTTGGAGGCTTGCTAGACTTTCAGACTCTGCAACATCTGTCTGGCTCTGAGAACCTGGCCATTTACCTAAACCTATGGGATTCATAATCAAGAGGGCACTTCAGCAGGCCCAGTGACTCTCAACTCAGTGTCTAGGTAATATAAGAACATTCAGGAGTGCAAACCAGAGCCTCTCCTCTCTCACCTGACCACTTCACTCAGGGCGACCTTTGCTGACTGAGGTCTGTGTATCTTCATGCTTTCCTCTGCTGATGGTTTTAAGGGCGTCCCTCTTACTACTCTCTCCTCCCTACTCTGCATATGCCCTTTTAGTGTTTTCCCTCAAAGGAGAAGGAAAACGAAACAACAACAACAAAGCAGGAAGCTTGATCTCAAGTTGGTGCTTTCTTTGTTCCTGTAGGACAATAAAAATATTTTCCATTTGGCCGGGCGCGGTGGCTCATGCCTGTAGTCCCAGCACTTTGGGAGGCCAAGGTGGGTGGATCACAAGGTCAGGAGTTTGAGACCAGCCTGGCCAATATGGTGAAACCCCGTCTCTACTAAAAATACAAAAATTAGCCAGGCATGGTGATCGGTGCCTGTAATCCCAACTACTCAGGAGGCTTAGGTAGAAGAATTGCTTGAACCCGGGAGGTGGAGGTTGCAGTGAGCCAAGATCGCACCATTGCACTCCAGCCTGGGTGACAAGAGCAAAACTCCATCTCAAAAAAAAAAAAAAAAAAATTCCCTTTTATTTCATTATTATTTTCTTCTTCACTCAATCTTATGGATAGGCCCTAATGATAAAATAGGGCATTTTCCTGGCTTTATTAAACAAGACCCGTGATAAGATCCAACAGGCTTAGCTCTTAGAAATGTATATTGGTGGTTTGAGTATATTGTCTCATTTAAACCATATAACTCCCCTGTGGCATAGGTGCTATCTTTTTTCCTATTTTACAGAAGAGGAACTGAGGCTCTGCAAAGGGTAATCACTATCCCATTGTTGACTTCAGGCATGTGGCAGGGCCTAACACTCCTTACATCTCTATATATAGTGAGCCCTCCATATCCAAGGACTCCCCATTCGTAGATTCAAACAATCATGGATAAAAATATAGTTACGCCTATGATGGCTGCATCTGTACTGAACATTCACAGACTATTTCTTGTTCATTCCCCAAACAATACAATATAGCAAGTATTTGCATAGCACTCACATTCTGTGACTTATTATAAGTAATCTAGAGATGATTTAAAGTATGCCTGTAAGGATATGCATAGGTTATATGTTAATACTACATCATTTTATATCAGAGACTTGAGCATCCATGGCTTTGGTATTTGGGGGAGTTCCAGAACCAATCCCCTGTGGATATTGAGTGACAACTGTACTTCTATTCTAAAAGCCTGTTAAATACAAGGCATCTTTAAGTCTTTCATCATTATCTGTGATTATTCCCTTCCTCACTCTGTATGCTGCAACTGGACTTATTTTCTTCCAATTCCTCCAAACTGTCTTTTTTAAAAAACTCTCTGGATTTTTTTAAAAAGCATTTCACTCTGTTTGGAATGCTGTATCCTCCTACATGTAGCAAGTATAAAGTTCAGTTCACAAACTCAGGTGGGCAAGAAATAAAACAACCTTTGCTTTATAAGTCATTTTATTTTCTGTTTTAACCCACATTCTGTCAGGTTGGTGGAGAATTAATCCTAAGCCTTTTTAAAGGTTCCTTTATGTGCCCACCTACCATGGTGCCCAAATATCAGGTAGTTCTAAGGCATTGGATGTCAGTCATGGTGGCCATGAGTATGTGTCACTCAGACCACAAGCTACAGGGAGCATCATACAAGGAACCTGCTGCCCTGCTCTGAAATCCATTGCCACATTTACACATGCTTTCCAGGGGCTGCTCCCAGCCATATCAAGCATGGCTAAGGGATACCACGAGAAGTCTGTTTCTGGAAGACACAGGATTCCTTCGATGGGCAATTTTGGTTCAAGTACTCCCGGAAAATTTTGCAGAACTTTCCCTAGATTACACAGTAGCCTGAGACACATTCATTTCAGCCTTCTTTCCTGCTCTGTTCCTTTGGGATCAGACTTGTATTACAATCTGAAGGCACTCTCTATATTTTCTCTTATGGGTGTTTCCCTTAAAATCTTTGTACACTTAATCTCATCTTGATGTCTGCCTCTAAGAAGCCCACACTAATAGATGGGAGATTTGGCCAGTAAATAATCTGATCCCCCAATTACTACTGAAAAGCATGTCTCTCAGTGGACATGTTACTATGGCCCTTCAAGTGTGCTGGGTCATGGCTAATTCATTGCATGATTTCAGTGCGGGATATTCTGAGAGGCTTCCCATGGTCCCACGTGCTTAGTTATCCCAGGAAGCTAAAAGCTTTCTTCTTGCAAATACCAAATTTCTCCCACCCACACAGCAAATAAAAATACATACAGAGCATGCACTGTAGTTGAAAAAATATGAACAATAATGGCATGTGTGAATGAGTAAATAAAAAATATTATAGCTATTAACCTTAGAAGAAAAAAGCAGTATAGTTATAAAAAATTGGGCAATGTTACATTGAGATCAGGAAGATTTCATTGAAAAGGTGGTATTTTGCTTAAGATTTGAAAAAGAAGTGGTAAGTATTTCTCTATTTTAATTTTTTTATTTTACTTTATGTTTTGGGATACATGTGCAGAACTTGCAGGTTTGTTACATAGGTAACAAATACATGTGCCATGGTGGTTTGCTGCACCCATCAACCTGTCATCTAGGTTTTAAGCCCCACATGCATTAGGTATTTGTCCTAATGCTTTCCCTCCACTTGCCCCCCACACCCTGACAGGCCCTCTTGTTTGTGATGTTCCCTCCCTGTGTCCATGTGTTTTCACTGTGCAGCTCCCACTTATGAGTGAGATCCTGCAGTGTTTGGTTTTCTGTTCCTGTGTTAGTTTTCTGAGAATGATGGTTTCCAGCTTCATCCATGTCCCTGCAAAGGATATGTACTCATTCTTTTTTATGGCTGCATAGTATTCCATAGTGTATATGTGCCACATTTTCTTTATCCAGTCTATCATTGTTGGGCATTTGGGTTGGTTCCAAGTATTTGCTATTGTGAATAGTGCTGCAATAAACATACATGTGCATGTGTCTTTATAGTAGAATGATTTATAATCCTTTAGGTATATACCCAGTAATGGGATCGCTGGGTCAAATGGTATTTCTGGTTCTAGATCTTTGGGGAATCACCACAATGTCTTCCATAATGGTTGAACTGATTTACACTCCCACCAACAGTGTAAAGCATTCCTATTTCCCCACAGCCTCACCAGCATCTGTTGTTTCCTGTCTTTTTTAATGATCACCTTTCCAACTGGCATGAGATGGATCTCATTGTGGTTTTGATTTGCATTTCTCCAATGACCAGTGATGATGAGCTTTTTTTCATATGTTTCTTGGCCATGTAAATGTCTTCTTTTGAGAAATGTCTGTTCATATACTTCACCCACTTTTTGCTGGGGATGTTTGTTTCTTGTCTTGTAAATTTTTTAAAGTTCCTTGTAGATTATATCATCTATTTAAGGTATAGATATGTTATAGTTTCCAATGTATTATATTAGGGAAGAAAAGCACTGAATTTGAGGTCAGAAATCTGTTCATAGCCTTCTTGTTTTCTAGCTGTCAGTAACATATTGATCAAATAAGTAAACTTTTTAGGGTCTTCTTTTGCTTATTGCACTTATACTAAGTCATTTTCAAGATCCCTACACCCTTACCAGTCTCTAGTCAAGATCCCAGTCAACTGGCGGTTGATCTAGAAGATTAATCTAGCCAGTTATGTATCTAAATTCATGTTATTTTAACACCAACTTTAATATTTTTCAAAGCACAATGCGGCAGAGCCAGAGATACAGGCATACTTCCTTGTGTTGTGCTTTGGTTTATTGTGCTTCACAAACGTTGCATTTTTTAAAAAAACTAATTGAAGGTTTGTGGCAACCCTGCATCCAGCAAATCTATGGGTGCCATTTTTCAACAGCATGTGCTCACTTTTGTCTCTATATGAGATGTTGGTGATACTCATGATATTTCCAATTTTTTAATTATTATTGTATTTGGTATGGTGATCTGTGATCAGTATCTTTTGATGTTATGTTGTAATTGTTTTGGGGCAGCACAAATCGTGCTCATAAAAAATGGCAAACTTAATTGATAGATGCTGTGTGTTTCTGACAGCTCCACCAATCGGCCATTTCCCCATCTCTGTCCCTCTCCCTGGGCCTTACTATTCTCTGAGACACAACCGTATTGAAATTAGGTCAATTAATAACTTTCCAGTGGCCTCTAAGTGTTCAAGCGAGAGGACAAGTCACATGCCTCTCACTTGAAATCAAAAGCTGGAAAAGATTAAGCTTATTGAAGAAGGCACATTGAAAGCCAAGATAGACTGAAAGCTAGGCTTAATGAGCCAGTTAGCCAAGTAGCAAATGCAAAGGAAAATTAAAGTAATTAAGTAGCAATTAAAAATGCTACTCCATGAATAAGAAAGCAAAACTGCCTTATTACTGATTTGAAGAAAACTTTGCTGGTCTAGATAGATCAAACCAGCCATAACATTCCCTTAACCCAAAGCCTAATCCAAAGCAAAGCCCTAACTGTCTTCGATTGTAACAAGGCTGAAAAAGGTGAGGAAGCTGTAGATGAATTTTGAAGCTAGCAGAGATTGGTTCATGAGGTATAAGGAATGAAGCAAACTCCACCACATAAAAGTGCAAGGTGAAGCAGCAAGCGATGATGTGCAATCTGTAGCAAGTTATCCAGAAGATCTGATGAAGATGGCTACACTAAACAACAGACTTTCAATGTACAGTAAATGAAATTTACTGTACATTATTATGTACACATATATGCAGTATAACTATATGTATGTGCAGTATAGTTATACTGCATATAAGTACATTGAAATAGTCTTATATGGAAGTATATGTCATCTAAGGCTTTCATAACGAAAAAGTCAATGCTTGGCTTCAAATCTTCAAAGGGTAGGCTGACTCTAACGTTAAGGGCTGATGTAGCTGATGAGTTTAAGTTGAAGTCAATGCTCATTGACCATTCTGAAGATCCTAACTCCCTTAAGAATTATGCTAAATCTACTCTGCCTGTGCTCTATAAATAGAACAACAAAGCCTGGATGGCAGCACATCTGTTTACAGCATGGTTTACTGAATATTTTAAGCCTACTTTGGGGACCTACTGCTTGGAAAGAAAAGAACATTTTCAAAATATTATGACTCATTGACAATCCACTCAGTAATTCCGCAGCTCTGAAAGAGATGTGCAAGAAAATTTGTGCTGTTTCCGTGCATGGTAACACAGAATCCTGTCAAGATCAAGTAGTAATTTTGACTTTCAAGTTTTATTGTTTAAGAAATACATTTCATAAGGATATAGCTGCTATGGATAGAGATTCCTCTGATGGATCTAAGCAAAGTAAATAAAAAACCTTCTGGAAAAAAATTGCCATTCTAGATGCCATTGAGAACATTTATGATTCATGGGAGGAGGTTAAAATATCAACATTAATGAGAGTTTGAAAAATGTTTATTTCAATCCTTACAGATGACTTTGGGGGTTTCAAGACTTCAGCAGAGTAAATAACTGCAGTTGTGGTGGAAAAAGCACAAGAACTAGAATTAGAAGTAGAGCCTGAAGGTGTGACTGAATTGCTGCAATCTCATGATAAAACATAAACAGATAAGGAGTTGCTACTTACAGATGAGGAAAGAAATTTGTTTCTTGAAACACAGTCTATTCTGGGTGAAGATGTTGTGAACATTCTTGAAATGACAACAAAGGATTCAGAATATTACAAAAACTTAGATGATAAGGCAGTGGCTGGGTTCAAGAGGACTGAGTCCCATTTTGAAAGTTCTACTGTAGATAAAATGCTATCAATTAGCATTGCATGCTACAGAGAAATTGTCATGAAAGGAAGAGTTAATCAATGCAGCAAACTTTATTGGTATCTTATATTAAGAGATTACCACAGCCACCCCAACCTTTAGCAATCACCACCTTTGCTGATCAGTCAGTGGCAGTCAATACTGAGGCACGACTTTATACCAGCAAAAAGATTAGAACTTGCTGAAGGCTCATATGACTGTTAAGACTTTTAGCAATAAAGTATTTTTAATTAAGGTTTTTTTTTTTAAATATAATGCTATTGAACACTTAATAGACTACAGTGTAAAAATGACTTTTACATGTACTGGGAAACCAACAAGTTTGTGTGACTCACTATCATAATATTTACTTTATTGTGGTGGACTTGAAATGAATTCTCAAAATCTCTGAGGTATGCCTATATCTGGATTTGAGCAGTGTCTTGCTTTTGTCTAAGATGTGTAGCCTTGGTAAAAATTATAGTCCACTTTCATGCTATTTGTGAGAATGGAGATAATGGGTGTACAATGCCTACCACAAACGAACTAAATGGTAGATAAACAGTAAATCTTATTGTTTTTTATTCATTTGCTCCTCACAAAATTGTCACTGAATATGCATTATTGTCTCCATTTTACTAATTAGTAAACTGAAGCAAAGAGCTCAAATTGCCCAGCTACCCAGTAGCAGAAATAGTAAGAGTATTACTCAAGTTCTCAGGCTCTCATTTGTTTTTCCTAAAATTTACTTTCTACATATGGTTTTATATAAAACAGCCCATTTGTGACTTTCAATATATTCATTATGTATATATTAAACTTAATAAAAGTTTGTTATTATAGATTTTATTATATATTTTGGGCAAATTGGTAAACACATTAGTTTCCTTATTTACTCTTCTTTACCTAAGTCTTAAACGTAGAATCTTTAAAAAGTTTTTTTTTTTTTTTTTTTTTTTTTAAAGTAGCTTAGGCCGGGCGTGGTGGCTCAGGCCTGTAATCCCAGCACTTTGGGAGGCCGAGGTGGGCGGATCACAAGGTCAGCAGTTTGAGACCAGCCTGGCCAATATGGTGAAACCCCGTCTCTACTACAAATACAACAATTAGCCAGGGGTGGTGGTGCGTGCCTGTAATCCCAGCCACTCAAGAGACTGAGGGAGGAGAATTGCTTGAACGTGAGGCAGAGGTTGCAGTGAGCAAAGATTGTGCCACTGCACTCCAGCCTGGGTGACAAAGCAAGGCTCTGTCTCAAAAAAAAAAAAGTACCTTAAAGATCATTTATTCAAATAGCTTTGTTTTACCCGGTACAGTGGCTCATGCCTGTAATCCCAGTACTTTGGGAGGCCAAGGCAAGCAGATCCCTTGAGGCCAGGAGTTTGAGACCAGCCTGGGTAACGTGGTGAAACCCTGTCTCTACTAAAATTACAAAAATTAGTGGTGGCACATGCCTGTAATCCCAGCTACTAGGGAAGCTGAGGCAGGAGAATTGCTTGAACCGGGGATGTGGAGGTTGTAGCTCACCGAGATTATGCCACTGCACTCCCTCCTGGGCCACAGAGTGAGACCGTGTCTCAAAAACAAACAAACAAACAAACAAACAGCAACAACAACAACAAAAAAACCCCAAAAACAAATGACTTTGTTTGATGAGTGAGAAAGAAGCTTGATTCAGAGCAGGTAACACCAACTGGATATTTAACTAAATTTATTTGAGTAAAGGCAAGCTGAAATTAAGCATTTCCACTAATATTTTTTGAAACTCATTGTTATTAAGATATATAAATAAATTTGCTAAGTATAATTTAATATAATTTTACACTTATAAACTTACTGGAATGCAAAAATATAAAATATAAAGTTGTAAAACTTTATAGCAATTATGAAGAGTATTTGATTTAATAGCTGTATAATGTTAGACAAATTATTTAATCCTTGAGCCTCACTTTCCTCACATGAGGAAAGAGAATAATAGTAAAACTTCTTTTATGGGCTGTTGTGAGGACTAAATGAAATAATGTATGAAGCCTTAATATATAAATGTTAGTTTTTAAATTATTTTTATTTAAATTATAACAAATGCTATAATTATTGTTGGAGGAAACTTCCTGTTGTCTGACCTCACATTACTATGAGGAGGTTCTTGAGGCCAAAATTCACATAGGATTAGGCTTTGTTTGTTACTGTGTTTATTACCTCTGTTGATGTGACATAAATATGTACCAATGAAGGCATTAATAAAATGGAACTACTGTTTCACCCAAATGAGTAATTTAGAAATTACGTATTTGGAGGAGAAATACTGTGTTAGCTTTGCTGCAGAACAAAACACCCCCAAACCATTTATTAGGAAATAGTTCTGTGGCTTGGCTGGGATGGCTTTTCTCTGCTCCATGTATTTTGATTGCACTTCTGCATTTGCAGTCAGCCGCTGGTCTCTGATAACCTTGCTCACATGTATGGCAGTTGGTACTAGCTCTCAGTTGGGCCACATGTCTATAGCAGCCTATCTTGAACCTGAGCCGCAAGAGAGAGGGAATACCCCAAAGTTCAGGCACCATGAAGGTATCTTTGTATAGTATTTGCTGATTTTCTATTGGCCAAAGCAAGTGTGGAAGAAGTCACTGTGAAAAGAGACAACACATGGATGTAGATGATAGGAGAAAATACTTATTGGGGTTCTTTATTGTAATCATCTACCACAAATACAACTTTTGAGCCTCCCTCGCTTTAGTGAAATTTTAATTTATGTGAAATGCTTTCATTAATATTCATGCTCATGAAATGGGCATATAATGGTACCTGATTTTAAAGCTTTAATCAACATACTTCCTTATTTAGAATTATTGCCCAATTTTAACTTTTATGTCAGAATGTGAATGAGCCAAATATTAGTAGCTATGATTGGTGATAAATATTAAGAAGGTTTATTCCTCCCTTGACAATGATGATTATGCTAATGATGGTGATTACACCTAATTTTAAAGGAGCCCTCAATGTGTGTCACACACTGTGCTGAATTCTTTACATACTACCTTATTTCGTTCCTGCCAT
Organism: Homo sapiens; assembly: GCF_000001405.40. Taxonomy (NCBI): domain Eukaryota; kingdom Metazoa; phylum Chordata; class Mammalia; order Primates; family Hominidae; genus Homo; species Homo sapiens. The sequence continues at coordinate 77,799,640 of NC_000012.12, forward strand.
AGCCCTTTTATTTTTTAAATTCAAATTGGAAAATGAAATACCAAGAGGCAAATGAACTTCCCTGGGTTGTGTACAAGCAGATGGTGGTGATAGTTCATATCTGTTGTTTTGATGCCAGAACACATACTTTTGACCACTATACTGTACCATATCACAAATGTTACATATGTGGATGTGAATGTATATATCTTTACATATGTATATATATAAAATATTCAATAACGATATGTAGTTATAATCTTTTATATTATCTTATTAGTTATAATGCTACTGTAGTTTTTGATTCCCCAGAATCTCAACAGTAAGTTCAGTGAATACTGGGAGTTGATGTCACAAAAACTTATACAATTAGATCAATGTCCTAAAATGTATCATTTTCACCATAGCATCTACTTGCTTTCATAAAGATATAACTTAGTGAAAACATTCAAATTATCAGTGAATAATAGCTTAATAATAATAGTCTCATCCTGTCATGGAACATCAGTGGTAGCATTAAGAAATGGCTCTTGAGCCTTGAACTTGGCAGCCACTTTTAAGATTCCATTTGGCTTGCTAAGCATAGTAAAGGCCAAAAGGGAAAAGGGGAGAGCAGGAAAGGACTTTGTATTTATGGGTGGGCTTTAGAAATGAAAGTGTTCCTAATGCAGAAATGGAACATAAAACTCATTTTCCAAAGCTAAAGATCTGAGGGTTTTTAAACCTACAAATCACACCAACTTCAGTCAGGCTGTCATTGTAGGAAAGTGTTTTTTCCTATAGTGTAAAGTTAATGGATCCTAGCGATTGTACAATGGTTCAATGTTCTTGGTGCTCACATTCTTCCTGGGGAATGTGGATTTTTTGATAGTTACTAAATATTTGTAACTTCATTAGAGTCTTAGTTTTTTAATACTTACAAACGAAAGAAAATAGACATTTTGTTCTTATGGATTTTAAGTACAGTAGAAGCTACTATAGTTTACAAGTTTACTGTTTAAAGTTTACTGTTCTACTTAGAATTGATTGTGTAACTGCATCTTTACGACACACTGGAATCTGTAGAATTGGCCCATATATGTAAGCTTATACCAGAATGAGTTGTGATGATTTAGTAGGGGGATTATTTTTAAGATCTGCTTTTTAGGAGATACAGTTTTGTAAGATAAAACACACAAACAGAAAACTCCTCATTTCTTTCTATGCTTTTTTTTGAAAGATAAATGCTAGCAATTATTAGATTTTTCTTTACTTTCAAGTCCTTTATTCATCTAGGACACTCTTCATCACTTTTAAGAACATTAGAACTCTTCAGAGAAGATTATAAGATTTTATTAAAGAAGTAATTAGGGAAAAATATCACAACCATATTTTCTCCTAGAACTGATATCTATTTCTTTGATTTGTGTACCTGAGATTGAGAGTCTAAAAAATTATTTTCTAATTCAGATTCTAATCCAGATAGACCTCAGGTACAATACTTAATCTCACAGTTCCCACAACAAAAACCTTATATGATAATGATAAGCTGTATCAAAGTGTGGTGGTGAGGGTTCAATGAAATAAATATAGGACAGCAACCTGGCAGAGTGGGTATCTCATAGAAATTGCTCAATTAATATTAGTTTCTTTTTCTATTTACATTATTCCACAGCATAGATTAAATATACTGTCTTTTATAGCAAAATTAAACTTTAACTGACAGTAGTTTTAGGTATGTGCTGGGTTTAAAAAATAATTATTACATGAATTTTGATTTCCTCTTCTATTTTTAAAATTCATATTTTTAACATTTATGTGCATCTCTCTCACACTATACATGCTGAGAAAGAGGGGAGTTTTTGTTTTTTTCCATTATTTCAGGATTTCTGGAAATTTCTGTTTAGATAGTATGTTATTACAGTACAAATTTTCAGAGATGTGCAAAGTAATAATATGTCTTTTCATTCTTTCTCTGGTGAATAAAAATGGAACTTGGGATATATTTTATTACACTATGACCCTAAGGAAGTAGTATGTCCCATCCAAATTGGAAAACTTGGTATATAAAACTTAAAATATTTTTCTTGAGTTTTGTTCCAATACAGAAGCCTGAATTTTTTTATGTAACTCGACCTGCAATGCCCAGTTTATTGCCTGGAAAAATTAAGATCTATTCCTGATGTCCTAGCTACCCCATTCCCTAACTCTCTGCCTGTAACTGACTTGGTACATCAGAGACATTCATCTTTATTTTTTAATGATTTCTAAACAAAATGGTTCTTGTCTTAGCCTCCCTTTCAGTTACTAAGCTGATGAGTGAGAAACACCATGTATTACATCTCTCTACTCTTCATAGTATTTTTGCTTATAGTTGCTGCTGACTAAATATTTGATGAATGAACGAATAAATGAATGATCATGTAGTCTCTTAGGGGCCCCATTTTGAACATCTTTGGATTATACATATAGATACAAAAATGGATTACATCATGATTTAAAAGAAGCTATCTTCTAGAAGGAGCCTTTGGCCTAAAGTATTTACATAAATAAAAGAATGTAAGAAATAATTACAGCCCAGAAAATTTGGTATATATTTCTGTTTATATTTTGGTATATATTGTATATATCACCTTTTTCTGCCATTCTCTCCTTTTACAACTTAGCTTAGATGTTCAGGTGTTACTGGACAGGAACTGGCAAAAGAGACACGAGTAACTTTCTAAAGCAATATAATTTGTCTTTCAACTATAGTTGATTCTAGGAGACACAAGCATGAAGTTATTTGAGAATTTAGATGTATCATGAATTTCATATTAGGTTAATTGTGTGGTTTACATTTGTAGCTTAATCAAGGTCATCTGTGACTTTTAGGAAGGAAAGACAGACAATGAAGAAATGTGTTTGCTGTTACTCCTAAATAGTTACGAAAAACAGAAGTCCTTCCAGAGAGATTCGAGTAATTATTCTCTAGCAATAAATTCTAGAGTAATGTAAGCCTGTTTCAGGTAAACTATATACACAAAGCCAAAAACAGCTTTAAAAACAACACTCTTCTTTTCCACCTAGCTTTTTTTCTTTTTTTTTGAGATGGAGTCTCTGTTGCCCAGGCTGGAGTGTAGTGGCTTGATCTCGGCTCACTGCAAGCCCCGCCTCCTGGGTTCACACCATTCTCCTGCCTCAGCCTCCCAAGTAGCTGGAACTACAGGTGCCCACCACCATGCCTGGCTAATTTTGTTTTTTGTATTTTTAGTAGAGATGGGGTTTCACCATGTTAGCCAGGATGGTCTCGATCTCCTGACCTCACGATCCACCTGCCTTGGCCTCCCAAAGTGCTGGGATTACAGGTGTGAGCCACCACACCTGGCCTTGCACCTAGTATTTTGAAGACACTTTAGGATAGTTTAAAAGGGAACATCTATTATATGACATTCTATATTCAATGACATTTCAATAAAAACACAACACACAGCTTTCCCCTTTGCTGTATTTTTAACATTTTTTATTATACTTTATATTCTGGGATACATGTGCAGAACGTGCATGTTTGTTACATAGGTATTCACATGCTATGGTGGTTTGCTGCACCCATCAACCCATCATCTACATTAGGTATTTCTCCTACACCCATCAACCCATCATTTACATTAGGTATTTCTCCTAATGCTATCCCTCTCCTAGCCCCCCATCCCCCAACAGGCCCTGGTGTATGATGTTTCCCTCCCTGTGTCCATGTGTTCTCATTGTTCAACTCCCATGTATGAGTGAGAACATGTGGTGTTTGGTTTCCTGTTCCTGTATTAGCTTGCTGAGAATAATGGTTTCCAGCTTCATCCATGTCCCTGCATGGGACATGAACTCATCCTTTTTTATGGCTGCATAGTATTCCATGGTGTATATGGGCCACATTTTCTTTATCCAGTCTGTCATTGACAGGTATTTGGGTTGGTTCCAAGTCTTCGCTATTGTGAATAGTGCTGTAATAAACATATGTGTGCCTGTGTCTTTGTAGTAGAATGATTTAAAATCCTTTGGGTATATGCCCAGTAATGGGATTGCTGGGTCAAATGGTATTTCTGGTTCTAGACACTTAAGGAATCGCCACTCAGTCTTCCACAGTGGTTGAACTAATTTACACTCCCACCAACAGTGTAAAAGCGTTTATATTTCTAGACATCCTCTCCAGCATCTGTTGTTTCCTGACTTTTTCATGATCGCCATTCTAACTGGCCTGAGATGGTATCTCATTGTGGTTTTGATTTGCATTTCTTTAATGACCACTGATGATGAGCTTCTTTTCATATGTTTTTTGGCCACATAAATGTCTTCTTTAGAGAAGTGTTTGTTCATATCCTTCACCCACGTTTTGATGGAGTTGTTTTTTTCTTTCTTGTAAATTTGTTTAAGTTCCTTGTAGATTCTGGATATTAGCCCTTTGTCAGATGGATAAATTGCAAAAATTTTCTCCCGTTCTGTAGGTTGCCTGTTCACTCTGATGATAGTTTTTTGTTTTGTTTTGTTTGTTTGTTTGTTTTGCTGTGCAGAAGCACTTTAATTGGGTCCCATTTGTCAATTTTGGCTTTTGTTGCCATTGCTTTTGATGTTTTAGTCATGAAGGCTTTGTCCATGCCTATGTTCTGAATGGTATTGCCTAGGTTTTCTTCTAGGGTTTTTATCGTTTTAGGTCTTATGTTTAAGTCTTTAATCCATCTTGAGTTAATTTTGTATAAGGTGTAAGTTTATATATTTGTATAAGGTGTATAAGGGGTACAGTTTCAGTTTTCTGCATATGGCTAGCCAGTTTTCCCAAAACCATTTATTAAATAAGGAATCATTTCCCCATTGCTTGTTTTTGTCAGGTTTATCGAAGATCAGATGGTTGTAGATGGGTTGCATTATTTCTGAGACCTCTGTTCTGTTCCATTGCTCTATATATCCGTTTTGGTACCAGTACCATGCAGTTTTGGTTACTGTAGCCTTGTAGTATAGTTTGAAGTCACATAGTATGGTGCCTCCAGCTTTGTTCTTTTTCCTTAGGATTGTCTTGGATATACGGGCACTTTTTTGGTTTCATATGAAATTTGAAGTGTTTTTTTTTTAATTCTGTGAATAAAGTCAGTGGTAGCTTGATGGGGATAGCATTTAATCTCTAAATTACTTTGGGCAGTATGGCCATTTTCACGATATTGATTCTTCCTGTCCATGAGCGTGGAATGTTTTTCCATTTGTTTGTGTTCTCTCTTATTTCCTTGAACAGTGGTTTATTGTACTCCTTGAAGAGGTCCTTCACATCCCTTGTAAGTTATATTCCTAGGTATTTTATTCTCTTTGTGAATTGTGAATAGGATTCACTCATGATTTGGCTCTCTGTTTTTCTATTATTGGTGTATAGAAACGCTTCTGATTTTTGTACATTGGTTATGTGTCTTGAGACTACTGAAGTTGCTTATTAACTTAAGGAGATTTTGGGCTGAGACAATGGGGTTTTCTAAATATACAGTCATGTCATCTGCAAACAGAGACAATTTGACTTCCTCTTTTCCTACTTGAATACCCTTTATTTCTTTCTCTTGCCTGATTGTCCTGCCAGAACTTCCAATACTATTTTGAATAGGAGTGGTGAGAGAGGGCGTCCTTTTCTTGTGCAGGTTTTCAAAGGAAATGCTTCCAGCTTTTGCCCTTTCAGTATGATATTGGCTGTGGGTTTGTCATAAACAGCTTTTATTAGTTTGAGATATGTTCCATCAATACCTAGTTTATTGAGAGTTTTTAGCATGAAGGAGTGTTGAATTTTATCAAAGGTCTTTTCTGCATCTATTGAGATAATCATGTGGTTTTTGTCATTGGTTCTGTTTATCTGATGGATTACATTTATTGATTTGCATATGTTGAACCAGCCTTGCATCCCAGGGATGAAACCGACTTGATCGTGGTGAATAAGCTTTTTGATGTGCTGCTGGATTGGGTTTGCCAGTATTTTATTGAGTATTTTTGCATCAGTGTTCTTCAGGGATATTGGGCTGAAATTTTCTTTTTTGTTGTTTCTCTGCCAGGTTTTAGTATCAGGATGATGTTGGCCTCATAAGATGAGTTAGGGAGGAGTCCCTCTTTTTCTATTGATTGGAATAGTTTCATAAGGAATGGTACCAGCTCCTCTTTGTACCTCTGGTAGAACTTGGCTGTGAATCCTTCTGGTCCTGGGGTTTTTTTGGTTGGTAGGTTATTAATTACTGCCTCAATTTCAGAACTTGTTATTGGTCTATTCAGGGATTTGACTTCTTCCTGGTTTAGTCTTGGCAGGGTGTATGTGTCAAGGAATTTATCCATTTCTTCTAGATTTTCTAGTTTATTTGTGTAGAGGTTTTTATTGTATTCTCTGATGGTAGTTTGTATTTCTGTGGGATCAGTTGTGGTATCCCCTTTATCATTTTTTATTGTGTCTATTTGATTCTTCTCTCTTTTCATCTTTATTAGTCTGGCTAGCTGTCTATCTATTTTGTTGATCTTTTCAAAAAACCAGCTCCTGGGTTCATTGATTTTTTGAAGGGTTTTTGTGTCTCTATCTCCTTCAGTTCTGCTCTGATCTTCGTTATTTCTTGCCTTCTGCTAGCTTTTGAATTTGTTTGCTCTTGCTTCTCTAGTTCTTTTAATTGTGATGTTAGGATGTTGATTTTAGATCTTTCCTGCTTTCTCCTGGGTGCATTTAGTGCTATAAATTCCCCTCTAAACACTGCTTTAGCTATGTCCCAGAGATTCTAGTACATTGTGTCTTTGTTCTCATTGGTTTCAAAGAACTTATTTATTTCTGCCTTCATTTTGTTATTTACCCAGTAGTCATTCAGGAGCAGGTTGTTCAGTTTCCACATATTTGTGCAGTTTTGAGTGAGTTTCTTAATCCTGAGTTCTAATTTGATTGCACTGTTGTCTGAGAGACTGTTTGTTTTGATTTCCATTATTTTGCATTTGCTGAAGAGTGTTTTACTTCCCATTATGTGGTCGATTTTAGAATAATTGCTATGTGGTGCTGAGAAGAATGTGTATTCTGTTGATTTGGGGTGGAGAGTTCTGTAGGTGTCTATTAGGTCTTCTTGGTCCAGAGCTGAGTTCAAGTCCTGAATATCCTTGTTAATTTTCTGTCTCGTTGATCTGTCTCATATTGACAGTGGGTTGTTAAATTCTCCCACTATTATTGTGTGGTAGTCTAAGTCTCTTTGTACATCTCTAAGAACTTACTTTATGAATCTGGGTGCTCCTGTATTGGATGCATATATATTTAGGATAGTTAGCTCTTCTTGTTGCATTGATCCCTTTACCAGTATGTAATGTCCTTCTTTGTCTTTTTTGATCTTTGTTGGTCTCTGATAAAAAGTCTGGTTTATCAGAGTCTAGTATTGCAACCCCTGCTTTTTTTTGGCTTTCTATTATTTGCTTGATAAACATTCCTCCATCCATTTGTTTTGAGCCTATGTGTGTCTTTGCACATGAGGTGGCTCTCCTGAATATAGCACACCTATGGGTCTTGACTCTATCCAATTTGCCAGTCTGTGTCTGTTAATTGGTGCATTTAACCCATGTACATTTAACGTTAATATCGACATGTGTGAATTTGATCCTGTCATTATGATGCTAACTGGTTATTTTGCCAATTAGTTGATGCAGTTTCTTCATAGTGTCGATTGTCTCTACAATGTGGTATGTTTTTGCAGTGGCTGGTACTGGTTTTTCCTTTCCATATTTAGTGCTTCCTTCAGGAGCTCTTGTAAGACAGGCCTGGTGGTGACAAAATCTTTCAGCATTTGCTTGTCTGTAAAGGATTTCATTTCTCCTTTGCTTATGAAGCTTAGTTTGGCTGGATATGAAATACTGGGTTGAAAATTCTTTTCTGTAAGAATATTGAATATTGATCCCTACTCTCTTCTGGCTTGAAGGGTTTCTGCCGAGAGATCAGCTGTTAGTCTGATGGGCTTCCCTTTGTGGGTAACCCAACCTTTCTCTCTGGCTGCCCATAATATTTTTTTCCTCTATTTCAACCTTGATGAATCTGACGATTACGTGCCTTGGTGTTGCTCTTCTTCAGGAGTATCTTTGTGGTGTTCTCTGTGTTTCCTGAATTTGAATGTTGGCCTGTCTTGCTAGGTTGGGGAAGTTCTCCTGGATAATATCCTGAAGAGTTTCCAAATTGGTTCCATTTTCCCCGTCACTTTCACGTACACCAATCAAATGTAGATTTGGTCTTTTCACATAGTCCCATATTTCTTGGAGGCTTTGTTGGTTCCTTTTCATTCTTTTTTCTCTAATCTTGTCTTCATGTTTTATTTCACTCAGTTGATCTTCAATCTCTGATAACTTTTCTTCCGCTTGATGGATTCAGCTATTGATACATGTATATGCTTCAGGAAGTTCTCATGCTGCATTTTTCAGCTCCATCAGGTCATTTATGTTCTTCTCTCAACTGGTTATTCTAGTTAGCAATTCTTCTAACCTTTTTGCAAGGTTCTTAGCTTCCTTGCATTGGGCTAGAACATGCCCTTTAGCTTGGAGGAGTTTGTTATTACCCACCTTCTGAAGCCTAGTTCTGTCAATTCATCAAACTCATTCTCTGTCCAGTTTTGTTCCCTTGCTGGTGAGGAGTTGTGATCCTTTGGAGGAGAAGAAGCGTTCTGGTTTTTGGAATTTTCTGCCTTTTTGTGCTGATTTTTCCTGATTTTCGTGGATTTATCTACCTTCACTCTTTGATGTTGGTGACCTTCGGATGGGGTTTTTGTGTGGACATCCTTTTTGTTGGTTTTGTTGCTATTCCTTTCTGTTTGTTAGTTTTCCTGCTAACAGGCCCCTCTGCTGCCTGTCTGCTGTAGTTTGCTGGAGGTCCACTGCAGACCCTGTTTGCCTGGGTATCACCAGCAGAGGATGCAGTACAGCAAAGATTGCTGCCTGTTCCTTCCTCTGGAAGCTTCGTTCCAGAGGGGCACCGGCCAGATGCCAGCCAGAGCTCTCCTGTATGAGGTGTCTATCGACCCCTGCTGGGAGGTGTCTCCCAGTCAGGAGGCGCAGGGATCAGGGACCCACTTGAGGAGGCAGTGTATTCCTTAGCAGAGCTCCAGCACTCTGCTGGGAGACCTGCTGCTCTCTTCAGAGACGGCAAGCAGGAATGTTTAAGTCTGCTGAAGTTGTGCCCATAGCCCCCGCTTCCACCAGGTGCTCTTTCCCAGGGAGATGGGAGTTTTATCTATAAGCTCCTGACTGGGGCTGCTGCCTTTCTTTCAGATATGCCGTCTCAGAGAGGAGGAATCTAGGGAGGCAGTCTGGCTACAGTGGCCTTGCGGAGCTGCGGTGGGCTCCGCCCAGTTCGAATTTTCCGGTGGCTTTTTTTACACTGTGAGGGGAAAACCACCTACTCAAGCCTCAGTAATGGCAGACCTCCCTTCCCCCAAGATCAAGCATCGCAGGTCGACTTCAGAATGCTGTGCTGGCAGTGAGAATTTCAAGCCAGTGGATCTTACCTTGCTGGGCTCTGTGCGGGATGGGATCTGCTGAGCTAGACCACTTTGCTCCCTGGCTTCAGCCCCCTTTCCAGGGGATTGAACTGTTCTGTCTTTCTGGCTTTCCAGGTGTCACTGGGTTATGAAAAAGAAATTGCAGCTAGCTCGGCGTCTGCCCAAACAGCCACCCAGTTTTGTACTTGAAACCCAGGGTCGTGGTGGTGTAGGCACCTGAGGAAATCTCCTGGTCTGTGGGTTGCAAAGACCATGGGAAAAGCGTAGTATCTGGGCTGGAATGCACCTTTCCTCACAGCACAGTCCCTCATGGCTTCCCTTGGCTAGGGGAGGGAGTTCCTCAACCCCTTGTGCTTCCCGGGTGAGGTGACGCCCCACCCAGCTTTGGTTCGCCCTCCATGGGCTGTACCCACTGTGCGTCCAGTCCCAATGAGATGAGTCAGGTACCTCAGTTTTAACTGCAGAAATCACCGGCCTTCTGCATTGATCTCGCTAGGAGCTGCAGACCAGAGGTGTTCCTATTCAGCCATCTTGCCAGCTACTTGATCTGTATTTTTAACATTTTACCCAGTGAACCTGAGGATGAGTTAGTCTTTTTTGTTTTCTCACTTATGAAAATAATTCAAAATAAAACATACGTCATTGTATGTTGTTTATTTCTTATATTTGAATTCTGCCCTTTAAATTGAGTTAAATTGCTAATTTCCGCTTTATAGCAAAACCACTGTTGTATGGCTTTTTTCATGGCAAATTACAAATCAGTTTGACCTTAGTGTTTGTCAGATACATACTTGGTTAATATATCAAATCTACCTTTGGTTGGGTTCGTAGTTGTTCCAGTACAGAAAAAAATTGAATTGTAAAATATTTTTATTGGTTTGTCACCTTTGATGTTGTAAAAATAATAAATTAAGTATATATTACAACCAGATTCTCAAATACCTGACTATTCAAACTATTCTTTTGTTTTCAGTTTAATTTCAAATTCTATGGGTAGATTTCTAATCTTCTAAGTAAGTTTAGAAATTTACTTAGTTTACACATTTTTTTGTACAAGACCCATTATATGTTTGTTTGTTTGTGTGTTTGTTTGTTTTTGAGACGGAGTCTCGCTCTGTCCCCCAGGCTGGAGTGCAGTGGTGCCATCTCCACTCACTGCAAGCTCCGCCTCCCGGGTTCACGCCATTCTCCTGCCTCAGCCTCCCGAGTAGCTGGGACTACAGGCGCCCGCCACCACGCCGGGCTAATTTTTTGTATTTTTAGTAGACATGGGGTTTCACTGTGTTAGCCAGGATGGTCTCGATCTCCTGACCTCATGATCCGCCCACCTCGGCCTCCCAAAGTGCTGGGATTACAGTCGTGAGCCACAGCGCCTGACCCCCATTATATGTTTTTATATCAATAATCTGATCTTTTATTACTTAGTGAATAATTGAATGGTTTAAATTGACACATTATTCCATTTGTAGACTGATAACTTTTAGAATCAAAAAATATTTTAAAACTCAGTGACTTTGCAGACCAAGGATTGAACAGAATTTTCTTTCTAGGATTAGGTATTAGGTAGTTTTCGAAAATGCTAATTAAAATAGAACTAAGATATTTTAGTTAAAATACTAGCAAATGTATTCCTTATTAAGCCTCTTCATTCAATACTAGTTTTTTTCAATCTTTAACAAATATTTCTGCCTAACCACTTTAAATAAAAGTAAGCAAATATACAAATTAAGTTGGTTTCTTAAGTTATCACTTAAAGGTTTCCTTTTTGTCAAATCAGTTTTATTGTTTTCTTATTTAAATGCAAAAATACTTGCTTATTTCAAAACTTGTAGGGTGACGAAAGCAAAAGAAGAAGCCCTGTAATCAGATCCCCTGATGTGACTACTGGTAACAAATATACAAGGCAATTTGATTTCTGAAATAAAGAAATTTAACTTTTAAAATTTAAAACATTTCCTCAAACAATGACAAAATAAACACACAGAAGGATTGTTAAAACTATAAGAATAAAAGCTAATACTAAAATACAAATTCTAAAACTTAGTTGTATTATAGTTACAGGTAGTAGTGCCACTTTCTCTATATTCAATTCTTCATCATCTACTCCTATTGTATGTGAATATCTACTCATTCTTCATCCATACTTTCATTGTTTCAGTATCACTTAAGAGCATGATAATTTACATAGTTTCTGACCAGGTTTTGTAGCATACAAAAGCCCCTGCCCTCCAGAACCCTAAAATCTAGTTGGAATGACTAATTATAGGACTTAATAGTTAAGAGAGTATATTATAAAGCATGTATTAAGGGAAGCCTTTCTTCACCTCCACCACCATCAAGTCTCCGTCAAATTATTTGGTTGTACATTTTCAAGGAATATTTCTTTTTATCAAAGCACTTTTTCAAGTTTGATACTAGGCCTTGTTAGTTTGATTATATACCTAATTTATTTAATCTTCCACATTTGTCAGAAGGGGCTCACCTAAGCTTTCCCAGCACCTAACATAATGCACAACACATAGTGAGTGTTTAATAACCACTTGTTGACTGAATGACTGAATGAATACAAAATACAACATAAGCATTCAAATAAGTTAACTTGGGGTTGGAATTGTCAAGGAAGGTCTTAAGACAATGGCATTAAATTGACACTAAACAAAGGGAAAGAAGTGGATAGGTGGAAAGAAGGAAGAGAAGCATTTTCTGAGAGTAGGGTAAAATAAGACAGCATAACACAAAACTAAGCATTTTAAAGTGAACAATTCAGTGACATTAATACATTCACAATATTGTGAATTTGCCAACTCAAACTAGTTCCCATTTTTATCACCTTAAAAGGTAACCTGCTATCGCCAGCCATGATTCCATCATCACTATATTTTTATTTACCTTCACCCTTGACACTTCTTCATCGTATTCAGCAAATGAATAAATATAAGCATAGATAATTTTATTCTATTCTTCTTGGATTTCTTTACTCAGTGAGATGTGCTCTATTTTTTACTGTGTTCCTTTACTTGCCTCTACTTTGAAACAACAGCCCATATCCTGTTGCTAAACTCCATGCTGTTCAGATTATTTAATTGAGACAAACTTTAGCTTCTATTCCTTCAACTGACCTTATGCCCTCCTTGGACTGAAAGCATTTAGAAAACCCCCTCTGATGGAAACCCAATTAATGAGTGAAACAAATAAATAACTTAAAAAATAGTGTTTATTAAATGACTTTCATTTCCCTCCTCTAAACTTTCATTATCATTTCAGAGATCAAAGATTTAATCCCAATGAAAAACTGAGGAATTTCATTTCTTTCTTTTTTTTTTTAACTTTTATTTTTTTGAGACAGTCTCACTCTGTTGCCCAGGCTGGAGTGCAGTGTGGCACTATCTCGGGGCTCACTGCAGCCTCCACCTTCTGGGTTCAAGCAATTCTCCTGTCTCAGCCTTCCAAGTAGCTGGGATTACAGGCACCTACCACTATGCCCGGCTAATTTTTGTCTCGTTAGTAGAGATGAGGTTTCACCACACTGGCCAGGCTGGTCTCGAACTCCTGACCTAGGTGATCTGCTCACCTAGGGCGCTCCCGCCTGGCCTCCCAAAGTGCTAGGATTACAAGTGAGAGCCACTGCACCTGGTCAGGAATTTAATTTCTAATGTGATAACAGTCACACTTGATCATTGAGCAAATCTCAGGGATTGACACAGATATTGTTTATAAATAAAAAGTCACCAAATTAATTAATTAATTAGTTTAGAGACAGAGTCTCACTCTGTCACCCAGGCTGGAGTACAGTGGCATGATCTTGGCTCACTGCAACCTCTGCCTCCCAGGTTCAAATGATTCTCATGCCTCAGCCTCCTAAGTAGCTGGGATTACAGGCATGCATCACCATGCCTAGCTTTTATGTTTTTAGTAGACACGGGGTTTTACCATGTTGGCCAGGCTGGTTTTGAACTCCTGGCCTCAAGTGATCCACCTGCCTCAGCCTCCCAAAGTGCTGAGATTACAGGTGTAAGCCATCATGCCTGGCCTAAAAGACACCAAATTCTTATAGGTAATAGGATTACTCTTAGCCCATCAGTGCCTGGTTAGAGTTTACATACAAGCAAGGAACCTATGTGTAGGGGACACAATGTGATTTTCTCAGCTCAACATTGATTACTCATTCATTTGCTGATTGTACACTCATTTTACTTTGGAGAACCAGCCATTCTGCAATTGATTACTGTCTTGGTGGAACTATATATCAGGGTTCTCTGCCTTTCCAGGTTGTTGGGTAGGGATGTGAACCAAGTTTCAAGAGTCAAATTGCTTTTCCAGGAATGTTAAGTTTGAGAAGAGTAGCAAATCTGGAATTGATCTTAGAAGACCCTGAAGAAATTGCCTATTAGTTCCTGTCATTCAGATCACCAGATATCATTGATTTAACTTATCCTGCAGTTCTCTGTGCAATTCTGCATCACCTCCCAGTAGCTATATTTATACTTGGAGGGCCTATCCCAAATCCTAAAGCTATCTCATTGATAATAACCTGAGAGAAAGAAAAACCCATCAAAATAAAAGGGCTTAGGGCAAACAGAATAAATGTGTATCTAAGAAAAAGTTGTTCATAAGGAAGCAAAAAGATAGGATGGGTCAGAAACCACACAGTCGGCATTAGATTCCTTCATATGACTAATAGCAAGTACTCAAAAGATTAGAGCCTGTCACTGATCTAAAATATTTTAGTGAAGAGTGGCACACTCTAATACTTTAATGCCCTCATTTATTTCAGTATGGTTTTCTTGCATCTAATGTAAATACATCTCAGCGATTTTTAAAAGTAAACCTCTTTCTTGCTCTTCTCCTTGTAGCTCACTACAAAACTGATACACAGAGTAGTGTCCCCATGTCATCATTAGTAGCAGCATTTAGGAACTTGTTAGAAAAGCAGATCCTCAGGCTGCACCTCACATCTACTGTTTCAGAGGCTCTGGGGTGCGGAGCCCAGCATCTGTGTTTCGGCAAGCCCTCTAAGTGATCCTGAGATTCACTAAGAGTAAAGGACCACTGATCGAATATTCTGCCAGAGTTCCTCAGGCACTCACAAGCCTAATTTCCTAAAGGAGGAAATGTATCATTGCCCAGGAAGACTCATGTCCCTTCGTATGTGGAGAAAAAAAAAAACTCTAATGTTGATACAACATCCCAACATCTCCTAACATTTTCTGCCCTATGACAAATTTCACAAGAATCATTCGAGAAGATGTGGCCTCCAAATCAAATATTCTGCTTTTCTGCCGTGGTTTGACATTGAACTCTAATTCTACCAAACTCTATACCATGCAAATTAAAAGAGAAATAAATAAAGCCATGGAGATCTTTATTTGAAATGTTACACCAAGAAAACAACAATAAGGAGAGGAGGTTGAATTCAAAGGGAATGGCTGGGTTAGAGCCAATTAAAACAGCTGATGTGTGGTAAGCAGAGGCAGTTAAAGAAGGGCACAATAAACATCCCTTGGGAGGGACAGTGGAGAAGCAGCTTGTCAACTGAGAAAGTAGGCCTTAATAGCACAGGCCTACTTTCGTCCTTAATTAGACTGAAATTGCCCATCAGTGGCACTCACCTGTGATTAAAAACCAACAACAAGCAAAAAGTAAAATACTGGATGTGCCAACTTTAAACCAAGTTCAGACTGTGTCTAAGCTTTTCACCTCGTCCATGGTTTTAAGACACTAATTAATACACTGCTGTTAATCAGTGAGGTTGGGGACTTCAAGATCTTCTTGAGTGTGCAGCCCCAGTTTCAGGAGAGGAAGAGATATTTTTTTCTTTTTTCTAAGAGTGGAAATATATGCTGCTAGACATGCTGACTTTACCATCACTTACATTGGCACTGTTCATGGAGGAATCTTGGAAAACTGTCAGGAAATGAAACTATCTTGATCATCAGAGTAAAGAAGTATGATAGCAGCGAGTGAGCCCCAGTGGCAGAAGGGTTACACAGTCCTTGAATTTTAGTTCTGGCTCTATTCACTACAAGTCAGACATTCTTCATTATTCCCCAGTAAAATTTTTAGGCTGAATAAATAGGTAAAGCAAAAAGCAAATAACTTGCAGATAGTAATTTTGGTCATGACAAACTATTTAACTTAGTATAGTCTTAATGATGGGATTACAGTCACTTATACTGTTTATATTGAAGCACATGAGGGTCTGTCTTGATCAGGAGGCTACTGGAGTGAGCAGTGTTGCAATTACTTTAGAAATCCTCTTGGTGAAATTTGAATATCTTGCCCTGTGAAGTTACTGTTATGGTATTATGCTACTGTTTTCTCTCATTACTAGAATTACAGCATATAGATTTTCAGGAGCACACAGTAAATATTGACTTTTTTTTCTAAATATTTTTGCAGGCTAAGGGTCTCTACTATGATTAAACAAATTAAATATAATGCATTTAAAAATCCTGATATAGCTCCTGATGAATGCATTTCCAAATTATCATGTGTATCATCTCCAATAAGTTGAAGCTTTTAAAATTACATCATAGTCCATATAATGACCACTTTATATTAGACCATCACAGTTGTAATATAAAATGTGGTCATGGCTTACTGAGATGTCATAATTCATCAAATCTTTTTTTTCCCGACATCGCATCTCCACATCCTTTCTGAACAGTACACTGTAATTTTTAGATTGCCAAGTATGATCTATCAAAATGAGAACTTGGGTGTGGTACTTAGCAACTTTTAGATATACCAATAAAACAACAACCTAATGCCTAAAGAAAACTGGGTAATTTTATATTAATATTTTATGGTATTTTTGGAACCTCATATGAGTATGCACCAGAGGAGGGTTAGAAGTTGAAATGCATTATTATATGTCAAGCTGGTATCATATATCAAATGATTTTAGAGGACAGGGAGCTAAGAACAGGAGTACTGGGAAATACAAGATAGAATTTCAAAGGCAGGAAGAAGCCTGATGGGAAAAAAATTAAGGGTGAATTGGTGGAAATTCATGGATAATTGCAAGGAATGCTCAAGGGAGATAAACTTTATATTCATTGGAAAGGGTTAAGAATGAAGACTGTTACAAATACTAGACACAGAAGGTCTGGAAACATAGACCATGATTTTATGATGGATTAATCCATAGTTTCAGACTTGTTCAACATCCTGCAGATATGATCAATGTGTAAATAAGTGTTTTAACTCAGTAACAGCAGAAGGTGCATTTTTAGAGAGAGGAACACTTGACAGCCTCCAGTAAAGTGAAAATGGGAAGTCACTGCTTTCAGTTTGAATAGGATTGGTATTGGAACAGTAGTGTCAGATAGTCTCTGAGATGAAGTCATTTGACTCTCTTTCCTTTGAGTTAATTATTAAGTACTATCCAGAAGTTCTTTATCCAATGCAAGCACAAATTACCAGGCAAAGCACAGGTAAAGCCACCAGGTAGCTTCTGAAAAGTGTTGTTATCTGCAGCCTTCTTGCATGGTGCTTGGTTGTGAACTCCACATGTGCTCGGCTATCATCTGCGGCCACCTCTATGCAGCTAATAGGCTTTGGACATCACTTATGGATTCAATGTGTTGTGCCATTTACCTCCATGTTTACTCTTTTTTATCATCTGTCACTCCTTTACCTCTGCTTCCCTAAACCAGAGAGAAAAAAAATCGTATATCAATATGCAGAAATGCAAAAGTTACTTGAAATAAATAGTGTTGGTTTAGGACTTTATGTTTTAGCTCAATTCTAAACATCCTTGTGATTCCTAAACTATGGCAGGATAAGCTTTCCAGGGAACATTTAAAGCTTGCCGTTCAGAGAGAACAGTAAAGTGCCATGTATATGTTAACTCTAAGAATTCTTCCTTATTGACAAATTGAATTGGGCAAAGGTGTGGCTGCACGGCTGGTATTTTATCTGCAACTGTCAAACTCTGGTAGTTCTTTTTCATTTTGACTTTTTATTCTATTTTCCAATCTATTATCCTCTTTCTATCTTCTGGTGGATATCTGTTGACCTTTAATCCTTACTTACTGCATACACTTTGGTGATCACTTTATGGAAGGATCCTTGCTAGGGCTCAGATGCTGAGGAAGAAATGGCATCAATAAAATATAAATGGGAAAGAGAAAATGAGAGCAAGCAAGCTTTAAGGCTTATCTAAATGGAGCAGACAGTTTTAGGTTTGGAATTGCCACACCCTCTGTAAGATTCACTTGTAATTTTATACTTCTATTGAATATTCTGCAGAATAATAAGCCCTGCTCTTTGCCAGAGATGCTTTGTTTAAATCAAATCCTCTGGAGAAAATCTCAAAAGAAATAGCTGCTGAGTTTACTTAATATAAGAAGTTTTTTTTTAATTTAAAGTTTCCTTGACAGAGTCGTTTGTTGATTAAAATGCTCTGCCAAGTTCTTCTAGTGATTCCGTCAAGACCAAACTATGCTTTTTTTTTTAAACTGCAGATGCAAATGTTAACTTCACCTGAGGTTTCTCTAGCAAAGCATTTTCTTCTTTTCAGAAGCTCTTAACACTGCCAGATGTGTAATTAAATGGTCATTTCACTTTTATTATAATTTTGTGGCTTTTTAAAATTATTTTTCTTGTTTATGTACACTGTAGCAGTTATGGTCACCATATGCTCGTTATGTAAGATAGCTCTTAACACCCAGCTGATAGATGCAAGCTGTTGGGGAAAAATCCCCACTGGTCTCCTATTTATCTAATTTTAATCCTCAAAGGTAAATTCAGCTGGATAAATGTGTTCCTAAGCATCTTTCACCTGTCAGAAAATATTTTTATGTAGTTCCTCTAACAACATGAAGGAAAATGTCTGCCTCTCTAGAACTTGATTTTGCCACTAGTTACTTTGTGCTATTGAGATAGTACTTTTGAGATAAAAGATACAATAAGCCAATAAAGTAGAAGCTAAAGTGTGATGATATAAATATATGTATAAACTAGCTTTTTGGAGGGATAGGTGGGATAGGTGGAAGAGAGGAGGAAAGGATTTCTTCCTGATGAATATAAACAAAAACAATTTAAGGAAAATGCAAGTTTAATAATTTAACCAATACTTAGTAAGCCATGCAACTGAACTTATTTTCCCTAAAGTTATTATCCTATAAATCACAAATATTTTATTTCATAAGAATCTGAGGTCTGTACCGTTGAGAGTGCAAATATACCATTATTATAGAAAGAGTTTGCAGAAATAAAACTCCTAGAATGTACATGCATTAAGTCATGATTTTTAAAACTGTCCTATGAAAATGATATAGTCTCTAATGAGCAATTTTAATGTTTAGTAAGAAACAGGGAAATTGTTTTTATGGGAGAAGAATCCATCCCATCACGTTAGAATTACAAAACTTTCCATTTATGTTTGCTCAAAGTTTTCTGTTTTGTTTGGTTTGGTTTGGTTTGCCTGTTTTTGACAGAAAGTGTGGAAAGTTGGCAGTGTCTTTGCAGGGATGAGGGGTATGTGATTGCTAACATACTTTGCTTTCAATGACCTCATGTAAATGTTAGGGAAGTCTGGAGGAAATCAATGCATTTACAATAATCCAGGTTAGTATCTGATGGTCTCCATTAGAAAAGTGTTTAGAGGGGAGGAAACGCATAACAAATTACCGCTCATCGTTCACATTTAATATTGCGTCGATTCTGCATTTGAGGAAATCAATTTTTGTTCTTTCTATTCCAGAAATATATGTGAGAGATTTTCTTTTACTTATATAAAGAATATGAAAATAAATGTATTAATTAGTATTCCAAGTTTAATTAATGACCAAGTCAGATTCTTTTAAAAGTAAACAAATAGCTCATTTCCCGGATTGTATATATTACACATTTATATGTAATATTAATTATGCTAGTTGTTGATAGATTTCAGCCCATCCCATTTTCAGCAAATCTGATGAACTTTATTCCTTTTAATTTTGGCTATGCAAACTTCTTTCTTTAATAATATTAAAATGCATTACATGCATTTCCAATGACTAAAAATATATCTATCAGTGAGAAGGAAACTGCTGGATTTTAAATCTTCTCACAGCTATTGTAGAAATTAGGAAGAAGAGGACTCATGCGTGCAATAGGTGTTACTGGGAACGTTTTATGAGAACAATAGGAACTTTATAAGATTTTTCACGTTTACCCTTCACTCATCCCCTTTTTCTTCACGTCTCAACTGAATATTAACATAACTATAATATAAGTATGCTAAACATTCTGAAAGTACAAGCATTGACTAATAATGAGGATTTTAAGCTGAGGTCCCTCAGGGTACAAACTTCTTTAGGTGAAAATCTAGTATGTCACTAATTACTTAAAGGTTATCTACAAATTTTCCTTTATTCTCATTTCTTTGAAGTTTGTGAAACTTCTTCAATTCACTAAAATGTAGCTAGTGAATAAAGTAAAATAAGAGTTAAGTTTTAGATGCCAAATTTAGTTGTCCATTTTTTTCTACTCTCACCGTTGCTCTATACCCTAAATCTTACAAATACAGTGGGAAAGCATTGAGGAGGGGATTAAAAATGAAATGTTTTATGAAAATATTTAGCAAGACAATATGGACACAGGAAAAGTGAAGAAGTTCCTCATATATATCTTATGTTGATAATGATACAAAATTTTACATGAAAAATCATATTTACAGAAATCTATTCTGCTTTTTCAACATTATGCTTTATTACTCACCAATTCTCATGGTCCACACATTTAAAACAGGAACGAGAAAGATATTTTAGGGCAACATATGTGTGGTTCGTAAAACCAATAAGCAGGGTATATGCAAGAAAGAGCTCGGCAACTACTTCTGTTGCTGTCAGAAATCATTGTGAAATTTCATGAAAAGGAACTCTTGAGACTATGATAATATGGAAGTAAAGGGGAATGCATATATGGAAATTAACATTCTTCTAAGAAAAATGATTGGCTAAAGAAAATGGACAGTGAGGTCAGTAGAGAATAAAATGTCAATAAATTGAAGTGTGTGTGTGTGTGTGTGTGCACACGCACTATTCTGGTAAGAAGCAGATAAAAAAGGAAAGGAAAACTTTGAAGGGTTTACGTAGACTTTTTGATCACTTTGCATCTTTTATAGTAGGTTTCTATATATTTCTGAATCTAATGTATTAGATGCCTGTCTTAGTCCATTAGTGCTGTTATAACAGAGTACCACAGACTGGTAATTTCTATAAGAACAGGAATTTATATCCCATAGTTCTAGAGCCTAGGAAATCCTAGATCAAGGCACTGACATCTGGTGAGGGTCTTCTGGCTGCATCTTCATATGTTAGAAGGTGGAAAGGCAAGAGAGGGGCGACCTCCCTCCATCAAGTCTTTTTATAAAGGCACCTAATCCCATTCATGAGGGCAGAGCCCTCACGATTCAATCACTTTCCAAAGGCCACAACCGCCAATATTGTTGCATTGAGGATTAAGTTTCAACATGAAATTTGAAGGTGACAAAAACATTCAAACCATTGCAATGTCTGACAGAGAGATGTGGTTTTCCAGTTAATGGTCTCATTTTATGTCTGGGCTATTAAAAACATGACCATTGCATATAGCTGGGAAGATCGCACACTCTACCAGTGTGTGTGTGACAAGCACTACAACCTCAAGTGGTTGTTGACTCTGCATCACTGGTTTTGTTCAGTGGAATAAGCAGATATTAATAATGTATATGTAATTTTATGTTGCTGCCTTTTTAAATGGTGCCATAAGATTTCCTTAAAGTGACTATATTTTATTTATACTTACTAAATATAGACCCAGCACTGAATAAATTACACAAAATAATAGAAGAGTCATAATCAGATCTTATGTTTTCATTATCATACTTTCTAATTTCCTATTCTTTTTTATGACTTCAGGTAGGTTGAAAAAGAGGTATCTAGCTGAATCTCTCAATATTCCTCTCTCTCTTTCTTATTATCTGTCTCTGCCCATCACACACACACATGTACACACACACATGTTCGCACAAACACACACACACACACACACAGCTGTTTTGAAATATCCTCAGAGTTCCTAGTAAAATGCTGCATGATCTGAAAAAGACAAATTTTTGAAGCTATTGATGGGGTAGCTTTTCTGGGTGGTTCCTAGAAAGGATCTGGATGTTAGTTAGATCTGAAGTTTAGAACCTGTACTGGAACTGGGAACTGGAACTGATTACAGGCAGCAATTACTTTAACTCATTACTTAGATTAAAATCATAGGCTAATTATAGTGTTACCCTGTGTTAAAATATAAGAATAAAGTTTAAATGTTTAAGAAAAGATTTACTCTCAATCCCTGAACGAAACCTAATGCATCCTTAGAATATCTGCAATAAAGCAGGAGATGGTTAACATGTGGATTCTGAAGGGGTAAGAGCAATGGTTACATGGTGCTTGGGATGTGAAAATGTGCAGTATTCCAAGTGATCCTATAAATCTTTCACAATTACAAGTTACAACCATTGCAAATGACATTTTTATGATACCTTTTGAATGGCTTGGCTTTGGTGTGCCACTCTTTTATGTTTTAGCCAATTTTATTTGTATATAAGCTTCAAAAATATGTGAAAATAAGAAAATTGGAAAGGAAGCAGTAGTGAAAATGATACCTTTATAAAACACTGTTATTATACATTGTTACATCTCAACATTTTTGGCCGCATTTCCCAGGACCAAACTGTTAAAACTTGTTTGAGATGTCTTCATCTTTTTATAACACAGTATATTTGTGTACCCATATTCCAACAAGAATAGTTCTTTCAAGCATAACTGTTTTTTTAGGTTGCATTTTTTTAGCATTCATTTGGATTTTTAAGGGTCTGCTGTCTTACTGGAACACTGAAATTTATCTGGCAAGAATATCCAATGATTTTGTTTTAATGGAATAGTTGTCCTTTTTCCAGATGTGTATTTTTTTTCACTCGGGGAGCTGATATCCTGGAAGCAAGGGTATTAACATGCAATGCCATTCCAAAGCTGACTACATTTGCTTTTCATTATACTTTATGGTTAAGAGACCCTCTGAATTTGATAAATTTTATTTGCTCAACTAACTCTATCAGTAGCATGTTGTAAAGAAGCCTGTAGGGTAGTAAATGCATGTCATAGAGCATATATAAACAATTTCCACCTCTCCTGAGAAGTTCCTCGTTTTAGGTGGACATTGTGTGCATTCTTTAAAAATCCGTTAGCTGTCTTACTATTTAATCCCTTGTACTCATCACCTGCTTTTATGTTTTAGCCAGCTAGTTTACCTTTCTTTTGACTGATTCAATACCACAATAAAGACACATCTTGGCATATTGCCCCTTGTGCCCACAAATACACTGTATGAGCAGAGTATACCTAATACTTCTTTATGCATCCATTTTTTTCTGAGATATCTGAAAAAATGATTTCAGTGGGAATACTGGTAAGAAAAATTCTAAAACAGATCTTAGTGTCTTATGTGTTAGAAGCCAGGTCTGGAGAATAGTTTTAACTTCATGCTCAGTATATCTTATCTTATTTTTTATTCTTTAAATTTCCTCAGTGAAGCCAGGCCTGGATAATAAACTTCATGCTCAGTATATCATATCTTATTTTTTATTATTTAAATTTCCTCATTAGTCCTGAAGACAATCTATTCAAATCATTCAAACATTTTGCAACTTGTTAGTACGAGTCATTTATTCTCTGGGGTTTAAGGGAAGTTCTTACCTGGATGAAGGATAATTTTAAAAAATGAAGGTTCTTAAGGTCGAATGTGAAAGTGATAATGCACAATACAATTTCAGAATGGATTGGAAAAAAAAGAACAGTTAATAATTTGACTCTTTACTTCTGCTTCTATTATAGACTAACAGGGATCATATTTACTTCCCTCCACCTTAAGTATAAACTGAACAAAAGCATATAAAGCAATATTATTCAGCCACTGGACAATAGACAATACAGGACAATGGTTCCTGAAAGAAGGGTAATCAAAGGGGAAAGCTTACAACTGTGCTAGTTGACTTCCTGGAGGCAATATCCAGACCACAGAGTAGAGATGGAGAACCCAAATAGAGTTCAGAAGTTTTGCTGACCCTTAGAAATAGAGATCAAAGTTTAGGAAAGCCTCAAGGGCTAAAATTTTGGAGCCAAAGTACCAGAAAAGAAGGAACTGCAGAGAGAGAGAGAGAAAGATAAAATGAGATAGATAAACAGACAGAGAGACACAGAGAGAGATACAAAGAGATAGGAGAGAATGAGGATGAGCACTGGAGACTTACAGAGATGTTTCTTCTAATCTTTGACAGAGGACTTATAGAGGAAACAAGCAAATGCCAGAGAAAGGACCAGCAGAAAGAAGTATGAGAAATAATTGCTAGCACTCACACAAGGTTGGGAATAGTTGACGTTTTCCCCAGCCAGAGTGAAAAGACCACAAGGTGTGTGTTAGATTCACAAAATTGTATTTCTTTACAAATGGTGCAAAATTAGCTCTAGGCAATCAGATCTGTACCTTCTTTAACAATTTATTTAAAATGCTCAAAAGCTACTTAACTATGTGCCATTACAAAATCAAATCCTACTTGAAATCCAGTATACAAGTGTACAATTCAAAATGTCTACCATCTAGTAAAATATTACCAGGCATGTTAAAAAGCAATGTGACATGACTCATATCCAGGAGGGAAAAAAATCCATTAATGGAAACATACTTAAGAAATGGCAGAGGTGATGGAATTAGCAGACAAGTTGTTGTTAAAACAACTATTATAAATATGCTCCATATGTTCAAGAAGGTAGAAAAACAAATGTGATAAGGAGAGACATGGAAGAAAGAAAAGACACCCAAATGGAACTCCTAGAGATGAAAAAGTATAGTGTGTGAATTAAAAATACATGAGACAGGATTACAACAGATTAAATAATATAGAGGTAAAGATTAATGAACTTGGAAACAGTAATAGAAGTTATGTGAATGCAAAATGAAGCACAGAGAGTAAATTTTTTTTTAGACAGAGTCTCACTCTGTCACCAGGCTGGAGTATAGTGGCACAATCTTGGCTGACTGCAACCTCCGCCTCTCGGGTTCAAGTGATTCTCCTGTCTCAGCCTCCCGAGTAGCTGGGACTGCAGGCGCATGCCACCACGCCCAACTAAATTTTTTTTTTTTTTTTTTTTTTTGTATTTTTAGTAGAGACAGGGTTTCACCATGTTGCCCAGGCTGGTCTCAAACTCCTGAGCTCAGGCAATCCATCCGCCTTGGCCTCCCAAAGTGCTGGGATTACAGGCATGCGCCACTGCGCCCGGCCGAGAGTAAGATTTTTAAAGCCTTGAAAAATTAATTGCATTAGTAACCGTGGCATGAAAGCAGGTGGTCCAACATACATAATTGGAGCCCTAGAAGGAAGAGGGAGGTAGAAAATAAGTTTAGAAGAAACTAAAAAGTTTCCAAAATTTGATATAAACTATAAAAAGGTCCAATGAACATAACACAACCTGAACAAAACATTAAAAAAATAAAATTGCTGGCCAGGTGCAGTGGCTAACACCTGTAATCCCAGCACTTTGGGAGGCCGAGGAAGGTGGATTACCTGAAGTCAGGAGTTTGAGACCAGCCTGGCCAATATGGTAAAACCCTGTATCTACTAAAAACACAAAAATTAGCTGGGTGTGGTGGTGTGTGCCTGTAATCCAAGCTACTTGGGAGGCTGAGGCAGCAAAATGGCTTGAACCCAGGAGGCAGGGATTCCCGTGAGCCAAGATTGCACCACTGCACTCCAGCCTGGTGAGAGAACAAGACTCCGTCTCAAAAACAACAACAACAACAACAACAACAACAACAAAGAAAATCAAATAGCTAAAATTAGTGATAAAGAATATCTTATCAGAAGTTGGATAATACAGTCAGGATACATAGAAAGGAACAAAGATCAGACATGTGATGGACTTCTTAGAAACTATGCAAGGGAAAATACAATGGTGTGGCATCTTTACTGAAGAAGAAAAATTGTTAACTAAGAATTTTGTACCCAGAAAATAATTCTTTCAAAAACGGAGGCAAAGCAAACTCTTTTTTAGCCAAACAAAAGCTGAGACAGTTAATTGCCAGCAAATCTGCAATTTGAAAAATGTTATAAAAGGTTGTTTATAAAAGGAAAATGATACCAGATAAAAATTTGCATCTAAGCAAAGGAAAGAAGAGCACCAGAAATGGAAATTATGTGGATAAATATAAAGATTATTCAGTTTTTAATTTTTAAAACAGAATTGATAATAGAACAAAATAATGTGCTATGTTAATATATGTAGAAGAAAACGTATGCTAACAGTAGCACAAGAAAGTGAACAGGAATGTAAAATTAAATACTGTGAGGTTTGTAAATTATATCTAAAGTGGCATAATGTAATTTGAAGGCATATTCTAATAAGTTAATGGTTTATATAGTAAATCCTAGAGGAAACAGAAGAATAAAATGAAATATGTGTCACCTACTAAGAATCCACTTTATAAAGATACAGATAAAGTTGAAAGAACGGAAAGATGACACTAGACACTAATCAAAATCCTTGAAAAAGTAGTTTAGCACAAAGGGACATTTAGGACCCCCACTCACAAGACTGCAAAAGTTTGAGAGATATATGGAGAATCATCTTCTAACAAAAAGCAAGCTGAAGACTAGGACAAAATCTATTCAAATATATATCTAAGATAGGACCTATACCGAAATATATAAATAATTGTTGATAAAACTCAGTAATAATGAGACAAACAAAAAGTGGGCAAGAGTTTTTGACAGATATTTCACCAAAGATGATATATGAATGACAAGCACACACATGAAAAGATAATCAACATCAATAAATTATTAGAAAAATTCAAATTAAAACTGCAATGATACACCCCTACTCCTGAGTAGAATGGCTAAAATGAAAGACTGAAGATATGAAGTATAGAGTATGTGGAGCAACTGGACCTCTCATACATTGCTAGTGGGAGTTCAGAATGGTATGTTTTGGAAAATAGTGTGGCACATGCTTACACAAATATATAGTTATCAAATGACTCAGAGATACCCTTTGAGTTATTTGTCCATGAGAAAATAAAATAAATATCAACATAAGACAGATATAAATATTTATAGGGACAGGCAATGTAGCTCAAGTCTGTAATCCCAGTACGTTGGGAGGCCAAGGCAGGTGGATCACTTGAGGTCAGGAGTTCGAGACCAGCCTAGCCAATATGGTGAAACCCTGTCTCTACTAAAAATACAGATGGTGCACATCTGTAGTCCAAGCTACGCAGGAGGCTGAGGCACGAGAATTGCTAGAACCCAGGAGGCTGAAGTTGTAGTGAGCCGAGATCACACCACTGCACTCCAGCCTGGGTGACAGAGCGTGACTCTGTCCCCCTCCCCCCAAAAAATTATAGAACTTTCCCACACTGGAAACAAATCAAGGGTCCTTTACCAGATAAATGCATAAACGAATTGTGCCATATTCAAACAATGGAATGCATTTGAGCCATAGAAAAGAAAGAACTAATGTTACATATAACACATGGATAAATCTCAAAAGCATTATGCTAAGTGAAAACAGCCAAAAACGAAAATACTGAATGATTTCATTTCTATGAAATTCTAGAAAAGGCAAAACTAGCGTTAGAAGTCACTTCAGACATTGCCTGTGTTGAGAGTGAGACATTATCTACGGTAGGCATGAGAGAACATTTTGAATGAAGGGAATATTCTACATCTTGATAGTGGTACTGGCCACATTGAATTATTTCCTTATATTTGTTGAATTTTTACTTATATGTAAATTCCACTTCAATCAAGCTGTTAAAAATAGGAATGTGAGACCAGGCACAGTGGTTCACGCTTGTAATCCCAGCACTTTGGGAGGCCAAGGCGGGCAGATCACCTGAGATCAGGAGTTCGAGACCAGTCTGGCCAACATGGCGAAACCCTGGCGAAAAGCTGTCGCTACTAAAAATACAAAAATTAGCCAGGCGTAGTGGCAGGCGCCTGTAATCCCAGCTGCTTGGGAGGCTGAGGCATGAGAATCGCTTGAACCCGGGAGGCAGAGGTTGCAGTGAACTGAGATCATGAAATATAGTTACTCCAGCTTAGGGGATAGAGCAAGACTCTGTCTCCAAAAAAAAAAAAAAAAAAAAAAAAAGTAATGTGGCTTTTCTACAATTTTAGCAAATATCAGAGTTGACTATCAAATCATATTTTTCCTTTCAGCAAGCATGATTTTGTGTTGACAGTTGAATATTTTTTCTCTTACTCTTTCTTAAAAATCGTGGTTTGCAAGTTGCCATTTTATGAGATTTTATTACTTATTTTTTTAAATTACTGATATTAAAATTTAGCCAGGTTGGAACTCTCTTATTGCCTAAAACTCCAGCTTAGCTTTAGAAGGTATTTCAAAGGTCATTGCCACTTTTCCTGTTAAATTTGATAGGAATAAAATGACAACCAATTTATTTCATTTTAATTTTCAGGATTTTTTCCTGAGTTCAGTCCTATTAATCCTTATGATCATGACCATATTAGGCTTCATGACTTTATCTTTCTAATTCTCATGACTGTATTTCCTGTAACATTTAGAGCTAACATTTATTGAACACTTACTATGTGGAAAACTATCTTAACAACATCATACATTTACTTCCTTTAATTCTCACAGCACCCCTGTGAAGGAAGAATAATTATTTTTTTACTCCATTTTATAGATGATGAAACTGAGACACAGCAACTTCCAAATTCATATAACTAGGAAGTAAGGAAGCAGAGATTTGCTTTTAAGCAGTCCCACTTTACAGCCCATTGTCTGAACTATCAAACTACAAATCCTATAATTTACAGATCTTAAATTCTAGTTTTTAGAAGAATCAATTCGCTTAAATATGACTCTCAGACCTTTCCCTCTCCCTCGTGATGGTTTCAACATGAGTTTTGCATCCCCTCCAAAAACTCATGTTGAAATTTAGTTGGCATTGTGAATGGTATTAAGAGATGGAGACATTAAAAGGTGAGTAGGCCATGAGAACACTAACTTCATACATGGATTAATGTTATTGTGGAAGTGGGATTATCATGAGAGTATAATCCGTTATAAAAGCGAGCTTGGCCCTTTCTGTCTCTCTTATATGAGTGCTCTCTTGCTCTTCTGCCTTCCACCATGGGTAGATGCAGCAAGAAGACCCTCACCACATATGGGCCCCTCACTCTTATGCTTCCCAGCCTCCAGAACTGTAAGAAGCAAATCTGTTGTTATTTATAAATTACCCAGTTTTAGATATTCTGTTATAGTAGCACAAATGGACTAACACAGTGGGTTCGAGATGAATACAATCATCTATATTTTAGTAAGCACTCAGGTCACCATCACATCTGGTTTGTTGAACTCAGTTTGTAAAACCTCATTTTGAACTTCATCTACAAGGTATCAGTGACCGTAAGCTAATTTTTTACTTTCTCGGTGCCTTTGTCTCCTAGGTCTCAAAACGGTGTGGTTCTTTTAAGATAAATTGAGATGACAACTCCTGGCACAAAGCACATTTTTTATAGTAAGTTAGTTTGGTTTTGTTGCTTTTGGTGGTAGATATTACTGCAAAAAATTAGTTGACAGTGGCTACTAATACCATCTTATATTTCAGTCAGAGTGAAAGATATTGCCTAATATGCAAAAGGTATTTCAAAGTGAAAAGACATCTTATTGAATGTGAATCCTTTTTTTTCAATCTAATTGTTCCAGGAATTACGATACATTCTCCTCCAATGCATGTTTCCAAAATACCAATGAGCTCATTTGTAATTGGCAAACAGGAATTTTGTACTAGTATAATGCAGAAGTTGTGTAGCTTTATATACAATTTATTCTAGGCAAAGGGAAGCAGAATAGTCAGCGTAGAATTATAACCTTGGGTGGGCAAAGAAGCCCTCAGTTTGAATGTTGTATAGTCAGCAGGAGCCCTTTTGGCTCAGTTTTAAGAAAACTAAAAACAAAAACAAAAATGAATGCCTGCATCTGGGGCTTCCTCTTCAAAGGGGCATGCCCCTGGCCTTGTGCAGCTCTTAAATATTTGCAGTTGCCCTGACCCTGTACCCATTTCAATGGCAAGCCTACTGGCTTGGAGTTTGCCTTCCAACCGGATTTCTTCCACCAATTCTGGTTAAAGTGTTGCCAGCATTTATACCCAATTATTTTTTTATGTAATTCTGAGTCACTTCCTTGAGTGGTCCAAATTATTTTCTGAGGTGCCAATATTATTTTTGCTAGCAATATACTCCCAAAGTTGCATATGTTTTGAGTGAACTTCCTAGAATCAATTTTTCCCACAAGTTCTATTATTTAGGTGCTGTTTTGTTTTGCATTGTGAGGATTACAAGTTGCATATGTCTTATTATGAACTAAACCTCATTTTACGAACATGAACCTCTCCAACTCTGTATTACCTTATAGTTTCTGAAAGTTATAATGTGTTGAATGGTTTGCAAATTGCAAAATAACTTACTTCCTCAGAGAGATTATTTCATTTCTTTGATACCACTAGTGTTGTATTTGTTTTGTATTACCCCGCTGTGTAAAGCCCACTTGGGTTACTATTTTTAAAGCCTGCAAGACTTCTAACTTACATTTCCTGTCTTCTATGCTGCATCAGCAGAACATATACTTTTAGTTATTGGCTCTTTCATCTATAAATTACTGCTTCTTAGATAAAAGTACGTAGTGATTTAAAGACCTGGAAACAGTAGGCCAAAGATGACCATTTCTTCACTAAAGAAAGACATTTTCTATAAAAAATGGTTACGATTTAATAATTTCCATGATTCATTGTGTCTATACTAAGTGTCCACCACTCATTTTTCTAAGACCTTTGGTTGCATTATTACTAATTTTTATATTTGGTGTATATAATTGCTCTCTGTATCCATTTTCTGAGTGCAATCAGTTTCAGAACAATAATGCATGGTACATTAGATGTTTTCTTAAAAGTTTACCCCTTGTTTATTTAAAGTTCCTGACATGCTTTAACCAGAAATAGAACATGCTATGATTATATTAAAATAATTCTATGGATGGAAGCATCATCATTCATTCTCACTGAGTATCTGTTTGGACAGTTTTTAGAAGCTTGGGATTTTAAGTTGGACGTCATAAGCTTGAATAACAGTGTTATTTTCAACCATTTTAAAAGACAGGTTTACAAACTAAAATCATACATTCTTTCCCCCTTTCTAGCTTCATCATTTTAGTCAATTTTTTCAGTGTCTCCAAGTCATAGCTGTTCTTTCTATAAAGTGAAGAAAATAAATATGCCTATACTTTGAGTCATTCCAATGATTAAATGTGATAATGCATAAAATGCTTAGCTCCATAACTGCTTTGTAATACATTCCACATAAGTGTTAGCTTTGAATGTTTTTATAATCATGACTTATTAAATTTGGGAACAATGATTACTACATATTTAGTGCCCTGCTTCCTGTGTTTACTCTATTTTCATAACCTAGGCAGCTATGGTCCGATGAATGATTTAACTGCTTTAGCTAGTTGCACTATTGCATGATTTTAGCCTGATTTCATGGGATGCAACAGAATGAACATCGTGGCTCATGGCTGTCAGTAGTGAAAAATAGCTGGAAATCAGACAAACAACTTTATTGCTGAGATTGTTTCCGGGCTAAAAGTTCTTCCAACAGCTGTTTGTTTTGGCCATTAACATGTCCATTCTTTTTATTTTTTCTGAGCTGGGGGAAATACAATTTTCTTTAAAAAGAGAATGCAGGCTGGCTATTTCTGAAATCAGGAAGAACCCCTGTCCTTCCACTGTTGTGGTCTTTTGGCTGCTCTGACAGTTGGACTGAAGGGCTTTTCCTTTTGATTTTTTCCTCTTTTTCAATCTCAAAGTTCAGACTCAGACTGCTTTAGTGAGAAAAAAAAATAAGCAAAACTAAGAGCTCTTTAATCCTAAGAAGGAGCTTTGTAGCAGTTACCTTGAAGAAGAGTTTACTCCCCAAAGGAGTATTTAGTATTACTTAGATACTGAGTCACTGAACAGAGAGAGAGAGAGAGACAGAGAGAGAGAGAGAGAGAGAGAGACAGAGAGAGAGAGAGAGAGAGAGAAAGAGAGAGAGAGAGAGAATGAGAATGAATATGAATCCCAGCCAGCAAGAAAGAAAAGATACTTAACTAAAGATGCAGGGAAGTTTTGCCTCTTCCTGAAAATTATATTATTAGCTTTTTAAAAATCAGGATGACTGCTAGTTTTGTTTAAAGTATTTGTTCTGGAAATACTAAAGTTGGAGTCTACCAGACTGAGGTTAGAAGCATTTTCTTTGGCAGCAAGAAGATAATTTTATAGAAGCCATGCCTGTTCTTGGGGTTGCCTCAAAACTGAGGCAGCCAGCTGTTGGGTCAAAGCCTGTGCATACTGCTCTTCCGATACCAAATCTTGGCACTACTGGGTCACAGCACTGTTCTTCAAGACCTTTGGAACTTACTGAAACAGAGAGCTCCATGCTTTCTTGTCAGCTTGCGTTAAAATCAACCTGTGAATTTGGAGAGAAGAAACCCCTCCAAGGAAAAGCCAAGGAGAAAGAAGACAGCAAGGTTAGTTGCTGAAGTTACCTGCAGACTTGTGTAGCTAAAATGCACATTTCTCTTTAAGTGCACTATAAAACATGTTATGAAATGGGGAGTAGTAGAGGAATACCAGTGTAAGGATGTAAGTAGTTATAATGGCTGAAAAGCTGAATATTTAGCTTATGTAAACACTGTATTCTTAGTTTAGAGTTGTAAAAGTCATGATCAAAATTTTCTGAATATGCATCTATTGTAATCATTTAATACTACTTATTGATGAATGCCTAGTTAGTTCTAGATATTGCTCTATTACTAATAATCATAATCAGTCACAAATGTGAGAAAAAGAGAACCTATTGTCATCCATACTGCAATGTATGAAAATAGGTACTTTCAAAAAGACATTTATTTGTAATAATTCATATAGACACCATCACTTTTCTCTAAATGTCATTTGCATTTCAAAGAATTTCTGCTTGAAAATTTGTATCATAGGCTGCTTAATTCATTGCAGTATGAAGGAAAATGACATACTATTTTCCTTGATACTGCACATTTATATGGACTTTCCCTTGTAAACTGAAACGCTACTCTTTTACTTATTACTGACATCTTTTTCAGTCATTTAATTTATGATATTTTGTGAGTAGTTGCTCATAGCCCTTGGTTTCTAAAGCATACTACAACCGTTTTCTCCAGTCACGCATGCTAGAATGGCACTGAAGCTGCTGAACTTCATGCGGATTCATTTGTACCTTGATAAGCGTCACTTTTGTTTTGTGCATTTTTACTTTTATTGGTACATATTAGGTGTATATATTTATGGGTACATATTGGTGTATATATTTATGTGGTTCATGAGAGATTCTGATACAGGCATACAATGTGTAATAATCATATCAGGGTAAATGGAGTATCTGTTGCCTTAAGCATTTATCATGTCTTTGTGTTGCAAACATTATATATTCTTTTAGTTATTTAAAAATATAGAATAAGTTATTGTTGACAGTAATCATCCTATAGTGCTATCAAATACTAGATCTTATTCATTCTATCTAAATGTATTTTTGTACTCATTAACGATCCACACTCCCCCTACCCCTCGCCACTACCCTTTCCAGCCTCTGGTAACCATCATTCTACTCAGCATCACTTTTTAATGCAGCATTAACTATGATGTCAAGCTTTCCAAAGTCACAGCCTCGTCTCTGGCTTCTTAGGAAATATTTTCATTTTACTCTGCTATCCAAATGTTAGTTTAAAATAATTTAAGGAAAAAACCTTTATACAAAAATCAACTCTAGAAGTGAAAAAGAAAGCCACTCCTTTTTCTACAATGCCCATCCCACCTTCACCTGTTCAGATCCTTTAAGCTTTATCCCAGATCCAACTTTATTCATAAAGTCTTTGCTAGCTATCCCTTCCCCACCATTCCTCCTTCCCAATTCTTTTTCTGTAGAAATGCTTGTGTATTTTAATTATCTGGATAATTTCTTTTAATTATCTGGATAATTTATTTGTATCTCCACTAAGTTGAAAACATATAGAAGGCAGGTCTCGTATCTTATCCTGTGTTCCAGCTCTCTCCCTGTACAATGCTTTATGCATGATAAGAATTAAATAGTAGTTGGATGAATGAATACAGCAATTAATGAATCAATGAATGAATAAATAGTTATTCCGAGAAGGATTCAGTTAAGTTTGTTCATCTTTTGGAATCATTTCGAAACAGGAAATGTTTCCTTGTCCCCCTCACAGGGCATGTGACAGCAGGAGTGGCTTACGTCTTCAATGCCCCGCTGCTGAAACCTCTAGAGGGATCATGCAGATGGGCAGGGTGTGGAGCTTCGACCCTACAGCAGCATCTAGGGTTGAGTATTTACAGCTCCTGAAGCTCCAGTGGGCGTGTGTTACAGTGTGTTCTTTTAGTTTTGCAGTATGAAGGTGGCTTGTGTTAATCAGCTCAGTTAGACCCTCTGCCTTATTGCAAGGGCAGAGGGCTTTCTGTATTCTGGGTTCTCGCCTTGGTTCCGGAAAAATCGAGTCACATGTGGGCTTGGAGGATGAGTGCAAGGTTCTTTTGAATGTTGGAAGTACCTCTCAGCAGATGGATGGGGAGCCATAAGGCGGAAAGGTGATTTTCCTCTGGAGTTGGGCCGCCCAGCAGCCAGACTCTCCTCTGACCTCCCTGGCTAGATTCCCCTCGGGTCCATGTCGTTCTGCAGTCGATGGCCTGCCGGTGTCTGCAGGTGCCTGTCGGTGTCCTCTTCTGCTGGTGTGTTCCTTTCGACGTCCAGCCGCTTATGTGTTCCTTTCGACGTCCAGCCGCTTGTGTGTTCTTCCGCCAGTGTGTTCCTCTCGATGTCCAGCCATTTTTGTCTCTGCCTGCTAAGGTCTCGGGGTTTTTATAGGCACAGAATGGGGAGGTGGTGGGCCAGGGTGGTCTTAGACAATGCAACATTTGGGCATGAAAACATAAATGCCTGTCCTCACTAGGTCCATGGGCACAGGCCCAGGGGTGGAGCCCTAGCCAGGGACCCCATCTTTCTCTACACAGCACTTCCCTGCCCCCTTCCTGTATCAATTTTATGTATAAAACAAGGGGTTGGGAATGGATGATTTGTGGAGTTCTATGTCTAACATAGCATTGTCCATGTGAGAAAAATCAGTTAAAATAAAATATTTTTTATGGGTTTATAGTTCTCAGTTCAAAGTGAACAATTCAGAGTAAAAAGCAGGGAAACATAAATTATCAACAAAATACTAAAAATATTTATCTTTTTGCAAATAATTAAAAGAAATGCCATAAAATTCCATTCTAATCTTCTGTGTATCCACAAGTCTGTATGGATTCAATGGCAAGAATAGAGAGAGACACTGTCTCTGCTGACCATGGCTATCTTTTCTGTAGGTTTAGTGAAACTTCCACTTTGCTAAATGACCTTGGCCTAGGATTTGAGCACTATAAGCACTGTTTTCAATATAATTTTGGTTGATCTCTTTGGTTAGCAAACATATTAATCAAACATCTGATATCCCAATAAGCCTCTGTGGTAAGCAAAGTTGTATTTATAGGGATGTTTTCACCATGCCACTTATCAGATTAAAAATGTTTTCAAACAAATGTAAAGAATGCCTGGTCAGCAGTTCAGAATATTTCTAAATGTTAAAAAGAAGTATATGTAGAGTTATTTTAGCTTTTGGGAAAAAAAAAAAAACCCAGAACTGAAGTAAATAGCAAAATCGAACAAGGTAGTTATATTAGAGAGAATTAGACTTGGCTGCAAAAGCAGAAAAGTCAACATAACAATAGCATAAAGAAGATAGACGTTTATTTCATTTTCATGTAAAGGAAATCTGGAGTTGAGCAGTCCATGTATGGCTGGTAGGGAGACTTCAGGAAGTTGTCAGGGAACCAGGCTCTATTTTGGTTGCCATCATCGATTTGTGGCTCACACCTCATAGTCTTGAGTAGATAATTGCACTCCACTTAATTAAAAAGATACACCCTGTTTTATTAAATATTCTTCCACACTGGCCTCGTTATAGTTCCAAGGCCTTACCTTGCTCCAATGGAGACTGAAAAATGTAGTATTTGTTCTAGGCAGCCATGTGCTCAGCTAAGAATTATGGGTTCAATTTCTAGGAAAAGATACTATTGATAGTACCCACAATAGACGACTGTCATTAAGAAACATTTATGTGGGGTACTCTGCTAGTCCTTGTACCAAACAGTTTTATGATCTGGTTTGAGAGAACAAATTTACATATGACAGTGTCAGAAATGTGTGTTCAGTTGTCACTCCCTTCACCTGTTGTTTCAATTAGTGCAAATGCCATCATTCCAGTCATCTAATCCCGAATTCCTAGACTAATATCTGGTAAAGTACATCACCATTTCACATCCCATAACTTGCCAGAAGTTGAGAATTTTACTTCAGTATTATAGCTTGGGTTTATCTTCTTCTGCAATTGCTCATCCTTTGATGGCCTTTAAAGTTTCCTATCAATTATTTCAGTGATTCCAAATTGGTATCGTCTCCTCCTGTGTCTCTCTACCCACATCCATGCAGCATATTCACCATCCTGCTTAAGAAGAAAACTTTATTTGCTTCTCATATCTTATAATGTCTTCATTCAGGCATTCTTGTCTCCCAGTTGTCACTTTCTCTATTTCCGTCATAGCTCCATCTAGCTGCTACATCCCAGATGTCTTCTTCCTGGGTGTCCCAATTTCTTCAGAATGTTTAGTCCCACTGTCCTTTAACAAATAAATAATACTAGTTCCAGACTCTATGTCATATGCAGTTGGAAAATCCTCCACAATATTTCAAGGGCTTATGTTTTCCTTAGCTATATCTTGTTCTGATTTCTTTCTTATCTCAAATTTTCTAATCTCTCTCATATGGATTTGTTTTTCCATTCTTCCTGGGCATACACCCAAATGAAGAACAGAGTCACTTTGCCTTGGAACCTTTACTTAACATTCTGGAAGTTAAGGTTAAGAAAGAGTGTTCTATTTTGTCACAGCTCAGCAAACAACATCCAATTAAGCATTAAACATCCCTGTTCATGAAAGTTTCTTGGCCATACTTACTGTGGAGCACTTCCTGGCTTTTACATCTCAATCCCCAGTCTCCTTCCAACTTGGTCTGCCACCTTTCTTTTACTCCTATTTTCATTTCCAACTTCTTTCCAGTCTTGGGCTCACTCATTCCTTCCCTCTCAGATTACTTGTGCAAACTCAAGATTCTGTTTTACATTATTATGGAAAGCAATTATTTTTTGTGGACAAGCCTTGTATTTTATAGAAAATTTTTTACTTTATTCTTAAAACATTTCAAAGAAAGTATTATAATCTACATTTACAGAGAAATAAACAGAGAGAGTAGGAGTCATACATAGGATCACACAGTTAACTAGTAACAAAATCCAAAATTTGAATTAAAGTTTGTTCAAAGGAAGACTTTTTTCTATGTTATTTTATTTATACTTTCTCTTAATGATGTAACAGCAATATTTTTTCTGGGTTTACCCTATCATCCAAATCTTACCCACTATTTAAGATTATTTCAAAGGTCAAATAAAAGTATAGACAAATTGGTGTGGATGCTATAAGGGAGGAGAGATTACATCCGCTTGGGGCAATCCAAAGAAATTTATTCAAAGAGTAGAGGCGTTTATGTCCATGGTAGAATGTATGCTTATTTAATTCCTATTCACTCTGCTAGTTAAGGGCAACCATGGTAAGAATTATTTCTTGCTGTTGTGTTCACACAGAGCTGGCACTAATGCTTTGAAAACAGAAAATACACAAAAACAGTAGTTAAAATAAATATTTAAAATAAGCATAAATAATATTGTCATGCAAATGTATTGTATAAATAGTATTGCTAATGTGGACAATTCTTTTGCAGAATGTTAGGGCTGAGAGAAATTGTATATGAATGGAGCATTCAGAAAAGACCGAATTTTTGAAATTTAATGAGCAGATAGGACTCAGATATATAGAGTAAAAACATTCTTTTGAGGAAAAGTTATGTAAACTTTTAAAGTTTAAACTTTAAACTTTAAAAGTTTACATAACTTTTCCTCAAAAGGGAAGTAAACAACTATAAATGAAGCATAATATTTATGGAAAACAGCAGGTAGACAATGGAGAAAGATCTTATGTAAGAATGAGACCAAATGACACTGGTAATGATATTTAGGAGAAATCATTGCAGACAGGTCTAATATTAACCAATGGTTAGAGAATGGCTGTATGTCAGGTACTGGGCCAAACACTTCATAGAGTATTCCATTCAGTCCTCACAATAGCCTTATGGCATAGGAATTATTATTCTTCCCGTTTTACAGATGGAGAAACTGCAGCTTAGAGAGGTTAAATTACTTGCCAATATCTCAATGCGAGAATGTGGTAGAATAGAGATTCAGACTAAGGCTGTATGGTTACAGAAGACATTATTCTTAACCAAGAAACTACACTGCAGCAATAAATACTTCTTTCGGGGTTAGGGAAAGGGAAGGAGGACTACTGATTGACTTAATTAATAGTAGGGTTTGTTTTAGGTATTAAATTAGCATTGTTGGTGAATTGTAAATCAATCAGTGGTTGTGTGAAGTGCCTAGAATTATCAGGAGAAGACAATTAAGTTGACACATGGTCTCTACTGCATTGTTTGAGTAACAGAAATAAATAAAAGGAACCCCATGTTAGAAATATAGCAGCAGATGTCAATAAAGTAGATCACTGGCTCTGGCCTCCAGCTGTTTCCTTCTTGGAGAAGTTGCCTGATTGCTGAGGACTGTCAATGCTCCTGTTGGCTTGCTCACATGGTAGCATTTCCAGAGCTGGCCAGGCCTACAGCTGCATAGGTCAGCTCTTGGGTCCCCAGACGATTCTGCTTTTCTTGCCTGTTTCTGCTGTGCTTGCACATTTAGTTATTTGTATTTAAAGAAACATGATTATTTCTTTTTCTAGTTATAACTCTCCAGGTTTCACAGTTAAACTGTCGTGGTCATTTTAATTGTTTTTGCTTTTGTGGTAACAATGGTCGGAGAATGTTGAAATAATGCTGGAATTTTAACATTTTCTCTACTGGCAGAAGGCTCAGCTTTTCATTATTGTACATTTATTGCTCTTGAGTAACAATTGGTAGAAATGTGGCCATCAGTATTATTGTCTATTATTTTAGTTCATGCTTTACAGTGTCTTTAAAGGCTTATATTTCATGCTTTGAACTGGAAATTATTAAAATTGTTGATGCTAATTACATGATTAAATGTTGCTGAAAATTTCATACAACTTTTTAATTTTTTTGAAAGTTTCAGTATTTTGTGTGTTTTTGATGCCAATTTGCCGAACACATTCTTCTCAGTTTCTTTTTTTCTTGTGTCGTAGACATCTTTCTTTCCTTTAATAAAAACTAAGACTCTAAATATATTGTTTATAGAAACATAAAGCCAATAGATATGTCATTAATTTTCAGGCAAAATAATTGCTACGTGTTTGATATTTATGCTATCAAATCACCAACAATTATCCATATCCAATTTTGAACTTGAAAGATTAAGTGGTATAATTAAAAGAATATTGTATTAGGAGCTCAAATTTTGAATTAAACTTATGCTAGATCCTAAAAGTGTAAATCATTTAAACTCTCTGGACTTCAATCTCTGTATTTGTTAAAAAATGAAATGAAATGAGGATAATAGTTGCTTATAAAACTTTTCTAAGAGTAACATTTTTATCTCCTCCCTTTCTCTTTCTTCCTGATTTTGTTCCATTAGTGATCCCATTTCTCATATTGTCAATGTCTTCATCCCCAATGCATCATTGGACCAAGATGTTTCAGCCTTGGCACCAGCGACATTTAGAACTGATAACTCTGTATTAGGCATAGGGATAGAGTCTGTTATGAGCAGCGTAGGATATTTGGCAGCATGTCTATCTCTATCCACCATGTACCCTCCAGGTTTCACAATTAAACTGTTATGTACCAGTGGCATCCTTTGTATTTGAGAAAGGCAAAATCAAATACAGTTGAGAAATGCTGCTTTAGAATCAGCTTCCAATAATGCTTTGGTCTTTACTAACTTAAATCATAGTAATAACAACAACAATAATAATTTTCTTCACCATATATCAATTGCTCCATATTTCCTATTTCACAGAGACATTTCTTGAAAGCACAGTTTATGTTCATGGTCACTGTCAAGCTTTGCATTTGCTTCACTTTTTTTGATCTCTGACTTTTGGAAAACTCTGACTTTTGGAATACTCCAATATTTACTAGCAAAATGACTTTGGCAAGGCAGTTAATACTTAAGTCTCAGTTTCTTCATCTTTAAAATGAGGATAATCATGTAAATGAGCACAGAATTTTTGTGAAGATTAGAAGAGATATTGCTTATAAACTATATGTCAAAAGAGGGCCTAATACATAGTTGGTGGTCAACACTTATTACCTACTAGTATTATAATATTATAAAAGTATCTGATACTTTCACATAAAAGTGCATAAAATTAATAATTGGTAGTGGAATAGAGGAAGCAGTGATTAATTCTCTATAGATGGGAAAAGTAACATTTCAACCAGGTCTTGAAGGTTAAGCATGGTGGCTCACACCTGTAATCCCAGCACTTTGGGAGGCCAAGGAAAGTGGATCACCTGAGGTCAGGAGTTCATCTAGACCAGCCTGGCCAACATGGTGAAAACCCATCTCTACTAAAAATATAAAAATTAGCCAGGCGTGGTGGCAAGTGCTTGCCATCTCAGCTACTCAGGAGGCTGAGGTATGAGAATCACTTGAACCCAGGAGGTGGAGGTTGTAGTGAGCCGAGATCGCGCCACTGTACTCCAGCCTGGGGGATAGAGTAAGAATCTGTCTAAAAAATAAAAAAATAAAAATAAAGAATGAATTTGATTTAGTCAAGTAAATATGGGAAAAAAGAACATTTTATATGGAATAGCATTTACCAGGCTATGAAATAGTGTGTTGTGTTTATAAACCTACAGGTTACTCACCAATCTTAGGATGTAGGATGCAACCAAGAGAGATGAGGCTTATTCAAGTCAGTGGGAAGATGGGCATTAAATGCCATTGTAAAGAGTTTGGACTTACTCTGTACAGAATGGAAGAAGTATGCTAAATGTCAAAGTGACATGATTAAGTTCATATTTTGAAAGCTGACAACAAAATAAAATATATAAAGAGCCAGTAAATGGGTGGGGGACATTTCCAAAATACAGATGAGGAGAATATGATGGAGCAAGGTTTTCACTAAAGTACCAAGCTCAAGAGCAATGGAAGAGGGACAAATCTAGTAAAACAGGCTATAGATGTTTGGATTAAGCTATTAATCATCAGCAATCCAAAAATTCTATATCTTGGAGGATAAATACATTTTCTTCACTCAGAAATGTACAGTTTAGTTGGAAGTGATAATTTGTGTGAACTGGGTAGCAAGTAGTAGTTAAAATTAAGGATTATTACTAACACTTTTTGAGTGCCTCCCACATGCTGGAAGTTATACCCAAGCTATAACTCTGGTCAAACAGCCGTAGCAACTGATCTCAGAGAGATGCTAGGGCAGAGCTGGAATTCCAACCTAGGTCTATTTGACTTCCCTGTCCTTACTCTCTGAGTCTCCCTCTCTGATGTTTCCTCACAACAATGTATAGACAATCAGCAGTCAAAATCAATGTTATTCTTTACTGTCTTTGTGGATACTGAGTCACATAATAAGAAAACAAAGAAAATAATAAATTCTTACCAGGAGCACTGAATTAATCTTTGACAAATTTCACTTTGGACTCTTCTGTCTCTGCAAATCCCACTGTTACTTCATTTTTCTGTAAGAACTGTTTTACTTTGGATTACTAGTTACTGGGTCCAATACAGAAATTTGATATCTGTGGTAGAGTTCATTAATTGGTTACATGGAGGACCTCCCCTCTGCAAATCATAGAATTATTTGTTAAAATGTGTTGCAATTCTGCCTGGAAAAAAAGTCACTAGATGAAAGAGTCATGTAAAAATGTAACATTTTCCCAGTATAACAACGTGATGCCACCTCCATAAACGAAAAGCAAAAACAAATAAATAAAAACTATGGGCTATCTCTTCTTTTTGCTGTATTTTGATATTGTAAGTAACTTTTCTGTAAAACTGAAAACCTGGAGTGGGCAGGTTCAAAATTTTTCATAATGAAATGTGACCAAGCAAATTTTATATGCAATCAAAATGGCATTGCACTAGTTAAGGTAATGCTAACTTCTATAACAGATAAAACCTAGGTCTCAGTGGCTTAACACAATAGAAATTTATTCTCCACTTTTTTAATGCTCTCATATAGTTAGGGGTTAACAAACTATGACCCAAAGGCCAAATTTGGCCTGGTGCCCAGTTTCCTAAAGTCAAATCTTGTTGGAACACAGCCCTGATGCTGGTTTATGCATTTCCTGTGGCTGCTTTTATCCTATAATGGCAGAGATGAGTAGTCACAATAGAGACTATGTGGCTTGCAAAGACTAACATATATACTAACTGGCCATTTATAGAAAATGGTTGCTGACACATATATATGGTAACAAAGAAACTAGGTTCCCTCCAGTATATGGTTTCATCATCTCACCTCTAGCCAGCCATCAGTGAAAGAGAGAAAATGGAGGATTGCATAAGAGGCTGGGAATTCCACATATCACTTCCACTCTATTTCATTGGTCAGAACTCAGTGAGATGATAATACCTAATTTCAAGAGAGACTAGGAAATATCATGTATCTGTGTACCCAGAAATTACGGGAAATAGTTTGGTAAACTATTAGCCAGCATATAGTTAGCTAGAAACTGGCTATTTAGTCAGATGTTCAAGATTAAGCAAAAATTCACCATTTAAAAAATAGTCTAAGGTGCTCAGATTGTCAATAAGTTGTCCAGAATTACAGGGATATATCTTTTAAAGCAAAACACTGAATAAGAGAAGAACCATAATGACACTCAAGTTACTAAATAAAGATCTTGCAGTTAACCCAGCTTTTAAAAGTAGACCAGGTCCAGATATACACAAATACCATATAAAAAGCTCACTGTGGTCTGTTTCCCACCTTAGGATCTTTCTAGCTATTTTTAATTTCTTCTGTTCCAACCTGCTCATCCAGTCTCACATCCTGAAAGCAGGTCTCTCTCTTGGTCCTGCACCCTTGCTTCAACTTGCTTCAATACCTGTTATTAGCATTATTTTCTTGCTGGACCTGGAAACTCTCTGTCAGAGCTGGGAACCAGAAAGGCCAAGACTGTGTACGATCTGAATTGTAGAAGAGAAGTTTAACAAATCGGGTGAAG
Organism: Homo sapiens; assembly: GCF_000001405.40. Classification (NCBI taxonomy): domain Eukaryota; kingdom Metazoa; phylum Chordata; class Mammalia; order Primates; family Hominidae; genus Homo; species Homo sapiens. The sequence goes on from NC_000012.12 coordinate 77,842,528, forward strand.
TCAAGTATCCAGCAAGAAGGAGGCATTGGCGGGATACTAGATGATGCCAAATAGGTGACTGCATTGTTGTGTAAGGAGGTGTCCTCTCTCTTGGCTTGGAGGTATTGTGAAACTTCTGTCAGCTCATTGCAAAGTGGTTCCAAGGGTCACCGAGTGGGAATGTGTGAATGGATCACTGGAAAACTCAGCATCAAAAGAAGAAGCTCATATTACAATCCTTTCAGACCATGATAAGCACATATAAAGAATATTACACCGAACAATCTCTTTTTAAATGCAAGGTGAATTTCTAAGGTAATTTGTCTGTAGATTTAGTTGTGGTATAAGACTATTTGTATCCAGGTTTCTCCTTCTCTTCAGCAGTGTTCATTGTTTAGCTTCAGCTTGGATCAAGTTAAATTGCTCACTTTTTAGGCTTAAAAAATGTACAGATTATATATTTCTCTTTATTGTCCCTGAATGCTCACATCTTTCATATAAACTTGCTGTACCTTTTTTTTGGACAATTTATTGAATTTCTACAGGGTGATATTTTTGCCAGAACTTTTTATGTTATTATTTTGACTCATATATTATTTGGATTCTGTTTCACATTTCTTTTCTCCTCAAAGCACCTGCTTTTTATACTATTTCTTCCTTCCTTTGGCTGGCTTTTTGATATCCACACTTGTGTGTTGCCTTCCTCCATTGAATACAAGGTTTACTATTATCTCCAACAATATGTTCTCTCAGCTATTGTCTTCTGATTCCAGCTAGACCTATTGTATTACAAAAAAAAAGACTATTTCGGTAAATGTAAACCCTTTCAGTTACCACTTCCAGGTCTGCACTGTGGACCCCAGGTAACTTTCCTTGTTTTTGTTAATCATTTGTGTGTGTGTGTGTGTGTGTGTTTGTGTGTGTATCTTATAGGCATTATAGAAAATATACTTAGAAAAACAGATTGAATATAGATTCCTAAAAAGAACCTGGGGTTCTTTGAATATTAAATTCCTATTTTTTTTTTTTAGGAATCTATAGTCATTTTAGGTGTCTTTTTAGGTTCTTTTTAGGAATCTATATTCATTTTTTCAATATTAAATTCCTATTCAATATTACCTAGAAGCCACAGAAATGATTATAATGCAGATTTTAAACAATCATAGCTTTTACTGTAGGTCTGGATGTAATTGTTTTATTTAGAACAGGTTTGCCGTCTCTAATTGTGACGATCAAAAATATATCCAGACAATGCCAATGCCAAACATCTCACAAAGGGCGGGGGGCATTGCCCCAGTTTACAACCAATTTAGACCCTGTCTTGTTTAAAAAAAAAAAAGATTTAGTAGAATTAAAAACATACAAAATATATAAAATTTCAAAACATATGCAAATAAAATGGGATTATATGAAGAAAAGAACACTAGAAAAGGATAAAGCTAGAGGAAAGGCCGATACATAAAATTTTTGCTGTGCAATTCTGTACAGTGGCTAGGGGTCGTCCACACATTTGGATCTGAGCTGTTGAGCTGTTAAGATTAAGTGAGTAATGTTGCTTTAATCAGTGCATTTGTGCTGCTATGACAAAATACTACAGACTGGGTAATTTATGAACAACAGAAATTTATTTCTTACAGTTCTGGAGCCTGGGATGTCTAAGATCGAGGTGACGGCAGGTTTGGTGTCTGGTAAGGGCTAACTCTGCTTCCAAAATGGCACATTGTTTCTGCATCGTCCACAGGGGAGGGATGCCATGTCTTCACACAGCAGAAGGCCAAAAGAGAATGAACCCACTCTTTCAAGCCCTTTTATAGGGGCCTTATTCCCATCTATGAGGGCTCCATCCTCATGACTTAATCATCATTTAAAGGCCCAACCTGTAAAGCTATCACATTGGTGATTAAGTTTCAACATATGAATTTGAAGGTCACATTCAGACCATAGCAATGCCCAAAGCATGAGCTAATATTTGGTCAGGAGAGTCACAACTTTACTTGCTTCTAGGTGTGCAATAAATTTTTTTGAGTTGTGTTTATAGGGATAATACAATGTAGTTTAAATAAAAAATTTCTCACTAACATTTTTATTCCAGATTTTAATTATTATTTTCTCCCCTTATCCCTCCATTCTATATGGACTTGTTTTAAATTTTTATTTTAATGGTTCTATTAAATATTTTTTCGTTGGGCAGAAAGAATATAGTCATATACATATACCTACATATGATACATGGGCATACTTATTCATCCTGTAGTCTAAATATGTAGAGTATATGTTGCATACAGCATTACAGCAGCAGTAGTTAATATGAAATCACTAAACTTCTAGTCAGGTGGCCTGAATTGGAGTCCTTTACTCCAACTGTGTCATCTTGCATGTTTTTACTCAATTTTCTCGACTTTGGGATTAGGACAAGAATAGCAACCTCACTTAATTGTAGCCAGAAATAAAAGCGTACTGTTATAGCATCATAATAACGTTAAGACATTACCTATCATTTTTGGAAGCAAATGAGACCTACAAACACACAATTTTTAGCACAGGCTATTCTTTTTTTAGAATATCAATAAGCATAGAACTAACGAGAAAAATTTACACACAGTTTTGTATAAATATGTATATGTGTGTATATATATATATGATATTCAATAGCTCCTGGATCCATCTATTTTAATAAAAGGAATCTTGTGGAATACAAATACACTTCCCAAATTCAGGCAGTCTTGTTTTGAAGAAAAACAATCTTAGTAGTGATTTATGGGATAGAGCTCAGATGGGTTTGTGCTTAGATTGGGGCTCAGTGCAGTCTGGCACTGCCTTTAGAAGAGAGGACCATGTGCTCTTGGACTTTGACTAAGAACCTATAACATCCTAATATTGAATGACTTTATTTCAGATTTTTGCTACAACACTTAAAAGAACCCAAGTACTTTATTTATTTTATTGCAGAAAGAAGCATATCTACAAATCATCACGCTTTACTTCACCATTGTTGAATGTTTTTTCCTCCTATGTTTAAGTCAATTAAAAAACCAATGTGGAATAGACAGAAATTTTCTCATCTATTGAAGTTTTGGATATTAGTGATATCTTTTAGAGGTTTTCTATTTTTTCATATTTTCATTAAGTTTGATTAGGCTAATACTTTTTTTTTTTTTTTTTTTGAGATGGAGTTTCACTCTTGTTGCCCAGACTGGAGTGCAATGTCACGATCTTGGCTCCCTGCAACATCCGCCTCCTGGGTTCAAGTGATTCTCCTGCCTCAGCCTCCCAAGTAGCGGGGATTACAGGCACATGCCACCATGCCCAGCTAATTTTGTAGTTTTAGTAGAGACGGGGTGTCTCCATGTTGCTCAGGCTGGTCTCGAACCCCTGACATCAGGTGATCTGCCCACCTCAACCTCCCAAAGTGCTGGGATTACAGGCTTGAGCCACTGGGCCTGGCTGATTAGTTTAATTCTTTAAACATTAAGTGTACCAAAATACTAGCTTTACAATGCAGTGCACTCCAAAAAGCACATAAAGATTACTGATCTCTGAGTCATATCTCCAATTCCGGATGAACGAAGATTGGAGAGGAAAGGGATAGGCTTATGTAGCTGAGAAATGAATTCACTCAAGAGTTGATAAGCACCAAAACCAAAAACACATCCAATACTAAATGACAAAGTGTCTGTAATTTCAGATCCTCCTCCATTAAAATCTATTAATAGAGATTCAGATTTTGTGTTTATTGCTTTAGGTATGAACTATCTGAGAATCCACTGTCAGGAGTTTATTCTCTAAAAGTTAATTCATTTTGTGTTTGCATAATGAATGAATGCAATGTATTTAGAAATAGTGAGGATAATATATGCAGGAAGATAATTCTAATAGAAAAATCTCTTGAAGGATAAATACGAAAATGTTGGAAGAATAAATGAGTTATCACATAGGCTGACCAACTGTACTGGTTATCTTCAGACTGTGCTGATTTTAGTGCGCAGTGTCTTGTTTTGGAGATTCTTCAGTCCCAGGCAAACTGGGATGATTGGTTACTCGAGTTATGAGTCCAATTTCCTTGATTTTCTCCTTGATTTCATTCTAGTTTTCTATAATAGTCTAATTATTAGTTCTAATTTTATAGTAGTTGGAGATCTCATATTTATCAATTTTTAAATATATTATTGCCTTGTTAAATTAAGGATTCGTTGTTAGATGCTGTCAATTATCTATTTCAGATTTAATGGGAAATGTCCTTTCTTTAACAGGAATTTTTCAAATTAGAAGTAGCTTCTTCAGAGGTTTTATTCAAAGGAGAATGATTTTTTTTCAATGAGGTTCAAATATATACATTTGCTCTTCATCCCTTTTTCCTACCATTTTTAACCAGTGTTGGCAATGAAAATAATACACTTTCCTTTTATGAAAAAAGCTTTGATTTGTCAATAAAACAAACATGTCTTAGTTCCATGAGTTCATCATCAGGAAATTTCCAACCTAAATCTTACGGGCCCTGAGTTGAATATAATGATATCTTGAGGTACTGCAGTGAATTTGTTTTTTCTATACCTTCAGAGACTACACACAGATATCAAGACTTTCTTTTCACTTCAACAGTATGCTTCTCCTCTGTAAGACAGACAGGATGTGGTCTAGGAGAAAGTCCACACTTTAACAATAGGCCATTGACAGAATGTGTGGGGAGTACAAAGAGGAAGAGAGCATCTGTCTACACCCAAAATTATCAGAGGCATTTCTGTGTGTGAGAATCTTCGATTTCAAAAATATGTTTTTAAAGGTCACCCGTTTTCCTTCTCTGTTTTTATTGGATGAGGAAAATTGCCTTCAAGATAACAAAACATTTTAAATTCAGGGGAGGAATTGCATCACATTTTGTCTAGTTATCCCAGGCAGAAAATGAATTCCCTCAGGCACTAAACACATTTTCTTTAGCTCTTATGTATGATCTATGTGAATCAAGCTGAGAAAATGAAAAGGGTGGGAAGATGAAATCCAACTGAAAGCAACAGGGCAGAGGATCCAACAGGCAAGAAGTCCTTCTAGGAAGAATAAATGGAGAGTGCCCCAGGTGCTGACTTTATCTACAATTAATTCTGTATAACATTTTCTCATTCATTCTGCATGAGCAAAGATGCTACACAAAGTATTACAAACACCACTATTTTTCTTTCTCTTCTGTAGCCTTGATCAAATGGTAGTTAAATTTTAATTAAATTTCATATTTCAAGGACTTGCAAGAAAGTCTCTGATGTCTTAGCCCCGTGTTTGTTCTCTGCATGTGTAGCTTGTTTTAGCCTTCAGAGGAAAGTTCCCATATATAGCACTCTATCACGATGTTGACCTGTATGAACATCCAGCTGGTGCAGCTGCCAGGAGGCTGAAAGGAGAGTTAGAATGAGTTCCTATGTCTGTCTTGTCTTTTACTTTCTTCTTTTGAATGCTGTTGTGTAAACCTTTTGTTCAAATGTCTTGCCACCTGGATTCTCTTGTGGATGTGTTGCTACTCTCTCCAAAAGACTTGGCAGAGGGTGCTTCCTGTTGTACAGCAGACTTTTATTTACAGAACACCTATAAAACCACAACAAGAATAGTCAGAATATAAAAGATGGCCTTCTAATGAACGTAGTAAAACTTCAGAGCACATTCTTTAGCCAGGAGAAAGTGCTGCAAAGATGTGATTTAGGATGAGTAAGACATAAGTCAAGGTGTGGATCTTTCAGTTTCCACTAGAAAACAACACTTGGATTTCCTGGCAATGTATTTTTGTAATGACTGTGGTTTCTTTTTGTAAACTGTGTCTCAGACAGGGAGGAAGAATGAACCAACTGGATTGTGTAACTTTATAAATAGAAACAGCCATGTTAAAATAACAAGACTGCTCTGGGTTAAGGCAATGAATTTTGCTACTAGCTGTAAAGCTAGGCCACTGAATGAATATAAGATCCATCCTGCAGAGTAACTTCTAAGGCTTGCCCAAAAATGCTTAATGGGAAAAATCTATGAGAAGTCCTTGCTCCCTTCTATTGTATTCCAAGTGTTTTACTCCAAATAAATCAAAACCTTTTCTCTGCTGGATATAGTCAAGTTGGAGACACACAGGAACTTTATCCTCCACTACAAATATTGAATAATGTGCTCATATCATTTTTAATACAGCACATAGTTTACTAAACTTTGGAACAGTTTATCCATCCTGGCAGTGGCATACAGGATAAAGAGTTAACTGCCTTATTATCTGTTGAACAAGATATATGCTACATTTGCCATAGGAACTGGAACACTGAATGATTTAAATTTCATGATTGCTCTTTATTTTTGGAGGAAGAAACCCAGGTGAAAGCAGAGAAATCTCCTAATGAGGATTAAAAAAAATCAATATTTTCAATATGATTCCATGCAATTTCATATGTACTTGAAAGAGATATGTGCTGTGTTTACCAGTCAGTCAAAGTTTATAGTTCATAGCTTTTGAGTCTTTTGGGAATTACTGCATAATAGTGATGTTTTCTTTTATTTTGGTGGCTAATCCTTCATAGACATTGTTGGCAAACTAATCTTCCTGAGCATAGCCATAATCTTGGCAATCATTCAAGCTTCCCCCAATGTAATTAAAATTAAATTTATTTAAACTCTAATTAAATTTCTTTAAACTTTCTTTAATGAGAAACCGATTTGATTCATGTTTATATCTCTTGAGCTTCCCAAACACAATGTGTTGTATGTAATAGTGATTTAAACATATGTGTTGAATAAAAAATAATTATTTTTATGATTGTATTACTTTGACTCATGATTTACTTCATGTCTATATCGCAAAAAGAGCCATCCTAGAGACTGTTCATGATTTATTGGATAGAAATGCCAGCTATGCTATTTCTATGCAGGTTGAGTATTTATAATCCAAAAATTCAAAATCTGAAATTCTCCAAAATCTGAAACTTTTTGGGTGCCAACATGACACCACACATGGAAAATTCCATACCTGATTTCAGGTGATGGGTTGTAGTCAAAACACAGTCAAAACTTTGTTTCATGCACAAAATTATTTGCTGAAAAAATTACCTTTAGGCTAAACGTAGAGTGTATATGAAACATAAATTTCTTGTTTAGACTTAGTTTCCATCCCCAAGATACCTCATTATGTATATGCAAAGATTCTAAAATCTGAAAAGAAAACTCAAAATTAGAAGCACTTCTGGTCCCAAGAATTTTAGATAAGAAATGCTCAATCTATATATCAGTGATCCAAAGTCCAAACCTTAATAATTTTGGCCTTAGCAGAGTATACTAAGTCTACCTTGAGCGATGCTACCCCAATCCAATGGTGGTCACGTGTGTCTCCAAACCTATCTCATCAAATATAGACTTTTGAATGTGGAAGAAAGAGTGGAGGATCTTCTAAGACAAGTGTCTCCTTTTTGTACCTGATTAAAATTAAGACTCGGCAGATTGAAGTGGGTTATCTCAAAGCCATGGCATTTTAAAAAGTGGCTATAAAATTCTACGCCCGTGTCCTAAGCGTCCCATTTATTGATAATTATTGCTTAGGTTACTCTAATAAACCTGCTTAGAAAAATAAATATGTCTTTAACATAAAATTCAAGACTCATAATATTATGGAAAGCCAGCCATAGCCTTGTGCTAGAAAATCAGTAAGGAGGTGGAACATGTTTGAGTCATCCTCCAACACTTACAAGTGTTTTTGGCATTCTTTGATTTCCTTGTCAGAACGTAACTAGTGAAATTCCTCTGTTCAATAACAATATCCATACTCTATTGCCAGGGTAGGTTTATGGATGTTAATAGAGTTTTCCTTGTCAAGGGTGATGTATGATATGGATCTTCCTCTAAGTAATCATAAGTCCGTTGCAGTATAGTAAATCAGCCAAGTGCATTGTAATTTATATGTTTTACTTACAGGGATTTCAGACAGGATACTTATCAAATGTACAAGAAAATGTAACTCAGTATTTTCTGTAACATATTCTTCTTGCTTTCTTTCAAATCTCCTTTCCTGCTGCTGGTGGTTGCAAAGGAGGTTGGTGATGATGGGGGAAACCTAAATTAAGCTATTTTCTTTTGGTTTGAGAAAGCCTCATTAGAGTAAAAGATTAGTAAATTTCAAGGTCAAATTTCTTTTCAGCACCTTTTTTTCCTTTTCTATGAAGTTTCTCTCTTTCTTTCTCATTTTTAAAATGGCTTCTTCAGATGGATGGATACAGTGTGTGTAGGGAAGCTTTTGTGTCCTCAGGGTAATGGCAGATGAAGGGAGAAAAAAGTCTCTGGTTTTCTTGCTACTCTTTGGGTCCTTGCTGGTCTCTGCAGAGTTGGCCCCATCCAGCCTGGTCACTGGACATGTGCTGTGAGACTTGGGCTATGTGGACACCCTCTGTTGGCAACTATTGCTCATATTCTGCACCTGTCCTGATGCCAGCTCTCTTAGAATACTAGTCCTCAGAGCATTCCTGCATAGCACCACTGGGACACATAAGAACTTTTGGATTCATAGACATCGGATACGCTGTCTCAAGCCATATCTACCTAACTGTGTCTTATCATTTTTCCTCTGCTGTGGCTATTCCATATTGGCAAGGAGCACCCCTGCATTCTGATCCCCCCAGCTATCAAATGAGAAGTGGGGCACAAATTCTTTCAACCTTCACCCTGCTCTTTGACCTATCTTGAATTTTTTTTATGTAACTGTTAATCTTGTGCCTAGTCCCAAGGGTATGGAGGCACCAGCTTCTTTCTCAGGAATTCAAATTGTATCTTATCTTTAGAAATACCCCTTCTGAATCCCCTTGCTTCCTTACTGCTATTTGAACCTTTATTTACCCTCACTGTCACAGGTTCTCTGAAATATATCTTGCACCCTATGCATTGTGGTTAATAGTGCCACTGTATGCTGTGGTAACCAAGATTTTGTATTTGATAGATAAAGAAAAGTTCTTGAATTTGGAAAACACTTTTGTGCTCAATGAAATCTAACTTTTGAGACTATTTTGTCACAATGAACTTAAAAATATTTTCAATAATATTAAGCAATCAATTATTTGTTACAGACTGAATTCTGTCTTCTTGTAATAATGATTGTCGTTATTTTAATGATTAGGGAAACTTTAGATCAACTAAGAAACAGGAACAAAAAATGCTATGCTATTATCTCAAAAATGCATACTCCTTCCTACTTAAGAATAATAAATTTATATATTATGATATGGTAAAATTCACAACTAATTGTATTTTTCCCTAGAATGTTTAAAGCATTATCTAATACCAGCTTCAGTGTCTATATTACTGTAACTTCATGAAAGACTACTAACAATACTGGCTATCATTTATTAATATTAAGTAGTACTTGCCAGATGCCGTTAGAGGTGCTTTAAATGCATTCTCATTTAGTCTTCGTGTGTACTACCGTTATCTTCACTTTTTAGATAAGGAGACTAAAGTATAACTAGAGCTAAGAAACATGAGAAAGACGACCTAGCTACTGCCTATTTTGTAATTCCCATGGACTAAGCTTGGAGAAGTAAGAACTATTACTACAATAGCAGAAATTGAACAACAGCTTCATTTAGGAAATCACAGCAAAAGTATAAATAAAATGATGACTCTTAGGAAATAAAAAGCAGTTTTTGAGAGTAGGGATAGATGTGGCCTGCTCATTATAAAGTTCACGTGTGGTAATGGATAACTGATTTTCAAAATAACAGTTTAAACTCTGAAAATTCTGTTATTCTGACTGGGTGCAGTGGCTCACGCCTGCAATCCCAACACTTTGGGAGGCTAAGGCAGGGGGATAACCTGCAGTCAGGAATTTGAGACCAGCCTGGCCAACATGGTGAAACCCCATCTCTACTAAAAATACAAAACTTAACCGAGCGTAGTGGCACATGTCTGTAATCCCAGCTACTTGAAAGGGAGGCTGAGGTGGTAGAATTACTTGAACCCAGGAGGTGGAGGTTGTAGCGAGCTGAGATCGCACCACTGCACTCCAGCCTGGGCAACAGAACGAGACTCCCTCTCATAAATAAATAAATAAATAAATAAATAAATAAATAAATAATGTTATACTTATGAAGAATAACAAAACATATGCATTATAAGTTTGTGAAAACGGCCTAGTAAAATATTTTAAAATTGTTATTGATGTATAATAGACACATACCAATAAAGTACACATACCATAAATATGTTTCATGAATTTGTAGAAAATGAACACATTTTTCCAGCTAGTAGAGAATAGGAAACAGACATTTACAATTGCTGTCTGACATTTACAATTACAATTTAGATTCCTTATTCTCGTAGATTTATATTATTCCAGTACGTGAATTCTCCCACAATTTATTTTTTATTCTGCTTTTAATGTGGGCATTTGGATAGTTTATAGCTTGGGGATTTATGAATAATGACACTGTGAACATTCCTGCACATGTCTTTTTGCGAACATAAGAAGCGATGTCTGTTGGGTAGATCCCTAGGGGTGAAACTTCTAGGTAATAGGCAAGACATATACTCAGCTTTCATGAGTACGATTACTGCCACCATTTCTAAAGTGGTTGTACCAGATTGCTTTCTTACTAACCTGAATGCATCTTCAGTTGCTCCACATCTCTGCCCTCTGGTATCACCATTGTTATGAGGCCACAGGTCCTTAGCATTTTCTATGTAGTGTGATTTTGTTGTAGTTTTAAGCTTCCATACACTTATGACTGATGGAATTGATTATCTTTTCTGTATTTAACTGGCCATTTGGATATCTTCCGTTGTGTTCATTCAGGTTTTCTGCTTACTTTTCTAATAAGTAGTGAGCCTCTTTCCTTAATGGTAGATAGAAATTTTTTAAACATTTTCTGCACATGAGTCCTTTGTCAAATATGCATATTGTGAATATCTTTTCCCATTCCATGGGTTGTGTTTTCCCTCCCTTAATAATGTCTTTTGGGAAACATAAATTCTTAATTTTAGTGTAATCCAATGTATCAATTTTTATCTTGTTTAAGAAACTCTACTGTTCAAAAATTTCAAAACTATTCTATGCAAAAAGCACTATTTGAGATGAAAATTGAATATGTGCAATACTTCTGATAGCAACATTTCAACATACACAATAAAACAGGCAGAATTGGTCATTGTACAGAATAGAGATAATCTTATCTCTATTTAAAAAAAAGCCACATTTTGTGTCAGATGATTTCTGAATCCAGTAAAACTCTTAACGTATGCATACCTTTTATAGTCAGTTTGGCAGACTTCTAAAAATCAGGAGTTAATATTTCATAAGGTATAAATTTTTCTTATACTGAGGTGAAAATTCTCTCTCTGTTAGTTCCACTTATTGGTTCTAGTTTACTAATATAGTCTTTTGTTCACTTATCTATTCAACACATATTATATGAATCCTATGACTTCTAAGTCTTGGAAAGGTTTCAGGGATAATTGAGGAACTCAGAATTGACTTTGGGAAGCAGTCTGTTAGCAGGTGTACATTTTTAGAGCTCATAGTCATACCAGTTGGTAGGAAAATGAAAAAGCCTCACCTTTTTGTCCTCTTCTTTGAGTAAAGGCTTTCAACTATTCCACACACAATATGAATTTCAGATGCCTTATCATCATGGTTATTCGTTTTCAGACATAGCCTAATTAGTTACTGATATATTTAACATTAAGATTAAAAATTAATAGAAAGCAATAGCCTACATGATGTTTCATCAGCAATATGGCTCCATTAGTTTCTAGAACTGGAAGGCAGCCTGTTTCTGTTGATTCAGCTTAGAGCAGCTCTATCATATTTTTGGCAGTACCTCATACCATGTTCACATACTAAACTTGAATTTGAATAAATCTGCATAAATCCCCTAAATCGTACTTTTATGATTATTATCAAACAAGTGTCCTCCAACTTTTTCAGTTAATTTACGAATGTACAAAACTTGCTGATCATTAGAAACCTTGTTTTCCGAGAACATTTTATGATATAGGACTATGTTTTCTTTTTGATGTAAAAGTAACTGAAGAAGGTAGGAAATAAAGCTATGTAATCATGATAAGCCAATTGTGTGTATGTGTGTATGTGTGTGTGTGTGTGTGTTTGTGTGTGTGTGTTAAAATTATTGGAAATAAATGTGCCAGAATATTTGTGGCACTTATCCTAGAAAACAACATATAATTTCAAATCATTTATGCTAATTCCAAGTTCATTTCCTTATCAATCATGCCGCCTCTTTCTACTATCTTTTCTAAATCTACAAATGAGATCATATACCGTCTAAATATTTTAAGTGTAAGCATTTATTACTTAGAAATGCTGACTAACATCTGGCCGGGTGCAGTGGCTCACGCCTGTAATCCCAGCACTTTGGGAGGCCGAGGTGGGTGGAGGCAGGCAGATCACGAGGTCAGGAGATTGAGACCATCCTGGCTAACACGATGAAACCCCGTCTCTACTAAAAATACAAAAAATTAGCTGGGCGTGGTGGCGGGCGCCTGTAGTCCCAGCTACTCGGGAGGCTGAGGCAGGAGAATGGCCTGAACCCAGGAGGCGGAGCTTGCAGTGAGCTGAGATCGCGCCACTGCCCTCCAGCCTGGGTGACAGAGCGAGACTCCATCTCCAAAAATAAAAATAAAAAATATATGCTGACTAACATCCTTTTGCATGTGTCCTAAAGAATTCAGGTGGAGAATGATCTTTTAATCAACATTTAAAAATTATAATTGTCTAAATATTTATACAGTTATCCAACTGTTCGGTATAGCCTAAATTTCAATATATTTTTGCCAAAAATAGTAAAATAATCATCAAATATTGTCTGAAATCAAAATTCTAAGCTTTTGTTATTTTTTTGGCTTCCCACTTAACATTGTTACAAAATGAAAGAAGGTCAGTTTGACAGAATCTATTCTTAGTGAATCTGTGATATCCCTAAAGGGTATCACAATATTTTTCTATTTTCTCAAAAGGTCTCTGTTCAATGACATTGTGATATATTATAAGAATTCTATAATACTTTGCAGCTCCTCCCATCAAGGTGGGGTACAGAAGTGTATTCACATCCATCTTGAATCTGGACTGGCCTTGGAATTTACTTTGAGCAATAGAATGCAGTTGAAGAGACACTGTGAGAATTCTGAGCCCAGACTAAAGAGGCCCAGAGCTTTCCCACTTGCTGCTCGTGGGCACTCTATATAAATAAGCATGAGCTAGTCCACTGGATATTGAGTGACAATCGATGCAGGGCCCTAGCCGACAGCTAGCTAATGCCAGATGTATGAGTGAGTCGTTGACTGCCAGCACATTGCAGATACGTGAGTGAGCCCAGCCAAACTCAGAAGAAGGAACTCCTAGCTGACCTTAGCCCAAATTGTCACCCTACAGTATCATGAGCTAAAAAGTCATTGTTGTTTTAATTCCTTAAATTTTTGGTGGTGTATTTTATATAGCAAGTGCTAACTGATACAGATTCGTACTGCATTTTCATAATAAATGCTATAATGTTTATTTCCATGTAAGTCTGTTATTAGAATTTACTGTTTATATAGGCTGTAGAGTATTATTATCTTCACTTCAATATAATTTTTAAGAAACGTTCTTTATTGTACATATGTTGTGGAGAGAAGATGAGCACTATATAACTGGTAATTCTTTTTACCAATGGATATATATAAGAGCTTTCATTTCCTGCTGTTTGTTCTGTTTCAGGAGAAGTAGGACTTGCAGCTCTTGGCTGTCTATGAAGTAGAGTATTATTATTATTTGTTCTTGTGACATGTAGCTATCTAAGTCTTAGAATAAATAATGCTTTATGAAATGATAATGACAAGGTGAAAATTAGGAGGAAATACTGATAACTTGCTCACAAATTGTGCACATTGGCTGTTGGGCCCCAAGGAGTGTTTTCTTACACAGGAGGTCCACCCAAGATTTGTTTCCTATGTTCTAAGGTGTAAAAACATACATGAGAAATATGTATTTATTTGAATAAGACTATATTTGGTTTAACTCAATCTTTGAATTTAAAATCTTACCTCCAGAAATAATTTTAAAATATTATATTTTAGAAAATTTTCCAGTGGAAACAATGCCACAGAGTTTTGAAATGATGTAATTAAAAAGTAAAATAATAAAATAACATTCTTAATATTAAATTATTTTACAATGGTTGTGAATGCATAACATTAAAATGTTAACTTGAAAGGAGGAATAATACAGTTAATTATCCACATTTCTAAACAATGTTTGAGTATTATGAAATGGCTTTTTAAAAACATTTTTACCCAGACATTTAGAATTATGCACTTTAAAATTTGAATGGTTTCAATTCAAAATAAGCAGTTATACTTTCTGAAAATAAGCTTTCCAGATCTTGAGTGGATCTAAATTTTTAGACTTTGGACAACGGAAGGCTAGGAATGATAAAATGCTAATTTTTTAGATTTCATTTAGCAGTATCAAATATCTAAAACTATTTTATGGCTTTGCATTGAATAAATCTGTTACTTTTAACATCAAATGCATTTATTTGGCTGATCTAAAAAATGAGACGCTAGTCAAGGGAAATTCAAATCTACATATTTCTGATAAATTTGGAGGGGAATTCAAGCATGAAAGTTGGAATCCAACTGTTTTACATGCAAATTCTAGCCCTCTCTTTTAATGAGGGAGTACACTTGAATATGTTACTTAATCTCTCTGAGCTCCAGCTTCTTTGTCTCTAAAATGAAGATCATAATATGAACTTCCTAGAGTTTTTATAAGAGTTAGACATGGCTTTTCAGTGCCTGGAATAGCATGCATCTTTAATAAATGATAGCTATCATATATTCCAAGATTTTGGTTTTAATTTTTTTGAAATTATGTGATAATTGTAATTTTTCTTTGGTGTTTAGTGTTAACGGTTGCATTGAATAAGAAGTTTGAATCTTTTAAATTATTAAAAAAATCTCATTAACTTAGGAAAAGTAGGGTTTTTCCTAACTAAAATAAAAATGTAATGAATTCCATTTCTTTCAAGTATTCAGCAACATTTATATTGATAAATATTTAAATATTATCATTTTGGTTGCTAACAGTTCCTTTTGTCTGAATTTTAAACCATTATCTGTAATTATATATATATATGACATTACTTTAGTGTGAAAAAAAGACTTTAGAAAAAGTTTGCCTTGAGCAATCTTTTCCTCAAAAGAATTAATGATATTTTAATATTCTTGTAAAAAACTAATTAAATATCCATATATAAAATAATGTCTGAAAACTAGGGATAGTAAAAATATGCATTATACAGATTAAAATGGGTGAAAACTGAACCCCCCCAAACACATTTATATTTACAATGCCATGGAATTTGTTATGTTTTTATGACACAGAGTTGATGAGTTTTATTGTTTTGTTTGCATATTTGTTACTGGTATGTTTGTAAGGGCACACATTACATGGATAAGAAGGAAATTCATTTCGAGTACCAAATGCTATCCATGCAATTTGCCAAGAAAAAAATATACTTTTTGCATTTGAGACAAAATACAATCCATATTTATTTCATGAGCTTAGGAATTTTAAGGGGTCACTTCTATAGGAGAGTTCCAAGGGAGTTAGGAATCTGGCCTGTGAGTTTTACTTTTGGCAGTGGCTTCTGAAATAAAACACAATCGCTTATAATATTTCAAAAAGTTATCCATCATCCACAATGTAAAGTACAATATTTAAAACTCTGGAGTATGGCTTGAAAAATTCACTGTTCATGGGAGGTGGAAAACATGAAAAGAAAATGAAAATGGGAAACAGGGGGTTTAAGCGGAATTGGGTTCCATGTGGATAAGGAATTTGACTCAAAATACAAATGTTCCAGGAAATGTTTGGTGAGGACTGTGTAGTTAATTAAGATTTCCAGAAGTTCAACAATGCCTCAGGTTCTCAGGAGGTAGAATGCATATAACCACCAACTTAAAGTTAATATCTAAGACCAGCTATTTACATACAATAGTTTAATAGAGATTTACCAGAAGAATTGGTGAGAAAACAGTTCTGTTGAAGATAGATTGGGAACTCACAGCCATATTTTATTACACTATCTCATTGTGGTTTTTCACACTGTGGGAATTGGACTTCCAGAACTAGGGGAGCCTCTCCACTTTCATTTTAGTCTGACCACTTTTCTTCAGGGAAGGCAAAGGTTCACAAATCAAGTTTGTTCATGTTAAACCCCAGGAAGAGATTTAAAAAGAAAATCTTGCTACATAAGCATCCACAATGTAAAGTACAATATTTTATATGTTATATCCATATAACAATAACTGTTCTACCAAAAGCCCAAGCCAAACAAAATCTAACAAAGTCTCATTAAGTATTCAACTGGATATGCAGTGCTTAGCAGAGAAGTTGCCTTAAATAATTCTGCTATGATTTCCTACTGAGGGAGATGCAAAGTTCTTTACCCTGACCTAAGTTCATAAACCTTTTGTGTTGACTGACTGGCATTGCAGGTTGGCAGGATATTTCTTCTAATTTACTTTCACTGCAGTTATAAAAAGTATAGATCCTCACTCTTATTTTTAAATGAACAAGTGTATGTCATTCACAATAAAATAATATCAGTCAGCCCAGCAAAGAATGAGAAGTCAGTTTCACAAGTAATTGAGATCTCTTTTCAGTCTTTTAGAGAGGGGAGAATAAAATTTCAGTGCAATTGTAATTTCCTTTAATTCATGCAAATCTTAGCATATTTTATCATATTCATAAACTTTCCTTGGGATTCAGTTAATTCCTAAGTTGCCACCTTAGATACTATATTGTAAGGCCCTGGAAACTACTACTGTAAACGTGTTTCAGAAACAATCTAACACATAACTCCTACTTTAAAATTATTCAGTTTTGTCTAAGAGAAATATATAGTCCTTTGAGATATGGCTTTTGGCCTCCAGGGCAAAGGTTTTATGACAGTAATTTTTTAGGCTTAAGGAAATCAGATGTGGCTTTCTTAGAACAACAGTGTTTTGGGTGATGAAAAGACGAGTTAGTGGGTGCAGCGCACCAGCATGGCACATGTATATGTATGTTACTAACCTGCACAATGTGCACATGTACCCTAAAACTTAAAGTGTAATAAAAAAAAAAATCAAAGTGAAAAAAAAAAAATCAAAGTCCTTTGGAGCCCAATTCCTTCTTTGTGAATTATGTAATACATGCATAGGAATGGAATCCTAGCATGAGCAGTAAAACAAGCATTTCCCATGCTTTCAAATGCAAAAAAAAAAAAAAAAAAAAAAGACTAAATTGATAATCTTTTTGCTATATCTTTCTAATTTTCAAGAAATTATTTAAAATGATAATTTTGCCCTGAATTTGAACCCTGGCATGCCTCATAATTCTCATTTTTTAATTTTCTCCTTATCACACCATCACAATTTTGATTATCTTTTGTTCCTTAGTTCCATCACAAGTTGCATCAACTTCTGGTAGTAAGTAAAGCACAATTAAAATATTTCCCTGTATGTTAAAAAGAATGTGGTAGCTATATATGAACTGATAATGAAATAGCCTCAAGATTTATTAAGTGGAAAAAGCAAAGGGAAGAATATTGTAAGTAGCATGCTTCTACTTTTGTAGCCAAACGCGTAAAATATATATTTGTATGTATGTGTGCACATATGCACTATTTATGCATAAATCATCTTTGGTAGGATACATAAGAAAATGATAACAGTGATTGTCTCCAGGAAAGAAAGGACAACTAAGAAACTTAAGGATCAAGGGTAGAGATGGGCTTCCTTTACTTTTATATATAATATATACATATATATACATTTTATGTTTGTATTTTATTTATAATTTTATATGCTATATGCACATATATACATTATGTATACAAAAGTGAAGTATATATATAAATATACAACACATATATATTCACTTTCTATTGTTTTATATTGTTTAGGCTTTTTATAATGTATATTATTAAAAATTAGCAAACCTCTATTAAAATGTTGCTGAGGTTTAAATAATAACTGTTACACCCTTTTCATATTTGATTTAGAAATAGCCATCTCTAAAGTAGTGCTACACCAAAGCAGATAGTCATAAGTATCCAAACAATTAATGCTTATATTTATTTTTTTATTTTTGCTAAACAAGATTGCTAGATAATATTTCCTTTTTGTTTAATGTTTTCTGGGTATAGATGCAGATGTGAATGCCTAAAGTCAGTTTTAAAATTTTAAATAGAGCTCTGCATGATTTTAAAGCCAAATGGGCAGGGTTGCTGGCAGTTTCTCATATGATTTTGAGTGGCAATGAACGTAGCATTCCAGTAATTCTTAATCAAGCTCTTTTAATTGTCCTAAAAGGGAAATAAAGGACTTGAGGATCAAAACTATCCTTCATAGAGTGGGCAGACTTGATCAATTTGGCCTGAATTACTTGGCTGTACCCTACAATATTCATATGGTGTATGTCTGTCTGTGGAAACATGCAGAAGAGTCACTTAAAAGCATAACATTGCAAAATTCCATTAATTCCTTTCTTTATCACAGAGAAATTTGTCCCGAGCATTCATTTGCTTCAGCTGAGAGATTCAGCTTGAAGCCATAACCATGATTGTCTCCTATGTAGTAGAGAAAATTAGCACGTGGTTGCAAAATCATATAGCTCTGTGGTATTTACATGGTTATAATTGATTAAAATCTTTCCCAGATTAAAAAAAGGAACCGTGTATCTTTCTTCTTTTTTTTCCTATTTGTACAGATGATTATATGCACCCATCTACATGACCCTCTCTTGCTTAGCCAAACTTGACCAGAAGTTTTGTGAGTTTTTGTCTAGTCTTCTCTATTATCATATGGCATCTGTCATGAAGACACTATTTTATGAGTTAAATTAATGCCATTTATATTCTGGTCAAATGCTAAGAAATCTGGAATGGTTGAACTAATAAAATCAGCTTATACATCTCTCTTAAGAGCAAATTATTTAAGCAATGTTTCAACATTGCAAGTAGACTGTCATGTTGTATTGTGAAAAAATGAAGCAGAGACAGTTAAATAACAAATGAAATATGACCTCTGCTGAATTCCCTGGACATTTACAATCTGCTACATAAGCAATAGGATGCATAATTTAGAGTTGCTATTACCTTCTGTCCAGATATTCATGAAAGCCTATTTGGTTTTAAATTGTTGGGGCTGGGAAGGGGGTAGATTATTGAAAAAACAGAAATCTTAGGGGAGGCTATAAAGAAACTTCCTGAAATCTTAAGTAATTTTCATGAAGGTTTATTTACTATTCTATATTTTATCATTTTCTATGTTTAGAGTCCACAATTGTAAAAATTAAGCTTTCTTTTGAGCAACTAGAAGAATAGTCCCTACTCCGCAATGCTAAAATCAATGTGAATACATATTAGGTAGGATTTCAACCATTTTTTCAATTGATATAGCTTTTTTGTCTAAAATACCTTTAAAATAAATACTATCGAAAGTCAAGAAGGTATTCCACACACACATGAATATACTTTTCTACTTTCTCATTTCTGTCATGTTTTCTAATTTTTCCAATAGATAATATTGTGATAGTTACTTTAAATCACAGGCAAATGCAGTTCTGAGATTTCTACAGATGTGGGACACACATTAAAATGAATTTTTTTTTTTTGGTCATGGGTCTTTGAAGAGTGCTGAATAATGTAATAGTCCTCTAATTTCATGTTCTATATCATTAAAATAATGGTTTTTAATGTTTTTAAGTTAAATATATAGAAGAGAGCAGTTAATCAGCTAATTCAAGGGAAGTTTGGTGTGACGTTTTAATTATCTAAAGTTTAATGACAAAGATGATGAGCTATCTTGCCTTTCTTGAATCAGTTCTGCTTGTCAACAAGATGAATTTGTTTTGAGTTTTGTAATGACAGAAGAGTTTTGGGGGAGGTGAAGGGAAAGTTGGAGGATCATCTATAACTGATGCTGAATCCACTGCGGCCAGGCTGCAGAATCAGTTGAATAATTTGAAAGTGTTTATTTTGGCTTGATGTTTTGTTCTGAGATGGAATGAAAGGAGAAAACGTTTATTAAGTTAATAATCCTTTCTGTAACCCTTCCCAGCAAGGTCTAATGGGTGTGCCAAGCAAATGATAACAAAAAATTATAAAAAAGGGAGCATCATTGTTCTCTTTCTGTTTGAATTTATCAATAAATGAAAGCCTGAAGGGAAAGTATCATTTCATCGGTGGTGATATGTGACCTTCTTCTTAAAACATTATTTTGATTAAACAATAGCTTATCTAATGTTTCCATATTAATCAGGCAGAAGTTTCTTGGATGAAGCAACTGTTTATTTTAGGACCTGAATAGGGAAAGGATGAAGGAGGATACTGTCATATTCAATTTTGGAAGGTCATGTAAGCTTCATCTTTTTTCACTCATCTTGAAAAAAAAATGGAATAAAGTGTTCCATTTCGTTATTTCTATACTATTAAACACTGCTAGTTACATTCTGAGTTCCCATTCTTCTTGGTTAATAAAAACTTTTTGTCCATGACTTGATGAACTGTATGCATATATTTAAGGAATTTTGATGTCTTAAAAATCTTTGTTAAATTATTTGCAGCTGCTCAGACCAATCCAACAAGTTTATATTTAAAATGAAAGGGCTGGGGATGCCAACTGTCCAAATATTACAGAAAGGAAATGCAAAGTGTAAACAAACAATTCTGCCATAGATATGCGGATCAGAATACATATTTGTATGAAAAGGTTAATTTTTAACTTATCTCAAGATTGTTACAATAAACCGTCTATATTTGAAATTGTAGAAGTTCAAGTCCCTTCAGCAGATGTTAGGCGAATATTTTCTGACTACTAGTTTAACTTTACAGACCACCAGATATTTTTGGTCACTTAGTATTTCCATCTTTATAGTCACTATTTGATGGACAAATTTTTGAAGTCTTCATAATTATTTCAGCTATTATTTCCTATAATATAAATAAAAAAACAAATAAAATTCTCCTATATTTTCTTGTACCATAAGTCATTCCACAGGACATTTTTGCAAGATAATTTTAAAATTTATTGGACTGAGTCTTGACACATCTAACTGCAATTTTCTCTTTGCTATGATTTCTTGATTCATTGACAGAAATGTTTACGGAATTCATCCAGTTAGCAATATTTCTGTAATCTCTAAGTCCTTTTAAGTGAAGTTTGAATTTCTTACAATGAAAAAAAAAATGGAAATCTATATAACCACAAAGAGGCTTGTTTTAAGGCTACTCTGAGAATAAGATAATCCTTTGAAAGGTAGGGAAATCTAGAGTTAAGACAAAAATAGCTACTTAAAGACAGTTTACTCAAATTATTTTCATTCTTTGTTTTTATAATAGGGTTATAAAATCAGAAAATGAAAGTTATTTGAGGGAGTCATACAGGGCAATCAAGTTAATAGTAAGACATCTCCAATTTCTCAAACACTATATTTTATCTCAGCTGCAACTGTAAAAATACAACTTTTATGGCAGAGATTATAATATAAATGGGGAAAGACTGGTGCACAGTTTTGGTACATCACACACAATAAAAGCCTAAACATGAAGATTCATTTAAATCCTGTGATCAGGACACCCCCAATTTGGTTTGTACTTTCACCATTCTATAGCTTCTTCCTTCACCCCTTATTTATATTTTCTTTCTTTTTCTTTCCATTTTCAGTCTTTTCCTGCATTCTGCCAACTTGTATTTTTCCTAACCTGTAAGTCCCTCATCTTCTCAGCAGTAGGGCCCAATGATTCACAAATGCATTTAACTATGATAGTAAAATTTGTTAAAACATACCTTGTTATGATATGGCTTTGGGTGCATTTCATGTCAAATAATTCTGATTTAAACCCCCTTTAAAAGTATCACATGTACACTAGCATATATCCACTGCAATAATTTCCCTGGTGCAATAGGATGTAGGGCCTTGCCTTCCCAATGTCACCCTACATAGTAAATAAATATTTATGGAGCTTTGATGCAAGGAGGCATAGTTTCTGAGATGACTGAGAAGCAAAGATTATGTAAATTCTTGAGGCTAACTTGACTAGAAATAGACTTCTCTCAGGAATATATTCCAATAAAGTCTCTGCTCAATTTTTAAGCAAACTTTTTTCCTATTTGAAGTCCCCTCTGTCCATCTACCATGCATCATATTGCCCAGTTAAAATTTCCTCATCATAGGTACATTAATCTGTAGTTCTCCTATTAATTTATTTGTTGTTTTTGTTGTCCTTGTTGTTGTTGTTTTTTCCTTTAAAGAATGTATGCTTGATGAGGGAAGAAGTGTTACCTGCCTTGTTCTTTTTGATTCTTGATACTAGAATGTTTGGAGTAGTGTCTTGCACAAAGTTAATAGTCAGTAAATACCTATTCAAATAATGAATTAATGAGTGAGCTGACCCAGAAGTATCTCCACAAAGGTACAGAGCATTTACTCTTCTCTAGGATTAGCCTCCTGGAATTGGGCATATTTTATGTTTTATTCTAATCACTTATGGGCATTAAATGTAACCTTGTAAGATCTATGAGAAAAGCATTTGTATTGGCAATAAATGAGGAATTCAGGTAAAATATAAATAGTGGGTGAGGGAATCTAAGGTATGTTTATTACGTTAGCTTCATCTGTAAAAATAGATAGTTTTACTAAAATTTATTCATTCTACATTTCAGAACTCTTGTAGTTTATGTAGATGTGTCTGTATATTATTATACTTTTATTTTACTTTAAAGCGAGAGAAAAGACTGATATGTGAAAGGTTTCTATTGAATAAGAAAGAAAAACAGATGATTTCCTTTACCCTCATAATGTCTATAAGGTACCACATATTTCAAGCCCTCTTCTAAACACACATAATGGAACTTGTTTTTATTGCCTAGTCATCTGTTATTACAAATATATTTTCAAAGGGAGAATTTGAGGTTCTTTTAAACTATAGCTGTCTTTGAAATATAAGAACATATCCTCATTAATTAATGTTTAACCCCTTTGAAATCTATGTGGTTACTGCTGTTTGCAGTAATTAAAAAATTAATTTTGTTTGAGTTTTCTACTTATTATAATTTAAGACAATATTGTTAAGAATAATATTTAGGGTATTTAGACGTTCTAACATAATGTATTTAACAACAAACAAATGAACAAAATTTCTATATAACTCCCTATAATATAAAACAATTCGTTGCTTCTCTCTCTCTCTCTACATATATATATGCATATACACATATACTACATATATATGCATATACACGTATATATGCGTGTGTGTGTGTGTGTGGTCGTTCTAATTTTTTTAGTGGCTACTCTGAAACAAACTTTGCCATTTCCTGTTTTTCCTAAGATTTGTGATTATTTTGAACATAGTGGGTAATCAACATACTTTTAAAAAAATGCATGACAAAAGAGCCTGCTGCTCTTATAATGTTACCCATTGACCTCACATTATAAGTTTTTTTTCAACCAGCCACCAAAACAATATGAGATGGCATTTTTCCAATATTAGTTTACCAAATATACTTTGCAAAGAGTAATTAATAAAATTTCTAAGCACATAGTTCAAAAGCAGAAAATAACTTTACAAAAAGCAAAAATCCCAATCTACAACAGAAAAATAATTCTTGAATGCATCTATACTATTTTTAAATGATTATTCAAAATTGATAAAATATAAATAGTGGTAGAGGAATTGAGTGGGTGTTCGAATATTTTCTTTTTACATTCTATTGAAGAATTGAAAGTGAATACATTAGTCTTAAGGTTTAATTTGAATGAGTTTGAAAGTTCATACAATGTTAGTGGATACAAGAATGCAGTTTTTAAAAAGAACTTACTACATCACAAATGTGTTAACTTGAGTGCCTGCTGGCTCATGTAGACTCCAGAGGCCCCCTGGTCTATGCAGCCGCAGAGGTAACTTTGATTTGAATCAGAAGACTCACATGATCCAGCCACCAAACATTTCCTCCTATCCCACATCAAGACTAAACCAAACATTTCCTCCTATCCCACATCAAGACTAATAAATAAGATTTTATAGTTTAATTACAATCACACATGAATTTTAAGAAGTGACTTGTGACAAATTTACTCTGCTAATGTTACAAGAAGTGTGCCCTTTGATTAGGATTTAAAACCTCATATGTTTGAAGCATGAATGAATGGTATATCGTAACTGTATATTGTTCTTGTATAACTTCATGAATAACTTGAATAACATTCAAATGGAAATAAATCCTCTTATCATCCAATCAAAGCTTAGATCTATAGTCAAATTCTTCCATGAAATAACATGAAACATCCAACCCTAATGAAAATAAATTTTTGAAAACCTCTCAAATATACTTACATATACTTACTTTCATCTTTAATGTAATTAGATTCAGGCTTGTAGAATATTCTAGAGTATTAGAATGAACTGTGAAAGGCTCCAAGCATGACAAGGAGGCCATCTCTAGAGTTGTGACACTAAACACTTTGGTAGACCCAATGGTGAATAAAAGCTAAAACACTCAAGTAACTAGTCTGAGTTACTGTAGTTGATATGTTTGGCTGTGTCCTTACCCAAATCTCATCTTGAATTGTAGCTTTCATAATTCCCATGTGTTATGGGAGGGACCCGGTGGGAGATAATTGAATCATGGGGGCAGTTTCCACCATAGTGTTCTTGTGGTTGTTAATAAGTCTCATGAGATCCGATGGTTTTATAAGGGAGTTCCATTTTCGCTTGCTCTCATTCTCTCTTTCCTGTCACCATCTAAGTCGTGCCTTTCGCCTTCTGCCATGATTGTGAGGCCTCCCCAGCCACGTGGAACTGTGAGTCTATTAAACCTCTTTTTCTTTATAAATTACCCAGTCTCAGGTATGTTTTTGTTGTTGTTGTTGTTGTTGTTGTTTGTTTTTGAGACGGAGTCTCGCTCTGTCACACAGGCTGGAGTGCAGTGGCGCGATCTCAGCTCACTGCCAGCTCCGCCTCCCAGGTTCATGCCATTCTCCTGCCTCAGCCTCCCAAGTAGCTGGGACTACAAGCGCCCGCCACCACGCCCGGCTAATTTTTTTGCATTTTTACTAGAGACGGGGTTTCACTGTGTTAGCCAGGATGGTCTCGATCTCCTGACCTTGTCATCCACCAGCCTCGGCCTCCCAAAGTGCTGGGATTACAGGCGTGAACCACCGCACCTGGCCTCAGGTATGTCTTTATCAGCAGCATGAGAACAGACTAATACAGTAGTATAGCAAAAAATTACTTTCATTGTGTTAGAGTGGACCAGAAAGTAATAATGTGACCCTATGCCTCAGGCTCCAAACCGTGTACAAAGTAAGAAACCTGCAGTTCTGGACTGCACTGACCTAGTAGATTGCTGGGCAAGGGCCCCTCAAGTATGGACAAATCTGAGTAAATCACTAGGGAGGATTAGAAAGGGAAGTGGACTTACACCAGATACTGTCCCACATCTCAGGCACATGGTCTGAATTGTAGATTTGGTGGTTCTATTATAAACCAAAGTGGAAGTGATCTTAGCCAAGTTTGAATCATTTTCTTCCAGTCAAACCTTGCTGTTTGTTCTAACTTCAGCTATTAAAATTAGGAAGAAGTTGAGAATACAGGAGCAGCTTACTAGGCTTCAAGTGTGAAGAGAAATAATCAGGGCATATGTTCCTGTATATAAAAATGGGCCCTCCTAAAACAACAACAACAACAACAACAAAAACCCTTCCATGAAACTTGGTTAAATAATTGTATGAGTGCCTTAAATGTTACTTAATATATATTAATATTGTTAATATAATAACGTATGTTATTCTATTTTATCTTATTTTATTTTACTTTGAACTAAGAGGAAAAAACTGATGTGTGAAAAGTTTCTCTTGAATAAGAAAGAAAAATAGATGATTCCCTTTAATAGATTTGAAAACTGTCATTGCAGACCAGTGCAAGCCAAATGTATTATGGCTCGCACCTGCAATCCCAGCACTTTGGGAGTCTGAGGCAGGTGGATCACCTGAGGTCAGGAGTTGCAGACCAGCCTGGCCAACATGGTGAAACCCCATCTCTACTAAAAGTACAAAAATAAGCAGGGCATGGTGGCACACACCTGTAGTCCCAGCTCCTCAGGTGGCTGAGGCGGGAGGATTGCTAGAACCTGGGAAATGGAGGTTGCAGTGAGCTGAGATTGGGCCACTGCACTCCAGCCTGGGTGACAGAGTGAGACTCCATCTCAAAAAAAAAAAAAAAAGAAAAAAAAACTTAGAGGCTGGGCATGGTGGCTCACTCCTTTAATCCTAGTACTTTGGGAGGCCAAGGCGAGCGGATTGCCTGAGCTCAGGAGTTCGAGACCAGCCTGGGCAACACAGTGAAACCCCGTCTCTACTAAAAATACAAAAAAATTAGCTGGGTGTAGCAGCATGCACCTGTAGTCCCAGCTACTTGGGAGGCTGAGACAGAAGAATCACTTGAACCTGGGAGGTGGAGGTTGCAGTGAACCGAGATCGAGGTAAAAAACAAACAAACAAACAAACAAACAAACAAACAAAACTTTAGAATGCTCTGCTCTACTAGCTGAGGACGCGAGGATTAATATGGGGGAAACAAGGTCAAATGGAAAGAAAGCTGGGCTATAGGCAGGGCTGATTCAGTTCTTAGATTTACCTCTTAGCCCTGTGACCTAGGATGAATTGCCTAACCTAAGCCTTGATTCCCCAACTATTATGAGGGTTCGATCAAATAATAATATAAAGTTCTCGAGAGATAGTAAGTAAATATTCTATTGGGGGCAAGGTTTTTGAGTCATTAATAAATATTAAGTAAAAACAATTTTGAATTGAAAAATGTGTTATGGAAGTAATAATTTTTACAAAACAAGGCATTCAATGCAATCAATCTTATTGCCCACTATAATTGCGCATAATATATCATTAAGTAAATGAAAATTTGTCTTAATGCATATGACCCTACTCATGTCAACTATTTGGAACATGACATGTCTGTTCTCTTCTCAAGAATTTTTGGAAATTCCATTTCTGCAGTTTCCTTCCATTACTCTTAACCTCGTTAACTCTTACTAACTTCCAGACCTCAGTTCAAGCTTTACTTTCTCAGGGCCAGCTTCCATGACTCCTTGTCCCCACCCCCAATTCTAGATCCGTTTCTTTTGCTTTATGCTCACTTGTAATATCATGTTCCTTTCATTCAGAGCCCTTATTCAATTTTTAATAATATATTTATTGTTTTAATTATCTGTTGAATATCTTTCTTCTCCTTTAGACAATATGCTTTATGCAGAGAAAACCTGGTTTGACCCACTAGTGTATTTCTAATGTGTAACACATACAAGGCATGCAATAACTATGTCATGAATGAATGAATTAATGCATGACGCATATGTTCAATTCTGTTTTACCTATCATTTTTGCATTGGATTATGAGATAAACACATGCTCTTTTGTTGTTACTCAACTCAAATTTTATGTCTACAAAATTTACCAAGGAATTATCTAAATGTTACTGCAATATAAAAATGCAAAAGTAGTTGTATAAAAGTTTCTAATAAGCCGGGCGCGGTGGCTCACTCCTGTAATCCCAGCACTTAGGGAGGCTGAGGCTGGTGGATCATGAGGCCAAGAGATCGAGACCATCCTGGGCAACATGGTGAAACCCCGTCTCAACTAAAAATACAAAAATTACCTCAGTATGTTGGCGCGCGCCTGTAGTCCCAGCTACTTGGGAGGCTGAGGCAAGAGTATTGCTTGAAACCAGGAGGCAGAGGTTGCATTGAGCTGAGATCATGCCACTACACTCCATCTTGGTAACAGAGTGAGACTCCATCTCAAAAAAAAAAAAAAAAAGAAAAGTTTCTAATAATTGCTACATCTCTAAAATTTCAAGCAAGAATATATAGGGGACAAATTGGTATGCTTTAAGAGATTGACGTATCCAGAATAAAGCCTAGAAAATTTGAACATTTTGTTTTTTATTAGTTAGACATTTAGGAATCGGGATAAAAGAGAAATACTGGGGTTAAAATGAGATTTTAACAACTCAGAAAATCAATTATTCTTGCTGCTTCTGTTACAGATGCTGGAGAATGTGTGGATGAGAATCTACCACACACTGGGGAAAGAAAAGGAAGTGAACAGAGTGGGAAAAAGAGACATGTTCAAGGAGAATTGGGAAGAGGAAGAAAGACAGTGGGAAATCTGACTAGAAGAATCTAATCCATGAGGATCATATAAACTGAGAAAGGGGGAGGGTTTAAATTGAATTGTGAAAAGCACAGGTTATTTGCATGAAATCCAAGAGCAGTCATCATCCACAACGTAGAAGCAAAGTGAAAGCCTAAGTAAACATTTGTTCATTTTAACACCAAGGACTTGTTCTATCCTTAAAGTTTTCCTGGAGACAACAGGGAGGTAAAGAGATTAAAAAATTGTACACATGCATGCACAGGCATGTACACACTCACACGCAAGACAGAGATACATGAAGAATGAAATAAGCACATGAAAGTAACCGGCCCATCATAGGAGGCCCACTTATTTCAGCTCTTGAATCTAAGCATTTACAAGGGAACATGTCTGTGCTTAACTTTACTCCCTAGTGGCTTATACTTAATTTAAGAAAGCAAAATTTACATGAAATACATTCCAATAGAGATCTAAAAGGATAAATTTCATGTGAGAAATAACTTCTCTAAGTCAGCATATAAGAAGAAGAAAAAAATTAGTAAAAGATTGCTTTTGAAATTTTCTATTTTTAAAATTTTATTTATTATACTTTAAGTTCTGGGATACATGTGCAGAATGTGCAGGTTTGTTATATAGGTAGACACGTGCCATAATTATTTGCTGCACCCATCAATCCATCATCTACATTAGGTATTTCTCTTAATGTTATCCCTCCCCTAATCCCCATCCCCCAACAGGCCCAGGTGTGCAATGTTCCCCTCCCTGTGTCCATTTGTTCTCATTGTTCAACTCTCACTTATGAGTGAGAACATGCAGTGTTTGGTTTTCTGTTCCTGTGTTAGTTTGCTGAGAATGATAGTTTCTAGCTTTATCTATGTCCCTGCAAAGGACATGAACTCATCCTTTTTTATGGCTGCATAGTATTCCATGGTGTATATGTGCCACATTTTCTTTGTCCAGTCTATCATTGATGGGCATTTGGGTTGGTTCCAAGTCTTTGCTATTGTGAACAGTGCTGCAGTAAACATACATGTGCATGTGTCTTTATAGTAGATTGATTGATAATCCATTGGGTACGTACCCAGTAATGGCATTGCTGGGTCAAATGGTATTTCTGGTTCTAGATCCTTGAGGAATTGCCCCACTGTCTTCCACAATGGTTGAACTAATTTACACTCCCACCAACAGTGTAAAAGCATTCTTATTTCTCCACATCCTCTCCAGCATCTGTACTTTCCTGACTTTTTAGTGACCGCCATTCTAACTGGCATGAGATGGTATCTAATTGTGGTTTTGATTTGGGTTTCTCTAATGACCGGTGATGATGAGCTTTTTTTCATATGTTCGTCGGCTGCACAAATGTCTTCTTTTGAGAAGTGTCTGTTCATATACTTCACCCACTTTTTGATGGGGTTGTGTTTTTTTTCTTGTAAATTTGTTTAAGTTCTTTGTAACAAATTTACTTGAAATTTTCTTAAATTAAGAACCACACACATGGTATTCTTGTATACTATATTAACTTGCAACTTATTGGTCAAGTTTCTTCTCTAGCATGGGAACAGGTTGCCATTTCTTTAACTGAACATTGAAATAAAGTAGGCTTGTGTGTAAGACCAGCTAATACGGAAAAAAAAACATTAATGTCATCTAACTCCACTTGAAGTGCTATGCTTCTGAAAAACAAAAGCATTCAGAGAAAGAAGGGACTGGTATAGGTAGTAGTTGGTGGAAATGCAAGAGTTAGAACTAAAAGTGAACCTTGAAGGGTTGGTGTTTGGGGAAGGCCATGGTCTTGGGCAGGAGACTTTATGCTTGGGGAAGTTCTGGTTGGAGAGTCCAGGATCCAAGGTCTAGGTTTAGGACAGAACCACTAGTTCATGGCAATCCCAGGGAATCAAGGAAATGTCTAAGAGAGGCCCAAGTACTGAGAAAAATGCATTAAGGCTTTTGGCATCACATTATTTTATTTAAATCATGTTTACCAAGATTTTAATATCCCTCCTTTGTGAACTTTTACATTTCGGAACTCTATATGACTGTTGCTTTGCTTTTAACCAATGAGGAGCTGTTTATTTATGTCATTTTTTTCATATTCTATTGTGTTGAATAAATGCAATGTATGCTCTTTAGAGAATTTGAAAAATATAGAAAAAAGTTTTTACAAACCTTTATCCCTGATATGGTTTGGCTGTGTCCCCACCCAAATCTCATCTTGATTGTAGCTCCCATAATCCCCACATGTCATGGGCGGGACCCCGCAGGAGGTAATTGATCATGGGGTGGGGATTTTCCCATGCTATTCTCATGATAGTTAGTAAGTCTCACGAGATCTGATGGTTTTATAAAGGGCATTTCCCAACACACATGCTCTTGGCTGCCACCATTATATTTCTTTATTTATATTTATACACTTTATTCCTTCTTCACCTTCCACCATGATTGTGAGGCCTCTCCAGCCATGTGGAACTTGAGTCCCTTATACTTCTTTTTCTAAATAAATTACCCCATCTTGGGTATTTCTTCATAGCAGTATGAAAATGGATTAATACAATACCCATTTCTCAGATTTACTTTTTAGTATATTAGTATATGTATGTCCAGTTTTAATATATGTGAAGATAAACAATTGATACAGATCTTATTGTTACTTTGTAACAAATGATGTAACAAATGTGACAAATCGTTACTTTATAATGAAATGATATTTCTTAAATATTTTTCTATGTCCACATATATTTTGATGAACTTAATTTTTAATGATTGAAGTTATAAATCATAATTTGACTATTTTAATACATTTCTAATATTTAGCATTTCTGTTATATGTAACTTTTTTTGCAGTTTTTATAATGTCTTAGCAAAGGACTTTACTATTTCTTTTCCTAGATGATTTGCTTGTCTAAATATTTCCCCTAAGGAAAAGAAATAGTATTTTTATATATATACATGATTTGTATGTGTATATATATATATATATATATATATATATACATGATTTGCTTATCTAAATACATATGTGTGTGTGTATATATATATATATATATATATGTATATAACAGCATATGCATTATGTGAAATTTCTAGATATATTGTGTCAATTTGTTTTTTCAAGAACAATATGTAAGAATGTGCATTTCTCCATAACCTAGCCCAGGGGTCCCCAACCCCTGGGCCATGGACTGGTACCGGTCTGTGGCCTGTTTAGGAACCAGATTGCACAACCAGAGGTGAGCAGCAGGCTAGTGAGTTCTAGCTCCTGTCAGATCAGCAGTGGCATTAGATTGTCATAGGAGAATGAATCCTATTGTGAACTGCGATGTGAGGGATCTAGGCTGTGCACTCTTTATGAGAATTTAAGGCAGAACAGTTTCTTCTCAAACCCCCACCCACCCTAGTCTGTGAAAAAATTGTCTTCAGTGAAACTGGTCCCTGGTGCCAAAAAAAGTTGGGGACTGCTGACCTAGCCAACACTAGGTGTTGGTATTCTTTCTATTTATTTTTATTTATTTGTTTATTTTGAGATGAGTCTCACTGTGTTGCCCAGGTTGGAGTGCAGTGCTGCAATCACGGATCACTGCAGCATCAACCTTGCAGGCTCAAGCAATCCTCCAGCCTCAGCCTCCCAAGTAGCCAGGACTATAGGCACACACCACCATCCTCAGCTAATTTTTTTTAAATTTTTTATAGAGATGTGTTGCCCAGGCTGGCTTGAACTTCTGGGCTCAAGCAGTCCTTCCTGCCTCAGCCTCTCAAAGTACTGGGATTACAGGCATGATTCAGTATGCTCAGCCAGCATTCTTTTTAATCTTTGCAAATGAGATTCATAGATTTAAAAAAAATCTAAACTTACTTGCATTGCTTTATTACTAGTAAACAATTTCTTGTGGTTAGTAAAAAAAAAAATCTAATTTCACTCTATATTGTCTTATTAGTGAATGTGTGTAAAGTGTAAGAACAGCTCAGAATGGGTTTATATATTTTAATTACCACTAGGGAGCTTTTGTGGACCAAATTTCACAGGTCTGTGATGCACTAGATTACCATCTTTCAAATGAGGTTAATAATACCATCCTTACTATGTTATTATAATGAATCAATGAATTAAGCATCAGAGACACCTGGATCAATAAAATATTATTTTATTCTGTATTTTTTTTATAGATTTGTTACTCTGAAGTTTACATCTTTCATGAAACGTGTACAGAAGTATACATTAGAGGAAATGAAATAAAGTGGCACAACTAATCTATATTTCATTGTAGGAAGAATGCATTTATTTGAGCTTATGAGTACAAACCAATTAACAAGATTAAAGTTTTGTGTGGCAAGACATTAACTGCTATGAGTAGAAGCCAAATGGAGGTCTTTCTGAACATTTACTTGCTTTTATGCAAAAGAAAATATTTTAAAAATATTTTTATTAGAAAATATTTTTGAGAAAGTCCTTTACCTTCAAACTTCCAGCAAGTTATAAATGTTTAAATTGTTATTCTAGAATACCTCATATATGGTGTCCTCAGGGCCTTTGCACTTATTGTTTTTCTACCTAACATTCCTTATTCCTAGGTATCCACAAGGGTCATCCCTGTATATTATACTGCTTTCTGTCTAATGACAACTCTTCAAAAAGGTCTTCTCTTACCACACTTCTCAAAAGAGCACCTCCTCACTTCTTACTCATTATCTTGCTTCAATGTTCTTTATTGTATTTAATGCTTTATAATTATCAATTAATTTATCAATTAGAATATTAGTTCCGTGAGAACAAGGACTTTGTTTCATTCACTACTGTGTTCTCGGTTCCTGAAATACTGCCTGGCATATAGAACACAAACAATAAATATTTGTTAAATTAATGAATTTATGAATGTATGAATACATTGAGTCAAGTAATGAGGAAAACAATTATAATTTGATTATCTAAAGAGATAGCATTTTTATTGTATTCCTGCTCATATGATTTATATATTTAATTGACTGTATTTAGCCTATGTGTAAATAGAATGCTAGGTTATACATTTCAAATATATTAACAATAATTAGTCTCTAATGTGCTTTTATGTCTCCACTCGTGTTCTTGTTTAAATATGTAATTAATAAGTAGTCTATACTTTCTATTCATGTGTTCATCTATCAATAGGCAATACTTAAGAGGATCCATAATCATTTCTTCCTTGCTCTTGTAGTCTCCTGAAGAAAAATACAGCATTTTCAGGGAGTAACTTTGTGGCTCAGGTCCTCAGCCCTTTTCCAAGGCATAGGATAGATAGAATGACACTGAAATTTGTTATTGTTCTTATTTCCATCTAAATACCAAAATAATTAATGTAAATATGAAAATAAAGTTGAAAATATAATTAATTTATGCTTCTCTCAGTATTTTATAGCCATGATTTTATGTATTACATCATTATATTGTATCATAAATGATTTTATAGTCGATCGTTTTGGATATGAAATTTACACCTGATCACCAAAGTTGAAGTGAACATTCCCTCCATATTTGATGATTATATGAACTGGGCATTCATTGTCTTCCCACTTCTCCAATACTGAAAAGATGAGAGAAAGCTAATGTGCAATAAGACTTCTATATAGCTCTAACTTTTGACAGAGTTTAATGCACTCAAGGCACTTGAGCAGGAATATAGGAAGTAGGAGGAACAAGGATAATAATTTGAGATTGTTCATTAAATAGATGAAGAGGCTGTTTCTTCACGAATCAGTTCTTTTTGCTAGTTTCCTAACTGATTTAAAAATAGTTTATCATGGTAGTCAATACTGCATACACATGTGCATTTAATTTAGTTGACAGGACTCTGTCACTAAGTATGATGAATTGTATTTGTAACATCATTTAGATGTAAAGAGGAAGGTGCTTTTGCAATTAGTGGAATCTATAGACAGTAGAAAAACCAAACCCCTATATTTTGAAACAAATGCTTCATTCATATTTCCTATGATAAAGTATAAGAAATATTGATGATGTACAAGCCACTTTTTGAGTCTTTCAGTTTACTGTGAAAGTTAAATTTGCTAATCAAGCCCAGTCAAGGCTTTTTATTAGGATTTAGGATTAAAATTTGGCTTAAGATTGGGCTGCTTACTTTAAATTTTTTTCTGCTTTTTATGTTTCTAATGAAAAGTTATTTTTCCTCCCTCAGCTCTCTGTCAAAATGAGTGTGAATTATCGGTATATATTTGAAAGTTATGAGACTGGACACCTTTGTGCTGTTAATTACAGTACTTAAGAATTGTCTTAATTTTAAGTGTAAGAATCATACCACAAAACATTGTATATGTTCCTTAAACATTTACATCCCTTAAAGCTATGCAGAAAATTCACTAACAATTCTTAGGTAATATTTTAAAGTTACTTATTGTAAAAATCTTGATTTGCTACATTTTAAGTTTTACAAGAAATGTCAAAATACATTAGGCTGTAAAAAGTTCAAAAATTCCATAAAAACAAAAAAAGAGAATATTTCCCATTTGTTTCTTCCCTATCTTGCTGATTCCATCTCTACATTGGTGTAATCTGAGATTTTAGTCCCAGTTATTTTATTATTAAAATAATAGAAGTTTTAAATTAATAATTTCAATGGGCTTTGCTTACCAGTATTTCTTTCAACTATTTTAATAGATTTATTTTTAAAATCTAAGATCAATTCTTTACCAATTATTTCTAGTATGCTTTTCTGTCAGTATATTTTGAGACCTTTCATGTCAAAAATTCATTTTATATTGCATTTATAGGTAACAAATAGCTTGACTGGATATAAAAAAGTAGGTTTATAGATATTTTTCTCAGAGCTTTGTTGGCAACACTTCTGGAGCAAAAAAGTGGACTATCTAAATAGAAGCAAGAAACTGGCTGGTGTCAAGTTTCCCATTAGGAAATAAATAAATGGGGATAATAGACCAATCCCCCATGCATAAGAATTCCAAATAAGTGATGAAAATTCTCCACCTGAAGGAGGGGAGCATAATAACTCCCTACTCCTTAAGTGTGGGCTATACATAGAGACTGTCTTCCGAAGCGTGCAGTATCATATTGGAAGTGACTGTGGTGTGGGGGTGGGAAGGAGGAGGGAGAGGCGAAAAATAACTTTACAGTGGAGAAACTTGACAAACACTGTGCCAGCCAGGTAAACAAGATCAATATCATCATTTGGATAGTATTTACCTCTAATATGATGTGAGGAAAGACACTTTATCTCTGGTCTTTTTCCCAAAAGCTTATAACCCCAGTAAAATCATGAGAAAAGTATGAGGCAAATTCCAATAAATGAGCATTCTACAAAATATCTAACCAATGCTCCCCAAAGCTGTCAAGGTCATCAAAAACAAGGGGAGTCTAAGAAACTGGTAGGAAAAAGAGCCTAAGGGGATATGCCAACTAAATGTAATGTGGTACCTGAATGAGAACATGGGAAGAGAAAGGACATGAGGTAAAAATCTCAGGAAATCTGAATGAGATACGGAATTAGTTAGTAATTTTGTTTTTGTTTTGTTTTGTTTTTTTGAGATGGTGTCTTGCTCTGTTGCCCAGGCTGGAGTGCACTGGCAGATCTCAGTTCACTGCAACCTCCACCTCCCTGGTTCAAGCAATTTTACAGCCTCAGCCTCCCAAGTAGCTAGGATTACAGGCATGTGCCACCATGCCTGGCTAATTTTGGGGGTATTTTTAGTAGAGACAGGGTTTCACCATGTTGGTCAGGCTTGTTTCAAACTCCTGACCTCAACTGATCTGCCCATCTCGGCCTCCCAAAGTGCTGGGGTTACAGGCGTGAACCACCACACCCAGCCAGTAATGTATTAACATCAGTATTAACTATAATATACACACCATAGTTACATAAGATAGATATGTAATAATAGAAGACACTGGGTACTGAGCATATGGAAACTGTATTATCTTCTCAATCTTTTGTAATGCTTAAACTTCTAAAAAAAAAAAAAACAAGGTCTTTTTTTAAAGAAAGTTAATGTGATCTGATTGTGAAGTCTCTGGTGCCAGGTGAGCTTAGACATGTTGATTACATTTGCTCCATTTTAATTCTATCATTTTTTTTTTTAGCGTTCCCATCGTATTTACTCTTTCCTCTTGAAATAGTCTTTGGCAGTGAAATTTGGACTTGAATTATTTTCTCAGAATAGCTGAAATAAACTAATCTTCGTACCAACCTCATTACATTCCAGTAAGATGTTTATAGGAAGGAGAACCAAATTTGCAAATTTTTAGTTCCCAGTTGAGCATATTTGTGTCTGCTGCCTATACACACTTTGTCCCAGATGGTCATTTCTTTATTTTTACTGACCCTTGCAGAGGAGAAGCAGCTCTAAATATAGGGAACCCACAGTGGAGGTTTGTAGCCCTATGCCACCAAATACAGCTGCTGCTGCAAGAACTATTTATGAGTAAGGGAGAGTTGCGAACCCGCTTGGATAGCTACCCTGCAAATTTCCCAGGCTCAAAAATGTCTCCTGTACATCTGCATTGAACCATGCGATTTTAGAGCAGCAAGTTGTTTAGTAGATATATAAATAAACTCTTTACACACTACAAGATTTATGTACACAGAATTTATATTAAATGGGAATTAAAATATTTGATCAACAGGGCTATATAGGCTGAATTATATCATGCATATGAAAATTATTTCAGGCTGGGTGCAGTGCTCACACCTGTATTCCTAAGACTTTGGGAGGTCCAGGCAGGTGGATCACTTGAGCGCAGGAGTTCGAGACCAGCCTGGCACATGGCCAACTTGGAGAAATCCTGTCTCTACTAAAAATATAAAAATTAGCTGGGTGTGGTGGTGGACACCTATAATCCCAGCTACTCAGGAGGCTGAGGCAAGAGAATTGCTTGAACCTGGGGCGGGGAGGTGGAGGTTGCAGTGAGCCAAGATCGAGCCACTTCACTATAGCCTTGGCGAAAGAGCGAAGTGAAACTCCATCTCAAAAAAAAAAAAAAAAAAAAAAAGGAAATTATTTCACAGCTATAAAACTATCTACAAGTACTATTTGTTGTTATTAGAGTTCACTACCACCAAATTAATCTATTTTAATGTTGGCTAGCTATAACTTTTCAAAAAGTGTTATCTCATGTTAAGCCAAAGTCATGTTTTCTATAATTTTGTAGTACACAGCAGGTGATAATGAAGTCCTAGAGATGTGCGTTCAAATGCTTGTGCTTCCAGGACATTGGTTAAATGACTTAAATTCTCTACTCTCATTTTCCTTATTCATGCATAATCCTGATAATCCCTGCCTTACAGGAATGTTGTTAGTGTGATCATATCTGTAAAAATGTACCTGGCTTCAGTGTTTAATAATTGGCAGTAGTGATGATTAATGAGTTTACCTTTCATGCTTCAACAATAGGTGACAATGAATAGGGGCCCAAGCCTTCTCAGCTTCCAAATGGCATGTGATAAAAATATATCTGAACCTCCATTTTCAAGTAATAAAGAAGTCATGAGTCGCACAATTCTGTTTCTCTTATTTTATTTTTCATTTGGGGAAGATACCAGCAGGAAGCCTGAGGAAGAAAACCTTTCTTTGGCAAATAGCTGTCTTTTAGTGAAATCACATCATATAAAATGTGATTTTCAGGAAAATGGACAATTTTGTTAGCATACAGTAACTTCATAGAGGCTCTATTTGGGGTAGAAGATGGATAAAACCTGCAAGTAAGCAGAAATCCTTTGAACTACTCCATCCAGAGCCTCAATGTTGTATTGCTCAGACTAATCACTGGACGCCATCAGGAGATAATGAAAAGTGAGTGACGCCTTCTGGAGTTATGTGGTTCATTGATGCTGTTTCCACCTACTCTGCCAATTATGACCAGAGATATTATAATTGCAGTAAGGTACTGCACAGTGATATTTCCATCAAAGATATGCCGCATATATGATTGTGGTACCATAAGATTATAATACTGTACTTTATTTTTATTGTGTCTTTTCTACGTTCAGATATGTTTGGATACACAAAGCTTCCCATGTATAACAATTGCCTATGCTATTTAGTCACATGCTTTACAGGTTTCTAACATAAGAACGATAGCACATGTCACAGAGCCTCGGTGTGTAGTGGGCTGTTCCATCTAGATTTGTGTAACTACACTCTATGATGTTCACAAAATGATGAAATCACCTAAGAAGGCGTTTCTTAGAACATAGCCCCATCATGAAGTGACACATTGCTTTATCTTTATATTTCATTTATTTATTTATTTTTGAATTGAGGTCTTGCTATTGCTACATTGCCCAGGCTAGAAGGCACAGCTATTCACAAGAACCATCATAGTGCATTACAGCCTCAAACTCCTCAGTCTCCTGAGTAGCTAGCCCAGCATGACTGTGTCTGTAAGGCAGAATGCCTAGATATGTGTACTTTCTTCTTTCCTGTCACCTTTCCTTTACTTAGTGGATCTCAAACTTGAGTGTGCATGATATAAGAATTTATTATGGATATAACACTTTTTAGTGGAATTTTTACTGTAATGTCTTAGACCTTAGGAACTGTTTTAAGATTGGTCTGTCTCTCTAGCCCACTCTAATACTTGGCTTTCTGTATTTAGAGGTGAAATCCTAGGTCACTATAGTGTTTGCAAATGGCCAGTAGCTCAGCTGAACTTTTCCTTGAACTGTATATCAGGATCAGATTTGATAATCTCTCAGCATTCATAGAAAATAACAGTCAACCTTTTACAGCTTTCCCACTGTGTCACCAAAATTATTTTAAATTATACTTGGTTAAAAAGCTATTCTTCTTGAAAACTGGAACAAGACAAGGATGCCCACTCTCACCACTCCTATTCAGCATATTATTGGAAGTCCTAGTCAGAGCAATTAGTGAACAGAAAGAAATAACAGGCATTCAAATAGGAAAATAAGTCAAACTGTCTTTCTTCCCTGACGATAAGATTTTCTACCTAGAAAACCCTAAGACTCTTCCAAAAGACTCCTAGAACTGGTAAGTGACTTTAGTAAAGTTCAGGATAGAAAGTCAATGTACAAAAATCAGTAGCATTTCTATACACCAATAGCATCCAGGCAGAGAGTCAAATCAAGCACACAATGCCACTTACAATAGCTGTAAAGAAAATGAAATACCTAAGAATACAGCTAACCAAGGTGGTGAACGACTTCTACAAGGATAACTACAAAACACTGCTGAAAGAAATCAGAGATGACACAAATAATTGGGAAAAGATTCCATGCTCATGGATTGGAAGAATCAATAATGTTAAGCTGGCCATACTGCCCAAAGCATTTTAAAGATGCAATGCTATTCCTATCAGACTACGAATGGAATTTTTCATAGAATTAGAAAACAAACTATTCTAAAATTCACATGGAACAAAAAAGTGTCCGGACAGCCAAAGCGATCTCACACGAAAAGAACAAAGCAGAAGGCATCACACTACATGACTTCAAACTACACTCTATGGATACAGTAACCAAAACAGCATGATACTGGTACAATACCAGTTGACAAATAGAGCAATGCAACATAATAGAAAACTCAGAAATAATACTGCATACCTACAACCATGTGATTATCCACAAGGCTGACAAAAACAAGCAGTGGGGAAAGGACTCTCTATTTCAATAAATGGTGCTGGGGTAACTGGCTAGCCATATGCAGAAGAATGAAACAGGACCTTTACCTTTCACCATATACAAAAATTAACTCAAAATGGATTAACGACTTAAATGTAAGGCCTTAAACTATACAAACCCTACAAGAAAACCTAGGAAATACCCTTCCTGACATCAGGCTTTATAAGAATTTCTGGCTAAGTCCCCAAAAGCAATCGCAATAAAAACAAAAATTGACAAGTTGGACCTAATTAAACTAAAGACCTTCTGCACATTGAAAGAAACTATCAACAGAGTAAACAGACAACCTTAGAGCATAGGAGAAAATATTCACAAACTATGTATTCAATGAAGTTCTAATATTTAAAATCTATAAGGAATTTAAACAATTCAACAAACAAAAACAAGTAACTCTATTAAAAATGAGCAAAGGATGTGAACAGATACTTCTCAAAATAAGACATACACTCAACCAATGAACATATGAAAAAATGCTCATCATTGCTCATCATCAGAGAAATGCAAATCAAAAACCCTATGAGACACCCTTTCACATCAGTCAGAATGGCTATTATTAAAAAGTCAAAAAACCACAGGTGCTAGGCTAGTGAGGCAGCAGAGAAAAGGAAATGCTTATACACTGTTGGTAGGAATGTAAATTAGGTCAGCCTCTGTGGAAAGCAGTTTGGAGATTTCTCAAAGAACTTAAAACAGAGCAACCATTTTGACCCAGCAATTCTATTGCTGGTTATACACTCAAAGGAAAATAAATTATTCTACCAAAAAGACACATGCACTCATAAGTTCATCCCCATGCTGTTCACAATAGGAAAGACATAGAGGGAACCTAAGAACACAGAATGTCCATAAACAGTGGATTGGTTAAAGAAAGTACAAATATACACTGTGGAATACTATGCTGCTATAAAAAGAACAAAATCATGTCCTTTGCAGCAACATGTATGCAACTGAAGGCCATTATCCCAAGCAAATTAACACAAGAATGGAAAAGCAAATACCGCATGTTCTCTCTAACTGAGAGCTAAACGTTGAGCACACATGGAGATAACCATGGGAACAATAGACCCTGCTAGACTACTAGATAGGTTAGACAAAGAGGAGGGCAAGGGCTGAAAAACCACACATTGGGTACTATGCTCACTACATGAGTGATGGGTCCATACACAAACCTCAGCATTATGGAATATACACATGTAACAAACCTGCACATGTACTCTCTGTATCTAAAATAAAAGTTGAATTTTTTGAAAAGAAAAAGCCATTTTCTTCTAACGTATTTACTAAATGAGAGAGAGAAAGAGTATGGGAGTGAGAGAGACAGAGTGAGGTGAGAACATGCATACTAACTAGTTATTTCATGATAAAGAGAGTTTTTTCCTCTTTTATCTTGAAGATGGTCTTGTTCCATTGGGTTTTTGCTATCACCAGTTGTTACTCTATTGGTTTTTCTGTTTTTCTTTTATCTTTCAGTTTACCACAGGGAAATTGGAAGTCAGGTGTCCAGATGGAAATCTTTCCTAGAAAAAATGTGATTGTATTTTCCTGACATTATTTTATAAACAAGGCATGAAATGAACTGTATTTGGCCACATGAAATATTTGTTTATATTATCCTGTTATAATTTAAAATAAAGCCACCAATAACCTCTTTGTGAGGTATAGCACCCAACTATAGCTTTGATAGGTGTTTCATTCATTCAAGTAAAGGAAGAAAACCTGGCTCCTAAGTCCTGTTAGTTTATTTAATAACTGGATGATCTTTAGAACGGTGCCTAGAAGCAGTGTCAATTCTTGAAAAATGGTTGTGTTTTAGTTGGGATTCTCCAAAAAGAACCAGTAGAATTGATGGATGGACGGAGGGAAGGAGGGAGGGAATGATGGATGGTTGGATGGATAGACAGATTAGATGATGATTGATTGATTGACAGATAGATTGATAGATAGAAAAGAGGGGATATATCCTGGGAATTCTCTCATGCAAATTATGGAGTCTAAATCCCACAGTAGGATGTCTACAAGCTGGAGGCTCAAAGATACTGGTAGTGTGGCTCAGTCCAAGTCCAAAGGCTCCAGAACCAGGGAAGCTGATGGTGTAGCTTCAGTCTGAAACTAAAGGCCTGAGAATCTGGGGTGCCCTGTTGTAATTCCCTGGAGCCCAAAAGCTGGAGAACCTGGAGTTCTGGTGCCCAATGGCAGAAAAAGGGTGTCCCAGCTACAGCACAGAGAGAGCAAATTTACCCTTCCTTTGCCTTTTGTGTTCTCTCATCCAAACAGGATCTCAGCTGTTGGGATGATGTCCACTTACATTGATGGCGGATCTTCCTTATTCGGTCCCTTAATTCAAAAACCAGTCTCTCCAGAAACATCTTCTCAGACATACCCAGAAAGAATGCTTTTACCAGTTCTCTAGGTATTCCTTAATCCACTCAACTTAACACCTAAAATTCCATCCCAGGTACTCCTGATTATTTCATTGTTTCAGTAATTCTGATGTTCACCGTTAATTTAGTATCACTTAAGAGGAAGGAAAAGAAAGATTGACAATTCCAAATTATTAATGAATTTCTCCCATTTTCAGAAATATTATGAAAATATGTCTTAGAGTAATTTTTGTTAATAATGATGTCAATGATGGATGGAGCATTTCTGGAATCTCATCTTTATTGTTGGAAGAGTCTACATTCATGGAACACAACATCTATCAGGGCTAGTATATAATGTCAAACTTTATGTTACTTGCTTTAAGGTTAATCAGTCTCATCATTTTTTAATCATTTATCTTGAAAGCGAAATTATTCCTATATGGGTTAAGCAATTAAAATGTTAAACTTTTTAGGAGTTAATAAGTATTTTAATACACTGAAATGTGATTGAGTGTCTCTATTTATGTCACAGAGTCACAGAGATGGAAACACTCTTAAAATGTAATGATCTAATTATATGAATTATTAATCTGAAGTCTAAGGAAGCTAAATAGCTTGCCAAAGGTTGTACTGCTGCTTTTTTTCTGCTACTAGTTTTGTATATATGTCTCTTATTTTCAGAAAAAGATAACGATAGCAGTTTCCAATAGTACCTTACGCAGAATAAGTACTCAATAAATGCATGTTGGTTTGTTGCAATAAACACCCACATAAAAATAAAAGTTGTATTGGCCATATATGAAGTTTCTTTGCTTTTTACAGGTTGTATCTGCCCTAAAGGAGTATTTTTGTGAATCAAAAATTTTAAGAAAATGTTCTGATCTTAAATTGGAAGTGACTTCCAGTATTCTTCTAAATTTCTTTACCTATGCCCATTTCCTTCTCTTAGTTTCTCTGTTGAGTAGTTAATGATCTGTTAAGATGCACTTCAATACATTAGAGTGTCCACATTCTTAAAAGAACATTGCTTGAGCAAAATAACCCATTTGAAATTTGAATTATTCGCTGTCTTGCTGCTTAAGATGAGTTTAAATACAACCGGAGACATACCTTCAGTTCTACCATTCTTCTCACCTTTCTTGATAATGGTAGTAACTAAATCTTTCTAATAAGAATAATTTTATTTAAATAAATACAACCTTTTTAGGCAATTCCTCCTCTCCATTAAAAGAAACATAATTTATCTATTTATTTAAGCCAAACAACAAATCTTCAGTTCTCCCCTTGTCTACCTCTATTACCACTGCCCTAGTGTCAATTATTATCATCTCTCTCTAAAGGCACCTTGTTGGTAGTCGATAGTCTCAATCCAGGCTTACTGTCTCCTAACCAATCTTTCAACTGCTGCCTGAGAAATGTAAATCTGACCATTCTGCACCCATATGAATGCTCTCTATAGCCGCAGGGTTAAGCACTACATGGCATATAAAACTACCATGACCTGGTCCTGCATTCAATTACAGCCTCATTTCTCCGCTCTAGTAACATTCAAGGGCTTCTCTTTATACAGCCTGCTGTTTAGTGGTTAAATTATTTCCCTCCAGCTCATTTGAACTCCCATACATTCCCCACTGTCACCACAATGTATGTGTCAGTCTGTATGCTAAACTTAACATGCTAAACAGAATGTACATATGGGTCTAACATGTTGGAATCTAAATCCCTCAAGGATAGGGGCTATCTTGTCTTCATATATGTTCAATAGTTGTAGATTATTTCAATTTAAAATTATAGCAAATTGGTCTTGAATGTCACTTAAGCATTTTGTTGTTTCCACCCCTGGACAACTCATTGTTGAACTCATCTTTCTCAAGGATGTAGATAGAGCCCCCATTTTTTTCCTGATATTCTTGCATTTAACTACCATAGCTTACTGAATAAAAGCAGCTGAATTTGATCCATGTTTAATGTCATTTTCTTAATCTTTCTGGACTTGGATATGCTTTTTAGAAAAATTCTTTTTTTCTTACATAAATATCTAGAACAGTGCCTATCAATAAATAATCATTGAGCTGAAATAAGCTATAATATTGTGGTTCCAATCGGATATTGGTTTATACCCCTCGATTTTAATCATCATAGTCAACTTAAAATGCCTTTGTATGAGATTTTTCAATTGTTTTCATTTAATGTAGTGTGGATTCCAAGCTATATGGGAATGGAACATTCTTTTCCAGGTTA
Source organism: Homo sapiens (assembly GCF_000001405.40). NCBI lineage: Eukaryota > Metazoa > Chordata > Mammalia > Primates > Hominidae > Homo > Homo sapiens. The sequence continues at coordinate 77,886,963 of NC_000012.12, forward strand.
ATGGGACTTTGACAACAGTTTTTCATGTTCACTAAACAAACATGAATTAGGTTCCAGGTATAATGTTAGTAGCTAATGATACAAATATTGACCTTGCGTTAGAGAAGAACCCATTCTGGAGAAATAGAGGAACCTCTCACAGTGGCTTTTCAGCATAGGTGCATTTAATTAGGAAATTCAGTGATAGGAGCTGGTAAGAAAGGGAGAGAGTGAGGGTAGACTTAAAGAGAAAATAATATAAATGCTATGAAAAAATTCTGCCCACCATTCCATATAGTTTTGCTCTTTGGTAATCATGAGATGGAAGACTTAGATCCCTTAGTTGGCTTCAATTTCTACACAACTATATAGGGTTGAATCCTTAAAACTACATATCTTCTGCTTCAGTGGGAACTTAGAATTTTCAAGGGAAAATTCAAGTATGAGTACTTATTGCCTTATGTGGTAACTTCAAAACCAGTATCCAGGGAAAGATCGTGACAATATGATTAGGGCTGGGGTTAAGTTTTATTGAAATTCATATTTATTTTTGTGATTATGTGACACTTGTTTTTCTCCACTAGATTATAAACTACATGATAACAAAGGCAATATCTACTTTGTTTATTCTTATGTGATTAGCATTTTGCAAAAGCCCCAAGATTTAATAGAAAATAAATATTTGTTGGATGAGTGGAGTTATTCCACGTTAATCTCCTTTTTCCACTTTGAGAGACTTATTTAGAGAGTGCTAATACTTTTGTGAAATATTTTTAGAGTTTTAAACTAATTCAATATATAAAAATTAATTTAAAAGTAAGTAGTAAACTGTAAAATAACTAAACCTCATTTCATCCACAAAATTCAGTGAAGCTTATAACAAGGTTTTTTAAGATATGAAACATTATCCAACAAAGCAATAAAATTGATGTTATCAGAAATTTTTAAATCATGTTATTGTAATTATGCATTTAATTATTTCAGTTTTTAGATATCTAAGAGGGAAAAAAGAGATAATGGGAATAGATCGAATGTTACAGTGGCAAACAATAAAGCGTATCTAAAGACACAAAAGTTGTTGAGTTTTTTTTTTCTGGAATGAATTCCTTAAGTGCTTTCTGGTCATGGTTCCTTAAATGAGGAATATGCGGTAAAATATGATGATTTTAACCATGGGTTTGCAAAAGATTTAGGAAGGTTATTTAAATGTACATTTTAAACCCATACTCTAACTAAAGTGGTTATCATTGTATACAATTATCCAAATAGGCCAAGCATGGTGGCTCATGCCTGTAATCCCAAGGAGGTAGAGGCAGGGGGATTACTTGAGACCAGGAGTTTGAGACTCAACTGAGACCCCCATCTCTACAAAGAAATAAATAAAAATTAGCCTGACATAGTAGCATGTGACTATAGTCCCAGCTACTGGGGAGGTTGAAGCAGGAGGATTGTTTTGGCCTAGGAGGTCAAGACTGCAGTGAGCCGCGATCATGTCACTGCACTCCAGCCTGGACAGCACAGCAAGACCCTGTTTTAAAAATTAACCAATTAAATAATTAAATAATTTCTGCAGTGAGCTTAATGGCTGATTTTGTTTTTGAAATACTTTATCTTAATACAGTAAGACAAAGTAATGAAGAGAAGCATAAGTTAATAGCCTCATTAAGTTTTGCCCTCAAATGTTATGTCCCAAGTAAGTCTTTGGGTTGGAGTCAATTCCTGGTTGAATTATCTAATATGTATCCAAAGATCCTATAGTTTATGCTGATTAAGAATGACCTGTATGTATTAAGCATTGTGTATGTGGGATGTGGAATTGGCATGAGTCACTGAATGTTCTAAGTCTTCAAATGTTTTTATCTTTGTTTTCTCAGAGAGGTGAGTCATATGTGTGTGACTGTGGATAGGACCGGTGTTCTTCTGCTCAATAACATACATACTCAGGGGGAACTCCATCTTGTTCTATATAATATGGACAAGTGATTTCTTGAAAAAAATTTTAGGACAGATTTGGTCAATTGAGTGTTTTAATCTCAGAATAACCTCAATGCCCTCCAAACCTGCATCTGCTGGGCCCAGCATGATGGTTAGCATCCACCTTTTGTGTGGTGCAATGGTTTATTTTATGTGTCAACTTGACTGGACAATGGAGTGCCAAGACTTTTGGTCAAACATTATTTTGGGTGTGTATATGAAGGCGTCTGGATGAGATTAACATTTAAATCAGTAGACTGAATAAAGCAGATTGCCCTCCCTATTATTGGTGGGCCTCATCCAATCAATTGAAGATCCAAGTAAAACAAAAATGCTGATTAAGAGGGAACTTTACCTGCCTGACTACTTGAGCTGAGACATCAGTCTTCTGTCCTGGGACTGCAGCTTGCACCATCAGCTCTCCTGCTTCTCATGCTCTCAGACTTGGACTGGAACTACACCACCATCTTTCCTGAGTCTCTAGCTTGCTGGCTACAGATCTTGGGCCTTTTCAGCCTTCATAATTAGTTCTGTTTCTCTCGCAAACCATGAGTAATATAGGTAGACATATCTATGGCTGAAATACTGGACAATTAATGGAAATGTGACTATTTTAACTACTCTAAGTTAATTCAATAATAACTCAGTAAATATTATTTTACTTTGCAATGATTCATGTTATACTGAACTCTATAAGTTGTTATGTTGAACATAAAATAAAGTACTTTATCATTCATATTCATGACTTTTCTGTTTAGGATTAATGGTATTAAATAGTTGAAACAGTTGTTAGTAGAGATGTAAATTAATTAATAACTTTAGGTTTTTCTCAATATCACTCTGAAGTACAATTTATATGTATAGTGTGAAAGAAGATACTAGTTGAAGACTAGCATATTTTAGCATAAGAAAATATGTCCAATGGTTATGATGTTCTTATGCATCTGGTATATTTTTCAGGGTATACATAGATCAGCCGTTATAAGTTTGAACTCTGTATAAGTACATACAGTAGTTATCATTCTTGGCCTATAGCTATCTGAAGTCCAACTGGAATAACCAGTCAAAACTGACACCAAAACCAGTAGGTGAGGGAAATAACACAAAAACCAGTAGGTGAGGGAAACCTAAGAAGCTGAACTGAATTCTCGAATTATATCTTATGTTAGTCTCATAAAGCTTTATTTTATAAATTATTCTTATAAACAAACTATAATTCAAATTGAATCAAGTCTCAGTTCTCAGTTGATCACTGCAAACTCCGCTCCACAGCTCAAGCAGTCTTTCTACCTCAGCCTCCCAAGTAGCTGAGACGACAGGTGCCTGCCTGTCACTATGTCTGGCTTTTTATTTTTATTTTTATTTATTTTTTGTATTTTTAGTAGAGATGGGGTTTCACCCTGTTGCCCAGGCTGGTCTCAAACTCCTTAGCTCAAGCAATCCCCTCACCTCTGCCTCCCAAAGTGCTGGGATTACAGGCATGAACCACTGTACCAGCCTCAGTTGAATTTTTTGATGAATGCATTTCCTGAGGACTCTGCTATTAGCAACATATTTTCATTTCTTTAATTGTAAATGAATTATGAAATAAATATGATAAATACAATATTTATATGTTAGCTTGTATTTGCTTCCTACATGGTTATCAATAGTTGTTTCCATGTCTATTTCTTACCTTTCTTTAAAAATGTAGTGAGAACCTCTGTTTTTACTTTGATATTTTTACGATTCTTCATCGAGTAAATGCCTGCTCTATATTGACTCAGAAAAATATCCAGAAATTACAATATAACAACTATAAAATTAGAATTTAAAGTATGTAGATGGCTTCTTACACAAAGTAGTTACTTCACAATAAGTATTCATTGAATATGTGTAAACATCTCACACAGCTATCTGTAAACTCTGCAGGAAAGCTGCACGAGTTCTCCTGAAAGTAAATTCAAGTTACAGCAACATCTGAAATGCCTATAATGTTGCAGAAACTAGTTCAAAGAGAGGAATCATACACAATGTTCTAATATGATAAATGATTTCATAATTTAGACAAAAGGTAATTCTCCAAAGCAGACTGTGATTAGTCAAATATTTTCCATCCTTTTTTTTTAAGTAAGATTATCCCATTTCATAAATAGGACTCCCTGTTAATTTAGCATTCATGATGAAATATTAGAAGTTTTTCTTGGTATTCCTGTCTTAAATGTTGACAAATAAAACAAACTCAAATAACAAAATAATTTAAATTAAATATAATTTTCCCAGTAATTTAGGTAGGGCCTTTTGTATCTATGCTGTGATTTAATATCAATTTATAAAGATAAATTTATAAAGATAAATACATTTATAAAGATAAATTTATAAAGATAATATAATTTAATATAAATTTATAAAGATAAATTTATAAAGATAATATAATTTAATATAAATTTATAAAGATTACTTCAATACTAACTCAGTAAATGTTTCTATGGTGAGCATCTTTTTCATATTATGTTGAACCCAAAATATCCTCAAAAGTGCCTTGTCTTTATATCTCTTTGTTTATATCTTCTGCAGATAAATATATGTAGTCTTTTTGGACAGGTGGCCATTTCACTTATTCTCAAATCCAGATTTTTTTTCAGTACTTTTAAATAACGTTCCAGTCCTATTATTTATGACTTGATACATGTTTTTGAACAGCAACAACCTAAGTTAAAGTGACTTTAAAAAATGTACTCGGTCATAGAAATCACAGACAGGGCTAATAACTTAACAAACACTGTTTAGTGAAACTGAAGCTTAGAGAGTTTAAGGACTTGTACATGACCCCAAAGCCAGCAGCTGCAGAGACGGCTTTAAAGTCTTGCTTTCCAGTGTAATGCTTTTCTGTGTTACACTCTGCTGCCTTCCAGAGAAGAACCACTCATCTTAAGTGCTGGCTCCCTTGTCCATTTATTTTATCCTACCTGGAAGGTGTCATTGAACCCTTCATTCTCTCCCTTCTTTGCCCCAGGACCAACAGCCTTGCAGGTGTGGTTCCTCAGCCACTGGTCTAGTAGAAGCCTGTGGGGAGGGAAGTCATTTCTGTACTCTTTGTCAGTTTCATGGGTTTAGAGAAATTGACCTACACAGAAATTTTTCAAACTTATTTGACATGGAACACTTTTTATAATTATTTTTGTCAGATTCTCATATTGAAAAGATACTCACAGGTAATCTGTGGAAATAATTCAAACTGACATTAAAATAGAAAGCAAATGCACTCATAAATTTATTAATTGCTGAAATAAATGATCAAAGATTGACTTATGTTTATTGTGCAATAAAGATGTTGAAGTTGTAAGACAGGGTCCATGATATAGTTGTAATCATTGAGTAGAAACATTCAATGCAAAAGTGAATTGGCAAATGTTGTCTATATTTTCTTGCTGATGGAAAATTATTTATTTGTGCATTAGGTGATCACCAAGGGTTTCCTCAAATTCATAGAGGGGGCAAGCCCTAAAATTAGACCATTTGAATTTTTTTTTTTTTTTTAGACAGAATCTTGCTCTGTCACCCATACTGGAGTGCAGTGGCATGATCTCAGCTCACTGCAGTCTCCGCCTCCTGTGTTCAAGCAATTCTCCTGCCTCAGCCTCCTGAGTAGCTGGGACTACAGGTGCATGGCACAACACCTGGCTAATTTTTTGTATTTTTAGTCAAGATGGGGTTTCACGGTGTTAGCCGGGATGGTCTCAATCTCCTGACCTTGTGATCCACCCACCTTGGCCTCTCAACGTGCTGGGATTACAGGCGTGAGCCACTGCGCCCGGCCCAACTATCTGAATTTTATTTCAGCATTTCCATTTACTGGCTGTAGATTTTGAGAAAATTATTTGAACCTATTAAACGTCATTTCCTTGATCTCAAAATTATAATGATGAGGATAAAATATACGCAAAGTGCTTAGTGTGGTACCTGGTAAAAAGTGATAAATTTATGTTGGCTATTAAAAGGGAAAAGAAAATAGAAGCCATAATTGTTGGTGGGTAACTAATTTTGATATTAGTTAAGTGAAGTAGCATTACTATAAATTACGAGTTTCATGAGATTCCTTCTGTGCCATTGAGTGACACCTGTTAACATCTCACTGGATGTTAGGTTTCTGAAGAACATGGGTTTGGATGGACTGAATTAGTTATAAGAATTTCCTCTATCTCTAATTGTAGGATTTTTACTTGCATAGCATGTAAAGGATCTTTATAAATATAAAATAGGATGCAAAGAAACAAAAAGGAATCAAAGAAGGAAAATTTGAATTTTTAACAACCTCAGGAATGAGGTAGATAACCAACTACAGTTACATTATGCTGTAAATTTTCTAATCACAAAGTTTATAGAGGGCACATTCTATCAAAGCAAACCATTTCTTTGAAGTTTACTGGTAAGTCAGTAACAGTAACTGACCAATATGCTATGCTGACTAATATGAAGTTTTTTCTCAAGCATAAAACTGAGAGAAGGGATTGAGATTGTTAAACAAAAGACACAGTTGAAGCTTATAATACTAATGTATTGATATTAGAGTTGAAATGCATAGAATATTTATATTGACATTGTCATGTCTGTATATTGATACATGGCATCTTATTAAAAATGAATTGATTAAAAAGAAAGTTTATTAATGAAAAAACTCAGATAGCCAAACTAAAAAAAAAAAAGAAAACTTGGGGGGATTGTAATTGTACGCCAGCTTATTCTGACTTTCAAGGATGAGTTTTACTCAAAGACAAAAATCAAGAATAGTAAGTAGAATTAGTTGGCAAGAATAATACCTTACTCGAATGAGGCTTTGGAACAGTGACTACAGCAACTTCCATGTAGAATTTTTCCAGTGGTGGTTAAATCAAAGGAAGGCAAGAGCCAGAGAAATATCTTCAAGTTGCTCTAAGAATTTTTGTTTAATTGTTGATGTTAAAACTACAAGTGTACTACTTATATATTGCTCTCCTCTATCGAGTTACACTAACTTATTCCAAGAAAACTAAAGCCCAAAGTGTATTCATTTTCAGCAGAAAATACCAAGGATGACACAGGACAAGTTATTTTTGCCTTTCAGTGAGGTTACCTTCCTCTAATTTACTCCTTGACCCTTACCTGGTTTCCTCTTTCAAATGCATAGTTTGATCTACTGAATTCCAGAACTTCAGCTTCCTCCTTACCTCCTGACTTCCAGAAACTACAGCAGATGGACTTTGGTTTGTTGATGTTGGAACTTTGCCCAGCACTTGCCCAGATCTTTTGCCAATTGACTAACAAGATAGTGTTGTTGTCACCACCCCCCACCCCAGCATGACAATTATGAACATAACCTAGAGAGATTTCTATCCCCAAAATAAGATTACAAATAAAGTTTATAACCCAAGATAAAGGTTAGAGAAAATGTACATCTGTTATTATAGTCTTTAAATCTTGGTCAAAGTGATATTTCATGTTAATATAAACATTTTAATAATTTAGATTTGCAAAATGTAATAATTTAGATTTGCAAAATAAGCCAGAAATCTGGAATTTTATGTAAAAGTTTCGAGTTTAAAAAACAACAATAAGCTACCCATAATAACAACATGAGAGAGAAACTTGATTAATAGAAAGAACCAAATTATCGAGATTTGATTACTTTAACCAACCCTCACTAGGCCACCAGCAAAATTAGAAAGAACTAGCCAGTAGCTACCACAGAAGTTGCAAACTCAAATAAATGTCTATGAAGATAAGACAAGATCCCTATTTTGAATAAGAGTAAATGAGTGAAAAGCGCTGAGTAGAAGCAACAGAATGTGGTAGGGAGAGTTGGGTAACTGAAGAGTACAGGCTCTGTATGAAAGGGAAAGCTCCCGCTCATTGCTGACATGCAAGAATGTGGACTCAGTGTAGACAGATCTCATTTCTCAAAATAAGCCAGAAACCTGGAATTTTATGTAAAAGTTTCAAGTTTAAAAAACTGGCTAAAATCTTTTTGAAACACTGTGCTTGCCAAATACAGCATCTTTGGAGAGCTTCATCCAGTTCACTACTGTGCTCTAGCAGATATTCCTCCGGTATCCCTATTTTCTTGACTTCAAATGCCCCCATCTGCAGAGGAGTAACTTATTAAAATATTAGTAACTTAAAGCACATTCAAAAGAGATGTGTGATGATGAGATCTGAAAGAAGAAAGAGAGATAGAAAAAGGACAGGAGTGTTTCTTGAAAAAAAAAATTCTCACAGATTCACCTAACATAGACTTTGCATTCCTATGACCCTACTGACAGAAATGCAGATATTCAATATGAATAGAGTAATCAACAAAGGAAGATAGAAGGTCAACAGAAAATTAATTGCTATTCTGTCAAAGGACATTTTAATTTTAAAATAGGTTTAGAATGATTGTGTGTGTGTGTGTGTGTGTGTGTGTGTTTATTTTGTGGGGAGGAGGAAGGTGGAGAATAGCAGATTGTGGGTGATATAATTTGTAAAACTTGCTGGCCAGCCATCTCATGGTAAACAAGAAAGGAAACATTATTTGAGTTTTGGGCATGCAGCAAGATATAAAACTTAGAATCTACTCTCCAAATAAAAGCTAAGTGTGATGATTAGAACCTGCCTTTTTATTATTTTTGCTTTGATTTTATGTTAATATTCTCAGTAGTTCTCTAATTGGAAACTTTTACCCCTGAGCTATGTATAAAACATGCTAAGTTTTGTATTTTCTTAAATATTTAAAAGTATCTGCATTAAATAGTTATCATGACTGTTTCAAATCTGTTTTCCTTCAATGCTACCCCATCCTCTACTACCACATATATGTACCCTCTTGTTTTTTTTTTTTTTTTAATCCTGTCTGGAAACATTTACCCAAATGTTCCTTTTTAAACAAAATACACAGATCTGATAAAAGGTGTCATGTTTCCCAGTCCTTTTCAAAGAACTCATATAAAAGTATAAATTATAATTTATAACCACTGACAGGGGGATCTAATTATATTCTAGCCTTTTATGGCCATTTAGACTGCCTTTTGATCTCAATTTCCAGTAAAAAAAAAAAAAAAAAAAAAAAAGAGGAACTCTTTTATGCTATTTTTAAGACAGTGAAAATCTTTTACAAAAATGAGAAAGTGCCAATGTTAGAAAATTAATGAATTAAACAATATAGTAAGGATGTATTTTTAATTTAATCACATCTAATACCACTAACCACAATCATTTTCAAGAGACAGATCGCTACTACCTTATCCTCTGGTTTAATTGTCAGGCCACAGAATTAACCTAAAGATTAACAGTGAACTCTGAAGTTCACTGTAAGTCGATATAGTAAGATAGCTCATGGGTCTGCCTGCACATCATAACCAGTTTCATAGTGAAAATATTAATGTAACAAAACAGGATACCACAAAAGGATCCCAAACTAGGGCTCTTAATTCTGATCCTCTGTTTTCCTTAGATGTGTTTTACATTAGAGATTCAAATTCACAGTATTATATCTCAGACTTTGTCTTAGGTACTAGAAATTGAGAGGTGGATAAGACCAGGTGTTACAAAGTCAAAAATTTAAAGAGTATTGGCAGGTAAATATAAATAATTGATGTGGAAAAAAGTATAGAATATGATCCAACTTGGTCTATATTTGTTCCTTCTTAATTTTGACAAAGACATGGGGGAATATGGAAAAATATTTCTCTACTAAACAAATGAACATAACAATTGCATTATGAATAGCAAATGGTCTCTGCCTCTATCAGGGATTTACTTAGCAGTGAAGGTGGCTATGGAGAAGTGGAGGGAACACGCTTCCTCTAAAGGGGTAACTCTCACTCAGCTCCAGTTGATGGTTGCCAGGTAGAACTTCAAGCTGCTCAATGCCAGCTGTCCTAAGTATTTTAGGAGAGCCAGGAAACCCAATTTTGATGTGAAACCCTTGCTTTTTCCATGTAGACTTTAAACTGTCTGGGCCAAACAGAGCAAAGCTTTAGGTCATGGCCTGTGGGAGGTAGATGAACAGCCACAAAAGATCTACATCAGACTCTTCAATCCCTCACCCTTCTGTACCTCCCTGATCAAAGTGTGGTCTGTTGACCAGAGGCATGGGCATCACCTGAGAGCTTGTTAAAAATATCGAATCTCAGATCCTGCTCCAGACCTGGTGAAACACAATCTGCATTTGAACAAGCCCACACATGATTTGTAGTCTCATAATATATTTGACAAGCACCAGTCTAGGAAGGCATCTAGAGGAAGAAATTGATTTTTCTCCAAAGACCATGACTTTTAAATCTTCCCTGGTGATTTTCTATTGTGATTTCCCATGTCCACTGTTGACTATATCGTGAATACTTGGTCCGTTTTGGAAATCAGCAAATCTTAATTCTCATGGAAGTAAATCTTTGGTACCTGCTACCAGCAGTTTCAGTAAATGATTAGTGCACACTAGCACACATATCACATGCCTCCTTTCATGCGATAGCTTTGAATATTGACTGGCATTTTCCATGTAATCCTAGAACTCTGACCCCATTCTCTTTTGCCCTTTCACCTCATCTCTGCTTTTTGATATTTCCTATATCCATGAACAAAGAGGTCTTTTCCTTGCCAGACCTTGGTTGTACTTCTGTTGGCTTCAGTTTCAAGTAACTTCACAGCAGTTTGAATTGCAAGCTGGTAAGCTGTCCTAGGCTTCATACTTATCTGGCTCCTGTGGCTCCCTCTTTGACTTATTTCTCCATGAGTTGTACCTATAGTCTCTATTGGCCAATCCTGGGCTCCTATTTTGTCTTTTTTTTTTTTCTTTTTCTTTTAGGGGTGGGGATTGTTGGCAGATGTTTGTGGGAGTATATATCTGTAATATGTCTTTATTCATTGGCATGCTTGCTACCCAAAGCATTGTGAGAATTGCTACCACACTAAAGAAGCCTCAAGAGTGTGTATCTTTGTATTTACCATGGATTCTACTCTTGTTAAATGCAACTTCCAATCTCATAGTCTTTTGTTTCTTCACAGCTCTGCCTCCGAGTGGTTGGCCTCCCAGCTAAACTCACGCTGGATGACTTTAGGTCACAAGGAGTTTTCCTTTTAAGCACCTATATTTGTTTGATGATTTGCTGCTTTTTTATTTTCACTTCATTTGTTTCTTATAACCATTACAGATTATTTTTATTCACATTTTATAGAAGAAAATGAGATGATTATGGAAATTAACTACCTAGACGAATATCACACACACTTGAACAAACACTAGATTTTTGGCATTTGGTATTTTTTATATTATATCATGATTTCCGTCCCAACCATCAGAAAGCCTCTAATAATACATTTGCATTTCATTTCGTTTTAAATATCATCGAACTTGTCAAACATTATAAGTTTTTATCACAGACTTAAGTATATTTAAAACATATTTCAAATTGGCAAAAATGTAGTATATAATACATGATCCTACTATATTTACAATAAGAGAAAATGAATAAATTTTGGAGTGAATATATAGACGCAAACAAATTGAAATAAGGTATTGAACATTTTTCAGAAAAAAATAAACTTGATGAAGATGTAGGCCACTTTAATTTAAGTAAATAATTGAAAGAATTAAAAAGTGTTCGTATTCATTCAGCAACTATTGATTGTGTCCCTTCAGTATTATTCACTGTTTTAGGCAAAGTATGTGATCAGTGGAAGATGATAAACATAGGCCTCCTGACATCATGGGTTGAGGAACACAGATAAAATCAACATAATTTCCTGTCAAAATGGTTGTCCGTTCTATAAGTAATAATCATTATAATTTTCTAAAACGTGGACAAATATAGATGAGCTTACTATAGCTTTCAAGACTTTCAACTCTCACTCTAAGAAATACATTTCATAAGTCTAGAGCTGCCATAGTGATTCCTCTGATGGATCTGAGCAGAGTAAATTGAAAACCTTCTGGAAAGGATTCACCATTATAGATGTCAAAGGGCATTCGTGATTCATGAAAGGATGTCAAAATGTTAATATTAACAGGAGTTTGGAAGAAGTTGTTTCTAACTATTATGGATGACTTGAAGGGGCTCATGACCCACCATGGGAAGTAACTGCTGATGTGGTAGGAATAGCAAGAGCAAGAGAACTGAAATCAGAAGTGGAGCCTGAAGATATGACTGACCTGCTGCAACCTCATGATAACACTTGAACAGATGAGGAGTTGCTTCTTATGGAGGAACAAAGAAAGTGGTTTCTATTCTTGAGATAGAATCTACTTTTGGTAAAGATGCTGTAAACATTGTTGAAATGACAAAAAGGATTTACAGTATTATATAACTTAGTTGATAAAGCAGCAGCAGAGTTTGAAAGGATTGGGTCTAATTTTCAAAGAAGTTCTATTGTGGGTAAAATGCTATCCAACAGCATTGCATGCTGCAGAGAACTCTTTCATGAAAGTCAGTTGATGCAGCAAATTTCACTGTCATCTTACTTAAATTGCCACAGTCACCCCAATTTCATCAACCACCACCCTGATCAATCGGCAGCTGTTGACCTTGAGAAAAGACTTCCAACCAGCAAGAAGATTACAATTCCCTGAAGCCTCAGATGATTGTTAGCACTGTTAAGCAATAAGGTATTTGTAATTAAGGTATGCACATTACATTTTTAGACGTAATACTCATGCACACTTAATAGACTACAGTATAGTACAAACATAACTTTTACATGAGGTAGAAAACTAAAAATTGTGTGACTTGCTTTATTGCACTATTTGGTTTAATGTAGTGTTCTGGAATGGAACGTGCAATATCTCCAAGGTGTTCCTGTATCTAAATAATAAAATGAGGCATATTTTACATGTCCGGAATTTAAAAGTTTGTATGCCTTTTTCAAAAAATAAAGCGTTAATTCACTAGCTATGAGAAACCCATCATTTAACCAACTTAATATCTATTAGTAATACATATTTCTTTTTTCCTTAATGCGCTAGCACTTTATTTATTAATCGTTTTAATTTTAGATTCAGGAGGTACATGTGCACGCTTGTTACATGGGTATATTGTGTGAGGCTGAGGTTTGGGGCACCAATGATCCTGTCCCCCAGACAGTGAGAATAGTATCCAACAGGAAATTTTTCATCTCTTGCCCCTGTCCCTCTCTCCTCTCTCTAGTGGTCCTCAGTGTCATTGTTCTCAATTTTTTTTTTTTTTTTTTTGAGTTGGAGTCTCACTCTTTCGCCCAGGCTGGAGTGCAGTGGCACGATCTCGGCTCACTGCAACCTCCGCCTTCTGGGTTCACGCCATTCTCCTGCCTCAGCCTCCCGAGTAGCTGGGACTACAGGCGCCCGCCACCACGCCCAGCTAATTTTTTGTATTTTTAGTAGAGACAGGGTTTCACCATGTTAGCCAGGATGGTCTCGATCTCCTGACCTCATGATCTGCCCGCCTTGGCCTCCCAAAGTGCTGGGATTACTGGCATGAGCTACCACACCTGGCCTGTTCTCATCTTTGTATCCATGTGTACTCAGTGCTTAGCTCCCACTCATAAGGAGGACATGCAGTCTTTTTCTGTTCCTGCATTAATTCACTTAGGATAATGGCCTCCAGATGCATCCATGTTACAACTAAGTAGATGATTTCATTATTTTTTATGGCTGCATAGTATTCCATGGCGTGTGCACATGCACACGCGTATGTGTGTGTGTGTGTGTATTATATTTTCTTTATCCAGTCTACCATTTATGGTCTTCTAAGTTGATTCCATGTCTGTTATTGTGAATAGTGCTGCGATTAACATACAAGAGCATATGTCTTTTGGTTGAATAATTTATGTTCCTTTGGTTATATAACCAGTAATGAGATTGCTGGGTCAAATAAATGGTAGTTCTCTTTTAAGTTCTTTGAGAAATCTCCAAACTGCTTTCCACGGGGTCACCCACCAAGAGTGTATAAGCATTTATATTCTTACCAAGAATGTATAAGCATTCCCTTTTCTCTGCAGCCTTGCTAGCATCTGTAGTTTGTTGACTTTTTCATAATAGCCATTCTGGCTGGTTTGAGATGGTATCTTATAGTGGCCTTGATTTACATTTCTCTGATGATTAGTGAGGTGGAACATTTTTTCATGTTTGTTGGCCCCTTGTATGTCCATTTTGCGAAGTATCTGTTCATGTCCTTTGCCAACTTTTTAATGAGGTTATTTGTTGTTTGCTTTGATTAAGTTCCTTACAGATTCTGGATATTAGGCCTTTGTTGGATGCACAGTTTGAGAATATTTTCTCCCATTTTATAGATTGCGTATTTACTCTATTGATAGTTTCTTCTGCTCTGCAGAAGCTCTTTAGTTTAAGTAGGTCCCACTTGTCAATTTTTGTTTTTGTTGCAATTGCTTTTGAGGACTTAGTCATAAATTATTTCCCAAGGCCAATATCAAAAACTGTATTTCCTAAATTTTCTTCTAGGATTCTTAGAGTTTGAGTTCTTACAAGTATATCTTTAATCCACCTTGAGTTGATTTTTGTATACGGTGAAAGGTAGGCACAGGTTTCAGGCCAGGTGTGGTGGCTCACGCCTGGAATCCCAGCACTTTGAGAGGCTGAGGCGGGTGGATCACCTGAGGTTACGAGTTTGAGACCAGCCTGGCCAACATGGTGAAACCCCATCGCTACTAAAAATACAAAAATTAACCAGGCGTGGTGACAGGTGCCTGTAATCCCAGCCACTTGGGAGGCTGAGGCACGAGAATCACTTGAACGCAGGAGGCAGAGATTGCAGTGAACTGAGATCGCACCACCGCCAGCCTGGGCAACAGGGTGAGACTCTGTTTCAAAAAAAGAAAAAAAGAAAAGAAAGGTAAGGGTCCAGTTTCATTCTTCTTCGTATGGCCCATGGCTGCCTGTTGATACCAGTCTCAGCTGAGCTACTTTGGCTCCTCAAAGAGGAGGCATCTCTTCCTCATTAGTTTCTGTTTGGAGTCCCCAAATTTGCTTGGATATGCAGCTCTGAGATGCCCCAGTACTGTTTTTCCGGGTAACATGTTAGGGGTGACCTTTGGATGTAACAATAGTTGTCCACCATATGTATATGCTTAATAGTACTTGGGGAAGAAGATATAGGAATTTAATAAGTGATTTTCTCAAAATTGTCTCTACCTTTACCTCTGAAACTAGTGATATATATACATAATTTTCATATCTGACATTAAATTTTAATTATAATATGTTGTTTGCAAAAATTATCTCCTGAAACTTTAGTTGTCGAGTTATTTTATTGGTAGTGGAACATCTCTTAATTATCTCTCTTACTTAATCATCTGTAATCAGGATGCTACTTTGCCGGAAATTGGTTTCTAGACTCATTGTTTTCACTCTGTGAATTGTTCAGTTCCATCAAAGCAGGGGTTTGACTGGCTGACCAGCCATTTCATAGAAAGAACTATTTTGTTTTTTAATGTTGTGTAAACAGACCATGATTTTGAAACTGAGCCTATGAAAAATACAGTAAAGAGATACATCCCATCAATACCTAATTTATTGAGAGTTTTCAGCATGAAGTGTTGTTGAATTTTGTCAAAGGCCTTTTCTGCATCTATTGAGACAATCATGCGGTTTTTGTCATTGGTTCTGTTTATATGCTGGATTAACCCACAGCCAATATCATACTGAATGGGCAAAAACTGGAAGCATTCCCTTTGAAAACTGGCACAAGACAGGGATGCCCTCTCTCACCACTCCTATTCAACATAGTGTTGGAAGTTCTGGCCAGGGCAATCAGGCAGGAGAAGGAAATAAAGGGTATTCAATTAGGAAAAGAGGAAGTCAAATTGTCCCTGTTTGCAGATGACATGATTGTATATCTAGAAAACCCCATCGTCTCAGCCCAAAATCTCCTTAAGCTGATAGACAACTTCAGCAAAATCTCAGGATACAAAATCAATGTGCAAAAATCACAAGCATTCTTATACACCAATAGCAGACAAACAGAGAGCCAAATCATGAGTGAACTCCCATTCACAATTGCTTCAAAGAGAATAAAATACCTAGGAATCCAACTTTCAAGGGATGTGAAGGAACTCTTCAAGGAGAACTATAAACCACTGCCCAATGAAATAAAAGAGGATACAAACAAATGGAAGCACATTCCATGCTCATGGGTAGGAAGAATCAATATCGTGAAAATGGCCATACTGCCCCAGGTAATTTATAGATTCAATGCCATCCCCATCAAGCTACCAATGACTTTCTTCACAGAATTGGAAAAAACTACTTTAAAGTTCATATGGAACCAAAACAGAGCCCGCATCGCCAAGACAATCCTAAGCCAAAAGAACAAAGCTGGAGGCATCACGCTACCTGACTACAAACTATATTACAAGGCTACAGTAACCAAAACAGCATGGTACTAGTACAAAAACAGAGATATAGACCAATGGAACAGAACAGAGCCCTCAGAAATAATGCCGCATATCTACAACCATCTGATCTTTGACAAACCTGTCAAAAACAAGCAATGGGGAAAGGATTCCCTATTTGATAAATGGTGCCGGGAAAACTGGCTAGCCATATGTAGAAAGCTGAAACTGGATCCCTTCCTTACACCTTATACAAAAATTAATTCAAGATGGATTAAAGACTTAAATGTTAGACCTAAAACCATAAAAACTCTAGAAGAAAACCTAGGCAACACCATTCAGGACATAGGCATGGACAAGGACTTCATGTCTAAAACACCAAAAGCAATGGCAACAAAAGCCAAAATTGACAAATGGGACCTAATTAAACTAAAGAGCTTCTGCACAGCAAAAGAAACTACCATCAGAGTGAAAAGGCAACCTACAGAATGGGAGAAAATTTTTGCAACCTACTCATCTGACAAAGGGCTAATATCTAGAATCTACAATAAACTCAAACAAATTTACAAGAAAGAAACAAACAACCCCATCAAAAAGTGGGTGAAGGATATGAACAGGCACTTCTCAAAAGAAGACATTTATGCAGCCAAAAGACACATGAAAAAATGCTCATCATCACTGGCCATCAGAGAAATGCAAATCAAAACCACAATGAGATACCATCTCACACCACCTAGAATGGCGATCATTAAAAAGTCAGGAAACAACAGGTGCTGGAGAGGATGTGGAGAAATAGGAACACTTTTACACTGTTGGTGGGACTGTAAACTAGTTCAACCATTGTGGAAGTCAGTGTGGCTATTCCTCAGGGATCTAGAACTAGAATTACCATTTGACCCAGCCATCCCATTACTGGGTATATATCCAAAGATTATAAATCATGCTGCTATAAAGACACATGCACACATATGTTTATTGTGGCACTATTCACAATAGCACAGACTTGGAACCAAGCCAAATGTCCAACAATGATAGACTGGATTAAGAAAATGTGGCACATATACACCATGGAATACTATGCAGCCATAAAAAATGATGAGTTCATGTCCTTTGTAGGGACATGGATGAAGCTGGAAACCATCATTCTCAGCAAACTATCGCAAGGACAAAAAACCAAACACCGCATGTTCTCACTCATAGTTGGGAATTGAACAATGAGAACACATGGACACAGGAAGGGGAACATCACACACTGGGGCCTGTCATGGGGTTGGTGGAGGGGGAGAGATAACATTAGGAGATATACCTAATGCTAAATGACGAGTTAATGGGTGCAGCACACCAACATGGCACATGTATACATATGTAACAAACCTGCACGTTGTGCACATGTACCCTAAAACTTAAAGTATAATTTTTTAAAAAAAAGAAAAATGTGGTAAAGATTATTCCAAAAGGTAGGTGGTCGTGAAAACCAAGCTAACAGGGAACAGAAGGACACAGCAGTATTTATTAAATTTACTTCAGAACTACTGCCAGATTCACTTTAATTCTATCCTATCTTATTTTGGACTTAAGACCAAAAGTTGTTTTCATGACTTTTTCATTACACTTATGTCTACTGTAATTTTTCTTCTATACTTTATCTGTGTCAGAGTTGGTGTTTGCTTTCTGAAGTGCTGGTTGTACCATATGGTTGCTTTAATTTGAGGAAGTATCTTATTTAAAAAAAAAAAGTAAGAAAGCGATTTGAAATGAGTATGTATTCAATGCAGAAATCAGTTATTCTCATATTTAATGCTTTGTGATAGAGAAGTCAGTATATTCTCCCCGTGGTCTCCAAATGCATTTGAATTCATCTCAAATTATTTCATTGAAAGTTCACCTTTTGTCATACAAAAATGGTAACAATGTCTTCAGGGATCTGGGGCTTTTCTAATACCAAAATCTTGGATTTTGAGATTCAAGATGAATAGATGTATTAAAATTTATAGAATTGCTTTGGGGGAAACACAAAATATATTGCCTCTGTATTTATTACTAGCAGTATTTAAGTGGGAAAAATGCTTTTTCTTTCCTATGCATTCTTTATATCATCAGTGATTCATTTTGTTTGAAAGGAATTCTCTTTAGATTTTAGATCATTACCTTAACTTCTCTTTATAGGGAAAAAATTACTATAAAATTTTAAAAATAGAGAGGATCTTCAAAATACATGAGTCCAGTGACCCTCACTTATAGGACTGTTGAGAATCCAGAGACTTAGTGTGATTTGTCTAAGAGTATGAATCTTTGGTGCCATAACTTACTGTATTTTTTTCCTTTTTCACATTTACTTTCAAATATATTCTGTTTATGTTTTCTTTCTACATATTAAGTTACATATTTATATCTTCTGTATTTTATGTCTAAATTTAATGCATTTCTTACTCTTGGAAGTTTTTGGAGTAAATGACAATACAACCCACAATCCAGGAATAGTATGTTTAGCTTTTGTAATAGTAATTATCTTATTGTTTACTAAAACGTGTATTAAATATGGCTGACCAGACCCATAACAATATGAGCACAAAAATTACTACAATAATTTACTTTTGTACATTGAGTACAGTGGAAACATTTTGAGCTAACTAGAACATTTAGATTGCTGTTAACTACTGGACATGACATGATGGCCTGCCAACTCCCATCACTTTCGTGAGTACCGTTCCCACGATCTACTGGGTAGTTAACTGTCACTAGACCTTGCTCCCTCTGGTCACTTCTGATTAGACAAAAGGTGAACTTCTGATCTAAGCTATACCAATTCCATTTCTTCTCCCTGAAAATTGTGGAGCATGCAGGAAAGGTAGAGAGCTATAGGCACTGGATTGATTAACTCAGATATATAGGAGCTGAATTTGCCGCAAACTTGCAAAGAAAACCAATTTCTGTACAATGAGAGAAGAATAAAGCAGGGAAAAGCAGGGTTGAAATACATTAGAGATAAACACAGACAGACAGACACACATCCACACACAGAAAGGCAGAGAGACAGAGAGACAAAGAAAAATGAGAGAAAGCAAACAAGCTTTTGTTCCCCAATGCTTTCCAATTAATTTCCAATTAACAGCTTATTGGAAAGAGCCAGCAGATCGCCCTTAGGAAAGACGAACCTCTGAATCTTTATAATAAATTCCATTTTCACCTAAATTTTCTTTGCATGAGTTTATGTTTATTGCAATCAGTATAAAAAACACACTGCATTTTATATTTGAATGATATATTGAGACAATCATTAATACTGCCAGTAAAGAAAAAAAAATATTGGTGGCAATGGACTAGGTTGAGGGATTAGGAAATAATGTCCAGGTATTTTAGCAGACTATTAAAACTCCGACTGAGCCACACAATCTGAGTTCAAATCTCAGTGGCACCAGACACTAGTTATGTGATTTGGACATGTTTCTTGATCTCCCTTCCTTAGTAAAATGGAAATAATAATAGTATCCACATTACAGGGATGTTGTGATAACTTAATGATTTAATTCATATAAGAGTTTGGATGAATGTCTGGCACATAGTAAATCTGTATAAGTGTTAAATATTGAACTACTAACATTTATATTGACCAGGAGTAAAACTGCTAACCCTATATAATTTTGAAGAAAATAAATATTTTACCTATATGAAATACAGTTGCCAACTTCTGTCATTACTTAATAGTTACATCTTTTGTTTTTCACTTATTTGCCACCATCCTGGTCTATCTATATGGCTTCAGTGCCCTTCAAGCAGCCCTCCCAGACTCCATTATCTCTACTTTCTAAGAAGCTATGCTGATTGTCACTCATCCGTCAAAAACTCTAAAATCTGATTTCAAATCTGACATCCTTTGTCCAGCTTGAATTTCCTGTGTGACAGGCTCATGCTAGCTACTCAATAAACAAAGGTAAATCAAAGTCTCTTACATAATGGAGTTCCAGGGTGGTGGCGAAAGCCATGTGTGAAGGAAGAGCGTGTACAAGGGCCTAGCATCAGGAGAGATGATAGCTCATTCAGGTAACATGTATGTATTCCCAAGTCTGTGTCTTTGCCAATTTTATTCATCTATGTGGAAAGCCATTGCTTTTTGTCTTTCTACAGGTTGAACTTTGGTTGAAGTAGTTTCTAGTTGCCTCCAGGTGAGAGTTTTTGGTAACCTTCTCATGTCTCAAGATCGAGCTCAATTTCATCTCTTTTATAAAACTTACCCACTTCAGACTTCCTGATTATTTCCTTGTAATAATTAGTAACAGGTATCACTAGCTATCTCTATCACATGAATGGAAAAATGCATGAACACTTTTAGGGCAGTGATGTGCCATTTCAACCAAACGTTAACTTTAGAATAACTAAGTAGCAATGTGTTTGTGGAAGGAGAAAAGACTTTTATACAATCTTCAATATTGTATTTATCTGTTTTATATGTAGGAGTCCTCATAACAACCCTATAGAAGAGGTATCATTACACCTGATTTTTAGTTAAGAAAGCTAAGACTCCAGTACCATTTTCTAAGACTAAACACCTAAGAGCAAGCTAATTTGTCAATATATTCCACACATATGTGATACTGAGCCGGTGAACAGGCTCAGTAAATGTTAACTCACTGCACTATTTCTTGTCTACATAACGTTACATGTGTATCACATACTTGTAAGGATGTGTGGATGTTTATCAACTTTTCTTTCTCAGAGTAAATGGCTGAATAAAATTGATGACATGCATATTAAACACAAAGTGATTGCCACAGAATTTCCTTCCATAATATTTTTGAAAGCTGGAACTAAACCACTCCCATGTAGATACTATAGAGTTGTGGTTTACAGTGGTTTTTAGCATATTTACTATATTTTATTATTTTAAAACATAATGAGCTGTTGTATGTAAGTAGCAATCACAAATTATACGTTTATTTGTCAGCATGATGTTCCAAAACAACTTATATTCAAAACTGTTTATTTTCACATAGACTACTAATTACATATTGGAAAATAAACATAAATATTAAACTCACTGTATTGTAAATATAATATGAAGCCAAAAACATATGCCTCAAGAAAGTATTGGAGCTGACATATGGTTTATAACTTCTTGTGGGCTAAATACATTGTCCTTCACTGAAAAGCTTGGAAGTCTTTTATTCACTTATTTAAGGAATATAAAATGGTTTCCAAATGGGCATCACTTACCAAAATGCACATAAATGTGCTTTCTAGAAGGAGAAAAAACAATGATACAGGTATTTTTAAGATAAGGTAAAGCAATTTAAAAAGAATATATCCCTGTTATTCTTTAGCTTCCAGTGTCTAGTTTTTTATGATTGTATTGATTTTGTTTTATAGTAGTGTTTGAATTTTGTACTTTTTTTCCCAAAAATATTACTCATCTAAAAAGCACATTGCTTTCTTTGATAACTGGCTTAGAGATCATTAAAATATCTGATTAATGAGTAGATTTTTTTCACTGCTTTACTATTTTCAATATGTCAGAGAAACATTCAACCCTTCTAAGAAATTTTTCTGCTTTGCATAATTTATAGATCAGATTGTTCCTTCTCTATAATAATGGCACTTAATTTTTGCCTATGAAAATAGATTGTATAGTTTGTATTTAAAGAAGTTAAAAGTCTAAGTAGTGTAATTAAAATCAAGCTATAGATTTCATAGTTCAGTAAAAGTAACATAGATGTGGAAATGGGCTGACTGGATCCAAATCATGACCCTTTCATTTGTCGTTTCACCCTGCTCATGCTACTTAATTTCTCTCAGCCTCAGTTTCTTCATCTGTACAGTGGGGATAATAACGTTTGCTGATAGTTTTGTGGAAGGATTAAATTAGATACTGAATATAAAGCCCCTTATATATGTCCTAGATGTTACAAGTACTCAAAATGTGGCTACCGTTTTTGCTAGATTAACATTATTGGGTATAGGATTTTATAATAGTTTGATAATTAAAGATGATAATTTTTTCAACAGGAAATAAAAGTCACTATCTGTATCTTAACATATGTAGTAGAGAAACTTTCAGGAACATTTTTCTTCTCTGATCTTACTAAAACATCAGTTCAATTTGGGGAGAGCTTTGTCCATCCGGGTAACAACTGTTCCACCCTGATCAAGGGTGATCATAGTGAATACTGATAGGAAGAAGAAGCATAAGAAATACCAACTTAAAATCTTTAATTCCAAAAAAAAAGGGAAGAAAGAAAAGAAACAGTATGTTATTAGACAATTGTGGCACTGCATGCTGGTACCACATGGAAAAAAGGCAGATTAGCTTGTTATTTATCTTTCAGGTAGAACAAGTTCTTTACTAAAATATTAGCTGATGCAACATACTTTTGTCTTTTAAAATAAGCTACTGGATGAAGTTCAGCCACCTTTCAAATACATTGCCCATTATCTTATAAGATCCAATGGAAATAGAGAATTTAATTTATGACTTTCTTGTATAAATGCTTCTTCATGGATGCTTTATATAAAATATAATAATATCAATTTTTATGACTATTAAAGATTTTATTGAAATAGACTAGCATCAGAGTCTATAGTTAGAACATAAAATCTTAATGGTATCACAATTTACTTTAGACACACAAAATGAATGTCTAAAAATGGGTTTCATATAAATTTTTCATGGTGGGATAGATATTAGAGAACTAAGATATGTCATTATATATATGCAATCACTTAAATGCCTTTGTTGTTTTCATGTTTGAGACATCTTTACAATGTTCCTAATATTTCGATGTTAAGATTTTTAACAGAATAGCACGATTTTACTCTCAAGGCATACTTAAAATATGTCTCATAGGGAGTTTAATTAGATAGGAAATTTGGGTATTCTTATGTCTATTATTTCATTTTACATTGTTATGAAGGGTTATTTGAGACCGGGTAATTTATAAAGAAAAGAGGTTTATTTTGGCTCACAGTTCTGTAGACTGTACAGGAAGCACAGTGCCAGCATCTGCTTCTGATGAGCACCTCAGGAAGCTTCCAATCATGGTGGAAGGTGAAGGGGGAGCAGGCAGGTCACATGAGGAAAGAGGGAGCAAGAGAGAGAGGGGAGGAGGTGTCAGACTGTTTAAACAACCAATTCTTCCTTGAACTAACAGAGTTAGAATTCACTGATTACCATAGGGAGGGCACCAAGCCGTTCAGTAGGGATATGTCCCCGTGACCCAAACACTTCCCATTAGGCCCTACTTCCAGTATTGGAGATCACATTTCAACATGAGATTTGGAGGGGACAAACACTTATATTTAATAGATTGCTGAAAAGGTATCATTACTTAAAAATGATCTTTTGCCTATGTCTAAGTTTAATTTTGACCTGAACTTCAGCAATTGACTAGTGTCTGACCACCAGAAGCATTCCTGATCTCTGAGGAGCTGCAGTTCCAGCAACTCACTCTGTACCTAAGATTGGTGACAAAGAAAGCCCAGGCATCCAAACAAGTCAGCCCTTGAGGAAAAATAGGGCTGAAAGCACACAGGCTGCACCTTATATTCTGTGTTCAGGAGATTCCCCTAGAGACAGAGAAATAAGGTACACCCTAATAGGTTGGTGGTGTGCCACCAAAGTCATTTTGCTTGAAAGCTGAAGCATGAAAGAAAAGAGGTGAAACAGTAACCTAAAACATGAAGATACTGTGAGATACTGAAGTAGTATGGACACTTATCAGTAGAGACAAACAACAATGGACATGCAGAGGGAAAACTTTTTAAACTTTTGTATTTGAGAGAGAAGTGAATGGCTATCTTTTTATACCTCAACCGGCCAGGATGGTACTCTACCTGGGAAGTACTGTGTTTACTATAGAGATCGTGTATGAATGGAAGAATGAATACCCTTAAGGCAGTGCTGTGCCATTTCAACCCAACATTAGCTTTAGAATAACTAAGTCACAGTGTGTTTGGGGAGGGAGTAAAGAGCCAACTCCAGGTAAAAAGTGATCAAATGCTTCTGGACTTTTTG
Organism: Homo sapiens; assembly: GCF_000001405.40. NCBI lineage: Eukaryota > Metazoa > Chordata > Mammalia > Primates > Hominidae > Homo > Homo sapiens. The sequence continues at coordinate 77,911,234 of NC_000012.12, forward strand.
ATAAAAGGCAGCCAGAAACAGATGATCTGTCCTAGTCTTTGGAAATTCCAGAATTCCCTTAAAGAACTGGATTAGAATCTGCCATTAACAAAATTAATCTAACCTGTTGGCCAGCATAACATTTTTCCACCAAGTAAATTTATAATGCACTTGATCCACCATGCCAGAAATGTTCAAGGTTTTCAATCTCAATCTTATGTCTGTGCTTCTGTTAAAAGATCAACTAATAAGTACACATAATGGAGTATTTTGGTTTATTGTCAATGCAAGAATCAGAATTGCATCCTATGTTGGACTTTTCCCACAATATCTTGGTAAATGATCATCTACTCTATATGCAAAAACATCAATTATTCTGGCAATGCTTCTTTAATTTTTTAACTTAAAAATACCTACAGATGGATGGAGTGAAAAATTACTCATAAGAGTTTACCAAAACTCAGTCTTCTGAACTTGAAAAAATGTATTCGAAGGATCAATTATTTATAGTACCCTATGTGAATTTTTCATTTTATGACCAAATGTGTTTATTTTAGTCTAAAATTAATGTTTTAAATCATTGTCATTAAACTAATTTTCAAGCAAGTTGAGCCACGCTAATTAGAAATATTCTTATACCACTGATCATATATTTTTTTTAACTCCAGGGTGTTCAGACCCCAGTTTCAGAAACACAGTCTTTATTATCAAACAGTTCTATGTTTAAATCAAGCCTTTACCTCACATTTGCTGTGTCATTCTGGAAAAGTAGCTTAACCTTAGCAAGATTTGTTTTTCACCAAGTTAAAAAGGAATGATACCTACTGCATTGAGTTTATGGCAAGCATTCCTTGAGGCAAGGTAATGTAAATTTCCTGGCATATAATACTGTTTGGGGTGGAATTGTGCCTACCAAAAAAGATGTGTTGAAATTCTAACTCCATCACCACCTGTGAATGTGACCTTATTTGGAAATGGGTCTTTGCAGGTGTATTTAAAGATCATACAGAATTAGAATGGACTATAATACAATGACTAGTGTCCTCATGAGAAGACAGAAGTTTAGACATACACACACAGAGAAAATGACATGTAACTATTGAGGCAGAGAATGAAGCCATGTGTCTACAGGCCAAGAAAGGCCTAATAATCTGACAACAAAATATGGTATTCCTTTGAGTTGACTTGTTCCCAGTGAACAAGGTCTGGCTGCTAAAATTATCTTTTAATGTGAAAATGCTCACAGATGAATTACTCAGTAATTTATGCTAGAATATTTCCATAAATTAACATCAAGACAGTGATCTACATATACACATTTGTCCTAGTTTTAAAAATTGTAACAATCTCTACTTTTAAAACATACTATTATTACAGTAGTATTATTATCTTTGTAGTTTTGTGGGGGTTTTTTGTTTGTTTGTTTTCATTTTTTGAGACAGAGTTTCACTCTTGTGGCCCAGGCTAGAGTGCAATGGTGCGATCTCAGCTGACTGCAAATTCTGCCTCCCGGGTTCAAGCATTTCTCCTGCCTCAGCCTCCCAAGTAGCTGGGATTACAAAATTAATTTTGTATTTTTACTAGAGATGGGGTTTCACCATATTGCTCAGGCTGGTCTCGAACTCCTGACCTCACGTGATCCACCTGCCTTGGCCTCCCAAAGTGCTGGGATTACAGATGTGAGCCATGCCGTTTTACATGCATTTTTCAAGAACTGAGAAATAAGTAATATGTACATTTAAGTGTTTTCATAATTATTTTTATTGTCTTTTATCTTCAGTTATTTCAGTGACCCTTAATAATTTTCAGTTTATATTTGAGACACAGTTTTGTTTGAGTAGCTTCCAAAGTCAACTTGTGACATGAAAAAAATGCATGGTGAAAAAATTCTTAATGTAGCATACTTGGCCCCAAAACATGGTCTATATGGTTTTGTGTTACATATACGTGTACTTTTACTCCATATCTCATGTACACAGCAATTCTTTTGCTAAGAGGAAAGTCACTTAGCTAGACTAAAAGAAGGAATAATGCCTAGTACATGGTTAAATATTAGATAAATGTTAGCTATGATCATATAATACCTTTATTCTTATTATGAATATATTAAACTTATAGTAGTTTATGAAAAAGAGTAAATGTTAGAACTGTTTAGAATTTCCTACTCCATAATCCAGTCATCATAGCTAACATTTATCTAATATTTAACCATAAACTAGGCGTTATTCTTTTCTTTATTTGACACAGTCTCACTCTGTCACCCAAGCTGGAGTGCAGTGGCGCAATCTCGATTCACTGCAACCTCCCGTACTAGGCATTACTCTAAGAGTTGCATTACATACTATATTAACATAGTTTGATTTTTTAAATTCATTCAGGAAATTTTGACCTAGAGAAGTTATGGTTTCTTGGAAGATTGGACCCAAAATTCAGGGAGTGTGTGTGTGTGAATGATAAAAACTCTGCTATACTATCCTTGGTTGAGAGGCTGGAAGCAAAATAAGAGTTGAGTATTTTTACAGTCTCTCACTTAAGCTCTATCTTCACAATATAACTAATTAAAATGTTTACATAATTCTTAGCTTGTGCTAAGCTTCAGACAGAGAATTTAAAAGTATGTTTCCTTAATTATGTTTCCCTTCTTTCTGATGATTGTGCTTGATACTTTTTCAGTCTGATCTGGATTTAGAATTTGTCATGTAAGTTTTTAAAAGCGCTGTGATGAGTGTAAAATATAGTTTCATTGAATGTTGACTGTCCTTTTTTTTTTCTTTATTCTTTGTGGATCTTAATCATATCCACAGCAGAAGTTCCCCCTCACCTCTGAGCCATGAGATTTTAAGGAAGCCAAGTGGAGGTTTTATGAGATGCTCTGCTTTTAATTGAATGAAAATTTCAGCAGATGTTTAGCTGGTTAATGCTTCCCATAAATTTATGTTTTGTACCAGTGCCAATTTTTAAACTGCCTTAAGAGAGAATCATCTCACAATCTCTTTTGCAGACTAATACTATTGGTCTTACTGGCACTTAAAGTGGTCATGCCTTTGATTCACTGTCAAAGGCTTCATTCATTTATTCACACGTCAGGCAGTCCATCGGTCAATCATTTGAGAATGTGCAAGATGTTTTTTGGAGGTACCCAGATGATTTATACTGCTTGTGCTTCAGCTGTCCTCTGAGTTTAGTAGTTACTTTGATATCTTAGTGAGGGATGCTCTCTAGTGTTTTCCTACAGATGTTTCCATGTCATGAAATGGCAAGATAAATGATTTTGCTTTTATCTAAAAATCACATTTGAAGGGCAACATTTTGTTTTGGAGATTCCATTAAAATAAATTATGGTCAGAGGCATGGACTAAATTCCCTCAAAGGGTTTGCTAGTGCTCTTTGGGATAACCTTTACTTCTTGCTTTTTCACCCCCTTTCATGATTATGGAGTGACAATACATGTAGTTTTGTCTAGTCTATTGGTTTTGTCTAGTCTATTGTGGAGTAAAGTTAATATTGAATAGCTTGTAAAAATCAATTTTCAGATTTCTGTTTTGATTCAGTAAACAGATATCTTAAGCTCAAAACAATAAACACAAACCTTTTACCAGGTTAAGAAATGCAGAGATTCTTTGTCTTTTTTTTTTTTTTAATTATCTGATGTTTTGAGCTTTATGCCTAATGCCTGTGTTTTGGTATGCATATTATTTACAAAATCAGTTATTTAAATGGTTTTAAAAAATCCAAGCCAAATGCAGCTCCATTAATTTCTAAAGATCTTTTTGTTTAGTTACAAAATACATATTTAAGTGATATGTTGCATCTTTTGGATTCTAGTTGTCAGATCCTTGAAAACACGTTAACAAAATCTGAATGTCTTCCTTCATGCCTTAGGATCTTCTTCTCTTCCTTCTCTGCAAAAATTTCTCCACCCTGGATTTACTTCCTGACCAGCTGCACATTTTCTTTGGCTTTTGCCTCCTCCAAGATTCAAATGGCTTAATTTTAGTGTGTAATTAATGCTTATTTTTTAATACAATAGTGGACAAATCACAAATTTCACATCACATGCTATGCAAGAGAATGCATCAGTAGGCATTATGTGAATGATTAAATTAAACCTAACATTTATATAATGGTAAAAATTCTTCCTGGCATTGCAAAGAGCTGTGGAGTTTGTTTAGGGTTTCTCTGAAATTTCTTCTTGTATAGCCCTCCAGAGATCTGTCAAATAAATAACAGATGTAGAGATTATCAATTATTGTTGAACGTTTGACAAAAACAGGCAAGCCAGGGATTTCCCACTGGATCTCTTCATGTTAAAAGAAAAAAAAAGATCTTCTAGCCAGAATCAAGTAATTAATCTAGATAGTATATTATTAGCATATTTTTAATGTAATTTTGCTATGTTATACCTGCAAAATTTTGTCAGGATGAGGAGGGTACATTTTCTATATCCCTGAAGATAGTTATTTCATCTCTATGAAATAATTAAATTCACTGCATTATTATGGTCTCTAGTAGAGCTGTAAAGACAAAAAAGTTGCAAAATTGGTAAGGTCTTTGATATGTGTATTTTGTGGCTTCCTGAATTCCCCATTCATTCATTTAGTCCCATCAATGTTTATTGATCATTTCCTGTGACCTAGACCCTGTCCCCACCACTGGCCATAGAGCAGTGAGCAAGACAGAGTGCTGAATGACATGAAGCTTACCTTCCAATGAGATGAGTGAAAGTAATCAGGAGACAAAGTTATGGTGTTTTAGGTGATGATAAGCACTTGAAGAAAATAAAGCAATGTAATGGGTTAGACAGTGATGGAATTGCAATGGGAAGAGGCTGTTTTATCAAGAAATTTAAGACAGGCCACTCTGAGATGGTGATATTTGATCAGAGACATGACTTAAATGAGTAAGTAAGCTATTTGGATACTGGTGAAAGAGCATTATGAGTAAAGGGAACAGAGAAAGCAAAGCCCTGAAATTGGACTGGAGTTATTTAGGATTTAGATTGCACCATAATGTTTTAAATAACAAAACAAAAGGAACTATTTATTATTTGAAAGACATTGGAAAATATGGACAACTGCTCCAATATTTATTTCAGAGAGGAGGAAAGAATAAATCCAGGGACCGTTTTGAAAGGAAAGACTAAACATAAGTCTCTTTTTGGTTGTACTACATGTAGTCCATACCCTTCAACTAAAAGGAACAGAAACAAAGAGGAAGGAATGATTAATCCTATCAAGAGAAGAAAAGATGTGAAGAGACAGAGGAAAGGCTATTAGGCATGTGTTGACATGTGGGGAGGGGAGTGGCACGTTTTTCATTGATTTTACTGTACATTTTCAACAAACTCTAAAGCACAAGATCTAACTAATGTCTTCTTTTTTTCCTGTAGTAAAAGGTATTTTAACCTATGAATGGAATTCTACATACAATACTCAAAGAAAAGGCATTTGCAAAGACACATTTGATTAAATGCACGTTTTTCGTCAGACTTTTGAGTTGACTCAGAAGAGGTGCTGATTTTCATTATGATCAGACAACAGAAATTACTGAAAATCAAAATACAATTGTTGATCTCATTTCAATGCTCAGGACACCACTGTTTTATGATTACAATTAGTGTTAAAAAATATCTTTTCAGACTGATGAAGTTTTTAATGTGAAATATTAAAAAAATACCAAATACATAGAAGATAGAATTCAATACCAGGAGACATAAAAAACAAAATTCAGTTTCTTCTCTGGCAATATCACATCAATAGGATATTTACTGTTAATTTAGTGTTAAATTAACTAGTCTTATAAACTAGTCTTATAAACATAGCATTATTATATAAAAATCATAATGAAAAAGAAAACTAGCAATGTAAAAATCTGACATATTATAAAGTTTATGTAACTTGTATTTCAGTACATAAAAGCTAATAATATAACTAAAATCTATTGTTGGTCTATTCCAAACCAGATGCTGTGGAAGAGGTTTGCCTGCATTAGTACTTTAACCTTCCTTATAACTAAATGGCACATATAGTATTATTATCTGTGACTTAATTATCAAATTTACCCAAGATTATAAAGGTATGAATTACCAGAACCAGGATTGCAGCCTAAGTAAGCTGTCTCCAGAGTCCCTTCTCTTCATTATTATTTTAAATATTAGTTTTAAACTACTATTGATAACCTTTTCAGAACTTTTAAAAAACACCATGTAAAAAAGCAAGAAATGGATGAAATACACATCTTTTATATCATCAGTTTTGTTCAATTATTTATGTATCGAGGGTTATTTCTCTGCTTAAGATTATATAGCAATATGTCTAATGTTTTGCATGTGTAACGGTCCTATTTTCTACTATTGTCTTACTTGAAGTGCCTGGGTATTGCCTGTTTGCCCTCCTTGCATTCACCGACCTTCTCTTGAAAGCTATATTTTAATTTGCCCATGTGTGGAGCTATGAATGGAACTAATGGAAGGTTAAAGGGCAGGAAGCAGAGAAAGGCCAGAGTGTTTCTTTTTCAGGTGATGGTGGCTTCTTATTCTTGCTGAAATCTGGATTATTTAAACATTAACTGTTTGTTTGAAGACAAACGTTTCAGCCCATAGCCCCAAATTAAATACTTTCTATTTAAAATACCTAGAAAGGTTTCTATATTCTTGACTAGACGCTGACTCATACAGTGACTTTTTGCATTCAAAGGCAGTGACCAAAAGGATCCTTATAATTGATAACTTCTCTTCTTAAAGGTAGAAAAATGGAATGGCATTTTAAAAAACTTGAATTCACCTGCAGAGAGTCAGCAGCATTGTTTGCCAGCAGTAGTGTCAACAAATTTAAAAAAGTCCAAATTGAATTAATCAAAATAAATTGTTAAGACTTGAGTTTATACCTAAAGAACAATATTTTGGCGTCTTTCCTTCCATATGGAATGGTTAACTGTGATATTACACTCTTCCCTCTGGACGCTGAGGATTCTTCTGGCTGTCATTACTAAAGCTCTTCCTAAATAAAATACATTTAACACTGTTTTGTGACCCTCCATTTGGACAAGTTTCCATGGTCAGGGCTATTTTGTTTTAGAAACTGTATTAACTTGCATAATTGCAAATACATTCTGTTAGACCCATAAAGAAAAACCGCTTGGCTGAGTATCATTATAGCTAATATTAGAGGGACCTTTTTAGGTCAGGCAGTCTAGAACTGTTAGCTACTGATTTTCTTAGCACACCCACACCTAGCATAGTTATTGGAAAATGTATCAGGTAGCTTTTGCTAGAATACAAACCCAAAACTCCATGTCTTAAGACAAAAACCATTTATTCACAATTTTGTGGGTTATCTATTTGGGCTGAGTTCATCAGGGAAGTTCATTGCTGCTCTACGGGCTTACTCAAGTTTGTGGCCGGCTGCCCATCAGCTAGGTGATAGTTTCTGGGGGGTGATATGGCTCTCAGCAAGCTGGTTTATGATAGTCTCATTTGGTACAGCTGGAATGACTGGAGCTTGCCTCCATATGGTCATCATCCAGTAGGATATCTCAGGTTTGTTCATATGTCAGCTCAGAGTTCCAAGAGCAGCAAATAAGCCAAAGCCATCGTACAAGTGATTTTCCAGGGTCTGCTTGTATCATGTTTGCTAAGGTTACATTGGGCAAAGCCAGCCAAATGACCAACCCAAATTCAAGATTGGAGAAATAGACTCCATATCATATGGGAAGAAATAGTCTATATCATTATAGGAAGAGTAGACCTTGTGATGATTATTATAATCTGCAGAGAATATAAACAATGGGCAAGGTATTTCATTCAAACAAGGAAAAAGAATGAAGCAGAGAGCCGATTTGAAGGGACCATATGAGAAAAAATACTTTTAAAGAAAACAAGATAGAGGAAGAATTAGAAACTTTATCTTAGGATTGGAGTGGGTATGGATATCACAGAAAGTGAACAAACAACAAATATTTTATGTCTATGGCCAGAGAAATGGATGCTTTGAGAGCAGGCACTTAATCATGAATTAATCTAAAGTGAAGGTCAAAGTGTGGTCAAGTATTTCTTTGCTTTGTTAAATCTTGACATGGTATCCACATGAATTTCCACATTAGTCCCACCAAATGAAGGAAACCTATGTGAATTGATATATTTAGAACTTCCTTACCAGAAAGCTCAATTGTATGTTACTACATTCTTACATTGGAATATAAGAGTTGGGTATCCAGCTTAACTTCTGAAAATGCTCACACAGTAACAATTGCAACTCCGTATCTGTGGACATGGGGCTAGAAAGGAAGATACCATGTCACATTAAGATATTTTCTTTGGTATTTATCTACTTCTTAATCCCCCATTTTACTAAAATACATAAGTAAGAAAAGTATTCCAAAGTCTGTAATTTAGCTTATTTCTTAACCGCAAATATGTTACCTAGCAACCATTGAAGGACATCTTTATATCTTTAAGGCGAAGTACTTCATATTAATTTAGCAAACATCTGTTTCCTTATGAGAATAGGCATGCTTTCATTGAGACAGTCTGCATGTACACTGCTCTCAATGGCAATTATACTCCCTTTGCTTAATAGTTGATCAGATTAACAGAATTCTAGCTCTTAAAGGGACACTATTTATTTGACCCTATTGAAAATTTAATCACGCTTGGATTGTTTGGTGACCTTTTGTCACTGTGGGAGCTCTGAGATTGGAATTTGAAGTGAACAGCCCATGATTTCTCCAGAAGACTGAATTATCACTTATATTTTAGTTTTGAAAATGATGCTGTAATTTGGCAGGTTTATAACTTACCACTAATTGAAGCAATATTTATCAACTGCACGTGAAATATAGCATGGTGTTAAGAACTCTAGAGATTGTTAAGTTTGGTTAATAATCCGGGTTCTGGCACTCTTTACTGTGTGACATTTAGCAAATTGCTTAGTATCTTTAAATAGTAGTTTCCTCATCTGTAAAATAAGAGTAACAATAAAACCTTCTTTAATGTGTTGTTTTAGGAGTCACATTAGTGTGTTCTAAACCCCATAATTAAAATTAGTGCTCTAAATCCCATAATTAATATTTGAATAAAGAATACCATGCTATATATTGTACTTAATTTTCTCAGTTGCTTTATCAAAATTAACCAGTTTTATTTTGTTTGAAAAAATGGATTTTGTTTCAACAGTGGCTTAAAATTGGACATGAAGAAAATGGAAAAGTCAGATTTAAAAAACACACAACAAAAAGCCCCAAAACTGTAAGATGAATTAAGTCCTATCTGACCTTTTTACTTATAAATTTTATAGTACCAAAAAAACCCTTCATGACAATTTTCTGGAAATACAATTAACTTGCTATTGTGAAAAATTAAAATGCATTTTTAGCTAAATATATATTTTGAAAATTAGAATTATCAGAAAAACAGGTACAAGCCTTTGAATTTACTTTTAGGTACAATACTCAAACACCTTCTGGTTCATGTAGGCGAATATTTGTCATCTTTTTCCACTTGATTCACATGTGTGAGTCCAAATGTTAACCAGCAATGTTTGTTACAAAAAAGGAAGTCATCCGAAAAAAAATTACTCTGCAGATGCCTCTTGTCTTGAGAAAGAAAATATTATCAGAAAATAATGTCAGATTGATGACTGATTCGTCCTGTGAATGCGGATAGTAGTAGACTTTCCAAGGTCACCATTTGGATTCATATGAATTATTTGTTCATATCCTTGTCACAAAAGGGAATAGAGTGGCTGTGGGTACTTTCAATTAGAGAATTTTGAACCTGTGTTTGAAGATTTGGATTTCTAACAATCTCATCATAAGAAAACGAAAAGGATACCTATTCTTAAGGCTCATCTGCCAGTAGAGAAGCTGAAATTTAAGTCTAGTGGTATGTGAAATATTCAACAGACTTTGTCAAAGGCTTAACTTTAAAGCTAGGGTAACTATTTTGAGGAAAAAATGAGAAACGTCTTTTGGTCATCATAAATCTAGTGCCTGAGGATATGCATATTCAAGATATGAAATTCTAAAAATGTTAATATTTACTCAAATTTTAACTTGGAATTTTTGAGACTAATAAATGTTCCTCAGTTAAGGCAATACCGACTGTGAAATAGTTCATGAAGTCATAGAGATGCAGTTCAAAATTCTATTTTCATTATTCATAGAAATGTTCAAGAACAAGGATTAGCCAAGGTAGGAACCATTCACTTAAAAATCCTGAAACCGAGAAGTAGCCATACTTACATAAACGTTGGCAGCCTGGAATAACCAACAAATTGTGACTATTATTAAATGAATATATTAGAGCAGGAAAATCATGCCGTTGTTAAGAACTGCAGTTTGGAACCGACTTGGGAAAGATTGTCTTATGATAAGTTTTCTCATAGCTAAATTCCTTTTCCTTGGAGTTAAAATGAGAGTTACAATTTCTAACGTGAAAGATGAAAAATCTAGTGGAAATGATAGGGTTAAAATGATATATTTTTATGAGGATACAAGGCAGTACTTGGCCAAACACCTTGAAAAATTTTAGTGTTTCTCTTTTTATTTTTTATACCAACAAAGAAGGTAATATGGTGCCACTGAAAATGTATGGGTATTGTAGAGAGAGAGAAGCAATTTTAAACTTAGCTCTGTGACTTGCTACTTAATGACTTGGGGCAAATTAGTCAATGAATCTGAGCTTCAATTGTTTCACGTGTAATATAACAATGCCCATATCATAAGGTCCTTTGGAGGATAAATGAAATAAGGTCTGTAAAGTGCCCAGCACATGGGCAGAGAATGCTGTATAGGGTAACCTTTATGACTTAGTGGAAACAGTGGCAATTATATCAAAGTTCTATCTCTGAATCTTTGTGTCAATGAACTTGAAGTGCAAGACCTGGTCATATGCGTAGCAGAAGCTACCTCCTTGGTCAGCCCTGAAAACACTTCAATTTAGCCACCAGTTCCAATTAAAAATATTAGCCCAGAAGATGCCAAAATAGCTACCTTGGTATGGTTCCCTGCCTCTGTGTTTTGAAATTTTTGAGCTGTGAACCAGAGAGGTTTTTTTGGGTTTTGTTTTGATTTGTTTGTCTGTTTGTTTGTTTAATTTTTGAACTTTTGGAGGGCCAGCGCTTCTTTTCCATCTCCTAACAGCTTTTCGGGTCATTCGGGCTCTTGTGAATGTTTTGGTTTTTGACTGATCCCTTTATTTTTTAGTTATTCTCTGACCTCCACTACTCTATTTTTGGGAAAATCCCTCGTGGGTGTTTATTAAGACTTTTGCAATTCCTGTGTGCCCTACTCCATTGTTATCCTACAGAGGTGTTGCTCAGACATTCTGGACCTGAACAGGCCACTCCAAAGTGCCTTGCCCTTTCAGACCACTGTTCCAGCTTAGGATCCCACCTATGTCCAGCATTGACTTTACTCTTGTCCCCTCGGCCTGTGTTCCTCAACCAGAAACTTCTTGTTACTTGTGGTTCTCTCTTTGAGAATAATAATGAGTGTTTTTATTATTGACTTGAATCCTAAGACTCATTGTACCTTTGTTTTTCTAGAAGACCAAAAAATACTCTTAAACTGTTCTCATTAACTTCCTTAGAATACCAATGAGGTAATGCTTTGAAATCAATTTTAATTTTATGAGTAATATATTAATCCAGAACATTTTTAATTATAAAGAACAATATCTGAAATCAGATCACCCTTATTGTAAATACTATTACACCCTGAATTTGCTTCTAGTATTTTTATACGTACATCTTAAGATGGTTTTCTATTCTACTTTTTTTTGCATCATATTTTTCATTTTACTCTACAAGTATCACGATTTTTATTTTTGATGGCTACTTAACATTTTGAAGAGTGAATAAACCATAATTTGATAATAACAATTTCCCTATCATTAGGTGTTTTAGTTCCAATTTATAAATATTATAATTAATATAAACTACATTTTTGGAATATCAGTTCACATAAAAAGAGAATAAAGGAATGTCATAGTGGTATGTGGTAAGTCTAAAGTCAATTTAAGAAATAAAAAGCACATTTTCTATCGCTCCAGTATTCTACCAGCTTGATTATGATAGTGAAGAATTTTGAATTTAAAAGTCATTGCTTATGTTTTTAAATATATTTTAAGCTATCGAATTTAATTTCACACACACATATCAGAGCTAAAATAGGAGAGAGAGAGCTAGATTTAGAAAGTGATCATCTTCCAAATTTTTAAAAAAATCTATTTTACTGAAATTTGGAAACATCATTAATGTAGAAATAATGTCATAAATGATGGTTAGTTTTCTTGAACAGCCCACCTAAATCTGTATCATCTCTTCTGTAGATTTGTAAAGTAGGACTGTAACATCTACTGTATATACCTCAAATGAGTATAACAAACAAAATGACCTATTTGTAAATTGTAAAGCAAAATTAGAATATTAGATACATTCAGTACCTAGTTCATTTTAATAATAAAAAAAAGGTTATATGAAGTTCCAAGGACCCCAGCAGTGGAAACTTGACCAACAAATGCTCACACTACCACCCCAGAATCAGCAGTAAAAAATGAATGGAACTGCTGGGAAATCAAGCTCAGAGCTTCAAAAGGAAGAGAGGAGTTACTAGTGATGAAGAGTCCACAATATATGCTCAGAAGATGCTATTAAATTAGTAAAAAGATAACCAGAAAACTGTAGGTACAACACAATGATCTCTGCAAGGGAAATAGGGATTTGGGGAATGGATTTTTAGCTCTCTATAGGAGTTGTAATTGAATTCCTGTACATAAGGGAGTTGTTCTCCTAAGGGTCTGGCTGCAAGGAGAATCTCTGTAATTTAAATTAAAACCAGCTGCTCTAACAAACTCCTGAATTTCAATGGCTCTGTACACAGTAGACTTTCAGCAGTCCACAGTGTTTCCTGGGGGTTGGGTATGGAGTTGAGATGCTTTGTTATGTACAGTCACTCAAGAACTCAGACTAATGAAAACACACATTTTCATTATGTGGCCTCATTGTTTTACCTGGATATATCCCAGGTGGCCCATGGGCAAAACGAAGAATAGGTTAGAGTATATTTTTGTGGGCTAGAGTAGGAAGAGATGCATAATACTTTAGCTCTTATTACATTGGTGATATCTAGTCCATTTTTATCCACCTAAATGCAAGGAGAGGAGAGCTGGAAATGAAGTCCTTGGTGAGAAGCTGCTTTCTAGAGAATATTTTATGCTATGGAAGGTGGAGCACAAATTTTGGTGAACAGTGAAAATGTAATAGGTTCTCTCATGAGGGGTGGCAGTAGGGGGACTTCCAGGCATGAGGCAGCTGGAAGTGTATCCCCGCTTGGGTCAACTCTTCACAAAAAGTAGTTTTTGCACAGTCATTAATTTTCAACATAGATATCTAAAGTATAATGTTCCTTGTAATATATCAGGTAATACATCAGATATGGACAAAGAAGAAATTCAAGATAAGGATATTCTATGAAAGTAAATTAGTTTCTGTGTCTCAATGCAATTAAAAAGAAAGTAGTCGATCTAAATATTGACATGTGCAATGGTTATTTGAAATTACTACACATTTGTTTGGGGAGAATATGTTTTTAAATGTAAATCATGAGTAAGCATATTCCATTGATTATAATAATGATGACTTATAGTGTATAGCTCATTTTACTTTTGCACATGTTTTCTATTACAGTTAATCCTCACAATAATCCTACGAGATAGGCAGGGTAGATAAGGATATGATCCTAGCATGAAAGACAAGACTCAAGATCCAGTAGTTAGTGGTGGAACTTGGAAGAAAGCCCAGAATTTCTGACTCCAGGCTCCATACTTTCCACTTCTGAAACCCTTCAAAAATTTAACTTTACTTTTTTGAAGGGTGGGGGAATGATGGGGAGGGTGAAAGGTTGGGAAAAAAAACAAGATTGACTTATGTCTGCTTCTCTAACTAGTGAGAATTTTTACTTTTTGTGTCTTGCATGTTGAATGAATGTTTTAGACCATATTTCACATATATTTTGAAGGTCAACTTTAATCATAGGAATAGGTTTATAAGAAGGGAAATTTTCTAAAATTTGGTTTAGAGGCTTGAATTTGAAATTTGGGGCTAATTTAAAATCTTTGACTTTTATTCATTATCTTATATTTGTATATAAACCGTATAAGTTCATATAGTGAGCAGTCTGCATGTTTTCTGTTTTTATTTTTATTTTCCTTTAGCTAATATATTCCAATAATTTGTAAGAGATTCAAATGGAATCCTTAGCATTTTAACAATTGTGCATTCCAGCAATTGTGGTGCATTACAAATGAAAGGATTTTAGGATGAAAAGGCGGGGGGAGGTTTAGGGTGGCTGTTAATGCTATGACTTCTAAGTCTCCATGCTCTCTTAGTGGTCATGTGGTTGGCTCATTATTTGAGCAGCATCGCTTTGCGGTTTGACAAGGCTACGCAGCAGCAGCCACTGTTAGCCGATGGTCTTGCAGGTATGTGGATCTAGCTCCTACCCGTGGTGATGTGGAGCTACAGCATGTCACTGGAGAGACACCAACTGCAGAAAGCTGATACATAATTGTGTATGAGTGGAATACAAAATGAAACCATCAAAGTGTCCTTAGCAAATAGCAAACTAGATGACAGATCTCACCAATATGTTTTGCTATAATTTATTGTAGTTTTAAAATTTTCAGGTATTTATGAAAATAGGATGCCCTCTAGTGGGGATCAACAGAATCTTCCAAGTAGTCTAATATTTGCTTAGAGTTGATGTAAAAAGAAGGAAAGAAAGTTGTTGAAAAAACAAATATTTTTTGAAAGTTGCTTACTTTTTCCTGGAAATTTCTCTATTGCTCCCTGTCAACTGATGGCTGGATTAGTACTCCCTGTGCACTGCATTTTTATTTCCATTACTTTTCACAGAGGCTCTTAAACACAGCAGGCAGAGTGTTCTCTCTCAGCTTCCAAGTTCTATGTTTTTAGCCTAAGTGAACGTAAACAATCCCTTGGCCACTTCTTTCTAAATTAATTAATTAATTAATTATAACCTATCTTGAAACACCTTTGAGGTAGATATCTATCTTTGTCACTAACAATTTAAAGTATTTAAAACATAGGAATGAATGCTTTGCAAGGAGGATTGTTGTAGGCAATGCTTACCTTACCTTATGCATCTTACCTTCCCTTACCTCCCAAGCTTCTTTTTACAAAGCATTTCTTCCTAGCAAGAGAGGCTTGGGAGGTAAGGGAAGATATAGATAGATAGATACATACATACATAGATAGATACATAGATAGATATAGATATAGATATGCCATGGCTGTTTTATTACTTTTCACTTACATTAAAATACTATATTCTTTACATTGAAAGACAGTTTAAGGTATTAGAATTAAATCTCTTGTAATTTGTGAACAGCATTCCATCCACGCCAGAGGTTCTCAAACATTAACACAGTTCAGAATCACCTGGCAGACTTTTTAAAATTCATTTGTTGGGCCCCACTACCAGTCTCGGATTCAATAGATCTAGGATGGGGCCTGGTAAGTTGCATTTGTAACAAGTTCCTAGATGATTCTGATGCATTGGTCAAGAACCTGCATTTTGAGAACTACGGTCTACGCTAAACCAATCTTTCCATCAGTCAATTTTTCTCTGTTAATTGTTGGAAAGTAAGGAGAAATGCTCAGGTCAGAAGCCTGGAAACTCTGAACTGCTAAGGCTTAAACGGAATTTATTCTCTTTTAACTTTGTGTTTTATTAACAGTATTTTCTTATGCATATTTATAGCATGTTACTTGGTCTTTGGAGGATGGTAGCTGATTTTACTTTGAATGTACTTGCACAATTTACATCAATTTATCAGACTGATACAAGAAGAAGTTAAAAGAATCTCAAGTATTCTCACTTGTTTTCTTAGAAAAGGGTAGAGATGGACTGTTTTCATAACTGTTTTTTAAAACATACTGTGTGGTATTAATATTTAGATTTTAGCTAATATTGTCACCAGCATTATTAGACTTCACAGACTGTTAAGATGAATTCCCCATGGAGCTCTCTGTTAGTACTAGATGTTGCAGCAGTCAAATAAAGGAGACTTTTCTCCATATTTTGAGATGGACATAAGATGTAACAGAAATAAGGTAGAAGGCTGGAGTTAAGAAAGGCTCATAAATAAAACATTTCCTTTTGTACGAGCTGAGAGTATAAATCTTGAGACAGAAAGTATGGGTTCTATGTAGCACTTACTGTTGCCACCTTGGGAAAATACTTCACTTCTCTGTTTTAGAATCTTCATCTTTAAAAACGGAATAGTGGTACCTTCCTCTTAGGGAGCTTTAAGGATTGAATGAGTTAAACTATTTAAAGTATTTAAAATAGTGCTTACTCTCAACACTGTTATTAGTAGACACTACATCTTGGAGAAAGAATGTTATGTAGCCCTTTCTTGTCATACTGCTGGTAGCAGTGGAAATGCAATTAAAGTGAAATAAAATTTAAGTTACCACCAGATTGTGCCTTATAATTATAATAGCCAACTCCTTTTTCAAAAATGTATATCATATCATTTTTTGTAGAAGAAAAGATCATTAGTCAGGCCCCATGCATTTAAGACCGGGTAGCTGGTTCTTCATTATGTATTTTATTTCTGCCAGAGTGTTTGATTGACTGTCTGTATTGACCATGAGGTTGCCCAGTATGACTGCATCACTAAAGGTTAGAGAAGGAAAATGCTGGAAGTGCACGGTGACTCATACCTGTAATCCCAGCACTTTGGGAGGCTGAGGTGAGCATATTGCCTGAAGTCTGGAGTTCGAGACCAGTCTGGCCAACATGGTGAAACCCCATCTCTACTAAAAATACACAAAAATTAGCCAGACGTGGTGGTGTGCGCCTGTAATCCCAGCTACTCGGGAGACTGAGGGGAGGGAATTGCTTGAATCAGGGAGGTAGAGGTTGTAGTGAGCCGAGACTGCGCCACTGCACTCCAGCTTGGGTGACAGGGCTAGGCTCCGCCTCAAAAAAAAAAAAAAAAAAAAAGAGAGAGAGGGAAGGAAAATGCTGACTCAGTTTCCAAAGTATTCAGTACATTTGGAACAGCAAGAAAGATTAGAGAACAACACATATGGCTTTAAATGAATGCCGAGGGGTTCTCACAATGATGATCTGGACACGAACTAGGTAGCTAGAATGCCAAAGGATAAGGGAGATGGAGGAAAGATGAGGCAGTCATCATTGCAGAGAACCCCTACTAGGATTTCAAAATTGTCTGACCTGTTCCCGACCCCCTCCCTCCCTTCCTCATTAACGAAAAACTTATGTGCCTTATCCTTGTTGGTACTGCCCATGGTGCCAAGCACAGTACTGCTCAATAAATGTTGGCAGGTTTGATTTGACTATGAATGACATGGTTTGTGTTATGGCCTCAGCTTTTTTCTCTATTAAAAAACTGCATGTAAAGAAAAATCAGAACATACTGTAGTTAGCATAGTAAATCCTACCCTTTCTTTTCCTATCAACTTACCTGTATTTCTGTTCATCTAAAAATTTCCTATTTCCAATCTAATAATAGAGATATGTAACTAGATTCTAAGCTAGTGAATTGTGGCTACAATTTTAAACAGATAAATGCAGTTGCAAATGAAAATATTAATGTAATTTCAGCTCTGATAAAATCTGAAATTGAGTTAAAGGGTGCACTTGATATCTGCATAACAAAGTGTCACTGGGATGGGTAGGGGTAGGTGCCAGAGAGTTCAGGAGGTCAATGTTGATTATTTGTCCATCTGGCTTTATGGTCAAAAGAAGTACAGTAGCCTGCTGTGGTGAATTCTCTGTTTGGGTAGGAAATAACTCTCAGAGTACTTGAAAAGTTAAATGCTGTAATAATGATATTTATGCATATCAATGTAGTTTATTCATTTTGTCTGAAGACAGCTAATCTCTTCATATGAAATATATCATTAGTAATATGTTAGATATACCAGGATTTTAATATATTAATTAAGGACTTGTATTCTTTGCAACTAAAATCAAACCGTTTTAAAAAATAATTAGGAGATATGTATATTTTCTTAAAACCTAAAAACCAATTTTTAGAGTTCCATTTTTAGAGTTCCATTCCATTAGCCTGTCAAAGCCACCACATTGCATAGCTCTGGCTGCGTCACGGACAGGGACATGTCATTGACCCTATAAGCTATAAGCCAGTCTTTATTGAGTGTCTACTAAGTGGGAGACACCAGTATCTAGCTAATCCAAACCAGAAATTTGAATTTATCCACCTTGAGTCAAATCTGTTTCACTTTCAAGTCTTGCTGATTCTACTCCGTAAATACGGCTTTTCTATATCCCCACACCTTTGGTTTTCTGTATCCCTACCTCATCATCTTTCGCTCAGACTCTTTTTATAACCTTATTTTTATTTATTTATTTACTTATTTATTTTTATTTTCTTTTAAGATGGAGTCTTTTAAGATGGTGCAGCAGCATGATCTCGGCTCATTGCAACCTCTGCCTCCCTGGTTCAAGCGATTCTCCTGCTGCAGCCTCCCAAGTAGCTGAGATTACAGGCACCCGCCACCACGGCCAGCTATTTTTTTTTTTTTTTTTTTTTTGTATTTTTAGTAGCAATGAGGTTTCACCATTTTGGCCAGGCTGGTCTTGAACTCCTGACCTCAAGTTATATGCCTGCCTCGGCCTCCCAAAGTGCTGGGATTACAGGCATGAGCCACCATGCCTGGTCTATAAACTTTATTTTTAAATGAATGATTTTCATTGTTATTAGACTATTAAAATAAAATAACATGTAAAGTTCTACAGGTAAACAAACAAGAGCAGTCCTATCCCTAGCTCCTCTCCAACAAAAAGAATGAATTTCTACCCATTTAGCAATTTCTTATGGTGATTATTTTTGTATTTCCAAGTAATATGCTTTAATATCCTACTTTATGAAATTTAGAGACTATTGACTTTTTGGGATGGTATATAAGGACTTTGCTTCTTTATAACCCCCTTCTTCTCTGCACTACCCCCAATATACTTACACTATAATTTTCAGTGAAATCTATATTGTTTTCATTGTTCCCATGTAAATATTATTCACTACCAGACTAATACTAGCCTAGGATTAAAGTCTCTTTCTTAAACAGAGTTTGTTGTTTTTTTTCTATAGAGCTAATAATTGCCTCACTTTTTTATTGTATAATTTATGTTGACTTTATGGCTACATTTACCTTTTTTTTTTAACAGTTTCCAACAGATCTGTAAAATCCATCCGTATACAATTTTCCTTATAATCCAATTCTCACACAGTGCATCAGATTTATTATTTCCCTAGTGTTAACAATTCTAGAATCATTTCTCTTTGTTCCAATGTAAAATGATTGCTCTCTAGATCTGTTACATAGCAGTTACACTGAACTTTCCTTATCATCAGCTGAAAATGTCTTTGCCTCTCTCTTACATTTGGTCACCTGTTTGTTGGATTCCATTATTTTCACTTCTGATAGCCTCCTTACAAGGGATGTATGAAAATATTTTTTTCTCTTAGAATGTTTTTGTATAATATATCCTTATTTTATTATCCCAACTGTTGGAAAGTTTGTCTAGGCATAGAATTTGAGATTGAAAATCAATTTCCTCCAGAATTTCATAGGAATTTCTCTGTATCTTCTAGTTGCAATGTCACTGTAGAGACTTGTGATGTCATTATAATTTCTGATCCTTTGAAGGTAACTTGAACTTTTAAAATTTGTTTCTTTGTGCCCCACCCTCCTGAAGCTTTTAGAATATTCTTTTTATCCCTGATATTGTTATCAATTTTTATCTTCTTAATAGTGATGAACACTTTGAAAATTCTTTCCTATAATTTTTTTCCTATCTTATTTTTTGGAACTAGTATTTTTTTGACACTTGACTTACTGAATCCTCTAATATGACTATATTTTTCTATTATTGCTCATCTTTTTCAATTTTGATCTCCCTTCCAATAAACCTTCTCAATTTATCCTTCCAGCCTTTCAGCTTTAAAAAGTCAATCATATTTTTAATTTACAAAACTTCTACTTAATCCCTAGATCTTCAAATATATGTGTGTGTATTTGTGTGTGTGTGGGTGTAAGTGTGCATGTGTGCATATGTGTGTATGTATCATTCATTTTCTTCTGCATCCGCTGAGGAATGCAACTTCTCATTTCTAGGGTATTAATTTTAATTTCCCTGAAGTTCTCTTATGCTTCAGCTTTGTCTGTATTTTATTCTGGCTTCTTTTTATCTGTCTATTTTGGTATCTCCATTTTATTTCAGAGAATTTTATCAAACCCCTGGTAAACCTCAATTCTCTGTATCAAGCATGAGACAATAAAAATCTACTTGGAAGCGGCCAGGTGCGGTGGCTCACTCCTGTAATCCCAGCACTTTGGGAGGCCCAGGCAGGCGGATCACAAGGTCAGGAGATCGAGACCATCCTGGCTAACACGATGAAACCCTATCTCTACTAAAAAATACAAAAAATTAGCCGGGTGTGGTGGCGGGTGTCTGTAGTCCCAGCTACTCGGGAGGCTGAGGCCGGAGAATGGCGTGAACCCGGGAGGAGGAGCTTGCAGTGAGCCGAGATCGCGCCACTGCACGCCAGCCTGGGTGACAGAGCAAGACTCCATCTCAAATAATAATAATAATCTACTTGGAAGCTATTTGTGCGTGTGTGTTTGTGTGTGTGTGTGTGTGTGATGCACATAGTTGTTAATGTCTTTTGTGATTCATTATAGGCCATCCTATAATGATGGCCAGCTCATTGATTCACTGGGTACCATGAGTGTCAGTATCTGTTGATCTTAGGGATGATCATTGTTGTCAAAGACAGATTTTTTAAATCTGACTGGAGTGAGGGTGGAGGATATGAAATCCTATATTCCTGAAGGAGAGGGTGCCAGGGAAGCAAAAATCAGTTGCTGGGGTCTCAACATAAGTATATATAATTTTACTTAATCCTTTTGTTTTCATTTCCATGCCTTTACCTTTTGTCTTCCTGATAACCCTAAGTCCGGATTTTCCCTAAAGTATGTCCTGGCTTTTGATGGGAGAATGGATAGGCCGGCAACAATATAACTCTTGAATTTGGTTCATCCTACCTTCCATTTGATCTGATGCTCATACTTTCTGAGCCATTCTGGGGGTCTGTGGGAAAATCTGTTTGCATTACTCTGTCTCCCTCTGCAGGCTTCTGTGGGTCCATCTTCCTTTACTACTCTGCTACATGTGTATCATTCTTTCATCTGCCTTCCACACTCATATATTGTGTTCATGGAAGATAGAATTTGAGTTAAGATTTTTTGTTCTTGCTGTCCTGTGGGCAATTTCTTAGTAAATACAGGGCAGAAAACTATTTTATCATCTAGAATACAGAAGTCTTGTAAGTAATCTGTCTTTACTTTCTTGACTCTAAACTTGACTCTAAACTCCATAGCTGCACTCAAGTTCAAGTTTAGTAACAGGAGCATGGCTGTCATTTTCATGTTCCCTACATGAAAATAAACTTTCACCTAAAAATCTTAATAAAGCCTTCTTAGCTTCAGATATTATTGCTTTTTGCCCAACCCTTACCTGATTCCTGGCCTCTTCCTTTAGTGTTTCCATGTGCCCCTTCCCCATGTTCTGGCCAAATAGAACTATACAAAATTCTCTGAAATCATGAGGCTATTTCATAGCTCTGTTCCTCTGTAGATGTAATTATTTATGCATATTCTGCATGGAATATGCTTTCCCCTTCCTTCTGATTGTCAAATCTCATCCTTTTATGTGTCATTTCTCAATCATCATTCTTCTGTAACCTTCATAGTTATGTTTTACTCTTTTTGCTATTTTTATTTAAACTAATTTTCTCTTAAAAATGGAATAAATTGACTTCATAAGGGACATTTTTTTTGAAGTTAAGTGGGAGCTATTTTGTGATTTTTACTAACACGTTAAATTACTTGATCAGATTTGCATTTTAAAGCAATCACTATCTGTAGTGTATAGAATAGTATAATGCTTAGCCTGCCTGCACTCAGAAAGTGTTTATATGACTGTTAGAGTGATTGGGTGAGAGATGATGAGAAGCGACCCAGGGCAATGATAGTAGCAATGGAGGAGTGGAAGGGTGAAGAGATGTTAGGGAGATAAAATTAACAGCACTAGGTCAGAGATTGAAAGAGAATGACAGAAAAAAAGTAAAAGGAAATTATCAGACTTCAATTTATGTTTACTTTATAATTTACTTGCCTTCATAGACCATCCACCGATCTTATGGGGTAGTCAACTCATTAATATTCACTTTTAAATCAAACTCCAAAGTTGAGATTTTTGAAAAACTTCATACAGTGTGAGCTTTCATTTTAATGTGAATATTGAGGTGAACTATCTGTACAGACTGAGGTGAACTAGCTAGATGGTGAATGTATTACATATATTGTGACAATATGATGTTACCCAAAACTTTTAATGGATTCGTTTCATAATTATACCACATGAGCTATTGAGATTTCTAGAAGGCCTACAAGAGTCATGAGATTGGACTCATTCACAGATCTTTTGGTCATATCAGTTCTGTAACAACAACTGCAGATCCAGTCTGTGATCAACTTTTCAAAACATCTAAAAATAGTATGTATTGTGTCTTAATCCCACACTGTGATTTTGCAACCTTCTTTGTCCAATGTTGCCTACCATTTTTGAATTTTTGAGTCTTAAAACTGTGGTGTACAAAATTATATCTTTGAAAAAATATATAACTTCACCTTTTAAGCCTCTTTCTCTGTATAGTAGGAGAAAATGTATTTATCTCAGTTCAAAGTAACATAATCACTTTCAGTTTAAAACTCAGTGTTTGAGGGCCAGGCTCATTCAGTTCCAGATTCTTCCTTTTCTTTCTGCAGTGATGGGCTGGGGAGGGTTGTTGATTGTGGTTCCTTATTATCATGGCACCAGGGGTGACACAGCTTGTTCATTGCCATTGCTACCCACCAAGGCTGCTGTCTGATGAGTGCCCGAAGGTAGGATTCCTGTCATACATAACTTGACTTATTTTAACCTATCCTCACATCTTCTGTGCCCTTTTTGCTTTTCTGTGCCAGCTCTATACATCCTTCCTGTCCTGATTTCAAGTGCTCTCTAGGATCACTTCTTTCTTCCAGAAAATTCCATATGGCTCTTGGGAAATTATAAAAAAAAAGTATGCTTTCCTATACTGTTGTGGTCAATGTTGTCCTTTGTGATTCCATTCTCAGGTCCAAATGCTACTTTGAAACTCAGTCCAGAGAGGTAACCTCTTAAATCTGTTCTAGGGCTCCTTTTCCTTCCAATTCTCTTCCCTATACTAGTTTTTCTTTTTGTGGGAAAAACACTTACTTCACTGATCACCTTTCCCTAAGGTATGATTTCTGGTTGCACTTTATATGCTTAGTCTTTTGCTGCTTTTTAAGATGTAGAAGTCCAGTTATTATCATAGAAACCCTTGGTCTTCAACACAATTCCTGTTATGTCTTAGAAGAACCCATTTAACTTTACAAAGCCAGTAATTTGAACATACCAGGGAGCAGTGCTTATAGAAATGTAATGCTACTGCTTGAATGTTGAAGGAAAACAATAATGTTTTAAATAAGTACAGGGTTAAAATTAGCTCAGCTAATATTTTTAAATCCTCTGATTATATTCATAATATCTTCTAATCAGGTTACAGATTAGTGTGTTTTTATTCAAACAGACTTTTAACTTCAATGAAGAGGCAGTCTTTCCCCTATCACTTCTCCCTACTTCTTCGATTATTTAGGATTCCTTAAAAATAAGTTACTTTATCCCATTGAAACACATATACCTCTATGTAGTGTATGGAATAACAAAAATAGTTATAATCATTTTTATATAACTGAGTGGTAGGTTACTTATAAAATACTAACCAAATGCTAAAATAAATAATTTTTAAAAATGTAGGAGCAGCTTGCTGTGACAGACAAAGATAGTATGTAATACTGTCAGTAGTAAAAAAAAATCACAAATGTTTAGGACTTCAAGGAAAATCAGAGTAGATCTTTTTCTGATGTTGTTTCTTCATAGCAGGTTCACTTCTCAAAAGAAATATGGTATCATATATGTTGCCTTCTATTTCATCCTCATATTTATAGTGAATAATGAGCACTGTAAGAGAAATATCATAGAGGCAAATGATGAAGCTACAAGGTCATTACAACTTCCTGCAATTTTCCTTAATTAGTTAGGTAAACTATATTTGGATGAATATATATGATTTAAGAGTTTAACAATAATAATGGTTTACAATATTTCTCATGGTTAATGGAAATGTATTTCATATTAAAGCAGTGAGCTACTAATAACAATATTTAACATAGTGAAAGTCCATATTCCAAAGTAGAAATTCATTAAATCCTCACAATAATTCCATTGGTTGAGGTATTAGTCTGTTTTCACACTGCTATAAAGACATCCCTGAGACTGGGTAACTTGTAAGGAAAAGAGGTTTAATAGACTCACAGTTCTGCAGGCTCCAAAGGTAGCATGGCTGGGGAGGCCTCAGGAAACTTACAGTCATGGTGGAAGGTGAAGGAGAAGCAAGATCATCTTACGTGGTGGGAGCCAGAGGAAGAGAGAGAGCCAAGGGGGATGTGCTACGCACTTTCAGAAAAACCAGATCTCATGAGAACTCTATCAGAACAGCAAGGGAAGAAGTCTGCCCCCATGATTCAGTCACCTCCCACCAGGCCCCTCCTCCAATACTGGGAATTACAATTCAACATGAGATTTGGGTGGGGACACAGAGCTAAACCGTATCAGTAGGTTATAATATTATTGCCATTTTACAGATGAGAATACTGGGGAATTTAGAGAAAAGAAATGTTCAATCAAAGTCTGCACAAATATTAAGTGGCAGAGCAGACATTCCAACAATGTGAATTGTTCCTCAAAGAATACATGCTATTGCATAATAGGCCCCAAAATTCATACTGATAAATGTAAAATATACCATGATACCTTTGATTTTTATCACTTTTAATTATGGTTAATGAATGATTATGCATGCAATTGTACTAGAATTTCTAAGTAGCCCTCTTGTAAACGCAATCTCAGTAATTCTTCTGAATTCCTTGAGATAAAATTATTAGATGGGATGATATTTATATTCATCACGTTGAAGTTCATCAAAACAGTCGAAGAAGACTGGCTTCAGATTTCCAGAGATAAATCGTATTGGAAGCTTTAGCCAGAACATTCATGATTAAAATCTTCAATGACCCTTTTACAAAAATTACCAAACACTGAATTATGATTAGTTTGATATTGTTCCCAATTATACCAATTTCTTCACTAAAAAAACTATAATTAATTCATAGCATAAGCCTGCAAAATACATTACTGCACATTTTGTAACTCATTCAGCTGAAACTAAAATGTTAAATACTGTGATTATTATTTTTGTGATAATGAACTGAGGGCAATTTTGGAGTTCAAATCCAATTTCAGGACCTGATTTCACCATCCTGTTGTATTTATTTAAAGATCACATTCTAATGACAGTTGACAAGGTTGTTTGTATTCTCTCTCATCACGGCATTACAGTACATTTATTGATGAGTTTTAAATACATTTTTATACCATGTGTCCTTTGCTCGAAGTCTCCTTAAAGACACAACTCATTTTTCCACCTTTGTATTCAACTTACACATATACAATTTTGAAAGAGAGAAGTATGTTTGTATATAATATTTTAAAATATATTTACATGTTACTTTGTAATTTTTGAAATATTTCACCATCTAGATTATAATATCCTTTTGGAAGGCACTGGTTTTCCCTCTCTTGTCATTTCCTTGGAGGGTCTCAAGTATCTTTTAAGTATGGAAGACACAGCTGTTTATTAGAAGGAACAAATAAAGTGTACTACAATTATTTTTAAATTTGCATTAAATTTCTTTATATAGCCATTGCTCTCACTGATTGCAGCTGAAGTTAGAAATACGGCCTGAGCAAAGTTTCAGATATTAGAGATGCTGGACATATCAAAGCCCTTAAGCTTGGGATTCCTCTGGAAGAAATTCTGGATCAAACAAAAAATGATTTGTGAGCTAAAACACAGGTATTACCAACAAGGTATCTTGAAGCCAACTAGCTGGCCTCCCATTTGTTTTCTCACCTAAGTCCCAGGATGAATTTGGATAAAGGCTAAGGAACTGTTGACATGCATTTGGAGAATGAAAGTATTCTTATTTTCACTTTCCATTCATATCATTTTGTTTTTTATTTAAACAAATGTTTTTGTATAATTAATGTTATCATAAAACAAAACCAACGAAATACAGTTTGATGGAAGTGGTGCCACAATAGAGACATTACAGGTCTGAATGAGAATATGACAGCCTTAATCTGTTATTTAGATTTCCCTGAGTTCAGATGGCAGACAGATTCACAACACCTGTGAAGTGGAAGGCAGGCAGAATTAGTGATAGGAGTAGTGTCAGAAGCAATTACTACAATTTCTTTAGTCTTCTGATGCCAGCCTTCTCAATTTTCTTAACATTTGTGAAATTATAACTTTAACAAGTATTTGTTGGAAAGCTATCACAGCAAAATAAAACTAGATGCCATGTGATGATAATAATAGCAAGCATGTTTTTTCATGACTAGCTTTGTGACAGATGCTTTACAAGTGCTATCTTATTTAGTCCTGGCACAATCCTATAATGTAAGTATTATTTTTCTCCTTGTTTTACAACAAGACTTTTTTTTACAAGAGGAATCTGAAGGTTAAGTAACTTGTCCAGGGTTCCACTGGTAGTAAGTGGTCTCAAGTCAGATCTGTCTGACTCCAGAACTCATTCTCCTCACCCTTGTGAATCCTTTTTCAACCCATGGCCCCAGTCTTTGCCTATGGACAGATCGGCACAACTCAAGTCTGACTTAACCTGAAGTTTCTACTAGAAGGCCAAAACAATTCTATCATTTAAATGAAGTGTTAAGAAGGGGAGTGTGCTCAATGTTTTAAATTCTAAACAGTATAAAATCCTTCCAAAAAATGTATGATCATACAAATATAATCAAATCTTAACTGAGAAAAATTATTACCAAATAAAAGCATCCACCTAAAAATCATGTATTTGTGTGCTAATTCAGGAGACAGTTATGCAAGTAATTTTTCTTACCCTTCAATATCTTCAACATAGAGATCATGGATATTAATAAAAGGAGATGCAATTTTGCTCTCACATATATTTTTCTTATGCAATGGGATGCTTCCAGTTGTTTACATCTTTCAAGAAACTTAATCACCACCAGATATGTACTAGTCTTATGATGCCAGTAGGACTACTTTGTATTTTCTAATAGAAAGGAACACTTTTTCTTCTGTGTTGTAATCTTGTGATATTTAGACCCAAGATTCATTCAAAACACTTAGCAGCCCCATTTCTAGGTTTTTGACATATAACAATACTAGCATATGAGTTCAGGAAGGTACATATGTCAGGCTGTCTCTTGCAACTTTAGATATAATAGAAACACATTTAAACAAGTCAAATATCTATCAACTGGGGGATTGATATATATAATGCAATATTAAAAATAGATGAACATACATGAAATGGCTCTTAGAAAAGCTGTTAAAATATTGTTACTTATAAATTTGAAACTGCAAAATAATATGTAAAATTTGAGCCAAATTTGGTTTAAAATGTGATCTCGTGTGTGTGTGTGTGTGTGTGTGTGTGTGTGTTCTGTGGCATGGTGTGAAGTGCGGTGTAGATACATCAATTCTGGAACTCTTCATACCAAATTATTCAAAAATGGACAGGGTTGAAAGTTGTGGGGAGACTTTCATTTTTTAGTTTCTATACTTCTGGTTTATTATTATTACTTTTTTAAATGTGAATTTGCTTTGTTAGAAATGTTTAAAAAGTTTTTAACATGCTTGGCATTTAGTGTTCATAACTATAAAATGCAACTTACCTTTTCAGCCTAATTTTCCCTAATTTTAGACATTCTGCCTCAATTACAGTTTTTACTGCTGTGTCCTAGATTTCTTTGCCTGTCGGCTTTTCTATATGTTATACCCACTGCAAGGAAGGTCCTTCTCCTCACTTCTCAGGCCTAGGTTCTATGTTATTTCCAGTTCTAATTCCAGTGCTTCTAACAATAATTTTAACAAGCGTATTTCTTACTTTCTTTCTTCTATTCTCATTTCAAATATTTTGTTTTTCTGTTACACCACATCATAGAGTGCCTTGTAATAAATCCACTAATATATGCATATGTACCACCCATAAAGCTGAAATCTTCATGCTTATTTTTCCCTTACAATTAGTAAGTATTCTATTCAATTGAAAAAATTAACAATGTTTTATTTTTGTGAAATTTTTGTAGAGTTTCAGCTTTTCTGTATATCATGATCTGCTGTTGAAGAGACACCTCTATTTTATGTCAAATTGTCAATTTTGTGCCTTATAATCCACTTCTGAATTCTACATTGTAATTTCTGTGTAATAACTCCATTTGCTGCCTCTATTCTCTCATATAAACACATTTCAAGAGGCTTAAATGGAAGACGACAATCCAAATCAAATTTCTTAGACAGGAAGGTATTTGTAATTATCTCATAAAATGATGCCAAAATCTTGTCACATACAGTATCTCACATGACAAATTCAATAGTGTTCTCAGAGAAACACAATTTTTTATAGTAATGTTTCTATGTAAATCAGTCCAGGTGGGTTTCTTTTACATGAACAAGCAAGATTGTTTTCAAAATGATAGAAACAATAAAGAGAGAGAAAACCCAAACTGATTTGCAATGGGAGTTTCCTCAGTAGTCATCCCAGAGGGAAGTTTTGCTTTGTCACAAGTGACTAGCCCTTAATTTTGAGAGTGAATCATCCCCTTTGAAATGAGAGATAAGTTGGGGAAAGAGCTGTTTAAAAATTACTTTACAACTATTTCCTTTAGAGCTATGACTTCTTAAACTGGAATGTGATCCAGAATAGCTTCCCTTTGAATCCAACATTTGTCTTCAGCATTTTATTGTCTCTGTTTTCCCTCACCCCATCTCACTTTTTCCTTCTCTCTGTTCAACAGATTTACACTGACTGGGCCAACCACTACCTAGCAAAATCAGGCCACAAGCGGCTGATCAAGGACTTGCAACAAGACATTGCAGATGGAGTACTCCTAGCAGAAATCATCCAGATTATTGGTAAGCCCTTCCTTCTGAAAGAAAGCATGAAAGTCTCTGCTCCCATCTCTTTGGTAAAGCACAACTTAAGTTAAGCGCCTTACTGAACTGGTCCATGTGTCTCTGAGATTCATGTAGCTCTCCCCTGATTTAATTAAAATGTTTATATGAGGATGTTTGAAAAAGGCAGTTTGGCCATACTTTTAAATAACTAGAACTGTATCTTTATATACATAAACTTGCTAACCTTTATTGAATCATTTGAATCGAACTGTCAGAAATGAATGCTTCATTAAACCATATGTCTCCCATGTGTGTATTTCGTTAGCTGGAGCAACTCATACACTCTGAGATGCCTTGAAACTGTATCCTGATCCAGCAGGGACAATTGTGAAAGGTTTCATGTCAGCAATCATTTGGCACAGGCTAAAGAATTAGCAGCAACTTCCTTCTCACTCATTTTTTTTTTTGCCTGATTTGTGCATATAGAATTGGCAGCTGCTAATAAGTGTGTCTTCTTGTACACTGCTTGGAAGACAGAATATATGTAGCAGGAGCATTTTTGCTTGGTATTTTTTTTTTCCTGTTTTCGTGTGTGTGTTTCACTTCATTGCTTAAGCATGTCGTTCTTTTTTTCTCTCTTTTATTTTATCTCTTGGCTTTAGCAAATGAAAAAGTTGAAGATATCAATGGATGTCCTAGAAGTCAGTCTCAGATGGTAAGAATCATATTTATTCTCAATATATAATGCTGATCTTCACTTCCAGAATTAATTGCATTTGTAAATGGATATTATTTTTTTTCTGCATGTCTTCCTGCTTAAGAAACCATTTGATCCCATTCTCTCATATGTATTTGTGTGGGTTCAATTTAGGCACATCAACATCATTAAGTGACTCCTATATACACATGACATATTTCCAGATGTCTTATTAGATCCTTGACTTTTTTTTGTTCTGCTGTTCTGTATAATTTAACACTGGTCTTAATGGTAGTAAATTTCATTTCTACTTTTAAGTGGATTATTTTTGTCTGAACAACTGGCTTAAAGAACAGGCTTTGCCATGGGCATTTTAAAATATATAAATAGTATTTTCTTTGTTCATAACAAAGTCCAGTGTAAACACATGGACTCTTCAACACTTCTGGAAATAGTTCTCAAGGCATGCTGCTGTCAGTTTGGTGAGCAGTGACTGATTTTGAGATATGATTCGTAGTCTCTTCCAGAAAGCCTTCAGCCTGGATATCTGCCTCTTTCCCAGCTATCTCTTATCTTTATCAACCAATAAAAACTTCAAGTTTTATAATAAAGTCAAAGAGTAATAAACTATAGAGATAAAAATATGTTTCTTAATTAAAAAGCCACAACTTAGTTTTATAGGAAAACCTGAAATATAAAATGCCTTAACTAAAGTTACATCAAGCAGATATAATCAGGAATGACAGCCGAAATCCACAAGATGAAGCTTTCTCCAAAACTCTTCAGCACAGAATAGGCATTTTAAATGAATTTAATGAGTTCTTAGTTGTCAGAAACTTGGAAGAATAAAAAAATCTATGAACTTTTAAAATATACTGACCTACTTTACTTAATGTCAGAAAACTGAAATCCAAAATAATAAACATAATTTATTTCTAAAAGTGATTAACTATCATGTATATTTTTAAAATAATTGGCCAGATGTGGTGGCTCACACCTGTAATCCCAGCACTTTGGGATGCCAAGGCGGGTGGATGACCTGAGGTCGGGAGTTCGAGACCAGCCTGACCAACATGGAGAAATCCTGTCTCTACTAAAATTACAAAATTAGCCAGGTGTGGTGGCGCATGCCTATAATCCCAGCTACTCGGGAGGCTGAGGCAGGAGAATCGCTTGAACCAGGGAGGCGGAGGTTATGGTGAGCGAGGATTGTGCCATTGCACTCCGGCCTGGGCAATACGAGCAAAACTCTGTCTCGAAAAAATAAATAAATAAATAAATAATAAAATCAAATAATAAAATAAATAAATAAAAAATAATTACTCCCAGGACCTATTATGATGTCATGAACTCTGTGTATATGGTTGTGAAAAAAATCACTGTAAAAGAAAGGATTTCTATACAATCCTTCAGTTTTAAGGAAACTTCCTGATCTAATTACTCTAAGTGACTCTGTGGGAATTAATTACAGTTGTTTTCTGAGGTTTTACTGTGAACAAGCCAAATCAGAAGACATTTAGACCTTGATACAGTAATAAGCTGTGTGATGTTGAGAAAAATATGTAACTTCTTTGAGCCTTAGCTTTCTCATCTGTAAAATGAACCTTAATTAGAATGTGACAATGAGATATGTATGTGAACATCCTTTATTAACACAACTAAAATGCAATGCAGAATAGTATTGCTACAAACTTTGTAAAGGACACATGCGTGGATTAACACCTGTTAAAAGATTTTTAAGGCTTTCAGTTAAAAAGCTCAACAGTCCCCTGAAACCATAATTATGTTTCTTAAACCCAACATGGTTGCTTTTGCTTTCATTATTTTTACCATGAGGAGGTGTTGAATAATATAAAACATTTTAAGTCTAGAAACTCTTACCTACTTGGCTATCATTCCAATTTGATTCTGGGATTACAGAGAATTCAATAAACAGGCAAGCTTATACTCAGTGATGGAAAAACAATTCCAAAGCTCATAACAATGGTTAATAGAGATGCTGTTTTTACCTATTTATCTGAAACAGCTGTTC
The DNA here is from genome assembly GCF_000001405.40 of Homo sapiens. Classification (NCBI taxonomy): domain Eukaryota; kingdom Metazoa; phylum Chordata; class Mammalia; order Primates; family Hominidae; genus Homo; species Homo sapiens. The sequence continues at coordinate 77,943,148 of NC_000012.12, forward strand.
CTAGAGATTCTACAAATCTGTGAAGAGTCTCTTGAGTTTCAGACTCTGTTAATTTTTTTATTACTTCTTATTCCTGTTAACTGCAAAATATCATGTTACAGATATTATGCAAGTTATGTTGATATTTCCACTTCTGATTAAAACAAAATAGAAAGACCACAGTCTAAGAAATGCAAATGCTATAAAAAAGGTAGTTTATTCAGCCAAAAAGCATTAGTTGGAATCATATCGAATATTGACTAAGAATGACTTAGATCCTCATTTCTTTAAGATGTGGTTGAATTTTGAATCTGAAGTTGGCATGCCTTCAATTTCTTGATTCAGAAAAATACATATGAAATAAATGTAACTTTTTTGGCTGAATTATTTTTGCCTCTGTTCTTAAGAATTTGTGTAAGCACTATTAGTGAATAAAAATTCCAGACTTTAATTGAGACAAGAATGAAAAGGAAAGATAATTATGATAGCATGACTAGGCTTATGAATTTCATGTATCTACTCCAAACAGGATGTTGCCTGTTCCTTGATTGCATAACACTGGGAGGTGCTACATTAGTAAGAGTGAGTGGTATACTTGCTCATAGGACTACTTTGGCCACCTCTTTTTGTATACCTGGTCTCTTGTGGCCTTTGGTTGCTGTTGGTGCTTAATAACAAAAGATAAAGTAAAATTAGGTCTGCTGCTATTTTTAATCACGAATTGTTTTTATTTAAATGTTAAACTTGCTACCCTTTATTGAATCATTTTAAGCCTTTAAGAATAGAAGATCCCTTTTGTTGTATGAATCTACAATGTATTGATAAATTTCCATAGTAGCCAGGTAATTCACATGTAATCAATATTTACTAAGCACTGAGTACAAAGTATAATAACATTTGGATGAACTACACTTGAGAATTGGAGGAGCAAATGTTTAGATAAATAACAGCAACAGTTACATAGGCGAGAACAAAAACGACTGAGAATGGAGTAAGTTTGGTGCATTCCACAAACAAATAGAAGAGCACCGTGGATTAGGCACAAGGAGAGTTGTTTGAAGGGAACAAGGAAGCCTGATAGTGTAGGGCCAAAGTAAGGAGTTGGTATGGTATTCTAACTCAGGAAGACTTTGGAAGATGTTTAAAGCTGGGCTGTGGTATGATCCAATATAAATACTTTAAAAGATCACCCTAGATGCTTTATGGGGATTATAAAGTAAGTAAGTGTTGGTGTCCAGTTGAATGTGGGTGACGGAGAGTACAGGGAGCTTAAAATGGCCCCAATTTTTTAGCCTGAATGGGTAAGTAATTACCATTAAACAAGATTATTATTATAGAAGCAGAAAAAAATTTCTTAAAAAGGTGGAGGGAGGAAGGTGATGAATTCATATTTTAACATGTGGAACTTGATGTATCTATTAAAACATCAATTTGGAGGAAACTTAAGGCTATTAGACATGTGTTTCTGAAGGTCAGAAAAGAGTATTGGTTAGAATATACTGAAAAAATAGGTAATATTTGAAACCATGGACAAGAATGGAATCTTACAGGAGGTCTGCATGAAGTCACAGGAGAAGAAACCTGAGGTTTTTCACTCTAGGAAATATAAATATTTATGTGATAGAGGTATAGGAGTCAGGAAAGGGAAAGAGTGTTGAGAGAGTGAGACTATTGTTGAGGAACAGAATCACAGATGTGGACTGCTAATCCTTAGGGAAGATGCAGTAGCTGAAGCTCTAATACGTGGACTACCCCAGCAAGTCAGGGCAAAGTAAGATGAGCAGAATGTGTAACATGCTGTCAAATGTTATGCAGCTAAATAGCTGGTATACTGGAATGTGGTATTTCTTTTTGGTAATTGGATAGGCATTGATTACCTGTATGTGAACATATTCTGTAGAGTGAATAACGTGTTAAAAAGTAACTCAGAAGTGCCAATATCCATTGAGTCATGAATAATTTTTCTAAGAGTGTCCTGTTAAGACACTGTTAGAGAAAAAAAAAAAATAAATAGCTTGAGAAGAAGACAGAGTTGAGGGGAGTTTTTGCAAGGGGGGAAGAAAGCATAGAAGGAGGAAGCAGTAGAGGGAAAGGAAAGGGTTCAGAGGAATGAAGTGGTAAGTAACTATACCAAGTCCTAAAGGAAGTAGAAGAGGAGGAAATTTTGGTCTGTGTGGAAGATTTGATATTGGAAAACAATAGGGATACATTTGTTTCTGTATCATGTCATAAAAGGTTATGATGGGGTGAAGATACGGATACTTGAAAAAAGTATGTATGTAACATATTTGTATAAACACAAATCTCTACATAGCAGCTACCACTGAAAGGATTATGGCCGGAACAGGGAAGAAACACATAAATAGAGGCAAGTTATTTGAAGGATTCTAGTTCTGTAGGGTATAATGTACTATATTATTCTGCTTTTACAACTTACATAAGTGTTACATGTATTATTTTATGTACATCAAATATACTAAATAATTTCAAAGTAGAAAAGAAAGTATATTAAATAGAAACTAGAGGAATTTAAATTAATATAACAACTTCAGAATTTTAGATAATATTAATGTGCTTGCTTTTCATGTGATTTTCTAATGGTTTAATGGTTACTTTATTTATTATTATTATTATTTTTTGAGACGAAGTCTCGCTGTGTCGCCCAAGCTGGAGTAAAATGGTGTGATCGTGGCTCACTGCAACCTCCACCTCCCGAGTTCAAGCAATTCTCCCTGCCTCAGCCTCCTGAGTAGCTGGGATTACAGGTGCCCACCACCACACCTGGCTAATATTTTTTAATTTTTTTAATTTTTAGTAGAGACGGGTTTTGCCATGTTGGCCAGGCTGGTTTTGAACTCCTGACCTCAGGTGATCCACCCATCTCGGCCTCCCAAAGTACTGGGATTACAGGCATGAGCCACCATGCCTGGCCATGGATACCTTATAATAAAGAAAAATTCACCATATATATATATGTATATATATATATATATATTGTGTAAATATACACATATATGTACATATATACATATATATATAATGATAGCACTATGACTCAAAGGAGTGGAATATTGCTATATACATACACATATATGTGTAAATATATGTGCGTATGTGTGTGTGTGTGTGTGTGCGCGTGCACCTTATAAAGAAAATTTAACTCTCTATATAATATGTGTATGTGTGTGGATATATATAATACATGTATATATAATCCCAACAACAATTCTTTTGAATAGCATAGTCCAAAGAGCACATATTTAAGAAAAATATGAATTTGTCCTTTTAGCACTTTATTAATATAATTACTGAGATATTGTGGTTCATATTTATCTTAAGTTTCAAAGTCATGGTTATTTTTCTTTGATGAGCTTGAGACTAAACTGGTCCTGGAAAACAGAACTTAGTTTGTTGGAGCTTAGTCAACACTAAATTTAACCTTATCCAAAGATGAAGTTACTAATGTGGATGGCACCTGTTGAGTAATTCCTAGGTGGGCGGCATCAGGATTCAAAATATATACTGCATGTCCCAACTTTGGTGAGCTTACATGAGGAAATAAATTAGTAAACTATAAATACCAGGAATGTCCCAAATGCCCAGCAAATTAAAAATAGCAAAAATATGTCCAACATTTACTTAGAATGCAGAGACACAAGTGCAAGTTTCTTAGACAAAAATGTTAGACATGTAGGGTAAAAGTTGTTTCAATGACATTTAAAACATTTTTTAAATAGACCATTATATTTAAGGATCTTCAAAAATGCACAGAAGAATGAGGACATCTGATTATGTGAAATAGTTACAAACCAAGTATTAGGCTATGTAAGACAGCTAAGGATCTGGCAAATGTATTTCACAGCTTGTCCTTCCTCTTTCTTGGCTCTGTTTTGTCGTAATAATTCAATTGTTTTCCAGCCACAACCTTCAACCTAAGGTTTTAGTATAACATGTATGTTGTTTACAATTTGCTGATATGAATATTTTTGGCTTCTTATTCCTTTTTAAATCCTAGTAGCTGGAAAATTAGATTTAGGTCTTTACTGCCTATCTGATTCCATGTCCGATAGGGTTATGGCTCCCAGAATCATTACTGTTATGGAATTCACATCTTTATCCCATTTGGGATAGAAATTTCTTGATCCTATTTCTATTGCTTATATTTATCTGGAAAGTGAAACTATTCTTAATAGTAAAAAAAAAGCCCATGCTTTTATCAGTAGCCTGTCCTTTAAAGTTTTATTTTTTTCAGCTACTGCTTGTAATCACTCTTCTTTTAAAGGATTTTTTTTTTTTTTTAGGTAAGATGAGAAGATGAGGTTCTTAACCAAATAGGGAAGAGATAAAATACTGGAATGCTCTTAAAGGTTTAATAAAATCTTATATATGGCATACTGCAAAATTGTAGCACTATGACTCAGAGGAGTGGAATATTGCTAAGTTAGTCCAGTCACATGATCCCTTGACTTTGAAAATATTCATCTTCTGGAATGGCTAGAAAAAGATAGCTTAATGAAGACAAATGCTTTATTACAAGTAGAGTTCTGATCTATAAAGAAATACTAAATGAAAATCTTTACTTTGTATTTTTCTTAATGATTTCATTATTTTTATACAAACTTCGCAAAAATATGTATAAACTACTAGTATCAGGGAATTTATATGTAAGTTATTAGAATATCACCTAAATGATTTTTAAATCTGCCTGTCTCTAGAGGTTGCTCCACACACTAGTCAAGTTCAAATGAAGTAATTGACATAACATGGAGGCATTAAGAGGCAGTGTGTTTTGTTAAAAGAACAAAGGTGACTGGAATTCCAATTTTGTATGTATGACCCAGGAAAAGGCATTCAGTAAATTCTCAAGGCCTCTGCTCATTTCTGCAATGAGGAAATTGGACAGATAAACTCTAAAGTCAATTGGAACTCTGATTTGCTACCTTGATTAAAAAAAATGCCAAAGATGATGATTTCTCTTCAGTTTTAGTAAGTCTAATTTACAAAGAAAAACAGCAACATGAAATCATTTCGTTGTGGGAATTCTTTGGTCTGCCATTTAGAAATTAAATAAAAGTTAAAAATACAAGAATGCCTTGTTGCATTAACTTTATATTATAGAATGAATAGCTTAAATGTTGTTCTTATTGTTGTCAATATTTATACTTGTTTGTGTAATTAATATGATAAATAGAAATTGGAATAAAGTAACGGTTTGAATTACAGATTTTTTCTTTGCTTTTGAAGAGAAGAAATAATTTTTAAGGACATTAAATTTATATATGCATATATAACTATTGCAAAATGTAGTTGATATTTCTACTATATCTTTGAATATTGACCACTTTAATAAATAATTGGCATATTTTTATCCTGATTTTTTTTGTACTTAAAATGCTACAAATTGTTTTTTATTGGTAGCCCAGTATTACTGTAAACACAAAATACAATCATTGTATTTGAAGACATATTTCGTAAGAATCCTTTTATAATTTTAGCTTTTTATATTTAATAGTTGGTGTTTTTAAGGAACTTATTGCTCCTTCTTTTTCAATTGCCCCCCCACCACTGCCAAACTTAATAAAATTATCACTTACAATAATCAGTGGAAAAATATTAACAGTAGGATAATTTTAACAATCTTAGTTTAGGAAACAAAATATTAAGATATTTGGCCATTTTCAATATGAATTGTAATACTCCTATCTGAAAAAAATCTGTGATAGTTTATATATTTAAATTTTTTCAATAATAAGAAAAAAGAGTAAATAAAATAGGGAAACTCTTGTTCACTTAACCTCTGTGTAATCATATGCAAAATTTATCTTTGATCAGATAAGTATTTTGAAATGTAGTAGATATGCCAAAGCTAGTTGCTTCATGAAATTATATTTAAATTATTTTAATATGAATTCAGTTAAAAACTGAATTGTGTGGATAGACACAGAAAATATATTGACATTCCTTGTTACACTCTGAAAAATCGTATTTCACACCTGCCTTCTATTAGCCATGTTTCAAACATAACAAGAAATACTGGGAAATCATTACATAAAAACATACAAATTTAGAGAAAGATCTGATAGTTCAATGATGTAATTATCACTTATTTATTGAACATCAATGGTATATACCTAGTGCTGTGCTAGGTGTTTTGCTTATGCTTTTCATTTAGCCATCACGGCAAACCTATAATGGAACTGCGTCTCATTGAGGCGATCTGTGTCCTTTATTTAGTAAAGTGGAAAAATTATGGTTTGGACTCATGTTTATTTAGTCTAGGCCAAATTATCTTTAGACTTATTAACAAATAAATTTAACAAAATAAGGTCTGGAATTCAGGTCTTTGGATCTTCCGCTATTTTTTTCCTTCTCCTCCTCCTCCACTTCCTCCCCCTCTTTATTTTTTTAAAAACTACTTTTTTTATAGCAAATTTAAGTTCACAGCAAAATTGGGAGAAAAGTACAGATTTCCTATCTACCCCTTTCCCTCACACATGCATAGCCTCCCCCAATATCATCATCACCCAACAGAGTAGTATATTTGTTATAATTAATAAACATATATTGAAACATCAGTATCACCCAGAATCCATGATTCATATTAAAGTTTACTCTTGGTATTGTACATTAGACAAATATATAATGACCTGTGTTACCATTATAGTATTATACAGAGAAGTTTTACTGCCCTACACATCCTCTGTGCTCCAACCCCTGGGAACCAGTGATTGTTTTACTGTCCCTGTGGTTTTGCCTTTTCTAGAATGTTATATTGTTGGAGTCATACAGCATGTAGACTTTTCAGGTTGGCTTCTTTCACTTAGTAATATGGATTTAAGTTTCTTACATGTCTTTTCATGGCTTGATGGCTCATTTCTTTTAAGTGCTGAATAGCATTCCATTGTCTGAATGTACCACAGTTTATCCATTCAGCTACTGATGAACATCTTAGTTGCTTCCAAGTTTTGGCAGTTATGAAGAAAACTGCTATACATTTCCATGGGTAGATTCTTGTGTGAACTTAAGTTTTCAACTCCTTTGGGTAAATACTAATAAGTGTGATTGATGGATCATATGACATTTGTTTAGTTTTATAAGAAACCACCAAACTGTCTTCCAAAGTGTTTTATTTTGCATTCCCACCAGAAATGAGTGAGAGTTCCTGCTGCTTCACATCCTCACTAGCATTTGGTGTTGTCAATGTTCTGGATTTTGGCCGTCCTAATAGATTTGTAGTGGCATTTCATTGTAACTATAATTTGAATTCCCCTGATGACATATGATGTGGAAATATGCATCTTTTCATATGCTTATATGTCTTCAGTATATCTGTTTTGGTGAGGTATCTGTTAAGGTCTTTGACCCCAGTTTTAAAAACCAGATTCAATGCCATCCCCATCAAGCTACCAATGACTTTCTTCACAGAATTGGAAATAACTACTTTAAAGTTCATATGGAACCAAAAAAGGGCCTGCATTGCCAAGACAATCCTAAGCCAAAAGAACAAAGCTGGAGGCATCACACTACCTGACTACAAGCTATACTACAAGGCTACAGTAACCAAAACAGCATGGTACTGGTACAAAAACAGAGATATAGACCAATGGAACAGAACAGAGCCCTCAGAAATAATACCACACATCTACAACCATGTGATCTTTGACAAACCTGACAAAAACAAGAAATGGGGAAAGGATTGCCTATTTAATAAATAGTGCTGGGAAAACTGGCTAGCCATATGTAGAAAGCTGAAACTGGATCCCTTTCTTACACCTTATACAAAAATTAATTCAAGATGGATTAAAGACTGACATGTTAGACCTAAAACTGTAAAAACCCTAGAAGAAAACCTAGGCAATACCATTCAGGACATAGGCATGGACAAGGACTTCATGTCGAAAACACCAAAAGCAATGGCAACAAAAGCCAAAATTGGCAAGTGGGATCTAATTAAACTAAAGAGCTTCTGCACAGCAAAAGAAATCTACCATCAGAGTGAACAGGCAACCTACAAAATGGGAGAAAAGTTTTGCAATCTACTCATCTGACAAAGGGCTAATATCCAGAATCTACAAAGAACTCAAACAAATTTACAAGAAAAAAACAAATAACCCCATCAACAAGTGGGCGAAGGATATGAACAGACACTTCTCAAAAGAAGATATTTATGCAGCCAACAGGCACATGAAAAAATGTTCATCGTCACTGGCCATCAGAGAAATGCAAACCAAAACCGCAATGAGATACCATCTCACACCAGTTAGAATGGCGATCATTAAAAAGTCAGGAAACAGCAGTGCTGGAGAGGATGTGGAGAAATGGGAACACTTTTACACTGTTGGTGGGACTGTAAACTAGTTCAACAATTGTGGAAGACGGTGCGGCGGTTGCTCAAGGATCTGGAACTAGAAATACCATTTGACCCAGCCATCCTGTTACTTGGTATATACCCAAAGGATTATAAATCATGCTGCTATAAAGACACATGCACACGTATGTTCATTGCGGCACTATTCACAATAGCAAAGACTTGGAACCAACCCAAATGTCCATCAATGATAGACTGGATTAAGAAAATGTGGCACATATACACCATGGAATACTATGCAGCCATAAAAAAGGGTGAGTTCATGTCCTTTGTAGGGACATGGATGAAGCTGGAAACCATCATTCTCAGCAAACTATCTCAAGGACAAAAAACCAAATTCTGCATATTCTCACTCACAGGTGGGAATTGAACATGAGAACACTTGGACACAGGAAGGAGAACATCACACACCAGGGTCTGTCGTGGGGCAGGGGGAGAGGGGAGGGATAGCATCAGGAGATACACCTCATGTAAATGATGAGTTAATGGGTGCAGCACACCAACATGGCACATGTATACATATGTAACAAACCTGCACGTTGTGCACAGGTACCCTAGATCTTAAAGTATAATTAAAAAAAAAAAAAAAACAGGTTGTTTGTTTTCTTGTTGAGTTTTAAGAGTTCTTTGTAAACTTCGGATGATGATTGTGTCTTCTGTAAATATTTCTGCTAGTCTGTGGTTTGTCTTCTCACTCTTTTGACACTGCTTTACAGGGCAGAAGTTTTTAATTTTTATGAAGTCCAGCTTATCAATTATTTATTTTATACATCATGTCTTTAGTGTTGTGTCTATTTTTATTTATATATTTGTTGCATGTAGATGTCCAGCTCGTCTCGCACTATTTGTTGAAAAGTTGATCTTTGCTTCATTGTATTGCCTTTGCTTCTTCAACAGATATCAATTGACTATATTAGTATGGGTCTACTTCTGGGCTCTCTATTCTGTTCCACTGATTATTTTCCCATTTTTTCACCAACCCCACACTGTCTTGATTACTGTTTTGATTACATGACTTACTTCATGTAGGTCATAAAGCTGTGTTGTGTCAGTCCTCCAATTTTGTACTTCTTCAATATTCTGTTGGCAATTTAGGTCTTTTGACTCTTCATATAAAGTTTAAAATTAGTTTGTTGATATCCACAAAATAACTTCCTGGATTTTGATTGAGATTGCTCTTTCTAAAAAAAATTATTTGGCTCCTCTGCTTCTCCCTTCCCTATGCCCAAACTTGCAATATAAATAAGAATTATTCTTCAATATTACACTTGTTTCTTCTATCTGTGGCAGGGATATAAACTCTCGTGAAACTGGGAGAGGGAGTGGTCTTGTGAAACAAATAATGATTTATAAATTTTATGGTAAAATTATGAATTTGGCAAATAATAAGTTGTTATATGTAACTTGAGCTCTTTATATACATACATGTTTTTAGGTTTAGAAGAGTTTAATAACTTTATAATAAAACAATAAATTCCCTTGTTTGGTTTTGTTTTCTGGAACAAACTTAAAAGCAGAAATTTATTAAAAAACAAAAGAATATATCTTCAGGTCAATGAATACTGATGTAATTTTTAATAAATTATATTTATAACACTTTTGCCAATTATAGCTTATAATGAAGATTTAATATCATCTATAACTGATACAAAATATTAAACGATGCTCATAATTCTCCAATTATCAAGTAAATTAAAGAAGAATAGCAGGGTTTTGAACAAAATATTTTATCTGATTATATCCTCGGGAACTTTCCATATCTATGTCTATACAGCTAGTCACAGACACACACAACTCTGTTCTAGCATACATGTGTTTATAGAGCTTAGCTCCATATTAGGAAGAGTATGTTTACATATAAATAATTGAATATACCCTTCTCCATTTCTAGTGTGGATATATGTGTGTGTATACATACACACACACCCACACATGCCTAGAAACTTCTCAGTTTCTTACATTGTGTAAATTGTAATACCATGATGCAAATCCAGTTTAACTGCAAAATTTTTAATTACACCATAGGACCTAATTAATAAACGTACTCCTTGTATCTAATCACAGACCAACTAAACAAATAAACAAAAACCGAAGAGCAAAACCCAATTACTGTCCCCTATTCCTCTCCCTATTTTGCAACACAAACACATTTGAGATGGGAAAGGAAAGCCCGCAAGGCGTTCCTTTGCAATGACACAGGAGTAACTAATTAAACTGCACCTCTCATCCTCTCTGCCCCCAGCACTAAGACTCAACAAATCACAGTTCGAGGAAAAGGCCTGGAATTACGCATGCTCACAATGATCCCTGCTCAGCTTTGGGCTTGCCAAAGTTTTGATTTCTACTACTTTACTGAGTAGATCCTTGTATTAGTTTCCTGTGGCTTCTGTAACAAATTACCACAAATTTGGTGGCTTAAAACAATAGAAATTTAACTTCTCACAGTACTGGAGGGCAGAAATCTCTATCATTGGGCTGGAATCAAGGTGTCAGCAGTACTGTACGTCTTCCAGAGGCTGTAGGGATATCCATTCCTTTCCTTTTCTAGCTTATGGTGGATGCCAGCATTCTTTCTTTTGCTTGAGGCCACATCAACCATTCTGTATGTTAATCTACCACCATGTAAAATGCATTGGATATTTGAGAAGTAATATACAAGTAGTTAAACTTGTGAACTTATGAAATGTGTGGAACAAGTGGATTTTTGCATACCCATTTCTGTCTTTACCTTTACACTACACAGTTTTCATTCTTACATTCAACCATATATTTATTGAGCCCCTACTTTGTTTGTACCTGGCACTATTTCCTAGCCATCTGCCAGTTGTGTAGTAAGCCTGAGTCAGAGGCTGCGAATAGCTTAGTGAGAATGTTTAAATTATAGTGGTAGTAAGCATAATGAGGCAGAAGAGCAAGCTCATTGCAGAAAGACAGGTTTAAGTTTTAGTTCTGGCTCTGCTCCTCATTAATTGTGTAAGCTTATATAAACTATGCTATCTCTCTGAGCCTCTACTGAATAAGAAAAATAATACTGACTTTACTAAAACTTACAGTGAAGATGAAAAGAGTTTTGTATATGGAGTAAATAGCATACTTGCTTATGACTCTGTGTAAACTTCCTTCCTGTGCTTGGTTGTTGAGTGGTGGAGGAGAACATAGAGAAGCTCCAAATCATTTTCCCTGCTTCCATTCTTTACATGCACAGTAGGATTTTTAAAACTGCAAATTGCTCACATAGTATCTTATGAGTTAGTGTATTACAACTGAATTTAAAAATGAAATATACTAAAATAGGATTTTTTAAAAAATTGGAGTGTATTTCAGATATGAGTAAAAATTGATTTGTGAAATTTTTATTACTATCTGTTAATAAATCTATGTATGTACTGTGTGGTCATTTAAATGGATGTATTCATTGCAATACTGATCATTTCCCTTTTTTGATTAAAGCACACGTTTAGATCTCTGATCTTTAAGATCAAGCTTGACCCTTAACAAGGCATGGAGGATGTTCCTCATTGAGCCCTTACTTATTTCTGTGGCCTTGTCTCCTGCCACTGCCTTTCTCCAGATTTCAGGATTTGTGCTCTGGAGCTCCTTCTGCCTGATGCCTTCTACCCATGTTCTTCAAACTGATTTGAAGGCTACTAACCTTTTGAGCAGTTTCACAGTGATAAACAATGGGAAGTTGTGGAGAAAGATTTAAATGAGAGTCAATTCAACATTCCTGGCTATTCTGATCTCTTAAAGATCCCTCAACCTACGCTGTTTCTCAACCATGCCCAGTTCACATATAGCTCCTTCCCGCGTTCACCTCGTACCACATCCCCTCCTTCAGCAAAACCTTCCTAACCTCTCAGGGACTAACTCAGGCTTCCCTTAAAGCAGCAAAATGTGGGGGTTAGGAACATGGGCTCTGAGTGACCTTGGGCATAGCAATTCAGTTCTGTGATCAACACTTTTATAATAAATTGGTATAGTAATGACAACTTCGAAATAACATATCTTTGTTACTATGTTAGGTAGGTCTTAGTTACTAATAACTTTCTCCTTTCCTAGTCTTTTTGGCCTCTGATCAGAAATAGACCCTTCTGGACAGCTGCAGTGGCTCACACCTATAATCCCAGCACTTTGAGAGGCCAAGCATGGTAGATCACTTGAGGTCAGGAGTCCAAGACCAGCCTGGCCAATATGGTGAAACCACATCTCTACTAAAAATACAAAAATTAACCTAGCATGGTGGTGCACACCTGTAGTCCTAGTTACCCAGGAGGCTGAGGCAGGAGGATCGTTTGAGCCCAGGAGGTGGAGGTTGTAATGAGCCAAGATTGTGCTACTGCATGCCAGCCTGGGCAATGGGAGTAAAACCCTGTCTCGAAAAAAGAAAAGAAAAGAAAGAAAAAAGAAATAGACCCTTCTGCATTCTTTTCTAGGAGTCTGTGTTTCTGTGTCATAATATTTATTGCATTAAATTGGAATTACCTCCCTTGCCTGTAAAACTATATACTTTTTAGGGCTTGGAAATGTCTTGATGAACCAATAATTGTTAAATGAATGAAGGAAAACAAGCATCCTACAAATTTTAACCAAAGCAAAAATATTACTGTATTTTACTTTAACTCTCCAGAAAAAATTTATGTCTAGTTAAAATCTTAGGATAAATTCTATGTAATTACTTGAATTCAGTGTTAGGATTGGCATTTGCTGAAACTAAAACATCTTATCTATTTTTTAATTGAAAATTTATTAATTTAATTTATGTAATGGCGCTAGTATTACATGTTTAATGTGAAAAATGAGAAGTATAGTTCATGAAAAATAGCACAAGTCACAAAAGAATCTACCTTCCCGAAATATCCAAAGTTAGGATTGGTTTACGTTTTTCTAGACATTCTCTATGTATGATTGGCAACAGCAATATCTAGCACTTTAGCCATTTTCTAACTTGGATGCATTTCTTATGGAGAGAGAAATAAATCTTTGAGGTATTATACCTGCTATCTGGTTTATGATTATTTAACTTTTTACATTGTAGCAGGGTTTGAGTCCAATGGGCAACACAGTGTTTTAAATCCAAGGTCAAAGTCAGCTCTATAAGCATAACTGCAGAAGGTAAGGACTGGAGCGATCACTTCTCAAGCATCCTTGTGAACAGTTTTCCTTATAGTTGCTCTGGTTGGTATGCCCTGTTCCTCCTTCTGATGCTTGTCTAACCTTATATAAAATCCAACTTATTTATTTATTTATTTATTTATTTATTTATTTGAGACAGAGTCTCACTCTGTCACCCAGGCTGGAGGGCAGTTGTGTGATCTCGGCTCACTGCAACCTCCTCCTCCCGGGTTCAAGCCGAATCTCCTGCCTCAGCCTCCAGAGTAGCTGGGATTACAGGCACATGCGACCACACCCAGCTGATTTTTGTATTTTTAGTAGAGACAGGGTTTCACCATGTTGGCCAGGCTGGTCTCAGACTCCTGACCTCAGGTGATCTGCCCACCTCAGCCTCCCAAGGTGCTGGGATTACAGGCGTGAGCCACCACACCCAGGCCCAACTTAGCTTTTAAGTCTAAATGACACTTTTATGAAGCTTTCTCTGTATCTGTAGTGGAAATTAATAACTCCATTCTCCTCGCTGCTCTACAGAGTTGTTTATAATTCTCTTTGGAATTTATCATGTTATGCCTTGCATTATGACAATTTATAAATCTTTTCTGTCTCCTCAGCTATTTTACAAGCTCACAAAGGCAAAGATCTTATCATTCATTTTTATATCCCTTCACCATTGAGCAGAGCTCTTTGACCATAATAAACAGTCTATAGTTGCTGAATGAATTAATCACTTAGTGTTAAGTGTTGTGCCATGGTTTAGATTTAATCACAAACTATAAGGAGGTTATTAATCATATCTTGGTATTTAGTACCAAACTGTAATGTTCATTAACTATCCATAAGTGTAAAAAAATGTGAATAGACAAGATATTACTTTGTTGATATTGTGATAGATTCTTCCAATTACATGTCCTGAAACATGTTATATTTGCAGTAAAAAATGCTAAAAGGCTGGCTGTAATAAAACACACAGCTTAAAATGTATGAGTTCAATAAAGAGCTATGCTAATTAAAAGCACTACATTTTTAGAATAGTTTATTCATCACTGAAATGAATAACTATCAGTATTTTTTTTTTTGAGACAGAGTCTTGCTCTGTCCCCCTGGCTGGAGTGTAGTGGGGTGATCTCGGCTCGCTGCAACCTTTGCCTCGCAGGTTCAAGTGATTCTCGTGCCTTAGCCTCCCTGGAGTAGCTGGGATTACAGAAGCCTGCCACCATGTCTGGCTAATTTTTGTATTTTTAGTAGAGACAGACTTTGCCATGTTGGCCAGGCTGGTTTCGAACTCCTTACCTCAGGTTGTCTGCCCGCCTTGGCCTCCCTAAGTGCTGGGATTACAGGCGTGAGCCACGTGCCCTGCCAATATCAGTGTTTCTAATACACACTCTATGGTTGATATGTCAAGAACACGTGTTAACTCTCAGGTTTAACAAAATAATTGTAGTTAAAAATACACTGGTAAGTGTCTTGAGTTTTCATATGTGAAGGTGATGAAAATTCTTCCTCTTCTCATCTGAAACCCAATTTGTAATTTAGCAATCAGACATGTTTATATTTAGCAAGTATGTAAGGGTCAGTATAAATATACAGCTATGAAAATAGACAATCAGAAAAATTCTGCCTTGAAAAATTTCTGTTCCATTTTTCATGTGAGTAGTTGAAATAATTCAGTGCTCTTTAGAATATATGAAAATAGTGGCTGTGTCTCGAAATTGATCTCTGTAGCACAGAGCACATTTTCAGGCATAAAATAAGTTTAATAAATGTGTGATGAGTGAATAAATAAATAGTGTGTTTGATAGAACATGAAACAATGGTAGTGTTACAGGATGCTAATATTAAGTATATAGGTAGAAACTACTCAATTCTAAAAATATGGACCAATTTCTATTACATTTGTTTAGTTTCTATAATAAAGAAAATAACAGTCCATTTGAAGAATTACTCTAACAAAACTGTTTTTCTTTAGGGCATTATGATAAGATTAAGTATTTTGATGAAATCCCAAAACCTCAAGGCTCAATGTATCCATGCATTTGGATACTTCTGAAAATAATGACTAGATCTAGCTCTCAGAAACTTTTCATTTTATTTTCATTACACAGCCAACATTTTTATAGTTATCAAGCCATGCTTAAATTTAACATGAAAAAGAGAGAGAAAGTAGGTGTTCCATGCCAATAAAAGATAAACCACAAGTAGAAAAGAAGGGCCCAAGAAATTGTGCTTGACATTAAATTGTGCCTGACATAATAATAGCAAGTAAATGTCCTGAGGTGACTGTCCATAAGCTACAGATTTGACTGTTACCTGAGCCAAATGAGAAATGTGGTGTCCGTTGAAATCATAATGAATTTCTTTGTATTACTGCTATAAAGGAATACGTGTTTTAATATCACAGGAATAACACATGAATTATATAGTATTATGGTCCAAATAAGAAAAATATAATGTATTACTCTAGTGTGAACAGTGCAATTCCAGCAACGACATGGTATTAAACTGAAATTATCTGCAGTTAGTTTCTTTGAAGAACATAGTTGGAAGTTGTAATTTACAAGTTTTGCTACAAATTGGAATCACCTGCAGATTTGTAATGTATAATGAAACTGGCTTCTATCTGCTGACATTCTGATTAAACTTTTGAGTTCGTAAATGTAAATTGGGCTCTATGGGTTTAAAAGATCCTCGGTTAATTCTTAAGTGTAGTAGAGTTTAAGAAATACTAGATTAAAAATTTGGGAACTGAGTTTACTGGGATACAGATAATTCTCAGGAAACTCTGTGTAATACCAAAAGTGAAAGGGGCTATGATGTGAAATGGCATCATTTATACCATTATAGCATTGTTACCCTCCATTAATATTAAAAACTGTTATAATAACAAAAGGTATTTTTTGTTGTTGTGAGTTATTGAATCCCTACTATGTACATTGTATTGTGCTAAGTGTTTTACATGTAAAATTTAACTGACTCTTCTAAGTAATTATACATATTATCTGCTTTTAATTTTTCTTAAATTGAAAAAATCAGCTAAAATGATTATTATGGGCCCCACCATCATGGAATTTTTTTGAAATCATTTATTTCTATTAATCCCAAAATATAATGGTAACAAATTTTCCCCACACATCATTTCAATTTTTATGGACTATTGATTTTTCTAAATGTTAATTAAAAGCTCAAAACTTGACTAACCCCTTGGCACTTCCATTTCTCACTCATTTGCCTGTTGTGATCGTGTTTTGGTTTTCTATTCTCATCAACATCTTTTCTACTCCAGAGTAGTATATTCCTCCCTGACCCGACAAAAAAAAAAAAAAAAAAAAAAAAAAAAGACCAAAAACTAAGTTTTGGACATATAGCAGGCCAAATGCTATTACAGATTATAACTGATGCTATGTCTAAATTTATTAATTCATTCAGATAGTCAACAGTAATGCATTAAGCATTGATTGTGCCTGGCCATGGTGTGAGGTCCTGGGGGTAGGAGGGTAAATGTGAGAAGAGAGACATCAGCTCCCACCAGCAGACATGAGTTCATGTATATCAGAGGAGAGGCTTAGGATGCCATAGAAGTAAGTCAGCTCATCAGGGTCAATGTTCAGGAGACATAATTAATTTGACTACTAATATTATTTCCAATTAGGGTTTAATTATTTCTCTTTTTTATTTGACTGCTTCAAGCATGAAAACACTATTTTATTCTTGCTGTAGTTCATTTGTTTCCTCAGCAATTGTTTATAGATCACCTAAGTCATACATTTAGACTGGGGAGAGAGCAGTAGCCAAAATTAAAAAGAATCAATAGGGAGTATACATTCTGGCCAGTCATATATATATATATACACACACACACACACACACATATACATAAACACATATATATATAACACATTAAAGTATATATCATGATGTATACTGTAATATATGTAACACATATGATATAGACTTTAATAACACATAGCATATATTACCTATAATATATAACATATATGTAATGTATGTAATATACTATTATATATACTTTAACAATGTTTATACATATTAGCATTACATATACGATTATATTACATATATAGTAATATATAATTAAAGTATATGCTATATATTATATATCATACACATATGTATCATGTATATAATATATGCATATATATGATATATACATATGCAGTATATAAATATACAATACATATATGTAATAAAAATGCATACATGTATGGTATGTGTAATATACACATATGTATATATTACACACATATAATAATATATTGATATTTAATATGAACATATCATATATTCAATATACATGTGTTTAATATATTATGTGTATACATGCCTATGTCTTATGCATGTAATATATGTATATATGTATATGTTACATGTATACGCATATATGTATATATGTATATGTTACATGTATACGCATATATGTATATATGTATATGTTGCATGTATACGCATATATGTATATATGTATATGTTACATGTATACGCATATATGTAATATAATAAATATATACTTTAATAATATATTACTATATACATATGTCTATATTACATGCATAAGACATATTTGCAATATATAATATATATTTTAATAACAGGTATTACTATATATGTAATAATATATTAAAGTATTAAAGTATATGTCATATATTACATATCTGTATGACATATGCAATATACACATATGTATATATTACACATATACATATATGTAATATAATAAATATTACACATATACATATATGTAATATAATAAATATATTAATATAAATACATTATATATTTAGTATAAATGTTTACTATATTATGTATATACATATGTCTCATACATGTAATATATGTATATATACATATGTATCTATTACATGTATGAGACATATATGTAATATATTAAATATATAATATATACTTTAATAATATATAACTGTATATGTAATATATATTATTAAAGTAAATATTATATATTATGTATCTGTAATATATATATTTGAATATATATTACTATATATGTAATATATATTATGCAATATATTATTACATTATATATATTACATACATGTAATATATGTAATATATGTTATATAATATAAGTAATGTATGTTACATATATGTAATATATGATTAAAGTAGACTGGGGAGAGAGTGTAGACAAAATAAAAACCATCATGAAGGTTACATTCTGGCTGGTCCTCTATGTATACATTACACACATACAAACACACACATGTAATATGTAACATATACTTTAATATTTAGTTCATGTGTGTATAATGTTATGATATATACTTTAATATTTAATTTAGATATTTGAGCATTTGCTATTTGATAAGCACTATTATGAGCACCTTTCATGAATTTATTTATTTAATTCTAAATCTAATAGTCAACTCTTAGCTCTTGTCGTACATGACTTGTTAGCAGCTTTTGATAGAGCTCATCTTTCCCTTGTGCTTAAAATACTTTCTTCAGGTGGTTTTCTGTACCCCATCCTCTCCTGATTTTCCTCATACTTCCCGGTGGCTTTGTTCACTCTTCTCTGTTGGTTCCTCCTCTTCTTCCCAAGGATAATCTCCTAAGGCTCAATGTTTGTTCCTCTTCTTTTATGTCTACACACTTTTGTTGATAATCCACCCTCAAGACTTCATTCACATTACCAAAAAATTTGAATTTAGATCTCCACCCCAACCTCTCAATTGAACTCCAGATTGTGTGTCCTACTGCCTACGAACCATCTACTTTTGAATGTTTGATGGACCAGCCAACATGTCGAAAAAGAAACTTCCGACTTCCATTCATGATCTTTTCCATCTCATTGGATACAGACTTCATCCTTCTTGTGATTAAAGCCCAAAACCTTGGAGTTATTCTTGACTCTTCTCTTTCTCTCAAATGCCATATCTTCCCATCAATTTCTCTCAGAAAACATCTGGAATCTGACCATTTCTCATCACCTTCACTGTCTCTTCACTAACCTTGTTGCTACCCTTGAATATGCCCCGTACTGCATACCACCTGCCACGAACCCCACCAGAAAAGAGGCAATGTAGGCATGGCAATGCTCTGGTCTTCTTAGGGCAGTGTTTTACATATTGTGGATTACCATCCATTAATGGACCCTGAAATCCATCTAGTAGATTTTAAGCAACATCTAAATAGATTAAACAGAAGACAGTACAGTGCACTAGGAAGCATCACAGTAACCTGAATTTAGTAAGGTAAAGTATTATTCCGTGAAACTTTGACTCCATTATAATTATGTATGTGCATATTGGGTTGTGCTATTCAATTTATTTCTTGCTGTGGGTCACAGTCAATATTTTAGAAAATATTAAGGTACATGAAGTTATTCTAATTAAAATTTCACCCAAATTTTTGGTGTTAAAATATGATTTGAATTTTGTTAGTTTGTTTGATATCCGATTCAAATAATAATGAAGGAAAATAAAACAGATTACAATTATTTGGCTCAATTTGATGGTAAAATAACTTTTATCTGTTTGTAAGTTACCAAAAAGTTTTAGAGGTTTTTAGTTAAAAAAATTGACATTAAATATGGAAAAAAGCAATTAAAACAGTGTTTGTACTAGGTCTATTTATAATAACTGAGAGATGTTTAAGGGAAATCCATATTAAAAACAGGAATGATAAAATCTTTACAATTTCTTGAAATAAAATTCTTAACCAGAGAATATCATTTTATCATTAAAAAATCCACTCAAATTATCTTAAAGTATGCCTCTGGTGAGAAAGTGACCATATAAATGGCATTTAACAAGATATCTTAAAACCACTTCTTTTTACTGTAAAATGTATAGCCTAGTATATACTAACAAATGTTATTGAATTTACAGAAGGACTAGAATTAAGTGGGGAAAAGGTATTATTTTCTTGAAAGTCATGTTTATTATGCTGATACATTGTGAGAAAATAAATTTTGGTAAACTGTTAATTTTAACAATAAATGTTGAATAAATAAATGCACTTTAATGAACTAGCCTTTAATAGTCATATTGGAAACTGTATTCAAGTACTTATTCTGTCGCTAACTTAGCTACTCAGGCAATAATGGGGAACATAACTAACTATCTTAAATTGCTGGTCCTCATAATGAATGACTATAAAAGAATAGTAAAAATGGTTGAATGCTCCTGATAAATACATTTGAAAATAAAAAAGAATGTATTATCGATCATTTGTTGTTGTTGTTCTCCTTCCCCTTCCTTCCTTCCTTCCTTCCCTCCCTCCCTCCCTCCCTCCTTCCTTCCTTCTCCTTCCTTCTCCTTCTCCTTCCTTCTCCTTCTCCTTCCTTCTTCTCCTCCTTCTGCTCCTCCTCCTCCTTCCTCCTCCTTCACCCTCCCCTTCCTCCTCCCTCCTCCTCCCTCCTCCCTCCTCCTCCCTCCTCTTCCCTCCTCCTCCTTTTTCTCCTTCTCCTTCTTCTTTCTTTCCTTATCCTTCTCCTTTTCTTCTTCTTCTCTTTTGCATTCCCCTTCTGATTGTGGTGCAAGTTGAGAGAGAGAGTTGTGTCTAACACTCAATTTAGAAATCAGTTTATTTTATATGCTGGTTAAATGGTAGGCAAAAATTTATCTTACAAACTTAGTTACAGACTCAATGAGCCTTTTCTGGATTTTCAGTGAGCTAATCTGTTCATGTATAATATGAGTAACTAAACTTTAGGTAATAATATCCTATTAACATTTTGTAGCAAATCACATTTGGGTCAGAAATCTTCCTTCTTTCTATAAAAGGCATATAATTGCATTGAAATCAAGAACTTTAGGACTGCTCTTGCAAACATTTAAAAATATTCCATCACATTATCTTTCTTAATATTAGGCCACAATAATTATTTGGCATCTTTCTTTTACTAATTTTTAATGGATCTTAAAGAAATACATTTACAAGAATACTGTGGATGGATAGAGAACATCAAATTTACCTCATTTCTTGTTATTGTTCCTCCTCTTTTCCTTCCTTATATAATCTTATAGCTAGCGGCAGAATGAAATATGAAGAAAGGAAAGAATTAATATATATTTCAGCACTGTCGCCTCATTGGATATTCAGATGGTGATCTGCAGAACAATAAGATTTATTATGTTATGTTGTATTCAGCATCTTCAACTCTATTATTTATTCATTAGAATAATTTCAGTAAAACTTACTTTGAAGTTAATTAATATAAATTTTTTTTTCCTCAAAATAAATGAGTATATCTTGGCTGTGGTCATTTTTAAGCAAACAGCATATCATTGTATATTATCAATTTTTGTATAAAATTACTATTTTAAAGGAACATAAATAGTTTCTCTATTTTATAAGGATAGATTCTTGAATCTATTTTTTTCTTTTCATTTTCTTTAAGAGACATTTTGACCTTGCTATGAAGCTAAGCTAGGGAGGACATTGGCAGAACTCTGTGTGTCCTCATGCATAGCTTTCGATGAGAATTTAGTAAGACAGACAATAGGACCTTGCCAAGTTATTAATTTTAAATCTCTTCTTTATTGTAGAATCTAAAGATTTATAGAATACCCCCAAATCCAGGGAGATGGATCACAAAGAATTGGAACTTTTTAGCTTTCTATGCTCTTACGAATCTTAGCTGTGTCACTGCTATATAATGTCATGATCAAATTTTTATTTTTTTATTTTTTTGCTTTTCACCCTAAATGAATATAAACTGGTAATCATATTGAAACCAATCATTTAAAATCCATGGGGCCTGGCATGGTGGCTCACGCCTGTAATCCTAAAACTTTGGGAGGCCAAGGCGGGTGGATCACTTGAGGTCAGTGGTTCGAGACCAGTCTGGCCAACATGGCAAAACCCCTCTCTATAAAAATATAAAAAATTAGCGGGGCGTGGTGGCGTGCGCCTGTAGTCCCAGCTACTTGGGAGAGTGAGGCCGGAGAATCGCTTGAACCCGAGAGAGGGAGGTTGCAGTGAGCCAAGATCGTGCCACTGCACTCCAGCCTGTGTGACGGAGCAACATTCTGTCTCAAAATCAAAAACACAAACAAACAAACAAAAAGTGCCTTGGGAATCACCCTTTTAAAATATCAAACAAAATACCTGTATTTAATCAGCAGATTATTCACCTCTAGAAATACAAATATAATTTTTAAAATAAGTATTTGCTATGTTTAGGATGAAAATATGCTTCATTTTCATGTTGTTTCAAACCTGTCTCCATCTATCTATCTTTTGACGTACTTGACAAACACTGCTGGTTGAATCTAAATTACCCACATCCTAACATTCTAAGACTCACACATGCAACAATCTCAGTCTGTATGGATGCTTTCACGGGGACTTATTTGCAAAATACAAGATCCAGTTTTATGTTAAGTAGGTGGGTTGCTAATCTGCAAGAATGCCATTCTTTATCAGGCCTTTATGAATTGTTTGTAAGTACCAGCTGTACAATGAAAGCTTTATATTCATTCTGCAATTAGCCAAAATAATTCTAGTTAAACTCTGGTTAAGACTTCTAGTATGAAATGAATGTAAACTATTCATTCTTTATCGTTCTTTCTGGTTTCATTTTGGCACATGTATTTGTTAAAATATAATCCTCTAAGTTGCTTTTTCACTGCTTTTCATGTTGCAGATTGAAAATGTTGATGTCTGCCTTAGTTTTCTAGCAGCCAGAGGGGTAAATGTTCAAGGTCTATCTGCTGAAGGTAAGAAAAAGAATGACTGAATTGTCACAAATGGCATCAATGTTTTTAAATTATTTTTTATAATGTAAGAAATGTAACATTGGAGTATACGTCTCCTTAATATGATAAAGGAAATTGGTGAAGTCTTCAAGACAACCGAAACATAAACATAATGGTTATTAATATGTGCTCTAAGTATTTAAATGTTTTCCATATTTTGCCAGAACTGTTCTTTTCTTAACCAACTATATGGGAGAGGAGTGAATCAAAAAAATATCTTTATGTTATTACTAGTTTATAGTATAATTAGATTTCTTAAGTAGATGAATAGATAATTAGATAAATGTTGGATGGACATAAATACAGGTAAAATATTTTAATTAAGGCTTAAAATATTATTTTATCAATAACATTTCTATAATATATTCAAGTTGGTAGAAATAGTCAAAATAGTTGGTAAGTTTAAGTCACTATGAAGTCTTAAATAATTAGAACTAACAGCGTTAATCACTGTTATATATAAATGTTTTAAATCATTAAAGATTCAAAAGATCATCACTAAAATTGAAAGAGAGCAAAATGGGGAAAACTTGAACAAATTTTGACATTGATCTTTTTTCTGAGTTTATTTTACTTTCACTTATAAAGGTGGCAAAAGTTTGCAAAAGCTTGCTACACTTAAGATAAAATTTGCCATACTTGAGAACACTGATATTTAAATTTCTTTTATATTTGCTTGTTATGATATATAATTAAATTACACATTTAATGACCAAGAAGCTTAGGTTCAAACCTAACTGGTAGTTCTGTAACTTCGAATAACATTTGAGTAAAATTCCCCAGGATAATATGTTGCTAAGTAGTTACAGGCTAGAAATGCTGCCATTTATTCACTTTTTATGTCTCTTCCTTATGAAAACCTTTATTAATATCAGCCTATTGATTTTCATTCATCTTTAAAATATACATGAATGCTCAAAATTTACTCTCTAAATTAGTTAAACATGCAAAATAATAAAACAATAATTTTTTAAAGACTCTTTAAACAAAATCTTTCAGGTTTATAGGAGAAAATTAACACTCTCTCACTGTAGCCTCAGATTGATGAAGCCAACTCTTCAATATGACGAAAACTATGAGAAATGTTTGGGGGAAAAATAGAACAACTCAGAGGGTCATTTTATATTAATTATTTTACTGCATAGTTTGAGTTATATGATAAACCATCAGAGAGCAAGAAATCCAAAGAGTTGGTTAATTTTCCTAAACTCCAAAAGGGGACATAAAACCTTAATCTCAGAGGAGGATGCATTTTATTGCCAACATCAAGTTTTATTTAAAATATGATTACAGGTTGTGTAGCTTATTTTCAAGCTTTACATCCTTCTCTTTTCCTATTTTTTTAAGTTATAACTACAGGAGAAAAATGTAGGCTTATGTGTACCCTACATTGTGAATTGAATTTTTTTATTCAATATTTGAAAATCTTACACAGCAACTTCATCTGTTAGAACAAGGATTTCTGCTTATTCAATTATGTTATCTGACGTAAGCTAATCCTCCTTATTTATTAATATATAGCATAAATTAAAAATAAAAGAATTGGAACATTAAAAATTGATATGTCTGCTTTTGGAAGATATACCTACACATACATTTTGATATATATGGATATATATTTGGAGGATATATACATACATAAATATGTATAAATGAGTTGGTGAGTGGGTGATTTAGAAAGAAAGTTGATTGCAACAAATCCAGTTGGTATTAGGAGGTGCACCCACATCATCAATATTTATAAATGCAGGACAACCAACATTTAAGTGGCTTTCTTTCTCCAGTTCGTAGCCACTGCTATGCTGGCAACAGCTGTGTATATTTGTGAGGGAATCAACATGCTAAATCAAATGGTTAGCACAAGAGAGAGCTCATTTATTTCTAAGAAGCAGCTAACTCGAGAAAAATTGTAGTTCAAGGTCAGCAAAGAATATCACTTCTGAGTGTGCTTTGTTCTTTTTACCCTCTATCCTTTTATTCTCTCCCTGAAATTCCAAGTTATTTGGAAATGTTAACATGTTTCAGAAATTCAGGTTTGTTTGTGATTCAACTGTGACTGAGAGAATTAAGTTGTATCTCTGTCTTCATAGATTTATTTCAAGAGAAATGCATCTAGAATTTGTTAAAAAGGACATTAAATACATATGATTCTTTTTTTGTATTTTTCATTTCATACAGAAATAAGAAATGGAAACTTAAAAGCCATTCTAGGGCTGTTTTTCAGTTTATCTCGCTACAAGCAGCAACAACACCATCAACAACAGTACTATCAGTCCTTGGTGGAACTTCAGCAGCGAGTTACTCACGCTTCCCCTCCATCGGAAGCCAGCCAGGCCAAAACCCAGCAAGATATGCAGTCCAGGTAAGGAAAGGAAGTAGGGAATGTGTTTCCAATTAGTTTGTGTAGATACAACTTGTTTTTAACAAATTATTGTCCATGAGTTTGAAAAACGTACTCATGTGCTTGTATCAGTGTGATGGGATTATTTGACTTGTGTAATAGAAACTAAAACCACTCTTGTTTTGCTTGGACAAGCAACATCTATCATCTTTTGGGTGACGTATTTTGTTTGTTTTCTAAAGATTGTTGTTCTGTATCACAGTGTGAAATGTCTTTGGTGTAAGTAATGTGGCATGACTACTTTCTTCTACAAATGACTTTAGTATTTAGAATGTGCTATTGAGTCCTAGTCTCCTGTCATGTAGTTATCTTTCATTGATATTTTTGATTAATTAAGTCTGTCAGAAATTTCAGGTCTGTTAAACATAGGAGTTTGAAGTTTGGGAACATAGTGTTTTTGATGTGTGTGTGTGTGTGTGTGTGTGTGTGCATGAGTGTGTGTGTGTATGTGTGTATGCACATACATGTATTATTTGTCTGGCTTGAGTCTTTTGGCATATGTAGACACAGCCTGGTGGAGTGCTCCCAAATCATGGCAACTTCCTTTTCTCTTCCATTATTATTATTTTTTTCCAATATAGAATTATATCAATCAGTGTTCAACTAGAGGAGTCAAGCAAGTAAATGATATATAACAAGAGATTTATTGTGAAGAATTGGTTTAGCATGATTGAGCATACTGGTTAGGCAAGTATGAAATCTGAAGGGCAGCCCAGCTGGAAGGGCAGGCTAGAAATCTCATCATGAGTTGAAATTGCAGTACGCAGGTAGAATTTCTCCTCTGAAGGAAGCCTCAGTTCTGCTTTTGAAAAGCCAAACTTTCGGCCAGGCACGATGGCTCAAGCCTGTATTCCCAGCACTTTGGGAGGCCGAGGTGGATGTATCACAAGGTCAGGAGTTCAAGACCAGCCTGGCCAAGATGGTGAAACCCCATCTCTATGAAAAATACAAAAAGCAGCCAGGTGTGGTGACAGGTGCGTGTAATCCCAGCTACTCTGGAGGCTGAGGCAGAGAATTGCTTGAACCAGGGAGGCAGAGGTTGCGGTGAGCCAAGATCCAGCCTGGGTGACAGAGCGAGACTCTGTCTAAAGTAAACAAACAAACAAACAAAAGAACTTTCTTTCAACTAGTTGAATCAAGATCACCCAGATTATCTAAAGTAAACTTTACTGAAAGTCAATTGATTATAGACTTTTATTACATCCTTAAAATATCTACATAGCAACAACTAGACTAGTATTTGAAGGAATAATTTAGACTATAGTCTAACATAGTTTACATATCAAAATAAATGATCACAGAATGAAGTTTCACTTAACAACTTTCATACAAGCTACTATATTTGTTCCTGAACAATGACTGGGGTATTGGTTAGTTAGCTCTATTACATAAATAGTTATGATTATTTTTCTTGAGGAGAGAGGATATGAAAATCCCTTTCATCGTCTTTGAAAATATAAACACTTGTCAACAAATGTAAATATTTAACTTTGTCCACCTTAGAAGTCAAGCTTGAAACCTACTAACATTCAGTTAACCTTGAGTTTGGTAATTAGAAATGACTCAAACAATTAAAATAATGTTCCAAAGTACATTTATGGACCACCTCCCACTTACTGTCAGTTGTTCAACTGTTCAGAAATCACTTCTCTTTCATCTACCAACCAACCCTCATATGGATTTTGTTTGTTACTCCATAATAAACAATATTTATTTCTCTATACAACCATGTAAATTTGGTTCCCTTTGGAAGATTTTCACTCATCAGTGAATTTTTAAATAAATTTTAAAAAGCTATAGTTTTACTAAAAACATAGCATAAAATATAAAGCTTATGAAGTGATGGGGGATATTTTTTATTATAAAATAATGCAGATATTTGACTGTTCTTTAAGCTCATCTTGGCTTTTGGTTATATCAAGTGAGATTGTATAAGACTCATAGTGGAAAATAAATCTCTATAGGCTAAGTTTCTTGGATGTTTGTAAGCATATAGAAGAACAAAGTGGATGACATCGTGTTTTATGTGTTATTATTTTTTGTGTGGATGTTTGCAACAAAGAGATGGATTCTGAAAAGTGCCAGAAATAATATTTACTAGAGTTTGGTTTAAGCAATTTAAATAAAGAAGACACAAGAATAGTAGCTGAAAAAATAAAGGAAATAAAATTATTTTACGTAAAGCATGTTGACTCTGGAAGTGATACGGAATATCATTTGACATTGCTTTACCTCACTCTTTTTCTGTATCTTCCATGTGAAATTTATTGTCTAGAATTTCTTGCCCAGAATTTCTTGGTAGTTATGACCCTTTTAGGAAATTGTTTATTTTCCTATTCTTCTTGCTGGATATACATGGCTGTTGTGAAACTATGGGGTAGTTTAAAATATAAAGCCATGTATAATACTCATGGTTTTTATACTCTTTTGTGGAAGGATGTCTCGATTTTTCATTACAAGTTTATGAAAAGTATTCTTTTCAACAGTGTCCTTTAAAGCCTTTAAGGCTGTGGTAGACTTTTAGCAAAATTTTCTCTGCTAAATTGGATTTAATTACTTTTTGAATTGATATATAATTTAATAAATGTTTATAGAGTAACAGCTTTAATAAAAGTAGTATTCAGGACCCGAATATAGAAGAGTTCAAGTCTTACTTCCATTAGTCTTACTTTTAGAGAATTTTTACATGGTTTAAAGGATATGATATTTAAGACATTAATACTTATTTTTATTTATATAGATTTAGTGTATCACATTAATATGTAAATTAGAATTTATGTGGACTTACCTGTAGCAATCAATATTTTAAAGCATTTTTCAAAAGGCCACAATGATAATATACATAGGAACATAATGTAGTATCTATGGGTTAGAACCAAGATAATTAATGCAGAAAAATTCCTAGTGACAAATTTATCTTCATTTGCTGGAGGTGTGAGTCATAAATCATGATTTATGATGCCTTTCTATTGATTTCAAAGTTCTTTCCAAGTAAATAGTTTAAATCTCAACTTGCTATACTTCTCTGGGTATTTGGCCAGAAAATGTTCTTATATTTTTCTCTGTAGACTAATAAACATTTCTTAGGGCACATTGTTTCAGTTCAGTGAAAGTGTTTCTGTTTTATTCTCTTTGTTTAAAGTAAATTGGCATAATTCTACATATTTCCACAACATTTATTTTATACATTAATAATTTTTAATTTGATTTTGCTATTTTGAAAAAAACTCCAGATGTTTTTCCTCAAGTTGAATAGCTTTCATTTAAACAGAAATTTGGATTTAAAGGTTAACAAGTGAAATATACAGGAGAAAAAATAAAACATGGACCAAGAGGAAAGAATAGAGTAAGAAATTCTGCTCTCCTGCTCTCTCAGCTCCCTCTCCACCTTTGAGTGTATGTATCTATAGGTGCATGGGTCATGTGCTATATGTGAGCTTGAGTGTGTGTGTGTGCACAAGTGTGCATGCATGTGTGTCCTGCTCAAGTGGCACCTAGAGTTCTAATTATTAAGAGTTTACCTCAGGAATCAGACTGCCAGGACCTGGATCTGTATTAAAGTAAAGGTGGGATTCAGATTTTAAGTTTCTTAAATTCATTACAGGGTATTATTTGGCTTATTTGGAGTGATAAAGACTTGATTAACCAAGTAATCAATTCTTTAAAATTTAAATATATTTGATATGAAAATTAGATTTTATCTATGTCAGTATTTTTTTGATGGACTTTATGTGGGTAAAGATTCAATATCTTGCTATATTCCGAAATATTAAGCATCTTATTTGCATTTATTTAATATATGAAATAAAACTAGTTCATTCAGTATTTCTTAATTTTCTTTTTATTTTGAAAAAGGTAGATAAAAATTCTCCTCTCCAGCCAAAAGGGGAAATATGAGAAGTGTTTTAATATAAAATGCTAAAAAAAATCGTATATAAATGTTGGTATCATAGTTATTTTCCACAGGTATTCATTGGGAGATGAAGGAAATCCTATTTCTTATTCTAAGAAACAATGTAAAAATAAATCCTACAATTTTAAAATTCATAAAATTCATTTTCATCCTAGGCTATTTCTGTGAACCTTACTTTTTCATATGTTGCATTTTGACAATTAGAGTTCTAGTTGGCAGGAAAGCTAAAAGAAAATTCTATTTCAACCCTAAGCAGTACCTAGCACATACCAGACAACAACACTCAGTAAATGAATGCATGATTTTCCTAAGAATACCTGGAAAAACATTACAGTAAAAAAAAAATAAAATGAAACTTAATTTTTCTTATGTACTGACCTGGTTATATACAAGGTGTTAGGATGATAGTACATGTAAAAGATACATTTTTTTATTTGCTAAAAGCTTTTTTAAAAGACGTGATTTTTCTTAAAATACATACTTTTATCTTAATTTTTGAACAGATTATTAAATGATTTTCCTTCCTGTTATCAAATAGTTGATGAATTTTACCAACTCACAGATAGTGGTTATTAAATCACATGAATAGTTTATGTAGTATACAATTAAAACATGTAAAAAGAAGAAAATTGAATGTGAAAGTAGAGGTAAGAGATTACATAGATAGATGATAGAGGTGGCAAAACCAGTGGTGATAAATCTTTCTGAATTAAAAAAAAATATATTGGGAACTTGAAAGTTTATGATCTCTGCAGATGATCATATGCCCTTTTGCTTTTGATTTTATGGGAGCAAATCAAGAATGTGTCCACTTTCAAAGATGAACGTGCTCCTACAGGATTCACAAGTTAAACTGTGAAATCCCCGGGTACACGTTTTCTGAACGGCTTGGCTGTTCCCTTGCAGCCCCTTTCCAAGGTTCCCGTGACCCCTACCACACACATTGCTTTTGGAACCCTCTTACCATAGAGGACATTTGCCTTCCAGGGTATCTTTTCCAGGAAACATTATTTCCTTCTGGGAGATTCACTCTGAAACTGGGACAGTTTACAGCTTTTTGGCCAAAGGTTATAAATCTTGAGAAGTATATAAGGAAGTTTAATTTAAGATGACAGGTAGGCTTTAGTAATTTAAGCCCTTGTGAACCTGGCTTCAATTAGTTGCCTAACTCAGTTCTGTGTTGTGGCCATAGTGTGCCCTTTAAAAAAAAAGTCAGTTAATCGATTAAACTTTAAATAAAACAAAAACAGAAAAGAAGAGGGATATTTATAAAATCATTACTTAAAGCAGGATTTTTTTATCTCTAGAGAGAAATAATTGAAGAGAAAGAAGTTATTCTTAACTGACTGCATTTGGAAACCAAGAGTATGTAATATTAAGAGAAAGTTTGTGTGTGCACGTGCACACACTTTTGTTACGTTCTAACACTGGTGTTTCGGTTGTTATAGATGAAGATTATATTATAGTAAAGGTGGGACTCAGATTTTAAGTTTCTTAAATTCATTACAAGAAAATATTTGGCTATATTTGGAGTGATAAAGACTTGATTAACCCAGTAATCAATTTTTAAAAATTTAAATATATGTAATATAAAATAAGATTTTATCTATATCAGTATTTTTGTTGTTTTGTTTTGTTTTGTTTTGAGATAGAATCTTGCTCTGTCACCCAGGCTGGAGTGCAGTGGCTCAGTATCAGCTCACTGCAAACTCTGCCTCCCGAGTTCAAGCCATTCTCC
The DNA here is from genome assembly GCF_000001405.40 of Homo sapiens. NCBI lineage: Eukaryota > Metazoa > Chordata > Mammalia > Primates > Hominidae > Homo > Homo sapiens. The sequence continues at coordinate 77,974,393 of NC_000012.12, forward strand.
TGCCTCAGCCTCCCTAGTAGCTGGGATTACAGGTGCCCACCACCACGGCCAGCTGTTTATTATTATTTTTTTTTTTTGTAATTTTTGTGGAGACATGGTTTCACCATGTTGGCCATGGTGGTCTCAAGCTCCTAGCCTCAGATGATCTGCCCGCCTCAGCCTCCCAAAGTGCTGGGATTATAGGCCTGAGCCATCATTCCCAGATGCTATGTCAGTATTCTTGGATGTATTTTATGTGGGTAAAGATTAAACATCTTGCTATATTGGTTATTTCAGAGTCAAGCAAGTATGGGTTGGAGTCCTGCTTGCCAATTCCCAGCGCAGTGGCATGGTCAAGTGATTTTAACCTGCTCAAATTCCAGTGTTCTTCCTCTAATATTGGAATGGTGTCAACTTTCTCATAAGGGTTTTGAAGAGACCAGATGAAATGGTTTATGTATAAAATGCTTACTTAGCATAACACAGCATATAATAGACACTCAAACCAGCTATTTCCATCTTCCCTTCTTTCACTTGAAGATCATATCACATGTGTAATAAAATACGTTGACCCACATTAAAAACCTTAAGTCAACCTCATTACTGTTCTCCCTTTTCTCTCTTTCTCTAATCAAGTCTGCCCATTCCACTGTTTAATTAAATATATGAAAATAATTTAAAGTAATAATATTTCCAATAAAATAGCTTAATAATGCTCAGTCCTTTGTATGCCCAGTCTAAATAAGCAGAATAACCCCTTTAATTAGTTTAGATTTTTTTAATTAGTTACTTCCATATAGCTAAATAGAATGCTCCTACCACTAGTTTCTATTCATCAATTTGACCATTTTCATTGGATTCACACATCTCTATTTCTCTCCACCCTCATTAATTGATTCTACAAACTTTTATTAAGCACGTAGTATGTTCTAGACAATCTTCTAGTCACTGGAGATATGCAGAAGACAAAAGAGATTAAAAAATCTTTGCTTTCTTGAAGCTTTCATTCTAGTAATTGGAGATAACACAAACTTAATTAAAATATTTACCAGTAATTTGACAGCTGATGACGGAGAAAAATAAATCAGAAAAAGGCAAATCAGATGTGTGGGAACAATTTTTTGCTAATTTAAATTTAATGAGGACCGAGGAAAGTCCTCATTCAGATGATGAGACTAAACAAAGAAAATGACAGAATGTTGTCGGTGAATATCTCAGGGCAGTGTTTCAGGCTGAGAGAAGAAATGCTCTTAGACCTTGAATTAAGAGCCTGTCTGCTTCTCTTCAAGAAGAGAAAACATCTATCCCAGTTGCGCTGGATCAGAGGGAAAGAGGCAGAAGAAGAGTAGATATAATTCAAAGAAACATAAGAATAAGTATGGCCCTGTTGCCATTGTAAAGACTTTGACTTTTATTCCTGGAGAGAGGGGAAGATACTATGTGCCATGAGGAACATAAACAGGCACATAAATGAAGTGGTCATATTGGCTGCTGTGTTGAAAATAGAGTGTAGTAGGGAAAAGGTGGTAGCAAGAAGTCATGGAAAAAGCTTGGGCTATCATGTTGAAAGTGCAGAGAGGAAGTTAAATGCCAAATGTGTTTTGAAGGTAGTGTCAGAAGAAACTGATAGACTTGTAATGAAATTGGTAAACAGAAAGGAAACTCTAGCATGGATAAGGAGGCTATAAAGGTGAGACTGTACGTTATCGATATAGTATTAGCTGTTGGAAAGATGGCGTTTCCATTTGCTGAAATGAAGAAAAAAATATGAGGAAAGGTTTGGTAGGGAGAAGGTCAGATATTCACTTATTGCCATGTGAGCTTTGAAATATATATGAGATATATCCAAAATACTGAGGAGGCCATTGGAATTGCAAAACTGGGGTTTAAGGGACAGATGGAGCCTATAGATAAAAATCATGGAAAAATAAGCAGATAGCAACAATAAAAAGCTATAAGGCTAGACATGATTAAGTCACCAAAATCTGTACATAGTTGAAGAAGAGAACTGAGGCCTTGGATCAGGAGCTTACCAATATTTAGAGATCAAGGAGATGGCAAGACCTGATAGAGGAGACCAAAAAGAGTTAGCCTGTAACGTAGGAAGAAAAGTAGAACTTGATGTCCTGGAAAGCAGGTGCAGAAAGCGTTCAATGGAGAGACAGATCAATAGTCATAACTTATATGGAGCCCTTTCTGAACCATTCTAAATAGTTTATACATACATTTACTGTCTCAATCCTCACGGCAATCCTATGATGTGTATACTGTATTCTTTCTTTCTTTCTTTCTTTCTTTTTTTCTTTTTTTTTTTTTTTTTTGAGACGGAGTCTTACTCTGTCACCAGGCTGGAGTGCAGAGGCGTGATCTCAGCTTGGCTCACTGCAACCTTCCCCTCCCGGGTTCAAGTGATTCTCCTGCCTCAGCCTCCCGAGTAGCTGGGACTACAGGCACACGCCACCACATCTGGCTAATTTTTGTATTTTTAGTAGAGACAGGGTTTCACCATGTTGGCAAGGATGGTCTCGATCTTGACCTCATGATCTGCCTGCCTCGGCCTCCCAAAGTTCTGGGATTACAGGCGTGAGCCACCACACCCGGCCTGTACTGTATTCTCAATATTAATTTTGACATAAGGAAACAGAAAATGGAAAGATCAATTAAATTGCACAGTTTCACAGAGACTAGGCTGTATATTGGATCAAGGCAATCTAGTACAGAGTTTGTGTTTCTATCCATTATTTACAGAATGTCAACTACATGAAATGTTGCATGTAAGTAGGATGAGGACTGATAACTGACTTACCGCTTTTGCACTGGAGACTTTGATGAGAGCTCTTTCAGTGAAGTAGTTGCTATGATAACTTGATTGGAATCTGTACAAAAGAGAATGAGAGGGAGGAATTACAGAGAGAGATGTACAATTTGTATGTGTCAATTAAAAAAAGAGATAGCAAATATAGGCAGGTCTTTCTAGGAGTGTTACTAACATAGTTACACTCCACTATCTTTAGTTCTTTTATTGGTTAACTTTGTACCTTTATATAATGGAATAACATCTTTATTTCTTTTTCAATCACCTGTAGAGTATCTTTTGGTATTCGATTTTGTAAAACCTGGATATTAAAACTACGGTTTGGTTCTCCTCCATCCACTAACAATTTCCAATCTCTGTTATCGGCACTTTTATTTTTTTGTTACCAATGTTCATATGATTAATCTATTTTGTACAGGTAGCTGATTCTTCCATGCTTTTAGTATAGGTTGATTCCAAAAGTTGAAAATCAATAAGAGTGTTTAGATAGGAGATATATATATACACACACACACACACACACGCGCACACACACACACACACACACACACACACTCTCTTCAGAATCAAGTAATATACTCTGATTCTTCCCTAGTTAAGGCCTATCTGAAAATCTGAAAGTCTGGTAAAAGTTGATACTTGTTTGAATTGATGCATAAAATAGTAGATAATTTGAATTAGGGCCAGAGCTCATTTTATGATAGTTTGGGGAGATCAGTCCAAGTAAACAAAGGATCACTGTATGCCAGTTACGTAAAAAATGCCTTTTTTACGGGATTATCCAGTTATTATAGTTTAAAATGCTTTTTATGTTCAGATCGTTGGTTTTGGTTTAGTTTTGTTTGTAAAAAAAAAATTCTTAGTTTTACTTTTCTTAACTAAGTCAGAATCAGTTAAACTTGATTTTCTAGGTATAAAATAAAAACGTCATAATTGTCTTTTATCTTTCCAAAAGAACTGTGAGAATATAAATACATTTGAAAGTATGAGATTAACTCTTAATTTAAGAACTTAAGACACACTTTTTGCCATAAATATGTAGATAACAACAATGGTGAGCCATTATTTGTCCTATGAAATATTTTTTAAGATGTGAAGTGTTATTATAATACAGCTGTGACTCATGATAACTAATTTGTGATTAATTTATTTAAAATTTTATAACAGGACATTTTGACGGCCTAGTTAGATATTTTCTATCAAACACTAGAAATTTGATTCTAACCACAGGTACTACGTATTTGACATGTATGAGCCACTTTCTTCTCAAATAGAGCACTGATTATATATGTAATTATTTCATTTGCCATTTTATACTATATGAAATTATTTATTAATCTTTTCTACTAAAGACTAACATCAAAAAGTTAACATTTATTAAAAATTTTCAAAAATTTTCAAAACTTATTAAAGTCAATAGCTATTGAATTTATTCATCTGTTTTCTACTAAAAACTAACCTCATCTCAATTTTTTGAGGTTAGTCTTTATAAAAAAGCAGATTAATAAAGTCAATATTTATAATTTTGAATAAATTTTTAAAATTATAATTAATAAAGTCAGTAACTATTAACTTTTCATAATCCCTTTTCTATGCTTCTACTTCTGACCATCCCAAATGCCCCTGTCTTTCTGATTGATCTCTCAGTCTAATAAGATATAAAACAAAATAACGATTGACTGTATTCATTACAATTTTCAATATGGAGTAAAATTACATCTCAATACATTCAGAGCTTCAGCCTCAAAATGTTGAGGTTAGTTTTCACTAGAAAACATATTAATAATTATGGACCTTTTTTCCATTATAAGTCAGTAATTTTTCAAATTACTTATAATTTTTCAAATTTCAAATTTGAAAAATTACTGACATAATAAAAACTGCAACTGTCTCAAAAATCATAATTGTCTGGGCATGATAGCTCATGCCTGTAATCCCAGAACTTTGAGAGGCCAAGGCAGGAGATCACCTGAGGTCAGGAGTTCCAGACCAGCCTGGTCAACACTGTGAGACCTACTCTCTACAAAAAATACAATACAAAAAAAAAAAAAAAAAGTTAGCCAGAAGTGGTGGTGTGTGCCTGCTGTCCTGGTTACTTGGGAGGTTGAGGTGGGAGGATGGCTTGAAACTAAGACGTCAAGGCTGCAGTGAGCCATAATTGCACCACTACATTCCAGCCTGGTCACAGAGATTCCTCCTCTGAAATATATATATAGAAAAAAATACACTAAAAATAAAAAAGCTATAATGATTATGTCAGAATGATCATTAGATTATTTTTCTGTAGCCAAGTCTACATGGAAAATCAGGAGATAACTTGGTGAGCATGGAATTAGATTTAGGGGATTTGCATGTTTCAGTAACTTATCTTGCTTATGAGACTTTAACCATTAGTCAAGGGCACACTTTCAACATACACCTCTTTATGTGCCCTTTTCTATGCTTCTACTTCTGACCACCCCAAGTGCCTCCCTCTTTCTGACTGATCTCTCAGTCTCATAAGATGTGAAACGAAAAAAAAAAAAGAAAAAAAAAAAAAAGCCTTCTCTTTCTGCTGTGTGGCAGGCTCTAGAACAACGCTCACCCATCAGAGATGTTTTGTGACCCCAGTCACTGCTTACTAATATTGTTACTGAAATGCCAGAGATTTGGTCTAGGTCCTGCTGTGTGCTACACAGAAAGCCACTTACTGAGAGAACGAGTATTGCCAGAGAAAAAGGCTTTAACTGGGTGCTGCAGCTGAGGAGAAGGGATACCAGTCTCAAATCCAACTAAAATTAGGGGTTTATATGGCAAGGAAGAAATGTAACTATGTGTGGGAAAACAGGAATGAGGGAGGGATAAGGAAGAGGAATTGGTCAACAGGAAGCAGGTGGTCAGTTAAGCAATCATGACAGATGAGGGGCTTGGCGTCTTATTGTCCAGATATAATTATCTGATAAGTTTCAGTTCCTTGACACTATTTGGGTTGCCTGATGGTTGGTTTCCCAAGAAAAAAACCCAGATAAGACAACCGTAAGTTTCTCAAGTTTTAAGACTGGAGGGGTCAATTTCTATGTTTATTCAAAAGAAACCATAAACGTCAGTTCTATGGGACAATTGGGCTGGTTTGATTATGATTGTATTGATGATTATATTTTCTTTGCATTAAATGGAGAGCAGCCCAATTATAAGGACTTGATAGACTAGATTTTCTCACAAATCTTCACATACTTTATAGATATTCATCTTTTAAATGTAATAAAAGTTATTTTCCTGAATATATGTATTAAGAAATAATTTAACATATTTTATGATGACTACAATGCTTTTTAAGTATTTAGAAGTATTAAATAATCTGATTTTTCACTGATCTGTGTGGTCTTTGCCTAAGTTGGTTTAAATTTTTAGTTTGACAAAATAACTTTTTCTACCAGTATTCAAGTTCCAATTTTTTTAAGGTGGTTGCATTCAAATGAACTTTTGGAATGAAGCTCTGAATGTATTGAGATGTAATTTTACTCCAAACTAAAAATTGAAAATGGGAAACATCCACAGAACAGCATTGTAGCGTAGTACTTTGAGCTATGTGTAAGTAACAGCATTGTGGAAAATCTAATTTATGGTGATATTGTAAAAGAAATATGAGCCTCATTTCCTGAATTCTCCTTTATCTTGAAGTTTGACATTCCTAAAAGAGCAAGAGACTTTGATGCTGTAATATCTTACACAGGCCTCTCCCTCTTTAGTTACTGTTTTGAGATCCCACAAAAGCAGACCATGCAGGTGGCCTTATTAACTGCCTGTGGAAATTTAAGATAAGACAGAGGTTATAACATATTTTCATACCGTATTTCACTAAAAGGATAAGTTATCACAGTAACCTGTCCCAAATGCAATTCAGATGATATTTCAGCCACCCGGTTACTAAAAAGAAACACATGTGGATAAAAGCTGTTTCTGACTTATTTATGGATTAGGCAATAACTGTTTTCAGTGAACTCTTAGCAAAAGGAGAACGTATTTTATGATATACTCTGCAGTGAGGACACTTTTTGCAAAATGCCTTTAATATTTTTTAAGGACCACATATAGTTTTGAGGTACTAAAGATATATTTGCAGAAGTGGCTAAATATCTCTCTCTTTCTTAGTGCTAATAGCATGTTAGTTATCATTTTATAGCAGTTCACAAGGATCCTGCAGAAGTCTTTATACTAAAGAAAGAATTTGGTTTAAGGAGCTCTTTAAATCTTAATTCTGAATATATGGTTTCATTTCTATCCCAAGCAATCATAGGACACATAAAGAAATTTATTTCCATCTATCTCAGTCTTAAAAACCCTTAGTGAATGTATTTAACTGTCTTTAAAGTTTGTTCTTTTGTCTAAAATTCCTTAGCATTAAACTTTAAAAAATATATTTAATTATAGTATATCTTGGGTACTTTATTCCCGATTTTTTTTCTCAAGCCATTTTCAGTGAATTTGAAAGGAAATAATTTCTGTCTTTTTAACATAATACTGTATTATAGAAGAAAAAATTGGGAGGTAAAAATTGCCTACTAAAACTCAAACCCAAGAAATGCCTTATTTTATACTCTGAGTTTTGTTTCTTTATATTCCTCTTTGTTTCCTTGTGAATGGTGCTTTTAGAAGAAACAAATGTGATATCATAATTAGGCATGCTTTTTTCTTTCTTTGGGAATCAAGAGTACTACATGTCTCACTATATACGGATTCTGAATAGGGATTTCTTCTCTTGTGATATGTTTATGTGACTCCAAGACTGAGGGTAAATAGATAGGGCCAGAAACAAGGATGATTCTAAAATGATTTTCTATAAAATTTCTTAATATAGATGAAGAGTTATAAAAACTGATGTAATGTCAAAGATTGTCTTTACATTCTGTTTTGCTTTGATAAATATAGTTTATTCAACTACTTTTATATCAAATACATCTATTTAAAAATTACTGTTTTCTACTTGATTTTTATGTTTTGATGAACCAGCCACTGTCTACTTGGGCAGAGTCAATGCATAACATATGGCTTAATGAAAGATGATTTGTTGCTATTGATCCTTTATATGTTACATTAGAGCCGTGTGTTCTTTTCCACTGGTGATTTGAAAGTTCATATGTGACCTTTCCACAAATAAATTGGCCCTCACCATGAGCCAAGAGATACATCAGATATGTGGCTAAGATAAAGTGATGTTCCTCTTCAAATCACCCACAATCTTATAGAGTACCTAAATATTTAAGCAGATGGCTTAATAGACATGTTAATTAATTCAACAAAGCACAAGTTGCTCAGTGATCAAAGTTAGAGGGAAGGGCACATATGAAGGGACTGACGAAGGAAATGCCATTTCACATTCAGGAAATGAGTTATTTGGCTGAGGAGAAAGTTAAAGTAGAAATGGGTTCTGGGTATCTATTGCTGCTTTACAAAAGCATCCCACAATCTAATGGCACAAAACAGTAACCATTTTACGATGCTCATGGATTTTGTAAGCCAAAGAATCAGACGAGGCATAAAGAGAATGGCTTGTCCTTGTTCCACTATGTCCAGGGCAGGCAATGGAGAAGGATGGAATGGCGGGGATGTCACAAACTGGTGAGAGACAGAATATCTGTGGTTAAAGAATCCACTTCCAAGATGACTTCTTCACTCACAGGTCTAGCAGCTTAACTGAAATTCACACGGCCACTCCAGCATGGCAGCCTTAGTGGTATCATACTTCTCACATGGTAGCTCTAGTGGTTAAAGCAGCTTCAAGCCCACTCAGACTCTAAGAGATGGGTGGATAGCACAAAGATCTCACTTCTCAATGGAAGGATGATCAATGAATTTATCGTATCCCTGTGTTAAAATTGTCATAGCATATAATGAGAGAGAAGACTGGAGAAATAGGCAGAGGTCAGTTTGTGGAAGTTGTGAACTCTATGCCTAGGAGCTGGGACTTATTTGCTAAATGTAAAGTAAAATTGCTTTGAGAAATTTTTACCAGAGGAAAAATGAGACTATTTATAACTTAGAAATATTGCCCTGGTGACAGGGTAGAGAAAGATGTGCTTTGGGCAGGGGAATAGGGATGGACCCTGCTCTGGTGGCAAGAGAATGAACAGTTTAATGCTTGCAGATCTGAAAGTTGGACTGGAACAATGAATTTGGTGACTGATTGGAAGTAAGGGTAAAAGACAATCATCACGTCTCTACTTTCATTGATGAATTGAAATATCATGTATTTCAGTAAGACAGAAAATATAATATGATAGTGGAAACAGATGGGAGGAAGGAGGCAGAGAGAAAAAAAGTTTAGCTTTGGCCTTCGTAGGTTTAAGATTTTAATGGAACTTTGGTGACTAGTATGTGGCTCCGGAGCCTAGGAGAGAAGCCAGAGCCAGAGATATGGACCTGGGAACATTAGCTTAGCTATGTTTTATTGATTGAAACAATAGAAATGGAAGAAATAGCTCAGGAAAAAAGTATAAAAGTAGGGGAAAGAAAGGAGAGCTCAACACAAAACTCTGGGGACCACAAACAATTACAGGTGAAGTGAGGAAACAAGGAGAATGAGAGAATGTTCTTTTTGTTTTGCAATGTACTGAGTTATGGTAACTTTTTGCTAAGTTCTTAAGTGTAAATTGTTTTTCTATTGAGAAGTACTTCGTCTTCTGAGACATTTTGTTCTTGTCTTTCAAATTATTCCTGGAATCTAGATACAAATGAAATACAAAACTCTGGTTGAAATATTAAATTAACTATATTGAACATATATTCATCTAATCACTGCAACACAAAACAAAACACTAAGTCCTGAACTTAAGACACTTTTGGATTCTGTGCAGTGTTGAGATTTATGTTTTGAAAGGCTCACCCTGTGTGTGTTGTTTTGGGAATGCTGGTTCTTTGGTGTCTTATTGGGACAGTTTCTAATGATTTCTTACTGGGCTAAGTCCTGTGGGACTTATGTTGTTGACTTTGGGAAACAAGAATAATGAATAATATCCATAAAATTTTGAAGGAGAATAAGACCTAATTGTATTTGATTTCAAGGAATCACAGTCCCAAAGTAATTTTAAACTGAGAGACCAAGAGCCACAGTTAAAAGCTCAGCCATTGTCCTGAAAGAGCCATGCTTATGTGCTTTCAAGTAAGAATAACGTAACATCAAAAGTGGTAAGTGAGAACCAAGGGATGTGGTATTAGGAAGACTTCCAAGTGCAGGTGTGCAGGGTAATAGCGGCTAAAATTCACACAGGATTCATTAGAATATTTACAGTGCCTCCAGAGACTGTCAAGTATGCATTTTTTTTTTTTTTTACCTGTTATAGCACTTATCTTTACCAGACACCCTTCTAAGTGATCTGCAATTTGGTCCTCATAAAAGCCTTTAGGTAGATGTCATCCTCATTTAACAGATGAGAAACTAGGCACAGAAAGCAGTTGAGCTGAGATGTGGGTAGGGCAGCTGGCTGTAGATTCCTTGCTATTAACCAATGTATTCGATGTTTACTACTGGCATTTCAACATATTAATTCACAGAAGATAAATAATGTCATCTATCATTTCTTCACATCTGCAAAATGCTTTTGTTTCTCTTTCCAAACTTGAATTTGATTTCCATTAAATATAAAATTATAGGTTTTTTGTTTTTTTTTTCGAGACGGAGTCTCGCTCTGTCACCCATGCTGGAGTGCAGAGGTGTGATCTCAGCTCACTGCAACTCCCACCTCCTGGGTTCAAGCGATTCTCCTGCCTCAGCCTCCCAAGTAGCTGGGATTACTGGCACATGCCACCACGTTCAGCTAATTTTTTGTATTTTTAGTACAGACAGGGTTTCAACGTGTTAGCCAGGATGGTCTTAATCTCCTGACCTCGTGATCCAGCCACCTAGGCCTCCCAAAGTGCTGGGATTACAGGCGTGAGCCACCGCGCCCAGCCTATACTTTTTATGAAGAATATTAGTTAGTATACATGGTTTTAGGGGTTATAATTCTCCGAATGAAACAGTAACCTCTGTGGGCTTTAACCAAATTTTTCCAAATTAAATCTTTCTGACACAGTGCCAGTACATCGGAGGTGGTCAATAAAAGTCTTTTCAATGATTAATTAATTGGACAATTGCATAAATCAATCTTCATGTTTGTCAGAATAACGAGAACACTGAACTAAGTTTAGTTTCTCAATATCTATGTCTATGTGCCACTTTGAAAACCTTAGGAATGTGAAGCTGCTTTCTTATTTATTCATTAATTCAGTATCCAAAAGTATTTATATACTTTATAAGTTAATCTTTAGAATAACATCAGTGATGGCTCTTCACTGTCAATACTCTAAAGGTGGGATTAGTCACTTCTGAATATCCATTTTCCCAGGGTTTCTATTTCTTTCTCTACTTTTTTTTTTTGTATGTAGACATAATTGAATTGGAATTTTCTTTTCATACACTACACGAGCGATGTTCAACCTCATTTTCCCACACTCCTTTCTATGTAACTTTATTGTACGTAGAACAACTCAAATTAGAGGCCCAGGATTTGTCTTAGATTCTTCCCTTTCTTTCAATTCCTGTGTCCACTATTTTAACTTATTTTAATCATTTACTTCTATTTCCTGTGCCTCTGTCTTCATTCAGGCCTATATAAAATCCTGCCTGAATTTTAGCCATGATTTCCTATTTGATCTGTTTTCAGCCTTGTTAACATCTCCCAACCTCATTTCTTCCTCACTCTTACATATCTAAGGAAAGATCTATCTAATCTGAGAAATTAGTATTTCTTCCGAAATTAAATTTTTTTGGTAGTCTCCCATGCAATCAGAATAAATACCAAATTCCTTAGCAAATTGTTGTGGCTTTCTAGATTCTCACTTGGAAAAAAACTAGATGTTAAAATATTATTTTTAGGGCTGGGCGCGGTGGCTCATGCCTGTAATCCCAGCACTTTGGGAGGCCAAGGCGGGTGGATCACTTGAGGTCAGGAGTTTGAGACTAGTCTAGCCAACATGGTAAAACCCCATCTCTACTAAAAATACAAAAGTCAGCCAGGTGTGGTGGCACGCACCCGTAATCTAAGCTACTTGGGAGGCTGAGGCAGGAGAATCGCTTGAACCTGAGAGGTGGAGGTTGCAGTGAGCCGAGATCGTGCCACTGCACTCCTGCCTGGGCGACAGAGCAAAACTCCATCTCAAATAATAATAATAATATTTGTAGAATGAATAAGAAAATTAAAAATATTTATAATTACCACAATAAATAAGCATAAGTTGAAACAATTCAAATACCAACTTCCTCAGCTGAGATTTTTTGTAAGAAGCTTGATAGAATCCAAAGAGCTAAAGTCGATACATTATATGAGGTTGAGGTATTAGGTTTTGGTGATTTATAGAATTCTGTATGTGTATTATGTTGAAGCAAATTTGATTCTTGAGGTTGAAAACTAAAACTAAGGAATGAGGTCATATATACATATATATGACCACATTTTGCATGGAAGTCTGCTGTTAAAATAACTATAACATAAATAGAATAGTCTACAAACATCTTACATGAAATTATTAAAATTTTCTTAGCTGTGTATTGATGAAGGCATAGAGAGGAGATACAAATACATTTTAACTCTCATTCTAATTCCTGTTGAACAATAAGGGCTGTTTGAATCCTTTGCAAGGATTATGAGGCTACCATAGGAATTAGTAGAAAAAAAATGTTCCATGATTGATTAGTGATGTCTGTAATGGATGTGGGAGTGGCTAATTATAAATTATGTTCCACATTTATTAGCCCTGAATAAAACATTGCTAAAAATTTTAAATGATAATATTTGCTTGTAAGACTATGAGAATAGTTGCTTAAATACTATAATTATTTTAACCTTTAAAATTGTTTTGTTTACTCTTGATTTCTATGTAAAGTAGATTGAAGTTTTTAAATATTATTTCTCTGTCAAATGGTATATTTTGAAATTAGATTTGTTTGATACTTGAAGAGATCATATTCTGTATACAGATTCTATAATATCTTGGAAATCTTCACAAATCTATGGAGCAATAAAAATACTTCAATTGATATTTGATACAGACAATATGGTACAAGAGAACGGAGTACAGCTTATGGAATGTTAACAAATTTAAGTTCAAATTTCAGCACTTTAATTTACAAAATGTATAAAATGCACATGAGTTAACATTAAAAGACTTAATTTTCATATTTGTCAGTTGGTTGTATAGTATAACCTTTGCAGGACTGTTGTGAGGATTGAGTAAGATAAATTGCTGCCAGTTATTAAGGATGTAATAATGACTAGTGTCTTTCTGTTCCCTCCTTTAACATACTTCTGATAATTCTATTCTTGGAACAATTTCCCTTGTTTAGAAGGTAGAGATATAACATGCCATCATTTGAAAATGCCACCCAGTAAATGTCAATCAATTGTTTAGTTACTGAACACATACCAGCCCCATTATAGGAACTAAGAATGAAAAAAAAAATTAACATAACATAATTCCTGCCCTGGAGAACAACGCAGTCTGTTTAGGAGACAGATACTTAACCTGATTAATTACTGCACCATCAAGATACAGTATTCAAGACATATCGAGATATTCAGAGAGGGGATTCTGAAGTTTAGGATTGAGATTGGGGTTTGAAATATACATTTGCTATACAAGAAGGAAGGAGTCGATTATATCTGGGATTATAATTTTTAGAATATTTATGGTAACAGCGTAAAATTTTGTGGGTGGTGACAGTGAGTGAACCTGTATTTGGGAAGCAGTAGTAATAGCTGCAGATGTGGCTGTTGTGTCAGGAACGCTAAAATGATGAAGTCTGTAAGAAGGAGGCTGCTGACATCTAAAGAGGCATGGCTTGAGATTTTGGAATATGCTGTTTGACTTTAGAAACTGTGAGTATTCTCCTTCCAAGGAGACATCTGTGGATATTCTGTAGCACACAGTATCTCCAATGTTATTATGCATAGGAATCACCTGCGGATTCTGTTTAAATGAAGATTCAAATTCAGTAAGTCTGAGATGGGATCTGAGGTTCTATATTTCTAACAAGCCCCAGGTGATGTCAGTGTTGTTGGTCTACAGACCACATTTTGAGTAGTGAGGCTGTAGTGATTAGTAAAAATGTGTAACCACAGATTCGGCCCTGTTTACCTTAAAAAGCTTTCTTTCCTTACAATAAATGGATTTTATAACTCCACATGAGGATTTACACTGAAGCTGAAATAGGAAGCTCTGGCAGTTTGGATCCTGCTGTGTTTTGATCACCAGATGAATTCCATACTTTAAAAATAGTTGACTGTGTATAGTTTTCTCTTCTTCCCTTCCATGCTTGAGAAAAATAAAAAGCAGCCCCTTGATATTCCAGTTTACTAGAAAGATGATCACATACTTCTTTTAGTAGGATCCACAATGAGCCTCAAAATGTTTACTTCTTTTGTGCTTCTGTTTCTGACATCTTTTGCCCACCATAAACAGTAGGAGCCTGATCATACAGGATTTCAGAAAAAAATGCACTCTTCAATTCAGACATCTAAAAACCCTTATTTTACTGCTTTTCTGACTCAGTTTATTTTCCCCCATTGCCTGAGAGCTGTGTCTACATGTCACCTGTGTCTGTTTTACTAGGACTCGGCAAGTTGGCTGTGCTTACTCACCTGGTTTGTTACTAATATGTTATAAACTTGAAACCTGGGAAATGGTATTACAAGCACTGTGGAGGATAAAATGCTTTTCTGCTGTCCAGTGAGGCATAGACAATAATGTTAAGAAAAATAAAGGAGCTATTGAGAAAGATTTTGAGTTACATCAAACAAGTAATGAGAGAAATGGGGAGAGATTGATCATGTGAAAATTTGAAAGAAAAATAATGAGAGAAAAGTAGAGGCATATTGAACCACAAGATTTGATATTTCTGTCCTCCCTCTATTACTAGTGATTTTTAAGATTACAGTAATAGCTTATTTTTTAGATAACATTGCAAACGTTCAACTAAGCCTTTCTTGCTCTCTTTTAGACCTCTTTTCAGGTGAAAAGACAAAAACAAGGAGAGGCAACAGACGTTTAAGAGTAGTAGAAGGACATAAAAACGGGATGGCAGTAATACTATAATTAGAACCAGCAATTAACAAATGTCTCACTAACTTACACATACATACGTGTGTACAGTGCCTTTACCTTTGCATGGTATTTCATAAACATTAGGTATTAGGCCAAACCAAACTGTTTGCCCATTGGGCTTCCTATGGAAGCTAAAGAGCTAGCTAAAACCAACCAACCAACCAACCAAACAAACAAACAAAAATAAATTGGTCTTCCAAGGAGTCCAAGTTCTTGATCTATAAACATCTGAGAGTGGTAGACACTTATGTAGCAACAGGCCAGTGACTTTTGACTAGGTGCCTCTTAGAAATGCAGCTGGTACAATGTATTCTGTTAGTAGTTGAGATCATGAAAAATAAAGGACAAAAATCATGAAATTGATAAGACCAGTGGGTTAATTGGTGAAATAACATTTATTCTCTATACTGGAAAATAGATCCATGGAATGGTGAAGTTGCCTTATAAATAAATCAAACATAAAGAATATTCTTTTTGACATACTAAGCATTTGTGGCAGTTATACTTGGCAGATAAATTACTTTCTAAAGGGTAATATAAATAAGAATAGTTCTTATTCTGCTTTTTTAAAACATACTAAATTCCATTTAAATTTCTCATGGACCCATCAATCTGACTTAAGCATTATCACCTCACAATTTACCTTTTTTAAAATGAGTATCCAACCATTCCAAGCTCCTAATTCCACTATTGATTATTTCAAATCAGCTATTCACCTCAATTTATTTAAAACAAATTAAGTATATATCTGTGAAAGATAGAGTTTATTTTTAATATGCTTCCAATGTTATTCAAACACCAGGGGTTTAGTCTAGGTCCTGCTCTCTGTTGCACAGAAAGCCAATCACTAAAATAACAAGAATTGCCTAGGGAGAAGGCTTTACTCAGTTGCTGCAGCTGACAAGAATGGGAGATCAGTCTCAAATTCACCTCCCCAATTAACTAAAACTGGGGGTTTATATAGTGGGGAAGGCATGTGGCTACATGCAGAAAAGCAGGAATTAGGGAAAGGTAAGGAAGAAAAGTTGGTCAACAGGAAATAGGTCATCTGTTAGGAAAACAGGAATTAGCAATGAGTAAGAAAGTAATCCTGACAAATGAAGGACCTGGCATCTCATTGTCTAGTTGTGGCAATCTGGTAAGTTTCAGTTCATTGATACTATCTAAGAGGCCTGATGGTCAGTTTCCTGAGAAAAGGAACTCAGATAAAACAAATGTAAGTTTCTCAGATTTTAAAACTGTGAGGATCAATTTCTATGTTTATTCAAAAGAAACTATAACATCAGTTTTATGGGACATTTAGGCCAGTTTCAACAATTCAAAATAATTATCACACTTTAAAAATTAATATTAATTGCTTAGTTTCATTTAACATCCTTGTGTTAAAATTTTCTCATTTTCTCATAAAGTTTAACAGTTGTTTATTTGAGTCAGAATTCAAATAAGCTTCTGTACATTACAATTGGTTTTAAGTTCTTATAAGACTCTATAGGTTTTCCCTTCATAATTTTTCTTGCAATTTATTTGTTAAAGAAATTGGGTCATTTGTCCTATTGAGTGCTCCACTGTCTGTTTTTATTATTGTATTTCTGTAATATAGATCTTTGAAAAATTGTCTCTATTAATTGTGTTAATAATACACTTGCTGTTACAACACTTATGGTGCTGGTTTGGTGACACATGACATATTACATTTTCAAAATGTATTAGTTTTATTGTTTATTTATTTTTTTATTTTTTCTGAGAGAGTCTCACTCTGTCGCCCAGGCTGGAGTGCAATGGTGCTATCTTGGCTCACTGCAACCTCCGCCTCCTGGGTTCAAGCAATTCTCCTGCCTCAGCCTCCAAAGTAGCTGGGATTACAGGCACGCACCACCAGGTCTGGCTAATTTTTGTATTTTTAGTAGAGATGGGGTTTCACCATGTTGGCCAGGCTGGTCTCAAAATCCTGACCACGTGATCTACCTGCCTCAGACTCCCAAAGTGCTGTGATTACCGATGTGAGCCACTGCGCCCAGCCTAGTTTTATTTTTTAAGAGACAAGAGTAGGCAAATTTCCAATATCTATGATAGTATTGGTACATTTGATGAAGAGATTGCTTTGAAGAAATTTCATTATGTTTATACATTTAAATAACTAAAGTTAAATTAAATGTTTTCATTACATAAAAAGGGTACAAAGCATAGTTATGAAAGCTTAGAGATTTAATATGTGTCTAGAAGGTGATAAAATGTTGCATAGACTTGGTGTAATTTAAGGTGATACTTGAAAAATGGTTAGAATTTGGTATAATAGACACAGGTAGGGGGTATTCCCATAGGAGTTATAGCATGAGTAAAGGCACAGAAAAATAGAAAAGTACAAGTGAGATAAAAACCCCTCTTGTCTTTTATCCTGTGACAAAGATAGTAGAACAGAAACACAGAAACATAAGAATATTTTATAAGGCTTGGTGCAGTGTCTCACACTTGTAATCCCAGCACTTTGGGAGGCCGAGGTGAGCGGATCAAGAGGTCAGGAGTTTGAGACCATCTTGGCCAACATGGCGAAACACTGCCTCTACTAAAAATACAAAAAGTAGCCAGATGTGGTGGCGGGTGCCTGTAATCCCAGCTACTTGGGAGGCTGAGGCAAGAGAACTGCTTGAACCCAGGAGGTGGAGGTTGCAGTGAGCCGAGATTACGCCACTGCACTGGGTGACAGCAAGACTCCATCTCAAAAAAAAAAACGAATATTTTATAAAGGATCTTGAATATCAAAATTTACTTTGAGTCTTCACTAATCAGCTGCATGTTTTAGAAAATTTATTGTATGTCTTTGACCTTTGCTTCCTTCACCTATAATTTCACTTATCTATTTGAGAATAATATCAAGACACAAGCCTAGATACATTCATTTCAATTCAAATATTCGATTCTGAAGTATGAATTAGATAAGCAATACAACATTTGAATTTCTCTAGGTCAGAGGTATCGTGGGAAGTATTCAAGGCTTGAGTTAGCATGATAAACATCGGAATTGATGGAAAACATAGGTACAAATGGAATTATAGATATTTAATTAGTATGACTAGGTATTGATTTCTCCTCTGTAATAATTGAAAGGGAAATGGAAAGAGTCAGCTGTTGAGATTTTCAGCCTATATTATTAGGAAAATTGTGGTCCTCTGGATAGAAATAAAGAAATTTAAGTAAGGAGTTTATTGAGAGCTGGAGAATAAAAGAAGGAGAATGGAGAGTTTGATGTGGTGAGTTTGAAGCTCACGTAAATGGACAAGTCTTTCATTCAGTTGGTGCCGATGGATGGGAATATGAACAGAGGTTAATTTAAGGAGTAGAATATTAGTTTAAATCTTAGTAGCAAGTGAATTACTAAGTAAACAATGCATAAAATATTTGAGGAAAGAGGATATACTCTTGAGGGAAAAATACCATGCCTTTAAGAGATGTGGAAACAAGCACCCCAAAAAGGAAAGAGAAAATGGGACAAAAATGATGGTGAACTAATTGGGTCAGCTTACTGGAATGCCATAATGCCTGGTCTATGAATAGGAGAGGCTCAAAAAGAGGCAGGGACCAACATGGTCAAATACAAAGACTTTAGAACACAGTGAGCATTGAAGAAAACAAGATAGCAGCTTCACCAGTGCAAGAAAGCAGAACAGAAGCTGCCTTTCAAGGGATTACAGTGAGAGGGTTTGGTGTAAGAATTCAGGTTCAAAGTACAGTATCCTTATATAATAATTCAGAAAACACACATGGACCATAAAATGAAATTGATTTTGGCCAAATCATTCAAACTTTATGGACTTTGTTGTTTATCCAGTTCTGTGCTAAGATTTATATTATGGCACGTCTTTAAAATAATGAGGTGGGGGGACCAGTAAGGTGGCTTCAACTCACTAAAAGAAAATATATTGTTTCATTGTCATCTATTTTGCTAATATTTGTGTTCAATTTAGAGAAAGTAGGGTAGACATAGTGGTAAACAGTTCTCTTACTCTTGAATTGACAAGTAGACTGAGAATTTCACAAAAGGCTTTTCCTCACTTTGAGTGTTTTTATTCTTTAATTTTCAAAATGCTATTTCACTGAATTGAGACAGTTTGGTTTTTATTTCTGAATTACTTTCTGATATTATTATTACTGAGGTAGTTTAGCTAGTTGTGGCCAGTTGTTTTGGTGCTCAGTGTAGTTAGAATACAGATTGCATTATACACAAATAACAATTTATCACATGCCAAATGTGCTCTGTGAATCTGAAAAGCTCCCTCTATATGAGGGTATATTTCCCTCAAGCCAGGCAATTTTAAGGACCTGCAAGCTCCCACCACCAACTAGCTCAGTGTAGTAAAAGTTAATTTAGTAAACACATCATCATCCTAAGTAATCCTTTCCTTGACTAAAATACCCTCTGCTTGGCAGAGAAGCAATTGGATCAACTACATCAGGACTCCAAGTGATCCCACCCTGATTCCAACACCCCCATGTTGTTCTTGTTTCCTTGGAGGCCTTGAAAACTGTGCATGCACAGCAACCGGATTCATGTCGAGCCATTCCAATTCATCTGAGAAGCGATTCTCCACTTAGGCATCAACCCATGACCATCACAGGGTGTGTGCACATGTCCTGGGTTTATCAGGTCTAACTATATCTTTCAGAATACTGATTCCAGAACTCTTAGGTAACGCAGAGATCAGTTGAACTTAATGTATAAATGTGCATTTTATATATAAAATATTGCTCTTCAAAATTTGGCTTAAATCATGCTTTCTTGTGTGCCTTTGAACAAAGATTTTGATTTAAAAAATCATTGAGAAATGTAATTCAAGAATGCCCAGAAATTGTCATTAGTATTTGTTAAGTTGTTTATGAAGAACTTAAGCCCACTTTAATTTCTGTTTTTATATAGATCTTCCCCAAGACAAAACATCTTTTATTGACTTCCTTGAAAACAATTTAGTACTAGAGATCAGCAATAACTTATTAGACAGAAACCAGATTATTTAATCATTTGGCTTTCGAAATAATATTTAGATTGAAAAAAGCAAATTAGAAGAGTTTACTAAAGGAACTAATGACTGTCATCTCATACTCTTCTTTTACATTTTAAACTTTTTAAGAAAGTGATCTTTCATCATGTCAGTGAAACTTTAGTTTCCCTGAAGTTTCACAGTCATTTACAAGGTTGAATTTTTTTATATGATGAAATAATAGTATTTTTAAAATATTAATAATATTACATGGCCATAATTGTAAAGTCAGTGATAACACATTTTATGACAAGGTGTGCACTGCATTATTTCATAGTACATTCATAATCAAAGGTCATGTTGGACATACAACATTACCATAATTTTCTAATTAATTTGTTCTTTATACATGTTTATACGTGTTCCAATTGCATTTCATTAATTCATAGTTTTCTTGTAAGTTTGTGCTTTCCTTCCATGTTCAAAGAATCTCTTTAATTCAATTTCTCTGTTTCTCCTCATACAGTCTGGCAGCCAGATATGCAACTCAGTCTAATCACAGTGGAATTGCAACCAGTCAAAAAAAGCCTACTAGGTCAGTTAATATTCTCTAATTTATTGCTTATTAGTGATATGCAAATAAATACCCAGTGATATTTTGTCCTATCTTTTTTTTTTAATGATGCACTTCTGAATGAGAAGTTTAGAGCACTAAATTTTTCCAGGAAGATTTTCACACATAGCCTCAGGGATGAGCATGTTTGTACTAGATAATTAAATGGGTTTTGGCATCTTTTTTAGTTTTGTGATATGTAGTGCTATAACTGGGCTTAAGTCTAGGTTCTAGGTTTAGAATCAATCAAGGAAACCATTACTTTGAATGCCCAATTCCTTCCAAGTCACATAATCTGGAAGTTATACAACAAAATTGTAATTGCTTTTTGAGATGGGCATGCATTAATTATTGCACATTTTAATGGAGATTTGAAAAACATTGGCAGATTTTAGTGGGGAAGTTAGTACCAGGTCAGTCTGGACTGTTCTTCTATCTATAATAGTTTAATTTTTTTGCTTCTTTATGACACAGGTATAATAAAGACAGCCTGTTATAGTAAATGATAGTGCGTTATATACTGTTTGGAAAATAATGACCTATAAAAATGTTTTGAAAGAGTTTGATTTTTTAAAAGTGTTAAGTTGCTGAAGGCATGATGGTAGCATGGAACAGCTGAATAAAACCACAGCAAAAGAGTTTTATACCTCTGATTAGTATGTGATCCTTTGTGTCATCTCACTCACTGGGGAAGTATCCAGCAGTGGTTTATTCATTACTGTTCCATTGATGAATCATATTATGCAGTGTTTGACCACAAAGACTGCGTCTGATGCTTTGACTTGAGGTAGGTGTCTTTCCCCTTGCCTTGGCTTTCTAAGTTATATTCATTTCCAGAGTAGCCAAAATAATTCTCGAAAGACAAATTTTAAAAGGTATTTAATTAAAAACTAGAATAAATGATATAAATTATGATGGGTAAGGAACAGTCACCTGCCATGCACAATGAGCATTTTTATTACTCCTTCTAAGACTTGGGCATGTAAAATATTTTTAAGTACTGTATTTTGATAGATCTCTCTCCCTCTCTCTCTCTCCTCTCTGCTTCATCTCATTTCCCTTTTTATTACTTTGATGAATAATCTGAAGGCCTGCTCTGCCTGCCTGTCAAATTAGGGTAATGAGAAGAGCAAATGTATTTTTACATTTGTTTTAATTTGTTCTTCTAAGGACTGAAGATCATTTGACTTCATGGGTTGCAGTAAAGATTAAAATGTATTTTAATTATTTTCTGAAACAGGTCAATTTGCATTACAAGCAGGGCAAGTTTTGTGATAAAATTTGTTTATGTGTGTGAGTTTGGAATGAACTTTCTAAGTCTATGCCTATGTCTACAGAAATAGTTCTCAGATTTATTATGATTAGGACACTTGGCCAAATTCATTAGTTGGGTTCCTTCAACAGAGTGCAATCACTGGTCCTGTAAATTCCTAGCATCTGTCGTTATTATGCTGTACTTACAAACCCTTGTAGATTCTCTTAAGCAAAAGTTAAATGCTGGAATCATTTGGAAAATATTCTAATACTTTGTATGACACAATGTCCAATTAGCAAAATAGCTAAAGGGACCAATTATCAGCCATATATATTTAAACATTAAAATATAATTCACATTTTGAAGCTATTAACCGTTCTAAGAAATCAACAGTTTTGTTTTTAAGTTAGTATTTGTTTTTTTTCCTGATATTCACTCTATTTTATAATGACTGTTACTATTATAAAAGCACTTATATTTCCTGAAGGTGGTTTGATTTTCTAATATTCTGTGAAAATGATATAGTCTAGTAGTATTATAAAGGTGAATTAAATGTTGAGCATGTAACAACTGGATTGTGAAATTTTGGTATATCGGATACTAATATGAGAGACATTAATAATCTTTGCTTTAAAATTTTATAAGATGATTATAAAAAATAGTGCTATATTTGTAGATTTTGAATTCTTGTTTTCCTTTCAAATAAAAAATTTCAGAGTAGTACACAGTGACATTCACATGGTGGCAGCAAATACTAAACAAAACTTTCAATATCATATTTTCTAAATAGATCTTAGACTGTCAGTATTAGTTCTTGGCCAGACACGGTGGCTCACGCCTGTAATCCCAACACTTTGGGAGGCTGAGGTGGGATCACTTGAGGTCAGGAGTTCAAGACCAGCCTAGCCAACACAGGGAAACCCCGTCTCTATCAAAATACAAAGATGAGCCGGGCATGATAGCAAGTGCCTGTAATTGTAGCTACTCAGAGGCTGAGGCAGGAGAATCGCTTGAACCCTGGAGGCAAAGGTTGCAGTGGGCTGAGATTGTGCCACTGCACTCTAGCCTGGGCGACAGAGTGACACCCTGTCTCAAAAAAAAAAAAAAAAAAAAAAAAGAATGTCAATATTAGTTCTTCACTTCTAGTTCTTAATTTATAGATTAAATATACCTATAGAATATATGTCAGTAGTATAAAATCAAAATCTAGTAATTGCACATTTTAGGCACAATCCATTACATAATCGGTCATTGAAATTTTAAAGTGGAAATTGTTTAAGAGTGAAATGAATGATCGAAACTGATATTTTAGTTCAAATAAAGCAGCAGTAAGTTACTACCTCCAGTCAAACCACCTCTAATTATAAGATAGTCTGTTCATATTTCCTCATATCCTGTCCTTCATACACAAAGAGTAGCTAAAGCTATTGTCACTACATGTAAGCATATTTTAAATTGTCATCCAGCTAACAGTGATTTTCTTCTGAGATCTGCATCCTTTCTTGTCACGTCTCCTCTGTGATCAGTTGGCCAAACTTGTGAGACAACCAGCTAAGTCTGGATGCTTATTTTTGGCAAGAAAATGAAAAAGGTTTTTTGTGGGGCAGACCAGTGAAATATAATTTAACTCATGACCTGGGTCTTGGTACCATGTTTTCATTAGTGTAGCTAAGTAACTTAGATACTCAGTGAGCATTAGCTATTCCTTCTTGTTCAGTAACTTTCTTGTGATTAATATCCAAGCAAACTTACTATATAACTACCTACAATAAAAACAAATGCCTTACACATTGAAAAGAACAGCTTAATAACTGAAATAGCTGAGGAATATGCTGAGAACATAAAGTTAAGTGTTATTGTTTCCTTTACTTTTCACATAATTGTTACAGTACTTTTAAGGCAAAGTTTTATTCATCAGGGATGGGGTGAGTATGACTTTTTTAGTTAAGATTTATTTTAATTATTGTATATTATTACAATTTTGGAGGGACATGTTCATTGAAAAGGGAAACAAGATTTTTCTGAAGATCTGCAACATTGTGCTTAGCTATTTATTTGTCACATCTATCACCATTTTCTGCTAAATAGATTTTAGAACATCATATGTTGTAAATTTCTGACTTTCAGCACCTCCTGCTTCTTACCTTTTTGTAATGTACAATAATGATGTAATTTTTCTTATACTATTTCAGGCTTCCAGGGCCCTCTAGGGTGCCTGCTGCAGGAAGCAGCAGCAAGGTCCAGGGAGCCTCTAATTTAAATAGGAGAAGTCAGAGCTTTAACAGCATTGACAAAAACAAGCCTCCAAATTATGCAAATGGAAACGAAAAAGGTAAGTGTTTGTTACATCATTATGACACAAGTCCAACATGAGTCTTGTGAATTGCATGCTAAATCTAATATTTGAGCAGCGTAACAACTTTGGGCCTAGAGATGTTATCAGTGGAGTTTCTTTATGTTTCCTAACTGTCCCCTCCTGACTGCCAGCTTTCTTATCTGAAGAACATTTTAAACAAATAAACTCATTCATTTTAAAGTAGTTAGTTATATATGCAAGTACAAATACTGTTTCTCAAAAACAGGTCCTTCCAAATGCATGTAAATCACATTTTCTTATGTCTTTTTATGTTTTTGAAAATGTATCCTGAAATCATAAAGCCATATTGAATTTATCTGAATCCTTAACTTCAGTTAAGGTAAGAGCCATAAGTGTTTTTGACAATTAAGGTTGGAGCATCAAAATTTGAAACATAATTACAGTAGGTTTTTATCTTTGCAAGCAGCAGATCCCAGAGATATTATGACCTCAGTTTTCCCCAAAAGACAAATTATTCATATTTGTTTTGTTTTCTTGAATTAGTGCATAATATAAATATCAAATCACAAAATCAA
The DNA here is from genome assembly GCF_000001405.40 of Homo sapiens. Taxonomy (NCBI): domain Eukaryota; kingdom Metazoa; phylum Chordata; class Mammalia; order Primates; family Hominidae; genus Homo; species Homo sapiens. The sequence continues at coordinate 77,999,037 of NC_000012.12, forward strand.
GGACATTAAATGAAAGTGTCTGTTAAAGGCATATTATAAATGAATCATAAGCCACACAGTTCTCTGTGATGTACGAAGTGGGCATTTAAAGAGGTGCTGATTTGATGCTTGTCACTGAGTAGCAGAGAGGACGGGGATGAGTATGTGTAGTTTACACCTCAATCATGAGGAAGTGAAGAACTTGTGCTGTTATAAGTAGTATGGCTGTGTGAGGAACTAGGGTGTTCTGCTGGATTTTGAGGAAGTATTTTCAAATCAATAGAACTTCAAACTTTTCTTCAGAGTGTTGGGCTCTACATGGAAAAACACATGAAATTAAAAAGTGGCACAAATGTTTAGTTAGTAGAACATCTGGCTAATTGGGATCAAATAATTCAACCATGTGGGAACGTTTTTGCTCAAAATAGATAATTGTGAATTGTTTCATATAGGCAAATGATTAGACAACTTCCTCTTCCTCAAATGTGAACGGACAGATGTGATCTAGAAGCAAGACACTCTTTTGTGTAAATATTCCCTTTGGCCTAAAGCAAAAGTGGACAGACTTTAAACACCTGAGAGCAGAGCAGTGTGTGTTAAGATTGCAATATCTTAAGCTCTTGAGTTAAATGGAAAATGAAAAACAAAAGTGTATATTTGGAAGTTAGGAATGTTTTCTTTAAAATATAAAATAAAATTTTAGATTTAAGATCACAAGAAATATTACTGAAGACTTATACTCTTCCTGGGGCTAAGGGAGGTGACAGTCGCTCATCAGAAAAAAAAAAATGCCCTCATTTCCTAACTTTTCTAAAAAATATTATACAAGTTCAGGCTAATACTTCCTGTATATGTGGGAAATTTCTAGGGGAAGCTAACAGGCTTAGAAATAAAGATGTGTTAAATAGACTACCAAAGTGTCCAATTAAGCAACACGATACCACCGTTATTGATATTCTAGCAAGAAATTACTAGCAATGTTTGTAAATAGACTTAGAAATGCATTTGATGAATTAACACTTTTATATCTTAATTTATCTGAATTTTTCTGTAATGTGAAAATGTTTTATTTAACTTATTTCTGGCATCTATTAGTAAAATTCTGATGATATACAAGCATTAATATTTTTCCATGGCCACTCAATTCATACATACCTTCCCTATCTATGCTTAGAAGGCAGTGCAAAATTAGATAGTAGCAATATTGATTATAACCACAAGGTGGAGACAGATGTCGTGTAATATGCAGTCTGCTCATATAAAGCACATTTTCTTAGACAAGAGTTTTCATACGATATAATAAAGACATCTGGAATTTGTCTTGTATGCAATATGAAATTTGCTATTAAACGTGGAGTTAAAACTTTATGTCAATAGATCCAATAACAATGTTCATAAATTAATCATTATGTCATGCTGTATTTCCAAAATACTATCTTAAATTATAAGAGCAAACGAGGTAATAATATATTACACTTAAAACATTTTTTTTTTTTTTTTTTTTTTGAGACGGAGTCTCACTCTGTCGCCCAGGCTGGAGTGCAGTGGCGCGATCTCGGCTCACTGCAAGCTCCGCCTCCCGGGTTCACGCCATTCACCTGCCTCAGCCTCCCGAGTAGCTGGGACTACAGGCGCCCGCCACCACGCCCGGCTAATTTTTTGTATTTTTAGTAGAGACGGGGTTTCACCGTGTTAGCCAGGATGGTCTCGATCTCCTGACCTCGTGATCCGCCCGCCTCGGCCTCCCAAAGTGCTGGGATTACAGGCGTGAGCCACCGCGCCCGGCCAAAACATTTTATAAAAATACAAAAAATTAGCCTGGCATGGTGGCGGGCGCCTGTAGTCCCAGCTACTCAGGAGGCTGAGGCAGGAGAATGGCGTGAACCTGGGAGGCGGAGCTTGCAGTGAGCCAAGATCGCGCCACTGCACTCCAGCCTGGGCGACAGAGCGAGACTGGGTCTAAAAAAAAAAAAAAAATTATAAGTTATTCTATATCCAAATGGTACATTTTTTAATAAAGATGTTTGTTTTAACTTTTTGAATATGAAGATTTCTAGTTCTAGAATAATGTTTATAAAAATATACAAATCCATCTGGTGATGAGTTGACCTCTATCACAACTAGTTTGCATATATAACTTGGGTGTGACCAAGCAAGGTGAGAGTTAAGAACTTTTAAAACTTACTGTATTATATTGATAGAACTCAGAAAGTACTAACTTGAATATTATTATTCTAATTGCTTTTCCCTTTTAGTTATTAAAAATAAGAATACTTAAATTAATAACAAGATCTTTTACTGGCAGGATTAACCAAATTATCTGTAATGTGTTCCTCGAATGCTTTTAAGTGGAAATATACTTTATACATTCTTTAACAACTCTGAGAGGATGAGTTACATAAATCAGTTCAGGAATCTATAGAATCTGTAATACATAGTAAAGGTTTATTCACAATTAAAACAATTTCACTTCTATATTAAAAAAACAAATTGTTGAAAGTACAGTGGCTTTTCATATGTATGATTTGTAAAACAAATTAGCTTTTTTAAAGTGATGTGACGCTTAATGAGAAGAAATCAGTAGAGAATTACAAACTGCACTTCAAAAGATACATCTAATATCATTTTAATAATGAAATTTGAAAAAATAGTGTGCTCGTTTTACAGTCTCATTAAATGAATTAAAATATCAGCACACATTGTAGTAGGTTATCATTGGCAGAGAAGGCTGAAATAGAAACGTTACAATGGGATGCACTGCCATCTGAACATTATGTCGAAGTGGAACGCGGAAACATATTTCTCAGAACAAGTGGTAAAATGAAAACAGCATCATTTGTAAAGCATTTCTTTTGAGAGTGCTTCAGTTTCTTCTCCTGATGACCTGCCATTCAGAAACTGACAATGAATAATACACTCTGACACCAGCATTTGTCAATTTGCCCAGAACCATATGAGAGTACTCTAGACAGATATATGTTCCGAAGTAAACCAAATACCTGTTAACTGTAAATCAAATCTTGTAGAAACCATGCCATGGTTCCTTTGGACATATACTTTGCATGCCTGAAGCAAGTTACCTTAAGAAATCATTCTTTTGTTTTACAAAACTTGTATTAAAAAATTAAAAATGCAAAAAAGCTTAATATTATTAGGAATTTATCCATAGCTTTATTTGGAATCCAGTTTCTTTATTATGATCTATAAACATGCATCATTTGATGGAGTTCCTTAGTGGAGAGGTGTTTTTCCATGTTGCTAAGAAACATGCCCCAGCACCAGAAGGGATACTACCTACCATCTTTTTGCCATTTCTCACCGTGATTCTTACATTGTACCTGTTTACTCACTGAACAGGGCTTCCTTCTCTTTGTCTAGATTCTAATCAGGTGTCTTCTGGTGTGGAAGCTTTGGCTTTTATTTACACACAACACAGAATTAATAAGATAGATGCCAAGGATTTAGCAACATTTTAATTCAACATTATACAGGTATCAGAGTTAATGAGAATTATGCATTAGTCTTTAAATTTGGGCAGCTTATTCAGCTAAAACATAGATGTCTAGCTCTTAAACACTTTGTTTTTTTAATTACTCTGAAATTACAATAAAGTCAAAGAACTGAACTGTTTTCTTTTCAAGCCAGTGCAAATGTGCTTTAGTTATTATTTTACTGGTGATCTAATTATGCATTTTAATGCTTTATTACTTAATACTTATATAAGCCTAAAATACGTTGTTAATGTCATAATTTCAGGGATTTTAGTATTCTTTCCATGAGTTACCATAACTAGGTGCATATGTGTAAATATATGTATATATCTATATCTATATATTTATATCTATGTATATATCAATTTATAAGACTAAATAGACTTGGCCATATGTGTTGTTGGTTTATGCATACATGCACAAATATTGAGGTGTCCACAAAGTATATATGCCTGTACATAAATTACATACTGGCTGGTGAGTGAATGTAAGCTTCTCTAAATTGTACAACTCTCCACAGAGTGGCACTCTAATATTGCAAAGGTACAATATAAGCATGTGCAGAATGAACAGCTCTTCTAGGATCCCTATAAAACTCCACCCCATGTTTCTTTTGAGTCACTATAAAATTGATGACTGAGGCAATACACGAGCAATTATTTATGCAAAGCAGTGTGAGGAGGTGCATGAGGATCCACTTAATACCAAGACATATTTAGATTTGACTGCCACTTTTCTTCAACTTAATTTTTTTAAAGCATTTGGTATGTTGTTGTGGAATTAAAGTCCTAATTATTTATCAAAATAAGTGGCATAGCCACATTGTTTAATCATTTTCCTCTTTCCACCACGATCTGTGATGCTTAAAGTATCCTATATTCAGCAGGGACCATCTATATCAATGAGCACAATGCCTGCCATGCAGGAAATACTTCAGAAATGAATGGTGCTTTTGTCATCATTTTTGTTGTCACTTATTATATTTCAGAGTTGGAACCTAGTTTACTTTTGTCAAAGCAACGCACTATTCAGTGAGGAAAAAGAGATAAGCGATTAAGAATCATCTCTATGTCCTTTCTCAGACTGATACCACTCTTGGTAACATGGTGCTAACTCTACAGCTAACTGAGGTTCCAGAGAGAAATGTCCCACTATAAACTTTCCATATGCCTGTTGTGACTGCCACATTTACATCCATGTATTAATTTTAGAACTTGGTTGGCATTGTTCCCAAGTCATCAATATTGTTTATTTACAAGATGAGATAACTAGACATTAGTTCTGTGAATTTAGATGTTTTGCAAGTGTGAACGAATATCTATTCTCACATCAACTCAGAGGAACAGGTGCAAGTAAGATGCTAAAGAAGAAGGTATATAATACCTGAATAAAGTGTCTTGTGTGATGTTCTCCCCATTTATATCCTGCTCACCAAGGAAGAAGGAAAACAAGGAGTTACCCAATTAACTTGACTGTGCGATAAATGTGGCTTGCTGGAGAGCCATTTCAGCAGAATTTCTGGCATGCAGTAAACATGTGGAAAGAAGAGACAGTGAAAATCTTCCAAATGTTTGAGTCAGATAAAAATGAGTTCCAATTTAGATTTTGTTTTTTCTAAGTTTTGCCATATGTATGATTGAAAACAAATTATCTTTCTAAGTTTTCATTTTCTCATTTTTAACAAGAGAGATCATAAGCATATTGTAGATTATTATGGGTTTAAATGAGATACCATGTATGAAGTACTTATTATGTACTTGGAATAAAGTAAGCAGTAGATGAATAATATTATTTGGTTATGGTGGAGTTGGCAATGGTGAGTGTAGGTGAGGTATAAGAAGAGGAAGCAGAAGACAGGGAGTGGAAGCAAATTGCTATTTGGGGACCATAGACAAGAGGTAAGGCTGTAAGCAGAGATAGCCCATAAAAATGCAAGATACAAATCCATTTTTGGAATGCCTTTAAATATGTGCATTAGAAATCTGTTATTTTCCCCATGCTGAGATTCATTCATAGTCAGAAGTTGAGTAATCAACATTCAGAAATATGTCATTGAGACCAGGCTACTTATTCCTGAATATATAAATGGCAACGATTATAATTTGTGACTACATTCATTCTGTAGAAACTACAGGTGCTGCCATTTCAGCTGCTGTTGTGCAATCTTTACTGTGAGGAGTCCAGAGAGACTCTTATTATTCCAGTGCCTTCCTGATGCACAACAACCTATGATTTGCCCTCTTAATGAAATCTGAAGCATCTCATTGCCTCTGTATAGGGACAGGCTGTGGACAGATTTAGAGCGGAGCTTCAGGAAGTATCTTATATGTGTGTACTCGCCTGAGAATGATGTTACAGCTGCTGTTATGACTATTACTGTGGGTTGGATGTGGATGTCATAATTCAGAGTCCCTCTTGTTTCAGTTTTGGGTGCAGTGATGTTGAAATTCCTCTTCTGTACTTGAACTTCTATAGCAGTCTTCTAGCTAATGTCTTCAACTTGTTTCTCTTTTCTAAGGAAAGAGCACCTTCTCTTATGTCCCTTGTTCATCAGCCAGTTAAAAAAGCATCCTGACTGGTTCTTTTCTACCCTCTCCGATCAACCCCACCGAAGCTCCCAGGCACACTCTTACTTCTTAACCTAGTTGTAGATGCACAGAAGATACATAACAAGTATGTGGACAAAGAGATGAGAAAAAATGACATTAGGGGAACCTGAAGAGTTTATTTTGGTTTTAGAGATTATTTGAAGCAAACTGCTAAACATCCAGGTGAACTCAGAGCTAGCCAAGGTTCTGAAAGTTCAGTAAAAAATGTTAATATTGCATAGCTATGAAACATTTAATGAATTTAGCAATTTGGGGGACTGTGTTAAGAAACAGCCCTTTAAAACTGAAAAGGCCAACAGTTTTCAGAATTTGTGAGTCTACTCAACCCTTGCTACTCAAAGTATGACTTGTGTGTGAGCAGCAACGGCATCATTCAGAAGATTGTTGGCAATGCAGAACCTCAGGGCCCACTGCAGACCTGCTGTATCACATGTGCATTTAACAGGATCCCCAAGTATCATGTGTGCACATTAAAGTTTTGAGAATGACTGTGGTAAACACTTAGAATGTTTGACATTCCAAGAAAATTATAGAGCTTGGGCTGTAGAGTGACAAGATGTGGGGTCAAAGCCTAGCTCCACCATACACTCCTCATTAGATACCTAAATCATTGAATGAAGCTTACTAAGCTCTGGTTTCTACAAATGGGAATTAGGAATATGAGCCCTTCCCACTTCAATGGGCTGTTGTGAAATAATGCAGTTAGAGAACCTTCAATAAAATGTCAGTTAGCATAATTATATTTGTAATAATTATTCATATTATATTCATTATAGAATAAAGCGAAATATCATAAATAACTTTTTTTTTTGAGAGAGAGTCTTGCTCTGTCATCCAGGCTGGAGGGCAGCAGTGAGATCTCAGCTCACTGCAACCTCTGCTTCCCGAGTTCAAGCATTATACAACATATTTTTATAGGGCAAGGTGGAATATCCATTTACTAGCATGGGCTACAGTGGTGGTTGGAAAATAACAAAGAGAATTGCTTAGAGGAGGGATAGTGTTTTGTTCATCTTTGGATATCTGTGACTAGCAAATTTATTTGGGTAAGAGTAATTTCAGAGGGGAAAATAAACACGTCCCCCCACAGCCCCCACCCCAGAATCAATGCCTCTCAAACACTCTGCATTTTTGAAATATGGTAAAAAAAAATCACATCAGAGAAGTGATTGATGCTGCAGTCTCTTTTCAGTTCAGAGGAGAGAGACTTCTATCCATCAATAGTTTGGAAGTTCTCAATTATGTAATATAAATGATCAAGATTAATCGCCTTTTCTTTATTTTTCTTCTAAACAATGTCCAGATTCCTCCAAAGGACCTCAATCGTCTTCAGGTGTAAATGGTAACGTGCAGCCTCCCAGTACTGCTGGGCAGCCTCCTGCCTCTGCCATCCCTTCTCCAAGTGCCAGCAAGCCCTGGCGCAGCAAGTCCATGAATGTCAAACACAGTGCCACCTCCACCATGTTGACTGTAAAGCAGTCAAGTACAGCCACCTCCCCCACACCATCTTCAGACAGACTGAAGCCACCTGTCTCAGAAGGGGTCAAAACTGCTCCCTCAGGACAGAAATCCATGCTTGAGAAATTCAAGCTAGTCAATGCCCGGACTGCTTTACGCCCCCCGCAGCCTCCCAGTTCAGGACCTAGTGATGGTGGGAAGGATGATGATGCCTTTTCTGAATCTGGTGAAATGGAAGGTTTTAACAGTGGTCTGAATAGTGGTGGCTCAACAAATAGCAGTCCCAAAGTGTCACCTAAGTTGGCCCCTCCAAAAGCTGGAAGCAAAAATCTCAGCAATAAAAAGTCTTTGCTACAGCCAAAGGAAAAAGAAGAAAAGAACAGGGACAAAAATAAAGTTTGCACTGAAAAACCAGTCAAAGAAGAGAAGGATCAGGTGACAGAGATGGCTCCAAAAAAGACCTCCAAAATTGCAAGCTTGATCCCTAAGGGCAGCAAGACAACAGCAGCTAAGAAGGAAAGCTTAATTCCGTCTTCCAGTGGTATTCCAAAACCAGGCTCTAAAGTTCCAACAGTAAAGCAAACCATTTCACCTGGCAGCACAGCAAGCAAAGAGTCTGAGAAATTCAGGACTACCAAGGGGAGCCCTTCCCAGTCCTTATCTAAGCCTATAACCATGGAGAAAGCAAGTGCTTCTAGTTGTCCTGCCCCTTTGGAAGGAAGGGAAGCTGGCCAAGCTTCTCCTTCTGGTTCCTGTACCATGACAGTGGCACAAAGCAGTGGGCAGAGCACAGGAAATGGTGCTGTCCAACTCCCTCAACAGCAGCAACATAGCCACCCGAATACCGCGACAGTGGCACCATTCATTTACAGGTAAGGTGGCCTCTGTTTATCCACAGTTGTAAATATATTTACAGGCCTACATACTCAGAGTGTAATAGGGAAGGCTGATAAAGTGGTGCTTTATGTCGTCATTTTGGAGTAAAGTTTCATGCTAAAGATAGAGGCCTAGAATTCAGTGCGGAATCTTAGTCTGGAAAAAGACTTCCAGTAGGATCTAGTTTTATTCCCTCTCTCATTCCCTGTCAGCAATTGAGACCTTCAAAAATTGAATTACTTGTTATCAAAAGCCAGCTAGAAACCAGATGCCACAACTTTCTCTTGTGTTTATTCATATTATTGCTACTACTATACTGCTTCTATTACTAGCGGCAGACTTTTAAAATAATTCTCACTTTTACATCGTTTACGGTTATTTTTGTTGTCATCTTTGGGAGAAAGTATACCATAATGGTTAAAGAGGCAGCCTCTGAAATGATAAAGTTGCGGATTTCATTCCTAGTTCTGCCACTTTTCAGCTATAAGACATTGGGAAAGTTACTTAACATTCTTTAGTCTCATTTTCTTCAGCTGTCAAATAGGAACCATGCACTACTTTGTAGAGTTGAGACTATTAACAGAGGTCATGCATATAACATGTTTACTGTATATCCTGATGTGTTGCAAATGTTCTTCAAATGTTATTTATAAGATATTACTTTCTCAGTGTAAATTTTATATTAATTTCCCACAGCAAGGCATAGGTTTCTAGGTAAAAGGGGTTACATATATAATTTGTATTACTTATTTGGGTTGTATTACTGATTTGTTTTTTTTTTACCTTTTATTTATTTATTGTTTATTTTACTTTGCATTCTTATTTTGTAGGCATTGAAATACACAATATAAAATTTTTAAATGCATTATTATGCATTTTAAAATATGCATCCTACCATCCAAATGGTAAAGACAACACTTTGCTTGTTGTTCTGTGATTTGTTTTAATCGATTAGAGATATGTCAGTAACTGCTGTGTCCCCAGTTTATTCACTGCTTGGTTGGTAAGGAGATGGCCTGGGGAGCAATAATGTCTGCTTTGTCCCTCTTTCGGGCAGGTTGGCAATTTAACTACAGAAAGAAAATTTTATGAATAGGAAGCAGGACCCACTATAATTAAGAAAGGGTCAAAACTATATAGTTTAAAATTTTATTAAATTTTTTGAATGTAAAAGTTTTTAAAATAAAGCAGTTTATACTGATTTATTTTTTTGCTCAATGAGGAATGTAAGTGCTTTTTTTCTGAGGTTTTTTATACACTCAGCAAAACAAAATTATTATAATTATTACATTTAAGCTCTTGGGACATTACAATTGAATGTTGCTATTCTGACTTCAATAGTACTAACTCATTTAAAATACTTGTATTTGGATCAGATGGGAGTCTGCAGCTCCTTCTGACTCCAGGGTCCCTGTTTGACAAAGCAGAATTTAAGATGTCAAAATCATGATCCACATTTCAAAAACGTGAGAAAAAAAATCATGAAGTTTTAAATATGTCATACTCAGCACACTTTTGGATTACAAATATATTCTGTAAAAACATCAATCCTTTCAAAAAATCACAAGTGAATTTCATAGGAAAGTGTAAATCTAGAACTGCTAATTTAGTAGGCTTCTTTCTATAAGTAGCAACAAGCTTTTAAAAAAATTGTTTGCAATAAAATATCCAGTGGAAACAAATTTAGTGGTTTCCATTTGAAAATGTAACTTTTAAATATCAAAAACAGGAAGCAGCACAGCAGCACAGCTTAGAAGTTACAGTGTGGATCCGCTGTGTGAACCTGATGAGTTCTTTGAGAAACTCTTTGAGTTTCTGTTTGACCTCTTTAACAACAAGACTATAAAAGTGAGGCAGTGTAGCCAAGTAGCTAAGAAAAGAGGCATTAGAGAGGCTGAAGCAGGAGGAGAATCGCTTGAACCCAGGAGGTGGCAGAGGTTGCAGTGAGCTGAGATCGTGCATTTGCACTGCAGCCTGGGTAACAAGAGGGAAACTCAAAAAAAAAAAAAAAAAAAAAAAAAAGAGAAAAAAAGGGCGATAGAATATGTCTTACTCTACCATTGTTCAGAAACAGCATCTTGTGGTGGTGGTTGCCTAGGTGGGAATCTCAATGCCACCACTGATCAGTTGTGTTACTTTGGGTCATATATGTAAAGATTCTGACCCACAATTTCCTAATCTGTGAAATAGGTATGATAATTGTAGAAGCTACCTCATTAGCCTATTTTGAAGATTGAGTTGATATTTATCTGTAGAACAGTATCTGCCACATAGTAAACAGCCTTCCCTAAACTTCACTTTCTAATCCTATAAAGTATGATTGATAAAGGATGCCTACCTCGATTGATTGTATGAAAGATTAAAGAAAATAATCCCATGTAAAATTTTTAGCACACAGCCAGATTTTGAGCAAATTACATGAATATCAGTAATTATTTTTATTATTATCAACAATATAAGATAGCTAAAAATAAATGAAACTATGGTTGGCATGGTGGCTCATGCCTGTAATCCCAGCATTTTGGGAGGCCAAGGTGGGAGGATGACTTGAGGCCAGGACTTTGAGACCAGCCTGTACACCAGAGCAAGACCCTGTTTCTACAATAAATAAATAAATTAAAACTGTCTCATAAAATTTCACATTGAAGTCTATATATAAAGTAATATTCATTCAAAGTTTTTAAATCAATGCAGAACAATTTTACAAATAATATGTAAATCCTCAAAAGGCAGAGTGGTTAATATTCATTCTTTTCAGCTTTCAGTAAAAGCTTGTTTATAGAGTCATGACATTTGGATTATGTAACCTTTTATGTTCTTTCTGACTTTCACTGTTCTATCCCCATGTAAGAATCCCTCCTATAAAATCCCTGACAATTATTTTTGGAGTTGCTAATCATTTGATGAGATAAGACTAATAATTTACTTTTTGATGTTGGTATTATCATTTGTTGAGTGCTTACTTAGTGAAAATCTTTGTGTCACAAAATATATGTGAATTTTCTCATTTAAACTTCATCATGAACTCATGAGAAAAAATGTCATCCCCCATTTTCCAGAAATGAAGAAGCAGAGATATTAAGTCAGAATAGTAATAATCTCTTCAGATCATAAAGCTAGTAGAAATTTGCTTTGCTTATCAGTTCTATCTATGTGACAGAAATAAGAGGTATTGTTACTGAGAAAATTCTGGTTAGGAAAATGCCAATAGTACACTTGCAAAATTCTCAATCAGAACTCATTTATAATTGAAAATGGTAATTGCTGTTAATTAGTATAAATTATATAAATGTATACAGATACATATATATATGATATGTAAATATAATTAAATAACTTTTATATAATGGGAAGATTGATGGCTGATGGTGACTTTTTTTCTCAATTCTAGGTCAGTACTTATTCCTTCTGAGACTTCAATAAATGCTTCATAGTACTCTTTGTCACACACTGGGTGTTCAGAGTTCTATAAATATAATGTGGATTCTGGAAGTTAATAGATTTCCTATTAGCCTAACTTCCTATCTAATATAAATTATTCTGTACATAGTTTCAGTAATTCAATTATCTCTACAGAGTGATAAAGTAGTTTCAAATTTGCTGTTATTCTTATTCATTTATCAAATAGATATAACTAAGACAAAATGTCAAGAATTAAAGAAAATATTTTATTTTGGTTTAAGAAGTTCCTGATAACTAGAGCTACCTGAAATTGGAATAGGCTGCTTTTTATAGTGTTAAGATGGCCATCTGAAGTATTTAAAAAGTGGCAAAGTGACCAGTTATTACAGTTTAAGCAAAGGGAAATTGCTGCATACTTTTTCATTTATGTACTCATCCCTCATTCTACAAATACTGTGTAACAGAAGATACAAAGATTTTTTAAAAAAATCTCTGCCTTCTGGGAGCTCAGTCTACTAAGGGTAGTAAGAACAATATCATCAAAAATATTAAACCATTACTGTTATGGAAGTGTATGCAACATACACAATTAATGTAGAAAAAAAGAGGGTTTTTTACAAATCTGGCAAAATGGAGTAAACTAATGCATCACCAAGAAGTTAAGATAAGGGTAAGGCATAAAAGATGAGTTACAGTTTGTCACAAGGAGGTAAGAATGTTGTGCTATCATCCGAATTTGATATTCTACAATTTTATAATCCAGGCATGATGGGAAAAATAATAGGTAAATTGTGAGCTGCTATGCAAATACTAGTAACTGGAACTGCTATAGACACTAATGGTTAGGATTTGTAATTATATGAATGAGAGACTATATTAGTCAGTTTTCACACTGCTATAAAGAAATTCCTGAGACTGGATAATTTATAAAGAAAAGAGGTTTAATTGGCTCACAGTTTTGCATGGCTGGGGAGGCCTCAGGAAACTAACAATTAAGGTGGAAGACGAAGAGGAAGCAAGGCACGTCTTACATGGCAGCAGGTGAGAAAGAGAGGACATGGGAAACTGCCATACACTTTTAAAGCATCAGATCTCATGAGAACTCACTCACTATCAGGAGAACAGCATGGGGGAAACTGCTCCCTTGGTCCCATCACTTCCCACCAGGTCCCTCCCTCTACACATGGGGATTACAATTCAGATCACAATTTGAGATGAGATTTGTGTAGGGACACAGAGCCAAACCATATAAGATACTAAAGAAGAAAAGAAATGGAAATAATTTAGATTTTGTTTTTCTCTTTCAATGACCCCTTCTCCATACATCAAATTTTCAGCTAGTCTTCCTAACCCTTCTTCTGAAACATACCCTCAATCAGACTTTCTTTCCATTTCCAGCCCTTGTCTCCTAGTCCAAGCCACAACACCACCAATTCTCATCTAGTTTCCAATGAGTCTCCCAGCTTCCACTCTGGGCTCTTTGCAGTAACATCCTTCACACAGATGGCATTTTGACCTTCTAAAAGCGTAAATCATATATCTTATTCTAATTAATGAAGCCATCTATTAGGTTTCCATTACATTAAAAAAATAAAACTCAAACATTGCACCATGACCCTCCAGGTTCTAAGTAATCTAATACCCTGTTCACAATTGATCCCCACAGCCACATGCAGTCCCACCTTCCCCCAGCACGTTGTATCTCAGCCTTCATCCTCCTTCTCAACAAACCAACCTATATTGCTTTAGAACATATCTTTGGCATATATGTTCATTTATGACTGTAACAACTGTCTTCTAGATCACTGCAGGCCTGTCTTGTTATTAGAGCTCTGCTAATCTCCAGCCATCTCCAACCACCTACTCCAGGGGAATATATATTATGCGCCTTCTCAGAATTCTATTTAATCATCCTCTTGTATTTTCTTTACACAGTTTATTACTATCTGTTCTTTTCTTGTTTACTTATTAACTAGTGTGATTTCAGCCACCTCCTAATGTAATGTAAGTTCATTGAAATTAAGAGTCTTGTCTTTCTCATTTAGTAGCATAATTGCCCAGTACAGAGGCCACCTACAGTAGATACCAAATAAAAATTGTTGAATGAAACACTATCATCCTGTGTTAGAATCACTTGCTATAGAAGAATTTTCAAACCTGCCAAAAATGTACACTGGAACAAAAAAAAATTCTGAAGTCTCTCACTTCCTATAAATGGGAGGGTTTAACTGAAATACAAAGAGCTTTAAAATATTTAAAGAATTAAACCATACCTTCTCTTCAGCACATTCATTCACTTATTTTTTATCTTCTTTCAACAACTACCTACTAAATATCTCTTATGCATGAGACATCAAGAATTGAGTGAAAAAATCATACGTCCTATGTCGTTTTCTTTTCATCATCCACAATGTGGTAGACAAGGGGCAAGCTCAAAGAGAACAACAAAATGCAGCTGGAAGTGTAAAGCTCCCCAGGAGTGAAATAGATTTGTTATACTGAGGCTTCAAAAAAGTGAAAAGTTACTTTTAGCTATTGGAATCAGGGAAAGTGGCACTTGAACTGAGTCCAGAAAGATAAGTAGGATTTGGTAATGCAGAGATGAGGGGGACAGGGAGGGAAACATAAGGCTGAAGGAACCACATAAACAAAGTCAATAAAAGATACGTAGGCTGGTCGGCAAGTAGGTCAGTTTCTCTTGAACATTGAAGATTGATTGGAGCCTGGTTGTAGTAGAAATTCTTGAATGTCAGAAACTTGGACTTTATGTATGTATATGTGTGTGTGCATACATGTGTTCATGCATGCACATGAGCATGTGTGTGGAAAGCATGATCAGAAAAGTTATTCTTTCTTCAGTATGTAAAATGGATTGTTTGTGGGAGAGGTCAGAGTAGGATGAACCAGGTTAAATGTATAGATGAAGGAGCAATTTACTGAATTTCTTAGGTTTGTTAAATCTCGAAGGAGGTTCCAGTTATTGGAAGAAAAGAGAAAGGAGAACCACATAGTTTTTTCATTCTGTTTTTTTAAAACTCCTTTTTTTATTGTTCCTCTTCTTTCTTGGTGTCCATCCTGAGCTATATAATTTGAACCTGTTTTTCCTGCCTGGAGTTCAAATATTGTTACCTTACATCCTTCAGACTTTCAAAAAATACCTCCCTTTTTCCCATATGTCATTTTTCTTCCATTGCTTTTGTGTTAATTACATCACAACTATATTCTACATGCTTTCAAGGACATGTGAAATAAAATAATATAATAATTGGTTAATTACAGAGAAAAGGGAGACCTGTGTGTTTTCCCTAAACCTGTCTCTTTAGAAGCCTCCAACAAAGTTTTGAAATAATGCTTACCCAGAGTTATGCTGTTTTGAAGTCTACATTCTTTCTTTTCTGACCATTTGTAGTAAATACCAAGGAAACAATGCATTGGACATAAAGCAAACATGAAGAGGCAAAGAGAGCAGAATCAGGGTTTTGAGCAGTTCTCAAAAAAGAAAAATACCTAACCCTTAGATAAGGCAAGGCACTATTCATAAGGAGAAAAGTATCATGCTTCTTAAGCCCATTAATTAAATATAAGCAGAGACCCTCTATTAACACTTGACTTGTAAAATTAGGTCAAGAAAATCTGAATTTAGAGTTTTTCCTTCTTTTGATATAATATGCTGTACTTTATACAACCACACCATGGATTCTCAGAAGAGATTTTTATTATAAAATATTTCTGTGGGACTATAGATTTGCCTAGGATGTGACAGGGAAATTGACATTTTAATATGCTATTTTCCAAAAGGTGGAGAATGCAAAACATTAGTTTTGAAAATGCTTACTCACAAGGTTTTAAGTTTGGCTTATTTGTCGAGCTAGTATAATGAAGAGGAGGAGGAACTGTGAGTTTACAAAGATTGAAATGTGAAGCCTTTAACCATCATTCAGGTAATGCTTTTGTAAGCCCTGAAGCTACTTCTACATAATATACCACAGTAATGGTTTTATGTGAACTGGGCATAATTGACTATCAGTAAAAACTAAAGCTTATTGAATGCTTGGCTTGCAAGCTCGTCTTTTGCTAGGTTTGATATGTATCTGCACATCAGGTAGTGATTTGCATTTCCTCGCACAGCGGTATTTTTAGGATGGAATATGAACACACTGCTAGAAGAGGCACTTTTGTGTAGAATACTACCACGAGTCGGCATTTTCCCAGCAGAGCCAGCAGAGAGGTTCACAAACTACCTTTTCTGTGCTTGATTACGAGGTTCATGGCAAGATTGCCTAACCAAACCATTGTTATTTCTTCTCTTCATATTTTATGTTATGTTTTTGGAAACCATTTTAATCTTACAGAAAATTTGCAAGAATTGTGCAAATGACTCTCATGTACACTTCTCCCAGAGCACTCAGAGAACTTATTCATATTTCACCAAGTTTCACCAAAGATGGTCACTTTTAGTAATTCAGGATAAATATTGCACCTAGTAGCTGTCACATCTTCTGAATATCCCTCAATCTGGAACAACTGTTTAGCCTTTCCCTGACTTTCATGATATTGATATATTGATGGCTAGGCATTTTACATAATGTTTCTAATTTGGGTTTGTCATATAGTTCCTCATTATTAGATACATATTAAATGTATTTTTTTTGTCAGGAATGTCATCGAAATGATACTGTGTTTTTCCTGTTGCATTTCATTGGGTGTTTCATGATATGAATATCAATATCTTCCATTTTGGTTGTGTTGAATTTGATTGCCTGATTAAGATAATATCTGCCACAATTTTATATTCTAAGTGAATTTGTCTCCAGTTGTATGTAATAGGTATTTTTGTGGGAAGATATTTTGAGACTGTGTGTAAAAACGCAATTTTGTATCTACTTTGACCCACAAGTTTTAGCATCCGTTGAGCTTTGTTGCCTGAATTAATAATGTGCAAAAAATGTCAATAATTAATGACAACTGGTTTTCTAATTCCATCCTGTCTTCTGCATTTTCTCTCTGGCATTCTACTTTAAGAAAGAGATGTATTTTCTCCCCATGATCTTTCTATCTATTTAAATTGTATGGACAAATAGATTTCTACTGTATTTGTTATAATTCATTACTATCACAACTTACTTTGATGCTTAATTTTCCAAGATTTGGCCACTGGGAGCCCCTTCAAACTGGCTGTGTCTCCTTTCCAACTGCCCTATCACTCTTTGAGAATTTTCTTTCTTTATGGCTCAAGGTGTTCTAGGCTCATCTTGCACATTCCCTAACTTGGCTTTAGATCCTATTCTTTTCTTTAAGGAACTTGTATGTCTTTTTGTATAGGGTGATTTTAGAAACCAAGATCTCATTGCTCCTAGGTTTTCTTGGTGGACAAAACCAAGAAATTTATGTATGCATACACACACATACATACATACACATACATTGAAGCATTATTTATTTTGATATTATATATATGCCTTATTATAATTCAATGTGATTATTCACATATACATACATTCATAATACCTCCAATTCCAACTCAACACCACAGTTTATTTTTCTTTCCATACTTGTGCCTCTTTTTGTCAACCATGAGAAACTTGGCTCTCATTATTCTCAATATGTTTTCTTATTTACTCAACTCCCCTGAATCGAGTAAATCTTCCATCCACACTAGACTTCTGTTCAACCCAACAGTTTCCTGGCCTTGGCCCTGTCTGTCACCTGTCTGCCTTTCCAGAATGAAGAAAATAGGAAAGCAAGCACATTAGTGGTTTTTGAAAGATATGTGCTTTTCTTTCCTTTTTGTTGGGGTTATAAACAGG
The DNA here is from genome assembly GCF_000001405.40 of Homo sapiens. Lineage (NCBI taxonomy): Eukaryota > Metazoa > Chordata > Mammalia > Primates > Hominidae > Homo > Homo sapiens. Next base: position 78,016,659 of record NC_000012.12, read on the forward strand.
AATTACAATACCATTAGTTAATGTTTCTGACTCAAATCAGTTCTACTTGTGTCTACATTTGTGACCATATCTATATCAAGATGGATCCACAGGGGGAAATATTTCTTGAATACAAATCAGTATGCAAACATTCATGTTTATGACATTAAAGATTAGAGGTTTGATAGTGTCTAGGATTTATTACTGAGTTCCTTTTAATGATCAGTACATAAAGAATAACATTTAGGTTAGACCAGTGGAAGTGTCACATTTAACGACCGAGTGACTGAGCTGTCTGTTAGCTAAGGGAACCTCAAATGCAGTAAAATACTTAGTTCAGAGGCATTTTCATGGAGTTAAACTGCAGGGTAGTAGTTAATAGAGCAACATTTACAGGTAGCCAGATTCAAGTACTGGTTAAGCATCTACTAGATTGTTACCTAGGGCAACTTATTTGACCTCTAGATGTCTTAATTTCTTTATCTGCAGCACCTACATTGCAAGATTATTGTGAATTTTGAGTGATAGGCTCTAGGAAAATACTAAGCACCACACTTGGCACATATTAAGTGCACAAAAACAGGTAATAGCTCTCATGGTAATCACTGGTATCATGACTTTTAATTACTACAACTCTCAGTAACAGATGAAGGACCTGGCTTATTAGAATTCTAAATAAATTATACTCTGGAGGCTGAGGTGAGAGCATCTCTTGAACCAGGAAGGTCAAAGCGGAAGTGAGCTATGGTTGCTTTAGTGCGCTCCAGCCGGGGTGACAGAGTGAGACCCTATCTCAGAAAGTAAATAAATAAAAGAAATCCAGATAAACTGTTTTTGCAATGCTGTATCTTATAGTTTCAATAGTTACTCATAACATGATGACCATGTTGTAAATGCACAGTAAGATTGTCTACATAGGACCATGTTGCTGAATATTTTGAAGGAATATTATGATACATATTTTTTCTTTTTCCAGTTAATAGGAAGAGAATGCATTATCAGTTTATGGGGAAACAGTGAATGTGCCACTGCATTATTCACTATATCTGTCAAAATGTACTTTCTGATTAGAAAACACTCTTGATTCTAAAGTCTTTATAAATTATTTCATGAATCAACCCAAATATTTTTATTTAACTGGTACAAATCATGCATAAAAATAGAGGGTATGTTGTGCGTCTTCAGAGATTTAACTCAACTTCTTTGATCATTTGCATAAAAGGTACATCTTTACCAGTTGGCATTGATTGATCCTCTATAGACTGGAGTTAAAATCTAATTTTGCCATAACAAATTATGAGGTGGAAATACTAGAGAAACGGATGGCTTGTAACATCAGTAGACATTTCTGGTCCCATTTCCATGTGAATATAAAGCAAGGATGACTTCTAAGTCCTTTTTACAGTGATTTGAAGTTTACCTTCACCATGTTCCTTTCTTTCATCGATCAATCTATTTCCTTATTAATGCTAAGTTAGATCACTCATGTAGGGAATTTGATGAGAAATACACCAGAGAACTTAAGGTAAATAAGAGTCTCTTGTGACTTAAACTAAAAGACATAAAAGAGTGAGTCTGCCAAAAATATGCACTGCTACATTAACAAAAATTTTAAAAAGGCTTCCAAGACAAGACTGAGCTGTCACAAGTAGGAATACATTTTTTTAAAAAGCATGTCTCAGACAGGGGGAATGGGAACTTAACCAATGGAATTAAGTCTTACATATTGAGGAAGATAGCTGTAAGTCAGCTTCTGAAGAATTCTTTTTAAGAGCTGTTTGCTTTTAGTAGAGCAAAAACTATACGGCTAAAATACATTCCAAGTTTTCTTTTACTCCAGACTTTCTTAGATGGAGATAGAATCTTTTTTAACTAACATGGCCAGAAACATTCTTGCTCCTGTGACAGCTGTTGGTCTTGTTCTCATAGGAACCAATTAGCGGTGGGCTTTAGACAAATATTTCAGTGAAATGCTTAATGTGACTCAGCTTCTAAAAGATAAATCTGTGAATACAAAGTCTGCAGGACTAGAGGTCAACCCTGGCTCCCAGCCAGTTCAACAAGGTGCTGTGTCTCTGTGACACTTCTTTGCAGGCAGCCAGTCAGCTTTCCCTGGGGTCCACAGTTTCACTACATACTCTCCATTTAAACTTCTTCAGCAAGTAATAAAAATCCTTAGAACACTTCAGAGGATTGTTTTTCCCTTCGTTCAGAGACAATAGGTTAGGCAAGAGGTCAGCGAGGGGTAGAGTGGCCCACAATAGATGAAGCCAGGTGGAAGAACAGACTTTAGTAGACTTTAGAAACGAATGGGGAGGGACTGTCAGTAGATGGGGGATATGTGAGAAATTGGGGTCCAGAAGAGAAAGAAACAGCCTACACAAAGAGCAGATATATTTGCTCTTTTAATATTGACCAGAATTTCACAAGAGAGAATGTATTTCCGGTCCTTTTGTAATAACAGTTGATTTCACAATTATTTTGCAAGGCAGGCATTTTTTCTTATTTTTACAGATGAACAAACAAGTTCAGAGAGGTGAAGTAACTAGCCAACATCACATGAGTTAGTAACTGATTAGTGATGGGGTCAAGTTTTACACCCAAACCCAGTATATTTACACATATGCTACTCTTTCTTGCATATGTTTTACCCACCAATAATTTTGTTTTACCGTTGTGGCTAATATTATTTATTCATATATTTATAAAAGATTTGTTGACTGAAACTTATATTCTGATACAAGACTGGACACTGGGGATACAATGGTGAGTTCAAACATGGAGAATAGCGTCTAGTCTGGGAGTTAAACATTAATCAATTAATTACATTAATCTCATATCACAAGAGTATGAAGTTCTGAAAACATAGGTCCAGGGAATACTAAGTATGAAGTGCTTATAATTGGAGACTTTGCCTGATGAGCGAAATTAGGGAGGAATTTTTTAAAAATAGTCACTTGAGCTAAGACTTGGAGGGAAGGAATCAACTGGATGAAGTTGGGAGGAAAATAATCAAGTGTAAAGACCCTGTTTTGGCAGGAAGCTGTGGAAAGTGGGTAGAAGACTCTGGTGGCCACAGTAGAGAGAGGAGAGAGGAGTCTTGTGTGAGATGATGCTGGAGACCATCATCCCATAGGTTGCGTGGGACCCAACCATGCAAGACCTTGTAAGTTCCGTAAAGTTTTCACCAGAGGGCTCCATGAATCAGGACCAGGTTTGTTAATAAAATATTATGACTTTAGTTCTATAAATGATGGGTTTGAAGTATTTTTGTGACAGCCAAGAAGAAATGTCAATTAGACAGTCTTTATATACATTGGGAATTCAGAGTAAAGTGCTGGGTTAGAGTTAGAATTTTAGAATTCAGGCATAAATAAATAATAACCAATACAATGAATATGATTGAGATCATTTAGAGAGACTATAGACAAAAACTGGAAGAAGAATAGAATATTCCTTTGCTGAACTCCCGCTTCTGCTCTCTGTATCCCCACTTCTTTTTCTACTACCCAGAACCACAACATTTAATGATTATGTAGAGGAAAACAATAGAATAAAGTAGAATCCAGAGAAAATGGGAAACACACTGGAGAATTTTTGCCATAAAAGCCAAGGTAGTACAGTTTGATAAAGGAAGGAATGGGCTGCTGTTCTAAATGCTGCCGAGATACCAAATGATTGGAAGACTAAAATATCTTTTAAATTTAGCTACTTTGAGGTCTTTTTTTCTGGCCTTAATGGTATATATCCTATCATTTAAATAGTACATTTTCTTTCTAAATTTGTTTATGCTCTTTATATTCAGTTTTAAGCTAGAATAAAATAGGAACAGTCTGTCAGAAATTATTGGAGTCCAAGGCACAACTTTGTATAGGAAAGTTTCTTTCTTGTATAGTTCTTTCTTTCATATATTAATTCACATATATAACACATATATCAATACAGACAACATGTAGTTTTCCATACTTTATTAAAACCTAAGTGAACTTTTAAGTTTCTAGGACTGTCAGTTAAATATTGACTATTTCTAATATCAATGATTACTTTTTTTCTCTTGAAACTCAAATTTAGATTAAAAGCAAAATGTTAATTAAGCATTGATTCAAAAATATAATACATTTTTATTCATATATGAACATTATTTGTAAATATTCTTAAAGTAGTAAATATTGAAAGATCACTTGTCATGGCCCAGACCTACTACCAGAAAAAAAAAGGGTAGAAGTAAGGCAAATGAGATGTCTCTAAAGAACACAGTCCAGTGTGCAATCCTATATTACCTCGCCTCCTTCTGTGTCTTAGTAGTTCATGCCGTGAACATTTAAAATGTGTGTTAGTTTGTGTCAAATATACGTCGATTTTGAAGCTGCATCAAATAGAAAGCATATCTTAAAATATTTACCCATGCATAAAGGGAAGAAACATGCATGAAGTATGATTAGAATATCAAAAGTATTCAGGACCTTTGTTGAGTGCTTTTCTTTTAATTAGACACACTCTTTACAAGTTAACCACACACACAAATACATACCCATGTACATACATAGACAAATGTGAAACAGATGATATGAAAGGTAATTGTAAGAATGAGAATTTGTTTCTGGTTGACTTTAATTGCTCTGAAATCTTTGGTAATTAAGTCATCATAATGATGTATAAAGTCTAGAACAAAATTATTTTTTATTTTTACACATATTTTAAAATATATTTTATAGAATTTTTGTTTTAAAAAAGAATTTTAGGTGTGATTTTAATACTTTCACTATTCTCACAAAAAATGTAATTTGGCCATATTTCCTCTAAAATAGCAAAAGAAGTTGGATCTTTTAAAATATTTTGCTCCCAAATTATAATCAACTATTGGTAGTTATAAGCTTCCAAATTTAGACAAGCCTAAGAAATCTAATTCCACATCTCACTCCCACTTAGGTTGTGTATGAAAAATAACACAGTTCTCCTATACATAGACAGCTCTGGAACATTCCAGTCATAAAGAAATACTTACCTTGATGGAAAATTTGTAATTAATATTTCTTGTAGAACTTCCACTTTGATGAGTGACTAGTGACTATAACTGCTATTTCTTTCTATTTTCATGGTTAATTTCAGGGCACATTCAGAAAATGAAGGTACCGCTTTACCATCGGCTGACTCCTGTACCAGTCCTACAAAGATGGACTTATCATATAGTAAGACTGCTAAGCAGTGCCTGGAGGAGATATCTGGTAAGTGACCTCATCGATGCATAGGTCAAACCTAGGAATTTCCGTATTCTCTCCATAAGACTTTTTATTAAATCATATATGTGGTATACTGTTTTTAGTGCAAAAATGGACTATATACATCTCATGCTTCAAAGATCATTAACTATTTGGCTATTCTGCTTAGGATGATCTCTTTGTTACTATAAAAGGAATGGTAGTCCTTTCAGAAGTGAAGACTTTAAGTCATTTTGCCCTCAGTCAAGTAGTTGAATAAAATCAGAGAAAACCTGGATAATACATTTGGAGATTGAAAATAAACTAATGATTGGCCATGTATATTCTCCATGGCTAATGCAGCCTGCTCTGTCATCAATTCTGTATGATTTAAAACATCTCTACAGGGTGGCTTCAAATGACCATTCTAAAAAACTCTGAAAAGGAAAATATTTTATTATATATAGATGATGTAAGAAAAAAAATACATATCCCAGACACAGTTATCATGTTTTTGGTGTGTATCAAATGGGATGCTCAGCTTGAGCACAATGTTTTCTCTAGGGTCCAGGTAAGCCTAAGCATATATGGAAGGCATTTAGTTTAATTTCATTACATATAGATCTATATTCGTGAGGAATCAAGTAACCTCCTAGCAAAATATATTGCCCCTAAAGGGTGAGAGAGTACAGAGTACTTTATCTGCTCCTAAGTATAATAATGCATGAAAGTAGGGGTGTGTCTGTTGTTCCAGGAAATCTCTGGTCCAAGCCTGTGTATTCACAGCTAAGTTCAAATGAAGAAAACTAAATAAATTATTTAATTTTAAAAAATTACTGTGTACTCCAAAGACTCAAAGTATAAGTATTGCTATGAAGCTCAAGCGACTCTATCACAAATTTGGGGGTTAAGAAACTTCCCCACTTCGGCAGACCTGAAAAATATTTGGCAAGCATTAGACATGACTACAGCATCCTGCAGTGGATACTGACAACAATTACAGAACAACATCCCAAGGGTACATTTTGGAATCAGCATTAGTTGATAACATTAGGCGTCAGAGGTTTCATATGGAGATTACAACAAAGGCCAGTTCTAGGTAGGGGTAGAAATGGTAATGCCAAGACACAGATATAGGGCTAATAATTGTAGATTTTTCAAATACATGGGGGATGTGTTGACTTTCCATTAACTCTGGGTAGTACCACGGTCAAAATAATGCTATGTGTCTATTATGACCAGATGTTTTATAAAATTAGCATGGCATGAAGATGTGTATGCCTCATATATTTATACATAAATGTCCTCAAATTGCATGTTTTAGCACTAGAGCTCAAATCTTTAGGATAAATGAATTTAGTAGAGTTTGAATTGCAATTTTTTTGTGAATTTCACAAAGGAACACTGTTTTCAGAAACTAATATATCACGGTATATCTGATTGAATAGTCTGTATTTGATGTTTTTCTCCACTTCCTTATTGTCTACCCTTTGATCACTTTTTCATTTTTCCAGTTGATATTTCCTTTTAACATTCTGATTTTTAATAGAATACCTGAAAGTGAATATAAACTGGCAATTAATGTAATAATTTAATGGGTTTATCAGAGAGCATAATATCATTTTGCAGCAATAATCAATTATTTACATAAAATCATAGTTTTCAGTCTAGGATTTTGATAAGAATTCAGTAAAAGAAAGAAAACAGAAAATAAATGGTACAGTGAGACTTGTCTAATTATGTCAATCTCACTATCATCTGTTTAAATGCAGCCTATAGTGGGATAGTGAAAATGTCTCTCGTTGCTTGAGATTTCCTGGAAGAATTGTGATATTATTTGCAGTTAGTAAGTTATAAATTGAGTACTATAATTGAAGAAATTTAGATGAGGAAATATGAGCAGGCCAGTGATAAGATGACTATCACAGAGAAATTAGATTACATATCTTCATCATTTTAAGATTTTGGTTTATGGGTCACTATTACTCTCTTACCATTTCTGCCTTAATTTTTAGTGATTTTAGTATCTACACGGGTGTTCTTTCTAACACCTTGGCCTCTCCTCCCATAATTTTGTGTTGCAGTCCCTCCTGAGCTTCTTATTCTCATCATCATACCCTAGATCTAGGCACCATCAGAAACTACTACTTCTCTATGACCTCACTTTCATGCACTGCACTCTCACTGATTATATACTCCTATCATTTCAGTATTCTTCCTTTTGTTCCCTAACTCCAGCAATGATTCCACTAGGATTTCCAATTCATTGATCCTACCACTTTTTACCGTTCTTCACCAACCTCCGCATATTTTTCTTCTCTCCTTAGCTGAATTCCTGTAATGAGTGAATGTATTTTTATTTTTATATATCCTAACTCCATTGCCTCTCTCTCACTTAATTGTACTCATTTGATGAAATCATGACCTGGTTACATTTAAATCTCCACCTATTCTATACCAACAATGAATGAACCAGGAGAAAACACACCGCATGTCAATGCAACTCACTTTACATATATGACCTCCAACCTCAAGTGACTATGTAATGCTCCTGGCAGTCAGTCTATTTTTTATACCTTTTTTTCTCAAATGTCCGACATCACCAGTCCCATCCTTTCTCTTAACTGACAACCTGGATATGTACTTCACTTAAAAAAGTGAAGCACAAAGAAAAGTTCATGAACCACTGTCATCACATCTACCCAAGTAAAACATATATACCCACTTAATACCTATTTACTCTGCTTTTACTTAGATTACTCTCTCTTCTCTTTAATAGCTCCCTCCCAACCAAATCACTTATTTTAGGCCATAGCATACTATCATTTCTCCAACCTTAATTTAAAAAACACAACTTCCTGGCCGGGTGCGGTGTCTCACACCTGTAATCCCAGCACTTTGGGAGGCCAAGGTGGGCAGATCACGAGGTCAGGAGATCGAGACCATCCTGGCTAACGGTGAGATGCCGTCTCTACTAAAAATACAAAAAAATAGCCAGGCATGGTGGCGGGCGCCTGTAGTCCCAGCTACTCGGGAGGCTGAGACAGGAGAATGGCATGAACCTGGGAGGCAGAGCTTGCAGTGAGCCGAGATAGCGCCACTGCACTCCAGACTGGGAGACAGAGCAAGACTCTGTCTCAAGAAAAAGGGGGAAAAAAAAAGCCACAACTTCCCTTGACCCCAAATTTGTCCTCAAGTACTGTTGTGATTTATCTCCTTCTCTTATGGCATGCTGTAAAAAGAGTACGGTTCAATCACAGTCTCTTAGGCTTTTAGCCCCACTTCTCCACTGGAACTGCTCTTATTGAAGTCACCACTAATGTCAACATGGCCAAATCCAAGGATCAAGTCTCAGGGCTTATCTTATTTCACCTCACAGCAGCTATTTGTCCTCTTCTAAGAAGGTTTCTTCCTTGGTGCTATAGTTTGGATACAGTTTATTTGGTCTCACCAATTCTCATGTTGAAATTTGATTTCCTTGGCCAGGCATGGTGGCTCACGCTTGTAATTCTAGCACTTTGGGAGGCCGAGGGGGTCAGGTAATGAGATCAGGAGTTCGAAACCAGCCTGGCCAACACAGTGAAACCTCATCTTTACTAAAAGTACAAACATTAGCCGGCTGCGGTGGCAGACACCTGTAGTCCCAGATACTTGGGAGGCTGAGGCAGGAGAATCACTTGAACCTGGGAGGCAGAGATTGCAGTGAGTCAAGATCGCACCACTGCACTCCAGCCTGGGTGACAGAGCTAGACTCCATCTCAAAAAAAAAAAAAAAAAAAAAAAAAAAAGAAATTTGATCCCCAATGTTGTAGGTGGGGCCTCATGGGAGGTGTTTGGATCCCAGGGGCAGATTCCTCATGAATGGCTTGGTGCCATTCTCCTGGGAGTGAGTGAATTTTCACTGTTAGGTCCCACACAAACTGGTTGTTAAAAGTAACCTGGCACCTTCACTTTTTCTTGTTTATGCTCTCACCATATGATCTCTGCACAACAGCTCCCCTTTGCCTTTCACTGTGAGTGGAAGCAGTCTGAAGCCCTCACCAGAAGCAGATGCTGGAAGCAGCTTCTTGTACAGCCTAAAGAACAGTGAGCCAAATAAACCTCTTTTCTTCATAAATCACCCAGATAATCCTTTATAGCGTCACAAATGGACTAAGATACTTGATTTTCAGAGTCATGTATCCCCTCTGTTTTCCTCAAACCTTACTGTTCCTTTTTGGTTTCCTTTTCTAGTTATACTTTTTTTCTTGATGATTTCTTATGATTTAAATGATCCAGGTCTCTGCTTCTAGGTTTCTCTACCTATAAATGTGATTTAATATCGATATTATCTCATGGCTTTAAATTTCATCTATATTCTGATGGCTTACAAATGTCTCTCTCTGCACTAGTTCTCTCCCCGGAACTCTGGACTCAAATATCCAACTGCCAACACAATCTTTCCGCTTGAATATCTCACAGACACTTCAAACATAATATATCCCAAACTGAACCTCTGATATTAACCTAGCAAATTGTACCCCTCGAAAACTCTTTACCCAAGTCTTCTCCATTTTGATTAATAAGAATTTCATCCTTCCAGTTGCCCAAGCCTGAAACCTTAGAGTTATTCATGGCTCCTTTTTAATGCCTCACACCTGATGTCCTGATATTCTATTCATTATAGTATATTTTTGGCTCCAGAAGTATTGTTTTCTATTTGTACTCAGAAACAAATGGTGTATATGAATCAACTTTTTAGGATATTTCTCAGTACTTGAACTCTTGTTATTTTCTCAGAAATTCAGAAACTGAAAAAATTTAGATGACACAATATTGAACTAACTATAAGAAATAAGGTACTAAGATACCCTAGAATAATTGCATTTTAAAATATATCCAGAATTTGCCAGTTCTTCTTTTTTCTACTTTTATCTATTAAGTGGCATCACCAATGGATGGTTAGTATATAGATAGCATTCAATAAACGCATGTAAAATGAAATTAATATAATGGATGTAGCATTAAAATGAGAACTACGCTAAAAAAGGAACCTAATAATTTTCAGAGGAAAACAGTAAACAGAAAAGATAGGACTTATATCTTTGGCTTTGGAAGGCACTCAGGAAATAATCACAGTGAACTTATGACCAATTATACTCAACTGAAGGGGTTGATATAAATGGAAAATAAAAATTTACTTTTGATTATGCCATCACTGAATAATCAAAGAATATGAGGAAGAAAATGTTTAGTTATTCTACAGAAGTAATGTTAGAGTTCAGAAGCTCTCCCCGTTGAGCTGGGATTTTAAGACAGCACATTAGAAAATGGAAGAAAGCCAAGAATGGTGGCTCATACCTGGAATAGCAGCACTTTAGGAGACCAAGGCAGGACGACTGCCTGAAGCCAGGAGTTCAAGACCAGCCTGGACAACATAGTGAGACCCTGTCTCTAAAAAAAAAAAAAATTCAAATTGTTCAGGCATGGTGCTGTGTAGCACATGTGTAGTCCAATCTACTCAGGAGGCTGAAGAGAGAAGACTGCTTAAGCTCAGAAGTTCAAAGCTGCAGGAGTCATGATCATGCCACTGCACTCAAGCCTGGGTGACAGAGCAAGACCTTGTCTCCAAAAAAAAAGGGTGGGGGGCCGGGGGAGAAGAATAAATTTGTAACACAGGTTGAACATCCATAATTTAAAAATCCAAAATTCAGAAGGTCCCAAAGTCATAAGTTTTTGTGTGGTGACATAATGCCACTAGTGGAAAATTCCAAACCTGACCTCCTGTGACAAATTGCAGTCAAAATGCAGGTGCACAACACAGTTTATTCAGCATTCTCAGGGGAAAAAATAGTCTGTCAGCCCCTTTAGCTGCTATGTATCTTTTCCATGCACACCCACAAAGGGTAATACAATGGCATGTGTGCAGAATGGACATGCCAATGGCAGGTTCCCCACAGTGCCCCACATTGGGTCAAGACCTATACGCATTACTCTGTGGTTTTTGTTTTGTTTTTGTTTTTGTTTGTTTGCTTATTTTTCATTGTGTGGCATAAAGATATTGTTGAAAATGTCAAAAAGGCCTGAAGATACCCCTATGGGTAACAGTGATAAGAAAAAAAGGAAGCGTTTTTTTTTGTTTTGTTTTGTTTTGTTTTGTTTTTTTTATAGCACAGAAAGTCAAGCTGTTGGAGAGACTAGACTGTGGTGTAAGTGGGAAACATCTTCCAGAAGAGAATGGTGTTGGAATGACCACCATATATGACCTGAAGCAACCAAAGGATAAATTGTTGAAGGTCTCCATTGAAAGTGATGAACAGAATTAATGAAAAACAGAAAAACACTGCATAAAGCTGAAAATGAAGATCTCAATTGTGTATTGAAAGAGTGGATCCATCAGTGTCACGGTGTACACATGCCACTTAATGGTATGCTGATGGTTAAATAAGCAAAGATCTTTCACAATGAACTGGCAATTGAAGGAAACTAAATATTCAATAGGCTGGTTGTGGAAATTTAAGAAAATATATGACATTAAATTTTTAAAGATTTGTGGTGATAAATAGTGAAAACATACATTGACTAGTTTTCCAAGATCATTGCCGATGAAAAACTGACTCTGGAAAAAATCTTTGATGCTGAAACAACACAAGTTTTGATGCCTCAGAAAGATACTGACACAGAAGATAAGACAGCCCCTACAGGAAGTAAGGATGCCAAGGACGGAGTAACTGAGATTGGATGTACTTATACAGCAGGAACCCATAAATGAAAACTTGCTGTGATAACCAAAAGCTTGCATCCCTGCTGTTTTCAGGGAGTGAATTTCTTACCAGTTTATTATTATGCTAACAAAAAGGCTTGGATCACCAGGGACATATTTTCTGTTGGTTTTGCAAACATTTTGCATCAGCAATTCTTGCTCACTGCCAGGAAGCTGGACTGAATGACTGCAAGAATTTATTTGATTATATTTATTCTACTCATTGTCTAGCTGAAATTATTATCAAAAACAATGTTTATGCCATGTACTTTCCCCGAAATGTGACTTGTTAATTTAGCCCAGTGACGAGGTGATCCTTCAATCGAAAAAGAATAAATATAAAAACACTTCCTTAAATAGCATGCCAGCAGCAGTGAACAGAGGTATATGTGTGGAAAATTTTCAAAAGGAGTTTAGCATGAAGGATGTCATATATGCTGTTGTCAAGCCTTGGAATGCAGTGACTAAAGACATGGTTGTACCTGCCTGGCACAGCCTCTGGTCTGCATCTATGTTCAATGATGATGATGAACCAGGTGGTGACTTTGAAGGATTCCATATGTCAAATGAGAAAAACAATGGTGTCTGACCCTACCTATTCCAAAAAAAAAAAAAAAAATACTTTCAGAGTCCATAAGTAGGCTAGAAAAAGTGGATATCAAAGAAATTTTTAACATTGATAATGAGGCTCCAGTTGTTCATTCATTGAACATTGATAACATAGCCAAAATGGTGCTGAATTCAGGTGACTGTGATAATAGCAATGATGAAGATAACAATGTTAACACTGCAGAAAAAGTGCCTAGAGACAACATGATAGAAATGCATGATGATCTTAGTGAAGAACTAGAGCAGTGTACATTCATTACAGAACAATAAATTATGCCAGTTGATAAAAATCAGAGAGATTTCTAAGACAAAAACTGTTGTTAATGAAGCAGATGACTCTGGGGTAAACATTTTAAAAAGCTACACAGCAGAATGCCACCTCATCCCTAAGGGGCCCACTTCCCAGTCCCTCAACTGCTTCTGATGTTTCTTCTCACCTAAAAAAAAAATACAGTGTACAGTAACCTTTTAATCCAAATACAGCATTGAATGTAGAGATGGAAAGCTTGTGGTTGTTTGTGGTTGCTGTTGTTTCATAGCTGATACAGGTATTCTGGCAATGCTACTGTGCTGCTTAGTGACCTTGAACACATTATTTTTTCACTGCATTAATGCTATGTCATATTTTTTATTGGTAAGTACTTATGTATAAATAATTGCAATAAAATAATTGCCTATTAGTAGCATATAAATTCAGTCAGGAATGATGGTGATGCCACAAAACCACAGATTGTACAATCCTGTTAGGTGACTGAGATAGAGACACCTTTGATTTCTGATGGTTCAATGCACATAAACTTTGTTTCATGCAAAAAATTTTTAAAAATGTATAGAATTACCTTCAGGCTATGTGTATAAGATGCATATGAAACATAGGTGAATTTTGACTTGGGTCCCATCCCCAAGATATCTCATTATGTATAGGCAAATATTCCAAAATCTGAAAAAATTCAACATGCAAAACACTTCTGGTCCCAAGCATTTCTGATAAGGGATATTAAGCCTGTAATAGAATAACCCTATAAAAGAATGAACCTCTCAGAATTCTAAAGCTCATGAGATGTTTTCTATATTAATGATGCCTCTCTTTCTCAGAATCTCCATCCTTTATTGGCTTTCATCTTTCTGAGTTCTGGATGCTAGTGAAACCACAAAGCACTAAGCACCTGAATTTATTGCCAGGTCCTAGCTCAGACTGGCCCACAGAATACCCCTTCCAAGACTGTTTGAAATGTGGAAAGAGAAATGTTCTAGGAATTGGAAAAAATAAATTTTGGCTTCAGCACTGCAATTATTTAGCGATTATTTGGCCTCTGCACTGTGAATTGCTCCCTGGTTCCCTTTTCTGTGTGGTGAATATGATGATACTTAATAAACTCAGAAGATTGTTGTGAGGTATGGTATTATTCCTCCATCAGTCTTTTCAGTAATTATCACCTGGCATCTTACACATGCCAGACATCTCAAAATTTGGGAAAACAAATGTGACTAAGAAGTGAGCTCTCCTTTGAAAAAGTAAGAAACAAATAGATAAAATTTAACACCACAAATAAATGAATAAATAGGCACATGGAAACAACTAACTTAGCTGTAAAGAGTCATGCAGAACTTAAAAGAAGATCAGACATGCATATTGTAGAATTCTAATGAACAATGAAATTGTGGAATAACATGAAAATAATGGGAAACAAATTCTTCTTAACTTACTCTTTTCATTAGTTTCTTTTTGTAAAATTGGGCATTTCTCCTAAACTTACTGAGGTTTCGATAGTTCTCTGATTTTCTGCAACCCCAAGCTTCAACACTATTGTTATTGTTGAACTTTTATTGCTCATGGTTGCTGTAGGGGCCTCAGTGAGGAATAATTCTGCTTCCCAAGTGAAGTGGCCTTCATGATACAGAATTCTGAGGAAGTTAGTCTTGCCAGGGTAAGATGCAGGCTTTATAAATTTGTGAAGTCTATATAACATTCAGAGTCCTGAAAATAGTACAGAAAATAAAATGTATAGTGTCTAGAAAGGGGTTTAGGTGAGTTAGGAGTTCTATAGCTTAAGCTCTATTGCTGTGTATTAAGCCTACCTGGAAGTACTGGTGTCGTTTTGTGTGTCTGGTATCCATTGCCCCATCTTCTGATAACAGCACCTTGATTTTCTTTGGGGAGAATTCTCTGCTCATGTGATCTAACTGAAATTGATATAAGTGGAGCCAATGAGAACAATCTATTCATTGACTGCAGTGACTGTTTGAGGACTGGATGTGTGACCCAATCAAGTTTGATCAGAACAAATAAGACTCAATCTCAGGACTTTTCCTGAGGTTGTTATAAGAGAAAATGTGGCACATATACACCATGGAATACTATGCAGCCATAAAAAATGATGAGTTCATGTCCTTTGTAGGGACATGGATGAAATTGGAAATCATCATTCTCAGTAAACTATTGCAAGAACAAAAAACCAAGCACCGCATATTCTCACTCATAGGTGGGAATTGAACAATGAGATCACATGGACACAGGAAGGGGAATATCACACTCTGGCGACTGTGGTGGGGTGGGGGGAGGGGGGAGGGATAGCAATGGGAGATATACCTAATGCTAGATGACGAGTTAGTGGGTGCAGCGCACCAGCATGGCACATGTATACATATGTAACTAACCTGCACAATGTGCACATGTACCCTAAAACTTAAAGTATAATAAAAAAATAATAATAATAAAAAAAAAGAGAAGTGGTCTCTTTTTCCACTACACCTAAAACTAACAAAAGAGAAGCTTAGACCTGCTAACAGTGACCTCCACCCTCAAATGAAACAAACATAGAGGAAACAGAACCTAAATCAGGAGAGACCAAATTCAAGGCCATTGTCGGAAATAACTGAGCCCCTGAAAAATCCATGTCTGAAACTATTTCTCCTCTACTTTTGAGTTATGTAACCCAGAAAAAAGTCTTTTTGTGCTTACACAAATGTGAAAATCATCCCTATTGCATGACCCACAGGATGTATGACATGTAAAGATTTGCCATACTATTAAAGAGCAAACTTGAGTGGTTCACATTGCAATGCAGATGTGTTAGAGGGATTTGCTAAGTTAGTTGGAGAGCTTAGCTGTTTAAATTTTCACCAATGCAGTAACTCACTTGACATTATAAAAACATTGTCTTTGCCATTAAATGGTAATGAAAGTTTAAAAAGGTAATAAATTATGGTTTGAAGATAAATATCAGAAATGCATGACACTCAATAAAGTAGAATACTGGATAAATGACTTTTTCAATTTGAATATTCTTCATAAGTCTTCAGTGCACCTCTCCAAAATTTTTAAGTACGTCACTTAAATTTGCTTTTGCTTATTATGTTCTTTGTGAAGAAACCTAGTTGTATTTACCCAATCTGATGATGGTAGCTCCAATAATTATTATAGTCAGGTGAAATGTATTATATAATTTCTGCCATTGAAGAAGTAGCTTATTGCTTCCTGCCTTTCCTCTAAGATTCATATCATGACCTCAATATTACAGTGCTGGCTGAATTAATGGTACAGATTTTACTGCTTTGGCTTGAGTTTTATTCTCACATTCATTGACAGAAAGAATTTGTCCTCAGAGGCCATCCCTTTCATCATCTTCCAAGTGATTCTGCCAAATGTAAAGCGAGCCCAAATTTTCATCCCACTGGTACTCAAGGAAGTTTTTCAATTTTTCTTCTATAGGTTCACACTTGCCCTTTTTTTTTGCATAAGACTATCCACCAACATGTAACACATTTGTTTAATTCACTTCTTAACCTTTATCTGGAATTTATATTCAACTGAAAAATGTTCATAGGTGCTGGACTGGCTCAATATCAATAAAGCTGGCATGTCATTTGTAAAAAAGTAATATTAAAATTATTGGTTGAATTCAGGAAACCATTTTAGAAATAGAAGAATTTAGGTTAACCAGAAGGATAAGCGAATGGTTACATGTGCTTTTACTGACTACCAGACTTTGTATTAAAAGTGGGAAATATCTGACATTTACAATCTCTGTAAATGATCACTGAAATTGCCCTTTTTTTTTTGAATGTTTATAAAGATCAAGAAGATCAAGCTCAGATAATTCAAATCAGTTTAGGTCTTTTACTTAAATAGCCACATTATAATTATGTTTACTAAAGAGCTGAAAAGCATTCCTTTCCAGCACATTATAATAGCTATAACTTATTTTAGGTCTTGGCGTAATTAGAATGATTCACATTTTTCCTACTGACTGGGTGTATTTGTCTCCTTTGCACTGCACCTTCCTCCTCTTCCTTGTATAACATACATCTATATGTGTGAATACAAACAAATATAAAAACATTCATATATGAATGTACCCCCAAAGCAAGCAGGATGGCGCTCTCCAGAGAAGGAATAAGTGGGTTCCCCACTGTCGCTCAGAGTAAATGTGGACTGATGTAGTTCTGGGACAAACCTACTGTAACCACAAGTTAATAACAATATCTTTGAACAAAGAGACAGAAACCCCCTTTTGATAAGCCTTCTCTACAATCCCCTCCTTGCTGGCTCCATTGGACTGAGCCCATCCTTTCCAGGGTTCACCCCTCCAGAAGGATTAAATTTCCTGTCTCATTGAATCAGGAAGAACCATGTGATTTAATCTGACAAATGAAATACAAGTGGAAAAATGACATGGGATGTTCCTGAGCAGAAACTTAAGAGCCATTGCTTGGATCTCTCACCTCTCTTTTCCTTTGGTCATAAAATCAACATGTCCCAGACTAGGATTGCTCTTGTAGCATGGTTGTTAGAATAAAGAATACCTGAGAGAGAGCTGTAACAAACAGAGTGGACATTAATGTCAGCAAAATACATCTTTGTATTGAATGCCACTGAAGTTTCTAAACCATTTGTAAATGCAATATAACAATCTAATTCAGGATTTCCCAACTTCGGCACTGTGGACGTTGTGAAATGCAGAATTCTTTTTTGCATGGGGGTGGTTTATCATTGTAGGATGTTTAGCAACATCACTGGCCACTTCCCCTTAGATGTCACCACCACACCCACAGTTGTGATAACGAAAAATGTTTCCAGATATTGCCAAATGTCCCTTGGGGGAAAAACCATCCCCAGTTGAAAACCACTAATCTCAGCATAGTAGTTCTCAAAGGGGGTTTTCAGAGCCAGCAGTATCTGGAAATATGTTAGAAATACAAAGTCCCAGGACCCTCCGAGTCCAACTGAATGAGCAGTTATGTGGCTGGGGCACAGCGAACTGTGTTTTGATAAGCCCTCCGAGTGGTTCTGAACATATGAAGCTTGAGAACCACAGGTTTAAACTGATTGGTATATGTATAAGCAGTCTTGAATAAGGAAAGGGCATAAATATTGCTTTTATTTACAGATGAATAAGGTCAACTCATTTGATATATAAAGCATTAGAATTGCATTTTTTGTGAATCTGTAAGGCTTTAGGGTATATTAGCATATATACTAGTGTAACAAATGTTAAATACATTGAAATTTCATAATTTGAACAAATTTCACTATGGTCTCAGGACTTGGAAATTCACTGTGTCACAATAACTCAAAATGAAAGAAAAAAGATTTTCTACTTAGGAATTCTAAGGGGAGTGTCATTTTGGTCTTCCAAAAAATACTTTACAAAATTGTGTTTTTAGGAGCATAACTGTCAGTTTCAATTATCTGATATTTGTACTGTAATTTTATTTAGCACATTTTATATAAACGAGTAGTATTTAAAAAGTATAGAATTGAGAATGAGTATCAATAATTCACAGATTTCTTTATTGCAGAATTTTGTCACAAATAATTGCTGTTCTTTCCAGCTAATTTCCTTTTCATATCTATAAAATGGGTCTAAGTCTGATCTACCTTGAAAGGTGGGGCATAAGGAATAATTAACTTTACAAAGTAAGTGGTTATTATGTGTAAAGTTATAGGCAATGCATATTATAATGCTAATATATATAGTTATGAGATTGGGTATTTCCTCTATTGAGATTGGCAATAGGAGGTAGAAAATCACAATTAATTTTGCCACATTAGCTCTGAAAATGATGAAGATAATATCTCTGCATATTTCTCCATTTTCCCTCATTTGATAAAGGAGAAATCCCTATTTTTCTGTTTGTGAGCAGAAAATCTTCAGAAGTTAAATACTGAAAGGTCGATAGTCTTCTTAACTGTCAATGGTACCCATGATTTCTGCTATACTATATATTTGTTTTTTAAAGTTGTCCTAAAATCAGAATTTTGTGGTGGTATAGTGTACGTACCAGTACAAGGTAAATACAAGAAAATTATCTTTAGGTTTTCTGTTTTTATGAAAACATTAAGAAATAAGAGCTGATTATGCTGTGATAGGCTTATGAAATAGACCTGGAAAAATGCAATATCAAAAGACACAATGTGCATTTTGTGTTATCTGTAACATTATTATGTTCCACACACTTGACCATAAACTTTCAATTTTAAGCTTTGAGTCAAAATATCAAGGGAAAACCCTTTTGAGTTATTTTTTTCTTTCTATTTCCTTTTTGTTTTTACAAAAAGGCTGTAAGAAATCTTTATCATCACATTAGGATTTTAGGATTCAAAATAAGAAGGCTTTGACTTTGTTCTTTAAAAGATTAGGGAAGTCTTTCCCTTTAAAGCATTATCTCCTAGCGGGTGGAGAGTGTCATGCTTCATTTTTTAGGTCCTTTACACTCTTGAATTTGATTTGTGCTTTTACAGCACAAATCCCAACATTCAGAAGGGAGATCTGCCTGCTTCAGCTGCCTGCAGCTACAGAGAATTAGTCTGTCATTCTCGGCATCGGGGAGTGTGTGTTGTGTATGTGAGGGTGTGAGTGTGTGTCCGTGTTTGAGATTGGGTGGCTGAGAGTCATTTAAATGTGCATAAGGTTAATAGTGGAAGATCTCGTACAGGCTTGGCTCAGAAACCTGTGGCATTCTACGCTGGACAGCCGTTCCCGTGCCTCTGTTTTAATTTGGCAGGATGTTTGCTGCCATGGCAGCCAGCAGCATCCACTGCAGCAGCAAGGAAGAGCCATAGATCTGAGAATGCAGGTGGAATACTAAAATGTAAGAGGCTTGTGCAGGGCTGGGCGTCAGTGCTTAATTCCTGCTCTTCCTGGGCTCCTATGAGCAGGCTGTACTTGCTGCACTGTGTCAGCTCGTTAGAGTAAAGGGTTACAGACCTAGGTCAGTTAAGGGCTGGTGAAAGGCAGGGGAAAGAAAAAAAAAAGCAAAAAGCAAGAGACCTCAGCTCGTGCTTCACCTCCTGGCGTTTCGGGACACAGAAGCAACAGAGGGAAATGTGGACCCATCCTCCTGCTGAGACATGTGATTGGATGAAGACGGGCAAACGTAGTTGGCTTCCTGGACTACTTTTCAGCTGGAGGAGAGTCTTTGGTGAACTCTTTTCTGCTTCAGATATATTCGAGCAAAATATTTGTAAGTACTGCTGATTAGTAAAGTGATGTGTCAAGCTAAATTGGGGGCAAATAATTATATATACTATATCTCTAGAATCTTCTGTGAATGTGTGAGCTTGAGCTTTTATTGAAGTGCATGTGATAATCAAAATCAAATGGATCAGTTACAATCACAGTGTAACAAGACAATATGAAGTCCAATTGAAAGGAAGGAGCCACTGGAAGAATCATGCAGCGGCCTGCTGAACTCTCTGTGTTCCGGAGCAAAGAAGTAAGGAGAAAGGGAGCTTGCCTTCAGAAACAAAAGTCTCTGACCAATCTTTCCCTCACCAGTGATGGGGAGAGGAGACCCACGGTGCGCATTTCCAACTGGTTTGGAAATGCTGCCAAGGCCAGCCAGAGAGAAGCCAACTATGCAGAGCGGCGCTCACTGTCCAAGTTTCTCTCGCGGTCTGTGCAGTCCCTGTATCACACCAGCAGCTCAGCCTGGAACCTCCTGCCTGCTGGGGGCAGCCAGTCAGACAGTGAAGACTTAGAGGAATTGTCTGCAAGAAGAGGCTTGGAAGGTGAGAGTGATGAAGATAGTAGGTCTGAAGATGAAAACGTGTCCTCCAAGCCAAGCAGCATCAGCAGAAGCTGGGCTGAAGAGGAGGGAGAAAGCTGTTTGCGGGAAGGGACAGCTCATCTGGATGAGGAGGTGATCCTTACCATGCTGGGTGATCTAGAACAGGCACTTTACACTGACTTATTAGGTAAGTCCAATTTGCTCCTAAAAACGTGTATGGGATCTTAAGAAATTTCATAGTCTCTTATGAAATTATTTGCATTTGCCAAATAGCTTTCATGTTTTTAGACTGATTTTTAAAAATACATAGTTACATTTTAAATTCCTGTTTCTTGAAGTGATTTTTTTTTTTAATTTTTTGGTAAAACTGAGCTATGAGCACCACTGGTAAGGTTCATTTGGAGAAAATAAATTCCGGAAATCTGCCATGGGCATTATTAGCCTCACCTAGTGTCCAGTACCTTCTAGACATCCATAAATAAGTTAACATTTTAAAACTCCAAACATGTTTTTCACCTACTCATTAAAGGGGCCTATTTGTTCAACTTCCCTCAAGGTGACCTCATCACAGATAAGGGATGAATAATGAAGGGCCTCCTGGGTAAATTTTCTGTAGAGTTAAGTTTCTTCTGCTGCCTCCGTGCTACCTGAATAGAAGGCTTCTTCTATACCTCAGTGACAAGCCCTTTTTATTGTAGTAACACTTTCAGAAATACAGGGGCCGCTGCTGGCTTCTACCTTTTTTCTTTTCTCTTTTGTTTCAGTGTTTGACAAAAACTAGTTCTGCATGTGCACATTATAAGTATTTAAGCTACTATGTAGATGACTATGAACTGTTTTCATACTTTAGAAACTAGGCCTTTTTGATAACATGAGTTTCAGTAGTAACTTCTGGCATAATCTTTAACTAAATAAGAAGAGGTCAAGTGATTCTATAGTTTGTGACTAAACTTTAAATGTCAACTGTGCCACCTACCTAAACAGCTAACATGTGAACATTTTAATTGTTATTTCTGAATTCAGTCTTGTATCAAAATATATTTACATCACACAGTCCCTTCTTCCATAAGTATTAAATTCCTGGCCATATCATATTTTATGTCAATGTGTATTTCCACAAAGGGCTTCATATTGGCCTCCTTAAGTTGAAAGGAATTAAACCTGGGAAGTGATCTCTTTGTTTCTGATTCAAGAAACTAATGCTAAATGCAGGCTTGCTTTTACTCTTAATGTAGACCCTCCTGTTACAAGATGTTTTATGAGGTTTTCTGGATTCTTTTAGTGAACCAGTTTTAGAAGAAGAAAGCTTATAGAGATAGCAGAGGCAAATATTGTTCAATTTTTCATGTCAGTTTGGTTTTAGAAGAGTAATCTTTCCACAGTTGTCAGAATAGTGATTTCTGAATCTGAATACACCAGGTGCTCCAACACTGAAGATTTACTTTTGCACCATTGTGTGATTTCTGTGATGAACTGCTTCTCATAAAGGGCTATGTGCAGCACAAAGGCGAGAGAAAGTCTTAATCTTTATGAAGCTTTTTCTTTTTTGGATCCTCTGAAACTGTAGAATCAGATAATATTCCTCTTTTGCTTTTGAAGTGGTATTATTTATCTTGTTCTCAGTATCTCTTAAGTATTTACAAAGATATGAACAGAGTGCAGTCCCCTGACAGCATTTGATGCTTACTCAGTTAAATTATAGCATGCTGTGGGTGGGTGTATATATGACATGTGCCTTTTTGTGCATAAATAACTTGAAGCATTTTGGTCAGAGGGTAACCTCTCAAAAGAAGCCGGTATGCCTTGGTTTTTCAAGAGCATCTGCTTATTGTATTTATATGATTATTCTGTTTAAGTATTTTTTTTCCTACTTATGCCAGTATTCAAAAATGCAAGTGAAAAAGTAAGGGGAAGTTTATTCAAATAGCTGTGATATGAATAATCATATCTCCAGATAATGAAGCATTCTGATGCAATTCCCTAAATAATGATCCATGTTAAGTTGTTGAATATATCTACGCCCACAGCACACAGGAATTCCAGAATTTCTACCACGTGCTTCAATAGGTTCTGTTTACGACTCAAAATGGCCTCTTCCAAGTTAGTTTTTAGGTGGGGTTCCTTGAGGTTAATTCTTTACTCTTAGATATCCTCCTAAATCAGACAGATTAAGGTTTGTCCTATAACCGTATAGGAGCACATTTTAAAAGTAACTATAAAGCTTTTGGCCATATTTTGCTATTTTTCTCCAAAGTGTCAAGATTAACCAGAGGAGTTTAAAAATTTTCATCCAAATCACTACTAGGGCCATCCACAAAACTAGAGTTACTTCACACAATAAATCAGGAAGCTGTACTCTACATAACATTTGTAATATGGATGGGGTAGAGGGCATAATTCTCTGAGAATAAGATTTATTCATACAGATTTGATTTCCTATTGAAAGATGGCAATGCTGGCAGTGTTAATTACAATGTGTATAATTAAAGCCTAAAAATTAAGAGCAAGATCACAGATTAAATGGTCTGTCTGCCACCAAATAGTAACGTAGGAGTACCAAATTGATGCTGTTATTTTTTTTTTCTCTACTAAGAACACCTTATGAGCAGTGAGAAAGCACTTTGCACCAATGTTAAAAACTCTAGTAGATTTCAGAATATACCATTCTGGAAGATGTGTGGAAGCCATTCCATTGTGTTTGACACATAGGAAGCCTCTTTCAGGAATAATGGTTGACTTTGAGATTATGCAAGCAGGAGGAGACACAACATTGCTGTGATTAAATGCATTTCTCACGTGCATTTTTCTGGTAACTTGTATTGTTGCTAAACATTTAATTTTATTTTTGCTTTTATATTTAGACTTTGCAATTGTGTTTTTCCCCCAAAGCCTCTGGACCTCACTCAGATACAAATTTATAGGATATTTAAGACCATGCAATCAGTCCTTAGGGGGTTTGTAAGTACATTTAGTTTTATCTTGCCTTTTGTGGGTCATTGAAAACATTTACTGCAATAAATTTTCTTTGGTTATTATCTTTCATGACATGAATAAGGCAGCAGTTATGTTTTGCTCAATAAGCGTTGGAAAGAAAAGGTCCATTTGTCTGTCATGAGGAGGGCAGTGTCATAAGTGAATGTCATGATGAAAAAAACCTAAGGAATGAGGGAGGCTTTGGTTCTAAAACATGAGAGAAACCAGATAAACAATGAATTCAGTTAGAAGAATCCAAGGATCTAAGATACCTGTTGGATTGGAAAAAAGAAATTGAAAAGGAAATGAAGTAGATGTGAAAATATATTTAGTGAAACAGCATGTCTGAAAATACAACGTTCTTAAAATTAATATGAAAAGATGGAACATAATTGAGATATTAATTTTAATATTCCAGTTGGCAAATGATTGAGATGCAGCTGGATTACAACTTAAAAGTTTTCCTGGGGGAAGGGGGAAAGGGATAGGAACATGTAATGATGCGTTCTAGGAATCTGTGTGAGGTCAATTACTTGTACCTCCCCCACCAAGTAAAAAAAAGGACATCTCAATATACTCCTTCTTTCATGACTTTTTATCTTTCACCTACAATCTAAGATGCCAATAACTGTATGAAATCTTTCATATTGAATCTTAGGTTTAGTGCTTCTCCAATTTTGTCCCCTTCACTACTTATTTTGACCCAGTTTGAATAAATTTCTTCTTTGTATGTCTCTTCCTTGTCTGTAATAATTTTATTTCCAGTCTGTAAGATTTTCTCTACAAAACTTCTTTTTCTTCATAGTTCTCTCAGATTATTTGGAAGTGAAAGATAGAATTCTTTATAGCCATCTCTGAAATACTCTATATTATATGTATGAGGAGAAGTATGGGAAGAATTTCCAGGAAGAATGTGATCAGTCTCAAGGGTTATTAACAGTTCTGAGTTCTAAAAGAATAATGTTAATCTATAGGATTAGTGATTGTGTGAACTTAGTGTAGAGAAAGTTTGTCATGTGCATGAGATCCCAACAAGTGTTTTATTATTCTTTAAAAATATTTACTTCAGGAAAGTTTCTTAGTACGTTATGTTTGAAATAATGATCTTATTATTAAGTATACTTTAATTGTTCAAATGATTTGTAAATTCAAGGGAAGAAATTTACAGGCTGGCAGCACAATGGTGGCTGTTTCGTCAACCACCCAAAGTGAGGAATAATGAACAAAGTAGTAATGTTTGCCTGAAAAATATAGTAAAGGAATTAGCCGTTGTGTTGCAATATTTGAGTGACTGCCTTGGTAAAGACAGTGTAAATTTGTTCATTTGGTTTCAGATCCACTGGAACCACAGGGTGAAAGTTTAAGGGAGACAAATTTTTGCTTATCCCCCATAAATATTTTACATTTTGACCTGCTACTGGAAGGAGCCATCTCTTACTGGTGAGGTGGAGGCCTTTCCAATGTTGGAGTTTTCAGGCAGAGGCAGATGGCCTTGTCCCATGTGAGACAGATGAATGCTATGGCCAAGAGATAAGGCAAGACAATCTCTGAAATCCACCAACTGTATGATTGTGATGATAGGTGTTAAAGGGGCACATTTGTTATAGATTTTTAAAAATCTGGCCTGAGTATTAAGGAAGTAAATTAACAGATTAAATAGTTAGCTATATTCCTAAAACAGATTATAGATACGCATCTTGACTTCCCTATGTGACAATTTTCATAGTGTAATTTAATACATGCTATTTTTTGCTTTTCTTTTTGTTCCCTTTCTTTTTCTTCCATCCTGTTTCCATTCCATTCCCTTCCCAGCCGTCCCATCTACTTCCTTTTTCTCTGTCTCCTCTCCTTCCCTGTCCCTCTCTTAATCTATCCATTCCAATTCCCTCCTCCTTTCTGTTTTCACTTTTATTGAAAGTGCCCATCATTAGACATCCTCTTCAGTCCAGATTGAACAGAATAAAAACTGTGCTTCCACTACTCTCTTTTCATGTTCTTTCTATTATCTAGACTCACTGGCTTTAGAAGGTCACTAGCTTGGGGAAGTATTGTATGACTATCAACAAAATGGCTTAAGGACACTTCTGCCCCCAGTTGATAGGTGGTGATTGTATCAGGCCAGCGTTAGTCATACTTGCAGAGCTATTTGTTTCATGCTCATTAGATACAAACATTTTGGGTTTAGATGCCTAGGAATTTACTTGAACTCTAGTATCATTGGTAGAACTGTAGAAACTGGAGAAGTAATTAAAAATAAAACCATTCAATGTTTGTCAGTCTTTGTCCATGAGTCTAATAAAAGACTTCAAAAGCTATTGCTTCCATAAGAAAAGACCTCAGCCGGGCATGGTGGCTCACGCCTGAAATCCCAGCACTTTGGGAGGCCAAGGCAGGTGGATCATTTGAGGTCAGGAGTTCAAGAGCATTATGACCAACATGGTGAAACCCCATCTCTACTAAATACAAAAATTAGCCGGGCATGGTGGCGAGGGCCTGATATCAGCTACTTGAGAGGCCGAAGCAGGGGAATCGCTTGAATTCCAGAGGTGGAGTTTGCAGTGATCCAAGATGGTGCCATTGAACTCCAGCCTGAGCAAAAGAGTGAGACTCTGTCTAAAAATGAAAATGAAATAAAAAAATAAAAGGCCTCTAGTTTATTCCCCAGATTCCAAATGTGTCCTTTCTACATAAGGCAAATTTACCTCAAGTATTCTGAGTACACCCAGAACACCTTGAAATAATTAGGATCCTAATGATCATAGTTTTTTTTTTTATTTTACTTTAAGTTCTGGGATACATGTGCAGAATGTGCAGGTTTGTTACATAGATGTATACATGCTGTGGTCGTTTGCTGCACCCATCAACCCGTCATCTACATTAGGTATTTCCCCTAATGCTATCCCTCCCCTTGATCCCCCCACCCACCAACAGGCCCCGGTGTGTGATGTTCCCCTTCCTGTGTCCATGTGTTCTCATTGTTCAACTCCCACTTGTGAGTGAGAACATGTGGTGTTCAGTTTTCTGTTCCTGTGTTAGTTTGCAGAGAATGGTTTCTAGTTTCATCCATGTCCCTGCAAAGGACATGAACTCATCCATTTTTATGGTTGCATAGTATTCCATGGTGTATATGTGCCACATTTTCTTTATGCAGTCTATCATTGATGGGCATTTGGGTTGGTTCCAAGTCTTTGCTATTGTGAACAGTGCTGCAATAAACATACGTGTGCATGTGTCTTTATAATAGAATGATTTATAATCCTTTGGTTGTATACTCATTAATGGGATTGCTGGATCAAATGGTATTTCTGGTTCTAGATCCTTGAGGAATTGCCACACTGTCTTCCACAGTGGTTGAACTAATATATACTCCCACCGACAGTGTAAAGGCGTTCCTATTTCTCCACAACCTCTCTAGCATCTGTTGTTTCTTGACTTTTTAATGATCGCCATTCTAACCGGCGTGAGATGGTATCTCATTGTGGTTTTGATTTGCATTTCTCTAATGACCAGTGGATGATGAGCTTTCTTTCATATGTTTGTTGGCTGCATAAAATGTCTTCTTTTGAGAGGTGTCTGTTCATATACTTCACCCACTTTTTGATGGGGTTGTTTTTTTCTTGTAAATTTGTTTAAGTTCCTTGTAGATTCTGAATATTAGCCCTTTGTCAGATGGATAGATTGCAAAAATTGTCTCCCATTCTGTAGGTTGCCTGTTCACTCTGATGATAGTTTCTTTTGCTGTGCAGAATTTCCTTAGTTTAATTAGATCCCATTTGTCAACTTTGGCTTTTGTTGCCATTGCTTTTGGTGTTTTACTCATGAAGTCTTTGCCCATGCCTATGTCCTGAATGGTATTGCCTAGGTTTTCTTCTAGGGTTTTTATGGTTTTAGGTCTTTGGTTTAAGTCTTTAATCCATCTTGAGTTAATTTTTGTGTAAAGTGTAAGGAAGGGATCCAGTTTCAGTTATATGCATGTGGCTAGCCAGTTTTCCCAGCACCATTTGTTAAATAGGGAATCCTTTCCCCATTGCTTGTGTGTGTCAGGTTTGTCAAAGATCAGATGATTGTAGATGTGTGGTGTTATTTCTGAGGGCTCTGTTCTGTTTCATTGGTCTATATATCTGTTTTGGTACCAGTACCATGCTGTTTTGATTACTATGGCCCTGGAGTATACTTTGAAGTCAGGTAGCATGATGCTTCCAGCTTTGTTCTTTTTCTTTAGGATTATCTTGGCTATACGGGCTCTTTTTTGGTTCCATATGAAATTTAAAGTAGTTTTTTCTAACTCTATGAATAAAGTCAATGGTAGCTTTATGGGGATAGCATTGAATCTCTAAATTACTTTGGGCAGTATGACCATTTTCATGATATTGATTCTTCCTATCCATGAGCATGGAATGTTTTTTCGTTTGTTTGTGTCCTCTCTTATTTCCTGGAGCAGTGGTTTGTAGTTCTTTTTGAAGAGGTCCTTCACATACCTTTAAGTTGTATTCCTAAGTATTTTATTCTCTTTGTAGCAATTGTGAATGGGAGTTTATTCATGATTTGGCTCTCTGTTTGTCTGTTATTGGTGTATAGGAATGCTTGTGATTTTCGCATGTTGATTTTGTATCCTGAGACGTTGCTAAATTCGCTTATCAGCTTAAGGAGTTTTTGGCTGAGAAGATGGGGTTTTCTAAATATAAAATCATGTCATCTGCAAACAGAGACAATTTGACTTCCTCTCTTCCTATCTAAATGCACTTTATTTCTTTCTCTTGCCTGATTACCCTTGCCAAAACTTCCAATACTATGTTGAATAGGAGTGGTGATGGAGGGCACCCTTGTGTTGTGCAGGTTTTCAAAGGGAATGCTTCCAGCTTTTGCCCATTCAGTATGATATTGGCTGTGTGTCTGTCATAAATAGCCCTTATGATTTTGAGATACATTCCATAAATATCTAGTAATTGAGAGTTCTTAGCATGAAGGGGTGTTGAATTTTATCGAAGGCCTTTTCTGCATCTATTGAGATAATCATGTGGTTTTTGCAATTGGTTCTCTTTATGTGATGGATTACATTTATTGATTTGCATATGTTGAACCAGCCTTGTATCCCAGCAATGAACCCAACTTGATCGTGGTGGATAAGCTTTTTTTTTGTTGAGGCAGAGTCTTGCTCCATCACACCGGCTGGAGTGCAATGGCACAATCTCAGCTCACTGCAACCTCCGCCTCCTAAGTACAAGCGATTCTCCTGCCTCAGCCTCCCGAGTAGCTGGGGCTGCAGGTGTGTGCCACCATACCCGGCTAATTTTGTATTTTTAGTAGAGATGGGGTTTCACCATGTTGGCCAGGATTGTCTCAAACTCCTGACCTCGTGATCTGCCCACCTCAGCCTCCCAAAGTGCTGGGATTACAGGCATGAGCCACTGCACCTGGCCAGTGGATAAGCTTTTTGATGTGCTGCTGGATTCAGTTTGCCAGTATGTGATTGTGGATTTTTACATCGATGTTCATCAGGGGTATTGGCCTGGAATTTTCTTTTTCTGTTGTGTCTTTGCCACGTTTTGGTATCAGGATGATGCTGGCCTCATAAAATGAGTTAGGGAGGTGTCCCTCTTTTTCTATTGATTGGAATAGTCTCAGAAGGAATGGTACCAGCTCCTCTTCGTAGTTCTGTTAGAATTCGACTGTGAATCTGTCTGGTCCTGGGCATTTTTTTGGTTGGTAGGCTATTAATTACTGCCTCAATTTCAGAACTTGTTATTGGTCTATTCAGGGATTCGACTTCTTCCTGGTTTAGTCTTGGGAGGGTGTATGTGTCCAGGAATTTATCCATTTCTTCTAGATTTTCTAGTTTATTTGCATAGTAGTGTTTATAGTATTTTTTGACGATAGTTTGTATTTCTGTGGGATCAGTGGTGATATCCCCTTTATCATTTTTTATTACATCTATTTGATTCTTCTCTATTTTCTTCTTTATTAGTCTGGCTAGCAGTCTATCTATTTTGTTAATCTTTTCAAAAACCAGCTATGGATTTATTGATTTTTTGAAGGGTTTTTGTGTCTCTATCTCCTTCAGTTCTGCTCTGATCTTAGTTATTTCTTGCCTTCTGCTAGCTTTTGAATTTGTTTGCTCTTGCTTCTCTAGTTCTTTTAATTGTGATGTTAAGGTGTTGATCTTTAGATATTTCCTGCTTTCTTCTGTGGGCATTTAGTGCTATGAATTTCCCTCTAAACACAGCTTTAGCTGTGTCCCAGACATTCTGGTATGTAGTTTCTTTATTCTCATTGGTTTCAAATAACTTATTGATTTCTGCCTTAATTTCCTTATTTACCCCGTGGTCATTCAGGAGCAGGTTGTTCAGTTTCTATGTAGTTGTGAAGTTTTAAGTCAGTTTCTTAACCCTAAGTTCTAATTTGATTGCACTCTGGTCTGAGAGACTATTTGTTAGGATTTCCATTCTTTTGCATTTGCTGAGGAGTGTTTTACTTCCAATTATGTGATCAGTTTTAGAATAAGTGTGATGTGGTTCTGAGAAGAATGTATATTCTGTTTATTTGGGGTGGAGAGTTCTGTAGATGTCTATTAGGTCCACTTGGTCCAGAGTTGAGTTCAAGTCCTGAATATCTTTGTTAATTTTCTGTCTCATTGATCTGTCTCATACTGACAGTGGGGTGTTAAAGTCTCCCACTATTATTGTGTGGGAGTCCAAGTCTCTTTGTAGGTCTCTAAGAACTTGCTTTATGAATCTGGGTGCTTCTGTTTTGGGTGCATATATATTTAGGATAGTTAGCTTTTCTTGTTGCATTGATCCCCTTACCATTATGCAATGTCCTTCTTTGTCTTTTTTTATATTTGCTGGTTTAAAGTCTGTTTTATCAGAGTCTAGAATTGTAACCCCTGCTTTTATTTGCTTTCCATTTGCTTGGTAAATATTCCTCCATCCCTTTATTTTGAGCCTATGTGAGTCTTTGCACGTGAAGCTTATGAAGCTTAGTTTGGCTGGATATGAAATTCTGGGTTGAAAATCCTCTGCTTTAAGAATGTTGAGGCCAGGTGCGGTGGCTCACGCTTGTAATCCCAGCACTTTGAGAGGCCGAGGCAGGCGGATCATGAGGTCAGGAGATCGAGACCATCCTGGCTAACACGGTGAAACCCCATCTCTACTAAAAATACAAAAAATTAGCCAGGCCTGGCAACGGGTGCCTGTAGTCCCAGCTACTCAGGAGGCTGAGGCAGGAGAATGGTGTGAACCCGGGAGGCGGAGCTTGCAGTGAGCCAAGATTGTGCCACTGCACTCCAGCCTGGGTGACAGAGCAAGACTCTGTCTCAAGCAAAACAAAACAAAACAAAACAAAAAAATGAACGTTGAATATTGGCCCTCACTCCCTCTGGCTTTTAGGGTTTCTGCAGAGAGATCCACTGTTAGTCTGATGGGCTTCCCTTTGTGGGTAATCAGCCTTTCTCTCTGGCTGCCCTTAACATTTTTTCCTGCATTTCAACTTTGGTGAATCTGACAATTACGTGTCTTGGGGTTGCTCTTCTCAAAGAGTATCTTTGTGGTGGTCCCTGTATTTCCTGAATTTGAATGTTGGCCTGTCTTGCTAGGCTGGGCAAGTTCTCCTGGATAATATCCTGAAGAGTGTTTTCCAACTTGGTTCCATTCTTTCTGTCACTTTCAGGTATACCAGTCAAACCTAGGTTTGGTCTTTTCACATAGTCCCATATTTCTTGGAGGCTTTGTTTGTTCCTTTTCATTCTTTTTTCTCTAATCTTGTCTTTATGCTTTATTTCAGTAAGTTCATCTTCAATCTCGGATATCCTTCCTTCCCCTCTATCTATTTGGCTATTTCTACTTATGTATGCTTCACGAAGAATTTCGTGCTATGTTTTTCAGCTCCATCAGGTCATTTGTGTTCTTCTCCACTAAACTGGTTATTCTAGTTAATAATTCCTCTAACCTTTTTTCAAGGTTCTTAGCTTCCTTTCATTGGGTTAGAACGTTCTCCTTTAGCTTGGAGGAGTTTGTTATTACCCACCTTCTAAAGTCTACTTCTGTAAATTCGTCAAACTCATACTCTGTCCAGTTCTGTTCCCTTGCTGGTGAAGAGTTGTGATCCTTTGGAGGAGAAGAGGCATTCTGGTTTTTGGAATTTTCAGCCTTTTTGCACTGTTTTTTTTCTCATCTTTGTGGACTTACCTACCTTTGGTCTCTGATGTTTGTGACCTTCAAACGGGGTTTTTGTGTGGATGTCTTTTTTGTGGACATTGATGCTATTCCTTTTTGTTTGTTAGTTTTCCTTTTAACAGTCAGGCCCCTCTGCTGCAGGTCTTCTGGAGTTTGCTGGAGGTTCACTCCAGATCCTATTTGCCTGGGTGTCACCAGCAAAGGCTGCAGAACAGCAAAGATTGCTGCCTCTTCCTTCCTCTGGAAGCTTCATCCCAGAGGGGCACTTGCCAGATGCCTGCTAGAGCTCTCCTGTATGAGGAGTCTATCAACACCTGCTGGGAGGTGTCTCCTCGTCAGGAGGCACGGGGGTCAGGGACCCACTTGAGGAGGCTGTCTGTCCCTTAGCGGAGCTAGAACACTGTGCTCGGAGATCCGCTGCTCTCTTCAGAGCTGGCAGGCAAGAGTGTTTTAGTCTGCTGAGCCTGCGCCCACAGCCGCCCCTTCCCCCAGGTGCTCTGTCCCAGGGAGATGAGAGTTTTATCTGTAAGCCCCTGACTGGGGCTGCTACCTTTCTTTCAGATATGCCCCGCCCAGAGAGGAGGAATCTAGAGAGGCAGTCTGGCTACAGCAGCTTTGCCAAGCTGCAGTGGGCTCTGCCCAGTCCAAAATTCCCAGCGGGTTTGTTTACATTGTGAGGGGAAAAGCACCTACTCAAGCCTCAGTTATGGCAGTTGCCCCTCCCCCCACCAAGCTCCAGGGTCCCAGGTGTCCTTCAGACTGCTGTGCTGGCAATGAGAATTTCAAGCCAGTGGATCTTAGCTTGCTGGGCTCCACAGGGGTGGGATCCACTGAGCTAGACCACTTAGCTCCCTGGCTTCAGCCCCCTTTCCAGGTGAGTGGATGGTTCTGTCTCACTGGCATTCCAGGTGCTACTGGGGTATGAAAAAAAAAACTCCTGCAGCTAGCTTGGTGTCTGCCCAGTTTTGTGCTTGAAACTCAGGCCCTTGGTGGTGTGGACACCCAATGGAATCTCCTGGTGTGCATGTTGTGAAGACTGTGGGAAAAGCATAGTATCTGGGCTGGATAGCTCCGTCCTTCAAGGCACAGTCCCTCATGACTTCCCTTGGCTAGGGGAGGGAGTTCCCCAACCCTTTGCACTTCCCAGGTGAGGCAACACCCCACCCTGCTTCTGCTCACCCTCTGTGGGCTGCACCCACTGTCTAATCAGTCACTGTGAGATGAGCCTGGTACCTCAGTTGGAAATGCAGAAATCACCTGCCTTCTGTGTTGATCTCACTGGGAGCAGCAGACTGGAGCTGTTCCTATTCAGCCATCTTTCTCAGGTCATAATCATAGATTTTTAATTGATCCCAGCAACATGGATTAGTAAACAGCATATTTCCAAGTGATTTTTTTTTATTTTAAGGTCAAATCTACAAAATATTATAGTGTTATCACCACTTAAAATTATTACTGGTGATACTATGTTTGTCTCTATTCACATTTTATTGCTAGAAAGAATTATAATTTGTAGATAATAATAGTTATTTGAAATGTATTACATATCCTTTTACTTTTAAGAAGAGGTGACTTAATTATCTAGGTATACAATTATTTTGAGGATACTAAATGTCATGAATAGCAAATTTATCATATTGCTTTCCTAGGTGAAGACCCTGAAACAAGAAGAATGAGAACAGTTAAAAACATAGCAGACTTGAGGCAGAATTTAGAAGAGACTATGTCCAGTCTTCGTGGGACTCAGATAAGCCACAGGTTTTTTTCAATTTTGCATATATTTGAGCCAATAAAGAAAAAATAATTACAAACAAACATTTAACTTTTCTTATAATGACAGAGATGGGATTTCAGTTTCCCCTTACTATTTTCTCCCTTGTTTTATATCAAATTGATTGGTAATTATCCTTAAACTGAGAATTCACAGTATATACCTATTTATCTTTTATCTCTATCTCTATCTGCTATTTATGTCTTTTTCAGTATAATTTCCAGTACTGCAACTACCACCATCACTGTTAAGTGGATTTGTAATACCTGTCCTAGAAAACAGTGGCACAAGTTGCACTTGAAATGCATCTGGGCAGGGTAGTAGGGAGACATTCAAACATAATTGTAGTTAACTTTCAGAATAGGTCTGGGAAGGTTACAGTGAGTTAAGGATTTGTTGAAAATGTAAAACAATATGTTGTTTTACCCAAGGTGTACTGATGGCCTTTCTTTTGAAAACAAACGAAAAGCTATAAAATGTATGCCCCTTTCCACAATTTGACCTCAAAATGAATATAGAGTTTAGCTTTCGGGAAGATGACGTGTTTATAAGAGATGACCCTCAACTCCAGCCTTTTCTGTCTTCATGCATTCTAGATTATGGCCCTAAGTGAACCAGAGTATAGTTATTTCTCCATTTTATTTGACAGCACCCTGGAGACAACATTTGACAGCACTGTGACAACAGAAGTTAATGGAAGGACCATACCCAACTTGACAAGTCGACCCACCCCCATGACCTGGAGGTTGGGCCAGGCATGTCCGCGACTTCAGGCGGGAGATGCTCCCTCCCTGGGTGCTGGCTATCCTCGCAGTGGTACCAGTCGATTCATCCACACAGACCCCTCGAGGTTCATGTATACCACGCCTCTCCGTCGAGCTGCTGTCTCTAGGCTGGGAAACATGTCACAGATTGACATGAGTGAGAAAGCAAGCAGTGACCTGGACATGTCTTCTGAGGTCGATGTGGGTGGATATATGAGTGATGGTGATATCCTTGGGAAAAGTCTCAGGACTGATGACATCAACAGTGGGTAAGTAACCCTGTTCTCCGTCAGCATTGTGTGAAGAGGGGAGGTGGTCTACTATAATGCATTCACTATAAACAAATGTGTAAGTTTGCCCAGAAAGTCATGAGAACATATGAGATATCTGAGGTTATTCAGAGTGTTGAAGGGCCCTTCCTCTGCTCATTCATGGAGAGTAAAGAATCCAAGATTTCTATAAATTCATTATAAGCCGCTAAGTTTTTCTGTTGTTGAGAGAAACACATGTGGCTTCTGTTTTTCAGAGTGATTTTCACATGCTTCTTAAGTAACAGATTTTGTAGTTAAGGACGTGGGAAGGAGACAGGAGGAGTTTTGCTGATTTGCTTGATTTTTTTTTTCTTTTTTAGCTTGTTAGAAGCTGCCTGTAACTGCTTTGAGAAACAAATATTTTCTTACTGTCTTCAATTATGCATCCCCAATTTAACTTGAGGGAAAAATCACTTTGGAGTTGAAAGTTTCACTCTATTCATTTTCTTTTGATGGTATCAGATTTCAATACATCTCAGACCCTGTTTTTCTTCTGTGTCCTATTACATTCCAAAACATGTTGTGATTGTAAAACTCTTAGAGTATATTAACAATTTGGGATATTTGGCATAATCAGAGAATAGGTCCAAAAGGAGGCAATAGGATATTCTATTAATAATTGTAATTGCCATTTTTAGCATTTCCTGTTATGTACTATGCTCTTGTCAAGTGCTTTGAAGATATTGTTTTACTTTTCCTTCCCACCACCAGCAATGTTTATGAGGTAGATGTTTTTATACATGTTCTATGGATAAGGAAACTGAGTCTAATTGGCCCCGGCTGGGAACTAACGCTAGGGAAACGGCAGACCTGCATTAGAACTCAGCTATGTCTGACTTCAAACACAGGCTCAGTAATATGTGGAAAAGCTTCCCAATTAACTTTGTCTATAAACTTTGTGTGAGTCTGGATTTTGACTTACTCTTTGTCTTTACGCATCTGAGAGGACCCATGTAGGAAATAATTCTTCTATATAAGTGACCCTTCCTGACTTCATTCATGAAAAGCTTATGTTTGAAGGGTGACACGACCTAAAAAAGAGTACAAAATAGCTTTTGATTACATTTATAGCTTTGCTCTGATATCCCAATACCTACTAGTCCATTCCTGGTATCCACCCTACCTGACTTTCTAAAAATTTAGAATTATAGAGACTAATTATGATTAATTAAGATAGGTTGTTGTTCAGTTGCCACTGGATTCAGAGTGCCTAGTTTGAATCTCTCCCATTCACTATCTGTGGACCCCTTCGGAACCTAACGTATCCAAATTAGTTTTTGTCATCTAGAATAAGGATAAAATTGTACCATCTTCATGAAGTTGTTAGGATCATCCACAAATTTTAGTTTGCGCAATGCTTGGCATGATACAAGCACTCAATAAATTTATCATCTTCCTCTTTATCATCACTATTACATTTATTATCATTAATAACCATACCAATTTTTGGTTGTTGTTAGTTATAATTATCATTTTTGTATGTATTTAACATAGCCTAGGAGGCAATGCCCAGTTCAGAAAACATAATGGCAAAGCAAGAGTGTCTAAGGCACACTCTTTCTCCCATCTCTCTCTTCTTTCTTCTCCATTCTTTCCACTCTATCCCCTCTTCTCTTTTTTTTCTCAATCTCCTTAGATGTGGACATATGTGTGAATTCAATTTTATAATCACTATTCAAATATATTTATATGGCTAATTATATACATAAGTATACCCATATAATATATATAAAGATATATATACCAAGGCTGGGCACGGTGGCTCATGCCTGTAATCCCAGCACTTTGGGAAGCCAAGGCAGATGGATCGCCTGAGGTCAGGAGTTCAAGACCAGCCTGCCCAACATGGCAAAAACCCATCTCTACTAAAAAAGTTAGCCAGGCATGGTGGCTTGTGCCTGTATTCCCAGCTACTTGGGAGGCTGAGGCAGGAGAACCACCTGAAACCGGGAGGCAGAAGTTGCAGTGAGCTGAGATTGCACCACTGCACCACTCCAGCCTGGGTGACAGAGTGAGACTCCGTCTAAAAATATATATATATATAATATATATATGTATGTATGTATGTATATGTATGTGTATGTATGTATATATACCTATGTGCACTCAATATCATTATTCATGGTACTTCTCTTCTATGAAGTCACCACAAACACTGCATTAGTGAATCCTGAACTATTGCCCCTAGTAGAGATATAGGTTTTGGTTCCTGTGAGCATTTGGCCACAATATTTTTGTCAACTGATCAATACATAAACTTGCTTTACGTAAGTCTCTCTTTAAAGACACCTTATTTAATACATACTATTGATTCATTCACGTGGAACTCCCAGCCAACAGCACTATAACTAAGGCCGGAATGAAGCTTATCTAGTGCATATTTTCTCTGTGAGATGCATTGAAGACTGCTTGCAATTAGGAACATAATATGACACTTCAGCACCAAGTTTGGGGGCCACTTTAAACAGCACAATTCTCAGCATAAAAACACAAAAAATGTGGAAAACATGGCACTAAATAGGCCATAGAAGAACATTTGTTGTGATATTAGAGCTGATACAAGAACACAGAGTATCACTTTATTTAGCCTTAGCTGGAAACGTCTGAGACTCATTTTTTTTCACGGTTCTGTTCATATCCATGAATGGCTGTGAAAGTGCTACGAGTTTAGATTTTGTGGCTACATATAAATTTTAGCAAGTAGGCAACTTCACGAATATAGAATTTGTGAATAATGATGATTGACAATATATACTCACACTCATGTAGAATGTTTATCTGTAGAGTGACAGCATATCTTGGGAGCAGTTTGAATAAGAAATCAAGGGACATCTACAGTGCAATATGTTGGGAATTTCAAAAGGCTTATAGGGATAAAAATTGAGCTAAGAGTTCAGAATGAGGAGAAAGTACTAAACCCTCACATGAAATAGAAAGCAGTGAATAAGAAAAAGAAACATTTTAGTTATTTTTTCTGATTTAAGAGCTATAGACAAAGGAAATATATTTAAAATACATATATAAGAAAAGTACAAACATAGAAGGTATAAATTATTCAGTAAACTTGCATAAAATGTAATTTTCAGAATCAAAGGGACAGTGGATTAGATGATATTGATGATTTTTCTCTTAACTGAGAGTCATGGAACATGAATATTTAAAGATAATGTCTTAGAGATAGGCACTATTTTGACAGACCTTAACATCATTATGCTAAGAAGTTTAAACTACATTATAAGCTATGTAAAATACTATATCTTAGAGATTACTAAACAGTCATAGAACATGGCATGAGGATGGTGATGGCTTTTGAAGGCCACTTTATGGGAAGGAAATATGCAAAGTGAATTCAGGGGAGAAACTCGGGGGTTCAATTTCAGGAACTAGTGCAAGAGCTCTGGCTCAAGCTCATAAGATTAGAAATATGGTAGTGGCATTTGTAGGGATAAAATTAGGAAAGTAATTGATATGGGAAGCACTGCAAAGGAAAAGTTTATAGAACCAGAGATGGACTACCCATGAAGGCATAAGGCAGACAAGAATTAAGATACCTACATCATAAGCACAGGAGATGGAAAATAGTACCGTTAGAGAAAATCGGCAGAGAGAGAAAGAGAGAGAGCGAGAGAGAGAGGATTTTTTGATGAGAAAGCAGAGAGAGAGATGATGAATTTAGAGTTAGAGATGTAGAGCTGGAGACGGTGAGATATGAAGATTGTTTGTCCAGGATAGAGATCTATTGTATTTCATCTCAATAAAAGAGAGCAGGAATTGTGGGAGGCATTAAGGCTCCTGGGAAAAGAATATGGAAAGAACAGGGATCATAAACTGAATTATGTATATATGTATGTATACATGTATATGTCTATTAAAAATATTTATCGAGTTCATCCTATGTGTCAAGCAACATTCCAGGCACTGTGCATTCAGTAGTGAATAATATAGACATAGTACGTGCCCACATGTGACTCACATGATGGTGTTTTCATATTTTTGTAGCAGTCCAGTTATTCAGTAAATTAATTGTAATATGCACACATATGTGTATATATACATATATATGCACACATATGTGTATATATACATATATATACACACAGAGAAGTATTCTTAAACAGATAGTTGTTTTAAACGTTTTTTAACAACTGAATTCTGCATATAATAATATATGTTACAGGCATATTGTACTCAGGAGCACTTTATATTTTGCAAGAATACATGCAATATATGCAAGAATACATGCATAATATGTTAACTATATTAGTTAACATTGATTTCGAAAACAGAGAAATCTCAAAATCTCAGTAACTTAACACAAAGAAGCTAATTTGTTCTTCACATAAAACCCTCGCTGATGTTTCTGATCTTCACCTGGGGAATGCACTCCATGTAGTCATTCAGAGAATAAGATGGATGGTAATTCTGTTGTTACCCAGCCAGATTTCCAGTGTTACCCTAGGCATTGATATTCAACAGGCAAATGGCAAAAGAGGGGAAGACCCAGGGTGTGAGAAGATTTTGTATGTATCAGGCCTGGAAGTCATGCATATGAGTTCTGCCTGCATTCATTTGTCTAGAACAGCTGCATGACCACATCTGACTGTAAAAGAGACTAGGTTATATGGTTCAGCTGTGTGCCCAGGAGGAGAGGGAAATTGGTTTGATGACATCTGGCTAGTCTCTGCTGAACTCACTAATTTTTTAAAAAATGCTGTTATAGACTTTGTCCTTCTTATTTGTTTCTGCTTCATTTAAAACATGATTCAGACTTCTTGTTTCCTCTATTTTTGTTCCCTAACATCTTTCAAAAAAGTCTTGGATAGTCTCACAAATGAGTCCATTTAAATATGCATTGATGGTCTACATGTCTTATGTTGACAAGTAAAAATACCTCAAATCCTACATGAAACTTCCCCTGTTTACTCACATACATTTGTTCTTTCCTATGTTAGAGTACAAGACACTGAAATTTAAGTCATGACTCAGTTCTCTTACCTGTGCGGAAGATGCTAAGATCTGATCAGCAGATGATGAGGCTGGTCTTAGCTCAAGGATGATTGTGCGAGGATACCCAGGATGTGCTGGACTTATTGCTCATCAGCTTATGCAGTGTGCCCTTGTTGGCTTACGTAGGAGGCAGCCCCAAAATCTCAGCCTAGAATTAAAACGTGAGAAGACAAGAGGGCTGGAGATACCCAGGAAAAGTTTAATTTGATGGTGTTTCTTTAAGAAAAGGGGGCTTAGAAGTATTTATGCTGGCCGGGTATGGTGGCTCATGCCTGTAATCCCAGCACTTTGGGAGGCTGAGGCAGATAGATCACCTTAAGTCAGGAGTTCGAGACCATCTTGGCCAACATGGTGAAACCTCATCTCTACTAAAAATACAAAAATTAGCTGGGCATGGTGGTGCACACCAGTAATCTCAGCTACTTGGTAAGCTGAGGCAGGAGAATTGCTTGAACCCAGGAAGCAGAGGTTGCAGTGAGCCGAGATCTCACCACTGCACCCCAGCCTGGGTAACGGAGTGAGACTCTATCTCAAAAAAAACGTATTTATGCTACGAGTCATGAAAAAGTTGAATCATAAATTTAACTCTCTTTTCAAAATGTTTAAAAATATGTTTTAAAGATTAAAGGAACAAAAGGCTCAATAAGGTAGTAATGAATGAAGATGTTTAATTTAGGATTTTCTCATGTAACCACGAAGAACGTCATGAAGTCATTTAAATGGGAATAAAGTTTCATTTTTTTCCATGTACTCTAGGTGTAACTCAGAAAGTTAGTTAATCAGCATTCTGAGAATTCAAAATTTCTTGAAGCATGCGAAGGCTTATCTCTTTCTCCTCTTTTTGAATTTACTTTAAACACTGGGGGATATGAATCTGTCAGTAATTAGGAATTAGTCAGAGAAAGGCCTCTTACTCATAATGAACCTCTTTGAAAAGTCTCTATTTATGAAGTTAAAAACACCCTGGAAAATTGGGATAAAAGTTACATATTTTAATTGAGTGGAAATTGAAGTTATCTTCAGGTGTCACAGTAATAAATAGTTGGGCCAAGAATATAACCTAAAATTCTACTTTAAGTCACGTGACCAAACACAAACTAATCTAAGAATTCTGTGGAGTAAAAATTAAAAATAAGGCACAGAAGTGAGGGGTAGATATACTTTAATCCTGCTTCTGCCTTGATCCTCCCTCAATTCTCATTTAGTAAACTTTGTGATGACTGAAGTATGCATAACAGTGTGCAAAAGGTCAGAGTTACTTGAGCTGTGTTAAAAAGATCCATCTTTTGCACCACAGATTCCTAATCTTAATGCTTCCTCTAATTTCACTTTCAGGATATGAGCTATTTTAGTGACTCTAGAAACTCTAATGCATAAAATAGCTAGTATTTTTAAAGATAGTATTTATATGTCACTTACAATGTGCTAGACAATGCTGTATGCATGTTATATATATATTAACTCACTGGTAGCTCACCATCACTGCAAGAAGTGAGCATATCATTGCTGTTTCCATTTTACAGATGAAGCAATTTAAACATAGCTTGTTTAAGTGACTTACCTCAGCCCACACAGCTAGTAAGTAGCAGCACTGTAGTTGAACCTAAGCAGTCTGGCTCTGGTCTACACTCAACCATCCTTACACACTGACCTTAGGAAACTGTCTGCATGTCTACATGTAAGGGTTTCTCTCCTAGGTGCCTGATTTTTTTCCAAACAATCATTTAAAAAAGGTTCACAGCAATCATTTGTTATCAGCATGGATTTTGTAGCTAGCACATTTAATGTAAGGGGCATTTTTAAATGTTATCTATGCCACTCTAAAGGAAGATGCTGAACTGGAGTTTCTTTAAGGGAGTGGTGAGGATCACTTTAGATTCTCTGTGTGTGCATGCAATTACAAATTAACTAATTGTGACAGATAGCAGCTGATATGAGATATTAAATATAAAAACATAGAATTCTAGGAAGATGGCTCTATTAGTGTGTTCTCACTCTGCTAATAAAGACATATTTGAGACTGGGTGATTTATAAGGGAAAGAGGTTTAATTGACTCACAGTTTCACATGGCTGGGGAGGCTTCACAATCATAGTGGAAAGTCAAGGGACATATTACATGGCACACCGCAGGCAAGAGAGCTTGTGCAAGGGAACTCCCATTTATAAAACCATCAGATCTCGTCAGACTTACTACCAGGAGAACAATATGGGGAAAACTATCCCCGTTATTCAGTTATCTCTATCTGCCCCCTCCCTTGACACATGGGGATTATTACAATTCAGGGTGAGAGTTGGGTGGGGACACAGCTAGTTGTGACAGTGCAGTGACAGCAGCTGATATGAGGTATTAAATATAAAAACATAGAATTCTAGGAAGATGGCAGATATGGTGGAAGTTTAGGTTTTGATCCATTACTCCTATGACCTCTTCAAAAACAGTATTTCAAAAATGAAATTTTCTTTCTTTTAATTTCTTAAGAGTTATATTATCTGCAAGCCTATTCATAATATTAATAACAAAAGGGAAAAATAGGTTCTATGGTAGGCTAGTTACTTGTCGCAGTAACTACTACTAGGAAATATTGATACAAATACTAGGAAATATTGATTTCCTAGTAAACTTGAAAAAATATTTTAATTATCCCTGGTGAGTAGAATGTTTATACAGAATAAAAAACAAGATAATAGAATATATTTGAGTAATTATTGAAAATTGTGGACACCGTTTGTTTATTAAGTTAAATTGTACAGTTGAGTTGATTTAGTTTTCTGTGAATTAATTAGACATTTCTTTTCAGGTACATGACAGATGGAGGACTTAACCTATATACTAGAAGTCTGAACCGAATACCAGACACAGCAACTTCCCGGGACATCATCCAGAGAGGGGTTCACGATGTGACAGTGGATGCAGACAGGTAATGCTATCAGCATATATGATGGTGAGACATGCATGAAGTAATTTTATAAATAAGAAAATAACAGAAAACTCCTATTAAACAGTGTAAATCAAAGGACTTTTTATTTTGATAAATAATTATTTTATTTTGATAAATAATTATTTAGGGTTTTTTTGTTTGTTTGTTTGTTTTCGTTTTTTTTGTGTGTGTGAGACAGAGTCTTGCTCTGTCACCAGGCTGGAGTGCAATGGTGCAATCTCAGCTCACTGCAACCTCTGCCTCCTGGGTTCAAGTGATTCTCCTGCCTCAGCCTCCTGAGTAGCTGGGACTCCAGGCACGCACCACCATGCCCAGCTAATTTTTGTATTTTTAGTAGAGATGGAGTTTTACCATGTTGGTCAGGATGGTCTCCATCTCTTGACCTTGTGATCCACCCGCCTCGGCCTCCCAAAGTACTGGGATTACAGGCATGAGCCTCTACGCCCCGCCTATTTGGGGATATTTTTAAAACTAGGATGATTTTCTTTACAAGGCCATTTTAGCTCTGTAATACCAAAAATAAATGTATGGCTGGGGAGATTTTTTTTTAATTTCAGGTAACATAGTTGCAAATGTTAATATCTATAAAAGCAGAATTATAAACATAGACTTATTTTCCTTGTTAGAAAGAAACTCTGGTTAATAAGTTTCATTCAGTTCAGATATCCTCAGATTTACCTGGAAGCTAATGATATAAAGATTAAAATATATTTCAAATCATCTAGTATAATAAGCTTGATGCTTTCCTTGAAGGTGTTGTAAACATAGAAAAACTCTTACTTTAGGCTTATTTTTGCTTCTTTATTGCCTCAAATTTCTTAAAGATGTGTGTGTGTGTGTGTGTGTCTGTGTGTGTGTGATGAACTAATTATTTTGCTGGAAATTGCTCTGCTGATTTATCAGAATCATCACTGTTTAAGAACATTGCTTTGGTAAGATAATGTTGTAATATACATTTCTGGCCTGATTTTGCTCCCTCTTCACTCAGAATTTTGACTTTGTTGAGCAGGAAGGGATTGCATATTTTCAGAATTATTATATCTAAATACCTAGAGTAGTTGTTTAATTCAGCATTTATGAAAAAGACAAAAGGTTAAGGTGCAATGTACTCACATTCTGAAATAGGAACTGTATACAATTCATTGTGCATTTTTGTACAGTCAACTCCAAAGGCTAGATACCCAGGGAATTCTAA
Organism: Homo sapiens; assembly: GCF_000001405.40. Classification (NCBI taxonomy): domain Eukaryota; kingdom Metazoa; phylum Chordata; class Mammalia; order Primates; family Hominidae; genus Homo; species Homo sapiens. Next base: position 78,060,332 of record NC_000012.12, read on the forward strand.
TATTAGTCTTCAGTTTCTCCTTACCCACAGGCTGTTGATATCCTGACTCATAGTGGTTAGAACAGTCTCAGCTCCCACCCTGTCTGTATCCTACTCTCCTAGCCTATATACTCTTGTGTGTGGGTGTGGGTGTGAAGCATGTGTATGTGTGTGTGTGAAGCATCTCCCCACCTGTAATGTAAGTCCATGAGTGCAGAATTTTTGTCATATTCTTTACGTGTTGAGTTTTAACAAATGTTTGTGGAGTGAATGAACAAATTAATGAATATAGGCTATTTATTAATTAGGCAATATAGTCACATAGGCTGGCAATCGCATCTAATTAAATAGAGTGGTAAATGAGTTCCAGAAAGAACTAAGGTACTACAAGGATGTTATGAAAGAGAAAAATGAGTTATGTGAAAAATAGGAGACAGTGATAAGAGGGAAAGAATCCCAAAGTGTGGGCCACATTTTGAAACTAATGACCTATTATTCTATTATTGTTAGCTGAAAGTAGAAAACGTCATGGGAGGGAATATCTGCTAGTTTTTGGTAAAGGATGTTGTGATGGCAGAACCAAGAAATGAACACAAGGTGACTTTGGTTTGGGGACAGTGGGATAATCAACTCTCCTTGCTCCATCAGGGCCCCAGACTGGGCTCTGGCAGAGGAACTCAGAACAACGTAAAGACCTAGATAGGTATCTAATAAATTGGGACCTGTGAAAACAGTGCCTCTTAAAGTGTGGTACCTGGACCAGCAGCAGCAGCAGCAGCAGCCATTGAAACTTCATAGAAAGACAGATTCTCAGCTTCATCCAAGACTTACTGAATTAGAATATCTCAAGGTAAGGCCTGGTAATCTGAGCTTTAACTAGCCCTCAAGGTGATTCTTAAGTTCAAGCATCACTATATTAAGTTGAACAAATAGATGCCAGGCCTATAAATACATGTAACGCCTAGCATAAATATTTCAACATTAAAAATGACATTTCATAGTTCTTATTTACCCTATTAGCTGTGTTCTGTCAAGATAATGAGAATATTGATATGTTAGAATACACTGATGGCACTAATTTTTAAATTAGATCAAATAATGACTTGTTATACCTGAAATAAATTGGTTCAGCTTGGTAGATGCAGTTTTTGAGAATTATATAAGTCATTTTTAAAAGAATAATTTTAACTTGAGCTGCTTGCATAAATTAAATTGCAAAAAGGTCATAGTATAAATCCTCCTATTAGCAGAGATAGAAGGTTTTTAAAAAAATTACAGATAAGTCTGAAGGTCTTTTAAAATCTTATATTCAGGAAGTGACTCGGGATGTATATCATTTTAAAATACATGGTCTTAAATGTTGTAGTTGTATGACTCTTTCAGTTAATTTAAAATACTTCCTTCTATGAAAAATTGTTTCAAAAATTTTTCTAAATTCTGTTATCCATTTCAAGTAGGATAGGCAAGAACAGATATAAGATACTACTTTTTTGTTCATGTTTACTAAAAAAAAAATTACTGTAATTGAGATCATGTAAAAACATGTTTCCTGTCTATTTGTCTTAACCTTTTAATCCTGGCACCTTAAATTTGACATAGTAGGAATTAGAAGACAATTGCAGAAAATGTCAACTGGGGAAATTTTATTCTACTAAAAACTATGTCCATACAACATAGCAAATCACATTTTAAAGGCCAAAAAGTCTTTCATAGCAATTTTTCAGATTATTTTCAAAGCATATCTTCTCTCTGCTCCTGCAGCATGCCGTTGATTTTTCTGTTATGCAGTCACATAAGTAATTACATGTTTACATGTCTATTTCACTCATAGAACACGAAACAGTTAAATGTAGAATAATATCCAATCCATCTTTTTATCACCAGTAGCTAGCATACTGTAGGAACTCAATAAATATATCAGATAAATTGTGGAAATAACCATATCAGCTTATAACATATAGAAATGTGAGTTTAAAAAGAAAACAATTATACATATGAAAAAATTTTTATACCATTTTTTTAAAGACCTTTCAGATGTCATACAGTTTGGACTTTTCCAGTGTTTCTTGTATCATGAGACAATAGTAGACATTGTAAATCAAAAATAGTTTTCTGGGGTTGTGTACATTTGAAAAAACTGAATATCATATCTGTTCTTAGAGAGTAATGATGGATATTAACATATCAAAGGTACAGAGAAGTCTTAAAGTTCAAAGTAACATCTGCTTAATTGTATTTAATTCAGTGCTCCATGAGCTTTTTTATCACTGATTCCCTCCCTTTTTTCTCTTATGATAATAATTAACTTGTTCCTGTAGCATTTTAAGAAATGTTGATTTAGTTGAATGCCTTCACTTCTCCAATATAATAGCAGAAACTCAGAAATATTTATTTACCCAGAATCATGCAGCTAATAGTACAAGGATTCAGGTCTTTTACTTCCTATTTTGTGGTTCCCAACTACTTTTGCCAAAGGTCTTTTAAATAATATGAAACATATTAGTGATTGATTCATTATAGTAAATGGGTAAATGATAAGGCTTGCAATAATTCACTGACAAGAAAGCTTAAAAGTCAAAAGAAAAAAAAATCCACAGCATTTTTTTTTCTTAGTTATTCTTTCTAAAAGCTGTGTAAGTGCAAAAGCAGAGTCATAGCACAATGGCAGCCAGCCAGCTACCTAGCATAGCAATGGACTTGAATTGTTTGTATTGTTATAGTGAAGGCTATAGTTTCCCTTTGATCAACTTCTGGTTAAAATGTGATGGACATTAGAGAACAACTGAATTCCTCTTACCAGCACATTAAAAAGGCCCCAAAGGAAAAATGAGGACTTTCAGCAGCCATCTGTAGTATATTTTAAATATTTTATTGCTTAAAGATATTGCAGTTCATTTACTTTCCATATCAATCCAACACCAACCCCATTTCTGTATTTACTTGACTAAAAAAAAGATTGCAGAATGGGTATAATCCTTGCAGATATGTTGGAGACTCTCCAGCAACTTCACAGATACATTTATAGCTGGCAGTTAAATATGTGGGTTTTATACATTGTGTTGGGCTATGTTTAAAGGGTACATTTTTGGGGACTGCAGGATGATTGTGGTTTTGACCTTTATTAACTCCTATTATTGTTCTTACTCTAGATTCTATGCTAACAATCACAAATATTTTATAAACAAATATATGATTACTTCCTAAGTGCCTGTCATCATAGTAGCACCTTGGGTAAAAATAAAACAAAACAGTATGGGTGAAAGTTCCTCAGTTTAATGGTAAGAGAGAGTAATGTAAACAAAGGCCCCTCTTAATAGATGTCTATACAATGTGCCTTAGAAGCACCAAAGAGAAACAGTTACTCCTACCTGGGAGTATAAAGGAAAGACTTCAAAACACAGTAGCATTTAAGCAGGGTCTTAAAGAAAGCATACAACTTTTTGACATCCAGCCTGGGAGAAATCAGAAGGAATGTGGGGAGTGAGAGCATAAAGGCATAGAAGAGTTTGGTGTGAGGAACCAGTAATGGGATTCTGAAGTGCACTGGGAATGTGGACAAGGAGACGAGAGACAAAGGACCTGGGGGCCATACTAGGGTGTTTGGACCTATAGGTGATAAGGAGCTATTTTACTAAGTTTAATTAGTTTTATTTCATTTCAAGGCAAAAGCACATGCTATAATCATTGTATTTTAAAAGGAACTCTCATAGCAATGTAAGAACATTGAAGAGGGATGAGATAAAGACAGGTAGAGTGCTTAGAAAGTGACTAAAATAAATTAGATGAGCACCTAACTAAAGAATGGCAGTGGGGAAGGGGGCTGGGGACACCATCTATTTCTAGAGGAACTTGGGTTTTGTCTATGTGTATGATAATCCTTGGCTGTCATAACTAAATACCACAGACTGAGTGGCTTAAACAATAGACATTTAGTTTTTCACAGTTCTGGAGGCTAGAAGTTTATGATCAAGGTGTCAGCAAATTTGTTTTTTGATGAGAACTCTTCCTGACTTCCAGAGAGTGGGTTTCATGCTGTATTCTCACATGGCCTTTCCTCTGTGCTCCTGGAGACATCTATCTATCTGTGTCTGTCTGTCTGTCTGTCTGTCTGTCTGTCTGCCTGCCTGCCTGCCTGCCTGCCTGCCTGCCTGCCTGTCTGTCTATATAGAGAGAGGTCTTTGGTGTCCCTCTCTCTTCTTATAAGGGCACCAGTGCTATTAGATTAGGATTCCACCCTTATGTATTAATTTAACCTGAATTACCTCTGTAAAAGTCCTGTTTCCAAATACAGTCACATTGCAGGTTAAAAATTCATATAAATTAGGGGGTGGAGACATAATTCAATTCATAACCCTGTGTAACTCCCAGGTGGATATGTCCTTGGGGATATAAGGTCAGTCACTATATATGTGCTGGATTAAAGTATTAGTATGTATAATAATCATATATATAATCTAGATCATATATACGAGTGTATACAAAATTAGCTCGTATACAAGCTCTAGATTGTATATATGCATATTTATATTGTAAATTGCTGCCTTTGGAAATGCGTAAATGTGGAAAAGAGAGCCAGGGATTGCCAAACCATTTGATTTTGTTTTTCAAGTGAAGCCAAGAGTCTGGACTCTTATGAGAAGTTTCCCAATTTTTAAGTATTAGAACTCTCCTAACAGATACGTAAGATCAATAGATACAGTTAAAGACAAAAAACTTTCTTCAGTGGGAGAAAAATCTAGAAATTCACAGACATGGTTATATAAAGCAGGAGAGAGTGAAGATTGCACTCATGGTCCTGTAACTGTCCTAGTTCCTTGAAGTTTCTCACCGAGATAGAGCTGGTGATGATACCACCTGTGCAGAGTGAAAATTCCACCAGTCATGAGAAGCCTGCCCAGCAGGTGAGGTAACTGTGGCAAAACTATCTGAGCTCTTTTTGGAGATTTTAATGCAAGACAGCACAAATCTAAAGTCAGCTTCCCAGCCATAGCATCACTCAGTAGAGCTGGCCTCCTGCCTGCCTGAGGCCGATTATGACAGTAATGAATTAAATTTTGTTTAAACCACTCTGTGACTCTGCACTGTGCAAGCTAGGAACATTTGTATCTCAAATGTACAGTAAGAAAACAAGCCCTGAGAATGAATTCTTAGCATTGAAAGAGTGAATAAAGGAAGAACAACCATTGGAGAGACAGAGAAATCAGCTTTAACACAAAGATCAAAGGACAACCAGGGTTAGCTGATATTTTTTGAAATGGAGAGAAGAGGAAATATGCAATACTATACAATTCCATGGATAAGTGATGTTTGACAACTGGCAACTAGTTTCTTATCAGTGGCTTTATCAAAGTTAGTTTCAATGAAATACTGAAGGAGCATGCTAGGTTATGAAAAGGTGAAGAAGTTAGGAGGTTGAAACAATAAAGGGAGATCTTCAGGAAAGTTGCAGGGAAGGTAAGGAGAAAGATCAGATAGAAGTCAACAAAAGGGACAGGATGAAGATTATTGCTGATTTGCTCTGTTTTGTTTTGGGGAGAAAGGAATTTGATCTGGTACAGAGAGTGAATTCCTAGACAAAATAAGGTGATAAGTCTTAAGGAAGATAGAAGAATCTGGGAAAAGATTACTAGAACTGCTGTAGATTTAACATTTATCTCCTTTCCACAATTCATGTGTTAAAACCTAGTCCCCCTTGTGATGATATTTGGAGGTAAGGTCTTTGGGAAGTGATTGGATCACAAGAGTGGAGCTCTCATGAATGCTATTAGTGTCCTTAGAAAAGAAATCACTAGCAAGTGCCCCTTAGCCTCTCCTGCCATATGAGGTTACATCAAAAAGTCAGCTGCCTATGAACCAGCAATCAGGCCCTCTTCAGACACAAATCTGCTGGCACCTTGATAAAGGCTTCTGAAAACATTACCTTGAAGTCCCTGAGCATGTTTAATGAAAGGAAGGGGATCAAAGAGGTTGATTAGAAGGTTTTTACCACAAAATAAAATAAAATAATAATAAATTTCACATTTGAGAGGTAGAGATTTACTGACTGGTTGAACAAATTGCAAGCTATAACCTGGGTTACTGAAGTAGAATGATAATAGAAGTCAAAATTAGGTTACGTAGATGATTCATCCAGGTAGCTATTCAGTCAATATGATGGCAAAATGAATCTCAAAGGAGAGAAAGGCAAAGCTCCAGATACCATATATTATATTGAATATGAACAAAATTCTACAACTTGTGGTAACAAAGATACCTTTCAAGCTATATTTTGGGTTGTCTGTCACATTGTTATCTAAACTATATTCCTAAATATAGTGATTGCTAATTTTAATTATAAACTAATCAATATAACTTCACATTTATACTATTTTCATATATAATCATGCTTTTATTGAAAGTATAAAAGCATAATACATCATAGAAATTATTTTTGTATTGTACTACTTGATGGATTGTTTTGATTTGTGAAACTATAATCCAGATGCTGAAATCACAGTTTCCAAAAGGCATTAAAGATTGTCATGTTTTTATGTGACTCTGAGGTTGCCATTGTAACTCATCATATATTGAAGCAGGCCTAAGTTCAAATCTAAATACATAGTTAACACTAAATATCTAAGTCTGCAATTGTTAGCAATGTGCAGAAAATTACATTGCCATGACAAAGGGCACCATGCCAGTTCTCATGAAATCATGGGGGCATCAGTTATAAGGGTGGGAGACCTTTATGATTTCCAAGCCTTTTCCAACTAGGAAAAGTAAAGGCAACAGAGATTTTTCCTAAGCCGCCAAGCAAATATCTCTGGGATCAGGTTCATGATGCTTGTCACTAGTGTGTGTAAACTAATCATTCATTTTATCCATGTTGATTTGTTCCAGTACAATCACAGAATTAGTATACTCCCATGTCTTAACTATTTCCTTCATTAGCTTACTGGCTCTCCATAGTAATTAAAAGCAAACACAATAAAGATTAACAGGCTGAGATGGAAAGAGACAAAGTAAATATAATTACTTCATTTTATAATCAGATGGCCTGCCTTTTCTGCCCACATTTCTTTACTCTAAGAGACCAATGCAAAATAATAGGGACGTGGAAAAACTGTTATTGATGCCCTCTCAAATTCCCTTTGCCATTCTGCTCATGATTGCAAGAATATGAACAGGTTCTGGACTTCTCTTCAAATCTTAAAATTAACTGTGCCCATTGTGAATAACCTCAGAGGCTTCCAGTACTTTTTTATAATGCCCCTTAGGAAATTAATTCATACCACATCCACATGTTGAGAACCTACTCTCTGCCAATCACTGTGCTCAATCCTGGGCTTTTTATTCAAGAGTCTTATATTAGAAGAGCATTAGAATAGGGATTGTTAAACCTCAATTGCCATTGAAATTCAAAAGATCCTTCAACACTACAACTGGCCCAAGTTGTAGATTGTAGCTCTAAATGCTATTTTTTCATAAGACTCACCTTGACATTAAACTTGATCAATTTTTAACTTTACCATTATAGAATGATTCTCCCAATACAAGAGATGGTTCCCAGGACTCTTATTGATGTATAATTTTTATCTTATCTGCTTATAATAGAATTTACTAATGAATCTTATGAGGATGGTAAACATATTGAGAAGAAGAAAAGAGGAAGAAGAAAAGGAGGAAAGGAGGAGAAAAGAGGAGGAGGAAGAGGAGGAATGAGGAGGAAAAGGAGGAGAACGAAGAGGAGGAAGAGTAGTCAAATTTGTTATAATAACAATAGCTATAATAGACATAAGTATTGAGGACCTAGTGTGTGTAGCTAACATACCATATTACTTAAATATATTATTTTACTTTATCTTTACAATAGCCCTATAAAGTAGGTTTTATTACTACCATTGAGGCAAATAATTCTTACATCAAGTAGCTTACCCATAGATACTTTCTTAATAAATAATAATTGCAGAATTTGAATTTAGATCTTATGTTTTAAGTATTATTCATAAAATTATTAATTTAGATAAAGGTTTTTATCATGCCTGGATGAAATATTTTGACTTCATAAATTATTTAATTTTTCCATTTTGACCTAAACATATCTATACTATAAATAGTTTTTTTAAAATTCAGCTTCAAAAAAGTTGGTAAATTAATTCAATGTATAATGGTATCTATTTCCATTGCAGATTGTCAATAGATCTTAAAACACAGGTGACAGAACAGTCATTTCACATGTGTGAGAGCGTCTAAAAAGCTAGTTAGCTTGCTGATATCAATAAAGCAATTTAACAGTGTTTTGTTCTTTTATATATATTATATATAATATATAATTATATATAATTACATATATATAATTTATAATACATATATTTTATATATAATGGATGTAATATATATAAATCTGTCATTATCTTGAAATCTAATTATTACTGAAATATCTATTTCTAACAGGCTCAGGAAATAGAAAAATGGAAGAGGGAGAAATATGTTTGGCTCATAAAATGAAAAATACTAAAAGAGCACTTATATGAGGGAAAAAGGAATTTTGGTCCTTTTATATTACATGATATTACTTTTCATGATGAGAGATATCCTAGCTAATTAAATGGTTAATTTTATTTAAGAAGTTATATCTATACATGAAACACTTCGTTATTTTGCCTTCAAGAACTAGGCATGAATTCTTTTTTTTTTTTAATAGGCTAACTAATGGGTTCAGATTTTCAATTTGGGATCATTAAATTGAAGGCATTTTGGCCGGCAGCTGATAAATTCTGCATCTTCCTCACTCCGGCTGCATAGAGTGGGTGGCATGGACTTATTTATTAGAGGCATATGGGTTCCATTTATATTTTTTTCTTGCTTGACTTAATTTGCATTTTAAATAGTTAAAGTTATTTGCAATAAGCTTGGTTTTTTTTAAAGCCTTACCAGAGCTCCCATATGTTTTTTTAGGATAAGTTGTAAATGACAGTGTTTTCATTATAAAATTATTTTCTAAACTAAATCGTTTTTTATTACAAAACTTTTCTAGGTTTATTAATGAAAATTCACAGAGTATACAAAAGTGTGAAGAAGAATCTAAAAAGAATCTGTAATCCTCTCATCCCAAAGACAACCAAGAATATTGCATTAAGATATTTCCTTCTAGGCTTCTTTACCCTTTCTATTTACATAGTTTGGTTACATCATATATATAGTATAGTACCCTGCTTTCTTCACTGTATTTATATAATAAATAATACTGTGTAATATTAGATATTATTTTTGAATATGATTTTTAATGATTGCATGTCCTTCTGTTATGTGGAATAAATTACATATCTAAAGAGCTAGTGCAATAAACCATTAAATTTAAGGTATTCATCACATTTCTGATTTATATGCAGAACAATTAGCAGAATCCTATCTGATCTGGTTGTATGACTATATTCATGAATTTGTTTTCTAAAAAGATCAAATTTTGAACTTACTAGGAGATGCCTCACATATCGTGTGTGTATGTTAGTGTGGGTATATGTGTATGTATATATATACATACACATTTGGTATTTTTCTATACTTGTTTGATGAGATAAAGATTTACAATTTTTAGATTTTTAATTTCAAGTATGTATTTGTAAACTATCAGGAATTATAGTTTGTTGCAATTATGAAATATTTTGTCAGTTAGGTTTTCCTGCTGACAAGATAGATGATAAAACCTTTTTACTGAAACTATGCTTCTTTATGAAACTTAATTAAATATCCAGGAGTTCCTTACTTTTTACAGAACAAAACTCTATCATTTGTTTCTCTAAGAGTATATTTTACTCTAACGTCAGACACGTTGGACTAGCCACATCTACCTGACTGTTCAAATATTTGCTAGGTAAAAATAAAATTATTTATAATAATAGTTCCCTTCTTGAATATTTGGTTGGTGCCACATATATTGCTGAGTACTTCACATGTGCGAATTAATTTAATTCCCATAACAACCTTCTAGGTTTGATACTATAATCAATGCCTTTTTGCAAATGAGGCATGCAATGCACAAGAGACTGAAAAACTTTCTCAAGGTTACACCACTAGTAAATGCCAGATGCTGGGATTTATACTCAGGTGAAGTTTTTTTTTTTTTTTTAAAGTGCATAAGAATAATGACGTCAATAATATTTTAATTATTTTGAAATTGTTTCCAGCTTCACTCTTGATCACAAGCTAGTGACTAGAACAGGTTAATCATAGTGAAAACTAATAGATATGCTGTTTAAATTTCTTTTTTTTATTATTATACTTTAAGTTTTAGGGTACATGTGCACATTGTGCAGGTTAGTTACATATGTATACATGTGCCATGCTGGTGCGCTGCACCCACTAACTAGTCATCTAGCATTAGGTATATCTCCCGATGCTATCCCTCCTCCCTCCCCCCACCCCACAACAGTCCCCAGAGTGTGATATTCCCCTTCCTGTGTCCATGTGATCTCACTGTTCAATTCCCACCTATGAGTGAGAATATGCGGTGTTTGGTTTTTTGTTCTTGTGATAGTTTACTGAGAATGATGATTTCCAATTTCATCCATGTCCCTACAAAGGACATGAACTCATCATTTTTTATGGCTGCATAGTATTCCATGGTGTATATGTGCCACATTTTCTTAATCCAGTCTATCATTGTTGGACATTTGGGTTGGTTCCAAGTCTTTGCTGTTGTGAATAATGCCGCAATAAACATACGTGTGCATGTGTCTTTATAGCAGCATGATTTATAGTCCTTTGGGTATATACCCAGTAATGGGATGGCTGGGTCAAATGGTATTTCCAGTTCTAAATCCCTGAGGAATTGCCACACTGACTTCCACAATGGTTGAACTAGTTTACAGTCCCACCAACAGTGTAAAAGTGTTCCTATTTCTCCACATCATCTCCAGCACCTGCTGTTTCCTGACTTTTTAATGATTGCCATTCTAACTGGTGTGAGATGGTATCTCACTGTGGTTTTGATTTGCATTTCTCTGATGGCCAGTGATGATGAGTATCTTTTCTTGTGTTTTTTGGCTGCATAAATGTCTTCTTTTGAGAAGTGTCTGTTCATGTCCTTCACCCACTTTTTGATGGGGTTGTTTGTTTTTTTTCTTGTAAATTTGTTTGAGTTCATTGTAGATTCTGGATATTAGCCCTTTGTCAGATGAGTAGGTTGCGAAAATTTTCTCCCATTTTGTAGGTTGCCTGTTCACTCTGATGGTAGTTTCTTTTGCTGTGCAGAAGCTCTTTAGTTTAATTAGATCCCATTTGTCAATCTCGTCTTTTGTTGCCATTGCTTTTGGTGTTTCAGACATGACGTCTTTAATCCATCTTGAATTGATTTTTGTATAAGGTGTAAGGAAGGGATCCAGTTTCAGCTTTCTACATATGGCTAGCCAGTTTTCCCAGCGCCATTTATTAAATAAGGAATCCTTTCCCCATTGCTTGTTTTTCTCAGGTTTGTCAAAGATCAGATAGTTGTAGATATGCGGCCCTCAGCAAATGTAAAAGAACAGAAATTATAACAAACTATCTCTCAGACCACAGTTCAATCAAACTAGAACTCAGGATTAAGAATCTCACTCAAAACCGCTCAACTACATGGAAACTGAACAACCTGCTCCTGAATGACTACTGGGTACATAATGAAATGAAGGCAGAAATAAAGATGTTCTTTGAAACCAAGGAGAACAAAGACACAACATACCAGAATCTCTGGGACGCATTCAAAGCAGTGTGTAGTGGGAAATTTATAGCACTAAATGCCCACAAGAGAAAGCAGAAAAGATCCAAAATTGACACCCTAACATCACAATTAAAAGAACTAGAAAAGCAAGAGCAAACACATTCAAAAGCTAGCAGAAGGCAAGAAATAACTAAAATCAGAGCAGAACTGAAGGAAATAGAGACACAAAAAACCCTTCACAAAATTAATGAATCCAGGAGCTGGTTTTTTGAAAGGATCAACAAAATTGATAGACCGCTAGCAAGACTAATAAAGAAAAAAAGAGAGAAGAATCAAATAGACACAATAAAAAATGATAAAGGGGATATCACCACCGATCCCACAGAAATACAAACTACCATCAGAGAATACTACAAACACCTCTACGCAAATAAACTAGAAAATCTAGAAGAAATGGATAAATTCCTGGACACATACACTCTCCCAAGACTAAACCAGGAAGAAGTTGAATCTCTGAATAGACCAATAACAGGAGCTGAAATTGTGGCAATAATCAATAGCTTACCAACCAAAAAGAGTCCAGGACCAGATGGATTCACAGCCGAATTCTACCAGAGGTACAAGGAGGAACTGGTACCATTCCTTCTGAAACTATTCCAATCAATAGAAAAAGAGGGAATCCTCCCTAACTCATTTTATGAGGCCAGCATCATTCTGATACCAAAGCCAGGCAGAGACACCACAAAAAAAGAGAATTTTAGACCAATATCCTTGATGAACATTGATGCAAAAATCCTCAATAAAATACTGGCAAAACGAATCCAGCAGCACATCAAAAAGCTTATCCACCATGATCAAGTGGGCTTCATCCCTGGGATGCAAGGCTGGTTCAATATACGCAAATCAATAAATGTAATCCAGCATATAAACAGAGCCAAAGACAAAAACCACATGATTATCTCACTAGATGCAGAAAAAGCCTTTGACAAAATTCAACAACACTTCATGCTAAAAACTCTCAATAAATTAGGTATTGATGGGACGTATTTCAAAATAATAAGAGCTATCTATGACAAACCCACAGCCAATATCATACTGAATGGGCAAAAACTGGAAGCATTCCCTTTGAAAACTGGCACAAGACAGGGATGCCCTGTCTCACCACTCCTATTCAACATAGTGTTGGAAGTTCTGGCCAGGGCAATTAGGCAGGAGAAGGAAATAAAGGGTATTCAATTAGGAAAAGAGGAAGTCAAATTGTCCCTGTTTGCAGACGACATGATTGTATATCTAGAAAACCCCATTGTCTCAGCCCAAAATCTCCTTAAGCTGATAAGCAACTTCAGCAAAGTCTCAGGATACAAAATCAATGTACAAAAATCACAAGCATTCTTATACACCAGCAACAGACAAACAGAGAGCCAAATCATGAGTGAACTCCCATTCACAATTGCTTCAAAGAGAATAAAATACCTAGGAATCCAACTTAACAAGGGACGTGAAGGACCTCTTCAAGGAGAACTACAAACCACTGCTCAAGGAAATAAAAGAGGATACAAACAAATGGAAGAACATTCCATGCTCATGGGTAGGAAGAATCAATATCGTGAAAATGGCCATACTGCCCAAGGTAATTTATAGATTTAATGCCATCCCCATCAAGCTACCAATGGCTTTCTTCACAGAATTGGAAAAAAAACTACTTTAAAGTTCATATGGAACCAAAAAAGAGCCCGCATCGCCAAGTCAATCCTAAGCCAAAAAAACAAAGCTGGAGGCATCACACTACCTGACTTCAAACTATACTACAAGGCTACAGTAACCAAAACAGCATGGTACTGGTACCAAAACAGAGATATAGATCAATGGAACAGAACAGAGCCCTCAGAAATAAATTTCAATTTAATACTAAATTTGTGGAATATGTTGGTACAGTTGATGATTTTATAGCAGAGATATGTTCATACTCAAATATTATACTAGCTTTGCTGCTTCTGAAACTGTACAAATATATTATTGAAAAAATGTCTTAAATGTAGAAATATGTAAAGTCCAGAATGCAAAAGGAAATAAAAGCAATAAAGCTATGAAAGTGGCAACACTGAAGAAGAATTGTAACTGATTTAGCAGGCCCACAAAAGCACTGAGAACACTGTGGGAAAAGTCAAGAAGGAGGCAGTTTATACTACAGGAATCCCAAAAAGGCTTGGGAATTTTAGGATCAAATAGTAGAACACAGTGCCTATTCTTGGATATTTTATAGACTTCTGGAAAAGACACACAGAGTCTTCAAAAATAATATCGCAGATTATAAGATTGACATACAACTAGGACATAGAGGAGGGTCACTGAACCTGTGAAGTTTTGAGGAGAGTTTACAGAAAAGACGACACCTGAAGTGAGTCTTGGAGGATAAATAAAAGACATGATGTAGCCAGGCGCAGTGTCTCATGCCTGTAATCCCAGCACTTTGGGAGGCCAAGGCAGGTGGATCACTTGAGGGTCAGGAGTTCGAGACCAGCCTGGCCAAGATGGTGAAACCCCCATCTCTACTAAAAATACAAAAATTAGCCAGGCGTGGTGGCTCGTGCCTGTATTCTTAGCTACTCGGGAGGCTGGGGCAGGAGAATCACTTAAGCCTGGGAGGTGGAGGTTGCAGTGAGCAGAGATCGTGTCACTATACTCCAGCCTGGGTGACAAGAGCAAAACTCTGTCTCAAAACAAACAAACAAATGAAGATATGAAGATATGACGCAAGACAGAATTAGTATTCCAATGCCAATTGGCATTTGGTATTCTACTAATTCTGATTTGAGATGTAGGGATGAATATGAAGTAAAAACAGGAGGAACTGGATCAGAAGCTTTTTAAGAAGTGGTCAGACCTCCAGTTGTCCAACCCAACTCTTGAAATAGTAGATAACTGTCTCTTTTCTATCTTAGCAAAAGACTAGAGAGTTTCCTCTGGGAAAAGAAAAAAAGAAATGTAATCTGGATGGGACACACTGCACAGTTGAGGGCTGAACACAGGTTAATTAAATATTGAGAAGAACTTTTTTCCCTCCTTGGATCCTGTAATCCTGGCAACCTGGTGTGAGTCTACCTGATCAGGACTATCACTGATCCTTTACTTTCCCTGTATATCTGACACGTGCTTACTGACTGCAAGTCTGTACATCATTGTAAGCAGTACAGATATGAAGAAAACATAGTGTTGTGAGAAATAATTTAACATAATTAATCATAAAAAGGGGATTTAGAGTTTAGATTCCTGGTTTATGATCCCATCTAAGCCATCGGTTGGTTGTGTGGGTCTGGAAAGTTAGCTGTCCTGGCCTCATTTTTATATTTATAAAATGAATGAAACTAACAGTTACAAGAATAGTTCTCTTTAGATTGTGACAGAAAATCATACTAAAACCGACTTGAGAAAAAAAAAGTATGTATTGTTTGTATAACTGAGAAGTCCATAGTTACTATGAATTTGGATGTGGCTGAATAGAACAGTATTTGGTTACCTTTATCTCCTGGCCTGGCTGTGGTATTTTTCCTAGATAGGATTTGGGGGTTATGGAGTCTTACATCCAATGCAAAGATGGACTAGCACAGGAATTCTAAAGGGTTTTTAAAATTTTAGTTTTAAGTGAAAAGAGAGTATGAGATTTTTAGATATAAAGACTTAGATTTATAGCTTAATTACCTGAAACGGTTTGGGGAAAACTAATCCACAGTCATCAGTTTTGAAAGAAATGTGCTTTAAGACAAAGCATAATTATTGCCTACCTCCAAAGTTTTATTAACCTGCCATTGATCTATTAATTATTTTCATGACTACTAACATGAAATGTGAGGCCCTCCTCTGATTAAAACAATGCACTCTCAGTCCTATATAATTCAGGGTTCAAATCCAGTGGGAGAGAAACAAGCTTCTGCAAGGTTCCCAAGAGTCAAGTGGATTGAACAGGTTAGGACATCCTGAAACAATCACGGAAGCCAAAGAAGCATCTTCATAGCCTAAGTCTTTACTTACCTCTTAACATGCTTACTCTATGGAATTCCCAATGCACTTTTTCTCTACTCTCTCCCTTCTTGTTTTCCCAATCTGAGCATCCTGGCGTCTGGCACACAGGCTTACCTTATCTCTTGGTTTGCCTGGTGCCACAGTTTACAATATGAAAATGTGTAACTATTTGTTGATGTCCACCACCATCCTAAAACCAGCTATTCTGTGGCGTTGCTTATGCCTGAAATCCCATACTCAACCTGGAATACCAATTCTGGTTTCCTTCGTATCTCTTATTTATCCTCCAAGACTCACTTCAGGTGTTGCCTTCTCTGTGAACTCTCCTCAAAACCTCATAGACTCAGTGCTCTTTCTCTGTGCGCTAGTTGTGTGTCAATCTTATAATTCGCCATGTTATATTGAGGACTCTGTGTCTGTCTTTTCCAGAAACCTATGACATACCCAAAGACAGGGACTCCCAGAATCGAATGCAGTTCTTATCACAAAATATACATGTGATGTATATTTTGCCATCATATGCATCTTAATGTTTCCCATATTATTTCGAAAGTATTTATTTCATGTCTTTTCTGACTTTATATTCTTCACATCTAGCACTGGACCTGATTCACTATTAGTACTCAATAAACGTTTATGTAAATGAATGAATGAATGACATGCTTTCTTTTGAGAGCTTTTTAAAAAAAACACAGGTATGAAAAGCATGTAGCTAGGGTATTATCTCAAAAGAAAAAATACATTTGAAATCATTGTGGAGGAAAATTTATTGAGTATGAAATTCTATAGAAGCCATATAATCCAAAATATTGCTACCTGCTTTTACTTGCTTAAGAAATTCAAGGCTTTCTAGCTTGTGGTAATTTTAAAATATTTTGACCAAGATATTAATATGTTTAAATAGCAAAGTATAATACTAGGATATCTGATGGTAATTTACTTTAGAAATTCTGCTTAAAGTATCTTTGGATTGTGTCTAAAACATCAAAGAATTCATCTCTGAGTTTAGAAAATGTGTTGAGTGAAATGATAGACTTCTAATATTTGTTGTATATGTAATTTATATAAATATTTTCTGAAAAAATACAATTATATGTATGGACCTTTCCATATTTCTTAAGTTTCTTCTTAAGTTTTTTTCATATTCTTCATTTGTTTTTACTCCTTGATACTAATTCTGTAAAATAATGAAAATTTTTAGAAAGCTCTGTTGTACAAATAAAAATATAAAAGCTCAATAAAGTTAACCCAAATTTCAATAACTAAATTAAGTTGGATTTCAACTCAGCTTGATTCTTATCTGGGCCAGAGTTTACAATTTTTGTTCATAAAGGACCAGACAATAAATATTTTAGGCTTTACGGGCCAAGAGGCAAAATCAAGATATTGTGTATCTGTTTACACAATGAGAGAAAACAAATTGTCCCCAATTTTTCTAACTATTTAGAAATGTAAAAGACATTCTTAAATAACAGTGTACAATTTGGGTTTTTTCCATGGCCATAGTTTGCTGACTCCCATGGTGGTGAAACAAATCCAAATCTTAACTGTTAGACTCTTAAGTTTAACATTGATTCTCTGTATTAGTTTGCTAAGACTTTATAACAAAGTACTACAGATTGGGTGGCTTAAGCAACAGAAACATATTGTCCAGGCACAGTGGCTCATGCCTATAATCCCAGCACTTTGGGAGACTGAGGCGGGTAGATCACCTGAGGTCAGGAGTTCGAGACCAGCCTGACCAACATGGTGAAACCCCGTCTCTACTAAAAATACAAAAATTATCTGGGCATGGCAGTGGGTGCCTGTAATCCCAGCTACCTGGAGGGCTGAGGCAGGAGAATCGCTTGAACCTGGGAGGCGGAGGTTGCAGTGAGCCAAGATCACGCCTTTGCACTCCCAGCCTGGGCAACAAGAGCAAAACTCTGCCTCAAAAACAAAAAACAGAAACATATTGTCTCACCCTTCTGGAGGCTAGACATTAGAAATCCATGCTTTGGTAGGCTTGTTTTCTCTTGAGGGCCACGAGTGAGGGATCCTGTCTCCTTGTCTTGTAGTTAGCTTCTGTGTCTTCACATTGTCTTCCCTGTGTGTGTCTGTGTCCAAATTTCTCCTTTCAGTAAGAACATCCATCATGTTAGATTAGGTCCCACTCCAATGAGCTCTCTTTAACTTGATTACCTCTGTAAAGACCCTATCTCCAAGTAAGGTCATATTCTGAGGTTCTAGGGTTAGGGTTTCAACAACCAAATTTTTGGAAGGTACACAATTCAACCGATAACATTCTCATTCTCTTTGCTCTACATCAGACCTAATTTCTATGAACCCAAGTAACAAGTATGAGAGTTGCATTTCACTCTTTCCACTCTTTTTTTTTTTTTTTTTTTTTTTTTTTTTTTTTTTTTTGAGACGGAGTCTCGCTCTGTCGCCCAGGCTGGAGTGCAGTGGCGGGATCTCGGCTCACCGCAAGCTCCGCCTCCCGGGTTCACGCCATTCTCCTGCCTCAGCCTCCCAAGT
Organism: Homo sapiens; assembly: GCF_000001405.40. Lineage (NCBI taxonomy): Eukaryota > Metazoa > Chordata > Mammalia > Primates > Hominidae > Homo > Homo sapiens. The sequence goes on from NC_000012.12 coordinate 78,078,525, forward strand.
AGCTGGGACTACAGGCGCCCGCCACTACGCCCGGCTAATTTTTTGTATTTTTAGTAGAGACGGGGTTTCACCGTTTTAGCCGGGATGGTCTCGATCTCCTGACCTCGTGATCCGCCCACCTCGGCCTCCCAAAGTGCTGGGATTATAGGCGTGAGCCACCGCGCCCGGCCTCTTTCCACTCTTTTAAATTTAAAGCCATAGCTTCTCTCTCAATAACCTCACAGCACAATAATAGACAACTAGAACTGCATTGAGACAATTCTCCATGGAAAGATGACTCTCTGAGATTTGGTTTCCCCTCCCTTCAAAACACCCAGAAGATAATGTGGCATAGTGAAATCATCTGAATACTTAACCACTTTAGCAAGAGAGAAGTATTTAGAAAAATCAAATTATAAAGACAAATATTAATTTTGATCATATTTCTAACAAATAATGTTGCTGGTTTTTAACCACTTGACTTGGTGATTCCTTAAATAGATCAAAAGGCTTATACACAAATAACATCCTCCTATGTCCTAGCAGCACTCAGAATTGACTCCAAAATAAAACTGTTATTTGAAAACCCCAGCTGTGAGTATGCCTTGGTGTTAGAAAGTGTCACACCTTTTGTAGCTAGAACTGTCACAGCATGAAGAACTGATGTGCCATTGAGTCCTACATCCTGCGCAAGGATGGGCTAGCACAAGAATTCTAAAGATGTCTTTTTTTTATTTTTAAATGAAAAGACAGTGTGAGATTTTTAGATATAAAGACTCAGATTTATAGCTTAGCTAGCTGGAAATGCCTTGGAAAAAAATAGAATCATAAATTTTGAAAGAAATTTGCTTTAAAACAAAGCATGATTATTTCTTATCTCTGAAGTTTTATTAGCCTGCTATTGATGCGTTCATTATTTTCATGACTGATAACATTTTTATCAGCAAAAAGGCTGTATTTTTTGATATTTTTTATTTGGTATTTGATATCTGTTTCACAATCCCAAACCTACTTTAAAAGGACGATTATAAAGATTACATAAGATAGCACACCATAAGTATATTATACAGTGTCAGTCACAATCCTTTTTCTTCTCTTCATAGAAAAAATTATTAGCAGACATCAGAAATCAGTTAATTTTTGAAAACTCTCACTTCTTTACAAATAAGACAATAAACAGGAGGCTTTTTTATTTAGAGAATGGCTGGATACCCCAGTGCCCTGGTTTTATATCTGGAATAGAACCATCTCCAAAGAGAACACTGTACAAATGATTAGGCCTACCCTCTAAGTGGAGTTTCTACTGATTCTATGCATGATAAATAATGGTTACTCTCTTGCCTACGTAGGACAGTAAAGAAAGTGAAGGTCACTTGTACGTGTTTAAATAATAATATGACAGATATGTGTTAAGCCTTGTGTTCATAATCGAAGATATTGTATCCTGCATTGTGTAAATGAGGCCACTGAAGCATGGAGAGTTAATATATTAACCACAAAAATGTATTTTGTCTATATTTTAATATGTTATGAACCTGTTGCCCTCTTCCCCACCCATTTTGTTGACAATAAAATCTTAAATTATAGCCATCTAGACATTCTTAAACCTGGCATTTTAGACAAAAATAATTTGGGGACAGGGTATAGTTTACACTGTTTCTAACTTAGAAGTTTTATCTCTTGCATAGTAGGTACTCATGTGGTCTGATTGAGACACAAAGTATAAAAGTACCAAGGGCCAGTAGAAAGTGGAAAATGAAAGTATCATGTCCCCTTAGCAAGAGAACAGAAAGACTAGGTCAAGCATTCTCTCGTTTTCCAAAGATCATTAAAAACCCTTTTGTAATATTAAGTAGTCTATGTGATACACAGAGTGAGCCTTAAATTAACTTTTAAAAGTTTTCTATCTTGAAATATACTTTTAAAATAAATTTTCACCTGCATAAATGTTCTCTTTGGATTAAAGACTTAATCACCACAATTTCCAGAGATACTTTTCCTACCCTTTTGATTCCATTGTTGTTGTAATGACAGAAACTCATTAACACAGTGGGTATCAGTATTGATTATGACTTTTAGACTTTACTTTTTCCCATTATAGTTTAATTTCTGTCTAAAATAGATCATAATTCTCAATCTGCTGCTGCTTTGGAGTTTTTCTAAGATATTGGACCATTTACTCATGGTGAGATAATAGTGTTCAAATTGACACTGGCAGTCACGAGGTACCCTGGACTCTTTTCTCCTATTTGATGCTCTGTTTTGTGGAATAGAATAGTATGTGTAGCCTTCCATGCAGAATTAATCATGAAAATGAACTGCATACTGCAGGTACAATCAGCACCATCTAATTACCTCAAACTTGCTTGTCTTATGACTTTATTTAGCTGAGCACATGCATTTGATAATAACAAGTAGGATAATTCAAAATCCTGTCAACCACAGGCAATTTAGTTATCATAAGTGAAGTCCGGTGTGTTTTAGAGATCGTATCCATTTGACAAGCTAGCAGGTATGAACAGGAAAGGCATAAGACAGGAAATAGAGAAGTCAGAATTTGATTTATTAATTTTTTAGGAGAAAAGCCTATCAGGCTATGTAAGTCTTTTGAGTCTTTCTTTAATGTATATATTAAATATTCAGTTAGGTCTATTGTTATAACACCTCTAGCATCTTATGAACTATAGCGTGATAATACGTTAAGAGAGAGAGAGGTTGATTATTTTGACTACCAGGAATGTTCTTTTCTTGAAAGAATCTCTGTTGGTCAGAGTCAACAGGCACTCTTATGCCTTTTATGATTCTCCATGTGCAGGTACAACTAATGAACCTGGTAGTTCAGTACCGTAAAGCTCATGGAGAGCCCGGTGAAGGCTGAGTATAGATGAAGGTCTTGGTGCTCAGCATGGCTTGAGGGCCCTGGATTGCAACCCTTTATAGCACGTGAATGTCAAGAGATGAGTCGGGGAGGTGTGCTGTGCTGTGGATGCTCCTCCGAGCTTGAGTCAGCTGTCCATCTTGCTGGCAGTCTCTTGCAGGCTGTCACCATTTCCTCTCACTTTCTTTCTTGCTGCTTTTTCTCCTAAAATTCTGACCTGGATCTATTTACCCATGTAAATAGGCAGGGGCAAATCTGGAAGTGGGAGAGAGGCTCATCTGAGGTGTTATGCTGTTCTTTCTCTGTGGAAACGAAGTTTCTCCCTTTTCAAAGTTAAGGGCCTAAGGCTTTGGTTATCTTCCCTGGAGTTAAGGCTCCTCAGTGCTGAGCCTTCCACACTCAAGTGCCCCTTTCCCCGGGCAGCTCACACTGTGTATTTCTGAATCTACCCACACCACAAAGATAAACTTTCAATATGAATGCTAAACATTCCCAAAACAAGACTTTTAAGTAGATCTTTTCCTGGATGTTCTTTCATTGATCTCATTCCCTGGCTAATATGGTTTAGCTGTCTCCCCACCCAAATCTCATCTTGTAGTTCCCATAATTCCCACCTGTCGTGGGATGGACCCAGTGGGAGATAATTGAATCATGGGGACAGGGCTTTCCCATGCTGTTCTTCTGCTAGTGAATAAGTCTCATGAGATCTGATGGTTTTATAAAGGGGAGTTCCCCTACAAAAGCCCTCTTGCGTGCCACCATGTAAGATGTGGCTTTGCTCCTCCTTGCTTTCTTCCATGATTGTGAGGCCTCCCCAGCCATGTGGAACTGTGAGTCAATTAAACTTCTTTCCTTTATAAATTACCCAGTCTCAGGTATGTCTTTATGAGCAGCATGAGAACAGACTAATACATGGCTTAAGGGCACGTATTAATACACAGGCATATGCATTATATTTTCAAATATAAATATTGGCTGATGAATTATTTTGTGTTATTTTGTCAATTTATCACCCGTTTTGAAAATATCTGTGCACATATTTTTAGAAAATCTTGTTGTTTCAGATCAATTAAAAATTGATTTTTCTCGGAAGTTTTCCCTTGAAGGTAGTCAGTGTTGAATATTTTGGTATTTGGTTTTAAGCACGCTGTGTATGATTTCTGTTAGTCTATTGTTAAACAAAATCACTGTGTGATATAGCCCCCCCCACCATTAGCATTTCAATAGAACATACTTAATTGAAAAGGTATGTTTTGACATATATCACCTTTTTAGGAGAAAAGATTATCCCTGATACCCATAACCCTACAAACTTATAACCCTCCAAATTCTCTACTTTTAAACCATGTTTTTAATTTCTTCCCAATAGCTGAAACCCTTTTACTATGCTGCTTAGAATTCATAATCCACTGTTGGCTGAATTGCCTCTATTAGTAATTTCTTCTTGAAACATGCCCTTCCCTTTGTTCTTTTCACTGAAACCTGCCTCTCCCCTGAAGACTCCCTGTAGTCCTTGTACACATTCTTTTCCTCCTGGGCCTGGGGGTGGGTTAAATGTCTACTTTCATCATCACCTCTCCTCTGAAAGAAATACCTATGTTGAAGCCTGTCTTAGTCTATTTCCTATGACTTATAACAAAATATTTGAAACTGAATAATTTATAAGGAAAAGAAATTCACATCTTAGAGTTATGAAGGCTGAGAAGTTCAAGGTTGAGCACTACATCTGTTAAGAGCCTTCTTGCTAGTGGGGATGCTCTGTAGAGTCCCAAGGCAGTGCAGGGCATCACATGGTGAGGGGCAGCTGAGAGAGAGCCAAACTGGCTTTTATAACAGACCTACTCACACACTAACCCACTAGTCCATTAACCCACTAATCTATGAGTAGGTTGATACATTCATGAGGGCTCAGCCCTCATGACCCGGTGATCTCATAAAGGTCTCACTTGTCAATACAGCTGCATTGGGGGTTAAATTTTAATGTGAATTTGGAGGGAGCAAACATTCAAGCCATAACAAAGTTCCTACCATCAATATAGACCACCTGCTATCCCTCCTAGTTATCATTTCAAGAAACTTATGTTACTGTCCCTGAGTTATTCAAGATTTTAACTCTAATATTTTTGACTTTCTAACACTACTGTTATTTTAATTTACTGTGATATCCACATCCACTGACCCATAGCCTCACTTCTCAGAAGCTTGACACCTTATCCTTTAATGATCTTGCCTTCCATTCTACTTGTACTTCAGTCACACACTCCCACTGTCACACCCTGGAACTTGTCCTTAGTGAAAACTTCACCTTCTCCATTCAAACAGGGTTGAGTATCATGCTAACAACTACCCCTATTTTTCCAGTTCGCTTCCTTTCTTATTCTGGCTCCAAGAATAATATAATCTGACCAGTGCCTGCAATTCATTGATACTTAACTCGTCAGAATCCTAAATACTTGCTGAGTTGTCATATATTTCTTTGTACAAGTTAGGTTCCATGATCTATTCAAAATAACCAGCCAAACAAAAAACCTTACTTGGATATTTTTTCTACTCCACTGCCCCTTTCTCTTTTGCTTATTTGACTAGAAAAATCTCAACTTCAGTTAAAACCAACATTTTATCTACTCTGCTCCTGTCCAGCTGAATGTGATTGGATAAAACTATAAATATCATGCAGACTGATTTCATAGTATGTTCATGACTAGTAATCTCAAGTGGACTAGTGGTGTGCACAGAAATCCTACATTTCCCTGCTCCACTCTTTCATTCTCTTAACAAATAATTCACAACTATTCTTTCTCCTCAAATTTCCAGTCTTTCTTTCCCTTTCTCAGTTAGCATGTTTACAGCTTCCCTGAGAAAATGGAAGAAATCCAAATATCAGTCTCATCATCCCAGCTACCTCCCTACTGATGGTTTACATTTATATCAGCCTTACCTCCTGTTACTGTGTATGAACTGTCTCAGTTAAATATCCAAGGCTAAACCCTCCAGTTAGGCACTGGATCCCATTCCCTCTCTGTGATCAAAGTCATAGCTCTAGTTATTTCTAAACTGTCCTGTATCACCAATTTTTTTTTGTCTTTACTATATCATTCCCATCAGCACACCAACATTTTGAAGTTTCTCTTTCACTATAAACAAAGTAGACAAAATAAACCCCAAACACCCCTCCATTCCATATTGCCCTTGAGCCACCACTCTCTCTCTCTCTTTCTCTCTCTCTCTGCTCTCCTTTGCAATAAATCCCTTGAAATATTTTTTAAAGTTACCTTGCTATCATCAATTTCTCTCTGTTGTCTGTTGAATCCACTCCATTCAGTGTTTTACCCCATCACTCTTCTAAAACTGTTTTTACTAAACTAATCAATGACTTTCTTATTAAGGTTAGCAATGGCTTTCATTGATATAAAATCGATGTTGCTAAATTCATTGTTTAATTTTCGTGTCTCTCCTGACTTGGCCTATCAGCACTCTTTGATATGATTGATTACTTAGTCTTCTGTGAGATCTTTTTTTTCCTCTTGTAAAATTATTTATGATGTTTGAATAGAAGAGTAAAATGATAAAATTTCACTTCAAGAAGAGTCATCTTGATAAAATAAAAAAAGAGAAAAAGACATATAAAAAGCATTGCCATCATCAAAGGGATGGGTAATAATCAACATAATTAGATTGTGTTCCTATAAAAATAAAGTATAGAAGATATATTTTAAATATACAACTAATGCAAATTGCAGCTGATTTGATATTAAAGTGAGAGTAAACAAAACCTGTATTTGCAATAACAAGTAACCCTCTAATGTCAGTGGCTTACAGTAACAAACATTTATTCCTTATTCACAATACATGGCACAGCTGTGAATTACCTGCTGTGGCTTGACTTTACTTGTTTTCTTATTACTAGACTCAGACTGAAGAAGCAACCCCTGTTTGGGATGTCTTTTCTTGAGACAGAGGGGAAGAGCAAAAGAGGCAGCAGAAACTTACACAGACCCTTAAAGGTTCTGGCATATTCCATGTATGTTCATATTCCATTGGCCAAAACACATCACATGCCCAAGGCCAAAAGTCAATGAGATAGATAATGTATAATCCACAAAAAGGGAAAGTAGATGGAATATTTGTAAATAATCATACAACTTACTATAGTGGCAATTCACACTAGTTTCTTTCCTTCTAAAGTGATTGTGAAAATGATGAGCAGAAATAGAAGATGTAGTAGAAGGGATGGATTTGGGAAGGGAGAAGATGAATTCAGTAAGAAACATATTGCGTGTGGGCTGAACATTCAGGAGGAGATGTCAGGCAGGCAGTTTGAAATGGAAAACTGGCACTTAGGAAAAAGGACAGGCTAAAAATTTTGAGTACAGCCAAGAACAGATTATTTGGGAACACAGCATTTTGGCAAAGGAGGATGAGGAGATATAACTACAAGACAGAGAGTAGCTGGTTAGCAAACTCAAATGTTGAGTAAAATGCATCTTGATAATAATGCCAATTGATGATCTACAACTAAGTCATCCAGACTCATTCAGCAGTGGGTTTTGAGTTCTGTAAATTTGTCAGAGACAATGTGTCATAGAAATTAAAAGTACAAGCTCAGGAATGCAAACGCTGGGTTTCCCTTCCTGCTCAGCCATTTTGTAAATCTTAGCCAAGATTGGGTAAGTTACTTCACTTCTCCAAGCTTGTATCCTTTTCTACAAAATAATTAACACTGGCGTTTACCCGTGCAGGATTGTTGAGAGGATTAAATTAGATTATGCCTATAAAATGTTCAGATAGTTCCTGGTTCATTTTAAGCAATTAATTGGTATAAGTAGTATTACTACCAAAATTGCATAAAAGAAAACACTAAATCTGCCTTTGTTTACATTTGTTTTAATAGGAGTCTCTTCTTCAAGTATATGTTTTCTATTTACTAGTTTTGAAAATTTTATTGACAACTTAATAAGAAAGTCTGGGATATGTATTGTTAGGCAATTATGTGAAAAATGCAAATAATATTAATTTCAATTATAAAACATATGCAGCATTTTAAGTAATAACATGTTTATTTTTTGATTCATTATGCCAAAATGCTCAGGTCTTGTTCCTTGCAAGAGTATGGCTACACAGTACACATACTTATTGCTACCAATATTTTTATCACAGTGAATTTATGAGAGTCTTGTTGGACAATGTGGATACTATTTACCTGCAACCTCTTAAATTTGTATGCCTAATGAGAAGTCTTATGGTAATAAACATTATTTAAGGGAATTAATCATTGCTGAGGGATCTTTTCACTTTGCCAACCTTGGAAGTTGGCTAGAATTAAAGACTTGGAAAGATATAGCTATTCTACTGCTGACATTTCTGCAGCACCCCCTGTGGTACAGATTCACTTTGCATTTTATTCTTTCCTCTATGATCACTTCTTTCAATCATTACATGTCCTCATCTATGTGTTGGGATCCCAGTGGTTTCACTGGGTTTCTTTCATAGTAGTAAAAAATAATCTTTCATGAAGAAGACACCCTATATGACACCAACACTTTTTCCTATTTTTGAATTAACTGCCTATGAAGTCTTTAAAACTGTCAATGAAACAATAGGTTTTCTACAGCCTGTAGCCCATATTGCTCTTTTATGTTATTTTTGTGGTTTTCCTGTCAAATAGTTTTTGGTGTTTATTTTCTTTAAGCATCACTAGGCATTTGTTAGGCTGCAGAGCTGATTAAAATCCAGACTTCCATATGAGATTTACAGATGTTGTAGAATTAGAGAAAATTAGCTTCAGGTCTGGCAGTGATTTTCTAAAAGTGGTTCCATTGATCTCACTGAAATCAAGGATTTCTTTGCTGAGCTGCCAAGATACATAAATCTTCTATGAGAACTGATTTTGTAACAGACCTTGACATGTATAATCTAATTCTAGAAAACAAACTTCTAGCTGAAAATCAACAGCCTAAAGGAAGATTAAAGATTATGTTGGTATCCACATGAATATTTTGTCCTGTATAGCACAGAGGAGTAGGGAAAATCACTGGACACATTCAGAAGGAACCCCAAAGCATCTAGATGTTACCAAAGTAACCACCCTGGAAATTGCAATCTACAGCAAGAAATGAGTATTTCAGAGATGAGGTCGTAACCTGAGTGGGATTTAATGCTTGGTTTTATGTCATTTGACTTAAAAAAATATGACAGCAATGTTAGTGTGTTATAATCTAGCAATGGTCAAGGAGACAATTATAAAATGTAAGCTCTAACCTTCTTGTCTTTCTCTAGAAATAGTGGTTCATGAAATGCAAGTTGTGAAGTGAATTTTCTTCTTTTGAAATTTTTTCTATACATATTCCTTCAGTGTTTTAGAAATAACATGGCCAGCTAATTATTTTTATGGTTCTATGTATACTTTAGATTTAATTAGGGGTCTATTTATTTGTCCCAGTTTCACAGATAAATTATAATAATAGCAAATTATAGCAGATTAATTTGAATATTCACTTATAGATCAACATAATTAATATGAACTATTATGTTTATTGCAAAAGGAGTATCAGAGAACAGTATCACAGAAAGCTTTTGCTAAATTAAAAACAACACACCTCTCTTCCAAGCATAATTAATGCTACCATTTTCTTTTCCTTTCTAGTGTTTCTTCATATATATATATATATGATATACATGATATATCTCATATATATTATGAATGACCTCATATAACTTATGAGGGTCATTCAATTTTATATACTTCTTATCCACTTAACATAATGGTTTTTATAATTTTTGTGAGCAAGACTTTATTGTTTTAAGTATACAATTAACATAATATATAAAATACATTAAAATCAATTAGTTGATTGTTCTGAAATGCATGTGAAGAAAAATAAGTGTATAAATGACATAGACAAATATAACAGGTTAAAATATAAAATTCATTCAATTATTGTCTTTTCCTTCCAAATATGTTTCCAACAAAGAATTAGACACTATTATTATAGAATGTGTGAATAGATTATCACTGCAAACAATGTTATCTCAACTGAGTGGACAAGAGGGAAGACCCAGTGATCACATTGGTCTTGCAATTTTTCCTTTCACTTTCACCTTCCCTTAGTTTGTTGACATGCGCTATTGTAAAAAATCACAGATGCTGCTAATAGTGTCCTCATTCTAAAGGAAAAATAAAAAAATCTTCATTCTACTTGTTTCTTCTCTCTTTGTCCTCTTAAGAGAGATCAGGAAATAACTAAATAAGCAAACCTCTAATCCGGAACTCTATATAAATCCTACTGTTCTTGTGACCACAGCAGCTCTCTAAGTCTTGCCTATCTTAGGCAGCAAATACATACTTTTACAGGGGTCCTCAGAGAATTTGAAGATGGGCTGCTTACCCAGAATCCGAGAGTATGAGCTGGAAAATCACTGTGTGTCCCACATCACTGTATAATGGGACCAAAAATAGACATGTCATACTAGCAAAGACAGGATCCAAGAAAACACTGACACATGTAAACATTTACTGAAACCCCAAACATCTTCTCTTATCAGCATTTGGATTAGTAATTTTAGCTTTGGACCTTTCACTAGGAACTACACAGTTTATTGCTAATAGTTGCTCATTGATCTCTTAGCATTTGGGATTATGAAGGGATTCTATTCTCCACATGTGAAATCAACATAATAGGAATGTTTGTGCCTTGCACTGTCTTTGCAAATATCGCAGGTCAGGTAATTTATATTTGTTATTTAGTCAATCACTTTACCATTTTTTTCCATACCACCATTCCCTTCCCCTTTTCCCAAAAAAAAGTCAATTTATGGAATTCAACCAATTTGTAAGTTCAGATTTCTTTTTTCTGAGGTTTTAATTCAAGTAGAGAAAATAAGTGAATGCAGGTGGAAGAAACAAGGAAAAAATACATGATAAACCATAAAGTAATGTTAGAATTATTATGAAAGCATTCAGATGACCATTTTAACATATTTTTTAAAGCCACTATTTTAGCATATTAAGAGAACCACAGCACTTTGCTTTGTTTAAACAGGCATACTGGTATTTCTGATTTATCAAAAACTAATCTATAAAGCCCCTAAATACTTAGGCTTATCAAAAATATACTGTATTTAACTTTGTAGAGGTTTCTTTTCTTTATTTTTAAGATGAAATAAACCAGTTATTTTTATTAGTTTGGATGCTGATTTTTAGATTTACTATTATGAGTGATTTTTGTAATGTTTATTCAGTTTGAATGTATCAGTTGGTTACAGGATCAAGAATGGAAATTAGAACTCAAGGTATGATGAGATACTAGTTGATTCCCCTCTGCCTCCTCACCATGTGTAAGTTGATACTTGTGATAGCCAGTATACATCCATCCTGTTGACAGTACTTCCTTTGACACTGCGTCTAACTCATAAAGAATAATTTGTCATCCCAAAGGATCCAATGTATCTATCCAACTTCATCTTCCATTCCTCTTTAACTTAAACCTTGATCTCCAGATGGGCTAATATCCTAAATCTCTAAGCTTTTGCTCTCCCTTCAGAATCTACTCAGAATTACGTACCTCTCAAATTTGGATTTAAGCTCTTTCTCTTCTACTCTGGACTGCCTGACATTTATATGATCTTGTTTGCATATTTTATTAATTTACCTCTATTGCCTTGTTGCAAAATTAGAATCATTATCTAAGTTTATCTATGTCTCTTATCTCCAGTATGCCCTGCATCAAGCAATTGCTACTATACTTTGTGTATGGCTTCCTCCCCCTGCCCAAATACATACATATATATATGTGTAAATATATATGTGTGTATATATATATATATGGTTGAATTATACATATATAAAGTTGAATTATATATATATATCAAATTTTATATATATATAATAAAGTTGAATTAAATTGAAAGTGTTCCTATACACATGTTTCTTTGATTTTAGTACTACAAATGATTGTGGATGATATAATACTAAGCAATAAAAAATTCAAACATGTTAAGCAGTTTATCCAAATTCTAATTTAAACTTGTTTGAATTTAAAACCTTTTCTACTAACATTAACCATATTGCCTGAAGATGCCTGATGTCACCACAGAAACTTTGTCTTAAATGATTCCAAGTTCTTAGATTAATGTAAAGTATATGATGAGCTTTTTGGAATATTTTCTCAATGATCTTGGTGCCATCAATTCTAAATAGAACCTTATTGCCAGTATTGTGTACCTCATTACAGAGTAACCCTGGGCACTTCCTTTGTAGGTTCTGGTTGTAATTGACACCATATATATTTTTTAAAAATATTTTAAGTTTTTCAGGAACAAAAACTGTTACGGTTGACACATCACACCACTGTCTTTATGACCTATCTTTAAAGTGATACAAAGAGCTACTACAATAGTTGCTTTCATATTTCTAAAATTCATTGACTTCAAAGATAAAAGTCAAAAAGATGTGAAAATTCCGTAACAGTCTTTTCATGGGATCTATTTTTTCACTTTCAAACTCTTAACAGTAAAAGTGAAAGATGAATGGTGTTTTGCAAGGTGTCAGAAGTACTTCTGTGCTGTGCTGTATTCTGTGTGTGTGTGTGTGTGTGTGTGTGTGTGTGTGTGTGTGTGTGTGAATATGTCCAAACAGATATAATTTTTAGCTTTTTACTCAATTATAATACTGGGAAATGACATAATATAATTCCAAAGTATGTAGTTTACGTTTAAAAATGCATTTTTGAAATAGACCTGATTGCTAACCTAGCTAACTAATGCAGACTCTACTTATAATGTGCGACTAAGGGTTCAAGATCATAGAAATAATATCTGTAATTTCTATTGATGTTTTGGGATTGAAAAGCTCAGTCGAATATAACAATAGTAGTAACTTTACTTTTGTCCTTAATGTTGACTTCAGAATAGAATTATGTTGGATTCCTTGAAGGTGCATTATTAGCCCTATCTTGCTAAAAGGCATAACTCTTTGATTAATGTTGATAATTTTAATTTGTAGAGCATTAAAAGTTCAGGAATTGATTCTATGAGAAATATTCACTACTCCGGATGCTCAATTGACCAATAATTTAATTCAAAACAAATGTTAACTGAAAACAGTGTATTAATCAGAGTCCATAAAATTCACCTGTGGCCGGGCGCAGTGGCTCACGCCTGTAATCCCAGCACTTTGGGAGGCCGAGGCGGGCGGATCACGAGGTCAGGAGATCGAGACCATCCCGGCTAAAACGGTGAAACCCCGTCTCTACTAAAAATACAAAAAATTAGCCGGGCGTAGTGGCGGGCGCCTGTAGTCCCAGCTACTTGGGAGGCTGAGGCAGGAGAATGGCGTGAACCCGGGAGGCGGAGCTTGCAGTGAGCCGAGATCCCGCCACTGCACTCCAGCCTGGGCGACAGAGCGAGACTCCGTCTCAAAAAAAAAAAAAAAAAATTCACCTGTTAATTGGCTACATTTCTTGTGCAATTTCTCCTTTTCTTATTTTCATTTTTAAACAAAGACAGAATATACAGAATCACTATCCTGCATAGTACATTCCCAATAAAGCACTCACTCACTCTAAATTAAAGAGTTGTCATAATGGAAAGAACGAAAATGGTAATTTAATTTTGCTAATATTTCTTACCCCAGAATTCATTCATTATTCATTCACCAAACATCCACACCTACGGTATTAGCACTGAGGACACAGTCGTGCACAAGATAAACCAGGACACAGATTTCATATAACCTAGAATTTTGCAAAATTTCTTGAATCCTTGGAAAGTTGACATTCAAATTCAGGGTTACTTTAACATTGCAAACAGGTATCTGTGGAAATTGGGGGAAATGCGTGCGAAGAAAAATAAATCTATGAATGACATATTAAAAACAAAGTATAACAGGTTTAAATACAAACTCATTCAATTACTGTCTTTTCTTATCAAACAGAAAGGACGTTGGAGGGGTGGGAAGAGGCCTGACTCAGGTAAAATAATTTGTTGATATTGAGGGAGGGCCATAGTGTATAAAATAATAGATCTTTAAACATTTGCTCACACTTAGAATGGTAATATTTTTCTAATACCAGAAAGAAACTCATTTCACCCTTTGAAAGCGTTAGTTATTTTCTTTTTTTTTTTTTTTTTTTTTTTTTTGAGATGGAGTCTCGCTCTGTCGCCCAGGCTGTAGTGCAGTGGTGCGATCTTGGTTCACTGCAATCTCCGCCTCCCGGGTTCACGCCATTTTCCTGGCTCAGCCTCCCGAGTAGCTGGGACTACAGGCGCCTGCCACCATGCCCGGCTAATTTTTTGTGTTTTTAGTAGAGACTGGGGTTTCACTGTGTTAGCCAGGATGGTCTCGATCTCCTGACCTTGTGATCTGCCAGCCTTGGCCTCCCAAAGTGCTGGGATTACAGGCGTGAGCCACCGCGCCCGGCCGTGTTAATTATTTTCTAAAGTGTTTCATCCATATTCGCTTGGGTCTTCAGTCAAATTTTAAGGCTATCTTAGGTTAGGAAATATAGACTTTGTTTCTCCCTGCTGCAGAGCACAGAACAATGTATGTAACTTGGCTTTCATATGTTAGGTATTAGCTGGTTGGTTGTTTAAATCCTCTGGGGAAACACGCCAAACCATGTCTACTTCTTGCAATAATTTTCATTTGGTCAAATCCTGGTGTACAGATTTTGCTCTGTTCATCTTTATAAGACCTGTATGCACCTAGCAAATTCCTGAAGTATGAATGAATAAAAGAAGAATGAGTTAACAATATACAATGAATATGAATCATTAACATTTTCAAGTTTCTGTGACAAAATTTGTGACAGTCTTTACTGTAAGCAAGCAAATTCAGGTGTAGGTTTTACATAATGCACTTTTATTTATTTGTTATAAATGGGCTAAAATTAAGAATCTCAGTTACAGATAATTACTCATCTATCTTTTTCTACATTTCATATGTTCACTAAGGACAAAAGCTAATTTTTACTTACCTTTCTGTAATCAGCAATTAGTACAGAGCCAGAAATATAGCAGGTACTAAATAAATCAATTATGGAGTACAAGAACAGAGGGAACATTTTGATCTCTGGTTAGGAAATCCAAAGTGCCCTTCAATCTCATAGGGCATGACGTTGTAATGGAAGCAAGTCCAGATATTGTTTTTGGAAATAAAACACATAACACTATGGTGTAAAGATTTGTACAGCAGTGGAAAAGCTATAGGGAATAGAGACTATAAACCCTCTGTTTTAGTTTGCCAAGACAAAGACACTCTGGGGGAAAAAAAAAGTACAGTATTAAGTAGAAAATCTAACTATTAGAAAAAAATAAAAATGAATTATACAAACTTATTTACCAAGTAAAATTGTTTCTTACCCCAAATCATCTTTAATTTTAAATTTAGAAAATATATTAATCCCAAAGGACTGTTGTTTACAGAGACAAGACTTAAAAATAATAATTTTATTTACTTTTTTTTCTTTTTTAGAGATAGGGCCTCACTTTGTCACCCAAGCTGGAATACTAGAGTACAGTGGTACAATCATAGTTCAGTGCAGCCTCAAACACTTGGGCTCAAACACTTGGGCTCAAACAGTCTTCTCCAGCATCTGGTACTATAGGCACACACCATCACATCTGACTAAATTTTTAATTTTTTTAGAGATGAAGTCTCGCCATGTGGCCCAGGCTGGTCTCAAACTTCTGGCCTCAAGCAATCGTCCCACTTTAGCTTCCCAAAGTGCTGGGATTACAGGCATGCACCACCATGTCTGACCTATTTTGCTTTTTAAGGAGAATTTCTAACATATCAATTTTGAATACAATCCAAGGATTAGATGTTTATGCTATATGTCTATTGATTTAAGAGTTTAACTGAAAGCACTGTAACAAAAATGGCTTGTGAAATCTTGAGCCAGTTGAAATCAGCTTGTCTTTTATACCAAAAGACACCTAGAAAATATTTATTTCAAATGCCTGAGATTTAACCTATGGCCAGGTTGTTAAACAGTGGACTGTTTATTTTTAACTGAAACAAGTCAATGGATATAATGGTGTAACATTTTAATGAGAGGAAAGTAATTTCCCAAGCCAAAAAATTGTACTTTGTAAAATGCAAGAAATTACTAAGATGATTGCAAATTGTGTAAACTTTGAAGATGCTAAGACTGTCATGTCAACCAAGAATATCCTAAAGCATTTAACCTAATTATGACTTTGTAAATATACAATTATAAATATGTACTATTTTATTTACTTCAGTTATTCTTTAAAATACTAAGGAATATGATGAACATTGAGGAAACGGTGAAGATATTTTTAATTACCGGGTTATAAATCCAAAACAAATAATATCTAACATTAGTTCCTTGTACATCAAAAATATTAAAAATATTTCTTGGCTTGGCCAGGCATGGTGGCTCATGCCTGTAATCCCAGCAATTTGGGTGGCCTAGGCAGGTGGATCACGAGGTCAGGAGATTGAGACCATCCTGGCCAACATGGTGAAACCCCGTCTCTACTAAAAATACAAAAATTAGCTAGGTGTGGTGGCACGTGCCTGTAGTCCCAGCTACTTGGGAGGCTGAGGCAGGAGAATCGCTTGAACCCAGGAGGCGAGGGTTGCAGTGAGCCGAGATCATGCCAGTGCACTCCAGCCCGGTGACAGAGACTCCATATCAAATTATATATATATATATATATACACACACACACACACACACACACATATATATATACACATATATATATACACATACATATGTATATACATACGTATGTATATGTGACTTGATAGCATATTTGTTATGTTTCATGTAATGCATTTACTTTGTCAGTATACTACCACAGCACAGTGAATAAAACCTCTGTACCAGAATGTCTTACAATTTATGTAGGCACCATAATGAGATAACTAATTTCTGAAATTGACTTCTATAAATGTCCTCAATCAATTCAAACTCAACTCTTGAAGAGAGAGCAAGAGAGAGAAAAAGAGAAAGAATATGAATATAAACACAATTAAAGTGCAAACATATTTGTACATGTTTAACAAGAAAGAGAACACTTGAAGAAGTACAGAGTGGCTCAATGTGACTATTCGTAGGTAAACAATGGGAAACGAGGCTAAACCTTAGGCAAAGATCAGACTTTGAAGAGTGTTTGTACCATGCTAAAGTTTACAGAATTTATTCCTGCTCTTTGAGGGTGCATTGCAAATCCAGGCTAGAGGGAGAGATACCAGTTAGGAGAGTACAGCAATACTCTACTGGGAAATGGTGAGGTGTTTCGTGAAGACAATGGCAACACAGATGAAGACATGCAGATGGAGGAAATAAAGATCCAGTTGAGCTTGTTGGCCAGTTGGATAGAGGTTGAGGTTATGCATGATGGAGCAATCTAGGTTTTTGTCTTGGGTAGGTGTTTCCATGATAGTACTCAGAATGAATCATATAGTTGTACAGGTTGAATCCCACCCATGTTTGCACAATAGAGTGACTGTCTAGCTGAAATCCAGATGACACTCTGTATGCTAAGCTATGCTTCATGGAACTGTATAAAGGCACTTGCTACATAGGCTAGTGGCAGATCTGGAAGTAACCTATATGGTATATAGGAAATGAGGTGGCTTTTGTATAAATCCTACAGATAAATTTCATTTCCTGATCCTATTATTTTGACTCATGTTAGCCCAAGAAGAGTATTCAGTACTTCATATCCCTGAAGGTAAGACAGAGTAGTATTAGATTCACTATTTGGCAAATAAAAGGGATCAAGTCCTAAGATCAAGCTGATGAATCAACACCTCATAGGATATGTCCCAACCAATTATATGGCTTCCCCTATAAATAAAATCTAGTTCTCTTCTCTGGAGAGGAACAGTGAAGAATATCATAACCTATGCTACAAACTGCTTGAGTAGGAGCTACTTCTCTCCAAGGCTTTATATCATTCATTCTGGCAGGCCCCTCTGTTTGTTCTCACCAGCTCCTGGGAAATTTATTTCTCCTCTAGTGATATAAAAGCTCTCTGTTTGAGATGAAGGGCTGCCCAGTTTATCAGATCTGTATTAGTCTGTTCTCAGGCTGCTAATAAAGACATACCTGAGACTGAGTAATTTATGAAGGAAAGAGGTTTAATTGACTCACAGTTCCACATGGCTGGGGAGGCCTCACAATCATGGCGAAAGACTAATAAGGAGCAAAGTCACATCTTACATGGCTGCAGACAAGAGAGCATGTGCAGGGGAACTGCTCTCCATAAAACCATCAGATCTTGTGAGACTTGTTCACTATTACAAGAACAACAGACAGGAAAACCCGCCCCCTCAATTCAATTACCTGCCACTGGGACCCTCCCACAACACATGGGGATTATGAGAGCTACAATTCAAGATGAGATTTGGGTGGGGATACCGCCAAACCATATGAAGTTCTTTCTTTGTTACTGGGTACCATATCCATTCTGTTGAGGTTCTGAGCCTTTCCAGTTACTGTAACTCCTCTATCTCCTGTCTGTGCTAAGACTCAGTGACCTCTCTCTGCCTTGCTTCTGCTTTGTCCTGACCCTTTCTGTGCATGCACTCACTCTAGTTTGCCCACCTGAGGTGAGAGATGGTCCAGATTAGCAACAACAATCTGTGGACTAAAATCCTCTTTAGGGAGGAAGCAAAATTCAGATGGATGTTACTAAACAAAGCTCAGAAACAGAGACCAGGGTGT
This sequence comes from Homo sapiens, assembly GCF_000001405.40. NCBI lineage: Eukaryota > Metazoa > Chordata > Mammalia > Primates > Hominidae > Homo > Homo sapiens. The sequence continues at coordinate 78,097,083 of NC_000012.12, forward strand.
GGGAAGTAAGGTAGTAGCCTGAGAGCAGCTGGCAGTGTTTTAGACCTGGAGGGAGGTTAGGTCATCAGCAATGAGGAGACTGCCTGGAAAATCCTAGAAAATTAAGACATCTGGTCAGGCAAGGTCATATCACCAGCACACTTCCCTTTTCAAGTTGAATCCCTTTCCTCTGTTAAGAGGATTCAAGTGTCTTTCTTGCATTTTGTCTTCTCTTCTATATCCATGCTTGCAATATAAGGAGACAGCAGTTGGCTGTTTGTGCTAGAAAATATAAATGGCCATTTTGAAAGCATGCCAGACAGGATCTGCGGCAAGTTTTCAATGTTACTGCTGCCATCTGTTGTTCTTCAGTGCTGGGATGTGAATCTCTTGGCAAACATCTCTCTAATTCTGAACTATCTTTCACCCCCATCTAGAGATATTCACTTACTGAAGTGCCTTTTTAAAGCAATGTTCCTCACCAAGGCGATGTTCTGAATGTTTTAAAATGGAAGAATCTGGAATGTTTTTATTATAATACATTTTGTATATCCCAAAGCAAAAATCAATTTCTTCATGGTTAATACTTTTGTAATTTTGTTTTTAATAATATTTTCCTTTTAAATATAAGAAATATTTTATTGAATTAATACTTTAATGTAGCTGTTTCAAGTAAGATAAAACAGAACAGATTACTGTTTTCAACCTTGTTCACAGTTAGCTCTGTAACTAAGTTGTTGAGCTTTATCTAAGCTTTTTTATTTTTACATAACGTTTCCCTTTTCACTTAACCTTGAAATTATAGTAATTTGGGAACTTCTATTCCTCTGAAAGAGAAAGCTAATGCCAAAGATATTTCAAGGGAGAAAGAAGGTTTTTAAAAGGAGAGACAATTTAGCTCAGACTTAATAGCTGTGATTGCTATTTATTAAGCAGAACGCCTATAACTAAATTCTCAGATATCCAAAAAACAGCCTGTACATTCTCAAAAGTGAAGATTACACATTTTCTAAGTTAAGGTAAAAGTTTTGTCTCTGTAGCATCTTACTGATTTCTATCTTCTCATTCTGCCTTAATAATGTCACTAAATAAATGTTTGATGCACTAATACATGAATAAAACTATTCATGGTAATGATTCTTTAGAAACACAGCTAAGTTTTGTAATTTTGTTTTTTAAAAATTAAAAATTTAAATATAAAAATGTTTTTAAAAGGCTTGAATTTCTTGTTAAATGTACACATTTTAAGTTGTAGGCTGTCTTTAAAAATAATCTCTCCACACACTGTAGTATTTAAAACATCATGATATTACTATAAAACATCAACAAATAGGGCAGTGGAAAACATGGTAATCACTAAAAATGCTCACATGTCATATATTAAGACTTGATAAGTAAACCACAATAATAAATAGAAAAGAAATAGTTGTCTAAAAAGGGATTCTCACCTTTCAAACCTTACCATAAAAATGGAATATAAAAGAAGGAAGAGGAGGAGAAATCAAATTATATCATAAAATTTTCTGGGCAAAAATATTACAGAAGAAAATAAGAAAGATTTATGGAGTTGACTGAAACATTTTTGAATCCTATACATAAAAATATCGTTAATTAAAAGGAAAAACAAAGAAACAGATTTGGGAAATATTTGAAACTGGTTTTTTTTTAGCATTTAAAAATGTAATACAAATGGATTATTTAAACTCCATTGCAAAAATACACAAAGGACATTGACAATGTCTGGAAATAAAATTAGCTAAGTAAGTTATAGAAAAACTCAGTCTCACAATTTGACAAATGTAACTGAAAACTATTAATATAATTAGTAACTATTTTTACATGTCAAAATTTTTGAATTACTAAAGGAAACCACAATGCCTGAAAGTATCCAGGGTTTTTTTTTTTTTTATAATATTGGCACTGTCATATGGGTGGCAGGAATTGAAGTGATGTTGTTTCTTCAGTTATTAAGTTGCATCTGCAGTGTTTCAAATGTCCAAAACCTGTGAGTCAGTAATTCTCTTTTTGTATATTTATCCTAATACAATAATTCTAAACATAATCTCAATATATATGTACAAAGTTATTCACTGCAGTGTTACTTACAATAGTTAGAAAATTGTAAAATGCTTTATGCATCTTAAAATATAAATTGTTGAATATATAATAGTCCATATGATATAATTATATCATTATTATAAATAATGAATTAGAAAATAATTTAAGAGCATTAAAATAATTATAAGGTAATATGAAGTGAATGAATAATGTACAGATACTATAATCAGCAGAGTGTTAACTAGGTAAATTTTTATGTGTGTATATACTACTTCCTAAAAATGACTTGACAGAAATCATCAAAATGCTAATGGTGGTTACTTCTGGGTGGGAATACAGATGATTTACTTTGTTCCTTTTATGTATTTCTGCACTGCCCAGTCTTCCACAGTGAGCATATATTGGTTTTTAAATTTATATAAGATGGAAAAAGATACCAAATGGTCTTCAATGAATCCTGGAGTTAACTTTCATGTGTGTCATATGTTATATTCTAAACTTATCACAAATAGAAGACTTTAAATCAACTTGTACCTATTTCAACTATATAACAGCATCTTTAAAATGAGCATTGAATTAAACTACCAAAACCAACCATCATGAGGATTATTCAAGTAATGTGTTTAAACAAAAGAATTTGTAATAAAATTACTTTATCTCCTTTGTGATTTCAGCCCATTTAAAAAAAATAGATGTTTCTACTCTCCTTCAGATATCATTAAAACATAAACTTGTGCCTGACTGCATAAATCCCTTTTAAACTAATATCACTTATTACGTTTAACTAAGTCTACCTAGGGCTTCCTTGTATAAAGAACAAGAGCTTTCCATTTTTTGTTTACCTAGCCCTTTCTGATGCCACGACAGAATAGCTGTAAATCTTCATTATTTATATTCTAGAGAAAATAAAAGCAAATAAAAAGGTCAGTGTATAAAGTTTATTGGTTGTTCTCTTTACTCAAAACCCACATGGTATTAATGTTAGTCTCTATGAATATTTCATGGATAAAATCAGAGCATTAAGTGCATACTAAAAACAATAAGAATGGAAAGACTTTAACCTTATGTTTATATGAATTTCTAGGTTATCAAGAAGTTTATAGGCTATAGGCTATAAAGTCTTAGGCTATGATATAGTAACCTAATGTAGACTTCCCTTGATACATGAAAATAATGGTACTAAGTACAAACAGAAGATGAGCTTAAAATTATTCTTTGAGTCCTCTTGATGGATTTTTTCCCCCACACTTTCCCCAAAATTGTTTTATGCCTATATTGTAGGAGACCATGCAAGAGACCTAGAGTCTCTTTTTCTTTCATCACTTTCCAATCAACAGCAAATCCTATCATTTTTACCACAAAATATATCTTGAAACTCCCTTCTTTTGATTTACTTGTAACTCCCCATCAAAAACTGAAGAGTGTCACAATACTTCATTAAGTTCCCTACTTGCACTCTACCTTTAATATATTTGTAGCACTAAAATGTTTTTAAAACATATATCTGCTTATGTCATTTTACTGCTCAATACTATCTGATTTTCTATTGCACTTCTAAGATACTCTAATTTCTTAGCACTCTATATAAAATCCTTTAAGGGCTTCCCTGCTCACCTTTTCAGACTCAGAACTATGTATTTCCTTTTGCCTGCTGTACTTGTACCACTGGATTCTTGATTTTTGTTACTTCCAGGTTTTTACACTTATTTTTACAATAAATGTGAAATACCCTTTTTGACAATATCTACAAATATTTCTTATTTGTCTTTATTGCTCTTTCCTGTAATGTTTAGTCTTCATTTTCCTGATAATGGCTATCTAAAGTTATCTCCTCAAAGAAGCAGTTATTTATTCACCCAAATCTTCTAGTCCTTCTCTGGAGTTTTCTTCTCACTTCATTCCCTTGGTTTTTGCCACAATTTGTAATAATTTGCAATTTGGAGTGTTAGAATGAGGGAATAAATCACAGGTAATGACTATAGTTTGTGACTATGTAAGATTGGATTCGTTATTGATTTATTCCACAAACACTGAGGCACTGCATTTAGCCAAATGCCAATCTTGGGCAGTGAGACTCTGAAAGAGAATCTGCTTCCCCCACCATAAACTACAAAGTGAAACAACTCAGAATGTACATAAATTACAGAATGAAAGCACACTAGAAGTAAACACAGATGTGGAAGAGGTAAAGTGTCCTTGAAAATCATGGAAAGATTCATAAAGGGAATGACATTTCAACTGGATTCTAAACCAGTTATTCAAGCTCCACAAGGTTGCACAGTAAATGAGCAGTGGCAGGATGACATACCTTAGAAAGTAAAAGGAATCTTTTTTAAACTGCTATAAAAATCATTACATATACATTTTGTAGGTCGAGAGTAAGGTATTTAACATAAAATCATTTTAGTATATCAGTGTTTATATAGACTTAGGTTTTTCTCATTTAAAACCTCTTTTAATGACTTGTGCTTTTCTTCATGGTAATAAAACATTTTCCCAGGAAGTGCTGAATAAATCTTTCTTGAAATACGTTTTATTGCTTTCTATCAATGACCCTGAAGTAATACAGAATTTACACTTCAGCGGTTGCAATGCTCAAACTTGACAGGTAATGCACTGTGTTTGCTGATATAAGAGGTATGATGTAGGGCTAAGTGGTTTTGTGCTCATTTAGCTTTCAGGAGAAAATAATTGACTTAACATTTTGATACTAAAACCCAAAGCCTAACAGTTAATTCTTGGTATTTTAAATTATTATTGCAAAGATTATTGTGCCGAATAATATGAAAATATTTTATATAATATTTAAAAAGTATATCTCTTTCTTGGTATTATTTAAATTACCATAAAAATGTGCGAAAAAGTTATACTGAAATGTGATAGGATCTTTTAAAAGTGGTGCCTTGATTTTGTTAAGTGTTACCTAGTTTTCCTCTGAAAACAAGAAACATACCCAGAAGTTTTCACGAAATGGTCTCATGAATATCTAAGGTTAGTCCATAGTCTCATCTGAGACAAGGAAAGTCCCTTCCACTATGAGCCTGTAAAATCACAAGCAAGCTAGTTACTTCCTAGATACAATGGGAGTACTGGTATTGGGTAAACACAGCTGTTTCAAATGGGAGAAATTGGCCAAAATTAATGGGTTACAGGGCATGCAATTCCGAAATCCATCTGGGCAGTCAAATTGTAAAACTCCAAAATGATCTCTTTTGACTCCATGTCTCACATCCAGGACATGCTGATGCAAGAGATAGGTTCCCATAATCTTTGGCAGCTCTGCCCCTGTGGCTTTGCAGGGTATAGCACCCCTCCCAGCTGCTTTCACAGGCTGGCATTGAGTGTCTGTGGCTTTCCCAGGAACAAGGTGCAAGCTGTTGGTGGATCTACCATTCTGGGGTTTGGAGGATGATGGCCCTCTTCTCATAGCTCCACTAGGCCGTGCTCCAGTAGAGACTCTGTGGGGGCTCTGACCCCAGATTTCCCTCCTGCACTGCCCTAGCAGAGATTCTTCATGAGGGCCGTGCCCCTGCAGAAAACTCTTTCCTGGGCATCCAGGCATTTCCATACATCTGAAATCTAGGTGGAGGTTCCCAAACCTCGATTCTTAATTTCTGTGCACCTGCAGGCTCTCTACCACGTGGAAGCTGCCAAGGTTTGGGGCTTGCACCCTCTGAAACCACAGGCTGAGCTATACCTTGGCCCCTTTTAGCAATGGCTGGAGTGACTGGGACACAGGGCACCAAGTCTCTAGGCTGCACACAGTATGGGCACCCTGGGCCCAGCCCTCAAAATCATTTTTTCCTCCTAGGCTTCTGGATCAGTGAAGGGTGGGGCTGCCATGAAGACCTATGACATGCCCTGGAGACATTTTCCCCATTGTCTTGGGGATTAACACTGGCTCCTTGTTACTTATGCAGATTTCTGCAGCCAGCTGAATTTCTCCTCAAAAAATGGGTTTTTCTTTTCTACTGCATTGTCAGGCTGCAAATTTTCTGAACTTTTATGCTGTTTCCCTTTTAAAATGCGATGCTCTAACAACACCCGTCACCTCTTGAATGCTTTGCTGCTTAGAAATTTCTTCTGTCAGATACCCTAAATCATCTCTCTCAAGTTCAGAGTTCCACAAATCTCTAGGGCAGGGGCAAAATGCCACCAGTCTCTTTGCTAAAACATAACAAGAGTCGCCTTTGCTCCAGTTCTCAGCAAGTTCCTCATCTCCATCCGAGACAACCTCAGCCTGGTCCTTATTGTTTATATCACTATAAAAATTTTTGTCAAAGCCATTCAACAAGTCTCTACTCCAAACTTTCCCACATTTTCCTGTCTTCTTCTGAGCCCTCCAAATTGTTCCAGCCTCTGCCTGATACACAGTCCCAAAGTTACTTCCACATTTTTGGATATCTTTTCAGCAATGCCCCGCTCTACTGGTACCAACTTACTTTGTTAGTCCGTTTTCACACTGTTGATAAAGACATACCCAAGACTGGAAAGAAAAAAAGGTTTAATTGGACTTACAGTTCCACATGGCTAGGGAGGCTTCACAATCATGGCAGGAGGCAAAAGGCATTTCTTACATGATGGCAGCAAGAGAAAATGAGGAAGATGCAAACGCAGAAATCCCTGATAAAACCATCGGACCTTGTAAGACTTATTCACTACCACTAGGACAGTATGGGTGATACCACCCCCATGATTCAAATGATCTCCAACCAGGTGCCTCCCACAACACATGGGAATTATGGGAATACAATTCAAGATGAGATTTGGGTAGGGACACAGAGCCAAACTATATCACATGGATTTCTTATACTTTTGCTTTTAATAACACAAACAAAAAAATACATCATTAAAAGGTTAGAAGTGAGAAGGTGTTTTTATGGAAATCAAAAATAATATCACCTTAGTGAACAGTATTCTTATGATTGTAGTTGAATTAGAGAGCAGAATACATCTAGAAGATTCAGTAGTAAGCATGTTTCTTCGATTAATGGAAAATTTGAATAGCCTAGCTGATTGAGATTGAGGTTACTATTAAATGCCTGAAGTATAAGAGTTGGTTGTTTATGTAAACAAAATATCTGTTTTACATGTACATGTGTAAGTAGGACTGTTGAGCCCCAGTAACATGAAATATCAAAGAGCATGACTCGAATACCTGCCATATGAAGTGCTATTACATCAAAAAAGAGGCGTGTGCTGAAAAATTACCTACAAATGGCATTTTCCTCAAATCAATTTTAAATCTTCAGAATTTCATTTTAATAATTGTTTAGTTAATATTTCAGAATCCCTCATCATAAAAAGCAGGCAAAAGGCAAAAGTCCTTGAATGTATAACACATTTGTTTTCAAACAAGCCTGCCTCTAACTGTGAATCCAGGAGTGAATCCAGAACTACAAATTAACTAAGATTGGCCCCATCGAGTTACTGAACGTTAAAAATCTAAAAACTAAAAGGCATGCCTCAACAATTATTTTCTTCTTGGAATCATTAATTAACCTATGTGTATCCAAACAATAATCTTCCAGCAGTTTCGCTAGCTACATTTTTAATTACTTAATATCATGTAAAATTTGTTTTATTATTGTTCAGTTCTGAATTTTGACATATGCATCAAGCCATGCAACTGCTACCACAGTCTTCCTGATCACTGATCTGTTCTAAATCTCTATAGCATTTTTCCTTTTCTTAAATGTTGCATAAATAAAACCATACCTTATGTGGCCTTTTGAATCTGGCATCTTTAACTTAATGCGCTTGAAATTAATCTATGTCATTTCATGTATCAATGGCTCAATCTTTTTAATTGTTAAGAAAAAATGTATGCTGGGATAAATATCTTTCTAAATGAGTTTTTGTTCACAATGCTGAGTGTTTGTTTAGGATAGATTCCTAGAAATGGTATCACTAGGTCAAACATTCAAATAATTTTAAAATATTTGATACATATTGCCAAATAATCTCAAATTTTTTACCAATATACATTTATGACAGTATGGGATAAATGTGTCTTTCTTATACCAACTGACAACATTAATGATAATACATAAAATATTCTTTGCTAATTTGATGGGACAGAAATGTTATATCCTTATTAGCATTTTATTATTGTGGTTGAATGACTGTACTGTACAGCCAGAGATATTTGGTTCAAAATCCATCTTCATTATTTACTGTATGTGAAAATTTAGGTGAGCTATTTAATCTCTTGATGCCTTAGTCTCCTAATCTATAAAGTGGGGATAATTGTACCAATCATATTAGGTTCCTGTGAGAATTAACTGAATTACTATAGAAAATGCTTAGAATGGTATCTAGTCACCAGGAAGGACTCTCTCTGTATTACTTGTTTATTATCTAACACGTTTAATTATTAATGAAGCTCAGTTTCGTTATATGCTTGGGATATTTGAAACTTTTCTTAGTGAATTTTCCAATAAAATTATTTGTCTATTTTTCTATGGACAAGTTGGTATTATTCTTACTGGTTTGTTTCAGGTTCAGTTAGTAAGAATTTTAAGGATTTTCTATCACATTTTAGCAAACTTTTTCTGCATTTTATCTTTTTTCTTTCAGATAATGTTTGCAAAATGTAAAAAAAACAAAAGGTTTCTTCATCAAGTTGGTATCTTTATCTTTTTTATTGCTTTGTGATTTGAAAATTCTTGTCCTGAGAACCAAAATATATATTTGATGAAATAGTTCTCTTCTTTTACTCATTCTGAAGTCATTGGAATTGAATTTGGCATATGATATAAATCCTAATTTTATATTTTATGATATTCAAAATTTCTAACAAATATTTACTTAATAATCTAATCCAGGTTTCTATTGTTTCTTCTGTTTCCTTTATAATGCTTTTTCTGAAGTTATTTTTCCTAGACTTAAATATTAGTATAATATTATCATAGAGGAAAAAATATCTGTTAGCTATGAATAAAAGGCTTTCATCTTATTGTTGCATTAATATATTTAAATGTAGAGAGCATACAGATTAGCAAAGAAAAAGTATAATTGCCTTTTTTTATAGTTGACATGAACATGTATAAAGAAAAGCCAAAAAAATCAATAAAACAACTAGAACTTATTAGTGAATTTAGCAAGATCATAGCATACAAAGCCAAGATTCAAAATTCCATTTTATTTATCTACTAACAAAAACTATTTGAAATTTGAAAATTTAAATATGCCATTTACAATAACATCAAAATATTGAACAATAAAGTATTTAGGAATTTATAAAATGAAATCTCCTATACCAGGAATTACAGACCATTGCTGAAATAAATGAAAGAAGACCAATATATGTGAAGAGATACTCATTTGTGGATTGAGAGACAATATTGTTAAAGTATCAGTATTTCCCAAATTAATCAATAGATTCAATATAATGGTGAACAGAACACCAGAAGATGTTCTGTCGAAGCTGACAAGCTATTTCTATAATTCAAATGGAAATGCAAAAGGCAGTCACTGCCAACACCAGCATGGACTGTCTGGGTTCCAGTAGGTTACTTCACTACTGCCTCTTCTGTCAGCCACATCACGACAGCTGCCCAGAAGCCAGAGAAACTCCTCACACCTGGCCCACTGCTGCAGCTACCAGCATCCAGGCAAGCCACCATCAGCCCACTGGTAACTGCCAACAGAGGTACCACTGTACACTACCCTGGGGAACAAAGATAGGCATGTAGTCAGCCCACCTCTGCCACCACTAGGGCCTGAAGCCTGGCCCACCTGACACTGCAGTCCTCAGCACAGCTTCATCACAGCTTCTGTTAATAACCACACCCTAACCTACCAAGGAAATCACAAATGTCACTGACACTGTTTGTAGCCAAAGAAATCATAGAGAGACTACATTACTGCACACACCCATAATCAAAGCCACAGTACCCTATCCAAACAACATCACAGGTATATCTAAAGGAAAAAATTTTCCCATATGAAAGCGAATTCAAATATAGGAAGAAGCGACTGTTACAACAGATATGCAGATAAAGCTTCAACAATATCCTACATTCAACCAGAAGAAAGAATCTCAGAAGGTAAAGACAGGTCTTCTGAAATAATCTAGTCAGACAAAATTAAAAGAGAATAATCAAATCCTTCCTGACATTTGGGATAACATTAAAGTGACCAAATATACGAATTATAGATACCCCTGAGAGTGAAAAGACAAAGAAAAGATTAGAAAACCCACTTAATTAAATAATATATGAAAACTTCCTAAGTCTAGCAAGAGTTTTAGATATTTGGGATGCAGGAGGCTCAATGGTCCCCAGGCCGATAAAACGCAAAAAGGTCTTATACACAGCACATTACAATCAGACTGTTTAAAGTCAAAGATAAGGAATAAATTCTAAAAACAGCAAGAGAAAGTGTATGATAACCTATGAAGTAAACCTTATCAGACTGACAGCAAATTTCTGGCAGAAACTTTACAGGCCAGAAAGAATAGGACAATATATTCAAAGTGCTTAAAGAAAAAAAAAACTATCAGCCTTAAATACTATAGCCCACAAAATTATCCTTCATAAATGAAGGAGAAATAAAAGGTTTCCCAGACACGAAAATGCTGAGGTAGTTTGTTACTACTAGACTGGACCTACAATAAATGCTCAAGGGAGGTCTGGAAACTAGTAGTGAAAGGACGACATTTATCATCATGAAAATACATGAAAGTATAAAACTCCCTGGTAAGCAACTAAAGGGAGGTATCAAATGTTACCACCAGAGAAATCTAACTAACCACAATGACAAACAATAAGGGAAAAAGAAAGGAACAAAAATATATAAGACAACGAATAAACAACAATATAACAGGAAGCCTCACATATCAGTAATCACTTTGAATGTAAATGAATTACATTCTCCACCTAAACGTTATGAAATGCCTGAATGATAAAACTATATGATCCAAATATATGCTGATTACAAGAAACTTACCAGGCAGACATACATAGGCTGAAAGTAAAAGAATGGTAAAAGATATTCCTTGCAAATGGAAAGCAATAGTGAGCAGGAGTAGCTATACTTAAATTAGATCATACAGACTTTAAGTCAAAAAGAGTAAAATAAAAAAGACAAAGGATGTTATTATATAATGATGAGATTAACCCAGCAATAGGAAATAACAACTCTAAATGTATATGCATTCAACACTAGAGAACTCAGATCCACAAAGCAAATATTAGACCTAAAGAGAGAAATAGACTGCAATACAGTAATAGTGGAGAACTTCAACACTCCACTTTCAGTATTAGACAGATAATCTAGGCAAAAAATCAACCAGTAAATTTTAGATTTAAACTAGATTTTAGACCAAATGGACCTAACAGACATTTACAAAACATTCCATCCAACCACTGCAAAATGAAATTTGTGTCATCAGCACATGAAACAATGTCCAAGATAGACCACCATATGTTAGGCCACAAATCATGTCTCAGCAATTTTTTAAAAGTTGAAATCATATCACATATCTTCTCAGACCACTGTTGAATAATGCTAGAAATCAATGCCAAGAATAACGTTGGAAACTATACAAATACATGCAGATTAAACAACATGTTCCTGGTTGATCACTGGGACAATAAGGAAATTAAGCTGAAAATCAAAAAATTCTTGTAACAAATAAAGATTGAAACATAACATATCAAAACCAGTGGCATACAGCAAAAGCAGTGCTAAGAGGGAAGTTTATAGCAATAAATGCTTACACTGAAAAAGTAGAAATATTTTAAAATTAGCAACCTAACAATGTGCCTGAAGAAACTAAAAAATCAAGAACAAATCAAACCCAAAATCAGCAGAAGAAACACAATAATAAAGATCAGAAAAGAACTAAATCAAATAGAGACTAAAAAAATACAAATGATTAACAAAACTAAAATTTGGTTATTCAACAAGATAAATAAAATTGATAAACCACTAGATAGACTAAACAAGGAAAAAGAATATCCAAATAAACACAATCAAAAACGATAAAGGAGACATTACAACAGATGCCACAGAAATAAAAAGGATCATCAGAGACTATTATTAACAACTATATGCTGAAAAATGGAAAATATAGAGAAATAGATAAATTCCTAGAAACTTACAACCTACCAAGCTGTTGCATCAGGAAGAAATAGAAAACCTGAACATATCAGTAATGATTAGCAAAATTGAATCAGTAATAAAAAACATCTCCCAACTCTTTTAAAGCTTTGGACCAAATAGCATCACAGCCTAATTCTACCAATCATGCAAAGAAGAATACCAGTCTTCTTGATGCTATTACAATAAATCAGAGGAAGGAATTCTCTCTGGCTCATTCTACATGACCAGTGTCACCTTGAAACCAAAACCTGACAAGGACACCACAAAAAGAAAACTACAGGCCAATAACCATGATGAACACAGATGCAAAAATCATTAACAAAATACTGGCAAACGGAATCCAACAGCACATCAAAAAAATAATATACCACAATCCAGAGGGTTTGTATCAAGGATACAAGTATGACTCAATGTAAATAAATCAATAAACATGATAAGCATCTTCACAGAATATAAGACAAATGAATATATGATCATCTCAATAGATGCAGAAAAAAATTTTTGATAAATTTCAACATCTCTTCATGAAAAAAAACTCTAAAACTCAGCATAGAAGAAACATACCTCAATATAATAAAGGCCATATGTGACAAACTCAGAGCTAATATCATACAGAATGGGGCAAAGTTTAAAGACTTTCCTCTAAGAACTGGAACAAGACAAGGATGCAAACTCTCACCACTCCTATCCACATAGTACTAGAAGTCCTAGCCAAAACAATCAGACAAGCAAAAGAAATAAAAAGTATCTAAATTGGGAAGAGCAAGTAACATTGTTCCTCTTTGCTGATGATATGGTTTTGTATCTGGAAAATACTAAAAACTCCAGCAAAAACCTCTTAGATTTGATTAATTAATTTAGTAAAGTTTCAGGATACAAAATAAAAATACAAAAGTCAGTAGCATTTCTATGCCCCAATAATAAAATAGCTAAGAAAGAAATCAAGAAAGTGATCCCATTTAAATTAGCTACAAAAAATTAAAATACCTGGGAATAAATCAAGGAAGTTAAAGATCTCTGCACAAAACTACAAAACACTGATGAAAGAAATTAAGGATTAAACAAACAAATTGAGAAACATCCCATGTTTATGGATCAAAAGAATTAATATCATTAAAATGACCATACTTCCCAAAGCAATTTCCACATTCAATGCAATTTCTACCAAATTACCAATGTCATATTTCATAGAATTAGAATAATCCTAAAATTAGTATGGAATGAGAACAGAGCCCAAATAGCCAAAGCAATTCTGAACATAAAGAACAAATCTGGTCCTGACTTAATCACTATGCAATCTATGCATGTAACAAAATTGAACATGGATTTTATCAATTTGTACAAATAAAAAAATGTAAAAAAAGAACAAAGCTGGAGACTATAGTAGCCAAAACAGCATGGTATTTTTAGACAAATGGTATGGAATAGAAAGCTCAGAAATAAAGCCATATATATATATATATAGTGTGTGTGTGTGTATACACACATACATGTATATATAATGTGTATATATAATGTTTTCTACATGTTCTAATATTTATATTCCATTCCATTATACATATTCCATTTCTGTATATAGGTTATATAGAATTGGAAGACTATCTGCCATTAAAAAGAATGAAATCCTGTCATTTGCAGCAACATGGTTGAAACTGGAGTTCATTATCTTAAGTGAAATAATCTAGGCACAAAAAGATAAATATCACATGTTCTCACTTATATGTGGGAGCTAATAACTTGATTACATGAAGGTGGAGAATGGAAAGGTAGGTAGGAAACAGAGACTGGAAAGGATGAATGGAGGGTAGGAGGGAAGGTGAAGAGAAGAGAGTTAAAAAGTGTAAACATATAGTTAAAAGAAATAAATTCAATGCTTGATAGCAGAGTACAGTGACTACAGTTAACAAAATGTATTATACTCAGGTGATGAACACCTAAATACTTGATCACTATGCAATTATATACGTGTAACAAAATCACTATGCACTATATACGTGTAAAATTAAATGCGTACAAATAAAAATAATAAAATACTAATCCAGTATCATTCACTGACAATGTTAACTCAGGTGGATAGGCATTAAGTCAATACTACTATAAGAACCACTTCTTGTTTATGTTAATGCCATATAGAATGAAATAAAATTCACTAAAATCCAAAAAATTAGAAAAACTATCAAAACTCAATAATATTAAGACAACCCAATAAAAATGTGGTCAAAGGATTTGAACATACATGTCACCAAAAAATATATTCAAATTTCCAATAAATACATGTAACAATGTTCGACATCGTTAGTCATCAGAGAAATACAAAATAAAATGGTAATGAAATACTACTAGATAGGCTTTTACAGAGACTGACAATACCAAGTATTGACAAGGATATGGAGCAACTGAAATTCTCATTCCTTGTGGTAAGAATGTACAATTATATAACCACATTGAAAAAACAAGTTTTCAGTTTCTTTATTCACCCAAAATATATGTCTTTTGGAAAAAATTTTTTCCAGTCTGTGGGTTGTCTTCTCATTCTCTTGATATATGTCTTTTCAAAGAGGCTGAGCTTTACTTTAGACAGTGGTCATCAAAGTGTGTATATTTGTGTTTTTATAATTTATATGCATATATTCCTGTGAAAAGATACTGTATGCATTGTTCAACATGTACAAATATAAGAAAGATATAGTAAAGAAATATATATTTCTAAATTTATAAATGTATTTATTGGTGTTCCACGTTGCAAACTAAATAATCTACGTTGGCTAATTTAAGGAATTAAACTATAGTAGAAGGTTCTCATTTATTGGGATGATTAGAACCAGCCTTTTTGCAGGCTATTAGCGAATCATAGCACTAGGGCTTCACTGCTACCTCCACTGACACCTCTGACACTTGAAACTTGAGGCCAGATATCTGCCCATGCTGATAGAAAACAACTGAATAATTTAATTTGCTAGATAATAGAAAAGAATCAAATGACTCTGCCACATTGCTTGCCAGAAGATTGTTTTTCTCATTTGTGACCTCTTGCCTATAAATGATAGATAGTCCCTGTGCTGCATGCTATAGGTGTTCGTAAGAGAGTCTGGGAATGTGAGCTTTTTATATCCTATTTTTGGGTGGTAAAGGTCATTCTATTAGTCTGTTCTTAAACTGCTAATGAAGACATACCCCAAATTGGGTACTTTATGAAAGAAAGAGGTTTAATTGACTCACAGTTCAACATGACTGGGGAGGCCTAAGGAAAGTTATAATCATGGGGGAAGGGGAAGCACACATGTCCTTCACATGGTAGCAGGAAGGATAATGAGTAAAAGGGGGAAAAACCCCTTATAAAACTATCAAATCCCATGAGAACTCACTCTCACAAGAACACAATTAGAGTAACTGCCCCCATGACTCAATTACTTCCCACCAGGTCCCTCCCACAACACATGGGGCTTATGGGAACTACAATTCAAGATGAGATTTGGGTGGGGACACAGCCACACCATTTCATTCCACCTCTGACCCCTCCCAAATCTCGTGTTCTCACAATTCAAATACAATCATGCCCTTCCAACAGTCCCCCCAAAGTCTTAACACATTTCAGTATTAACACAAAAGTCCAAGTCCAAAGTCTAATCTGAGACAAGGCAAGTCCCTTCTGCCTATGAGCCTGTAAATTCGAAAGCAAGTTAGCTACTTCCTAGATACAATAGGGTCACAGTCATTGGGTAAATACACAGATTCCAAACGGGAGGAATTGACCAAAACCAAGGGGCTACAGGCCTCATGGAGGTCCAAAATCCAATAGGGCCATTGTTAAACCTTAAAGTTTCAAAATTATCTCCTTTGACTTCATATCTCACGTCTAGGTCATGATTATGCAAGAGGTGGGCTCCCACAGCTTTGGGCAGCTCTGCCTCTGTGGCTTTGCAGGGTACAGCCCCACTCCAGGCTGCTTTTACAAGCTAGTGTTGAGTGCCTGCAGCTTTTCCAGGCACATGGGTGCAAGCTGTAGGTGGATCTACCATTCTGTGGTCTGGAGGATGGTGGCCTTCATCTCACAGATCCACTAGGCAGTACCCCAGTGGGGACTCTGTGTGGGGGCTCTGATCCCACATTTCCCTTCCACACTGCCCTAGCAGAGGTTCACCATGAGGGCTCCACCGCTGCAGCAAACTTCTGCCTGAACATCCAAGCATTTCCTTACATCCTCTGGAATCTAGGCGGAGGTTTCCAGACCTCAATTGTTGACTTCTCTGCAAATGTAGGCTCAACACCCCATGGAAGCTGGCAAAGCTTGGGGCTTTCACCTTCTGAAGCCATGGCCTTAGCTGTACCTTGGCCCTTATTAGTTAAAGCTGGAGCAGCTGGGTTGCAGGGCACCAAGTCCCTATGGTGCATACAGCAGGGGGGCCCTGGACCCAGCCCACAAAACCAATTTTCCCTCCTAGGCTTCTGGGCCTGCGATGAGTAGGGTTGCCACAAAACTGTCTGACATGCCTTGGAGACATTTTCCCTATTGTCTTATTAAGATTTGGCTCATAGTTACTTATGCAAATTTCTGCAGCAGGCTTGAATTTCTCCTCAGAAAATGAGTTTTTCTTTTCTATGGCATCATCAGGTTGCAAATTTTTAAAACTTTTATGCTCTGCTTCCCTTTTAAAATTAAGTTCCAATTCCAAACCATATCTTTCTGGATACATAAAACTGAATGCTTATAACAGCACCCAAATCATATCTTGAACACTTTGCTTCTCAGAAATATCTTCTACCAGATACCCTAAATTATCGCTCTCAAGTTCAAAGTACCACAGATCTCTAGGGCAGGGGCAAAATGCCACCAGTCTCTTTGCTAAAGCATAACAAGAGTCACCTTTGCTCCAGTTCCCAACAAGTTCCTCATCTCCATCTGAGACCACCTTAGCCTGGATTTCATTGTCCATATCATTATCAGCATGTTGGTCAAAGCCATTCAACAAGTCTCTAGGAAGTTTCAAACTTTCCCACATCTTCCTATCTTTTTCTGAGGCCTCCAAACTGTTCCAACTTCTGCCTGTTACCCAGTTGCAAAGTTACTGCCACATTTCTGGGTATCTTTACAGCAGTGCCCCACTCCTGGTACCAATTTACCATATCCATTTATTCTCATGCTGATAATAAAGACATACCCAAGGCTGGGTAGTTTATAAAGAAAAAAGAGGTTTAATTGACTCACAGTTCAGCATGGCTGGCAAGGCCTCAGGAAACAGAATCATGGTGGAAGGGAAGCAAACACATCCTCCTTCACATGGTGGCAGGGAGAAGAATGAGCAAAACGGGGGAAAAACCCTTATAAAGTCATCAGATCTCATGAGAACTCACTCTCTTGAGAACAGCATGAGGGTAACCATGTCCATGATTCCATTACCTCCCAACGGGTTCCTCCCATGACACGTGAAGATTATGGGAACTACTACAATTCAAGAGGAGATTTGGGTGGGGACACAGCCAAACCATGTCAGTCATGATATGAGAAATTATCAAATTAAGATGTAGGGAAGGTTTTTAAAAGATTTGAGCAACCACAAATGACAGATATGTGCTATAGTAGTGCAAAATACCATTTTGCTCTTATTAAAAATATAATTGTTCTTGATAATCTGAATTATAAATGTCATGGATAATTATGATGCATTATGCTCTCAGCAGCTAAAACTTCAAGCAAAATACACACCTAGAGAGGAATCAGCCTTAACAATAATTCTATAAATTTAATTTTCTTTATTTCTGATAGTTACATTTTAGTTGACTTCATATGTGATCTAAATACATTACCATTATTTTGGACTTATGATGTAGCTCTTGAAGTACATATATGATGTAGCTCTTAAAGTACATATAGAAGAGCAGATAAAGTATCAGTTCACCATTTCTTTGTAGTTTGTGCTTTCATGATGAATATTCTCATCAATGTACAGATTATTTGCAGGAGCCTTTTAAATCCATGTGTCCATTTTATGAGACTTAGCTTTTGTCTGTATATAATGTGTTTATTCAGTGTGCATGGATTAATTTGAGAGAGCACAGGTATGGGTATCTTTACAGCAGTGCCCCACTCCTGGCACCAATTTACTGTATTAGTTTATTCTCATGCTACTAATAAAGACTATATATCACAATAAACTGAGAACCAGCTGGTAAATGAGAGAACTGTGGTCCACCTTTTCATTGTGGAGTTCTCATTTTCCTTAGCTTATGCTGCTTATTCAACACTATTTCTGCATAATCTAATGCATTCACTAAATGAAGGTGCTGTGTTAGCCTCCACATGATATTAATACAGCCTATTTAATTTATCCTTCTTTAGATTAAAAATAAATAAGTAGTCATGTGCCACAGAATGACACTTCAGTCATTTGGTCATTGAAGGACCACATCTATTACTGTGGTCCAATAAGATTATAATAACATATTTTTCCTGTACATTTTCATTGTTCTGATATGTTTTGATACATAAATGCTTACCATCGTGTTAGAGTTGCCTGCAGTATTCAGTACAGTAACATGCTGTACACCTAGGAGCAACAGGCTATACCACATACCTTAGGTGTATAGTTAGGTTATACCATCTAGGTTTGTATAAGTACACTCTATGATGTTCTCACAATGAACAAAATCACCTAATGATGCATTTCTCAAAACATGTCCCTGTCATTAATACAGTATGTAACAATACAGTTAGTACAATATGTAATACATGACTATATTCAGAATTTTAGCTATTTCTCTTATATTTCAAATGGATTTTCTTATGCACTGTGTGGCACGGGCATTTCATTTTAGTAACCACAGTCTGGGAAAGGAGAAGTCTTTGAAGGATGTTGAGCAAGGTTATGACATGGCCAGATGTGAATTTTTGATCAGTGACTCCATGTTAGCAGATAAAGTTGTATTGGGAAAGATCAAAAGCATGAAGGCCAGATAAGAGGATACTGTATGTTATCATGGATGGAAATGTGAGGGATGGCAGGAGAGATGCTATGATTGAATGAATCTCAATATTCTTGGTGATCAAAGAATAATGAGACTCATGCAATAAGACTCTGTGAATGATTGAATGTAGTTCCTAAGCTAGGAGGAAGAATGAGGAATGATTTTCTGGTTCCTGACTACAGCACAAGTTTTGGATTTTTAGAACAAAGAATAAATTTGTACATGCTTTATGATTCCTGGTTGAATTTTTAAGGATAAAAAAGTCAGCTGTAATATTATTCTTTCCTGATACCATGCAGTATTTGTATCAGTGATCTTATTCATTCCACACACATTCTTCTTGAACCTGGACACTGCTCTAGACACTGATTCTTTCCAAATATCAGATAAGGTTATTCTTATGTAGACCCTCAGTTCATATAAATATGATTTTCCCAAAATGTGAAATAAGTGACTTTTCATAAGATATTTTTTAAAAGAATGTCTTAATAATAAATTGTGAATGTTGCATGGAAATGTAGGTGACTTGCATTGTGCATCCTGTGTTTGATTCACTGCTCTTGCATGTCTTGCCTTTAGCTGGGATGACAGCAGTTCAGTGAGCAGTGGTCTCAGTGACACCCTTGATAACATCAGCACTGATGACCTGAACACCACATCCTCTGTCAGCTCTTACTCCAACATCACCGTCCCCTCTAGGAAGAATACTCAGGTGAGAATTACCACCTTTCTTTTTCCAGTGTTTCTGCCAGCTTTTTCCCCAAAATTACTTAATATTAGATTAAGGTATAGCACAAGCCCTTAATCCAAAATTATTACAGAAACTGGAAAATGCAGAGATAATAAGGACTCCCTTTGCCACTCCTGAACCCTGAAGCATCTTTCATCTTAGTCTTTCCTAAAGCCACAACCCTTAGGAGGAGCAACAATGTGCACTGCAGCCAATTTTGAATAAACAGAAGCAGCATATATATATATATATATATATATATATATATATATATGATATACATTACATATTTATATATATGTAATATATGTGCCATATAGCCTGGTGGTATAGTTATCTATACAAATATATTTATTTATTGTTAATATATAGAGTATATAAATATCTATTTATATAATAGATATTTATATATATTAAATATATAAAAATATATAACATATAATAGATATATATTTTATATATTATATAAATATATATTTATATATTTAATATATTAATGATGAATTACTATATTTGTATAGATAACTACACCACCAAGCTATATGGTGTGTATATATTAATATATAATGTATAATTCTATATTAATATAATAGTAACATATCAATACTTAATATAATATATATTCAATTGATTACAATCTAATTCAGAAAGATTTATGTTGCCATATCTCTCCTTACAATATCGATATGTTTGTTTAAAAATCCAGCAATTATTTTCATAGTCTAATTTTAGATAGTTCTTGATTAATTTTATATGATCTCTGAAATATATCACTGGATCTGTTGTGAATGATAAATCAAAAATGAAAAATGGACATTACATCATTAAGTTCTAGCTTGTCTTACTACTTCTTATGACATTTGATATAGAAAATTTCTACCTTTCTGTAGCGTTTAATTGGTGTTTTCTGCATGTATTTATTCTGAAATTCTCTAATATCTGCAAGTGGGAATTATGTGGCTAAAATTAATAAAATGTAAGTGAAGGTAAATCAAAATAGAATCTTTGGATTTATCCAGTTATCTGAAAGTACATTTCATTGCCTTAATTCATACTTTATAAATTTTTCTACATAAAGTTTTTCTGTAATATTTGTCTTTATAGCTGAGGACAGATTCAGAGAAACGCTCCACCACAGACGAGACCTGGGATAGTCCTGAGGAACTGAAAAAACCAGAAGAAGATTTTGACAGCCATGGGGATGCTGGTGGCAAGTGGAAGACTGTGTCCTCTGGACTTCCTGAAGACCCCGAGAAGGCAGGGCAGAAAGCTTCCCTGTCTGTTTCACAGACAGGTTCCTGGAGAAGAGGCATGTCTGCCCAAGGAGGGGCGCCATCTAGGCAGAAAGCTGGAACAAGTGCACTCAAAACACCCGGTAGGCTTGTCGTTTGCCAGCTGTTATGCAAAAGTGCTTTACTTTATTGTTTCCATTCAATCTTTGTTTTCTCTAACAATAGCATTTCTAAAATACCAAATTCTTATCCATATTAAACATGGAGTCAAATAGTTAAATAGTTTTTCTGTCTACGTTTCACAAACTCGTCATAGAAGCCCAAGTAGGGCCTATATCTAGGCATTCTCTGGAAAGCCTCCTCATAAACTAGGGGTACTGGATGCCTTACCTTGCCAGAGTTATTTCAGGTAATGGGGAAATAAGATTAGGTTGCTAAAGCAACAGTTAAGTTTTTTTGTTTTTGTTCTGCGTTCTTAATGAAAGTTTGGAATTTTTACACTAAATATGCCACTGAATTGCACTACAGACTCTGAGAGGAACAAGCAATGACACTAATCAATTGGAATGCTGGAGATTTGAAATATTGTCTGTGTATTAGACTTCATGAAAGAAGAGAATGAAATAGTTCTTCAAAATTGTGCCATACTTTTTTTAAAAAGACTCTCCCCGTATTTTTAAAATAATGCCTAATTATAAATAGTGCCACCTGAAGCACTAATTAACAGGGTACTCCAAATATAATCATCTCACAGATATTCAAATGAATTCTTTTTCTAGTAATTAGCTTGATAGGGTTAAGTGTTATCTTTTTAAAAAGAGTTGCAAAATATAAGACATTAACAAATAGCAAAACATATGTTTTCATTTTATCTCTTCCATCTCTCATAATGTTTCTTCTGACAGCCAAATTTTTGTAGCTATGCACTCAGTCCTCTCAATATATGAGATTTTTGATCTAAGACAATACATTTAGGAAGGGAAATAATATAAAGAAGCATTCACATTTTACACATTGTTTCACGAAGTGTGGTGATATCAAACTCTACAGGCACATATATTTGTGTATTTCTCCTTAATTAGGGAAAACCGATGATGCCAAAGCTTCTGAGAAAGGAAAAGCTCCCCTAAAAGGATCATCTCTACAAAGATCTCCTTCAGATGCAGGAAAAAGCAGTGGAGATGAAGGGAAAAAGCCCCCCTCAGGCATTGGAAGATCGACTGCCACCAGCTCCTTTGGCTTTAAGAAACCAAGTGGAGTAGGGTCATCTGCCATGATCACCAGCAGTGGAGCAACCATAACAAGTGGCTCTGCAACACTGGGTAAAATTCCAAAATCTGCTGCCATTGGCGGGAAGTCAAATGCAGGGAGAAAAACCAGTTTGGACGGTTCACAGAATCAGGATGATGTTGTGCTGCATGTTAGCTCAAAGACTACCCTACAATATCGCAGCTTGCCCCGCCCTTCAAAATCCAGCACCAGTGGCATTCCTGGCCGAGGAGGCCACAGATCCAGTACCAGCAGTATTGATTCCAACGTCAGCAGCAAGTCTGCTGGGGCCACCACCTCGAAACTGAGAGAACCAACTAAAATTGGGTCAGGGCGCTCGAGTCCTGTCACCGTCAACCAAACAGACAAGGAAAAGGAAAAAGTAGCAGTCTCAGATTCAGAAAGTGTTTCTTTGTCAGGTTCCCCCAAATCCAGCCCCACCTCTGCCAGCGCCTGTGGTGCACAAGGTCTCAGGCAGCCAGGATCCAAGTATCCAGATATTGCCTCACCCACATTTCGAAGGTAAGGATGTATAAAATGATGCTGGAAAAATATAAAGGATAAATATGTGTTAGACACATACATTACATATAAATGTGTGTATATATATATTTTAAATATGTATAAGGTATATATATATCTTAGAATTCTTTAAAGTACACAGTGAGCTCTATGAAGCTTATCATATAAACAGCTAGCAAAAAAAATAGTTCTCATTTTGAGAAACAGTCAAACTTCAAAGTTTCACTGTCATTGTGATACTAGCAACACAAACAACATCTAAGAGACTTAAAAGCTGATGGTAATACCTAAGTGTAGTGATAAGGCAAAGTAATAGCTTGTAAAATTTCTATAGATTTCCATTCCTCCTTTTCACATTAAAAATTAAAACCAAATAGGTTTTCATGACTTTTGGCATTCATTTCCAGTGTCATTTTCTTGCTGGCTCTTAATGAGTTGGTGATCATAAATGTAGATGAAGTTGTTTTCCTTGTAACAGATTCCATTGGACAGATTTATACAGTGTCATATCTTGACACATTAAAGACAATCAAGATATGACATAATTTGAAACTATTCCAGTGTTTGGTACAGTATCACAACTGAAGAGTGGGCTAAGCTTTCTAACTCTTCATCTGCTTTCTTTGACATGACTCTGGTAAGGATCATGACTTGGTTTCTGTTCCTGGATTGTTTTTGGTGTTAAATATGTGAAGTTCTGCTCTAAGATATCACTGTTTTTAAATACCCATGTGTTTTTAAGTGGTAGGAAAATAAATGCAGTTAAAAATTGGGGACAAATATCTAAACCTCTCTGAGTCTGTTTTCTCATCTGCAAAATGGTAGAGTGTGGTTTATAGTTCATTATGGGTTCAATATTTTTAATGTTTGTTTTTATTCTGTTGACTAAACCCAGAACTTTGATATCTTGGAAAGGAAAGATTTTGAAACATTTATTTTACAATAAAGCAATTTCAGATACCTGATTGTTTGAAAAACCTAAAGGCTTTATTCCTCCGTAGTAATATTAATGCTGCAGAACTGTCTTTTTAAAATACTGATTCTCATTGGGAAGAATGAATTATGGCGTATAGGGAGAGTAAATATTTCTGTTTCTTAAGTAAAAGCCAATAGTGCCCTCCTGTGGCCCATTACCTATGAAACAATTTCTCATATTCGTCATAAAATATTTCACTGTAGGAAATATGGATTTCATTGCAACTCAATTAGTAATCATTATGCCATTACTTCATATCATTGTATTTCCATATTTACATAAATTTGATTCTACCATCTGCTTCATTTACAAAACTAAAATGTTTTCTGAACTAAACTCCAAAATCTAACAGCACCAGCTCTGTTTCAAATCACTATTAAAAAATGTATTTGAATAGCACTGGCAACTGACATAAAACCCTTTGGCCTCTGCTGGGGAAAATACAGACAAACTGACTTGTTGCCGACAATGTCAATATTGTTTCCAACCAACTGCTCCCTGACAGTGACTCAGACCACCAGATACTCAACACAACTCCCTAAACTTGCTTTAAGCGTTCCATCTAGATTTTGAATAAACTGTTTAAAAATTTAAAAATAAAAAAAAAAGAGAAGAGCTCATTTAAGTGTTGTCTATCGAATGCGTAGAAGTTGTTTCATTATAATGGTTCTGTAAATAGGTAACAGCAAGTATATGGTCAAACTACTGACTTTGAGTGAAAGTCTCATGATCACTTAAATTATGAAAACCAGGGGTTTTCATGTTTGACTTACTTTTGTTCCACCCACTTCCCCTCTTTCCCTAGTAGCAGCTCAGTACTGACCTACCCTTATATGAGAGATTTTCTGCACTTGATAAAGAAGTCCAAGCTTATAAAAGTTCATTAACATAGAGACAGGAAGTGCTTTGTAGTTCAGTACATCAAAGCACACTTGGCTCTGTGTACTGTAACCCGAAATATTAAATGTGGATATTAGCTTCTTGGAACAACTGAAGTTGTTATTTGTTTTTCTTTTAGGTTGTTTGGTGCCAAGGCAGGTGGCAAATCTGCCTCTGCACCTAATACTGAGGGTGTGAAATCTTCCTCAGTAATGCCCAGCCCTAGTACCACATTAGCGCGGCAAGGCAGTCTGGAGTCACCGTCGTCCGGTACGGGCAGCATGGGCAGTGCTGGTGGGCTAAGCGGCAGCAGCAGCCCTCTCTTCAATAAACCCTCAGACTTAACTACAGATGTTATAAGCTTAAGTCACTCGTTGGCCTCCAGCCCAGCATCGGTTCACTCTTTCACATCAGGTGGTCTCGTGTGGGCTGCCAATATGAGCAGTTCCTCTGCAGGCAGCAAGGATACTCCGAGCTACCAGTCCATGACTAGCCTCCACACGAGCTCTGAGTCCATTGACCTCCCCCTCAGCCATCATGGCTCCTTGTCTGGACTGACCACAGGCACTCACGAGGTCCAGAGCCTGCTCATGAGAACGGGTAGTGTGAGATCTACTCTCTCAGAAAGGTGAGCTTTCCTGGAGGCATTGATAACATCTTCCCCCTCTTCCCTGCACTATGCCTAACCCCCACCCCATTAAATTCCCTTGATTTCACTGTGAGTGCCCCGGTGCAAAAAGATGTAAGACTGATGAAACCGGGCCTTTCATTTGCTCTCATTACCAAATTTACAGAGGAATAGAATCATTAAAGGTAGGGTGAGTGGATAATTTTGTTAATATGAATGCATACATTTATACCCAGTAGGCAATGTGAATAAAATTCAAGGAATGTATTTAGATATTGAATGAGGTCTCCTGAAGACATTTTAATGATTTGGCTTAAGCTTCAGAACAACACTAGCTCCTTATGATGACTTAAGCATTTTGAAAGACCAAATTGAAATTATTCTATAGTTATGCTCAGAGCAATATGTTAAATTTGTTCCATTTGTACTTCTATGAAAAAATAGCAGATGGATTGCTGGGAAATCCTAGTTGGCCTGGTTAAAAAAAAAAAAAAAAAAATCAATTGTCAGCCATGAATCATTAGAGAAAATTATAGTGTCAGTGCCATTTTCAATAGACTGCTTAAAAAGTAATCATATTACAAAGTGTTTCTCATTGGCTTTATATATATATATAAACTTAAAGTAGAGGACATAGCAAGGCATTTCTTACCTAATATGCTTACTGTGAAGCATCCCTTTTGAGCAAAATCACTCTAAATTTTCTCCTCAAAGTGATCCTCTCTTGATTATACTGTACTGACTCTTACCACCAGGAAAATGTCTTAAAACCACTTCTTTTTCCTGATAAATGCAATGCTATTTGTCTCTTGACATAAGTAAAGCTTTAAACATGGTCTTGGCCACATGTGGAAAGAAATACTGGTCACGTAAAATACCTGATATATCTTTCTATGTCTTCCCCTGTTTTTTTTATTTTTTTTTTATTTTTATTTTTTAACTCTGATATTGATGATGGCATTTATTTTCTAGACCTTCAGCCTTACTCCCGGAATGATATTTTTAAACATCAATTAAAGCCCTTAGCTAGACACTCTCTGCATTACGCCAGTTTCCCTTTAATGTAGGATGTCCCAATTTGAAATTCCCCATTTTCTCTTGACTTTGTAAAAACAAAACCCAGAGCAAAACATTGCTTCTTTCCCTCTTTACTTCCTACTTGCCTAACAATGAGACAGGGACAGCCGTGCAAATGGGGCTTCCCGATGATAAAGTAATTTTAACACTAACTAAAATATTGGTGTTTCCTATGGTGGGCTGCTAATTACAAAATACATTTTTCCTCCTAAAGAAAAAAACTGGGCCAAGGCAAACAGCTCAGTGATAGCAAATAAAATGTAACCATTTCCCTATGGTTTTGCTGTTATATGCTATTATAGACAGCATACGTAAAGACCAGTAAGGGTTCATTTTTCCACCTAAAATGTCGGGCTTCCTGTAAAATCTTTGATTCTAGTTTCAGCACTTCTAAGGTAAATGGGCATCTTCACATGTCATTTATAAAACTTCTAATGAATGAATTATATTAAAATAGATAAACAACCTATAGTTTTAATGAATGTATCCTAGATTGTATGCTCATATGTAAGGATTCTAAATATCAACTTGATAACCAAACCAAACATAGTGCAAATAGGTTATCATTTATTAACCACAACCACCTTCCACAAAACTGGTCATTTTTTAATTATTAAGATAATCTGCAACAAGTTGGCCATTTAGCCATCAGCCTATTTCTTCAGCATTTAGACATTAATCCAAGATTCAGAAATAAAGTCAAGTAACTATTTATAACCAAGTAACATTCAAATCAAAACTAGATGAAAGATTGGTTAGTTGCATAGCTATAACCAAAATGCAGTTTTAATATTTTACTCTAATCTATATTTTAACTGAAGTCAATAAAATTTTCACTATGGAAATACACTAGAAAATATGCAATTTCTTATTCTTTTTAAGCAGATTTATTTATTGTACATGTTCAGTCTTTGAAATAGGCCAATTTTATTTATGTTATGTTATGTTATGTTATTTATTTGTTTTGAAATGGAGCCTCACTCTGTCGCCCAGGCTGGAGGGCAGTGGTGCCATCTCAGCTCATTGCGTCCTCTGCTTCCCGAGTTCAAGCAATTCTCATGCCTCAGCCACCTGAGTAGCTGGGGTTATAGGAGCGGACCACCATGCTGGGCTAATTTTTGTATTTTTTGTAGAGATGAAGTTTCACCATGTTGGCCAGGCTGGTCTCGAACTCCTGACTTCAAGCGATCTACCCTCCTTGGCCTCCCAAAGTGTGGGGATTACAGGTGTGAGCCGTGGCACCAGCCTGAAATAGGCCAATTTTTAAAATGGGAGTATTCCTACATTAAAATGGCCAAATAAAGACTTTTTCTAAAATAAACTTTAAACTAATTTTGGATAAATATGTTTTGCCTTTGAGCCTTAATAAAATGCATTAATGAATATTAAGCTGTAAAAAGTACATGTTAACTACATAGCTATAGTGTATAATATTAATATTAATTAGTGCCTTCCAGTAAATTACTAGATTAAAATAAATTTTAATATAAGACACTGAGCTTTTTGTTTTCTTGACAATAGAAATGCAAGCAATAGCAAATTGCTCTAATCCTTTCAAGTACATTTAAGAAAGTTTATGACCTATTGAAGAGAAAAGTAGATCTAGTGGGTGATACTGGCTTCATTATGGTTAATTAATTGATCAGTAGAATGTCAGAAATGCTAAGAAAACCAAAGAACTACACCAGAGAGAAAATGTGTTAATGTAAATTTTAAGGCAAGTTAATTAGCGATATATAATAAAGATGTATATAAGTTCATGATTTACCTGTTTGTCTACAATTTTAGATGATTTTTTGATACTCATATTTAAATCGGTAGCTTTTCCTATAGATTTTAATTTTTGTTTAAATTCCTCTTCATTAAATTAAATAAAATAATAAAATACACTTTTTAACAGTTTTCTCTTCTGCAGCTGCTCTAGGTCATTGGTGGCCATTGAGCCATAACTAGTCTATATTTGTTTTGGGTTTTGTTTCATGTGTCTGACTCAACTAAATTTTTAAATAATTTGTAGTAACCAACTTTGCAAATTCTGGGTTTGTCTTTAAATGTCAGATCTGGCAACGCTGCCTTGACATTTCTGCCTAGAAACTATTGGCTCTAGGCAGTCAGTGCCTGTCTGCTTCAGACTGTTGACTGAAATCCCCATTCGTTTTCATGCCCTATCTGGCCCTTGCTGGCATATGAGTTTGCAACCTTTGGTGATTTGCAGAAATTGTCTATGTTAGAAAATCATTAATATCTAGATTCAAACATATTTCTAAATAAAGCTTTAAATTATTATGGTAACTTTAAATGTATTTATTCTAATTTTTTTCATTAAATTGCTCTTCATCATATAAATATATAATTTTTATACAACTGGATGAGTTTGGCAGAAGAATACCAACTTTTCATATTCTTTGTGGCATTAAACTTTAACTTGTACACATGGAAATAAATAATCCTTAAAATGACTTATGACCACATAAATGCCTTAGCACATGTGGTTCATATTTGGAGATTTCTCATATTTGTTCAATATAATTTATTTTGTTTGTTTATCCACAGTACTTAAGAAAACTTCTATAGTCAACATATATACTGTAACTGGCCTCTACACAGTATAAGCAATTACCTTACATGGCTATTACCGATAAAGTTAAAGTTGTATAAAGCCTTTGGATGCTTTTGATTTCAGTGCTAAATAATGGAGTACACATAGAAGAAAACATTTTAGCTTTGGTTTGAGTGATCAAATTTTAGGTCAGCCTTTTTACATTCATGTTATATCATCCCCATTATGCGTATCCTGTGTATTTAATTTTGATCATTTGATGTCCTAAAGGAAGAAAGCTATAATTCTGCAATTTTAATTAATTTTACACTTTGCTTATCCACATGCCAGAGATTATAAAAGAAATCCCTAAACTTGTCCCACTTAGTTGTTGATATCCTCTTCCTGTATTTTTAGAGAGGCCATTTCTTATTTTCTCTAGACATAGCTTTTCATTCCTTCTTGTTACCAATTGTGAATTCCTTAAAATAGAGATGATAAAATTTATAGCCTTTTAAATACCTAATTTATGATTTCTAAAAGATGGTATAGCTTAATTTCATTAAAATATTCAAATAAATGATACTAGAATCAATTAAGTTTTAAGCAAACATTCATATATCTTTCTTCACATGTATAAATGGGAAATAAACATGCCTTTTTATTAAAAATAATTTGAAGACAAAAGATAAGTATTAAACAATGTTTTATACCATCTCTGTCAATTGGAAGTTGTCACTCTAACTTAGCCAGAGCAGATCTATCTCATTTTGCATGTGATATCATAGCAAAAGTCTAATCAGTTGCATAGGGAAGGAAAAACTAAGATAGTATTTAATCAATAGGATTCAGAGGAAAATTATGCTAATGTGATTTAATCTATTTTCTAGTAATCCTATCACTAAACTGTCATTGAATTGTACTGCATTAGAAAGGAACTCAAATATGTGTGACGGCAATGGACATCTTGTCACCTTTAGTTGGCCTTTTTCAATGAGTTAAGCATTATATGTGTGTTACCAAAAAATTATTTTTTATAGTTCAGAGAACCATTTTTGTTGGATGTGTAATTTGGAAGTTTTGTTTACATTATGTCCTTAGGGGTTTTCTTTGTTTTAACAGCATGCAGCTTGACAGAAATACACTACCCAAAAAGGGACTAAGGTATATATTCCTCTCAGCACAATTGCTACCTCTCTGTTGTTATGTAAACTTTGTGTGCTGTCTCTCTTCCTTCTTTGTTTGTTTGCAATGTAGCACATGACATTGAGGACGAAATCACTTTTAATTTTGATGGTTTCTCTGGCCCGAACAGTTGGTGAGATAGCCCCTTAGGTAGAGATACTAGTAGAGATTGAGGCTGTCTCTCAAATTAAATAAATTCCAATGTGAATATCACTATTTTGAAGAAATAATACTAAACAAACAAACAAACAAAACAAAAACAAACAAACAAAAAACTTGTCCCAGGCATTACTTTTTTGGGGGCAGCAACTTTGGTAGAATGCAGAACTCACTTCAACAAATTAAAATAAAATTAACTCTTCTAACTTTTGCCTATTAGAGTCATATGCATGCAAATATTCAAAACCCATGCAGTCTACAGATGTGGGCAGTTAATGTTGATAGGTTGAAGGATGCTACAATCTGAATCAAAGAAAACATATTTTCATCATCACAGGACAAATGCTGTAATTAAGGTGTGATTTTTATAGAATCCTTTTGATAAAATCTCAAAATTGTTTTAATTTCTATTTTGCAGGGGTACTGCTATCAGATCAATTTAAATCTGAATTAATCTAATATTTAATAATCTCAAAATAATTATTCCATCCATAATAAAAAATAAAATAAAAATTTAACTTATGGCCATCTTTTACTGTGTACTTTTATCTGAGGAAGAGATAGAATGATCTACTAATAGAGGTATAACACTGTATGTGTATGAAAAGTTGGCTAATTTTGGTGCTAAGAATTTACTTACAAAAAGAAAAAGAATATACTTAGTTTGGTGAAACACTGAATAATGGCGAAACTAGGTCTTTCTCCATTATTTTTTTTCTCTCCAATTTTTCAGCAATAGCAAATAGCTGGCAATTATTCCATGTTAATATTTTGATCCAGAAATTTATGTTCCAGTAAAGCGAGCACATCTCCCTCCTTATTTTTGTAATCTAGGCATGATGTCAAGTGGCAGTTTAACAAAAGAACTGTTTTTCCTTTAAAAAAAAAAAAAAACAAAAGCTGCCAATATGTATTCCATTTCCCTATGCCTTCTGTGACCATCCTTCATTTCCCTTGGCCCTGGCCCGCCACTGTCCTCCATTTGTAGTCCATGTTTTCACCCTCTTTACATCCTTTCTTGCCCTGTGCTTTTGAGTTCTCAATTAACTTGGCTGTCTGCTCATTGCTTATGATTTCCAACTGCATATCTGATAGAAGCATAATTTTCTCCTCAAAACCCTTTATCTTATTTTTTTTCCCTATGTGATTCAAACAGATGGCGTAAGATCATCTGGAAGAACTGAGCAATTATAATTAGATTCAATCTGTTTGAAATTGTTCATTCTGAATAGTAACCTCCTCTGAATTGTTTTCCTGTCCTGGCATTGCCTTGCCCTTGTAGATGTGCTTAAGTGTCATAGCTGTGCTGTTTTGCAGATATACCCCATCATCTCGGCAGGCCAACCAAGAAGAGGGCAAAGAGTGGTTGCGTTCTCATTCTACTGGAGGGCTTCAGGACACTGGCAACCAGTCACCTCTGGTTTCCCCTTCTGCCATGTCATCTTCTGCAGCTGGAAAATACCACTTTTCTAACTTGGGTAAAATATTCTAAAATATTGATTTTGTTTTGTTTCTTTCACCACCCACTCTCACAGAAACCCTGGAATCTCTCCATAACACAACACGTTTTCATTTAAAGGGAGGGATAAAAGCACTTTAACAGTACCTTTCATTTGTGTCATTGTTTACTCTTCACAGAAAAATCTCCAAACATTATGCTATTTATTGCTCATGACAAATGCTTAACATAGATTAATACTGTGGTTGTTTTCTAGTCTAGGCTCCAGAGGCTCAGAAAGTTCACTTGACTTGAAAAAGTCTTACCATTACTAAGGGTTCAAGGCAGTAACCAGTTCAGAACATCTGACTTTAATCCCAGGGGCCTTTCCATTCCATTTAAGAATCCTCTTAAAAAACAGGAAGGCATCTCCTTATTTATTTGTCTGAAATATTAAAACATCCTTAAAACAAAATTAGTAATCTTTTGTAGAAAATAGAAACAATTAGGAAGAAAAAAATATGTAATTCCATGACTCAAAGTTAACTTCTTTTAACACTGTTAAAGTTAAAACTCCTTAAAATTCATACAAGAATTTCTGTTAAGACAATACTCTGAACATTTTCAAATAGATACAATGAAAAATAAATTACCAACTTAGTCATTGGGTTACTTTGTATTTAACATCATTTGTATGAAATATAAAATCATTTGCATAAAATTTCATTAAAAGCACTCTGAGTAACAAAATAATTAAAGAAAACTAAACATGCCAGATACCATTTAATAGATTCAATGACTTTAAAAATATATTTATTTTCTATAAAGTCACATATAAAGTATTCTCATTATTTTTATGGTAAATATTTTTATTATTAGTTTATCAGAAAAACTTGTACATAAAGATGAGTATTGATACATAATCTTATTAGAGCCAGAGACGATCATTCCTTCTAGAAAAACACATCTCTGAATTTAGGACGGAGGACAATGAAACAAGAAATTTCACTTTATAATTTACCTTTGTCAAACTATCCCAGAGCACATCAATTCCATCATGAAAGTACTCCTTTGACATTATATAAAAAATTAGTAATAGAAAACACACAATCCAAAACCTTATATTTTCTAAACTTCAAGTTAATCATCAACTTCTCTTAGATTTTTGAAGACCTGAAAATAAACATAATTTCAAATAACAGAACTCAAACACCATATACATTTGTAATGAGGCACAACAGTCAATTTTGAGCCTTGTATTTTCCAGGTTTTAGCTGAATAATCTTCACTGCTTTCTTAGCTTTTTGCCAGTCTAGTTTGGGGACTATTTTGCCTTACTGGGCCTAAACAGAGTGTAATATTAAAATATGTTAATAAGCCATACTGAGAATAAGATAAATGCAGGTTTCTAACTCCTTAGGGACACAAGTGGGGACAACACATTCCATGAACACAGGTGAATGAATGCCCCTAGTTTCTCTGAGTTGGACAATTTCATGCGATCATTTTTTTCTCTGAGG
Source organism: Homo sapiens (assembly GCF_000001405.40). Classification (NCBI taxonomy): domain Eukaryota; kingdom Metazoa; phylum Chordata; class Mammalia; order Primates; family Hominidae; genus Homo; species Homo sapiens. Next base: position 78,130,347 of record NC_000012.12, read on the forward strand.
CCAAAGTCTCTGGTTTGATCTTCCTAGCAGCTTCCAGAACAGAAAGTGAGTTTACTTTGTCTCCATATTCTTTTTCTGCATGCTCGGGAATCCCCTGCTTTCCTGATCCCACCACAAAAACTCCCCTGAGGATGAAGCCTTGGCTTTCCAGGCTTCCAGGGAAGCCTCGATTCCTGGCTGGAGGTAGTTGTACCACACTCCCAGAGGGCTAAATCCCATAAACATCATCTTCTGTCTTTGTAGATCATAGAACTTTTTATTATCATCCAGGAAGATTTCTCTTTTGAAACAAGGCTGGAAAAACTTTATGTCAGTCCTGACCTGCTCTTTAATGACTGCGTAGAGGGAGATGCCCAGCTTATCCAACTTGGGTTGCAGGGAGGACAGATCTGCAGCCCCTCTTGCCAGAGAAAACATCCTGGCACAGACACAATCACAACTCCATTCTTCTCCCGATAGCTCCTTTGCTTTGAAACTCATTGGTTACTTCTCCAGTGTTTTCAGGTCTATATTCTCCAGGTACTCCAGCACCTCTTTCCAGGGCTTGGACAAAAATACATCTGTGTTGGCCAGCATCAGTGCCAAGGCAGCAGCCTCCAAGGGCTCCTGCACCCATGGACCACATCCACACAGAGAAGCACCGTGGGTCCTCAAGTGCCTCCCTCTTCTTCCCTTCTCCCAAACCTGAAGCCCAGACACTAAGGGGTCAAACCCTCCTGGGCCCTGAGGGTTCCAAGGGCCTCATTACTTTTTCTTTTTTTCACTGGAAAAAAAATTCTAATCATGCACCTACAGAAGATTGACATTTTTCAGTAAGTTGGACTTTCCAGCTTTCAGCCAGGACAAGACTCAAGGCTATGTCTTTTCTATTGCAACCCTTCCCACTATATTGAGTAGGGCTTTTAGCAATTGAAAACAATTATTTTGGTCATGGTTTCATATAAGCTAATGATTTCATATCAAACACCAAGTTTTTGTTTCCTAACCTATATAGTGATAAGAGAATTTACCTATAATGCCAAAGAATGTATAGCTTTTATTTGCTTTAAGATGCAGTTGATTTTTTAAAAAAGCGAAAAGCCTAACACTTTAACTTCAAAAAATGAATTTAAAATGTTTGTGTAGGTCATAGGAATATGAAAAAATTTTATACAACATCTAAAACACACCCAAATCACCTAAAGTGCTATAAGCTTGCTAAGTACTTCATGTCTCCTATCAATTCTTTCATTAATTGACGTTAATTTGATTAGTTGACTCCTTCTTCTATTTTTCCTCACCATTATTATTCTGATTAAATCCACCTTCATTATTCCTTAGGAACAAAAAGACTCACCACTTAACTATGTCTGACATTGGTGAAGTCGTTTAAACTTAATTTTCTTATCTCTTGAATGGATACATAATACCTAGGTTATATTGTAAAGAATGACGGATATAGTGTATGTAAAGATGGAGAAGTGTGTAAGACTTGACAGATTCTGCCAAATCATTATTTTCACTGGAAAGCATGTCTTACACGATCATAGAGTAGCATTCATCAGATATGCCTGAGCTTTGTCTACATTTAATTGAGTAGTAATTCGCAACACAGTAACCACAGGATTTTATGTAAAAGACATTCACAGATTGTGTTTTTGAAAGATTGTATTTTTGAAGTACAAAACTATGACATTGTTATCAAGGACTCATTTACCACAAATATCAAATATTTGTGCAAAGATAAGTTTATGCTAAGATTTGCATAAATTAAAGTTAACATGGCAACTGAAGCTAACATGTCCATGGTCACAATGTGTTAAAAAATGAATGGTTCTGTAGCACACTTGGGAATGTATTTTATTACATAGTTTTCAGAGTTAAAACACAATTAATAAATGAAATGTGAATTATACTTTTACTGACAACAAAGCTCTCTGTAGAGCTTTAATGTTCTAATGAATTAGAAAACCACTGATCAAATACATCCCTTACATTTCATTGCTATAGAAACCAAGTCTGAAAGGTTAAGTTTACCTTTCTAGGATGTGGGTTTCCCCCCTTAATCTATTGTGGTTTATATCAGAGATCTCTCAGCTGTGTCAGACAGGCCATGACTTAAGTGACACTGCCCTCTTGATTCTCTTCATACTTTTCCAACTACAATTCTTTCTCCTGGGGTTGCTCATCTTAACATAGCTGTATCATTTATTGTAGACACAAGGTCACTTTTGAGAGTGAATGGGACTATATTAATAATTGTTCCAGGTATTAGGTGCAAACCCTGGGCAATGCAATTCATCCTCCATCTCCTCCTTATATTTATGTGTTTACCAAGTTGTTTTTCCTGTAGACTTTTTTTTATCCTAAACCCTTTTTCTATGTTCTCATTCACAACTTTAATTCTAATCTCTCAAATCAACATTTCACTTTCTGTCTGAGACCTTTTTCAGCTCTAAAACTAAAATCCCATCAGTGTGCTAGACCATATAGCCACCTGAAATCAAAGTCTTTTCTTAAGTTCTTTTCTTCTATTTGTCTTATAATTTCATGTATCATCCTTCTCTCTACTCTAGCACAAAATCTGTGTAATCAATAGTCTTACTTGAAACTGTGCTCTTCATATTGTACATTTTCAATAGACAGGAACCTGTGATTTTATCTTCAGAATATCTCCTACATCTGTCTCTCATTTTCAGGGACATTGTCCTTGCTGAAGCTTTTTTAACTATAGACAATTGCAGCAGATTTTAAATTGATCTTACTCTGTCGACTCCCTTATGTTTCAACATTTTCACCCATTGGAAGGTATAAAAGAAGATATTCCTGTCCGTGTCAACATAATCTCATGTACCTCTCCAGATCTTAGAAACACGTATGGCTTCAAATCAGGCATTTTGAGATCTTTATGCTGTATGGTTTCAGAGTGGAAAAAATGATTGATTCAAAAACATAATATTTAAAGAGTTTTTATTGTATTTACAGTTCACCTGAACCTCTGTTCATTGGGCAAGAAAATGAGTACTCTTAAAATGCAATAATAAATTAAAGTTACTTTATTATTAAATTTTAAATATATATATATATACTTACCTTAAATATGTCCTCTTGTTGTCTTTTAGCATCACCCATTTTTGATTTGACCATTATCTTTTCTGAATAATCAGTAAGATACAGAATTATTATTAATGTTCAAAAGTTGCAGTATTCATGTTTTCTTTATTCTTTCTACCAATTAAAATGTGTTAATATATAAAATTTTTAGAAATTTTACTATAAAAAATCACAACATATATTAGAAAATTAAGATCACTACAATATGTCATATTTAGTAGACTACTGTGAGCTACTGCCACAGTAAACTATGGTTCGTGTGTCGTTCCCAGCATGCTAGCCCTAGTAGAAACCATTCCCATTCAAGAAAGACTAACAAAGTATAGCTTACATAAATCAAAAAGTCTTTGGATGAAACTTCATTTGGGAAAATAACCCAATCTCTACCCTTCAATTTTTTATGAATGAAAAAATGGAAGAATAAAGGCCTCTAAGATCCATTCAAAGCCAGGAGACACACAAGAATTTCTAAATAGAAGAGAAACAGAAGAGGTCATAGTTCTTGTGAGCCATCTCATAACCTGGTGAGACTCATTGTCATGCCTCCATGCATGATAACAATCGCTCAGATTCATTTTTCATCTTGCCACAAGGGTTACATGCAGGAACATTAATGTCAACCTGTCACTTCTAATATCCATCTAATATTCTCTAAATTCGATGGATCCTTTTGCATATGGTGATTGTTAAACACCTTTGCATAGGAACAGTTTCTATGCTTTTGTACTCAAATCTTCCTCTACCTTGAATCCTTTCCCATCTTCGTGTTCAACCTTCAATCTTCTCAGAATGAACTCCTGTCTTCTATTCTTTCGGAAGCATAGAATCTCACAGTCAGAAGAGACCACATCTGGTTCAACCCTTCATCTCTTATGTAAAATTTTATGACATCTCTAGCTTCTTCTTTAAACCCACCAATGACAGAAACTACTAAAATCTAGAAATAACACCTTTGAAATTCTTTCTTTAAGAGATCAAATAAAATTTTCCTGAATCTTCACCTATTGTTCCTAGTTATATATATCCAGATTCTACAAAATAAGTCAAAGTTAGATTGCATATGACAGCTCTTCATATTTAAAACAATATAATAAACTCACTAGTTAATGTCTAGCTGTAGATGCAAAAGTAGAGAGTGACTTGGGGTTATTTAAGAACCCAGTCCAGCCAGACACATTGGATCATGCCTGTAATACCAGCAGCACTCAGGAGGCTGGGGCAAGAGGATCCCTTGTCCAGGAGTTACAGGCTACAGTGAGCTATGATCGTGGCACTGCATACTCCAGCCTGGAAGACAGAGTGAGACCCTGTCTCACAATAATAGTATTTAATAATATCATAAAAACCCAGTCCACATTTATATAGGATCCTGTTTTCCTCAAGTTACTACAAATAAATATATAATCTTAATAAAAGGTTAGTGGCTTTGCCAAGATAGTGGCTTGGCTATGCAAATGCAATTTAAGACAAAGTTGGTAGCCCTCTTTTTCCTAATACATTGCCATATCTGTTTCTCTTCTATTTGGAAATTCTTGTGTGTCTCTTGGCTTCGAATGGATCTTATAGTCCTTTTATTCTTCCATTTTTTAGTCATAAAAAAACTGAAGGGTAGTGATTGGGTTATTTGCCCAAAGCAGATGGAAAGCAAAACTACCACTAGAAGCTCTTTACCAATTTGTGTTCCATTCAAAAAATTATCTTTGTATGTCTTACATTTGTCTTCTACTGTATAGTTTTTCTTGTTCTATTTTACATATTAACTTTTCTCCTTCTTCAGACATCTGCCCTACTGGCTACTCTTGAAATCAGAGACTGTGTCATATTTTTCCTTCTATTCAACTACAACATCTAAAAGCAGATCTGTCATAGTTATTAACTTAATTGAACACTCTTAAATAGTTAGGTGTAATTTCCAATGCAGAAGCTATCAAAAGGGTTTGTAAATGCAAACTATTCCCTTTAAAATCTATCCTAATCCTCATTAATGTTTCATCTTGATAGAGCTAAGTATTATGTATTGAAATTGTAGAAGTACACTTCACTTGGATATCTCTGCAATCATTTAGGTAAGAATTATACAAAGCCAAAAAGCAAATAAAATATCCTCCTAACCCTATAGATACGTATACTAAAATGATGCACTTGCAAATTTGTTTAATACTTCATTAATTTAAACAAGAGTAAATTCATACTGTGAACCAAGAATAGGGTGACTTACCCCAATCTTGCCACCTTAAACATAAACATTTTAAGTCTTCAATGTCCTACAGTGTACCTACTGGCTGTTGTCACTAATCAGACCGAAATGGTACTAATGGTCACTGCAGGCTGAAGGAATATGCTTGAAAGATAGGCAGATCCTCTCCCTCTCCCTTTTTTACTTTTTTCGCCTTTCCATCCTTTCTTCTTTTTTTCCAATAGATTGTGCACTTTGGAGATTCATATTTTCTTCCTTTTCCATTACATTTTAAATATGTGATTCTTAGTCCTATGCTTCCTTTTACTCCAATCAATAACTGGCTCTATCAGAGGGTTGTTCTGTGTGTTAATTCGGTTAATACCAGGATTATCAAGCACAGTGCCTTCCAAATGTGAGATACTTCTCTCCGGTTACCTCTGGGTTTACTTTTCCTGTTTTACATTGTTTTGAGAGCCAGTACTTGTATTAAGAAGAAGTTTAGTGCCTGTGTCACAGAAAAAATCTTAGTAAATTTTGAAGTGATGTCAGAACAACTCTAAGCCACTGACGGATTCCACAGGGTTTTGAAAATACTCGTTAGTTCCCTTTATATCTTAAGAGGCTCCTGCCTGCTTTCTCATATACCAGTAACAAACTTGCTTTTCTTAAATATGAGCATTTAGAATATCTTTCTCAATTTTTCTGTTTTGCTTTTATTCCAAATTTCACAACTATATTGTTTTCCAATGTAGTTGTACATACAATCAACCAAATCTTTCCTTAAATTGATGACTACCAGGTGAGGACTCTTTGGCAATAAGCAATAAGAAAATAAATTGTTATTAAAAATTACAGACTTAAGATACTTCTTTGGAAATATAACATGTTTGTGACTTTTGACCATCTCATCATGATATGCTCATCTTAAACAGAGTAGAAAATCATTTCATATAATTAACTTTATGGTGGGCTGCAGATACCATGTATGTTACATTGTGTTTAGTTATAAAAATGTTTATTATACACTATTTCCTTATAATCTAACTTTGATAATAATGATGGTCCTAATCATGAACTTACATCAATTAAGAGCTTGAAGTGACTGAGAGTATTTGCCTGGAAGCATTTAAAGCCCTTCTTGGGAAATTTAGATGTTTTATATTTTACTTTCTTTTTGATTTTGCTTTTTCCATTAAAGTGATTACTATTTTTAAAGAGAAAACCGAAAACTCTAGAAAGACCATCTTTTCTTCATAACAGGTAGCAGAAAACACCATGTTATTACATTTCTAGCAAGAGCAGTAGAGGTGACTTGTTGGTTTTGTGTACTGTTGCTTTAGAAATTGATGTAAGGCTTCCCATAAACGTGCCAGAGGAAAAGAGGGACGCAATGGGATCTGTTATTGAACATTTCAGAGGCAGACTCTTACCTTAAATAGGGACTCACTATACATTCATGTTTTCATAAGTATTGGGATCATGTTCTTACTTTCTATCAACCTGCTATTTTCATCTTTCAAGCTTAAGAGTAATAGGCTCTGTGTGTTTTGTTTTTCAGTGAGCCCAACAAATTTGTCTCAGTTTAACCTTCCCGGGCCCAGCATGATGCGCTCAAACAGCATCCCAGCCCAAGACTCTTCCTTCGATCTCTATGATGACTCCCAGCTTTGTGGGAGTGCCACTTCTCTGGAGGAAAGACCTCGTGCCATCAGTCATTCGGGCTCATTCAGAGACAGCATGGAAGAAGGTAAGCGTTGAGGGGGATTAAAGATGAAGTCACTTTATTTAAACCCTGAGAGGGAAACCATTGTGTCACTCACATCACAAAGATTCCTGAAGAGGAAAATAAACTAGTGTAATTATCATTTGGGAAACTAGAAGCTTGAAGAAGTTTTATTCTGTATTATCTTCTATTTCTTTATGTATTTGGAAATATGCCAGAATTTGTTTATATTAATACTTGGCTGTAGAAGAGTTTAGACTAAATCTACTTTTCCAATACAGAAATATACATATAAACTATTTTCCCAGGTGCATCAAATATCAGAGCAAATGTTTTGTTTGACATTTTGGTTAAAGAGCCATAAAGACACACAAACCAGAAACATTATTTTATGAAAATACCACATGTTGCTGACTTTTATTCCCAGGAATTCCCTCTGGTGCTAATTTTTTATTATATCATTTTAGAATTCATATTGTACCTACTTTTTTGCTTTATAAGTCACTATTTCTTCATCCAATGGCAATAAAATTGTCACCTAACCTAATAAATATCTTTATAGTTATATAGTTCTATGTAAATACTCCAAATAAATCAGCTTGAAAACCTCAGGAAGCTGAGTTGATGCTCAAATATATATATTTTTGTAAACTGTAGAAGCTCAAATGTCAAATTTAACAATAATTTGAGAGACTTTTCTCTTTGATTTAATGAATTTTTTTAGTATCCATAAAGAAAACTTACAGCATACATATTATAAAGCATGTCAGCTAAGGATAAAATAAAACTAGACATACAAATTCAAACTGATTAGAATGAAATTATTAACCCTAATAATTATGTTTAAAAGAAAAGTCTCCAAATCTTGAGACATACCAGAGTTTAAGTCTTCAGCCATCCATTTACTTGTGGTATAAACTTAGGCAAGTTTCTTAACCTTCTTATCCCTAAGTTCTGCATCTGTAACTTCTTAGGTTTGTCACAAGGATGAAATATGAGAACAAAGAATAATTCTGTTCCATGATCTTTTCCCTTCCTACCTTCTTATTTAAAGTATCTTCTGACTGAGGGGTTAGGCAGCAATGAAAATTGACTCATGTTTTTCAGGTCACCACTATGGATTCAATATACTGGCATTAAATCAGTAGAGAATAGTTGTCATTGCCTTTTGCAATATTAACCAAACCACTCAGTTCACTGTGACAGACAGTGAATTATATCCAATGACTCCACTGATTTTTTCCATGTAGATAGACAAAATATAACTACTCTCAAATGTAAGGACCCTGCTTTCTGAAATGGTTCTGTTGCTCTCTTCACAGATAGGCTTCTTATAATACTTTTAAAATAATTTGCTAAGCATACAGATGGCTTTCTAGAGTGTGGCATTGACAAATAAAGTGATTTTTATATACTGGGAAATTCTGGCCTTCAATGTATCAGGATTAAATAATCTGAATTTCTGAAAGCTAGCCTAAGTGGGCAAGATGGCTTTTTTGTGCTCACGCATTGAATACTGAACTATTCTAGTTCTTAAATGGCGATCTAGATTCAAGACTTATTGAACTAGATTGAAGGGACTTTATTGATATCCTACCTAATGCTCACACTGACAGATGAAGAGACTGAGCCACATGTTCTAAGGTCATAAACAGAAAGAATGAGAATGAGATGGTCTAATTAATTGTCCACCTTTCCTATGGTACATCAGGGTAACACTTTAGTTTACGAGGGTATTATTAGAGATAGAAAGAATTTTTTTTTAAATAATTGACTCAAATACCAACATTTTGCACATTACATAGAGTAATAGCTTTGCCCAAGTTAGAAAACTGGGGGTTCTTCTTTATTCCTCTTTTGACCACATCTATATACTCAGTTTTAAAAAGGTTCTTCCTGGTATCCTTCAATTCCATCCCCATGTTTTCATCTACAAGCCTAGTGCAGCTATTCCAGCCGTCTCCTGATCAGGTCTTAAGCACCTCCCATATGTCCTTGTAGTACCCACCATATTGATCTCAGTAGCAATCACAGTACTCTATTGTAAATATCTTTTAAATTATTATCTTCTCTTTGAGCTTTTGGGATTTTATCTTATTTATTTTTGTAGTTCCAGGATCTAGCAACAGCTTGTCACATCGTTCATACTCAACTAATGTTTGTTTAATGCACAATGAGCAGAAATAAACATACTACTCCATAGTAAAAAGAGGATGAACTTTTCTGCAAATATTAATCAGCACCATTTTATCCACCTTTTGGGTTTAGTACATTGGAAGTATAGGAGTATAAAGCAGAATGTCCAATGTTTACAGTGATATTTTGAAATAGATAAAAGCCAGTGCGACATTTCCATTCTCAATTTCTCTGAGACATCACCTTGAAAAAAAAAAGTATTTTTCTCTTCCTAAAATTAGTAAAGGAACAGTAATTCCACATTTATAAGAGTATGATCAACGCATCACAGATAATGTTGTAATAACACATTAGATAAAAGTGCTTATTTTCCTGAAATTATATGGAGAAAAAAATCTGAAAGTGGACCTTTGTTGGATACAAATGAAATAAATAAGGTACATACATTTTTTAAGGTTCGAAAGTTTATGGCAACTTTAGTTTGGGTTTCCATGCTATTCTATTTATTATATGGGAATTTACTGTAGCTTTCAACATGTACGAAACAGGCTGGTAGGGCTCATGCTTGTAGGCTTCTGTCTAATAACTTGGCAACTGAGGTACTTTAGGGAGTATGGATGGGGCTCTTCCATGTCTCAACGTCCTGACTGCCAAAAAATTATAGCAGGCTGGTTCTCAGAATCTTATAGTTAGTTGTTATTACTTAATTTCCCTAACCACCCGTTCTTTACTTTTTCTGTAAAGGCTGGAATTTTTGAGTAGACCTTATTGTTTTAACTCTATTGTTCTGTTTGTTTTCTCCAGTTCATGGCTCTTCATTATCACTGGTGTCCAGCACTTCTTCTCTTTACTCTACAGTAAGTAATGGCTGTTAAGAAAAAGCTTGTGCTTTTGCCATGCACACAGATGATGAAATAGATCATTTTACTGTGAACAGATCACATTCATCTATGACTTGCACAGGAGTTGTGTAGCAAAATAACGGCATACTCTAAGCTGCCCAATACCCAATAAAGTGCCAGGTGCTCCACCTGCCATTCTTTGGTCACTTACATGTGCTTTCACTTGGCTTTTGTGCACTCATCATAATCAATGAGTGGATGTAGAATTCGATTTCATAAAACCTACTGAGGTATGACTTGGAGTCTCTGAAACCATGTATGTAGTCTGCTATACTATCATTTTAGTAATGACGAGTTGTCCATGTTTTGTTCTTTGAGCCGTGACTGTTAATTGTTCTATAGTATTTTCTTCTCATTTTTTATTTTTAAGTTTATTGTTGAGAGGATTATCGAAGGGTAAAAGCAGTAAGGGTAAAGGGTAAAAGCATAAAAGAACCAGAGATGTTTTTTTTTAAATATACCTTTTGAAAGAGTGTGATTTTTTTAACTTTTATTTTTATTTTATTTTATTTATTTATTTATTTATTTTTGAGTCGAGGTCTTGCTTTGTCACCCAGGCTGGAGTACAATGACACAATCATAGCTCACTGCAACCTTGAACTCCTGGGCTCAAGTTATCCTTCTGCCTCAGCCTGTCAAGCAGCTAGGACTACAGGCATGCACCACCATGCCCAGCTAATTTTTAAATTGTTTTAGAGACAAGGTCATTGCTATATTGACCAGACTGATCAATACCCATGGCTTCAAGCAATTCCTCCTGCTTTAGCCTCCCCAAGTGCTGGGATTACAGGTGTAAGCCAGCACACTTAGATAGAAACTTTATTTATTAAGAGAAAAATACCAGTGTTTCAAGTTCTTTTGCAAACGTGTGACATTATAATTCATTTTTGACAAGGAGAGTTTTTCTGTTTGGTAAATACAATTCTATCTTTTTTAAAAAAGTAGCCTACAGGAAGTTATATTTTATGAGTGAGTCTTTTTAGAGCTAGGTTAACAGTGAGGTATATTTAAAAGCAGCCTACTGAATCTCAATGGGACTTGAGTACTATGAATAAGCCTTAATCCTGTACTGTAAGGTTCATGAAGAGTTCATAGCCTCTGCTGTCACTGATCAACTGAGCATCATGGGCAGTATTTTTTTCACTCATTATCATTAGGTTCAAATGTTTGTTTGAACCTTCTCTTTATAGATTAATCTCATATATTTACTGCCTTACATAGTCATTCAAAATCTGACTGTTATTGGCAGAGGTAATATTTTTCTAATCTCTCCTTTCAATGATTAAAATTACCCATAGCTTCTAGAAATTAAGAAATCACGATTAGTTTTTAGGTAAATGTACTTTTTGTGCAAATGGATAAAGTGAGGAATGTGTAAACACACATGAAAAAAACACATAAAAGAAATATATTAAGACTTAGTGTTCCTCCTGTTGGGCCAGCACTGCCATTTGTTGGGGAATTGTATTCTGATTTAAACCATTGCCATTTACATCTATGTGTAACATCAAAAGATGTAGCATCATTATTATTCTAAATACATACAATAATTAATATTTGGATAAAGCTACCTTCATGAAACCTAAGAAAAACTAAATTAAAAAGAAAGAAAGAAAGAAAAATACACTTAGATAGAAGAAATAAGGTCTAGTGATTGGTAGCACAATAGAGTGACTATAGTTAACAATAATTTATTGTACATTTCAAAATAGCTAGAAAAGAAGATTTGGAATGTTCCTAACAGGAAGAAATGATATTCTTCCTAAATGAAGAATGGGATATTCCACTTTCCTAGATTTGATCGTTACACAGCATATGTTTGTATAATACCACATGCACCCCATAAATACATACAACTATTGTGTATCCCAATATTAAAGATTTTTTTGAAAAATTTATTCCTCAAGAAAAGGATCATGAGTTTAAGAAAAAACAGATTACTAGTCTACCAGTGTCCAGTAGACCTTTCTGTGTTAATAAAAGTGTTCTGTATCTACACTATCTAATATAGTAACTATGAACCATATGTTGCCATTGATTATTTGAAGTATATCTGGCAAAGAGATGAATTGACTTTTTTATTTTAATTAATTTACATTGAAATAGCCACATGTGCCTAGCAGCTACTAGATTGGATAGTGCAAGTTTATAGAGAACACAAGGGGTACATTTGTAGATAGGAGTGGGATGTCAAAATGATGAGGATAATTAGAAAGCATACATGAGAAATATTGTTTTAAGAGTAGAATATGAAATGGGAACACAGATTAAAATAGAGTATGTATATATATACATATATATGTGTATATATATACATATGTATGTGTATATATATACATATATATGTGTGTGTGTGTGTATATATATATTTATAGGCCAATATATGGAGGTAGGGTATATCCTAGTGTTAAGTGAGTAAAGAATGGATTAGGTGATCGAGCCACATGAGAAGGTGATATTATTAGAAAATTGAAAGTTGTATTTGAGATGATGAAAATGATATATTTGAATTGAAAAGTAAACTGTAGTAAAATAATTCAAATAAATGAATATTTGGGGAACTACTTAAGAGAAAAATCATAAAACATGAGGAGTCATTCTTTCCCCAGTCCGCCATGATCAGGCCTTAGGATTTAATTGGCAATGAGAAAATACCTATGAAAATGCTTTTTAAACTATCACATGAAAAAGCAACTTATTATTTTTCATGCCTTCTTAATAACTCTCAATAGAGATTTAGTTGATTTGCATTTTTGCCTGGTTCAATCAAGAAATTATCGCGTGACATCAGGCAAGTTGCCAAATTTCTTTGGACTATACCTATAAAATAAAATTTGAAAATATTAGCTAGATCTAACCCATTTGTCTCCGGATGTCTGCAAAGTGGTTGGAAATCACAAGCCTAACCTGATCTGCAGAGGTGTTACCTTTGGCAAACTTATGGTTTTTGTGTTTGTTTTGAAATCTAAGGCCAAGCGCGGTGGCTCATGCCGGTAATCTCAACACTTTGGGAGGCTGAGGCGGGTGGATCACTTGAGGTCAGGAGTTCGAGACCAGCCTGGCCAACATGGCAAAACCCCGTCTCTACTAAAAATACAGAAATTAGCCCGGTGTAGTGGCATACGTCTGTAATCCCAGCTATTTGGGAGGCTGAGGCAGGAGAATCGCCTGAACCTGGGAGGCTGAGGCTGCTGCAGTGAGCGCCACTGCACTCCAGCCTGGGCGACAAAGCCAAACACTGTCTCAGAAAAAAAAAAAAAAAAAAGGAAAAGAGGGAGAGGGGAGGGAGAGGGAGAGGGAATCTAAGCCAACACTGTGAAATATTGTGAAATATGGAGCTTCTACCTAAAAATTCAAAATTTTAAATTCCTTTTAAAAATAATTGGAATATCTATGGAATATCTAGCAATACTAAGATGAAATTCCTCTGGGTTTTCAGTCACCTGTAATTGACACCTTTAGATGTTGGCATGGGCTCTCAGGAAGCCACAGCCTCCACCAATGCTTTTCTTCCTGACACTGAAGCTAAATTTGGGTGGCTAGTTTTCATTGTGCTGTTGCTTTCCTCATGGGAAAGAAATACCCTTTGCTATTTATATTGCTGTCAAATGGGAAAATGAAAGACAGCCAAGGAAGATCATGTGACTATTTAAATACTTCAAGTCCATTTATTCTTTATTAGCCTTGTCCTGTTAGGCATTTAAATTTTTGATCCCTGCAATAGATGTTTTTTGATTAACTGTATATTAAAAACTATATTTAACCTGTTTTGAATTTGAATTCTAAATTGTATTTTTTCATGAGAGCAAGTGTCATTTTTGATTCATTGTGGATTGTTTAACATGTTGCCTAACAAATAGCTAATACTAACGTCATAACTTTTTAATTAATAAATTTGAATGGATAAATGGCCACTTATTGGCTTATAGAATAAATAAAAACATTTTTATTCAGTCAAGTGTTTCATATTTTTTATCATCTCCAGGACATTGGGCTTGCTCAAAACCATTGTTAAAAAAAAAATGGCAAATAATCCAGTTCCATCATGATATCATTAATCCCACACCTAAGCTACTGAAAAAAATATATTAATATTCTGGCTCATTGCTTTATTTTTATGGTAACACCCACCTGGTATTAATAACCACAGAGTACGAAAGAAGGCAAAGGTTAAAGCAAATAATAGTTTTGAAAAATTGGTAGTGAAAAAAGTCATGCTATACGGTATGTATATAATAGATATTTAATGATTATGCTTGCTACTAGTATATGTAACAGGACTATTATAGATTAACAAAAATGCGGTGAGTATATTTCTTGATTATTTTTTAAAAGAATAAATTATTATTTAAAAATACATGAATTATTTATTGATTCTTGAATCTTTACCAGCTTTCTATAATTCTAGGAAGCCTAGAAGCAGAATTGGGCAGGATAAACTGGCAAAAAATGTAAAAAGTAGGCCGGGCACGGTGGGCTACAGTGAGTTGTGAATGCGCAGTGCACCTGAGTGATAGATCAAGATCCTGTCTCAAAAAAAAAAAAAAAAAAAAAAAAAAAAAAAAAAAGAAAGAAAGAAAGAAAAACAACAACAAAAACAAAAGCAAAGTACTAGGGAAAACTAATAGACATAGTTACATAGTTAATTGTGCCATATGTTTTAAGGCAATGAAACTTTTATCTTAATATTCCTTGCTTACTTTTTATTCAAAAACCAAACTGTGTATAAAACCTTAAAATTATTAGGATCTAAAAAATAAAATCTTTCCTTAAAAATCTAAAATTGAGATGTAAATTATTCAAGAGTGCTTTTTAAAACAGTTTTCTTATAAAGGCTATTAGGATTCTACCACTTAGCCACTTTATTATTTAGCCACTATATTACTAAGTTTACATATTTTTAAAGGTAGTGAAAATATAGGGAAGACAAAGCTCAGGTTAAAAGAGTTTCTGGCAAATAAAATATATCCTGATGGTTAGACTACTTTGCTTTATGTTTTCTGAAAGAAAAGCAGTAAAAAACAGTTCAGGTAGTTTTGTGTCAATTAATCTAGAACTATACCAAAAGTAGACATAGAAAACGAGAGATTGTTTTTCAGCTTTGGATCTGCTTATGGCAATAAGCAGACTTGTACTATTCAACAACATTATGCATTCTTCAGCTTTTCCCAGAATAAGGGAGCTTCCCAAATGCAATGGTGCACATAACTCATTTTCTGGCATTTTGCAGCCCAGCATGAAGAAGAAAAACAGAGCTAGGAGTTTTCTGGAAGTCAAGTCAAAAACACCCTGCAAATTCCTATGGCAGTCCTCCTTTCCATAAGCTGCATAGCCAAAAATGTTTGCCAGACACTTTTATCACTGGGTGTTTCAGTGTTTTCATTGTTTAAGCGTTTTGCTGACTTGTGATAATTAAAATTATTAATAATCATTAAAGAAAGAAAAAGTAGAAGTAAATAATGTTAATTATCTGTGGTTATCAGTAGAGGTCTGTATGTTACCCCAGCTTTATTTGACATTGTTTGTGATCAGTAAATCACAGAATAAAATTCTGACATCTAAACCTTGGCTAGAGGTCTCTATAATTTTATGGAGTCTGTTTCCTACAATCTGTATGAAAGATACTTCAATATTTTAAGTTTACATGCACCCATCTTTTTTAGAGTATAATTTTATAACTATTTGGTTTATGTTGCTTATGATTTACATCTTAGAGTCTTTTAATTCTGTCTTTTGCTTAAAGGAATATTATGGATCAAATGACCTATATTTTAAGAATACCTTATGGTTTATATATTAAGAAACATTTATATAAAATTCTAAAGTAACTTGCTTGTACTATTTCAATTGAATAACTTAATGTATTTCATTCTATTCTTCTCATAGTAGATAATAAAAAGTACATCATGATTATTGTATTCATTTATACTTGTGGAATTAATTGAAAATAGTTTTTATAGTTAAAGTCTTTCTTTTTATTGTTTTACAGGCTGAAGAAAAGGCTCATTCAGAGGTAAAAAAAAAATATGCAATATTTTAATATTTTCTATTTTAGTTTGCATTCATGATGAAATTAGTCTTGTGACCACTAGAGGGCTCTGTGATACAATAGCAGAACTCCACAGGACTGCTGAAGTAAGGCAGCTAATTGATAAATGGTCTTTGATATTGCCTCTTAAAAATAAAATGAAAGGAAGTTTGTATAGCAAGCTGTCCTTTCACATTCTAGATTGAGTCTTAGCTCAACACCTAATAAGTTTTCTATAATAGTAAGCACTCATTAAGTCATTGATAAATGAAGGTCTATGGTCTTCCTATTTTATTACAGTCTTTTTCCCACTCCCTGTAAGACCATCTACACAGGATAATGGTTGAAACTTGGGCACCAAGCCTCCACAACACAGGATACTAGCATCTCAGACTATCTGTTTTGTGTCATTATCTTGTTGCCTCTAACTGCCATTTTATGTGTGGTGTGTCACCTATTGTTCTAATCACATATTTCACAAATACATATTTGGTTGCACTCGTGAGCAAATCAAACTGCATTCAGGAAAGAATACTATTTTAATTTCCCTTGGTAAAACATTTGTCCTGGTCAAAGAGAGCAGGAGGACTTTAATTATGACTTTATTCAAGGTGAGGTAATGGCTGTTTGATTGGTTTACACTGAGGCAATCAGACAACAGAGAAAAAAAATGCCTTAACAACAGCTTTTGCAAAAGTATTCCTTTCCTTTGAAGTCTTATTTTATTAGCCTTTAAAAATAAAATTTGTGCTATGTTTAAAAATATTTGAAAATTATTGATTAAACCAATTTGTCTTTATAATCTCTGAACCAAAGAGTGGATATGATTTTTAAAAATCAAAGTGGTTTTATTTACATCACATGGACATGACAAAGCTTCTAACACTGATCATAGTATAGCTACTGAAGCATCGAAATGCTACATCTATTTGCCTTAGTAGTAGTTATTCAACTCCCCTTTTATCATTGATGCTGTATCATGAGTTATGGTTTAAAAAAACAATTTCAATCACTTTACAGTTTCCTGGATTATATTTTAAAGATACTGGAATCATGTAATAGAGACTATTTAATTTGAGAAATGCTCTTTGAGTTTGGATTCATTTATGAATAAAATAGACGCTGTATTTTCTGAAATCATTCATAGTCATTATCTTATAAATGTAAAGCAAATGTTATTTTAGACTGGGGTGTATCTGTTCCGGAAAAAAAAAAAAAACAGGAACGAAGTAGAATCACATTTGGTGAAATTATATAAGTGTCTACTGTTTCCAGCTTAGAGTTCTCTACTTTGTTAGAGTGTTTGAGTTGACCACCATTTATTTTCAACAAAATCTAATGCCCGGGGCAAAAACTAGACAGTTAATAAACTATGTCAAGAATTCTCTTTCAAACTGAGACAGCATTCCAAAAGTTCAACTACAACTATAGATAAGATTTGTTTTTGAAGAAATGAGAAGCATCAAAAGTAGAATGTTTAACATCCAAGTAACTGAAATCCCTTGAGACTAGATATATACTTATAGAACCTAGTGTCAGATTGTTATAAATGTTCTATCCTTATTAGTCACAACATGAGACTTGCAGAACAAACTGCAGAAAGTGCTTGAATTAAAACTTTAAACATGATATAATATATCCTTACCCTTTTCTGTTTCAGTTTTATTGGAGTGTGAACTTAACTAAAAAGAAAGATACCTTAGAATATACATTATATTGGTTTATCTAATTAGTTGCACCTATCATTGGTTTTTTCCCCTGATTTTTAAGATGTGGATAAGCTATAAAGCATCTCTGAGCTAATAATAACTCACTAAATAAAGGTCTTGATAATACAGATTTGGGAAGGCTTCTCTGCAGTCATTGAAACTCCAGCCAATAACAATTTAAATGTGAACTGATTAAATGTTGAATTAAGCCCAAGTTTTAGTGATTGCAGGATATTCCATAGCCTTTGAGAAGTTTTCAAACTATGAGAAATTAAAATGTACAGAGGAAAAAAAAACCTAAGATTTTCTGAAAAAGAACATGGAGTATCTTTTACTAAAAAAGAACAAGAAAAATATGTGTGTATATACAGTTTTTATAAAGAAAATATTTTTCTACAGTTTTATTACCACAGTTTTTCTAGAAGGAGAAGAATCAATACAGAGGGTAAACTGCTCTTGAGTCATTTGCCATTTGAGGGATGGCAAATGGAGCAAGTGAGCGTACTTTGATTTGTAGATTAGAGTTTGACACATAACACTTTGCTTTTGAATGACATTTGCTTGTTACTGTGGAGTCAGTGTTCATATCCTTTATTTTCAGGAGTTGCTGCTGATACAATGGGGTTAGAATGAGCTAAATACAGCATTTGCTTTCTTGGTTTGAATTCTGGGTTTTAAGTAAAAATCTACTTGCCTATTCCATTGATTTTTTTAATTGCATTCAGCAAATCCATAAACTGCGGAGAGAGCTGGTTGCATCACAAGAAAAAGTTGCTACCCTCACATCTCAGCTTTCAGCAAATGTAAGTCACTTCATTTTTAAAATATATTACAACAAATTTTTATAGAGGAAAATGAAATCATTTTAGTAACAAACTTACAAATTTTCAGTGCCTGATACAGACTTAGATTACCAACTAGCAGGACTCATAAAAAGTTAACATTTTTTGCCTACTCAGTAATAAAATGTAAATCCAAACTGATGAGAGGCAGCAATATGGTTAAAATGGCTTGTTGTTTCTAATAAGATTGGAAACAATAGTAACAGCCATATGGGTTACTTCTTTTCTTGTTTGCTATTTTTATTACTCCTCTTGCATAAGATTCTCTGACAATGTAAGAGGGGTTGTTAGTGTTTGACTTTGGAAGATAAAATATTCCTGTGCCCAGCCTCCTTCATCTCAATGTATTGAACAATTTGTTAAGCATCCAGTTAATTCTAAAATATGAAATTAGGTCTAAATAGGGATAGCTTAGCTGCACTGTGGATGAGATATGGTTTGCTCAAAAAACCTTGGCAGCCTTCTCATAGCAATTTAAAAGGGTACACTTTTACTGGCACCAGAGCAGCCCAGGATGGCAGAAATGATGACAATGAAGACCGTCAATTAAATTAACATTTACTGAATATCTTCCACTGTGTCAGGGAGCACTCAGAGTAGATGCAGAATGATAAAGGAGAAATGTGGCACTGTTCCCAGTCCTGAGGAGCAATGGTGTTAAGAACAGCAGTGAGGGGTAAGGAAATGCCTGCTATTTTGCCATATGTCTTACCTCTCTCACTCAACAGTCCTTTGCTCAGTTCTGCTGCATAGCTTTGGGCCTGCTCTGTGCCTCCCCACCCCTCCCGCTGCTCCTCTACTGAGTTTTTCTATCTCCTAGACAAAGCATGATATGTCAAGAGTGAGCAGGTGCAGACCCACAGTGTAAGACTTGAATAAGAGCCATTTTTAAATTTTTTTTAAGCTATCATTGTGCAATATAAATTCTGAGTATGTGTATCATTTCATTCACGATGTATTCATTTTAGCACTGTATTTGAATTGATTTTATTTTCTGAAATTTGGGAGAATTAATTTTGGATTTATTCTATTTATTTTTAATAGATGGTGTTAGGAGATTCCTGAAAATAATAGCAGTTTTTAGATAATTGTTTAAGCAATATGAGAAAATAAGGGTATTATTTAACCTTGTTGTGTTTTTAAAGAGATAGTCCAGAGGCAACCGTAAATTTTATAATATAGGCTACATGTATAGAAGTATGAAATATTGTTGTCTAGGTTCCTGAATTTGTACCCAGAGGAAGTAGAATAATGTAAATGTCAGAACCTCCTGGGTTGTGTTTATCTGCAATAAGAAAGGCTCAATGGCAAACCTTATTTATTAGATTGTCAGGATACTTGCAGATGTCTTGAATGATTACTCAGGGTTTCATTTTATTTTTAATGTCCCTTGGTTGAGCTCATCATATAATTCAGATATTGGAATAATAAATGGCTGCTAGACATAGTGGAAGATGGGCTGATACTTTCCATTTGAAATGTAATGATGCTTATTGTCTTCAAAAGAAAAAACTAAAATGGTATTTCACATTTTTTTGTTTTTGTTTTTGTTTTTTTTTCTCTGAGAATCTCATTCTTACTCATGATTATTGGTTTCTTGTGTACCATTTCAACATTTTTCTATTATATGCTAATGTGTATATATACTTAATACACACGTGCAAAAGCTTCCTCACACACACACACACACACACACACACACACACACACACATACACACACATACGGAACCAAATTCTAACATAGGGGAATAATCTTCGGAGTGAACTCTGTGCTGCTGTTTGAAAATGGAGATATAATTTTAGAAAGGTTCCTGCAGTTGGCTACCCACCTCGTCTGCTCTAATTATGCTTGTCACACTATTTTCACTGATGTGTTTTCATGACTTTAGGGCATGAATTCTCAGCTGGGTGTTAATATGACCAACAAAGGGTGAAAACAGGTTCTTGCATTTTTTTAAGTACTCTTTTTATGTGAAAAGCACAGATATGCAGATAATACATAACTGAACATCCAGCATATCTGTGGCTTTAAAATATCACGAAGAAGAGCACAATTAGGGAAAAGAAAACATCTATAGTGTTTCCCTAGGGGAACAATCATTTAAAAAAAAATAAAAATAAGGAACACAGACTAGAAGCAGCAGTGCCAAATAGATAATTCATGCTAGTCTTTGTGTTAATTTAAAAAGTGCTAGTCTTGGAGACAAACGCCCAAATTGCTCTAGGTTCCACTCAGCTGTATGTGTTATCATTAGTATTAACTTTTGCACGCTGATGGGAGACTGATATATATCCTGTTTTATGTTCCTTTAAACAATTTATAATGTAATTTAGAAACCTTCTCAAATCACATTAGATCCACACAAAAACCTGTACATAGCAGCTTTATTTTTTAATAGCCAAAGAAAGGAAACAACCAAAAATATCCCTTAATAGGCCAGTTAATAAACAAATTCTGATACATCTATATCATGGACTACTACTCAGCAATATAAAGAAATGACTATTGATACGTGCATCAACTTGGGTGGATCCCAGGGGTATTATGCTGAGTGAAAAAAGACAGTTATAGAAGGTCAAATTTTGTATAATTCCATTTATATAACATTCCAGAAATGGCAAAATTAAAGAAACAGAGAACAGATTAGTGATTGCTAAGGGCTAAGGATGAAGGAGAGAGAGAGGTAGTGTGACTATAGGAAGAGGGAGATCTTTAGTTTTGTATTTTGAATGAGATGGCCATCACATGAATCCACATATGTCAATCTATTAATGTAAATCAATATTGTATTCCTGGCTTTGATATATAATATAATTTTATAAGATATATAATCATTGGGGGAAACTGGATGAAGGATACAAGGGACCTCCCTGTACTATCTTTGCAACTTCTTGTGTATATAATTATAAAATATATAATGTATTAAAATGTATAAAATAATATTTTAAGTATCAGATACTGATCTTTACTCAGTATATGAAGTGTTCTATCATAACGTAACATGCTTTTCCTTTATTTGTGGTATTTTAGTTTCAAACTAAAATATAAATCACCTAAAGATCTACGACAGTTCTTTTGAAAAAAAATCTTGCTTTTAATTTCCCAGGAGTTTCAACCTTAATCCTCTCTTTAGTGTTTCTTTATTTGGTAGTGATAGGGACTATCAAAGCTTCTTACCATCAAATACATTTACTGACTAAAAATAGAAAAATAATTTACATTGTAAAAATGTACAAATTGAATGACAGTCAAAAGGTACAGGTAATGAAGATATGCATTAACATCTACTTTTAAAAAAAAGTTTATTAAAATTCTCTTTTAGACTAATGCAGTATCTGGGAATTTATATAAATAGATATGTATATAAATGACTATTAAACAATTTTAATGTCAGTTATATTTTAAACATTTTAATAATATTGTTATAACTATGGGGGTAAAATTTTGTATATATCTGAACATTTTTGTTCTTAAGGAAATAATCATTTTTACATATCCAGGAATTTGAATTACTCTCAAGTCACCTATTAATTACAAGTCATTTTGAACTCATTCATTTTCTTTGTGTTTGCTTTATAATGTCATTTTAGATTTCATGCATCATAATCAGCCATCAAATAATTTAGTTAATACTTGATTTTTCCTCAGTTGTAAGAAGTGCTGTGTTTAAATTTCATTCAGAATGTTTCATTTCATCTGAATTAATATCTGTTAATGTATGTAATATACACATATTTTTAACATGCATGTACTTAAATTGATTATAGGGACTTGGTAAAATTACTTATTTATAGGATATTTTAAATATAATCAAGGATTTTTTAAATCTACAGTTCCCATTTGAAAGTAAAAGTAAGTCTTTGTTTACTAGTTTGTTCACAGTACAAGTAAACTTTCTACCTTTTGGTTAAATGTGAGTGCAGCCCCCACAGTGAGAAATTGTTATATTAGAACTCTAATAGCTATAATTTATAGGGATGAATTTCAATGAGTTTGGTTCTAAGAAATAATCTGTTGGTTTTAACAACATTTTTAAGTATCAGATATTCATCTTTACTCAGTATGTGACATGTACTCTCATAGCTTACGTGCTTTTCCTTTATTTGGGGTGTTTTTTATATATTAATTGGTATATCGCATATTTAAACTTGGCATAATTACATTTATATGGACTCTAAACAATAACTTGTATTTTAATTTTTAAATTTGAAATGCATCTATGTCTCTGTTAAAATGCATTTCTTTCCCTTTGCCCAAATGGGGTATGGTAAGTCAAGAGAGTCTCTAGTTAGCTCACCTCTCATTTGACTGGCAGAGTAAAGCCCTTGTTCAGTAGAATGTGTGTTAAGCCTTCCCTCCCTTTTGTAAAGTTGTTCTGAACAGAGCTGCATAAAACCACAGGTAAAGTGTTAAGCTGATTCTACTAGCATGTCCTTAGAAAGGAGAGCGGTTATATTGGCAGGTCCTATTGCCTGGCGTTTCTGATCAATAACTCACCAACAAACAGAAAACAGAAGCCGCACAAGGAAAGGCAGAACTAAATAAATGGTAATAGCAAACAATAAGCCAGATAGCCTCTGGCCTCTCGCCCACACCTTAAGGCAGCTGGGTCAGGTGGGATGCTTTTGTTTGTCTTTTAACGTATTTTCTTTACAAATCTCAGCCATTACATAATTTGGAAATGGACACAAGGCTAGTTATTACTAACATTTTTAAAGACATTACTGAATGAATGTGTAAGAAAACAAAAGGTCCTTTTTGCCTTTCAGCAGATAAGTCTTTTAACCAAAAATCTCTTGGGTATTTTGAGATTGTGTTCTACTTCTTTGCTTATTTAATATTTTCATAAAATTTGCTAGTTACTCTTGCTTTTTTGCATCTCTTCTAAGAGAAAACAATTGGTGCATATTATTAATGAGAAACACTTCAGTGTTTGGACAATTTTTTGTAGTGGAAAAGAAATGTGAAACTTTATGTTGCAGAATCATTCTTGGTTCAACTAACTACTAATTTTAAAACATAAAGTCTTAAATATATATAAAGTTTATATGGGTAAATATATATTACATATAATATATGTTTTATATTTATACATAATATACTATATATTTATACATGATATACTAAATATTTTCCCATATAAATAATAAAATGCTCTAGGCATATATGTGTGTGTGTGTATATATGTATATATATATATACCTTCATAACATACATATATAAAATACTATATTATATATACTCTAGGTATACATATATGCCTATATATGCACCTATATATTTATATATTACTATATAATATATAGTATATATTACTATATATACTACTATATATTACTATATAATATATAGTATATATATAGTATATATTATATAGTAATATATTACTATATAATATATAAATATATGTGTGTATATATATATATGCCTAGAGTGTTTTTAATTTGTCAGTGGGCTGTCTCTGTAATCTATATGAAGAAATAAAATGTAGACGTTATGTATAATGATATTTCATCTTGTTGTGTGGCATCATAGTAATTCTCTTTACATATCTATTCAGATTACTTTTGCACCAGCCTAATACATTGTATGATTCCAAAACCAAAGAGAGTATGGATTGAAATGATATTCCCTTTACTAATACTCAGTCTTGTCTATTTTATTACCTTTATAGACTTCACCTAACACAAGTCAGGGGATATTTATCATCATATTAATACAATTTTACTCTGACCTTAAAATTATGCAACTGCTAAAGGAAAAATCAGAACCAAATAAACTGTCATTAACAACCCCCCTGAAAATCCATATTTTTTAAAAGTCATTTTATCAAGTCTCTCAGACAAGATGTGATACCCTATAAGTTTAATCAGTTTTACTTTCCATTTTCTCTTCATTAAGGTGATAAAGATTATCATTAGTAGAAAAATTTTCCCTTATTTGCCTCCTTTTCCATTTACCCTATTGAGTGAGAAATTTAGCCTCTCATAACTTCTAAAGTAGCAATGTTAATCTGATAAACTAAACCAAGGTGAGATAAATTTAAGACAATATTTTTTTTCTTCAACTTTTAAGTTCTGGCGTACATGGGCAGGATATGCAGGTTTGTTACATGGGTCAACATATGCCATAGTGATTTGCTGCACAGATCAACTCATCGCCTAGATATTAAGCCCACCATCCATTAGCTATTCTTCCTGATTCTCTCCCTCCCCTAACTCCCACTGACAGGCCCTAGTGTGTGTTGTTCCCCACCATGTGCCCACGTGTTCTCATCGTTCTACTCCCACTTATAAGTGAGAAGAAGTGGTGTTTGGTTTTCTCTTCCTGTGTTAGTTTGCTGAGGATAATGGCTTCCAGCTCCATCCATGTCCCTCCAAAGGACATGACCTCATTCCTTTTTATAGCTGCATAGTATTCCATGGTGTATATGTACCACATTTTCTTTATCCAGTTTATCATTGGCATTTGGGTTGATTTCATGTCTTTGCTATTGTGACTAGTGCTGCAGTGAACATAATGCATGCAGGTATCTTTATAATAGAATTATTTATATTCCTTTGGGTATATACCCAGTAATGGGATTACTGGGTCAATTTCTGCTTCCAGATCTTTGAGGAATCATCACACTGTCTTCCACATTGGTTGAACTAATTTACTCTCCCACCAACAGTGTAAAAGCATTCCTTTTTCTCTGAAACCTCTGCAGCACCTGTTATTTCTTGACTTTAATAATCACCATTCTGACTGCTGTGAGATGGTATCTCATTGTGGTTTTGATGTTACCCTTTTTTTTATATGTTTGTTGGCTGCATGACTGTCTTCTTGTAAGTGTCTATTCATATCCTGTCTATTCATGTCTTTGCCCACTTTTTAATGGGGAAGTTTGTTTTTTACTTGCGCATTTGTTGAAGTTCCTTGTAGACTCTAGATATTAGACCTTTGTCAAATGGATAGATTCCACAAATGTTCTCCCATTCTGCAGATTGTCTGTTCACTCTGATGATAGTTTCTTTTGCTATGCTGAAGGTCTTTAATTAGATCCTATTTGTCAACTTTTGCTTTTGTTGCAATTGCTTTTGGAGTTTTTGTCATAAAATCTTTGCCCTTACCTATGTCTTGAATAATATTGCCCAGATTTTGTTCTAGGGTTTTTATAGTTTTTGGATTTTACTTGTAAGTCTTTAATCCATCTTGGGTTAATTTTTGTATAAGGTATAAGGAAGTGGTCCAGTTTTAATTTTCTGTATATGGCTAGTCAGTTCTACCAGCACCATTTATTAATTGTTTTTTCAGTTTCCCCATTGCTTGTTTTTGTCAGGTTTGTCGAAGATCAGATGGTTGTAGGTGTTTTTCACTAACATAATCATAACATACATTTCATTGAAAACAACACGACTCAAAATGTTCTTTAGTAACCAGTTATAAGTTTTTTTGTGCATAATTACAAACTGCCATTCTAATCATAAACATTTTGTGGTTACTTATAGCTAGAAAATGTGAGTAATATAGTTTATACAGCATACTCTTTACAATCCCGATTTCTTTGTCAAACTTTAATTCATATTAAATTGATAAAGTATACACAAAGGGTAAAGGAGAGTAATTTTCTTCAAGTTTCACATTTAAGGATTCATAGTAGAATGATTAAACCTTACATTTCTCCACTATAAGGAGAATTAAAATGGAAATATTGAGTAAAATCTTACATTTCATTTAGTAAGTGCTAATAAAGGGTTTCTGCCATAATTTTCCTTATTTTAAAAGAAAACACACAATTTTAGTTTTAGGTTTTAGTAACCAATTTTATGGGCATAGTGGGAATATTTCTAACAGGTTAAACTGAAGTGACCATCATGGGCATATATATATATTTTAAATTCACATATATGAATACTATACAGTAAAAACTAACTTATGCTACATACCACATGGATGAATCTCAAAACCCATGTAAAGCAAAAGAAAACCACAAAAGAATCATGCCATTTGATTACACTTGGGTGGTTTTTAAAACAGGCATATCTAAACATAGTGCTTTAAAGTGTAAGCTTGGGTAGGAAAAACTATAAAGAAAAGCAAGAAAATAATTACCACAGAAGTTATGTAGAGGTTATCTTTGGGGAAGGAAGAGGGAATAATAAGAGAGGGACAAAGAAGAGCTTCTTGGTTCTTGAAATGTCCTATTTCTTGACTTGGCTGGTGAATGCATGAATGTTCACTATGTGATAAGTCAGGGGGCTGTTTTCATTTTGTTCACTTTTATATATGTGTGGATTTTTCCACAGTTGAAAAGGTAAAGTTCAGGTGTGGTGGCTCACACCTATAATCCCAGCCAACACTTTGCGGGGCCAAGGTGGGAAGAATTACTTGAGGCTAGGAGTTGGAGAGTAACCCAGGCAACAGGGTGAGGCACTGTCTCTACAGAAAATGAAAAAAAAAAAAAAAAAGTAGCTGGGCATGTTGGTACATGCCTATAGTTCTTGCTACTTGGGAGGCTGAGGCAAGAGGATCACTTTAGCCCAGGAGTTTAAGCCTGCAGTGAACTAGGGTTGTGGCACTGCACTCCAGCCTGGGTGGCAGCAAGACACTGAGTAAAAGAATAAAATAAATAATTAAAAGTTAAAATATAGGAAAAAATGAGCATAGCCTTATGCTAATTTTTCAGTTACTAGGTCTGATATCATCACATTCCTTGCTTGTCATTGAAAATTTTTTAAACTATGATACTTTTTTTTAGTGGTATTTATCCAATTAAATCTGCTAACAAATTTGGTGTATAAATCTCAAGGGTAAGGGTATGTGGAGAGTGGGTGTGTTTGTGTGAGAGAGAGAGAGAGAAGAGGGGGAGGAGAAAAAGAAGGAAGAGGGAAGGAATGGAAAAAGATAATAAAGAGTTGTTCTGATAGATTAATCTTTAGTAGATGTATTCCCTACAAATTGTTTTTCTCCATATTGCAGTGTCAGGTAAAGAAAGGCATCCCAGGATGAATTCAGAGCTAGGAACATGCACCTTTGTATCATAATGCTAATGGAAGGAACATGTACATTCTAACTGTTACCAATAATGGAATATATTTCCGTTATTAAGTAATAAGCTTTAATTCTTTGTATTTTTGTGATCCATTTGATAGTAGGTGCCTCAGCATTTCCACTCTGCTATAAGTACATGGAGATATATTTTATTTAAGTCATCTTATTCATGTCTTTCAAAAAGAAATTCATTTTTGGCCAAGGATTTCCAAATTTTGCCCCATATATAGGTATAGTTTATTATAGACTTCGTTTGCAAAATATTAAATCCTTATATCCTTTTAGGGACACAATAAAATTTTATAAGTTTGAGATAATGTACTTGCAGTTCTACCTCAGGCCGTGGTGAGAGATTGAAGTGCCTCTTCATTTTAACATTTTGGGTTCAAGTTGTTGCATAAGGGCATGCAAATGGAAACTGGCCTATTTTTGAGCTTTAATAAAATCGTCAAATACTTCTTAATCTTAAGAGTTATAGTTATGTACTACAATATGTATAATTCTCTAATATTTAAAACAAAACCTGAAAGCCACAAAAGCTTACTGTGAAATAAAATGTGATGGAATATTATTTCTAACTGGCTTACCTGTATTTCCTTCATTGAAGGGAATATGAAGTAGAAAAGCCCTTTTATTGAAAAGAGTTTGGAAAGTAAAGATAACTCTTTTCAATTCAATTCTTTGTAAGTAGAAAAAGAGTAAAGATAATGTTCTAGCTGTCAGCAGATGTCTGACACTTGATGGAGCGTATCATTACAATAGAGCAGCTAACAATATCTGCAAAGGTCATCATGAAAGTATAAAAATGAGGAATATTTGTCCATTGACCATTTCAGTGACCTCTTTTTGGGCTTTAAGTCTAAAAATCTTGGCAGATCAGAACTTTATATTCGGCATTTTGAGTGTCAAATCTCTACATGATGTGCAAGTCAGAAGGAGTTATTACTTGCAAAATACCATCTTCTTTCAGAAGTTAAACTCACATTAAATGCCAGGAGACTGAAACACTGATTTTAAGAAGACAAAGTTTAGAAAAGATGAATGAAAATGTGTGTTAAAGAAGAGTCACCAGTCAGAGCTAACTATGATAGTCATAGTATTTAAAGAGTTGGAACACATGAAATTAAGCATTTTGTAAAATGAAGGCTTTTCATCCATCCACATAAGATTCTGACATTTAAACTATGTTTCTTCCATTCTGTTCACAGGCTCACCTTGTAGCAGCTTTTGAAAAGAGCTTAGGGAATATGACTGGCCGATTGCAAAGTCTAACTATGACAGCGGAACAAAAGGTATGTTCAGAAATTGCCACTGGAGACTGAAAGAAGACAGCAAATTGCATAGGATTCTTAAATAATACCTGAAGCTCCTTAAAAATAATATTCCAGGCTGAGTGCAGAGGCTCATGCCTGTAATCTCACCACTTTGGGAGACCAAGGTGGGTGGATCACTTAAGGTCAGGAGTTCGAGACCAGCCTGGCCAACGTGGTAAAATCCCATCTCTACTAAAAACACACACAAAAAATTAGCTGGGCATGGTGGCGGGTACCTGTAATCCCAGCTACGCAGGAGGCTGAGGCAGGAGAATCACTTGAACCCAGGAGGCAGAGGACGCAGTGAGCCAAGATCACACCACTGCACTCCAGCCTGGGAGACAGAACAAAAAAAAGAATAATAATAATAAAATAATATTCAATTCTATACTAAATTAAAACAATGATAATACCTTTCTTTTCAGATTTTAATTTAAAGATTTTATCAGTTTACTCCATATTGGAACACACAAAGGCAAACAAAATCCTTGCTGGGCAGTCTATTAATTTACTTCTGGATGGAACTAGTAAAAGAATACTGAATGTTAAGAAAGAGAAACAGTCACATAAGAGAATATTCTGGGGGCAAACTGTTATGCAGTTGACAAGAATCACACTTTGATAAGAACTTTCACAAATACATGGTCACTAAATCCAGCTATAGGGCATGGCTGTAGGCTAAGACACACAGGAAGGATGCCTGGGACTCTGCCAAGTAAGGGACTTCAGGTTACAGCAGCTATGAAACAAAGGCCAATCCTGTGTAATTTTGAAATAACAAGAACTAGTTGCCATCTAGGGATATCACCTTTGAAGAAAAGTCATTTGTTATATCAAAATACTTAAAATGAACCTAAAGGATTTTATGGTATGAAAGAAGGTATACCAAAAAGAAAGGAACGGAGAATTTAGTTCACGAAGACAAATGTATTAAAAAGGTCCATACTGCATAGAAAGCCTGGTCACCTTTCCTGTGATGACCAGTTAGCTTACTTCTCTGCTGTTAGTCCAGTGGCCTTAACTTCCTTGGATAGGTATCAGAGATAGGTGAAACCTATAGAATTCTATGGAGTGTGTGTGTGTGTGTGTGTGCGTGCGTGTGTGTGTGTGTGTGTGTATGAAAACTGTAAATGTGCATAAATGATCAGGTGTCCAGAGCTTTCATCTAATTCTCAAAGAGACCCATTATATCAAAAGTTTTGGGTATTTTCAAGAATGCGTTCCTCTATCTATCCATAGGAATGGCTTCAGTTTTGTCTTTAGATTCTGTAAGTTATGTGATTAGCTTTACAAAAGTAGTATGTATTACCAAATTTTGTCACTTTACAAAAGTTTATTTTTAAAACAGAATGAATAGTTCAATGAAATCAAAAGAGTAAATCGAATATTCTTATAATTGCCAAGTATTATTAGCACATTGTATTCTCTCTCATATTCTCCGTATACCCTGCCCGTGAGAGAGAATATTATCCATTCCTGGAAAATCTGTTCTAGCACAGCTAACAAACTCCTTTTGAAACATAAATTTTCCTTTCTTTCCTCCCTCCCTCCCTCCTTCCCTCCCTTCCTTCCTTTTTCCTTTTCTTTCCTTCCTTCCTGCCTCTTTTCTATCCTTCCTTTCTCCTCCCTTACACCCTTTCTTCCTTCTTTTCCCCCTCTGTCTCCCTCTCTTTCTTTTTTGCTGCAGCTTGTCACTTCACTATGTAATATAAGAACCCAGCAAATAGAATTAGAAGGCTTTTTAGAGCAGCTGACGGGAAAGAATAAAAACACTGGGCCCCAGTATTCTTGAATGAGAATTCTGGCTATGTCTGTTAAAAGCTGGGTAATCTTGAGCAAGTTTATCTAACCTTTCTTGAACCTCAAATTCACCTTCTTAAAAGTGGGGATGATAATGACTACCTTGTAGGATCACCATGAGGAGTAAATCAGATACTGTTATCATGTCACATGCTAGGGGCTACCAAAAAATATTACCTTCCTTTACATTTCTCTTTTTCCCTTGAAAATTATAAGATAACACCAAATTCCTCACTGGGCATATACCAAGCATATTGTTGGAAATGAGTGTTAGAATTTAAGTCTCAATATCTTTAATAAGTCAAAATTAATAGAATTTTTGTCCTCCACCCAATATTTTCTTGAACTCTGTTATATCTGTAAGTGAATTTTCTCATAGAAACATACAGAGAATTTTCTCATATACATATAGAAAAAAATGTAGAGGTATGTTAATGTATAATGCCTATGATTAATGCCTGAATATTTAAAAATAATTTCTATAACATAAGAGATTTTATAATGTGTCTACATTATCCTTAAAATAACATTGCCAAAATTATAAAATTTTCTCAGAAGATATCAGAATGTCTCATATTGTCCTTATCACTTTTTTAACTGAAAATAAAATCACTTCTTTTTGAATTGCAAACTGTATACACACAACAATCATGGTTAACTAGTTTATTAATTTGAGATTATAACTTGCCTATTCTCAAAGTGATATTTAAAAGCCTATAAAATTATTTGCAATGTGAAATGGTATAATTCAAAGACAGAATCTAATTAAAACCAGTAGAATAATGTATATAACAATATACCTCAGCCTAGATAATTACTACTGCAAGGCACTGAAATGAATTGAATTTCAAGGAAGCTATAGTACAAAGGGAGATTGTTAGGTGTGTTTTATTCTCATTTTCTGACCAGGAGAGCATAATTTAGACTGAGGAGAAAACTCTTTGGCACTAAATTCAAGGACGAATTTATTGCCAAGGTTTTTAAATTGGGGTCATGGAATAACAAAAGACAAAATCACTGTTCAAATAGACATTTCTCTAAAAGCTAAGGGCATAACATTTAATCATATTTCACTAAAGGCATTTCTTCAGGGAGCTGAGATAAAAGGGTATATTGCTCTCTGGTGATTCAACAATCCTGAGAAAAGGCTTGTGAAGTATAGAGCAGAGATTCTTAAACTCCCTTCCCCAAGTTATAAGTTTCATTTGTCTATTTAGTCATTCATCAAGTTTATATTGAATTTGTGCTCTTCTAATGACAAAACAGTACAGACAATATAGATATAGAATGATAGATATAGGTCTATATCTATAGACATACCTATCTACTAGAACTCTAAAAGCATATTATACATGTATGTAATATTCCTCATGGAGTTTATATTTCTCATATATATCTCATATATATGTATCTCTTTATCATGGAGTTTATATTTTAGGAGGTCACAGATGATAATAAAAATATAATTAAAACAGGCCAGGTGTGGTGACTCACACGTGTAATCCTAGCACTTTGAAAGGCCAAGGCAGGTGGACTCCCTGAGATCAGGAGTTCAAGACCAGCCTGGCCAACATAGTGAAACCCCATCTCTACTAGAAACAAAAATTAGCCAGGCCTGGTGGTGGGCACCTGTAGTCCCAGCTATTCAGGAGGTTGAGGCAGGAGAATCACTTGAACCTGGGAGGTGGAGGTTGCAGTAAGCCGAGGTCATGCCACTGCACTCCAGCCTGGGCAACAGAGCAAGACTCTGTCTCAAAAAAAAATATATATATATAATATATATAATATATATATAAATATATATATTATATAATATATATATAAATTACATATTTATAAATATGTAATTTATATATATAATATATAATTAAAACATATAGGATTTCAGGTGATGATAAGCACTACTGAAAAAAGTAAAGCTGAGAATGAGGATACTGAGAAGCTGGTTTGGAAGCTAAAACACAAAGTAACAAAGGCCAAGGTGGTTACATGTTCTTGATTACATACTTTAAAAATGGATAAACTAAATTAAGACTCAGATTCTAGTCTTTGGGCTTCACAGTGTGATTTTCAGCAATCACATGGCATTAATAGCCTGAAACTACATCAAAATTGTCATTTGATTTATAGACCAAAATAACTCCCTTGAATAGAGAGGGATTCACTCCTAACACTTTTCCTATTTCCAGATGCCAAATAACACGGAATCTCTTGCCAAATTTGTGTGGCAGAACACTGGTTTTATATACTTATAGCCTGGTAAGAAAGAAAAGACATGTATGAATAACTTAGAAGGCAGAAAATTATCATGCTATTAGACTCAGTACAATGTCATGTGCATTCTCAAAGGAAACATCTGCAGAGGCAGGAGAATTGCTTGAACCCTGGAGGTGAAGGTTGCACTGAGCTGAGATCATGCCACTGCACTCCAGCCTGGGTGACAGAGAGAGACTGCATCTCAAAAAAATAAAAATTACAAAAATAAAAAATAAAAAATAGTGATCAATCTGGCAGCATTTTCTGAAAGTTAAGCAGTATTCCCAATAGCTGCTAAAAGAAGACATGTTATATAATACTAAGTCTGTAAGTAGGTAAAAATTAAGAGAATTGTTAATGTGCTTGCTGGGGAGTGAAATTATCTCTAGGCATTACCCTATACCTAACCTAGGACTCAGTAGACTATGATATTGGCGTAGTTTGACCAAGAATTTTATCCTGATTTCAGATCGTTTTCTCTTCACCAGCACTTCTTCACCAGGATTATATGAAAAAAATTAAACCTGATGCCCTGAGGCATCCATTATATGTGCTGAAATAACTTCTTTTCTCACCATCTAGAATGGTACTAGCTATGTACCACTCTTGTCAGAATCAAGGAAATTGCTACTCAAATCATTGTGCAGCTTAATTTTCTCACAGAAGGCCAGTTGAGAAAGGCTCAACTTCTAGGAATCCAGCAAACTATATTTTTTATAAGTAACATTTTTACAGAACTACTTCTAAATCCTTGTGTTCAAATTTACTAAAGCTATATTCACAGCTAAATATTTCAGAATTTAAAATTTAAAAGACTTTCAAATTAGTTCCCTGTAGCTGTCATGCCAAGGCAATTAGAACATATGTTAAGGTATGAGGGGTTTTTCTTGTTAGAAGGTCAGAGCAGGGCAGAGAAGTAGCCCCTTGTATGAGTGATGAAGCTCAGATATTGACTCCTATGCTAACCATAAAGCCTAGTAGTTTGCTCATTTGTTACCTCTCTGAAACATTTTTTTGGGTGACTACAAAACAGGAATTGAAACCTTCAAAATAAGGGAATTTGAAACCAAATCTTTGAAAATAGATAATGCTGCAACTAAAAATTTAGTTGAATAGGATTTTTACATTAACTCTCCCTAATTTACGTTATGATATTTGCCATCTAGAAGTGTTTTTAAAAAATATATTGCTGGAGTCAGATGATGCATCCATTAATCTTTGGGGCATAGAATAATGTGAATCTAAAATTTTCAAATTATTTACACTACTGGTATTTGGTCAATGTAATTTATTTGAAACTAGATGCAATAGGGATGGCCAGGTTATTTCAGTAGAACAACTAGCAAGACTTCAGATGCATGGTGGAGTGGGGAAAGGAGGACCTGTTTAAGGAAACTAGAGCTGGGAAGTGTGAGATTAACTTAGTGCCAATGTGAGGACCTAAAAAGCAGATGTGGTGGAAAATTTAAACAGGCTTGCCTAGAAGGTCAAGTTAGTTGATGACACTTGATGAGATTGTCCCAAGCTTTGGGATTCTCAACAAAGTCTTTGTTAGTGAGAAATTTGGAAAGAGATCAGGTATAGTTAAGAAACTGGGTTGGAAAGGCCACCAGGAAAGGCGAATATTCTGACACAAAATTTGATCATTTTATTTGGAAGCATTTCAAGCCTGACCTGAACGAATTGTTTAGCCTCAGATACATGCATAAAACTGTGAAAAGAGACATTGACTCAATTTAGCTTCTTTAACATGAGAAACTTTCGTGGAAAACTAGAACTTTACAAGCTCAGCTGGTGTTGGGGGCATCATTATCTTGAATAGCTCACTGGAGGAAAATGAAATCTTAGTTTGGTTCTCAGGTTTTAAAATATCTATCATTTTTGAAAAGTGTGAAGTAACAAAATATGATCTGATTATCTTATTCCTAAAATCCTTTGCAGAATTATCCCAGCCTCAATCTTCTCTTTAGTATTTAATGAGAATAAGAAACTGGAAATGACTGAATTGGAAGAGTAGACTTTAAATCCATATCTTGATGGCATATACATTTTTCAGTTTTTTTTCTAAATGATTAATGAGGATTCTCAAAACTTGAGTATCTTCTATGTTTCCCTTCAACATAAAGAAATTGTATGAAAATATTTTAAAAATTTCTAATGATTTTATAGTTAGCTATCTTGGGAATTCATTTCTAATCATGTACCTCATCCAAACTCCCCACTATGGACAAAAATAAAATAAAAATTATTAGTTGCATCTGAAGGCCACATTACAATTTCTATGCATTATAGAAACCTGAGAAAATGTATCTTAAAAAATAAATGTGAACAACTAACCATAATTATGAAGAAGAAAAATGAAAACTAGAAATAAACTATTGAAAAATGTCTATGTATCAGTTAAGTTTTTATTTTAAAATTCTTTATGTTTATCTCTATAATACTATTGGGAAAGAGAGAAAGGAAAACCTGACTTTGTTCTCATCCAAAGGAGGTGATTCCACTGATTTAGCCAAAATAAGACTTCCTGGTTATAATAAATAATAAAGTTTTTGATGTTTTTTATATGGTACCCCACTCACTAGGTGATCAGACACCCTCCTGCAAAAAAAAAAAATACGTATGCAATAAAGTTAAAGTTTTATGTTATTCTTTCAAGGGGAGAAACATCTGTTTAACACAGACCAGAATATTTCAACAAAGTCATCCCAATATTTATGGAGATCATAAATCAAGCGAAAAAATATATTCATCAACAACTAAACAAACTACATTAAATAGTCTCAAAGCACATTTTCACTTTTTTTCTGACAGGAAAACAGGTTTCACAAGTGTGGAGACATTTTACCATGGCTTTTAACAGTGAGGAAGGATGTTTAAATAAAGGGAAAAATTATATGGAAAGCTCAGAGAAAAGAGATGGGTGTGGCTTGAGTGACAAGGTGAGAGCAGATCTCATTAACTGAAATGAGAGAGAAGGAAGGAATTTTGCAAATATGGAAAGATAACTAGTGCAAGTTTGAACAGATTATGTCAATCAATGTAGAATTTGGCTATCTTTTTAATCAAAGACTATGGAATATTTTATAGGTGTTTGCTTATACTCAAAGTTTTAAAGAAATAACAGTATGAATTTGGTTGAACTAATTTTTTTCATAGATAGGATTCTCCCAAGTTATATAGCATATATATTTCTTAACTAGTTATTCTTCCTTTTACATATATTGTGCCACATTGAGTAACAACTAACCTGCTAATAGCTATTGGTTTTTAAAAGATAATTAATATTAGAAAGTGATCATTTTTCTGTTTCATATTAAACATGATATTCTGAAAAAGCAACATTGCCTGAATGTTCTACATTTTATCTTTTTGAAAACAGGTTTTATAAGAGATTTCTTGTGAAAAGCTGAACGTTCTGACACTGAAATAAGTCAGCTAACTCAAAGCTAAGCTTAATTTTTTGACACTGTTGGCATGAGGTCTCATTCCCAATTTTTTCATTTAAAGCCACAGGCAAATGTTTTAACAGATTTTAATCCGTAGTACAAGCATTATTGATCTTAAATTTAAGGATAAAAACCTGATTTTAATTAGAATTTA
This sequence comes from Homo sapiens, assembly GCF_000001405.40. Lineage (NCBI taxonomy): Eukaryota > Metazoa > Chordata > Mammalia > Primates > Hominidae > Homo > Homo sapiens. Next base: position 78,166,967 of record NC_000012.12, read on the forward strand.
ATATGCATTCTAGTATTTACGTTGTATAATTAATATTTACATTCCATGATTCCACTATGTACCATTTATTTCTTTTTGAATAAATTTCCAGTAGGAGCAGAATAAATTTTCAGTGAATATTTTATTTCTTGGGGGATATTTTTAAATGGAAAATATATTAAGTTTCGGTAAAATCTGTTGCTAATTTGGCAGTGGACAGAATATAAAAATTGGAGAGACTGAGTCATTATGATGAATTGGGTCTGACTTTTGTCATGACACTGGAAATTTCCCACAAATATTATATTCTTCTTTTATAATAAATATAGTCGAAATGAATTGCAGTCAAGTATTTGAAGACCCATCTATAAATTTAGGCGGTTACTGTTGATTTTTCATTATGAGAGATTCTTCCACTCATAAGCTACTAAAAGTACATAAAGAAGGTCTGGTTGTTTGTTTTAAATGTGACTGTTCTCTATCAGGAAAATGTCAGGTATCCGATGAAAATAGATATATGAGGTGCCAGGTATCTATTCCAAACTTGGATATCACTTCAATTAGCATCATCTTTTTTTTTTTTTAAAGTGTCTAAGGTTAGAATAGTCACCAGATATTCCCATGTATGAAGCAATTTTCTGCAAAGGCCGCTGTGGATGATCTTTTTAAAATATATATTCTGGGAGACATTGAGTAAAGAGAAATTATTTACCAGAGAATGAAGAACCGAGGCCCGATTCTTTGGCTTTCTGCCAAAGATGCTGAAGGCAGTGATGAATGACAAATACATTACCAAGGAATTCTCCCTCTAAGAGGCTGACAAAGATCTGATTTTTAGGATTATATTACCACCAAGAAGATACCCCTTGTCACTGAGCTTCTAATGGAAATATGGTCTATACTGAAACAATTCTCAGTTCTTTTTCTTTCTATCTTTTTTTGAGTTATTTTATCTTCCAAAAATGAGTTATTTCTGATAAAATAATTCACTTAAATAATTATGAAAGTTCAAATTTGTGCAAATATTTTTATTGGGACATCTTAAAATTACTCTAAATTCAAAAAGAAAATATATGCTTTATTAAAATTTGATCTGTAAGCTGCTTTGTTTGTAATTTAACTATTATATAAAAATTGTATAATACATATATTTTATTTACTTTATTCCTGTGTTGCTTTGGCTTGGTGAGACTAGGTCTCCACATTAGGAGTTTTACTGAATGAAAAAGTATCAGAATGTAACATGACTTTGATATGGCATCAGAATTTAATAAGATGACATTTAATAGGAATTAGGGGTAAGTTCCAGGTTTTACACTTAAATACAAATAATCAATTTTGCAGGCACAAAATACTTCAAACAAAATCTGAAATCATTCATTTGACAAAACTTCAGGTTTGCAGTTGACAATAAATACAATACAATGCAACAGTGCAATAGTGATATCTAAATATCTAATGTAATCATAGGTAATATTAGTAAGTGTGTTATCTGAAATGAGTGGTGTGATATCCTGCTTTACTTTGTACTGGTGAGTTCTGGGTGCCACCTTTGAAAGGAATAAAGACTATTCATATCTCTTTTATAAGACAATAAGAAAAACAAACAAACAAACAAACAAAAAACCACCTCCTTTACTTTAGCTGAGAAAGAAGTTATTAGGTACAGCTTGACAAGTTCAGCTAAGCATCCAAATCTTCCAGGAGGTTGTTACTACATAAAATCAAACCTTTTTAATTCAACTATGAGCAGGGAGATTTTATTTTTCTTTCGGGTACTAAAGCTTCCAAACTCTGTTTATTCCACAGGAATCTGAACTTATAGAACTAAGAGAAACCATTGAAATGCTGAAGGCTCAGAATTCTGCTGCCCAGGCGGCTATTCAGGGAGCACTGAATGGTCCAGACCATCCTCCCAAAGGTATATTTAGAAATCATTTCATTTCCACCCAATATAATAGACATCTATTTTATTTATTAATTACAGTAGAACTGCATTTACTCAGTGTCACTGTGCATTATTAATACATACTAGTTGTATTAATAGTTGTATTAATACATACTAGTAGTATTAATACATACTACGTTGGTATTAATGTGATCAGAATCCTAGAATTTTAGAACAGTGACTTCCATTATCAGATAATTTTTAAACTGATCTTAAGAAATTTGGTTCTATAGTTGTATACACATCTCTCTACTTGATTCAGTGGAGATGGAGATGGAGTGGTTGGTTAATACATGCATATCTGACTTCAGGCAAAACAAACCCATTAATGAGTATGATAATCTAGATCTGTATTTAAAAATGAAATAGTCAATATGATGATATAGTAAGCAGTGGGCATTGGGAACAACTTTTCCTGGATGGAGGCTATAAAAAGGTACATTTCCTGTAGATAATTTTGAAACAATAAAAACAACGGGTGAAAGGTAGCTCTGTTTTAAATTATTCCTATGCTTAAGCAATTCTAAACAATGAAAGGGGTATTTCTGCCACTGCCCCTACCCCTGGGTTCACCACTGAAGAAATGCTCATTATTAATATCGTGTCATTTTTTTCCTTTACATTGGTTCTATTTACTCATTTCCTGACACTTTTCAATGGCCTTCAGTGAGCTCAGCTCTTTCCCAGCTTAAAAAATCCTGTCCTAAAACATGAATGCCTTATTATCTCTCTTTTCATTTCCAGAAGAATTCTGAGAAAAATTTTATGAAGTCTTTCAATGTCTTCAGCCATCTTTAGACCACTGGAGTGTAGCTCCTTTTCCCTCCACTCCACCAAAACAATGCTCTCCAGGATCAGCAGAAACTTACATGACACTAAATTCAGTAAAACGTTTATAATTCTTATTGTATTAGACAGACATGGAAACAGCATTTGATGCTGATATTCATTTCTTCCTATGTGAAACATCCGGTTTTTCTAATGTTCGTGACATCATACATTCTTGGTTTTTCTTCTGTTCCTTTGAAATATTTTTTCAATATTTCTTTTGTAAATTCACTCTTTTGTATCCATTTGTTAATTGTTGATATCCTAAGCTCTCTTCCATTATGATTCTATGCATCCTATTTAAAATATATAGAAAATCATCTCATACTCTAGCTGTAATTTTTATTAATGTGCTAATAGCTAATAACTGTCAAATCTAGGTCTCCAGGCCAGGCTCTGTATATCCAGCTACCAAGAGAGAACTCCACGTGGATATCTTTGGATGTCTGTTTTGCATCTTAAACCTAACTTCTCCAAATTTGCACTTGTCTTCTGTCTCAGACCTGCTGCTCCTTCAGTGCTCTTTGCCTCAGTAGATAGCACCACCATCCTTCCATTTAGCCAGAAATCTAAGTATTCTTCATAACTCCTCCTCTCCTCATTGAATAAATTACCAAGATCCGTTGATCCCATTCCTTAAATATCTCTTGGATCTGTTAACTTTTCTCTGATTTTACTCTTGCCATCCATCACCTCTCTCCTGAACCATGACCACAAACCCCTAAATAGCCTTCCTCTTCTTAATCTTATCCTGCTTTACACCAGTCTTCACGCTGAAGCCAGAATAGTCATTAAGAAACACATCTACAGGTATCCCATTCATTGCCTTTAGAATGGAATACAGACTCCTCAGCATGACATAATCTCTCTTCACCAGCTTCATTTATTCAACAAATATTTATTCATAACCAATTAAGTGCCAGATGATGCACATATAGACTTCTTGTTCTGTTGTTGCATTGCATATTCCATATTTCAGCTATCCTGAATTGTTTTCAATTATTCATAAGTTCTTTATGAATTGTGTTCATTCCATTTGGAATATTCTACCTTGTTTGATCAGCATAAAGACTTTTCGAGACACTGCAGCAGCAGTGAACCTAAATATGTTTCCTTGACCCCTACATTGAATGACACCCCCTGTGATATGTTTCTGGAAGCAGCAATACTTCCCTTCTTAAAATTACATTATACTTTGGGGCTTTTATTTAAGGTATGTCTTTCCTGATTTACAATAGTAGAGCTTGTTTTTTCACCCTTTTGAAAGACATCAAGATGCCCATGATGATGTCTTGCATGTAACAGGGGTTTATTTGAATTTTTAAAAGAAGAATAAAGTAATTTTTAAATGAATTTCAATTTAAATTTTAGGAAAACAATTATATAAAGTGAGATATGCTTAAATTGAAGGACAAAGTAGTTCTGTAGGGGCTACTTCTTTCAAGACTTTAGCAACTTTCCATGTGGGGGAGTGATTTATGTGATGCATGGAAAATTACTGCATATTTAAAGCTTATCTTAGAGCTATAATAAAGCAGCTTATGTTCTAAATCTTCATGTCGTAAATAGGTCCAGAAGGGATTTAAAAAGCCTTAATCCTTACTTTAACACAGCACAAGTCACTGAAGTGAAACTTGCTGAAAGGATTCCTTTTATGTTAGGCAACAGGTAGCTGAATATATCTACAGAAATTGAAAAATTGGAATTCTTTTGCTCAGAAATGTGGGAGGGGTGGAGCTTAAGGTAAAAAATAACAGTTAATATCTAAATTGATCAAGAAATATGAAAAAATAATTTGCTAGGTTTTAAAACTAACAAAAACCATGGTTATAAAGGTTTGAATATATATAGGATAGTTAGATTGTATTTCTGTAATATTAAAACTCAGCATTAAATTTAATGAACACAAAGTGATTCTTATCACATTGACCATTGACATTACATGGAAAAAATAGTCAGTTGGACTAATTATGTGTCTTTCCATGGGTTATTAAGGTAATTGTATGGCATATAAATTTATACTGGAAATCACATTGAAATTCACTTTTAGAGGCCCTTAAAATATTTCTGTAATATATATTTTTAACATATGATCTTAAAAGATATATTTGGAATGACACAACAGTTTTATAGACAGGCCTGACTATCACACAACCACACACCAATTTGTGAATGTGTTTCTATTTCCTCTAAATTAATGCATCACATTCATTAACAAAGTTTGATAAATGACTATAGTCTATAATAAAATATTTTTGTTTACAAACATATTTAAACACCTGCTATTAAGTATAGGCATTATCAGATCTTAAAATACAAAGATTTAAAAAATTACCCTGTGGTCATGGAGCTCACAATCCACTGCAAAAATAATGTTTGTGATAAGAAATTTGAAAGTTGAAGGTAATAGAAAATTTTACCTTTATTTTTCAAAATGTACCATTGCTTTCTAAGTCACTACTTCTGTGTAAATATGGAATTGTTTTTCCTTAAGATATACCAAATATAGTTGGATAACGCATGTATTAAAATTCTGTCAGCACTAAGTTGTTTTTTAGACATAGTGATAGGCAAACATAGTTATATTGAATGAAAAATTAGAATCAAATTTATTAAACACTGTGTACTGATTGATACCACATGCCATATGCTTGTATAGCAATACAAGGTTTGGAATTTATAATGGTAAACAAAATAGATACGGTCTTTGTCTCCATAGAACTTTTAGTCTAGTGGGAGAGCAGAAGGTAAAGGAATGTATGTGATCATTGGTGAAGCTGAACATGTATACCCAAACAGTTATAAGTTCCAAGATGGACAATAATGGGTGCCATAGGGAAGGAGGGTACCAAGGAACCTACTGGAGGTTACATAGGGAAGATTATTCCAAGGTAGTAATATTTAAGTGAATATCCAAGGAATAATTGTCAATCACTTTATAAGTACTGAGGGAGGAGTATTTCAAAAGAGCTTTGAGGCGGAAAATAAATTAGTTCCTTTATGGAACTAATGTAAGGAAAATACTAAGCAAACATGTAATAAGAAGAACACGGTTGATGAGTTAAGAACTGACAAGATTACTGAAGGATTGTAGGCCATATTTAGAAGTTGGATTTTTTATCTATTCTTATTAAAGTGAGAAGTTATTGAAAGGTCTTAAGTGGGGGAGTGATGATGAAGTTTGCCTTTTAAAAAAGATTTTTCTAGCTATTGTTTATAGAATGGTTTGAAGATGAATAAGTCCAATAGCTATACTTGCTGTAAAGTTTATGTTGGTAGCTTGAACTGGGGCAGTGGTGACACAGAGGATGGGAGATGGAAAATGACGAGTGAACAAACACATACCTGAAAATTTAAGTTTAAAAATAGACCTCTCCATTAATTCAGATTGCTGATATTCATTCGGTTAGCCATTCTTTACTGAACTTTATGATGCCCCATATACTGAATTAAATACTTACAAGCACTAAAAAAGAAATTGTTAGGGAACAGTAAAATGCATTTCCTTCATTTCACAATATTATTAATATTATGGCTTTGCTAATCTTTATTGGTGAATGCAGTCATAATTGAAGGTAACTGATACTTCCAAGGACTACTTTTGACCTAGGATTACTATCTTTTTAAAAATTTAGTATTAAAGAAGTCAAACACAATTTATTAATTCTGGATATAATAAAAATTCTGAAATACTTTAATACTTTGTGCTTTTCTATTTGTGAAAGTTAATTATTAGGAACGAGCTAGCAAATGCTACTTCTTTTTCAAAAAGCTAATGGCCAATCACAGCAAAAATTTAAAGCACTAAGAAATACCTACACATATTCTTCTATTGCCCATTTATATGACTTCCATAATAGTTGATTAAAGGATACCGGATTCCTTTATTGTTGAATTAAAACCTCCTACATGAAAACCTTGATTTAGGTTTAGAAGTTGGTAATGTTTTGGCATGCAAAACCAGTTAATGTTCTCATCATTACTTTTTAAAACAATGTTAAGAGATGAATTCTAGGGATTATAAAAAAAAAAAAGCTGTATGTGTTTCTTCCTATAAAATTTTTCAGCATGATTGCCTCAGTAGAAAAATTAAGGGACTTATTGATATATATGTATATGAAGGTGAGGATACACATATACACACACACATATATATGTAGGTAAATACATATATTACATGTCTATCAATCCATACATACTCATTTATTATACGTTTTGAAAGCAACCAGTTATAGTTTTGTTGCCATGGATCATTTTTACTATTCAGTAAATCAGTCAATTGAAGAGGCTTGATTTTATGGTATTAGTTTTTTGGAAACTGTCAGCTTTATAGTAAATTTTGACATCTTACAACTTCCACTGAGATTTTTTTGCTTGACTAATCTGCCTTGATGCCAATAAGTATATTAACGGAAATGGACTAAAAGCAAATGTGACTTGAAGCACAATTTTGTAAATTTTCTTAGTGTCTCAGTAATACTTAATACTAGTGCATTTTAGGTAGGAAAATTTTCAGTTTGTTTTATTTTAAATAACTATAAATCTTATAGTTGCTTGTATAAAAGAAACAGATACCTTTAACATGATTAAATATCAAATGCTATTCTCTTCAAAATATCTTAACTAAAGAAGCACTGCCTGCTCTTAGAAGTTAAGCAAGGCCATACCATATGCTGCGTACATGGCTTTTAACACAATGGATATTAGAAACAGCCTAAGGCTGAGACTGGCTCCACTATTTTTCAGCTATGTGACCATGTGAAAGTTACATTTAGTAATTAAACTCATTTCAGTAGTTTGCTTTAAGAATAAAATTAGGTACTCCGGGGGCATATCAAGCATATTGTAAAACCTAGTTTGATTATTATTTGTTATTGGTATTACTATTACTATTCTATAATAAGTCATGGGCAGGCAGTAGGGGTACATTGGAAGAATTGCACTGTCTTAAATATGTCCTCTGTTTAACTCACAAACTCAGTCTACCTAGGCTTTCTTTGGAGGATCTGCCTTTCATTGGCTGTTTGACTTTGGCCAAGTTACTTAACTTCTTTTCACTTCAGTTTCCTCATCTGTGAGATTATGTGCTTACATGACTTCAGGTTTTGTTTTGGCTCTAATATGGTATGATTCTATGAAATGGAAAGTTAATACATTTGGCTCTAGTAACTGTATTTGAAGCACAAATATTAAAAAGCACAATTAATTCTCATTCTGAGTTTCCATTTACTCTTTTAAATTAATCATTCAGAATAAATCATTTTGGAAGAGCTGCTTGATCCAGGTATTCAGTAGAAATCACTAGCATAGCATTTAATTTTAGACAAAACTGAGAACTCATTAAACTGCCAGGGCTATGGACTTATATGAGATTCTCATTAAATCTTAATGTAGATAACTCAGTTAATTAAAACAAATATGGTTGTACTTTATTAAACTTCTAAAGTCAAAACTGCATTGAAATTATCTGTACAAAGCCTTGTTGACCTTTATTAGAGAACTGCCTCTCAAAAGACCTAAAAGACTTATTTGTTCAGATCGAGACTCTTCATGAGCCGATGTGATACTCTCCCTCTATTGCTAGATCTTCGCATCAGAAGACAGCATTCCTCTGAAAGTGTTTCTAGTATCAACAGTGCCACAAGCCATTCCAGTATTGGCAGTGGTAATGATGCCGACTCCAAGAAGAAGAAAAAGAAAAACTGGGTAAGTTACCATCCTTCATCTAATTCAGAAGCTTATTAATGCATAATGTGTTAGGCCTTTTTCTTTGGGGCTTTAGTGATCTGCAGTAGTTTACAAAGGGTCCCATTCAAGCTACTGAGACCTCAAATGCTGCACTCATCACCAAAATTGGAGTGGCATGTACTGAAAAGCATACATTTTAATGTTGGGACTAAACTTGGGTTTGAATCACCACTATATCTAGACCTTTTGAGGGGCCTGAATTTTCTAACCAATAAAAAGACAGTTAATAGCAACTATATTTATTTGTGAATATCATTTATTCACAGATGTTATCTAATTTTTCTATAGTATAACTATACAAACTATGTAGTATAACTATAGAGTTATACTAAAGAAAAATAAGATAACATCTGTGAATAAATGGCTTAAAATAGGGGTTTATTGTGGGCATAGAGATGAAGGAAAAGTGAAAAAATGATGATGATGGTGATGATGATGGTGATAGTGGTCTTGGAGGAAAAGGAGAATGGGAGTTAATAAAGGGAAAGAATAAACAATGAAACTCTCATTCCACCTTTGGAATCGACAGGGCTTACCGTGTGAATAGTTTCACCCTAAAAGAAATCAACCACATTAGTGTCTGCTTGATGTTTTTAACCAAGAGAATATAGCAGAAATATAGAAATGCACTTTAACAGAACTGTACCTTAAGTTTGCTAGTGATATAATTTATGATATTGATCAATAGCTAAATAGCCCAGGGGAAGATACTGTTACTGCGAAAAATTTAAAAACAATGGAGTCAATGATTTCTTTTAATACCAAAAAAAAAATGTAGATTTTGAGTAAATACAACTCTTGATGAAATCCAGACATAATTATCAGAGGATTTTACTGGAGTGCTTTCTACAAATAATGAAAGAAATATCTTTTTATCTTAAAAAATGTTTATACAGGTAATATTTTAAAATACTGATCAGCCTTCATTCCCTTGATTTGTAATTCCACACTCTTTCATGTTTCTGCAAGGTGAACTCTAGAGGAAGTGAGGTGAATATAAACCGTGGACAATTTGGCATGCATCTATAAAAAAACCCTACCTTGGCATGAATGCTATCCATTTTGGCAGTAGGCTTTTATACCTTTTAAAACAGATTACCTTGTATGTCTTTTCTTTGTGTCTTTTCATTTTAATCTCAAATTTTAAAGAGATGTAAAACCACTTTCTGAATAGAGCTGTAGGGGATACCAATTCTGGTTTTGAGTAGTCTGGGGTTGGAAAATTTGAATAGAAAAATCACAATTAATGAAGTGTTAGGTGAATTTGATTTCATTTTGCTTTTTAAGTTTGTACTGTCAGCAGGACATGACTTGATTGTAGCGCTAAAGTGGCCATTTAAAACAAATTGCCTTGAAGAGAGAAGCATTGGGAATGGAGATCCCTTCAAGGTACTTAGTTTTAAATGAGTGCTCTGACAGCCATGCCCTTGACCTTGCACTATTTAAAAGCCTTCCATGTTTGCGCTGCGCTGGATTAATACAAGAATAAAATGAACACACAAAACACGGTATCATTTTTTTTTTAGAGATACTGTGCTGCAATTGTTAATACTCTGCTTGTACATACTGACCCCAGGCAGTGGCTAGGATGGCATCTGCAAACTAACGCCCCAAAGCAAAAGCTCTCCAAGTGCAAATAGACAAGAAGGGTAATTTCTGTCCTTGTTTCAGCTGAGAAGTTCTTTCAAACAAGCCTTTGGGAAGAAAAAGTCCACCAAGCCTCCTTCATCACATTCTGACATTGAAGAGCTTACTGATTCATCCCTTCCGGCATCCCCCAAGTTACCCCATAATGCTGGTGACTGTGGCTCAGCATCCATGAAGCCCTCACAATCTGCTTCAGCGTAAGTTGCTCCTTCTGCAAAATGCAGACATATTTTTTAAAAACAATTTTAGATGAAGGCCTTATTTATGTTCTAACCATATCTGTACCAATTATTTTCAGATTTTTCTGAGAATGATGGACAGCATTAGTTTCTCTTTTCATATTTCTCTTTCACTGGTTTCTTTCATTTTCATTTTTCTTTTTCATTTTCATATGTTAGAATTCAAGTGTTTCTTGATCTCATTCTCCAGTTTTCTGAATCATGATTCTCACTTCTTTTCATGGGCATTTGTCCATGTATCTGTCTAACTGTATGTACATACAGGTCACCCCTTGTCTGGCCACCAAAGAAACGACAAAATGGCCCTGTGATCTACAAGCATAGATCTCGGTAAAGTGGAGTGCGATGCATGAATACTGCAAAGATCCAGGTTCTAACCTAAGTAGTGTTTGCTTTTGCTTTTTCTAAAATCACTCACATGCATTTCAACAATAAATACCTTCTCTTTCTGTTTTTTCAACTAAAATTTGGTTTCCTAAAATCAACCTGCAATCCAGTTTTCTTTGATTCTATTAGTTAATCTAACCTAGCATTTTTATGATAGCCCACTTTTTGGTAGTACAGTAGCCCCCCGTTATCCACCAGGGGTACTTTCCAAGACCCCCAGTGGATGCCTGAAACCATAGATAGCACCAAGCCCTATGTATATTATGTTTTTTTTTTCTATACATGCATACCTACATATGATAAAATTTAATTTAAAAATTAGGCACAATAAGTGATTAACAGCAATAATAGAACAATTACAACAATATTTTCTGATAATAGTTATATTAATGTGGTCTCTATCTTCCTCAAAATAGTGTTTTTTTTTTTTTTTTTGAAACAAAGTCTCACTCTGTCACCCAAGCTCGAGTGCGATGTCAAGATCTCGGTTCACTGCAACCTCTGCCTCATGGGTTCAAGCGATTCTCCTGTCTCAACCTCCTGAGTAGCTGGGTTTACAGGCGTGCACCACCACACCTGGCTAATTTTTTGTATTTTTAGTAAAGATGGGGTTTCACCATGTTGGCCAGGCTGGTCTCGAACTCCTGACCTCAAGTGATTCACCCACCTCGGCCTCCCAAAGTACTGGGATTACAGGTGCGAGCCACCCCACCTGGCCCAAAATACTGTAATATTTTTGGACCATGTTTGACTGTAGGTAACTTAAACCACAGAAACTAAAATTGTGGATAAACTATAATTGTGGGGGACTACTGTACAAGAACGAACACATTTCGAATATAGAAAAGTGTTCTGGTGAGATAATTCTCTGTGTTATTTACTATTTAAATCTAATTTCCTTGTATGCCCATGACAACAACTAGCATAGAACTCATATAGAACAGGGCCACTGTGCTTTGCCTACATAATTTTATCATTTATGCAGAAAGGAAGAACATGTCACTGTCATTTTGTGGCCAGTAAACTAGTTGTCAAATTTTAAATGGAAAATATGTTAGTTAATATAAAACAATTTTTTTGGCAAATTTCCTGCGAAGCTGTCCACAAAACAATAAAAACACAACAAGGATACAATGTGTTTCCTTCAAACAGCCCTCAGCTAGCCTGCTAACAGGGGCTGAAACCTTTGATTTAGCTGTGATCTCCTAAATCAGCTGAGCCCAGTAGGGAGGTTATATAACTCACCCATTATTTAAATGTCCAAAAGTAATATCTCTAATTTATTTTCTACAATGTTTATATTGGATTTTTATGGTAATTAAAGACAGTATTGTGGCAAAGCTTTTTTTTTGCACAATTTTACAAAAGAAGAAATCAACATTTTAAGAATGTAATAACTGCTCTTATAAAAGAATAGTCACATGTTGCAAATAGAGGTTTAAGTCCCTTGAAAATGTTGGAATGAAATGTAGTAATCTATGACTTTTCTGCCTATAAATATCACCAATAAAAGAATTTTTAGGATTACTTTATATTCAGTAAGAGTAGACTATTTTTAAACTTTAAAAAATAGAAAAAAAGATTAAAAGAAAAAGCTACTTCCGTTTTGAACCTGTGAATGCATAACCGTTTGTAAAACTCCTTCTCCTTTTCTCTAGGTTTTGCCAGCAGCACACCATATCTGTACCTGCTGGAGAATATTGCAGTGCAGCCTTTAAAAGAGGCAGTGCTTTTCTTAATCCTCTGGCTTCCCCAGGCCACTGATTCTGTTTGTTTCCTTCTTCAGGATCTGTGAATGCACAGAAGCTGAGGCAGAGATAATTCTGCAGCTGAAGAGCGAGCTCAGAGAAAAGGAATTAAAATTAACGGATATTCGGCTGGAGGCCCTCAGCTCTGCTCATCATCTTGATCAGATCCGGGAAGCCATGAACCGGATGCAGGTTGGTACTGAAGCACTTTCAAGGAATAAAATGGAGAAACAAAAAAATGCTGCTTATTCTGTTCTCTTGGTTAACACAGAATAAATTCCACTTGGAAACCCACCTTAGAAATGTACTCTGTTTATTCAGTCTTTGCAACTCATCTGTTAGTACTGAATTGAGAATTTTGTCAAATCCAAGTTTGGAAGTGGGAGTGCAAACTGGCAAGTTGTATTCAAGAACCATTCAGGATACTGTACTAGTAATTGGATTCAGGTTGAGAGCTAAGCTTTTAGAGAAGCTACTACAATTCTTGCTTCTTCACTTTTCCATCATTTACTTTTATTTTGGCTTTTTGCCTGTTCTTTTGAAATCTGATTTTCACATACTTTCACCAGTTTTCTACTGAAATACAAAAGTAATGAGGAAACTATAGAAATTCAACACAAGCTTTCTGAATACAGAAGTAAAAGTGATTTAGAATGCCATCTGTAAAAGTAAGGCTTGTGTATTTTTTTGAAAAACATCTAAAGGCTAAATTCAGAACCAGTCTGTGCTCAGACTAAGTTTTCATTTTATTATTGTATACCAGTAATCACTTGGTACCACAGATGACTGCAATAAGAAAAGCTCATTGCTGAGCAGATTCATCTGCCACTGTATATGTTCATCTAAAGACTTTTGTTGTTTTTTTATGAGCTTAGTGTCCCGATTGGAAGGAAAAAAAGAAACTTTTTCAGATGTTAGATATGATTTTGGAGTAATTTTAAATCACCTTATTGACATTATTTTTGTTTTGCTCTGTCTTTCAACTGTCTACAGATTTATAACAATATTACAAATGGCATTATATGCTTATAAGATTTTAACATCACCTTTAAAATGAGAAGTGTTATGAATGATTTCATCATATTTTTCTTAATTCAAATGAGACCAAGTCCTCATGATTTAGTTAAAAAATAATGATAAGCATGTCGAATGGTTGGATTGTCTATATTTGTGAATTCAGGAATGTATAATGTGTGAGAGAGAAAAAGGTTAAATTTCCTTCTTGGGAAGGAAATCCTATTTCATATCTTATATTTCTTTATTTAACATATTAACATGTTTTATTTAACAAACAAGCTAATTAACTCTGATAAAAGACTTGGTGCTATTTTCTCAATCAAACCAACTCAGTTTTTTTCATGTTTTCCATCTTCATAACAGAATGAAATTGAAATACTGAAAGCTGAAAATGACCGGTTGAAGGCAGAAACTGGTAACACAGCTAAGCCTACTCGGCCACCGTCAGAATCCTCAAGCAGCACCTCCTCTTCATCTTCCAGGCAGTCATTAGGACTTTCTCTAAACAATTTGAACATCACAGAGGCTGTTAGCTCAGGTGATTTAGTGCACATGCTTGCCTGAATCACAGCATACCCATGAGTTAACGGGTGGGAAGCCTGGAATTTGGAGAACTTTACGTACTCTTAAAAATGTTACACTCTAATTCTCAGAAATAGTCCTAGTTTGATCTTATAAATCTAGTCTACTTAGTTATAATTTTAAAAGCACATTCTCTGTCCAAAAGTCAGTCTTAGAGATATGGTCTTCATAATATTTTTAAGAAATCACTTTTCCCTAGGAAGTACTTTCTCCATGATTCTGATGATGAAGAAATACTCTCAGTGATGATAATTAGTACTTATGGATATAATAATAACCCCAATGACTTTTATTAAGTGTGCAAAACCCATTTATAAGTGTAGCAGGCTTTATTTTCTAAATCTGACTTGATGAACCTGTGTGATGCTGCTCTGAGAAAACAATAATGCTACTGTCACCCAGTCTGCAGCTCTATTAAATTTCCAACAAAGATAAAGAACACAGTACTAGTGATGGAACAAGGGTACAGTTTTGATTTGATTGCAAATAGAATCATATGACATAATGTCATCTTAATATCTCATGAACCATTCAAGCATAAAGTGTAGCTGTTTCTGTGGAACAGTTCATTCAAGAGAATCATTTCAAGGATAGAGAATTTAGTCTATATAATATTTACATGAGGATCTATGGTAATTGTGAAGCACGGCCACCAGATGACGCTTGGAAACCAATAATATGTATGTTCCTAGCCAACGTTAGATTCCATTATAGAATGGAGATAGTACACTGCTTGCCTTAAATCATATTAAAATACAGAAGGAGAAGGAGAAGGGAAATGACATGGCATGCTGATATTGATTACATTTCCAATGAATCACATCTCTTCTAAAAAGACAGAATGTTAAAAATTCTGCTATTATGGCTGCTCTTCATAATATAAAATAATGGCCTTCATCTTATATGTAAAAGACAAGTGGGCACTCCCTGTAATTTAAGAAAACAACTTTTGTAAACTTCTGGTGGGGATTAGAGAAAGAAAATAAATTCTGAGAATAAGCATCAAGTACAACTAATGTCAGAAGCCAAGTAAAAAGCAAGAGATTTCAGAATTAAATGAACTTATAGATCATTAGGTAAAATAAGACTGTGGAAGTGGATGGTAATTTGAGTTTGTAAATTACACATAAAGTATTATCCACACTCAACAAAATATTCTGCAAAAGAAAGAACGCAAATGTTTAAATGTATAGAATCTGGCAGTTCTGAACAACATCCTCTATGTTGGCTTGTTGCTGATGGACCTGACAGAGAAGTGAAGTAAGATCTACATCTCATAATGACCAGTGCATTTCTGGATCCTCAGGCTTGTCTCCTAGGAAAAGACAAAGGCCAGTACCTTATAGGTCAGACTAATGGTAGGGTTTCACTGCCTTTTATAAAATTCTGTTTTATTTTATGAAAATATGATAAGGTTTGAAGGAGGCAAGTTTAATACTGAAGGTGGTTTAGAAAAAACAGACACATATAAAAAAAACTTAGTATCTAGGAAAAATAGAACTCATAAAGATAAATATAAAATCAAAGAGTTTAAATTTACAATTTCTATGTTTATTGGTCTTAACACATTGATGGCCATGATTAAGAATTTAAGGCAATTTTTTAGGAGGAGCCAAGTTTTACGTTTTTTTAATACCTTTTTTTACCCATTCCCTAAGTTATTTTTAATATATCTTATTTCCTTAATTATTTTTCAATAGTGATACTTATGTCTGAACTAAAAAAATTAAATCACACAACCAGAATATTGTTTTCATTACTTTCACTCTTGTGGAGTGGGTTCAACACTTGGAAATCAAAACTGCCTTTATGCTGGGGCTTTTTAACAGACAGACTTTCTAAGTTTCATGATTAATCTTAAGATAAAGAAAGTAGGCAGGAGAGAGGATAATTGGCAAATATCTAGTTCCTGAAATATTAATTGCATGTTCCTTGCATCCAGTAAAGACAGACATTTCAGAAGTCTTCAGTTTTTGGCCAGAATTTTACTCAATTATAGCCAGAATGGCAGACCTCTTTAATTTTTCCTTCAAAATATAGACAGAGGACCATGACTTATTTTCTAGTAAAAAACAAAACAAAACAAAAACAAACAAACAAAAATACAGAAGGCTCTCACATTAATCTTGCTGTTTTTCCTGGAGTTGTTTCATCAGGTGACCATCCTGTCAATATTCTCTGAACTGGGGAGATTCGGAGTCATGATGTGAGCCACCCACAGTCAACAGAAGGAGTTAGAATAAACACAAATAATGGCTGGAAGAGCAAAACTTAGTAAACACTGAGGATGAAGTGCTTTAAAAGTATTATCTTTTATGTTCTCAATAACTCTACCAGGAAGGTGCTGTTAAAGCCCCATTTTATAGCTGAGGAAGCCAAGACTTAGGAAAGTGACTGTAACAATTTGTTCAAGATCATGAAACTAGTAAGCAGCAGAACTAATAATCAAACCCTGGCTTGGATGAATCCAGGACCTGGACTTTTCACTATTGTGTTAATTTTGCTTTAAATAGCCACATAATAAAAGCAAAGAATAGTTATTCACTCATCTTTGGTAAATATTTATCCTACTGTTGTCAGGAGAAATTTCATATTGTAAGTGTAGTTTTTAGAAGTAAATATGGCATGAAATGAATAACATATTCCAAGGCAAATTTAAGCAGCTTATGTGGATCAACAATCAGGCCAACCTCCTTTGCTATGGACTACTTGGCCATGTGTGATTTGGTCCATACTTATTTCCATCCACATCATTTCATACTACTCCTCACCCTCCCCTTGTCTCTACATTCCTGCTACCCTAAACATCTCTGTGTTCCTTTAACATACCCAGCTTACACATCTCAGGGTTTTGCACTGTTTTTGTTGACTGAATCTTTTTCCCTTGTTCTTCACTTATCTAGCATTCCTCAGCCTTCTGGTCTTATCTCCAAATACCACTTCTTCAAGGAAGCCTTCCAGGATGACCTATCTATCTAGAGCAGGCTCCCTTCAGTTACTTTCTGTTTCATTGTTTGGTTTATATTAGCAGAGTGCTTAAACTATTCTGAAATACATACTCCAAAAAAACAAGGAATTCACTTTCTTTCTCATCTTGGTATTCATTCCCAATATGCAGCAAAATTTCTGATACCATTTATACCTAATAAATATTGGTCAAATATTTTTGAGCATTTATGAGTAATTAAGACAAGTACTAAAGTAATTTGATCACAAACTACCAGAAGTCTAGATGTGAATAGCCAATGGTAAACCACTCTAAACTTCTTAAAAAGGAGCAAGATAATTAAAATGACACTTAAGGAAGAGTTTTATTTTTGAGTGGAGTAGGTGAAAAGGTGAAAGACTATTAAGATGTTAACTTGGGAAAATAATTAAACTCCAGTGCAGGAGATTATCTTTGATGATTTAAAAATTTATTGCAAAGCTCTAAAAGTTCTAAAAGTTCTCAAGCTCTGAAAGTTGTTTTTAATTGTTATGATCTTAGAGTATTTTTATTGCTTACTTTCAAAATTACATATACTTAATTATTAAGATAATAGAAACCATTCTATTTTTGGAGGCCATCTTATTAGAGTGTTGATTTCTATGATGCTATAGTCGTAATCTTTTTTTCTATAAATTTATTGTCAGAGCAGTTGAGTCCTCTTTTCACCAGGAACATGTGCTCTTTAGAATGTAATGGAGTTTCATTTATCCACAGAACATTGTCTTAATATTAAGCATGGTTCTATGATAGTATTATTATTAAAGGAAAGCATATATTTGGAATAGTTTGCCTTAATAATTCTCCAAATTGGAAATTAATCTGGTATAATATATTTTGAAAGTTAATCTTTAATCACCATTTAAAGGCTGATATTTTAAAGGTAGCTAACTTTATCATGCTTCTGTAACTCTTAGCTGATTACTAGAAATACTATTTTGGTTTTGAAACTATTAGCATAAAGGATTCCGGAGAGCAATCATAATTCCAGTATAATGCCACAGTTGAAATTCAATAACAGTACCTAATAATTATAAAGATAAGGTGAGTAGTTATATAGCTGGCTGTGTCAAATGCTTGAAAATAATTTCAGTTGACAGTCAATTTCAGCACCTTTACATTTATAAATTACATGGATATTGAGCTTGGATATTTTAGATTGGATAGAAAAATCAGATGGCTGTCAGTTTGTCATGGTTATAATGGTGACTAAATATTACTCAGGTATTACTCAGACCTATGTGTAATAGAAAAAGAAAATTCTTATTTCCTCATCTAAAGTCAGTGAGTGGCCCAACACTTGAGTGAAGATCTTTGCAAGCAGAAATAAATTCTTAGATTGAAACTTTAGCCCAACCACAGTAATTCATCTTCTGGAAAGCTGAGGCTTTTCAAATCAGTTAGGCTAGAATGGGAAGCAAATCCCATTGAAAGATATAAAACTATGAGGGAGAAAAGAATGACAGTAAACAAATCTGAGCTAATGTTATACTGTTGTGTATGTCTTTCTTTTAAAATTTGATAGATATTTTGCTAGATGATGCTGGTGATGCAACTGGACATAAAGATGGCCGCAGTGTGAAAATTATAGTCTCCATAAGCAAGGGCTATGGTCGAGCAAAGGTACTTCTTTAATCTTAAACTCTTTATTACTAACAATGAGAATTACCATGAGTCAAGTGTATTTTATGTGTGAATATTTGATCTGGTAAATATCCTACAACAATTGTGGATTGGCATTAGCTTAACATGTCATACAAACATGAAAAGGACAATAAAATGATGACATCATCATAGAGGTAGAAATGTGTCTTACATGTACCTCACATTCATTCACTGAAAATAATATTAACAGCCCCTCATTTCTAAAACTTTAAAAAATAGTTATTTCTTTGGCAAACATCTTGTCTGACATATTCTTTTGGTTTCACTTATTTGTTATAGGTAATGTTTATGATGTGCAGTCGCTAGAGCTGTCAATATGGTCTTTATACAAAGGGAAGACTCTAAACTAAATGAATATTTTAGAAATCAGAAAGACACATGTTCTACTGAACTTGGTAGGACAAATTCCATTGATGTTACTTGTCTATTTAAGCAAGGTCCTAGATGACCAGACAAGTATTTTAATTTTTTTGCAATGAAATATTGCCTTCAAATTGGCAATGCCATTCTGACTCTATCCCTTTCTTAAAACAACAACAAAAACAAATTTTAAGTTAAAATTTTAGTTGAGTGGCCAAAAATACAAATTTCTAAGTATCCAATTTTTTTACATCAAGCAAATAAAAATTCTTTAGAATTTTAAAATAAAGTACTTAAGTTTGAAAAGTAAGATAGCACTTGTGAATTCTTACCTTAAGCCAATGTTCCAAGGATTCCAATACCATCAACTTTCTGCTTGAGCTGCAGATGTGTACCTACTTTTCCCAAGTGGGTCTTTATGTGAGAGACAGTAATACTCTTAGTGAAACATAAACTAACTTTGATTTAAAAGCAGCTTTTTATAAGGTATTGCATAAGCAGTAATTTTAACTGGGTTATAAACACACTGAAAAATAAGATTTCCTGTTCACAGTAATTCTAACAGACAATGCCTTTGAACACTTTTTTCTAAAAAAGCTTCCATGAAAGTACTTGTCTTATTCTACTTGGACTTCCATAATAAAATAACAGACTAGGTGGCCTAAACAACAGAAATTTATTTTCTCACAGTTCTGGAGGCTAGCCAGTCTAAGATCAAGGTGCTAGCTGATTTGGTTCCTGGTGAGGGCTCTCTTTTTGCATTGCAGGTGGTGGAATTCATGCTGTGTCTTCACACAGTCTTACCTCAGTGTCTGTAGGTAGGAAGAGAGAAAGACTACAAATCCTGAATTATCTACTTTACCCAGTAATCCCATCATGAAAGTCCCACCATTATGATTTCATTTAATCCTAATTACCTCCCAAAGACCTCATCTCCTAATACCATCAATTTGGAAGTTAGGGCTTCGATGTATGAATTTTGAGGAGACACAAATATCATTTCATAACAATAGTAACAAAAATCACAATTGTCAGCTGTGGATTTCTCAACTTATTCTGCAAAAGGTATTAGATTCTAACTCAGATTATACCTGAATAATTTTGATAACCATTTATCCTTATGGTGCTAAATATTACATATTAAGAGATTGAGGGTCTGAGCCAGCTAAGTGATTTACCTAAGGTCACATTTCTTAATTAGGTGGTAGGTATTATGTGTTATAGAATCCATATCTTCTAACTCATGACTCAGTGATTATTCTACCACCCGTTAATGATAACATACTTGGTGACTAGAACCAGGATTATAATATGTCAACTATCTAATTATATCTACTGGAATCATAATCACTATTTCGTTAACCATTTCTGGTCATCATAATAGAGGCTCTAGCTAGACTACAAATTTTGAATTATTTACCTTTCTAATATATGTAGAAATTTCTCAAAATCCCATCCTACAAAAAAGATAGATTTGGAACCATTATGTTTATTATAAAATAATTACTTGTTTGATGAAACGAATCCTGTAGGTTTCTCTGGCAAGGTCTTTTAAATAGAGAATTTCTGATAAATTCAAAATGGAACCTGTTTTGTAGGTATGCAAATACCTTATATTATCATAGATAACACATTTTAAAGCGAGATTGGATTCTAGATTAAAATTAATAAAACAACTGAGTTTTGGACTTATCAAAGGTAAGATCACAAAATAGTAAGATAAAGTTCTAGAATTCATATAATATGGTTCTGTTCTGTCTCTCTCACCATTTCCCTCCTACCAAGCTGCTTCTCTTTAAGAAAGTATGCACTGCATTATAATGCAAGAGTATTCTTTCAGATTCCTTCACCTTTGCCTTCTACAGAACAGGTCATGGATCAGTTTTCCTCGACATGCTGCTTTATCTCATCTCTTTCTTTCTTGTTGCTGTTGCTATTGCTGTTACTTTATTTGTTTGGTTGGTTAGTTGGCTGAAATATGTTTTATGTTATATAATCCACCATGTGTGTCTGTTACTATAGAAGCCACAGGTTTAACAAATAGTTTAGTCTTAACAACAACTACATTAACTAATTTTAGTAGAAAATGTAGTAATAAAAAAGATACACGGTTGGATTTTATCTTACTTTATTTTGTTCTTATTTAGGACCAAAAATCTCAGGCATATTTGATAGGATCCATTGGTGTTAGTGGAAAAACCAAGTGGGATGTCTTAGATGGTGTAATAAGACGTCTCTTTAAGGTATGTTGTGCAAGACACCCTAATAGTACTTTTCAAATATGTTTCTCTTTAATTGTTTTCCATAACTTCAATAGCAGAGACACATCTTCTTTTCCTCTCCTCAAATAAGGAAAGCTTTCTGTTTGTGCTATTTGATATTAACAGTTCTTATATTACCCATTTCTAATATTCTTGACAACTAGCTCTATATCCCTGTGAGTTATGTATTTGTTGTAGATGAGTTGAACCTCTGTTTTGATTTTATTTTTTGTGTGTACCATTGTAGGAATATGTATTCCGAATTGATACATCCACTAGCCTTGGTCTGAGCTCTGACTGCATTGCTAGCTACTGTATAGGAGACTTAATTAGATCCCATAACCTAGAAGTGCCTGAATTGCTGCCTTGTGGATACCTTGTTGGAGATAATAACATCATCACTGTGAACCTCAAAGGTAAAAGCAATAATGAAAAGCAAGGCAGAAATATAATTTTTAGCAACATTTTATTCTGCCCCCCGCCCCTTTTTGGCCAGTTTCCCTTAAAATTTTTCTATTTGAAAACTCTGTAGTATTTTAAAAATCAATATGACTCATTTCATACCAAAACTATTAAATACTACAATCCTACTAAAAACACTAGAATATAAAGAAATTTAGTTCTTTGGGTTCTGGGATTTGAAGATTCAAGACTCACAAAAAGGAATGTGATTTAGGAATTTCAAATTTCTGGATTTTCTTCATTATCATCCTTCATTACAGGAGGATTCAAAACATTTAGTGTGTATTCCAAAGTTACATATTCATTGATATATCTTTGATTTTAAAATGTGTATGCCTAATAAATACCCCCCAGGAAGAGGGAATAGAAGTTAAGAATCAAGGATGGAAAGTTCTGAGAATTTTCTTTGCTTTAGATGATGTGATTAATTATAGGCTAATGTAATATCTGAAGCATCTTTGTCTTCACAATTCCTTGTTTATTTATGTTAAAGAATCAGGATACATCTATATAAACTGTGAGTTAATAGAGGAATTTGTCAATATTTGATTTTATGATGAAGGTAATTGAGTTCGTAAAATGAGATACTGTTGCTCCTTTCTTAATTCCTTGCCAAACGTAACAATTTGTATTCTTCAAAAGCTTGAGTGGTTGTACAACTAGGATGCATAATGAGAGATAGAAGAGAATAAGGAGATGGGGTGAAGAGAAAGTAAAAGAAAGAACACACACACACCCATATATATATATATGGGTGTGTGTGTATATAATCTTCACATTTATTCTTCACATTTATTCTTATAGTCTTCACATTTATTCTTAACAAAGATAATCATCTTCAATAAAAGATGTTATGATAGCATTTATAATGCTTCCATTTCTCTCTGGAAACATAAATGAAAACAAGAAGTAGACAGTGGAGTGAAGCCTGAAGAAAAAGAAACAGCTTGCTTTTGTTTAGATGTTCACTCTGCCATATTACTGATATATTTTCTTCCTTGAAATGGCAACGCATATTTGTGGGATAGAAATATCTAGGAAATTATTTTTCAAGGACTCTATTCCTATGACTAACAATGCTGTTGCTGTTTAGCATGATATTTTAAATTCTAGCTTATGTAGAACAATAAATCATGCTATTTTTTTGTTTCTTCTTTCAGGGGTAGAAGAAAATAGTTTGGACAGTTTTGTTTTTGATACGCTGATTCCTAAACCAATTACCCAAAGGTACTTTAACTTGTTGATGGAGCATCACAGAATTATACTCTCAGGACCGAGTGGTACTGGAAAGACCTATTTGGCAAACAAACTTGCTGAATATGTAATAACCAAATCTGGAAGGAAAAAAACAGAGGATGCAATTGCCACTTTTAATGTGGACCACAAGTCAAGTAAGGTATGTTACAGAATTCTAAGAGAACAGCTACAATTTATCCATAAGTGTTTTAAGCAATCAAATTATAAGATTTTGTGAGACTTCCATGTTGTACATGGAAAAGAATATCCATCTTTTTTTTACTAGAATTGTAACCTGGTGAGTGATCAAACTCTGTTTCATGAATTTGAACAAGACTACTATTTTCAGTAACATTCAGTTATCAGGTACTCCCTAAGATATTGGGAATATACAGAATAATATGACAGGTCTCCTATGGCATGGTTTCTCTTAGACATCCACCTAGAAACTGTTACAGTAGAAAGAGGTCCGTGCACAAGCAACAAGGAAGAATAACTTTTCTTGGAGGCATCAGAGCTTTATAAAGGGGTAATAGTTTGTTGGATCTTAATAGATAAGTAGGAAATAACATGGGTTTTGCAGGAATGGAGATTTGGCAATAATTAGAATATTCCAAGCAGATATTCTGGGAGCAGCAATTTGCTTATGTCACATCTCCCTAAAATTTTTGTTTAGGAACCTTAGGAAAGTTAACAACATTCAATTTCACCACCATCTACGGTCTAATGTGCCATAGTAATCAGCCTGAACACTCAGATATTAAAAAGGCATGAGGGCCTATACGGCGTAGCCTGTACTTTCTTATTTTCTGAGTAAAACAAAAAATCCTAAAAAGGAAATAGTTGATGGCTAACATATTTTTAACACTAACCTAGTTTTACCTGTAATTATTTATTAAAGTCTGAATCAATGAAACCTAAAAGTTTCTGTCGGGAAAATGCAACTATTATAAGCAATACCTTGAGGGAATCCCAATTATACTGGGTCATATTACTCTTTCAAGGATAACCTGGTTCAATGATCTAAACTGTCCCAGTTTCTCAGAAACCTGAAATCTGCAAATTTTCAGAAATAAATGTGACTCCCAAGAGCAGCCCAAACCCATTAGATTCTTGAAATAAGCCAGGCATATAGCTTAATGAACAAAAAGTATTAATTTTCTCACCTGTAAAATGAGGGAAATAGTAGGGCTATTCTAAAGACTAAATAAATGAGTGTGTATATGCATGTGTGTGTCTGTGTGTGTGTGAGAGAGACAGAGAGAACAGCGCAAGTAGCAAGCACGATATAAGAGTTGCTTGCAATTTTTAATTATAGCCCTTGGCTCCCAGTGAAGATTTCTCTCACAAGCATACACACACATATGCACAGTGCACGCGCACATACACATACAACCACACACACACACATCTTTGTTCAAAACCGTTTTATATGTGTCCTTCAAAAACAACGATGTACATAAAGCACAATGGGATCTCTTAAAGTTAAATAAATGCAATACATAAATTCTGAATATTTCCTTGGAACTCAGACCTATTCAAATGTGGTTGAACCACCATCTAAAGAAAGACATAGAACCTGAGGTAGAGTATTTGGCTCTTCTCTGAGCAAAAGTAGGAAGAGCACAATTGTCTGTTTGCTTCAGCTGACATGTTTAATGCTTCCTGTGAATTCTGTCTCCTCATATCTTTATATAAAAGCCTTTTAGCACAGTTTTAAATATTTTCAGCCAAAAAATATGAAAGGTTTGAAAGGCCTCTTAGTCATCCTCAATGTTTGTTTTTTCCTCAATGTTGGTATGACAAAACTCTTTACAAGGTACTTTTTTTATGGAATAAAAAAGTGTTTAGAAAATAAGAGCAAAATAGATTTATTGGAGGAGACCATGACATTTTGATAAAGTTGAGGATCACTTAAAATCGTTTTGAATTAAATAGATGAAGTTTCATTAGAATGTAGTTAACATGCTAAAACAAAATAGGTAATTCCCATTAATTTTAAAACATAGCTTTCCCTAAAAAATATCTATCTGTCTATCTATCCATCTATCTATATATGTATGTATATATTTCAGCTTAGGAAAAAAAGTTTATTGCTTAGAGATGTTCTGTTAAGAACATGTTAGTGTCCTATTAACTTTTTTATGAAATATTTCCGACACTCTTATTTTTTGCTTTTTCAGAGTACAGGCTATTTGTGCCATTATTAGGCCAGTTCAGTACTTCATTGCAAAATAATGGGCAGGGGAAAAGCATTGCCAAGCATTGGCAGAGCTAATGATGCTAGGAAACAGTCATAGGAAGAAACTGTTTTTATTTTTTTATTTTTTATTATTTTATTTTATTTTTATTTATTTTTTTTTTGAGACAGAGTCTTGCTCTGTTGCCCAAGCTGGAGTACAGTGGCACGATCTCGGCTCACTGCAACCTCTGCCTCCTGGGTTCAAGCGATTCTTCTGCCTCAGCCTCCTGAGTAGCTGAGACTACAGGTGCCCACCACCACACCCAGCTAATTTTTTTAATTTTTATTTTTAGTAGAGACGGGGTTTCACTGTGTTAGCAGGATGGTCTCAATCCCCTGACCTCGTGATCCACCTGCCTCGGCCTCCCAAAATGCTGGGATTACAGGCATGAGCCACTGTGCCCAGCCCAGAAAGAAACTCTTGAACAAATCACAATAGCATTCATTCCCAAGAAAACACAAATTATAACTAAAAAATATTTATTTTTTATGTTATTCCTTATGGTTTGAAGATATGAACAAGCTATCAGTAATGCTGAATACAAACTCGTTGCCAGAAAATTTGGACAATTTTTGCCAAATTGACAGAGAATACCCACTATTTTCCTGGGAGTTGGGGGTGAGGGTAAGTGAGGATAAATATAAAAAAAGAGGGGATGACAAGTTGAGATTGTGTTAGGGATACCAACAGTGTAGATTTACTGAAGTAACATGATAATGAGGCATGAAATAATAAATCCTGTTCCTGAAAACCTGGAGCTGTGTAAATGCTGACGCATTTTATGCTGTGCCATAGATAGCACTGAAGAGACAAATCCAAAAAGCACTTACTGATTCAGAAAAAAAGAAGAAACTCAAACCACAAATCATCAAATGAAAAACATCTTTTCATGTTTTCAGTACCTCTGCACTTTACATTCTGTTCCTCTTCCCACACTTCAAGCCCTCCCTCAAGCTGCCAGCTGGAATATTTTGATTGAGAGCAGTACACATAAACAATTACACTTTGTGACATTCGATATAGTAGGCCCAGAGGGCTAGAGGTGGATTTAGTAGAGAATACATGGTCAGCTGAAGCCATTTGGAATGTTAGGCTGGAAAAGATCAGAAAACTGTACCTGATAGATTCCTTTTTAGTGTGTCTGGAGTCAGCATCTGAGAAAGCAGTGATCTACCATTTTTATGTAACTGTGGTGTTCCACCTGTAGTTTCAGAGTATGGGATTCATCTCATTGCCAACTCCCATCTGGTAGATATGCCTGTTTCCTTCTACCTGACTAGATCTGGAAAAAAGACTTTTAATGCCGGTGCATCAGTGCCTCAATCTAAGATTTCATTTTCATCAAGCTAGAGTGGGTATCATGAAGTTATTTCAAGGGAATCTGTGAAAAACTCCTCTAAGTTATAGGAAAAAAGTTTATTTATGTTTGCCTGTTTCTACATCCATTGCTTTATACCTACCATCAGATTCCCAGGGGATCCACTACCCTCTCAAGATGAAAGAAAGCCACATTATAATTAGAACCTAAAGGCTCTGATTGTCCAAAAATGACCCAGTGACCTGCTAATTACAAAACTCAATTCCTTTGTGCCTCCCCACTCTCTCTCTCTCTTTCTGACATTCATGTTATCATTTTCTCCTTGTTTCCTGCTCCCTGGTAAATTGCTTTTCAGTTTTTTTCTCTCTGCTCTTCCTTCACTTCCCAGTAAATGAAACTGTTTTTCTTTATAATGAACTATTCTGTTCTCTCTCACTTTTATTCTCCTTTGGATGACTCTTGTGGCTTCAACTTGGCTTGACTTGTGTGGTTGACTTCAATTAAACACTATCAGCCATGCCCATTCTCCCAAATTTGTAAGCTTTCTATCATCCTACACATATGTTTCTATTCACCTACTAAATATACCTGTTGAGAATTGACAATTTCAGCCCCAAACACATATTATAAGTTTATCCTCTTCCATTGCTTTCCAACAAAACCACCCTCCACCCCAGATTAACATCCTCCTCTGTTGTTTCTTGGATTTCTACAATTATTTTTTAACTACTTGATACACGATTTCCTTTAAATTTCCCTTCTCTCTTTTTTTGGGATATATTCATTCACCTCATGGAACATAGAATATCTTTTCATAATTAAAATCTGATCAAATTTTTCAATGTTTTCTTATAGATTTCTGTACTACATCAAAAACATCACGTTGTTCCTTGTTCAGTCCCTTAGTATCTCTAGGCTTCAATAATTTCAACATTCTCTTGGCTGGTCTTGCTTCTTCCTTTCAATATGCTCACCACATGTTAAATCACCATTGTGACTACTTACTCAGGTCACCAGAAGAATGTTTCTTCACTGCCAAAAGGAGATGTCCAGCGATCTTACTAATCATTTAAGGTTGCAGTTTCCTTTACAATTTCATTACCACCATTTCCTTTCACAAAACACATATTCTTAGCTTTTTTCCTACATGGATATCATATTTTCGTGTTTCTGACTGGTTATTCTTCTCTATTTGGAAAGCTCTTCTGTTGTGTTTAAGCATCAAGGTATTACCCAATCTTTAAAATAAGGGAATAATAGCAAATCATACTGCCACCACAGTACATTTTCCAGACGCTACAATCAATCTTTACATACTATAAACAAAATCTTTGATCTATACTTTTTTGAAGTAGTGTATTATTTTGACTGTGAATTATTGTTATATATGTATATGCCTGACCTTCTATTCCAGGAAGGTAATAAGCTTCTTAAATGCTATTTCCTTTTCTAATTAATTCTTCTATCTTTCACATTTCTGTTTCCTTGGATAAATAAATTGCTTTCCTCTACTGAAAACAAAGAAGCAAACAAACATATCAATGTTCCACACTTCTTTATATAATAAAATGCAACTTCTTCTGCATGGATTCAAAGTCTTTTTTTCTTTTTTATTGCCACCACCAGTAGCATGTACTATATTTTTCTATAACCACAGAACACTTATTTCCCAAAACACATCATACACTTACACTTTTCAGGTTTCACTTTTTATTCTTTAGATTTCAATCCTTTTTATTATTATTATTATTATTTGCTTTTTTTTCCCTTTTAACCACTGTACTCTGTTTTTCTGTGAACCTTAAGTCTGGATTAGATGCCTCTCTTATGTCTCCCTATAATGTTTTGTGCATTTCACTTAGCACACTGTATTGTGAATCACTTGCTCACCAGCTTCTCTGCTTATCAACTCTAAGTTTCTGAAAGACAGAAATTATGTTTTATCTCTAAATCCCTGGTGCCAGCAGGATGTGCCAGTTGGAATTAATCTCTTTCCCTCCTATAGGCCACATGCCTCCTTTATCCTCTCTCATGGAATGTTTTACCTTGCATTTTGTAAATTCATCATTATTTACATGTGTGCCTACCACCCCACTCAGGCTCCAGTGTTACCTCCTCCAGAAAACCATTCTTGACACCCAGCAGCTAGGCTAAATCTCTTCCCTTGACTTCTCATATCTCATAATATATTTATGATATTATATTGATATCATTTGTAACATTTAAATTCCAGTCCCTAATGTGACAACTCTTAGAGCTTGCAGGGGAAACCAGCCTGATTACCCTTTTTAGTCCTCATGTCCGGAAAAGTACTTGATGCAGTTCATAATAAATGTTAAACCTACTTAAACTCCATTGATAGCAGGAATCAGACTTCACTATTTTTGTATACCCAGGGCTTGGTCTAAGGCTATGAACGCAGTAGATAGACAGTGCATATTTTATAAACGAATGAATGACTTAATGTAGCTAAATTAGTGACATAAATTTTATTTTTTCTTTTGAAGTAAATAGAATTCTCCAGAATATTCAACAGTTTTAAACATATTTTTTTCTGCATTCTCTGACTTAGGCAAGATTTATTTTATGTGATTAGCTCAATAGAAAACAAATAGTACTTTATTTCCTTAATACATTTTTATATTTGAACATAAATAAAAATTACTAAATGCCTCAAAATCCTGGCCCGTTGTTTTATCTCCTACTTTTATTTCCAGCAGTGGTGTTACAGACAGAGAGAGGTTGCATCTAGAGTGAGCAATTCACATATTTACCTGGCTGCCAGAAACCAAAATCATGGAATTGTTTTATAACCCTGAGCACGATTTGCAAATTGAAAATGTCATTGTAAATATGCAAATATTATGGAAATGTTCTTACTGATTAGGATAATTTTAAGAAACCTAATTATGTTCCTGGCCTACCCATCTGTGAGAGCAGTCAATCAGCAAACTGGTTATCATATTTA
Source organism: Homo sapiens (assembly GCF_000001405.40). Taxonomy (NCBI): domain Eukaryota; kingdom Metazoa; phylum Chordata; class Mammalia; order Primates; family Hominidae; genus Homo; species Homo sapiens. The sequence continues at coordinate 78,196,589 of NC_000012.12, forward strand.
GATTAAAAGCTATTAGACAGGAATAATACCTGTAAAAGAACCAATAAACTCAGGAGATGCTAAATTTTGTCTTTGTTTAAAATTACAGCAATTGCATGCAGATTATAAATAAATAATAAGCATACTTTTATCAAGGTCCTATGGCTGTACTTTTAGATATACCCCATCTACCTGAATTAGAATTAACACATTAAAAATATTAGTGGAACCTGAGAAATGCCATTTTGAATTTAGTTCATACTTGAAATATTAAGGTTGCTAAAATTTACTTTTATCATTGAATACCAAAACTCAGAATAAAATCTCAATATATGTGGTTTATCATAAGAGTTCATATCCAGAACTCATTTTGGCTTTTCTTTCAGGGAGAAAACCACTTAGAAATATGCCGTCATGTTTATACTTTTATATTTGCTGCAGGTGTTTGGTACTGGATCTTCTATTGCTTTCCTTTTTCTTGCTTTCATTTAAAAAAATTATTCTGTCAGCAATATATGGTTTTTGATTTGTAGGAAAAGATTTTACATCAGTTGAATAATCTATGACTTTAATGAAAGAAACGGAATAGAGGACAAAGAGTGCTATTCCTAAAATATTAACTGCTTCCTATTAGTATAAATTTATCACTGACGTATCTGTTTTCTTCATTTTTTAAAAGGAATTGCAACAATATCTAGCTAACCTGGCTGAACAGTGCAGTGCTGATAATAATGGAGTGGAGCTCCCAGTTGTAATAATTCTTGATAATCTTCATCATGTGGGCTCTCTGAGTGATATCTTCAATGGTTTTCTCAATTGTAAATACAACAAATGGTATGCTTATCAAATATTCTGAATAATGAAATATGAAATAATTATCATCAAATTTGCCTTCTTGTACCTGTATGCATTTTTAAAATTTGTTTAATATTTAATTTTTATTTTTTAAATTGACAGATAAAACTGTACATATTGATTGTGTACACCATGATGTTTTGAAGTAAATGTACACTGTAGAATGATTAACTCCAGCTAATTAACATGTGAACTACCTCAGTAGTTATTATTTTTAGACTTACAATGGCTGTCATTAATTTGAGAAACCCTCTTTAATATTATACCACAGTTTTAAAGACTCCATATGCATTCCTTAGAATATCTATGTATTCATTCAACAACCATATCCCAGGCACTCTTATGGAAACATTACTTCCTTGATGATGTTAGCTTCTGCAGACATGATGAACATTTGCGAAACCAACAACAACGTTGGAATAGTTTTAATCAGGAAAATTAAAAACTAACTGGAGCCTTTAGAGCTCTGGTTTCATTCTCAGTTCATATTAAAGTTTAAATTCAACCTTTCTATAGAGATAAACTTAATATATTCAGATATAGCTCCCTCTATTAATGAGTATGATTTTTAACTATTTACAATAAAAGGAAAGGTTAAAGTAAGGTATTAAAAAATCTTAAAACCCACTAAAGATTCATTGTGGCATGGCCTCTAAAGAAAGGACATATAAGAATATCAACATAAAATAAATAGTTTTAATAGTGTCAAATATTCCAATTATCTCTGCTAGAGATTTTTGGAAGTTACAAACGATCAGCATAAAATAAGGAATGAAAGAATACAAATTTTCTCACAATATTAATATTCTTTAACATAACTATGAAATATTAAAATAGTAAAAGTTAATAAATTTTATCATAAGCATTATAAGATGTTAGAGTGGGACAAAACCCCTATGATTATACTAACTAAACTCTTTACTCAAATACTGTAAATTACAAATAAACTCAGGCTCGGAGAGAGAAAATGCCTTGCCTTGATTCCAGAACTGGAATTAGAAACTCAAGTATCAATTTCTAGTCCAGTGATCTTTGTCATTTTCCATTACAGAATTACCCTTTAAAAGACAAATATTGAAATGGAATAATCCATATCTATCCTAGTAGTTTTCCAAGATAATTTTAATGAATTAATCACTTTTACCTCCAGTAAATTAAAATTTTCTATTTATTTTTTTCTAGTCCATATATTATTGGAACAATGAATCAGGGAGTTTCTTCATCACCAAATCTAGAGCTGCATCACAATTTCAGGTAAAGTTAAGTTGAAGGTTTTTTTGTTTTGTTTTTTTGTTTTGTGTTGGGGGGGGCAGGGGAGGGGGTTGGCATTGTTTCTTCCTGTTTGTTTTTGTGGTTTGTTTTTCCATTTGTACTTTGACAAATCTTGCCAGAGATGACCTGTGGTGTGAAAATAATTCTCACTTCTGACACTCTTTCTCAAGCCAACGTTTTGTGATCTTCAACCTGTAATCAGATGTGTTTCTTTAAACAAAAACAAAAAAAAAAAAAAAGGAAAGAAAAAAGAAAAGTAAAGTAGATGTTTTTTCTGTTCACTATGTCCCTGGTTAAAGTAGAGCATATTCCTTCTAAGTGTGAGAAATGTGAAGAGAGTTGCTATTTCAGGATTTGTGATTCTCCTACAGAAGAGTGATCAGCATTTAGACTCCCACTCACTTCTGACGCACATGAGCTTCTTTTTAGCTCAAAAAGTAGAGTTAGCTACATTATAGCTCTCATCCTAGTAGACCTCCTAACACCTTTGATCATGAAAAGGTGGCCACCAATTGAAATGGGAACATTATTACTTTCTATTGGAAAGTAATAATGAATAAATAAATAATAATGATAAAGAATCACTGTGAATGTAAAATTTAATTTATATAAAAATGTCTGATTTTTTTTCTTTTTGTAGGTGGGTATTATGTGCAAATCATACAGAACCAGTGAAAGGCTTTTTAGGCAGATATCTTCGAAGAAAACTCATAGAGATAGAAATTGAAAGGAACATTCGCAATAATGACCTAGTCAAAATTATAGATTGGATTCCGAAGACGTGGCATCATCTCAACAGTTTTTTGGAAACACACAGTTCTTCTGACGTTACCATTGGTGAGTTCCAAAATTATAATATGCCATTTTCCAGGAACTAACAGTGCTTGGTAAAGACGGCCAGATTGGATGGTAGAAAATAACAAGCAAAGCTAATGCTTATTCAAGCTTCCAAAGATTTATTTTTTTCCCTTCTGAAAGTTTGCGTTCTTCTTCTTTGTATCTCCAATTAAATCCATTTTGTCTTGACAGTTATGTTTTACTAAAATATTACCGAGATCAGATAAGTTCAATATGGGCAAATATCTAAAAATCAGATAACCACTGGAAATGAATAGTATCGATTTAGGATACTTTTTATGCTAAAAACAAATTTGGCTAAATAGCTCATGTCAAATAAAGTTGTGAGGAAAGATGTTAGTTACAGATAACTTAAACGCTTTGTAGATAATTTAAGTGTTTTGTGTTTTTCATGAAGACAAAACTGTTTTGAGTTATTTCTCTTTTAGTTTGCATAAAGATATTTACATTTTTATTCCTTCTTTAATTGCATGTACAGAAGTCTCTTTCACATTGTTATGCATCATAAAAATGTACTCACTGTCAACACAGTTTAGATTAGGAAGAAGAATTCTACACTGGGACCAGAACACTCATGCCAGGTCCCAATTCTGCAAATAATGACGTGTTTTATATTTGGCAATTCATTTCAGCACAGCTTTATTGCTTGTAAAATGAAACAGGATAACTGCATTATGACTTTTATCATTTCTCCTGACTCTAGTATATTGTGCCCTAGATTAATATTTATTGTAAAAAGATAGAATAGGCTAGGATATTGGGTCTTCAGTAAACATGCTTTAATAATAATCAAGCTGGCCAATAATACAATTTTCTAGGAATTTTGCAAGAAATATATTATATTCCAAAATGGTGTCTAGATATGTGTTTAGATTATTAAATATAACTCTTAAAATATTTTGTTATTTATTTCTTATCAGGTCCCCGACTATTCCTTCCTTGCCCCATGGATGTAGAAGGTTCTAGAGTATGGTTCATGGATCTCTGGAACTATTCTTTAGTACCTTATATTCTGGAGGCAGTGAGAGAGGGTCTTCAGGTATAGTACTCAATTTTCATTGCTATTTTTTTTTAAAAAAAAAAAGCAAAAAAAATTACTTTAAAAGCAAAAAAAAATATCTGGGTATTTATGCAGAAAACTAAAGGCATGAACTATATGAATAGAGCAATAAGGTTTTCAAGAGCAAATAGTTTGTAATATTTTGCCTGTTCTGAGAACAAATTTGTAAGAGAAAGAAAAGGCACAGTTATTTCAACAACTATACATTTAAGTCCAAATGGTTGTCATGGATGTTTACAGGTTGTTTTTATTAGACAGCTAGTTAATTGCACAGTTCTACATCTTATGACACAGCCATGTTTACATGAGCCTTGACCATTTATATTCTTATCACATAATTTCCTTTATCTTTTTCTTCTTTTCTTTCTCCTTCCTTCCTCACTCCCTCCCTCCCTCCCTCTCCCCCTCCCCACTCTCTCTCTTTCTCTCTCTCTCTTTCTTTCTTTGTTTCTTCTCCTTCTTTTTTTTTTTTTTTTTTGAGACAGGGTCTCACTCTGTCACTCAGGCTAGTGCGCAGTGGTAGAACCATGGCTCACTGCAGCCTCGAACTTTTGGGCTCCAGTGATGAGGCTTTCCAAGTAGGTGGGAGTATAGGCACACACCACCACACTCAGTTATTTGTATTGTTATTATTATTATTTTAGAGACATGGTCTCGCTAGGTTGCTCAGGCTGGAATTGCTTTTTCCTTTTTTTCACATAATTTTTGACAAGTAGCTTTTGCTTGTAAGTTTCCTGTTTTTAGTATACTTCATTGTTGGAAGCCCTTTAATGTCACTTGCAGGATCCTTTACTATTTTGGAGAGAGTACTCTAAATTCTAAGAGAGTCAGTTGGTCTTTTGATCTATGACAGATTGGTTTCACAGCATCTTTGCTCTTCCTTTCATGTGCCTTCTATCTTGAGGCCCTGCAACCAAGGCCCTTCTATTTTTTCCTAACTAAAAGATGAAAATGTATCACTAAAAAAAATCCCTACTTCTCCAACAAAATACATGTCATTTTTCCATAAGTATTGCTATTTCCTTAAGTTTGATTTGAAATTGTAGAATTATAAAACTCTTTAAAATCTGTGTAACATAATCACCCAATTTATTGAGGAAGGATCTCATCTCCTTTTCAGTAACTCAGCCAAGACATCTCTATTTCTGGTTTTTACAACTACTATTAGAATTAAGATATAGTTTATGTTTTCCACATTCAGTCATCTACAATAGTGTGTTGTCTTTATTTTGCTATCTAAAAAAATTGTCCATCTATTTTTCCCTCTTTTACTCCCTTTTACTGTCAGGCTCTCTTTATCTATTGAATGGCATGGCAGTATTTGGAACTAAAATGATAGTTCTGGTGAACATGATGAATTTTATGAGGATACTCTGAAGCCTCAGAGATAAAGCTAAGATCCTAAATAATGCTATTGATTGGTTCTACTCTAGATTTAAATAACCAAATTTAACACTTTTAAAGGTATGAGCCAATCTACCCCAAGCAGAAGCCTCCAATAAAATAAAAGCTTATACAGATGTTTTTATTTTTCAAGTATAACATATTGTGTTTCAGAATTCTTAGAAAACTACTATAGGATATACATTGGATCTTTCAATGTTGATTATTTGTACCAAAAAAAATCATTTTATGAAAATTTTAGAACTCATAATTTTGAAGTTAATATTTCGATACATTATTTGTTCTCTAGCTATGGTTTTGGTTTTAATAAACCATTATCTAAGTATTTATAAATAAAATTCTCCTCATTTAATATTTGTTTACTAATAGAAAGCAAAGGAATCTTTGTAAAAACCTTGAAATGATAATAGTTAAAATGCTTAGCATCCTTAGGTCTTATTTCAAAAGGTACATGGGTTCTTTTTTCATATTTAAATTAATATTATTTATAGAACATTATTTGGAGAATTATAATTCTATGAAGTTTCCATTTGGGCAAAAGTATAATCACTTAAGGATTAGTTTCTCAAACTAAAACTGAGAGATATTTCAAAATTATTTTTGAAGAGGGATAAAAATGTCTCATTTCTTGCTATGGTTCAGGATGTTTAGAAGTAGGTTAGTGTGAAAGATGAATCAACCGTGATTTAGGGCTTTTTGGGGGAGGGGAATCCAGCACATGGGAAGGGAAAAATTGGAAAGTCCTTTTGTGGGTAGACAGTTTTCATTGCTATTGAAGACTATGCTGGGCCAGAAAAGTCTATCAGCTGAAAATATTTCTAGGGGAGCAAGAAGCAAAGGAATTATATCTGTCGTGATCCATTCCCATGGATTTACTGGCAACAAAGAATCTTGGATTGGAGAAAGAAGTGGAGAAACAAAGCCTGGTAGCAAAAATGACACTCTTAAGTTTAGAGTAATAAAATAATATCTTCAGATGAAGGCGGATTTTTTTGGTGAAAAACCTTATGGGGAATGCACTCTGCCAGATGTTTTAGTTGGAAAAAATGTTGGTGATACAATGGATTTTGATTTTTTTCTGGTGGATTCTTTCTTAACTAGTCAGCTATCAATTCATCTCATTCTGAATATTTAGAGTTCTCTTTGTTCAATTATTTTTTCTACAATATGTGTTTCACTCGGAAATATAGTGTTTGGCCCATTTAGCTTTTCACTGGTCTCTTCCAATTTTGCTGTCCTGGATGGTTCTTTAAAAACCTAGAATTAATTGATTCTAGACTTACATTAAAACAAACAAACATAATTAAGCTTTCCAAGAATTATACATGTTTTTCTTCAATTGGTTTAAGTTGTGTAGCATGCTATATGTTACATCTATAAAGTAAGTTTGTAACTGAGAGGAAACTTTTGCTCTAAAACAAGATAACTATTTTTAAAAAAAGTATAATGATTGTACCTCTGTTACCATCTCCTAAGGAAATGCACAGATATCAGTACCTAGACTCCCTTTTATTTTAGGTAAGTCCAACTTCTCCAGAAGAAACTCAAAAGAAAACTCCAAGGCAGTCCATGAAGTTTTTATGGTGTTAATGTCCACCATTTTCCCTTTTGTCTTTACTGAACCAAAACAAACTATACAAAACAGCCATCTAACAACAAACCAAAGTATGTCATCTGAGACCAAATAGGCACCTACTAACCAGGATTGTCCTTGGTAAAGCAAGTCAAATGGGGAGGGAAAGTAATTTAAGGAAAAAGTGTCCCTATGTTACTGCCCCCTTCTCTTAATTTTCACTTTTTTTCTGTGCCCTTGTAATATTATACTTTTTTTTTTTTTTCACAATGTCTCATTCTTCTCTTCAGGCTGCCCTTTCTAGTTTGGGTTCAGCTTTGCTTGCAGCTTAAAAATGTTTAACATCTCTTGGATTTATCTGATTCTTCCATTCCACTGCCAGTACTTTAACCAGGCTATATCAGCTCTTACTTATTGGGCAAATTGCACAATAAGGGTTCTTGCAAAGTTGATAATTCAGTTTCCTATTTTTTATCCTCTTTTACTAGTGGCCTGAAACACAAACATCTAAAAAGAGTTTTTCCAAACACCGCATGTTCTCACTCATAGGTGGGAATTGAACAATGAGAACACATGGACACAGGAAGGGGAACATCACACTCCGGGGACTGTTGTGGGGTGGGGCGGAGGGGGGAGGGATAGCATTAGGAGATACACCTAATGCAAAATGACGAGTTAATGGGTGCAGCACACCAACATGGCACATGTATACATATGTAACAATCCTGCACGTTGTGCACATGTACCCTAAAACTTAAGGTATAATAATAAAATAAGATAAAAAAGAGTTTTTACAGAAAGCAATGGGATTAAAGAGCAAGTTGATCACAGGAAAATTGTTATCAGAGAAAGTTTTCCTACTCTAAAAGACAGTTTGAGTAGAGTGAATTAGGCAGAGAAAAATAAGTTACTTTTATTTTATTTCCATCTTTCCAAGGTACACTTTAGTAGAGAACTCTACTTAATATCAAGCATATTTTTTAAAATCTTCCATAATTGAAGCTTTTATTTTTCAACCTTTAGTTTTCTCTTGGTTTGTCAAATTACTAGTAAATGTGGGCAGTCATTTCTATGTTTATTTATAATAAACCTCCCGTATATTCTCCCCCAAAAGTTGACATCTATTCCAAATATTCAGCTTCATTTTGTCTAGCCTTCAAGTTTAAAGTGAGCTATGTAGACAGATACATGTTTTAAATCTGCAAAACTGTATACAGATACTTAATTCTCTTGAAAGTCCCTTAAGAACTCAATATGTCAAAAAATCACATCCAACTAGCAGTCCCCTTTTTTGCTGAATAGAAATGCATTTTATATATATCCTAAACGCGTGGTCAACTTTTAGATGTATGGGAAACGCACACCATGGGAAGATCCTTCAAAGTGGGTGCTTGACACATATCCATGGAGCTCAGCAACTCTGCCTCAGGAGAGCCCAGCCTTACTTCAGCTGCGACCAGAAGATGTTGGGTATGAAAGCTGCACATCCACTAAGGAAGCCACAACCTCAAAGCACATTCCGCAAACTGACACAGAAGGAGATCCCCTGGTAAGAATCAGATGTTCATTTCTTCCTATGTAATCTTGACTACAGTGTATAGTCATTAATATTTAGTTATTTCTAGCGAAGACATTTGTTATCCTAAGCAACATTTGGAACAGTTTTAACCCTATTATCTTTGGCCTGCTTTCCATGGATGAAAATCTTAAAGTGAAAACCAAACTTGTATGCTTAAAAAGAAATCAAGAAATGCTACAACCAGAATGAACTCCTAGACTATAATGTTTCTCTTATTATGCATTAAATTGTGTATATAATTAAATAAATATAATTTTCTATATTATGACTCAATTCAATAGGCATTTAAGAGAAAACTCAATTTTTTTCTTAAATAGAAAAACAAAAGTTATGGTATAATGTACTCATGGAGAACTAAAAAATATTTTGCCTATATCAACTAACCTGACTAATTTTATAGAATGGGTCTTCTCTTGCCTACTGTAGCAAAGGATAAACTGACTTGGAAGTCAAATGGAAGTTATGGTTTATTTACTTTCTAAAATAGTGGAATAATTGAAATAAAAGTCTGTAAAACTCCAAAGTATGAATATTCTGAAAATTTTAAGTATGTAGTATTATTAGGAAAAAAAACACTTTTTATATATCTATTTTTATTTTTACAGATTACTTTCAATATATTGGTATCAAATGTGAAGTGTTACTAACTCACCATTCTATGAGTATAGAGCTTATTGGACTTTTACAACCAGTACAGAAAGAAAAGATACTGAAATAAAAATTCATTATGTTGCTTAAATCAAACTAAGACAAAACATAAATAATTAAAAATCATAACCTATGGCTATACCTAAGGATATAAAATTACTTGATATTTTAAGGAATACCCTTACACCAACAACCCTGACACACACATCATCATCATCATCATCTCAGCTGAACATTTTGGGAGTTTCTTGTGGAAAACCTGATAAACTTTCAAGATCCTTTACCCAGCAAAATGCATACACACTGAAAATTTGGCATACAATTTTAAGAGTTTCATAAAATCACTGAAGTATATATATAGACCTACTTAGATTCCAGGGATTTCCTGCTGATTTCTGATCTAGGCGATATCTTCCTTAAGAGCCCAGACTTATATTTTTATAACATGGTACCTGGCCTTTTAGATGATTCATAGTTAGGAATCAACAGTGCTGATGAAATTGGTTTGGATTCAGCATAATTGTGAGCATATACTAAATAATTGCTGATAGAATGATTAACAGAGTAAATATAAGCTTTAGAATATGAGTATGGATTATTTAATCTGAATTCCTCAAAAATTCCAGTCCTACCTCTGCAGTTTTTATATAATATGTCTGTTTTATAAGGAGAGGTGTTTATAAGATTTGTTCTCAGTTTTAGTCTGTAGAGTATGAAACCCTTAGGAAATGCCCACAACTTTCCCAATTCTCATAGTCCAGCTCAGCTCACCCCATAAAGCACTTTTTTTCCTGGTTCTGAATGCACTTGTCTTCTAGTAGAGGAAACAAATTCAAGGTTTTCCCTTCTGGCATGAGAATTGGGGTAAAAAAATTTCCTGGTTCCTAACCTGCTGCTCTATTAAACATCTTAAGAAACAGGGAGTTATGAGGTCTTACATGCTAAATGGTAAAAGACGTCATCTAAAACTAAATATTTGGCAGGCTTTCTCTGGTTTTAAAAAAATAAATATTTCTATCTTTTTTCTTTCTTTCTTACTTTTTTTTTTTTTTTTTTTTTGAGACAGAGTTTCATTCTCGTTGCCTAGGCTGTAGGGCAATGGCACGATCTTGGCTCACCACAACCTCCGCCCCCCGAGTTCAAGCAATTCTCCTGCCTCAGCCTCCAGAGTAGCTGGGATTACAGTCATGCACCACCATGCCTGGCTAATTTTGTATTTTTAATAGAGACGGGGTTTCTCTATGTTGATCAGACTGGTGACGATCTATCTGTTTTTATTTCTATGTATTTTTGTAATTACTAGCATGAAGCCAACATATATTTTCAGTCCATTCTAAATCAGAAATCCTACAAAATATCCACTATTTAGTGTCAAGAAACATCCACTATTTAGTGTCAGAAATCCCCATAGCAATGAGTGTAGCAAAGAAACAGGGAAGAAGAGAGGAGAGAGACTTTTTGAATCTGAATGAGGATGCAAGTTTTTGGTATATCTCACATTATTTTAAAAATACAATGTGTATTCACCATTAACAACAAAGAGAATGTTAATAAGTATGTCCTTAATGCTAAGACCTGGTGATCAGGAGATAACTACAGTATCATTTCTGATCTCAAGAAGCTTAAAATCCAGTAGTGAAGAGAGACTTCTACCTATATGAACTGCAGTAACATAATAGAGGCACATATTAAGTAAAATTGTGAGTTCATTGAGGAAGCAGTTAGAATAAAGCTTTACAGAGGAGATGCTTGAGCTGGATCTTGAATGATTAATAGGAGTTCACCATATGGTTGCAGGGAGAACATCCAAAATTAAAGAAATAGAATGTGAAACATTAGAGGACAGTGTAATAGAAATGATGAGTTTAGGGAACTATACACCAGTTGGTGGTAGGAATTAAAACTGTGGAAGTATACAATTGCTAGATCATGCTAAGCCTTGTTTATCATTGCAGGAAGTTAAAACGTTATCACAGAGACAGTGGAGAACTGTCAAAGGTGTTTGAGCCATGATTTACCTAGTTAGATCTGCAGTTTCTAAAGATCACTTTAATAACAGAGTAGAGAGAGGACAGACTGAAGGAGATAGGATGGAATCTGGAAGCTTAGCAGATTAGATGGTACCAGTGATGATAAGGACTTGATCAAGGTGTTAGAAATGATAAACATTAAATTTATGGCTATAGATGCCCTATTCCATTTAGTGTTGCTATAACAGACTATTTGAGGCTGGGCAATTTGTAAAGAAAAGAGATTCATTTGGCTCATCGTTCTGGTGGTTGAAAAGTCTAGGATTGGGCAGCTGCATCTGGTGAGAGCCTCATGCTGCATGAACTTACGGTGGAAAGTGGAAGAGGAGTGGGAGTGTGCAGAGAGGTCACATGGTGAGAAAAGAAGCAAGACTCTTTAATAACCTGCTCTCGCACATGAACTAATCCATTCCCTCCAGAGTGAGAACTCACTGACCCCTAACCAGAATGCCATTAATCTGTTCATGAGGAATCCACCCCCATGATTCAACACCTCCCACTACGACTCACATCCCAACACTGCCACAATGGGGATAAAATTTCGACAAGAGTTTCGGAAGTGATATATCACACGCAAACCATAGCAGTGAGTGTGGGGAAGAAGTGGGGAAGAAGAGAGGAAAAATATTAATACTTTTTGGAGAATTGTGATGTATCACGATAATGACTAAATCATACGTAATCTTCTCTTGTAAACTCCCTTGATTTGAATGCACAAAATAATACTAGGCAAAGGCAAAGTAAATCCCACGTATACATTTATTATGAATCTGAGATGTGGAATGTATTATAATGGAACATATTTACTATATGACACCATTTTAAAAAATTAAGACTTTAATAACAATACTATTACACAGTGAAACTTTTACAACATCCAGCATTCAAGTGATTTCAAACATTTGTGCCTAAGATACAACTGTATCTTTTTTAAAAGATATCATTTATCATTTCTACTCTTACTAAATCACTAGGGTGCTCAAAACTCAGTTTTATTTTACAGATCAGTTTCACCCAAATGCTTGAACATACAGGCAGCTGCTAATGAGTGACAGATAGATAAAAGAAATGGGAGAAGGAATATGAATGGACATGAAAGTAGGAAGGTAGGGGTGTGGGTGACAGAGAAAGAGAGAGGAGAGTGGGAGAGAAAGAAACTATGTTGAAGGAGACATTTGACTTTTTGGCTTACTGGGTTTAAAAAGTTATCACCTACTACTTTTATTTCATAACCTTATGTAGCTTATTTAATAAATTAGGAGAGTCAGATTGAAAATTAGGTTAAAACATATTTTCCTGAGACTATTAAAATGATTTCAAATTATGCTGTAACTGTAGTCTCTTTGTCAGAAAGGAATTCTTGCTGAAATTGGTGATTACCAGTTTATCATTTATTTCACAAGCATTTATCAAGCACACTTTCTGTAAAGAGCACACAAGCATGCATAGCTTAACATATGACCAAGGAATCGTTTTTTAGATTTCTCCTTTCTATTTCTGTAAGTTGGAAAAAAAAAACTTTTGATTATAGAATAATAAAATTAGTATGCATTAGGTAATATAAAAATTGTTACAATTTATAAAAACCCTTGATATGAAAACAAGTCCACTACCCTTGTAAAGACATGTGCCAATTTTTCTGTGCTTTCTAAAATCATTGAACCATTTATTCACAATTTGCCTTTAAACACTTTTTTTCCGAAAAAAAAAAAAAAGTCCATCTCTAACAGTGGAGCTCCAGATCTATCAAAATTCAAGCAATGTGACTGCTCTTTATTTTATAATACATGGAAATGCTAGCTGCCTTTCTCCCCAGGTGCTTTCATGCATATGTCCCTTTTACTAGAACAAACATTACCATTCTCCTATAAGGCTGGGAAACTTGAGACAGCCACTATTGTTCCAGATGATAGTTTTTGTTTTCAGTGATGTATCAATCATATTTTAGCCAGAAATTTAACAACACAAACTTGACAGTAATTCTTTCCTTCTCCCTCTTCAAACACTCATGGTCTGCTTCATTCAGTCACCTCCTCCCGAGGTCAGCTCCTAAACAGCAGATGGTGTGCTTGTGTGCAGCAGCTGGCTTCATTCCTCTCCATACCCTCCTTCTCTCAAGGGACAGTGCGTGTGTGCCTCTGTGTGCGTCTGTGTGTGTATGAACATTCACGACTTTCAGTTGCCATTCAATGCTTTCTGCTTCTCCCAGCCAAAAAGCTGGGAAGCTTGGCGTACTTTCCAGCAACGAACCCAGATGTCCAGCTGTGATACAGTTTCCTTTCCAGTCTCCCTGCTGGAGCAGTATTCATTCACAACCCCAAATAAAAGAGTTATCCAGAGGCCCTATTTTGTCCTTATGGTTTGGTGTTGTAGTCATGTTTGGGAGAAACAGCATAGGAGCCAGGGGCAACGAGTAAAAATCTAAAATTATTTTCCCCTGTTACTTGGATGGGATAAGATAGCTCTTCGGTGTGGCTCAGGGCCTTGTTTTTTATGGGCTGGCTTACTCAATGCATCATTGCCTACATCGATGTCTTTTTTCTTTCTTCAGATGAATATGCTAATGAAACTCCAAGAAGCAGCCAATTACTCGAGCACACAAAGCTGCGACAGCGAAAGCACCAGCCACCATGAAGACATTTTGGATTCATCTCTTGAATCTACCCTCTAGAGGGTGAAAAAAGTTAAGGGAAAAGACTTTGCTTTTAAAAAAATGTTTCAAAAGAAAGGTATTTTCACTAAACCACTGCCAGTATAAAAGCACCCTGTCAAGGGCCCTGACCCAGAGTTGTGGTCTCCAAGGAGGCAGCAGAACTAAGTCTGAACCGCCAAGATGCTAAATTGCAATGGAAGCTTAACTTTAGTTTATTTCTAAGCATTTTTTATATCTGTGGAGTAATAGAAAGCTCCATTACTCAACTGGAAAGGACCCTAATGACAGGGCAACTGAACAGATTGCACATGGGATAGCCAAACTGGACTTTCTTTGTTTCCTCTTTAAAAGTTTACAATGCAGACCATTTTTTGTCCCTTCCTTTTGTTTCCTCTGAGGGGCTGTTCGCCCCAGGCAGGGTCCATCTTTCTGATCTGTCCAACCTCCTTTGTGCCACACGGTGCTGGTCACAGGGCTTCAGTAGTGTTTGTGTTGTGCGCTCACCCCATTCCAGAACAAATCCAAGAGGCCAGTCCTCCATAAGCACAAATGGAATTGTGCAACCACCAGAAAAACACTACTGTGGCAAACTGGAGAAGTGCCAATTTAATTCTAACTGCCACGTTCTCATGATGTGCTCCACCAACTTTTTAGTATATGAGTCACTGGTTTTATAAGGTTGTTTTTACCACAGTGGTCTTTTTAAACCACCTGCCCACTCCCTTAACAAGAGTTTTATACCAATTATTAGTCAACACTGATAAAAGGCTTTTTTAGGGCTTTATTTGTTTGAGCCTTTTCAGTGAAAGAAGGAACATTTCCTATGGTGCTGTCTCACTGCCTTAAAACAGATTTCTATGACAGTTTAACAGTTGGTTTAAATCCTAAACCATTGGTAATTTCCACTGTCTTTTCATTTACAACCAAGCAACACCAGTTAACATAGTAGCCTCATCTCTATATATCTTTCTCTTTTTTTTTTTTTTGAAGAAATGGATAGGAGAAAGATCAGTATTTTTAGCCTTGTGAATAGATCGCTTTGCCTATCCTCCAAAATATTAAAATAACCCAGAAATGCTCTTTGACCGTCACTTAAAACCTAAGACATGTGGCGAAATTCCATCCAGTTCTAAGTGAAAGAGTTTCAGAAGGCAGAAGATTTTGAATTATTATCCAGCAGGGCTGGAAGCACTAGATGCAGCATGAGCACAACTATTCGGCTTTCCTTCCCTATTGTTTTTGTTTTTTTAATGAGTTTTGACGCATGTTGTTTTGATTGCTATTGTTGTACATGAGAAATTCAGCATTAAAGAACACTGAAGCGGTAAGGTCACTGTGGAAGAGGAAGCGTTTATACTGTAAAAGAAGGTTAGATTTGCACAGTCTACTGGGTAGGTATTGTAAATAATAATTTTTAAAACTTGCACAAATCAAAACAAACACAAACAAAATTGTATTTTATCCTGTTGGTGTTAAGAGGTGTTTCACTTGCTGAGATTTCCTGTACATTGCAAACAAATACAGAATGCAAACCCTCAAAGCTGTATTATCTGGTGTGTTTGTCCTGTATTTACAGTTGTTTTTGACTATGCAGGAGCTATCAGTGCTAGAGTGAGCATGCTTCAAAACTGTACATGAAGCCAATATATTTTTGGATAAGTAAAACTGTCTGAAAGTACATCTGTCATGGCAGGCTTTAAAGAGAGTGCATGAAAACTGATCAGTCATTGGAGAAGTTACCACCACACACAAAGGACAGGTTTTAAGTTTATGAAACCCAAGGGCTAGGCCATGGTATAGACTTCTTCTATGAGTGTGTGAAAATGTGTTACTTTTAGGACGTGTATTTGGTGCTACTCTCTGTGACCACCAATGGGTCAGTTGCTATAGAACAACAACACCACGAAACATCTGTGCAGTTTTCAGAGTGTCACAAAGTCAATAGGTCCTTACACGGTGCTATTGCCCTAAGGGAAATCCGAACTGAATTTATGCACATAGAATTGTCACCCTGACTTTGAAGCCTCAAACATGGATCAAATCTGTTGTGAAACATCAATATATGTAGCTGGATGAGTGACTAGTTTCCCTTGTATAATATGTGATCTAAGAAAATTGCTAATCTTTCCCTGCCATTTTGAGAAACACAGTCCAAACATGAGCATAAACAGAATTTCCTGCAATACATCCCAGTAGGTCCACCTAGTTTACAACTTAAACTAGTTTGTGAAACATTTGTCTGTATACATTTTATATTTTGTACATTTTGATGTAACATATCATGTAAATAGGCAGAAACAGTGAAATAAATCATCTGAAAAGTTTTGTAGTCTTTGTAAAGCCCCAACAATAAGTACTTGGTGTCAATGGACTTAACTGGATGATGTATTTTCTATTGGTTTATTGTTCCTCTAGCTTGTAAACCAGCTTGCATATATTTTTTTGCAAATGTGCACCCTGTATCTGTCTAAATTATTACTTTGCCATTAAAGTGGAATTATTTATTGACAACATGGTGTGGTTTCTATTTATGGAAAAAAATGAATAATTTTGCATCAAGAAGTGTCAAGCTTTAAAATGTTGCTTGCACTATTAATATGCCATCAATAGGACTGTATGCAAATTTCTATTTTATAAACATAAAAAGGGCTTCAGCTTTCAAGTAAATAAAGGTAATCAGTTTATCTTTTTCAATGATAGTTATTTAGTGAATATTTTAGAAAACTCTGAATAGTTTTCCTAAATAGCCGATGATAAAGTAAGAATATAAAATAAAATGTTGAGATTCACTGAGTTAAATTAACTCAATAAATGTTTCTTTGTTTTTATTGCATTAAATCCTCTTTTGAACTTTTAGCTCTAAAGATTATTTTAAAGCAAACTAATTATTTGGGTGGTAGTTTATTTATTTTAATAGAGAAGATTAAAAAAAGAAAAAAGAACCTGTTTTAAAATTATAATTTCTTTTTAAGTATCTTGGAAATCTCTTTAACCTCAGTAATTGGAATGTATATTTCTGATGGTATAAGTAGGATTTTAATTCTAAAAGCAGGAAAACTTCCGAATTAGAATAGTTTTAGAGCAAAAAAGAAAGGTATTAGTTAAAATAGACCAATCATCCATAATGGGTTATAATCAGTGCATTTGTTCCTTCACTCAATTGGGAGATAAGGAAATTTCCACAATTTATCTTATTCAGACAAACATTGAATTTAGCCAAAACTTCAGTACAGTTCTGCTAAATGCAATTTCAGGCTGCCTAAGTATACATCCTAATATTGTCATTCTTTGTGTGACCTTGGCCAATTTACTCAAACTCTATGTGCCTCATTTTCCTCACTCATAAAGTGATGATAATAATAGTATCCACCTCTCACAGATTACTCTGAAGATCAAATGGGTTATTACATGGAAATTCCTTAAACGGTGCCTAGCCCTCCATAAATTGTAACTGCTTTAACAACAATTAATTAACAAAATAGTAAGAAATATTTATTATTTTATTTTCAAACATTCTTGAGAATAAGGTGTAAATAAATTTATTTTAAGGTTTTGAAAGAATATATATTTTAACTCAATTTCCTCATTTATAAAATGGGCATAGAAATAGTACTTATTCATAGGGCTGTGGAGAGGATTGAGTTTAGATCTGTAATCAGAATAATAGCTATCACTCAAGAAACTTTCAATAACTGTTAGCTTCTATGTTAACACTGCCGTTACTATAAATGAGTAATATCAGTAATGTAATAGTCTCAGGATTCAATTTACTCATCTATAAAATGAGATTATTATAGTATCTATCTACTCATAAGATTGTTTTGAATAATGAATATTTTAAAATATGTAAAATACTCAGAAAAGATTCTGTCCTGGCTTAAATGTTACCTAAGTGTTAGCTGTTATTATACCTAATATGTGCCAGGCAATTTTCCTAGGAATCAGCGCCATTGAGACACAGGCTATGGTCCTAAAGGATTTAACAGTTAGTAAAATTGGCCGGGTGCGGTGGCTCAGGCCTGTAATCCCAGCACTTTGGGAGGTCAAGGCGGGTGGATCAGGAGTTCAAGACCAGCCTGGCCAACATGGTGAAACCCCATCTCTACTAAAAATATAAAAATTAGCCGGGCATGGTGGTGTGTGCCTGTAATCCCAGCTATCTGGGAGGCTGAGGCAGGAGAATCACTTGAACCTAGGAGGCAGAGGTTGCAGTGAGCCAAGACTGTGCCACTGCACTCCAGCCTGGCAACAGAGCGAGACTCTGTCTCAAAAAAAACAATCAGTAAAATTGAGTCTTTGTTCCTCTCACTTCTTCCTTTGATGAATACCTAAGTTCTCCACTATGAGGTTGACTGTAAAAAGCCCTGTGAATAGTCCACTGAATAGTTGTACAGGATATATTTTCAGATACTGATAGAATCAATGATACCAGTGAATTTTGTTTACATTTGGAGAAATTCAAGTACTATCTTTATTTCAGGCTTTGGATTTTTCACATTAAAAAAAGAAAAATATTATTTTTATAAATAATAGGCCACCTTAAAAATGTCTATTTCTATTTCTTTGATCAGTGAAGATGTTTAAAAGGAAGCTTCAGGCCAGGTGCGGTGGCTCACATCTGTAATCTCAGTACTTTGGGAGGCCGAGGTGGGCGGGTCACGAGGTCAGGAGTTCAAGACCAACCTGACCAACATGGTGAAACTCTGTCTCTACTAAAAGTATAAAAATTAGCAATTAGCCGGGCGTGGTGGTGCGTGCCTGTAATCCCAGCTACTCAGGAGGCTGAGGCAGGAGAATTGCTGGAGCCCAGGAGGCAGGGGTGGCAGTGAGCTGAGATCGTGCCACTGCACTCCAGCCTGGGTGAGAGAGCGAGACTCCATCTCAAACAAACAAAAAAAGCTTGGATTATGTTTTTATTTTGTTTTCTGTTTTTGGGAGGGACAGCAATTAATAGGTAAAATATTGCCTTAGTGAATTCACTATTATTTTTAATTCAGTGAATATGATTTGGATAAGTAATCATTAAGAGGATCTCTTCTCTACATAAAGTATACATTATCTCTCAATTACCCAGGAACTCATCAATAAGAAAACCTATTCATAGAAATTAAACAGAGCACATTCTAAACTAGAATTTTATTAGAGAAAAATGAAAGTTCTCCAAGTATTTTCCATGAAATTGTAAAAACAAAATACTAATATTAAATAAATCTTTCTCCATCATTTAAATTTTTAACACTTGTCCTTAATATTCCAGAATGGCATGGTAGATTTGAACTTGATAACAGAGTAAATACTTTTTACACTGATTACATGTTAAGAATAGTAATATTTCCAATATATTAGGCTATATTAACTATAATATTAAAATTAATTCATCTGATTCTTTTTATTTTTTATTTTTATTTTTATTTTTTGAGACACAGTCTCACTCTGTAACCCAGGCTGGAGTGCAGTGTCATGATCACAGTTCATTGCATCCTCGACCTCCCAGTCTCAAGCAATCCTCCTACCTCAGCCCCTCTAAGTAGTTGGGACTACAGGCCCATGCCACCACAGTTGGCTAATTTTAAAAAAAATTCTTTGTAGACACAAGGTCTCACTATGTTACCCAGGCTGGTCTCGAACTCCTGGGCTCAACAGATGCTCCCACCTTGGCTCCCTAAAGTACTAGGATTACATGCATGAGCCATTGCACCTGGCCTGGTTTTTACTTTTTTAATGTGGCTACTAATGAAAAATTTAAAAATTAAATATGTTGCTCATATTTGTGGCTTGCTTGATATTTCTATTAATGCTGATATAGAGAGACTGATCTTTACAAAATATAAATGTGATCATCTCTCTCATCTCTTTTGTATTTTGCTTTTAAAAATAAGACTCAAATACCAAAGGACAACAATTCCGTACTTAAACTGAATCTTGCTTATCCCTCGGCTTCCTTTATCACCATATCCACCACCCCTATTTTGGTACATTAGCCTAATTGTAGAACCTAGAAGTAATTGTTGAAACAATAACAACAATAACTTTATAACTTTCCAGACAATGTAGCTATGACCATATGTCAAAGTTTTGTTATAATCTTGCAGGATGGTAGAAAGTCTCTAGGAGGCCAATTTAAAGTTTCTCTTAAAATAGAGACATCTATGGGAAAGGAAAATTAGACAAAATAGAGAAGAAAATTTAAACATCCCCAAACTCTTGACTGCCAGGTAGGTGAGGGTGTGACTAGTTCCTTCCTTGTGACAAATATCATCTCATAATTAAATAATTATTTAAAATTCCCAAATGTTTTATCACAATTCAAATTTATTCAGTGAAGGAGATTACAAACTACATCAAGAGATAAATAATGTTTTGTTCCAGACCAGGTTTGGTACAATATTTCTTTTACAGTCATTTCCTTTCTCTTACCCCAAGACCTTTATACAGTCTCAAATGTCGTTTCCTTAGACAAACCTTTCTGATCCCTCAGATGAGGTCAAAAATCTATGTTATTTGCTTTTCCAGAAAAAAAATTATATGTGTATATATATATATGTGTGTGTGTGTGTATATATGTGTATATATATATACATATATATACACATATATACATATATGCATATATATACACATATACATGGAATTATATTCGATATATAGATATATTTAATTATTTATATATAATTATTTCATATAATATTGTGGAATAAAAATATTTCTGAACATGGAGACAGCAACTGAATTTTAGCATATGTTAAGCAAATGCATTAAATTTGAGAAGAATGACTTATACAGGTGTCCAGCGTCTCGGGAAGCCAGATTAGTAATTCGAATGCTGACTGGGTGACCAGAGAAGAAGCAGATAACTTGAGGACTAGTGTTATTTAAAGCACTGCCTCATGTTTGGGAATTTTTTTTCCCCTTTAGATATAATGTGCTCCATACTTTCTATCAAGTTTTCTTTTTCTTTCAGCTTTTCAAGTTTTTTTTTTTAAAGATGCCTTAGTTATATATAGTGCAATTTCAATGTGTGGGGTTTTCTGGGGGAACAAAGAAAATACACCAAGCAGTAGAAATGTAATGCTAGAGCCTAGAGGACAGGTGGCGGCTGGAAAAATCAAAATAGGAATCTTTGGCACAGAAATGAGAAGTGAGGATGTGAATTTCACTTTGGGATTATCCCCCACAAGAGAGACCTTGACCAAGTAAAGACTGAGAATAGATCTTGAAGAATATGGTGAAAATCTTCATAGTTCTTTTAGTCATTATTTGTCAATTTCCCTAATATATTTGTGCACATTTAACATAACATTTATAAAGGAATATAAGGGGAAAACCATTGAAATAAGAGTCAGAAAAATCTGTATCCTAGTTAAGTTTTGTGATTTCTCCTAGAAAAATCACCTGATCTGCTATTTGTGTTCTTGTAGATTTTATACCCTAAGATGATGACAGATATTAAAATTCACCCAATGTCACTGGAGTGGTTCTATACATTGTTTGTGATACAAATAATGTGTATCTATCAGATATTCCGGGGGAGAGTAAAAACTCTAGGTATCTGGTAATAGCCCAACCAAAAACACTTGAGTACAGTTGTGTTCAGTCTAGTTTGATCTAACTTGATATGCTGTGCAGAGGCAGCTGAGTATATAAGCGGGTTTTGCAGGGTGATGTTCACAGTGTAGAAGCTGGACCAAACTCCCTTATAGGCTCTTTGTGGTAGAGTGGCCATTTGCCTAGCATTAGCAACTCTTTGAGGGGGCAGGGGATCCCTACTTCCCAGGCAAAAATCTTTCCTGATAAGCTACTTACATTCCTGGTTCAGCCCTTCCTCTGGTTGCAGCAGAATGTAGGCCTAGAGATTCTCTTCAGCCTCTTACTGGTGGGGCTAGGGACTCAGCGATGAAGCAATGCTACACAGAAGCCAGATTTTGGTGGAACTTCTGAGGCTGAAAGCCAGCACTATGAAGAGCTAGAGTCAGGTGCATGGTGGTTGGAGATAAAGTCTCCAATTTGGCTACCACATAAAAGCTAGAGAAGAGTCTTTTCCAATATTAGTGGTTTCTCAAGGGAGGGAAATTCACCTGAACTATATACCCCAATCATAAGGCTTTATGATTTTAGACTAGAGCAGCATTTTCAAGAGAAATATGAGTGCTACATATGCAACTCATTTTATTTTTTAAAGCCAGGGTCTCACTCTGTTGTGCAGGCTGGAGTGCAGTGGTTCAGTCAGAGTTCACTATAATCTCGAACTCCTGGGCTCGAGCAAGCCTCTTGCTGAGTAGGAGTACCTGAGACCAAAGGCATGCATCAGCATGCCTGGCTAAAATGCAATTTAAATTTTCCAGTAGCCACATTGATAAAAGTAAAAAGAAGGAGGTAAAATTAATTATAATAATATATTTTGTTACTTAAATGTATTAAAAATTAGCATTTCAACGTAAAATCAAGCTAAAATACTTTTAAATAAGATCCTCTAAATATTTTACATACTGCTCTCTCTTTTTCTTTTTTTGTGCTAAAACTTCAAAATGTAGCATGTATTTTTACACTTATACCTAGTGTGAATTCATATGCTAAATTTTCATCAGAACAATTTGATCTGTATTTAGAATTGAAAATATTTACAGTTGATAGATTGGCATGCTTCGGTTGTTCCAAATACAGTTAAAGTAAATTATCAATTTTAAATGTAAACTTAGGTAATTACTATGAAATAAGGCTGAAAATTGTATTCCTAAATTGATATACTCATCAAATGCTAATTATCCACATATGCCCAGTGATTGCTACTAAATAGCATAGCTCTAGCCACACTTGGTAAGGAGCTTTCTCGATCACTTATAGCGCATCTTCCCAGCTGGAAGTGCTAACCTGAGGCTTTGAGTTGGAAGTTTTTCAACTTACCGAGTACAGACACATTTCCCTTCATACCCAGTGCTGGCTTCCAGTAGTTCATTGTAACTATTGCAGGGATTCTGTTACCCTTCTTTATTCTCAAGCTTTGGTAAAGATCACCTTGGTGATCTTTTGTAACACTTTCCCTTAACTTCAATTATTAGGTAAAAACACATGGACTCCATAATAAACGTGTCCACCCCTTCTCCAGAAAAGCTCAAAATTTTATATATGTAATATTCTTGCTCTGTAATCCCAGGATGAAAGTTTCCTACTGTCTTAGTCTAGTTGGGTTGCTGTAACAAAATAACATAAACTGTGGGGGTTATAAACAACAGAAATGTATTTCTCTCAGTTTTGGAGGCTGGGAAGTCCATGACCAAGGCTCTGGCAGATTTAGTGTCTGTTGAGGGCCCGTTTCCTCATGGAGAGCTGTCTTCTAGCTGTACCCTCACATGAGTGAAGGGATAAGAGAGCTCGCTGGGATCTCTCTTGTAAAGGCACCCGTCCCATCTATGAGGACTCTGCCCTCAACACCTAATCACCTACCAAAGGCCCCACCTGTCAATACCATCATAGTGTGGGGTTAGGATTTCAACATATCAATTCTGTGGGGACACAAAAAGTTGGTCCATAGCACCTACGTATTCTACATTTGGATTAAAAAGACCCTTCTCAAATATTCTTTTGTAAGATAGAAAATGATTCTCTTCTCTAGATTAAAAAACGAAAGGAACAGTATAAAGCACAACTACCCAAAGAAATTTGAAATACAATAATGACTCCCAGAACAAGATCAGATCACCACTGCAGACTTATCAATAAATGTAAAGAGACAATGCTTTAAAAAGCAGTATAAGAGAGAAAAATCTACATATACACTCAAAATGGACATGCAGACTGAATATGACAAATAAGAGAGAGATTAAAGTAGTACTTTTCCTCATCTGGATAAAATATCACACAGGGCTATCAGCTGCTTTTGTCCCCATCCCTTATTCACCAAACAACATTCTAATTGCTAATATGATTTCCTAAGAACCCCCGAACCTATAAAGGTACTTCTAAAATGTAATGCTTCTTCTTATATATTAAAGTTCTTTTCCTTACATATTAAAATTTAGTGGCTATTTACTTCCAAAATAAAAAACACCATATTTCCTCAACAATATACATTTTCTTTAATATCTGCTACTAGAAATTTTGCTCATCTGCAGAAGCCTTGGGGCTGGCGATAGAGAACAGGCTGTAAGTAATCCCTCTGTGAATGCAACACAGTAATTAGCCTTTTTTTTCTTATGGTGTGCCCTTTAGCTGTTTGTTTTTTTTTTCAGCATCAACTGAGAGTTTTTAGGAACTAGCTTGAGGAAGAGATGTCTCTTATACTAGGGGCACACTTGGAAATTTGAAATTATTAATATCCCCAATACACAGCTGCATTAGGATTTAAGTAAAATAATTATCTCATCAAATAACATTATAATT
Organism: Homo sapiens; assembly: GCF_000001405.40. NCBI lineage: Eukaryota > Metazoa > Chordata > Mammalia > Primates > Hominidae > Homo > Homo sapiens. The sequence goes on from NC_000012.12 coordinate 78,220,877, forward strand.
GTCACTAATGCTATCTACATTGCCAACTTGAAAATAAAATGTTTATATGCCATTAACATAGGACAATAGTGGAGGAAAGTTTCTGGGTGACCAGCTGGTGTACTAACTACATGAGGGCGGACTCCCACATTAATCCTGCGGGACACCATGGATTTGCAGTCTGCTCTGGAAATTTCCTTCTCTCACAATGAATTGCAAAAGATATGCAAGACCTCAAGAGAACTAGAAAATAGATCATGTGCAAACAGATGAAAACATTTCTCCAGCCAAGCAAATATTGATACTGTTAGAATCAGACCTACAGTTACTATGTGACTATTAATTTCAAAGAAAGGTCAAGTTGCAGATCTCAACAACATCAGTAAGGCAAGAATGGAAAAGAAGTTTGAAAATAATCATAGGAAAATGCCACAAGTAATTTCCTTTTTTGGGAAATCAGTCCAAGTATTAATTTTAAAAACAAAAACATGAAAGACTGTGGTTAAGCAATTGTAACTTCTAGCATGTCATAATGTTAATAAGACCATAGAGGCATAGCTACTAAATATTGTAGCCAAGTTCCAGAAAATACACAAAAGTATCTATTAAATAACCTTATATTATTCTTCAAATAGAACATGGCATGTAAAGTGAAGAAAAGTTGTCTGTAATCCCAGCGTAAATACACCGTGCAATCAAAGTTAAATGCATGCATTATTTAGTATATATAGGAAGTTAATAGGAAAATTCCAAAAAATAAAACAGAGTTAGTTATATTTTGACATAAGCTTTGGGATTTCCAGATTTTAATAATCATCTGTAGCCTCTAAAGATAAGGAATTTGTTTGATTTACTGAACGTACATTATTTTAAATTTCATTAAATAGATAAATGGTTGATTTTTAAAGACCAAATAAGTACTCATGAAAGAGAAACATTTTGGCTCTGGGCCATAGGAAATAGAAATTTCATCAGGAAAGAACCATGGAGGGATTGTCTGTCCCTCTCTAGTGCCAAAGCAAGGGGATTGTACAAATAACAGGGCCTGGCATTCTGGAAAGGAAGGGTGAATATGTAGGACCCAGGGCCCAAAAATGTTACGTTTGTAAAAATTGCATGTAAAGAACATTAATCATATTTTCCCCAGTTTTTCTCTAGGGCCCTAGTCTGCTCTTGAAGCCCTACTCCTTAAACTCTCCCAGAGCAGGAGGAATGACTTATGTGAATGATAAGGCATGCAAGTGGTCACATGCATCTGCCATGGAGGGCAGAATGGTAATCCAGCTTACCGGTTTTTATGTAGTCAGCATCCCTGGGCAGGTTTCTCCAGCCATGGAGGAGACGGAAATCTTGCCAACCCTCAGCTTCACCTGCAACTGAGTGGGTTCAACTGCCTTCTTCGAATTGATGTTTGTGTGTGTGGTTGGTGGAAGGGAAAGGGTGGCTAGGAAATCTCAGTAGCATCTTTAATAAAGCCAATAAATGTCCACTTCTTAACTATAATAGACAAGTTTTAAAAGAGAAGAAGATAGTAAGCTACTTAAAGCTAGATAGCCATCCTATCTTTTTGGCCTTCTTTGTGCTTAGCATTCTCTTTATAACACAGTGACCTCAACAAAATAGATGTTCAATTAATGATGTTGAATATATGAAGAGAGTCTTGTGAGAGCTGCAAGAGACAGTACTTACTGATTAATTGTTTTGATATTTAAGAACCACTTTGGTTGAAGAATATTATTGGGGCAAGGAAATGAGAATAAATGTATTCCCTGGAAATAATCTTTGGAAGTTTGTTTACTAAAAGAGAAAGAATATCTTAGGGAATTTCTGAACTTGTGCTACTTTTACTACATGTGATTCAAGCTAGGCGATCTTTGGGAATGCAAATATTTGCCATATATTTTAAAGAAACATCCTCAAGAATAAATGAAGCAGATTTACGGAGGCATACAAAGAGTTTTAAAAAAATAATTATACTGGAATTATTTTTAGGAAAAAATGATAAAAAATTTCCTTTTACTTGATTTACCTAGATTACCTCAAATAACCAAATACAAAAAATATTCCCAAAGCAAATTGTCTCTCTTAATGCTCTTACACATTTCACCATTTTATGTTTTTACCCATCATTGCTTTGTGAACTTTATTTTCATTTCTATCAAAATGTATCCATTTAATCAAAGGAATTCAATCAAAAGTTATTTCAGACTGACTTTAAATGATGATCACGAGAAGCACATAGCACAGTTGGTTACATTAGAAGATGAAAAAATGCTCATAATCCCTTTCATCTGAACTCTTACCTTACCTTAATTATACCAAAGATTGTAAACAGATCCTTCATTGACTGGTATGTGTTAATATTCCTACTAAAGATTTTAAATTATTTTAAATGCTTACTGCATTATATGGTTTGGCTCTGTGTCCCCACCCAAATCTCACCTTGAATTTTAATAATCTCCATGTGTCAAAGTGGGAACAGGTGGAGGTAATTTAATCATGGGAGTGTTTTTCCCAATGCTGTTCTCGTGATAATGAGTGAGTCTCATGAGATCTGATGGTTTTATAAATGTCTGGCGTTTCTCGTGCTTGCACTCATTCTTTCTCCTGCTGCCCTGTGAAGAGGTGCTTTATGCCATGATTGTAAGTTTCCAGAGGCCTTCCCAGACATGTGGAACTGTGAGTCAATTAAACCTCTTTTTCTTTATAAATTACCCAGTCTCAGGTATTTCTTCATAGCAGCCTAATACACTGCATTAATTTTCTATTGCTAAATAACAAATAACCATATACTTATCAATATAAGACAATACCCATTTATTGGCTCACAAATCTGTAAGTCATTATTTATGTTGCACTCCATTGGATTCTCTGATCGGAATCTCACAAGATCAAAAAGAAAATGTCGGCTGGGATGAACACTTATTTGAAGGCTTTCGGGAAGAATTCACTTCCAAGCTCATTCTGGTTGTTGGCAGAATTCTGTATCTTGTGAATGTGAGATTGAGGTCCCCATTTTCTGGCTAGCTTACCAGCCCCAGACTGTGCTCAGATCCTAGAGGCTGAAGATATAGCCCCCTGTATCTTCAAAGCCAGCAAAGATCTGTGGTATCCTTCTTGTATTTTCCTCTTTCTGATTCCGTGGTTAGATTGAGCCCATCTAGATAATCACCTTTGGGCACATAACAGTCACAGGAGTAATACGTCATTATATTGACAAATTCCACTCACATTCAAAGGGGAGGGGTTACACAAGGAAGACAGCCAAGAGAAGTCATTTTTAGAATTCTGTCTACCATACTTACCAACATTTAAACATCAGGGTATTTTATATAGATATCCAAAAATTTTGTTTTTCTTAAAAATGAGGCTATCTGTCAATGTTGGGCTACATTCCACCATTGCAACAATTGGCTAGACCTGATAAGTGACAGTCCCTTTGTTCCGAGGAGCATTCTCAAGTAGAGTTTGCAATTCGCTGTTAACACACACTCACCCAGTTCACTCTCTACGTACTTCAGTTTTCAGCAACAGCCTTACAGTATAAACGATACTGCAACACAACATTTCTAACAGAGCACATATTCACACCTCTTCAAATCTAAATTTATCCAGGAAACTAATCATCTCAATGATATCTGCACTTCGAAGATAATGAGAAAATCTCAGGCTAAGCACTGATGTTCCTTTTGCCTCTCAAGACGAATTCTTGTAATAACATTTCAATAAACTTAGTAATGCCGAGCATGTACTTAGTCTTTTGGTCTAATAAGTGAATAATATTGCACAAATTAAATCCTACCACTGAGTTAGCCCATTCAAAAGACACAAACGTACTCTCAGTGGATAAATGTCTTCCCGTGTAATCATGCCAGCAGCAGAAAATGGAATCTGTCATAAAAAATAAATTATCCAAGAGTCTGACCATGTCCACACAGCTTGGCACTAAATTTCATTTTTCTTGTTCTTCAGCTGAGAACCTAAATACACACTTATAAAGCAGTCAGAAAGATTACGTTGTTTGTCAAAGTTGGATTCTACAGCCTCAGCATTCAGATGTATGAGACTGTAGCATTCGGAAGGCCTGCTGCTTTTTATGTGTCGGTTTACTGTGATCGCACCTGTAGTTAGTTAGGTTTTCCAGTTTCAGGAGACATAAAGGTGCAGAGAGAGGCAGCACAAAGCCTGCAGGCTCATTTCTTAGGGAACTATGAGGGGAGATGCTGGGGTTTATAAAAATTGAAGTAATGGGATTTGATAAAGATTGTTGTGGGCTAGACTGTGGGAGCCTTCCATGTCAGGGTAAGACATTTGGAAATTATCTCACAGTGAGGAGGCAACTGTTTCATTTAGAGCAGCAGAAGAATACAACAGTTAGAAGTACAGCCTTTGGAGCCAGACTATGTGGTTTCAAACCTTACCGCTATGGTATGAGTGTTTGTGTTCCTTCAAAATTTATGTCGAATCTTAATCTCCAGTGCAGTAGTATTAAGAGGTGGGGCCTTTGGAGCTAGTTAAGTCACGGAGTGGAGCTCTCATGAAAGGGATTAGTGAATTTATAAATTTGTCTGGAGGCGACTAGTGTTCGTTTCCTTTTGCTTTCTGGACACAGCCTTCATCCCCTTTGGAGGATGCAGCAACCAGGTGCCATCTTGAAAGCAGAGACCAGGTCCTTACTAGACACCAAACCTGCTGGCACCTTGATCTTTAACTTCCCATGTTCCAGAATTATGAGAAATATATTTCTATTGTTCCTAAATTTTTTCTTTAACCCCAATTTACTTTGTGGACCTAGACAAAGTTGATAAATCTACCAGCGACTTTCCAATTAAAAGGACGATATTAGTGGCTATGAACTGAATGTTTGTGTCCTCTGCAAATTTATTCGCTAAATCCCTGACCCCCAATATAACTGTATTTGGAGGTAGGGTCTTTATGGAGGTAATTAAGCATAAATGAAGTAATAAGTGTGGGGTCCTGATCCAATAGCATTAGTGTCACTATAAGAAAAGAGACCAGAGCTCTCTGTCTCTCTGCACTTGCCAGAATGTTGATCTTGTCATCCCAGCCTCCAGAACTGTGAGAAATAAATTTCTGTTCTTTTAGCCAAAAAATAAAATAAAATTACCCACTTTATGGTATTTTGTCATAGTAGCACAAATGGACAAAGATGCTGCCTCTGCCACTCGCTAGCTATATGACAGGAAGCCAGTTAGTTTGATACCATGTCTTCACATCTTCATATAAAGTGAGAAGTGTAACAGACACATGCTAATATAATTCACCACTTAGAACAGTGCTGATGCCTAGTAACCATCCAAGAAATGTTAGCTATCATTATTACTGTAGAAACCAGGTTAGCGCTGACATTGAGGTAAATAAATATATGAATAAATGATAAACCCTAAATAAAAGTTGTCGAAAGATAGAAAACACAATTTATATCCTTTTTAGTAGGTACATAAGATCCCTCCATTGCGAGGAAGAGTCACACTTGAGTTCTCAGTTAATTAGACTTTGTTTTAAACCTAGTTTTCTTCCTTGTCACTCAGGGCTAATCACACAAGGCTTACTGCCTTATAGGTCTTCATCTCTAGGCTTCTGCTCTCTCTACTCATTTATTTCCTTACTAAGTGTTTCACAGTTAAATTTCCTAGAAAAAAAAAAAAAAGAGTGCAAGGGGTTTTCTCAGTCACCATTAACTCTGGATCCCTTAGCCTGGACTGTGTTTCTGCCAAGCCACTTCTCAGATTCCTGCTCATCCTGCAGATGGCTGCCTTTATGTCAGACACCAGTTCCTGGTCCAGTCACCTATGTCTGGAGTAGCAGAGAAAATAATCATATATGTAGATCCCCCTTCTCTCTAACTGCCATGAAAGGTTGTGGATTAGTAGATTATTTTGCTGTTTCTACTGCTCTTATGGTCATTGGTGCTTTGGGCTCTGGTGACGAAGAGTCTGTGCGTGAAGAAGCAGAAAGGACAACAGTTCCGTTGCCAAATTCTTCAGCAAGAGTGGGGAGAAAAGCATAGCTAATATACTTCTGAGCAGTTACAGGCCCAAAGAAAAACGTGTGAAAGCACACATGGTGGGTGGAGTGGGAGAGGCGGAGAAAGTGGGGCATGGAATGGTGGAGAGAATGCAAAGCATTCTTTCCTCAGAATGATGAGAGGCTCTGGGGCGTTTCCTTGGTATTTGGAATTTTAGTAAGAATTCATGTCAACTATGTACTTGAATCACCTTTATTATTTTTTGAGAGATCAAGTAAAGATTGTAAACATCATTCAAACTGTGCTTCCCTGATTGTACCACTTCCCTGAGCATAACTATGTGGGGCACATCTTAAGCAGGAATATAGAAGAGACTGTCAAAGAGGAGTTTGGGCATGGCTGTCACTCTGAGGTTTCCTAAAAAAGAGAAGTTTAACTGGAATTTCCGGAAATAGATACTGGAATTCCAAACAACTTGCTGGTTGTTTTACCTTCTTTGTGAGCTTAATATCTACCCAATTTCTTAGGAAAGAGGAAAAGTTTCAAATGATGAGACTATAATGTCAAATTGCACTTGGGAACTTATAAATAGATTTTTGAAATGCTATGTCTTTTTAAAATCAAGAAAATTTAAAGTAGATACTTACATTTAGATTGCATTTGGTTTCTAAATGTGCTCTCAAGAGATAATACATTAGAATATATAGTTTTCCTAGGCACTGGAGAGCTGCAATTAAAACATTGGTTCCAGACTAAGACTGAAATAAGTTCAAATGCAGGCTTTTCCACTTATTAGTTCCATTGCTCTAGATAAGTTAACATGTCTATGGTGGATTTAAATTATGCACACAAATTCTCTAATATTCTTGCCTTCAAGAGATGGAGCCTAATTCCTCTCCTCTTGAGAGTAGGTTGGACGTAGTGACTTGTTTCTAGTAAAGAAAGTGACAGGATGTGAATTTAGAGACAATATCTTAAAAAGCACGTTGACTTCCTTTCTTGGATGGCACACTCTGGAGGAAGCTTGGATTACATGCTCTAGGGGAAGCTAGCTGCCATGTTGTGAGGTCACACTGAACAGCCTCATAGAGAAATCCACCTGGCAAGGAAATGAGGTCTCCTGCAACAGCCAGCAATGAACTGAGGCCTTCTGCCAGCAATCCTGTGAGTGAGCCATTTTAGAGTTAATCCTTCAGCCACAGTCAAGCCTTCAGATTGCTGTTAGCCCACACAAACATCTTGGCTGCAGCTTCATGAGAGACCCTGAGTCAGACTCACCCAGCTAAGCTGCTACCAAATTCATGACCTATGGAAACTGTGTGAGCTAATAAATGCTTGTTGTTCTAAGTTACTAACTTGTGTTAATTTCTATTATACCATGTTATTTTAGTACTATTTTGGAAAGCCAGGATTTAATGAGGGTTTAATAAAAAATACAGCAGTGCTGACTATTCCAGTAGCCACTGACCCTATGTAGCTATTTAAATTTAGTCAAAATTAAATAAAATTAAATATTCAATTTGTCAGTTGCATTAGCTGCATTTGAAGGAACTCTGTAGCCATATGTGGTTAGCACTGTATTGGATAGTGCAGATATAGAACATTTTCATTAGTTCAGAAAGTTTTTCTTTTCTTTCTTTATTTTTATTTATCTACTTTTAGAGACAGGGATAGCTCTGTCATCCAGGCTGGAGTGGCACAACATAGCTCACTACAACCTTGAACTCCTGGGCTCAAGCAATCCTCCCTCCTAAGCCCTCCAAGTAATTGACACACGTGCCACCATATCTGGCTAATTAAAAAAATATATTTTTTTTAGAGACAGGATTTTACTATGTTGCTCAGGCTGGTCTAGACCTCCTGGCCTCATGTAATTCTTCCGCCTCAACCTTCTTAATACCTATAATTACAGGCATAAGCCACTGTACCCGGCTGATTGCAGGAAGTTCCGTTAGACAACATTGCTCTGTAGCAATGTAGTTTAAATTGGAGCCTGCAAATGCAAATACTAAACATGAATAATTTTTGAATGTTGTAAATTTTTGAATTTAAGTATTTAAGATTTTTTTAAAAAATAAACATACTCTGGATCATTTGGACAACCATCTTAAAACCAAGTTTTGCTAATTGATTTCTGTGCTCGATTTTAGACCTTGAATTTTTATGTTTATGATGGAGTTCCAGGCAGACTGTGCTACTCTTAAGTGTTGAGGGCTATTGTTAAAAGGACAGAGTCAAAATCATGCATAAACAATAGGTGATTAAAATGTGTGTGATGAATTCAGTCCACGGTGTCAAGCATGCTCTCTGAGTGAAAACTCAGTAGTGGAAAAATTCACTCATCACATGACTCATTAAGCATTCAACAATTCACTTTAAGCAAGACAATATTCTCTTTATGTTAAATTTATACTCTTCATTTGACTAGTCTCAATTTTATAATTTTACTGGTATTTGTAATTGCCTTTGATCTTATAGATGCATAGTGGTTATAAATACAAATACACTTTTAAGGTTATACATGCCTCAGTATATAATAATTCTATACATAATTCTCTCATGCCACCTTATTTGAATTGGGAAACTTTACAAAGAAGAAACCTGGGGAGAATACCCCAAATTTGCCATCTGCAGTGAAATTAACCATTACAGATAAGGATCAGGCCTACAAAGGAAGTCGAGTTTCACCTTCAGTTAACAGACTTGTATTTTAACCTGGGTCTTCAAAGAAAAGAACGCCTAAATCTGAAAGATCTTGTTGGAGGAAATTTCTTTCACATTGACACACGGATGAAACAGGTATTTCAAAATGGAGGAACTTCTTGCACTTCACAGCATACCCAGTAGGTGGCCTCACCTACACTTTTGCCAATGCATGTGAATGTAAGTGCTTCTTTGATGATGCATTTCATTATCTCTGTGAGACACCTAACTATTGAGAAGAACAGGCTTCTAAACAGAGAAAGGCTTTTGATGAATGCAGTAGAATTATATTAAGTAATCGGCATATCTTTTGTTATGTTGATTGTGTCCTGATTTTTATTTGAATCCGGTGAAAAGTAAAAAGGTCTGAATTTCTCCCTCAGCTATGCACGTGTTAATTCTTTCCAACAGCACACAGAGCTAAGTCAACCCTTTCTGAGTAAAACAGCTTGGCTTTGAGACCTGCTGTTTTCTCCAGCTTCCTCTTTTCCTGTGTCATGGAGTGGCCTTGAGAAATGCCTCTCCCTGTTATTGATGGGAACAACCCAACAGCTTTTAGTAACTGCCAATCTCACTTACTCTTTTCCTTCTTTTCTCCCTCAGGTCCATTTCCTTCCACTCTGTCTTGTCACCTCCCCCTATTCTGCATTCTTTATCCTTGCTTCATTTCTTTTTTGCTTTAATTACACTAAGCTGTAAATATTTTTTAGTTCTCTGAGACTCTCTTCACGTTTTTCATCCTGAAAGTGTTGCAATTAGCTTTTTTACTGACTGCTACTGACTTCCCATTGATGGCATTTACTTAAATGGTAATGTTATCTTTGTGACATATGCATTCAAAGAAGAAACAGGGCTTGCCTTCATATGTCTGAATAAAGGAAGTGCCTATTTTCTCACTAGATTATTTTCTGAATATCAGAATAAATTAGATCTCATTGAAACATAATGTATTTCTCAAAGGAACAATTTTATGACTGGGGAAGTCACATAATCTGACAATGAACATTTAGTTAGGTATAACAAATTGCGTCACATCCCTGGTCAAGTGCTTACCTACCTTGTAAGAGTTAGAACAAATACACCTGATTATTTGGGGACACCCAAGAAGAAATGAAATTTTACTGTACTTTATATACTATCTCATTCTAGTTCTTTTAAAATATTATTTTGTATGTATGTTGCAACACTCACAATTGCAATAGAAACACTCAGAGTGTTTCTAGATTAATCACTTAGCACAGTGACTTCTACCTTGATTGTAATTTAAAATAGTAAAGTTAGGTGACAGTGCTCTAAATGGCCACAATTGCATCATACTTGTTTCTGTACAAAGCTCTTTCCTATTTCTTAAAATGTTAAAAAATAAAACTCTGTCCATTTGTATAGAATTGGGTCATTAAGTAATGAACGACCTATTGAAATCTCATATGTTAGCTAAAATAAACATCAATTTAAAATTATCAGACTGGTCTCGAACTCCTGACCTCAGGAGACCAGGCTGACCAACATGGTGAAACCCTGTCTCTACTAAATACAAAAAATTAGCTGTGCATGGTGGCACATGCCTATAATCCCAGCTACTTGGGAGGCTGAGGCAACAGAATCCCTTGAACCTGGGAGGTGGAGTTTGCAGTGAGCTGAGATTGCACCATTCACTCCAGCCTGGGCACCAAGAGTTAAACTCTGTCTTAAAAAATAAATAAATAAAATTATAAAATTATCAGATTATATTTTCCTTGATATTTAAAATATGGAAGGTTTATTTTAAAAGGGTTTATCTTTTTGTTGTTGATTTCTTTTTAAAGAAGTATGCAGGGAAGTTTATATAGATAATTTCCTCATAACCAATATTCAAAATCCTTTCATGGATCCTTTAGTGACATTCACATCTGTTCTCAAGCTATTCAAAATAATTCCTGAAAGACTGGATAGATTATTATTTTAATAGTTAATGTAAGTATTTCAATGCCTTTTAGCAATGAACACTCTTACCTTTTGCAGTTAAATTGATATTCAATTTATTAGAGTTACAAATTCAATAATCACATTTGCCTTAGGTTTTCAAGCTATGTTTTATAAATCTTATGTCATTCAAAAATCTAAATACATTTTATTTGAAAAAGAACAGTCACTTATACTCTTTTACTTACTCTTTATGAAACAGGAAAATAGGGTGAAGAGGCAGGGAAAATAGGGTGAGGAGGCAGGAAAATAGGGTGAAGAGGCAGGGAAAATAGGGTGAGGAGGCAGGAAAATAGGGTGAGGAGCTAAGGTGGATTCACACTTCAGCTAGGACAGGAAATATCCTCTCCATAGGGCGTAGGCTGTAAATGACTTTGTAACTTTACTTCATTCTCTCCATTTACGTAGGGTGTACCCCAACTAACCAATGGAATCCTCTAGAGGGTATTTAAACTCCCAGAAATTCTGTAACAGGGCCTTTGAGCCCCACTATGCTCAGGCCCGCTCCCACACTGTGAAGTGTGCTTTCATTTTCAATAGATCCCTTCATTCCTTCCTTGCTTTGTTTGTGAGTTTTGTCCAATTCTTTGTTCAAGATGCCAAGAACCTAGACACCCTTTACCATTAACATTTAATTAACATTTGATCAGCTCAAGTTTAATGGTTTAAACTCTCAAACAATTAATTCCTTGAATAAATTAGTTAATTAAATCCCCTTAAACATGTTAAGCTGAATTTCTAAATTTAGTGTTTTAAGTACTTCAATTTTTTAAAGTACTGGCCTGACAAACTATTAGCATTTGAGAACCTCAAAAATGATCTCCTTGCTTCTTGCCTGAATTTGAAATGTAGTTATTTATTTCACAATTAATTAATGTAACAGTTTTACAGTGCTTATTCTGTCTCAGACTGCCCCACTGAGCTGGCCACACAGCCAGACAGATCTATTGTTCCCAATATTACCAAGTAGCTAATGCACTCCTCCCCTGAAGAGGAGGAGATGGAACAGTTATCTACAGGAACTTCTGCATATAGGAAGGTAAAACCAAGGAAAAGATGGGTCTAATTTGCCCAGCCAATGCATTTGTATGAGTGCGCATACACACACTCATGCAAACACACACAAACACCCTCTAGTTTTGTGTTCTTGTTATGCTTGGGGCCTAATTATTAAAACTATGGCCCAAATAGGGCTGTGACTGTCTCCATCAGTGGAGAATATCAGCCTGTGACTTCTCAAAGAAAAATTGCACTGGGTGCAGTTAAACAGGCAGAGAAGACTTCATCAAGTCTTCTACTGTTTCAACAGTAGTTAAGACTGTTGGAATAAAGAGAAAGAATGAATTCAATTCCACTGAAACAAAAGGCAGAAGAGTTGTTAAACACTGGAGTGAGCTATTGGGTAAATCCTTGAAGACCTAGGATGGGGCATTGGGCAATATGATTAGGCCGTCTGTGTTTGCTAATTGGCATTTTCCCCTAGTTAGGCTCTTACACTCTCACAAAGACTTGGAGACCGGGGCTCTACTTTTCTTAATGTTTCTACTTCCCAGGTCTTAGAGAAAGCCATGACTGGGTTGTAGAACATTTACATTTCGAAGCAATAGGGCAAAAATTAGCAATTGCAAGTTTCCTAAAGTAAATAAGAAAAGGGAGGACAAGGGCCTATAGTCAGGGATTAACCTGTCTAAAGCTGAGAGAAACATTACATTCTTCTTGGTCTGACCTCAGTTGGTTGGTTCCAGTTTTGCACCCAGAAGACTCAGATATAGATAAAAACATTAATCTGAGGAATCAGAACTGAGCTACTCTGAACCCAAGAGAGAAAAAATGAGGAAAAGGCAGTCATTCTCTCCTCTAGGCTAATATTTGGGGTTGTCTAAGAGCTATTTGTGTAATAGATCAGGCTTAAATCTATTCTAATCTTTTCTTTAATGTGCTTAAAGGTATAATTTCATCCTTCTGCTTCTTCCTCCCATCTCTCAAATGCTACCTCTTTTAGGAGGTACTTAAAGAACACAATAAGCACAAAAATGTGTATTGATACTTGTTATTCTAATATATTTAGCGAGCATTATAAAGGGTAGAATTTTGCTTTCTGATTGTAATGTAGTTAGTATTATAGATCACCTTACAAAGTTCTGTTCCAATGAAGAGGATGAACAATTCGTATAAAAAAACTCATGCGTGGAGAGTTTTATTTTGTTGAAAAAAAACTCATGCTTGGAGAGTTTTATTTTGTTGAAAAAAAACTCATGCTTGGAGAGTTTTATTTTGTTGAAAAATATAGATTTACTTAGTAGTCTTTTTCATGATGGTCTGAGCTTTTGTACCAACTCACAATTTAATTTTTTCAATTCTTTCTAAGGCTTAGCATCTAAACCTAAGAGCAAGGTTACTAGCTTTGATTTAATGAAAGCGGTGAGTATGACGTAGAAGGTAAGACAAGATGGACTCTATTATAAGGGAGGAAATTAAATTTTCACATTTTGATTGATTCTGGAAATCCATATTTTTGGTGATAAGTTGATAAGGTATTTTATGTAATGAAAAAATGAATTTTGAAAAGTGCAAATGTAAGTATGCTAATTGAAAAAAGTTGGAGAACGTTAGAAAATCAATTCATTTTGTAAGTGCACTGATTAAAAAAGGTGCGGCAAGGGGATTTACGTAAATGTAGTGAATTAAAACATTTATCTTGCAAACTTGATAAACTGCAGTAGGTACTTTAGAGGGTGAAAATAATTAGTTCCTCAGCTCCCACATGTACCTGAATCATTGTTAAAATTAAATTTGTTTATTGCTTCAAAATGACTTTATTTTAGTGCAACACAGACTTAGAAACCTATAATGGGATGAACTTTTTTCTACTAACTTTTGTTTTCATTTACTGTAGGGGATAGATTCTCATCTTTAATAACATTGTTATCCCTTTTCTCTCTCTCCTTAAGACACAGTAACCCTGAGAGTTATCTTATTGTAGGCAAGATCATTTTGGAAACAACTATTCCTCTTCCTAGCCCCTCTCTAATATATTATCTAAATTGCAGTCTCTGATTAGATTTTAGAGTGAAAATATGACCTTGTCACTCTTTTTCTTAAAATCTTTCAATATTTCCCCATTATCTAGTATAAAGTTCCCATGAGACGTTTTCTAATCAACTCCTGCAGATTAATCTAAATTCATTCTACACTATTTGCCTCCACACTGAACTTTACATTTTTCAGTCATGCTGAACTCTTATTGTCCCTTTAACATGTTATCTGTTTTAGGCCAAGTTTCTGTTTTTGTTATTTCCTCTGCCTTGAATAATCCCTAACAAACTTACATTGCTGATACCCCAAATTCTAAAACTTCCTTTAATTCTGATTAAATTCGAAAAGCTACTTCCATCATTAAACCGGTATTCTTGAGTACCTACTATAGGCCAAGCAGTATTCTGGGTCCTAGGATACAATGATAAACACCCTCTCTTCTCCGATACACACACATACACACACAGACACACAAACACACACACACACACACACACACACAAGTTTTACCTGCAGAGCTCATATTCTACTGGGAAAAAGACAATACTTAAGTAGGTAAGTTACACAGAGTTAGAAAAGAAATAAAGCAGGGAATGGGAAGTGAAGTATGCGTTGTGACAGATGACAGATAGGGCCAGGGAAGGTTGAACTGGGTGGGGACTTTTGAGTTAAGACCAGAGAAGTGGCTGGGTCAGTCATGTGGATAGGCAAGGCTAAAGTCTTCCTGGCAGAGAGAAGACCAAGGGCAAAGGCCCTAAGTTTGGGAGCATACCTAGAGGATGCAAAAGTAGAAGGAGGGAAACCTAGTAGGAGGTGATTGCAATAATCCAGAAGAAAGATGGTGATAAATTAGACCAGAGTGGTAAGTGGAGTGGATGGAGTTGGGGAGTGATTGGATTTTTTGGGTCAAGAAAAGTCAAGGATCAATCCCGGAATAGTTGATTTTATGTCAACTTGGCTAGACTGTGATGATCAGATATTTGGTCAACATTAGTCCAGATGTTACTGTACAGGTATTTTTAAAAATGTGATTAATGTTTACAATCAGTTGACTTAAAGGAAATTACCCTCCATAATCTGGGTGGTCTTCATCCAATCAGTTGAATATCTTAAGAGCAAAGACTGAGGAATTCTGACTACAGACTGGAATATAAAAATTCTGCTGAATTTCCAGCTTTCAGACTCAAGACTAAAACATCAACTCCTACCTGAATCTCCAGCCTCTGCTAACTTGTCTATAGAATCCAGACTTACTAGCTGCCACAATTGCTGCTGAGATAAGCCCTTAAAATCTCCACCTCTCTCTTTTCCTTTGTATTTACACACACACACACACACACACACACACACACACACACACAGTGTCTCCCTCTCTGTGTGTGTGTGTGTGTGTGTGCCTTCTCTGGAGAATCCTGACTCCTAACTAATACAACTCCAAAGGTTTTGGCCATGTAAAGATGAAATGTGAAACGATGACACTACAGCTAAGCAGTTGGCTGGTGGGTACTATTAGGAGTGTAAGTTTGACATATTAATTTTAAGATGCTTACTTGAAATTGAAGTGGAGATGTGGAGGTTACATGTATGTGTCCGAAGTTCTGGAGAGTGGTCTCATCTGGAGATTATGAAATGAGGCCCTCTTTATTCAACAGAGTTTCATATAACCGGTTTTACACATTAAAGCAATCACACATAACAGAAAGATCCTCTGTTTTAATCACTTGTTCATCTTGATCATTTAAATAATGTTCAATCTCACATCCTTTTTTGATCTGAAAAAATATTATGCTTTACCCCATATTTTCAGTTGTATATTTGACTACTTTTCAAACTAATGCTTTCTTTCAAATAGCCTCTTTAAAGTTTATCTGTGAGTTCAAGGCCCAGCCTGTTTTGTGAGTCATAAAGCAATCCTGGGCGCATTTGTGTGTGGGAAGTAGCTAGGTAGTGAGAGACCTTGTGCATCAAAGAGAGCATAAAATTTTTGTGTGAGATAGATACCAGCTTCTATATAACACAACATTTAAGATTTAGATCAAAATGTGGGAGTTTTCACAGGGTAGATGGTGTGTGAAGCCATGCCACTGGATGAGCTCATAGAGAGAATGAGTGAGATAGAAAAGAGATGGAGTCCAAGGACAAAGCCCTGGGGACTCCAAGATTTAGAGTTCAAAATAGGCAAAATATATTTAGTAAGAGAATATAAAAAGGTATAAAGAATACCAGGTAGATGCCAAAAGAAGAAATTATTCTAAGGAAAATGTGATGAATAGTATTAAATGCTATTGACAGTTTCTCGTCCATATTTCAGTGGTAACTCAACTTCATGATTAACCTTCCTAAGTCTGGTGCATTTCTCCCATTTCCATATCTCTGTGAAAGAAACCTCCAGCAATATAGTTGCTCAAGATAGTAATGTGGGACTCATTTTTCATTCCTGCTTCTTTCTGTCTCCAAGTTTTGTCCATTAGTGAGGCCTGCCAATTTTATCTTTTAGATTTCTCTTGAATTCACTCACTTCTCTCTATGTCCGCTTAGACTACTATAATAATATCTGCTCTATCAGTGGCCACTTTACAAATTGACTCACCAAGTTGATCCTTTGGAAATATAAATCTAATTCCCATTATATCCTCAATTAGCCATCAATAGCTTTTACTACACTTTTAAGATTAGGACAAGACTAACATGTACTACCTCTACCTCCAGCCTCATCTTATAGCACTCCATGAGTGTCACTGAGTAAAAATGAATGAATGAATGAATAAATAACTACCCTTGTTCCTCTGAAATTTACCACAGAATGACATGTTATCAGAGGAAACAGGACATTTAACATAAAAACCCAATATTTTTATTTGATTAAATCCCTCAAAACCAATTGTATTAGTCCATTCTCACTTTGCTAATAAAGACATACCTGAGACTGGATAATTTATAAAAGAAAGAGGTTTAATTGACTCACAGTTCAGCAATGCTGGGGAGGCCCCAGGAAACTTGCAATCATGGTATATATATATGTATATATATATATATATATATATACACACACACACACACACACACACATATGTATAAATACTAGAGATACAAGGCAATATACATATATATATATACACACACAGGGATATAGATATGTATCTCTAGTATTTTTATATATATATTTGATATTTATATATATACACATATATAAATACTCGAGATACAAGAGATATATATATATATTTTGAGAGTGAAGGCTATGCTATATAGCACTCTCAAAATACCACTAAAATATAAAAGGAAACAAATATTTGAAGATAAAGTTTGGACAAAGCACTGCTATACTTAGCACAGGAGAGGTAAAAAATTAGTGTTGTGGGAAGAGATCAATTGCTTGCAACTGGATTCATGAAGGGTTTAAACTAATGGTTGTTGGATCTATACAATCATATTTGTTGTTGCTGATGTTTTTAAATTAAATCTCATACTTTATTTGGATTACTGTGGTTTTTGTTGTTTAAATCAAAGAAGGTTCATGCAAACATTATAGCCCTTATATAATACTGTATTTGTTTATGTGCCTGTCTTTTGCTCAAAGTATGAGATCCTACTGAATGTATTCACATTTGCCTGCCCATGTTTTTACAATTTTATTATTTTTAAATGAATAAGTAAATGATTGTCTGTTGGGGAAAAGAAAACCGACCAGGAGGGTAAGAAACCTGTACAAATTTTGGTCTTCACAGTTTTTCCTAGTTCCTAATATAGTCCTAACTATCACCAAACATATTTGCATTCTAACATTGGCCCGTATCGAATCAGGTAATGTTTGTTGGAGGCTCATTTAAGGTGAAGGTAGTTTAGCTTTTTTTTTCTTTTCTTTTTTTTTTTTTTTAATTAATACTGTTAAATCCCTGGTGAAGATAGAAACGTGTGAGGGGCCACAATAGATGACAAAAGCTGCAGAGAAAGGAATGAAGAGAGAAATGAATTAGAAAGTTGGTGTTGAAGATTTAAAATGAGAAAATAGATACATGCTGGTGAGTAAACACTTCCCACTCTGTTTGATGTCATTCTGAGATGCAGATAGAGTGGTGTAAAAGGGACTTCCAGGCAGAGTGAGACAAGAAGTGGAGTCATAGCACATTAAAATTGAAAGCAGTAACAATTATTACCAAATAGGAAAGTTTTCTTCTATTATCGCTTCTTCTGTCTACATCCTTGTATTTTAAATTAAAAATTTCCCTAAATTTCAAAGCATATTTCAATTCTTAAGACAATAAGATGTCAGCATTTTGTATTAAAAGAAAGAAAAAAGATCACATTGGACCCATTTTAAATTTTTTCTTACAACAAATTTTCCACTTGAACACGGAAACATTAAACCTTGAAATAGAATTGAAAAGTCTATCCTTTAAGCTAGCCAGTGTCAATTATGTTTCTTTGATTACATTCAAATAAAAATTAACTTCATTTGTCTTGAAAAAAAAGATATATTGAATAACTGTGGGATGGCTGTACACACACTCAAAGAAAAAGCTGAATAACTGGGCCTTCTAAAGGGTAGGTCATAGTGTAGTTCCAAAAGTAGATCATAGTGTAGTTTTGAAATTTTGGGTGGCAAGAAGAAACAATTAGATTCTTTAGGGCATTACTGATGAGATAAATCAGACTTCACCCTTTTTTAAAAAGGTTTTTAAAGTTGAAATAATTTTAGACCTACTGAAAATTTACAAAAATAGCACAGATAATTTTCGTACAGCCCTTATTTATAATCCTTAACTGTGTTGCAACTATCAAAATCTGGAAATTAACATTGGTGAAATACTATTAATAGATGCATGTGAATTGTCTTTTATCCCTTTCTTGCATGAAGGTAGCATACTGTAGATACTTGTTTTTTTAATTTAGTAGTATATCCTAAAAATCCTTATCAGTTTATAGAGATCATCTTCATTCTTTTGTTATAGCTGCACAGTACACCATTGAGTGGAAATGCTAGTTTATTCAACCATTTTCATATGTGTAAATATTTAGCTTGTTTCAATACTTTGAAATTTTGCAAGTAATGTATCAATGAATGATGCATATTTGCATATGTATTTCTGCATCATTGGACGTGTCTTCAGGGTGAATTCCAAAAACTGTGATTGTTGGGTTGAAAGGTAATTACATATGTAGTTTGTTAGGTGTTGCTAAATATCCCTCTAGAAGGGTTGTACCACTTTGCATTCCTACCAGTAATGCGTGAGAGTAATTTTTTCCCCCAGGGCCCCAATGACAGAATGTTCTGTTGTGTTTCTAATTTTTTTTCCAGTCTGATCGGTGAAAAATGGTACCTTAGTATTGTCTTATTTGCAATTCTCTAATTACAAGTGACTTTGAACAGTTTTTCCTGTTTGAAAATAATTTTTGTATCATTTTTATGAGAATGGTTTGTTCAAATATTTTTGACATTTTCCTTTGGTTTTTATTTTTCTCTCTCAATTTTAAGAGTTTTATATGTGCTAGGGATTTTAGTCATTTGTGGTATGTGTTTTGATAAATTCTTCCAGTTTGTTAAATTCCTTTAGACTTAGTGGGTTTTTGTGTGTATGCAAACTAAAATAAAAATTATATATTGTCATATTCACCAATCTTGGGTTTTACTTCTAACTCTTCCATTTATTTATTGTGAACTTTGTTATTTGAACTCTAAAATTATTAGAGCCAATTACCCAATATCCTCCAGTTTTTGTAACTCATAGTCTCACCTTTAGTCAGTGGGCAGAGTTTTATAAATCATGTATAGAGCTAGATATCTATCATAGGCTGTGTTCCTTGAGAAAGACAACCCTGAGATAAGAACTTGTGTCTAAGTAGTTTATTTGGAGTGGGGGGGTGATCTTAAGAAGCGCCAATAGGGCAGTAGAGAAATGAAACAGGGAAGAGCAAGAAGTCAATACAAAATGCATTTAAGAGCAAGTTAACGCTGAACTAACATGCATGTTGTGCACATGAGGACATTGAGATACCATGCATTGAATAGACTTGCTTAAAGGGAAGTTTAAGAATAGAATCTAGAATTGTTCAATCTAAGCAAAAAATGTTCTCTGCACACTAAGCTGCCATCCTACATGTTAGTGAGGAAGAGAAGGATCTGCATAATAGTGTCATTGTACATGGTCCATAAACACTAGAATGCGAGTTCTCAACATAGAAAAGAGGCTAGCACCATAGGAGGTGCTGAAAAATGTGGAATTAGTATTGAGTGATTCATGTACACATTAAAACTGCAAAACACCTGATCTTCAGGGCACCAAGAAATAGGCAGAAATTGCAGGCCAGTAGCTCCTATGCTGGTTGATATCTGTACCAACTGGACAAACCACTTCTAAATCTTCTTGCTCTCCCTGTATCTAGATTTTTTTCACTTCTATTCAATGCCCTCCCTTTCGGTCCAAAATACAAATACCTTCCTGTCAAGTGGTAACAAAAGCTTTGTTGGAGACTTGGGGTTAAGCTAAGATTACTAATCAGATAAGTGGTTTAGGATTTGCTCAACCTGGTTGTTTTGAATATTTATTAGACCTAGGAAACTCTCTTAAAAAGATCCTGAGGATTAGGCCCTGTAGCAAAATTCATCTGCATTTCTTTGTTAATTCATCTACACCTCCAAAGGGCATGTAATGGGGCAGGAAACATGGTTGGGGACAAGGGAGCAGAAGTAACCAAATAATTGTGAAATTTAAACTACAGATTTTTTACTCCTTCCTGAGGTTTTAATGGCCACCTTAAGTACACAAACCTATGTAGCAACTCTCCAGTCATCAAAATTGCCTCTTCTCACTTGTTTGGGCATTTTAGTTGTCCACTGCTTACTGGGGAATGAATGCAACTGCAAATGTAGACGCTCGGTGCAGTGAGATAATACATTGAAATACTGAACCCACACTTCCTCGTGTATGATCCTTTCCCTAGGTAGTCAGAAGCATGCACATTGCCTGGAGAATTAAACTGTTGTGGCAGGAATGCAGAGAGAAAGAGACAAGCTTTAGTTTTTGACTTCCAAATTGGCTCTCCAAGCCCACATCAGACACAATAGTCATCACCAGGAGACTGCTGAACACTATCAGTCTCCCGTGCCACGGAGCAGTGTGGGATACAAGCCAAGGCTTGCAGGCCATCAGTGCCATTTGAGCAAGCTCATCGTGTTCCCAGTGCTGAAGAGCCTCATTAACGGTTCTTGTCAGTGGCAGGTGAGTTTTCCATCCGAACATCAAAAACTGCCTGCACTTATCCAGGTGATGCCCACTGTGCTTGAAGACTTTGAGGGCACCTATTTGAATAGCCTCATGTAGACAGCCACTCCTTTTCTCACTCCCCTTTTTAATTGCCTAGGATATTTGTATATCAAATGCTCAAAAAAGAATGCAGTGCACAATAAAATCCGCAGATTTAATAATGCTGTAATAAGAATGGTACATTACTTGGAGCAGTGGTGTAACCCTTAACGTCTATGTTAGAAGGCTTTTAAAAATACATTTGGGGGAAAGAAAAAACAGACATTCTAGAAACCTTGGCTCTGCAAATTCTGATGATTTAGAATAGAGAAGTTTTTCACTGGGTATATGTGCTTTGGGCGGAGTAAAGAGAAAAGTCAAAAAGAATTATAACACTGTGGTAAGACTGTAGCAATGTCTGGAAAAGAAATCAAGCATTTTAGCATTTCTAATGCATTCACCTGAATGGATTCTTCACATTAGCTGTCTCTCACCTCCGAATAAAAGCCAAAATCTTTACAATGGATTTCTAAGCTATAGCTCATTGGCTGATGTACTCTGTCCCTAGACCCTCTTCCTTGTCTCTCTGACCTCACGTACTTTCTGTTTACTTGCTTTACTCAGGCCACACTGGCTTTCCTTCTGATCAAGTGCCCATCTATGGGCGCTTTTGAAGTGTATCCTCAAAACTTCTGTAGTTGCCATTATATGGGCATGGAACTATCTCCCCTACACACTGTTGCATGGCTTGCTCTTTTACTATCTGCGGTAGTCTCCATTTTGGCCTCCAAAGGCATCCAGGTTCTAATCCCCAGAACCTGTGAATAATACTTTATAAGGCAAAGGGGATTTTTCAGATGTGATTAAGTTAAGGGTTTTAAGATGAAGAAAGTAGCCTGGATTACTCAGGTGTGCTCTAATTGCAATGATTAGCGTGCTTTTTCAAGGAAGGCAGAGGGAGATATGCTGTAGAGGAAGGTGATGTGACTACTGAAGCACCGTGCCACATTGCTGGCCCTGGAGATGGAGGAGTGTCCTGAGCCAAGGAGCGCAGCTCTAGAAACTGGAAAAGGTAAGAAAATGGATTCTCCCCCAGGGCCTCCAGAACCAAGTACAGTCCTGCCTACACCTTGATTTTCTCCTAGGGAAACTGGTTTCAGACTTCTGATATCCAGAACTAGAAGAGAATAATTTTGTGTGGCTTGAAGTCACTAAGTGTGTGAGAATTTGTTAAAACAGCAATAGTAAACCAATACACCAATATTTGCTCACATATCAACTTGTCAGTGAGCCCTTCTCTCACAACTTTACTCAAAATTGCAACCCACTCTATTTCTCTGTGTTTTAAATTTTCTCCGTAGCTTTTTTCATCATATTATATAATTTATCTGTTTTTTCTTGTTTCTCTTTTTCCCCCAGTGAAGTACGTTGCATGGGAGTTGACTTTTTGTTTGTTTGGTAACTGTGGGAAATAATTCACTCAGCAAACGAGGTGGAACAAATGGGTATCTCTTAGCAGAGGGGGTGTGAAAAAGGAAAGGAATATAGGACAAGAAGTCATGGAGGATATAATGGACGCTGAACTCAAGAATGTGTATGTTTTGAATATCCTGGAATAAGAGAGAGAGCTTGCTTAGAGGAGGTTATAAAAAATCTTTTGGAAGTAGTGTACCGAGATGGAACTGGTGAGAGGTGAGCAAGTGCTCCAACTAAGGGTTCCTAATTTGCCTTCCCTATTTTGCAAGGACTGCTGAAGGATAGAACAGACCAATGTGGGAAATATTAGGATAAATCCTTTGGGGACAAAAACAAAAGAAGTAAAATAAATCTTGATACCTTCACTTTTTTTTTTTCATGAGAACGCAACGGTAGAAACACACAATTTCTTTTATGTCGAGTCCAAAGCATACGAGCTTTATTTTGAAGTAGCAGAAGGAGGAAAAAAAATACATTACTTTAAGTTCTGAAACAGAATCCTGCCTAGGGAGAGAGGAGCCCTATTCAGTCATAAATATCAGGATATGGCCCCTTGGGCATGAGCAGATGGTTTCTAATGAAGGGCTAGCCCAACTATTCTGCAGCAGGAATTATCTGAAACCTTGGGTGGGAGATACGGCTAAGTGAGCTTGGTCTGAGGAGAAAAAGGGACAGCAACATGATGCAAGTCCATGATTGTAGTAGGAAAATTACCATCACAAATACCCTACTTAACTTTGAAGGCCAGGTGTGTCCCATAGTCAATGTTAGGTTGTTTGTCCTCCTATGTAGCTAAATAAATTTACCTCTCACCTCCTAAGTTTTTTTTTTTTTTTTTTTTTTTTTTTTTTTTGAGACGGGGTCTCGCTCTGTCGCTCAAGGTGGAGTGCAGTGGTATGATGCAATCTCGGCTCACTGCAACCTCTGCCTCCTGGGTTCATGCCATTCTCCTGCCTCAGCCTCCTGAGTAGCTGGGACTACAGCCACCTGCCACCACGCCTGGCTAATTTTTTAAAATATTTTTAGTAGAGACGGGCTTTCACCGTGTCAGCCAGGGTGGTCTCTATCTCCTGACCTCGTGATCCACCCACCTCAGCCTCCCAAAGTGCTGGGATTACAGGCATGAGCCACAGTGCCCGGCCCCCTCCTCTCTAAATTCTTAAGTACAATCTGAAATACACATAGCCTTGAGTTGGAGAAATTTGGAAGATAAAGGCATTGAGTAAGATTCAGTGGGGCAGTGGGGCCTGCAAACATAAAAACTGTCACTTGAAATGGAGATGGAGAATAAAGCTCAACCAACCTGGAGAAATGCAAGCTTGCCCACCCTATCTCTACCCAAATAATCATAAGGGATTTGAAGAATTCAAGCCAACTTTATGCAAATATTAAATATATTACCACCTGGAGAAATTAAGTCTGTCCAGGAGGCAAATGTTTGGGTTGTAAATTTAACAGGAAACATTTCTATTCTGTTTTTTTATGTATTCCTTTTCTCTCCCCCTTTCTCCCCTTGGCACCAAAAAATTTCTGGCCTGTATAGGAAGACATACCTGGCATGAAAGTTGAAAGGATTATGAAATCTTGCATTGGATATTTTAGTCGACAGTTTTCCTTTGGACCTTTCTTCTTAAAAACTAAGCTCTGGCACATTGTTGTGGGTTGTTTTCTTTCTTTCTGTGGCTCCATGCACATGCTGTTGCTTTTGTATTTATTCTCAGCAGGGCGTTCTCTGACACCTATATCAATCAGAACCTTCCTTTCAAAACAGAGCCAATGTGGAGAAGATCTGGAGGTCTGTACTGGAGTCTTGCTTTGAGATGGGCTTGGAAATCAAACAAGAAATGCAAACCTTATTAATCAAAATGGGCTCAAAGGAGATTTGTCTGACAGCACTGCAGAGAGCAGTAATAAAATTAAATAAGTGTCTGTGAGTAGTTACACAGGAAAAAATGTTTCTTGTAAGACAACAGATAAATGGTAAAGCACATTAAGGTTTGAAAGCTTCTTTTGGAGGAGGGCTGTCAGAGTGGCCATTTACATCCTTCAGCTGGGTGCCAGAGTCTTCTGTGCATCCTAATAGCTCCTCTGCTGTGTCTGCCAGAACTGTCATTCAGAGATCATAAAATAAGCAAAGAGTCAGCATCTCTTCATTGTTTCAAATCAAAGGCTAAACGTTTTTTACAAGCAATGGGACTAACTATGGTGCCTGGAATTTGGAACATAGGTGGTTTTGGCTCTTTTGAATCTTTTGTTCGTTCATTCATTTGGCCAATAGATTCTTACTGAATTCATGGTAGGTGCAAACTATGGCATGACACAAAAATGGTCTAGGAACATATTCTCACCTAAAGGAACTTTCCATTTTAAATGGGTGAAAAGGCATGTACAAACATAGTAAAAGTAATATAGGCCAAGAGTGTAAATGCTGTGAAAATGTTACTTTACTTCACTGTCCTTATTTTGTCCTTCAGGAACTGCAAGGGATGAGGCACTATAGATAAGAGTGCCTTATCAACACTTCTTGCGTCCAATTCTTCACCCTTTACTATTCAACTCAATATCATCTGATATTCACCCCTCACCAACCTGTAGAAATGGTCTTTGCAAACACCACCAATGACATCCTACTGTTGAAAAGTTTAACAAATGTTCAGTCTTCAAGAAAGGTGGTATTCATACATCCCTTTACTTCTTCTTTTATAACCTATTCACTAAGATGAAGCAATATTCACATCAAGAAACTGAATTTATCTCAAACTTCCAAGATAGGCCTCTCCTGGCTTGCCTCCTGCCTTGCTGACTTCCTTTACCCTGGTCTTCACTTGCTCCTCTTCCTCTCTACGTACACCATCAATGGGGTTGTCTCCCAAGGTTTTATCCTGGCATATTTTTCTACTTTTTTCTGTTAACCCCCTTTCCTTGGTTTTACAAGGAAACATAAACATAGCTCTTATCAGCCTTTTGTTGTTGACTCCCAGATTTTTATCTTTAATTACAACATTTTTGGGGGGTGCTCTTTATATAAAAATTCCCAGTGACTATGACCTCTTGGAAATTTCTCAGGCATTCTGAACTTATATTTCTGAAATAATTTAATCCTGTCTATATACATTCCCATCTCCCAAAGTCAGTCCTTATCCTGTCTTCTTTATCTCAGAATAGTTCTACTATAGTATACTGGTATTCAGTGGCTCAAGCCAGAAATCTAGGGGTCACCCTTTCTTCCTTCTGCTGCTTGACATTTTCCAAATTCTTATCTGAACTCACCTTTTCATCTACAAAGTTAACTGTGTCACCCATTAGATTTTACGTACACTATTAAAATAGCCTTCTATTTAGTCTATTTTTCAGCCTCTCTTCCAATCCATCCTCTATACTGGCAGCATAATTATCTTTGATCAATTACAGATAGTTGGAGACAATGGAGGCTGTCTATGTCCCTATCTGCCAATATTTTCTCAAAAAAAACAGCACAGATCAACAAAGAGGGAAAAATAAAAGTATACCAAAGCCACACTGTCAACATAATTTAGAGACAAAGAAAGCTAAACTGTACAACACCTGAGAAAACAAACTGCAAACTCAGCCCAGGATCTCTCGTGCTACCTTCCATCTCCTCTGACAGAAAGGTCTTCAGTGAGAAAAGGGGGCATGCGCCATTGACAGAGAAAGAAGAGGGAACCCAGGATTAGCCTAGGGTTGGTCTAAAACTACCACCAGAAAGACCAGGCTACAGTAGCAGGTCTAGAAATAACTAAAAGTGTATCTGATAGGCAGGAACATGAACCACAGGAAGGAATTTAAACATGGGTAGAATTTGAAAGGGCTCTTAGAGTCTTTTGTTGAGAGGCATAGGTTCTGAGGAGGAAAGAAAGGCAAAAAAAGAAGGAAGGGAGAAAGTGCCACCTGGTAATTCGGTGGTAAAGGGGGAATAAGCAAAAGAAAAATAAGACAAGAGAGAACCAAAACATCAGAGGACACACAACTCTACTCCCCAACCTAAGGAAACAAATTCACCAAACAGACATATTTCTTTCCTACATGAAAGCCAGACTCACAATTGCCTACATGTTAACAGCTACACTCAGCATGACATTCAAGACTCCCCATGACCTGCTATCTCCTACCTTTTCCATGACACATCAATCTTTTCAGGTTTTCTCAAATATAATTCCTTGGTGGGATTACCACATTCCAGGAGCTTATTCCTAGTTGGAAGGCTTAGAGTTACATTTTAAGATTCTCTTTATATGTTTAGATGCCATTAGAGTCATAGGTAAATTGAGTCTCTTCATTCAAATTCATAAAAAGCTATTGGACATAAAATGCCATTGGACAAAGTAAAAACAAAACCAGAAAACCTCAGAATACCAAGCAATTACATTGGTTGCATGCAATAACAAATTGTATTATTTTTATAGGTAAATCTATATGAAGATCAAGTTACAAAGTTGTATACAGAAATGGTGAGACCAGCCGGGCACGGTGGCTCACGCCTATAATCCCAGCACTTTGGGAGGCCGAGGCAGGCAGATCATCTCCTGAGGTCAGGAGTTCAAGACCAGCCTGGCCAACATGGTGAAACCCTGTCTCTACTAAAAATACAAACATTAGCTGGGCGTGGTGGCAGGCGTCTGTAATCGCAGCTACTTGGGAGGCTGAGGCAGGAGAATGGCTTGAATCTGGAAGGCAGAGGTTGCAGTGAGCTGAGATAGTGCCAGTGCTCTCCAGACTGAGTGACAGAGCGAGACTCCATCACAAAAAAAAAAAAAAAAAAAAAAAGAGACCAGAGTAAGGGGAGCATTTCTTGGATGATTTCAGTGATTTGTGATGTCAAACTATGGTATAAGCAGATTTATCTACCTCTAATACTGCAAAATTAACTAGATGCTTGTATTCATGGGCCAGGATGTCCTCTTCCCTGGATACAGTTGAAGTCCAACTCTCAACATCTGTCTCTCTGGACACCCATTTTAGAGCTGCAATTCAGACCATCTTCCTATTGCACCTGAGTACCTGACTTGAAAATTATTAGTCAAATTATTATTAGTCAAAATTACCCCCTAAATTTGTAAATGAGCTCAGAGTACAAGGATTTTGAATATGTTTATATATAAACACTACTGTAGTAGTAGTAAAGTATAAATACAACAGAATATATGTACAAAATATAAATTTGCAATACCATCTTTTGATGATGAATCATACTTAGTTGCTTTCACTATGAGAGGCATGCCAGAACTGAGAGCTACTGAGGGTTCCACAGATTCATATCTCTCGTTTGAGACTGTCTCTGGGCACATCCTCATTGAATAGAATGATGAGCAAAACCACTTGAACTATTCAAATTATTTTGTTTCTCACTGAAGGAATATAATAAAATTTCCATATACTCAATGTACACAGGCTGTCATCAAATATATATTTCCTTAACTAAAATAATCTGCTATGGCAATTCAACAAAAGTTGGGGAAGGAGCAGATAAACAGATGGAAGGATGAATATATATTCTATGTAGAAGTGCACAGTGGAAAAACCTAGACTTCGGATTTGAAAAGAAATGGATTGCAGTGTAGGTTTCCCATCACTTAAGAACTATATGCCTCTTGAGTCCCTTAAGCTCTAAGTATCTGCTCAGTGAAAATAAGAGTATATTGCAGACACTGGCAGATATTAAATTACATATATGTTAAAAATTATGAACTATACTTATCCTGTCTCTTGGGAGTCTTATCAGAAGATTTACTCACAATTTTGCCAAGTTATTTTATTTTACTATAAGGGAATTAATAAACATTTTCATGAATCAGGATATAAAAATGTGATTGGAAATCAAAAATGAATTTGGCTTTATAATAGTTTGAAATAAGGTGGGCATTCATATGAATTTTAGAAAGGCTTTTTTCCATTTAGTTCTACAGTATAAAGATAATTACTGCATTTGTTTTTAAATCATTTGTGAAGGTTGAGGTGTTGAGGGATAT
The DNA here is from genome assembly GCF_000001405.40 of Homo sapiens. NCBI lineage: Eukaryota > Metazoa > Chordata > Mammalia > Primates > Hominidae > Homo > Homo sapiens. The sequence goes on from NC_000012.12 coordinate 78,249,253, forward strand.
AAGTAGTCTCCTAAAATAAAGGATGATGTCAACACTAGAAGTGAGGAGAAAAAAAATACATGCATCCATTGAATAAAACTGCCAAATTGGGTTGTGGGTTCTAGAGAAGCTAAATTTTCTTCACATTTTTATGACTTTCATCTATATGATAACATTTAGATTTTCATGGTATATATACAAATTAACTGATAAAATACATTTTCTGAATGAACTCTAAAATTTAACTGGTAGGTATCAGGAGGTCTATCTGTGAATCTCTTGAAACTGTAAAATTTTTGTATGAACGTACATGTGTACTTGCTTTTCAGAGACAGAACAAGTACGCGTGTACATTCATTTTCAGCTGCACTTCTCATCAGATTCTTAGAAATATCCATTAGCCAAAACCATTTAAGAACCTTTGCTGTTGATGGCGGTAGGAAAAGTCTGTCAAGATATGTCAGTGCCTTGGGAAAAAGACTTAGGAAAACACCATATGTGCTTTAGAAGGCAGTGAATGAGTGGGAGCTTTTATTTCAGATGACTAGGCAAAAAGTAAACACAAACAGACTAACTAGACTAACGGTGTTTTCAGTGAGAATTAACATATATAGAATACCTGATAAAGTCTGTATTATTCCTTCTAGAGGATAATGAATCATGAGGAAATAAAACTTCAAGCTCCAAGAAAAAGAACTCATTAGGTGATATGTTCTTAGACCAAACGATGGAAGGTTGAGGGAAGGCATCAGAGTCCTTCATAACGAAAATGTGTGACAGTATTTGCTATTGGACTAGAGTTACAAGGACAGACTTGGACAATTTGCAGTACTCTATCAAGCAGTGGATTTTATACAACAGATGAATCAGATATAACATATTTGTTCCTGAGTTTTTTTTGTTTTGCTTCATGTAGAAAGTTCTTACTGATCTGACAGCATTGTAAAGTACTTGTTATTTAACAATTTTAAAAATATTATTTAACAACAATACTTTGTAGATACCAAAAGCTTAACTGTAGAACTTTTGTATCTAGTTTTATTATCATAATATTAACAGAGCTATCATTTATTTGCTTCATGTTCTTACTCATATAAACTATAGCATTTATATATCATCAGATTGAATCTGTAAGAAAAGCCTTTACGTAATATATGCCATTATTTCACTAGTTTTAGGAAATAGGAAACTGATGCCAAGAATAATTGCCTAAGATGACACACACCTAGGTCTGTGTGTTGCTGAAACCCATTCTCCTATATTTTCAGCAGTATATTTCCATTTTAGATTTGAGAGAGCATTAAAAGAGAATTAGCATTAAGAGAGTCTGGCATCATTTTCTGCCTGGAAGCAGTGGTTCAGGATAACGCGCGCTCCATAAAAGAATAAAAAACATTGATTATTATTTGCATCAGAACCCAAAAACATAGCAAAGAGAAAACAGCAAAGGGAAAGAGACAGAAAAGGGAGACTAAGAGGAAGAGAAAGAAAAGGAAATGCTGGTCAAAATAGAGGAAGGCAAATCAGAAACCAGAGACCAAAGACTTTTAAAGAACAGGAACACCTCTCTCCTTCAATCTCCACCAACATAGGCACTTGTACTGAACTATACAAAAATCTGAAGTATTGAGTAAGTACCCACATTCTATTACCATCTCTTCTAACATATTTATTGAGAATTATTCTAGAATTCAAGAGAACTATTTTCCTTTCCTATTAGTGTAGTTTTCTGTAGTTTCCTAGCTTTGGATCTTTCATTTAATAAACCAATTTTTTATTCATTTATAAACTCTCCAATCTACAATTTTTAACTACTGGCTTAAACTTTTTTCTACGTATTTTTTCTATGACATTGTTTGATTCATTTCCTTTAATATTTTATCATTTCCAAGTGGAATAAAGCAATTTGCATTTTCCAGAATCATAGATAATTTCTTTTTAAATGTGATTGTGTATTTTAAATAATAGAAACTAATGTCTCTGCCAATTGTCTAACAATAATAATTGTAGCCTCCGAGTGCTGACAATGTATCAGACACTGTGCTAAGATGTTAAGAGGTATTAACTAATTTAATCATCACAATAATCCTGTGAAGAATATTGTGGCCGAGATAGCTGGCTGCCTACCAATCTATTTCTCCTTTATTCCTTATAACCAAAATGTTACCCAAAGTGACAAAGACTCCATTTGAAGGTGTATCTTGGAGCTTCTTGCAGCCATTTGACTGAGTACTGGCCAATGAGATGTGCATAAAACAGTTGTGTGGAACTTAGGTTGTTGGGAGTTATTTCCTTTGAACCTACCCCCCAACCCCACTTTCTCCTTTTTACAATCTGAAACACAGGTATGACACCTAATGATTTGGCTGCCAGCATGGTGGCTTGAGGATGGAATCCAGTGCTGAGCATGGGGAAGCAGAAACAGAAGTAGCCTGGGTCCTGGATGATCTCCTGGAGCCACACTGCCAGCTTGGACTTCTTAGATCTGTACTCAGTTTATGAGAAATACCAAACCATATGTGTTTAGGCCACTGTTATTTTGGATAATTTATCTTATGCTACTCCACAGAATCCTTAGCTGTGACACAGGTATTATTATTTTCTCGATTTTACAAATGAAGAATCTTTCAGCTTAACCATGTTAGGTAACTTTTATTACAGCTAGTAATTGTCAGTGTTTGGATTCAAACTGGGATCTGTTTGATTCTAGAATGCAGTAATTTAATACTAGATTTAGGTTAATATATTGATAGTAATTTTGTGAATATCCAAATTATGTGGCATGCAACATAATTATTTTCTTTTTTAAATTATACTTTAAGTTGTAAGGTACATGTGTACAATGTGCAGGTTTGTTACATATGTATACATGTGTCATATTGGTGTGCTGCACCCATTAACTTGTCATTTACATTAGGTATTTCTCCTACTGCTATCCCTCCCCGCTCCCCCAACCCCACAACAGGTCCCAGTGTGTGATGTTCCCCACCCTGTGTCCAAGTGTTCTCATTGTTCAATTCCCACCTATGAGTGAGAACATGTAGTGTTTGGTTTTCTGTCCTTGTGATAGTTTGCTTAGAATGATGGTTTCCAGCTTCATCCATGTCCCTACAAAGGACATGAACTCATCCTTTTTTATGGCTGCATAGTATTCCATGGTGTATATGTGCCACATTCTCTTAATCCATTCTATCATTGATGGACATTTGGGTTGGTTCCAAGTCTTTGCTATTGTGAATAGTGCCACAATAAACATACATGTGCATGTGTCTTTATAGCAGCATGATTTATAATCCTTTGGGTATATACCCAGTAATGGGATGGCTGGGTCAAATGGTATTTCTAGTTTTAGATCCTTGAGGAATCACCACATTGTCTTCCACAATGGTTGAAGGTGAACTAGTTTACAGTCCCACCAACAGTGTAAAAGTGTTCCTATTTCTCCACATCCTCTCCAGCACCTGTTGTTTCCTGACTTTTTAATGATCACCATTCTAACTGGTGTGAGATGGTATCTTATTGTGGTTTTGATTTGCATTTCTCTGATGGCCAGTGATGATGAGCATTTTTTCATGTGTCTGTTGGCTGCATAAATGTCTTCTTTTGAGAAGTGTCTGTTCATATCCTTCATCCACTTTCTGATGGGGTCATTTGATTTTTTTCTTGTAAATTTGTTGGAGTTCTTGGTAGATTCTGGATATTAGCCCTTTGTCAGATGGGTAGATTGCAAAAATTTCTCCCATTCTGTAGGTTGCCTGTTCACTCTGATGGTAGTTTCTTTTGCTGTGTAGAAGCTCTTTAGTTTAATTAGATCCCATTGGTCTATTTTGGCTTTTGTTGCCATTGCTTTTGGTGTTTTAGACATGAAGTCCTTGCCTATGCCTATGTCCTGAATGGTATTGCCTAGATTTTCTTTCTTCTAGGGTTTTTATGGCTTTAGGACTAATATTTAAGTCTTTAATCCATCTTGAATTAATTTTTATATAAGGTGTAAGGAAGGGATCCAGCTTCAGCTTTCTACATATGGCTAGACAGTTCCCAGCACCATTTATTAAATAGGCAATCCTTTCCCCATTTCTTGTTTTTGTCAGGTTTGTCAAAGATCACATGGTTGTACATGTGTGGCATTATTTCTGAGGGCTCTGTTCTGTTCCATTGGTCTATATCTCTGTTTTGGTACCAGTACCATGCTGTTTTGATTACTGTAGCCTTGTAGTATAGTTTGAAGTCAGGTAGCGTGATGCCTCCAGCTTTGTTATTTTGGCTTAGGATTGTCTTGGCAATGCGGGCTCTTTTATGGTTTCATATGAACTTTAGTTTTTTCCAATTCTGTGAAGAAAGTCATTTGTAGCTTGATGGGGATGGCATTGAATCTATAAATTACCTTGGGCAGTATGGTCATTTTCACGATATTGATTCTTCCTATCCATGAGCATGGAATGTTCTTCCATTTGTTTGTGTCCACTTTTATTTCATTGAGCAGTGGTTTGTAGTTCTCCTTGAAAAGGTCCTTCACATCCCTTGTAAGTTGGATTCCTAGGTATTTTATTCTCTTTGAAGCAATTGTGAATGGGAGTTCACTCATGATTTGGCTGTTTGTTATTGGTGTATAAGAATGCTTGTGATTTTTGCACACTGATTTTGTATCCTGAGACTGCTGAAGTTGCTTATCACCTTAAGGAGATTTGGGCTGAGACAATGAGGTTTTCTAAATATACAATCATGTCATCTGCAAACAGGGACAATTTGACTTCCTCTTTTCCTAATTGAATAGCCTTTATTTCTTTCTCCTGCCTGATTGCCCTGGCCATAACTTCCAACACTATGTTGAATAGCAGTGGTGAGAGAGGGCATCCCTGTTTTGTGCCAGTTTTCAAAGGGAATGCTTCTAGTTTTTGCCCATTCAGTATGATATTGGCTGTGGGTTTGTAATAAATAGCTCTTATTATTTTGAGATACATCCTATCAATACCTAATTTATTGAGAGTTTTTAGCATGAAGGGCTGTTGAATTTTGTCAAAGGCCTTTTCTGCATCTATTGAGATAATCATGTGGTTTTTGTCTTTGGTTCTGTTTGTATGCTGGATTAAGTTTATTGATTTGCATATGTTGAACCAGGCTTGCATCCCGGGGATGAAGCCGACTTGATCGTGATGGATAAGCTTTTTGATGTGCTGCTGGATTTGGCTTGCCAGTATTTTATTGAGGATTTTTGCATTGATGTTCATCAGGGATATTGGTCTAAAATTCTCTTTTTTTGTAGTGTCTTTGCCAGGCTTTGGTATCAGGATGATGCTGGCCTCATAAAAGGAGTTAGGGAGGATTCTCTCTCTTTCTGTTGATTGGAATAGTTTCAGAAGGAATTGTACCAGCTCTTCTTTGGACCTCTAGTAGAATTTGGCTGTGAATCCGTCTGGTCCTGGACATTTTTTGGTTGATAGGCTATTAATTATTGCCTCAGTTTCAGAGCCTGTTATTCGTGTATTCAGGGATTCAACTTCTTCTTGGTTTAGTCTTGGGAGGGTGTATGTGTCCAGGAATTTTTCCATTTCTTCTAGATTTTCTAGTTTATTTGCATAGAGGTGTTTATAGCATTCTCTGATGGTATTTTGTATTTCTGTGGGATCATTGGTGATATCCCCTTTATCATTTTTTATTGTGTCTATTTGATTCTTCTCTCTTTTCTTCTTTGTTAGTCTTGCTAGTGGTCTATCAATTTTGTTGATCTTTTCAAAAAAACCGGCTCCTGGACTCATTGATTTTTTTGAGGGGTTTTTTGTGTCCCTGTCTCCTTCAGTTCTGCTCTGATCTTAGTTATTTCTTGCTTTCTGCTAGCTTTTGAATGTGTTTGCTCTTGCTTCTCTAGTTCTTCTAATTGTGATGTTAGGGTGTCAATTTTAGATATTTCCTGCTTTCTCTTGTGGGCATTTAGTGCTATAAATTTCCCTCTACACACTGCTTTAAATGTGTCCCAAAGATTCTGGTATGTTGTATCTTTGTTCTCGTTGGTTTCAAAGAACATCTTTATTTCTGCCTTCATTTCGTTATGTACCCAGTAGTCATTCAGGAGCAGGTTGTTCAGTTTCCATGTAGTTGAGCGGTTCTGAGAGAGTTTCTTAGTCCTGAGTTCTAGTTTGATTGCACTGTGGTCTGAGAGACAGTTTGTTATAATTTCTGTTCTTTTACATTTGCTGAGGAGTGCTTTACTTCCAACTATGTGGTCAATTTTGGAACAGGTGTGGTGCTGAAAAGAATGTATCTTCTGTTGATTTGGGGTGGAGAGTTCTGTAGATGTTTATTGGGTCTGCTTGGTACAGAGCTGAGTTCAATTCCCGGATATCCTTGTTGACTTTCTGTCTCATCGATCTGTCTAATGTTGACAGTGGGGTGTTAAAGTCTCCCATTATTAATGTGTGGGAGTCTAAGTCTCTTTGTAGGTCACTCAGGACTTGCTTTATGAATCTGGGTGCTCCTGTATTGGGTGCATATATATTTAGGATAGTTAGCTCTTCTTGTTGAATTGATCCCTTTACCATTATGTAATGGCCTTCTTTGTCTCTTTTGATCTTTGTTGGTTTAAAGTCTGTTTTATCAGAGACTAGGATTGCAACCCCTGCCTTTTTTTGTTTTCCATTTGCTTGGTAGATCTTCCTCCATCCCTTTATTTTGATCCTATGTGTGTCTCTGCATGTGAGATGGGTTTCCTGAATACAGCACACTGATGGGTCTTGACTCTTTATCCAATTTGCCAGTCTGTGTCTTTTAATTGGAGCATTTAGCCCTTTTACATTTAAGGTTAATATTGTTATGTGTGAATTTGATCCTGTCATTATGATGTTAGCTGGTTATTTTGCTCGTTAGTTGGTGTAGTTTCGTCCTAGCCTCGATGGTCTTTACAATTTGGCATGTTTTTGCAGTGGCTGGTACCAGTTGTTCCTTTCCATGTTTAGTCCTTCCTTCAGGAGCTCTTTCAGGGCAGGCCTGGTGGTGACAAAATCTCTCAGCATTTGTTTTTCTGTAAAGGATTTTATTTCTCCTTCACTTATGAAGCTTACTTTGGTTGGATGTGAAATTCTTGGTTGAAATTTTTTTTTTTTTTTTTTTTTTGAGACAGAGTCTTGCTCTGTCACCCAGGCTAGAGTGCAGTGGTGTGATCTCGGCTCACTGCCAGCTCCACCTCCTGGGATCACGACATTCTCCTGCCTCAGCCTCCCAAAAAGTTATTTTCTTTAAGAATGTTGACTATTGGCCCCCACTCTCTTCTAGCTTGTAGAGTTTCTGAGGAGAGATCAGCTGTTAGTCTGATGGGCTTCCCTTTGTGGGTAACCCGACCTTTCTCTCTGGCTGCCCTTAACATTTTTTCCTTCATTTCAACTTTGGTGAATCTGACAATTATGTGTCTTGGAGCTGCTCTTCTCAAGGAATATGTTTGTGGCGTTCTCTGTATTTCCTTAATTTGAATTTTGGCCTGCCTTGCTAGGTTGGGGAAGTTCTCCTGGATAATATCCTGCAGAGTGTCTTCCAACTTGGTTCCATTCTCCCCGTCACTTTCAGGTACACCAATCAGACATAGATTTGGTCTTTTCACATAGTCCCATATTTCTTGGAGGCTTTGTTCGTTTTTTATTCTTTTTTCCCTAAACTTCTCTTCTTGCTTCATTTCATTCATTTGATCTTCAATCACTGATAACCTTTCTTCCAGTTGATCAAATTGGCTACTGAAGCTTGTGCATGTGTCATGTAGTTCTTGTGCCGTAGTTTTTAGCTCCATCAGGTCATTTAAGGTCTTCTCTATGATGTTTACTCTAGTTAGCCATTTGTCTAATCTTTTTTCAAGGTTTTTAGCTTCTTTGCTATCGGTTCAAACATCCTCCTTTAGCTCAGAGAAGTTTGTTATTACTGATCTTCTGAGGCCTACTTCTGTCAACTTGTCAAAGTCATTCGCCATCCAGCTTTGTTCTGTTGCTGGCGAGGAGCTGCATTCCTTTGTAGGAGAAGAGGAGCTCTGATTTTTGGAATTTTCAGCTTTTCTGCTCTCGTTTCTCCCCATATTTGTGGTTTTATCTACCTTTTGGTCTTTGATGATGGTGACCTAGAGATGGGGTTTTGGTGTGGATGTCCTTTATGTTTATTAGTTTTCCTTCTAACAGTCAGGACCCTCAGCTGCAGGTGGGTTGGAGTTTGCTGTAGGCCCACTCCAGACCCTGTTTGCCTGGGTATCACCAGCGGAGGCTGCAGAACAGCAAATGTTGCTGCCTGATCCTTCCTCTGGAAGCTTCGTCTCAGGCGGGCACCTGGATTATGAGGTGTCATTTGGCCCTTACTGGGAGGTTTCTCCCAGTTAGGCTACTCAGGGGTCAGAGACCCACTTAAGGAGGCAGTGTCTCTGTTCTCAGAGCTCAAACACCGTGCTGGGAGAACCACTGCTCTCTTCAGAGCTCTCAGACAGGGATGTTTAAGTCTGCAAAAGTTTCTGCTGCCTTTTGTTCAGCTATGCCCTTCCCCCAGAGGTGGAGTCTACAGAGGCAGGCAGGCCTCCTTGAGCTGTGGTGGGCTCCACCCTGTTCGAGCTTTGTGGCCGCTTGGTTTACCCACTCAAACCTCAGCAATGATGGACGCCCCTCCCCCAGCCTCACTGCTGCCTTGCAGTTCAATCTTGGACTGCTGTCCTAGCAGTGAGCAAGGCTCCATGGGTGCGGGCCCCTCTGAGCCAGGCACAGGATATAATTTCCTGGTGTGCCGTTTGTTAAGACCACTGGGAAAGTGCAGTATTAGGGTGGGAGTGTCCCGATTTTCCAGGTACCGTCTGTCACAGCTTCCCTTGCCTAGGAAAAGGAACTCCCTGACCCTTTGTGCTTCCCGGGTAAGGCAATGCCCTGCCCTGCTTTGGCTCACACTACGTGGGCTGCACCCACTGTCCAACAAGCCCCAGTGAGATGACCTGGTACCTCAGTTGGAAATGTAGAAGTCATGCGTCTTCTGTGTCGCTGGGAGCTGTAGACTGGAGCTATTCCTATTCAGCCATCTTGGAACCCCGAGAACAACATAATTATTTTCAATGCAGCAATAGTAAGTCATAGAGGGTTAGAGAGCAGAGCTAGTCAAACTAAAGTCATAAGTATCTTTCCCAAGGGAGTCATATTTATTTCTATAGCCACAATCTAATGGTGCCTCTGGCCATTTCTCGGATACAGCTACAGGTCCAGTAACCACACAGGGAGCTGGATTAGTGTGTGTACAACTTTTCATGACCAATGAGAAGTGACAGGGCATACTGCCCATGATTGACTGCATATGTGTGTGCACAAAAACACCTGTATCCTAGACATGCCAATCAGTTCACCTGCTACAATTCACATTTTCTTTTTGCTTATCCTCCCTGACCACAGCCAAAGACATTTGCTTCAAGATACTCCCTGCTCCACCTCCCCAACAAATCTTGCCTCAAGTTGATTAGGCCATTAGTGGCACCTAATAGAAGCCAAAGCCTCCAAAGACCAGACTAAGTCAATTAGATTATCCATTTTAACAACAGAGACATGTGTATGTTTATGTAATATCCAGATTTGAAGTCACGTATATTTTAGGTCTGTAAAAAAAAAAAAAACTTATGAGTAGTCAAAAGAGACTGATGGAAGAATGATGCAGTTATACCAAGTGATTTAAACACAGTTGTAAGAATTTAATGCTGATAGCAGCACTTGTCTAACTATTTTCTCCTTGTTCTTTAGATTTCAACCTCACCATCCCTTCTCCTATGAAGCCTTTACTATTCTCTAAAAATTAGTTGGGTTCTGCATTTAATATGTCACCTGTGTTCAATTTTACTATTTCAAAAGTTTTTAGATAATTGGTTTAATGTTAATGTCTATGCTCTTCCCTAAACTGTAAATGCCAAAAGGGCAGAGACAATTTCTCATCTATTTTATGCTGCTTAGACAGTGCCTAGCACATAGATAGCGTTCAATATGTATTTGTAGTCAACTCTGACTTGAGAAGAAGGGCTAGTTACCTTAATCCTGGAGGCAAGTTCCTGACATGGCCACAGTTAGATACAATCGTACTTTGGATTTTATATCTAAGTGTCCAATAAATGATCGTGTTTTTAATTATAATAACCTCACCATTTCTTTCTTGGTTTTGCTTGAATACATTTGTTTCTTGAAAATGAAGAAAAGATTGTTAGGGAGAATGTGGTGAAAGTAAGTGGTTAGGTGAACAAAGAAGGGAAAGGCCAAAAATTTAGAAAAGTAGAAATTGGATCAGGTAAAATAATAAAAGATATTCAATCATTCATTGCTATATCTTCTTAAAATAAGTGCAGTTATGATTCTTATATCAACTTTCTATTTTGACCAGCAATTAGAATATCCTTTAACACAAAACAATTTTTTAAATAAGTGGTGAAAGTTCAAATTGAATAATGATATAGTTTTTTTCATTGACATTTGTTTTTAATCCAAAGAGAAAGAAGTATAAGATTTGGCATAGCCAGAAGTAAGTAAAGAAAACTTGTAGGAAGGAACGTTTTATTGAAAAGCTCATTTAGGGGTCTGGCATATTCATTAGAACCTCCTGATTGAGAAAAATAATGGTTTTTAAACCTACTGTTTAACCTGTCAGCTCAAACGCACATTTCCCCTATATTTCGTGAATTTATTTAGTTGTAAGATATAAATAATAAAGTTCATAAACAAATCAGGATGGTAGACAGGGAATAAACAGGTTTCTGTCTAGCACTTTGGAAGGAGTGGTTGCCTAGAACAATTTAAGCTAAGAGATGCCACACCATTGCTTTCCCTGAAATCAAGCTTTATAGGTGACAGATGGCACAAAATCAATAACTGATCAGAGAATAGCACTTGGCATCTTATCCTGTGGGTGGGTAGAAAAGGGTGTTTAAATTTTAAGGGAAAAACATAGTGCACAAGCAAGACTGTCATAGAAAGACTGAGAATAAGGCTAAGGAAAAGAGCCATTTTCTTTCCACTTAATGACCAGGAAAGCAGTGAACCAAAATCTCATTTGCAGCTTGTCAGAGTTCAAGTCAAAATAATTTTATTTCACCTCATTTCCCTAGGATGTACTGTTTAATTTCAAATTACTGCTAATATTATTCACATATTTCCTCCCTTCTTGGGTAAATGTCTATGACCATTTCTTTATGTAACTGTATGTGTGGTAGAAAAATCAAGGGCTGAGGAGATAATTGGTGTTCAAGCCTCATCTAGGTCGTGATTATTGTTTTACTAGCATTCTCATAATTTATTCATCATCAGGAGAAATATCCTATGATGTCGTCTCTCTGTCCTTCTTATATCTCAGGCTATTCACGCTAAGCTCATGTTGCCCAGGGCCTGCAGGTCTGTTGCACTGGTGCCACTTCATCCCTTTGCAGCTTGCCTAGATCTGAGTGCCCCCACCTGTGCTCCAGATCCACCATGGCAAAGCTTCTTCACTCTGTACTGGGTAGGCCACGATGGTAGTTACCAGACATCAAATACAGGAGAGAATATTCAGAAATATTGAGTGAGAGATGGCCTGTGGGCTCACTCATATGTGTGTGTGCACATATATGAAAAGATGTGTGTGTGTGTGAGAGAGAGAATTTGACAAAAAGCACTGACATTAGTTGATGTTAACAACAAAATTCAGCAAAGCTCAGAAGCTCTTATATGAATGAGGGACAGTTTATACAAGGACCTTGAAGAGGTATATGGGTAGCATAGACTCCATGAAGAGAACATTCATTACACCTGTGCAAGGCATAAATCACATTTCCACTCTAAAAAACATGACAAGCAGCCAGCTGTTTGTCTGTAAAATGGAGATGGAATATTCATTATGTGAACCAAGACCAGGAAAAACAAAAGTATAGTTAAAATGTGCATGTACATGCATGCCTCTGCGTGATTGTGGGGGTGTGTGTGTGTGTGTGCGCGTGCGCGCGCGAGAGAGAGAGACAGATTTTGTTACTGCTGCTATTCCCTTTCTTCAGAGAAGCTTTCATAATAAGCTGTTAAGGCTACAAGAAGGGATAAAGAAAAGGGTGGGGGAAAGCAGTGCAAGTTACTGGAGCTAGTGGTCAGAATGGGGGTCTAGGACCAGTCCATGTTAAAACATTCAGCTTTTGTTGGAGGACAAGAAACAACATTTATAATATGCCCTGGCAGCAGATATTCCATTGTATTGCCACAATTATGAGATTTGACCCCACTTCTAGTTGAAGGGTATTTGAAAATTCCTAAAAGTACCTGGAGTTCCACTTTATGTGGGATTAGGTTCTAAAGGTAGGATTTAAAGTGGAATGCACAAATATTCAAACTTAGCCAAAATCTTTCTAAATCTTTGTATCAGTTAACTATAGTAGCAAAATAGCTCCAACATTTCAGCAGCTTAAACACAAAGGTTTCTTTCTTTTTCATGTTAAATGTTAGCTGGATTTGCCTGCTAGAGATCCAGAAATTAAGAATAATGTATATTCCTATCTCTTTCCTTAACGTTCAGATTCACCTATTTCTCTTCTGTCAGTAAACACTTTTATCCATCTCCACTCCCACTACTTTGGTGCACTGTGAAATCATCATCTTCCTGGGCAAAGGAAAAATCTCTTCACGGTGTCTCTGCTTCAACTCTCCCCTGTCAATCAATTCTCCCTATAGTGGCAAGGGAGATTTTCTTAAAGAGGTAAGTCTGTAACAGCATCTCTCTGTTTAAAACCCTCTGTCACCCTGAAATCCTCAAGGTGGCTGAAAAAGCTCTGCTTGATCTGACCCTACCAGCTCCATGTGATGTTCTTTGTTCTTTCTCTCTCCACCTCGGCCACAGTGACTTCATTTTGTTTCTCAAGTTCTTTGTACCACATCTTTCCTCAGGGCCTTTACACCCAATGTTTGTTATGGCTGAATCATGGCCTTCCTTTCCATTTCCACCGGCCCCATGCCTTAGCTGGTCTGTATTTATTTAGAAAGCTTCAGACTGAAAGTCAATTCCTTAGAAAAAGCTCCCTCCCTGTCAGGCCAGGTGCCCCTGTTCCATTCTAGTGGGGGCTTCTTAGGACTCTTTTTTTTCTAGCACTTACACCAGGTATATGTATCTAAGTACTTTTTGAAACTTACTGGATATAGAAGTGTGGCCATTTTTGCCATGATCTAAAACAGCTACATGGGGAAAGGGAAGCCCTCATAATACACTAAAAAAATTTTTCCGGCCGGGCACTGTGGCTCACACCTGTAATCCCAGCACTTTGGGAGGCCGAGGCGGGCGGATCACGAGGTCAGGGGATAGAGACCATCCTGGCCAACATGGTGAAACCCCGTCTCTACTAAAAATACAAAAAAAAAAAGGGCGTGGTAGCGGACGCCTGTAGTCCCAGCTACTCAGGAGGCTGAGGCAGGAGAATGGCGTGAACCCGGAAGGCGGAGCTTGCAGTGAGCCAAGATCGCGCCACTGCACTCCAGCCCGGGGGACAGAGTGAGACTCCGTCTCAAAAAAAAAAATTCCACTTTGGATATAAAGCTCTTATGGACTCCATATAAGAGTTTACACTGAATATCACAGGCTCCTCAAAACAAATATTTAGTGGGGTCACAGATGCAAACCTGAACCGTTATATTTATTTCAAAATGAGTCTTCTGGTATAGCAGTTTGAAGACAATTAAGATACGGTAGTAAGCACAAGTACTTTGCAAATAGGCATTTTTTCCTCTCCTGATAGTGCTTCAATGCTCAGGAACAGGGGACAAATTAAAACATATTTAACTTGTAGAATTACAGCATCTCCTGGGCTTGTCTCTGGACTGTGAAAGGAATCATCTGGGTATATTCTGGATTATCTAAGGAATCAAATGGGAAAAGATCTTGGCTGAGTTTCTAGGTACATAGCTGCATTAAACTCCTTTAACCATTAGCATTAACTTTTCTGCAGGCTTCTAGTGAGGTATGTATGTACATTGACCAAATACATTAATATAATTTATAAGCATTTTGTACGCCTACATTTTGGTTTCCAAGCAATAGACCATTCTTCTTGTTTAAGCGCTAACAAAAACATTTAAAGACCAACAGTAACAATAGAAATTTATTCTTGCTTTGTTATGTCTCTGCCAGGTTTTGCTATCAGGATGCTGCTGGCTTCATCAAATGAGTTAGGGAGGAGTCACTCTTTTTCTATTGTTTGGAATAGTTTGAGAAGGAATGGTACCACCTCCTCTTTGGACCTCTGGTAGAATTTGGTTGTGAATCCGTCTCGTCTTGGGCTCTTTTTGGTTGGTAGGCTATTAATTATTGCCTCAATTTCAGAACTTATATTGGTCGATTCAGGGATTTGACTTCTTCCTAGTTTAGTCTTGGGAGGGTGTATGTGTCTAGGAATTTATCCATTTCTTCTAGATATTCTAGTTTATTTGCATAGAGGTGTTTATAGTATTCTCTGGTAGTTTGCATTTCTGTGGGATCATTGGTGATATCCCCTTTATCATTTTTTATTGTGTCTATTTGATCTCTCTTTCTTATTAGTCTGGCTAGCAGTCTATGAATATTTTGTTAATCTTTTCAAAAAACCAGCTCCTGGATTCACTGATTTTTTTTGAAGGGTTTTTTTGTCTATCTCCTTCATTTCTGCTCTGACTTAGTTATTTCTTGTCTTCTGCTAGCTTTTGCATTTGTTTACTCTTGCTTCTCTAGTTCTTTTAATTGTGATGTTAGGGTGTCGATTTTAGATCATTCCTGCTTTCTCCTGTGGGCATTTAGTGCTATAAATTTCCCTCCAGAAAAAAAAAATTATTCTTGCGTGGTTCTGGAGACTAGAAGTCCAAACTATTTTTTTTTTATACACAACAAAATATTAACAATAGCATGCTAGAAATGAAGTGTGAACTGGCAGGCATTAATGCTTGTACTCCCTTTCCCCTCACATGTCTCGCCTTTTGTTTCATTTTTAGCCAATGGAGATGTCAAGAAATATATGTTTTTCATTGTGTCTGCAAATAGAGGAAATTCAAGTCTCAAATGCAGTGATTTTTCTTTTTTGCCAATATAGAAGTAGCAATGATTATGAAAACACTTTTTACATTCTGAGAAACCACTATGTCCCAAGACATGGCAGTAAAAAGAAGATAAGGCACACAAGAAAATCATGTCTTTAAGTCATGAACCATTAAGTTCTCATGTACTGGAGGACAGCTGACAAATTGGCCACTTTTAGGACATATCCAGCTGACTCTTGGTGGAGGTTTTATACCCAACCTCTACCGGCATTTTATTTAAAAATTATTTTCCCCAATATTTGCTGTTTATGTTTAGGGACCCTCAGTATATCCTTTTTTTCTCTCTTAAATAGAATACGGAGTTGATTAACTTTTTGAGTAAATGAGTTAATTGTTCTTGTGAAACAAATTGACTGACACCTGCAAAAATCTGTGTTCGCTGAAATTCAAGCAGCTGTCTTTCCACAGATAGCCTGGGCCCCAGAGAACATGCCCAATGTGATGCTCAGGGTTTTTTCAAAGCATTCTCTCCCTACTTTATTCCTAGAGCTAAGATTGGTATGTTTTTCCTAAATAAACCTCCTCTTTCCAAAAAAAAAAAAAGCATGTGTGAAGCTTCTACTATAAAATGCCCATCCTGTCTATAGAGCTGAAGTCTGTCCTGGCTGAAACATCAGATCCTGAGTTTTGTACCTGCAGGCTAATGGTGGACAGAGTTTAGCCCTTAAGGCCAGCAGATTTCAGAGTTTACTGTTATTACCTTCCTTTTTCATTGTAGAACGTTTATAAGAAAACTCATTAAAAAGCTCTCTACTTAGTATGCACTTGTTTTTGCTGCCTTTTGACTGGCAAAGAATACTTTTAGTATTATATAAATCATGTTTTGATTGTCTCTAGGTGTAAATCATATTGACTTAGGGAAGAATTTCACGTGGTCATGGGATTTGAAGGGGTTTATTTCATCTTGCTGCCCTGAAGTGAGATTATAGTTCACTGCACTGGGCTGATAAAGTCTCTATTGTTTTAAAGATCATTAGAAAGAAAATCCCAAAACATGGTCTATACCAGAGCATGCTCTGAGACCAGCAGGGATTTTTAGAAATGCAAATTCTCTGACCAACAGAATCTCAGGTTGTAGGCCAGAATGTGTGTTATAATAAGTCTTCCAGGTGATTTGTATATCTGGGAAGTTTGAAGAGCCTTGAGCTATACAGTAGAAGCAGTTGCACACAGTCCATGGTTAAGAGTATAAAATCTGGAGTCAGACTGCCTGAGTTTAAATCCTGTTTGGAAGTCTTACTAAGCTATGTGAACTTGAGTGAGTTCTCTCTCTCTGCCTTAAATATTCTCATCTATAAAAATAGGATTAAAGTGCCACACTCATAGATTTATTTTTGGGATTAAATGAGTTAGTAAGCATAAAACATTTCGAATTGGACTTGGTACATAGTAAGCACAAATATGTATTATTCTCTACTATTAGAAACTTATTCTATTGTATAAAAATCTCTGCAACAGTTTTGTGTTCACAAACATTTTAGAGGACTCATAGTCAAACCGAAACTTTACTGGAAATCCAAAGAAACCAGATTTTGAAGTAGGAATAATGTTCTGTCATTACTTATTCTAATTGAGAATTGCTTTGCTTCTGGCATATTCTGAAGTTCACATGAATTGGGGAGAAAATGACAAATATGAGAGAAAACATATAATGTATAATGTTACAGACTTTGCCTTGGCAATCAGAGTGCGTTTGGATCCAAGTTCTGTAACTTATTGGCTGTAAGACTTTATTGACCTTTTTTCCTTTATGGGAAGTGCCTTTTATGTCCGTACTTGCTTATCTTCTAGGTTGCAGATATTTTCTTCCAATAATTTTATAGTTACAGCTTTACTTTTAGATATATAATCCATTTTAAATTAATTTTAGTACATGGGGTGAGATATAGATTATTTTTCATATTTTTTTCTTAAGAAGGGTAGTTTTTCTAGAATAATTTCCTGAAAAGAGTATCCTTTCCCCGCTGAATTACGTTTGCACCTTTGCACCCTCAGTTGACTAAAGTATAGCACAATCCCTGAACTTTTTGTTCGGATTATATCCACTTTACATGAAATTCACTCAATCTTTATTATTTTAGCTTTATACTAAGTCTTGAAATTCAGTGGTATAATTCCTCCAACTTTGCTCTACTTTAACAAGGTTTTAGCTACTCAATGTATTTTATCTTTTTATATAAATTTTAGAATAAGCTTTCCAAATTCCATTTTTAAAAAAGCCTACTGAGATTTGATGGGGTTTACTTTCAACCTGTAGATCAATGTGGGAAGAATTGATATCTTAATAATACTTTATCTTCTAATCCATAAACATGGCCATTATCTTTATTTGGGTCTTTCGCAAGTCTCTCAGCAATGTATGGTGTTTATCAATGTATATATCTTTTACTTACATTGTTAAATTTTTCATAATTAATATTTGGGGCACTAGAAAATAGTAATTTTAAAATTTTATTTTCAGATGGTTTTACTAGTTTACAAATATAGTTTTTTTAATATATAGATGTTTATTCTGCTAACTTCTTAATCTCATTATTAATGCTGGTAGCCTTTTGGAGATTCCTTAGGATTTTCTATAAGGACAAAAATACCATCTACGAAAAGATAATTTTACTTTTTCTTTCCAGTATGTAATTTTTTTCTGGCTTGCTGCACTTCCTAGGACCTTCAGTATAATGATCAATGAAATGGCAAATAGATATCCTTGGTATTCTTACTTTAGGGCAATTTTTTTTCTCGCTACTGAAAATAGAATTTTGGTATATTACTGGTAAATGTGGTCTATAGGTACTACTATATTGCATATTAACATTCTCTATTCTCAAAGTTTTATGTAGAAAAATAAAACTCAACTTTATCATTTGTATCTGTTCTCAAGCCATTAAGCACAAATAAACTCTTAATAGATAAAAACTGTGCAATGCAGTAATTCAAAAAAAAAAAACAAACCTCCCTTCAGATTGATACCAGTTAATCTATACATTGTCATGGATTTGCTGAATTCCATGATATTTCTCTTTGCCGTTAAATAAAAAGGACCCCCTCAAAGAAATAAAGTCGGCTCTCAAATAAGCAGCCTGTTGTGACTTACGTTGTCACAAACCACCACTTTCTGTAGGTTAAGTGATAATCAGATTTTAAATGCCATGAAAGTGGTAACTGGATTTTCTGGGTCTTTCTTTTCATGACTGTTTCTTCAGCACTCAGCACAGTGTCTGATATATCCTGGAATTATAAGTATCTGTTGAAAAATGAAAAACAATTTATTCTTTTATTTTTAAAAACAGGAAATCATTTGCTTTAAGTTTTATGTTCTCAGAATCCCTCCCAATCACTATAATTCTATTTTTTTTACATTTGTAATATGCAAGGGCATGCACACAAAAATATGAATAATATGAATATCCATGTGCCTACCATCAAGAATATAAAATAAAACTTATTTAGCTTAGTTGAAACTGAGCCAACAACTGCGTCAAATACGTTTTTAAATTTCATTCATTTAAAGATAGTTTTACTACATACACAAATACCTATAAAATATGTGAGCATTATTATGACTGGCTGAAATTTTAAAAAATTATAAAACTGGTATAAAATTTTATAGCCCCCAAGCAACTTACTTTTATTTGTTCCCTCTCAACATATTTGAAAGATTCATCTGTGTTTATAAGCATGGGTCTGTTTTATCAATTTTTATGGCTTTATACAATTCCTTTGTATGGGTATTCCACATGTATTTATGCTTCTCTCATAGGTTGCGCTTCATTTCTTTGCTATTATAAATAATGCTGAAAAAACATTCTTGTACATATTTTCCTAGTTTAAGTCTATAAAGGTTTCACTAGGCACTTTTAAATGGATATCATTGCGAAGTCACTCTTCAAATAAATTGTACTAATTTGTACTTCTGTGAGCACTCTATTAGAGTCTCTACCTTCTTAAAAACATGTAGAATCATCAAACGGCTTACAATTTACCAAATAATTATTGATTTGTTTTCATTCATCATTAGAAAAGTTGAGTAACCCTTAATTTGTTTATTGATCATTTTGGTATTCCTTGTCTTCAATTTCCTGTGTATAGTAATTGTCCATTTCTCTATTTTATTTTCATTTTCTTATTAATTTGAAGGCTTTATTAAAATATATTTTTGATAGTGATGTATTAGATGAGTCATTGCATATGCCTTCTACACTGTTGCTTGTATCTTCTATTTCTTTGGTTTCTTTGATTGTACAGAAGTTTATAATTGTTAATACAGTACAGTTTATCAGTCTTTTCCTTTATTCTTGTGCTTCTTGCTGAATTAACACCTCTGTTTAGTTTTAATATTTGGTAGGACAAGACCCCAAACCTTGTTCATTTTTTTCCAAATTTGTCTTGGTTATTCTTGGCTTTTTGCACTTTAACATTATAGAATCAACTTTTTAGGTTCCAGGAAAAATCTTATTGTAATTCTGATTTAAAATTTTATTAAATTTATATATTGCTAGTAGAAAAATTATTAATGATATTGAGAGTTCTTATCCATTTGCCATTTCTCCTCATTTATATAGATTTTCTTTAATGTCTTTCAATATAATGTATGCAGTGTCCTCATAAAGGTCTAGAACATTTTTGCTGGGCATTTCTAACATACTTCAGATGACTTCTTGCTGATGTACATATTATCTTACAAATCTTAAATTTTTATGTTTATGATATATGGAAGTATAATTTTTATTTATTTATTTATTTATTTATTTTGAGACAGAGTCTTGCTCTGTTACCCATTCTGGAGTGTGGTGGCATGATCTAAGCTACTGCAGCCTCAAACTCCTGGGCTAAATTGATCCTCCCACCTCACCCTACTGAGTAGCTGGTACTATAGGCATGCCCTATCATGTAGCCTATATTCACCATGCTGTCCCAATATAATTCATTTTTAATATGCTACTCATATTAAGATCATTGACCTACATTATTTTAA
Organism: Homo sapiens; assembly: GCF_000001405.40. Taxonomy (NCBI): domain Eukaryota; kingdom Metazoa; phylum Chordata; class Mammalia; order Primates; family Hominidae; genus Homo; species Homo sapiens. Next base: position 78,269,251 of record NC_000012.12, read on the forward strand.
TATTTTTTGTTCATTCCATAAGATTTTCTCTATATGCAATCATATAATCCCCAAATGAGATTTCCCCTCAATTCTTAATATCACTATCATCATTCTTATCCCCTTCCTCATCACAATATGATAGGCAAAATCTCAAATACAAACTTGAAATGAAGTGGCTGTGATAAATTTCTACAAAATGACCCCCAATAAAGGACACATCGCTTTATTCATGCCCTTGTGTAATCTCCCACACTGAATCTGGCCTAGCATTTAGCTAGATTTAAAGAAAAGAATAAAGTAGATGTGATGATGTCTGAGTTTAAAAGCCTAAGCTTTATGACACCTAGCAGTTTCCACTTTGGGCTTCCTGAGATCCCTGAGATGTGATGTAAAGGAACATGAGCTATCCTACTGAAGAGGCCACATGGAGAGAAAGATCTGAGTAAATGAAGGAATATCAGTGGAGATAACTCCTAGATGATAAACATCTAAAGAAGTGAAAGATAAAGGACCCAACTACACTAGCTTAGAAACTAGACATGTGAGAGAGGCATCTTGAATTTCTCAGCCCAAATTGAAGCCATATGAGCGAGCTCCAAAGGTTTTAAACAAAATGGACAAGTTATCCCATCTGAGTCCTGCCCAAACAATTCAGAGACTCCTGAGAATTAATAAATCACTGTTTTTATAAAATGCTAAGAAGTTTTGAGATAGTTTCACAGCAATAGGTAACTGTTACAGTGATGATGGCAAGATCCTTACCTTTATTGACTTTAAAAGTAATTCTTCTAATGTTTTAAGCATAATGGTTTTATGTAGTTTTGTTTTCTATGGTTAAATGTTTCCTGTAGATTTTCTGGTAGTTTGTTTTTAAAGTCTCACAGGTTAAAGTTTTCATTTGATGTTAGTTAATTTTTTTTTTCAAGTTCTTTCTCCTTATCTGTTGTAATGATGTTAATTTTTTCTTTCATCCATTAGCATGATTAGTTTCATTTTAAAATGTTAAACAATCTTTGCATACCTAGATAAACCTTAATTTTATGCTATTTTATGTACAATAACATTTTCTCTTTGCCTATGTTTTAGGATTATCTTTATGATCACAAATATAATTCTTGCAGTATTTCTCTTTCTTTAATTGTTCATATCTATATTTCTATTAGGTTTTATTGTTTTTATATAATGATTATAAATATATGCATCCTTTGTTATCTATATTTAATGTTTACCTGAAAATATGTTGAAAAGCAAATTTTTGCATATTATATGCCTATTATATTTCACTTTTTAAATAGTACAAATGGCATTCTTAGGCCATCTAATGCTCTCAACCAGTTTCTCTACTTACTAGTAAAACTTTCTTAATATCAGTGTTTCATATATAGAAAGCATTAGAAGCCATTCTATGATTTCTCACTATACAATAATGCTGCAATATCAGATATAAATGACATTTGTATTATGTACATAAAAAGAACTTGTCTATCACGTAAACAACCAATTAAATTGTAGAGTAAAATTACTAATTTCACCCAATACAGAAATTAGCTGGATTATTCACATCAAGAAAGTTGGGTAGTGAAGGATACTTGTAATGCTTACTTGTTTCACTTGTTTTAACATGCAGCATTTTCACATTTGATTATTTTAAGTTTATTCTAATTTGTTACTTTTTCAGTTATGATCTATTTAGAAATGCTTTTTAAATTTTTCTTTTCTTTCACTTTTTTGAGACAGAGTCTCGCACTGTCACCCAGGCTGGAGTGCAGTGGTGTGATCTCAGCTCACTGCAACCTCCACCTCCTGGGTTCAAGTGATTCTCCTGTCTCAGCCTCCCTAGCAGCTGGGATTGTAGGCGTCTGCCATCACAACCAGCTAATTTCTGTGTTTTTAGTAGAGACAGGGTTTCACCACATTGCCCAGGCTGTCCTGGAACTGCTGACATCAAGTGATCCTCCTGCCTTGGCCTCCCAAAGTGCTGGGATTACAGATGTGAGCCACCATGCCCGCTCACTTTTTCAACTGTGTTTCTTCTTTTGTTGTTATATTTCATTTTATTTTATTTTTTTTTTTTTGAGACAGAGTTTTGCTCTGTCCCCCAGGCTAGAGTGCAGTAGCACAATCTTGGCTTTCTGCAGCTTCCACCTCCTGGGTTCAAGCGATTCTCCTGCCTCAGCCTCCTGAGTAGCTGGGATTACAGGTGCGCACCACCATGCTCAGCTAATTTTTTTTTTTTTTTTGTATTTTTAGTAGCGGTGGGGTTTCATCCTGTTGGCCAGGCTAGTCTTGAACTCTGACCTTGTGATCCGCCCACCTCCACCTCCCAATGTACTGGGATTACAGGGGTTGAGTCACCGCGCCTGGCCGCCTTTTGTTATTTTTAAAATTAACTACACATAAATGAAGTGCTTTATTATTCAAGAATATGCTTTATATGTTAACTGTCTTTTGGTTTTTGAAATTATTTTAGTGCTTGGTGCTTGATGAATTGTTTGTAAATGAATCACATGCACTTGAGAAAATTGTGCAATCTTTAATTTTGGCATGCATGATTCTGTATATGTAGTATCATAGCAAGTTTGGTAATTGATATGTTCATTTTTTTATGTTCTTACTATTTGTTAATGTGCCTATTCATTCAAAGGGATGTAAGCCACTATTTTTAAATTTCCCACTATGAAAGTAACATTTTTAATTTCTTTGAATAATCATTTTAATTATAGGCTATTTGTTCTTGCATATATACTGGTTTAACATGTCGTGTTTTCCTAAGTATTATGTTTATTAATAAGTAGAGACCACTTTTTTTTAACTATTTGTTCTTTTTACTTTAAAGCATAGTATGCTTACTATTCATACAACCATGCCAGCTCTCTTCAGGTTAACATTTTCATGATACTTTAACATCATTTGTCGGGTTTTGTATTTTATTTATTTTTTTTATCCAATTCCTCCTTATTGGTCAAAATCAGGTTCTAAATAATTTCCAGTGGTAAATCCTACCCTTCTCTGGGACTTCAAATTTTCAGGAACAATATGGTAGAACTTGTCATAAACTCTGTTTTGAGTCAAGTGATTCTCTAAGTATACTACTCTACTTTGCTTGTGTGCAAATCATTTTTTTTTCCTTTTCTTATTTTAGGTTCAAGGGTACACATGCATGTTTATCAAACGTATAAATTGCATGTTGCTGGGGTTTGGTGTACAAATCATTTCATCACCCAGGTAGTGAGCATAGTAGTCAATTAGTGCTTTTTCAATTCTCATCCTCTTCCCACCATCCCCCATCAATTAGGCTCCAGGATCTCATCTTTGTGTCCAGGTGGTACTCAATGTTTTGCTCCCATTTATAAGTGAAAACATGGTATTTGGTTTTCTGTTCCTGCATTGATTCACTTAGGATAATAGTCTTCAGCTCTATCAATGTTGCTACAAAGGACGTGATCTTGTTCTTTTTTATGGCTGCATGGTATTCCATGGTGTATATGTCCCATATTTTCCTTATCCAGTCTACTGTTGATAGGAATCTAGGTTGATTCCGTGTCTTTGCTATGGTAAATGGTGCCATGATGGACATACACATGCATGTGTCTTTATGGTTGGACAATTTGTATTCTTTTCAGTGTGTACCTAATAATGTGACTGATGGGTCAGTTGGTTCTAAGGTCCTTGAGAAATCTCCCAACTGCTTTCCACACTGGCTGAATTAATTTACATTCTCACCAGCAGTGTATAACCATTCCCTTTTCTCCTCAACCTCTACAGCAACTATAATTTTTTGAATTTTTAATAGCCATGCTGACTGGTGTGAGATGGCATATCATTGTGGTTTTGGTGTGCATTTCTCTAATGATTAGAGATGTTGAGCATTTTTTTTATATGATTGTTGGGAGCGTGTATGTCTTATGAGAAGTGTCTATTCATATCCTTTGCCCATTTTTTAATGGGGCTGTTTGTTTTTGCTTGTTGATTTCATTTCCTTATGGATTCTGAATATTAGAACTTTGTTGGATATATAGCATGCAAATATTTTCTTCCATTCTGTAGGTTGTCAATTTAATCTGTTAATAGTGGTGGTGTTTTCTTTCTTGCTTTTTTTTTTTTTTTTTTGCTATGTTTAAGTTTTTTAGTTTAATTAGGTTCCACTTTATTTTTGTTTTTGTATCAACTGATTTTGGAGACTTTGTCATAAAATCTTTGCCAAGGCTTATGTCCAGAATTGTTCTTCCTAGGTTTTTTTCCTAGGGTTTTTATAGTTTTAGGTCTTACATTTAAGTCTTTAATCCATTCTGAGTTAATTTTTGTATATGTTGAAAGGAAGGGGTCCAGTTACATACAATCTCTGTATATAGCTAGCCAGTTATTTTAGCACCATTTATTGAATAAGGAGTTCTTTCCACATTGTTTGTTGTTGTCAACTTTGTCACAGATTAAATGGTTGTAGGGGTATGGTTTTAATTCTGGGCTCTCTATCTTGTTCCATTGGTCTGTGTGTGAAACTGTGTTTTTGATTTGGCCCTTGGATTGAATGTTATTGATGTATAAAAATGTTACTGATTTTTATACACTGATTTTGTGTCTTGACATTTTACTGAGGTTGTTTATCAGTTCTGGGAGTCTTTGTGCAGACATTACAGGGTTTTCTGGGTATATAATCATATCCTCAGATAGTTTGACTTCCTCTCTTCCTATTTGGATGTCTTTTTTTTGTTTGTTTGTTTATCTTGACGGATTGTTCTGGCTAAGATTTCCAGAACTATGAATAGGAGTGGTGAGAGTGGGCATCCTTGTCTTGTTCTGGTTCTCAGAGGAAATACTTCCAGCTTTTGCCCATTCACTATGATGTTGGCTGTGGGTTTGTCATAGATGGCTCTTACTATTTTGAGGTATGGTCCTTTGATGCCTACTTTGTTGAGGGTTTTTAACATGAAGGGATGCTGAATTTTATCACAATCTTTCCTGTGTCTGTTGAGATGATGATGTGGTTTTTGTTTTTAGTTCTGTTTATGTGATGAGACACGTTTATTAATTTGTTTGTTGAACCAACCTTGCATCCCAGTAATGAAACCTCCTTGATCTTGGTGCATTAGCTTTTTGATGTGTTGCTGGATTTGGTTTGCTAGTATTTTGTTAAGGATTTTTGCATCTATGTTCATCAGGGATATTGGCCAGAAGTCTTTTGTTGTTGTTGGTGGTGGTGGTTTTCATTGTGTCTCTGCCTGGTTTTGGTATCAGGATGATGCTGGCCTCACAGAATGAGTTAGGAAGGAATCCCTCCTCCTAGATTTTTGGAATAATTTCAGTAGGATAGGTACCAGCTCTTCTTTGTACCTTTGGTAGAATTTGGCTGTGAAATCTGCCTCCAGGGCTTTTTCTGGTTGGTAGGTTTTTCATTACTGATTCAAGTATGGTTACTTGTTATTGGTCTGTTCAGGATCTCATTCTTTCTTTCTTTTTTTTTTTTTTTTTCTGTTTTTGTTGGTGAATCTTGAGACATTGTTTCCAGGAATTTATCCATTTTTTTCTAGGTATTCTAGTTTGTGTGTATAGGGGAGTTCGTAGCAGTCTCTGAGTTTTTTTTTTTTTTTTTTAAATTTCTGTGGGATCAGTGGTAATGTCACGTTTGTCATTTATGATTGTTTATTTGAATCTTTTTTTCTTTATTAATCTAGCTAGTAGTCTGTTCTTTTGAAGAACAAACTTTTGATTTCAGTTATCTTTTGTATGGAGTTTTGCAACTTTATTTCATTCAGTTAAGCTCTTATTTTGGTTATTTCTTTTCTGCTGCCAGCCTTGAGATTAGTTTGCTCTTATTTTTCTAGTTACTGTAGGTGTGATGTTAGGTTGCTAATTGAAGATATTTCCAACTTCTTGATGTAGTCATTTAGCACTCTAAACTTTCCACTTAACACTGCTTTAGCTGTGTCCCAGATATTCTGATATGTTGTATCTTTATTAGTTTCACAGAATTTCTTGATTTCTGGCTTAATTTTATTCTTTACCCTAAGGTCATTCTGGAGCAGGTTGTTTAATTTCCATGTAATAGTATGGTTTTGAGAGATCTTCTTTTTATTATTTATATTTTTATTGCACTGCAGTCTGAGAGAGTGGTCAGTATGATTTTAGTTTTCTAAAATTTGTTAAGAATTGTTTTATGGCCAAGCATATGGTCGATCTTAGAGTATCATCCATATGCAGATGAAAAGAATGTATATTCTCGTTGTTGGATGGAATATTTTATAGATGTCTTTTAGGTCTGTTTGGTCAAGTGTCAAGATTTGGTCCTGAATACCTTTGTTAGTTTCCTGCCTTGATGATCTGTCTAACACTGTCAATGGGGTGTTGAAGTCTCCTGTTATTATTGTGTGTTTATCTAAGCCTCTTTGCAGGTCTCCAAGAACTTGTTTAATGAATCTGGGTACACCAATGTTGCGTGTATATATTTAAGGTAGTTAAGTCTTCTTGTTAATTGAACCCTTTATCATTATGTAATGCCCTTATTTGTCTTTTTTGATCATTGTTAGTGTAAAGTGTGTTTTGTCTAAAATAACAATAGCAACCCCTGCTCTTTTTTGCTTTCCATTTGTTTGATTCTTCTCCATTCCTGTATTCTGAGCTTGTGGGTGTCACTGCATGTGAGATGGGCCTCTTGAAGACAGCATACAGTTGCATCTTGCTACTTTATCCAAATTTCCACACTGTGCCTTTTAAGAGGGGCATTTAGCTCATGTATATTCAAGGTCAATGTTGATATGTGAGTATTTGATCCTGTCATCATGATGTTAGCTGGTTCTTATGTAGCCTTGATTGTATAATTGCTTTATTGTGTTAGTGGGTTACGTACTTAAGTGTGTTTTTATGGCAGCACGTATCAACCTTCTGTTTCCATGTTTAGCACTCCCTTAAGAACCTCTTGTAAGATAGGTCTGGTGATAATGAGTTTCCTTAGCATTTGATTGCCTGAAAAGGATTTTATTTCTCCTTCACTTATGAAGTTTAGTTTGGCTGGAAATTAAATTCTTGGTTGGATTTTTTTCTTTAAAAATACTGTATATAGGCCCCAAATCTTTTCTGACTTGTAAGATTGCCGCTGAAAAGTCTGCTGTTAGGTTGATGGAGTTCCCTTTGAGTGTGACTTAACCCCTTCTCTCTAGCTGCCTTTAAGATTTTTTATTTTATGTTGACCTTGGTGAATCTGATGATTATGTGTCTTGGAGATGATCATTTGTATAGTATCTCACAGGGGTTCTTTGAATTTCCTGAATTTGCATGGCAGCCTCTCTGGGGAGATTGGGGAATTTTTGTGGAAAATATCCTCAAATATGTTTTACAAGTTGCTTCTCTCTCCCCCCACTTTCAGGAATGCCAATAAGTCATAGGTTTGGTCTCCCTATAATCCCATATTTCTCAGGTTTTATTCATTTTTTTAAAATACTTAAAAAAATTTGTTAGTGTACATTGATTTGAAGGAATTGTTTGAGTTCTGAGATTCTTTCTTCAGCTTGGTCTATTCTGTTATTAACACTTGCAATTGCATTCAACATTCCTGTAGTAAATTTTTCATTCCTAGAAGTTCACTCTGGTTCTTGCTTAAAATGGCTTTGTCATATTTCAACTTTTGGATCATTTTACTGTTGTCTTTGAAATGTATTTAAACTTCTCCTGGATCTCATTGAGCTTCCTTTCCATCCATATTCTGAATTCTGTGCTGTTATTTCAGCCATTTTAATCTGGTAGAGAACCATTGCTGTGGAGCTAATGTGATCATTTGGAGGTGAGAAGACACTCTGGTTTTTAGATTTGCCAGAATTCTTGCACTAGTTCTTTTTCATCTATGTGGGCTGATGTTCCTTTACTCTTTGAAGTTGCTGTCCTTTGGATGGGTGTTTTTTCTCTTATATTCTTTAATATCCTTGAGGGTTTGATAGTGGTATATGTTGAGTGATATGATTTGGCAGTGTTCCCACCCAAGTCTCAACTTGAATTGTAGCTCCCATGATCTCCACATGTTGTAGAAGGGACACAGCAAGAGGTAATTGAATCATGGGGGTAGGCTCTTCCCATGCTGTTCTCATAATAGTGAATAAGTCTCATGAGATCTGATGGTTTTATAAAGGGCAGTTCCCCTGCACATACTGTCTTGCCTGCTGCCATGTAAGATGTGCCCTTGCTCCTCCTCGCCTTCCACCCTGATTGTGATGCCTCCCCAGCCATGTGGAATTGTGAGTCCATTAAACCTCTTTTACTTTATAAATTATCCAGTCTCAGGTATTTCTTTATAGCAGTATGAAAATGGACGAATACAGTAAATTGGTACCAGGAGTGGGGCACTGCTGTAAAGATACCTGAAAATGTGGAAGCAACTTTGGAACGGGGTAACAGGCAGAGGTTGGAACAGATGGGGAGGGCTCAGAAGAAAACAGGAAAATATGGGAAAGTTTGGAACTTCCTAGAGACTTGTTGAATGGCTTTGACCAAAATGCTGATAGTGATATGGACATAAAGTCCAGACTGAGGTAGTGTCAGAGGGAGATGAGGAACTTGTTGGGAACTGGAGTAAAAGTCACTCTTGGTATGCAAAGAGACTGGTGGCATTTTGCTTGGCCCTAGAGATCTGTGAAACTTTGAACTTCAGAGAGATGATTTAGAGTATTTGATGAAAGAAATTTCTAAATGGCAAAGTTTTCAAGAGGAAGCAGCATAAAAGCTTGAAAAAAAATTGCAGCCTGATGATACAGTAGAAAAGAAAAACCCATTTCCTGGGGAGAAATTCAAGCCAAGCTGGCTGTAGACATTTGTATAAGTAATAAACAGCAGAATGTTAATCACCAAGACAATGGGAAAAATGTCTCCACAGCATGTCAGAGACCTTCAAGGCAGCCCCTCCCGTCACAGGCCCAGAGGCCTAGGTGGGAAAAATGGTTTTGTGGGCCAGGCCCAGGGCCCCCCCTGCTATGTGCAGCCTTAGGACTTGGTGCTCTAATGCTTCAACTGTGGCTAAAAGGGGTCAAGGTACAGCTTGGACCTTGGCTTCAGGGATGCAAGTCCCAAGCCTTGGCAGGTTCCATGTGGTGTTGAGCCTGCTGATGCATAGAAGTCAAGAATTGAGGTTTGGGAACCTCGACCTAGATTTCAGAGGATGTATGGAAACAGACAGACTTTGCTGCAGGGGCAGGGACCTCATGGAGAACCTCCGCTAGGGCAATGCAGGAGAGAAATATGGGGTTGGAGCTCCCCCATACAGAGTCCCTAGTAGGGCACTGCCTAGTAGAGCTGTGAGAAGAGGTCCACTGTCCTCCAGACCCCAGAATGATAGCTCCACCAACAGCTTGCACTGTGTGTCTGGAAAAGCCACAGACACTCAATTCCAGCCCATAAAAGCAGCTGGGAGGGGGGCTGTACCCTGCAAAGCCACAGAGGTGGAGCTGCCCAAGACTGTGAGAGCCCACCTCTTGCATCAGTGTGACCTAGATGTGAGACATGGAGTCAAAGGAGATAATTTTGAACTTTAAGTTTTAATCACTGCCTTATTGGATTTTGGACTTGCATGGGGCCTATGGCCCCTTCATTTTGGCCAATTTCACCCCTTTGGAATGGGTTTATTTATCCAGTGCCAGTACTCCCATGGTTTCTAGGAAGTAAATAACTTGCTTTGGATTTTACAGGCTCATAGGCAGAAGGGACTTGCCTTGTCTCAGATGAGACTTTGAACTGTGGACTTTTGAGTTAATGCTGAACTGAGTTAAGACTTTGTGGGGCTGTCAGAAAGGCATGGTAGGTTTTGAAATGTGAAGACAGGAGATTTGGGAGAGCCAGGGGTGGAATGATATGGTTTGGCTATGTCTCCACCCAAAATTTATTTTGAATTATAGCTCCCATAATCCCCACGTGTCCTCGAAGGGACTTGGTGGGAGGTGATTGAATCATGGGGGCAGGTTTTTCTCATGCTGCTCTTGTGATGGTAAATAAGTCTCACAAGGTCTGATGGTTTTGTAAAGAGCAGTTCTCCTGCCCATGTCCTCTTGCTGGCTGCCATGTAAGATGTGTATTTGCTCTTCTTTCATCTTCCATGAATGTGAGGCCTCCCCAGCCATGTGGAACTGTGAGTCCATTAAACCTCTTTTTCTTTATAAATTACCCAGTCTTGGGTATTTCTTCATAGAAGTATGGAAATGGACTAATACATTGGGTTTAGTCAGTTGGCTTCATTTCTGGATGCTTTCATGGGGCCGAGGCTCAGATCAGCACTCCTTTGCTGTGTGCTGTATCTCTGGGGGCTGAGCCCAGGCTTGTGGCATTGTTCTCTGGCCCCTGCAGGCCAAGCACCTGGTGCACTGGAGGGGCCAAGGTATTTCAAGTCTATGGCAACAACCCTTTAAAGGGGGCTTTCAGCAAAAGCACTGTGGCAGCATGGCAAGGGTCTGCAAGAGAATGTGCTACAGTTGAAGGGTCAGGGGAAGGTAAGTGCATACCAGTGGGTCAGTGGGAGGCCACAGGTGAGTGTGCACCAACAGGGGGTCCGGGGAGGTTGGAATTAGAGGGTAGCTGCAGGCATGCGTGTGTACGTACACCAGTGTGGGGCAGAGGGGCCATGGATACGTGCATGCCAATAGAGCAATGAGGGGAGTCTGTAGACGAGTGTGCACCAGTGGAGGAGGGCATGGTAGTAGGGGTCCATCTGCAAAAGTGCTCTAACAGGAAGGCAGGGGTTGCCAGCAAAATGCTATGGTGGTAGTCTCTAGGAATTGTTTTGATGGGGCAGCTGAGGCTGTGCTGCATTTGGGTGAGGCTAGGCAGGGTCCCTGGGAAAGTCCAGCAGACATTGGGGTATTTAGATCAGATTGGCCCTGTCCTACAAGCCAGACAACGCTGATCTCTTCAGGTATGGCAATTAACAAAGGCAAAAGCCACCTAGAGAGAAGTATGGCAAGCCTCAGGGGATAGGCACCCATGGCTGTGCTCCACTGCATTTGTTAATTTGCCAAACCCTCTGGGCTCCAAGCAGACTGAAGTTTTGACTCTGCCAATTCTCCAGGTGATTCTCACTGCAAATGTCTGTGGAGGTCACGGGTCTTCTGAAGCTAGGATCCTGGAGTTCTGTGCCTAGAGTGTGCCACTCCATGCCGATCTCACTCATCCTTTCAATGAGAGCCACTCCAGGGCCAGGAACGAGTCCTGGTACTTGGCAATCCTATGCAGGGTTTCCAGCTTCCTCTCCTTCTAGTCCTGGGGTCTGCATTCTTTCTCTATCCACCCTCAATGCCTCAATTCAAGAGGAATTGAAACTAAATGTGATGAGGGAGGAGAAAAACATCCCGACAAATATGTAAATCAATTTACTATGAAAAACAGTAGCTATAACATTCAAAGAGGCAAATGTTGTGGGTAGTACCAATGAGTCATATGAGAAAACAATTGAACCCAAAACCAGTGATAAGCTTCTCCCGGTGGGAGAAGTTCTTCCTGACTCCATCTAATTGACCATCTTGGCTCTTCCCTCTGCAAATATCTTATTCCCTATTTGGTATTCCCTAATCCTAAACTTCACCCCCAGAATAAACCTCACAATAACCCTAACCATGATACAAGCTTGGCTCTTCCCTCTGCAAATATCTTATTCCCTATTTGGTATTCCCTAATCCTAAACTTCACCCCCAGAATAAACCTCACAATAACCCTAACCATGATACAAGCTCTAACCCCATAGCAAAATATATTGGATTAACCTTTTCTTTTTTAAAAAGTATCCTCTAGTCTCCAGTAATCTTTATCTTTCAGAATCTATGGTTTCCAGGTGGACATAGTATTTGTCACTCTATATCACTCTTCTCTATTTCTTAGTAGGTCTATATGTCCTTCTAACATTGTAATCTCCTTTTACAAAAATCCAGCAAGTCTACATTTTTAAAAATTGCTTTTTCTCTAAAATTTAAGATTCACATTACTTAGAATTTGTATAAGGATGTATATTTGCATTTGGTGTTATAAGCATTATCACTGGTTTTAGGTTCAATTGTTTTCTCATATGACTCATTGGTACTACCCACAACATTTGCCTCTTTGAATGTTATAGCTACTGTTTTTCATAGTAAATTGATTTACATATTTGTCGGGATGTTTTTCTCCTCCCTCATCACATTTAGTTTCAATTCCTCTTGATTAGTTTAGCTTGCCTCCAGGCAAATTCATTCTCCAAGGAGAAGATAGTGTTTGAGCTAGACGAGGCTTAGAAAATAAGATGAAAATAAGAAAGGCATTCTAGGTAAAATGAATGATGCAGAGATAGAAATATCAATATGTGACTAGGGAATATTATACAGATAATTGTAGGATTTGTGATAGAAAACAATGAGAATTTAGGTAGAAATGGTAGGTATAGGCCACAAAAATAGCTTCAAATTTCAAGTTGAAAAAGTTTGGATTTTATTTGTAGAGTGTAGATTTTTTTTTTTATCTTATCTGAAGTTGAGCAGTGTTTCTCAAAATTCAAGACTGTATCACTGATATACTTTGAAAGTTACATAGTCAAAGTAATTGGGGGATAAAGGATAAGTTTGTGTTACACATGCTGGAGTAGAGGTACTTTCAAGTAAGCTTGGATAAGAATTCTGTTCAATGCAGACACTATGATTAATAGAGACTGAGAGTCACAATCAGGGTATTCTTTATTAGTAAAAATGTGTGATAGATGAAGAATGCTATATTACTATGTTTTCAGTTATAAATTACAGGAACCCAATTTGAATTAATTTAAGCAATAAAGAAGATTTATTGGAAGAATATTGCTATAGCTCAGACTTGGACAGTTCTAGGGGCTTAAGGAACAGGAACTTGAACTTGGTCAAAGCCAGAACTCTTTCTCTCAGTCCCTCCAGCTCTCTTTGCTTATTGTTAATTGGCTCTACAGTATTTTCTTCTATGAAAGGCAAACTTTCCCCATGTGTTAAGAATTGTGATTGCTGAACAACTTTGGAATCACATTATTAGAGAGTTTTCTAAAGAAGGAACTAATAGCCTCAGTTACATAAAATCTGTATAAGAGCTATGATTGGTCTGGTCTAGGTCATGAATCTATTACTGAACCACTTACTGTGGTCAGAGGCAAGAGTCACTATGGTTAAGATTCACTTCTATGGATAGGAAGGTGGGATGTATTACTAGAAGTATGGTAGAGGGAAACATTTTGACTATAGAGAAAAGAAACCACAGTTTTGATTATGCCTCCCAATTTTATTATTCAGTAATGATTAAAACATATATTTACAAGAGTATGGTTGTGCTGCATGCTAACACTGATACGTGCTACACCAGTAAACTGGCCAACATCATCAGTGATGATTAAAAATAAAACAAGGCTGGGCAGGCATGGTGGCTCATGACTGTAATCCCAGCATTTTGGGAGGCCAAGGTAGGCGGATAATTTGAGGTCAGGAGTTTGAGACCAGCCTGGGCAACATGGTGAAACCGATCTCTACTAAAAATACAAAAATTAGCCAGGCATGGTGGCAGGGGCCTTTAATCCCAGCTACTCTGGAGGCCAAGGCACAAGAATTACTTGAGCCTGGGAGATGGAGGTTGCAGTGAGCCAAGAGCACACCACTGCACTCTAGCCTGGGTGACAGACCAAGACTCAGTCTCGGTAATAACAAAACAAAAAACTGTTGGGTTGAAACTGAAGTTAAAAAAACTTTTAATTAAATACAGGCGTATTGTGTCTTATAGGAAACTATATGCCTGTAAATGAAGTAAATATATCATCAAAGGCATTGTCTTTCTCTGAAATAATTGGAATAAAACATGAAACATCAAAGGTGAAGTTTCAAAATAAACAAAGGGAGGTCTGATTGCTTTAGGAAGAAAACTGCTTGGTATATACCACTGGAGTAGGATAAAATCAAAAGCATGAAAACAATAAACCATCAGCCTATAACAGCTTGAGTCTAAGTTGGAAATCTAATGATGTTTTAAGCTGAGCTCATCTAGAGCAAAAGTCATAAGCCAGTTGATATCTGAAGAAAGCAGAATTCATAGAAAAAGAGTGAAGGCGATCAGGAGCAGAACAGGAAAAAAAAACACATTAAGAGAGAAGCAAAATAAAGCTGTTGAGTCACCATTATGGCAGGATAGAAGAGGTTTGAGTTAATTGGGGTGCTGCTGAGAAGGGTAACAGGATAACTGGGCTTTGGAGCTGCTGTTACACATGGCATAGCGTCTCAGTTCTCCGTAAGATTTGATTATGTGGCAGTTGGAACTGCTTCCGATTTGTTTTACTTTCCCATAACTCTTTAAGATGGATCCCAAATAACTGAAACAATCTCTCTGCATCTCTATTCCTGGAAATGTCAAAACATAAAGGATCCCCATTTTACATTTATCTTTTAGACGAATCTTTTGTTTAAAGACAATAGGCTCCTAATAACATCTATGAATTTTGCAGTGCTGCATCCTTGATTAATTTGTGTATATTTTTACATATTGGTAAGATTTGACCAGCAAATTCAAACTGAATAAAACAGAATTAATTTCCCATGTGATGTTCCAGTTTAACAAGATAATTCTTGCAAAGATAATATAAAGTGTGGTTCCAGAGCACATGGACTCTGAGGTCAAACAGACCTGTCTTTCAATCCTGGAAGAGTTCTGTGTCCTCACACAGGGTTTTAAAGCTTGAATTTTAACATTTTTAAAGTATAGATAATAATAGTTCCTCTCCTAGGGCTGCTTGAAAATTAAATAAGACAATATGTTTTCAGTAGTATTATCATCACATAGTGTTCAATAAATATCAGCTAGTAACCATCATTTGTTTAATATGTTAACTCTTATTACCTTATGTTAACTTATTGCTCTGGGATAAATTAACTTATGCAAATACTAATGTTCTGTTATATATTTAAGCAGGTTATTCATGTAATTTCTTTGTTATACCAAAACACTTGTTTGATAGGCTGACCGGTTAAAAACAAACCTGAGAAAAAAATGGGTATTAAGTTACTTGATGGTCCCAAACATACAGTGATGATCTTTGGATTATCCCTTCTATTAAGTGGTAGACGAATTAAGAAAAGATACAATTCTTCAAACGTGCTGGGTTAGGGAGTCTATGAACTGAAACTGTCAATTCCCTAATACTGTTCTGAACAACTGAAATGTGAGACAAACGACTAAAACAGATGAGGATGGATAAATAACATTGTTTATTAATTATGTTCATACTGCAGAAGGTGGCTTATATTTACAGGAAAATGGTATATCTAACACAGAACCAGACAGACCCAGCCACAGGCCACTGTGGCTTGGGGCTAGATCTTCATGCTTAGGGTAAGAGCATAGATGAATAATGCAGAATGTATCTTTCCTTCAAAAATACCCTGTCTCCAGAATGAAAGAGAAGAGGAAGTGACTGCTCTCTCCAGTTTTTCACTGCAAAATCATCGGTTAGTTTAGTAAATATTTATCTCTTGGGGAAAGTGAGACATAGAAAGCCTAGGCTGTTAATCACACTGGAGTCCCCTAAATAAGAGATTGGAGTATGACTCCCAATCTCTTCCCCAAAATAAAACATATTTATTTACTGTTTTAGTCTTGCTATTTTTTTAAAAAATACATTGTCTATCTTGTACTATAGACATCAGTAATTGTCAGAAAATATTAGTGTTATTTTAGACCTGCGTGAAAGATTAAGTCTAACAAAGTATTAAGCATTTTTTAATTAAAATGTTCAAAACATGCCTAATTTACTTGTAGACAGTAAGAAGAAAAGAAAATAATGGTTTAGAAAAAAGAGGATAATAATGTTACTGGAAGAAGACAAAGCATTGCTTTTGCCATGTAGACTTTGGAAAGATAAAGAAAATAGGACCAAAACATAATAGCCTTGGGACTAATATGTCTCCATTATGAAGGAGGGTGAAA
Source organism: Homo sapiens (assembly GCF_000001405.40). NCBI lineage: Eukaryota > Metazoa > Chordata > Mammalia > Primates > Hominidae > Homo > Homo sapiens. The sequence goes on from NC_000012.12 coordinate 78,285,148, forward strand.
ACCCGTAAGTGAACCAGCTCATGGGTTCTGCTGGGTTCCTACATGGAGGTTTCAGGGGGTAAAGCTAAACCTAGATCATATGGAGTATAGTATGGTAGGAGTGTTGGAGAGATATCCGTGGTCTGAATTTTCTCCTTAGTAAAATTCCTTTAAATATGATAAATTTTAGGCTAATTTTTATTTCTCATCAAAAGCTGCCTAACTATCCCTTTCTTCTAAAGCCAGGACTCTAGCAGTAGAGTAGATGGCTGCTAATAGGACTCTGGATGAAATGGACAGCAATTTGCACACAAACAGAGGTAATATTTTAAACAGACTGGTATTCATGCAATGACAAGTGGCTAACAACAATAAATTGCTGCTTCTTTGATGGTGACGTTATTAGACTTGGAAAAGCTTGATGCTTCTTCCACCTTAACAAGCACTGTCTTTTTTATAACTTGAGAAAAATGCGATTAGATGGTGAGATCGCAGCGGAATGAGGCCTAGCTTCAATGAAATAACCCCAGTGACGTGGCATTTCTGTTTCAGACATTGTTGGGAATCATTAATAGGTGAACCTCTGTACTGGTGGATAATATTATTATTGCACCTGGCCATAACAGCTTAAGTTTTAGTTCTCCTCCAGTGAACTCAAATCTAAATGGCAAATTCATGGAGAGGAAAATGGAAAGGTTCTAAATAGTGAAATATATAAATTAAAATATAAATTAAAGTCCTACAAGAATACGATGTGTAGTGAATTTTTAATTTTAGTTAAAAATATTTTTGGTGACAGTTAAGCTGTTAGGTAATTGCTATATTCTAGCAGAATGATATTGGTACAATGTGCTTCCCAGAAACTGGTGTTTTTTACAGAGGAAATTGTGGCCACTATAGAAAAAACACTACTAGAAAACATTTAAATCAGAGAAGTAATGTAAAAGATTTGAATTTTTTTTTTAAAAAGACAATATGCTTTTCACTTGTATTTTTCTTTGCTGATGAATTCAGAATTCTAGTTCTTTGGTATGACTCACAATTTTTATTTTAGTAGTGTATTCTGTTTAAGCATAGAATGCAGAGAATTGTCTTAAACTAGCTGTTGGTAACAATTGCACTGATACTGAGAATTACTATGACTGCTTTCTTCAACTTTAATTTTGATAATGTTAAATGTCTCTTTTTCTTCCGCCTCCCCACCCCCCCGCCCCCCTCCGCCCACCTGCAGCTCGGATTAAATAGTGAATTAAAGTATAGCACAGCAGGGACTCTCCCAGGAGCCTCATGAGGAATGGGGCTGTATTGGTTATGCATCAATTCTAGTTTTACGAAAGAATAACAGACACTATTTTCAGTGTAATAATTATTTAGTTATGCAGTATTTGGGGTTATTTCAATTTCTTGGAAATGTAAATTTCCTAGTGTCTAAATATCAGTCTCTAGGTTCACAATGGTGTATTGAAATAAATGAGAGTGCTTGACTGATGAGTAGTGCATGAAACGTGCCTCTTTATATATGTCTAAAGCATTCTATTTGATACAACTTCTCATCAATGTTGGTGGATAAGATATTTAGCATTCAGTCTTCTAGTCTTTAAAATTGAAAAGGCCTTTATTTTGGAGAAATTTTTAAAGGAACCTCAAAATATAACTTTGCCACACTGATGCGTTGTCTCAAGGGCCAAGTGAAATAATTATGCTACAGAGAATGCTTATTTATATTCTTGTCTCATTTTGTGAACCTTCCAAAGGTAATTGGAAGATTGGCCTTTTAATAAGGCCAAAATACAAAACTGAGATGAGTGGGTGGGTTATCATCCTCTACTTGGTGTCCATTCACTCATTTATTCATTCATCAAGTATGTATTGAAAGTTTTTAAGGTAGAGAATCATAAAGATGGAGATAAAAATACTACAGCTTAATAAATGAGAAAATGTGTTTCAGATATGTAGCTATAATCAGGCTTCCTAATATTTTCCCTGTACAGTAAAATGTATATGCTCAGAAATGCAGGCATTAGCAGATACAGAGCCTGCTTTCAGAAAAGCAGAGGAAGCATGCACCTTGAGACACAACTGCTTTGAAGAAATACAGAAACAGGAATTTACAATTTCAGGCCTTTCCCCTAATTAATCAATTGATGTCTCTTTTTCTTTTTGGGAAGGAGAGGCCTGCATGTTACCACATGCTTTTCTCTTCTAGAATGCCCACATTTTCTCTCCTCCATATGAAAAGAATGGGATAGAGTACTATCTCCACCTTCCTCCATCCTCACCATTTCCAGAAGTATTTGTTCTGGGTGGGCAATGTTAGATGCCATGAGATATACACAGGTAGAAGGGGAGCTGATACTCCAAGTGCTAAGTGCCAAAGAGACATAAACTATATTATTTCTTTTGGTCTAGTTCATAGGAAGAACATTAAAGTTGGGAGAATAGTTAAACTGGGCTTTGAAAGATATGTAAGATTTAGCCAGGAAGACACAAATGGAAAGGCATTAAACATAGGGAAGAACATGAGGTGATGAAAAATCGTAAAATACTACTACTTGGATTAAGAAAAAAAGATAAATGCAAGACATTTTGAAGGAAAAGTAAATAAGGCAGATTATGCAGTAGAAATGGAGAAGAGATAAAAATAAGAGTGGTATTTTAGAACCTATGTATTTATGAATTTAATATTCTTCAATTCAGCTATTTAAGAACCACTCTCAAAATTTTATGAAAAATTTTAGAATGTTAATCACGTAGGTTATTCTGAGGTTTACATGTGCTTATATATGTAAAACTACTTAAATATTGATTGTGTGGGCTGTGAGCTTGGGTTCAGAAAGGGTGCGAGTCCAGAATTCATTTCCAAAATAATGATTGATGTGAAAGTGAAGATTCTTAAAAGTCTTTATGTATCAGTTTTAAAATGTAAAAAAGTCTACTATACTTGCAGAAGAACATTACGGTCTTAGTCTCTCAAAGGCTCTAAGCATATTAAGTCTTCTGTCCTTTGCAAAGTCTTCAATTTTGGCATGAAAGAAAGAAGGAAGACAACACCTTATTAAGTTTGTTTAGTTTCTTGAATACCCCAGTTTTGTTTCCATTTTAAGCCCTTGCCTTCTTCATGGGTGCTCTCACCTGAACTTTTGCTTGTCCAGGTTCTGTCATAATTCATGTCATAATTCAAATGATGTTTTCTTAGAAAATCCTTCCTTGTATATCCTAAAGTAGTTTCTCTTCCTTAGATACTGAATTATGTCATGTTTCATTTTTATTCAGAACACTAATGGAATCTATGCATCTATGTTTGCCAAGTTATGTGTTTTCTATTTTATCCTCTAGATGGAGTTTCTTTTTATCATCTTCCTTTCGATGGAAATTTTCTGGTGTTAAGAACCATTATTATCCCTGTGTATCACTGTATTTTTGGCACATGAAGGGATGCTTAAGAATCAACATGTTATCAATATTTGTTGAATCAATGAATGAATGAACATATTAAGGGGCCATCCTGTCTATTTTGAATAACTTATAGGTATATATCCCAAACCTTGACCAATTTAGGGTAGCAATAAACCAATCTTTGATATATCCTTGTGGAAAATACAAATCTCTAGAGTATATAACTGTATGTGCTTGATTTTGTTTTCAAATAAGGATAGTGAAGTAAACCAAAAAGTAAAACTGAAAACATTTCTATTGCTGTCACTCTTTTGTGATTTTTCTGTTTTTGTCTGTCAGAGCCTTGCTTTGCTTTGGCATAGGTAGTTCCTATCATACATGTAGAATTGGTGAGTTGATGGCTATATCAGGGAGTACTTGGCTAGTAAGAGAAGAAGCCAAACAATTAGTTGCTTTCTCAACATGATGCCACACAACCAGTGAGCAGAATTTTGCGCATAGCAGCCACATTCCCTCGGTCATTAGAGTACTGCTACTACTTTGTGCTCTTGAGGGAGAACATCTTCCTCTGAAAAAACTGTAAGAAAACATGCAAAAATAAAGGAAAAACAATAGCAAACTGTGCTGAGCTTTCTAAAATTTTGTTCTTGTATTCTATCTCTTGAGATAATTATTTAAAAATCTGGTATCTTTATGAAGCTTTTAGACATGTATTATGCATTTTTGAGCATCTCTACCCTGACACTAATGCCATACCTATGTGAGGAAAACACAGATTTGAAAAAACTGAATGCCTGGCATCTTCAGCTATTTTTCTTTTACTTATTTGATTTTTATGAAAAGCGTTTGTGTAAAAAGGTCCAAACACCCACACTGACCCTAAGTGGGTCAGTTCTCAGTCACTGTCAGTCTCATGTTGTTCTTTACATTGTTTGAGAAATTGAAGATAATGATTGTGGTACTGCAGCTACCGTAAAAAGCATCTAAAGCTAAACTTTCATGGAAAAAAAGATTCCTTTTCACACTGAGTGAAAAATATAAGAATTTTCTGTTAACAAAGCGTATTTTTAGGAAACATTCATAAGTAGCAACTTTACAAAAACATTTTCTGATGCCTGCAGTTTTTAAACTTTTTTTTCTTTTTGCCACTATTTCTCAAGTCTTTTGATTGGTCATTGAATAACTAATGTTTGTGCTAAATTCTCACAAATTCTACCAAAATCCTAAACTATCCTGATGTGTCATGTGAATCCACATGTCTCAGAAAAATATTATCTCATACATATATGAGCTAGATTGATAGGAAGAATACATATTTGAAGGAATAGAAAGAAATGTTCATGTTAGAATGCTTGTAGTGATTTGAATTTGATTTTCAGATCAAAGAACACTGAAATATGTATTTTTGAAGTATAATCAACAAGAATAATGCATCTAAGTGTAGCTATTTCAAAAGCCAGAAAAGATAATACAAAAGAAAAGATGACATATGTTTTTGACCAATGCAATTTCAAAAAGCAGTAATGGAACTACAAGGGTTTATAATAATGGGATATTATGTGTAATTTCACCATTTACTAATTTTCTATAACAAGGAGAATGAGAAGGCATGGTTTCTGTTTTTTTTTTTCTTTCTTTTTTTTTTTTTTTGAGACAGAGTCTCGCTCTGTCACCCAGGCTGGAGTGCAGTGGCGCCATCTCCATCACTACAAGCTCCGCCTCCCGGGTTCATGCCATTCTCCTGCCTCAGCTTCCTGAATAGCTGGGACTACAGAGAAGGCATGGTTTCTAAAGTGAAGAGATTTATTTTATTCATAGAAGAATTTAATTGCAAAATGTTTGCTAAATTCAAATTTACTGAGAGCTAAAGTTAGCTTTTAGTTGTTCATACTCAATATCCATGATAATCTCTTAAATCAATTGGAATTGTAATTCTTAAGAAGAATTTGCTAGGAAATGCAATTTGGATGAGAAGTCTAGAAATCAATATGCTAGCATTAAACCAGGTCTCATCTCTCTTTTCTTAAATTTTTCTGTTTTATTTCCTGTTTTCCTGAACTTTTTAGTTACGGTTCTTATTTTATTTAGACTTTTTGTTTACTTATGGAAACAATATTATTAGAAGAAGCATTGCTATGTACATTACACACTCCTGATTCAGTTGCACAAGCTTTACAGTCAGCCTGTTCTCAGCTCTAAAATTACATTTGCTTCACTGAATTATTTCTCTTTCGCAAGGCCCCTGATGCCAAAGTACAGCCCTGAAATGGAAGTTTTGAAAGAGCTAATCATGAATCATAGTGGTTGGAATAACTTGGAATACATTGATGAAAAACATACAGCAGCTCTTTAGGGTTGCGATGGAAAAAAAAAAAGGTCTTTGATGAACTAGTTTGATGTGTGGTTTCAAAACTGGTTGGTAACAGAACAGTCATATAGCTAGAGAGAGAGAGAAAAAAAAAAGATGAAGTTTTTCCCAGAAAATCTTGACAACTTCAGGGAGGAAACTTTGTATTCCCTTTCAGGATTCGTGGGAAGGAATCCTGACTTGTTCAAAGACTGGTTTTTATTTTACAGTCCATTAATCATTGAGTACTAATGGGCTGTGGAGTAGGAACCCGGGGTCACCCAGCCAGAAGACTGCCCATGATTATGACAGCATGGCAGAGGTCTTCAGCTGAGGGTGGCCAACCCAGTCACAGGGAACCTTATCATTAGTCATCATAATGGGTCTAGCTTGACATACCCTGAGCTTTCAAGGGAAGCAGTGTTCAAACTTTTAAGTCGCCTGGTGTAACTATTCAATTCAAATAACATATTTTTCTAGATTTTTCAGTTACGAAAGGTGAGAAGAATACAAGATAATGAAATCAAAATGTACAATAATGTTCCCTCTTCCTAAATAATTTTCAGTTAATACTACAAAAATATTATAGATTTGACAGAAAAAATATTACTTTTTCCAGGTTAAACATACATTCACATTTAGTGTACTACAGATATTTTTCTTTTTTGGTTGCCCTCCAGTTCTTCTCTCTTTTTCTTATTCCTCCCTGAACTCAATCTGCAGACATTGTCAATAATAAATGTTATATAAACTTGGTTTTCAGAATTCTTATGGTTACAAATCCTGTCTGTAAAAACAGGACAGAAGAGTACTGTAACATGATCCATATGATAGTTGAATATTGCTTATAAAAACAACATTAAAAATCTAGTGCTTTCTTTCCTTGTAAGAAACATATCTCTTCAGATGGAAATTATTTATAAGTACCAGAAAAGTGCCCAGAATTGAATGCCTTTCAGACAATAGAAAAAATTTTCTGATATTTGACAGTTTTATTTAATGGTTTTGGTGATAGTTTCAATGTTTTAAAATTTACCACCAATTTCTATTTTTTTGTCCTTACATAAAGATGTATAGAATATATTTATAGAAAACTTGGTGTTTAAATTTTAACACATGTAAGTTGAGATTTTATTAATTTAGAATATATTGTCTTTCATATAGCACTTAACAGGAAGCTTAATTTTGCAATTTGTGATTACAAGTTTGGTACACAAAATGAATGCCACAGGGTAGATTGACAAGAAAATATTCTAAAATAATTAAAATATAAAGATGCTTTTGGAGATCCTTGTGAACTTTGTAAGCATCAAGTACTTATATATAATTTATTTCCTAATTATAAACCATTTTCCTATTCACACAAATACATCTAAAAACCTATAATAGACCGTGTTAACCTTCCTTTAAGGTATAATTTTTTGATATATGTGAAAATTCTGACATTTCTCCTATTTGGATTAATCTTCCTCACTGAGCATCCCACTGATTAGTCTATCTAGAACCAAATTTGAAACTTACTTTGATGTTTTGTGAGGACGACTTGGCCCAGATGAAAACCAAAACTAAGAAACTGTCAATTTAGGTTTGTTTTTGTTCCCCCTGAGAAAATTTCTTTGACTATGACAGTGATAGTTTATATTGTCTGGTGTGCATTTTAATTGTCCTTATGTAACACCATACAGACCCTAGAGGACTCTATTTAGGCAGTATCAAGGCTTGAATCAGATCCTCCATTTGCCAGAACTTTGATTACCCTCTAATCCACATGAAGGCAGGATCTGATAAAATGGAATCTGTGTTCTTAAAATTCAAAACTTCATTCATATAAGGAGGGCCATAAACAACCAGAAGAGATATAGATTTATGTAGGGGATGAGCATTATGTAGGCCAGGGGTCCCCAACCCCTGGGTCATGGCTTGTTAGGAATTAGGGCTGCACAGTAGGATGTGAGCTGTGCTTGAGTGAGCAAAGCTTCATCTGTATTTATAGCCATTTCCCATTACTTGCATTGCTGCCCGAGCTCTTCCTTCTGCCAGATCAGTGGTGGCATTAGATTCTCATGGGAGTGTGAACCCTATTCTGAACTGTGCATGTGAGGGGTCTAGGTTGCCTGCTTCCTATGAGAATGTAATGCCTGATAATCTGTCATTGTCTCCCATCACCCCCACTTTGGGACTGTCTAGTTGTCTAGTTGCTGGAAAACAAGCTCAGGGCTTCTACTGATTCTATGTGATGATGAGTTGCATAATTATCTTATTATATATCACAGTGTAATAATAGAAATAAAGTGCATAACAAATGTAATGTGCTTGAGTCATTCTGAAACTATCCCCTGCCACACCCATCCATGTAAACATCCTCTTCCATGAAACTGGTCCCTGGTGCCAAAAAGGATAGGGACCTCTGACCTAGATTGTAATGTGGCCTCTAGACCCTAGGCAATGCTGGTCCTTAGATCAAGTGGCTTCCAGGTAAAAACCACCTTGTACTAGAATTCTTCACTGGAAGAGTTTCAGCTTATATATTTTTTCCCCTGCAGAGTTACCTTTTGCCTCTCCCATCTCCCTGACAACTATTTCAATTGCTTTTGGACATCCTGGTTAAAGTTTATATAACTCACTAATGCGAGTGCTGGTATGTTACAAAGTCTACCTAAAACAAACAAACTCAACAGATAAATTATAGGTGAATGAAGGAATACTTGTTGTATTTGTAAAAAGGTTTCACTACAGGATTTCTCTAAATATTTCTCTAAGGCAATTGGAATAATTCAATTAACTTAAAAAGACTTTCAGAAGGATATCCATAGTTAGTTGTAGTTAATTCTTTTCATGTTGATATTAGCACAGTGGTGATATTTTGAAATACCATTAAAACTAAGTGAGAGCTTTCCAAGTCCTCTCAATGTTTATAATTTGTCAGAATTAGATATTTCATGCAATTACTCAAAATTGTTCATGAGTATCTACCAAAAAACAGTGACAGAATACAAAACAATATGCCAACATTAACTAACATTTTTGTAGTATTTTATGTATTATTTTCACATGCAATAACTTGACCTCTTAGAAATATATATTTATATATATTTATATATGTATATATATTTTTATATATAGTATAAATATATATTTATACATATTTATATACATATATAAATATATATTTATACTATATATAAATATACATATATTTTTATATATATATAAATATACATGTATACATGTATATACATGTATATTTATATATATATAAATATACATGTACATTTATATGCATATAAATATACATATACATGTATATGTATATAAATATACATATACATGTATATGTATATAAATATACATATACATGTATATGTATATAAATATACATATACATGTATATGTATATAAATATACATATACATGTATATGTATATAAATATATACATAAATATACGTATATATTTATATATATAGAGAGATATATAGAGATAGATAGATTAGAATATTTTTGGTAGAAGTGGGTTTTCGCCATGTTGGCCAGGCTGGATTTGAATTCCTGTGCTCCAGCAATTCATCCGCCTAAGCCTCCCAAAGTGCTAGGATGACAGGTGTGAACCACTGCACCCAGCTGATTTCAGGTATATTAAAAACTTGTAAGTTAATATTGACTTTTGGCAGAATTTTAGGAAAGACTGTTAAACATACTTTTCATATAAGTTAAGATGGCTATAAGTAATAGAAATATAACTATTGTTACTTAATCCAATGATAGTTTATTTTTTAATGCAAAAAAAGAACTCTGAGGTAGTCTAGATCTTCCTGCTGACTGTATGGTGCCAAAAGTGATCTGGCTCCTCATTTGTGGTTTCTTTTTTATATTTATAATATTGCTGCTCTACTTCCAGGCATCATGTCTATAAAAATTGCTTACCAATTCAGTGGGCCACTTTTTATCGGGAAAATAAAACAGAAGTAATCTGCTTGCATGTTGTTAGCCAAGACAATATCACATGGCCACGCTTCTGACACACATCATATCTTCTGAATAACAGCTCACAATTTTCTATTTCTTAACCCCTGCTTTGTCTTGACCAAACTTTAGTCAGGCTTCTCTCTTTCCCACAAGCCGCTGTACATCAGCTTGCCCCCAACCCTGAATGAGCCCTAAAATGCAGAACATGCCCCCTTATCAGTGTATCCTGGGAATTGACTGACCATAACAAGACGTATTTCTAGTCAAACCTCCAAACATGTGGTACTTACTCTCTCCTTTGCCTCACTTCCCCTCACCTACCACTCAGCCCTCCCTATAAAAGAAGAGACTTTCTTTGTGATTTTGAGATTCTTGCAGATTTCTGGAATCTGGGAGTTCTCCATTTTGCAGTAGTCTTTCTTCCAAATAAAGTCTTTCCTCATCTAAGTTTGGATTTGCTTTTATTTGTCACTTCAATTTCTGGTCTTGAGAGTAAGGAGAAAGGGGAGAATCATAATTGGATATTAAAGAGTCCACACGAAATGTCTCAGTTTGTAAGTACTTAGCAGGGTTTAAGGTGAAGCTGCCTCAAATATTTGCCAGCATTATTAGCTAAGAAAGTCGTTTCTTCATTGGAAAGAGGCTTGACCTAAATCACCTGAATGTTACTCTCCAAATCTAGCAGAGTGTGATTCTAAGCATGGTTTACACAAAACCTCAACTGGGTTTGCAGGTAGAGATCATATCTCATTTTATCTTATTATTTATTTATTTATTTATTTTTTGAGGCCGAGTTTCGTTCTTGTTGCCCAGGCTGGGGTGCAATGGCACGATCTCGGCTCACTGCAACCTCTGCCTCCCAGGTTCAAGCAATTCTCCTGCCTCCGCCTCCCGAGTAGCTGGGATTACAGGCATACACCCCTACGCCTGGCTAATTTTTTGTATTTTTAGTAGAGACGGGGTTTCTCCATGTTGAGGCTGGTCTCGAACTCCTGACCTCAGGTGATCCGCCCTCCTCAGCCTCCCAAAGTGCTGGGATTACAGGCGTGAGCCACCGCGCCCGGCCTTTTCATATCTCATTTTAATCAGACAGTTTATAAACAAAATTTAAATTGTACTTTAATAATGTGTAGAATTTTAATAGTTGTGATAATAGTGATAAGAATTTAGACAGAAAAATATTCAGGATTTACAGTTTATTGAGATGTTGTCTGTGGATTTTGTGTTTAACCACCAATGCTTTCTCAAGTCCCCAGATTTTATAAGGGGAACAACTAAAGTCAAGATTCCCGTATGTGTCGGCTTTGAACCCAAAAGACACATTTAAAAAAAAAATTTATTATTTCTATTTTAGTTTAGTCTAGACTTGGCAGAACATAAAGCTAATATGTGATTTTCTCTTCTCTTGATTCAGGATGCAGTGTGATAAAACTCTTATCTTGAGCTAATCAAAAATAATCTAAGTCATCCAAAAGTGTCAAATATCTAATAATATTTGGAAATAGGGTGAGAAAATAATCCCTCACTAATTATGGAAAAATAATCCTGCCTTATGGATACTTTGAAAGGTTCTAATACTATATTCAGATAGAAAATATATATGATTCAATGTCTTAGATGTGAATCCAATATTCAAGAATATAACTGACTGCTAAAGAAAATACATTAACATACTTGAAAAATATTATTTTCCTTAAAATTAACCTCACTTTGCTTGATAGATATTTTTTAGTCATGTTAGCTTATGGCTCTATTTAATTGCTTTCCAAATGACTGAAAAAATATTGGTCCCGATTTTATATACCTATCTTGATATGTATATGTTGACATAATTATGTTAATAAAAAAGGGAGCAGAAAATTATTCTGGTAATTTTTAAGGATTTTAATCTCACTGTACGATTCTCCTTGTATACTTTTAAACAGACTTTAGTATTTCCTTGTCAAACAGCAAATGTTTTTAGTCAGATACTCTACATGAAAAACTTTGGCTTTGGTTCGAAAGAATTAATACTTGTGTCAAACTTTTACTTATGAAAAAGCATTAAGAAGTTTATTTCATTGATTCATGAAGGAAGATGTATTTTTCTCTGCAGAAAAACACAGTTCTTTGTATTGATTTGTCTTTGTTTTGAAAAGTTAAAGAAAATACAGGAGAGTACAGTAAATATGACAAATACCGGTGTACCCACCACACAGAATTGGCCAATATTGACATGCTATTGTTTTGCTTTATGTATAAATATGAATCTGAATCTAATGTATTTCCCCAGTTTTTTACATTTTGTGTCCTTTAATAACATCTTACAATTTTTTCTTTGGTGGTCTCACAGTTTTTGTTAGCTTTATTCCTAAAGGTACTACAGATAAATCTAATTTTCATTGCTATTGTGAATGTGTGCATTTTGAATAGCATTTTCAATATGTTGGGTTTCTTTTTTTTTTTTGGAGATGGAGTCTGGCTCTGTCGCCTGGGCTGGAGTGCAGTGGCGCGATCTCGGCTTCCTGCAAGCTCCGCCTCCTAGGTTCACGCCATTCTGCCTCAGTCTCCCGGGTAGCTGGGACTACAGGCACCTGCCACCACGCCCGGCTAATTTTTTTGTATTTTTAATACAGACGGGGTTTCACCGTGTTGGCCAGGATGGTCTTGATCTCCTGACCTCGTGATCCGCCCGCCTCGGCCTCCCAAAGTGCTGGGATTACAGGCATGAGCCACTGCTCCCAGCCAGTATGTTGGGTTTTTTATACAGCAAAAGTACTAAGCTCTTTTAGGTTGAATGCCGTCTATAATTATTTTAGATTTTCTATGTAAATAAAAACTATTTTGTTAATTATTTTACAATTTGTATGGATAACTTTTATTTTTCTTGAATTACATTATTGACCAGGACATTTAATGCAATGTGCAATAATTGAATGATAATAAAACACTTGTTTCATTTATGACATTAGTGGGAATAGTTCTTATATTTTACTTTTAAGAATAATATTTCTATGGATTTTTAGTAACATTTTATCAAATGAAGATGTTCCTTTTGACACCCAATTTGTTAAGAACTTTTTCTTTTTTTTTTTTTTTAATTATTATACTTTAAGTTTTAGGGTACATGTGCACAATGTGCAGGTTAGTTACATATGTATACATGTGACATGCTGGTGCGCTGCACCCACTAACTGGTCATCTAGCATTAGGTATATCTCCCAGTGCTATCCCTCCCCGCACCCCCCACCCCACAACAGTCCCCAGAGTGTGTTGTTCCCCTTCCTGTGTCCATGTGTTCTCATTGTTCAATTCCCACCTATGAGTGAGAATATGCAGTGTTTGGTTTTTTGTTCTTGCGATAGTTTACTGAGAATGATGATTTCCAGTTTCATCCATGTCCCTACAAAGGACATGAACTCCTCATTTTTTCTGGCTGCATAGTATTCCATGGTGTATATGTGCCACATTTTCTTAATCCAGTCTATCATTGTTGGACATTTGGGTTGGTTCCAAGTCTTTGCTATTGTGAATAGTGCCACAATAAACATACGTGTGCATGTGTCTTTATAGCAGAATGATTTATAATCCTTTGGGTATATACCCAGTAATGGGATGGCTGGGTCAAATGGCATTTCTAGTTCTAGATCCTTGAGGAATCGCCACACTGTCTTCCACAATGATTGAACTAGCTTATAGTCCCACCAACAGTGTAAAAGTGTTCCTATTTCTCCACATCCTCTCCAGCACCTGTTGTTTCCTGACTTTTTAATGATTGCCATTCTAACTGGTGTGAGATGATATCTCATTGTGGTTTTGATTTGCATTTCTCTGATGGCCAGTGATGGTGAGCATTTTTTCATGTGTTTTTTGGCTGCATAAATGTCTTCTTTTGAGAAGTGTCTGTTCATGTCCTTCGCCCACTTTTTGATGGGGTTGTTTGTTTTTTTCTTGTAAATTTGTTTGAGTTCATTGTAGATTCTGGATATTAGCCCTTTGTCAGATAAATAGGTTGCGAAAATTTTCTCCCATTTTGTGGGTTGCCTGTTCACTCTGATGGTAGTTTCTTTTGCTGTGCAGAAGCTCTTGAGTTTAATTAGATCCCATTTGTCAATTTTGGCTTTTGTTGCCATTGCTTTTGGTGTTTTAGACATGAAGTCCTTGCCCATGCCTATGTCCTGAATGGTAATGCCTAGGTTTTCTTCTAGGGTTTTTATGGTTTTAGGTCTAACATTTAAGTCTTTAATCCATCTTGAATTGATTTTTGTGTAAGGTGTAAGGAAGGGATCCAGTTTCAGCTTTCTACGTATGGCTATCCAGTTCATAATGGGATGTCAGATTTTTCTAATGATTTTTTCTCTGCCCAATTTTTTAAAATCATGCATTGATTCAGTTTAATGGATTAACATTTTATATGGATTTGCTAATTTAAACAAATGATGTACTATTCTTGCAATCTTAGAATAAAGACTTTTTTGGTATTTTTGAGGTTTTTAAAAATATTACATTGTATTGAATTTGCTTTTTATGTTTTTAAAATTTTTATTTCATCTTTTTAAAGGTGATATTTAACGATGATTTAATTTTTATACTGTTGCTGTCTAATTTTATCACATATGTTAGGTTCATAAGATTAAAATAGTTTTCCATAATTTTCTTACCTCTAAACTGTACTGGAGTTGTTCCATGGACCTGAAGTTTTAGTTGTGCTAGGCGAATAAGTTTTGGAAATCTGCTGTACAACATAGTGCCTTCGGTTTACAATGAAGTGCTTTAGCACACTTCAAAGTTTGTTAATTTTGAATGTCAAAGTATCCTTAGAACAAAACATTCACAAAAACACAAGTGTTTTTTACCATGAAAACAAAGACAAAGGGACACAAGAAATCTCTAGAAAGTATTGGATATATTCATGACCTGGACTGTAGTGATGGTATCACAGGAGTTTGTATATGTCCAAATTCACTAAATTGTACACATTAGGCATTGCATGTGCAGTTTTTGTATGTCAATTATACCTCCATAAACATGTTAAAAATTTGTTTTGGTGATAGTAGGGTTATTTGTGCCTTTTAAGATATGGTAAAACTTACCTAAGAAATGATCTGGGTCTGTGGCCTATGTTAGAGAAAGTTTTTTATTCTCCAAGTGATACAATGTTTCAGAGAATACTAGTCTATTCAGTTTTTCTATTTTCTAAATCAGTTTTGGTAACTTATTTTTATTCTACAAAATTGCCTGCTCTTATGTTTTCAGTTATATTGGCATAAAGTTATTTTTAATACATTTATATAATTTAAAAATCCCTAATATACTGTCATTGCATTGACCCTTTAAATTGCTAATACCATTTTAGTCTTACTAGAGGAACCCAAGTCTAAGATTGTTACACGTGAAATTCTTCTAATTACAATAATTATTTCAGGAATGGACACATACCCTAATGTACAGCAATGATTAAGGGAGAGAAGTTTTCTGGAGCTTCTGGAAATTGTGGCCTTTCCTATAAGAGATAGACACAAAAGGAGACGGACTCTTTTCTCTGAGCATTTTTTAGTACAAATCTGTGCCCCCAACCTACACTAACTTTATTCATACCATCCTAATTAGAAAAGCCACCCCAAAAAGATTTTTAAAGATAGGTATAATTTAGGGAGATTTAACTTCAGTTACTAGATTAAATCAAAGATCTGACTTTGAACTCTAAGATAGATAGGTCAAAAAGTTATTTATCATTTGAGCTATTTTGTGGTAGGTTTTTGCTTAAATTCTAACTGTTGCATCTATATTATTTCCTTTCTTATATGTTCTTTAGGTTTACTTTATATTTTTGTCCTCAGACTTCTTTGGTAATGTTTCCACATAGTTCATTGTCTATATAATAAATGTGTACTGAGAAATTGGTCAGTAAATGTTTTTCATGAGAATGAAGAAGACCATTATTTCTACCTCTCTTTATTGCCCACATATTTGTAAGTTCTACTTCAATACCTCTCAAAGCCACTGGCTATTCTCCCTTCTAGTTGAGGCCATCGCAATCTCTAGTTTGATTGATTGTAAACTCACAAATTCCTTGACTCCAAGATAGCTACCCTCCTTTCCATTATCAATGCTGCAGCTAGACAAATTGTTCTGAAGTACATATATGTATCTGCTACTTTTCTGCTTAAAATCTTTTAAAGACCAAGTTGTCAGGGAATTGGATTGAAAATAAGAGAAACCAACTCTGGCTAACTTGAGCAGAAATGGAATTCATTTTAAGAATATCGAACAGTTGATACAATCAAGGCTCAGAAAATGTGTGGAACGAAAGGAATACAAGGTGGAGTCATGACTATGTCACAGGCACAGTCTTCCCGGATTGACTGAGTTTTGACCTATTGTAGGACACTAGCTATTCAGGGTTTAGGAGAGGGAATATCTGCCTACTGTTCATGTTAGACATAAGAATCCTTGATTTGTCAATATGGCAAATAAAAATTAACAGGTACTCATTTTCTCCAGTCCAAACTCCACGATGTGGCTTATAGAAGAAATGTATTGAATTACCCATGTTTTTCTTTCTTCTGGAATGTTCTTCTAGCTGACTGTCACTCATCTTCCAGTTCTGAACTTAGAATTCACTTCCTCTACTGTAAGCTTTCCCTATCCTTTGTATTCAGGTTGGGTGTTCTATGTTCTCGTAAAACAAACTGCAGTTAAAATGCCTTATTAGCCGGGTGTGGTGGCTTATGTCTGTAATCCCAGCACTTTGGGAGGCTGAGGAGGGTGAATCATTTGAGGTCAGGAGTTCAAGACCAGCCTGGCCAACAGGGTGAAACCCCGTCTCTACTAAAAATACAAAAACTAGCCGGGCATGGTGGCAGGCACCTGTAATCCTAGCTACTCAGGAGGCTGAGGGAGGAGAATTGCTTGAACCCAGAAGGCAGAGGTTGCAGTGAGCTGAGATTGCACCACTGCACTCCAGACTAGGTGACAGTGCAAGACTTTGTCTCAAAAAAAAAGTCTTATTTTATGTATTTTATTCTTTCACTGGACTTGATACTCTCCTCTATTCTGCCTCATTTTATTCTTTGCACATAAAATGGTACGTGGCACAAGTAGACACTGAATAAACATGTATTGAATGAATAAATGTGCAGACATTTAATGGAATTCTTAGAAAAAATCTGGTATATAATAATGCTATATATTCTTGTTATTTTCTTAGAAAAACTCTGGTATATAATAATGCTATATTTTCCTGTTATTTTCTTTTTTCTCATTGCTAAAGTAGAGTGTTCTTTGAGATTTGTTGACAGTAAGACTTGGATTCTGATGTGCTAGAGGTGAACCTAGGGCATAAATCCTGACAGCCTTTGATACTGACTGCTCTTTTACTACAGTAATAATTATATTTTGGTAATGCCTCTTAGGATTTCACTTTCCATTTGGCTGGAAAACCTACTGTGAGCTCAGGATGTAGCTGTAGTGCTTGATAGTATACATAATGTAACAGTCTTTGTTCTCTGAAATTATAGCTCCTCCTGGTGTACTGGTGGGGGGTCCCACTAATTGTGTACAGATTTCTCTAAATTTATCATTTCGATCCCAACATGTTTTGTCTGATTCACTGATAAATGATAGCCTTTTAAAATCTTAATACATGAACATTCAACTCTTTTAAAAGTGAATTAATTGGAATATTTCTTAGTCAAAAGCTATTATTTTTAAAATAGCACTTTTTTTCTATAACTTTGAGTGTCAGCTGTCTAGTGAATAATTATGTCATCTATTTGTTCAGCCAAGTTTCACTTAATAGGCATAGATTGGAACAGGCATGGAATAGGCACACACAAATGATACCAAGATAAATAAGATCCAATTTGTTCGTTGAAGGAGGTTACAATGTAGTGAAGGAGACAGATACATAAACCATTTATTCTAAAACGAACCAACAAACAAAACTATGAGTAAAGAAGCACCAAGGAAGTGCTTATCTTATCTTATTGCAAGATAAGAGAAAGTGGCAGTTCTGTTTTTGTGATCATCAAAGATGGATAATTAAAAATAGAGGGCAGTTAAAACAAATTCCTTTGTTCCTTAAGTTGCCTAGTGCAAAAGAGATGAGACATAGAGCATTAGTGAAAACAAATTATCATTTGTATTTACCTGTGGAAATCTGATTATACTTGTGAAAGCTTTTACCTAGAGGGACCTAGAAAACATAATACATTTAAATTTACAGTGATTTATGGTGACCAAGGACATAATTTCTAAAGTAATTTAGTAATTACAGGTATTACTTTAGAGCCATTAGGCATTAACTTGAGTAATTATGGAAGAAAGAGTTTCCTGAGAATGAGTAAAGATCCCTATATTTCCTTATTTAAAAATGGTTTAAAAAAGAAAAAAAAAACAAAATGACTTGTGTTAATGGATGTATTAATCAGAATGACTAGTAAAATTGAATGAGAATGATCAGAAAAATTGCTACGAAGCAACATTTTTATTATGCTAAAACTATAACATTTTAGAGTATATACAACTTAAACATCAAATATCTCATTTATTCAATGTTTATTTTATAACAATTTTTATGAATGCTGTTTCAAACTGTATTGTTTATCTATAATTCTTCCTTTCATCCCCTCCCTTTCATGATTCGTTGTGGGCTAGTTACTTCCATGTCCCGTTGACTTTGGGCTTTGACAATAGAATGAAGGTACAGTGAGAACATGCCAGTTCTGAGTTGAAATCTCAAGAAGCATTAAATACTTTTGCTTAAGTTTTTTGGAGATTCTTCCATCTGAAATGAAAAGCATTTTCTATGGGTATTAGTGGACTAGGATAAGAAACACAAGGTTTTGGACATGATCTCCAGTCCAAAGCAGGGCTTTTTCTTGCCAACTTAAAGACCTGAAAGCATGGAAAGTTGTTTTAAGCCATGGAGGTTTGGGGGTAGCTGTATGATCTATGTCAGTAGAAACCTGACAAATGCAGATAGTTATTTCACTGCCTCTCAAATCTATCTTTGCATGAGGAAAATGAAGAGAAAAAATTACAATAACACTTTCTCTGTGGTAGACACTGTTTTAGATATGTAATATGTATTGTATAGTTTAGTGATTAAAATCTCAGTTTAATTCCCAGCTTCATCACTTACTATCTATATGTCCTTAGAAAAGTTACTTAATATCTTAATGCCTAGTTTCTCTTTATTA
This sequence comes from Homo sapiens, assembly GCF_000001405.40. Lineage (NCBI taxonomy): Eukaryota > Metazoa > Chordata > Mammalia > Primates > Hominidae > Homo > Homo sapiens. The sequence goes on from NC_000012.12 coordinate 78,304,016, forward strand.
AATAGAAAAAATAGACTCTATCTTACTGGCTTTTATTAGGGTTTCTATGAAATAAAACAAGGCAACTATTTGCCAATTACATAATAAGTACTCACCAACTAGTAGCAAATACTACGTTAATACTCTATCACAGGCCAGTAAGGCAAGTTTTATTAAATCATTTTTAAAGATTTACAAAATAAGGTTTAGTAATATTAACTATTCTTGTATTATTTTGGACTCATTTTTGCTTAATAATAAGGTTTATACTTGTTATGCAGACCTGTGAGTTGGATATATCTTTCTCCTACAGATCCTACATTTAAAAAAATCTTTTAGGGTTTTTTTTTTTAAAAATTCTGGTTGTTTTGAGACAAATGTTTCTAATTATACCAATATGCTCTAAAATATGTGGAAAAAACTAAAGAATGATGAAAATTTCATATGAGGAAGTGTAAAAGGAAATAACATTTAATTTGAAGAAATAGAGGGAAGGGAAAATGTGGATTCTCTTTCTGATTATATAAAACAAGTTAAGAAACTTTTGTATTTTTGTAAACATACAAAAGTAAAGAGCATCATAAACCCAATATGCCCATAACTCAACTTTAGCAATTATCAATATTTTGAAAACATTTATAAATTCAGAGGCTAATCACAAGATGTAATAAAATGAGTTAATTACACAAGTTATAAAAAGGTAAGTTATCTATTGCTATAGAGCAAATTGCCGCAAAACTTAGTGGTCTAAAACAATTATTATCTCACAATTTCCCTGGGTGTAAGATCTAAGTTTAACTTTGCTGAGTGCCTCTGCTTCAAGGTCTCTCAGGATATTTTGGTCAGCCTGCTAGACAGACTTGTGGTCTCCTCTGAAGGTTCAAGTGGGAGAAGATTTACTTCCAAACTCACTAACATGGTTATTGGTGTAGGGGTTAAAGAGGAAAGAAACATAAAAAGCGGCTCAACAGTTAAAGATAGGTTTATTTTGGATAACAAACCTGAGAGGGGCTTCTGGCCGATTTTGGTCAGGAGTGCTGTCTCTTACAGACTAAGGGTGTTTACTGGTTTTAGGGTGACAATGCTTATCATGGACTTCGAATGTTTCTGTGTGGGAGAAAAGTTTATTGCAGGGTTGGAATGTCTCTGGTCGGAGGGGAGTTTATCTTGGGGCTGACATCTCTCTGGCAGGAGGGGAGGTTATCTCAGAGGAGGTCATTTTATTACATCTTGTGATTAGCCTCTGAATTTATAAATGTTTTCAAAATATTGATAATTGCTAAAGTTGGGTTACGGGTATATTGGGTGTATGATGTTCTTTACTTTTGTATGTTTACAAAAATGCAAAAGTTTCTTAACTTGTTTTATGTCTCTGGTTAGGGGCGGGGTTTATCTTAGGGTTGGAATGTTTCTGGTCAGAGATGTCATTTGTGGCTTATGGTCATGCTAACCTTAGCCATTAGGCTGATGCCCTTTGGATTTAGGCAGTTTTTGATCAAGGTGAACTTTAAAATGGTGGTGCTTGTCCAAGATGGCAATGCTCCTTCTCTGTCAATTGGTAGGATTCGTTCCTCAGAGTATTCAATTGCTTGATGGCTGTTGGTAGGAGACAGTTCTCATTTCCTTAGTTTCTTACCATTCTCTGGCTAGAGACCTTCCTCATTTCCTTGCCACCTAGCTTTCTCCATAGTGCAGCTTGCAACATGGAAACTGGCTGCCCTCAGAACGAAGGAGTAAAAGAACAAGAGAAAACAAGCACCCAATATGGAAGCTATAGACTTTTTTAGAACCTAATCTCAGAAAGGACCTTCTCAATACTTTTCCTATTTTCTATTTGTTAGAAATGATTCAATAAGTCTAGTTCACACTCAAGGGAAGAGACACCAAGGTATAGAGACCAAGAAGCAGGATGTTGGCAGTCAACAGAGGCTGCCATCTACAGTTTAGGAATCATGTTAAAGTAGATGTTGTCTAATAAACCAGTTTTACAAATTCATGGAATGGGCATTAAGCAAGATTCTCCTCTGACCTATATAAAGAACTGTATGGTTGACAGATGCAACGGTGCTCTGGGCCTGGTTGTGGAATTACAGTCACAAAACTCTCTGTAAGTACATGATTATCATTAGTCAACTAAATTAGTGTTTTTCAATCAAGGATCCATAAAATGCTGTGCTTTAAATAAATACTTTTAGCAAATACTAGAAGCAAAATTCTTTGCTTTTAGAAACATGAGGGTAGATAGTCTACTGGAATTGGGAAATTAGATCATACATATGATTATAAAATTTGAAATATGATCCAGGTAAGAAAAATTATGATTCATAAAATCTATTCTTTTATTGGCCTTTTAGACAGTTGCATCCAAGAAAATCTTGTTAAATGAATCTCTAGATGAATGAATAAATGAAACTTATTTGCCTATTATGCATGCCAATAGGATGAATATCATTTAGAATTCTTATCTCTGGCATCAGTCATCTGAAGAATGAGGTTTTTATTGAATTGAAACTAATTCTAGCTGCTATGTACTCTTACAAATTTTGCAGGGACTGGAATATCTAGTAATTGGCCCTGAGGTTTTTTTTTTTCTTTTTAAGTATTTTTCTTTAAAATAAATACAGATTTTTCTATCTGCATTCCTATAAATCATCTTTCAAATTTATTGACATTTTGGTTGCATTTGAATAACAAAAAAATTTTCCTTGAATTGTGAATGGATAAGTTTGCATCCAGGCCTCAGAGCATAGAAGTAATTATTCTATTACATGTTTTCCCAATGATCGATGACATTGTGAAGTTAGATTTTCACTTTCCAGTGCAAAATCAATTTTTCAACTAGGGTAACCTGCAACTATAATGAGTTTGGAAAAATCTTTTCTGGTTTCATGCTGAGATTCCATTAGCTGCATTTAGAGATTGCTATATACACAGATGCACAGTACCAATGGAATGCTGCTTTTTGTAGTTGCCCCAAAGCATTTAGTGGCATAAAGTTTGAATGGGTGTCCTGAAATTACAGCCTTTGGAGAGCCTTAAGAGGCTAGGAACAAATGTTTTAGTGTCAATTAATGTAGATGTATTAAAATCTGTAAGCTTATTTCTCCAGAGTAAATATTTTGCTTGAGGAACTTCCAGAAATAATAGGCTATGGATTCTCCAACTAAAAGTGCTCCTAAAATGTTTACGTGGAAAGGAAGCTAACACATTAGTGGGGGGTTTTTTTTTAATATATTCAACAAAGCCCAAGCAAAATATATGTAGCACACTTCCAAAACTAAAGAGAAATTAACATTAAATTTTATTTGAAAGTTGCAATACGTTAATAGAAATAATTTGATTTATATTGTAGCAGTGTGAATTGCTTCACTTAATAAATATTCAAAACTGAGTCAATCAAGAGTTTTAAAGTAATATTGACAGTAACATTTATAATTCCCATGAAAAATATTCAAGGAGTGAAATCTCAAATATCTATGGTTATGATAAAATAATTTTATACAATATTTTTTCAATCTCTTTTCTAGCCTATATCTTTTTGGCTGTGTCCACATAACACTGAAATGTGTTTCAAAGCAAAATACTTCATCAATGTAACCCATTGCTTATGTAATGACAAAGGATCCACGGATATTTTCCACAAAATTTCTTGAAATCACCACTATTCATTCCATATATTCACACTGAGAATGTTTACAAAATTCTTCCAAAGTTGACAAAAGGGAAGTCAATTTAGTACCTCTTGGCAAAAATATAATCTAGTGCGAAGCATGCAGTGTAAAGGGAAACTTGTGAAGAAATAATGTTAAAATATCCAGAGGCGAGAGCAGAGAGAAAATTGTATATGACCTTGCATTATCCATCCAACCATAGCAGGGCTGGACAAAATGCCATTGACATTTCCCACTGGATACAACTTCATCATATTACCTATTAGGGAGGTGACAGACTTTCTACTTATGGCGCCCTTGTGAGAAACCCCCTAGGGTATTAAATTCAGTCCAGGACAACTTCATACTAGAGAAACAGAAAGACTGAAGGGGGTTTCAAGAAAAAGAACATATTATAGGAAATATCATAGAATCATAGGGCTGAAAGAGTCCCCAGAAAGTCATCTAATCTCCCAGCCTGCCTCTGGGCATGATTTAAACCATTGAATCTCCTTTGAGAAAGGAAACTGTACAGAATTTCTACTGTTTTAATATCTCAGATATATATTTGGGACATTTAACCTAGACTCATCAGACCATAACTCTTGCTGTAAACTTTTTTCTTCCTAATTGCAGGAAAGTATACAAATTTTAGGTTTAAACTCTATAATTTTTTTACAAATTCAGCGGTGGAATCACAACCTAAATCAAAATAAAAACATTTCTAGCATTCCAGATGCCTCCCACAATTCCCTATAAGTCAGTATCTACCCTACATACACACTCAACATAGCCACTGTTTTTGTTACTATACTTATTTTTTCCTACATTTGAACTTCATATAAATGAAATTATATATGTTGGTGTTTGTTTCTGGTTTTCTTCGCTCAATATTATATAATTCAGCTCAGAATAAAAAGTTTGTTCTTTTTTACTATGAGATTCCATTGTAAATATATCACTATTTACCTATTTTACTGTAGACAGACTTTTCTGCTTTGTCTATTATCAATATTATTGTTTTGAAGATTTCTGTAGATGCATTTGGCAAATGTATTTAAGAATTTCTGTTGGTTGGGAAAATATCTAGGAGTGGAATTGCTAGGTTATAGAGTATGTGTCTGATTTCTTTTAGTAGTGCCATCAAACTCTCAGTTTACCTTGTTACTCTCAGTGCATAAGAATTTCTATTGCTTCACAATCTTGCCACTTCTTGGCATTGTAAGGTTTTTTTAAATTGTAACCATTCTGGCAGAGGTGTAATGGTATTCACTGAGGTTCTAACTTGCACTTTCTTGATGACTAATGAAGTTTACTAGCCTTTTATATCCTTATTGGATATTTTGATATCTTCTTCCAAAATACCTATTCATGACTTCTGCCATTTTAAATTTTACAATAAGAAAAAAAATAAATATAATGCATGTGTGTATGTGTTTTTTTAAGATATGTCATCTTTAAGACAGAGAATCCAAGTTTGCATTGCCTGGCATATCAGTCTATGACAGCCGGGCTAAAAAAGAGAATGGAAAACCTCATGAGGATATATTTACAGGGAAAGCTTGAAATTGATTTACAGAACTTATATACACATTATATTGATTAAAATTTAATTTGGCTATGTGAATTTTAGCTAGCAAAAAAAGTAATCTTGTTGATTGGGCAGGAAGTAGAGAACACAGGTTTTGTTGAACCACCTAGTTGCTATCTGGCACACCATAAAAAACGTTTTATAGAAAAGGCTTTTTTTGAAAGCAAGGCATCTCAGTGTCATAATTGAATCAACCTACCCTGGTAACACAAGTTTAGAATGTCTCTCTGTTAGAATATAAAACTATTATGCCTCTGTATAACCATTTAAGATTTTGATATTTAAAATACATATTTAATAAATTCATTCAATCCAACCTATTTTTACATTGAACTTTTTTTCATATAAATTATTCCTGTATTGATTTCTCAGTCTTTCACAGAATCCCAGAGGTGAAAAAGACCACAGAGGTCATCTGGTCCAATCCTTATCCAATGCCTAAATCCCCTCCAGCTGGTTAAACTCATTTTTAATTCTGAAGCTATTCTCCAAGTTTCTAGTCATTTCATCAGCAAACTTAATTAACAGAGACTCTATTCAATCTATTGACTCATGAGGCCAGCTTAACAATATTAATAAATATATAATTTGGCTGACTGCACAGTGAGGTGAAAGATGTGGGAGTACTGTGCATTACCTCAATGCCTATAATTTCTTTCACAACATTACCAAGCAACGTTAGAGAATCTGAAATTCACTTTGCTGTGAAAAAAATGTGTAGTTACAACAGCATGCTATTGAGAAATCAAAAATAAAATATTGTGCTCATAAATTAAAATGTTCTAGGTGGACAAATTAACATTTCAGATGAACCACAGGAAGCAAAGAACACTTAATTCGGTAACTTTATGAAAGTTTTCTTGAAACTGTACTGTTTTTGGAAAAGTTACTATAGTAATAATAGTGGCCAAGCTGCTAATCTTGGGTGGCAATATTTGTATAAACGGCATTATGAAAGACATTCTCTAGGGTTGGGCAGTCTATAGACATTTGGTTGTAGCCAGTCTAATCACAACAAAGAGAAACATAAGTTTAAATATGTGTTATGTAATGTTTGAAATTTAAGTATAACAAAGATACCATTGAAAAGATCTGACGCCCAGTTATGAGATAGATTGAGTGACTTTATTCATATTGATGAATGTGTGCTCCTTTATCATTACCAGTATAATAATTTTCATAGTTCATACCGTATCTAGTGAAGATCACCAAGTAATCAATTGCATGTGATCAATTGCATGCCTCTTTTCCGAAAAGAGGCACAATAAAGACCATACAATAATTGATAAGTTTTGTTGAGAATTACCAATAATGCAAATTGTGATTATGAAGAAAACCTCATTAACTTTTAAGTTTTGTATTGTTAGAGTTTTTGGTGCCTTCAAAGGTGGCTTTCACAGACACAAAAAAATTATTCAGAGATCAAATTTGATCTTAAATATTTATAGTTGATTTAATAAAGAAGCTAGTTTTTTCTTAAGATTTTAAGCATAGCTTATAAATATTGCTATTTTGATTGTAAGTTTAGCAAATATGAACAATCACTTTTAAGGGGAATTTTGATTGACATTTGATCCTTTTCATAAACTTAGAATGTTAGTTAACTTTAAATATTTTAAACTGTAATTATAAACTTTAAAATATTAAATTCCTTCTTTTTTATTATACTTTAAGTTTTAGGGTACCTGTGCACAACATGTAGGTACATGGATGAAGCTGGAAACCATCATTCTCAGCAAACTATCGCAAGGACAAAAAAACCAAACACCGCATGTTCTCACTCATAGGTGGGAATTGAACAATAAATTCCTTCTTTATGTACTTCAATTACCTAAGTAACAAAGCTTCTCATTTATTCCAATTAATTTAGGAGTGTCTCCAGAAAGGATCATGTCAGGGTTATTTTCTTAGTTAACTGATAGGGCTTATCAATCATAAATCTAACATAATCCAGGGCTACCAACTGGGGATGCTCAGAACTCAGGTGTCTTTTGTAGTAGGTGCATGATAATTATGGACAATTAAATGAAATTCACCAGAAGATTTTATAGAAAAAAAGAAAAGTATTGTTTATAGAGCACAATACCACAATAGCAACAGTCAAAATAGCAAATAAAAATTGCTTGAACCTTATTTTAAGGTTAGCTGTAGAACTACATAAGGAGGTTACATTCTAGACTCGTAAATGAGCATATTTTCTTAGGTCGTTATTACTATAGATATAATGAAACTATTATAGAAATGATCAGATTGTTTTGGGTCAGAAAGAGGCAGCAAAACTGAAAAACATTCTTATTAAATAATGCTATTTAATTACAATTTGAATGTGGTGGGAAACCTTTATGTAAAAATAAATGACAAACTATGGTGAATTTGACTGTATTTTATAGTTGGATTATATCATTGTTGTGGTCTGAAGGTTTGTTTCTACCCAAAAGTCACAGTGGAAACCTAATTACCAATGTGATGGTATTAGGAGGCGGTGTCTTTTGGAGGTGATTAAGTCACAAGGCAGAGTCCTTTTGAGTAGGATTAGTGCCCATGTAAAAGAGGCCCCAGAGAGCTGCTTTTCTCCTTCCATCATGTGAACATAAGGTAAGAAGGTGCCCTCTATGCACCAGGAAATGGGCCCTCAACAAACACTGATTTTGTCAAGACCTTTATTTTGGACTTCCCAGTCTCCAGAACTGTGAGAAATAAGTTTCAGTTGCTTATAAGCTACACAGTTTATGGTATTTTGTTATAGTAGTATCAATAGGCTAAGACCAATATTAATATGAATTATTTGTCCATTACGTTTGCTTTTGATGTATTTTAACAATGATATTTGTGAAAACATGAAAATTTACAGAATGATAGAATATGTTAGTTGGTAAAGAAAAACATGGGATATATAATAATTTATTGATTCTTCAAAAGGTTCATTTGTTGAGAAAAATAGGGGTTAAATTTGTATGAAAAAAGACTGTGAATGGTAACCCACATTAAGGTTATTGTATACACTATTTTTCTTCAATATTGTTTAGCTATTTTCTCCCTGCATCTTCACATCATTTAAAAAATCAGTTTGTCAAATGTAAAGAAAAATATATTCTGAGTTATTAACTGAAATTTCATTGAAATTATATACCACTTTGGCAGAAATTAATATTATTGAGCATTCCAATTCATGAAATTCTGTTAAACTATTTGTGAATTACTTGTACATCACAATAAGGGTTTATAGTTTTGTGTGTACATTTATTTTCTGTATTTTGATTTCTTTTTGTGGTTTATGCTTTAGATCTAGCATACTAACCTATCTTCCAGTGAATCCTTCCTTGAGCTATGTCTAATATGCTATCACATTTATCTGAGTTATTTATTTTTGATATTTCATTTATTGTATTCTTCAGTTCTGGATTTTCTAAGGTTTTCAGAGTAATTCTGCTTCATAGATCCCAGGTATATGCTGACTTAACCTTATATATCTCAGTTTTCTTTAACATGTTAACCATAGCTATTTTGGAGTCCATGCTTGGTATCTCCAATATTGGAATCTCCCGTAGGTGTTTTTCTTTTTCACTTCTGTTTGTGGTAATTTGGTATTTTTGGCTGATGTGTCAGGCAATGTTTGATTGAATGCTGAGTATCATGTATAAAAGGTTATATACATAATTTGAGTATTTTGAAGATATTATCTTTCTTCAGTGGGGAATTTCCCTTTCCTCTGGCAGTAGTTAGACTTGGAGAATATTATGTAAGCCAAACACAGATTAAATTTATTTGAGGTTGAGTTTGTTATTGTAAAGACTCTCTATTCCTGGCTCTCCATTAATTCTCTGGTGTAACCTTTCAAGCATCTCAGTTGAAAATTTGGAGATTTTCCCATGCCCTTACCTCATTGATAGCCTCTATTTTTTTTTTCTTCCAAGCCCCTTGAAATTGCTAAAAGCTACTCAGTGGCGCATACATCACTAATGTGCTCATGAATGCTTCAAAGACGAAAGATGTACTAAGTGTCAGATTGTCCCTCTGCATTTTTCTTTAAGACCTTGGCTGTAAGTTTGGATACCTTCGTGGCTCTCCCATGCCTTCAAACTGATGTTTTTAATATATATTCAACATGTTTTATGTTGTTATCGGTGAAGGGGTTGGACTGATATAAGCTAGTTTATTATAGCCAGAATTAGAAGTGGCACTCTTCCCTCTTCATTTGAAAAAAATCTTTAGAGAATATTTACATGAGATAGTCAAAGTGACTAAGAAGTGAATCCTAGACAATCTTGGCAACTTTTTGCAGCTTCATTGTCTAACAAGAAGATGCACATTAAAATTTCCTTTAGTGATGATCTGTTTTATGCCACCTTTTTGACAGTACTCTGAGTATTTCTCTTCTGTGATCACATTAACCTGCTCATCAACTGGTAAAAATCTCTTGCCATTTTTTCCCATATACTAAATTTATACTGTGTCTAAAGTGACATTAATTTTAAGAAATACCATGTTCTATATCACAATATAAAGAAAAAATTCTATCAATTATAATTGTAAGGTGACAAAGATTGTTTAAATGCTTCTTGATTTCCAAAATGGCCATATAGTAATATAAAACTACATAATATAAAATTTCAAATAGTAAACAGTTTTTTAAGATTAAACTTAATATCTCAAAATATTGGCAAAGGAGGAAATTTGCCTGTCATAACAATCTGATATACAATGTGGGTTTTTCTCCAGTCATATTTCTGCAGTTGACAGGCATATTAAAAAGTACATTAATTAGTGGAAGACATAAGAAACTTTGAAAAATTATTTTATAATAATATAAAATGTTTTTATTTAAAAATATGTGAACACAGACATATTACATAACAGGGTACACAAAATTTTTAACACGACATATGTAAAGTTATTTTGTATGAGAATTACTAATTGTGAGTAATGGATAAATTTTGCATCCTTTTACCAATTCTTCAAAGTAGAAGTCCTTTAATACATATTGAGTGCTGGATATTTAAATGTTACTATATTACTGATAAATGAAAATATTTCTGAAACAGGAATGAAAAAGAAGGACATTGTAAGCATGCATATACCTTTTCAGTTTCTGAGTTTCATTAATTCAAGTATTTAGTGTCACTGTGTTGAAGCAGTGAGATAAACACTTAAATTACAGTTCTCCCTGGTACTGATGATACAGCTCAAGATGTATAACACACAATAATTGGAGAATCAAGAGAGTAAATATCTCATTTAAAAATATATGATGCAGGGCATAATGGGAAGAACAACATGATAAGACTATCCAGAGATCACATATTGAGAGAGGAGGCGAGAGAGAGGGGGAAGGTGGCAGGCTTTTTTTTAACAGCCAACTTTTGGGGAAACTCTCATGGGAACTGATAAGAGGGGGAGAACTCATTCATTACCTTGAGGATGTCACCAAGCCATTCATGAGGGATCTATCACCATCATCCAAACACTTCCCGTTAGGCCTCACCTCCAAAACTGGGGATCAAATTTCAACATGAGGTTTGGAGGATCAAATATCCAAAGTACAGCAATGAGATACTGCAGGTATTTTCTGAGACTTGTTGGTAATTAAATTTGTCCCATGTAGTAGCAAAGCTTTTGTTCCAAGAACCATGCAATACTGCTGAAAATTTGTTATCCTCATCTGTGGTTTCATCATAAGAACTGATACTTATTTATTAAGGGTTTTATAAGTATGAGATACACTTTAGTGTCTTTACATGTAGGAACTCATTTGTTGTCCACCACAATCCAGTTAAATAGCCTCCACCACTTCTTATACCATTTAACAGATAAGTAAATTGGCTGCAAATATTGAAATACCTTGTTTCTATTCATACAAGTAGAAACAGTGAAGCTGAGATTCAATGGATAAGTCCAGAGCCTGAATTGAGAACCTGTGTTCTAAGTTGTTGCCACTCAAGTGCAGCCCATGAACAATAAGTGACTGCATTATCTTAGAGCACGCTGGAAATGCAAACATGTTAGTTCTCACTTGGATCTGAATTTTAACAACATTGGCAAGTGATTTATAGGCACATAAAAATTTGAGAAGTACTGCACACTGCTTCTGCACCCAAGGCTTTTTTTGCGGGTGAGTTCATTCTGGGTTAAAAGTCTAAATTGCCTTATGTTCATAAAACCTTTGTTACACGTGGTTTTTCAGTTATGGACAGTTAATACCTAAATCGATAAATGTGGATAAAAATTTAAAAACTCACTTTGGATATTTTGCCTGCAGCATAAAATGTTTCTCATGCTTCTGCTTCACACATTCAACTAGGGACACCATAATTGGAGGCTATACAGCTCAAGAGATACATGACCAAAAAATATAGCACTGCTGTTTCCCAGAGGATGAGAAAAATATCATTGGATATAAGAGAAATATTTAAGGTGGTAGATGGACAAGGGGTCACACATCAAAGACAAAGCATAACTCCATTTTAAATTATCTTTCAATCCTCTGATCAAGATCAAGTATTTTTGATACTGTTTATTGCTCTTAACAGTTTTCTATCACTGCACTTTATATAAAAGGAAATAGAGAAATGGCTTTCGCACAGGCAATTATAACAAAGTAGAAGTAGGAATTTTTGTTTGGCTTTTGTTCCATTTTTACTTCTAATCACTTTATATTGATAAAGTACATTAGATTTGAAACTTCCTTTAAAATACATTCTAAGTAAATACATTCGTCAATTAAAATAATCAAGAAGATAATAGTATAGTCGATACATGCATGTGGCCAAAACTGATGGATGTGTGTTAATACTGAAGATTAACATCACTGATGTGTAGAATAATTAGTTTTTTAAATCGTAGAGAGCTAAGCGCATAAATGCAAGAATTTTAAAGAGTTTTAAACAAGTATAAGGATCCTTTTCAATTGATAGCTCTTTTATTATCCTTTATTTATAGTAGTGTGTTAGCTGAATGCCCTTCTAGGAAGGGAAGGGTCTGGGTCATCCTATGACTCCCGACTCTTCCCTCCCACCACCATGACAGCTGGCTGGCGGGAGGAACATGACAACGTTGTTGGTTGCAATTGGGACCCTATATTTCCTTTTGACAGGAGCACAGATTTCCCCTCTCTGGGAAGATCCCTAAAGACGGAAGCTAGTGAGTACTCTGCCTCAGCCCTCCTGCATTCCTGAGCTTGTCCCTTTGGGAGGAGGACCAAGAAATTCCAGGATGAGACAGAGGTACAGGATACATGACATAAAACCTCTTATTAAAAAGTCTATACAAACATTAACAACATATGTCAGTATTATTAAGGGAAAAATTATCTTTGCCATACATTGGTACTAAATAGAGTAAGGGGAAGTTTGGATTGTAACTCATAATCTTTTTCTTTTTTTAATCCAATGCACATTTAAATAACAACTAACTCCTCCTGAGAGTCACTAAGATCTATAAATCACTATATTTTTTAATGCTGAGGAAAAGAAAAGATTACCTCTAAGTGCTTCAAATCCCAGCAGTGTTTTTAATGAACCAAGTGTGTTTTAAATCAATACTTAAGCTGTGAGGTTTGTATTTTTTTATGGTGTTGCTTTTAGATTTCTGTGCCTACAAAGAGATAATAGCAAATGTCATGCTTGAAGAAAGGAAGTGACTTAGATGCCACAAATCAATAGGAAGCATTGTTCAGCTAACTATGGCAGATAAAAGTGAAAACAAATGCAATTTTCCAATCTTAAAGAAATCATTATTATGATACATCATGTGCATTTGGACATTGGAAACAGTAGCCTCTGAGCCTGGAGCTTTAGCATATTTATAGAAATCTTTTCAGGCTAATAAGAGTTGTGTATAATGCATTCCAAAACATTAAACCTGTCTTTAATTGTTAATCTCATTTATTTGTAGACAATATTATTGTGTACAAAGTGCTTTTACCTCCCATTATATTGTTTAAATCTCAGAATAACCCCGACAGGCAAAGTGGGTTTTTACTATATTCATCCTACAGATGGAAAATGGGAGACTCAAAAATAATCAATTAGCCTAAGGTCATGCAGAGTGGTGGCAGAGCACTATGGGGTGCATAATTCATGTAGAGTGTGAGGAGAGAGAATCCAATCCGTCTGTATTTCCTAGTCAAAAGCTTCTCAATGGTTATATTAAAGGGAAGGCTCTAAAAAAGGTTGCACTCAGTTTCAAATAAAGAACTAATTAGATGCAAATTAAACTCTTTAAATCTAATTTACTCAATATTAATTTATTCAACTAATATTTATTGTGTGTCTACTGTATGCTAGTCATGCTTCTGACACTGTGAATAAAATCCAAGAGAGTAGCAATCCCTGAGTTTGGGAAATTTGTAGTCTATGGTTAAGAATTTTTCCTGAATATTTATATCCAGGCTTCCGATTGAGTGGTTTGGCATTATGCGTTTATTTTTGTTGTTGTTGTATTTTATTTTTAATTGGGACATAATAATTGTACATATTTATGGGGTATGGTGTGATGTTTCAATATAAGCATACATTGTATGATGATCAAGTCATGGTATTTGGCATATCCATTACTTCAAATATAGATCATTTCCTTGTGGTGAGAACATTTCAAATTCTCTCTTCTAGTTATTTTGAAACATACAATATTGTTAACTGGAGTCACCCTCCTGTGCAATAAAACACCGGAATGTATTCCTCCTATTTAACTTATACTCATTAAACAATTTTTTCCCCATTCCATGCATACCCCCGCCCTGCATTGTGCCTTATCCCTGGTAACCACTGTTCTATTCTATGCTTCTATAAGATCAGCTTTTTTAGATTACACAAATGCATGAGATCATGGGTTATTTCTCTTTCTGTGCCTGGCTTATTTCAATTAACATAATGTCCTGTAGGTTCATTTACATTGCCACAAATGACAGTATTTCATTTTTTTTCCCCTATGGCTGTATAGCATTCCATGCTGTTTGTGTTGTATGTAAATATTGTGTATGTTTATCACATTTTCTTTATCCATTCATCCATTGGTGGACATTAGGTTGAATCCATATGTTGGCTATTTCATACCTTGCTGCAGTAAACAAGGGTGTGCAGATGTCTCCTCAACATAATTTTCTTTGGATAAATATTCAGTAGTGAGATTGCTGGATTACATGGTAGTTCTATTTTTAATTTTTTTAGGAATTTCCATACTATTTTCCATAATGACTATACTAATTTACATTTCCACCAATAGTGTATGAGGATTCCCATTTCTCCACATCCATGGCTGCATTTGTTATTTTTTGTCTTTTTGATAATAACCATTTTAATTTGAGGGAGGTGATATTTCATTGTGGTTTTGATTTGCATTTGCCTGATTATTAGTGATGATGAGCATTTTTTCATGTACCTTTTGGCCATTTGTATATCTTTTGAGAAAGGTCTATTCAGGTTTTTTGCCCGTTCTTAAATTTGATTTTTTAATTTTTTACTACTGAGTTGAGTTTCTTATATATTCGGGATATTAACCCCTTTTCACATACATAGCTTGCAAACATTGTCTCCCATTCTGTGGGTTGGCTCTTTATTCTGTTGATTGTTTTGTTGTGCAGAAGCTGTTTTGTTTGATATAATCTTATTTTTATTTTTTGTGACTTATTCCATTGAGTTCTTTATCCAAAAAAATATTGGCCCAGACCAATGTCATGAAATGTTTCTTTGATGTTTTCTTCCAGCAGTTTTATAGTTTCAGGTTTTACATTTAAGTTTTTAATTCATTTTGACTTGATTTTTATGTCTGGTGAGAGATAGGTTTCTATTTTCACTCTTCTGCATGTGGATGGATTTATTTTGTGTTATCTATTCTGTTCCATTGGTCTATTTTTATGCCAATACCATACTATTTCAGTTACTATATTTTTGTAGTGTATTTTAAAGTCAGATACCATGATTGCCTCCAGCTTTGTTCTTTTTGCTTAGGGGTGCTTTGACTATTTTGTGTCTTTTGTAGTTCCATACAAATTTTAGGATTTTTTTTCTACTTCGAGAAATGTCATTGGTATTTTAAGAGAGATTACATTAAATCTGTAGATTGCTTTGCATCTGTAGATCACTTTGAATACTACAAACATTTTAGCAATATTCTTCCAATCCATGAACATAAAATATCTATTTATTTATATTCTCTTCAATTTTTTACATAAATATTTTATTTTCATTTTAGAGATCTTTAATGTTAGAGATCATTTTAGGTTAAATTTATTCCTAGGTATATTACTTAATTTTTTGTAGGTATTGTAAATAATATTTTCTTGATTTATTTTTCAGATTGTGTACACAGAAATACTACTAATTTTTGAGTTGGTTTGTTGATTTTGTATCCTACAACTTTACTGAATTCATTTATTAGCTCTAATTTTTGTGTGTGCGTGTGTGAAGTCCTTTCCAATTTGGATTCCTTTTATTTCCTTCTCTTATCTAATTGTTTTGGTTAGGGCTTCTGGTACTATATTAAATAAGCATGGTAAAAGTGAGCATCTTTGTCTTGTCCCAGGTCTCAGGAAAAGCTTTCAACTTTTTCTCAATCAGTATGATCTTAACTTTGGGTATGTCATACATGGTCTTTATTGTGTTCAGGTAAAATACATTCCTTTTATACACAATTTGTAGAGAGTTTTTATCATAAAGGTGTATTGAATTTTATCAAATGCTTTCTATGCATCTACTAAAAAGATCATATGATTTTTATACTTGATTCTGTCAACATGATGTAGCATATGAATTTGTTTGCATATTTTGAACTATCCTAGCATTCCTCCGATGAATCCCACTTGGTCATGGTAAATGACCTTTTGAATATGCTGTTGAATTTGGTTTGCTAGTGTTGTGTTTAGGATTGTTACGTATATGCTTATCAGAGATGTTGGCCTGTAGTTCCTTTTTTTGTTATGTCCTTGCTTGATTTTCGTATCAGGATGCTGCTAGCCTTGTAGAATGATTTTGGAAGAATTTACTGTTCATCAACTTTTTTTGGAATAGTTTGTAAGTAATTGGTATTAGTCCTTTAAATGTTTGGTAGAATTTATCAGTGAAGCCATCAGATCCTGGGCTTTTCTTTGATGGGAAACATTTTGTTACTGATTCAATCTTGGTATTTTAAGAGGGTGCATTGTATATGTAGTAGATCAGTGCAATCTTGTTACCCATTGCTCTGTTCAGATATTCAACTTCCTTATGAATCAAATTTTGTAAGTTTATATGTACAGGAATTAATTTCTTCTAGGTTTTTCAATTTATGAGTGTATACAATAATAATAATCTCTTATGATCTTTTGTATTTCTGTGATATCAGTTGAAATGTCTTCTTTTCCAGGTCTGGATTTATTTATTTGAATCTTGACCTGATTTGTTCTGTGTCCCCACCCAAATCTCATCTTGAATTGTACTCTCATAATTCTCACGTGTTGTGGGAGGAACCCAGTGGGAGATAATTGAATCATGAGGGTGGTTTCTCTCATACTGTTCTCATGGTAGTGATTAAGTCTCAAAAGATCTGATGATTTTATCAGGGGTTTCTGCTTTTGCATCTTCCTCATTCTCTCTTTGCCTGCTGCCATCCATGTAAGATGGGACTTGCTCCTCCTTGCTTTCAGCCATGATTGTGAGGCTTCCCCAGCCATGTGGAACTGTAAGTCCAATTAAACCTCTTTCTTTTGTAAATTACCCAGTCTCAGGTATGTCTTTATCGGCAGTTTGAAAACGAAGTAATACAAATCTTTTCCTTTTTTTTTTTAAGTCTAGCTAAAGGTTTGTTGATTTTACTTAACTTGCCCCAAAAACAGCCCTTTGCTTTGTTAATCTTTTGTATTTTTAGTGTCTATTTTATTTCTGCTCTAATTTTTATTTTTTTCTTTTACTATTTTTGAATTTATTTATTTTTAATATCTTAAGGTATAACGTTAGGTTGTTTATTTGAGATTTTTAAAAATTATTTGATATAGCTGTAAACATCCCTCTAAGAGCTGTTTTTATTGTATCCCATAGGTTTGGTCTGTTATATTTCCTTTTCCACTTGTCTCAAGAAACGTTTAATTTCCTTTTTAATGTATTCATTTATCCCTTTGTTAGTCAGGAGTGTGTTGTTTAGTTTCCAGGTAGTTGTGTTGTTTCCAAAGTTGTTTCTGTTATTGATTTCCAGTTTCATGCCATTATGGTCTGAAAAGACTCTTGATATGACTTTGAATTTTTAAAATTTGTTGAGACTTCTTTTGGGACCTAACATATTATCTATCCTGGAGAAAGTTTCATGTGCAGCTACATTCTACATCTTTTAGATAAAATGTTCTGTAAATGTTTGATATGTCCATTTGATCCACAGGGCAGGTTTAAATCCAATGTTCCTTTGTTTATTTTCTGTTTGGATGATCTGTCCATTGCTAAAAGTGGGATGCTGAAGTCCCCCACTATTTTGTATTGCAAGCTATCTCTTCCTTTAGGTATAATATATACATTTGGGTGCTCTGGCATTGCGTGAATAAGTATTTGAAATTGACATATCTTCTTGCTGAATTGACCCCTCCCTTCATCATTATATAATGACTATCTTTGTCTCTTTTTACATTTTTTGAGTTAGTCTGTTTTATCTGACACAAATATTGCTTACTCCTGCTCTCTTTCGGTTTCCATTTGCATGAGATATTATTTTCTATCTCTACTTTCAGTCTATGTGAGTCCTTATAGGCAAAGTGACTCTCCTGTAGCCAGAATATAGTTTGGTCTTAGTTTTATTATTTATTCAGCTTGTATGTTCAAATTTCAAATTGATAAATTTAAACCACAATTCTACTTTGAAAAATTTACCATAAAAAATATTAGACAGACACACAAAAGTTATACATTGGATGTTCTCAGAATTTCATAGTAAAAAAAAAAATAGAAATATATTTTGATCAGTATAAGATTAAATGTATTATGATACAATCTCACAGGGCAATATTATTTAACTATTATAAATATTTTGATAGTTATGGATATTAAAAGCTGCTCAAAATGTATTTCTAACAAATGCGTTAGAGAATGTGTCTATTGTTTTGTCAAATTTATGTAATATTCTAATAGTATGTAAGCATGGAGAGTCATCTCAAAGTCTGTGGCCCAAGTGTAAGCTGTTGTCACTGAACGGTTAGATTTATTCTCATTTTTGCTTGCTTTAAGCTTTTTGTGCTTTTTCATTTTTTGTAAGGAGCATGTTATGTTGTATGACCCGAAACAATACAATTTATTTAAAAATACATTAAAGATAAAGAATACTCATAATTGTCTTTTATTCAAGTATGTTAATAAAATTTTGGAACATATTTTTATCATCTGAATATGTAGGACCTTTTGCTTATAATGCTTTGTTTAATTTTTCAGATTACTTTGTATTTAAACTAATCTGAGTCTGTTAGATCATAGCATATATTTTTACATGTTAGAAGCCTATATTGGTATTCTTTTCTTTGAACTTGATTATTTCATGGACCACATGAAATAATCTCTTGTTGCAGTTAGTTTCTGATTACCAAAATCTAAAAGGAATAAAAAAGGCAGTTTCTCTTTTTAACTGCTCTCAGAACCACACTAAAATCTCTATGAAGTCTTTTGATGTAGAGTTCAAATAGTTTATATTTCCTTGCAGGTAGAATTTCTGTTTCCACAGACAAGCAATTATTCTCCCTAAACTCTATCTCAGGGTAGAATGTCTTCCATTTTATGAAATCTGATCTCACTTTAAACAACACAAATGCCATTTTGCTTTATCTGAGATTAATTCAGAAAGGAAGATAATTTGTTTATTTAATACTTCGGTTCATATAATACAAATTTCCTGAAGTTTTTTTTCCTCTTGGAAATCTTTTAAGGGAAAAGTGCTAAGATTCTATTCAGTAGAAACTTCTGCAAATTCTCATGTATGAAATTTAGATCGTTAAAGGTGAGAAAGCTGTACCATTCTTGATAAGTGAACAAATTAATTTACTGATGTGGTATCACCAAATATTGTCTACTATATCAATACTAGGAATTGAAAAAGCTGGCATAAATTAGGAGAAAGTAATAACTTTGACCTTCCAAGTTCAGGACCTTGATCAGTAAAACTCTTTAATTTTTGTGTTGAGTCATGATAACAATGAAGGGGAAAACAGTTGCATGATCTACATTATGAACTTCTGATACACAGGGAGTTACACCCATTTTGTATTTTGAATAGTTTAAATAATCTTTATTCTGAGGGTGACTCCTCTACTCATTACATATGCTTTAAATAGCAATCAGAAATCATTTTTTGCCTTCATCAGGATTGTTTAATCTTATACATACATATAATCACCTTTTTAGAATGGCATTGCCAATTTTTTTTTTTTTTTACAGGGATAGTGACATTGTCTCTTGTCTTAGTCCGTTTGTGTTGCCATGAAGGAATACCTGAGACTGGGTTATTTGTGAAGAAAAGAGGTTTATTTAGCTCACGGCTCTTCAGGTTGTACCAGAAGTATGGCACCCGTGTCTGCTTCTGGTGAGGGCCTCAGGAAACTTCCACTCATGGCAGAAGGCAAAGGGGAGCTAATGATAAATGTTTACTTTTCATCTTGATCTGTCTATGAAGACATGAATCTCTTTATTTCTCCTTTTAGATTCTGTTTCACTGAAGCTCAAAGATAGTAAGGACCCCAGGCATTTCAGCATGTCTGCACTTACTGGCCTATTTCTTTAAGTGTGGAACTGGCAACTGTTACAATTCCAGCTTGAAATGAATATATATATAATCGTTCTTAAAATGCAAGCTGTATCATGTATGTGTTTACTCATATGATTGTTCACTGAACATAGATAATAACTGACTTTACTATTATTGCTGTTTTAAAGATGAGTACTTAGAACAATATTAATGACCTGATTTTGAACATAAAAAAGGTATTTTCAAAGTTTTAATGGTTGTATTTTGTGTTTTAACTAGATAGACTATTTAAATGCAATCAATTTTAATGGATGAGCTTCTTGAATACCATTCTTTCTAAAAAGCTGTTTCTACAAGTTCCTATTGTCACTGATAGCTAATATTTACTTTATACTCTTAAGCATTTGGCCAAGGGATAGAAACCATTCTAGGCTTAACCCCACAAGGGCTCTAGTTCTATAATAGAAAACTGTTGCCACAATCCATCAATTACCACTTAGTGATCTCATTCATGCCCTCCTTCCTGTTCCCAAGGCTACCATCCTAGTTCAGAACCTCATACCCTTTCCTTGACGTTTCAATAGCCTCCTAGCTCAACCACCCAGGCGTCTTACTCATGGTTTCCAAATTAATGTCCTTCAAAGTACATTTTCTCATGATGCTGCTTTCTTACACATGCACATTGACTGCTAGTTTAACAGATATTATAAATACTTATTCAGTTCAGGAGCTGTGCCAGGCTCTGCTAATATAAAAATGAATAAAACAGAATTCCTGCCTTTGAGACATTTATATGTTCCCAGGGGAAATTTTTATGCAGTATCTACTCTGTAGAATTTCCTAGAAATTAAATGCATAACTTTATGGCCACACTGATATGTCTTTATATGTGTTTTACACACACACACACACACACACACACACACAGAAATATGCACATGCATAATACAGTCAGTTAGGATGTGTGGATATGAACCTGACATGGGTGTGTGAGAAAATCACATTGTATTTTATATGCAAATTTAATTTGTAATCTGAGCATTCATTCTATTCACATGATAGAAATGTACTAACAATTTGGGACTTCACTAGATTGTTGGGTAAATTCTGGGAGCTTATATACTACCTCTGTAGAGGAAAGGCATGTGATCTTCCATGTTGCCTAAGTGTGCTGGCGCTCATTAAGTTGACTAGTTGTTTTGTCGACACAGGTCTCTGTTAAAAAACATGCCTTATTCTATCTACCTGGCCAGGTGAGCCCTGATCCACCAGTCCTCTATTTTTTTGTTTGTGATTCCTAATCCTGGAACATCCCGAGTCTCTTCAACCTACTCTCTCAAATGTTTGCTTTATGCTTAAAATTCTCCCCCTTTCTGTAAATGGCTTCTGTGCTTTTACAAATCAAAGGCTAAATGGCTTCCATGTTGCTTTCCTTTCCACTGTCTGAGTACTGAACACCACAGTGACATGAAGTAGGGGAGGAAGTTTGTGAGGGAAGAGCAGAAGCTGAGCAGAGGGAAAAGAGGGAATTTACAAGGGGGAGATTGTTTAATATATCAAAAATAATTCATTACTTATACATACATGAAAACCATTATATATATATCTAATATATGTAATATTATATTGGCCTCTTATACTATAGCAGAAGGTATGATGCTACTGTGTCACTTATAACTCTTCTCAGAACCCACAGGCATGAGCAGCATATGCAGCAGTGCAGAGAGGCCTATGGGCATTTACAGTGATGCCAAACATTGCAGTATTTATGGGTGTCTATTTAATTATATTAAATCCTGTGCTATTTGCTCTGGGCTAATATTTGAGATGCTTTTAAAGAAGCTTTTTCAGAAATCCATAATCTGATCTGGAACTCTAGCATTTCATTTTTAAGCCAGCATCTACCCTGATGTATTATAAAATATTTGCCAGTTAACCATGAGTAGCACTCTTAAGATTCTGATGTTTAGGCTGGGCGCAGTGGCTCATGCCTCCCAGCACTTTGGGAGGCTGAGGCGGGTGGATCACGAGGTCAGGAGTTCGAGACCAGCCTGACTAACATGGTGAAACCCCCATCTCTACTAAAAATACAAAGAAAAAATTAGCCGGGCATGGTGGTGTGTGCCTGTAATCCCAGCTACTCAGGAGGCTGAGGCAGGAGAATCGCTTGAACCCCTGCAGGAGGAGGTTGCAGTGAGCCAAGATCGCACCACTGAACTCTAGCCTGGGCAACAAAGCGAGACTCTGTCTCAAAAAAAAAAAAAAATTCTGATGCTTAATATTGTTTTCCAATCAGCCATCTAAAATAATAATGATAATTCTTTTAATTCACTTATTGAGTGTTATGTTGTTTCAGCTATAAATAAAATGATTTTATGTGAATTATTTCATTTAATCCTCACAACGATGCTGTCGTATACTCTATTTTGTCCTATCTATTTTGTGGATGAAGAATGAAGGCTTAGAGAATTACTCAAAATTACGCAGCAAACTGTCTGTAACTTAACTTCAGACTAATGTCAAGCTTCTATCGAGGGAGGAGAAGGAGGACAGATGAAAAGAAATGTGATTAAGTCCTATGGTATACAATTTTGGTATCTATAAATTGGCCTAATAGTAGCATATATCTTATGGAGTTTGCATATTAAAAATAGTTAATGTAAATAAACCATTTAGCATGTTGAATGGACCTACTAAGTATTCAGTAATTATTCATTATTAACTTTTTCATGAAATAATATAGGAATAACTGTGGAACAATAGGTGTGCAAATATTTTATTTTGGGTATAATTAATGTAACAGAAACATAGTTGAGACACTGCTTCTCACAAATCATTAATGACCAGTGATGTCACAAACTATGGTGTTCATGCCACTGAAAGGATTATCTCTTAATTATCTCTTTACTTACTAATAACTGTTATCTCTTTCTTTTCTTCATATACTGCTTTGTGATTTTTCCTGTGCTCACTCACTCTTTCTTCCTCTCCATAAAATGTCTTCACATTGTCTGATAACTTTTCTTTGTTTCCCTTTCTTTCCATCCTTTATTTTCAGGCTCTTGGATTTGACATTGAAGTTAGGAACCCATCCAGTAACTGATCTTCTCATCTGTAGCCTTAGAGACTGAACTTCTCCACCAAAATGTTAATCAAGCAAATAATTTCTACCAGGACAAGATGAAAATAGATGAAAGCACCTGCCCCCAACCCCATCCAAGTTCTGAAAATTGAGAAGAAGAGTTTTACTATTTTTGTAGAATTTTTTTCAGTATGAAATCACTTTTCTCAGAATGACATCAATCTGGAGATATTTTTGATAATGACAAGGACTTGACAGTAAACATGTTTTATGATGTTCCTTTCTTGAGAGATGGTCTTCCTTGTATTCTCATTATGAGAATTACGGTCTTCCTCATATTTCCAACTCCTGGCACAGTGACTGGCACATAGTAGGTGCTTAAAATTTGTTGAAAGACAAAATAACAGTAATTATAAGAGTTATATAAGTATAATTATAATCATGGCATGTGGATCAGTACCCATTTGTGCAATATACCTGTTGATGGTGTTTAAACTCAGTCTCATCAATTCTGGGTGACTTACTGTCAGAAACATATTCACATACACATCTCACAAAAGGCAGAAGCACATACACATACACACCTCACAGACAGATTCCAAATCTAATTTAAACAATAATGTAAATATTCACCTCATTCTGCAAGTCTTATATTGAAGACCCTATGCACAAATTCATTTGACTCTCCAAAAAGGCCCAACACTTTTCAAAACTGCTTCACTACTTAAGAATGTCCTAGGGATAGGGATAGGGAAGAGTGAATATTCTTCGCTGTTCGCGGGCATGTTCTAGCTGGACTACTTGAGATACTGTTAAGAAGCTTAGGCAATCTATAATTATTATCTGAGAATTCTGTGTTTATATTTTTGGATGTAGCAAAGAAACTTCAAAATTTGACTTCAAAGAAGAACTCTGAATACCAGATGATTAATATTTCACAAAAACAAAGAATAAATTGAGAAGCAAAGGAATTCATTATCCTTGCAAAAATAAAATTACTTATGTGCAAATATGAGAAAGGTCATTGTATCTGATGCTGGCATTATGCATAAAGAGATGAGGCTTCTTTTGATGTGTTTATTATAATGATTTGCCATGGGACTGAGTTATGAAATCATGGCATGTAATTAAAATGCAGAGTCTCTGAGTCCTGTAGTAACATGCTAGTGGGCTTAAAGCAACCTCAGACCCACTCTTGGCTATTTGTGAACATATTTTATGTTTAGAGAATAAAAAGAAATTAACTTTTTATGTATCAGATGAGTAATCACATAATAAAGCATAATTGCTGTGAGACAATTAACATCTCAATATGATTTGATATTTGCTATCCTGTAAAAGATTATTTCCTGGACCTTATCATGAGAGTATTAAAGTTGAAAGTTATGAAATGGAGTACAGAGTATTATAGTGATCTTACATAAAAGATTTAGGGTCAAAACACATAAATTCACATTCTGGCTTTCTGCCTTTTTCTTCTGATAAAACTCAGCAAATATTGATTTTTCTGAGCCACCATTCTTCATTTTTAAATAGTGGAAACAATATCTATTTACCTATCACAAAGAAGTTTCATAACTAAAATTAAAAATTTTAAATTGTAAAGAACCTATTAATGGAATGCAAGTTATGCTCTAAAATACTAATTTTTGTTATTGCAAAGTATTAGTAAGAGTGAGATATTCTCCGTGACCACACTGAAATGGAAGTGATTCTTATGACACCTGCTGATTTCTATGTGGCTCTGGATGGATTTATCACAACTCTAAGAGACATTTGTGCAAATGTGGCTTTGGTTTCAGTTCTCAATCTGATGTTTTTATCATTTTTTATATAAGCTTTTTGAAAACAGATAGGTTTCCCAAGCGTTTTGCCATTTACCCTTTATGGATCTATGCAAGAAATTTATGCGTGCGATTTTTATTATCTTAAGGAAATATTTGGAACAATTTTACCCTTTCTTTTGATCATATTCTTTGGCTCATTTAAGAGATTGCTATATTACTTGGTGAGTCTAAAATTGAGTATCCTGTTTATATATCTGAAACAGGTAATGGGTAATATCACCTTGAGTCTGGCAGTACTCGAGAGGAAAAATTACATTGATTCTCTGACTTGAGTAAGAATATCTTGTTCACAATATGTTTGTGAAAACTTTTTCTACTCTTCCTTTTGCCCTTTATGACTGTCATATCTCAATTCCACAAATTCAGGGTAAAAATGAGCTTCTAGTCATATCTAGGACAGTTATCCCAAAATATTTATTTAGATATTTAAATCATCCCTAAGCTAGAGAAGATGTGAAATAGCTTTAATTGACTGAATGACTTTGCATTTCTTTCAACAAAATAAATCCCTGTATATGGTTCAGGAATAACTAGATAATATATTTAAATATCTTGAGAAAATAGAGTCAGCAGTCCTGGATTACCAGCTGTGTAACCTTGAGGGAGTTAGCCAACCTCTCTGACCTTCAGCATTCTCTTCCACAAATAAGAAGAGGGATAATAATACCTAGTCTAGGCACACAGATTTGTGGTAAATATTATCCTTCTTCTTATTTATAAGAAGAGATATGAGATCTCTGATATGAGAATCTCTTCTTATAAATAATAAGAGGGATAATAATACCTAATCTAGGCACACAGTTTTGTGGTAAATATCAAATGATGCTTCTACATGGTGCAAGGATGAACTGTTAAATATATACAGTTTTTTCATATTAATGGATAGCTTTATCACACTAGAAACATTATTCAAATGCATTTCAATATGGAGGGCTCTCTTGAAATGCTTTTGTTGAAAGAAAGCCTTCCAATTTCTAACTATCTATTTTGTTTCTCCTTTCTTGTATCCTCTTTCTATGTATATCTTTTCAATGTAGCTGTGACTATCATTTGATTTTCAATCTTCTTTTTCCCTCATAGTTTTACTTGTTGGAATTTTCCTGTAATACACTAATCTATTTTCACCATGCCTGTCTACTAAATCATATTCCTCACTGTGGAAAATTATAACAGCATTCACCTAATCACTCATGCCAGAAATATTCCCTCTTTATTTTCTGCATTGAATAGATTACCAAGGATTGTTAAATGAACCACTCTAATATTCCCCAGATCTCTCCATAAACAGTCCTTGTTCAGATCTCTCTCACTTGAACTATTATAGGAGCTTCTTAACTTTCCTGTGTTCAATCTCACCTCAATCCAATGTATCCTCTCCCATTCTGTTAGGGTGATCTTTCTACAATTTTTGGACTTTCCTTTCCCATGGCCTGTAATTTTTTATGGGTTCCTGTGCTTTGCAGGACAAAGTACAAGCCTCATATTATGGCAAGCTGATTTCATGCTGCTTTCCCATATGCACCTCACTCTAGGCATGCAGGCCTGGTGGGATTTCCCAAAATAGATAGTGAACTCCAAAATTCTCTGCCTTTGTGCATGTCCTTGAAATATTTCCTCTCCTTTTCACCCCTCGTTACCTAGGAAGATGCTCACCTCAAACATAAATTGTGCCTTGGGACTGTTTGAGGCCTATAATCATCTGTGATTTTAAGGAATCCTTTATATTCCAGGACTACGGCCTTTAAGAATTTTATTATGTCTATTTTTCTCATATTTGCTCTCCTTGCTAGGCTGAGCTTATTCTTCTCTTGCCTTTTTAAGAGAAGGCCTGTTACATGTTTCCTGAGAGAATGAATTAATGGTAACTCAGTGTAGCCTTTCATTACTTATCGGCTGCAATATAATAAGGAAAGGAGAAAGCAAGAACAATCTTGGGAAATGGGAAGAAAGTGAGACACTGGTGACAATAAGCTGCCATCTGCCTTGACAGAAAGAAACCTCTCACCCTGTTTGTTTTGTGCCTCAAAAGAGATTCTTTTTAGCTCATGTAGTTTGTGACAAGTTAAGGCCTGTCCTCTGTTTCTTTATTTTGTTTTTAAAGCACGTTTGCAGGCATCATCGTGTAATGAATAATATATCACGATGATTTTTTCCAAGCTTTTGAATTAGTATCTGCTTTACTTTTCCATGGAAGCACTGAAAATGAGTGATTCCTACAAATGATACTTTTTTCATTTTGAACAATAGCCTTTATCTCTCTAATCTAAACATCTTGGTTGCAAGTTCACAGTTATTACTAACATCAGATAATAACATATTTTGAAATAAATATATTTAATACTTTTTGTCAGGTTATTTACTATGATATTATATCTATTACTTAAAGCTAAAAACAAATATCTAAGTAACATGTTAATAAGATTTAAAAGCAGCATATTGTTATCAAAGAACCCTGAATTGCAAGGGTGTGATCATATTCCCGAAGCCTGGGACTCATCATGGCAGGGAGCTAGTGTACCATATTGTCATGGCAACAGGATGCCTTCCTAGGTTTAAATTTGTTTGTGTTGCTGATCCATAACTTTAAAAGCTTATCCAGAGCTTTTAAAGAACAAGTTGTATTGCTTCTGTGGTTGATGCCATATGCTAAAATTCATGGCTATTTCACGAATGGTAATTTGAGTGTTCTTTACTTTTTTTTTTTTTTTTTTTTGGTCTCCAAAGTACAGTTATCAAACTAAGATTGTTATGCCTGAGTGTTTTGTTTTGTCACTGTGTTGCTTCTATATATACAACTGTGAGGAGAAAAATTTTCTTCCCTATATTTGTTATAGTGAGACTCTGGATTTTTGTTTTGGATGTAAATACAGATATTATTTTATGGAGGCAATAATGAAAAACAGGAATTTTAACCTGCTGAATATTCAAAACTTAATAACCTTAATGTGTTGTTCCAAAAAGCCAAAACCTTGCAGCACTCTGAATTCTTTCTGCATGGCAAAGACACTTCTGTTGCCAAGAGATTCTCTGTAAACAGTGAAGAAAAACAATGATCAATGGTTCTGTGCATTGCCTAGCAGAACGTCCTTGACATCCCTCGCATTGCAGCACAATGCTGACAGCTGGGTTCTCATTTGGAAGCAGAGAACAGAGAGCCAGGGAGGTAGGAACCACAAAGGGTTAGGAGAAAAGGAGGGTGGATAAGCGGGAGCAGAGGAGACAAGAGAAGGGAGAGAGGAGGTAGGAGGAAAGAGATGAGTATTTGTTGTTGTCTTTGAATTGTTAACCCCTTAAGAGTTAAAGATGGAAATCTTAAACATCAATATGCACTATATTATTCCCTCCAGTGAAGCAAATTGCTTTTGAAAGTTAGTTTTGTCTTTAAAGAGGCATACAGATGAAGGTTATGGAGTGAATACAAAATAAAGAAGGTCCTCTGTGATGATATTAATCCTGAATTAAAAGGAAAGGCAACTGTAGATTAAAAAAAACTAAATAAATAAACTGGAACAAAATTTTACTGTGTGCCTTTTTTTTATTGCTGATTACTTGTCTCCGTGCATACATACATGGGTGATGAAAAAAATAAGGTTCAAGATATTCAGTATGGTTTTGAAGTGGGCCTTAGGTGTTTTTGTCTTGTCACTATTTTTATTTGATGTTTTTCTACTTCCTCCTAGGTATACTGTAGATTACAAGAGTTAAAATCTTGGAGTTCTTATGCCCATTTATCTACTATCAGTTTACCAAGAAACATAACTTTTATTTCATAATTTATAATTTGATTTTTAAACACTCAATTTGTGAGTCTAATTGTAATTAGTATTTGTAACACCTAAAGTCATTACCCATATGGTTTAGGAAAGCAAATGAGAAGTATTGTGTTAGATAAGAATAGAGAAACAACTGTTTGGTCACCAAAAGTTAGTTCTTCACTTCTATTATTGGGAAACTGACTAAGCTTCTAATATTCCTGTTGATGATACAGTATGCCCATTGCAGAAAGATAGACAAAACATTTCAATAGCACATCAAGCCAGATGTTCAAGTATATGATTTCCTCAAGGTCCTTGACTGTACAATTTTCTTCTAGGTTGCTCAAACTTGGGACCATTTATTATAAACACTCAGTAGATCCCTGATGACCTGAAAGAGGGTACTGTTTCTCTAAATATCCAGCTTCTTGTAAGGAGATAGCTTTTGGTGATGGAATTTTTTTTCATATATTTCTGTTGATATTACCATTGTATTAAGTATGTATCCTTATACCATTGTTTTCAAAGAGCCAGTATTTTATTTGAGGTGGGGTGCAGTAAAGGTCCAGTCTTTTAAAAATACAGCTGGATTCCTTTCTACTCCTCCCCTTTCTTTCCCATGCTTGCGTTAAGGGAAGAATGAGCTCAGACTAATTTGAGGGACGTAGAATCATCACCAGAAAAAGAGAGTTTCACTTCTTCAAAGACTATTATTTGTAAGGAATATGCAATCATGTTATCATTGGTTGAATGGTGGTTCCCCAGAACATATGTCCATGTCAAATCTCTAGAACCTATTAATGTTATCTTATTTGGTAAAAGGGTCTTTGCAGATGTGATTAAGTTAGGAGTTTTGAGATGAGATCACCCTGGATTATCTAGGTGAGCTCTAAATCCAATTACAAGTGTCTATATAAGAGAAAGATAGAGGGAGCTTTGAGACAGACAAAAAGTAGAAGGTGATATGATCATACGATATGATATGATATGATCATATAAGCAGACACTGGGATGAAGCAGCCACAAGCCCAGGAATGCCCACTGCCACCAGAAACTGGAAAAGGCAAGGAAGAGAATCTCATCTAGAGCCTCTGGAGGGAGCAGAGTGCTGCCTATACCTTGATTTCAAACTTCAGGCCTCCACAGCTGAGATAGCAAATTTCTGTTGTTTGAAGTGGCCTTAGGTGCAACCAAGTTTATAATTTGTTACAGCAGTCACACTACCTGACTCAAATGAACGTGTGGTTGCTGCTTTACCAGCATAACTCCCCGTGGGGAGAAGCAACTGGTTGGACATTGAGGAAGCCATCAGGGTGGCTTTGAGTTATTTCTGCTTGCTTTTGAAGACCCTCTTCTTTGGCTCATATGCATCATCCTGCTCCGAATACACAAATTTCAGCATCAGTGACATCCACTTTGCATTTACATTCTCCCGCCCTATCTTTGATCTCACTATCAATCCCAGGGTTTTATGTCAATAAAATATAGTTTTTTTCCCAATAAAATGTTATTTGTATTTCCTAAAATCTGAGTCTTTAAAATCAAAGCTCTTGCAACTTTTGTCCTTTTCTCAAAAAGTTAGATTTTACTTTTCATAGAAGAATGCCAATCAAATAGAATATATAGGAAAGAGGTGGCTGCCCAGTGCAATCTCTTCTGTTGCTTCTGTTTTTAGTGATCTGTGTATTTTTCCCCTGGTAATTGTCAATGCCTTTGATGGCTAGCCCCTGCCTTCCTCCTGAAAATCATAGCAGTCTGATTGAATAGTAACGGGTGGGTTTTTTTTTTTTTAAATGATATTTAGATTAAAGGCAATTAAGAGAAATTCTGGCCATGGAAAAGAGGAGCGAGATTGTGGTTTGTCTTCATAGCAACAAATATAATTTCTCAAGCATTATATGAAATAATTAGAAGAAATGGATTGCTTACTCATGTTTGCTTTCACATCAGGGGATATAGATATATCTGTAATTGCAATGCTTTAAGAAGGTATATAAGGATATAAATTCTCATGGCTTCATTCTTGGTCTCCTTATATGTAGAAATGTAGTGGCAGAAGTTAGACTTTAATATGTGGTAGGTGATAATATGGAGTTGTTCTAACAATAGTTTTGACTGTATATAGAACATGGAGCCTATTAGCTAAGAATGGACAAAAATTGACAATAAAATAGTTAAAATATCAAATATTAATAAGATATTTCAATACTATTTTTTGAAGCACTTGGTAAAAATCCCACTTATCTACGATGCAATTCTTCTGGAACTGCTCTCTTACATAATAGTTGGAAATTGTATTAATAGTCTCAAGCTTTTCTAAGTTTAAAGAGCAATCTTTGTAATAACTAAGCTCATGATGTTTGGGATCAGACAGGATTAAAAATTCTGGCTCTAGAATATATGCCTGTGTGTCATCTGACTTATTTATTTGTGCCTCACTTTCTACATCATCACTAGAATGGTAATATATACCTACCTCAAACAGTTGTGAAAAACCGAAGGAGGTGATGCATAGCAGAGTATCATTGTCTTAACAGTGCTCAATAAATGTGTTTTATTGCTATTTCTCTACATCAAAGCCCTAGAAATCCTGAACTATACTTTTTAGCACAAGACAAGAGAAGATTAAATGGAACATGTAAATTGGTATCAGTTAAGCATAACCTGCCCTGCTCGCAAGGTCTTGTCAACAATCGAGAAAAGCCACACACACTGGAAAAGGAATTGATTGAGACACAAAGGAAAATAGGATTTTTTTTTCATGGAGTCATGCCTAATTTAAATACTAATAAATAAAATTAGAGAATGAGTTAAAGTCAACTCAGGAAACTAACAGCATGAAAAAGTGTTGAATCAACAGAGGCCCCGAATTTATAAAAATTATGCTCTACTCCAATATAAAACATTAAATATAGTAAAGCATGACCACCTTTTTCCATATTTTTGTTTTTATTTTTATAGAATATTAAAATCAGATCAAAGGAAGAAGAAAAAAATGGCAATCAACAGAATTTCAGGTCTCAATGGGGGAATGAAGATAGTATATATAGATTAAGTTCTCATAAAATACTAGAAGGTAAGTACCAATACTCTCACTTAATGAGTGAATAAATTGAGGCTCAATGAGGTTAAATAAAGTGTCCAATATCCTTAAATTTTAAGTGGTTAAAAAAAATGGTTGTTTACTTTACCAAAGTCTAAGATTGAAGTGATGATAATCGATGAATAGAAACGCTGGGAAACAGTTTTAGCTGGTAGAACGAACCTTTCTTTTTCTTTCGTGCCCTAAATTTAGTTATCTTAATGTGTTTATAAATGTTCTAGATGGTGTTATGGGAAAGAAAAACAGAGTATACGCTTATATAGGGAGACACAAAAAAAATGAGAAGGAACTGTTTTCCCACCCTTGGAGTAAAGTTTCTAGGAAACAACTCAAAGTGGATGGAACTTTACTTCACCACGGCTAATCTCGGATGTTAGTTCAGCTATCCTGTTACTTTGCATAATTCAAGAATTTCGGCAATTAGGCTAACAGGTTGACTTTTCACACAGAGTGAGAAATCAAAAGAGGCTTTAAAAAAGCTGTGCTCTTAGCAAAAATTATATTTGAGAGGCAATAAAATAGCTTGCCATTAAAAAGATATATATCATTATATAAGAAAATCACTTAAAAATGGATTAAAAGCTTAAATCTATGGGCCAAAACTATAAAACTACCAGAAGAAAGCATTGAGGAAATACTCCAGGACATTGGTCTGGGCAAGGATTTCTTGAGTAAGATCTCAGAAGCACAGACAATCAAAGCAAAAATGGACAAAGGAGGATCACATAGTGCTAAAAGCTTCTGGGTAGCAAAGGAAATAACAAAGTGAAAAGAAAACTCCCAGAAAAAGAGAAAATACTTGCAAACTACCCATCAGACAGGTGATTAATAACCGAAATACATACAGCTCAACAGAAGACAACTAAACAAAACAAATAATCCAATTTTAAAAATGGGCCAAAGACCCAAATAGTCTTTTCTCAAAAGAAGACATAGAAATGGTCAACAGGTATATGAAAAAAATGCTCAACATCAGTAATCAGTAATCATCAGAAAAGTGTAAATTAAAGTACAATGAGATATCATCTCATCCCAGTTAAAATGACTTTCATCCAGAAAACAGGCAATAGCAAATGCTGGCAAGGTTATGGAGAAAAGCAAACCCTTGTACACTGTTGGTGGGAATGTAAATTAGTACAGGCACAATGGAGAACAGTACGGAGGTTCTTCAAAAAGCCGAAAATGGAGCTACATATGATCTAGCAATCCCACTTCTGGAGATAGATCCAAAAGAAAGGAAATCAGTATATTGAAGATATATCTGCACTCCCATTTTTATTGTTTATTGCAGGGCTATTCACAATCGCCAAAATATGTAATCAACCTAAGTGCTCACCAACGGATGAATGGATAAAGGAAATGTACATATACACAATGGAATATTATTCAGCCATAAAAAAGAACATAATCCTGTCATTTACAAAGAGATAGATGAAAATGGAGAACATAATGTTAAGTAAAATAAGCCAGGCTCATTAAGATAAATATTACCTGTTCTCACTAATATGTGGGACCCCCCAAAAATTGAACTAATGGAGATAGAGAGTAGAATGATGGTTATCCAAGTCTGGGAGGGTAGTGGGGGTGGAGAAATAAAGAGGAAGTGGTAAATGGGTACAAAAATAAAATTATATAGCATAAGATCTAGTGTTAGGAAGCACAGTGAAGTGAATATAGCTAACAAAAAATTGATTGCATATTTCAAAATAACTAAGTGTAATTAGATGTTCTTAGCACAAAGAAATCTAAATGCTTGAAGTGGTAGAGATAGCTCAAATTCTGATTTTATTAGTACACATTGTATGTTTGTATCAAAATACCACATGTACCTCACAAACACATGCAATTATTATATATCCCTAATAATAAGTTTTTTTTCAAAATTTGGGCATTAGCTACCTGGGGTTAGTGCACACCCCACAGGTTAAGAACTCAGTTCTGGCGGGGCACGGTGGCTCACGCCTGTAATCCCAGCACTTTGGGAGGCCGAGATGGGCAGATCATGAGGTCAGGAGATCAAGACCATCCTGGCGAACATGGTGAAACCCTGTCTCTACTAAAAATACAAAAATAAAATAAATTAAAAAAATAATTAGCTGGGCGTGGTGGTGGGCACCTGTAGTACCAGCTCCCAAGTACCAGCTACTTGGGAGGCTGAGGCAGGAGAATGGCGTGAACTCGCGACGCAGAGGTTGTAGTGAGCCAAGATCATGCCACTGCACTCCAGCCTGGGCCACAGAGCAAGACTGTCTCAAAAAAAAAAACAAAAAACAAAAAAAGACAACTCAGTTCCACAAGTAAAAAATAACACTTTTAAACTTGGGTTTTGGTGCATACCCTAAAGCACTTGGTTCCTAAAGTGTGGTCCCTATGCAAGCAGCAACAGCATCACTTGGGAATATTTAGAAATGCAAATTATCAGACCCACCTCTAGAACTGGAAACTCTGGGGATGTGGCCCAGCAATCTGTACTTTAATAAACCTTCCAAGTGATTCTGATGTAAGTTGAAATTTGAGAACCATGTCCCTGGAGTTTATAGACAAAGAATAAATAAAATGAATGAAAGAGGGAACAGCCTACAGATTCTATTGTGGGAGTTAATTGTTCCAAGAAAGAAAGTGAAACAGTGATATAAAACATAGAGAAAGCTAATTAAAATATACATATAGTTAGGAGGCCAGGTGCAGTGGCTCATGCCTGTAATCCCAGCACTTTGGGAAGTCAAGGCAGGCAGATCACTGGAGGTCAGGAGTTCCAGACCAGCCTGGCCAACATGGTGAAACCCTATCTCTACTAAAAAAAAAAAAAATTAGCTGGCATGGTGGCATGCCTGTAGTCCTAGCTACTCACAGGCTGAGGCAGGAGGATTGCTTTACCCCGGGAGACCTTTAACCGGGAGAGGTTGCAGTGAGCAGAGATTGTGCCACTGCATACCAGAGTGAGACTGTCTCAAAAAAAAAAAAATTAGGAAATGAATTATAAATACAATCAGGGCTCCAAAGGTAGGCACTTGTCTTTTTAGCAACCCATTGCAGAGGAATTCAGAGGCAAGGCTCACAAAAAAAAAAAATAAATCAATCAATCAACAATCAAAACTCAGAGAAATTCAAAGGAGACACTGTGCCCACATATTCCATCCCACTACAGGATAACCAAGTACAGAAATCTGAGATACTTCAGAGAATTGTGACAGTGGTGAGTGTAAGCATACACCTCTGCCATCTGCTGATATGCACTGTGATGTATCTGGATTATGGTCCTCAGACCCTTCCTCTAGCCCCAGGATAAATTTGTAAGATGCTTGAGGAGCAATGCAAACATTACTTGGGTGTCATTGTCTTCTGCTGGCCCTTGGCTCAATCCGGCATGCACCTGAGCCTAATTTCCCATCACTTTGTGAAAATGTTGTTCACATGTTTCTATTTTCTTCAGTCAGCACCCATCGGGGAGTGGAGCTCTTTGGAATAAATGCTGACTAGTTGGGGCATCTGAGAAAAATGTAGTTTTGGTGCTGGAGTTCACAGCATGTCAAAGCAGAAGTGACAGAAGAATCAAGAGCAAACCAGAGCTCTTGAGTCTAATCTGAACTTTTTACTTTTCAGATGAGGAAATGTAACAATGAAGAAATTAAATGATAGAAATGAGATCATACATTAACAGAATACAAGTTCATATTTCAGGCCTTAATTAACTCAGCTAATACTGATTAAGCATCCGTTAAGTGCTAGGCACTAGGTGAACAATGATCAAGAAAATAGTCTTTGCTCTTCAAACTCTTGCCACATGTTGGACAGGTTAGATAAGAGAAGAAGCAATTGTATGTAATTTGATTATTTTTAAGATTAAAAAAAGCCTATGGTGCTACGTAAGCATGTGAGTGGGTCACCAAAGTCAACCTTGGAGGGTGTTAACAACTACTGTGGACCAGTAATGATTCAGTGCTTTCTTTTCATCCTCTTTTTGGAAGTGAGTTATTTTGCCATTACTCTATGCTTACCTCACCTTTGTATATTGGGTGTGTAGGGGGCAGATAACTAAAGAAAATTTTTGGTTTGTATGTCTTCAGATTCAGTCAAACTGCATTTGTGGAACTGCACTGTGGAATTTCACCTGAGGAGCCCCATCTGTATGAGGGGCTGATTTAGCAGAGAGGTTCTGGATTTCAAGCCAATGCCATTATGTGATGAGATTTTGAGGCTCCTGGAAAGAGGGTGAGTATATTTTGCACATGGGGAGAATGTGATTACAGTGGCCAGTGGAAGGGCAGGCTATGGTTATTAATTTGCAAAATGGTAACTACTAAGTCCTTCTCCATTGGTATGTACATGCAAATCACTACCTGAAGAAATGGGATTTAATTCCTGTCAGATCTCAGGGTCCAGGTCCAGCCCATGCTGAAGTCTGAGGGGAGTGGGGTGGGTGGATGATCAGAAAGAACACCTGGGGGCCGGTTGGGGGGTGAGGGTGAGGGTGAGGGTGGAGGCGTAGGCAGGTGAAAGATAGTTGTATTTAGCAGCAGCTCTCATTAACAGTTTTCTTACTCTAGCTCTCTTAGAAGCAACTTTTCTTACACTGTCCACCTTTATCTTGGCTGTTTGCTCTGGCTCTGCGGCTCCTGCTGCCCCTGTGCCTGCAGTTGCATGGCTGGCTCTCCCCTGCCTTCAGGGTCAGCAGCTTAACTCTTTCTCTGGGCACGAGGTAGCCAAACTGTGTCCTGGGCCCCTCCTCTTTGGCTCTCTTTGATGCTCTCTCTAGGTATCAGCACCTGCACAAGAGCCACGTTGAGCCGAGCTAAGCCCCAAGAGCCATGTCTCTTGTGCACAGCGTCAACAGGGCAGTTATACCTTTTACAGACCATAGTGGCTCAGAGCCAAGCATGAACCTACACAAACAGGTTATGTAACAAATGGAGGTGTGCATCTGCACGCCAAATTCACTGAGTCATGTAAGCCTGGATATCTGCTTCAGCCTCTTCCTTGACCAAAGCACATCCATGTACCCTTCCATTAAATCTGGATTACTCTGAGTAACCTGCTTGGGTAATAAAATACAGCAGAAGTAACATTCAGGGACTTCTAAAGTTAGTTTATAAGAAACATTATTGCTTCCATCTGGGCCTCTGGGAACACTCCTGTTTGAGAAGCTTCCTCTTGCAACCCAGTCATAATGCTTCAAGAACCTAAGCCACACATAGTGGCCATAGTTGACAGTTCTAGCTGACCCTCCTGCCTACAGCCAGCAGCTGCCAGCTATCTTTGAAATCCAGCCTAGGTGGGTCTTCAGATGACTGCAGCCCCAGCCAGCACCTACTTGCAGTAGAGTAAGAGACCCCAAAAGAGAACTGCCCAGCTGTGCCCACTCATCCTGCAGAGGCAGGAAAGACAATAATAACCCATTTTAAGCCTTCAAGTTTTGGGATGGTTCATTATGTAGCAACAGGTACCTGAAACACCACCTTATAGGTAAGAAAGCAGAGGACTAAAGACATTAAGTAACCTGCCAAAAGTCACAGAGTAAGTCATAGAACCGAAATTTGAAGATTTTAACTCATATTTTATTTCATTGCAGAGTATTCTCTCTTACTGACTATATTTTATTTGTTTCCATTGTCAACATTTTTGGTGGTTGCCTTGTGACCTTGATCAAGCCTGATTCTTCATATGTGAAATGAGGCTAATAAGTACACTCAGCCTAAAATTTTTGTGCATAAATGTGTGAGGTTAAATAACTTGTCATGTATTATACAACCAGCAAATGGTAAAGCCAGAATTTGAACATAACATACTAATTCTTAAATTTAAGTTAACCATTTATACAATATTGCCCCCTAATAGCTATAGAATAAATCCCCAGTGCACCGTCACTCTTTCAAGTGTATTTTCATAAACTTCAGCAACTATCAGTGTAATGAAATTCAGAGGAAACAGAAATTCCTGTAGTAGTGGTTTGGAAGTGCTTAAACCATCCCTGAAGAGAAGATCAAGATAGGGGATCTCTTTAGTCTCTCTCTGTTTCAATAACGGTTATTGAAATGGAATATAGATGTGGTAAGATTAACTCCTTCAAAGTATACAATTCAATGTTTTATTTCACAGAAGTGTGAAACCATCACCACTATTTAATTACAGAACTTTCATCCTTCTCCAAGGAAACCTTGAACCAATTATTTATCAACCCCCATTCTCCTCTCTCCCTTTAGTCTCTTTTTTCAAATTAAAAAAATTACCTTTTCTCTTCTCCTTAAAAATATTAATAGATATTTAAGAGCTATTAGAATGTAAGGGTCTTGAATACATGGATTGAATGTCATTTAATTATGACTGTGTCTGCTGTAGCTAGCACATAGCAATGGCATTCAAAACACATTTGCTGCATGCAAATATGTGTCCTGTGCCTGACTGATCTTTCTTTCTATGGCCAAAAATAAAGTAATAGAATAATAATGTAAAGTAGTATAATAGTAGAATTATTTATAATTCAGAATGAAAGTATCTGTTGAAACCCTAATTGGAAAAGAGGTTTTTCCAGTTAAGCACATACAAGGGACCAGTTGCACCATTACTGTACCTCCCCTTCCATGCAATATGCATTAATAGCCACCGTAGAGATAAGACATTTCCGATCCTTCATCAGTGAAGCTATGTTGAGGTGTTGGAGTTGGGAACTACAAAGGAGACATATTTCCCTGTACTATGGCTAGCACAGACATTATCATGAACTAAATTGTGTCACTCCTAATTCATATGTTGAATCCCTACCCCCCAATGTGACTATTTTTGGAGATAGGACCTTTAAAGAGATAATTAAGGTTAAGTGTGGTTATAACGGTAAGGCCCTAATTCAATTTAACTGTTGTCTCTATAAGAAGAAGAAGAGACACTAGAGATGTGGGTACATAGAACAAAAGCCATGAGAGGTCATGGGCCAGCAGAAAGTCACATGCAAGCCAAGAAGAGAAGCTTCAAAGATACCACCAAATCTGCCAGCAACTTGATTTTGGAATTTTTTCCCTGTGGGGAAAATTATGTTATTTAGGCCACGAAGTCTGTCGTATTCAGTTATGGCAGCCTGAGCAAACTAATACAGGAAACCTGAGGGCATATCAGAGGAGTATAGCATTGTTGCTGTCTTCAGAGACATTCTAGACAGCCACATTTCCCAAACTATGTGAGCCATTATGGCTTCCCAATATGGCTAGAAATATTCAGGATGCAGCCTCATTCCTTAGCCTTCAGATAAAATTTGAGTAAATCCTTCCGTTTCTCACTGGAAACTTCATAGGTTTTCATCTCTGGG
This sequence comes from Homo sapiens, assembly GCF_000001405.40. Lineage (NCBI taxonomy): Eukaryota > Metazoa > Chordata > Mammalia > Primates > Hominidae > Homo > Homo sapiens. The sequence continues at coordinate 78,343,002 of NC_000012.12, forward strand.
GCTCTGTTATTTTACGTGAGTTAAGAAGAACATATTGCAAGGGTTTTTAATTCTTTAAACTATGCTTTTAATTATGAAATAGCTATAGAGAACTTCTGATTCCAAAATGGCGGTGTAGAAGCAAACTGGCCTCATTCCCCAACATGGAAAACAGAAAAATACACAATGCCAAGATTATCACCAGTGATATTCTACAACTCGCATGTGAGGATCAGTCAGTTCCTGGAGCTGCAAAGCAGTGAAAATATTCTGAACAAATGGTAAGAGAATCAGACTTCATAGCCACGTTGTACCTCCTTCCAATCTGTCCAGCACCAAGCAAATAGAGAATTGACACCTGACTCATGATTTCTACACTGGAAAATGTGAGATTGAGGTGGAGAATCAGCTTGTTCACCATCTTGGGTTACAAGGCGGAAGACCTGTCACTGCCTCAATCCATAGGAAGCATCACAAAGGGAGACATATTCCTGAAGACAATCAGAGACAAAGGGGAGAGGTAGGACTAACATTCCAAGATCTAGAAATTACTATGTAGCTTGGCTAAAGGAGACACCAGATCAGAGTGTTGGTTCAGCAGGAGAACAATATAAGAGGTGTGTCCTACGATCCTATGAGTACAATCCCCTAGCTGGCCTTCCCACACTGATGGACTATTCTCTTTGTGACCACCTTCATTCAGGACAGGCAGCAATGGAGGAAAACCTGGGCTTAGATGCTGTCTGGTGCCAAAAAAGAAGCAGTTCCCTAGTAGTGGGGGGGATGGGAGGAGAAATTCAACAGGTAAATTACAGAGAATCTCTAAGCAAACATAACAGTAAAAAAACAAGCCACAGAGAGAAGACTGGAGGAAATGACTAATCCTTTCATACAAATACATAGATGTATATCCACAAGAAACAGCAGTAGGGAACCATGGCCTCCCCAAATGGACAAAACTAGGAACCAGTGACTGATTCTAATGAGACAATGATATGTTAGCTCCTGTACAAGAATTCAAAATAACAGTTTTAAGGGACAAAACTATATCCACGATAACACAGAAAAGCAATTCAAAAATTTACCAAAGATATTTAACAAATAAATTGAAATAATAAAACAGAAATTTTGAGACTGATAAATACATTTGCTGAACTGAAAAATTTATTGGAGTCTCTCATCAGCTAGTTGAATCAAACAGAGGAAAAAAAAAGTGAGCTTGAAAACAGACTATTTGAAAATACTGTCAAAGAGAGAAAAAAAAATAAAAAAGAACGAAGGACCACCTAAAAAATAGAGAAAATTACCTCAAAAGACAAAATCTAAAAATTATTGGCATTTAAGAGTCAGATGAGGAAGAAAAGGGGTAGAAAACTTATTCAAAGAAATAATAATTAAAAAACTTTCAAAACTTGAGTATGATATAAATACCCAGGTACAGGAAAGTCAGAGAATACCAAACAGGTCTGACCTAAATAAGACTACCACAGGGTATATAATAATCAAACGCTCAAAGGTCAAACAAAGAGAAGATTCTAAGAATGCAGCAAGAGAAAAGAACTACATAGCGTAAAAATGAGCTCCAATTCATCTGGCAACAGACATCTCAAGGGAAACCATAGAGTCCAGGAGAAAGTAGGATGATATTTTCAAAGTGCTGAAAGAAAAAAACTACCATTCAAGAATTCTGTATCCAGCAAAGCTATTTAAAATATAAAGCAGTGATAGTCTTTTCCAGACAAAGAAATGTTGAGTAAATTCACCACCACCAGACCTGTCTTACAAGAAATGATAAAGGTATTTTTTCAATCTGAGAGAAAACAAAAATTAATATGCAAAAAGAATGCATTTGAAGGTATAAAACTGGTAAAATTAAGTAAAGGATAATGTGAGACTATTTCAATACTGTAATTGTGGTAGGCAAGGCACTCATGACTCTAGTATAAAGCCTAAAAGATAAATCTATAAAAATGTTAGTTACAGCAGCCTATTAAAAATAGGTAATATAAAAATATGTAAATTGATAAAAAATGTAAGGGGTATAAAACTAAAATGTACAGTTTTATTTTTAGTTTTTTTCTTTGTTTCCATTTTTTGTGATCTAAGATGTCATCTCTTTAAAATAACTTTTTATAACCGTAAAATTACTTTTGTAAGCTTTTTGGTTAAAACAGTGAAAAAACTAATAATCGATAGACTAAAAATGTAAAAAGAAACAAAACATACTGCCAGGAAAAATTACCTAACCACAAAGGAAGATGGTAAGAAAGGAAGAAAGAGAATTTACAAAATGATCAGAAAACAAACAACAAAATGGCAGTAGTAAGTCCTTACCTATCAGTAATAAAACTGAATGTAAACAGGCTCAAATATCCAACTAAACAACATAGAGTCACTGAATAGATAAACAGGTATCAGCTACATGCTGCCTATAAGAAACCTATCTCACTTTAAAGACACACATAGACAAACTCAAGGGATGCAAAAAGATACCTGATGCAAGTAGAAACCAGAAAAGAGAGGGAATTGCTATACTTATATAAGATAAAATTGATTACAAGTCAAAGACTATCAAAAAAATAGATGGCTATATAGTGATAAAGGGGTCAATTCAGCAAGAAGATACAATTATAAATATCTATGCACATAATACTAGAGTTCCCATGTATATAAAGTAAACATTAATAGATCTAAGGAAGGGATAGTCTGTACTACAGTAATCGGGAACTTCAACATTCTACTCTCAGTAATGGACAGGTCATTCAGTCAGGAAATCAGCAAAGAAACATCAGAGTTAAACAATATACTAGGCTAAATAGGCCTACCTGACATTTACAGAACATTTCACCGAATTGCTGCAGAAAACACATTTTTTTGTATCACCACATGGAACATTCTCGAGAGTAGACCAAATATTAGGCCATAAAATGAGTCTCAATTTTTTTAAAAGTAGAAATCATATCAAGTATCTTTTGTGACCACAATGGAATAAAACCAAAAAGCAATAACAAGTTGAACCTCACAAACTATACAAACACATAAAAATTAAACAATATACTGCCAAATTACCAATATATCAATGAAGAAAATAGGAATATTAAACATTTATTGAAACAAATGAAAATTGAAATACAACATACCAAAATCTATGGGATAAAGCAAAAGTAATAGAAGGAAGTCTAAAACAATAAATGCCTACATTACAAAAGTTAAAATACTTCAAATAACTGAATGATACACCTCAAGAAACTACAAAAGCAAAAAGAAAACTGTTCAAAATTAGTAGAAATCAAATAATAAAGAATAAAGCAAAAATAAATTGAGACTATCAAAAATACAGAAGATCAACATAACAAAAAGTTTTTTTTGTAAAGATTGACAAAGCTTTAGTTAGACTAACAAAAAAGAGAAGACTCAAAATCAGACAAAAAGACATAAAAATTGTTATACTATTATGAACAAGGATATATCAGCAAATTGGAAAACCTAGAAGAAATGGATAAATTCCTGGACACATACAACCTATCCAGATTGAATAATGCAGAAATAGAAAATCACAACAAGCCAATAATTAGTAATGACATTTAAGCCTTAATAAAAAGTCTCCCATCAAAGATAAGCCCAGGACCTGATAGCTTTGCTGTTGAATTCTATCAAACATTTTACCAATATTAATCAAACTCTTCACAAAAATTGAAGAGGAGGGAATACTTTCAAACTCATTCTATGAGGCCAACATCATCCTGATATCAAAACCAGACAAGGACACAACAATAAATGAAAACTAAAGGCCAATGTTACTGGTGAACATAGATGCAAAAATCCTCAGCAAAAATACTAGCAAAATGAATTCAACAATACATTAAAAAGATAATTCACCATAATCAAGTGAATTAATCTCAGGCAGACAAGGATGGTTCAATACATGCAACTCATTGAATATGATACATCACATTAACAGAACAAAGAAACAAACATCATTTCAATATATGTGGAAAAGTCATCTGATAAAATTCAACATCTCTTTATAATAAAAACCTTGAAGAACCTGGTATAAAAGAAACAGCCAACATCCTACTGAGTGAGTAAAATTGAACGCCTTTCCTGTAAAACAAGGGTGCCATTTTCATCACTTTTATTCAATGTGATACTGGAAGTCCTGGCTAGAGCAATTAGGCAAGAGAAAGAAAAGGTATACAAATTAGAAAGGAAGAAGTCAAATTAGGCTTATATGCAGATGAAATGATATTATATTTTTTAAAAATGTAAATGCTCCATCAAAAACCGGTAAAACTGATGAACAAATTCAGTAAAACTGCAGGATACAGAATTAATATATAAAAAATAGTAGCATTTTTACACTTTTTTAGATTTATAATCTGGAAAAGAAATCAAGAAAGCAATCTCATTTACAGTAGCTAAAAGGAGTATAAAATACTTTGAATCAGTTTGACCAAAGACATGAAAGATCTATACAAGAAAAACTATAAAAGAGAGATGAAAAAAATTGAAGAGGACACAGGAAAATGGAAAGTATTCCATGCTCATGGATTGGAATAATTAATATTGTTAAAATTACAGTACCATCCAAAGCAAGTTATAGATGCAATGCAATTCCTGTCAAAATACCAATGACATTCTTTACAGAAATAGATATTTTAAAAAAAAATTTATAGGAACCACAAAAGATCCCAAATAGTCAAAGCAACCCTGAGCAAAAAGAACAAAATATCACATTACCTGACTTCAAAGCACCTTACAAAGCTATAGTAACCAAATCAGCATGGTATTGACATTAAAACAGACACATAGATCAATGGAACAAAATAGAGGACCCAGATATAACTCCACACATTTATTTTTTTCAATTCATTTTTTTACAAAGACACCAAAGACAAACAATGGAGAAAGTCTCTTCAATAAATGATGCTGAGAAACATGTCTAATCATCTGTAGAAAAAATGAAAATAGACATTTATCTCTCACTAAATGCAAAAATCAAATCAAAATTGATTAGAGACTTAAATCTCACACCTGAAACTATATAACTACTTGAAGAAAACTTTGGGGAAATGCTCCAAGACACTGGTCTGGGCAAAGATGTTTTTTGTGTAAGACCATAAAAGCATAGGCAACAAATGCAAAAATAAAAAAAAAATGGAATTGCATCAAGCAAAATCCCTCTGCACGGAAGAGGAAACAATTAACAGAATGAAGAGACAACCCATAGAATGGGAGAAAAAAATGTGTATATATATCCATCTGGCAATGAATTTACGAGAATGTATAAGAAGCACAAACAACTAAATAGCCAAGAAACAAACTGATTTTTAAATGAGCAAAAGATGTAAAAAGACGTTTTTATAAAAAAAAGACATACAAATGACTAATAGATATATAATAAGATGCTCAACATTACTAATTATCAGAGAAATACAAATTAAAATCACAATGTGAGATAGCTCACTCCACTTAGAATGGCTTTTATCAAAAAGGGAATAGCACAGGCTGGCAAGGTTGTTGAGAAAGGAGAGTCCTCACTACATTGTTGGTGGGAATGTAAGTACATCCACCATGAAAAACAGTATGGAATTTCCTTACAAAACTAAAAATAGGACTACCACATGATCCAGCAATTCCACTACAGGGTATGCGACCAAAGAAAGGAAATCAATATATCAAAGAGATAGCTGAACTCCTGTGTTTATGACAGAGCTATTCACAATAGCCAGGCTAGGGAATCAACCTAGATGCCCACCAATGGATAAATGGACAAAGCAAATATTACACACACACACACACACACACACACACACACACACACACACACACACACACACACACAGAATGAGAATAGAATATTACTCGGTCACTAAAAAGAATAAAATTATGTCATTTACATCAACATGGATAGAACTAGAGGTTATTTATGCTAAATGACCATAGCCAAACATAGCATGTTCTCATTTTATCTGTTGGCTAAAAGAGTGGATCTCATGAAGATAGAAAGTAGATTTTGGTTACCAGAGAACAGGAAGCATAGATGAGGGAATAAATAGAGGTTGATTAACGAGGCTATGTAAAGAAACAAGACCTAGTATTTGATAGATGAGTAGGATGACTCTAGTTAATAATATCTAGTCTACATTTTAAAAATAGGGAACAATGTGACTATTCCTAGCATAAAGAAAAGATAAATATTTAAGGTGATGAATATCCCAATCACCTTGATTTGATCTTTGCACATATTTGAATGTATTGAGTTATCACATGCTCCCCAAAACACATCAATTATATATCAATAAAAAATGAAAGAAATAGGCATATAAGGTACATCCTAGGGTTTCAGTGCAGGTGTATATTAAATAACTGAATGCAAAACTATGTATGATTCATACAAACTGAGGAATACTATGGGGCAGTTGTATTTTTAACGATGACGTGAACGTTTTTGTGGGTGAAATATGAACTGAAAACCTTAAAAAATATCCACCAGATATTGTGAATAAAGGATGCCATCCTTACAATAGAAACTTTGCAGAATTTTGAAATAACTTAATCATTAAGCTTTGAAAATACTGTAGTGTTCAAGCTTATATAATAAAACCAGAGGCAGTTAAGAGCTGAAAGTACATGGTAAACAAAGCAGCAAAATAGAAGACAGAAACAAATCAGTGAGGCAAAGAGTTTACAATGAAAGTACAATGAGTAGGTAAAATTACAATTTGTATCTTTTTAGCTGTCAGCGTTTCAACATTTAGTACACCATATTTAGCAAAATGTTCAATACACTTTCAAAAATGACAAAAGCTACTATGTACCTACAGATCTATAATTCTAGAGATGAGCACGATGGAAAATAATAGCTTTTATGTACCATTCCTAAAGATTGTCAATTTTCAGGGGTGCAAAGCTTGTCAAGGATGTCTTTTACTAAATTATTTGCAGTAAAGTTTTGCTAAAGTTGGAAATAATTGCTATTAAATCCTAGTTCTGATAAATCATTCTGGTAGAGTGTGAGGTTTGAAAATAATGGAGAAGGACCATTGCAATTCCTAACCTGTAAAGGAATATCAAAACTCCAATTCCCAGAAAAGGAAGCAGGGTCTGAGTGATTTAATGATTTAGTGAGTGTCACCTAATAATAGGAAATACAGAATTCAATTCCAGGCATGTCTAATCGCAAAGCAAGGACATTTTCCCACTATATCTGCCATATGGCCAGAATGTTCTTATGTTTCTTAGGTATTATTAAATTGTCAAAGGACTCCTGAATCAAAACTATGCAGGAGGTATTGAAATTGCCTCTTAAACCACTAGATTACAGAGCAGTTTGAATAGCAACACCAAAAGATAGAAAATATTCACCATAAGATTGTATTGTTCTCTCTTCAAAGATTCCTGTGTGGTACCTATCTGTTCTCTCTCTCTCCCCGGCTTTCTCATTCATTCATTCATATATATATGTATATCTATTCATATATATAAACATATACATATATATTCATATATATACACATATATACATATATTCATATATGTTCATATATATACATATATACATATATTCATATATATACATATATACATATATTCATATATACATATATTCATATATATACATATATATGTATAAAATCTCTAATAGTCTCACATGCTGAAAGTGCTTGGCATCAAAATCGGCATTTCTAGCCTATCTAAATAGACACAACTGATTGAAAACAAATCTACATCCATCCTCTTCTTAACAATTTCCCATTGAGGAGAGGGATGGGGACCTTGAAAAAATCTTTTTTTGGAGTGGAGACCTTAACAGTTTAAAAACATTTGTGTTTCTCAATGTTTCTTGGCATCAAGCTCCTCATATCCCCAGAGGGTTGGTTAAGGGAAAATACTGTCGTTTCTCATAAGGAATAAAGCCAGAAAGTTCAGAATTTTTAGCTCTATGTAAATATTCAATATATCAGCAAACATTTATCATACTACAACCTAGATCAGTGTTATAGTGTGATTAGTGAAAACGTATGCCAAATAATGAGAAAGAAGAGATAATTATTGATTTCATTCTTTTTCTACTCATCGGCAAATACTTGTCCATAATGTAGGAATTATAATCTGGATTCTGCAGCATAAGACATAGCAGATATGGTAAACTGTCCACTCACAGTTAATGACTCCCTCTTTTTTACTAACATATTCCAAATTTGTTCTAGGTGGCCCTATGCCGAGTTCAAGTATTTGCCTTCTGAGACTCCTTTTTAGTGATGGGGTAGCCATGTGACATGGGTAGCATGAGTGGCAGACGTCTACTGAGGGGAAGGGGGCTTATGGGAAAAATCTCCATTATCTCTATTAAAAATGGTAGTCATACTGATATGTCCCTTTTACCCTTTTGTGTGTTCATGGCAGCTATCTAAAAACCATTAGGATGACAGACCCACAATAAGGATGACAAAGTAAAACAAAACAAAAACAGACAGGAGTCTGGCCTTGTGAAGGGGATACTCCAGTCTTGATTTATTCCCTTATTCTCTTCCTAGACATTTTATTGGGTGAAAAAAATAAACCTGATTTGATTAAAGAAAGTGTTACTATATGAGGTTACATTCAATCCCTGAAGTGATTTACATATTGATACTCAGCAAGATCAGGTATTGGTCATTATCAGTGATTCTAGGTCAACCTGAGTGACAGTTCAGGTGATAGTTCGCAGAACTCTTGTCTATTTTATTTGATATTTTTATTGATGACCTAATTAAATGAATCAAAATTCAATAATTTTATTTATAAATAATAAAAATGATACAGTCCCATAAAAACATAATGGATTCAAAAGGAGTAGAAATATCAACAAATAAGTCTTAATAATAAAGTTGGTAATTTATAGTAGCAAAGAAATAGCTACAGTAGAGCATTTTTGTCAATCATTAGGTAAATATGATTATTACTGTGGTTCTGGGGTTAACAGCTAACCATATTAACCAGGCTATTAAGTTAAATATGCCGTAGTATTACATGTAGGGGTTGCAACATAATTCTTCCATCCTAATTTGCATTATGTAAACACTTCTTATACACTATATGTGCATATTTGATCATTACATTTTAAAGAAATGCTGAGAAATTAGATAGCATCTAGAGAAAATGACAGTGACATAATGATTAAAGGGCTGAAAAGTAAGTCTTACAAAAAAGGTTAAAATAATTGGCATTTAGCCTGGAAAGGAGCAAAATGATTACTACCCTCAAATTGTATGTTAAGTCCTTTTTTTCTCTTGATGTGATACTGAGGTAGACTGAAAAAACAAAAAACAACCGAATAACCTTTCAGAGGACTATTACCTATTCAATACAAATGTGTAGTTTTTGAAAGCTGCTATGAACCAGGCCCTAGACCAGGTAAATAAATCGTAGTTCTTTCCTTTACGAATTTCACAGACTTGATACAGGGTGAGGATGGTTGTATTCCTTAGAATAAAGGCTAAGTTGCTTTTACAACTTAGTACTATAAAACTGGATTTTTTTTTTTTTTTCAGTTAATAGTCCAGTCAGTCAGAGCTGGTGAAGTAGACTTGCTGTAGAAGGTGTGAAGGCCCAGTCCTCCCTCCACGTTTCTCCACCCTTGAAAGGTCGTGTGCATGTCTGTTCACCCATGAAAGAAGAGGAAGACACCAAATGGATGGCATTGATTTCATTTTAAGTAAGTGAGGAGTAAGTTACCATTAAGCTCAACATTCCATTGTTCTGAATTTAGTCATATTAGCATGCCCAGCTGCAAGGAGGGTTGGGAAATATTGCCTCTAGCTGAGCAGTCATATATTCAGATACAATCATTTTATTATGGAAGACAGAAAAATGAGGCCGGCTGCAGTGGCTCACGCCTGTAATCCCAGCACTTTGGGAGGCTGAGGCGGGCAGATCACGAGGTCAGGAGATCGAGACCATCCTGGCTAACATGGTAAAACCCCGTCTCTACTAAAAATACAAAAAAATTAGCCGGGCATGGTGGCGGGTGCCTGTAGTCCCAGCTACTCGGGAGGCTGAGGCAGGAGAATGGCGTGAACCCGGGAGGCGGAGCTAGCAGTGAGCTGAGATCGCACCACTGCACTCCAGAGCCTGGGCGACAGAGGAAGACTCCGTCTCAAAAAAAAAAAAAAAAAAAAAAAAAAAAAAAAAAAAAGAAAAGAAAAATGTTGGGAAACAACTAACAGTTTTCCACAGATATAAAATATTAGCATATCAGTATTTTCATTCTTAAAAATTATCTGGAGAGCAACTAACAATGCCGCTGGATAATTAAGTTATACATTTTCTACAATCAGAAGGGCGAGAAGAATCAACTCTCTAGATCTCGCATACACTATGGTATATATATAAGCATTGGAGTTGTATTTTAGTCATTTCTGACTACTCGTTTTTAAAATCTTTTAGTCCCTGAGGATTTCTATCTGTGCAGATGTATAGACAATCTGACATTTTTGAAATTTTGTAAGTGCAGCATAAAATCAAAGAAGGAAGTTGGTTTTGGGCCTCTATCTTCACCCATTTGCTATGAGGCTTCTGGTCCTGGGGAAGCCTTTTCCCCTAACCATTGAAGAGTTCAAGTTGTGATTCTCTTCATCTCTTCTCATAGACAAAGCACTTGAGTCACCATATTTTTATCATCTAATTAAGCTCCAGCATAAGATTTTATCGAAATCTCCCTATAATAGTTATTTTTCATCTACATATTTTTGTATTTAGTTTAAATTAATCTTTTCTACAATATCCTGTCTGATCCTGACATTGTACGCAGTGCGCTGGCAAGGTCTTATGTGATTTAATAACATTGCCTGGCTCAGGATGAATTTAGTTCAGTTCTTACAGTTCAAGTTCCATAAGGCATTGTAATAACTTTATAGTATATTGCAAGACTATTAAAATAATCACTCCAGGCTGGGCGCAGTGGCTCATGCCTGTAATCCCAGCACTTTGGGAGGCCGAGGTGGGCGGATCACCTGAGGTTGGGAGTTCGGGACCAGCCTGACCAACATGGAGAAACCCCGTCTCTACTGAAAACACAAAATTAGCCGGGCATGGTGGCGCATGCTTGTAATCCCAGCTACTTGGGAAGGCTGAGGCAGGCGAATCACTTGAACCTGGGAAGCAGAGGTTGCGGTGAACCAAGATCGCGCCTTTGTACTCCAGCCTGGGCAATGAGAGCGAAACTCCGTCTCAAATAATAATAATAATAATAATCAGTCCAAAAATCCAGGCTCTCCAGAGTCCTTCTAATGAAATTGTAATTTATTCATGAGTAGACATAATTTGAAATAATAGATCACATCCTGCATCATCCTGTGTTATTATATTTTGCACATTAATATATATGTCCTTTAACTTACTGTATCTCATAACAATATGAGTTTCAATATCTCATATTGAAACATCACAAATATTTGTTATTAGATTAAATAAATGAACAAATACTTATTAGATCTATTATATTGAGTGATCAAATTTCATTTTATCTATCTGTAAAACATAGAGATTTTCAAAAGCAATTTTATTCACACAATAGACTCTTTTGCATCAAATGGTCAATTAATTTGACTAATCTTTTTTAAATAAAAATATTCTAGTAAATTCAAACAAAATTAATTTGACTGCTTTTTGTCCTGATTGACTGATCGATTAGTCATTTGACCCAAAGTATTCATATTGATTTCTTGTTTAGTTAAAGCCCGTGTCTCCTAGAGTCCCAGTTCTACTAACTTCCATCTAATAAAATCATTTCTTATACTGTCTTAATATATTGAGACTCAAATTATGTAGTAGAAAATAATTTAGTCAATCAGATATCTGTGGCTAAAATATGGTATGCTGAACTTTACATATTCAGAAATTATAGCCTTAACACTTGTAAGACTATTTTAAATAATCACAGAAAATAAAATGTAATATTCTGGATACATAACTAAAATTATACATACAGAAAAATTCAATTTGCCTCTTTATGCACAGTTTAAGTGATTCTTTGCAAATTTATTTGGTTATTTTTAGTATAGCTATAACAAATTTTCAAATAATTGACTCAGGTCTGTCTCTACAATATCCAGAATATCTGACTGCCACTCATTTTCTCCATCTTTTTGATTTATTGACAATTGCCTAGATTAATACCAATATGATTGGAATAATTAACTCTAGGCTTCAATGCCAACTCTATAAATAACTGCATTTTTATATCTCTGATACTTTAGCAAATGGAAATATGGAAAACAGTACATCTGAAGCATAGCAAGACTTTTAAGAAGATTTACCGTAAAAACCTCAAGTTTAAGCTTTGAATATCAGCAAAATTAAGATAAGTTTATAAATGATTAAAAATAATTATAACCATTGCTAGTAAGAAAGAAGTGTTTAGTCAGGAACTAGAGAGGTCTACCCTATCCAATATTGTTTCTACCTATGGAGACTTTATAGGCATACTAACAAAATTCTTGATAAAGGATGTGAATTTTAAAATGCACTATATTTCCATACGAAGATGTCAAAATACCTTCAACGTCTTTTGTGCTTGTTGACAAAAAGAGTGAAATTCTGTAAAATACTTTTAGAGATTTATTCTGAGCCAAATATGAGTGATCATGGCCCGTGACACAGCCCTCAGGAGGTTCTGAGATCATGTGCCCAAGGTGGTTGGAGTACAGCTTGGTTTTATATATTTTAAGGAGGCATGAGACATCAATCAAATACATTTAAGAAATACATTGGTTTGGTTCAGAAAGGTGGGACAAAGCAAAGTGGGGGCTTCCAGACTGTAGATAAATTTAAGCATTTTCTGGTTGACAATTGATTGGGTTTGTCTGAAGACCTGGGATCAATAGAAAGGAAATGTTCAGGCCAGGCACGGTGGCTCACGCCTGTAATCCCAGCACTTTGGGAGGCCGAACCAGGCAGATCACCTGAGGTCAGGAGTTCGAGATCAGCCTGACCAACATAGTTAAACCCCATCTCTACTAAAAATACAAAAATTAGCCTGGCGTGGTGGCGTGCACCTGTAGCCCCAGCTACTTGGGAGGCTGAGATGGGAGAATTGCTTGAACTTGGGATGCAGAGGCTGTAGTAAGCCAAGATCGCACCACTGCACTCCAGCCTGGGTAACAGAGACTCTATCTCAAGGAAATGTTCAGGTTAAGATAAAAGATTGTGGAGACCAAGAGACCAAGGTCCTTTTGAAGTCTTATTGTGGCTGCCCTTAGAGACAACAGATGACAAATGTTTCTTATTTAGATTTTTTTTTTTTTTTGAGACAGAGTCTTGCTCTGTCAATTCTCCTGCCTCAGCCTCCTGAGTAGCTGGGATTACAGGAGTGCACCACTACACCCGGCTAATTTTTCTATTTTTAGTAAAGACGGGGTTTCACCATGTTGGCCAGGCTGGCCTTATGAGCCCCACCCACCTCAGCCTCCCAAAGTGCTGGGATTACAGGACTGAGCCACCACGCCCGGTCCTGTTTAGATCTTTAAAAGGTGCTAGACTTAATCTCTTAGTTAATCTCTTCAGGATTGGGAGGGCCCGGAAGAAAAAGATCGAGCTATGTCAGTAGAGATTCTTTACAGATGCGAGTTCCCCCACAAAGCTCACCTTTGCAGGGCCATTTCAAGATATGGCAGAGAAATGTGTTTTTCCTTGTTATGCCAGAGCCAGATTGGAAAGTAAGTCATGATATACAGGGTTAAATAAAACCCATTCTGATGAGAATTTATGGTTTGTGAGAATTTATGACTTGCCAGACTCCTTAGATAGGAATTTGAGCAATTAAAAAAAAAATCAGAGATTTGTCCTCATGCTGAATCCAATAAATCAGGTACTAAGACTTCAACTTTTCCCTAACATCACTCCAATTTAGATATTGTTCAGAACCAACAATTGACAATAAAAGACTTTAAAATATAAATGAACATTTTCTAAATTAACGGTAGTACAATATCTCAAACTGAGATGAAACATGATCACACTCTACTTTCATTGGGAGTTTATGACTGAAGTTTTTATTTCAAATGTTGAAGCTTACAGCAAATTACATGGTACAGTGACTTACACAAGGAAAGATTCAAGGCACCAAGTATGTTAATGCTACAGGAGAGAAGATTAGAGGAGGAAGCTGAAAAGAATGATTCCTTTATTCTCACAGGAATGAGAAACTCCAGATTGATATAGAAGCCATTTAACATAAATGTAAATTTTATGAGAAAACAGCTGAAATTACAATTTAATATTTATCAAGCTATGTGATAACTTGCTTATTTTGATGCAGTAGAAGAAATCATGAAAACCTGTTCATAGAGTGTTCTATGTTTCCAAAAATTCTATGCTCTTTAATGATGCATAATTAAATAAAAATAACATATAAAATGGGAAAACACTTACACCACGTATAAGAAGTTAATGTTACATAAAGAGCTCAAACTATACGTGTTCTAAAATCCTAAAACATAAACAGAATAAAGCAATTACAATTTGTTGTCATAAACTTGTCCATAATAATATCTAATGATTCTCTGTATTCCTGTGGTTATGTTTCCTTTCTTTGTGCTTTTCTTTATTTGGGTCTTCTGAGTTTTTTTTTTTTTTTTTTTCTTGGTATAACAAAAAGTTTCAGTTTTGTTTATCTTTACCCTCCAAAAAAAAAAAAAAAAAAGCTTTTGTTGTGTCACCTCTCTTCTGTATTTTATAATCTCGATTTCATTTCTTATTGCTCTGATCTTTATTTCTTGCCTTGTACTAATTTGGTTTTGGTTTGTTTTTGCTTTTGTGGTTCCTCGAGTTGCATCATTAGGTTGTTTATTTGAAATATTTCAACTTTGTAATGTAGGCATTTATTGCTATAGAATTCACTCTTAGTACTGATTTTACTTTATCTTTTAGATTTTGGTATGTTGTGTTTTGATTTTGATTTGTTTCAATATTTTAAAATTTCCTTCTTAATTTCTTCATTGACCTATAGGTTATTCAGGAGGATGTTGTTTAATTTCCATGTGTTTTTCTAGTTTATAAGATTCTTCTTATTAATGATTAGTAGTTTTATTTTATATGGTCTGTAAAGACACTGGGTATGATTTCTACATTTTTGAATTTGTTCACCTCTCTGCGTCCCCAGGAACTTACTCATTCTTACATTTGAGCTGTGGGATATTACCGGTAATAATCTTGGTGATATATATTTGTTTTTGATTTTCTGTTCTGGGGAGTGAAGCAAGCTTGCTTCTCCACCACCATTTTGGAAAGGAAGAGCACAAATACCCTTTAGAAAGTATGAGAAATTGTTATAAAGTCTATGCTAAGCAATACTATAATATGATTATTGGATTGGTATTGGGAGATGATTCTCCACAGGTCTGTTTTACTTCTGTACACCTTATGAACAGAAACAGTGATGGTCTTTGTTCTAGATAATATTTTCAAGGATATTTTTATAACAGTCTTGGAAGATAGATATGGTCTTTTGTACTGTTTATAGGGAAAAATGTGTTTCTCCAGGGCAAACGGCAGTTATGCCCATTGCACATTATAAAACAATTAGATTCCTTAAATTCAGTGTTCTTCTCCTGTAACAGAGCCGATGGCATGTGCAGGTGTCATCCACCCCCTTTTCATGTCACCTATGGTATTTGGGGCCTGAGGAACTCATATAAGAAAAATGATACATACTAGCTATTGCTATTTTGTAAGTAATAAACTGTCATTTGTCCCTGACCCAGGAGTCTCATGGTTCTGCCAGCATCCATGGCAGACAACCTGTTAGGTTGCCAATAGGGTAAAACCCAAGTTTTTGACATTTGAAATAGAGACAATAGAATGTGTTTAGAAGGAACAGAAACTTTAGAATCAGACCATTTCACATTCAAATTTGATCTCTGCCTCTATGTGATCATAGATAAGACTAAAAACTTTTCTAAGTCCCAATTTTCTCATCTGCAAAATGGAGGATAATGCCTAACTTTTGATATTTATGAGACTATTAACAGAAAGCACAAGTAACATGCTGACATTTTGCCTGGCACATACAAAAATATAATTAATGCCTATCTTTGTCTTTCCTTCTTTTTTTCTTCCCCAAATCTATGTTAGTAATTCTACTCAGGAATATCAATCAGCAGAAGATTAACTTGCAATTTATAAAAGCAATTATTTTGTATTAGTCTCTTTCTCACCTGACATGATGGTCAGCCAAGATCTGCAGCTGCACTGCCTGGCAGGTGAGACTGTAGCCTGGTCATCTAATCTGTTACGAGCTTTCTAATCATTAATGAATCAAGTCCAGAAATGCTCCTTTATAGTATTAATATCATTGGCAAAAGTGTCTGGAGAGAAATGATCAGGCAGCATCTTAGTAAAGCTACTCTGGCAAGTGGAAGATAGGAAGGAAGAATGTATTTGCTCTTTTCGTTTTCTTTTTTCTATTTTTTCCCACCTCTGCCTAGGGGTTTTCTTATCTTAGGTCTCTGACCTTACTCCAAAATTTATCTGAGACAAATTTCTCAGCAAAACTGTCTGAAGCAATTTTCGCTTTCTCTTCTGTCTCATCATTTTCAAAAGACCTGGATATGGTTCAAATGATTCTTCCATCTGTTTCTTCTAATTCCTTGACCTCAATCCTTTTCCTTAGAGTTATATCTCCCTTGAACACTCATTACTGCCTGGGAGCTGACTCAAGGTTGCTTCCCTCCCTCTGAGTTGGTGATGGTGCTGTGCCAGATTCTCCTGAGAGCAGGGAGCTTGTGTGAGTTCTGTTCTGATATTTTCCAGGCAACCATTTGTGACTCTGTCTGGTCTTAGTCCCAGAATTCCATGTGTTCACAGGCCAGTTTATGTGATTTGCCTTCTAGAACAAGGCTGGGGCATATTATGTTGAGAAAAAAGTGATAACAGAAAAAAAATGTATCAATAGGAAGATAGTCAATTATATAATATGCCCCTAATGCTAGATGTTTGTTGTTGTTTTCTCAGTCTATTGCTATTATAAAGAAAGTATTATAATGAATTCACATTTACATATATCATACTGTATACATGCATGTAAATTAGCAGAATAAATTCTCAGAAGTAGAGACTAATAAATCAACAGTGAAGGCATTTTTATTTTAATGGTCATTCTCAAGTTGCCTCCACAGGGTCTCACTATTTTACACCCAATAGCAACATATTAGAGAAGTTATTTTTTTTCACAAACTTGCCAATAGAGTTGTAAATTTTACGTTCTTGTCATGTATATTATAGGTTAAAAATTATATCTTGGTGTAGTTTTGGGTTTGTTATTCCTTTGTTCTGATCCCAAAATCAGATTTATTTTGAGAGACATTGACTATGCTTTCATATATTTAAGGGACATCTGTTTTTTTTTTTCTTTTAACTTATAAACATCAGGTTCATATTTGTCCATTTTTCTGTTGGGTGCCGGTTTTCTACTACTTAGTTTTAAGGAGCTTCCATATATTCTCTCTGTGATGTACATGATTTGAGAGTTTTGTAATTTGCTTTGGATTATAGTGTTTTAAATAATACAAAAGTTTTGTATGTCTTGTCTATATCTGTTGATGAAGTTGAATTTATAAAACTTTTAATGAATTCTGGATTTGAGGTCATAATTTGAAAGGCCTTCTCTCCTCCAGCACTATAAAGGTATGACCTTGTATTTTCTTCTAGTATTTATATGGTCTTGTTTTCTCCTTCAAACTTAATTACCACCTGTCCTGTTGTCTGTAACAATGTGACAGTCCTGTGCTGACTAAATTTGGGATCTCAGGGAGAAAAGAGTAAATACATAGTATAGAATAAAAATAATAAACATCTGAGTTCATGAATTTATTATTTTCAGTTTTTTCTTTGGTAAAATAAGGCTTCAACATGTTATGAAAATGAAGGATAATTTCTTGTTGAATTTTTGGATAATTTGTGAGAAAGTACAAATATTTTTGGAAGAGTAGATTATATGACTAGTGTCCTTGGTTTCTTCAAGACAGCCTTTTTTTTTTTTTTTTTTGGTGAAAGGCATAGCAGTCTACTTTCAGACAAGAAAAGACTAGAAAATATTAACCCCATCCAGGTATTTTCTCACTTTAGCATAGAAGAGAAAAATTGAGAACATGGGCTTTGCTACCAGGCACCTCTCCCTACTGGCTATGTTACTTTTGGGAAGTCATTTAACTTTCGGCCTCAGTTTCTTTATAGGCAGACTATGGAAAATAATTTTTTCTTCATAAAGTGTAAAGGATTACATTAGATAAAGTGCTAAGCAAAGTGGCTGGCATATGGTGAAATTCAATTAATAACTATTTTCAGTTATCGAAGTTGGATTTTATTTCACGTGATTTCATAATTTTTTTGAAGATTGAAATATGATTAGGAATATAACCATTTATGTTAACCAGAAATAAAGGAAGCATTGAATCATAAGCTAATATGAATTTTAAAATGTGTTGTCTCATTACACTGATTGAAAATAGCAACTTTGGTCTATGAGATGAGGCCTTGGAGATACTCATCTCCAGAGTATCCAGAAAATAACCTTGAAAGAACTCACTGGCTGATGACTATAATTTGGCTAGTCCTACATCTTTCTAGTGGAATCTAGGGTAAAATATACAAATCAAGTGATACATTTTGAAAAAGGCCCTGCTGTGGCAGTATCCTGCATTTTAAGTGTACATCAAAGTTTTCTGGAGACACCTTGAGATGGATGTTCTGTGTATAGTGTCACGTTTTTAGACATGTCCCCAAGGTTTTATTATTCTGTCTCTTCATTCTTGCACTTCAGCAGCTAGAAATGGCTTTGCTGCTTCAAACTCCTGTGATACGTCTTTACTATAAATTTAGATTTTCAATGCCATTGTCATTTGGTGAAGAAATGTGCAAATCAGCATATTCTTTTTGAAGTGCATTTTGGCTAAATTATCTTTACTTAACAAATAGCTCTTAAACAAAAGGCATGCGTAATAATCACATTCCTATTGTTGTTCATGCTACCTTGGCAAAACTACAGGAGACAATGAAAAGCAACGAATTGTTCTAATCTCTGAATAGTAATAAATATTTTATTATTGTGGCTTCTAGAATTTGGCTTTATTCAAACTACTGTTGGAGAGCTAGAGCTATAGAAATGTAAGTGGTATTAATGAAGTAAATATACATTCACAAGTACAAAAATAAGTAACACCTGTTCAGACAGTGGCCAATTGTTTTCTGTTGATAGAGCATTTATTTTAGCAGTGGTATCGAAATGTCGGCTAGCAATAAAAATAACACTACTAACTATTCCTACATAGTTATAAGGATGTGTGCCAATTATTACTACTAATAAAGGTAGAATGCAGCATTCAGCTTTAACATTCATAAGATGGGTGAATTTGAAGAAATTAACTGCTGTGTGCTTCAGTTTCTGCATGTTTAATGTGCGTAACAGTACCTACCTCAAAAGATGGCTGTGAAGATAAAATAAGAATGTGCATAAAAAGCTGTTAACCCATTGCCTAGTATGTAAGCACACAAGTCCAATTTATTAGTATAAAGATAGAAAAAGAAGCACATGCTTATTTTATTGGCACAGAGTCCTAATTTATACCTCTATATGTGTCTCTTCATAGGAATTTATTTTAGACATGAAGCTTACTGCCATACTTTTATATTAAAAAATTAAGTGGTTGATTTAATTAAAATCACTAAAATAAAAACAGAATATAAACTCATATTTACAACCAGATTTTTTTTTCTGAAAGTCTGTTTATATACCTATTTTTTCAGTGTTCCAAGACTTGCAAAGAGTAATTAAAGCTTTAGTTCTTTCTGTAAGCAAAAGATTACTATATGTTCATCTGGAAAATATATGTTGTATCTGGAATTTTTATATAAAATAGGCTACCTACTTTTCAACACTGAAAATCTGTAGAATCAGGTAATGCTCCAACTTAATGTCCTCTGAGTTTATTTTGGGACTGCAACATCCAAGAAGATAGCCACTTGCCACTGATGTTTATTTACACTTAAATATAAATGAAATTTGATCATATTTTTAATTTAAAATATTTTTCATTAAGTAAATACTATTAGCAACTTAGTGTCTCAGTTGCACTAGCCATATTTCATATCCTCAATAGTCACATGTGGCAAGTGGTTATTATATTGGACAACACAAATTAGAACATTTCCATAGCTGCAGAAAATTCGGTTGGCTAGTTTTATCTTACAGAATCTTAGAAGCTACTTCATTACTGATGGGGTAACAGGCACTGACCCTGTGTGGCTTAAGATATTTTTATAATCAGACACCTCTCTAATTTTAAATTTAAGATTTTAGATGAATTCCCAACCTTATTCTGCGTTAGTATTAACCTAATTGTCATCTGACATTAATGCTGTTACCTTAATCCAGTGATTCTCAACCTCGGCTGCACAATAGAATCAGTGGAACGATTTAAAAAAATCTAGATATCTAGGCCACATGCTATATGCTGTATTAAAGACCAACTAGAGTAGGCTCTTTAAGGAATGGCAAGCAGTCATCAGTATTTTTTTTTTTTTTTCTCCTCTCAGTAATTCCAACATCTAGCAAAGCTTGTGAACTCTGGATCCAGTCACAGATCTGGTTTTCCCATTTGTCACTAATTTTTTCTCATCACTTTGTTATTTTATATTGCAAAGGCACATAGCTGTTACCACACATTGCATGATTTACTCTTTTCTTTTAAGATGATACTTCCTATAATTATTTCTCATGCAACATTATTTTCTCACATATTGCTTAATTTTTATTGTTACTTTTATTTCAAATCAGAAATTTTCTTTTCCAGGCACTTTTCTCATTCTCACTGCTTTTGTGCTTTTTTAGGTAATGGTGAACAAAAGTTAATATAATACATCAAAATCAGCAACGGTAGAAAAAAAAAAGATAGAAAATGATGTGCAGTAAATAAAATGACCTTTTACTACCCTTCTTCCAAATGCTTGTAAAAAGATGAGAGTTAAGGTGCTTTTGCCCTAGAGCACAACTTTTATTACATGCATAATAATTCCTCACTTAAAAGTGTATAAATGTGGGAACTTTTGTATTGACATCCTTCCAACAAAAATGATTTTTTAGGAAAAATTTAAAACTACCTGATTATTTGAAGAAGGCTTATGGTCCAAAAAATAACTTATATTAAGAATTTCAGGCAAATGCTATTATAACATTTTCTTAAAATAACAGGTGAGGAAAATCTGTGGATGGTGATAATTGAGAAATACAATTTGTTAAATAATATTTTAAGGCTGGTGCAGTGGCTCACACCTGTAATCCCAGCCCTTTGGAAGCCCGAGGCAAGTGGATCATTTGAGCCCAGGAGTTCAAGACCAGCCTAGCCAACAAGGCAAAACCCCATGTCTACTAAAAATACAAAGATTAGCTGGGCATGGTGGTGTACACCTGTAATTCCAGCTATTCGGAGACTGAGGGTATGAGAATCGCTTGAATGCTGGAGGTTGAGGTTGCAGTGAGCGAGATCATACCAGTGCACTCCAGCCTGGGCAACAGAGCAAGACTGCATCTCAAATAAACATTAAAAGGGAACATTTTAAGCCACTGTATCTACCAAAATTTTATTTTGTTCATTTATCAAAATAATTCAGTATGACAGAGACTGCTAGATGTTCCCCAATATCTACTCTCCCTTTTTTGCAAAGTAATAAGTTGAACTTTTAGTTGAACATACTGAGTTTTAAAGAGGGAATAGGAAGAAAGTACATGCAAACTTAATATTTGATAGGACCAAATATAATGTATATAAAGAAGATGAATACCAAATCATTATGGAGATGGTTGAATATATTAGTTGGAATCCTGGTTTAGCCCAATAGTAGAGAGCAGAGATTATAGTGGCTTGATCAAAAGGACCTTTTGCCCTTTCATGTGAAAGCATAAGAGTTTGGTTGAGGCTAGCATGCTAAATCTGTAATGATCAAATATCTAGATTCCCTTTATTTTGTTGCCTTTTATCTTTAATAACAGCATCCATCTAATGACACAATATGGATTTTGCCAGTCAGAGGAAAAGAAAATAAAAACAGAAAATAGAGGACATATTTCTTTTCTTTATAGCCATGATTTGGAAATTGCACATGGTAGGCCCATTCACATTCATTGGCTAGAACTTCATCGCACTCTCTTACCTAGTTTCAAGAGAAGTTGAGAGTTGTTGTCTTAAGTTGAGCATCTCTGTGTGTATCCAAAAATCTTATTACTACGTAAGAGAGAAAATATGCCTTTGAGAGGGAAAATACTAGTCTCTACAATAAGACACTCAAATATCCAGGCACATACTCTTACATCTACTTTAAGCATGCTCTCCTCCTCCTCAAATCAGATGACTATTTACTGTAACCAGCTAAAAATCCAAGATTTATGGAAAATATATGGTCTTCTTCAGAACTCAAACTACAGTTTTAGAAAAGTTGTGGCCAGCCTCAAAATCTGGCTTTTTGTTAGAAGTAACTCATACAGAGCAAATTAGAAGACATCAAGTTGTACTGATATAGTGTGGATATTAGTTTCTGCCCAAAATCTCATGTTGAATTGTAATCTCCAATGCTGGAGGTGGGGCCTGGTGAAAGTGTTTGGATCATGGGGGCGGATCCTTCATGGCTTGGTGCTGTCTTCATGATAGTGAGTTCTACCAAGATCTGCACATTTAAAAGTATGGCACCTCCCCCCTCAACACTCTTTCTTGTTTGCTCCTGCTTTACCATGTGAAGTGCCTGCTCCTGTTTCACCTTCTTCCATGACTGAAAGCTCCCTGAGGCTTCACCAGAAGCCAAGCAGACACTAGCATCATGCTTCCTGTAAAGCCTACAGAACTGTGAGCCAATTCAACTTCTTTTCTTTATAAATTACCCAGTCTCAGGTATTTCTTTACAGCAAAATTTCTTTCTAATACATTTATCCTTTAGGCTTCTTCTGAAAATATTGTCCTGCTTGAGTTGTCATTTTGTATTTCACATTAGAAAATGAAAGTTAAAAGGAGTGTCAGTGAGATGTCATTAACGGTTGAATTATCAAATCATATTTACAAAATCTAGAGAACTAGACCAATATTAAACTTAACTAAGAATTCAAAAGAAACGAAGGTGAAACGCGTCAAAGTCTGGGACTAATGACACAGCTGTCTACATCTTGCTCTGCACATTAGCATCCATCCTGCCTCAGATTTAATTTGTGAAATCTGAGTGATACCTGTGTGGCATTGCTGACACAAAGAGAGCTGTTATGGTCATCAAACTCATTTTATACTCTGTTAATTACGCAGTGGACATGGCATTTTGCAGCAAGCCATCCTTCATAAATCTGTGAATTCCAGGTTTGTTTACCATTAACAACATAAACAATCAAGATAAATTATTTTAAAAGCATCCAGAGATAAGAACTGTCCATTATTTTTCCACTTATGACTACTGTTACACTCATATACTATATACTATACTGCGTTTAGAGAATTAATTAGGTCATTTTTCTCAAGTAAAGATGACTTACACTAGGAGAAAATATGATAGACCATATAACACAGAGCTTAGATGTAAGCTAGTTCTAAGGTTGGTTTAGAGTCTTTATTGTAACACCATGGACAAGCACTTTCTCTCCTTCCTCTCTACAATTTCAATGTGCTGGATTTAATCCTTAGGTTTATTTTCTCATGGTCAATAGAAGCTTACTGCAACTCCAGGTATCACATCCACTTTTTATGGAAAATGAAAATCTTTCCCAGAAGTTTATCAGCAAACTTAATCTTGGGTCCCATTGACATAGGTTGTCACATACCCATGGTCTACTCAGGAAAGATTGACTATCTGGCATTTTCTACCTCTGTAGTGTGGAAAGTAGAATCTACCAGGAAAGAATAATAGGGCAGAGGATGGAGCAGCTATTGTTTAAGCAATGAAAAGTATTCTCCGCACCTTATAAATTTTATTTCTAATGCAGATATAAAGAGCAAGACCATTGTCTTTTCTACAACTCTGCACAAGTTCTTCTTAGCCCAGACTTAATCTCCTATACTGATGTTTGATAAAATTACATTGATAAAATGCCATTGTCTGGAGAATATTGGGAGTTACACACAAGAAATCATTCATTAACTCAGGGTATCCCTAAATCAAATTAATCTTTCAGCTGAGCTGGAAAGTAAGTCCCAAAGATGATTTGGATAAATTTTTGGGATAGTGCTATTCTGTGGTTCCCATTAGTATTCACCATCACTATGAGAAGGTCTGTAATTTAACAATCATGATGACATAGTATATATAACCCTATTTACATGTGAAAAGTAAACAAAGTCTAGGTAGCATTATTTTCATTATTGAACAAATTAAACCAAAGATACTTTAAACTCACAAAGTTGTTATGCTTTGGAATAGTAACACATGACTTTTAACCTAAGCAGGACATTTAGAAAAATTATTCAGTTAGATTATAATTTTTAAAATAAAATTTTAACACTTTCTTTCCTTCTCATTACTGCTTATGGCATCCTAACAACTTGATTAAAACTCATCATAGTAACTTTTGCTCATATTAAAAGGAAAACTATCTAACTCTCCCTCCTCTAAAGCTGAGGTTTTCAGCTATACAGTAAAATTTTGGTTCAAGCTAAATAGTTGCCGATGATTCACAGCTGAAAACCATTATCTAGTGTAATAGTAATCATTCAGCACATTGTTATTTTAATAAAAAGTACTATATTAATCAAATTATCAGCCAAAATAATTCTGCCTGATTTCCTTTAGGTAAATAATTGCTTGGCCTTGGGGTAATGCTTTTAGTTGGTCCCTGAATCCTGCCCTCATTTGAGCATTTTCTACAGGGAAATAAAGGGAGAGAAAAACTCTAATTAATAGGCTATATATTATGACTTACTTACCTTAATGTAGGTATGGTGGTAGAAATTCAGGAGCAAGTATAGTGAAGGGAAGGTTGTGCTATGCAAAAGGACTTTAAGTTCTGACCTTCTAAAACCTTTGGGAACACTGAAGAAAAGAGAGTATTTATGATTCAGTGAGAAAGTAGAAGAAACCACTACTGGGCTCAGGAAAGACAAATGGAAAATCAGGAATGGAAACTATTGGTAAGACAAATATTTGAGATATCGAGTCTGTGGAATACAGAATTGCAAGGTAGAAGAATTAAATGATGGACTAATTGTATATTACCTCTCCAACTTCGTTTTATATATTCACTCTTTTGGTCTTTAAATATCGATAGCACTTTGATCCTACATGCCTGATTCTCCATGGCTCCTTTAAACTACCGTATGTACACTTGAAGCTTACTGCACAAAGAGGAATTTCCTTCCTCTCCTCTTTATGCAGTGAGCTTCAAGGTGAGAACTTCCAGCTGCTTAGTTCTGGACTGCTCTTACATTGTAAATCTGATAATGTCGCACGTTTATTTAAGTGACCTCAATAGATTTCCATTGAATTTATGATAAAAACAAAAATTAAGAAGGTTACCTACAAGGCTCTGAACTATCTAGCCCTGTTCTATCTCCCCAACTTTATCACTCCCCATCTCTATCACCTGTTTCTCCTTCATTTTCTGTGCTTTTGCCTCGCTGGGTTCATTGTCTTCAATAGCTACTTCGATGACTTTGTACATGTTCTTCTCTTCATTTTAGCTTATCTCATGTCTCCTTCAGATCTCTGCTCAAATTATATCTCTCCTTTTCATAGCACTTATCAGAATTGTGATTGCATATTTGTGACTTATTCATTTAATATTAGCTGGAACCAGTGCTGAATCTATTTCTAAAAATCATAAAAGCCCAGGCATGTCTGGTAAACAATGAAGACAAGTCCAGTAAAAACATATTTGCAAGCAGTAGAGAGTATCTTTGGAGAAAACTCATTTAGATAATAGATTCCCAGTGGAGTTTGGGTGGCAACCCTTCTCCAAAGAGGCATGTCTGAGTTACATGGAGTGGAGCTACCCCCTACGGTTGCGTATTCTAATGCATCTTCCTCCGGAGATGTGTTCCAGTGGATGTAGACACTATTCTAGGTGTGTTATTGTCTGCCAGTGATGGAAGGATGGTTTATGCCTCAGTGTGGGAAGGGAAAAAATCATATCTGTTCCCTTCTCCAGTCTCAGCTTCCTATTACACTAAAGAAAATAGAAAACAATCAGGAAATAACTTCTATCATGCCCATCATTATAACTCTGTATTTATATTCCTATACTCTGCAGTCCCTGCTGTTCTTATCTAAGACTAACCCTCCTATTTGGTCACTTGATTTTATCCCTTTTTACTTAAGAACATTTCTTCATTAATTTCCCCCTCTTAATTTCAGTGTATTATTTTCCAGTATACTGGGTCAACCCCACAGACATAAAAACACATTGTAATATCTACCATATTAAAAACAAAACAACTTTCTTGACCCGATATTTATCTCCATATGCTCTATAATTCTCTGCTCACCTGTACCACAAAATTCTTCAAAAAGGTTGGCTATACTCTTTTCTCAAATTTCTCTCCTCCCATTTTCTCTCGAATCTTCTCCAAAGAGTCTTTCACCAATGCTACTCCACTAAAACAGGTCTTATCAATGTCACCAAAGGCTTTCAATAATGCTAAATCCATTCAATTAGCAGATCTCATCTTATTAAGACCATCACCTGGCTCACGCCTGTCATCCCAGCACATTGGGAGGCTGAGGCAGGCAGATCACCTGAGGTCAGGAGTTTGAGAACAGCCTGATCAACACGGAAAAACCCTGTCTCTACTAAATATACAAAAAAATTAGCCCGGCATGATGGTGCATACCTGTAATCCCAGCTACTCGGGAGGCTGAGGCAGGAGAATCGCTTGAACCTGGGAGGCAGAGGTTGTGGTGAGCCAGGATCGCCCCACTGCACTCCAGCCTGAGCAATAAGAACGAAACTCCATCCCTACCCACCCCCCCAAAAAAAAGACCATTATCAGCATTTGACACTTAACCCCTTCTTCTCAAAACATGTTTTTCACATAGCTTCCATAGCACTATTTAGGGTTTCATTCTCTCCACATTGACTAATCCTGAGTCAGTTATTGGTTTCTTCTCCTTACCCTAATCTGTCAGTGCTGCAGTTCCACAGAACTTGGTCATTCCAGTTCTCCAGCTAGCCTACACTGGAGGGATCTCATCTAATCTCACAGCTTTAAACACTATCTAAAATACAACAAAGATTTCCAAATCTCTACTCGGGAACAGTTATGTATTAACCTACTTTTTGACATCTCCACCTTTTCTTTTTTGGACAGTTCAAACTTAAAAATCAAACTACTTAAATTCTTATTTCTCCAAACTATTTCCACCACAGCAGCCCAGGAACCATAGAGATTGATTGAGATGTAGTCTCGCTCTGTTGCCCACGCTGGAGCGCAGTGGCATGATCTTGACTCACTGCAACCTCTGCCTCCTGGGTTCAAGTGATTCTCCTGACTCAGCTTCCCGGGTAGCTGGGATTACAGGCACCTGCCACCACACCTGGCTAATTTTTGTATTTTTAGTAAAGATGGGGTTTCACCATGTTGGTCAGGGTGGTCTTGAACTCCTGACATCAGGTGATCCACCTGCCTCCGCCACCTAAAGTGCTGGGATTACAGGTGTGAGCCCCTATGCCCAGCCGAGATCCCTTTAAAATATGTCAGATTGTGCCATTCCTCTGCTCAAAACTCTCCAACTGCTTTCCTGTTTCACCTAGAGTAAAATTTAAAATACCTACAATGACTTACAGATATTCATATCAATCATCTGCTCCCTTTTCCTTTTCTGGTTTTGTTGCCTATCACTGCGTGTGTGTGTTTTTTTGTTTGTTTGTTTGTTTGTTTGTTTTTTGAGACGGAGTCTCGCCCTGTCACCCAGGCTGGAGGGCAGTGGCGCCATCTCAGCTCACCACAAGCTCCGCCTCCCAGGTTCATGCCATTCTCCTGCCTCAGCCTCCTGAGCAGCTGGGACCACAGGCACCCACCACCTCGCCCAGCTAATTTTTTGTATTTTTAGTAGACACGAGGTTTCACCATGTTAGCCAGGATGGCCTTGATCTCCTGACCTCGTGATCCGCCCGCCTCGGCCTCCCAAAATGCTGGGATTACAGGGGTGAGCCACCGTGCCCGCCCTATCACTGTGTTTTAACTGTTTTTTTCAATTCTGTCTTGTCTATTTTGTGGTCATTCATCACAAGGCCAAATGAACACTCAAATTTATTTATATCTTTCCTGTGATCCAGCTTTCACAGCGCATGAAAATCACATCACCAACCCTATAACCAATCCCAAGTCTGTACCCCCAACCACCTCCTTATCTGTCACACATTGAGCCAGTATTTCTTCCGCACTAAACCAACCCAGAGTCAGATACCACACAACTAAGGACAGCTCTATGCCCGAAATCCCACTACAACTATTCAAACTAGTGGGTCCTAAGCTTTTTACCCCACCCTGCCTTGCCTTTATCATGGAAATCCCAATAAAACTCTGGCCAGTGCCTTCCGCTTGTTCCTGCTTTGCCTCCTGAATAAACCTGGTGCTTCCCTTTGTGGCCCTGTCTGGCAAGTTATGCTCCCTTCTCTCTGGAACTGTAATTTTTTTTTCTTTTTTTAAATATTAGCCTTTCTGTTTTGTCACTTGGTAACCTAGAAAAATTAAGATCTAAACACAAATATCCCTGTTCCTCTCTTTCCTGTCCAGCCTCACTGGTTGATCTCTTTACTGTTTCTCAAATGACCCAAGCATGTTCTCTCAGAACATTTGCCTAGCTTTTTTCTTTGCCTGGAATTCTTTTCCTACGGTTATTTGCGTGCTTCAAGCCTTTGTTTTCTTCAGGACTTGCTCAAATGCCATCTGATCAAGGTATTCACTGACTACCATTTTTATGTATTTATGTATTTAATATTTATTTATTAAACAGGACTCGCTCTATTACCCAGGCTGGAGTGCAGTGGTGCCATCATAGCTCACTGCAGCCTCAACTCCTGGTCTCAAGCAATCTTCCTGCCTCAGCTTCTTGACTAAATGGAACTACAAGCACATGCCACCACAGCTAGCTTTTTTTTTTTTTGTAGAGATGATAGCTCATGATGTGGCCCAGGCTGGTCTTGGACTCCTGGTCTCAAGCAATCCTCTCGCCTCCACCTCCTAAAGTGTTGGGGTTACAGGCATGAGCCACTGCATGGGCCAGTTTAATAATAGCACTTTCCCTTCACCTCCCCTCAGCCTGTGTTAACACTCTGGTCTCCTTAGTTTGCTTTGTTTTCCCATAGAATTTACTACCACCTGGGCTAGGTGGAGTGGCTCACACCTATAATCCCAGCACTTTGGGAGGCTGAGGCAGGTGGATTGCCTGAGGTGGGGAGTTTGAGACCAGCTGACCAGCATGGTGAAACCCCAACTCTAGTAAAAATACAAAAATAGCTGGGCGTGGTGGCAGGCACCTGTAATCCTAGCTACTCGGGAAACTGAGGCAGGAGAATCCCTTTAACCCGGGAGGCAGAGGTTGCAGTGAGCCGAGATCACGCCATTGCACCCCAGCCTGGGTGACAGAGCGATACTGTGTCTCAAAAAAAAAAAAAAAAAAAAGAATTTACCACCACCTGAAATATTATCTATTTGCGTTTCTAGAAAAACAACTAAGACATAAGCTCTACAAGGATAAAATAATAATTCACAATATATCTCCAGGGCCTAGGATAGTATTTGAAATAAAATCAGCATCTAAGAAACATTTATTGATCGAGCGAATGAATGAAGGAATGAATTAATTTGACTACTGCCAGGTTGGTCCAGGGGCAATGCACAAGGTGATCAGAAATTAAAGGTTAATATTTGTTACTGTTGTAACAATCCTGCCTTGCCCCTGCCCCACTGCCCATAGAGACACATGCTTCAATCTGATTTGGGAGGGATTTGAATATATCTAAATGTGAAAGAAAGAATCCCATTTACATATAAAAGTATATGATTCCTATGATTCCTCTTATAAAGGAATAATTAATAGCAAAAAAGAATAATACAAAAGAGAGACAGTCACTCTGGGACTACCCTGCACTGCCTGATAGAGTGGCAACAGTGTCCAGTAGGACCCCATGGGACCCAGATGACATGGAGACAATACCAGTTAACAAGCATTCTAATTGTGTACAGAAATATTACGTATGGTGAAAACAAAAGCCTGACTGAAGTTCTGAGACTACATGATCTATTAAGGGCTTCACTTTTCTGTCATCAAGTGTGCCTGCCTCTCTGTCATATGGAGACACATAAACTATGCTGATCTTTTCTTTCAAATATTTATACATTGATTTATATATAGTTGTACTTGTATTCTTTATAGATGTTAGCAAATTTTGTCAATGTTTCACTCAGATATAAAATTTAATATTTAATTATTCTCCTCCTTTCTCATGTAAGAAATCTTTTCTGGTCTTGATAACTTATACTGGCCTCAAAAGATATATATTTTTATAGGTTATCTCTAACCACATATTTTACATATGAACACTGAGTGTTTCTGTGGATGAATATGCAGATAGGCTTTTTGATGGTTGTGGTCTTCCACTGTTTCTCAGCTGGTCACTAAAACCTAAAACAAAGGCAAGTAAGTGCCACTATCCCCTTTGTTTATATGGTGTTTGCAGTCTACACTTCACCTTTAAAAAAATTAAATACTTATGTTTGCCAGGCATCACTTGCCACCACTTTATGGCAGGAAGCAAAACAAAACAAAACAAAAAACAGTATACATCTATGTTATTATTCAATTGATATAATTTTTGGCATTTTAAAATTACATTATTTAGAAATCTAAATTGAAATTTAAACACAAAAAATTGATTAGCTGAAAAGAGGAAAGAGCAAATTGATGTAACAAGCAGTATCAGCCATTATGGAGCCATGGCTTAGCTATTCATTTCCTCAACTCTCTTGTATGTCTGTATGCCCCTACTTTTGTTTCCTAATTTAGAGGTTGGCTGGTTCTCTCTGTGAACATCTCCACTGTCTTTCCCTTTCCATGTATCTTTAATACAGCTCCTAGAAAAATCATTCTACGTCACTGTAGTAAACATGCATGTCTCTGCTAAAAATTCTTTGATAACGCGCCATTGTCAATCAAATAAAGCCCCATTTCCTAGCATGAAATTCAAAGCTTTCCTGACTTCACCCCACTGAGCTTTTATCTCTTGGTACTATTATCCCTCTGTGTTACTTTGTCCTCAAACCAGGTTATTCATTTTTCTCTCTCGATGACCTAAACTTTTTTCAAAAATCTCTGTGCTATGTCCCTACTGTTTTCTCTGCCTAGAATGTCTGAGTCCTATTCTTCCTTTAAAATTGCTACCTCTTTCATGAAGTCTTTCTAACTACCTGGGGTTGGAATTAATTTTCTATAACATTTTAACAACACTTACAACATTTATCATTTTATCCCCATTGTTTATTTCCATTGTGTTGAAAGATAAATTTAGATACCATAAAGTTGTAAAGAGTAGATCTGAGCAGACATCGATTTGTAAATGGGGCAGCCTAAAGACTACAGGCAGTTTGGGGCTCTAGCAAGGAGGCAGGGTACGGAAGGAGTTGGAAGATTTTTATAAGAGGAACACTGAAGCAAGGAAAAGAAAATATTTGATTAATGAAAGTGTTGCAAGTAGCCTTATTTAGATCATTCCAGTGGAAAGTCCCTAGTTCGAAGTTAGTTGGTTATTCCCGATTGTTAAGGTTAAGTTTTGTTGTGCCTTTTATACTGAGTTGTATTTCTGTTTGCTTACTAGGAACCCAGGGCACTGGGGCTGCCTCAGCCTAATTGCCTCTCAACTAATATTTTTAACAACTGTTTATCACATTTCTTGTTAACGAACATGCTTAACCAATGATTTATTCTAATTCATAGCTATCCCTTCTGCAGTACAAGTTTAGACCCTCGAATGAGCAAAACCCTTAAATATTTATCAAACCAGTGTTGATATAGTTATATTTAATATGATGAAGTTAAATAATCTTTCCTCTGTTCATGGCATCCATATATTTGATTTTTTTTTTTTTTTTAACTTCTTTCCTGTCTTTGAAACAGCCTGGCGAGGCATTAGTGCATACATCTCAGTGACAGGCCTTCTGTCAACATTTTCTCACAGAGATCTAATTTTGAATTTTTAATTTCTCAGTTTAGTGCAGTATTGAGTAAAGCTAAATTTTCATGTACAAATAACAAGAATCTTATTTATAAATTAGAATTATGAATTGGAATTAGAGTAATTTTAGAAAATTAGAATTTTATTTATAAATCAATACAAATCAAAATAACACCCACAGATGGTGGTCTCTTTGTTATGTTTCTTACTTTTGGTCTGAGTTTCCTCCTCCATGATATGATGTGGATGCTTCCTGCAGTCATTTCCAGCCTGTGCCTTCTAATATTTTTTTGCCTATTTTAATATCATCTGTGAAGACTCAGTCTAATTTTGCCACTTTTATTCTTATATTTTAAAGTGAGTATTAAAATTGAGTAAGCAATCTGTGATAGTAACACTGTATCCATGAAAGAAATAATCATGTTATTAACCATAAACTCTTTTTCTCTGGAAAACAACAACAGATGGACTCTCAGGTAGGAGCACTGCTCCACATCCATTCTGGATGCACAAGCCACGTTGCCAGCATCACTTCTCATCTGCCTTGAGAACTGAATGAAATTATGGATGTAAAACTTCTTAGTAAGGTCTAAAGCTCTAGTCACATCCAGAGATTAGTTATTAATAGTTTTGTCACTGGATTGACAGTGTGATTATAAGGCCATGACATTTTTGTTTTAAACAAATTTACTAGCAATTAAACATCTGAATGCATTTTTGCTTCTTCAAATAATATTTGGGAAGTTATCCACTAAGTCCAGTGATTCTGATTTGCTCTAAAATGGTTTCAAATCCATTTGAAAATAGAGAAAGAAAAAAATAGAATGAATAAGACCTACTATTTGATAGCATAATAGATGACTATAGTCAATAATAACTTAATTATATATTTTAACATAAAGAGTATAATTGTATTGTTTGTAACTCAATGGATAAATGCATGAGGAGATGGATACCTCCTTCTCCACAATGTGCTTATTTTACATTGCATTGCCTATATAAAAACAGCTTAGTTACCCCATAAATGTATCCACCTACTCTGCACCCACACAAATTAAAAATACAAATAAAAATATTTTTTTCAAAAAGAAAAAAACATTGATAAAGGGTTCACTAAATATACTGTGATTTTAATGAAAACTAGTTGTCAATATGGTATACTAGCACACATAAAACCTACATAGTGCTAAATATATAATTTGGGACAATTGGACATTTAATAAAGAATAGAGTGGATGGGAAGACTTAGTTTAACTTCACAAAAAAGGGAATGTCTGGCATTTTTTTAAACCTTCTGATGTGATGCAATAAGAACTTTATAGTGCAATAGATGACATATTCTTGACAAAAACTTGAACATGTGTCTGATTAGCATCTAGATCTAAATCCCAAAGTAAAAGATACACAAAGGAGAGAGGAACATCAAATGGTAAGATAATATAGTCAGTCAAATCTATAATTTATAAATTTAGAGAATAACCTTATTTTAACAAAGCAGAAGGACTAGAAAAAAATGAGAGAATTTTAATAGATTAAAACAGATTTAAGTGACACATCAACAAAACATTAAGTGTTGAACTTGTTTGTACTCTAAATAAAACTATTAAAAGACATTTATGAGACAGTCAAGGTTAGTTGAACACTGGGTAGTTGATAATCTTAATAAATTATTTTTATTTTGAATTTACATTTAACGATGGTTTTATGATTATGTTACAAAAGGGCATGTATCTTTTAGCAGTACATACAGAAATACTTACTAATACAATGTTATAATCCCAGCATTTTGGGAGGCCGAGGCAGGTGGAACACCTGAGATCAGGAGTTCGAGACCAGCCTGACTGACAAAAAAAAAAATTAGCTGGGCATGGTGGTGCAGGCCTGTAGTCCTAGCTCCTTGGGAGGCTGAGGCAGGAGAATCACTTGAACCCAGGAAGCAGAGGTTGCAGTGAGCCGAGATGGCACCACTGCACTCCAGCCTGGGCAACAAGTGCGAAACTCTGTCTCAAAAAAAAAAAAAAAAAGTTACAATGTCTAGATTTTTCTTTTACTGCCTCCACAACATGAAGTAGAGTATAATATGGAAAGAAGTAAGAGGTGAAGAAAGAATGGCAGAATATTGTAATTGATGAGGCTAAGTTATCTGTAAACTATTGCTTTCAATTTTGTGTATAATTGAAATTTTACATAATAAAAAGTTTAACAGAATAAGGCAAACATGTAAACAGAAATAAGAGACTATTTCTAGTCCTCACAATAACTTAGCTTATCAACATAGCCCAGCTACTATCTTGCCCTTAGGTTACGTGAGGTATCCTCAAACTGCTCTTTCTTTAAATTAAACTTGCACCAAGATTGTCTTTGCAACCAAAATCTCTAATTAATACATATAGCCAATCAAACAGAATGCCAATGAGCTTTTTTAGAAGAAATATTAAAGAACTGAAAATGTTTTAATCTACTTAAAAAATATCTTGTAAAAGACATGCTTTATTTAGGCATCACTGCTTCCATTCAAGTGTCCATGATAGTCTTAGACTAAGTTTTCTGTGCTATATGCTGGACATATGTATAATCTAAAATAAATAAAACAGACTATTGGAGAAGTGTCACTAAGAAAAGAAAATTAGCAAGAAACACTAAAATTATGTCAGTGATTCTCAACCAAGGGTGATTTTGCCCCAGAAGGGACATTTGGCAATGTCTATAGATACTTTTGATTATCACAATTTGAAGGATATGGGGTAGGAAGAGGAGGTGTTTTTGGCATCTGGTAGATTATATTACTTCGTTTTCATGCTGCTGATAAAGATATATCCAAGACTGCGTAATTTATAAAGAAAAAGAGGTTTAATAGACTCACAGTTCCACATGGCTGGGGAGGCCTCACAATCATGGTGGAAGGTGAAAGTCACATCTTATATGGTGGCAAGGAAGAGAAAATGAGAGCCAAGTGAAAGGGGTTTCCCCTTATAAAACCATCAGATCTCATGAGACTTATTCACTATCAGGAGAACAGTATGGAGGAAACCACCCCCATAATTCAATTATCTCCCACCAGGTCCCTCCCACAACACGTGGGAATTATGGGAGCTACAATTCAAGATGGTATTTGGATGGGGACAGAGCCAAACCATATCATTGTGCTCCGGCCCCTCCCAAATCCCAAATCCCAAAACCCAAAATGAGAACATTTTGAAATGTCCTCACACTTCAAAACCAAGCATGCCTTCCCAACAGTTCCCTAAAGTCTTAACTCATTTCAGCATTAACTCAAAAGTCCACAGTCCAAAGTCTCATTTAAGACAAGGCAAGCCCCTTCCACCTAGGAGCCTGTAAAATCAAAAGCAAGTTAGTTACTTCCTAGATACAATGGGGGTGCAGGTATTGGATAAATACCCCCATTCCAAATGGGAAAAATTGGCCAAAACCAATGGGCTAAAGGCACCATGCAAGTCCAAAATCCAGTGGGACAGTCAAATCTTAAAACTCCAAAATGATCTCATTTGACCCCATGTCTCACCTCCAGGTCACATTGATGTAGGAGGCAGGTTTCCATAATGGTGTGCAGCTCTTCCTCTGTGGCTTTGCAGGGTATAGCCCCTTTCCTGGCTGCTTTCATGGGCTGGTGTTGAATGTCTGTGGCTTTTCCAGATGCATGGTGTAAGCTATTGGTGGATCTACCATTCTGGGGTCTCAAGCACGGTGACCCTCTTCTCACAGCTCCACTAGGCAGTGCCCCAATAGGGACTTTGTGTGGGGACTTCAACCCCACATTTCCCTTTAGCACTGCCCTAACAGAGGTTCTGTTAAGGCAGGTTCTAATTGAGGTTCTAACAGGGCACAACCCCTGCAGATATCTTCTGCCTTTGAGGCATTTCCATACATCACCTTAAATCTAGCTGGAGATTCCCAAACCTCAGTTCTTGACTTCTATGCACCCACCGGCTCAACATCATGTGGAAGCTGCCAAGGCTTGGGGCTTGCACCCTCTGAAGCCACAGGCTGAGCTGTATCTTGGTCACTTTTAGCCATGGCTAGAGCAGCTGGGATGCAGGGCACCAAGTCCCTAGGCTACACACAGCAAGGGGGCCCTGCACCCAGCCCACAAAACCATTTTTTCCTCCTAGGCCTCCAGGCCTGTGATGGGAGGGGCTGCCATAAAGGTCTCTGACACGCCCTGGAGACATTTTCCCCATTGTCTTGGTGATTAACATTTGGTTCCTCATTACTTATGCAAATTTCTACAGCCAGCTTGAATTTCTCCTCAGAAAAATTAAGAAATGGGTTTTTCTTTTCTATCATGTAGTCCAGGTGCAAATTTTCCAAACTTGTATGCTCTGTTCCCCTATTAAAACTGAATACTTTCAACAGCACCCAAGTCACCTTTTGAAGGCTTTGCTGCTTAGAGATTTCTTTTACCAGAAACCCTAAATCATCTCCCTTAAGTTCAAAGTTCCACAAATCTCTAGGACAGGGGCAAAATGCTTCCAGTTTCTTTGCTAAAACATAGCAAGAGTCACCTTTACTCCACTTCCCAATAAGTTTTTTATCTCCATCTGAGACTACCTCAGCCTGGATTTCATTGTCCATATCATTATCAACATTTTGGTCAAAGCCATTCAACAAGTCTCTAGGAAGTTCCAAACTTTCCCACATTTTCCTGTCTTTTTCTGACCCCTCCAAACTGTTCCAACCTCTGCCTGTTACTTAGTTTCAAAGTTGCTTCCACGTTTTTGGGTATCTTCACAGCATCACTCCACTCTACCAGTACCAATTTATTGTATTAGTCCATTTTCATGCTGCTGATAGAGACATACCTGAGGCTGGGTAATTTATAAAGAAAAAGAGGTTTAATGGATTCACAGTTCCACGTGGCTTGGGGGGGCCTCACAGTCATGGCAGAAGGCAAAAGGCACATCTTACATGGCGGCATGGAAGAGAGAATGAGAGCCAAGTGAAAGGGGTTTCTTCTTATAAAACCATCAGATTTCATGAGACTTATTCACTACCACAAGAACCATATCAGGGAAACCATCCCCTTGATTCAATTATCTCCCACTGGATTCCTCCCACAGTATGGGGGGAGTTATGAAAGCTATAATTCAAGATGAGATTTGGGTGGGGACACAGCCAAACCTTCCTCCTTCCCCAAACACAACCTAGAATTATGTGGTTTAAAGTGTCTATCTTGCCAAATCCTGAATTAAATCACACAACAAGAAAAATGGATGTTCTGTTATTCAGATATTATTAATCCTTACCTTAATATTTTCTTTTTAGTACAACATAGTGAAGTCTAATTTGAAAAAAATAAATATGAGACAGTCAAACATTCCCACAATTTCATTTATTTTAGCACTTCTATTTACATGGTATACATTATATGTAAAAATATAGAAAAATTCTGTCTTTCTAGTTTCAATTAAGTTTTTGGGATAGTTACACTATATCCCTAAAAAGATCAGTCAATAGTGAATGCTTTTCTAGCAAATCTAAAAATGTTATTTTCTCTTTTAAAAATTATATATTTTCACTCATTTAAAGTGACTAATTCTTTGCTAGTGAAATGAGTTATAAATAGTAATTTTTCTGTCTGTCAAAGTTACAGGTATTTACTATATTAATTTTCAGCTGACCTAGAACATGGGTTATCAAAAAATGTGAAAATATGTATATTAGATATTCCTAGTTGATTTTTTTAAGTCTCTAGGCAAGTACAATAATAATAATTTGATTAATATCCAAGTTGCCTGAAAAGTTATCTCCTATTGTAACAACAGTATAATATTCACTTATTCTTATAGCAGAAAATGAACAATTAAGAAAGTAGATTTTTGTCTCTATGAACTATCAGTGTTTTTTATTAAGAAAAGTAAGTGTCTTACTTAAAAATCCAGTGTCTTTAGATATTAAAAGAAAAAATAACTAATATTTTTTTCCTAATTATAAATATCAGAATAAATATATTCTCCCTGTTATAAAAATACCATTTACTGGCACAGGGACTGTGGAATCTTTTAAAATCTTAAAAGATTTACAAAAATAATTTATAAAAATATGCAATGGCATTTGAAAGACATATCCAAAAGATATTTTACTTATAAGTTATAATTTTTTTAAGAGACTCTGTTGCCCAGGCTGGAGTTCAGTGACAAGACATGGCTCATTGTAACCTTGAACCCCTGGGCTTATGTGATCCTCCCGCCTCAGCCTCTGGAGTAGCTGGGACTACATGTATGGGCAACCATGCCTGGCTAACTTATTAATTTTTTTGTGCGAACAGGGGTGTCGCTATGTTGCCCAGGCTGGTCTTGAAGCTTTGGCCTCAAGCAGTCCTCCCATCTTGGCCTCCCAAAGTGCTGGGATTACACAGATGATCCAGAACACTTGGCCCTACTTCTATAATTTTCTCATAATTCTTTTTCCAAACTGCTTGTCAAGCATTGTAGATCTCTAGTTTTATGTGAATGTGCCCTTATATTTTAGATGTATCTTTATCTTTTGTAAATGATACTGCCAGATTTTATTATTCAATGTATCTTTTCAACAGTTGAATTTAGTTCATTTACTTTTTAAAATAAATAACATGTTATTATTTGCATTTATTTCTACCATTTCACTGTGTACGTTTTGTCTGTTTATCTTAGTGTTTCCTCCTCATTTTTTTGCATTTTTTTCAACTTATGTTTTAGGTATAAATTTTATTTTTCCCCTCAATTGATTTAAAAGTACATTCCTTATTCTCATCATGCATTGGTCAGAATTTTTACATGCCTGCTTAAGTTAAAATATGATATTAATCAATTTATGTATTCTGGAACAACAAAAGGACCTTAGAAAATGTTATAACCTCCCAGTCCTACATGTCATTAATTTCAAAATTGTCATTCTAATTTTTTTTTTAATCTCACCTAGGTGGCTTAAATAACAGAAATTTATTGTCTTTTTTAGAGTTTTGGAGTCCAGAATCAAGGTGTCGGCAGGATTGGTTTCTTCCAAGGAGACCCTCTGTTCCAGTCCTTTCTCCTTGGATTGTAGATGGCTCTGTTTCTTTGCATCCTCTTCCCTTTGTGTGTATCTCTAGGTCTAAATTTCCCTTTTTTATAAAGATTCCAGTCATATTGGATTGGGGCCCACCCTGCTGACCTCATTTTGTCTTGATTATTTCTGTAATGATCCTATCTCCAAATAAGGTACACAGAAGGGTTAGGACTTCAGCATACGAATCAGGGGAGGCACAATTCGACTAATAATACTCCCAAAGTTAGACATTATTATTACGACAATTACATATTTTTTATTCTCGATGTTTGTTTTACTTTACCCATATTTATCATATTCTTTGCTCTAAAATGTTAGATTCTGAAATATTTCTTTTTGGATTTGATTACTTCTCAAAACAAGTTCTTTTAGTGAGGTTCTATTTGTGATAAAACACCCACCTATATCTGAAAATGTCATTATTTTGCCCTAGCTCTTGAATGATAGTTTATCTATGTACTCAATTCTAGGTTGACAGTTACTTACTTTCAGACATTTGAAGACACTGTTCTACTGTCTTTTGGCTTCGTTTGTTGCTGTGGGAAGTATCGTCAGGCCCGTCTTTATTTCTATGTGCATATTACAGCTTTTCCCATAATTGCTTTGAAAATCTCCCTCCCCATTCTTGTTTCTGAATTTTTATTGTTAAGGGTTTAGGTTGGGGTTAGTTTATATTTATCCAGCTTTGGATTTGTTGAGCATCCCAGAACCTGAAGAATCAGATCTCTTATTAGTTCTAGAAGTTCTCACATATTATTTAAAAATTTTGCTTCTCTCCTTTTTAATTCTCCTCTTTGAACTGGAAGGCATATCTCATTGTATCCCTCATAACTCTTAATCTTTTTCATATTTTCCATCTGTTTTTCTGTGACTTTGGAATTATTCTTTACCTTCTTGGGAAATCAGCTCGGCATTTGTATTTGTTGAATTTAATCTAATATAAGAATTTTGTTTGCTAAAGTTTTTCAAGAAAATTATTCTCCATAAATTTTTACTAATCTTTGCAGGGCTTTGCAGGGCTCAGGACAAGTCTATAAATAGAGGCCTAAATATCTTATGTCTACATATTTAAACATCATAAATTAAGTCATTAAATATCTTCTCTATTCCAGTCTTGACTATTAAACCTTCATAATGACATGGAAGGTAAGGCTCG
Source organism: Homo sapiens (assembly GCF_000001405.40). Classification (NCBI taxonomy): domain Eukaryota; kingdom Metazoa; phylum Chordata; class Mammalia; order Primates; family Hominidae; genus Homo; species Homo sapiens. The sequence continues at coordinate 78,383,354 of NC_000012.12, forward strand.
AATTTAGAATTGTACTTTTCATATATTTGTGCTGGAATGTAGTTGCACATAGAAAACCAGCCCCTATCCCAAAGCCCCTGGATTATAGCCTGCAATCTACTTCCCTTCTCTACCATCATTGTGTCCATCCCATACTATAGGGGATTTCCCCATTTGCATGTAGATACTACATTCATTTTCATTCATGTAGGCCCCATCCCTGCCCCAGTAAACAGCTATTCCTTAGCTACCCTTCCAGCTGAGAGATGTGAACAGCAGTCGCTCAGTGGCTCAGGCTGCCTTTAAGATGACCAATGCAGGGAGGAGACCTAAGTATGCTGTGGAACAGGCTGAAGTCATATGGGCAGGGAATTTTGGTTCCTGTGTCCCAGGAACATGCTCTAGAAGAGAGACAGAGACTCTGACAATCGGATCTCCATGAACACATGTTTTTTTTACCTTGTGAAGATGAATGGAAGAAGGGAAGGACCATTTCAGGCCCTCCAGTGTGCAGGGCTCATGCATGGGGACCCTCATGCTTAGGCCTATTGCCATTATTGCTGTTATATTACTGGAAATAGAAGGATCCTCATTCATTCCTTAAACAATCAAGGGCTTTTCCTGAGCCCACTACTTTATTCAAAGTAATCTGTTTGTACACAATGAATTAAACAACAAATATAGCCAAAACGGATCTAGCAATTTCTATTTGCCAGACAGAGATAGAGCTTATATGTGTTTTCTCATTAACATCTCTTGGTTTTACCACTTTCTATCCATTCTTACTGTCCCTGATTCATTCAGGTCTTTATCTTTCTCCTAGACTACTGGATTAGCTCCCTGACTACTCTACCTGTCTTATCTGTTAGCATTATACGTTTAGGTCGTTTCTACATTTCTCTATGTGTTGCATGTTATGGAGCCTTTACTGGCCAAATTGGTAGAATTTTGTGTCCTCCACTGTATGCTGAAATACTGCTATCTGAGCGCTTGAAAAACTGATTATATATGCAATTGTCCTTCAGTGTCCATGTAGGATTGGTCCCAGGACTTCTTGTGGATACCAAAATTCACAGATGCTCAAGTCTCTTATATAAAATGATGTAGCATTTACATATAATCTATGCATATCCTCTTGTATACTTTAAATCACCTCTAGATTACTTATAATACTGAATATAATGTAAATGCTATACAAATAGTAGTTACGTTATTTAGGAAATAACTACCAGTAAAAAGTCTTTACACGTTTGGCACAGACACAACCTTCTTTTTTTTTTTCCCGAATGTTTCTGATCTGCCATTGGTTGACTCCACAAATGAAGAATTCATGGATACAGAGGGCCAATTGTACTGTATTACTTTACATGTTTGTCTCCTGTTACTGAATGTACTGAATGACGAGCAACTTGTCTTGAGTGACTGTAGCCTCAGGGGGCCTTGTATATGAGCTATATACCAAGCACTCAGTGAGTTCGGTTTCTAAACAAGTGAATAAGCAATCGAATTCTATTTTGGTTTTGTTGCCTGTGGTTTTTGAGGTTATATCCAAAAAACCATTGTGTGGACCAATGTCATGGAGTTTTTCCCTAATATTTTCTTCTAGCACTTTCATAGTTTCAGATCTTATATTTAAGTCTAAACCATTTTGAGTTTATTTTTCCATATGGTGAGAGAGGAGGGTCTAATTTTATTCTTCTGCATTTGGATATCTAGTTTTCCCAAAACCATTTATTCAAGTGATTGTCCTTTCCCCATTGTGTGTTCTTAGCACTTTTGTCAACAATGAGTTGGCTGTACACATGGATTTATTTCTGGGCTCTCTATTTTCTTCCATTGGTCTCTGGGTCTGTTTTTATGCCAGTACCAAGCTGTTTTGGTTACTATGGCTTTGTAGTAAAATAGAACTAATACATAACTCAGCAATTCCACTACTGAGTATATATCCAAAGGAAATGAAATACATATGTCAAAGAGATATCTGCACTTCCATGTTTATTGCAAAACTTGTCATAATAGTCTGTGAAATCAACCTAAATGTCCATCAATGGATAAATGAATAAAGAAAATGTATGTATATACTCTATTTGAGTACACTTTTTAGGATGGTGTAGGTGTCTTGCAAGTTGTAAGACAAAGCAGAGTTATGAGGAGGGTTGAATTCCTTAGGAACTTTCATGCCATGCAGAATTGGCGGTGGGTTTGTACTGGGGCTAATTTCTGCAGGCACCCCTTGTGATGTTCAAGATCCATGTTCTTTATCTAGTAATTTTTTGTTTGCTCTTTTCTTCCCCCGAATAATCCCTCTCTGACATTAAGAAAGGAAGAAAAAAAAAAAAAAAAACTCCAGCATTTTAGAAAGAGCAAAAAAGAGGAATGACACTTCTTAGCAGTCTGACTCAGCGAATGCCTCAGGCAAACCTTCCCAAGAAGAAAACAGATTTTCTTGCCTTCATATCTTCTCCAGAGAAAGTGAGACCAAAGTGGAGGCTTTCCATTATAGTTCCTTTTTACTTTTTTTTTTGCAAATAATATAAGACCATGTGAGTGAATGCCTTTTAAGGTAGCCCATATTATTTCAGTTCATGTCTTGGTTCTTGTGAATTAAAGTCTGCCTAAGAGAAAACTGTATAAATGATAGCTGTAACTTAAGATGCTACAGAAAGATATAAAACAAAAACACACATGAAAGGGGTTTGGTTACAAAAATTAATTCATTTATCTATTGCTTTTCTTCATTATGTATTATGTGTTCTTAGTAAATTCAGTATTCAGCCAAATATTCTATTGTTACATTTTTATTGGAATGCAAAGTCCATTCTACTGACTTCTCCACAGTGCTTAGAAAGACCAATTCTAGGCTCTTCTGGAAGGTTGTTTGATGGCTTCAAAGATAAATACCAGTCACCAGAAAGTCTCCAATGTGAGCTGTCTCAGGTGCTCTAGCTGCCAGATCATAAACATCAGATTATAAAACTTCATTTAGTATCAGATTCTCATACTTAAGATGCCTGTTACTTGGCTTGGACAAAATCTCAGTTTGCTAATTGAGAGAATAAATATGTTTACCCAATCTAGTACTTCTATATTGTATAAATATAGTTGTAATTGCATCCAAATCAACTTTAAGTTTGGAAAATGTCCATGAGTCAGAATACAAGATGTGAATGTTTAATGGAGACTTTCCTGTAACACAGTTTGTGAAGCATTCTCCCTCTCCAAAACCCTAGACTCTACCCATCCCTTCCACTCCCACTCCATGGCACTGTGTGTTCTGGCTGTCATGAGTGCTTTCATATTCTTGACTTTATGACTTCATTTAAGAAGGCTTCATTAAGGTGTTATTATGTATGGCACTGTTCTGGATGCTGGGATAAACAAGATTAAGTAGGTGTAAACAGATTCTTAATGTATTCATGATTTAAAGAAAAGGACAGGTATAAAACCCAGTAATTACAGTGCATGTGTTAAATACAAATTCCAGGTTAACATGACATTGTAAGGGAGCACACAGGAGAAAAGTGGGTGTGATTACCAAAAGAAAACTAATTCCAGATAAAGCAGATGCCATGAACAAAAGTTTGAGCCATAGCCACACAATATTTAGGTTGATTGAGCATTGCTCAGGCTTCCAGTACAAAATAAAGAGGGATGAGATTTGAAGCTAACATTCACATGTATTAATTGAACTAATGTAGGTCACTGTGCAGATTGTGTGAGCCAAACAACACAGCTAGGTCAGCTTGACATCACTCTATGGTGGCCAAAGGAAAGCATGGTAGGGATAAAGGAGGGGGCGAACATAAAAGAGAAACATAACTCTACGATATAATTATCTAAATGCCATCTGTTAGGAATTGCCCTTTGTCTTTTAGTATGTGCTAATAGAAAATCTGTACTTTATGAAACAGCATCTCCTAACTGTCAATGGCAAATTTGTTTCTGCATATTATACTATTTTATGTGAAAATACTGGAGATATTAGACTGGTAGTCATCAATTACCAAGTTCAGTTGAACTAAAGAAGAATGAAAAGTGATAAATGTGAGACAGATTCCTCATTACAGAAGAGGCTGCTGGAGAAGGAGCAGAGATTCTCTGTTAGCTTGTCACAACGGACAAATAACACATTATTCTGAAACGGAGTTGCTGTTTTATATTTGCTTTGGAAATACTTAGGATATGTTGCATTTGTTCTCCTAGTTCTACAACCCAAAATCATAGTGGCTTATGCTATTTTACAAGCAATTTTATTTAAATAATAATTTTCTTTAAAGCCCAGAAGCATCACAGTTCAGCACCAACACCTCCCCTGAAAATTCAATATATTGCCTCAAGCTATATTTTTTTAAATTAAATGTTGTCTAAGATTCATTCATTTTTGTTTGGACAATTGCAAAACCATATTCACTCTTAAAATTTTTATCCACTGAGAATTGGTGTTTATTTTCCTCAAGATGCCATACAATTCCTAATCTTAAATTTGAAAAAATCAAAAAAGGCAAAATAATTAGTTCTTCAAAGATGCAAATTTGTGTTTTTTCTATTGTGAAACCATATGGAGTACACCCTCAGACCTGTGCTAAGAAAAGACAGCCAATTTTCTAGATCCTATTCATATGCTGGCAATAAATTCAGTCTGAAAAGGATCTGACTGTTAGCTCAGAGGGATGCTAAGAATTTGGGTATGATAATAGGGGTATTATTATTTATTTTGAATAGCAAAATTAGTAAATTATTATTACCCTGCAGGATATAAAACCTAGTGAAACTAATTTGGAGTCATGGTTAACACCTCGAGGTCTTTGTATCTTCTTTAAGCTTTTTATCTCTAATTGTGAAGGACTTAGTCTCTAATTAAAGGCTGATAAGAGAGATTTATTTTTCCATTCTTCTTTTTTTGTTTTAGTTATTTTGCCTTGTATCTGGGAGTAGGTGTGTTTTTTGTCCCTGAAGTCTTCTACAAACTGAGATTATCCCTAAAGGTTAAGAGTCCTTTTAATAATCAAAGATGCAGAATTAGAATGAAGGGTATGGTGCTTAAGCTTGCCTTCTAGACCCACATATTGATGGTTTTATGCATTAATAAGTAGAGAAATTACTTTTATGGGTTTGATCAGCATTTTTACTAGATGGACTTGAGTAGAAATATCAGGGGGTATTGTAAATAGTTAGGGCAGATTTTGTGTTAAATTTTTGTTTCAGTGACATACACAAATGAAAAAGGCTGCTGGATTTTCCTCAAATACCTGTTCTTTTCTTCTTAAATGATAGACAGCTGCATTTTGACTACATTTCCCAGCCTCCCTCTAGCTGGGAAAGACCATGTGACTTCCCCCTGAAAGAATATAAACAGAAGGGAAGTATGCTGCTTTGGGGTTGTGCCTTTGAGAGAAGGAAATTTGGCCTCTTTCTTCTCCTGACTTCTATTTTAGCTGGAATGCAGACATAGTGGTGACAGCTGAAGTAGCAACTTGTATCACTAAATAGAAATCATGTGTTGAAAATGGCAAGACAAGAAGATTGAATGACCCTGAAACCCTGATGATTATGGTGCCTCCATATCATCTTTGGACCACCTAGCTGACTTCTAATTAAGACATAAACAAGCATCTGTCTTGTTTAAGCTTTATTTCGGATTGTCTCTGACCATGGTTAAATTGAGTGGGCCATGGGAACAACACTTAAAAATACTATATTGGCTTAGTGACTAGGTGGCAGGAAGTGAGGACACAGATATTGGACTGGATAGCTGTTGACAATACGTATATTATGGCAAAACATTTTAGAAAGTTGACTTGGAGAGATCTTGGACATAAGACCATTTGCCAACCAAGCCTTTAACTCTTATACTCTTGCTGCCTGCATTGGCTGTTTTGTTTTTAATTTTTAATTTTTTTTCCACATAGCAGAGTCTTACTAGAGAGACAACTCAAGTTAGAACTAGTCACTTGCAAGGTGAAAAGGAAAAAAATGTAGTTGTGGTAAGATAGGCTTTCTGGGGTTTTTATTTTTCTTTACTTGTTTTTGGCCTGTGATCTAAATTGACTAGAGTCTTATGATTCAGGGCTTTAAAAATCAATTCTGACAGAAAAACAAAGGCTTCTGTGCCCAAACTGAGGCAGTGATAAAATGAGTCTCTAAATCAAGAAATAGTCTTAGCAGAAGATAAGTAAGGCTGGACAAAACCATTAAGACTGCCAGACAATAGGAGCCAGCCCAGTGGGAAACATTAGATTAAGAATGTTGCCTTCCTACTAAAACCAATTGTTTTATTTCTCCTTAAGTTGGTCACTATTAAATTGAGCAAGAAGGAAATTGACAGGACATGGAAGCAAGTAACTAAAGGCCAAAGTTTTCAGGCTAAAAAACAACATTGAGATGAGAACTTTGGCTTTATTTACTTGCAACCAGAACTGGTGGAAATAGAGTCTGTGGACCTACCAAAGGTTTTTGCAGTATTGCATTGCCAAAGAAACCTCGGGCCAGGCTTACAAAAGTCTGTCATAGCCTACCCGTTCAGGCAAACTGTGTCTCCCTAAACCTGTACCAACCATCAGGAAGAAGCCTGCCAGCATTCTGAGTCATACCAAGTTGGTAAGACTCTCCAATGTCTACTTCATATCTGGCCATGGAGATAATGGATATGCAAGAACCTCCCTAAAGGCAAAGCCATAAATTCATAGGATAATAACGAAGAAAGGTGTGCAGCAGAGAGTGGTTCAAAGTGCTTCCAGATAGCTTAACATAGGAAATTACTCCACTGCCATGATATTGAATCCAGTTACTGCTGTATTGTTTCTATTCTTCCTTTTTAAAAATTGAGCTTTTTAAATATTATGTCTATCCTGTTATTCACCACTATGGTTTAGGTTGGGGAGCAGGGGAAAGATAACTTTAGCAAGATGCAGGACCTGAATAGATCTTTTCAGTTGTCTCTCTTGGAGGGTGGGATGGGGAAGAGCATGTTTTAATTGTCGTTGAAAAGTGTGACCTAAATCGGCAGTGATGGCAGAGACTGAAGTAGACTTCGATATTCATTCTTCTTTTCTATTCCAGAGAAAACTACCTTTCCACCCAAATTCATGCTGTCATGCATACTACAGAGTTGATATTGGGAAGTAGGTGCTTATCCAGGGACATTTTTAAGCCCCTTTTGCATCTAAATAGGATCACAAAACTGCTTGCCAATGGATGATATAAAAATGACACATTAAATCTGTCATTTCTTGGTGAAGGTGTTTAAGAAACATGAATACTTTCTCCATCCTCTTTTCTTACTTCCTCAACCATGTAAAGAAGAGAACACCTCTCTCACCTCCCCAGCAATGGAACCCATGTATTAAAGATGGCAGAGCCAGTATAAGCCTATTTCTGTTGACAAATGCCAGACACAGATGAGAAATAAACTTTGATTGTGTTTGACCTATTTTTCATTTGAGGAGACCTCTCTTTTTTGTTTTTAAATAGAAGCTAGCATTACCCTAGCCTACACATCTTTTTCCACCTAATAGAATATTAACTCAGCTCATGACCACTCAGCTAAAACTGGTATTTTCCAGTCCCTTGTACCTCTAGATGTGACTGCATAATAAAGCCCTGCCAGTAGGATATGAACTGAATTGAAACGTATAACTTCTATTGCATGAACTTTAAGGCGAGAGTATGACCTTGCTGTAGTTTGAATAACCCATCCAAAACTCGTGTTGAAATTTAATTGCTATTGCAACAGTATTAAAGGGTGGAACATTTAAGAGGTAGTTAGGTCTTGAGGGCTCTGGCCTCATGAATAGACAAGTGCTGTTATTGCAGGAGTGGGTTAGTTATTGTGGAAGTTTGGCCCGTTTTTTTTCTCTCTCACACTCACTTGCCCTTCTACCGTTTTGCCACCTCAGGCCTTTGCCAGATTGGTACAATGCTCTTGGACCTCTCAGTCTCCAGAATCATAAGCTAAATAAACTTCTTTTCTTTATAAATTACCCAGTCTGTGGTATTAATGTTATAGCAGAAAAAAAAGAATATTAAATCATGTCTATCTATTAAATAGTCCCCTCTTTTTTGTTTTTTCCTTTTTGTCATTGATTGAGTGTGGCATGGTGATGGGCAGTGAAGCACCTAGCTTAGACAAAAATGTGGTGTAATGAGGAAGGCCAGACACCAAAAGAGAAGAAACCTAGCTCAACATTCCAGGCCTGATTCTTCCATCTGGAACTTCTCATGAGAGAAATGAACTTCTTTACTTTATATCTCTCTGTTAAAGCATAGGAACACCTGTTCCTGTGCTTAACTTATGCATATATATGTGTGTAGTTGCAGTAAAATGTACTTTTGCTGTGGGTTACAATTTTTAAGGGTATATATTAACTATTCTACTATATTCTCTTAATATTATTTTAATATGATATTCATTCATTTATCCTAAATGTTTTCTTCTTCATGCTACCTCAATGGATCAAGAGCTCATGAACTCAGTGTCTCTCCATGGTAATTATGCTGTCATTCTCCCCTAAAAATAAGATCTGTATTCAATCACTTCAAGTTTAAAGCACTTTGAACCCTCTAGTTTGCAGCCTACTAAAGGCATGGCTAGGGACTAAGGTATCTTACCTGTTATTCTTAGGGTTTGGACAGATGCTAGGAAGCCATGGAGGGATTCCCAGGAAGCTGCAGCTATTCCCTGTGCATAAGAATAAGACCCTTGGAAATCCCATTTATTAGAAAGTATGACTTAGGAATTTTGAATTTTAGTGCAGGTAAAGATGACTTTAGTTCATATCAATGAATTGCCCAATCTTTTAAAAATAGGAATAATACAACATTAATAAATAGATTAGTAAAGGAATGATGTTATTATTACTTACATATAACAAATAGGTTAAAAATTAATGGAAAAATACTAAAATTACTTGACCACATGAAGCTACCTTTTTTGGTTACTTATGGTTTATTTTTTACTTTCCATATAACCCAATGATTAGTTATGTTATTAAGCAAAAACCAACAAAAACCAAATTAACATATTTTAGGTTTTATTTATTATAATGGTAATTATTGACCAAAGTTTTTTATTTCCTTTTTAAAATCAGTGACATCTCTGGACTCTGGGAGATAAATACCAAAAGATTAATAACAAACAAATACATTAGTCTCTAAAATAAGTACAGAAAATTAATCATTGCCACTTACTCTTCCACCTTAATATCTTTATTTGCCTTCCACTGGAGGAATGTATGTAATAGAATCTGAAAATCAACACTGTTGTTGACTTACTTGTACATGTGTTTTGGGAGACTGGGTAAGTGGCTGTTTACCAGGTGGGGAAGCATCTAAGTTCTGATATTGTTGGGAACAGTATCTTGCAGAAGAGAGGACATTCAATTGGGAAATCAGAGATGTATTTCTCTTGGATCTACTGCTAGTTATGTGACAAGGCAAAGTGTAGAAATACTTGCATCTCCATTTCGTCATCTCTGCAATAAGGGAAATATGCTAAATAATTTCTAAAACTCCTTAGGTTCAAATTATGATTTAAAGAAAATAAAATGTAATCAATAAAAGTAAGTAATACATCATCATGACAGAATGCTATTTTAAAGGATAGGGATGGATTTAGATACATATTTTTTGCTTTGGGAAAATAACCCAAAATTTAATAGTGGACTTCACACTGTATTTTAGAAAAATTCCCATTGCTCCCTATTTCTTGTGATTGTTGTGGAATCTCACCCCTCCATCTCAGCTCAACAGTAAATGTACTATGAAGATTTTTATCCCCCAGATGGCAGTGCAGCATTCCAAGTTTAGAATGTTCTGGTCTGGTGCTCTGGAAAAAGGCAATATGAGCTTTTCTTATATTGTCTCCATCGCAATTTTCTGTGCCATGTTTCTTCTTTTTGGAGGAAGTATGCTACGAATCTAATGTAACAAGACTTGAATAATGAAAGACAGATAGCTCATTCTGAAGGGAACACAGCAGAGATCCACTTCTGCCTGCTTGTGCAGCATTGTGTCCAGTAAATAGTAATTAAAACCATCACACAAAGTAATCTAATGAAATAATGAAAGTTTTAAAAACTATCAGAAAAATCATCTATACTTTTAATTAGTATTTTACATGTTATTTTATCAGAATTTGAAAACATTTACTAAATGTAATAGGATTAAGACGCTTCTCAGCAATTATTTTTTAAAGATACAAATGAAATGGACAGCATGCACCATAACCTTCATTGAAAGAACTATAAGCTGCTTATGCTATTGCTGAGACTTGCTTATGAGGCATATAAAAATCAACAAACAAATACAAATAGCTTCAGATGGAGAGCATGAAAAGAAGCCAGGAAAAGGGTCATTCCAGTTTAATGATAAAAATTCAGTGGAACCATTTAGATCAAAACAATATCTGGTCATCTGCATGGTCAAAGGAACTAGGGTGAATTCTTTACATTTCCACCATATTTTAGATGAATGATGTTTTGTAGATTAATTATACTAAAAGAATATTGGTAATGATGTGAAAGTAGAAGAAGTAAGGACAGGAAAACAAAATTTTGGAATGTGGTCACAGTTTTATGTTCTAAAAATGCCTTCACATTTAGGTCTAATGAAGTCTTTCCTGTTTCACATTTTCTAGTAAGAAAAAGGATTCAGGACACAAAGATTTTGAGTAACAAAAATGAATATTCCCCTTTTTAAACCACAGAGTGTAGATGATTTTATTTTATCTGCTGCTTATGAGTTGATTATCTACCTTTACTAGAGGCACCTCAGATGAATACTTCATTGCAGTGTAAAATTCTGTAGCTGTCTATAATACATATAGACTTCCAAATATAATACCATCCTTCTCTATCCAATTAAGGAAAAATCTATACATGCATATATGCACTTTAATCTATAATCACTGCTTGGGAAACAAAAACAAGATATATCTGCCTTCAATGAGTTTACATTCTAGTGGGAGAGAGAAATTGCAAATAACCATGGACAGAACATGAGCTGTGAAAGAGGCAGCATGGTGAGGATAGTGGGCTATGTAGCCAGGATACTAGGATTCAAATCTTGGTTTTGACTCCTAACATTCCTGTGTCTTTGGATAGATTACATTCTAGTTTCTTTATAAAACAAATGATAATGAGAATACCTATCTCATAGAGTTGTTTTGGAAGAAAATGAGTTAATTGAGTAAACTGCTTGTCATATAGCAATGTCAGTAACACATGGCAAAGGAGAAAAAAATGTCATGGGGTTAAGAGGAAGCAAAGACCAATAAAGGAACTAACAGTTGCTATTAAAGGATACCCTTTAAAGACCGTCAGTGATGTATTGAGAGAGGAGGATAGAAAGGGCAGCTTCAGGCTAAGGTAACAACATGTTAAATGTTAGGGGAAGGAGGTAGTAGCTCAGTTTGATTGCAAATGGGATAAAAATAAAAATGTAGGTCCAAACATATGCTAAGGACAACTTGTATTGGGCTAATAAGATTTTGCTTCCTCAAAATATATAGAAAGTCACTGAAGATTTTTATGCCAGGGACGAACAGTCAAATTTTTGCTGTCAACATATCATTCTGGTTGCTTTATGAAAGAAAAATTGAGCATAAAAGAAACTAGAGACAGAGAGCTTAGAGAGGGCCGCAAAATCCAGAACAAAACGGGGGTAACTGTGATCATCGCTTAAAAATCATTTATTGGCTTGCCAACTAGTTCAAAAATTATCTTATCTAACTAAAGGTCCTATTTAGTAGCATGCAAAATTTTACTTGCCCTTTCTATCTGTGTGTAGACTTCCACTCTATCATATATATATATATATATATATATATATACACACACACACAAACACACACACACATACACACACATATGTATATATGTGTATATATACACGTATATATATGTGTATATATACATATATACGTATATATAGCATTTCAGACACAGTTTTAAAATTATACAAAAAATAGCTATATTAACAGACTGTCTTTCCTATTTCCTGAACATTCTAAACACAGAAGGAACCTCTTCTTTTTCTCATAACTGTGTTTTGTTTTGAAGATTAGACTTGTAGAGGCTTACAGAGGCAACTTCTTTTTTCATTCAGTGTCTGTTGGCCTGCGCACGAGCAGTGATAAACCTGACCAACAGTCCTTTCCTTCTCCTTGTTTTCCTTTTTTTCTGCCTCATTTTTTTCTCTTTCTAGATACCTCTGATCTATTTTTTATATTTCACAGCTTACTTCTGTCTTGTTTCTTTCCTTCCTTCTTCCTAAAGGAATCAGAATATCTTAACACTTTCCTTCTTTCTTCCCACCACTGAAGCCCGCAGGGTCTTTGTTTAGCTAATGGACCCTGTTCTGAAGAAACCATGCAATCTGAAATAAAGCAACAGGCAGTCCAGATAGAATTGGGGTTCTTGGTTCCAGTTGCAAAATGGAAGAATAGCCAGCATTACTTAACAGAAACAGTATGATTTGAGTTCCTGAATCTTCTTTAGAATAAGTTCAATCCTGAGTCTCTGGAAAGAAGAGCAGTAAGTGGCCTGGTTTTGAGGCCTGCTTTAAGAACTGTCCCAAATCCCAGCTTTGATCATCAGTCACATGAATTTAAATAAGTAAAAGGTATCTTGTTGACTAGTTCGTAAAAACTAGATGGAGCATGCTAAAAATTAAAAATAGATAACCTGTTAATTAAAAAGAAGATTTATTTATTAAGCAAATCAGGAAGAAGCAAACTTTCAGGAAACTAAGCTTTTTTTGACACATTTCACAGCATGCCTCATGGTCTTTCTCATGGGCACTCTGGCTTGTTAATCACTTCAGCAGCCTGGTTTTATCTGTTTCACCCACTTATGGGTGAAATTATGGTGAAAAAATGTGGCTGCTGCAAGCTTCTAAATTGACATGTCCTCAGTTCCAGGGGCCAAGAGCACTGAACTCTTCTATCCAGGACATGGGAATCAGGACATGGCTCAGTAAAAGTGAACTTCTTGCCCTCAGTGAAATTAACTTGGGTCCCAGAGTCACATGGCAAACATATGGCTATACCGACTTTATTAGTCAGCTGTACCTGATTGCTGTAACAACACCACCACAGTCGGTGGCTTTTATAGCTTTGGCTTTCTCTATGATGTCAGAATTCTCTATTGTTTCTTCTTCAACTGGGCAGCCAATGGGTGAAGCAACAGAACAGGTGGAGGAGTTCTTGGAAGGGTTCTTAGAAGCCAGGACTAGAGGTGGCATTCATAATTTTTACTCACATTCTATTGCTGGAGCTTAATCACAGGGTGATCTAAACACAAGGAAGGCTGAGAAATTAGGTTTCTTCATGAATCCAGGAAGAAAGAAATAGAATCATCTTCTCCACAGGGACCCATCCTGTTGTTCAGCAGGCAAATTGACAGAGAGCAGTGTTGCGTGCTGGGCAGGTACCATAATGATGTCTTCTGTCATAAGACAACTGTCTTTTCCTGGGACTTTGGCAATACCTCAGTTGGCTTTCTCAATTCCTGTAGCCTAGTTTAAATTGCTTGTTTCAGCTGAGTGCTGTTATTTTTTGACAGCATTCAAGAGAATTAAAGAAATGACTTTTCTTCCTTTCATTGCTACTCATCTATGTTCTCAGATTGTTTATTAGTATCTCTATTTCTTTTTAATGTTATCTCCATGGGAGAAAATCCTATTTCAGCCTAGAGATTTTATTCTGTAATTACATCACAAAGGATCACTTTATAAGGAAGGCATTGACTTTGAATTTCTGTCAGCTTCAATTTAAGCAGATGGAAAACTATGGATTATATACCACAAACAACCACCTTTTTAAAGCTTAGCAACCAAGAATATTTTAACTCTCCAAGTCAGCTTACAAGTCTAGGACCTGCTCATTATCCCTGTGCCTGAATAGTTCAACAGATAAACATTTTGTTCATAAAACAAAATGGTATTATATTTCAGACAGGAGAGAGAACAGATGTGTCTCTCACAATGAGATTTTGTTGTTTCAATACATCAGACTTTTCTTTTCCTCTCTCTTCTCTCAACTATTCTAGAAAGGTTGGGTGCAATTGTTATGTGGGCTAAACTTTAAGAAATCTATAATAATCAGACCTTTACATTGCCTCTTCTGTTTAACAGAAATCTGCCAGAGAATGTGCTGTGGGAGTGGAGAAAGAATGCTAGCTGTTAAAAACCATGTCGGCTCATCACAGAAATGTGATTTCCATTCTTACTGTCACACCAGTAGTAAAAACTTAGGAAATGAGCCTTTTCATCTCTGGTTACCCACTTCTGCTGCTAAAGCCAAAAGAGACCCCATTGGTAGGCAAGCCATTGAAGTCCACAGTGCACTGTAGAAGTACAGATCTGCACTCCTGCAAAGATATAGTTACTGGATGTGCAAGTTGCTATGTATACAGAAAGCTAATCCCCAGATTGTTTGTCTTTAAAAAAACAGAAATCCCATATCAAGGCAATACACTTATACTTATGCATTTTCTAAGCCACTTAACACATCTTAGAATACATACATGAGAGTTCATGGACCAAGACAGCTGACTGGAGGAAATTTGTTATATTTATGAAAGGCTGAAAATAATTGAGATTTTGCCATGTTTTCAATCATAAAATGGTCAAAGACATCATGACCCTAACTCCCCATTTGCTAAGCCAGAAACCTGGGGAACATCCTTTCCCTCTTATCCCACATCAAATCATATGTGAAGACCTACTGAATCTGTTTTCTAAAACTCACCTGAATCCATCCACTTCTCTTCATCTATACTGCTATCACTTTATCTAGTTTCCATCATCTCTCAGCCCACAGTCTTCTTCATGCACTTGGGAGTTTGTTAGAAATGTGGTATCTCAGGGCTCACCCAACCCTACTTATCTACATTTTGACAAGATCCTCATATGATTTATATGCATGCCACATTTTAAGAAACACTGGCATATCTCCCTGTCTCTACTTTATTCACTTCCATTCCATTCTGAACACTGAAGTCAGGGCAATCTTTATAGAATTCAAATTTGATTGTGTCTATCTTGCTTAAAACTCCTCACCTTCATGTCTTTTGGCTCAAGTAAGTAAAAAGCCTTCAAATTAAGTTGCAATGCCCTTCAAGACCTGGTTCCTCCAGCTTTATTTCATAAAACTTTTCCTTCCCACACTATGCTATAGCCATCTTTGTTCCAAATACGACATTCTGTTTCTCAAATGGGGTCTTTGTGCTCTCTGTTCCCTGGTTTAGGATATTCTTTCTCCCACTCTGTTCAACCTCAGTCCTTTAGGCTTCAACGTAAAAGCTGAGTTTTTAGAAATCCTACTCTCTTACTATCTAGATCTCATGGTATCTTTTCTTGCCTTATAAAAAATATCCAATGTTGTATTAACTTGTTCAATGCATGCACTACTCAATAAACTATAATTTCTATAAGGAGAGATATCATGTTTGTCTTGTGCAGAGCAATATCCCAAGCACTTGTGACAGCAACTGGCATGTGGCACTTATGACAGAGTGACCAAATGAAATAACTTCTCATAAAGATAAATGGACAGTTTCCCACATCTTTAAGAATAACAGTCTTCTAAAACTATGACGCACTGTCACAGGGAAGATGAATCAGACTTATTCTGATGGGTTCCAGAGGACAGGAAGATATACGCAAGGCCCATGAATGACTGCACTTATCTCAACATGTTGGCACTAAAATATCTGTTGAATAAATGAATCAGAACAAGTAAATAAAAGATTTAGGAATAGATAAATTATTAATGATACAACTTAGTACCATTTACAAGGTACTAACAATAGAATGGATTGTTTTGTGAGCTCAGATTGCATAACCGTTTAAAGGTTGAATAGGAAATAAAAAATACCTTAAGAAAGTGATTGAAATAGATGATCCCTCAGGTTCTTTACATCTCTAGGAGTCCACTATTCTATCAGTTCCTCTGTGAGGGAAAATAGTGCTAGTCATAACTGCTAGACTTAGTTTACAGAAAAAAAAATGTTGCTCATTCTTGTTAATGGTTGTATCACTACATTTATGTACAGACTTGTAGTAGTTTTCATATTTGGCATGATCAAAAGGACACTGACACCAAATACGTCCCCATTTGGTTGTCACTAGTCCTTGAACTCCATTATTAGAGAGTCTTTACTTTGAAACTGTTCCTTCTCCAGACACTGATGACACTGATGTTGCAAAAAAAAGATGCCACAGAAGTGGCAACATATTTCACTATTATCCATAATCTCCATCTTTATTTGGGGTCCTTTATGAGAACCCATTCTTAGAGTTGAGAATAAACAGTGGAGGAAAGAGGGATGCAATGGTAGCTTTTGGAAGGTAAGATGGCTCTGGATGCAAGCTCAGCTCAAATATTTCTCCATCAGAGACATTTTTTTGGATATCTCAATCTAAATGATATATCCATGTTATTTTCTTCTTTATCAACTTTCATTCATTCAAAATATATTTGAGTGATTACTGTCTGCTAAGTGCTGTTCTAGGTAATTAAGATGCATCAGTGAACCAAAAAAGACGAAAGTACTTCTTACTGTCAACCTTGCATTTTAAAAAATGTGGTCTAAGGATCAAAATGTCAGCATCACCTGGAAGCCTGAGAGAAATGCAGAATGAAAGGCGTCACCTAGACCTACTTAATCATGTACAGCCTTTTAACAAAATCTTCAGGTTATGTATGCACGTTTAAGTTTGGGAAACACCATTCTATTGTGCCTGCTCTTTTATTTCATATGTTTTCACTTTTTTTTTGAGACAGAGTTTCACTCATGTTGCCCAGGCCAGAGTGCAATGACGCGATCTGGGCTCACCACAACCTCCACCTCCCAGGTTCAAGCGATTCTCCTGCCTCAGCCTCCTTAGTAGCTGGGATTACAGGCATGTGCCACCACACCTGGCTAATTTTGTATTTTTAGTAGAGACAGGGTTGCTCCACGTTGGTCAGGCTGGTCTGGAACTCCCGCCCTCAGGTGATCTGCCCACCTGGGCCTCCCAAAGTGCTGGGATTACAGGCATGAGCCACCGCACCCGGCCACGTTTTCACATTTTTAAATGATACATGTTTATTTGCTTAAAATCTATTTGCCCTACTAGACTATAAACTATGTGAGGTCAGAGGTTAATAGGCAAAGGTAGACGGGATGGATAAATGTAAATAACAAACTTCATCTGCTCTTCAACTCTGCCAAGGTACCACCTTCTGCTGACTTCTCTTTTCAGCCCCACCAGCTGATGCACCTACTGTACAATAGGTAGGGAAACTGAAATGTAGGAAGAAGAATTAACTAACATCTGTGAATTCTTTTTTACCTTCTGTCTCAACTTCTTCATCTCCTCCATTTTTTAAAAGTTGCATAAAATATACTAGCATAAGAATATCTGGAATAAAATATGATAGCATTAATTCCTGAAGATAAAAAAGTTTGTGATGTATGGAACATGAGAAATTAAACAAGTATCCTTACCTCTACTTTCATCCCAGCCATCCTCATT
Source organism: Homo sapiens (assembly GCF_000001405.40). NCBI lineage: Eukaryota > Metazoa > Chordata > Mammalia > Primates > Hominidae > Homo > Homo sapiens. Next base: position 78,400,850 of record NC_000012.12, read on the forward strand.
TAAGATTTCTTTTTCCAATTTTATAACAGGACTTGGTTCTCTTTGACAGGAATAATGGGCTTTGGTGGATGACAGGATTGCTCTCACATCAAACTTTTTGTAACATATACTCTGTAACAAGGGTTGGCAAACTACACCCCGTGGGCCAAATCTGACTGACCATTCTGAATCCTTTTTTTGACCCATGAAAGGAGACTTTTTTTTGTACCATGAAAGGAGATTTAAAAAAAAATACTTTTAAACAGTTAAAAAGAATATTTCATAACATATGAAAATTATATGAAATTCTAATTTGTGTCCATAAAGTTTTATTGGAACACAGCCTGCTCATTAGTTTACGTATTGTTTATGCCTACTTCCATGCTATAGTGGCAGAGCTGAATAATTAAAATAGGGAATGTATAGTCACATCAAAATCTAAAATATTACTATCTGGGCCTTCACAAGAAAAGCTTGCCACCCCCTGCTCTATAGTAGCATTATCCCATAGAACTAAAATGTGAGTCACATATGCAGTTTTAAATTTTTGATAGCCACTTTAAAAAGTTAAAAATAAAAGGTGAAGTTAATTTTTAAAATGTTTTATTGATCCTAATATATTCAAATATTATTTTAATGTGTAATCAATATAAAAATTGAGATGTTTTACTTTTATTTGTATTAAATGCTTTTCAAATCCAATGTGCATTTTACACTTCAGTGTACCTCCACTAGAATTAGTCACTTTTCACGTGCTAATATCCACATATGGCTAGTGTTACCGTATTAGTGTAGTTTTAGAGTATATAGTTAAAAGTTGAATAATTTGTCTTAATTGTAGACATAGAAGTAAAAGTTATTATAAGATTAAAATGAAATATCAGTGATGGGAGTATGGCAGAAGGAAATTATGCCTCGTAGCTTAAAGTATCCTTTCTTTGATATATCAAGAAAACAAGGCCTGTAGTCCCAGCTACTTGGGAGGCTGAGGCAAAAGAACCACTAGGACATGGGAGGCAGAGGTTGCAGTGAGCTGAGATCATGCCATTGCACTGCAGCCTGGGTGACAGAGCGAGACTCCATCCCACACACACACACACACACACACACACACACACACACAAACACACAAAAGTCATGGGTACATGAAAAATAGTACATAAAAGAAGAGTATCCAGACTTCTTGGTTCTCAGGTTTGCATTACAGTAAAAAGTTTGTTTCCAAGGTTTCTGGAGACAGAAGGAACACCTTAATAGGTTAGAATTTATTTGGGAACAAGAGATGGACTTTATTTGTGGATTAGATTTTTTTGAATGCACTACAGAACTAAATGGCAAAAACAAACAAAAAAAAAAAAACAAAAACAAACTAGAGAAACCCATCTAAAAGATCTAATTGTAGCCTACTACTTGGGGTGAATAGTGGGTGGTCTTTTCAGAACAGATCACTGAAAAGACCACCCACTATTTAAAACAAACAAACAAACAAAAGCTTTCTTTGAATTGGGTCCCCTGAAAATAGGACACTAAAAGATAATATAAATATAGGCCACCCTTTTGAAAGGGATATATTTTTTATAACCTCATATAAGGCACTATGGCTTGCTTTCAATATATGGAGTGTCTATCCTACTTAGCATGCATAATAGCATTCCACAGCTTTCTGAGTTACTAAAGGAAGGTCTCATCTTCAGCTCTTGCCTTCACTTACCATCTGTTCTTTTTCAAAACCACAGTGCCTCAGCTATGCTGTGGAAATTGAGAAAGTTAATGACTTCTAGCTCTGTCTTCTATTTTGTGGCACTAGGTAGCTCCAATTATCTTTCACTATCTCAATTTCTCCACCTGTTAAGTGGGGATAACGATGAGCAAATAATGTGCACAACGTCAGCAGGGTTTAGAAGTGTTCTGTTTTGTCTTTTTATTTAGATGGAAAGAACACGGTGTTGTTTTAGTGCTGTAGAAAAAACACATAAAATGTCCTTTGCTATTTAGCCACTCATATGCTTTTCTTGTTCTAAAAGATCCAACTTTCCTTAATTAAGTTTGGCAACAAATGGGCATCTCCTTCAGGTAAAACCTGCTTCATAACAAAAATAAAAGGATTTGACAAGCCACTGGGACAGTTTCCAGTACAGTCCTGGGCATTAGAGGATAATTCAATGAAAGAGATATAAGGTCTGAGAACACAAAGGATGACTCTTAATTTTATGCAGCAACAAAGCATGTTTACAGCAGACAAAATGGGGCATCGAACGGAAGATTTTTATAAAGCAAATGTACTCACACCTGAAGAAAATTCTGTTTTTGTTTGCTTGCTTGATGTGGCTCTATCTTGTGCTGACAAAACACATTCTTTGGTGTATTATTCTTTGTGATTCTTCTCTCTTATATCCCTGAGCCCTGTAATGGTGTATTATCTCTATAGAGAGCAGGGTGTGCTTTATGATGGATGAGAGATCCCATAGTGAGGGAGATCCATCATCTGTTACAGCTGAGTTAACTGAGTGACTCAGCCTGTGGTCAGTTGTCTGGAAGGACACTTTAAAAAAGGATCTGGATATGGTATGAGATGCACTTGATTTCTGGAATGTGGCTGACACTGCCACAAGAACCTTAATAAAACCACAAACCTAATGGCCAACTAAAACGAGAAAGAAAAACATAGGGAGGAGACCTGTGATAATTTGGACATTTGGCTGATTTCAGTGAAAGAATAAAATATGACCCCTAAGAGTGTCCATTTCTCCTAATCAGCCTGCAGAGCTGCTGAATATGTCTTAAAGAGGCCCATTTGGAAACCTCTGAGTTTCCAAATAATCAATGAATTAGTCTTCATTGATCTGCACTGTTAAGAACTACAAAAGGTTTTTTTTTTTTTTTTGGTGTGTAAAATTAAAATTTAGTGCATTAGAATGCAACACAACATTACTTAAAAGAAATATCTTGAGCTTAGAAAAAGGATCCCAGTTGAGGTGGCTTTACTCTCTCTGGCTGGGTAGCCTTAAAAAGTTCATTTACGCAATCTGAGCCTCCCTTTCCTCAACTCTTATGTGCATGTTTTCACGATGATGTGTTCCAATACTGTACTGTCCACTATGAGAGCCGCTAGGCACATGTGGGTATTGTGTTCTTGAAATGCAGCTATTGCAACTGAGGGACTTTTTATTCTTATTTCATTTTAAGTCATTAAAGTCAAACTTAACCAAGGCAGTATAAATTTGTTTTAATACTGATTATTTATTATAAAATTAGTTAAATAATATATCAAAATTTATTTATGTTGTTTCTTTTTTACCTTTTTAGCATACCTACTAGAAAATTTAAAATTGCATCCAGGCTCAGTGGCTCCCAATACTGTGGGAGGCTGAGGCGAGCAGATCCCTTGAGTCCAGGAGTTTGAGACTAGCCTGGCCAACATGGCAAAACTCCATCTCTACTAAAAAAAAAAAAAAAAAAAAAAAAAATGCAAAAAAATTAGCCAAGTGTGGTGGCATGTGCTTGTAGTCTCAGCTGTTTGGGAAGCTTAGGTGGGAGAATAGCTTGAACCCAGGAAGCAGAGGTTGCTGTGAACCAAGATCACACCACGGCACTCCAGCCTGGGCAACAGAGTGAGATCGTGTCTCAAAAAAGAAAAAAACAAAACAGAAAATTGTATTGTATAGTAACTCTTGTTATATTTTGGGGGGGACAGTGCTATTCTAGAAAAATGATTTCAATTAACTATCATTCTACTTCCATAGCTATGTATTATTGAAAATAATATTGTCATATTAAAATACTTCCATGACTATGAAAGTTCAACCAAAATATTAATGAGCTATATTTGTCCCTTTTTCTATAGATAAAATTATTTTTTCTTTTTCTATTTTAAACATTAAAGCAATTTTTATAAGGGGGAGCCTATATCCTAGATGAATAGGGATAAAAATATTTCTTTCTTTAGGAATATAAGCTCTTCACATTTACCGTTAATCAATGTCTGCTTTGCAACTCCAGGTAACACCTCTTATCTAAGATTTAACCTTTTTTCTTTTCTTTTCTTTTCTTTTTTTTTTTTTTGAGATGGAGTCTCATTCTGTTGCTCAGGCTGGAGTGCAGTGGCATGATCTCGGCTCACTGCAACCTCCACCTCCCAGGTTCAAGCGATTCTCCTGCCTCAGCCTCCAAAGTAGCTGGGATTACAGGTGCCGGCCACCATGCCCGGCTAATTTTTGTGTTTTTAGTAGAGACAAGGTTTCACCATGTTGGCCAGGCTGGTGTCAAACTCCTGATCTCAGGTGATTAACCCATCCCAGCCTCACAGCTGGGATTACAGGTGTGAGGATCCACGTCTGGCCTTTTTATCCTTTTAATAACATGCCTCAGACGTGTCTTCTGGAGATTAAAAGCTAGCTTTAAGAAAGTTGCTACGTTTAGTAGCTCTCTCTGAGTTGAAGGACAATAGAGATAAGTTTTTGCCCATTCTGTTTAATTTGAGGAGAGTAAATTTTTAGATTTCAAAAGATACAAAATATTTGCTTTTTCTCCATCAGCAGGGAAGATCTTGGAGCTGCTAGATCTTTAAGAGCAAAGTCTCAACCTTTCCTGCACAGCCCCTGACATTTAAAGGCCAGGGCAATCAAGCCTATCTCAGAGGTGAAAACTGCCAGTTCAAGATGTCATCAGCCAGCCTTTCCCAAGGTGCCATATTCATGGCTAGGGATTGAGATCAGCATGTCATAAAGCCCTAAACACAGCACAGAAGAAACACATTTAGACACATGGTTACACATGGATTATATATTCCCTGAATAAGATTGATTCTTAGGCTAAGATCAGGCTTATTTATCCAATGATAACACCTATCAATTCAAATATTATTGAAAATAATATAGTCCTATTAAAATACTCTCTTGACTACATATTAGTTTGTCTTAGGAAAACATCTTTACTCCAAATATCTTATAATCATCCAAATAGGATGTTTTGTCACCTTCAGTTCAGAGTAGTGTACTATATTTTTTAGGGTTGAGACAATTTTCTTATTTTCTTTAGTATCTTCCCCATGCTTACAAAAGTGGGGAGTTTTCAGTTTCTGAGGCTGTCCCTGAATGGCATCTAATCAGCATCATTAAAGTTTTGTGCTTTGTCTTTTATCTGGTTTTTCAGTGAAAGGAGCCTAGCTTCTTTGTCCTGCACATTTCTCATTTCTTATTGTAATTTCTTATCATTGTAATTCCAACTAATTTTCTCAAGAATCAAGAAATTTTCCTTCACCCTAGCTGCCTTTGAAGAACTTCCAAAGACTAGTCACTCAATATTGAAACGGCATTGATATACCTGACCTCTTTTATATCATTCATTCATGTGTATTTTATTTTTCTGGAAAGAGAAAAGGTAGGATAGGGTTCATTGAACTGAGAGTGTTTCTGAAAGTCTTTTTTTTTTTTCTCCCTTTCTTAGAGCGATAATCACTGATAGTATCTTTTTCTAGAATAAGATGTTTGTATATTCTTGGCATTAGGAAGTCATTAGGAACTCTCCTCCATTTGCTGTCCTTGTTGATGACTTGAATTTAAGATGAGTACTGACAATCTCTAAGAGAGGAAATCATTTCTCACAAGTAAGTTGAAATGACAGACCTTGCAAATAAAGATTTTGTGTTGATACAGATATGAAAACAAAGCATGTCCTCAAACATTAGAACAGTCGATTCCTAGTGTAGCAGGGCATTTATCACAGTGTTCTTGGAGACTAATCATCTGCCATCTACAGAGAGAATATGAATATTGTTGGTGGCACAGATCATCTTTTTAAACACAGCATACAATTAAGGCCTCCACAGTGTAGCTCAATTAGAGAAAATATCTTCGTATTTTTATTTTCTCAAGCTGGTCCAATTGGCTGTTTTATTGCCTGAGATTTTGGGGAAATTATTGAGCTGGAAAATCTATCTGTGTTTTAATGTAAAAGAAGAATTCTCTAATTGTAAATCATACAAAAAAGTGTATTCTAGAGTATATCTTGTAACATTTTACAGGGAATGTGATAAAACAGAACTTGTCAGTTCCTTTCTGAGGGAACCAGGCTGCCTTCTGTGTGCTCTCTCTCTCTCACTTTCTCTTTCAGTATTACTGATACCAAAATCATTTCTTATTGACACTGCATATTTGTGCATATGTAAGGGTTTAAGAATTTAGCACCATTGACGACATGACACCTCAATGCCTCCTTTTAGCTTAAATATGTTATGTGGCAGGAACAGAATTCTCTTAAATCACCATAAAAGGCCGTTGGTAACTACTAGAAATGAGTGGAAATACTGAGCTGTTTACACAGTAAAATCACTCCTCAGTACCAGCACTTAAAGAACAAAATGAAAAGTGAAGTGGGAAAATGTGGGCTTTGAACCAAACAACATTTTTCCTGTGTTTTATTTTTTCATTGGAGTAAGGAATGGTGCTTTTTGTTGTTAGAAAAAAATAAATAAACGTACGTGCTTCTTATAGAAAGGCAAATAATTAAACATGGTTTACTCATTGTGTTCTTTACTCTTGGCTCTCCATATGAAAACATTCTAAAATGAGAAATCTCATGTTATTATAAAGACATGGGTTACGCTGGGGTGTGATTATTTTATTTAACAGATTTAAGATAATTTTTAAGGCAAAACTATTTCTATGTCCTGTTACCTGACCACAGTAACAGTGATGTGTTCATCTGTTTACAGTTAATTCCTCATGATAAATGATCCTGTTGAACAAATTCTTTTAGAGGTTCTGATGGTAAATAATGGCCAAACATTCTCTCTAAACAAAGCATCAACCGTTTTCAAGGTATATTGAACAGATATATTAGACAGGATAGGCCAAGTAATTCTGTGGTAACAAACAACCACAAAATTTTAGTAGCTTACAAAAATAAAAGGATTTATTTCTTTTTCATGCTACATGCCTGTTGTGGGGCAGCTGTGGCTCTATTCTACATTGTCTTTATTCTAGAATCTATGATCCATTAGCTGCTCACTGTTTGATAAGTGAGTTAACGAAAGCAGGAGAGAGCATGCAAACCATGCTCTCACTCCTACAGCTGGGCCGCAAAAGTGATAACATTTGCTCCTTTTTCACTGACCCAAACAGGTCACATGGCCAAATTTGTGAAACAGCATGGTGATGCATCAACTTTTCACAGGGAAGGGGAGGGACCAGATGTATGTGAAGAGTAATACAATCAGCCTCATTGATTACATATCCCCTTTAGGATGGAGTTTGGAACTTTAAAAATAGCTGATGACTTTATCAATTTACAAACTAATTTTTTTTTTACAACTTTTCATCTTGAAAACCTAATTGTATCAATTACACGTGCCAAAAAAAGTGCATGTTTATGTTTCTAAAACTTAAAACAACTATGTAATATCTATACGCTTGGAGTTGGAAAAAAACAGCTGCAGTTTGAAGGGAGGGGCAGAAACTGCCCTTCCATTAGGATTCAAATTAGAACCAAATTGTTATTTGCCAATTTTCCAAATAAAATCTTGGCTTATACCTGTGCCAGATCAGCTAAAAGATAGGCATAACTATTCATTATAACAGATTTTACTAGAGTCCAGTGTATTTTTAAATTTAAAATGGATTATGTAATAAAATTTATTTTGAAGAATAATAAACAGGGAGGCACTATCACAGAAGTCTCTGATTCTTTGCTACAAATATGTGATTTAATAATTGTGAAAGGGCAACAAATATTTGGTAGACATTTTTCAATCACCAATTTTTTTTAAAACAGCTATATCCAACTTTGGGGACTCTTGAAGGAACATATTCACTTTTGAAGAAATATATTCACATATTTCTCTGTTTCTGCATATGAAAATCACTTAATGTAATTTGGCATTAATATTCTAGTTCCAAGTAATCTGTGTAAGTGCTCTCCTGGAAACCTCCCTCTCTTGTACTGGATTCATAATTCTTCATTTATTCACTTATTTTCATGGAATTGGGGCAGTTGTTAAAAGTTGATCAATTTACCACTAGTAATTTTTTTACTACTTAATGGATCTTTGTTGAATTTCATAAATTTAGCACCAGTAATAGTTGCTACTTTATAATGACTTGGTTAAAAATAGAGTGTTTGTAAGCATGAAATTTGAAGGTAAAGGTTAGTCCTTAGGTGTATGGAAAGAGCTGATGATTGGAGAGAAGCTCAGAGATCCTGACAATTTGAATTAGAGCCAGAGGAAATGGAAGGGCACACATGAATTGTAAAGTTGAGTCACTGTGGACTTCATTTTCTTGTCGTAATGTTTGTGTTCCTGTTCATCTTATTATATATTTATGGAGCATGGTTTGTGTACTTGGTGATTTATAACAACATAAACATAAATCACTATGCTCAGGAGCTCACAAACCAGAGGAGAAAACAATGACAGACCTGCAAATATACAATGTAGTGGGAGAAAGAAGGTGCCCCTTTTTATTTACTTTTAATTTTTCAAATCTCTATTAAATCATACTCTGTGCGAAACATGTATAGCCATACTTTCTTTCTGGCTTATCTTCATTGTGGAGTTATGGAAAAGACAGATAACTATTTCTTTTCTCCAAAATGTCCAAGGTTATCAAATCAGGGCCCTGTCTTGTTACCCTCAATTTTGACCTAGAAACGGACTCATCAAAATAGCTATTGCTTATCATACTTTACATTAAATAAAAATCTGATTTTTAAACTGTCCTGTTGAACTAGTACACAAACATCTAATCTGAATTGGCTAATACATCTTCAATGTAATGGTGAGCATTTTGCTATTTTGAATGTTTTGTATTATATTATTTTGTTTATAAACATAGGATCAAATGGTATTTTGTTGCAGTTGAGGTTTAGGTTTAGGTTTAAATATTAATATTTAAAATAGGCCAAGTAAAGAGGGAGATTTCACAGATGAGGATGAAGTGTGTATTTCAGGTTGTGAAATTCAAGAAATACTGTAAATAATGCTCTAAGTCTTTATATGAGAAGTATTGTGAATTTTATGTCTTATGGATTTTGCTATTTTGTTTTAGCTATTTGAATCCAAATATTTAATATCAAATTCAGGAAATTAAAACTTATTGAGTAAGCATAAGAAGAATAATATAATATGGGCATTGGAATTTTACTCTGGGGGTTCAAATTCTTCCTAGCTCATGAGAAACTAATATATATAAAGTGATACACAGTAAGTAGCCATATTCTATTGTCTGACCTTGGACACCTTTTTCTACACTTCTGAGCTCTCTTTTTCTGTTAAGTTGAAATAATACTTCTAAAGATTTTTATGAGGATTAAATGAATATTAACAATGTCTCATGATATGTCTCATAGTGTGTAGGTACTGCATATACGTTCAATTCTTGATCATTAGGTACACATTTTTGAATCATCGAATTCACTGGTGTTACCTTCAAAATGAGAGGTAGGGTAGGAAGGTCTGGTTTTGAATTTCAACGTAGTCAGTAACCTGCTGGATTTTCTTGGAAAAAATGTAATCACCTCATTAAAAATATTGAAATATTAATAGCATATCTCAAAGCCTTATGAAATTTAAATTCAGTGATAGTATATAAATAACAGGCCAAAGAATCCTTCCACAAATGTTTACTGAATATTCACTATGCAATGTCACTTTTTTTAGGTTTTGGGAATACAAGAATATATAAGATGTAATCATTGACCTTAAAGCATGTGGTAGTAGGTGATCATCAATATATGCTAGATTTGACCTCACTCTTTCATTCTTTCTTTAATTAAGAAAATAATATTTTAGTGTTTCTGATTGCTACCTTGAATCCTAGGTTCTCGCTAGAAGACACTTTGGTAGGTCGTGGCTATCAGAAAGTATCTAGGCTAGAAAGCCCTCATGCCATGTAGAAAAATCCTATATCATTTGGTAATACTGGGATAAAATCTTCCTGTTACTTTGATAAAAATTGCACATTGATAAGAGCCATTCAGTTGTATTCAGGTAGCTGGCAGTTACAGCACACATTAATTTGTTAGCATGGTGATGATGTCACTTTTCGGGTGAGTAAAGGATAAAAGTTCCAGGTGGAAGAGACTTGATGCTCCTCTGAACTGCCTGGACCCCTGGCCCTGCACTAACAGTTGAAGCTCAATAACCTACACATAGGAAACCCACAGCTTACTATCTGATAATCCTTGACTCTAACTAGTAGAGGTGTGTTGGCTTTCTCTGCTAAATAGACAATTATCTATCCACTTAAAATGGCGTTGAATGTCGTGCTGCTTATTTATTTATTAATCCTGGAGACCTTGGGCTTCCACAGAAACATGTAGAGCTTGGATTGGATCTTTTGTGTAATGTATGCCTCACTCTTACCTGTAGGCATCTCAGGATTTATTTCCTGGACACCGAGTGAATATATTGTACATCCTTTGTTCAAATTCCAGTTACGTCCTTTAACAGAATTTGCTCTTGACTCTGAGTAAATTGCTTAATCTCTTTCAATCTGACTTTTCATCTGTAAAATCGGAGAAAACTAAAGTAAAACATTACAGAATGCTTAGCATTGTAACTGGTACAGATTAAAGACTCAGTAAATGTTAGATGACTATACTGATTCCTGGCAGAGCAAGAAAAGCAGCTCCGTTTTCCACAGTGGCTGAATTAACTTAAACTCCCACCAGCAGTTTGTAAGTGTTCCCTTTTCTCTGCAACCTTGCGGCATCTGTTATTTTTTGACTTTTTAGCAATGGCCATTCTGATGCGATTTCTCAAAGAACTTAAAACAGAATTACTATTCCACCCAGCAATCCCATTGTTGAGTATATACCCAAAGGAATATAATTCATTCTACCATAAAGACACATGCATGTCTGTTAATCATGCATCATTCACAGTAGGAAAGACATGGAATCAATCTAAATGATCATCACTGGTAGACTGAATAAAGAAAATATGGTACATATACATCATGGAATACTATGCAGCCATAAAAAAGAATGAGATCTACTGGAGACTGGAGTGTGGGAAGAGGGAGAAAATCAGGAAAAATAACTAATGGGTACTAGGCTTAATACCTGGGTGATGAAACAATCTATACAACAAACCCACCTGACACAAGTTTACCTGTGTAACAAACCTCATGTATCTCGGAACTTAATAAAAGTTAAAAAATAAAATAAATAATTTTACCTGGAAAAAAAGAGTATGAGATCATGTCCTTTGCAGCAACATGGGTGGAGCTGGAGGCCATTGTCCTAAGCAAACTAATATAGAAACAGAAAACCAAATACTGCATCTTCTTACTTATAAGTGGGAGCTAAACAACAAGAACACAGGGACACAAAGAGGAGAACTACCAGACACTGGGGCCTACTTTGAGGGTGGAAGGTGAGAGGAGGGAGTGGATTAAAAAAATACTTATTGGGTATTATCCTTATTACCTGGGTGACTAAATAATCTGCACAGCTAACTCCAACAACATGCAGTTTACCTATATAAAAATCCTGCACATACATGTACCCCTAAACCTAAAATATTTTATTTAAAAGAAGCTCTGATGAACACAAGTGCAATATCAAGGAGGGAATTGACATGGAGAGACACCCATCCTTGGTGACATATTTAGAAACAATGTCATTTGTGTGGTTTAGAGTTGGTAATTATTACTCATAAGAATTTTCAAACTGATTGACAATACAAAATATATTTGACCCCTCAAGTAATACATTCGTTTCATTGTTTTTTAAAATGTCATTTACATGACTGACTTTAATACCTGAATTTCAAACAAATGCAATGTATGCACTTCTCAACGTAACTGAAAAGATATTGCATGTTTTCAACCATATGAATGGCCCAGTAAGTAGCATTTAAATCAAAATATAGCATTTCTCTCTTGCTTCTGTAATGTTCATATTCTAAAGCATGTTCCATGGGCTAATATGTTATACAAGAACAGGAAGCTGCTGTTTTACATAGAGAATTACTTTAATAGTCAGCTAAGTCAACCTAGAAAACCCCTTCTGGAAGGTTCCACTCAAATGTTACCTCTTTATTGCACTATTCCAGGACTCAGTCATTACTTCTTCTGTGTTTTCCTAACATTTTATATCAAGCTCTTATTATATCACTTATATCATTTATTATTTATATATTTATCTTTTAAACTATGCTTTTTCTTATTCTTAAATATTTGCCTTTTAAAGTTGTTTCTTGGCTGGGCATAGTGGCTCACACCTGTAACCTTAGCAGTTTGAGAGGACGAGGCAGGTGGATCACCTAAGGTCAGGAGTTCGAGATCAGCCTGGCCAACAAAACAGGCTGGTGAGACCCTGTCTCTATTAAAAATACAAAAATTAGCCAGGCATGGTGGTGTGCACCTATAGTCCCCGCTACTTGGGAGACTGAGGCAGGAGAGTCACTTACACCTGGGAGGTGGAGGTTGCCATGAGCCGAGATTATGCCACTTTACTCCAGCCTGAGTGACAGAATAAGATTCTGTCTTAAAAAAAAAAAAAAAAAAAAAAAAAAAAAAAATTCCCAAACTTAATGCTGTTACAACTAGGTTTTAAAGAATGGTCATGAATTGAATAGTAATGGATATAATGGATATCAAACTACTTCGATCATTTAGAAATTTTCTACATTTAATAATCATTTAAGGAAGGGCATAATTACTATTATTCCCAGTTTTCAGGAAAAGAACCTGACAGAGTTTTCTGGTTTTAAATAAAATGCAGTGTGTGTAATGTGTCCAGATTCACATTGCTAGCAATAGAGATTCAGGACTCAGATTTAGCCATTTTGTCCCTAAGACCTTAAGGACAAAATGGCTAAGCAACTGAAATGCAAAAATTTCCAACCAAGAAAAATGTTTATATTTAAATTGAAAGATATGGGTAAAAATAGGATATTCAAATTTTTTAAAAAGGGAAAACATTAGATAAAAATATTAAGACAAGTAAAAGCTAATAAAACATTGAAGAAATTCAAATTAATGTGAGCTGGTTCAGATTTAGACCAATCTGTTTTGTTTTATAAGATGAATACTTTCAAATTTGGGGTGAAATTATTACGTTGTTTTAATCATTTAATTTACACATTCCTTTTTTATTGATACAATAGGAAACATAATGGCCTTATTGAAAACTCAGTTCTATAGTATTATTTTATATATTCCCATGTTGAAATATTACTGGATCATGGAATCAGAAGGAAATGCATTGCCTTATGAGAGATATCTTTGGGTGGAGCAAGAGTGTTTTAACAGGGAATGAAAATGGAAATTAATAAATACCATGAAATTATAAGAGAAATTTTGTGTATATGTGTACATATGCATTTCTATATGTGTACATATGCATTTCTTTGGAAAGAAGTTCCATAGCATTCATGAAATTCTCAAAGTCATTTATGACCACAAAGAAGTCATGTAGAAAAAGGAGCTTTGGAACAAGAGCCACTTAAATCCCATTTACAGACTCCTGTGTGTAAATTGCTTTCATTATGAGGTTGATGAGGAAATTAAATTACATAGCCTATGTAAATAACTGGTTTTAGAAGGTGCATAATAATGCAATATATACTAATTCTCATTCTTCTTAATTACTTGAGGAATAAAGTCCAAATTATTTAGCTCAACATTCAAGAAACGTACAAGATTTTTATTAAGCTTCCTTTTCTGTCTTCATTTTTCCCGTACTCTATTTTCTAGTCAGATGGGATTATTCACTGTCAAGGACCATACTTACCTTCTCATTCTTCTAGTCTCTTGTTACTGTTACTCCTCCAAACTCATTCAATTGATTTCATCTAATTTTTGCCCAAACATTAAGGACTTAATATTAAGACCCATCCTAATGAACCTTTGATAACTGTTCCATGTATATATTTTTTACTCCTCTAAATTCAAAAGCACTTTTTAACCTCTAATGATTTTGAATGTTTTATTTAATAATAAGAATATGCACGTGTCCTGTAACTTCTCTCTTAGGCTATAAGCTCCTTGGGTCAAGGATCACATTTTCCTCAACGTTGTACATACCTAAAACCCAGAAAAAGCTGACTGTATATTTGTGGAATTAATGAATGGTTCTAGTCAATCCCCTATTTGCAGACCAGAAATAAATCTCTAACATCCTAAAGATGTGCACACTGTTATTCTGTACTTTAAACTTACAATAAGCTGTCTAGCATGAATGTTACAGAAATTTAAATGATAGAAATAAAATGTCCCTTTTCTTCACAAAAAAATATAATGAACTGCTTATAACACTTAAGTCAGTGTCTGAGCCTACAGATGCATAAAATGTCCTAAAATGGTTCATATTTTTTACAGAAAAGGCATCAGAGTATGTTTTATAAAGTTAGTTCACCTTGCCTTTAATAAAATACCTATTAATATCAACTACAGAACATATCAGTTTTTCTCTTTTTTTTTCCCTCTTTTGGTTATTAAAGTGCTTCCTTTTGTGAAATAACTTTTGTTTCAGAACTGACTACCCTGATTTCATAATCAAACAATTAGCCAAAAACTAAGTATGTCCCTACTTTCCAGAGGTCAACATTTGACAAATTACCTTTCATAGTTCTTAGTTCTTAGTTCTGAATCACCTTCATTCTAGTTTTTTATCCTTCCCTCTAAATAATTTGTGAAATGAGAGAGACAGAAAGAGAAAGAGACAGAGAAATCGAGAAGGAGGGAGGGGTGATAAGACAGCAAAAATCATGTTGGGGATAGCACTCAGTGAACTTAGTTAGAATAAATTTATTGCCTGTGATGAAGCCAATCAATCTCAAGAACATTGAGAAACTTTATTAATCATAATGAACATCAAGAGAAAAAATATTAGGAGAGATTCAGGTTATCATAAAATGGTTTTAGAAATTGGTTTCCTTCTCCCAGTGAGTTGTTATACATTGTCTTTATCCGTTTATCAAAACACTGCACTTCCACTAGTGGAATGAGGTTGCAAAAATCAGAAGACAAAAAGCAAACAAAACAAAAAAACCAAACCTTTTAACAGGAAATAAAACATTTTGATCAGAATTCCCACAAATCTCTATGTTAAAATTTTAGTTTGTTTAAAAGAAGATGAGATTTTGAGAAACACTGATTTTACCTGTAGTCAACTAGTCTCTGCCTAAAAAAGTAAGGGCTGCATATTTATAGAACCATTTTATCATATATTTTATGTCTTTATAGCATGTAGTTGCTGATTTTCCTAATGAGGTCACCTTTCAGCAAATGCGTTTGCAAATTCACGTGGCGTACTTGCCTAAAAATAAGGCCAATTTGTGTGAGCTGAGGATTCTCAGTTTATTCCATGTGTTTTTCTCACTGCAGTATACCCAATGCAATAGAAGAAAATATTTTTGGCAGCATTTATTCACATTGATCTTTGTGTCTTTCTCTGTACATTCCAATAAAAGAATAGGGTGATACAGGAATTAACATCTTTCCTGGATTTCTCATATTTGGAGCTCTTCAAAGGCAAACATAATTTTTCCCTTTTTTTGGGTGTGTGTGCTAATATACCGCATGGCCACCCAGAATCTCCATAGAAAAGGGGCTCAATAAACCTTGTTGACTGGTGGCTGGAGCCATGTAGTCAAATGGGGAAAGATTAAAGAGTTGTTTTTACTTTCTCAACTAAAGGGTAGGCAGAGTGAGAAAGCAGGTCTCGTAACCCCAGCTGATGAGGTAGATGATTTGGAAAGCAAAGGCTGTCTCATTTAGAGAGCTGGAAAAGTATGTTCCTAGCATTTTAACCTTAGCTATGCCCTAATTATGGACTTGGTTATTTTGCTAAGCAGCGGGAGGGACTTGGTGATCAGTTTCTCTGAATGTCTTGGCCAAGGTCTTCGTCTACTTGTAATGTTCGTCCCCATGTGAGTCCCTTAATAAAAACCCTAAGCCTTTTAACTCTGAACAATCAAATAACATATTTCCAGCTGAAGCATGTTACAGTTTCAAAGATAGTTTCTACTGAAGATAATGAGTGTTCTAGAGCGTTAATTGAAACAGCAGGAAAGAATTGTGACTTTACAAATATCCCAGGGGAGTCCAATGCGCCAAGATGATGGCATAAATAAGCTAGACTAATGGACTTTAGTTTCTTAAGCCACAGATTAAATGCCGAAATTTTAAAGAAGAAAACTTTTCTTATGCTATAGAAATTTGATGAACACCATTCATAAGTTAATATGAAAAAATCTGTTTAACACAGATGAAAGAACACTACCATCTGTTGTTAACACTTTGTTTAAAATCTGACTATGGTATAAATACTCTTATTTTGATGCCCCAGTTTTCTTTGATACAAAAAAAGTGGATTATTCTTATTTAATTCATATTTTTAATAACTGTGATACATGGAAAACTATTTTGATGTTCATTAAATATTTATTGAGCAAGTACTACAAACAAAATAGAAGTTGCAAAGATGAAGCAGATATGAATCTTGATTTCAGAGATTTAATAAATCAGTAAAATATAAGACATACACAGACAAAACTTCAGTGAAAGTAGAAAGTAATAAATGAGATATAAAAACACAACGTGTTATTTATTTCAATGTTTTTGGCGTAAAATTTAATGAAAACATATCTCTGTTTTCTTGACTTATAAAGTATACTTGATAAAATTGACTACTTGATGTTAGAAATTTACAGTTCCCTCATCCTAAACATTATTTCTCATTATAAAACAACATAGAAAATTACAACAATTTAAATGAATCATTTGTGGCCTCATAACAATGAATGTAGCAATAATTATGCTGAGAGTAATTGTGTTCTTAAATAATTGAGACATTCTTGTTTTACATCTTGGGTAATACATAATGATATAACATCTTTCACACATACATAGTGAATAACATTTTACCATTCAATTTTAAGACACAGATTACGAGTTCACGAGACTAAATGATTTCATTGTTTTGAAAAGCTGAATGAATTGTCATTATAAGAAAAAATAATTCATAATCTTAAATTATTGGCAATAAGAAAACCTGAATACACCACCAATTGCCAGTATTTCTATTGCTTATGAGTAACTGAGTAACGTGGTCTTTAGGTTAAAAAGAAAAGAGAAAGAGAAAACTTCTTCCATTAAAGGCAATTAACACAAAAGAAATTAAACCCAGTTGAAATCAGAGCAGAGAGGTTTCATTGTGATAGAATAGGATTTAAAGGTAGGAGATCTGAGTTCAAATCCCAGCTGTGTAAATTGGACAAGTCAATTTGCAGATTGATATCTACATACCCACTTCACAGCATTGTCAGAATTGAACAAAAGAGTATTGGCAAAATTATGTTGCAAACATTAATTGGTAATTATTATTCCTTTGAAATTCATGTAATCTTAATGTTTTGCTTTTTAAATCACAATGGTGATGTTTTTCTACAAAGGTACTGCTCTTTGGTTCTTGCCATTTCTATAGAAGCAGAAATCACCTGCCCTCCGTCAGTTTGCTGGTTATTCTCATTAATCCAGAAGAGACAGTTTTTGGATTTGTGTGTTTTGTTTTAGTTTGCTAGGACTGTGGCATAGAAGCCAGAGGCCAGAAATTTATTTTCTCATAGTTCTGGAGGCTAGAAGTCCAAAGACAATGTGTCAGCAGGGTTCCTTCTCAAGGCCGTGAAGGAGAAATTTGTACCTGGCCTATTTGTAAATGGCTGTCATCTCCCTATGTCTTCATATTCGTCTTCTTTATTTATATGTCTGGGCTTAAATTTCCTCTTCATATAAGGATATCAGTCACACTGAATTAAGCTCCATCACAATGACCTCATTTTAATTTAACTATCTCTTTAAAGACCTTATCTTCAAATACAGTTACATTCTGAAGTACTGAGGATTAGGTCTTCAACACATCAATTTTGGGTTAAGGAGATTGGGACACAATTCAGACCATAACATGTATTATGATGGATTGAGAGAAACTCATATAATTTCTTTGTTAAAGGAATATAACGGTCAGCAAATAGCACTGAATAACACATAGAAGTTTTAATAAAATATGAACATAGATATAAAAATACTGGGAGGTATTTCTTACTTGGTGACATTCTTTTCCATTCTATTTTTTGGTGGAATTATTTGCCCCAAGTCACAATTTTCTTCATTGAGCCAAGGAAAGGAAGGCATCTATTCAAGTAGCAAACAAATCAGCAGGCATCTTATGCCAGTCTAGGCCCTCTGGAGATGCTATATATTGGCTAGCAGTCTATTTTCTTCCAACCATATGGTTTGGTGCAGATGATTTAGCACAAAAATAACCTTCTTCAGTGAATAGTGGTGCCGTGTGCAGGAAGCTCGTCCTTCTCTTTTTAACCACTCACAGAGGTGTAACCCCCACAGGAAAGGCATCTGTCCTCCAGCAGCAGTTCACAAAAGGGAAGTTATAGATTTGACAACTCACTGAAATGTCACAGAGAATCATTTTTTAAAACAGAAATCTGTCATTCCTCTCTATTGAAGTTTAGAACTTTAGTAATGAGGTACAATCTTTCTCTCTAGAGCTGTCGGGTTTCTTCTCTAAATTTTTTCAGCATTTTCATATTTGATTCTGCTGGTCCATTAAACCAATGCAAAATGATATAATCTTTTTTTTCATTTTTCTTCTTATGTTCTTTATTTTAATTTGTTGAGTTGTGGGTGATCTCCTGGACATATTTATTTATGATGTTGCGACAAGAAAGTTTACCTATAATGCTCTACAGTCCTAAGTCTATTTCTGGCTTTATTGCTTAATACCCTTGAAACTGGGAGAAAGGGCAATATTTTTTATACCATAGAATTTACATTTGTAAAATGAAGGCAGAAAAAGTAAATTATGGCAAATAGCAAATACAGAGAGAAAATGTCATAGCCGATACTAACAATGACGTCAGCCCCCAGTGGGTTGATTTGTATACATCAGGAAAAAAGATCCCCGTTAATGTGTATCATGTTACTCTTCATTAATTTATCCCTTCATTCTCCAAATATATTGTGTTAAGCATTATTCTACACTCATGGGATATATCAGTAAGTAAAACCAAGGCCTTTGACCTCATAGATTTTGTATTTTAGTAGAAGGAGATCTGTGATAAACAAAAAGTATATAAAAATAAGTACATTTTATAGTTATGTTAGAAGGCACAAAAAAAATGTAGAGTAAGTTAAGGAGAATCAGAATGCTGTGTTGGAGCAAGACACTGGATTTTAAATGAGTGGTCAGGATAGGGCTTCAAAGGCTATTATAGGCTGTAACATTTT
The DNA here is from genome assembly GCF_000001405.40 of Homo sapiens. Taxonomy (NCBI): domain Eukaryota; kingdom Metazoa; phylum Chordata; class Mammalia; order Primates; family Hominidae; genus Homo; species Homo sapiens. The sequence goes on from NC_000012.12 coordinate 78,420,082, forward strand.
GTGATAGAATAAATATTGCCAGAAATGAATCTTTTATTAATTCTTTTTGCTTAAAAATAAACTCAGTTTTCAGGGTAAGGTATGGAAAGTTTAGCAAAGTACCCCTGGTATTTAAGATATTTTATTAAATAACATATTTCTTTGTCCATCTGTTCAATGAATTGCTTTCCTCCTGTAGTTTTCCTTTGTCCCTAAGAAACCTGATTTTGAACTATCTAGCTAAATAGTTTTCTATCTCCCTCTCCTAACTTGAAAAACCTGTGCCTCACATTTCACTTCCGTATCTTTAGACATGAGAATATCACTGACACTGTAAAATCACAAAGCATTTGTCTCTTCCAGGCTACTCTCTGCAGCCTTTGTACATTTTTTGCTTAGGTGCCATGTGACATGAAAGGAAAATAAGGCAACACTTCAAAATAAAAATTATTGGTAATGTGCTATTGAATAAACCCAAAGCCCATATTCTTCCAGGTTAATTTGCTGTTAGCAATGCCTGTGCCACCAATTCAAAGCTTTGTGGCCAGGTCTTAAAAGTAAGTCCCTAAGCCCGTGAAATGTTAGCAAAAGGGCAAAATTGTATTTTTAACGAGAGAGGCAAATAAAGATAAAGGAGCACAAAGGCATAGAGGGTAGCTTGAAAATATACAATGCTCTATGAAGCTGGCAAAACATTATGAGACATCTAATTTCAGCTGTCAAAGGGGCTCACATTGATTTTTCTGTTCATTGTATGCACTCTTAGGGTCTTTAAATAGAGCCTTATTTATTCGGCTCTCATATAACCTATCTTTCTCAGGGGAAAGTTAATAGTACTTTCCAGTAGGAAAATAGGAGCTTAGTTTAGATTAGAATAGTTGAGAGCCCATTTTGTTTCTGTTTAGATTCAAGGAAATGAATAGGTTTAGGCTTTTTGATGGTAAATAAGTCAAAAATCCAGGAACCCCAAATCGCTGCTCTTAATGCTAGTCGTCTTTGTCCTCCTGCTGCATGCTTTTGTTAGTATCTGATCCATCTATTTTCAGCTTCTTCAACCCCAATCCCACAAAACTGCTTCTGAGAGTGAAAAGAAAATCATGATTCACTTAAAATTAATTCTTTTGTAAGAAAGCATTTGAAAGCTGGCCAAAAATTAAACCCAGACCCTAACCAAAAGAATCTGTTTAGAAAATATAATCTCTACTTATGGACGACTCAGTTCTGTTGTAGCAAAATATTCTTTTCCTGAAATTCCTTGGCAGTAGCTTATTAAAATAAGACATTTTATTACCCTACTTTCGCAATATGACATCATTCTATTGATACTCATGAGTAGAAAATATAATTGTTTTCCTTTGGGAATTATATTTTGTCATTTTTTATTGTCCATTTATTGGAGACTGAGTAGTTTTGTCTTTAGAGCTTTTGTAATGAATCGTTCATTTCAACTTCTATTTTGGTGTAACAGTGTAATTTCAAATATTAGACTGTACAATCTAATAATGCTTACAGTACACAGACACCAGATCTAAAGAGAACAGCAGATCAACTAAAATTTTGCAGTTTAATTAATTATATCAGGAAGATGATAATTTTGTAAAGTTCCAAAAATTGTTGATTTGCTGCAATCCACCAAACTTTAAGATTGATGACAATATGGGTAACCATTTTGTTTACTAAGTCAAAGTCAAAATGCTGAGTTTGAGTTCTGATGTGTGTGTCTCTGTGTGTTTGTATGTATGTGTGTATGCGTTTGGCTGAACCAGGGCACTTCTGGGGTTTGCATTGTATCTTTCAGTCCCCACAAGTCTGTTTCACATGTTCTAACCCACTTGAGTAGATTCTGAACAAATATCATCAGATTAAAAGAAAGGACAGATAATACAGAGATATGTCTCAGAATTCCTTTATTGCATATCCCAGAAATTAATGAGGCTGCTACTACTTTAGGGAAGACATTCCCAACCTTTCAGATGCACTAGAACTCTTTTAAATGTGTAACAATTCTAGAATGTTAGAAGAGACATCTTGAGGATGACATCTTGTCCATTGAAATCAGTAACTCTTGTAACAAGGGTGTACTATCTTGGAAAAGAGAATAAAATATGTAGTATAGAAGAAGGAAGAAGCAAAGTCTGAGCATTGAAGACTGAAAGACAAGCCTACTTTTTCCTCAATGGTGAAACCTCTACAAACCGTACTATAACACTGGCCAACCCTGGAAGAAGTCATAGAACTATTGGTAGCATCCAGATGGGATAAAGGGAAGGTGTTTTTTCCCTTCCTAAAATTTAAAGCTCCACATTAAACTTTATATTATGGTAAGGATGATTACATTTGTGTTTTGCAGGGATGTTTTGGGAAGAAAGAACGAGAACAAATGCATCTGCAATGTGTGAAATATGTATATACACATTATCTAATTTTATCCTTACACCAGCTCCAAGAGTTAAGTACTAGGAGAAAAACTGAGGCTCCAAGGTCCTATGAGAAATGAGGAAACTGAATCTCCAAAGTCCTATGACTTGACTGTGACAGACCTAGGAAATACTGCAGCTAGATTAGGAACTCATTTGCAAAATGCATACTCGTTCTACTTCTATAAGCTGATACAGTGCTGAGAACCTGATTTAGGTTAAGTTATTTATATGTCTTACATCAAATTGTGACAGAGATATCCTTATCATATTATTATCCTCACTTTATAGAACAAGAAGAAATTTCAGAAAGGTTTAGAGCGGTGGTTCTCAAAACTCATTGACCATCAGAATCACTGACAAAGTTTAAAAAATGCAAACTCGAGGAATTCAAGCCCAGATATTTTTATTTAATCAATCTAGATGGAAGCTCAGGGATCTGTAATTTTCTAAAAGCTCCTCAGGTGGTTGTAATGTAACTCTAGCTTTCAGAAACATTAATTAGTGATGATATGGTTTGGATGTGTGTCCCTGCCCAAACCTTATGTGGAGTTGTAATCCCCAGTGTTGAAGGAGGAGAGGGCTAGTGGGAGGTGATAGAATCATGGGGGTGGATTTCCCTGCTGTTCTTGTGATAGTGAGTGAGTTCTCATGAGATCCGGTTGTTTAAAAATGTGTAGCACCTTCCTCTGCTCTCTCTTCCTCCTTCTCCAGCCACGTAAGATGTGCCTGCTTCCCTTCGCCTTCTGCCATGATTGTAAGTTTCCTGAGGCCTCCACAACGATGCTTTCTATAGAGCCTGTGGAACAGTGAGTCAATTAAACCTCTTTTCCTTAAAAATTACCCAGTCTCAGCTAGTTCTTTATAGCAATGCAAGAACAGGCTAATACAAGTGGATACTTTTCATAGTTGGAGAAGTAGGGGTTTGAATCCTCATCCATTTATCCTCTACCACTATGCAAATAGGTATAATTTGCATGGTATTGTTAATGTATTAGATAATTTATTAAACATTACCTAATTTAATGATTATGATGATACCCTGGGATAAATACTTACCTCCTGGTGCTTACTGGAGACATACTATTATTTATATGTTGTATTATTTATTGTTACATAACAATATTACTACAAACTAAGTTTAAAATAACATATATTGGAGACTTCCATTTTTATAGGAAGATGGAATCAATGTGTGTTTTGCTGTTTCTCCTGCTAAGTAAAAGTAGAATCACTGAATATTATAAATAAAACAAATATGAGTTGACTCTGAAAAGTAGAGAGAAATAAACAAGACTTTGGGTGGAGGGAATAGACATAAATCAATGGAAGTGAATAGAGAACCAAGAAAAAACGGATACAAATATGCCCAACTTATTTTTGAAAAAGGTGCAAAAGCAATTAAATAGAGATAAAACAGCCTCTTTAACAAATGGCACTAGAGAAATTGGATATCCACAAGCAAAACACTAACCACAACCTAAGTCTCTTGTCATTTGCAGGACTAATTCAAAATGAATCATGGACTTACATGTAAAACATAAAACTATATAATTTAGATAAATAAACTTATAAGATTATCTCCAGGATATAAGGTTAGGAAAATAATTCCTAAAGTTAACATTAAAAGCACAATCCAGAAAATTAAAAAAATAATAAGTTGGATTTTATCAAAATTAACAACTATTGCTCTGGGAAAGATCCTGTTAAAAAGATCAAAATCCAAGCTACAAAGTAGGAGAAAATATTGGCAAACCAAATATCTGACAAATAAATAGTATGTAGAACATATAAGGAACGATCAACATTAGAAAAAATAAGCAAACTGATGAGAAAATGTGCAATGGGCAGTTTAAAAATGGAAATAGAGACATTTTGTCGAAGTAGAAATATAGATGGCAAGTGATCACATGTCAAGATGTTCAATATAACAGAAAATGAAACTGAAATGAGATATCACTACACACCTATCAGAATTCCCAGGTCAGGTGAGGTGGGCTGTTGCCTGTAATCCCAGCACATTGGGAGGCCACAGCAGGCAGACTGCTTGAGCCCAGGAGTTTGAGAACAGCCTGGGCAAGTTCCATCTCTCCAGAAATTTTTGAAACTTAACCAGGTTTACTGGCACATGCCTATGGTCCTAGCTACTCTGGGGCGGGAGCTGAGACTGAGGTGTAAGGATCACTTGAGCCCAAGGGTTCCAGGTTACAGTGAGCTATAATAGGGTCCCTGCACTCAAGCCTAGATGGCAGAGTGAGACCCTTTGTGTATGTGTGTATGTATAATATATATATAGAATTTTACATATGTGTTCATATATCTCATATACACACATATAGACACAAACATACATTATATGTAAAATATATGTGTATGTGTGTGTAAGTATATATACATATATACACGCAACACCAATTGCTGGTGGAGGTGCAGAGAAACAGAATGATTCATTCATTGCTGGTGGGGAAGTAAAATGGCACACCCACATTGGAAAACAGTTTGGCAATTTATTTAAAAAGCTAAACATGCCATTACCATACAACCCAGTGATTGCACTCCTGGGCATTTATTCCAGAAAAATGAAAACTTATGTCCACTAAAATCCGTACTAAATGTTTATGGTCCCTTTATTGGTAATAATCGAAAACTGGAAACAAATCTACATGCCCTTCAAAGGTGAAGGGTTAAACAATCTGTGGTTTTTCTCATATCATGAAGTAAACCACTGTGACATGAAACTACCTGGATGAATCCCTAGAGAATTACACTGAGTGAAAAAAAATCAAAAAGGTTAAATACTAATTTTATTTATAAAAGATTCTTGAAATGACAAAGTTACAGAAGTGGAGAACATATCAGTGGCTGCCAAAGATTAAGAAGGGGATGAGGGAGGGAGGGAAGTGAGTGTGCCTGTAAAAGGGCAACATGAGGATCCTGTGATGATGGAATATTTTTTTGTATCTTTATTGTGTCAATGTCAATATCTTGGTTGATAGTTTATACTCCAGTCTCATAACATGTTTCCATTACAGAAACCTGGTTAAAGCATACAGGATATCTCTTCGTAGTACTTCTTACAACTGCATGAAAATTAATAATTGTCTCAAAATAATAGTCGAATATTTAAAATGTATATTATCTTACTTTTTGTGTGGGTTAGAGATCCAGACATAGCTTGGCTGAGTTCTGTACAAGGCCACAATCAAATTGTTCAGCCAGGGACGGGGTCTCATGTAAAAGCTAAACTTGGGAAGGATCTACTTTCAAATTCATGAAGTCATTGGCAGCATTCACTTTTCGTGGATTGTTAAGCTGAGGGCTTCAGTTTCTTGCCGGCTTTTATCTGAAGGTCACTCTCAATTTCTTGCTGTGTGGACTTCCCTAACATGGCCATTTGCTTTATGAAAGCTAGCAAGGGAAAAAGTCCCTTAGCTGAACAGATGTTATAATCTTATTTAACTTAATTATGGAAGTGACAGTTCATCACCTTTGCTATAGTCTATTGGATTGAAGCAAGTCACAGCCCTGTTACACTTAAGTGAAGGAGATTATACAAAAGCATGAATACCAGTAGGCAAAGATGACTGAGAGTATCTTAAAGTTGCTCCAGTAAATGTATTTATATACATTTATTTCAAAGGTTTTTTCTTTAATTGGAATTTAATTAGGTCTTGATTTAACTGACTTTTGATTTAATCAGAAATATGTTTACTACTCTCCTAAATACTCGGCAGTTGTGCAATATGATTTAAAGTATTATCAGCTAAGTTCCACATGTATAGTAGATCTTAGAACTAAAGAATGCTCCAACATTTCTATCATAGGAAACAAGATGTATTCAAACCGACTGGGAAATACTGCATCTTAGCTACAGTAGGTATTTTTATACCACATGTTAAACTTTTTAGACCTCTAGAAAACTTGTTATATTACTATGTTTATAACTTAATGATCTGAAGAGATCCAGGTAACATCCCAAAACACAAATTTATTATGTGGGAAAAGTTTACGCTTTGGAAGAAACTTTTTCTACTGTATCTTACCTGTATTACAAACACTGTCTTTTTAGAAAACTTCTTAGTTGCCTTGAAAATCTTGAAAAACCTTTCAGAATAGAAAAATGTATTTCACATGAAATCTTTTGCAGAGTAAACCCACTGAAATTCCCTGTGACCTAGTAAACACAAAGTGTAATCAATTAATTTAGTAATAAAATTTAGATTTGTGTGAAGGTTTGTTAATCTGCCTTTATATACTAAAAACTAAAATATTCTCTTTTTTGGAAAATTAAGACATGACATTTTCATTCCTCTTGTACTTCTTGTGTGCTCCAAGATTTTTAAATATCCCTTATGGCATTTCTGAGAATAATCTTCAAGTGTTTCTTAATTCCAAAATAAGGTAGATCATCTGGAAATGATAAAAATGAAAGCAGTCATCATCATCATCATCATCATAAGATGAATCATTTAAAATAATAACACCTACTCTCTAGATAGGTCTAATCTCTGTAACAGAATACATGCGAGGTCAGGAATCAACAACTCCCTCTGCCTTATCCCCCTTCAAAAACAAACACATGAACAAACACACCATTCCCCTTCTTTTAGTGTATTTGGAGAGAAAGAAATTTGTCTCATATTTCTGCTAAATCATTCCCCATCTGGCTTCTGCTTCTCTATGTTGCCTGATCTGAACATGCGTTATTGAAAACTGAGCTGTTTGTCCTGAGCTGAACACTGACTTCTTATACATGATTCCCCATAACACCGCTAAAATAAGATTGTTGATGGGAGTCTCCTTCTACTAACATTTTAGAATTTAAAATAATTAGGATTAAAAATTTGATAACAGAGGGGTGCATAGCACAGCACTGAACACAGAACAACTTATCGTTTTCATTATCAGGATTTGTTTTCTTATTTTCTCTGTGTTGAAGGATATATCACTGACCCATATTCTTATCTGGCCTCTGTTCTTTGCATGATAGGTGAGCCCTCTCTACTCCCAGGGTCTTGTTCATCTTCACAAAAACCTCCTCCTATTCCAGTTGCCTGAAGGAAACTCTTAGATGTATTTCTGTATTATTCAGAGCATTCTATTCTCCTGGATTACATTCAGAATACTTTGGCTTTCATAATACTAAAAGCACCCATCTAGATGTTTTTCTAAATAAGGGTGGTTTCTTACCTAAAAATAATTGTAATATTTTCCTATTGTATCTAACTCAAATTTCTGGTATGTTTAAAGTGAATGACTTTTCTTGTAGCTTCATAATAACCACTACCATTCACTGAGGCATAAAATACCCACAATTATCATTATCGAGCTCTTCGAACATGTTAAAGGCCATTCTATATGTTTTATACTTAACACTTTGAGTCACATAATCTTTAAAACAACTCCATTATTATTCCGTCTTACAGCATAGTCGTTGTGAGAAGAGATCATATGCTTGAAAAACTTGTATCCCAATAACCCTGACAGATTAAAGCCCTAGTTTTCTCAGGTTTCAATATTAGGAGACTTCTATATAGGGATTTTTTAATTTTTATTTTATTTTTAATTTTTGGTGAGGAGAGTTAGGATTTAAACCCAGGTTTTTCTGGCTACAAAATGCACATATGTAATCATAAGACTTCACTCTATACAAACCCAGCTTCCTTTGAAGATTTTATGATATTATCTATTGTGGTAGCTAGAATAATGCCCCCACCTCCAAGATGTCTACATCTTAATCCCAGGAACTTGTATATTCGGTTACACAGCAAAGAGGAATTAAGTTTGTAGATCGAACTAAGGTTTCTAATCAACTGACTTTAAAATAGGGAGATTTTCCTGGATACTTCCACGGGCCAAATGTAATTACAAGTGGCTTTGAAATGTGGAAGATGAGAGAAGAGTGAATGTCAGTGTGATTCTATGTGAGAGAGACTAGTCATTACTGGTTTTGAAGATATAGTAGGAGGACATGAGCCAAGGAATGTAAGCAGCCTCAAGAAGGTGAAAAAGGCAAGAAAATGCAGTATCCCTTAGAGCCTTCAGAAAGAAAGATGGCCCAGTTGACATCTTGATTTAGCCCAACGAGATCCATTTTTAGACTTCTGACCTCCAGAATTTAAATAATAAATTTGTATTGCTTTAACACAATCTGCTGTAATTTGTTATAGCAGTAATAGAAACCCACTACACCTATTTTGACTTTTTACTCTTTCTTAGTCTACTGTTTCCAGTTTGAATATTATTATGCTTGATTGAAAAGAGTGAAGCACTGTTTAACACATGGCACTGACACTATCTTTGTTTCATAAATTTCCCTCCCTTTGACACTTCCAAGGAGCAGAACTTGCATTTTTGTTTCCTCTTGACCCTAACACAATTCAATGCCCATTTTATTTACTGTTTTTCTAATCTAATTTTTCTTTGAAATTTAGGATTCCAAACTTTATTGTAGACAAAATGAAACAGAAGTTATGGCAACAGAGTGTTCTTTAGATAGCATAAAGCCTGGAAAAAATAAAACATAAAAAATGAATGGGAGCTTTTTAAGTAGAAGTCCAGATAAAGAAGATGGATTGGAAGGGTGGTTAAGGCAGCCAGGAGCCACAGGGTGGCCCAACACTCAAAGTGCAAGTAGATGATCATTGGAACAGACAACGTAAGCAAGGCAAGGGTGAGAGATGAGATTGGAAAGGTCCATAAATTAGATTGTAAATGAATGTGAATATCCTTCTAGGAAATTTTGATCTTATCTGGAAGCTATGGGGAACCTGTGAATGATATTTAGCCCAAAATGAACATGATCATGAATTTGGAAAGTAAATGGTAGAGGCAATGTGGGAATGTAAGCAAGCCTAGAGGCAGGAAAATGAGTTAAGAGTCTTTTTAGTATACCAGAAAAATGATAATAACAGACAATATGTATGGTGTCCCTAGGGATGAAAAGAATTAGAGTAATTTAAAAGATATCAAGAAAATAGAATCAACAGTATGTGTTAACTGTGGGCTGTGAGAAAGCAGTAGAAATCATATTGATGGCTTGGACAACAAGATGCATGATAAGGATGTCCACCTATCTGGGGAAGATGGGAGATTTTGAGACAGAAGATGGGCCAGATTTGGTTCCAGTTTTAGATTCTGGATCATTCTGTTGGGGATGTGAGCCCACTATCACTTTCTCCTGGGTTTCTACTCTACGTTCCTATTGAACCTCTGCCAGTGGTTTTGAGGGCCTACTTCTTACAAACAGAAAAATGATCTATGTCTTCCTTTGGCTTGTGTTGTGCCATCTTCTGCCAAGTAATCTGTGATCATGTGCAGACCACTTTCATTAATTTAAGTTCACTTATATGGCTTCTTAGCAAATTAACAAAATAATTATATTGGAACATAATGAAGTTGTAGTGGGAAACTGCATACAGACTCAATATTTAATGAAGGAGCAGGCACAAATGAAAGTTTAGGATGTAACAGAATGATACCACTGAAACTATTATAACAGAATGACATTAATACACCTGTAAGAGGTGTATATGACAATATGACAATTAGGACAATTGACAAAAAGTTTCATTGACTGCTTCAATATTGTAGTTGTACAACAAAAATCTGTGAATGATCGGAAAGTGTCAGATCAATGATGACAGAACTTGTCAGTTTCAACCTACTGTTCCGTGTATTGAATTGAATAGGTTTTCATCATTGCAATTGTATTGCAATAATTTATTGCAATACAATTGCAACAAATTATTTTATTTGCAAATAATTCCATGTATTATTTGCAAATAAAAAACTTTTTAAACATGAAATTGGACTTCTTCTAGTATTAAAGGCTTATTGTTAGTGTTTATTATTACCTACTAATCGCTAGAACTCTGCTAAATGTAGTATGGAAATTAAGCAAAGGAGTAGATGGGATCCTTGTCCCCAAGAAACGTATATATCTTTTAGAAGAATTGAGGTTAACAAGCATAGGAAACCATTAGCACTACAAAAAAAAAAAATTCAATTATCTGTGTTGACAAAAGACCTTATGTATATGAAGAACTCATTAAATGCTAGCTAAATCTACTTTTATTATGACAATTCTGGAAAGCAAAATATTATTTACTTTATGGACGTTCCACAGTGACTTGAAAAAGATAAATCTGTGAATTATTACTTGGACGTTTCTAAAAGTAAAGACTGTGCTGTTTAGCTAACCAAAGTACAAAAAAAAAAGGCAAATCTACTAATTGATGATTGTTACACTTACAGCATGCAACTTTTGTGTACTTAAAGAAAATCCTGTAATAAATGAGAGGGTGTTCTTAAGCCAAAATGATCTTAATTGGAGTTTGGAGGCCTTTGAAAATCTGCCTCTATAAACAGTCCCTGGAACAATGACTTCCTGCAGAAGGAAAAGATAGATATTTTAGAAGTCTAGGAGAGCCTGGCTAGCATGCTAGTCTCTGCTTTGCAGAGCAAATCCCTTGAATGCCTTTAAAAAGATTGATTTTTTATGTAAAGGCACATTTAATCATAGCTTTGAATGTTTCAAAAGTGTCTGTGAGGGTTTTGCCTCTCAGTGGATTGGAAATCTATTAGTGTATAGCCAAGAGGTCACGGAATAGCAGAAATAAGACTTTTCAAGTATTCTGATGCAAAATTTGATGGGACATACTAAAGCACTGTATTTCTAAAAGCATAGCACTGAAGCTTCTCCAACAGAAATAAGACTAAATACATTCTCATGAGCACATTGCTGCTGTCAGCGTTTCTCCATGTTGTATTAAAATGTTAACCAACCTTGCAGACCTTTCAAGAAACCTGTGAATTTATAAAAAATACCCCCATAATGTCACTGTCTATAATATTCAAAAATTCTGGATTCTTCTGAACCCACTATAAAATATAAAGTATATGCTTTGTTGCCTATTATTTAGTTAAGTTGTATTTATTTACATTTATGGTATATTGATAAGCAGTGTTCATAGTGATGTCCTACCAGCCTACATGGCAAAGTAATTCCTATTGTATCTTCTCGTATTTAGTTTGCTACTGATAATTTTTAAGTGTTCCCCCTCTTTTTAGTTTGATCCCATTTCCATCAGTTCATTCTGCCACTACAGTGAACTCTTTTAAATGAAAACCAAATCACGTCACCTCCTGCTTAAAATCCTTCAAACATCACTGTCACCATCAGCAAGAAATCCAATACCAGAACCTGTAAACTTATCAGGGAAAATTCCCTGAACAAGCAGGCAATGTTTGTACTCCATTCTACCTCACTGTCCTCCATCCTCGTCCCCAACAGAGAAGGTCCAGCCATCAAATAGGGATAGCAGTTGGCAATGACAGTTTCTAAGTACATTTGGTTTTACCAAGAGTCCAGTTCAAGATGATTGGTATTATAAACTCATCCAATAATTAAAATTTTGCCCTATTTGTTACCCTTAGATATCATATAACTAGAATATAGTTATCATTTCTTTTTTAATTTATTAATTTTATAGATATATACCATGCATAAATATTTATGAAGTAGATGAGATTTTGATACAGGCATACAATGTACAAAAATCACATAAAAGTAAATGGGGTTGCCATCACCTCAAGCAGTCATCATTTCCTTGTGTTACAAACATTCCAATAGTACTCCCTCAGTTACTCTAAAATATACAACAAATTCTTGCTGACTGTAGTCACCCTGTTGTGCTATCAAGTACTAGAAGTACTAGGTCTTATTCACTCATTCTAACTATATTTCTCTACTCATAAACCATCTTCATTTTCTAATAATCCCCCAACCTGTACTACCCTTCCCAGCCTCTGGTAACCACTAATCTATATCTCCATGAGCTCAGTTGTTTTAATTTTTAGCTCCCACAAGTGAATGAAAGCATGCAGAGTTTGTCTTTCTGTGCCTGGCTTATTTCACTTAAGATAATGTCCTCTATTTCTATTCAAAACTTGCAAATGATCTCGTTCTTTTTTATGACTGAATAGTACTCCATTGTGTATATGTACGTGTATTAGTCCATTTTCACACTGCTGATAAAGACATACCCAAGACTGGGCAATTTGCAAAAGAAAGGTGGTTAATGGACTCACAGTTTCACATGGCTGGGGAGGCCTCACAATCATGGTGGCAGACAAGAGAAGAGAGCTTGTGCAGGGAAACTCCCCTTTATAAAGCCATCAGATCTCTTCAGACTTACTCACTGTCATGAGAACAGCAGGGGAAAGACCTGCCACCATGATTCAATTATCTCCCACTGGGTCCCTCCAACAACACGTGGGAATTGGGGGAGCTACAATTCAAGATGAGATTTGGGTAGAGACACAGCCAAACCATATCATATCACATTTTATTTTTTTTAACATTGATAATTTTTATTATTATAGTATTTATGAACAAATGACAATTCTGAATATAAAAATAAATGAGCCAATTCTCATCCTTTAGTCTTTTGCAGTGTCCTCAGGTCTCCACTCAAATTTTTCTTATAAGTCAGGCACAGAATTTGAGAGTTTTTAAGAAGCACTAAAAGTCATAGTGCCTTAGGATTCCTACATTTTATCTTGCTAACCCTTTTCTTTTTTTTTTTCCTTTTCTTTTTTTTAAATTATACTTTAAGTTCTAGGGTACATGTGCACAATGTGCAGGTTTGTTACATAGGTATACATGTGCCATGTTGGTTTGCTGCACCCATTAACTCGTCATTTACATTAGGTATTTCTCCTAAGGCTATCCCTCTCCCTGCACCCTACCCCGTGACAGGCCCTGGGGTGTGATGTTCCCTGCCCTGTGTCCAAGTGTTCTCATTGTTCAGTTCCCACCTATGAGTGTGAACATGCATCACACCACATTTTCTTTATTCATTCCTGTGTTGATGGATACTTAGGTTGCTTTCAAATTTTGGCTATTGTGAATAGTGCTCCAATAAACACTGGAGTGCAGATATCTCTTCAGTATACTGATTTTCATTCTTTTGAGTATATACCAGCAGTGGGATTAATGGATCATATGTTAGTTCTATCTTTAGATTTTTTAGGAACCTCCATACTGTTCTCCATTGTAGCTGTACTATTTTATCATCCCACCAAGAGTGTACAAGTGTTCTTTTTTCTCTATGTCATTGCCAGCATTCAATAATGCTTGTCTTTTTGATAAAAATCATTTTAACTGGAATGAGATGATATTTCATTGTACTTTTCATTTGCATTTCTCTGATGATGAATGACGTTGAGCACCTTTTCATAGGCCTGTTTTCCATTTGTATGTCTTCTTTTGAGGAATATCTATTCGGATCTTTTGCCCCCTTTTAAATCAGATTAGTTTTTTTTCCTATAGAGTTGTTAGAGCTCCTTATATATTGTGCTTATTAATCCCTTGTCAGATGTGTAGTTTGAAAATATTTTTTCCCATTCTGTGAGTTGTCTCTTCACTTTATTGATTGTTTCTTTTGCTGTACAGAAGCTTTTTAACTTGATGCGATCCCATTTGTCCATTTTTACTTTGGTTGCCGGTTCTTTTGGGATATTGCTCAAGAAATATTTGTCCATGCCAATGTCCTGGAGAGTTTCCCCCATGTCGTTTTGTAGTAATTTCATAGTTTGAGGTCTTAGATTTAAGTATTTAATCTATTTTTATTTGATTTTTGCATACAGCAAGAGATAGAAGTCTTGTTTTATTCCTCTGCATATGGATATCCAGTTTTCCCAGCACCATTTATTGGAGAGACTGTCTTTTCCCTATTGTATGTTCTTGGTGCCCTGGTTGGAAATGAGTTCACTGTAGATGTATTGATTTATTTCTGGACTCTCTATTCTGTTGCATTGGTCTTTGTGTCTGTTTCTATGCCAGTACCATGCTGTTTTGGTTACTATAACTCTGTATTGTAATTTGAAGTCAGGTAATGTGATTCCTCCAGTTTTGTTCTTTTTTCTCAGGATAACTTTGGCTAGTCTGGATCTTTTGCGGTTCCATATAAAAATTAGGAGTATTTGTTTTCTGTTTCTGTGAAGAATGTCATTGGTATTTTGATAGAGATTGCATTGAATCTGTAGATTGCTTTGATTAGTATGGGTATTTTAACAATATTGATTCTTCCAATCTATGAACATGGAATATCTTTCCATTTTTTGTGTTGTCCTCAATTTCTTGCATCAATATTTAATGGTTTCATTGTAGAGATCTTTCACTTATTTGGTTAAATTTATTCATAAGTATTTAATTTGTAGCTATTGTAAATGGAATTGCTTTCTTGATTTCTTTTTCAGATTGTTCTCTGTTGGCATACAGAAGTGCTACTGAATTTTGTATGTTGATTTTGTATCCTGCAGCTATATTGAACTTGCTTACTGGTTAAAATAGGTTTTGCTTTTGTTTTTTTTGTTGTTGTTGTTGGTTTGTTTTGGTGGAGACTTCAGGTTTTTCCAAAAAAAAAAAAAATCATATAATCTGCAAATGAGAATAATTTGACTTCTTCATTTACAATTCAGATGCCTTTTATTTCTTTCTTATGTCTGATTGCTCTACCTAGGACTTCCAGTATTATGTTGCATAACAGTAGTGAACAACAAACTTGTCATGTCTCAGATATTTGAAGAAAGGTTTTCAGTTTTTCCCCAGTGTGATACTAGCTGTGAGTCTGTTGTATATGGCTTTTATTGTGTTGAGGTATGTTTCATCTATACTCAGTTTTTTCAGGTTTTTATCATGAAAAGATGTTGAATTTTATCAAATGCTTTATCAGTATCAATCGAAATGATCATATAATTTTACTCCTTCAGTTTGTTGATGCGATATATCATATTGATTGATTTGCATATGTTGAACCATCTTTGCATCCCTGGGATGAATCCCAGTTGGTCATGATGAATGATCTTTTTAATGTGTTGTTATATTTAGTTTGCACATATTTTCTTGACAATATTTGTATGAATATTTATCAGAGATATTGGCCCGCAGTTTCTTTATTGGATGTGTCTTTGTTTGGTTTTGGCATTAGGGTGATAGTGGCTTCAGTGAATTAGTTTAGAAGTATTCCCTCCCCTTCCGTTTTTGGGAATAGTTTAAGTAGAATTGTTAATAGTTTTTCTTTAAATGTTTGGTAAAATTCAGCAGTGAAGCCATCAAGTTACAGGCTTTTCTTTGCTGGGACACTTTGTATTATAGCTTTGATGTCATTACTTGTTATTGGTCTCTTCAGGTTTTGCATTGCTTCATGGGTTCAATCTTGGTTGTATTCTAGGAATTTATCTATTTGTTCTAGGTTTTCCAATTTATTGGCATACAGTTGTTTATATTAGTTTCCATTTTCATTTGTTTCATATGATTCTTTGATTTTCTGTGGTATCAATTGTAATGTTACCTTTTTCATCTCTGATTTGGAGTCACCTCTCTTTTTTTCTTAGTTTGGCAAAAGGTTTGTCAATTTTGCTTATCTTTTCAAAAACCCGGCCAGTGTGGTGGCTCATGCCTGTAATCTCAGCACTTTGGGAGGCCAAGGTGGGTATATCACTTGAGTCCAGGAGTTCAAGACCAGCCTTGGCAACATAGCAAAACCCTGTCTCTACTAAAAATATAAAAAATTAGCTGGGCATCGTAGTGCACGCCTGTAGTCCCAGCTATTCAGAGGCTGAGGTGTAAGAATCATCTGAGCTGGGAATACTGAGGCTGCAGTGAGCCAAGATTGTGCCACTGCACTGCAGCCTGGGCAACTGAACTGAGACCCTGTCTCGGAAACAAAAAACAAAACAAAACCCCCAAAACACTTCTTTTTATTCCCTTGATCTTTTATGTATATATCTTTGTTGTTTCAATTTTGTTTATTTCTGCTCTGATCTTTATTATGTCTCTTCTATTAATTTTGGGTTTGGTCTGCTCTTGCTTTTCTAGTTAAGATGCATAATTGTTTATTTGAAGTTTTTCTATGTTTTGATGTAGGGACTTATTGCTATTAACTTTCCTCTTAGTACTGCTTTTGCTGTATCCCAGAGGTTTTGGTATGTTGCATTTCCATTTTCCTTTGTTTCAAGCATTTTTTTAAATTTCCTTCTTAATTTCTTCATTGACCCATTGGTCATTAATAAGCATATTGTTTAATACCTATGTATTTGTATCATTTCCAAAGTTCCTGCTATTAATTTCTATTTTTATTCCATTGTGGTCAAAGAAGATACTTGATGTCAATTTTTTATTATTTTTAAAGACTTATTTTGTGGTCTAACATATGGTCTACCCTTCAGAATGATCCCTGTGCTGAGAAGAGTAGTATGTATTCTACAGCCATTGGATTAAATATTCTGTAAATATTTATGAGGTCCATTTGGTCTGTAGTGCAGATTAGGTCTAATGTTTCTCTGTTGATTTTCTACCTGGATGATTTATCCAATACTGAAAGTGGGGTGTTGAAGTCTCCAACTATTATTATATGGGGACCTATCTCTCCCTTTGGCTCTAATAATATCTGCTTCATATATATGAGTGCTACAGTATTGGGTGTATATATATTTATAATTGTCACATCCTTTTGCTAAATTGAACCCTTGTCATTATATAATGACTTTGTCTTTTTATAGTTTTTGTCTTGAAATCTATTGTATCTAACTATTCATGCTCTTTTATAGTTTCCATTTTCACAAAATATCTATTTTCATCCCTTTATTTTCAGTCTATGTATATCTTTACAGGTAAAGTATGTTTTGTGTAGGCAACAGATCATTAGGTCTTGTTTTTTAACCCATTCAGCTACTCAATGTCTTTTGATTGGAGAGTTTAGTTTATTTCCAGTCAATGTTGTTATTGATAGATAAGGACTTACTACTGCCATTTTTAATTTGTTTTGTGGTTGTTTTGTGGATTTCTCTTTTTTACTTCCTTTCTTCCTGTTTTCTTTTTGTGAAAGTGATTTCCTTTGTGTATTTTAATTTCTTGCTCTATATTTTTGTGTGTGTCTCTTGTAGGCTTTGATTTGAGGTTACCGTGAGGCTTGCAAATAACATAATCCATTATTTTAAACTGATGACAACTTAACTCTGCAAAAACAAACAAGAAAAGTAAAAACTAATAAAACTTGACACTTTATAATCCCTCTTTTAAACATTTTGCTGTTTCTATTTGTATCTTATTATACGTCTATGTCTTAAAACACTGATATAGCTATTATTTTTGATGAATTCACCTTTTAGTCCTCCTACTCAAGATGTGAGTAGTTTACACACCACAACTACTGTATTATAATATTCCTCGTCTGTGGACTTACTGTTACTAGTGAATTTTGTACCTTCAGATTATTTTTTACTACTGATTAACATCCTTTTCTTTTAGATTGAATAATTTCCTTTAGGATTTCTCATAGGACAGATCTGGTGTTGACAAAAATCCTTCAGCTCTTGTTTGTCTGGGAATGTCTATGTTTCTCCTTCACTTTTGAAGGATATTTCCACTGGATATAATATTGAAGGATAAAAGTATTATATTTTTTTTCTTCATCACTTTAGATATATCATACCACTCTCCCCTGGCCTGTAATGTTTCCACTGAGAAATCTGTTTCCAGAAACACTGGAGCTTCTTATATGTTATTTTTTTCTCTTCCTGCTTTTAGGATTTTCTTTATCCTTGATCTTTAGCAGTTTGATTTTTAAATGTCTTGAGGTGGGTTATTTAACCCAAATGTCTTATTTGGGTTAAATTTGCTTGGTGTTTTATAATCTTAGTGTACTTGAATATTGATATCTTCCTCTACATTTGAGAAATTCTCTGTTATATCTTTGAGTAAACATTCTATCCCTATCTTTTTCTCTACTTCCTCTTTAGGGCTCATAACTCTTAGATCTGCCCTCTTGAGACTATTTTCTAGATTCTGATGGCAGGCTTTATTATTTTTTTCTTTTGACTTCTCTGTGTATTTTCAAATAGGCTGTCTTTGAGCTCACCAATTCTTTCTTCTGCTTGATCAATTCTGCTATTGAGAGACTCTTATGCATTCTTCAGATTGTCAGTTGAATTTTTCAGCTCTAGAATTTCTGCTTGATTCTTTTTAATCATTTCAATCTCTTTGTTAAGTTTATTTGATAGGATTCTGAATTCTTTGTATTATGTTGGATTCTATTGGGCTTCTCCCTCAAAACAGCCATTTTGAAATATCTGTCTGAAAGCTCACATATCTCTATTACTCCAGAATTGATCACTGTTGCCTTATTTAGTTCACTGATGAGGTCATGTTTTCCTGGATAGTCTTGATGCTTCTGGATGTTCATCAATGTCTAGGCATTGACAAGTTAGGTATTTATTCTAGTCTTTGCAGTCTGGGCTTGTTTATACCTGTCTGTCTTAAGGAAACTTCGCATGTATTAAAAGGGAATTGCATTGTGACCTAAGTCTTTGGTCCCTGCAGCCATATGTGCATTAGGAGGCACCCCAATCCCAGTAATGCTGTGACTCTTGCAGACTCATAGAGGTACCACCTTAATGACTTTGGGTATGATCTGGGAGAACTCCCTGGATTACCAAGCCGAGTCCCTTGTTCTCTTTCCTTACTTCTTCCCAAGCAAATGGAGTCACACCCTCCATGCTGAGCTGCTTGGAGTTGTGGGGAGGGGGATGCAATTTCTCCCATGGCTGCCACTGCTGGGACTGCACTGGGTCACACCTGAAGCCAGTATAGTACTGTGTCTTGCCTAAGGCCTGTGGAGACTATTTCCTGGCTACTGCTGATGTTTATTCAAGGTCCGATCACTCTTTAATAAACAGGTGATGAATCCCGGCAGCACTGAGTCTTTCTTTTCAGTGCCACAGGTTCCTTTCTGCCCCTGGATGGGTCTAGAAGTGCTGTCCAGGGGCTAGGACCTTGATTAGAGGCTTTAGGAATCTTCTTGGTGCTTTATTATACTGAGGCTGAGCTGGAACCCAGGTTGCAAGACAAAGTCCTCCCTACTTTTTTCTCTCCTTTCCATAAGTAAAAAGAGACTCTCCCCATGGCCACCACTCCAGGCTGGTGGTGGCTACTGCCTGGTTATCTCTGATGCTTATTCAGAGCCCAAAGACTCTTTAGTTAGTAGGTGGTGAATTCTGCCAGGACTGAGTTCTTCCCTTCAGGGCAGTGGGTTCCCTTTTGGCCCAGGGTGGGTCTAGCAATGTCATCCAGGAGATAGGGCCTAGTATAGGGGCTTCAGGACTCTAGTGCTTTATTTTACTATGGCTGAGCTGATATACAAGATGCAACACAAAGTCCTCTTTCCTCTCCTCTCTCCTCCAGGAGCTGTGAGCTGCACTGCTTCCTGTTGGGGGGATGGAGGGTGATGTGAGCACTCCCTTGGCTGCCCCAGCTGGTGTCTTACTGGGTCACATGCAGTCCAAATCCACTGGCTGCAAGCCAAGCATAGCACCCGAACTTGTCCAGGGATTGCACTCACTGTGGCGTGGAATGCCTTTTGTGTTTATTTAGGACCCTAGGGTACTTTAGCCCATAGTAGTGGAGCTAGCTGGAATTCGGGTTCCGATTGCTGGGATGGATAATTCCCTTATGGCTAGGGCTAGTCTAAATGCTCCCTCCGTGGATACTTGCCAAATCTTGCTGTGTTGCTTTCCACTGTGATAGGGCAGCACTGAGTTCTAATGCAAAGTCCCACAGTCACTTTGCTCTCCCTCCCCCAAGCACACAGATTCTCTCTCCATGCCATGCCGCTACTGCTGGGGTATGGAAGAGTAGTGGTGTCAGCAATTCACAACTGTCTTAACTGTACTCTTCCGTGCGTCATTCCTTGATGTGATTTTCAAATCAGGTCCTATGATCATTCATCTGATTTTTGGTTCTAATGAAGTTTCTTTCTTGTGTGATGGTTGTTCAATTTGGTGTTCCTGCAGGCGGGGATGATCACTGGAGAGTCACATTTGTCCATTCATCTTGCTCTGACTCCTCTCCATTTATCATTCCTATTCAAATTCAAAAAGTTAAGTTTGCTAATAGTAATATTTTTACAAAGGGCTGTTAAGATTTTAAAAAATGATAAAAAAAGCCCTAGATAAGAAGAGATCATTTCACTTACCTTTTTGTCAATGTATTCAGCCTCCATCCTATTTATCCTATCCTGGACGTTAATATGAATGCTACAAGTAGATATCTTTACCTTATTTTTCTTAATTTTTTTTATCTCCAGAACTGGCATCCCATTGTACTTTATACCTGTTCACATCTATTTTCCTCTCTGCTTACTCCCTTTCAAAGACTTCAGGTCTCCATTCTTCCATGAATGTGTGGATTATATGTCATTACTCTCCGAAGATACTGCATCTCTTAAATTTTCTGCCACTCGAAGTCACTGAAATTCATGAAGTCAGAAAGAGTTTAATATTCTTAAGGTGGAACCTAAGGTCTTATCTTTACAGAACTTCATGCAGTCTACTTATGGCAACTTCCTTTGTTGTTCTGAAATCACTGGCCTACCTGCCAGAGAAAGATTCAATTCTTCTTCCTCACTGATTTCAACATCTATTTCACAGGTTTTTTTTTTTTTTTTATCCTGTAGTTTGGCTTTGTATTTGAGATTGTCAATTTTATTCCAATTATTTAGAATCCCAATCTGCAGTCTTCATTTCTTCTTTTTAATAAAGAATTCCATTAGTTTTATTAGCAAGAGACTAGCAGGAGACTATATATTTCAACCTTCCTAGCAACTATTTTCTTTTTTTCATTTTTTCACATGTGCCATGTGACTAAGTTCTGGCCAATGGGCTATGAACATAAGAGCTGCACTACTTTTTGCTTCCCCATCAGCTACTTGCTGTAAGCTTCCTCTTTGCTGCTTCTTGCAGACAAATTCATGGACATAATTAGAGTTTGGGCTATTTGGAGGGTAAAAACACCCTAGGGATAGTGGAGGGACAAGATACAGACAACCTGAGTTTCTGGGTTATGTTGTGGAGCTCAGCTGCTACCAACACCTGTATGAATTTAGACTGTAAAATTAGAGAGCAGTATACCTGTTTTAATGAGGGTAAATCGTGGTCTGCTTGTAAAAGCAGCTTTACCTGTGAGTTTTGCCAACCTTACAAATAATCTTGATGGCACTTCTCAAATCTCCGAGAACATATTTCCTTCATCCAAAGATAATCTTTTTTTTTTTTCATCTTAGCCACCTACATACTATAGTAATCTCTGCAATTGAGTAAGTCAAATATCAAAATCCCTCCCTGGTTATAATTTTCTGTGCATGTTAATCATTACATACATCTTAAACTCTCTCCTCAGCACTGTAATTCTAGACTGACTTGCCTCTCTAACTGCCTGACTTCCAATTTAGAAGGGATATTAAGAGACAGTCATGGAGGAAAAAGTAAGCAAATCCCCTAAAATAGGGAAGGAGTATTTACCAGTGACATACGTTACTGAAAAGTTAAAAAGATGAGCATGTATATCTTAAGAAGACTGTAGATGGATGTAGAAATTCAGTGGTGTGGTGTGTATGGTACTTGGATGACTATAAAGAATAAGTAAATATAAATAGTGACTAATTCTAGAGAGTTATGAATGTAGGGGAAGAAAAAAGAAGGATAATAAATCTTATTCTATTTCATATTTCAGTCACATAATTATTTTACTCCTTTAACTCCCTAACTTCACTTTTGCTTCCTCTGCCTCTCCCCAACACTTATTTTTATCTTATGCTCTTACCTGACTCAGAAAATTTGAATGTCCTGATGGATCAGATCACTGCTCATTTTTTTTCCTTCTTCATGTCCACATTTTTTTCCATATATGTATAAGCACACTCTTTATTTCCTTTTGTTTTGAAGAAGCATCTCTCTCTGGTTAACGTTACAATCCACGTCTGAAACCATGATTTGTCATTGTCTACATTCTCTTAGACTTTGAGCAACTATCCTCTCTTCATCCACAGGCTAGTTATCCTTCTGTACTGACCCTTTTCCTTTGTCTATAATAGTAAATTCATGTCTCTTCATTCTAAATGAAATTTCTTACCCTGATCTTGATTACTTTCAAGCTACTTTCCTCTATCACCTTTCTTCAGTCACCAAATATTTTGCAGGAAGAGCTGTGAGTTTCTGCTTCTTTTTCTCTATTTTATAGTACCATGTGATCTGGCACCTTTCTCAACATTCTCTCTCAGTAACTCATAAGTGATTTCCTAATCACCAAACGTTACAGTCTGTATAGTTTCCATCTGCCTTACTCTTCTTTTTGCATTTTTGTTCAATTTTTAAATGTCTGAGCTTAATTTATCTGTAAGTAGAAGTAATATTAACTGTAAAATTTTGGGGTGTACATAAAGAGATTAGAGTGACTCATAACCTGAAATGTAACCACTGATGAAGTTAGGGTGAATTGGTAAGGTTTTCTTTCCAATCTCTCAAATGAGCCATTAAAAAATGTTTCCATGGTTATAAAAAAATTACTGTGGTTTTAGTGTCAAAATATATAAACTTAATCCTGTCAAGTATGTATTAAAACACTCTATTTAGTATAAAAATAAATAATAACATATATTAAGTTGCCCAGTGTTATGGAGCATTTGCCAATTGCCCTCGAATTACTACAGATATCACTGCATGCGTTCTGATGCTGTTTTAATGAGGGAATAATTTTTTTTCTATTTCCTTCAATGAAGATGCCTTTCTTTTATAAAATGCTGCTTCGTACATTTGATGCATATTAAATTATACATTGTCTATTCCTAATGTTGCTACTCTTGATGCTTTAAAATCCTATTTGCCTGTGTAAATTTGTCCATTATTTTAATTCTAACATTTTTGCCAGTCACTTATTATTTCCTTTTATTTATTCATTCATTCCCACAAGCAATATTTATTCTCATGTCAAATTTGTGTCTTCCGTTAAGAACATAATAGTGTCTTAAATTGGCCCAGTGTTTGCCCTCACAAGGTTTATAGTCTAGTGGATGATACAAACCAACAGATAATTATAATGGAATTGTAGTAGCAAGGAAATGCTATATGCTGTAAAAATATATCATGTATCTCTAAACTAGAATTGGGTGACTAGGAAAAGTTTTCTATAATGGGTACAAGATAAAGAACTCATCAGGCAAGGAATAAAACAGGGAAAACTTTTCCATCTGTAAGAATGAAAGAATAATATAATCTACTTTATATGGCAATTTTGAGGATTAAATGAGTCACAGACACTTACAGAAGGCATGGCACATAATAAAATACTCTGTATATGTGGAGACAAAAGTGACTCCATCTTGGATGCTAATCCACCATGTCAACTTCTGATTAGCCCCAGTCCTGTGAATGTCTCCTGATTCCTACTTTACTATCCTTAGTGTAAGAATATGTCAACCTTGATGTTATTGCACAAATTATAGGCTATGATGCATATAGCATTATTGTCTGTTCTGGAGGATTGCCTTTAATTGTCTTGCACAGGGCACTTAAATATTTTCTCTATTGCATATAATCCCTGGTTCTGGGTTAGCAGGTAAAAAGATCTAACTGTCTCACAGCCACCCAAGACCATGCTTCTGCCTGTAATTTCCCCCAATAAAACACCTTTTACCAACAAACTAGATTTGTCTGCCTTTTTCTTAGGCATTTGTGGCTACTTTGCATATATGGCCTTTTCACAGAATTGTATGTTATAGATGTAACAATTTTTAATTTTTGCCCTTTCTGTATTTTATATTTTGATTTTTTAGTTTTGATTCCTTTAAATATTTTTGCTTGCTTTGTGATGACTGATTTGTTTTTATATTATGCACATATTTTGTAATTACTATCCTACTTCAAATTTCAAAAATCTTAATACTTTCTATCTTATTTTTCCTGTCGAAAGAATGAAGATTCTGTAGTGCTTTGGAGCATAAAGAATTTAAAGTTTCTATTTAGGTCTACACCAACCCCTGCCTGGTTTCAAATGATATAGCTATCTATTAAAAATGTTAAAAATCTTTTCAACAAAAAGTGTGCACATATAATATTTTGCAAATACATTTGCCGCACATTTTAAAATATATTCTCTGTATAACTCTTTTCAATGTCCATTACTAGTCTTCCCATCCACAGTTTACCATCCTTGATTGTGTTTATTTGTTTTGTCTGTCAATCACTTATGATTCCTTTCAGAAAAACTTTTTTCAAAATAGTGGTCAGTTTTACTAGATTGGTCCATATATTGCCTTCATATTTGAACAACAGCTTTGCTGAATATATAAATTATGAGTCATGATCTTTCCTCTCAACCCCTATGGATATGGTTCGCTTGTGTTCTGGCATTTGGTGTTTGAAAGGAGTTTGGGGGCATTCTACATCTTGCTTTTTCTGTGTTTGAAGCATTCTTTATGTTTAAACTTTGCCACTGTCACCGAGCAATCTTTTATTGTGTGGCTCTTGTTATTAATTTGCTTGGAACATGACTGGTCTCTCAATCCCAAAATACAATATTTTAAAACTGGATAATTTTCTAGAATTATTTATTTGGTTATTATTTACATTCCATTTGGTCTACTTCCTTTTGGGGGTATCTCTTATAAGCCTGGTTTTCATTTTGCTTGGCATTTTTTTCATTTTCTCTGTTAGCGTACTCTCTGCCCTTTGTCTTTGGATTTTTCTATTTCTTCCCAGTTTTGTCCTGTAAATCACTAATTAAATTTTCTGCAATGTCAAGTCTGCTAATTATTGATTCAGACTAAACTGTTTTTTTTTTAATTCAATATGTGTTCTCTTTATCAAGAGTTTTTCCTCATCTTTGTCATCTGTTCCTATTTCATGTTGGCAATGTTTCAATGATTTGTTCTTAATTCCTCAGAATGGGGAATCTACTGAGTCAAACCCTGTTTTCCTTTTCTTGAATTAAAACTTTCTCATATGCTTTTTATTGTTCTTTTGGTAATTTATCTTTTAAAAAATCAATGTATATTTTATGTCATTTTATAAAAACTTCTGGGTTTTGTCACAAATTGTTGCAATTCTTTATCCATATCCTTCATAAAGAAATCCATCAAGTTACCACTGCTTCAGTGCGCATCCTGAAAATCTTAATAGAGTGTTTCACTTTTTGCACAGATTTAACATGTCCAAACTAGACTAAGAATCATCATCTTCTTCCCCTTCTGAACACCCACAACTGTACTATCATTCTGCCGATCATCCAGCATCAATCAGAGTATGTTACTCTTCCTTTCTTTGATCATTTTATAAAGTTATTGTTATCAGCTCCACAATAATTCATGTGATGCTTCATTTACATTTGTGCTTTTCCTTCTCATGTTACCCTTTTATTACTTTAATAACCATTCTCTTGGCATTGTCCTCTTTCAAAGCAACCTATATATTATTGTCAGGTTATTCTTAAATCTAAGCTCCAACAATGGATTTCTTCAGAAGCTTTAAGTATGTCTCTTTTGTGTGTCGAATTAACTATATACTCTTCATAACATTCATGGCTTGTCACAATAACCCAGTATTGAGCCAATTCACATTTAAAGCCTTATCTTCCACTACCCAAAGCATAGTATCGATTGGCCCGCTTGTCTGCAAGCAAGTATGTGGGTGCCAACTTACAGACATGCCCTAGAAGGCACTTCCTTCCCAGTTCATTACAATACTACAAATATATATTGAGCTCTTATGTTATAAGCCAAGAATACCTGGTTATTTGAAATTTTTAAAAAAATGTATCTCATTAACTTGCAGGTGACTCAGGTATACAGCCCACAATACATATATAGCATTTGTGATGGTTAATTTTGAGTGTCAACTTGATTGGATTGAAGGGTTCAAAGTATTGTCCCTGGGTGTGTCTGTGAGGGTGTTGCCAAAGGAGAGTCAGTGGACTGGGAGAAGCAGACCCACCCTCAACCTGTATGGGTACAATCTAATCAGCTGCAAGCATGCATGGTTAGAATAAAAGCAGGCAGAAGAACGTGAAAAAGAATAGACCGTTTTAGTCTTCCAACCTACATCTTTCTCCTGTGCTGGATGCTTCCTGCCCTTAAACATTGGACTCCAAATTCTTCAGCTTTGGGACTTGGACTGGCTTCCTTGCTCCTCAGCTTGCAGATGGTCTATTGTAGGACTTCACTTTGTGGTCATGAGAGTCAATACTCCTTAATGAACTCCGCTTTATATATACATCTATCCTATTAGTTCCATCCCTCTACATAACCCTGACTAATACAACATTCTTACCAGTTCAGTTAAAACCCATAGTAATAATATTCTGACTGAAATCAATAAAAGCACAGATTAAAAAGTGGTGAATTCTGTCCAAAGAACTTAATGTAGACTCCTTGGAGAAGATGACGTCAGAACAGTAAGGTAAAAGATGAATTTGAGTTTCCCATCCAGAGAAGAGTAAAATGGTATTCTATAGAGTAGAGACAACATACTTTAAAAGCATAACAATTTTTTATATATTTGGGAAAACAAATACTCTGTCATATTCATCCATGCTGTACACATAGCAAATTCTAGAACATGGCCTGGAACATAGTAGATATTTCTACTATAATATTAATAGATATTTCTTGGATAAATGAATTAAAGACTATCAGACTTGGAAGTATTAAAGTTGCATGATGGAAAACAAAGTTGGAAAGCAAAAAGGCTATATTGTAAATGTATGATTGTTAGTTCAGGAGTTTGGACTTTAATTGATGGGCCATGGAGAAGCAGAGAAAATTTTTAAAAAATGGAATTGGATATTAAAATGAAACTTTTGGTCAGAATTTAAGAAAATAGATATCAAAGCAGATAAGATACTGAAGTAAACAGTGAGACAGGCCATCTTACAGAACTTTACAAATAGGAATTGCACATGGATCAGGTTTGCCCCTCTTAAACTGGTTAAAAAAATCATCAGTCTGTCTTTCTTTCCTCTTGTGCTCAGTTGCCTTGTTCTTGAGGTCTCTTTTCTCTACACCATGGTTCTCAACCTATTTTGGGGGAAAAATACCTTGAGCAGAATACTATGGGAAAACAGTCTCTACTTCTTTCTTTTCCAAATTCATTTTTATCCCTTCCTGTCTGATCAAAAACTGAATGGAATCAACACCACTGAGCTCTTGAGGGGAAAGAAGAAAAACCTGCTCCCTTCACTCTGCTGGAAGCTGGAGGGTGCTAGGTCTCTGTGTGGTAGCACAGGGAGTTACAGCTTTTTTCCTCCTTTCTCTGCATTTTGGGCTTTGAGAGTACACTGTGTCTCTATGATAATATGGACTTCAGCATTTACCAACATGTATCTGTCTACTTTGTCTTGTTTTTAAAACAGAAAAAAACTTAGAGAAGGTCAGCAGAGGGTGGGTTTGAGACGTTTGGGTGAATTAAGTGGGCATTTTGATAAGGTGGCTTCTCCCTTGGAATATTTAATTGAGATGTTTAATGGACATCCTTGTAGTTTAAGTGATGCTTTAAAAATAAATTCTCTCCTAATGATGAAAATAAAAAGATTATCATGAGTATATAAGGTTCATTAAGCAGAGATTGAGAGAGGACTGAAAAGCTATGTAATCTCAGCTCCGCCTATAATAGAGTTGGAGTGTTTTTCTTAATTTTAAAAAGGAAGGGCTTAAGATTACTTAAATATTTTAATAGACACTTTCTGCAACAGACGAGGGGTAAACAGAGACCAGATAGTTGGCTTCCACTTTAAAAATTCTGAAAGCAGAAAAATGGCTGGATAGCTAGTTTAATAGCTAGAGCTAAAAAAGAAGCTGCTTTTGTTGTGTCAAAGAATGCTTGAATGCTTGAGTGTTTTCTCTGGCCCACATGTAGATCAGGAATTAGAATAAATCTAGGAGTACTACATTAGGGTTTAGGTAAAGGGCTACCTGCAGGAGCAAACAGAGTTCACTTTCTCATGTCTAGTATATGTGGGTTGAGGGGGAGGAGTAATTGACTACTCATAATAGAAATTCTTTTGCTTGGGATTAGGGACTAGAGGCTAAAAGATCATCAGTGATTGAGCAATCTTTTGGGAGCACATAAAAGTATTAATGAAGGAAAGAGTATACTTTAGACAGCTGTCAGACCTACTGAACACCAACTGGGGACACCATGAGTTAAATAAGGTCTGCCTTGTCCTCCATTCTCCCAGGCTCCAGCTCTAGAGTGGTAAGATATTTGTGATGATGGAAAGAGAACGAAGCCCAATCATTCCTTCCCCAGCTGTTTTTTTGTACTGTGAGCTCTCTCCTCCTCCTCCTCCCTGGCCTTAATCCTCCACCTTCTGGTGGATTTGACGGGTGGGAGGAAATGATAAATCTTAGTATTAAATTAAGTTGAACTTAAATTTTTCTTACAAAACTTATGTGTTAGCTTTGATTTCAAGTGACCATTTTCTGAGAATGACCAACAGAATCGTGATATTGTCTGAGTTGTCAGCCCATGAAAATGAAACAACTAAATACATTTAAGGGACAATGGGAGACTAAAATAAATTTGCTTTATGATCACATCCCATGAGTCACACTTATCCAATGTACCAGTTACATAAAGAAATTTTTCGAACTTATCTGTGTTTGAGAAATGTCCTTCACATGCTGAAAAAGTAATCATCTGAAATGAGCTAGATGAGTTAGGAAGATCATCCCTTCTTGTCAAAATTCTTATTTATCTTCCAGGCATTGCCTCATATATTAAGCCATTTCTGATTTTCTTCCACTGCCTTTATCTCCAGTTGATTATTTCATTAAGTAAATATTTATTGAGCACTTACTTTGTATCAGAATTTTTCTGACACTTGCAATACACCTGGAAACGAGACAGGTAAAATGCATTATCCACATGGGGTTTAATATTCTAGTTGGCAGAGATTAACAATAAACAATACATATGACACCTGAGTAGCATTCACAGTACACTCAGAGATAACAAGTACAGTAAAATCAATCAATCAATATAGCAGTCTAGGGTCATCATAAGCCTCCTTTAAAGGGAGATTTGAGCAGAGTCTGGAAGACAGTCATATAGTTAGCCATGTGAATATCTGGAGGAAAAGACAATTTCAAAGCTTGAATGTGGAATGGTGTTTGGTGCTTTGTGAAAGTGCAGGTAATTCAATGTGGCTGAACAGAGTGAGCTAGGGGGAATAGTCGTGGGAGATGGGGTCAAAGATGCAATAGCAGCCAAATTGTGTAGAGCCCTGAAGGTCATTGCAAAGATTTTGACGTTTATATTGAGTGAGGAAGGAAGCCATTAGAAGGTTTGAGCAGAGGAATGACATAATATGTTTTTGTTGTAAAAGAATAATTTCTGTGATCTACTGTGGCTGTTTTTTTTTTACTGTTCATATATTTACCATAGCCTTTTTTCGTAGTTATTTGTGTATAAGTATCCTTTTATAAATTATAATTTCACAAACAGTCTATGTCTTACTCAGTGTTGTATCACCTATGTTGAATAACCAGTACTTTATATAAATGACAATCAACCTTCATTTGTAAGAATATAGTTTTATATTCCTTTAGGAAAATAATATTGATACTGTTTGATATTCAAAGAATTATTTTATTAATAGGAAAATCTGCTTATCTTAGGCACATTATTATTTTATGCCAAATAGTATTAAATTGACTGGACAATTACTTTTCCTATGTGTTTGAGTATAGCATAGAAATTGGGTCATCCTACTATACTCTCCATAATACAAAATTCCTTCTTTTAGACCTCTAATCATAACTGGATGTGATTTTTTAAAATTTGTTTGCTTCCTCCTTTATTTTCTGGATCCTCTATAGATCCTGAACTCACTATCTTGTTCACCTTTGAGTGCCTGGTATCCAATGTACTGTTTGACACATAGTAGTAATCCTAGACATTTGTTGAATGCATGCATACAAGAGTGAAATGTCTCCCATTATCATAACACTTTTTACAACTATGAACTATTTGATCATCCTATCAAATGAGAATCATCCAGGCTTATTTCTGTGTCTCATGGTTGGGGTCAGGTTACTAGTAACCATAGCCATTTCCATTACTGTGAAAGTAAGGGAGGAAGAAAAGGGAAGGAAGGAAGAAAGGAAAAGGAAAGGGTAGAAGAGAGAAAGGAGGGAAAGAAGAAAGGACAGAAGGAAGGAATTAAGAAAGGAAGAAGAAAGAAAGGAAAAAGAAGAGGAGAGAGGAAGGAGAGAAAAAGAAAAATTCTTCATGGCTACGAAGACCACTCTTCTCTCATACCCTTTTAACATCTCTACCTTATCCTCTGCACACAATTTGTTCCATATTCCTTTGCACCTCACCATTTTCAATGTTTAAGAAAGTGAAAGTTATATTATAAAATAATACTTCCTGACATGCTTGACATTGAGTGATCAAAAAATTCATATCTCAGTGAGATTTTTGTTCTGTAATAAAGAACAAAACAGCTGCTTGTCAAAGAACTGGTGAGATTTACCTAGCCTCTTTTACATATTGGGCAGCAATCATGCAGAACCTAACAGCCAAGAACCTAGTGATTAATGTAGCTGACTTTGGAAATCAACTTCAGTGAACTCACTTTATTGTAGAATGCTTCTAGACTAAAACTTAATAGGCACTTTCCATGTTTTCTTTCAGTCAGCCTGCTGAGTGCAAGACGCATGCAGGTTTAGAGAGATTCATTATATCATTTGGAATGTTCTAATCCAGAGTTTCAAATTTAAGATTTGAACAGTTCAGATCCATGTGACTTTATAGACAGAGATGGGAAGGCAATATTTCTGGGGAGATAATAGGCATACTTCACAAAATCTGGTGTTCAAAGATCTAACCATTAAATCTGCTTATATAAAAGCAAGACGTTATGGCCATTATTTCCATGCAATGGAAAATGCAGGATTTCCAAAAATTAAAGAACTGAAATCTTATCCTGCTGATATCTCACACAATGTAAGGTGCCAAAAACTTTATCTGTGGTTCTTTACAGAATCTCACATGATAAATATAGCATCAGCTTTGTCCAGGAGATAAGAAAGGAATCCTGCCGCAAGGCAAAAGAGAGTAGTAATATAAAAATCACCAGACCTGATTTTCCCCAATAAAGGTGCAATCAACCACCATTAACTAAATAATCCAGACATGGATCATTTGTGCTGTTATGTGTACATTGAAAGTAAAAAAATGAAAATAACAAACTGAACCTCTTACTGAGGCTTTCTCGACAATTTTGTTGGAGTGAGTCAACAATTACTCTACATTATATTATTCAGTTATTTTCAGAAACTGGCTTAATTATTTTTGTTGGTATGTTGCTAAAACTCTATTACTGGCAACAATTTACCTGACTATATTGGCTTTATTAAGACATTAGCTTCTTTTTATTGCTTAGCATTATATCAGGCCGGGAGTAGAAAAGTTCTCATCATTTAGAGCACTTTTCCTGCAATCAATCAACCCGAGTTCCAGGACTGAGTTCCAATCCTGTCATTTGCTGTCATGTTCTGTTGGTTTGACTTTGATGAATCACTAATTTTCTTAGCATCCACTAATTGTTCTTAGCATCCACTTTGCCATCTGTAAAATGAGAACAAGATTAAAACTATCTTTAAGGCTTGTGGTAAATATTGAAGAGAGTGAATCTGAAAGCCCTCTGTAAACTCTTAAAAAATAAAAACCTACATATGTACAGCATGATATTACTATTACCACATGTTCAAACCTTAAGCCCATACTATTTGTGATCAAACAGAGGTTACCATTTTTTTTTCCTGTTTACTTCTAAGATAAAATTCTGTTTGCAGTAGGTTCAATAATGGCTTACTTAATCAACAATGGTTGAATTATGTTGAATCAAAAAGATATGTCGTTATATTCCCTAGGACTTGCGAATGTGACTTTATTTGAAATAACATGTTTGTAGATGTAATTAAGGATCTTGAGATGAAATGATTCCAGATCTAAGTTGAACAGCAAATCCAAGGATTGGTGTCCTTATGAGAGTAAGGCAGGCAGAGAATGAAGACACAGAGAGACAAAAGCAGAGACTGGAGTTATGCAGCCCTAAACCAAAGAACACCAAGCATTGAGGCAGGCACCAGAGGTCAAAGAACAACATAGGGTGGATTTTCCCTCAGAGCCTCAGAAGGAACTAACTCTAAAAACACCTTGATTTTAAACTTCTAGTCTCCAGAACAGAGAAAGAATCAGTTTCTGTTGTTTTAAGCTACCTAGTTTGTGGTAATTTGTTATGGCAGCCCTAGGAAACTAATGGAATGACAACTGGGGCGTTGTGTGAAAAACTAGTTTACTGAACGTACTCTGCATTCAGAGTTAACAATTAAGAAAAAAAATGGCTCCAAAATGCTTTTGAAGTATTTTCACATTTAAATTGAAGGATGTGAACCTGTTTGGCAAGTTTTCACTGAGGAGAAATAATGAAATTTGAATATTAAAATTTGTTCCCCTTTCAAAATATCAAGTAGGATGAGCTTCAGTTCTAAAAGTTACATTTCATGTTTGAAATACTAAGTTATATTCCATTGTTGAAGTTTAGGCAAAAATTATTTAGAGAAATTTAAGTTTCTTTTCAACTCCTTCTGGTGTAAACAATACATATGTTCATAGGTATATTTTGGTATGCATATAGATTCCAAACATTATATTTGTTTTATTTACTTGGCACTGTATTATTTACAAAAAGAATTTTGAAAGCTACATCTTTAGATTATACTATTTTAACAATATATTTATTAATATAATATGTTAAATATTTAAAATACTTGATACATATTTATGAGCATAAAATATGACCTACTAATGTTTCTTAATATAAAACTTAAATTTTCTGATAAAATGAATCAGAAAAATATTTCTTACATCTTCAACAGTAAGTCATGTTCCTGATTCTGTCTTCAGTCTTGAAAGAACTGACACATTAATTAGATGGCAAAAGTAAGGAGAGATCAGCTCTTTTATAGTTTGCTTTTTCTTTTCTTTTCTTTTTAACTTGGATTGGCAGTTCTTGCCAACCTCATCTCATTTAGTTTTACCTGCTTACTAAATTAGGGAGAGTGGGGGTAAGAGTGGTCCAGAAAGATAGTCTGCAATCAGTCAGCAAAAAGCACTACAAAAGTTTTCTTTCTATTCTTCTGGATGGAGGAGGAATTGTGACCTGAACCATTATATAAGGAAAAAAAGATACGCAAAAATTCCTGGAAATGGATTTGTTTGAATCTTGTCAACTCGAAGTAGTTTTCTGGAAGATACCCAGGCCTGTGATTGAGCCTCACCTCTGCTTGTGGTTACCAAGAAGGATTAGGCCAGGGTTTCTTAATCTTTTCTGTTCCATGTACTTCTTTGGCAGTTTAGGGAGGTCTTTGGATCCTGTTAATGAATTATGGCATTTTTTTTTCTCTTTGCTTGTTTTTAACATTTTATTTTGAAATAATTATAGGCTTACAAAAGTTGCAAAAACAATACATAGGGTGTGCCTGTCTATCACCCAGCTTCCCTCAGTGTTGTCATTTTATGTAACTATGACAATTAGCATTGATACAATACTGTTAACTAGATTATAGAACTTATTCAGTTGTCATCTTTTACATGTAATTATTTGGTTGTATGTGCATCTTTCAGTATTGGTGAGATTATTGACTTGGAATTTTCTGTCTCATTCTACATTTCTCGTATCAGATCTATATTTATCCTGTAGCTATGTCTTATGACCTATATTATCATAATATCTTCCTAATATCAGCTCTGTAGTTATTTCAGATCTGTAAACACTGATAAAAATTCATTGATGATAAAATGATGGTAGAAACTTAAAAAATGAAAGCACAGATCAAATATTCAGTGCATCTGTATTTTTGGAATGCTTGGTGTAGGTACAAAGAGCTTTTTGCTAGGAAAAGGAGATTCTCTGCCAAAGAAGGAAAATGCAGTTCTCATGGCAAAATGCATTAGAAATAACTTACCTCAAATAGAGGATAATACCATATTTATTGCAAGAATCTATCATTCTTTTCATGATACTTAGAAGTTTTGTTTGTTTGTTTGTTTGTTCGTTTGTTTGAGGCAGAGTCTCACTCTGTCGCCCAGGCTGGAGTGCAGTGGCGTGATCTCGGCTCACTGCAAGCTCCACCTTCTGAGTTCACGCCATTCTACTGCCTCAGCCTCCCAAGTAGCTGGGACTACAGGCGCCCACCACCACGCCCGGCTTATTTTTTGTATTTTTAGTAGAGACGGGGTTTCACCGCGTTAGCCAAGATGGTCTCGATCTCCTGACCTCATGATTCACCCGCCTCAGCCTCCCAAAGTGCTGGGATTACAGGCGTGAGCCACTGCGCCCGGCCTGATACTTAGAAGTTTTGAAGTAAAAGAATATTGTGATTGAAGACTTGAATTTCATTTCAAATTTTGGCTCTATGGCCTTAGGTAAATCACTTAACCTTTTGAAGTCTCAGTGCACAGGACTGTAAAAGAGGAAATCCGGTATTCTTCAGGGTATTTTCAAGTCTAAAACGCTATGAACACAAAATAATTTTTTCATAGTCTATGACAAGAGTCTTCATCAAAACTCTTAAAGAAGTAACTTTTTCTTTGAAGGATTCTCCAGTCCTTTTGTATAGTGCCACCTTAAATTAGCTCTCACTGGATTTCTAGTTGGTTCTGCATCCATTCTTTAAGTGGCCCACCATTTTATCCTATTATCTTGTTTGCCTATTTTTGAAGCATGATGTGCTTTTAACAAGTATTTCCCAAATATATTTGATTACAGAACCTCCCACCTACTTCTAACCAAAACTTCTAAGCAAGCCACCTTGGGGAACACTGTCCTCAGTCTTTATCCTCTAGCACCAGAACATTTTTATTTCATATCCCTATCCCACTCAGCCTCCATTTACAGAAGATATTTGATAAACCTATTTCTTTTAGTCTGATATGGGGAAAGGGTGCCAATGCTTCTGCTTACAGTTAACTTATTTGATTAAAAAATATATGCTCTCTAAAGAAAGTATAATAGAGCAACTTGTTTTTCATAATTGGTATTCTATGTAATGTGATCTGCAGGATTTTGATTAGATAAGTTCCAGCTTCCTTCACATCATGTAAGAGAGTCTGTTGGTAGATCATCTATGTTATCCTACCATTTTTATTTATCATATTGATATTTTTGCTATGTAGCTATCATCTTAGGAAACATTTTACTCTCATTTTTGACATTTAAAAAATCTGATTCCATTACATTTTGTTAACTAACAAAAATCTGTTCTTTTGTCTTTGTAGAACAAATTAGACATTTTTATAAGGGCAATTCTTATTCCCTTTCTTTGCTTTCCAATAGCTAGTTTTGTCACTTAACATTGGTGACATGCCTGACTTCGGCTTGAGCTGCTTCTTCCACATTTGGCCTAACACTTTTGAGTCTTCCATCCGGTAGATTTATCTGACATCTATCATAGTGGCCTCCTGACAGCACCTTTACAACACTATTACTGTAAAACTCAATTATATATACTTTATATCCTATCATTCTTACAACTATAACAATCTTCTAAAAATTTGACTTTCTAGCCTCAGCATAGACACTCTGGATCCTGATAGAAAACACTATAATTGTTGTGTCAACTAGAACATACATAAGATTGTCATCAACTCTGTAGCTATAAGACAACTCATATTGATCTGACACTTTATCTTTCCTCCATCATCTCCCTAGTTTCTCAAACCCTTCTGAGACCTACACGTGGTGACTAGCATTATTGCTTACAACCTCTTGGAGGCATAGAAAGATTAAGTGGCTCATGAATCACTCAGCAAACCTGGAACTCATTAATTCTCCTGTGTTCTAAACAAAAAGTCTTAACTGTGCTATCTTTATACTATCACACCTCATATGAGACAAGTCATGCTTCATGTATGAGAATAAATTTCAGGTCCTAAAACACTCATGCCTTCTCAAAGCTATATGCCCTACAATTACAACTCCAGCAAAGCAGTATCTTTAAGCCTCTGCTCAAAGTCTGCCAATGGGGCCACATCTATTTTTCAGATTATTACTTTAACTCCTTACATCATCTTCCTACCTCTACCTTAACTTATTTGTTGACTACTTTACCCTCACACAATCTACTGTCACTCCACTGGCTTCCTTGAGGTTCTTTAAACATGCCAGGCATAGTCCAAACTCAAGGCCATTGTACTGGCTGTTTTCTCTGCCTGGGTCTTTTTTTTTTTTTTTTTTCCAAGATTTTTGGTCTTCAGATATTCAAATGTCATCTTCTCAATGAAGCCAGTCTTGACTATTTCCTTTAAAATCATAACAACTGTTCCCCCACTTTAATTCTCTATGCCTTCCTTTTGTTCATAGCACATGTCATCTTTAATATGCTGTTATTTACTTGTTATGCTTGTTATGCATCATCTGTTTCCGTCAACTAGAAGGTAAGCTTCTCAATTGTAGGAATTGTCTGTTTTGTTTGTTGCTGTATCCACAGCACAATAAATATCAGTTGAATTAATGAATATACATTCTGCCAGTCTCTCTATAGGTTTGCAGACACCAACTATCCCTTCAAACTAGGCATTAGGATATTGTCTGTCTTTCCTAATGGAGAAGGTTAATAATCCTAGGGCTCCCTCAGAGGAAAAGGTGGCAGAACAATAGGCTCACTTTTGCACCTGGAGGGTAATCCAATTAAAAAACCCACCATATTCTAGAATAGAATATAGTTTAATAAAACATTTTGAAAATAAAAGCTTCCTGGTCAGCATTACTTTTATCAGCTGATATGTCTCTATAATGTAGCTCTTCTTTTCAGCTTTGAAATTGTAAAATACTCTTCCCTGGCTACAAGTCTGAGAAAAATAGTATCTAATTGCTATTTCTCTTTAGAGTGATCAAGCTACAGGGAAATTCACTTGTTAGCATTCTACTTTTACATTACTCTATAACTAGAAATATTTTTAATTTACAGGGCTATTTTACAAATGTCTTTCTCTCATTAGATATATTAATATATATGTATATTCATTTGGTATATGTGCGTGCGTGTCTGTGTGTTTTTGGTGAATTTGTGATTTAAAACTTTAGTGTTTGTTTCAGTGCCTGGGAGAATGTTTTAATTGTTTTCCTCCTAAAAGGATGCAAACTGTGTTCAGAGAGGTGGTGCCTCACTTATTCTACAAGATGCAGTGTTCAGGGTCTACTAACCATCATAGAATAGGATTTCTGATCAACCCGGAGAGTGATTACTTCACAACAGGTGGGATATATTTTAAGGCCTCTTTGCTTCTTTTTTGGAGTTGAAGAAGAGTGGGTAAAAAAAGATGGCCCCTTAGATGTTATCTGAACAAGCTCAATCTAAAAGATTTCTCCATTTTATCATTTTATTTCCTTAAAACATCGGCTGGACACAAAGGGAACTTCATTTGGTGCAAATTGCCTAGAGAAGATGTTAATTGAGGACAGTGGTATTGTGTAGCAGTTCACTGGCTCTATCAGAGGTTCAAATTTGTTGATTTACTTGGAAAATTAGAAATGGGAAGGTTGGTTTTTGGATAAGCACTTTTCAGGATTTGCGTTGAGCACTGAAAATGGAAGCAAGGAAGTCAAAGAATAAGTAGAGGACAAAAGATATAGACATATCTCAGGAAAACTATCTGGTTACAAGTGACTTGCTAATTTTCTGAGTACTATCTTTGTGTTCTTCCTGAAGTCTATTATCAAGTAAACAAAATGGGAACTGACTCATTCTGGTGTTTCATAAAGCTTAAGAACAAATCTCTCTCTTCCCTTCTCTCTCACTTCCTCCTGTTATAGACCACAGGCTTTTGGTCACACTCCTTCTCTTTCTCTTTTGTAAGCTAACAAGAAAATTGACTTTATTTCAAGATGTAGAGTCAAGTGGAGTAACAGCACTCTCTGAGATAAGCATTAGGTGTTCTTTCAGGCTGTTTCACAGTACATCTCATTTTCTTGAAAAGTCAGGTTAAATTAGCTAAATAACAATAAGGGGAATGCCCTCAGTTTGAAAGTCAATTGTAGTGATCCTGAAGCATTTTTACAAGGGTAATGAATTAGGAGAGATGTTGGATTTACTCCCTAAAACATCACATTGTTTTTACAAAATAGACTTTGTAAAAGTCTGGTGTGCTGGGCTAACAAATACGCCTTCTTGTGAGTTTCTATATGAGCAATATGAGATGACCATATTCAGGGGTTATGTGGAGGGAGGGAGTTAGAAAGGCTTGGGAGAGGGCAATCCTTTCCTATGGTGCCTGAAAATAAACACGATTCTTTGTTTTTGAGTAAGGACTGGCAGAGCTGTTTTGTGGAGTTCAGATAGTAGACTTTTTAGGCTTTACTGGTCTTATTGTTAGAGGTGGTGAGTATCCGAGCTACTAGCAGCGAATCCGTAGGGGTCTGCAGCAACCTCAATTCTTGTCTCCTCAGAAGAAAGAATTTGACTGTGGGGCATAAGGCAGAAAAAGAGATGGAGCCAAGTTTTAGAGTAGGAGTGAAAGTTTATTAAAAAGCTTTAGAGCAGGAATGAAAAGAAAAGTAGAGTACACCTGGAAGAGGGCCAAGAAGGCATCTTGGAGTACAAGTGTGGGGTTTGACCTTTGACTTGGGGTTTTATATGCTGGCATACTTCCAGAATCTCGCATCCCATTTCCCTTGATTATTCCCTTAGTGTGAGCTGCTCGCATGTGTGGTGGCCAGCTAGCACTTGGGAAGTGAGCATGTGCAGTGTGTTTACTGGAGTTGTATGGATGCTCACCTGAGCCATTCTCCCCTTTTCCAGTGGAATGCCCCCAGAAGCTCATATACCAGTTAAACTTTGCCATTTTGCTTCTTAATGGCATGCTCGAGCCCACTTGCCCAATTCCTGAGATCTTACTGGTGAGAGAAAGGACTAGCTGGATTTCCTAGGCCAACTAAGAATCCCTAAGCCTAGCTGGGAAGGTGACCACATCCACCTTTAAACATGGGGCTTGCAACTTAGCTCACACCCGACCAATCAGGTAGGAAAGAGAGCTCACTAAAATGCTAATTAGGCAAAAACTGGAGGTAAAGGAATAGCCAATCACCTGTTGCCTGAGAGCACAGCGGGAGGGACAATTATCAGGATATAAACCCAAGCATTCGAGCTGGCAACGGTAACCCCCTTTGGGTCCCCTCCCTTTGTATGGGAGCTCTATCTTCACTCTATTAAATCTTGCAACTGTACTCTTCTGGTCCGTGTTTGTTACGCTTGAGCTGAGCTTTCGCTCGCCATCCACCACTGCGTCGCAGACTTCCATCACTCCAGATCTGGAAGGGTGTCCACTGTGCTCTTGATCCAGCAAGGCGCCCATTGCCGCTCCAGATGGGGCTAAAGGCTTGCCATTGTTCCTGCATGACTAAGCGCCCAGGTTCGTCCTAATCGAGCTGAACACTAGTCACTGGGTTCCACAGTTCTCTTCCGTGACCCACGGCTTCTAATAGAGCTATAACACTCACCACATGGCCCAAGATTCCATTCCTTGGAATCCGTGAGGCCAAGAACCCCCAGGTCACAGAACATGAGGCTTGCCACCATCTTGGAAGCAGCCCGCCACCATCTTGGGAACTCTGTGAGAAAGGACCCTGTGGTAACACTGGGAAAGCTGTTGATCACCAGTTTCAGGTGTTTTGATCCATTGGGAAACTGCCATTCCCTGATGGTGGCTGTGACCAAATTTATTTGAAATATCAATCAGAAAAAAGAAACAAAAATTAATATAGTACTAGATTAATATAAATAGAGAGTTTATTTGGGCCAAGTTTGAGGACTGCAACCCGTGAGACATAGATTCAAGTTGCCCTGGATATATATGCTCCATAGTAGCAGTTACAAGTGGCTTTATAGGGGAAAAAGTTTTTAAGTTGATGTAAGCTATTGACTATTGTATTAGCTTGTGAACCCAAAAGTATCTGAGACAGGTCTCAATCAATTTTGAAAGTTTATTTTTCCAAGGTTAAGAATGCACCCATAACACAGCCTCAGGAGGACCTAATGTCATATGCCCAAGTTGGTCAGGGTACAGCTTGCCTTTTTTGTTGTTGTTGTTTGAGATGGAGTCTCACTCTGTCACCCAGGCTGGAGTGCAGTAGTGCGATCTCAGCTCACTGCAACCTCCGTCTCCCCGGTTCAAGTGATTCTCCTCCCTCAGCTTCCCAAGTAGCTGGGACTACAGACATGCACCACCACGCCTGGCTAATTTTTGTATTTTTAGTAGAGATGGGGTTTCACCATATTGACCAGGATGGTCTTGATCTCTTGACCTCGCAATCTGCTCTCCTCGGCCTCCCAAAGTGCTGGGATTACAGGTGTGAGCCACTGCACCCGGCAAGCTTGCTTTTATACTTTTTAGGGAGACAGAATACATCAATACCTGTAAGATGTACATTGGTTACATATGGAAAGCAAGACAACTTGAAGTGAAGGGGCTTCCTGTTCATAGGTAGATTTCAAATATTTTCTCATTGACAATTGGTTGAAAAAGTTAAGTTATTATTTGAAGACCTGGAGACAGTAGAAAGGAATGTCTGGGTTATGATGATAATGGGTTGTTGGAGTTTTATCACGCAGATGAAGCCTCCAGGTAGCAGGCTTCAGAGATAATCAATTGTACATATTTCTTATCAGACTTAAGTTCTGTGTTGATGTTAATGCTGGTTGGCTTTTCCTGGATTTCAAAAAGAAGGACAGTATAATGAGGCAAATGCAGCAATAGGTTTGGACAAAGGGGATATGATTTAATGGTAATAAATGGGGAAATCTTAGGAAGCCCCATTTGTTTTGATTATTCTGTTTCCCTATATCTTCAGAGATGAGGATGCTCCTTTCCTACAGATGTAGAACAGGTACCTCTAAGGGTCTTACTGTTTCAAGTGAAGGTCAGAAAATCCTTCCTAGATTTTATGACCTGCTTCAGGGGAGAAGGACAAGGGAAGGAGAGAGTAATCTTTTTGCTTCTGCTATTTTCTCAAATGTCACAGTGCCATAGTTTGAGGTAGTGCATCCTGAAACTCATCACTTTCAATAGAACATTTGATGGTCACTGGATTTTTTGTTTCATATCATTCTCATATGTCATGAAAAACTCTTCATTTTAAAAAAATTATTCAAAAATGCACAAACTATTCTTAGCTTTTGGACTCTATAAAACCCAAAATTTAGACAACAGACCATAGTTTGCTGACCCTTGTTTTAAACCTACAAACTGATATATGCCAAGGCTAGTGAATTTTATCAACGCACTTTTACACCTGGTCTAAAGTGGACTTTTTTGGGTTTTAGAAACGTCAAATTTATTAAAATATTTGATTTATACTATGTGTAATAGTCACTGTGGCTAGACTATAAGTAAATGTGATCCTAGTCCCAAAGGATTTATCAGTCTCTAGTAGGAGACAGATACCTAAACAATTAAATATAATTCTCCACTGAAACAAAAGTTAAGTATAAAGTATATGTAGAAACTTAGATTCAAGAGTGATTAATTTTAACTGAGAAGAATGGAGGACTCTGGAGACACTTCACAGAGTTAATGAGATTGAGCAAGACCTTGCAGGACTGGCAAATGAATGAATGATTTCTACCCACTAGACTGATTTGTTTATAGCTGTAGCCTCTAATATTCCATAGTTAAGGCAGCATTTGGAGCTTTAATATTAGTTTCAATTTATCTGCAACAATTGGATTGTTTTTCTTGGTGTGCATTTTATAGAATAAGCTATATTTTCCTGCTCATACAGGATACAACACCAAAACCTTCCTGAAACCAGATAAAATGTTAACTCTCCTTGACAGAAATCAATTAGAACATCAAATGGGTAATTGTTTATATTCTGAAAAGCAGCGTAAACTATAATGGAAAGAATAAAAAAAGCTAAAAATAAAATTGCAGAGGCAGTTTCTTCATTCAGTCATTTATTCAGTCAAATACTTATCGTGATAAATGCCTAATAGGTGCCAGTGACGATTATGAATGATGGAGATATAGTAGTAAATAGAAAAATTTCATGAGTATGTTCTAGGATAAGACCAATAATAACATCAAAATACTAAGAAAGAATAAAAGGTGCTCTGAGAATTAAAAAATAATAACCATGGAAACGGGGTAGAGATGAGCTGGAAGCAGAACATCTTTGATAAGAGAGCCAGAGAAGGCTTTCTTGAGATGATATTTTATCTGAGATTTCAATGGATTTAAGAACTCAGCTATGAGCAAACTTGGGGCCAGAGAATTCTGAGCCAAAGTAACATTAGATTCAAGGGAAGGTGCTTGGTAGTATCTTCCACAAACAGGAAGAGGGACCTGCTTAGAGAAATACATTTACTGAAAGATGGTTATAACCTGAAGTGGAAGATAATATTAATCTTTAATGGTATATTAAGTAGTTTTGATGTTATTTTCATTGCATTGGGAAGCTATTGAAGTGTTTCATGCAGTAAAGTGATATCTGATTTATAATTTTTAAAATCTGCTGTTGTGTAGAAAATGAAATGTAGTGGAACAAAAGCAAAAGTCTCTTGCAGGTGACAATTACTTCCCATTACAGTGAAAATGCCTTATACCAATTGTCTGCAGTAAGAATGGTCATAATTTTTATGCTTGTAAATCATTCTAAATGTTTTCTTGAATTTTTGAATAGACAGAATTGGCTAGCTTACAAATAAATGTGCTTATTGGCAAATGGACCAATTTGTACATATGGGCCATTAACATTTATAAGAATATGGGCCTACATCTATCATAACTAAAACCTCACCGAAATGTATATTGAAGTCTATTACCAAGATTCTAGTCAGTGTCTGATTTTAAGATATTTGTTGTATATCTTCTTTAATAAGCAATTTTGCTAAAGAGCGATATATTCCTACCCTTAAGAGTGTGGTCTACCTTTTTTAAAAAAACCATCTTAAATTTTCACAAATTTTGTGAAATCTTTCTGAATCTTCTGCTTTTGTCCATGTTGCTGGCAAATGCCCTGATTCTTTTCTTAATGAATGAAACATTTAGCTGGCCAGCTGGTCCATTTCCAGTAGCATCTTTTGCTATGATGAGTGTCATTTCCATGCTCTCTCACCACAATTAAAGTTGTTTTGACAGTCCTCTTTAGCCATGTTCAGGTTTTTTCATAAGCCCTGCTCTTACAATCTCTACTAGCTTTTAAGTGTGTCGTGTGGTTAGTAAATGTTTGGATCAATGATTCCAGAAGTTATAATAGCTAGTATGTGTGGTGTGCTTATTAAAAGTCTAACAACCTATTGAGGGAATTACTCTTATTT
This sequence comes from Homo sapiens, assembly GCF_000001405.40. Lineage (NCBI taxonomy): Eukaryota > Metazoa > Chordata > Mammalia > Primates > Hominidae > Homo > Homo sapiens. Next base: position 78,463,694 of record NC_000012.12, read on the forward strand.
TCCATCCTTATAGATGAGGAAACTGAGGCTCAGAAATATAACTTTCCCAAAGTCTCACAACTAGTAAACTGATGGAACAGATATCCACCCCTCTCTACCTCTTTGGCCACATCTTCAGTTATATTCCCTTTAGACTTGAGGCTTCCTCAGAGCTGGGCCATGCAAAGTTCCCTGAACACACCTCTGGTTCATACTTTTGTGCCTTAGAACCAAGGCACATTTTATGTGCATGCAACCTGTGCAGTTGCACAGATCTCACACATATGAGAGCCTTGCACTTGATTGAATGCTGTGCTATAGTGATCTGGAAGTTCTTAATAGTTTTATCTTTGAACATATGTTTTAATAATGAAGTTCAAAGGAACAAAGGATCGTGAGCAGGAAGGATAAATAAAGTATGTGTGCCCAACTTTGCTTGCAACTCCATTTGCCTACAGGGCAAATAGATACTTTCCTATATTAGCTAACCACATTGGCTAAAAATTATGATGTAGAAGAAAAGGGAAAGATAGGGCCCCATAATTCCTTTTTCTTTCATTCCTTTATTTTTCTTCATTTAGCCTGAATACAGTGTTGGTAGAATGTGTGTGTATCAAGAAGTAAAATAAAAACAGATGAGTTAGGTTTTTGCAACATTTCCATTGTTCTGATAAGAGTACAGAATATATATGCACATATGATTTGAGAAATACAAATTATGTAATTCAGGGACACCCTACATGAGTTAAATGCTCTTACATGTACATTTAAAATTTGTATTGCTGTAAAGATGAGTGATATAACTCATCCTCATAATTTAAAATATTATTATTATTTGCTTAGAACAACATTAAATGACAAATAATAAACATCATGGTAAGTTGAGGGAAAGACCCTGGAAGAAAAAAAAAAAGCCCTGTGCTTTAGGCAATGTTCCTATATTGTGTTTGCCTTTCTATCTTTCCTACTAACTATAATGTGCTTGTAGATAGATACTGTGTTTCCCAGTCATTATTTATTCATTTAAAAATACAACTGAGTGTCTACTCTATGCCAGCCAGTAAGCTTTATTTATTTTCATTCCTAGGAATAAGCAATGTGTGAAAAGAAATAGATGATAAATAAATATTTTGTAGGCAACCAAATGGATGAAATAAATAGGAGTCATAAATGTAGCTGAGTGAAATCTAATCATTATCATGGCTTTGAGTGGAAAGAATAAACCTAAAATACAGAAATATATTTACCCATAATGATTTTAATCAGTTTATCTGTACTTTTTAGTTCACTGTCAGAGATTCAAAGAGGCTTCTGGATGAGTTACCTCAGAGTTATCCACAAGTCATCAAGTGGCAAACTTGGAAGAGTGATGGTAGAATATTGGATGACAGTGTCTACTAGCAGAGAAGTAAGACTTTCTGCTTTTCAGCTCCACTGAGCTGGATATGGACAAAGTGCTAATGAGAGCAAAATACCCAAGAAGTTACTAATGAGTAATAAGGGGAACAAAATTGTTATTAAAAAATGTCCTTAAAAAATCCTGGAGCAAAACATCAGGCAGTGGAACACGGCTTGAAATGCTGTGATGGAGAACAACAGCGTATATGGTAAGCCATATGCATGATCAGAACAGGGACAATTTTTTGTTCATTTTTGTTTTTCAGATCAAAATGTCTAACAGTAGATGTAAAGTGGATGCAATGTCTGTATCCAACAGACATTATGTGGCTTTGAATTTAGGCACTGTAATTATAACCTAGAAGACTCTGTAAGAGTCTTCATGGGAAAATCATCACAGGAAGAAGAGAAACAAGTTGCAGCAAAAGTCACAGTGGGGTAGCTGGTGAGTCTACAGTGATGCTTATGACTGACTGGGGAATCTCTAGTGTGTATTGCTAAAATGTTTACCTGTATCCTGATGTCAAAGAAGGAGTTAATAAAGAGCTTTGAATAGGATAATTAAAGGATTATCTTAGCCAAAGGACAGAATTATGAGGTACAGTTTTAGAACTGAAGGAGTTGAAATGAGCCAAGTAGATATTTTAGGAAGAGTATTTTAATCAGAGGGAAGAGTAAGTACAGTTTAGAAACTGCAAAGTGGACCAAGTGGCTGAAATGGGGTGAGTTTAGGTGAGATTTGTAGGAGATACAAATCATGAAGGTAATCCAGAGGAATCTGATCTCAGAGGGGTTGGAACTTTGATTTTTATTCTACTTCCAGTGGGAAACCATTGAAGTGCTTTGAATGAATGACATATCAGTTTTCTATTTAAGAAGGATTGCTTTGGTTGGTTGGTATAGACTTAAAAGTAGAAGCAGAGAGATTGGTGAGACGGTGGGACATAACCCAACAGAGATGTCATCTAGCTCGTTGTACATGATTTGAATTGGAGATGAAACTATGGGCAAAAGGAGACCAATTAGAGAATTTTACAAGAAAAGAACACACACAAACATCCAACAGGAATATATGTATTTTGAATCTCTTAGGTACAAGACTGGATTCAGTACTAAAATTATAATCTCCATCATAATCCTACAGGGGAAGTTAAGTAGTCCCATATTACAGAACAGGAACATTGAGATGCAGGGAGGCTAAAGACTGTCACACGGTGGATTTGTTATTCTGAATCCTTCTATCATGACACCAAATTACTGCCTCAACAATCAGAGAAAGTGGCATTATGCTCCTCCAGCTGGGAATAAATTAAAATTGACAACCAAAAAGTATGAACAACTCAAAAGTTTTGGAAAATCTCATCCATTCTCATGGGAATATCATCGGAGGTGGGGGGTATAAATCTATGCATGGGTACATGGAACAAAGATACTCCGGGATTTCCCTATAAATTTCCCCCGACTGAAGTTGGCACTTTCCAACTTCTTAATAGCTCTGTGCTTTCAAGAATAGAGCAATTATGAGTTTAGACAACAAACAAATACAACGGGCATAGCATGGATTATTTGGCTCCAAATTAGTTCTTTTATCTCTTTATAGAACTCTTCACATTTTGTAATTGGATATTTGTTGTATTACTTAAGTTCTTTAAGGACAGGGACTTTGCTTTAACTGCAGTCACAACCCTAGTTTGTAGTACAGTATTTGATACATTTTCAGTACTAATGTGATATTCATTGAATGAAGTAACAGAAGACTATGACAAAATTCACTTGGGTTTCATGAGGTAGCCTGACTTTACCTTTCTTTGGTATTGTCCTTCCCTGTGAAAGAAATTCACATATGGATCCCTTCCCAATATTTTACTATTAAACTCAGGCCAATGACAAGAAGAAAACTGAAAGTACATTTTGAGGACTGTGAAGGATAATCTTTCTGGAAACAAATGTAATAAGCTATTTATGCATATTCTTTTTTATTCTTTAAATATTCAATTGGCACCATGAACTTGAGTTCATTTCTGTATTGCCCTTACACAAAAGAAGTGAAGCACCATGAGCTTGACCTCTTCATTTCTGTATCTTACGTGAAAGAGGGCTTGGTTCATAGCCTCACAGGATATTCTTAGTAAATATTTGTTAAATGAATGAGTAAATCCTGTTAGGATTATGTATCCATTCAAAGCTCTGAAAAATACAAAAGCTATAAGGTGATAATAGGTTTAAAAAAATGCAGCTGCTGTCATGGGGCAAATGTTAGTTTTTATATTGTTCCTTGCCTTGTAATGACAATCGTAGCACTTAGATATTTAGGTACTTCTTTGGACCTGCCTGAACTTTCTTTGATATGTGAAATTCTCCTAGTCATAAGCTAAAGTTTGAATATGAAAGTTATTCAGAGAAAGAATATAGCTGCGATAGAACAGTGTGGGCCTTGCAGAATTTTTTAGTAAAGTGAAAAAAAAAAAAGCCTTTTCAAAGCCCAGCAGTTGCTACTATGTATTTGACCCACTGTTTCAGCCTGCAATTTCATATGTTGTGCAAACTCTAATAGAATATAACACCACCAAGAGAACAGTGTTCACTTGCTGAACCTTGCCTCTTGCTGATAGAATATAAAGAGCAAAGAAAATTTTAGGCTGAGACTTCAGCTTCAAAAGACAAAACATGTAGGTTGCCTCTAAGCAGGAGTGAAACATACATTTCAATGGAAAAATGGGATGTCAGAGGTCACAACTGCTGTGGAACACATCTCAAGGAAGAATCAATATCAAAATGATCATTAAAGGTACCATGGAGTTCACAGAGGCCAGAGCAATAACACTTCAGGATGCTGAAAAAGAGGGAAGAGAGGAAAAGTTTTCCTGTGTGCTGGGTAAATGTGCTTTTATTTTTACCCTTGAATATAAAACACAGTGGCAAAAAAAAGTTATTAAAAGGGGTATAAAACTACAAATGTTCTTTCTCTTATTGAGCAAGATGGTCCTAACAAGTACTCATTAGATAATACTCTGTTCTGAAGAATACACTTCCATGATTGAAGTGGATTTTATGTGGAGTATTGGACGGTAAGGGGGAGGAATTGAATATATCAGTTGAAACTCTTGCTTGGGCAACTGGTTGATTGGTGCTACCATTCACTGAGTTAGGAAAGGCAGGAAAATGAACTGATTCCTGTGAAAGATAAGAGGTTTTGGGGGCATGTTCTGGTTGGGGTATATTGTTTTGTTCATTATCCAATAACCAATGCCCAGCAATGTCATGACATCTAGAAGTTGCTAAATATATATTTGTTAAATAAATGAATGATATAAACGGAGCTGTTAAAGACATAGTTTGAGAGACTTGGGCTGAATAGATTTGGGAATCATTAGTACTCAGGTGATAATTCATGGGAATTTAAAAAGATCACATACAATCACATACAGAGAGATAAGAACCAATGATAAACTTTTAAACTTCTCTATGTTACTGGCAACAATTTTTCTCTCTGTAGTCCCTAGAGTTGAACAGACACATTTCAAGCCTTATCCAAGTTTAGGACTTTTGGAAAGCATTGCAGTTGCGAATAAGAGAATGTGCTTGGAATCTTACTCTTGTGCATTGAAGAAGGATAAGAAACAGGAAGAAGTAGAAGAATAAGGTAAATATTTTGAGTCTCTGCTGATACAATGTGCGATTATAGCTTTCACAGCTATCTCACTTAATTGCTATATCAATTGTATGAGGAAAGGAAGGCAGACATTAAGCTGGTATTCACCATATAAGACTGTTCTGATTGGTCACACTTCTTTTCTGATTGGTATGTGCCTGTGCCTTAACTAATTGATAAATATTTTGAGTTTAACCCTTGGAGGCAGAGGCATTGTTGACCACATTTAACAAATGAGGCACAGAGACTGAAAGTCCAAGGTCATAATGTTTGTAATTATTTTAGCGGAGATGTGAAACTACTGGGCATGTATGTCATCAAGCCAAGAGCAGCCCTTAACTTCTCCCTCTGAGCATTCAATTATTTCTCCTTTAGCCAATGGCAGAGAAGAAACTTTTTAATAGAGGGCCAAGAACTCTGTATATGTAGACGGTGGTCTCTGTCAAGTTCACCTCCTAGGCGAGTCTCTTCTTAGTGGGCCAGTGGTTGTTTCTAGTTAGAGCTCCCCACAACATATCATAGGCATTGTTTAGTTCTGTGGAGTCATCTTGTATCCCATCTGGTGTACCCTCTTATGTTAGCCTTTAAGTTACTGAATCTAAAAAGCATGATTAAAACTGGCTACCTTGTAGTTGCCCTCCAATAGGTATCAAATACATTTTAAACACAGAACTTTCTCACAAATTTATTTTATGTAACAAATATCTACAAAGCTGACTTTTGTTGTCTATCCTTTTTGAAGTCTAGAATTACTAAGTTTTAAATGTGTAGATAATCATGAAAGTGGTGCGTCAGTAAAATGCTGAATAGCATAGTTAAATGGGATCTGGAATTGCTCTGATGGGGAATGTTCAGAGACAGAGATGACAGCTACTTAAAGGGACTCATTTAGGTAATTTAAATTGCTTGCATATTGTGTATAAAACATTCTATCTTCTTTAATAATGAGCAACAAGTTGAAAGCCTAATGGAGTAGGCAAGACTGAAGTCCCATTTATGATGAATCCTTTGATAAATCAGCCCTAAAATTTACATTTTATCTTTCGTATTCTTAAAAGTAGATAAGCAGAAAATTTTTTGGAATTAGTTTTAACAAAACCTTTTGATTAAAATTTTCTTTGTTGAAACTTATCTCAAAGATTTTTTAATAGTTAAAATCAAATAACAGAACATTAGATTTGGAGTCATTTTTCTCTGCAAGAGCTCATAGAAATATCCTTTTAAAAATATTTCAGCTAAAAAATCAGCTATAATGGCAATAACAGTATCATAAACACATTTTTAATTAACATTGCATTAATTAAGAGCACATAGATTAGAATCTAAGAAAATGTATGCCCATGAGTTTATTTGCAGGTGTATTAGTGCAAGTTTATCAATATTTTAGTAGTTTTAATTATTTCACAGAGATTTAGAATCTACTCATTAGAGTCTGATGAGCACAGGGACTATCTGGAGAAAGTGTGAGTTATATCCTGAAAATATCTCTAACATCAGTTCCAGTTGTGGCCTATAAATAGTATCAATCTCTCTATCTCCCTCTCCTTCCACATCTGATAATTCTGAGGACCAATATATTCTAAGTAAATGATTTTATATTATATTTTCTTTCTCCTCTTGAAACTTTATTGGTTTAATCCAAGGTCTCATATTTTTTTTCTGACACTCAGCATTCCATTTCCCATTTTTTGCCTTTTTAACAAGGGTACCAAATTCCCCTAGCTACAGTCATTTTTTTTCCAGTGGGTATTTAGCCAGTCCTGACCAAAGTCCCCCTGCTCCCCACTCCCACACCCCAGCACAGCAATTTGTTCAGGGATGGGACTGTCACTCAAATTGGTGCAATCAGACTGAACCTTGGGTTGTGTAATATGGTTACAGAGAAGAGGCACTCTCATCCTGCACAGAGTAGAACTTGGGAGGATGTGGCCCTGCAGCAGATGGTAGCTGTCTGTTCACTTGAAAGAGCTATGGAAAATTGACACTTTCCTTTTGGATTAGAATTTGAAGAATATAGCTAGAGGTCTCTGGCAGCTTTCTTGCCACCAGGTGGAGCCTGAGATAAAACCATCATGAAGGAAAGCAGAGATGTCAGATAGAATGAGTCCTGGGAACCCAATGTGAACTCAGTAACTGTTTCATGAAGTTACCCTCATGAGACAATTTTACTTGAGATTTCTGTAGCTTGTGACCAATGGATGCTAACTGATCCATCTTTAGTCAAAAGTGCAGATTCCGTATCACGAAGTTCAAGTTGCTTCACAATGAGCATTTGATTACTCTCTTCGGTGTCAGCTGTCACTCTGTTCCATAGCCATACAGTTTACTGCCAGACAAGCTGAATGTCTCACCATTTGCCCATCCTTTCATGATATTTTGCCTTTGTGTACATGGTAAATTCCCACTCATTTTTTGATCAGCTCAAATATACATTTTCCAATAATATTTTCTCTAACTCTCCAAGGATGAATTATCTATTCTCTGATTCTCTAAGGATTTTGCTCATATTTTGGTTACTGTATATAGTAAGAAAAAAAATTGTTTAATACTCACTCTCACAACTTTTCTGATACCAAATATGAGTAGGGGTTCCCACACCAACCAGTTCTTAGCTGACACCAGTAATTTAACTCACTTCTTACACTAACTACCTGGAGTTAGCACAGACCCCACAGATTAAGGGCTCAGTCCCATAAAACTACCCTCATTTCTCTCACCAGTCACAAGTCCAGAGCCTCCCGTACTGACAAGCTATTAAACAGGAGTTCTCACAATCCTCTCTTTGGGTTTGATAATTTGCTAGAGTGGTTCACAGAACTCAGGAAAACAGTGACTTAATGAAACTGCCATAAAAAACCTTAAACAATAGGGTTTAGAGAGTTCCCAAGCTGTTGCCACATAGAGGTACTGTGAGGGTGGCATGCCCAGAGAGGGCATGGAAGCCCCATGCACTCTCCCTACCACATCTTACCCTATGCATCTCTCTCATTTGCCTGTGTCCTTTATAACAAAATAGCATATGCATTGTTTTTATGCATCTCTCTCATTTGCCTGTGTCCTTTATAACAAAATAGCATATGCATTGTTTTGTACTGTATTTATGAACTGGAAACTGTGTGTTATTAAAGACACTAGAGGTTACAGCAATGCTATCAGAGTAGCAAGAAGAAAAGTCACTGCGTCTCTTAATAATCTGTTGACAGATTTAGACCTGAGAACATTTTGTGAATTAGGTTAAATGTGCTAACATTTTGAAGAAACTGAAGGATTAACTTTTAAGCTCATTAGATCTGCAAATGGCTAAGAAATAATGCCTAGCTACTAAAAATAGATCAATTTCTTTTTCCTGAAGGCTTCAAATGGCATGTTTATTAAGTGTGCACTTAGAAATTTTTTCATTTATGTTTATCTGGTTTTTGCCTTCTTTAAAACATTTCTGAAATTGCCTGAACACAACACAGAAATGTTGCAAACGCACACTCTCACACCTCTAATTTCCTACCTTTGAAATAAATATTAAAATGGTGTTCATGTTTGATTTAGGTACATCTGGCTGGGGCTCAGAGTATGGCCATTCTCTCCAAATTGTTTTAATTTTTTCATAACTAAGAATTTGGAGAAGTTAACAGACATAAGTTTAGGTAATTAAGTTGTACTGCTAATTAGGAATAGTGGTAGACTATGTGAATGATGACTTACAAAGGTCATAAGTGAAAATTAAGGGGCATGTGAAATAAACTTAAACTGAAAGTATAAGTTTAACAGGGAAATGGATACCCTACATAGGATACCATATATACCACACGTTTCTATTTATACTTGCAGTTCTACCCATTTAAATAATTTTAAATCAATGCATTCTTTAAAAAAATTAAGATAATTGAAAACAGTGTTTATCTAACAAGGTTGCTGGCACAGTACTTTCTAAAGCAAGAATTACCGATTTGTATTATGTATTTAAGTAGTAGGGAAACCTCTAAACTGCAAATTAAGACAGTTTTAACTCAGAATTCTCTTCTTCCAAATTGCATTATTTAGAATAAATTTTAACTATATTCTCTACGTGTTATGTGAAACAATACTCCACTGGACTAATTCTTTCTTTGGGGGTGGGGGAGTAGCAAAGGAAGTTTTGGCTTGCTATCAGCCACATGGGTACAAGTACATAAATAATTTAAAGTCAGGTGGTCGGCTATGGTGGCTGATGCCAGTAATCTCAGTGCTTTGGGAGGCTGAGGCGGAAGGATTGCTAGAGGCCAGAAGTTTGAGGTATGCCTAGGCAACAAAACTAGACCCTCTGTCTTTACAAAAAAGAAAAAAAAAAATAGCTGGTGGCTATGGTATGTGTGTGTAGTCCCAGCTACCCGCGAGCTAGAGGCTGCAGTGAGCTATTAATATGATTGTGCTACTGTGCTCCAACTTGGGTGGCAGAGCAAGACACTGTCTCTAAAAATTATAATAATAATTTTTCAAAAGTCAGGAACATAATAAGCAGGTTGTTGTGACATCCCTTTTCCCCTTTGGCACAGCCTTCCCACGGACACCATTCCCTGCTCCTACCTTCAAAATCTTGGAGTGTGGGAGTCAGGAGTCACTTCTTGGCAGCTTCTCCCTGGGCTGCCAAATCTGCCTCTTTCTGATCAGCCAGGAATATGGCTTGCTCCTTCTGGAAAGCTGCCAGCATTAATGAAATCATGTTTGACTCTTACGGTTTTGTTTCTTTACTTGAGACTCAAGACAAATTTGAGATGGTGATCTCCTCTCTTTTTTCCCCTACACATTTACCATGCTACACCCATGCCTGTATAATCCAGTTTAGTTTGAAGAGAGAGCATATACCTTTATTTTCCTTTTTTTGGTCTTAAATATACATCTTTATTTTCTGGTTAAATGGATAGGATTTCTAGTTAAGTAGATAAATAAATGATTGCATAAATGTATGAATGAAATAAAGGTTACGTCAATAAAAGAACTGCAGTACTGACCAATGGATCTCCCGAATTGCTCTTTCGGTAAGGGAACAATTATTTAACCCTAACTGACTGTAGATGTCTCCTTGGAACTCAGCCTTTGACATAGATCCTGAATGAACCACATGATGAGCTTTAAATAGTCTGCTTAAATTGATTAAGATAGTAAGTGTTTGCTGGCTTTTCTGAGAAGATTATAAATTATTTTTAGAAAAACACAAAAATCAGGTTGAGAGAGAGACGGAGAGATGCTTCAATTGGGCAAAGCTTTCTGGAGAAGTACATTAGAAAAATATATGTGATGAGGCCCATCCTCCCTGTGTAACTACAACAGTGGTTATATCTGGATAGCATCATTTCACATAGGTTTATTTTCTTCCTTTTTGTTTTCCTATTTTATTAGATTTCTGTGTTTTGCTTTTGCAATCAATGAAAAATAAAATTGAAATTAAAATATTTTAAATTAAAAATATCTGCTGTCTCGTAGATAGCTATAAGCAAAGATCTCATCGTTAAGAAATCCTGTTCTACATTTAGAATTCTCTCTTAAACTACAGAAATGACAATTATTTCCTATTTAGTTATGACTCTAGGAGATAAAGGTTTAGGGCACAGTTTCCCAAATTATGTTCAATAGATTATTAATATTCTGAAAGTTTGCTAGTAGGCATTCCTTAAAACCAGGATTCTATAATCAAACGAGTTTTAGAAACTTGAACTTAACTGAACTTAAAATTAACAGGCTTATTTTACAGCTAGTTTCTCAGAGACATTTCATGTAATAATATGCCTTATGATTTCTCCAGGAGGAGATACAATGTGTAATGTTCCCTAAAGCTCTTTCACTAAGAACTTTTCTTACCCAGAATTTTCATTAACACATGGCATAATACAATTTGTGGAAAAAATATAGTGGAAGGTTTCTGCTGCTGCATTCAAGTGGGACCTAATCCTGTGCAATGGTTGCTTGTAATCCTGTGCAATGGTTGCTTGTTTCCAATTTTGCTTTCACATGGCTTTGGTTCACTTTTTACCATTTCTTCATATACTTAAGCATAAAATTATCTTTCATGTTTTCTATTTATATCTGGGAGGTAGAAACAAGATACTTTTTTTTACAGAAAGGATATGTTGTTATGAATTGTACTCTCTCATAATACACACCCAGAGAATTTTTTTTCTTTTGATTTTTCCGAGATGGAGTCTCACTCTTGTTGCCCAGGCTGGAGTGCAATAGCTCAGTATTGGCTCACTGCAACCTCCGCCTCCCAGGTTCAAGCAATCCTCCTGCCTTAGCCTCCCAAGTAGCTGGGATTACAGGCATATGCCACCATGCCCAGCTAATTTTTTTTTTTTTTTTTAATTTTAAGTAGACACAGGCTTTCTCCATGTTGGTCAGGCTGGTCTCAAACTCCCGACCTCAGGTGATCCGCCCACCTTGGCCTCCCCAAGTGCTGGGATTACAGGTGTGAGCCTCTGCACCCAGCCCATTTATTATCAATCATATATGATAAGCATACAAAAAAAAAGCATAAAGAAGACTTTAATGGATACCTGTGTAAGCACCAGATTTTAGAAACAAAACCTTACAGTCAAGGTGAAGTTCTCTAGTCCTCTCCTGATTCTCACCCATTAAAAGTTGGCATCTGTTGAATTTGAATACTTTAAATACATATTTTTATATTTCTAAGACATGAATGAATGGTATGGGTGGCAAACTCACAATCTGTTGGTGTGGGATTTTTTGTATTGTTTAAGGCTTACAATGAATTAAACCTTAATTATAATGACTTATAAATGTCCCATTATTTATTATAAATATTCCATTGGTTCCTGAGAAACATCTATTTTCCAATGTTTGAATGTTCTATACATGTTTATGATATATGAATATATGCTTTTATCCTAGAAACATCTATTTTCCAATGTTTGAATGTTCTATACATGTTTATGATATATGAACATATGCTTTTATCCTATTCATTTTTTCCACAGACCTATCAGCTACTGAGAGGAATGTTTTAAAATCCATGTCCACGTGCAGAAACTTTCTTCATTTTGAATTAGTGTTGTCAGCTGCTTCTTGTAATTCTCTTACTTTTGTCATTTAAAATCTATATTAAGTGCAAACTATTTAGAATTATGTAATCCTTATGATTTAAAATTTTAAATTAGCTGTGTTTCAATTTATCTTCAGTAATTTTTTTAAAGTCTATTATGTTTGATAGTAGACTATATATAGCTATATCTGATTGTTACAACCCTTAATTTTTAATATTTCTGATTATTTATGTTTAAAAAGTGTCTCTTATAAATTCAATATAGTAAATCTTTTTAATCCAATGTGAAAATACCTGTTTTAACTGATAATTTTACTTAATATTTACTGTTTATCAATATACTTGCATTTAGTATTATTAGACCTAGCTTTCAATATATATGTTGCTTTTTCTTTTTAATATTAGAGTACCTCATTTGAAATGCTTGAGATATTTATATATGTGTTGCTCTACTGGTTTGTAAGTTATACCTTGATTTTTAATCAATGGCCATAAACATTTAACATGCATATTTAGCTATGTCTAAAGTAAATTAATATTTCTAAGCTTCTTCTGAACAATTTAGTAATTTTTTTACACCCAACAACTTTTTCAGTTTACATATTATTGTTTCCCAGTCTTTTAATTGTAGCAGAACAATTTTGGTTTTAGCCCCCAAATTATTATTACCATTGCATTATACATTTATTGCTTGTTTAGATGCATCCACATATTTATGATTTTCTTAGGTCATCAATCTAGGTTGTCTTCTGGATTTTATTATTTTTTCTGTCGACAGTCTACTTAAATTTATTTGTTTCTGTGATGGGCCTAGAGATTGACAGAGCACACTAATTATTGGGTTTCTAAGTCATCTTATACTTGAGAAGCTTCAGCTCAGTGCACAAGCCTCTGTCTATTACAGACAAATCACTGCCATGCCATCCTCTGAAACTCTAAGAATTTAAGAAACTCTAAGAATTTAAAAGTGATTTAACCCCAAAAGTAGTGGATAATTTTGATACTAGCTCTTCCCTGCCTTCACCTCCACCTCCACCTCTTGCCTCCCATTCATGATCCCCCCCATTCCTTTATTGACAATGTCAGATACAAAAGAAGTTCCTCTTCAAAGGTTTGGCTTGTTAAGCACCCTTGTTCTTTGTTCTCTACTTCCAAGGGCAGACAAACTTCCTTATCCTTTGTGCCTGTCTTAGTTTCAGTAAACAACCTTCCCACTGGTCCTTATCTACAGAGACCACATCTGCTACCCACTCTATAAATTACTCCTACTGTCACAATAGCTCTTCCCACCAAAAATGCCCTTCTTGCCAGTGTAACCACTTTCCTGCACCTTTCAAGTTAGCCAATCGAGTTCAGCTTAGATTGTGCGGTTCAACTTCAGCCAGTGGAGGGATAAAAACCCCCTTCCCTCCTTTGTTCAGTGCACTCTCGTCATGACCAGACTTGTAAGCAGCACTCTTCTGCAGAAGTAAATTTTGCATTGATGAGAAATCCTTTAACTGCTCATTTTCTTTGTGACTCCAAGCTCTACTTCCAACAGTTCTGGGGGCTTGTGTGGGATCCCATTCTCCTCCAGGGAAGGGTCTCTGGTCACCTCCTGGGAGGAGACATGTCACACTGCCTCATTGCTTTGGCCTCAGGGGCTGGAGATCAAGACCTACCCATTGTGATGAATAAATCCAGGCTCTCAGCAATGCAGGGAGAAAAAGTTTTGTCTATCAACACTGCAGCAACCAGGTAATTCTGTGCACAGACCAAGGTAAGAAAGAAACGTTGCAGGGGCAACAAAGTATCTCCTTGGGGGTTGGGGATATCTTGGAGGTTTAAAGTGCATGAATGGTAACAAGCACTACTGCTATGTGAAGTGAGTCCAATCTGCAGTTCCGTGGTCACCTCGTACAGCTTAGTGCAGCCCTTCGGGGGTCCCCTCAGGGATTTATACTGACCTGCCAATTCTAAGAGGAACCTGAAATATTCCCTCTGGGGAAGTGGCCAGAGAAGATGAAACAAAAGGAGAAGAATGCAAGGAACCTGCAGCAGGTGGGGTTAAACCTCTAGAGAAGGGAAGGCAAGAAATCTCTAGTACAAGGGATTATGCCTCAGCCAGCCTCTAAAGAAGGGAGGGCAAGAAATCTCTAGTATGAGGGATTGAGCTTAACCAGCACCCAAGATAGGAAATACCCCAAGTAAGGCAGGGAGTAAGAAGGATAGAGCTAACAAAAATCATATTCCCCTTGATAGTCCCCTGGTTCTCATGTTAAAATATTGGAAAGATAATGAAAGTACTAAACATAAGAAAAAGCAACAAATGATAAAGTATTGCTGTATTATTGGGATTCAGGGACCCATCCTCAAACCCTCAATTTTCTGGCCGAAGTTTGGGTCAAATGAGGATGTAATGTGTCAGCTTTTAGTTCAATATTTAAATGATAGAAGTTTGGTTTCTCAAGAAGAACTGGACAATGCGCTTTGTTGGAAACAGGTACCTGTCCTCCTTTTTCCCTTAAAAACAAGGGAAAATTTCAACTTAACACCTCAAGAGGAGAAGTCAGACAAGCTAGTCCCCATGCCTAAAGACCCTAATGCATGGGATCCCCTAGACCATCTTCCCCCACTCGGTACCCCACAACCCTTCCCCTCAGGAAGCAGCTGCCATGATAAATCCCATTCTAGATCCTTCCACTGCTCACATTATCCCTCCTCCTTACAACCCCGACTCTTTGGAATTAGCATCTCATGAGCCTGTCCTTTACCTGTCCCTAAGAGGACTCCAACATGAGACAGAGCAATACAAAAAGGATATGCAAAACTTCCCTTGCCCCTGCCACCCAAGTATCAATTTCAACTTTCTTCCCCTTAAGAGAGGTGCCACAGGGAGGGGGAGCCATTGTGTTCATAAATGCTCTCCTCACCGGTTCAGAAGTTTGAAGTTTAAAAAAAGAACTCAAACCACTGTTACATGACCCTTATAGAGTGGCAGATCAAATTGATCAATTTTTAGGACCTCAGTTATATACTTGGGTCGAATTAAAGTCCATCTTAGGTATCCTCTTTTTGGGGAGGAAAGAAGTATGATCGGTAGGGCTGCTATGGTAGTCTGGGAATGTGAACATCTTCCTGGTCAAAATGTTCCTACCACGGACCAAAAGTTCCCTGCCCAAGACCCCCAGTGGGACAATAACAATGTGGCCCACTGGGAAAATTATGCAAGATTTAAGGGAAATGATAATAACAGGAATTCGGGAATCAGTGCCCCAGACTCAAAATCTCTCTAAAGCATTTGATATACAGCAAGGAAAGGATGAAGGCCCTTTGGAATTCCTAAACAGACTGAAAGAGCAAATGAGGAAATATGCAGGCCTAAATTTAGAAGATCCCCTTGGGCAAGGGATGTTAAAATTCCATTTTGTCATGAAGTTTGTCAGACATTTCAAAGAAATTACAGAAAATAGAGAATTGGGAAGACTATCCCCTAAATGAACTTCTCAGAGAAGCTCAAAAGGTATAGGTGAGGAGAGATGAAGAAAAGCAGAAACAAAAAACAAAACTCATATTATCTACCTTCTAACAAACAGATGGCTCCAAATCCATACGCTTCTAAACAAAGCCACCAGGGGCCAGGAACTATAAAGGGTCCAAGCTTCCATCTAGAGAACCAGGACCCAGACCCCCAGTTACCAGGCCCTCTAAAGAGTATGGGAGAGCAAAGTCAAAGAATCCCAGAACAGAGACGGAGGAAGGAGAAGATAGATGTTTCAAATGCAGAAGGATAGGTCACTTCAAAAGAGAATGCCTTGAGTGGGAAAAAGAGAAAGAAGCCATTCCACTCATGACTTTCAAGGAAGAATAAGTGTGTCAGGGGCTCTGTCTTTTTTTATCTCAAGTCCCACCAGGAGCCCTTGATAAATTTAGAGTTGGGACCTCAACATGAGCTCATCATCTGTTTAGTAGATTCAGGAGTGGCTCACTCTTCTGTTTGTTACTTGCTCCTCAGAAGAATTTTTAATCTCCAGAGTAAAAGAAGCAGCATTTAAGGCAAAAATCTTAGAAAATACAGAAGTCAAATACCAAGATCAATCAATCAATTCATATTCAATTTTTGTTAATCCCTGAAGGAGGAACTAATTTATTAGGGAGAGACTTAATGCTAAAATTAGGCATAGGCCTACAAGTTGGCTCTAAAGGATTTCTCACCTCATTAAACCTACTCACCACTGCAGATGAAAAGTATACTCTTCCTGATGTATGGTCAAGGGAAGGAAACTGAGGGAAACTTCAAGTCCCTCCAATACACATCACACTAAAAACCCCCAGGGAAGTTGTAAGAAGGAAACCCTATCCCCCCTAGAGGGCAGAATAGGGTTAAAACCTATAATTAAAGGCCTAATTAAGGACAGGCTCCTTGAACCCTGTATGTCCCCTTACAAAATCCCAATACAAAACCCCAGAAATCAGACAGATCATACCAGCTAGTACAAGACCTCAGAGCTATTAACCAAACAGTCCAGACCACCCACCCCCATTGTCCCCAACCCCTACACCATTCTCAGCAAAATTCCATATAGTCATCAATGATTTACGTTGATAGATATAAAGGATGCTTCCTGGGCATGCCCTTCAGCTGAAGATAGCTGAGACATACTTGCTTTTGAGTGGGAAGATCCTCATTCAGGGTGAAAGCAACAGTATCAATGGACAGTCTTGCCCCAAGTGTTCACAGACTCAACCTTTTTGGCCAAATTTTAGAACAAGTTCTGGATAAAGTTTCCATTCCAAAACACCTCTGCTTGCTTCAATATGTGGACCATCTTCTCATATATGGTAAAGCTATAGAGAAAGTAGCTGGCTTCTCTACACACATTCCTAACCATTTACAATTCAAGGAGTTCTGGTTCTCAAAAGGAAAGCTTCAGTATGTAGAGCCTGAAGTTAAATATTTAGGACACTTAATAAGTGGAGGACGCAAGTGAAGGATAGGGCCCGAATGAGTTGGGAGAATCGTGTCCTTATCCTTACCTCAAACTAAGCAAGAACTCAGAAAATTTTTATGGTCAGTTGGATATTGCCACTTACAGATTGGCTCAAATGCACTAAAAACTAAACTTCTCTACCAAAAACTTACCCAGTGGAAACCTGACCGTCTCCTGCAGACCTCTGATGAGATTGATCAGGTTGAAGAGCTAAAAGAAATGCTCATAACTGCCCCAGTTCTGGCCTTACCCTCCCTAGAACAACCATTTCATCTTTTTATCAGTGTGAATAACAAGGTAGCTTTAGGAGGCCTTACCCGGGAGCACAGGGGCTGCCAGCAACCCATGGCCTTCCTATCAAAAGTTTTAGACCCAGTCATCTGTGAATGTATCCAATCTATTGCAGCTACTGCAGTGTTAACTGAAGAAAGCAGAAAATTAACCTTCAGGGGAAAATTAAGAGTAAGCACACCTCAACAGGTTAGGACTATTTTAAACCAAAAGTTAGGTAGATGGCTCACGGACTCAAGAATCTTGAAATACAAGGCTATTCTGTTAGAAAAAGATGACATACCATTAGCCACTAATAATTCACTCAACCCAGTGGGTTTCTTAACAGGGAATCCAAACCTAAAAAGAGAGCATAAATGTTTAGATGTAATCGACTACCACATGAAAGTCAGGCCCGATCTAAGGGAGACCCCTTTTAAAACAGGGCAGCACTTATTTATAGATGGCTCTTCCCAGGTGGTTAAGGGGAAAAGGTATAATAGGTATTTAACAATTGATGGGGACACTCTGAAAGAAATAGAATCAGGAAGATTGCCTAATAACTGGTCTGCTCAAACTTGTGAACTATTTGCACTCAGCCAAGCTTTAAAATACTTGCAAAACCAGGAAGGGACCATCTACACTGATTCTAAGTATGCCTTCGGAGTAGCCCATACCTTTGGACTGAATTAAGTCTCATTAATAGTAAGGGCCAGGACCTTGTCCACAAAGAATTAATCACCCAAGTATTAAATAGCCTCCAGTTGCCAGAAGAAATAGCCATTTTACATGTCCCTGGACATCAAAAGAGTCTTTCTTTTGAAAGTTGGGGAAATAACCATGCAGATCAAGTAGCTAAACAAGCTGCTTCCTCTGAAATGCCCATCTTTCACTTAACTCCTTGTCTTCCTTCTCCTACTGCAATCCCTATTTTTTTCTTTTCCACTGAAAAAGTATAAGAAATCGGAGACAAGGAAAACTCGGAAAAGGGATGTTACCAGATCAAAGAGAAATCTTATTGAAACCCCTCATGAGAGAAATCTCAACTACATCAGGGACTCATTGGGGACCCCAAGCTATGTGTGATACAGTTCTGAGAGTCTATGGGTGTACAGGAATTTATACCCTAGCCAAACAGCTTACAGATAGTTGCTCAATATGTAAAAAGACCAATAAGCAGACTATGAGAAAATCACCCCTCGGGAGAAGGGATCCAGGGCTAAGACCATTCCAGTGTTCAAATTGACGACACCGAAATGCCCCCAATTGGTCACCTGAAGTACTTATTAGTAATAGTAGACCACTTTACTCACTGGGTAGAAGCTATTCCCTTCTCAAGCGCAACTGCCAGTAATGTAGTTAAGGCATTAGTGGAAAACATTATACCCAGGTTTGGACTAATAGAAAACATCGATTCAGACAAGGGAACCCATTTCACTGCACAAGTCATTAAAATGTTAGCCCAGGTGCTAGACATGAAATGGGAATACCATAACCCTTGGCATCCATCTTCTTCAGAAAGAATAGAAAGAATGAACGAGACTCTGAAAAGCCACCTAACGAAATTAGTCCTAGAGACCCAGCTACCCTGGACTAAATGCCTCCCCATTGCCTTGTTAAAAATCAGAACCTCCCCTTGGAATGATGTTGGCTTATCCCCTTATGAAATGCTATATGGGCTGCCTTCTTTACATTCCACTACTGATGTTCCTACATTTGAAACAATAGATCAGTTCCTCAAAATTTATATACTTGTTCTATCTTCCACTTTCTCTTCTCTTAAAACCAAAAGTCTCTTAGCACAGGCACCAGCCCTGGAGTTCATGTCCTCATCAAAGGATGGAAAGAAGCAAAGCTCAAATCAGCTTGGGAAGGACCTTACCTAGTGCTCCTGACCACTGTAACCATCATCCAGACAGCAGAGAAAGGATGGACTCATTATACCCGAGTCAAAGTGTTGCCACCTCCACAGTCATGGGCCATTGTTCCAGGGGAAAGCCCTACCAAATTAAAGCTAAGAAAAACTTATCACCTTTCCTCACTTTGTAACTAGTCACCTTATTAACGTAACTAGATCAAGCCTACCTCAAGTTACCACTTTTCACACTTGTCTCATTCTGCCCTGTGGGGATCTCCAAAGCCAAAAGGGGTTAGCCTGTATCCATAAGTATCTTTGCCCCTCCAGAATAAACAAAACTGCTTATAATATTGACTGTTATACCCAAAGTGCAGGTGGAGAGTCTGTCATGGTTGGGAAAACGTACTCTGGACTACTGACTATCAAGGCTGGACCTCCCCAAGGGGAAGCTGCATTGATCTAAAACCCTATATCCACTTTACTAAAGGATAACTCCCTCTAACTGTCAGCTTCAGCAGTGTAACACTGTGCAAATCTCTATCACTGCCCCCACCTCCACCAACACTAACCCCACTCTAGGTCGCTTCTATGGCCTAGGAGCTGATTTTCATTCTCAAACAGGCCCAATAGGATCTTTTGAAATGTGTTTCATTGATCCTCCATCCTCTTCCCTTTCTTCTCCAGAGCCTTCTTTCAATCAAACTGTTATTCTTTCCAATAACAAAGCCACAGTCGACATTGTAGAAACTAGAGATTTAGGACAAACTTCAGCAGTTGAAACAGGATACCAAGATACAAATGCCTGGTTGGAATGTATTAAATATTCTGTTCGCACACTAAACAAAAGTGACTGTTAGGCTTGTGCGGCAGGCAGGCTCAAATAGTCCCTTTCCCACTAGGATGGTCTTCTGACCCATTGGGCATGAGCTGCATGGTAAATCTCTTTCAAAACCCCATAGCCTGGGGCAGCAAGGCGTCCAAGACTGAAGTCAAAGGCTCTGTGGGTCAGCCTCTGAGAGCCACCCGGCCTCCAGCCTCAGATGTTGATTTTACCTTGTGTCTTTCACAGCAGGGGGAGAAATTAACATCTCTAGGAGACCCAAAAGGGTGCAATGAAATTGAGCCTTTCCAAGAACTTACCAGTCAAGCTGCCCTTACTCATTCCCAAACAAACGTATAGTGGTATTGCGGGAAATTACTATTGAGTTATCTGCCAAGTAATTGGAGTGGTACTTGAGCTCTAGTTCAATTGGCCATTCCTTTCACTCTGGCATTCCGCCAACACAGCAAGAAAATCAAAACTGAGTTAAAAGAAGCACCGCGCCCAGATCTTTTGACCCTCTTGTTTATATAGATGCTGTTGGAGTCCCACGAGGAGTCCCAGATGAATTTAAAGCTCAAAATCAAATAGCTGCAGGGCTTGAGTCCATGTTGTTCTGGTGGTCAACAATAAAAATGTTGACTGGATAAATTACATCTATTACAACCGAAAACAATTTGTTAATTATACTACGAATGCTATCAACAGAATAGCTGAATAATTAGGACCCACCAGTCAAATGGCTTGGGAAAATAGAATAGCACTAGACATGATCCCAGCAGAAAAAAGTGAAGTCTGTGTTATGATTGGAATCCAATGTTGTACTTTGATCCCCAACAACACAGACCCCAGTGGAAGGATTACCAAAGCTTTACAAGGTTTCACACCTCACTATCACCTGAACAAGCCAAAAATTCTGGAATGACCCCTTCACAAATTTTATAGAAAAGTGGTTTAGTAAATGGACTAGTGTCCTTGATATTAACCTCTCTTGCAATTGCCATAAATGTACTCATTCTCATGGGATGTTGAATTATACCCTGTGCCTGAGGGCTGAGACAAAAACGTATAGAAACAGCTCTCATCAAAAACTCGCCTGATTTCCCCCCTCCTTATTCACATGAGCTTTTTATTTTAGAGGACCAAGTAGAATAACAAAATCAAAACATGTTAAAGGGCTTGAAGAGGAAAAATTATAAAAATTAAAAAGGGGGATACAAAAGATACAAAAGAATACAAAATACAAAATATACAAAAGGGGAGATACAGATACAAAAGAATTTCCTCTTCAAAGGTTTGGCTTGTTCAGCATCCTTGTTCTCTGTTCCCTACTTACTTCCAAGGCCAAACAAACTTCCTTATCCTTTGTACCCCCGTCTTAGTTTCAGTAAACAACCTTCCCGCCGGTCCTTATCTACAGTGACCACATCTGCTACCCACTCATGGCTCCTCCCACCAAAACTGCCCTTCCCACCAGTGTAACCACCGTTTTGCACCTCTCAAGTTAGCCAGTCGAGTTCAGCTTAGATTGTGTGGTCTAACTCCAGGCAATGGAGGCAGGACACAGTGGCAGGGACAAGCTGCGTTAGGGATAAAAACCCCTTCCCTCCTTTATTTGGTGTGTGCTTGTGGGTACCAGACTTGCGAGCAGCACCCTTCTACAGAAGTAAATTTTGTCTCACTGAGAAATCCTTTAAGTGCTAGTTTTCTTTGTGACTCTGAGCTTTACTCCCAACAACAACAAGAGAATTGAGAGAACTTTAGATCAAAATTTGGGGTAGTTTAGGTGTAGTTTCTACATTGGACATTGAACTGAGAGTGAGCAAACCTCTAGAAATGTGACAACCAGGCAACAAAGATGCCTTGACCCTTTGGCTAAAGGAGTCTGGAAAAGAACCCATCTTTTTTACTTAGGGCATAATTCGCCATCATCAAGAGAGAACAAAGCTAGACTAAAATGACTGTGTATTAGTCTGTTTTCATGCTGCTGATAAAAACATAGCCAGGACCAGGAAAAAAAGGAGGTTTAATTGGACTTACAGTTCCACATGGCTGAAGAGGCCTCAGAAACATGGTGGGAGGCAAAGGGCATTTCTCAACATGGTGGCAGCAAGAGAAAATGAGGAGGATGCAAAAATGCAAACCTCTGATAAAACCATCAGATGTCCTGAGATTTATTCACTACCATGAGAACAAGTATGAGGGAAACCGCCCCCATGATTCAAATTATCTCCCACCAGGTCCCTCCCACAACACGTGGGAATTATGGGAGTACAATTCCAGATGAGATTTGGTTGGGGACACAGCCAAACCTATCGTTCCACCCCTGGCCCCTCCTAAATCTCATGTCCCCACATTTCAAAACCAATCATGCCTTCCCAACAGTCCATCAAAATCTTAACTCATTTCAGAATTAACCCAAAGTCCACAGTCCAAAGTCTCATCTGGGACAAGGCAAGTCCCTTCCACCTATGAGCCTGTAAAATCAAAAGCAAGCCAGTTACTTCCTAGATACAATCGGGGTACAGGTATTAGGTAAATACAGCCATTCCAAATGGGAGAAATTGGCCAAAACAAAGGAGTTACAGGGTCTATTTAAGTCTGAAATCCAGCAGGGCAGTCAAATTCTAACACTCCAAAATGATCTCCTGTGACTCCATGTCTCACATCAAGATCACGCTGATGCAAGAGATAGGTTCCTATAGTCTCGGGCAGCTCTGCACCTGTGGCATTGCAGGGTATAGCCACCCTCCTGGCTGCTTTCACAGGTTGGCATTGAGTGTGTGCAGCTTTTCCAGGCCCACGGTACAAGTTGTGGGTGGAGCTACCATTCTGGGGTCTGGAGGACAGTGGCCCTCTTCTCACAGTTCCACTAGGCAGTGCCCCAGTGGGGACTCTGTGGGTGGGAGGGGAAGGGGTCTCTGAGCCTATGTTTCCCTTCTGCACACTGCCCTAGCAGAGGTTCTCCATGAGGGACCTGCCTGTGTAGCAAACTTGTGCCTGGGTATCCTGGTGTTTCCACACATCTTCTGAAATCTAGGTGGAGGTTCCCAAACCTCAATTCTTGACTTCTGTGCATCAACACCACATGGCTCAACACCACATGGAAGCTGCCAAGGTTTGGAGCTTGCACCCTCTGAAACCATGGGCTGAGCTGTACCTTGGCCCCTTTTATCAGTAGCTGGAACAGCTAGGATGCAGGGCACCAAGTCCCTGGGCTGCACACAGCATGGGGACCCTGGGCCAAGCCCATGAAAACATTTTTTCCTCCTAGGCTTCCAGGTCTGTGATTGGAGGGGCTGCCATGAAGACCTATGAGATTCCCTGGAGACATTTCCCCTATTGTCTTAAGGATGAACATTTGGCTCCTTGTTACTTACATGAATTTCTCAAGCCAGCTGGAATTTCTCCTCAGAAAATGGGGTTTTCTTTTCTATTGCATCATCAGGCTGTAAATTTCCTGAATTTTCACAGTTTCCCTTTTAAAATGGAAAGCTTTTAACAGCACCCAAGCCACCTCTTGAATGCTTTGCTGCTTAGAAATTTTTTCCACCACATACCCTAAAAATCATCTCAAGTTCAAAGTTCCACAAATCTCTAGGATGGGGCAAAATGCCACCAGTCTCTTTGTTGTAACAGGAGTCACCTCTGCTCCAGTTACCAACAAGTTCTTCATCTCCATCTGAGACCACCTCAGCCTGGACCTTAATGTTCATATCACTATCAGCATTTTTGTGACAGCCATTCAACAAGTCTCTGGCAAGTTCCAAACTTTCCGACATTTTCCTGTCTTCTTCTGAGCCCTCCAAACTGTTCCAACCTCTGCCTGATACCCAGTTCCAAAGTCACTTCCACATTTTCAGGTATCTTTTCAGTAACGCCCCACTCTACTGGTACCAATTTACTGTATTAGTCCATTTTCATCGTGCTGATAAAAACATACCCAAAACTGGGACGAAAAGAAGGTTTAATTGGATTTACAGTTCCACATGGCTGAGGGGCCTCAGAATGATGGCGGGAGGCAAAAGGCACTTCTTATATGGTGGCAGCAAAATAAAACGAGGATACAAAGTGGAAACCCCTAATAAAACCATCAGATCTCCTGAGATTTATTCACTACCATGAGAACAGTATGGGGGAAACCACCCCCATGATTCAAATTACCTCCCACAACACATGGGAATTATGGGAGTACAATTCAAGATGAGATTTTGGTGGGGACACAGAGCCAAACTATATCAGACCACTTAGCCATTTGACAGAACTAGATATGCAATAGGGACATTTGAGAACCCCAGAAAGGAACTGAATGGACTTCTCTATGTGCAACATATAAACAACTTAGGCATTTACATTCTGAATCATTAGGGCATGCTAGACTCTATGTAGGGGGAGAACCTTGTAATGCTATAATTTCTCATGATTACTAAGCTGGGGAAAAGATAGATATATAACTAAATAATACAAGGTTATTTTTGAGCCTGGACATCTCAGAATGTCTTCTATTGTTTACAAAATAATGTGTGTTAGGGGACAGGTAAAGGGCACTTGAGGTCTATAACAACTTCCAACTACTTTCTGCCTGTCCTTTAGGATCTCTGGCTCTCAAATGGCTAAAGTGACTTTACCTAGTCTCTCAAGAACTCATGTGTCAGCCAGGGAATCCACATATTATCTGAAATATATAGGTGCTATCATTAGCACTACAACTACCCTTAGGCCCAAGGTGACACTACCTCATAGAGAAGACTCTCTTCCTTGAAAAAAGAGAAGACACTGGAAAGGAGCCTCAACAGACTGGAAAACTTCATGACATCATTGGGAACAGTCTGCTTCCTGCTGCTGCCATAAACCTAGTACTCTCTCTCCCTTCATGGTAGTGGTAGTTCTGGTCCAGTTTACTGCATACAAGTCATACCATCCTAACAAGGCCTTTCCTGAGCATCACCTATCCCTGGCTAGCCACTGTCTCTTACGGTCTTGTCTTCTCCCCTCACTGGCACACACAAAAAATACCAACTTTATCTACCTGGCTGGGGCTTTCTCCTGTTTGGGGGTTTCCCGTATGTTTCTTCCCTTTCACTTCAGCCTTTGTCTAAACTAAGCAATTATTCTCTTCCCATTCCCTGGACCAGATTTTCTTTTCATTAATTAGTAGGTCTCTTCCCTTCCTCCAGGGCATCAAGCGTTTTTACCTATCCATTCAGACTTTTCCAATCTCCATCTGCTCGCTTTAAAATAAATTGCTTGCTTTTTCTTATTTATTGAATTATTTGGGTGAGGGGTGAGAAAGAGAAAAATTCAATAATTTCTATAATCAAAATTTCTTTGTTTTACATTGTTTGCCGATGGATTATTGTTATCTGAAACATCTGAGTCTTTTTTCTTCTGCAAATAAATAGCATCATCCTCTGAGTGAAAGACATCGTTAATACTAAGCTGCATGAAATGATATTGACAAATGACCTGTCCCCTGAGTAGGGCAAATGCATGAGAGCTTTATTATGGACACCAAGAAAGAGGAATGGAATCTAGTTCTAAAGTCAAATCAGTGTCAACGTAAACCAAAGCAATTGATTAAATGGAGGCACTTTATAGGACCTATATCAATTAATGATTTAAGAAATCTGAAATGAAATGCTCTAAGAATTAAAAACACTTCTTGAAGCATTTCTTCTCTCTCCCCCAGAGGCTAGGGAACACTCAGTTGGAATTCTGTGGCATGTGTGCAAAGTAAAAATGGGATTTCCATGAGTTATGCACAAAGTTCTTAATTGCACACTGTCACTGGAGCCATTGTCACCCACCACCAAATCTTGTGTCTCCATCCAAAAACAAAAAGAGGGAAGATTCGTGTTATTAGACTAGACATGCCATGTCAAATTAAGGGGAGAAATATGCAGAATACCCAGCCCGATAATGGGAAACTGAAGAACTAAAATTGCATATTGAATATGTTCTTCAGACAAAAAAAAACTTAATTCCATTTGAATTTTATAGTAGTTTACACTTAAAAAATTAGGAGAAGAAAATGGGTACTTTAGTAGAATTTTATTTCTGCATACACTGTCAGAATAGATTTTTTTTCAGATGGGGAAAATCCCTATACGCTGGATTCTATCTTTGAAGGTAGAAGAGAAAGGATGGAAAATATCATGTACTTTAAATACATCTTTCTGTATCTTACCTCCCAATTTTTTTTAATAGTATGGCCTCACAAAGATTGATTTTACTGCTGCTGAAAACTGTCTGAAGATGAGAAGCAGTTTCAGTAAGAACAACAGAGAGTAAACAAAGCTAAGATAACAACAGTGAATGCCACAAATTCTGAATAGAACATAACATGGATAAACTGATTTGTTCTACTTCATTAAGTTACACTGAAGTTGGAGAAGTTTGCAGAACTTTGGCATACATAGAGGTCACAATAGTATATGTTTTTATCAAACTGAATTCTAATTGTTAGAAGGTAGGACAGTGAATAATGGCAATACTGCAGAGTGGTTAGGAGAATGTGAGCTTTGTGGTCAGTCAGAAAACTGCTTCAAATCTCAACCGTGTCATTTAGGAGTTGGGTGTGGGCAAGTTATTTAACTTGAGTCTTACTTCTCACATCTGTGTCTGTCATAGGATAATTGTTTATTATCTGAATAGTGAGAGTTGAATAAATTATCCTCAAAATTAAATAAAATGGAAGGATTCAGTATGATGCCTGGAAGGCATGCATATATTAAGGTCTCAATAAATGCTATTTGTTTTGATTTATTATTATTACAATAAAAAAGTCACAGTGGAAAAAGCCAAATTCTCATTTTGATTTAAAACTTTTCCATATTATTATTATTATCATTTAATGTTTTAGAGACAAGATCTCCCTCTTTCACTCAGGCTTGGGTGCAGTCGTGAAATCATACATAGCCCACTGCAACCTCGAACGCCTGAACTCAAGGGATCCCACTGCTTAGCTGGGACTAAAGGTGTGTGCCACTGTGTTTGGCTAACTTTTTTTATTCTTTGTAGAGATGGGGGTCTTGCTGACATCCAAGATTTATTTCAGTATTTTTTAGTAAATTAATACTATTATGAGCTTAACAGATGAAAGTTATTCACCATAAACTTTAAAGAACTGTGGAAAAATTATGTTTAAACATTTTTATATTATCTCAGCTCTGCTTCATCCACTTCCCCAGTTATTCATCAGCTTTGAACACTTCTTCTAAAAGTTAAATACTTGTCAGTCCTCTTAATGGCCTCCAAGGAGAGATATGTCAAGAATTTCATTTGAAGCCTATTTTGGTGTTTAATCCTGCTGAGCCTATGTCTCTACAATTTAACATTCAGTGGAAGCAATAAATGGTGATCATATCATCAAGAAATTGGATCCATTCCTCAAAAACATTCCAGTGATCCATTCCTTTCATATCCCTGCGAAATGATTTGTACTCAGAACAGTTGTGTGTGTGCACAAGCATATGCAGCACATTAAGAATGCCAAATCTGAATTTTTCAGTGGTCTGAAGTGGAAACTTCTCATAGAGCAGCCATATGTTTTCTAGGATTGCATTAATCTTACCTTTTAGGCAAACAATATAGTGCATTTTGTCTATGTTTTACCACATACAACAAATACTGAACCCTTTCTTATTCCTGTATCTATGAATGAATATGGAAAGACTTATCTGAAAGGCATATCAAGGATTTTTTTTTTTTATTAGCTTACTTGGCCAGGCGTGGTGGCTCACTTCTGTAATCCCAGCACTTTGGGAGGCTAAGGTGGGTGGATCACTTGAGGTCAGGAGTTTGAAACTAGCCTGGCCAACATGGCAAAACCCCGTCTCTACTAAAAAAAAAAAAAAAAAAAAAAAAAAAAATTAGCCAAGTATGGTGGCAGGCACCTGTAATCCCACCTACTCGGGAGGCTGAGACATGACAATCAGTAGAACCTCGGTCGGGGAGGTTGCCGTGAGCTGAGATCCTGACACTGTACTCCAGCCTGGGCTACAGAGTGACATTCCATCTCGAAATAAATAAATAAAAATAAAATAAAATTAGCTTACTTTAAATGAGCATTTCTTATTTTTAAATTCCAGATTCTCAGGGGAGAAAAACCTGGGAGAGGGAAGCTTGGGTCAAGTGTACAATGAGTTCAATAAAGTTGAACATAGGGGTAAGGTTATGTGGTATAAACATGACTTTCTAGGAGCTTCTCATTTGTGTTTGCATAGATTTATTAATAAATTAAAGGATACTAATGAGCTAGGCTTATATCTTAAAGGATATCTATTGTTCTCCCTTCACATCCAGAGGTTTAAAGAAGAACTCCATGTCTCAGAACGTTATAGGAGGTCCAAGATTTAATTTGCATCCACTTTCACCCCCTCCCTTAAGTCGTCCTCACCATATTTGTGCCTTGGTCTTTTGTCATAACTGTTCCTTCTGAAAAATATGCTGATATTTCTTATGTGATCTCCTTTCAGAATTAACTGTGATTGTTATGTTGAATCATATTTCTGCATTCTATTGATAGTATACCTATAACTGATTATGCTGTTATGCATAACTTTAGTAAGATATTTATAATACCTATAACATTCATAAAGACTATCCCTGGGTCAGCTATTAGAATATTACTCAATATGTTGTGGAAAGTAGATATGCATACGTTAAGTTTTGAGTCACCAGGTGATAACTTTAAACTCATTGAATAAAAGCTAATATATAACAAAAAGTCAGTGTATGTGTGTATGTGTGCATTGGTGGGAGATTAACGTGCCATAGTGGGAGCTATCAAACATTGAAGAAATTTAGTCTCTATCTTGAAATACATACACTGCTTACAGGAATAGAGAAAAGTGGATATATACCTATATTTCCTAGAATCTTGAGGATCCTGCCTAGGTGTTTCAAACCACAGAATCAGCCGACATGAACATAAGCATTGTCTATTGCCATGTTTATTATAGTATAGCTTTATGAGTTCAAAGTTTTCACCCTTAGATTGTTATTAATTTGCTTAGCATGCTATTTTCCTGGACCATACAAAGGTTCCTGCTGTGTGCTTCAAACAGGTCCTTATTTAACAGGAGCTGGCAGTCAACATGCAGCTTAAACTAGTGACTCTCAAAAGGACCCTCAAAGACATCTGTTGCTTATTCCCATTCTACTCAGTTTCCCAAGGTTTCACTCCCCTCCGCTACCTCTCTCACTCTTAGAAAATGATTCTACTGACAGCATTTCTAAGAAGATGAAGCTCATCTGACATGGGTTGCATCAGTCTGTTGTTCCTGCTCTCATCACTTCCTATATCTGCTGAGATACCACTCCATCAACTATTCTACCCGTCAACCTCTTTTACCTTTGCCTAATAACACGAATATACCCCTTTATTCTAAGAAACATTTCCATTTGACTCCTTAAGTTATTACTCCAATCTTTTTCTCTTCTCTACCAGACATAAATGTCTATACTTACTGCACTTCCTCACTACCCACAGTTTACTTGAGTCCTTACACTCTGACTTCTACACACACACTACTTTTCATATTTTTACCAGGTGACTATCATTAACTGTCATAATTTTCCAGCGCTTTGGGCATATATAAAGTGCATATCCATTTTACAAGAATATTGTTTTAGATCAAAACTTGTTTCTTTCAAGGTGATTTTAAAATGTGTTTGGAATAAAATTATTTAATTCATTTAATTACAGTATATTACAGAGCAAAACCCAATAAGAAATTAGTTTCTACTTAAACTGTAATAGTCTGCTCACATATTAAGTGATTATAAACACAAATAGCTGAAAAGAAGTATAATGGAAGCAATAAATATTGGTACTTGGTAGGATTATGACAATTAAATTGAAAGACACCTAGAGGGATTAACATTTTTCTACTAGGTCCATTGCATCCCCTTGGAACCTGCAGCTCTTTGTTCCTACCCGCTCTTGAATTTGACCTTACCCACTAACTGTCGGTCCCACCCTCTCAAACTCAAATTACCAAACCAGTGGCTATTAAACCACAAGAACCATCCCTCTCCCTTGAGAATCAATTTTACCAACTATTCCTGAAACTTAGTTGAACTTCAGATGCCTTCTTTGCTAAAGATTTTAAGAATTCTGCTCTTCCTCCCAATCACATGTCTTGGTCTTCTGAATAAATGTTTATGCTTAATGGTGCTTTGGTTTTCTTCCAAAAAAACCAATGGATTTTATGTTATTACATACAGGGTGATGGCAGAGAGAGATGAGAAGAAAGGTCCATGATTAGCCCCGGGAACCCCAATATTAAAAAGCAAGGTAGAGAGGGAGAAATATGGACAGGAGATTCAGAGAAGTGAGAGAGATACCAAATTAAAATGGTATTTTATAAGCCTGGAGAGGAAGCAGTGTCAAAAAGGAGACAATGGTTTACTCTTACATGCTGCAGAGAAGTCAAGTAAGAGGGGAATAAAGAAATAGTCTTTGTGATTTTATTATTCTTTTGAATATGTACTTGTATTGATGCATCTTCAATCCACAGTAACACTGTACATGGCCAATTCATTCACTTAATGTCTTGGAACCACAAAGTGCTAAGCAATGGTGGGAAATATCTTTTTTCAACAACTATAGTTTCTCACTTGTAGCAAAGCTTCCAAATTTGCAATCCACAACCTTTGGCCTCAGACTGACAACAGTGATTCTAGGGGTTCAGATATCCACTGATTTAAATGTAATTTAAAATTTCAATATAACTGTATTCATAATATTGTTCAACTATTATTTTTAAATGTTTGTATATGTCACTGTGATTAGTGAAGTATACATTTCTAGTAGTTGTGTATTATTGTATATTTTCTCGATCAAAATAAATCAAACTATCACATGAGGGGATCCCTACGATGTTGTAAACTTAAATACGGTTTATGTAATTTTAAAGATAACAAATTCTATTTCTTTTCATTTTACTCTAATACTTGGTGTGGATTCTCTTCTCAAGATCATGAAGTATCCACATTTCCCTATGGAAATGAAATGTAATTTATTTATTCTTAAACAATTTTTAATATTTAATACATACAAAAGGTAATATATGCCACAGAGATATTTTACTTTTATAAGTGGGAACAATGAAATGTGTGAGTTCATTTTGATTCCAGTCCATACATGTTAGTTTGTGAAATTTTGGGGGAGGGGCACCTACAAATCTAGATTCCAAGAATTAGACACACTAAACATAAATTTCATGAATGTTGACCACTTTTGACAGTCTAAATTATAAAACAAGCAAATGGTTGTAATTTTATGTATCATTTAATTCATTTACTTTTTTGAATGTGACAAAACTAGCTATCAAACTATAACTCATGGTTTATTTTGTTTCATTTTGTTTTGTTTTTGTTATTCAGCAGGCATTTTTTGAATTCCTTTTGCTAAAGTGTTCTAAAAAACAGTCAGTGACCTTGTGGGCCAGTGGCATGTGTGTATTGGAATAGATTTTTGCCTGGACTTGTTTTTAATAAAGTCTTCAAGAGAGTCCTTACATCCCAGAACTCAGAGGGATATTTTGTCAAGTGTTTGTGATGGTAAAAGTAAACGTTGTTCCCTGTACACTATAGGGAGAAATAAGTTGGCCATAAAATGCAGTTTCTTTCTTTATAGACACATTTTTAATTTAACTTCTTTGCTGATTTTTATTATACTTATGTGCAATTTGGGGAGGGAGGATTTATTTCTAAATCTTTTTCATACAATTAAAGCTTTATAAGAAAATACGTTTTGTTTTTTTTTTTGAGATGGAGTCTCTATCGCCCAGGTTGGAGTGCAGTGGCGCAATCTCCACTCACTGCAAGCTCTGCCTCCCGGATTCATGCTATTCTCCTGCCTCAGCCTCCCGAGTAGCTGGGATTACAGGCTCCCACCACCACGCCTGGCTTTTTTTTTTTTTTTTTTTTTGGTATTTTTATTAGAGACGGGGTTTCACCGTGTTAGCCAGGATAGTCTCGATCTCCTGACCTCGTGATCAGCCCGCCTCAGCCTCCCAAAGTGCTGGGATTACAGGTGTGAGCCACCGTGCCTGGCCGAAAATAAGTTTTAATATGTTAACATTAAATGTATTTGTGTACTCTGTAACAAAAGTAATTCTTGTATTGCAGAGTTACCCAAAGTCAACTCAGTAACACAAATATTTTAACTAGATATCTGAAAAATCTCTATATTAATAAGATTGTCAATCTCACAAAGTGGGGAAATATATGAGTGGTGTCTTTGTTCCGCTGTTAACCTCCGTCATCAATTGGTTAGAGCAATGGGAACTTCTGGGGAAAATCCTACAGTCCCATAAGCTAGAGACAGCAGAAGAAAGGTGCAGGGACATGAAATTTCTGACTTCCATTGTTTCACTAACACTGGAACACCTAGCCCTATTATCTCCTGGGGGAAAAGGCAATAAAGACTCAACTTTTTCACCTTTAGGTTGAGGATAAAAGGGCACTACATACTGTTAAACAGTTTATGGGTCTTACCACTAGTTGTTTTATTTTGCTTTGATTTTAGATAGTGCATGTACATAGTAGGAATTAAATAGATAAATGTGGATGTGCCTTTGAGTGGGTTGAACTTGTTACTATATCTTCCATTTAATCTTAAAATTTGGTGAAAAAGAAACTAGAGATTTTCTTCTTTTGCCTCCCGAAGCAGCTTCCTTTCCTGTAAACCTTGGAACAACCTCTAGAAGCTCACCACTTTTGCTTCCCTACCATTTGTTTCTAGTTGAAGTGAAAACTTGCATTGTATTACTACTTGCTGCCTGGCTTAAATTTTGGGACAATCTGCCCATTCATGCCTTATTAATAATTTTATTTTATTTTAAGGTTTTTTTGACACTCATCAATATCAATTTTAATATCTATTACAATACAGCAATAAAGGCAAACTAAAAAAGGCTATACAAGCCATTTTGCACATCTTCATGTACTGGGTTCTCCGAAGCCCATTTCCTGGTAATATCTTTTGCCGGAAGAATCTTTTTTATTATTATACTTTAAGTTCTACGGTACATGTGCACAACATGCAGGTTTGTCACATATGTATACATGTGCCATATTGGTGTGCTGCACCTATTAACTCATCATTTACATTACATATACCTCCTAATGCTATACCTCCCCACTTCCCCCACCCCATGACAGGCCCTGATGTGTGATGTTCCCCTTTCTGTGTCCAAGTGTTCTCATTGTTCAGTTCCCACCTATGAGTGAGAACATGCGGTCTTTGGTTTTTGGTCCTTGCGATACTTTGCTGAGAATGATGGTTTTCAGCTTCATCCATGTCCCTACAAAGGACATGAACTCATCCGTTTTTATGGCTGCAGAGTACTCCATGGTGTATATGTGCCACATTGTCTTAATCCATTCTATAATTGTTGGACATTTGGGTTGGTTCCAAGTCTTTGCTATTGTGAATAGTGCCGCAATAAATATATGTGTGCATGTGTCTTTATAGCAGCATGATTTATAATTCTTTGGGTATATACCCAGTAATGGGATTGCTGGGTCAAATAGTATTTCTAGTTCTAGATCCTTGAGGAATCGCCACATTGTCTTCCACAATGGTTGAACTAGTTTACAGTCCCACCAACAGTGTAAAAGTGTTCCTATTTCTCCACATTCTCTCCAACAGCTGTTGTTTCCTGACTTTTTAATGATTGCCATTCTAACTGGTGTGAGATGGTATCTCATTGTGGTTTTGATTTGCATTTCTCTGATGGCCAGTGATGATTAGCATTTTTTCATGTGTCTGTTGGCTGCATACATGTGTTTTTTTTGAGAAGTGTCTGTTCATATCCTTCTCCCACTTGTTGATCGGGTTGTTTTTTTCTTGTAAATTTGAGTTTATTGTAGATTCTGGATATTAGTCCTTTGTCAGATGAGTAGATTGCAAAAAATTTCTCCCATTCTGTAGGTTGCCTGTTCACTCTGATGTTAGTTTCTTTTGCTGTGCAGAAGCTCTTGAGTTTAATTTGATCCCAATTGTCAATTTTGGCTTTTGTTGCCATTGCTTTTGGTGTTTTAGACATGAAGTCCTTGCCCATGTCTATGTCCTGAATGGTATTGCCTAGGTTTTCTTCTAGGGTTTTTATGGTTTTAGGTCTAACATTTAAGTCTTTAATCCATCTAAAGTTAATTTTTGTATAAGGTGTAAGGAAGGGATCCAGTTTCAGCTTTCTACATATGGCTAGCCAGTTTTCCCGGCACCATTTATTAAATAGGGAATCCTTTCCCCATTGCTTGTTTTTGTCAGGTTTGTCAAAGATCAGATGGTTGTAGATGTGTGGTATTATTTCTGAGGGCTCTGTTCTGTTCCATTGGTCTACAGCTCTGTTTTGGTACCAGTACCATGCTGTTTTGGTTACTGTAGCCTTGTAGTATAGTTTGAAGTCAGGTAGCGTGATGCCTCCAGCTTTGTTCTTTTGGCTTAGGATTGTCTTGGAAATGCGGGCTCTTTTGTGTTTCCATATGAAATTTAAAGTAGTTTTTTCCAATTCTGTGAAGAAAGTCATTGGTAGCTTGATGGGGATGGCAATGAATCTTTTAATTACCTTGGGCAATATGGCCATTTTCACGATATTGAGTCTTCCTATCCATGAGCGTGGAATGTTCTTTCCATTTGTTTGTATCCTCTTTTATTTCATTGAGCAGTGGTTTGTAGTTCTCCTTGAAGAAGTCCTTCACATCCCTTGTAAGTTGGATTCCTAGGTATTTTATTCTCTTTGAAGCAATTGTGAATGGGAGTTCACTCATGATTTGGCTCTCTGTCTGTTATTGGTGTATAAGAATGCTTGTGATTTTTGCACACTGATTTTGTATCCTGAGACTTTGCTGAAGTTGCTTATCAGCTTAAGGAGATTTTGGGCTGAGACGATGGGTTTTTCTAAGTATACAATCACGTCATCTGCAAACAGGGACATTTTGACTTCCTCTTTTCCTAATTGAATACCCTTTATTTATTTCTCCTTCCTGATTGCCCTGGCCAGAACTTCCAATACTATGTTGAATAGGAGTGGTGAGAGAGGACCTCCCTGTCTTGTGATAGTTTTCAAAGGGAATGCTTCCAGTTTTTGCCCATTCAGTATGATATTGGCTGTGGGTTTGTAATAAATAGCTCTTATTATTTTGAGATACATCCCATCAATACCTAATTTATTGAGAGTTTTTAGCATGAAGGGCTGTTGAATTTTGTCAAAGGCCTTTTCTGCATCTATTGAGATAATCATGTGGTTTTTGTCTTTGGTTCTGTTTATATGCTGGATTATGTTTATTGATTTGTGTATGTTGAACCAGCCTTGCATCCCAGGGATGAAGCCCACTTGATCATGGTGGATAAGCTTTTTGATGTGCTGCTGGATTCAGTTTGCCAGTATTTTACTGAGGATTTTTGCATCGATGTTCATCAGGGATATTGGTCTAAAATTCTCTTTTTTTGTTGTGTCTCTGCCAGGCTTTGGTATCAGGATGATGCTAGCCTCATAAAATGAGTTAGGGAGGAATAATTTTAAAAGAAGCTCTTGGCCAGGTGCAGTGGCTCATGCCTGTAGTCCTAGCACTTTGGGAGCCCTAG
The DNA here is from genome assembly GCF_000001405.40 of Homo sapiens. Classification (NCBI taxonomy): domain Eukaryota; kingdom Metazoa; phylum Chordata; class Mammalia; order Primates; family Hominidae; genus Homo; species Homo sapiens. The sequence goes on from NC_000012.12 coordinate 78,499,272, forward strand.
GTGGGCAGATCACTTGAGGTCAGGAGTTTGAGACCAGCCTGGTCAACATGGTGAAACTAAAAATACAAAAAATTAGCCAGGCGTGGTGGCACGCACCTGCAGTCCCAGTTACTCAGGAGGCTGAGGCATGAGGCTCCCTTGAACCCGGGAGGTGGTGGTCACAGTGAGCCAAGATTGTACCACCTCACTCCAGCCTAGGTGACAGAGCAAGACTCTGAATCCTAAAAAGTAAAATAAAATAAAATAGAGCTGTCTTTCCAGTCAACTAGGATAATCAGTTGCTTTTTTAAACCAATTGGATAAAATTTGGGTAAAATTTAAATACATGGCATAGACCATGTATTTTAAGATTTGCCTCAAGGTTTGTAAACCATATACTTTACTTGTATCTGCTGGGAATAACTGTTTCATATAAATCTCTACAATTCAGACAGGACATAGAAAAGCTTGTTCTTAGTATAGAACTTCATGAAGTTTTTGTTTCTCCAACAGGAAGGAAAGAGTCATTGACATTTTCGTAATAAATTCGTTCAATTAAATTGACTAATATTGTTTACAATATAATGTCTATCCCAGTATAATCATAGGGCTCTTACTAAACCCTACAAGAAAACAATATAAATTTATTATTTATATGAATCATGAATTTTAACAAGCAACATTTCTTTTTTTTCTACATTCAAGTAATCATTTTCCTAATTCAGATAAATGACAAGCCCTCCTATAGATTTTAAATAGAAAAGGTCATGGAATCATCCTTGACAAGAAATTTTCCAAACTGCTTTCTTAAGATATTTCATACATCTTGTCTTTGAGATCCTAGTCTCAGTTCAAACAAATATTTTACTTTTAAAAATGATTTCTTAGAAATTTGGGGAATTATTAGGAGAGAGATACCATTGATGTAGAAAAAACTATAAGCAAATTTATATAATATAAAACATGAATGTTCCATTAGACTTTAACATTATGCACAAACTGCCTTGGCTTTTAAAAAATATATAAATAATCGGAAGCAGTTGAGTGAAAACAGTCAAATTGAGCATGTAGAGCAGCTCTAACCCAAGGGGATATTAAATAGGGCACATGTACAAAGCTATACATTTTTAGGTAAGAAGAAGAGGATTCTTCCCTTTCAGCACATAAACATGTTTGGCCCAGGGCAGAGCAAGAGAATGACACACTTGGTCTTTTTCTCATAAACAAAGGTCTTGCTATTTCACCTCCAAAGCAATTTTCTAGGCTATGTTTTTACTATTTTTGAAGTGAGAAAGAAAGATTTCTGATGTAACCCTGAAAGCAGGAGAACCATTTTTTTGCTGCAAGCATAGTGTATTATCAATTTGGTGTGAGGCCTGGAGAGCACGGAAGTGATCACTTCTTAGTGCAGAGGGGAGAAAGTTCTGAGTTTGCACAAATTAGTAGTTTTCATTGTTTATAGAAGATGATCAAAAATTCATAAATTTCAGAAAAACATGGAATCAGAAATTGATGTTTTATTTTCTTCTATGTTACTTTAGCTGGATATTTTCAGCCATTTTCAGAATGGTTTATATTATTAATTTTATATTCATAGAATCATTGACCTTAAGAAGCTTTGCTCTAATAGAAACTTCATTCTGTTTTTCCATCCAATCAGATCAATAATCAATCTAGTTAATCAGCAAGCAACTAGTAGGGGTCTGTTCTATCCCAGATGAACTCTAGGTATAATTCCTAAACAATGCAATTTTAATATACAAAGGAGGTAATACAAAAGAGCCTGAGGATATTGGCAAGCATGCAAGCCTATGCAAATTATGCAAGTTCCATCTATTTTAAAGTGCTGTATTGTGTTATATAAATGTATAACCATATGTTACAAAACCAAAATCAGGACCCATGTTCCAATAAATTATTTTTGTGCCATTACTGGATATGAGAAACTGTCTGGGAAAGGTAGTTTAAGTGCTGTAATGATGGAGTTTTTAGGATATTTTAATGGTTTATGGGGACCGCAAACAGATATTTGAAATTAGTTTTGTCTCCAAAAACCTGAGATAAAAACTTATTTGGAAACTCAGATATAATAAATAATAAAAACCAGACTATTACTTAGATCTTTATATTGATAGACTATTGGAAAAGATTTGTTCTTATTTTTCTCTATGTTAGTAAAAAAAATTACCCTGGATAAACGTTTGAGAAACTGTATGTTGAAAATAATGTAATATGATTTTATGCACATATTAAGCTTGATTTTGCTAGCAGATTATATTTTGGTAAACAGAAAAGGTAAGAAGATGTTTCAGGTTAGAAAAATGAAATGTTTTAATAAACAGAATCAAGACAAATTTTTGGCACATTTGTAGGATTATGAGAGGGTGAAACTATTTGAGCAAAAAATACATATTATAGATTAGTGGGCATGAAGAACCATCAGCAAAATAAAGCCAGGATTATGGAAGGCTTGGAAAACCAGACAGTCTAGGCATGTTGGATTATCTGGATTATTTAGATACTCCTATTGCAGTAAGGCATAGAGTCAAATATAAAGTTGCCATGACTTTATATTTCTTAAAAGATGTACTAATGATAGATAGGTGTACTTAGTTATGACTATACTTTGATACTGTTCTAAAATTTGAGATCTTACTTTTCTAATGATTTAACGCATAGAAACTACTTATTTTCCTTCTCCTCCTCCCCCATCTCCTCCTCCCTGTCTCTGCCTCTGTATTTCCACACACACATACACGTGTGTGCTCAAGAAAGTTGATTAACCTCACATGTGTGTATATATATACACACATATATGGAGGTCAATTAAACTTGGCTGAATATAAGAAAATGAATTAATGGCCAGGTGCAGTAGCTCAGTCCTGAAATCCCACCACTTTTGGAGACCAGGTGAGATGATCACTTGAGGCCAGGAGTTTGAAACCAGCCTGGGCAACATAGTGAAACCCTGTCTTTACAAGGAATTAAGAATTAGCTATATGTGGTGGTGATGCCTGTACTCAGGATGCTGAGGCAGGAGGATGGCTTGGGCCAGGAGTTCAAGGCTATATTGAGCTGTGGTTGCCCTACTGCATTCCAGCCTAGGCGACAGAGCAGAGACTCTGTCTGAAAAAAAAAGAAAGAAAAAAATGAATTATTTTACTATGTCTTTTTTATTTTTCCTATGACACTATGATTTTCTGCCTTGCTGTTATCATCTAAAAACGTTTTTAAGTTATTGAAGAGAAACAAATCCCATCCTAAGAATTGGAAGATGGTGAAGGAAACTAGTATGTATGAAGCCAAAGCTACTTGACAATCACTGATCTGGATGACTTATATGCGCACATCAATTCAACCTTCTAACCAACTACAGGAATGAATATCTCCATTCTGCAAATGAGAATATTGGAAACCAAAGAGGTTAATCAACTTTCTTGAGAGTACACAGTAGGAAAATGTCAGAGGCCAATTTGAATCCAGATCTATCTGGCTCCAAAACCCATACTCTTTTCTCTGTATACATCTTTATTCAAACAAAATACTGCCACCACAGGGTCAGTGGCCTAGAAGATTAAAACTGCTTTGATCTTTTCAATCCCACATCTGTTTGAAATAATTCAACTAAGTTTCTTTTTGTTTCACCCTTCAATTATGGACCGTAAAACAGTCACTTGTTGATTGATTTAATGGAAAAAAAACTATTAAAATCTTTCTTTGTGCATGAAAAGCCATAAGATACATCAGAAATCTTAGATCCCATGACTGTTGTTTGTAGTCAACAGAGAATATAAACTATAGGCAGTTTTCCTGATAATAAAAAGTGAGAGTAGTGTTTCTGGAATTAAAAAAATAAAAAGTTGGCAAAATAGAATTGGTTTTCTTTTTTCTATGCTTCTCTGCCATCCACATTTAGTGCTAATTCTATCTGAATGGCAGAAAGTACAAATGAAAAATCACAGTCTAATCACATGCTGGCCTTATAATATGTTACCCCAGTCAATTTCCTGTACAATATATGCTTCCCTTATTCACTTTGCCCCTGTCTGTGTATCAGCCACTCCTTTACCTGATAGTTTATTAAGGAAAAGAAAACTTAAGCTTTTCACAGCTCTTTTGTTCTATGCAGTAATTATCCTTCTTGCCTCATTCACTTAACCCAATTACTTCTGTTCCTTTTCTTAGAGAAATAATATCAACTAGCTTGTCCTACATGGGAGGACCTGCTTGAAGCACATTGCAAGTTCTGACTTACATATTCCTTGTACTTAACCCTATAAGGCTAGTTCTCTTATCATCCCTTCTTTACCCATGTGGCTTCTGCGGCATAAAGTGGTTATGGAGTAGGGATTTGAACCCATACACTCTGACTAGAGTCCACATACTTAACCCCTGCATTGTGCCATTCAATGCCAAGAAGGAAATTAAACTGTTCTGCCTCATTTTTACTAGTAGTAAAATGTGGATAATATTTTCTAAATTTCAGAATCATCAGGATTAAATTAGATCATTTATGAAGGGGATTATCATAGTATTTGAACAAAGCATTTTCTCAATAGATATTATATATTCTACATAATTCTATATATTAAGTTTACTTATATATTTAATACAAGTAAACTATAACATATATTAATTATTAGAATCATTGTCTTCTTCATCATTGTGATGTGCCTGTCTCCTATTATGGATATCTTTTGGACAGGATTTTATTTATTTTGTACTCAAAGTGTGCAGTACAGCATCTAAAACTTAGCAGCTAGTTAACATGTATTTGTTGAGCCAATAAGAAATATACAAATTACTTAAGTAGTGTCATGTGTTTCAAAAGCTTGTTTTGAAATTACTTTGTACTTTCCATGTCATAAATAAACCTTTGTGGAATGAAAGAATTTTGATCCCCTTTACCTTTCTTAAAATGGAATATGCCATGTGTTCTATAATAAGGGATGAAGACTGGTAAATTTTGATCATGAAATTAATTGAGAATTGCTGAAAGTCAGTGAACATATAAAAATGTTCCTGTTGACATTTTCTACAATAGATCTCCCTGACAGTAGAACCTTTGGAGACTTTCACAGATATAAAGCCTGGATATTTATTTCACAATGATTGCAAGAAAATACATATTTTGTCGAAATGAAGTATAAACTGCAGTGATGTTTTTCCTGAGAGTATATTAATTCAAGGAAGCTACTATCACATGACTGACTATATTTTTAAAACCCTGGTATACTGGTAGCTCAACATTTAGCACATATGAATACAACTGCCAAATAATCACGTACTATATTATAAATGACATATATAACAGATAATAGTCTAAAGCAAAGGCAGTCTTAGTTTGTACATCTAGAGTGAAATCAATGAAAAGGGGCCTGTGAAAGAGATTGTTATGGTGGCACAATATTGAAATTAGCAAACAAATTCAAATTTAAAGCCACCTGATTGTTTTTCCTATTCTGATTTTTCCCCTCAGTTACAGTCTCATTCAAGTCTAGAATTTCTCTTTAATGTATTTTTTCATCCTATTACTCATCCAATTTCTTAATTATCTTGTTCTCTTCAGTGTTCTATAGTGTAAATGGCATTTATTAGTTTGTACAATAATTTAACAAATATCTGAGTGCCCACTAAGTAGTTGGACTTTGAAATAAGACATTCGTGGACCACATAGCAGCCGTGTTATTATAAGGGATTTTTCTTTTCTAAGACCTGACTGTCCTTCTCTTTCTTCCCTCTCTTACCTCATTGCCCTCCCTCGCTCACTCCCTCTCAAATATTCTTACATGAACAACAAACATGTACAATAAGCAATCATTTTACAGAGGACATTTGAACAATTTTAGTACTTTGAACAAAACAGCATGATGGAAAATCATCTTTCTTAAAAGTGAACTTTAAAGAACCTATTGAAACCCAGGAAACACACATAAGAGACTCAATTTCACAGATAATGAACTGATATTTATAGTTAATCACATCTTTTAATGTGAATCTCTCTATTTAAATGTAAGACATTGAACATGTCAAAAAAAATGGGCCTACTAACAAACACTTGATATCCTAAAATAAACCTTTTTTCCCTTTTTTTCCTAAGCAGTGTTCAGCCTGATAAGGAATACATGATTTGTGCAACCTTAGCATCCTCTTCTTACCATCAGGGACATCTTTGAATATGTAGAGAAATATATACTGACTAAGAATACAACATGAAGTACATATTATTTTCAAAAAATAGGATTAGGTGAACAGGGGAGGAGAGTATAACTCTGCAACATGACTTGTTTTATAGCCTCTAGTACAAGGGCTGGTTTTTCTGCACAATCTAGGCCGTTCAAAGAATGGACGTATAGGAATTTCAAAAGACTGCCACAGTAAAACACCACAGATCAAATGACTCAATCTAAACATTAAAACATCGTTCGAGATATAAGAATAGATCTTCTTATCAAGAAAGATCTGGAACTACCAAGTAAGGGATAGAGGAAGGAGTAGGAGGAGCAAATTGCCAAGATACAAGCAGGTCTGCACAAAGTGAGAATGAGGAAATATTGGATCCAAAGAATCAGTGGAAGAATGTGGCATGCATCCTGCAATATGGTCATATGCACATAAAAAGTAATATGTATTACTCTTCCCATATACTTAGTCGTTACCCCTCTATTTTACCATATGCTCACTACTGTTGAGGGCTTGCCTACTCACTCCTGTGGTTGGAGTCAGGACCACATAAGATGGTCTATAATATGAGCTTGAGGGATGGCTAGGAAAGATTCTCTGATTTAAAACACCTCTGCTGAGATTCTGTCTTCCATGATTCAATTATTTGGGTTATTAAGCAAACTGCATTAGCATACAATACAGTTGGAACGGTTAGCATGTAATAATAATAATGCAAACTAACATTTGTACAGCTTTCCAATTATAAAGTACTTTCTCATTTTTCATGTTAATACTTTAGATCTAGATTATTTTTCACTTTGTAGATGATGCAAGAGTCCAGAATAATTATGTACCTTGTCCAAATTCATGTAAATAACACATCTTAGAACCAGCCAAACAATGTAGGTAAATAGAAATTCTTAAGAATTATATTTAAAAGGAAGAAAAATTATGTTTTAGTTTTGTTCAAATAATTGAACCACTGTATTTATTTTAATAAAGACTACAGGTGGTAGGGGAGGAGCCAAGATGGCCGAGTAGGAACAGCTCCAGTCTACAGCTCCCAGCGTGAGTGACATAGAAGACGGGTGATTTCTGCATTTCCATCTGAGGTACCGGGTTCATCTCACTAGGGAGTGCCAGACAGTGGGCGCAGGTCAGTGGGTGCAGCACACCGTGTGCCAGCCAAAGCAGGGCGAGGCATTGCCTCACTTGGGAAGTGCAAGGGGTCAGGGAGTTCCCTTTCCTGGTCAAGGAAAGGGGTGACAGACGGCACCTGGAAAATCGGGTCACTCCCACCTGAATACTGCGCTTTTCCAACTGGCTTAGGAAATGGCGCACCAGGAGTTTATATCCCGCACCTGGCTCGGAGGGTCCTACGCCCACGGAGTCTCGCTGATTGCTAGCACAGCAGTCTCAGATCAAACTGCAAGGCAGCAGCCAGGCTGGGGGAGGGACGCCCGCCATTGCCCAGGCTCGCTTAGGTAAACAAAGCAGCCAGGAAGCTCGAACTGGGTGGAGCCCACCACAGCTCAAGGAGGCCTGCCTGCCTCTGTAGGCTCCACCTCTGGGGGCAGGGCACAGACAAACAAAAAGACAGCACTAACCTCTGCAGACTTAAATGTCCCTGTCTGACAGCTTTGAAGAGAGCAGTGATTCTCCCAGCACACAGCTGGAGATCTGAGAATGGGCAGACTGCCTCCTCAAGTGGGTCCCTGACCCCTGACCCCTGAGCAGCCTAACTGGGAAGCACCCTCCAGTAGGGGCAGACTGACACCTCACACGCTGGGTACTCCTCTGGGACAAAACTTCCAGAGGAATGATCAGACAGCAGCATTCGCAGTTCACGAAAATCCGCGGTTCTGCAGACACCACTGCTAATACCCAGGCAAACAGGGTCTGGAGTGGACCTCTAGCAAACTCCAACAGACCTGCAGCTGAGGGTCCTGTCTGTTAGGAGGAAAACTAACAAACAGAAAGGACATCCACACCAAAAACCCATCTGTACATCACCATCATCAAAGACCAAAAGTAGATAAAAACACAAAGATGGGGAAAAAACAGAGCAGAAAAACTGGAAACTCTAAAAAGCAGAGCGCCTCTCCTCCTCCAAAGGAACGCAGTTCCTCACCAGCAATGGAACAAAGCTGGACGGAGAATGACTTTGACGAGTTGAGAGAAGAAGGCTTCAGATGATCAAACTACTCTGAGCTACAGGAGGAAATTCAAACCACAGGCAAAGAAGTTAAAAACTTTGAAAAAAATTTAGATGAATATATAACTAGAATAACCAATACAGAGAATTGCTTAAAGGAGCTGATGGAGCTGAAAGCCAAGGCTCAAGAACTACGTGAAGAATGCAGAAGCCTCAGGAGCCAATGCTATCAACTGGAAGAAAGGCTATCAGTGATGGAAGATGAAATGAATGAAATGAAGCGAGAAGGGAAGTTTAGAGAAAAAAGAATAAAAAGAAATGAACAAACCCTCCAAGAAATATGGGACTATGTAAAAAGACCAAATCTACGTCTAATTGGTGTGCCTGAAAGTGACGGGGAGAATGGAACCAAGTTGGAAAACACTCTGCAGGATATTATCCAGGAGAACTTCCCCATCTAGCAAGGCAGGCCAACATTCAGATTCAGGAAATACAGAGAATGCCACAAAGATACTCCTCGAGAAGAGCAACTCCAAGACACATAACTGTCAGATTCACCAAAGTTGAAATGAAGGAAAAAATGTTAAGGGCAACCAGAGAGAAAGGTCGGCTTACCCACAAAGGGAAGCCCATCAGACTAACAGTGGATCTCTCGGCAGAAACTCTACAAGCCAGAAGAGAGTGGGGGCCAATATTCAACATTCTTAAAGAAAAGAATTTTCAACCCAGAATTTCATATCCAGCCAAACTAAGCTTCATAAGAGAAGGAGAAATAAAATACTTTACAGACAAGCAAATGCTGAGAGATTTTGTCACCACCAGGCCTGCCCTAAAAGAGCTCCTAAAGGAAGCGCTAAACATGGAAAGGAACAACCAGTACCAGCCACTGCAAAATCATGCCAAAATGTAAAGACCATTGAGACTAGGAAGAAACTGCATCAACTAACGAGCAAAATAACCAGCTAACGTCATAATGACAGGATCGAATTCACACAGAACAATATTAACTTTAAATGTAAATGGACTAAATGCTCCAATTAAAAGACACAGACTGGCAAATTGGATAAAGAGTCAAGACCCATCAGTATGCTGTATTCAGGAAACCCATCTCACGTGCAGAGACACACATAGGCTCAAAATAAAAGGATGGAGGAAGATCTACCAAGCAAATGGAAACAAAAAAAGGCAGGGGTTGCAATTCTAGTCTCTGATAAAACAGACTTTAAACCAACAAAGATCAAAAGAGACAAAGAAGGCCATTACATAATGGTAAAGGGATCAATTCAACAAGAAGAGCTAACTATCCTAAATATATATGCACCCAATACAGGAGGACCCAGATTCATAAAGTAAGTCCTGAGTGACCTACAAAGAGACTTAGACTCCCACACAATAATAGTGGGAGACTTTAACACCCCACTGTCAACATTAGACAGATCAACGAGACAGAAAGTTAACAAGGATACCCAGGAATTGAACTCAGCTCTGCACCAAGAGGACCTAATAGACATCTACAGAACTCTCCACCCCAAATCAACAAAATATACATTTTTTCAGCACCACATCACACCTATTCCAAAATTGACCATAGTTAGAAGTAAAGCTCTCCTCAGCAAATGAAAAAGAACAGAAATTATAACAAACTGTCTCTCAGACCACAGTGCAATCAAACTAGAACTCAGGATTAAGAATCTCACTCAAAACCACTCAACTACATGGAAACTGAACAACCTGCTCCTGAATGACTACTGGGTACAAAACGAAATGAAGGCAGAGATAAAGATGTTCTTTGAAATCAACGAGAACAAAGACACAACATACCAGAATCTCTGGGACATATTCAAAGCAGTGTGTAGAGGGAAATTTATAGCACTAAATGCCCACAAGAGAAAGCAGGAAAGATCCAAAATTGACACCCTAACATCACAATTAAAAGAACTAGAGAAGCAAGAGCAAACACATTCAAAAGCTAGCAGAAGGCAAGAAATAACTAAGATCAGAGCAGAACTGAAGGAAATAGATACACAAAAAACCCTTCAAAAAATTAATGAATCCAGGAGCTGGTTTTTTGAAAGGATCAACAAAATTGATAGACCGCTAGCAAGACTAATAAAGAAAAAGAGAGAGAAGAATCAAATAGATGCAATAAAAAATGATAAAGGGGATATCACCACCGATCCCACAGAAATACAAACTACCATCAGAGAATACTACAAATACCTCTACGCAAATAAACTAGAAAATCTAGAAGAAATGGATAAATTCCTCGACACATACACTCTCCCAGGACTAAACCAGGAAGAAGTTGAATCTCTGAATAGACCAATAACAGGAGCTGAAATTGTGGCAATAATCAATAGCTTACCAACCAATAAGAGTCCAGGACTAGATGGATTCACAGCCAAATTCTACCAGAGGTACAAGGAAGAACTGGTACCATTCCTTCTGAAACTATTCCAATCAATAGAAAAAGAGGGAATCCTCCCTAACTCATTTTATGAGGCCAGCATCATCCTGATACCAAAGCTGGGCAGAGACACAACCAAAAAAGAGAATTTTAGACCAATATCCTTGATGAACATTGATGCAAAAATCCTCAATAAAATACTGGGAAACCGAATCCAGCAGCACATCAAAAAGCTTATCCACCATGATCAAATGGGCTTCATCCCTGGGATGCAAGGCTGGTTCAATATACACAAATCAATAAATGTAATCCAGCATATAAACAGAACCAAAGACAAAAACCACATGATTATCTCAATAGATGCAGAAAAGGCCTTTGACAAAATTCAACAGCCCTTCATGCTAAAAACTCTCAATAAATTAGGTATTGATGGGACGTATCTCAAAATAATAAGAGCTATCTATGACAAACCCACAGCCAATATCATACTGAATGGGCAAAAACTGGAAGCATTCCTTTTGAAAACTGGCACAAGACAGGGATGCCCTCTCTCACCACTCCTATTCAACATTGTGTTGGAAGTTCTGGCCAGGGCAATTAGGCAGGAGAAGGAAATAAAGGGTATTCACAATTAGGAAAAGAGGAAATCAAATTGTCCCTGTTTGCAGATGACATGATTGTATATCTAGATAACCCCATTTTCTCAGCTCAAAATCTCCTTAAGCTGATAAGCAACTTCAGCAAAGTCTCAGGATACAAAATCAATGTACAAAAATCACAAGCATTCTTATACACCAATAACAGACAAACAGAGAGCCAAATCATGAGTGAACTCCCATTCACAATTGCTTCAAAGAGAATAAAATACTTAGGAATCCAACTTACAAGGGACATGAAGGACCTCTTCAAGGAGAACTACAAACCACTGCTCAATGAAATAAAAGAGGATACAAACAAATAGAAGAACATTCCATGCTCATGGGTAGGAAGAATCAATATCATGAAAATGGCCATACTGCCCAAGGTAATTTATAGATTCAATGCCATCCCCATCAAGCTACCAATGACTTTCTTCACAGAATTGGAAAAAACTACTTTAAAGTTCATATGGAAACAAAACAGAGCCTGCATCGCCAAGTCAATCCTAAGCCAAAAGAACAAAGCTGGAGGCATCACGCTACCTGACTTCAAACTATACTACAAGGCTACAGTAACCAAAACAGCATGGTACTGGTACCAAAACAGAGATATAGATCAATGGAACAGAACAGAGCCCTCAGAAATAATGCCACATATCTACAACCATCTGATCTTTGACAAACCTGACAAAAACAAGCAATGGGGAAAGGATTCCCTATTTAATAAATAGTGCTGGGAAAACTGGCTAGCCATATGTAGAAAGCTGAAACTGGATCCCTTCCTTACACCTTATACAAAAATTAATTCAAGATGGATTAAAGACTTAAACGTTAGACCTAAAACCATAAAAACCCTAGGAGAAAACCTAGGCATTACCATTCAGGACATAGGCATGGGCAAGGACTTCATGTCGAAAACACCAAAAGCAATGACAACCAAAGCCAAAATTGACAAATGGGATCTAATTAAACTCAAGAGCTTCTGCACAGCAAAAGAAACTACCGTCAGAGTGAACAGGCAACCCACAAAATGGGAGAAAATTTTCGCAACCTACTCATCTGACAAAGGGCTAATATCCAGAATCTACAATGAACTCAAACAAATTTACAAGAAAAAAACAAACAACCCCATCAAAAAGTGGGCGAAGGATTTGAACAGACACTTCTCAAAAGAAGACATTTATGCAGCCAAAAAACACATGAAAAAATGCTAATCATCACTGGCCATCAGAGAAATGCAAATCAAAACCACAATGAGATACCACCTCACACCAGTTAGAATGGCAATCATTAAAAAGTCAGGAAACAACAGGTGCTGGAGAGGATGTGGAGAAATAGGAACACTTTTACAATGTTGGTGGGACTGTAAACTAGTTCAACCATTGTGGAAGTCAGTGTGGTGATTCCTCAGGGATCTAGAACTAGAAATACCATTTGACCCAGCCATCCCATTACTGGGTATATACCCAAAGGACTATAAATCATGCTGCTATAAAGACACATGCACACGTATGTTTATTGCGGCACTGTTCACAATAGCAAAGTCTTGGAACCAGCCCAAATGTCCAACAATGATAGACTGGATTAAGAAAATGTGGCCCATATACACCATGGAATACTATGCAGCCATAAAAAATGATGAGTTCATGTCCTTTGTAGGGACATGGATGAAATTGGAAATCATCATTCTCAGTAAACTATCGCAAGGACAAAAAACCAAACACTGCATGTTCTCACTCATAGATGGGAACTGAACAATGAGAACACATGGACACAGGAAGGGGAACATCACACTCTGGGGGCTGTTGTAGGGTGGGGGCAGGGGGGAGGGATAGCATTAGGAGATATACCTAATGCTAAATGACGAGTTAATGGGTGCAGCAAACCAGCATGGCACATGTATACATATGTAACTAACTTGCACATTGTGCACATGTACCCTAAAACTTAAAGTATAATAATAATAAAAAAATAAAATAAATTAAATTTTAAAAAAGACTATAACATGGCTTCATATTTGATGTTGAATTACTGAAAATATTTTTCAATATATTCAGCAATAAAAAATATACTGTCACTAATATCATTCAATAGTGTTCCAAAAGTTCCATAAAATGCAGTAAAAAAGAAAATGCAGTAGGAATGAGATCACAAATTATCATTGCAGATAAAATATTTGTCTTCACTTGGAAACAAAAATAATCAACTGAAAAGCTATTCTATCAGTCTCCAAACTGTTTGATTACAAAGTATACATAGAAAAATCAATATATGTCACACTATTGAAGAGGATGATTAAAGACCTATATATAAATAGCAAAACTGAAAAATTAGGTGAAAATATTGAAGAAAATCTTTGACTTTCAGTAGATAATTCCTTCTTAAATAAAACACTGTGTAGACTGGTGTGTGATCAAATCAAAATAGGCATGTGTAATTAAATAGACTGATATGTGATTTAAATATATGACTAAGTCAAAACATAAATGATATTCAAAAACAAATATACTGTGAAAAATATCTGTGATATAGAAAACAGACAATAGATTTAAAGAAAACCTTTGTATATAAGATAGTAAATGAGAGTACAGACTTTCTAGCCACCCGCAGGAGTTTGAATCCCAGTTCAGCTACTTACCATCTGTATAACCCTGAGAAAGTGTTTCAACTTCTCTAGGCTCAGTCTCTTCATTTTGCAGAATAGAAATAGTAATAGTACCTACCTCACAGAGTTGTTATAAGTTTTAATAAATTCATACTTTTCAAGCTGTTAGAACAGTACTTGGCACATAATAACCACAATGTGTATTTGTTAAATAAACTAAACCACTAAGAAAATGAAAAACCCATTAGAAAAATGACAACTCTTAGAAAAGGTCATATGAGTAGCTAGTAACAATATAAAGACATGCTCAGCCTAAGCTAGTAATAAGAAAAATGCAAGGTAATACTCTATCAGACTGACAATAAATTTAAAGCGCTGACAATATTTTGATATATTAAATATTGTCTCAGATGGAAGAAAGAATACTTTGGAAGTGATTTTGACAGTTTCTATTAAAATTTAAAATAGTACAAAATTTTACTACCTAAGGGAAAAACTGGCACATTAAAAAGTACAAAAATACAAATAGCATTAGAATTTGTACTAAAAAAACAATTAAAGCTAACTCAAATGTCCAAATGGCAAAATATAAAATGGTACATTCAGGATATTACATACTGTGCAATCTTGGGAGATGCTATTCACATCCATAACATTAGAATGTAACATAATGAAGACCCAGCACTTTGGGAGGCCAAGGTGGGTGGATCACAAGGACAGGAGTTCAAGATCAGCCTGATAAACATGGTGAAACCCCGTCTCTACTAAAAATACAAAAATTAGCCGGGCGTTGTGGCACGCACCTGTAATCCCAGCTATGCAGGAGTCAACGAACAGCAACCCAAAGTCAAAAGCTAGCTAGGAAGGAAAAATCTCATTCCTACAACTACAAAAAACAGAATTTTATCAACTTGAATGAACTTGGAATCAGATTATTTCACAGACTCAGGAGTCTGAGGCAGGAGGATCGCTTGAACCTGTGAGGCGGAGATTACAGTGAGACAAGATCGCACCACTGCACTCCAGCCTGGGCGACAGAACAAGACTCCGTCTCAAAACAAACAAACAAAAAAGAACGTAACTTAAGAAAAAAATCAAGTAAAATTAAACAATAAAACCTTACTGATTAACATGAAGGAAGACTTGATTAAATGAAGGGTATTCTATGAATATTCAACAGTAAAGATAGACTTTCTCCTCTAAATTAATGCCATCTCAATTAAAATAGTCATGTTAATATTGACTTTGTAAAATGTTTATAAAATTTATCTGTAAAAAATAGGAATAGTTTATTTTGCTCTGCAGAGTGAACAGGCAACCTACAGAATGAGAGAAAATGTTTGCAATCTATCCATCTAACAAAAAACTTAATAGAATACACAAAGAACTTAAATTTACAAGAAAAAAATCAAAAAGTGGGCAAAGGATGTGAACAGACACTTCTCAAAAGAAGACATTTATGCAGCCAACAGACACGTGAAAAAATGCTCATCATCACTGTTCATTACAGAAATGCAAATCAAAACCACAATGAAATACCATCTCATGTCAGTTACAATGACAATCATTAAAAAGTCAGGAAACAGATGCTGGAGAGGATGTGGAAAAATAGGAAGGCTTTACACTGTTGGTGGAAGTGTAAATTAGTTCAACCATTGTGGAACATAGTGTGATGATTCCTCAAGGATCTAGAACCAGAAATACCATTTGACCCAGCAATCCCATTACTGGGTATATACCCAAAGGTTTATAAATCATTCTACTATAAAGACACATGAACAGGTATGTTTATTACTGCACTGTTCACAATAGCAAAGACTTGGAACCAACCCACATGCTCATCAATGATAGACTGGATAAAGAAAATGTGGCACATATACACCATGGAATACTATGCAGCCATAAAAAAGGATGAGTTCATGTCCTTTGTAGGGACATGGATGAAGCTGGAAACCATCATTCTCAGCAAAATATCACAAGAACAGAAAACCAAACACCACATGTTCTCACTCACTGGTGGGAGTTGAACAATGAGAACACATGGACACAAGGAGGGGAATGTCACACACTGGGGCCTGTCAGGGGGTAGGGGGCTACTAGGGGAGGAATAGCACTGGGAGAGATACCTAATGTAGATAACAGGTTGATGGGTGCAGCAAACCACCATGGCACGTGTATACCTATGTAATAAACCTGCACGTTCTGCACATGTACCCCAGAACTTAAAGTATAATTTTTAAAAATAGGAATAAAAGTTACCAAGATAAAACTTTTAAAGGAAAATAGATTTGGAGGGTTTGCACTGCCAGGTATTAAAATGCATAATAAACATACAACAATGGCAACAGTAGAAGAGGTGAATGGTATTGTCAGTTAACTGAATTAGTTTTCTGTTGCTACTGTGACAAATTACCACCCACTTAGTGGCCTAAAAAAACACACATTTATTGTCTAGACCTCTGTTCTAGAGGTCAGAAGTTCAAAATGGGTTTGCTAGACTAAAATCAAGTATTGGCATACTGAGTTCCTTCTGGAGGCTTTAGGAGATAATGTATTTCCTTCCTTTTTTGGCTCCTAGAGTCTCCTTACATTCTTTGACTCTTGGACCCTTCCTACATCTTCCAAGCAAGCTTCTTCAAAGCTAGCATCTTCGAACCTCCACGGCATCATTTTGATACTCTATATTTATTCTCACAGCTTCTCTATTAAGGAACCTTGTGACTACACGGGGCCCATCTGGATAATCCAGGTTAATAGCCCATCTCAGTATCCCCTCTTTTTCTTAATTACATCTATGAAGTCCTTTTTACCTTGTTCTGATGTTCTAGGGATTAGGGGTGAACATCTTTTAGGGTCATTATTCTAGTACCTGCCAAATTACACCCCAAAATTTATGTGTTTTTTAGAACTTTTTTGTAAATAGCATATGACTGTAAATAAATTTAATATGAAATATGAATATTATAAATTTAATATGAAACATAAAATAGGTAGTAGCCACCACCCCATCAAGATAAAAGTCATTCCTCTCATTTCAAGGGTTCTGTCATGCACCATGTGAGTCAACTTCTTCCACCATCCCTAGGCAAACATTGATGTTCTGTCACTGTAGGTTAAATTTGTCTTTCTAGCATTTCATAAAAATAGAATCATAGAGCATGTACTCTTTTTTATGTCTTGTCTCTTTCATGGAGCAGACTGTTTTACAGTTTAAGCATTGCTATATGTATCAGTAGTCTGTTCTTTTTTATTGCTGAATAGTATTTCACGGTACAGATTTATCATTGCTTTACTCATTGTGATAGGCAGACTTCTATGAATGGCTCCCAAAGATCCTCACTCTTGTAAAAATTCCCTCCTCTTCAAGTGTAAGTGGAACCTGGGCATATGAGGAGATATCACTCTTACAGTTATGTTGCATTCCATGGCAAAAGGGCATTATTTCAGAGAGTCAAATTGAAGCACAGGAGTCCTTTAAATGAAGGTTTTTAGTGGCTGGTTTACAGAAGTCAGAGATTTAAAACGCAAGGGGGTTGAACTTGCCATTGCTATCTTTAAAGAAGGAGTAGACACATACCATGGACTTGGGGTAGCTTTTAGGAACCAACAGCAACCCAAAGCTAGCTAGAAAGGAAAAACCTCATTCCTACAATTACAAAAAAAAAAAAAAAAAGAATTTTATCAACGACTTGAATGAGTTTGGAAGCAGATTCTTTCGCAGACACTTCAGATGAGAGTCCATCCTTGATTTTGGCCTTGTGAGACCTTAAGCAAATAATTTAGCTAAGTCTGTCTGGACTTCTGACCTACAGAACTATAACATGATATACAGATAGACACTGCTTTACACCAGTGTTTGGGATAACTTTTATGCAGCAATCGTAAACTAATATACTCATTAACCTGTTAATGAATATTTGAGTTGCTCTCAGTTTGGGCTATTGTAAATAAAGCTACAATAAACTCTTGTTTAAATCTTGTTTTTCATTTTGCTTGGATAGATATGTAGAAATGGGATTGCTGAGTTACTCTGTAAGAGTATGTTTTTCTCTATAAAAAATTGCGAATCAGTGGTTGCACTGTTTTGTATCCCCATCTGCGATGCAAGACAGTTCCATTTATTCCACATCCTTGACAACACTGTATTGTCAGTGTTTTTTATGTTAGGCTGTTTTGTGGCATGTAGTAAGGATCGTCATGACATTCTAAAGGAGGAAAACTTTACCTCCACCCTCTTATGGTCTCCAAGTAGGCCAGAGGATTTAGTTGGCATAAAACAGATGAACAGGAAAAAAGACTCTCTAAAGAAAATCTATTAAAATGTACAGAATTTTACATGTATGTGGGAGTACCCATAGGAAAATGAAGACCCAAAAAGCAGTTAGAGCTGAATGTTTACATACTAAATTGGACGAGTAGTAAATTGTGAAAACCTGACAAAACACAGGGACATGGGCTAGGATATTTAATTACGGAGAAGTGACTAGAGATATTGAGGGTTAGTTTACCAAGGTTGCTTTGTGCAGATTTTCCTTGGCTTAGACTCCCCATCTTTGGTGATAAGAGTATCCTTCTTCCTCCTGATATAGGGATACTATCTTTTACATGGGAGTTTCATCTCTTGCTTTCAAGAAGAAAAAGGAAGATCAGATTGCCCTTGTTGCATCTGCTATTTTCTTAAGTGCCTTTAACTCAAAATGATTCTTATGCCAAAACGGAATATTTGGGCCACCTTTCAAAATGATTACTATATGTCTTTAATTTTAGCATCTTTTAATGTACTTATTGGACATTTGTATGTTTTATGTGAGTATAATTTCATATTCTTTTATTATTGAAACATGAGTTTATATAGTTTTAATACGTGGCCTTTGTCAGGTATACTGTGAATATAATTTTCCAGCTTCTAGCTTGTCTTTTTATTTTTCTTAATGTCTCCCAACCAGCAGAAATTAAAAACTTTAATAATTTAAAAATCATTAAAGTCAAATGTATTTGTTAATAAAGTCAAATTTTTTATTTTTTAAACTTAAGGTGAGTATTTTAGTGTATCCTTGCCTTAGGAATCTTTGCCTCCCCTAAGACTGGGAAGATTTTCTCCTATATTTCCTTCAAGAAGTTTTAGAGTTTCACAGTTTGTATGTTATACAGTTTGTGTGAAATTTAGTATCTTTCACCAGGTATGTTAGGCAGGATTCTAAGTTTTCCCTGAAGATTTCCCATCTCCCTGGTGTACACAGCCTATGTAATTCTTGGATCTGTGAACCTGATAAACTTTACTTCTGTTAAGTTATGTATATGGTACAGTTGAGTCGAAAATAAAGAAATTATCCAGTGAGTCTGACCTGATCACATGCATACTTTAAAAGCAAAGAGTTGGGGGAAAAAAAAACAGAGTTTGTTGGTGCTGGCAAAATGGCAGAATAGGAACAGCTCTGGTCTGCAGCTCTCAGTGAGACCAATGCAGAAGGCAGGTGATTTCTACATTTCCAACCGAGGCACCCTCCTCATCTCATTGGGACGGGTTAGAGAGTGGGTGCAGCCCATGGAGGGCAAACAGAAGCAGGGTGGGGCATCCCCTCACCCAGGAAGTGCAAGGAGCAGAGGAGCTTCTCTTTCCCCACCAAGGGAAGCCATGAGGGACTGTGATACCTGGCCCCTCTGGGGTACTATGCTTTTCCCACAGTTTTTGTAGTTCACAGACCTGGAAATTCCCTTATGTGCCTATACCACTGGGGCCCTAGATTTCAAGCACAAAACTGGGCAGCTGTTTGGGCAGATGCTGAGCTAGCTGCAGTAATTTTTTTTCTCCCCCCATACCCCAGTCGCCCCTGGAACCGGGGCAAAACAGAAGCATTCACTCCCCTGGAAAGGAGTCTGAATCCAGGGAGCCAAGTGGTCTCACTCAGTGGGTCCCATTCCCAAAGAGCCCAGTAGGCTAAGAACCACTGGCATGAAATTCTTGCTGCCAGCATAGCAGTCTGAAGTTGGCCTGGAATACTCGAGCTTGGTCGGGGGAGGGGAGTCCGCTATTACTGAGGCTTGAGTATGCGGTTTTCCCCTGACAGCGCTAAGAAGACTGGAAGGTTTGGACTGGGCCAAAAACAACACAGTGCAGTAAAGCGGCTGTGGCCAGACTGCCTCTCTAGATTCCTCCTCACTGGGCAGGGCATCTCTGAAAGAAAGGCGGCAGTCCCAGTCAGGAGCTTATAGATAAAACTCTCATCTCACTGGGATGAAGCATCTGGGGGAAGGGGCAGCTATGGGTGCAGCTTCGGTGGACTTAAAAACATTCCTGCTTGCCAGCTCTGAAGAGAGCAGCGGATCTCCCAGCACAGCACTTGAGCTCTACTAAGGGACAGACAGCCTCCTCAAGTGGGTACCTGACTCCCGTGCCTCCTGACTGGGAGACACCTCCCAGCAAGGGTCAGCAGACACCTCATGAAGGGAGAGCTCCAGCTGGAATCAGGCCAGTGCCCGTCTGGGATGAAGCCTCCAGAGGAAGGAGCAGGAAGCCATCTTTGCTGTTCTGCAGCCTCTGCTGGTGATACCCAGGTAAATAGGGTCTGGAGTGGACCTCCCCCAAACTGCAACAGACCTGCAGAAGAGGAGCCTGACTGTTAGAAGAAAAACTAACAAACAAAGCAATAACATCAACATCAACAAAAGGAACCCTCACACAGAAACCCCATTCAAAGGTTAACTCAAAGATCAAAAGTAGATAAATCTGTGAAGATGAGGGAAATCCAGCTCAAACAGGATGAAAATTCCAAAAACCAGAATGACCCCTCTTCTCCAAATGATCATACTCCTCTCCAGCAAGGGCACAAAACTGGACAGAGAATGAGTTTGACAAATTGACAGAAATAGGCTTCAGAAGATGGGTAATAACAAACTCCTCTGAGCTAAAGGAGCATGTTCTAACCCAATGCAAGGAAGCTAAGAACCTTGACAAAAGGTTATAGGAACTGCTAACTAGAAAAACCAGTTTAGAGAAGAACGTAAATGACCTGATGGAGCTGGAAAACACAGCGTGAGAACTTCATGAAGCATATACAAGTATCAACAGCCAAATCGATCAAGCAGAAGAAAAGATATCAGAGACTAAAGATCAACTTACTAAAATGAGGTGTGAAGACAAGATTAGGAAATAAAAAAGACTGAAAATGAACCAACAAAGCCTCCAGGAAATAAGGGACTATGTGAAAAGACCAAACCTATGATTGACTGGGGTCCCTGATAGTGATGGGGAGAATGGAACCAAGTTGGAAAACACACTTCAAGATATTATCCAGAACTTCCCCAACCTAGCAAGACAGGGCAACATTCAAATTCAGGAAATACAGAGAACACCACTAATATACTCCTTGAGAAGAGCAACCACAAGACACATAATCGTCAGATTCTCCAAGGTTGAAACAAAGGAAAAAATGTTAAGGACAGCCAGAGAGAAAGGTCAGGTTACCTAAAAGGGAAGCCCATCAGACTAACAGTGGATCTCTCTGCAGAAACCCTAAAACCCAGAAGCGAGTGGGGGTCAATATTCAACAAAGAATTTTCAACCCAGAATTTCATATCCAGCCATCTAAGTTTCGTAAGTGAAGAAGAAATAAAATCCTTTACAGACAAGCAAATGCTGACAGATGTTGTCACCACAAGGCATGCCTTACAAGAGCTCCTGAAGGAAGCACTAAACATGGAAAGGAAAAACCAGTACCAACCACTGCAAAAACACACCAAAATATAAAGACCAAGGACACTATGAAGAAATAGCATCAACTAATGGGCAAAATAATCAGCTAGCATCATAATGGGATCAGATTCACACATAACAATATTAACCTTAAATGTAAGTGGACTAAATGCCCCAATTAAAAGAAACAGACTGCCCAATTGGATAAATAGTGAAGACTCATTGCTGTGCTGTATTCAGGAGACCCATCACACATGCCAAGACAGACATAGGCTCAAAATAAAGGGATGGAGGAATATTTACCAAATGGAAAGCCAAAAAAAAAAAAAAAAAAAAAAAACAAAAAAAACAGAAAAAAAGAAAAAAAAAAACTGCCAGGGGTTGCAATCCTAGTCTCTGCTAAAACTGACTTTATACCAACAAAGATCAAAAAAGACAAAGAAGAACATTACATAATGGTAAAGGGATCAATGCAACAAGAAGAGCTAATGATCATAAATATATATGCACCCCATACAGGAGCACCCAGATTCATAAAACAAGTTCTTAGAGACCTACAAAGAGACTTAGATTCCCACACAATAATAGTGGGAGATTTTAAAACCCCACTGTCAATATTAGACAGATCAACAAGACAGAAAATTAACAAGGTTATTCAGGACTTGAACTCAGGTCTGGACCAAGCAGACTTAATAAACATCTACAGAACTCTCCACCCCAAATCAACAAAATATACATTCTTTTCAGCACCACATAGCACTTATTCTAAAACTGACCACATAATTGGAAGTAAAACACTCCTCAGCAAATGCAAAAGAACAGAAATCATAAACAGACTCTCAGACCACAATGCAATCAAATTAGAACTCAGGGTTAAGAAACTCACTCAAAACCACACAACTATATGGAAACTGAACAATCTGCTCCTGAATGACTACTGGGTAAATAACGAAATTAAGGCAGAAATAACGAAGTTCTTTGAAACCAATGAGAACAAAGACACAACGTAGCAGAATCTCTGGGACACAGCTAAAGCAGTATTTAGAGGGAAATTTACAGCACTAAATGCCCATATCAGAAAGTGGAAAAGATTTAAAATCGACACCCTAACATCACGGTTAAAAGAACTAGAGAAGCAGGAGCAAACAAATTTAAAAGCTAGCGGAAGACAAGAAATAACTAAGATCAGAGCAGAACTGAAAGTGACAGAGACACGAAAAACCCTGCAAAATAATCAATGAATCCAGGAGCTGGTTTTTTGAAAAGATTAAGAAAATAGACCGCTAGCCAGACTAATAAAGAAGAAAAGAGAAAATCAAATAGACATAATAAAAAATGATAAAGGGACTATCACCACTAATCACACAGAAATACAAACTACCATCAGAGAATACTATAAACACCTCTATGCAAATAAACTTAAAAATCTAGAAGAAATGGATACATTCCTGGACACATACACCTTCCCAAGACTAAACCAGGAAGAAGTTGAATCCCTGAATAGACCAATAACAAGTTGTGACATTGAGGCAGTAATAGCCTACCAACCAAAAAAAGGCCCAGGACCAGATGTATTTACAGCTGAATCCTACCAGAGGTAGAAAGAGGAGCTGGTACTGTTCCTTCTGAAACTATTTCAAACAATAGAAAAAGAGGGACTCCCCTTTAACTCATTTTATGAGGCCAGCATCATTCTGATTCCAAAACCTGGCAGAGACACAACAAAAAAAGAAAATTTCAGGCCAATATTGCTGATGAACATCGACGTGAAAATTCTCAATAAAATACTGGTAAAGCAAATCCAGTAGCACATCAAAAAGCTTATCAACCACAGTCAAGTCGGCTTCATACCTGGGATGCAAGGCTGGTTCAACAAATACACAAATCAACAACTGTAATCCATCACATAAAAAACCGATGACAGAAACCACATGATTATCTCAATAGATGCAGAAAAGGCCTTCGACAAAATTCAACACCCCTTCATTCTAAAAACTCCCAATAAACTAGGTATTGATGGAATGTATCTCAAAATAATAAGAGCTATTTATGACAAACCCACAGCCAATATCATACTGAATGGGCAAAAACTGGAAGCATTCCCTCTGAAAATCAGCACAAGACAAGGATGCCCTCTCTCACCTCTCCTATTCAATATGGTATTGGAAGTTCTGGCCAGAGCAATCAGGCAAGAGAAAGAAATAAAAGGTATTCAAATAGGAAGAGAGGGAGTCAAATTGTCCCTGTTTGCAGACAACATGATTGTATATTTAGAAAACCCCCCTGTCTGAGCCCAAAAACTCCTTACGCTGATAAACAATTTCAGTAAAGTCTCAGGATACAAAAATCAATGTGCAAAAATCACAAACATCCCTATACACCAGTAACAGACAAACAGAGAGCCAAATCATGAGAGAATTCCCATTCACAATTGCTACAAGGAAAATAAAATACCTAGGAATAC
Source organism: Homo sapiens (assembly GCF_000001405.40). NCBI lineage: Eukaryota > Metazoa > Chordata > Mammalia > Primates > Hominidae > Homo > Homo sapiens. The sequence continues at coordinate 78,523,378 of NC_000012.12, forward strand.
AACTTACAAGGAACATGAAGGACCTCTTCAAGGAGAACTATAAACCACTGCTCAAGGAAATAAGAGAGGACACAAACAAATGGATAAACTTTCCATATTCATGGATAGGAAGAATCAATATTGTAGAAATGGCCATACTGCCCAAAGTAATTTATAGATTTAATGCTATTCCCATCAAGCTACCATTGACTTTATTCACAGCACTAGAAAAAAAAAACTTTAAATTTCATATGGAACCAAAAACGAGTCTGTATAGCCAAGACAATCCTAAGCTAAAGGAACAAAGCTGGAGGCATCATGCTACCTGACTTCCAACTATACTACAAGCCTACAGTAACCACACCAAAAGAGATATATAGACCAATGGAACAGAACAGAAGCTTCAGAAATAACACCACACATCTACAACAATCTGATCTTTGACAAACTGACAAAAACAAGCAATGGGAAAAGGATTCCCTATTTAATAAATGGTGCTGGGAAAACAGGTTAGCCATATGCAGAAAACAGAAACTGGAGCCCTTCCTTACACATTATACAAAAATTAACTCAAGATGGATTAAAGACTTAAATGTAAAACCTAAAACTGTAAAAACCATAGATAAAACCTAGGCAATTCCATTTAGAACACAGACATGGGCAAAGACTTCATGACTAAAACACCAAAAGCAATTGCAACAAAAGCCAAAGTTGACAAATGGGATCTAATTAAACTAAAGAGCTTCTGCCAGCAAAAGAAACTGTCATCAGAATCAACAGGCAACCTATAGAATGGGAAAAAATTTTTGCAATCTATTCATCTAACAAAGGGCAAATATCCAGAATCTACAAGGAACTTGAACAGATTTACAAGAAAAAAACAACCCCATCAAAAAGTGGACAAAGGATATGAACAGACACTTCCCAAAAGAAGACAATTATGCGGCCAACAAACATGAAGAAAGGTCATCATTGGTCATTAGAGAAATGCAAATCAAAACCACAATGAAATACCATCTCATACCAGTTAGAATGGCAATCATGAAAAAGTCTGGAAACAACAGGTGCTGGCGAGGATGTGGAGAAATAAGGATGCTTTTACACTATTGGTGGGAGTGTGAATTAGTTCAGCCGTTGTGAAAGACAATGTGGCTATTCCTCAAGGATCCAGAACCAGAAATACTATTTGACCCAGCAGTCCCATTACTGGGTATATACCCAAAGGATTATAAATCATGATGCTATAAAGACACATGCACACGTATGTTTATTGCAACACTATTTACAATAGCAGACTTGGAACCAACCCAAATGCCCATCAATGACAGACTGGATAAATAAAATGTGGCACATATACACAATGGAATACTATGCAGCCATGAAAAAAGATGAGTTCATGTCCTTTGCAGGGACATGGATGAAGCTGGAAACCCTCATCCTCAGCAAACTAACGCAGGAACAGAAAACCAAACACCTCATGTTCTCACTGTTAAGTGGGAGCTGAACAATGAGAACACAAGAACACAGGGAGGGGAACATCACACACTGGGGCTATTGTGGGGTGGGGGAAAAGGGGAGGGAGAGCTTAGGACAAATACCTAATGCATGTGGAGCTTAAAACCTAGATGACAGGTTGATAGGTGCAGCAAACCACCATGGCACATGTATACCCATGTAAAAAACTTGCCTGTTCTGCACACGTATCACAGAACTTAAATGAAAAAAAAAAGCAGAGACTTTTCTCTGGAGGAGATGAGGGAGTCAGAGGGCATGATTGTGTGAGCAACTAGAGAGGGAAGTGACTTGAGGAAGGTTCTTCTTTGCTGAGACAGAGACAACCATGAAGCAAGGGTTGGAGACTGGCCTTCAGGAGCTGATGCTGTTCACTTCTTCTTTCTTTTCAGGAAAAGAATCTGTGACTCCAAGAGATTAATGAGCTTATCCACTGTCACAGTGCTATTAAATAACACTGATTACAAATTCAAAATCATTTTTTACTGATTACAAATAATGTCTTTCCATTCTGCCATATTAGCTTCCACGGGTTTCATCTGTCAACTGTGATGTCTAAGATGCAATCATCAAGATCTAAATATAATTAAATTTTTTTAATATAAGACTATCACACAGTGCAAAGAGATACTAAACTAATATTTGAATACTTAAGAAAGAGTGAATAAAAGGGTCTAGAAACTGTTTACTAAGTTTTAAGTACCAACATTGCCCACCATATGATGTTGTACACTCTTCCACTGGTTCTGAGATTCCTGTTAAAACATTGAAGAATGATTACATAATAATTGACTCTCTTTGTTCTCTAAGGTATATATGGATCACCTGAGGATTAAACTGTAGATTAAACTGTAGATTAGGGTTAATAGTTTAAAGATAGGCCTCAGTCTGCATTTCTAATGAACTCCTTGCTAATGGAGATGCTACTGTTCCACAGAACACACTGAATTAGTGCATTTGTTAAAAACTAAAAATGATAGCGAACTTGAATTTGACATAGAGTATAGGAAGGTCCCAACAGAAGTAAAGCCATTCAGTGTTCCCAGTGACACCAATGTACCCATGTATGAAGGGATCCCAAATATTCAAAAAAAATTATTTATATAGATTTTTTGAAACTCACCTATAAAAATCAAGTTTCACTAGAACGAAGTTGGTGGTGGCAAAAGACCTATTTGTAGTACCCTGAGATGATTAGGACTTAAGATAGTATGAATATAAAGTTAACCTTGAGAAAAGGGAACATATTGTCTACTATAGTTTCATTTTTTAGGTCTTTGAAAAATAAACAATATTCACTCATCTGTTTCATGGCTAACTTTTAATGACAAAGTTAATTTAGTGCTAATTTGTGATATAATTAATAGCTTCTAATCCTTCGATTAGACAAAGATTAGTTAACAAGGAGTTCATTAAGCTCTGATAATAAATTCAATCCCTGGATTATGCTTTTAGTTTGAAATACAATATGGGTGAGACATTTCCATCTCTCATTTAATCAAATGCAGAAAAATGCTGCCACACTTGAAAACTCTTGAATATCTTTTTTGGTTGGTTGGTTTTTAGATAAAAGTGTATTGAACTGATTACAAAGCATTCTTAAAACTCACAGATTTGTACAATGGAGTGTATACTTCTTATATTGATGATATATTTATCGGAATATATTGGTTTTATGGAAAATGTCCCATGGTATAAGTATACATTTAATATAACATCTTCAATAACAGCATCTTAAAGTTTCGGCTGAAATGTACTATGATATGGAGTTTTATTAAATACATTTGTGAATATAAATGTATACATTTTTCTCTAGAAAGTCAAATTCTGAGTATCTCAAATTGATGCAATTTGATTAGTCTCTTAGGGAGAATTTAGGGCTTAGGTATTGCTGGGACAAGAACTGTCTCTGGGGAGAAAATTAGTTTGACTTACACAGAAAATTTCATATAGAATAACCTGTTATTTGAACGAAGACTTTTTTTATAAGCAGTGCCTCAAAAATCCAGGTGGAGTGTTATTTACCAAAGATTGAAATTTTAGGAGCTAGTTTATGATGTTTGTAAAGAAAGCAAAGACAGATAATTTATCTCATTCTATTACTCTCCTTTATGTCTTTGCCATGTCATCTGACATTCTATTTATGTTATTAAAAAATGAAGTTCAAGAATGCAAATTAGATTGCCAGGGATGAAAATATGTTTTTTAATTGAATTTGAACTCTTGATCCACTTTATTCTCTTAGCATTTGAATAATCAACATTCCTTTTTATGACAATTCTCCTGAGCCATGGCAGCTGACGTGTCTAAGACAGTAGTTTTCTCCAACTTCTTTAAGAGTTTTCAGATCTATATAGAGATCATTTTTCTCATTGTCAATAAGTGGTAAAGAAAGGCCTTAATGGTAATTTCCCATTAGCTTTATCTTTAGAAGGTCAGTGCAGTGCAATTCAAACAACAGTTTTAAAGTCAGATTTTTGTAAATTTCCTGTTTACTAACTGCATGGACTTATACAATTCTCTACTGCTCAGTTTTATCAATTAGTAATTAATAATACATAATACATATGTCTTACATATTAATGATTATGTAAAATTGTGTATGTAACAGGACATCTATAAAACACCTAGCACAATTTCTGTTCCATAGTGCTGTGTGATAAATGTGTTCATAGTCTTTCTCTTTTTTCTTTTATTTCTCTCCTTTAAATTTATGAAGTCCTTACTAAGATAACTTGTATTAGTTATCAATAATCTATATTTGGTAAAACACTTTGTAGGTTTATTTTCCAGTCCATCAGATTATACTTCCCATTCTATATTGAAAAAGAAACAAAACCTAATCCTAGTGTGAATCATGTTAAAAGAAAACTATGTTCATGTGAGTGAGGAGACATTCATAAACTTCCTCAAAATGCATTTTATTTATAAACATAATTTTGAAATATTTAATAGCTTTTCTCTTTCAATCAATTTCATTGAACAAATGTTTCTTAGTTGTTTTGATGTCAATTCTATTCAAATTTTTCCTCCCACTTATTTTGATATAACAGTGATTGTCTCAATAATGCATTTTTTGGAATATAGCCCCTACTTGATAATGCTAGTTTATGCTAAGAAAACATTTTCATATAGACCATTGGTAGGTAGGTACAAGGACCATCAGGGGAACAACTAAATAATGGCAAAGTATTTTAGTAGAAGACAAGCAGGCTAATGATATGGATTTTCATCTTGCTCTAGCATATTTCTATTTAAAACACCATTAGGAAACATTTCTCCATAGATCCCCTAGATCCCCCAGGGACCCCCATCCTCCATAGATCACCCACAAAAATGAATTGATGTATTATTTGGAAATTCTTTCATTCAAAAATATTTATTGAGCCCTGACTCTGTGCCAGATATTGTTGGAGCACTTAGGATGCATCAGTGTCCAAAACAGACTATAATCTGTTATAAAATATACAGAGCTTACATTTTGCTGCATGATGGTGAGATAAGCAATAAGTAGTAAACATAATAAATAAAATATACACTTTGTTTAAAAGTGATAGATGCTTTGAAAAAGAAAGAAGAGCAGCTAAGAGGGTACAAAACCACTGTGAAAGTAGGTGGGTTGCAGTTGACCAATGGATGATGACTTTAAGATTATATTAAACAATATACTAGGAAGTCAACAAATGAGACCAGAACTAGGAAAAGACTGCATTCAAATACAATGAAAAAAAAAATCATTGCTTGTTATGCCAGTTAATGTTCTCAGTTGAAAACAGCTCAGAAATGTATTAAGGTACATTAGGTAGCCCAAAGTATCTTCCAGAGATCCAAAACTCAGCCAGGAAAATTTCCTAACCATGCCATATGATCTGTTGTAGAAAAAAAATTGCCACCACATGCAACCAGCACAAATAACACAGTTGTTGGAGTCAACACAGTTTGCACAGATGATACGAATGACCTAACCACAAATTTCCACCACTACTACCTTCAAAGGGTCGTACTCTTTCACCACCGTGCTCATGGAAAGATGGATTCTGTACATGTCTCCTTCTTTCTCCTGCTTATCTCATTAAAGGTTCCTGTTGTTTCTTCTAGCTGGCTCAAACAGTTTTGTCTAGTTGGCAGAGCCTAGGTCACTTCCCTGTGCTCTATCTGTAAGTAGGGATGGCACAAGAAATCCTGGAATCTACCATAGCAGGATAGGACTCAGAGTGGAGGAAATGCTCTAAGTACCCAAGAGGCATTTAAATGATTTGGGGCAAGCCAAACATGACAAATATCCACTACAGCTAAAAATCACTGATTAACTTTTGAGTCATATAATTTTATTTTTATTCTTTACCTTACTCTTGACTATAGTTCCCCCCCACCCCACAGACTCATAATATTGTAGCTCTGTATATTTCAATAGCAAGATTTTAGAACATTTTAGTTTTCAAGGAACATGGATTTTTCTTTCCCAAAGGATAAAGGTAGAAAATCGGTTGATATTAATGATAATAGTTTTCATGGTTATTATATTTGAATATCTGGAAAAAGGTGAGAGAAGTTCTCTTGAGGAGTACAAACCAGTTATAGTTTAAACAAAACACACTAGAGTTTGATAGGCTATAGGAAGTAGATGCTTTAGTTAAGCTATCTCCCTTTTAATATATTTATTTCTTCACAAAAACAGATTAATAATATATTCCTCTCAGTCACAACTTGTACTATTAAAGAATCATTTATTGAAATGTTCTTAAAAATTATGTGAAGTTGTGAAAAATCAGTTATAGAATTATATATTATAAACCTCAAGTAGATACATTAGTTATGATTTATGAACTATGTTTATTCATAAATGAATAAATGAATTATTCATTTATGAATAATTTTCTATTCTCAAAGACCTTAGTTTTCCTCCCTTTCTTAATTCTAATTTTAATTATTTTCATCTATAAAATATTTATCATGAATTCTTAAATACAATATGTGTTTAAATGCTTTACCTATATTTATAAAGAAGTCAAGCAGATAATAGGTTGTATCATAATGGTTTCACCTCATTTAAGTAAAATGAAACTGAGCCAAAAACAGGAGTGAAATCTTTCCTGAAGACAGTAACAGAACAGTTTTCATTATATAGGTCATCATTAAAGAAAGGCAGGAAGGGAGACCAAGACTGTAAGTCAGAACTGGAAGAGTTGTATATGTGAATATGTTGAAGAACTGCAGGTAAATCACATTGGAGGGAGGCAGATCATTAAAGAATAAACCATTTAGCAACAAATGAACATACTGAAAGATGGAACATGTTTATTGAAGACAAATTCTTCTATTTCATTTCCAAGCGCAAGCTCTTAGGGGCTGCTATTATTCCCTGCAAAGAGTCACCCTTTTGCTCTCTAGGCTATTCAGGCCACAGCACCTGACTCTGCAGGAAGGATGAATTCTAATTGTGGCCTTTGAGAGATTGCAAAGCAAATGCTACTCACTTCCATAGACTTATTACTGGATGTTTCTATGCAAGACTGGCGGAAAATTGGGCCACGCATGAGTTCCTTTTGAATTAGCCAGACTACAACTTACCACAATTGAAAAGACTTTGTTGTAGTTGCCAAGGATGTTTGGACAAGCCAGATTTCCACATCTTCTCACAGGGGAATGCTGACATGTTTGTCACTTCCTAAATCAATCAGTAGCCTTGTTGTTTTGCAAACTTTACCAGTGGCAGATCTACACTCCCCAGAGATACTGAGAGCCTGGCTGAGAAGGCTGGGCAATCTGCAGAGATATGCACCGCAGACAGTTCTCCCTTGAGCTAAGAAACTTCAAACAATATTATGATGCAATGTCTTTGACTGTAAGCAAAGGAATTTTCAGAATAAAGCATTCTTATATGCTTGGCAGTATAATAAATGCAACATGCAGAGAGATTAATCTGATCATTATCCAAAGAATGGAATGGAAGAGAGAGCCTTGCCTGTCACACCTTTAACTCTGTCAAACACAGCAACAAAATAAAGCAACATCAATTTATTTGGAACACAATTTATCATTCTTGGTGTTTTCTCACATGTATCAGCTCATTTGACTGAAACAACCTCCCAAGTCTTGAGACAATATAGTATGTGACTGAGCACAGGAGTAAGACCCATAAGATATAGGTCCAAGACACAATTATATCTATCTGTGTGTCATTAGCATCTCAGTCACATTGTGTACAAGATAATGTGAGGATAAATGAGACAATGAATGAGCAAGTGCTTTGTAAAAGGCTCTACACATAGAAAGTGATGCTGTTATCGTTGAAGTGGACAATACCCTAGTAAGCCAGGCTGGATACTATGTTTTATCCAGCCTCAGGCTTAAGTGAAGATACGCAGAAATATAAGAAGGAAACCCAGTTTTTTAAAAAATACGGACCTCTGTGGACACCAGGGTGAAGTTTTTGAACTATTCTTATTTGGGGTTTAAACGAAAAGACGACCCTTAAAGCCTGGAGAAATCTAGGACATCTCAGTTACGTAAGCTACTCTTTGAAATGCAGCAATTATTTTTGGTCGGATAATACTGAAGGAAAGTTTTTGTAATTCTGTTGTATGTGGAACAAACAGTACCTGTTCAGGTACTGGGAATTGAATGATGCTTCTTTATTTGTAGAAACAGAAGCTATGAGGTGGCAGTTTTGACATGACTATAAAGCTATGAACACAAACAGAAAGAGAGAGATTATTTGACGGTTATTTTATTTTCAGAGAGCAGTTGAGTCTCAATTTCTCATAAAAATATTAAACGTGTATGCATGCATATGCCCATATATCACCAATACAAAAAAAAATGCTTACTATAGAGCAAGGCTTAGGAATTTGGATGAAATTGTAAACACTATTGAAGCTGCTCTAATTTTAAATTCCCTCTTGCAGCTGCAGCATCCTGCCCTAATCTCTATGAATACAACACATCCATTTAAATAAAAATAGTTATCTGCACCATTCTTCCCTTTACCAGCTGCGGTACTATCATAAGCCTTTGTTTATTCTCTATTATATATATGTAGAAATAAAGTCATTTAAAATTAAAATGATAATGTCCCCTTTTCCAGTCTCTAGATCCTGTCAAGTTTAACCTAATGTAAATTAATGTGACTGGTTTTATATTTAACAAACCAATAAATCTGTTCTTTCTATGAACTGGAGAGGAAACCTTTTCTGAGCAGGGGGCTTTTCTCTATTGTTCACAGCTTTTTTTTTTCTACAGTCAATTGGCTAGTTAGCGTCCTTTATAGTAGTTCCTGAACACCCTACAGTCTTTCTCTCCTCTTGTTTTTGTAAAACTTCTTCCTCTTTCTCCTATTCATCTTTGGAAAATCTGTCTTAACAACACTCCACTACATAGTTACTGCTCAGAGAGAGAAATCACTTTAGGTGCCTCTCTTTTGTGCTCCTTAAGCACCATGAGCCTCTATCTACAATAACATGCATTTAATTAGAGCTCAATTTGAGCAGAAGTCCTATCTGTATTTTCCCCATCATTGTACCCTTAGCACAGATCACACAGATGCTTGATTAAAACATAGTTGGACAAATGGAAGATGGGAATGAGTGTGCCACTGACTGCCTTGCCTGTGTGCTCTAATGCCTAGTACTCTGTTAGCACAGAGAAGGTGCTTAGTAAGAGATATGTGTTGGCCAGAAGAGGAAGACAACTGTGAGGGCACGAGAAAAGACAATCCATTCATTATTCTCATTGCCATTAGAATAAAGTTAGTAATACCTATGGCTGTTAAAGTTCATCTTGGTTCAAACCTTGCTTGTCTATCCTGCTTCATCTTTTGCCTCTTACCAGACATCTGCTTTCCCTGCACACCACTGCAAACTGCATAACTGCAGGCCTAATCATTCAAGCTCTCTCTTCGCCAAAACTTTGCATGTTATTTCTTCTATTAGAAAACCACTTCATAACTCCCTTACCTTGCTTCCTCAAACTTCGGGTGTTAGAATAGTTATTGCTTTCTCAGAAGACCCTTTCCTGATACACCAGAATAACATTAAATGAGTTTTTTTCATGTGCTCTTTTTGCGTACTGAGCTTACCCTGGTTTAATAGCCAGATTGTATCGCAAATTATGTGATTTCCAGATTTTAAACCCCTTTCTAATGTATGATTTCAAGTGCCATTTCAGTTAAGATAAAGCCCAAACTTCTCAACATGGAACAGAATGTTCTTGGGGATCAAACCACTATTTGGTATTCCAGCCTCATCTCAGCCTTAAGACCTTTGGCAATGATGTTCCTTCTATTTGAAAAATTCTTCTAGCTTTCCTGGATTTTTTTTCTTAACTTTTAGTCCTCTCTTAGAGCAAAGAGCCTCCTCTTTAACCCAGCAACTACTTAATTCCTAGTTCAAAATATCTGTTGTACAAATGGATGAACTAGCACTGTGCAGCTAACTATATTCTTTGACACAATCAAGGCACAAGCATATTAGATTTTAGTAAAATCTATTTATGTTTTTATAAAATCTTTAATATAAATCATATGCTTTTAAAAAGTCTGGTATCCTGCAGATGAATTATAGATTTATGTACCTGGTATAATACTTCTCTCTTCTCCTCCATTAGTCTGTAACAGTTAAGACCCAGAGATTTGCTATTGTTGTCACCTTCTATCAATTAAATCCTTCAACAAGGATATCAAGGAATTTAAAAGGGAAAATGTTGTTTAGCCCACTGGAGTTGAGAGTGCATAAATTTAATGCCCACATCAATAATTATGCAAGGTTATATTGTGGACAAATTGTATAAACTAGATGCTCATTGTTTTAATTAAACTCCAGAGCTATTCCAATTAAGACAGCTGTAGAATGATACGCAGGGAGAGAAAAATGAAAGTAGAGATTTTGAGTGTCTGAAGAAAAAAAAAAAGGATAATGGGGAAACTGAATAATCAATTTGATATTATATAACAAAGTCAACTTGAGAAGTCAGATTGCAGGAACTGTTTTTCTCAATTTTCTATACTGCAAAAATCATACTATATGGTTTAATGAGCCAGGTCTTCCTTGTGCCTAGGGAACAACCTGTAGGAAAGACTAAGAGCTGCTTAGTAAGCCTGCTGTGCAGATATGTGAAATGTTAGGAATACAAATTAAAATGTTACACAAAAGGCACTGGTGAGTCAGTGAAGGGATTTAAAAGAAGAAGTGAATAAAGTGTGATTATTTTGTTTGAGATTTAAGCTGATTGAAGTCAGGGATAATTAATAATGTCTCAGAAAAGATTTAGAATTATCATGGACTCTATCTTTTACAGACGTTAAGAAAATGACAGTATTCATATTCAGATCAACCACATATTAAACTCCTACTGTATGTCAGTTCAACTATTGCTTTTCTATATTTTACCTTTAATCTTCTCACAATCTTATGAGATTCAGATAGGTATTATTATTATTATTATTACCATTTTAAAGATGAGGAAATTAGCTGCCCCACTGTCACACACACATTAGGGGTCAGAATTGGAATTTGAATCAGGACACTGCATTCCAAAGACCAGGCAATTTTCTAGCCACAGGTCACATTGTTTAATTTATTATTCCTGACAATAATCATATTGAGTCAGTGCCATCGTCCTCATTTTATAGATGAGAAAACAGAAGCCCAGAAGAGTTCAGTAACTAACATAACACCATACCCTCAGGCAATGGTAAACCTGGAATTTGAACCTTGGTCTTTTTCAGTCTCAGGCAGTCTTTTTCCTTTTAGCTTAGCTTTAATGTGGTAACTCTGTCCTATTACTTGGGTAACTTTGTGGGTGAAATGGTAAAGAATCATTCATTTTTATATAATTAAGAGAGTTATTTTTAAATGTGTAAATACTGTATCTGGAAATTGTGGCTACACATAAAAGAGATTTCTTAAAGTAGATCTCACAGACCAGGCTTCAATTTCAGTCTGATTTTGCTCTTTGCAAGTAATTTCCACTTTAGGCATTTGAAATAAGCTGGTGCTGAGGACTATTGGGTCAAGTTGTTGAAATTCTGAATTGATTTATTGATTAATCTACTACAATAGAATCTTACCTATTTTGACTAAAAAGACCCGCCTTCTTTCCAGCTCTATCACTTTCTAAGCATGTGACATTGGGCAAGTTCCTTAATCTTTCCATGCTTCATTATATATTTATGATTCTTAGATCAGTGTTGGTACAAAGTAAAGGTTCTTCTTTTTCTTAAACCCTGCATCATCTCAGATACTTACAAATGAAAAAGGTGAAACACTTTATGGGGTCTAAGAAGTTAACCTGACTCTTCAAAGTGTTTTTTTCAAAGCTTCTGCTGAATTTTTGAACTTGTAAAGGGAAACCCAGACCTGAATTGACAGCAGGGGCATCGGAGAGTCAAATTTACTTGCATTAGGAAATGAGAAGGACACTTGTTAGTATCCTTGTGGGGTTTATGTTTGTATGTTTTTTGCTTTTAACAGGACAGAAAAGAAAAAGGGTGAATGAGTTACATAGAATCACTAAATCTCACAGTGGTCTAAGCACAAGAAATAATAATAATAATGTTATTCAACTGAAAGGTCTTTTTGTCCCTCTGATGTAAACAACATTCATTTTCCCCAAATTTTAGTCACACAGAAACCTTGGATAAACATAAGCGTAATATAGATATGAGAAAAAGTGCCATTGAGCTTCAGAGAAGAGATTGATGACATCTACATGGGATTTGAATTACTGGTAAATATGATGGGAGGACATTTCTGGCATAGGACAGGAATAGATCGATGAAAGCAATAAAGAAAAGGAAATGTATATGAAGCAATACTTTGCTGTTACTGGGAACTGGAGTGCCTAAAAGGAAGTAATCGGGATTAAAATCAGAAAAAATATGTAGGAAATATTGAATACCAGGCAAAGATATTTGAGTTTGTCAATAGTCAGCAGAGAGCCACTGGAGGATTTTGAAGAACTGATATGGTCAGAATTAACATTCAAAATACAAGATGATGAAGTCTTAGAGGTCTGCTGTATACACAATGTCTGTAGTTAACATATTGTGTACTGAAAATTTTGGTATGAGGGTAGATCATATATTGCGTTACTATTACTTCTACTACTAATAATAAATAAAGGGGGTAGGAGGAAACCTCTGGAGGTGATGCATAGGTTTACGACGTAGATTGCAGTGCTGGTTTCATGGGTGTATACAAATCCCCAAACTCAACAATCTGTATAAGTTAAATATGTTCACCTTTCCATATGTAAATCATACCTTAGTAAACTTTAAAAATAGTTAAACTTCAGTAAGATTAATCTGATAATAAGGTCTTGAGTGGGTTGGAGAGAATCTGGATGAGACAAGTTAGGAAACTGGGGCAACCTATTGGGGGGAAGATAAAGAGAATATGAACAAGCACAAGATGCAAGAAGGAAATGAGAAGCAGAATGAGAACCAGCAGGGCTTGGTCACCAATTAGAAATTGAAGGTAAAGAGAAGGAGTCAGAGATGATTTAATCCTGGTGTCAGTAAATAGAATTAAGGAAGCCAGAAAAAATGGACAGGATTGGGAAAAGGGAATTGAGTTTTGTATATACTGAATCTGAGGCTTAAGGAGAATATCAAAGCAAAGAAATCTAAGAGAAATTAGAAGTATAGTCAGGACTATCCATTTCTTCGGGGAAGAGCAAAAAAAGAATTTATTCTCCTTAGAGGGTTTTTGGTGTTTTTTTGTTGTTGTTGTTGTTGTTGTTGTTTTCCAGAAAAGATACAGTTTGATGTACTCAAAGAATACAAATGTTTAGGAAGGGAAAGGAACAAAATTATTTTTAAATGGTATTATATAACTGATCAGTATGATTGGAAAATACTTTAAATGCTTATAAAGCACATTTTTCTATTCCTAAACCACAGACATCTCTTATATATCTGTTGGAAGGCAATTTTAACTCATGTTTAAAAATGGAATGGTCAGAAATGACCATTATGACTCTTACAATCTAAATCTCATCTGTTTTAAGGCTCTTTACACTCTGCAGACACTTTATATTGTTAAATTACATCTTTTAGTCAAATCTTATTCATGCCTTACTATCATCTGTAGATCTGCTTCTGTATTAATCACTTTCAAATTTATATTTTACACTTAAATTCAAATTTTCTGAGATGTATTGCCAGAATTTTACCACTATTCCTTGACATGTTTAAAAGATTTTGATTCCTTTTTGTCTCATTGTATTTATAGCTTACTTCAGCATAACATTACTTTGATGTCTGCTTGAAATCACTTGGTAGTACACAAATTTAATGAAAACATTAATGACAAAACACAGAAAATTTCTTTTAACTTTTTGTGGTCTCAGAGGTTTGAGGGTGTAAGGTAAGGATTACTTAAGAACAATTAAAGTGGTATTTGGGAATGGTTTTCTTGTGGAGATCTGGCTTTAGGTATACATGGTAAACTACTGAGGTGATTTAAGTCTGCAGCATATCAAGTGTCCTAGTCACTTTGAACTGCTATTACAAAATACTGTAGACTGGGTGGCTTATAAACAACATAAATTTATTTCTTAAATTTCTGGAGGCAGGAAGTCTGAGGTCACTTGGGTGCCAGCATTGCCTGGTTCTAGTGAGGGCCCTCCTTCAAGTTACAGACAGCCTTCTTCTCCTTTTATCCTCACATGGTAGAAATATGGGAAGACAACTCTGCAGTCTCTTTTATAAGGACATTAATTCCTTCCAAAAGTTTCACCACTGAATACCATCACATTTTGCATTAGGATTTCAACATATGGATTTTGGGGGGACACAAGCATTTAGTGCACAACACCAGGCTCCTCCTTCTCTATATGTAGTTTTATGGTATAATTTTTTTATGGTATAAATATATTTATGGCAATTTTATTTGGAAATTAACTGTTAAGATATATCTAACTATACAGGAAATATTCTAGTCTCTTCCAACATCTACTTATAATTTGCTTTTCCTTGGACACAAGTCTACCTGATCATGCTTGTTTTCTTTGCCACATTTGAGGCAATGCTGTCCATCTTTTTCCTTTTTTAGAAATTAGTTCTCACTTAGGCATCAGCGACATTGAACACTGATGGTTTTCTCCTATCACTCTGAAGTACCTGGTGAACACCTGGTTGACGTTCCCTTTTTGATCTACACACCAATGAAATTTATCAACTTCCATGGCTCTATCCAGTCTCCTATAGGGATTCACCCATTTTCTTCCCTGGGGTATATGTTCTACATAGCCATCCTTGACCTTTCATAGGAAGGATATTCTATAACCATATCCTTCCCAATCTATGTCACTGGACTACTTTCTGTGTACTCTTACTGATCCCGTTACTGCTACTATAGACTATGCTATTATCTTTGCTTTGTAGATTGTTGAAATAAACTTCTAATTGATTATCTTATCCTATCTCTCATTACCTACCTTACTATGCCAAAGATATAGTCTAAGGCACATATGTGAGTATGCACACACTTCTTCCAGTACTTTCTTAACATGCCAGCCAAGGCCCTGAACAAATTTATCATAAACTCCTTTTCAGAGTAAACCCAAATCCTCTCACCCTAGCAATATGTACTCTTTACTGATGAGCATGCACCTTGAACCTTGTTTCTATTCCTTTGCTCATGGTCTTTCATCTTCCCAGGACATATTTCCACTCCCTTATATAAGTGTTACATAAGTTCATACCCATTTTTAAAAGCCTAGCATAAATTTCACCTCCTGTAGCTTTCTTTGATTCCTCTGTCAGAATCACTTTTTATCTTTCTCTGTGTTTCCACAGCTGTGTGTATTCACCCCAATCATAGAATTCATCACATTGTTTTTTAGGAATTTGTTTTTACATCTAGCTGCTTATAGAAAACTGAGAGCTGCTCACAGGTAGATATGCCTTATTTCCCTGTGACCTCAATGTCAAATACAGTCCTTAGCAGACTCCCAATAATAGGATAATGATTGTTTCACTATAAGAGGCACAGAAAAACCATCTCAGAAGGAGAATGGAGAACCAGACCCAAGAGGATTAAAAGCTATTTAACGTTAATATTATTCACAGAAATATTACTATGATCACGGAAAATGTCATTAACAGGATTGGGTTGGGGGAGGGAAGCTGCACCTCTTCTGGGGTGCTAGTTGTTATTGAGGAGGTAGTCCTAAGTTTATGTGGTAGGGAACATGGGAGCCAGAGTAGACAGATGAAGGTAGAAGTTAAAGTAACAGATCAGTTTTAGCAATAGAAGATGGCCTTTAAATTTTAAAAGGCTACTAATAAATCTGAGATTTCCAGAAATTCAGGACATACAGGCTGATACCAGCCACCCATTGGACGAGATTAAGCCTCTTTGCATTCATACATCTCCCTTCCCTGTAATATTTTTTGTGTTATTTCTTCTTTGTTCTTCCAGTTTGTGTTCACATCATTCCTCTACATATGACAAAAATGTGTCTGAGGTGGGAAGGGAGTAAGATTAGGGATGGCAACTAATAATTTCTTGAGACATATACGCTTTCCTCAGATGGATGTTTATTTTATATCAAAGAAGTAGTGCTGGCTACCTTGCCAAGTCAACCCCCAAATCTCAATGTTGAACACAATGGAGGGTTACTTTTTGCTCACATAAATTCCAGTTGGCCCTGGGGGACAGTAAAGTGTGTGGTATGTGCAGTAGAGGGGATTTCTGCTCCAAATAGACATTCAGGAACCCAATCTGTTAGAGATTTTGCTTTCTTCAACATAGAACCCAATCAACTGGACATTTCTAACTATAATGTAATCTAGAAATGAAGTCTAGCCATATACCCAGGAGAAAAGGGAATAGCTAATCTTTGCCGCAATATGCACAAGCGATGCTACCTAGAAGTGTCAAGAAGAAAGTTTGAACTATTATATCTGTAATCATATAGAAATATACATATGTGTATCTCTATATGTGTATATACATATAAAGCAACACAACAAATTCTGACAGAATATGCCTTTAAAGCATAATATCTAATAACATACTTTTTGAATGTCTCCATATGATATCAGTAGGCTATGCTTCAGTAAATTCATTTTATAGTTTGGAAGCAATGACTATATTACTTTTTTTTTTTTTTTTTGCTCATTCCTCTAAGAATAGAGTAGTGAGAACTTTAAATCACACTTGCCTAAGGATTCAAAAGTAAAGCTTTTGTGGGCGGAAGTATATTTATATACACATCATATAAATAATCTTATTTGTGTTTTGAGGCACTGAAAACAGCATAGAAAAGCAATACAGACATCTCATTGAGTGAATATAAAAAAACTTATTGTGAGTACACACGTTGCTGGAGTATTGAAGAGTAAATAATACAGATTTGCTTGATGTTTGCATAGCTCAGTCTGCAATTCTACAATGAGACATTTTACAGAAAAATTAATTTTTCAAAATAAATCACTTTGTCTAAGTCTAATAAACACAATATCAGATTAACCCATTTCTTTCTATAATACATTTATGTGTATACATATACACATATATGTAAATAGATATACGTGTGTATATATACATATACAAGTACATATATACATAGATACATATATGTACGTGTACATAGATACATATATGTACGTGTACATAGATACATATATGTACGTGTACATAGATACATATACTATATATATTTTACATATACATATATTTTACATATATTTATATATATATAAATATTCATACTACCTTCATAATTCTTGTACCTCAACCCTGGGCAATCAGTGAGCTCTAGTAGGAAGATCCAGCATCCAAGTTTGCAGTTGATGAAAATGAAACACAGGCCTCAGATTATTTTTCTTAGGGTTAAGTAGAGGGAAATAAGCCTCAGCATTTTCTTTTTTAAGTATAATCCCAGGACTTACTCTACTCTGTTGTAAGCGATTTCCCCACACATTGCACATACTTAATCGTAGAATTATGGGATTCCAGATTTGTTTATCTCTGCAACAAATCAGCAGTATGACTCAGAACTCGTATCACTGGGCCAATGTTCTGTGTGTTCCAGAACTGAAAGATGCTCGCCTTCAAAGTGGACTTCATGCCTTTCCTGTCGGTAACTCTGCATTCAATATGTCAACTTCAAGTTAAACTGTACCCCAAGAGCATAGTAAATGCATTTGATGCCTGGAGCGGTGAATGTCAATTAGTTACAAGTGTTCAAAAGGCTCCTGACAGGCAGGTTACATTATTTCTGAATGAGGATTTCCAATTGCTTTAAAGAGATTTTCAATAATATCAACAGGTGGCAAAACTGTTGAATTCTTTTGCCACTTATCTTTGCTACCATTCCATTAGAATCCTGTGCTTTTCTATGGTGTCTAACAAAGCCTAGTGCTGGCCTGCGTGTAATGAAAATTTTCTTTCCTTGTTTTCCCTGTGTTTTATTCTCACCAAAGTAGTAATAAAAGTACAAAGAAAACCTTTAATCACTTTCAGGAAAGGGTTTAAAAAGTCAAAATGACTTACAACAGCTTCTCAAATTTTCATAGACATAAAAATGAACTGAGGATTTTGTGAAAAGGCACATTACGTATGATTCAATAGGTGTTGAAATCACCTTAGATTGTGTATTTCTAATAAGATCCTAGATAATACTGTTGTTTCAGGTCTACAGACAAAAATTTGAGTGGCGAGGAATAATGTCAGTGGTCTACAAGACTAAAACTTGGGCACTAGCCTAAAACGTGTCTATATATTTAGGTCTCTCATTTGCTGATTAGAATAAGGTAAAATATATTCTTTCAATATATAAATGTTGTTAGGCATATTTAGATCTACTAGTAGCCACTCATAATTGAACTTTAATCCCTGGCAATTAACAAGTTATAACAGAAAGGGCCAGCAGTCCCAGGAATGTAGCCTGGAGAGACTTATTCCTAAAATCTGGAGAACAAATGGAGCAAACTAGAAATTTGGTATAATAATTTACTTAATGGTTGTCTGATTCAAGAACCACAGTGAAATGTAGATCTATCTGTGCATCCCTAGTATTTAGCATAGTTCCTGGAACTTAGGTATTTCTTAGTAAATGCTGAATGAATTTTTTTAAAGTTCAATGATTTTTAATTGTCAAGAGATGTTAATAACAGAAGGCCTATTTCAATGGCCTAAATGAGTTGGAATAGGTTAATCTTCCTGCTAGAGATATTTTCCCCTACATAAGTATATTAAATAAAGGATGTGCTTTCCATCTTATCTAATATGAATCAGTTTGGCAAGAGACTCTTATTGTCCTCAAGAAATAATCCAAGGAAGAAATCACCAAATGGAAGATAGAGAAGATAACTTACATGTGATAAGTTAGAAAATAGAAGAAGGTAAAGTAGAGAATAAGATAATAAATTCTGGCTAATGAAATATGTAAAAAGTATTGTGTCTGGCATCAACTACACATTAAATATTTTAGTGAATGAACAGTTGTGATTTTCCTCCATAAAAGTTGAATCCATCTTTTTAGAGAAGAAACTCATTAGTTTCATAGTAGGGAAAGCAAATAAATTTGACTCCAGGAATAATATATATGTATATAGTGTAGTGTGTGTTGTTTCAGTGCTGAAAATTAGACACATAGCTGCAGATAATATACAAGAGAAATGTTCTTCTCATAGTAGTACTTGTCTAAGAGCTACCAAAACTGAACACTGTGTTACATCATAACAAGTTCAAATCACCTAAAGCTTATAAAGGACCATGCACTTTGAGAGACTCTGGGACACCAAACTCTTACTGGAACTAAATACTTTCCTGAGCAATGAACAATGGAACCTGTTTTAGTTAGCTGTGTTCAAACATACAGAATCATCTGAGACATATCTGGAATGCAAGTTTTCAATCCTTAATTTGCATAACCATCATGAACTAATTCTAACACTTTAAATCCCTCGAAATTTCTCCTTTGCCCAGGAGGTTAATAAACTAGCTATTTAAAAATCTCTGGTGTTCTTTGTTATTCTTTAACAATTGCTGGATTGGCCAGTTTCCATGAAGTTATATATTTGCTAAGGAGGAAAAAGGTTTAAAGCATCAGGCTGGGTGGCTCACGCCTGTAATCCCAGCAGTTTGGGAGGCTGAGGCAGGCAGATCACTTGAGGTCAGGAGTCTGAGACCAGCCTGACCAACATGGTGAAACTTCGTGTCTACTAAAAATACAAAAGTTAACCAGGCATGGTGGTGCACGTCTGTAATCCCACATACTCAGGAGGCTGAGACAGTAGAATCGCTTGAACCTGGAAGGCAGAGGCTGCAGTGAGCCGAGATCGCACCACTGCACTCCAGCCTGGGTGACGGAGAAAGACTCTGTCTCAAAATAATAATAATAAAGTATCAATTTAGTTGACAGTAGTCAGAAGGCAGAGATCAACAAATTTGCTGATGTATAGTTGAAAAAATTAGAGACGTCAGGCATCACTCCAAGATGTTGGGGCTTAGCAAAGAGAAGGTTGGAGTTGTCTTTAAAAGAGATAAGGAGGATTATGGAATGAGCAAATTTGAAGGGGAAAAAATGAGGAGTTCAGTTTTAGAAACGTTAATGTTGAGATATTTAACAGACAACCTAGCAGTGTCAAGTAGGAAGTTATAAATACGAATTTGATGTTCAAGGCAGAGGTCCAGGATGAAGTTATAACTGTGGGGGTCATCACCCTATAGACAGCATTTAATGGTAAGAGATTAGATTATATAATCAAGATATAAAAGAGAAAAGACTCAAATACTGAGACATGAGATGCTTCAGTATCAACAGGCTGGGGATATGAGTAGGAACCAGCAAAGGCACCTGTGAGGGAGCAGCTAATAAGGCAGAAGAATAATTACAGTAATTCTCAGGGAAAAAGGACTCCCAGTAGTACACAGGAGAATCTTACAGTAATTCAAAAGTGAAAGCAAGTGAGATGATGGAAATAAAATGTGTTTACAGAACTCTGTGTATCAATGTACAGAATATAAAGAGGGATACTTGGAAATATGAGTTATCGTCATGATCATTATTATTAACAAAGAAAATGTAAAAACAAGTATTAAGTTATACTTCATTAAGCTATGGACTTTAATCTACAAAAAGGATAATATTATTCAGATTTTATTTGAGGAAAATGAAGAAGAGGAAGGTAACCAACATTATCAAGGTCATTCAGGTATAGAAAACCGAAGAGGAGACAGAAGTAGCAACTGGAATTCAGACATCAACAGGAGCAGAAGGATATAAATTTAGAACATACATTTTAATTAATATGATCTTGTTAGAATAATATACATTCCACAGAATATATTAAATATAAGTACAGTTTAAAGAATGAGTATACTGCAAATATTAGTATATCCACCACCATGGGCATGAAACTGAATGTTGTCAGAACTCTAGAAACTTCTCAAGTGTCCTTGCAGATCAACCCTTACCTACCCATCTCAGAAATAACTACTATCCTGACTTTTGTGATAATAATTTTTTATTCTAAGTACTTTTTTCCGCTTATAGACTCCTAAACTGTGAAATCGTTTTGCTTGTTTTTGAACCTTACATAAACAAAGTCATTGCAATGAACTGAATGTGTGTGTCTCCACAATTCATATGTTGAAACCCTAATCCCAATGTCATAATATTTGGACGTGGAATTTTGGAGAGTTAATTGGGTCATGAGGTGTAGCACTAATCTCTCATGAATTAGTGCTCTTAAAATAAGAGGCCACAGAACTGGCTAGCTCTGTTTCCACCGTGTGAGTATATAGGGAAATCAGCAGTCTCTAACCTGAAACAGGCTACTAACCTCTTGACCATGCTAGCACCCTGATCTCAAACTTTCCAGCCTCCACCACTGAGAAAAATAAACTTTGTTGTTTATAAGTCCCCTAATCTATGATAGTTTGTTATAGCAGCCTGAACTGATGAAGACATTCCTATACTTTTCAGTATTTCAGGGGGAGAGTTACAATCGACTGTATCAAACATAGGTATAGGACTAAGAACTGAGACTGCACGTTGTCAGTATAAGTTAGTTGTTTGTACTCAGGAAATCCCTGCTTAGGAAAGATAAAACTATACATTGATAAATAACGCCATTGCTTGCTTCAGAAAATTTATGTAAAAAAATTAGACAACTGCTCAAAACTTCGTTCAAGATTTTCACTGTTACGTCTATTCATCCACAAGTATGATGTCACAGGCTTTGCATAATTCCAGTTAGTTTCCTAACTCCAAAACCTCACCTTAAACCACTTAGGCCAAAACCTTAAAAGACTTCTGATTTTTGCCTTCTGAATCACTGCTAAGTCCTTGCTAAGATGGCGTTTTCCCTTACTGCAGTGACTTCCAGTAAATTTAACTTTTTGTCATTAACAGGCTATCTGGTAATACCTTGAGAAGTTCATCAAGCTTGGGGAACTTCGGGGAAGTCTTACTGAGATCCATGCAAGATTTCCTCACTACCATGGTTCAAATGCCTGGATTAAGAAATATTGTCCTCTGCGGAGGCCTTTTAAATCTCTCACTCAGAGGTCTTCTCAGACACAATTGTGAGATTACTCTTGCAGTGGGGCTCAGCACTGATTTCTGTTCTTTGAGCTCCAAATGTTAAATTTATTTTATATCCCAAAAGGCAGGATCTCCTTATAGAAGCTTTTGATTTTCTGATCAGATTTGAAATCTCTCATTCTTGGTGGAAATTTACCATGTGATTACAAGTATTATTGTGTGTATCGTCTGCCCTTGGCAATTTACATTGTAAATCTATAAGAATGATTCTACAGGGACAGGATGGGCGTAAGCTCAACAAATGTGTCCTCGAACCAAGTCCTGAAAATCCCTTCAAGAATTTTCAAGTCCTTATAATGGTACTCTCCTCAGTTGTACTGGTAACTGATTTGTTTAGTTCTGGATTTGAAATTTTTATCTGGCTCTTGATTGGTGATAGACAGCCTGCTGGTTAATTTCTGAAGACATATTTTTGTATGGGCACCACTCTTAATGATCATTGCAATTCTCCTGGGCCATTCACACTAAGGTCTTTAATCCACATGGAGCTGGTTTTTATGTGGAGTGTAAAGTAAATATTTAATTTCATTCTTCTTCCATATGTATACATAATTTCTCAGAACATTTATTGAAAAGTCTGTTTTCTCCACTAATTTAAAATGCCATTTCTGTCATATAGTGTATCCATATATGTGTGCATCTATTTCTATTGTATTCTTTTTGTCTTTTTGTGTAGGTTAAAACTACCATCACACTGTCCCAATGATCATATTTTATAATAAGCATTGAAATATATTAATACAATTCTACCTACCTTCTTCTTCTTTATGAGCATTTTGGCTATGTAAGCCCTTTTCATTATTTTGTACATTAAAAAATAAGCTGCTCAAGTTTGACCAAAATAGTAAAGATTTTGTTTGGGATGGCATTGAATCCATAAAATAGTCTGGGAAGAACTTACAGTCTTATGATATTGGGTATTTCCGTCATAAATGTGGTATATACCTCCTTTTGTTTGGGTCTTCTTTAATGTCCCTCAATTAAATTTCATAGCCTTTCTGACTATATTTCTGACTATATTATAAAAGATATCTTTTCAAAATTTCATTTTCTAATTCGTTGTTAATGATACTATCCCCTATAAAGGGATAGCTCTCAATGTTTCACTTTTAAGTATGAAATTTGCTCTTAATATAGTGAAGGTACCATTTAGAGAGTTCCTTTATACTCAAGTTTGCTAAGAATATTAATTGTTAATCATGAATATAAACTTTTATCAACAACTCCTCTGTTCATAATAGCACAAAAAACTTGATTTATTCTCCATGCTCTTTTTAAGCTGGAAACCATGTTTCTGAGCAAACTGTTGCAAGGACAGAAAACCAAACACTGCATGTTCTCACTCATAGGTGAGAACTGAACAATAAGAACACTTGGACACAGGGAGGGGAACATCACACACCGGAGCCTGTCGTAGGGTGGGGGTTAGGGTGGGGGGAGGGGGGAGGGATAGCATTAGGAGATATACCTAATGTAAATGACGAGTTAATGGGTGCAGCACACCAACATGGTACATGTATACATATGTAACAAACCTGCACATTATGCACACGTACCCTAGAACTTAAAGTATCATAAAAATAAAATAAAATAAAAGAGTCACCTGTCCTAAAAAAAAAAAAAAAATACAGCCAGCTGTCTGGTAGTCTCTAAGTATCTGATGGTCTGTATCTTCAAAGTATCAAAAATTTGACTACTTCTACCATCCCCAGTGGTGATGAGGCATTCAGGTTGAGGCTATTATCATCAACCACCTGATTATTCAAAAAGCCTTCATCCTACTTGGATTCTTTGCTTTCATGCTTGTACAATCAGGGCAACATATTTAACATATAAATAAATCAGTCCACATGACATTTCAGCTCAAAATCCATCAATTGCTATCCACCTCACTCAGGTTAAAGGCCAGAGTTCTGTCCAGGACTTTCAAGGCTCTTCAGGATCTCCTCCTCCCTCTCCTGCCCCATGTGTGACCCCTCATTTCATTTTCTTACATTCTTCCCTATCTCTCTAGACTGCAGCATAATCACTTTCTTCCTGTTCCATGAATATGCCAGGCTTGTCAAGACTTTGATATTGCTGATAAATTACAATGTCTATAATCATTTTGAGATGATTTCGGTTATACTATTGTATTGGTTCTTGATTACAGTGTCATTTCTTTGTGTGCTGGGTTAGTTTTGACTATGAGTTGTTTATCTCCTTTTGGACTATTATTCTTATGAATTCTTTGAGGTTCAGGATGAGGTGCATTTCCCCAGGGGCACTTGCATTTATTTTCTGACAAGCAACTACAGCACTATTTCTTTAGATTTTACTAAATTAAATTTGTAACTTGAGGGGGTTTTCAGAGTACATAGATTATCTCATAGAGATCCACAAAGAGCCATCCAAGGGACATTTATCCCCTTCTCTCTGCTTGAAGCCAAGGTGGTTTTTAAATTCAGTCTCTCAGAACAGAGATGGGAGAAGGTTATTACTGGCTTATCTTTTCCCTACAAGTGTAGACATTTGGAGTTCCAGCTTTCTCTTCTATCCTACCCCCAGGCTTGACCAGTCATTGTATTTGATTTTGACCCTGTTCCACAAAAGGCTTTGATAACTAAAGCTCCATTTCTCCAGTTTGGCATATGTTCTCAGAAAAATGTGGTTTCATAGATATGCTTACTCCCCTTGGTTCCTACCTTCCTTGGATTTACTATCTGTCATGTATTTAACAAGTTAAAACAATATTAAAAGCATTTTAGTTACTTTCAACACAAGAGATGGTTCAAATAACTTAGGGCATCATATCTATTGAAGTAGATTTTATACATCGTTTTTTCAATTATGTCATAAAGAGCATAAAAATGTTATGAAAAATTTTAAAAATTAAGGAATGAAGAAAAATCACCTAACAATGTACCATACTAATACAATTCATATTAACATTTCAATTTATACCATACAATTTCAATGCATATTTTCAAATATTTTAAAATTTTATGCACAATGTTGCATTGTTTCTACCATGTAGCACCTTACTAGAAATAGTGACACTTGTTGCTATATTAATAAACCATTTCTATATTGTAGTGTTGATTAAGAACTCAAGAAATTGCTTATCTCTACTTTGTCACTTTTCCTGTGTGATCTAGAGTAAGCCATACAAACTGTTTCTCATTTACCTCATCTCTAAAATTTGAGTAAACCTCCTAGAATTGCTGTAAGATGATTTAGTAAAATAATTTATCATGTAAATCACTTAAAACAATATTTGTCACATAAGAGGGACTTAGTAAATGTTTATTGTAATTGTGTATTTTAATAGTCATATTTATTTTAAATTAATAGTCATAGTTAATCTACCAGGCCTCATAATGAGCAACTCATTTATAATTATTTTTACTGCTGGTTTATTTCAAATAATTCTAAATTGCTTTAACTAGTATGAGTAATACTATGATGGGCATCATGAAATACCAGCTTTCTCTTATTTCTTTAGGAAAAATTCTCAAAACAGAATTATATGAATACATGCATATATTTATTGCTTTGGCATGTAATGCCAAATATAAACACAAAAAGATTGCACTGAACTGCATAAAGTCTCTGCCTAGCTTAAGTTTTATAATGTTTGATTATTGCTAGACTATTTTGTTTTCATTTTGACTTGTGTCCAATTACCTGTAAAACTTAACGTATTTCCATATGCTTATCATTTGTACTTCTGCTTGTGAAAAGTATGTATTAATATATTCTCATTTATCTTTTAAGATAAGTTTCTATTGATTTTTAAAATTTTTAATATAATAAAGAGATTGTTCCTACTTTGTTTGGCTTTTAATCCTGTTTTGTGTTTTTGCATGAAGAAATTTATACTGTTTATATCTTTATAGTTTCCTTAGGGATTTCTTCTTACTTTCTAAACTAAGGAAATTTTTACCTTGAAGATATTTAATAGACAGTATTTTTCTTGTTTGGTTAAAGTTCAGTGTTTACATTAGCTATTTGATTCAAATTCTATTTATTTGGTATATTATGCTATGTAAAGAACCTAACAATCTTTTCTCAGTTGCTAACTATATACTCCAAATCTATTAAGTAAGTAACTGCCTCTTCATTGATCTTAAATTCTTTTTATTATTCACTGTGTTAAAATGCAAAAGGTGATTTTTTTGTTTGTATTCGATGTAAACTAATATGTTTATGATTTCTATCTATAAGGTATATTTTATTTTTATATAGGGAAGGAATCCCTATTTAAAAACAAATTAACAATAAACAGATTTGGGGATTACCAATATATTTGTGCTGAAGGATAGGTATCCTCATTCTCTATTAGCTGGCAAGTGGGAAAGTAATCAACCCGTCTAGTTCATTTCTAATGTTACAGCCAGTTGGATTGGAACATAAAGAAGAACTCTCACAATTGGAGCTTTTCAACTGGAATTGAACATCTCAGGAAGCAATGAGTTCCCCTTCACCAACTGTAGTTGAAGAAAGTAGTTAAACAAGGACTTGCTGCCAATTTGGGAATTTCTATTGAGTTCTTATTGTTTTATTTTAAAAGACTCCAAGGTCCATTTCAGCTTTAAGATTGCATGCTTCTTTTAATCCATCTGTGAATAAGGTTTTTTCACAGTATAAGATTTAGAGAGTAGGAGTATTGGGTTAACTTTTGCATAGCTCTTGAACCATAGAGCAAATCATTTGCTTCATTTAACTTCTATTTGAATGACCAAATTTGCAAAGATTCTCATCAAGTTTAATGTCTACACTTAACTGTACTCTTTCTTATAAGTATACAGTGAAGTCCTAGCAAATTAAGTTCATACCTAAGAGAAACACAAGGCTTATTTATAAGTTCCCAGGTGGTTTTAGAAGTTGAGTAAAACAACCAACTGGACTTACCCAACAGTGGTTTCATGCCATTACTGAGAGAGTACAATAGATATTATCTACTTGAAGGAGGATAATGATGTTGAATCTATAAAACCATACATAAAACTACGTTGAAAGCAAAGCTATGTCTCATCCATTCAGATATTGAGGAAACAAATATATTATAGAATTATAGGCTATTTTAAATAAAGACGTATAAGACAATAAATCAAAAGTTTAACAAAATATGACCTGATAGAAGCAAAACTACATTTATTCTGTGAAAGGTATTCTTTCAACAAATAGACAGGCATTATTACAATTAATATAACAAATAAACTTAAGTAGACGCACTTAGGATTAAAAAGTTTGGTTTCCCTCATAGCTTAAAAAATATTGATAGATCTGTAACCTATTAATATGCCTGTTAATCTCTTTTCTGTGATAATCTACATTAGTCTTAACCTAAAATAATCAAAATGTTTATGCAGACAATTTCCTTGATGAAACTGTAATACACTGATAGCATTACCTGTAGAGCAAAGAGAATGCTATAGAAATATACCTCACAAAAGAGAGAAAAACCTACAGTTTTTTGGATGACTCTTAAAGGAGGCTCAGTCCTGAAATTTCTGCTTCCCTGACATAAATAAATTATTTACACAGGTCACAACTAATTGCATATTTTGGTACTTCGCATTCTGCTGCGTGGCTGCAAACACAACCTGAGCTGTTGACATGGTACAGATGGTTCACAGTTCCTGGAACAAACTCAGAAGAATTTGTAATGAATGATCATCGTTTCAAAAATTTTGCATTTTTCCTCTTCTTTGCAGGAACTGTTTAGTACAATTTTCATTGTAAAACACAAATGCACAAAGTTGTGTCACACATTTGAAAAAGAACATTTTTTACAAATAATTTGACATCAAAATGTCGAGTAAACAATTTCAATGATAGTGTGTTTTAGCGTGATTAAATATTTTAGAAGAAACAACATGAATATTTTCCTGCATCTCACTTTACTCAAATATTCAATGAAAACAATACCCACCTCACTGGGTATTGAAAAGAAGAATAAATAGAAAGCCTAAGGGTTATGTTAAATGTCAACACATATTTTCATTATTATTGCTTAGAGTTTAATTCAATGAGATCTATCTATTTTCAATTTCATATATAATTATGAACTTGTAATAGTGTAGGGCCTCAGAAAATGATGCCCCAAAGTATGGCTCATTGACATGCTGAGTACTGTAAACTGAAGGGAATCAGGAGGGCCTCAGAAGAGACAGTCTCTGACCTTCTCATAGTACTTTTTCTTGCACACTCCTTTATCCTCCAACATGAATCACAGAAATAAGAATTTCTCTTCCCCAAGGCAGGTCACAGAACTCCTATCCTCCAACGCAAGCCATAAAACCTAGAAAGGTCACTCTTTGACCTACCTCCCCTGAAAGTAGTTCATATGACCCTTGTGTGACAAGTGTCCTGTCCTATACCTCAGGGGAAGGGATGACTCTACGAAACCATAGCCTAAAAAAGAGAGGCTAAGAAGGATCTGAACAAACAGGTTTTGCAGGGTTTCCCCCAGTTTATTACCATCATGTTCTTTTTGTCCAGTCAAATTTCTCTGCAAATATCCATGTGTTTTGTCGATCCAACATAAAAATATACAGTATTCCTTGGGTCTTTGTGTCTTCATTTCTGAAGGGTTCTATTTCATGTGAAACTTTGTTACATAAATGTATTGTGCTTTTCTCTTACAAATCTGTTTCTTCTCTTAAATCTGTTAGGAATATCAGTCATGGACCTTGAGATGGGTGAGGAAAATACATTACTTTTTTGCTCATATACTAAGCACAGTGGTAAATGAGAGTATATATGTAAGAGACGGACATGAGTTCAACCAGTTATAAGGTCAACTGTGACACTAGAATAGATTGATGGTGGTAATAAGTTCCACATTGACAGTGAGGGATGATTGAGGAAGATGATCTGGGAGACAGGTTTAAGGATACTCATGTTGTAGGTTCCCCTTGACCAAAAATATTCCACATTCATATAGTCCAAACTTTCCCCCACTGTACGCTCTCATGTAGTCAGATGTTCTGTCATTATAGCAACCCTTATTTGGTTCAGAAGCTTTTAAAACAAAAGTATTGTGGGTTGGTAAGAAAGTAAATGATGGGATTCATTTTTCTATTTTTTAGTCATATTTATTTTCTAGCATCTTCTAAATCTTTTAGTACCCTTTCATAGCTCTAGGCCTTTGAAAGTACAATTCTCTGCTTGGAATGCACATTTTCTCTCCCTTCCTGCCTACTACAGCATTTATCTGACAAATGTACTCACCTTTTAAAACTCAGCATAAGATTACTTCCTCTGTGGACCCTTTCCTAAATCTCCCAGAATGGGGAGCTGCCTTCCTCAGGGCTCTCACAAGGTTCTCCTTTAGTCTTTTAATGCATTTATCAGACCATCTATTATAATTTGTCTATACTTGACAGTGAGATACCGAAAAACAAAGATGTATCTTATGTATATTGTATTTCCTAAAATTCAGTATCCGAATTGTGTTTCTAACAGATGTTTTTACTTCAGTTGACAGATACAATTGTTTTATAATATCATAATCTGCTAAAATTAGCATAGAGACAGAAACATAGCTGCGGGAGTAAGAGAGGCAAGTTAGAGATAATGAAAAATTGTTAGAAATGGAAGTTCTAGGAAGGCATATGGAAACAAGACTCCAGTAACCTCCAGTTGAGAAAAAGAGTTTCAAGGTGATAGAAACAGCTGTAGACTTTTAAGATAAATCAAAAGCCAAATTGCCCACTCGTCAACTCTGCTCAAGGTAGACTCTGAGAAGAGGGTCCTCAAATTTAAGTTACCGTTGCTTTGAATTCTATCCTCTGCAAAATAGCCACAGGAGTACACTGTAGTAGGCTTTATTGGATTTTATTATTTCCCTCTCTCTTCCTTTTTACTCTCCAGTAGTTTAGTTAGTGTGCTAAGCTCAGTTTTTAAGTTGTCATGCTTTTTACAGTAAATTTCCCTTTCCAGGGAAATTTTACACAAATTTTAAAACAAAATGCTTACTTTTATTACTATTAGTTTAAAAACATGGATTTTATCAAATGGGAGCTCTTTACCAGGTCAGGACTATACTAGATCTGACTACAAAGTAGGGAGAATCATATAAAGTTGTATAAGATGTGAAAACATGGTGCCTGCTTCCAAGGAACCCTCAAAGCTCATGAAACGGACACAAGGAACCCATCACACTCACCCAAGGAGACGAAAAGAAAACATCCCAGAACCACAGTTCATCCCTTTGGCGTCTAATTTTACATTTGGCATGTCTGACGTGCATTTTATCAAAACACTGGAAGTTTGCCTGTCTCACATGTTAAACTGAGCTCTCTGGGGACAGGTTTTATCAATTTGATTGATAAAGAACAAAGAATATTGTTCAAAAGATATTTGATTTACAGTCATATATCTTCTCCAGTTGGAAAGGAAGGGGCATGAAAGTTTAGGATGATAAACATCTATGGAAATTGATTTTATGGCTGAGGTGGGGAATAAAGCAGGATGTAGCATAGTTCTCAGGTTTGTGGCTTAGAAATCCAAAATGGAAGATATTGCTATTTACTGAGACAAAAATTTGGGGCATGTCTAAAGAAAATATACGTGAGTTTAGGCTGGCATATATTGGATGTGAGCTATCTTTGGGGTACTCAAGGAGAAGTGTATAGCAATCATTTATTGTGGAGGAAGCAATAGAAGCTAACATTTAGGATTTCTGTCTTCAGAGTTAAAGTGCGTTGCACTCATGCCAGCTAACCCTCTAGGTCAGTTTCATGACCTTAGGAAAATAACTTGACATCTTAAAATCTTATGTTTATTAGCCAGAAGGCTTTAAAATAACTAGCTTAATAATTGCTTCAAAGATTATGACAATCTCAAATATAATTTTTTTATGGTCTACCTTCCCAACTGAATTTTCTGTTCTTTAAGGATAGAGACTACATCTCTTTTAATTCTATATGTTAGTACCTAGAACTGTGCCTGAGACATAGTAAGAACTCAGTAAATACTGAGTCAGTTGAGTGGCCAAATGTAACCCTTGTGTAGTAGGTGCTGAGCAAACAGTGAATATAATTATCATATATGAGACCGGAGCTTAGCAAAGAGGGCCAGGGAAGGTAATTGTATGTATTATTGATTCTATGTATGGGTTAGCATAGACCATTCTATAGCGTTTGTACACAAAACTCAGGATGTTCCTGAGGAATGAAAATTTTAAGGAGCAACAACTGAAAGGAAAGGAAACTGTGCTGTCATGACATTCAACTTTGCTCACTGTTCTAAGTTCATCAAATCTAAAAGTCTTAATATCACAACTTATTCCTGGAGATGCTCCTTCCTTCATCTGTTAACACCAGATTCAGTGCCGTGAATTCTCCTTTGATTCAATCAAGGGTAGGTCCCACTTGAAACTGGAGGTTCCTCCTTCAGGCTACCTGCTGCTCATCTGTCTTCTGAGTTGCAGAGTTCCAACAACAGCATTCAAGAGTGCCATTGGCTTTAGTGGGGGTAACTTAGAGCGCAGACATGAGCAGCTGTTCTTTCCATGCATTCCTGTATATAGCAAGCTGTAGGTGTTCCTTCCATTTGGATACAGCTCACAATTTACTTCTGTGCTGCTGCTATTAAAACTGGAGACAACCATGACGTCTTTAGATGGGAAAATCTGATTTGTTTTGGGCTACTCTGGATTAAAGTTTTTAATTAGACTCAGAGAAGGTGACAACATTGTGGGTGTGTGAAGTTGCCTTCCTGCCAGCTGAGTGTTTCTCCTTTTTGCCTGTGTGGAAGAGAAGGTTGTACTTTGCTTTTCAACACTTCATGACAGATACTTTCTCAGGTTTTCTGTCAACAGCTGGCCATTTGGTGTATACTCATGTATTTTTTCAGTCAGATGACAGAAATGTTTTAAGGGGCTTCTCCAATCACAACCAAAATAGTTTTTTCTAAATATCCGATACCAGCAACAATAACTTTTCATGGTTTTAAGTTTCTATTATATTTCAGAACATGAAGAAGGAAGGGAAGAAGGGAGGCCTGTTAAAGAGTTGCTTGTTGTGACCTAAGTAAAACACAGGGATGGCATACATTAAACAGGTACAGTGAGATTGGAGGGAAATGAAAGAATTTAAATATATAAGGAGCTATAAATTATGTGACTTGGTGCTATATTTGTGTCTTTATAAAAAGAGACACTAGAGATCATGCTTCGTATCTCTATCCCCACCCCGTGGAAAGATGACAGTGTGGATGTGGATGACCATGTGGACATATAAGGAGATGACAGCCATCTCTAAACCAGGAGAAGGTCCTTCACTAGATGCCATATCTGCTGCCAACTTGATCTTTGCACCAGAAAGTGAGAAATAAATTTTCTGTTGTTTATGACACCCAGTGTATTGTATTTTTGTTATAGTATCCCAAACTGACTAAAATACAGTCTATGTAGAAATTTTACTGTTAGAGAATACATGTCAGAACTCTGAAGAATACTGAGACTTAAGGAATGATAGAAGCTCATTTCTCTTTGAAGAACTAAACTGAAAAATTAAAAGTAACCTTTGGGTTTAGTACTAAGAGCTAATTGATTGCCTTGGTATGGGAAAATTGCATGGAATGTTGGCAATGAATTGAGTTTCTAACAGATAACATGGCTTCTGTCATCATCTACTTTGGAATGGCTATTGCCTTTTATGCCAGTTAAGAATAGTTGTGTTTCTCTCTTTACAATTGCTCACCATTTATACTTTAAGTACAGAGCTCTTACCAAATTGATTCCTAAATAAATATATTTTCCTCCAGGGCAGATCTTCTAAAAATGCTAACTATATTTCTACCTGTGGCTGTTTTTTCCTTCTGATTTGTGCATTCCTTTTCTATCAGTTCTATTTGACTTATGGGTTTTTTTTGTCTAATAAGTTTGGTAGAAAGAGAGGAGTCCAAGTTGATCTATAAGTGACTTGTTCATTGTCGTGGTTTCTGAAACTTTGAGTTGCAGTGTCATAGATAGCTTTGACTCTAGAAGCTCAGTGTTTTTCTGTCTAAGCTTTCATGCTCATGTAAGTGTAGGCTACATAAATATATCCCAAATTGTTTAGCCTGAAAACAGAAAAATGGAAAGAAGGACTAGCACCACCATGCCAGTCACATCTGAACCAAAAAAAAAAAAAAAAAAACACTTCAGTAATCCTGACCTTTAAAACTTCCATCATTTACACAACCAGGCTCAGAACAAACTCATCACCAAATGTCCTGTGAACGCAGCTGGAGAAACTGATGCAAGGAATCATGAGGTCTATATCAAAGAGCTAACAAAGCATGGCAAAATCATCAAGGCAAAGATTTACTGGCAAAGATCACCAAAGAGCAATAATCTCTGTCTTGATATGCAGCAGGTGTGCATATTGGACAGTAATTAAGTCATCTTCTGATGCCAGCAAAGGGCCTGACCCCTACAATGCTACAAGGGAGTGCTGACTTCCCTTGGCTCCCTGGAATATTGCTAAATTGAATTTGGACTGCCATTGTAGCAGATAGAGCCTGAATTATTTGTAAAACTTCAATTATCGTGGGCATACCATGGGGCCTGAAGAAGAGATTATTTGGCTCCTAATGTTGTAAATTTAATTTTCTTTGCGAACACCTGCTAAAGGACTAACTAAATCATTTGCCAGTGTGAAATACATCATACTGAAAGTTGATTTTGTATTTATTCTCATGGATCCATACTCCTTAAGAAGTCTGCCTCAGTCTACAGAGTCAGAAATGAATTTCGTAAAGGTTTTTACAATAGTTGAATCTTTCCAAGCTGAAGAGAATTATTGAGTATTTTCAAGTTACACATACTAGTCAGAGTATTGATTAAAATGGAGAGTTTTTAGGTTTTTTTTGTCTCCCTTTTTAAGTGTCTTAATTATAAAATTATCATGTGCAATCATCACACTTTTACCCAAGAAGTCCTGGTTGCATCCTCCTGACAGTGTCTATGAAGGGGGCTAATAATTAATAGGTAGGGAACCAACTGTCCTCCTACTTCAAAAAGTAGGACAGAATTAGGGCAGACTTAGTTTCAAGGGGAGATTTAAGAACTTTTTGTTGCTGTTTGAAAGAAAGATACAGTTTCTACTTTGCATTTTTTGACATTTTCCTAAAGTAAAAAATTAGAGAAATTATTAATATGTACATCAATTAATATGTGTATTTAAAATCTACTGGGGTAAAGAAAAAGAAAAAAATTGATTCATATTTCTGGTATCCTTAGTAGTACAAATGAACTTAGAAAAAATATTTATGTTTTAAATACACAGTGGAAAACCCCATGATCTATACATTTTTTTTTTTTACAAAATGAAGATAATGAATGTAAATCTAACTTAGTATTGTGACTAGAGTTTAACTTATTTACTTTGGGATACAAATGACAATAAAATATGTTTTGGGAAAAAACAAGGAAATCTATTTCTAAGTTGAAAGTGATATTTTAAGTCATCATTTTGGGAATATAGACAGTTTGGTGATACTTCTTTGGAAATGCCTCCGAATCAGCCTACATTATAAAAATTCAGATTTTATAATGTAGCATTAATGTGGAACCCTAAACCGTATTATCAAGATTCGTCATATTCATTGAATTTGAGCAAATCCTGTTTATTGATTTAATCAAGTCTACTGTACTCCCCAAGTACCACATTCAGTGTAGCCTAATTGTATAATTCAGAAAATTTGCACCTCTTTCTCCTTGCCCCTCCTTAAAAAATGTCCAGACTTCAAATTTCACAGGCCAAGTACGTCAAACCTAACTCAAAGCAAATCAGGAGTAGTGTTCATTTTCGAGCAGTCTAACATAAAGCAATGGGACACTGGAGTAGGACTTCCATTTGGTGGCATTTCTCAAAGTTCAGCAGAAGGATAGTAACAATTTCAGGAGCTCTACCTACCTTGATGTCAACATGCATGCATGTCTGTCTGTCTGTCTTCACAATTAGTGTTTAAGCTTAAGGATACAGATCATGTTTCATTGAAATGTATATCTTTCACATAATCTAAAAGAGTTTTTTTGTATTCGCTTACATTTATTTTTAAAATCTTGGGGCATATTAGAATTTACATAGATCTAAGGACAAGGCACAGAAAGACATAGGTGGGAAGGCTGGGTCACGTCTTATAAATGTATACAGGTTGCTTTTTCTAGGCAACCCAAATAAGCAACAATTGCTTTCCTGAAAGAGCTACGCTATTTGTAGTTGCTACTGTCACAGTTTAACAAGGAGAGGGAGCTCTTAAAAGATTCTCTAAATTTGTTGCAAGAAAGTCACAGAAAGCTACCTTTCAATGTCTGTTTTCTATAGCTGGAGGGAAGACTGGTGGTAAAATGACCAACAACCAAAATGAATTATGGATAAACTGAGAGCAAATAAACAATAGGAGTTAAGAAGATGAGGATGTACGTGCCAAAGGGAGAGGGTAGAGAAACCATTGCTAGCAGTCTAGGAGCTCCTGATTTCCACGACTGGACAAAATTGGGAACTACTAAGAAGGTGTGGAGCTACTCACCACCTTCATCAGGTTAGAGTTCTTTATACCATGAAAGTTGTGCTAAGATGGAAATAAAAGCACGAATTGTTTAAATACCTTCAAGCAGAAAGCAGAGATTTAAAATGTTCACGAAGAGGAAGAAACGGAAATATCTACTAGAGAGTCAAGTGGCATTGACAGTGATTGAAATATGACCAGGTTTTCAGTTTTCTGTTGCAGAAAGGAGAAGAGGGAGCTACTTGAGGAAAATATTTGGAATAAAGGAAAAAAGCACACAACTCTTTTCTTAGAAAAGCCTGGTAATGAAGTGATCGAGTTTTATCTTTATTATTTGCCATCAAACTCCTTAACTTAATTAGAATACTTACTGGGTTTCAATATTTTTTATTTTAAATTAAATGTTACCCATTATTTTAATTTTCTTATCCTTTAACCTCTCTTATTTTCAAAACCAGTAAGTTTTCGATTCTTTTATAGAAAAAAACCTGGGCTCATTTTAGCTTCTGTAACTCTGTTAAAGCAGGCTGAAAATGGATTATGTTGAAGATGTTTATTCATGAACAACCAAATATCCCATTCTTTGCTGAAATTACAGCTTTAGTTAATTAGTTACATTGCAGGCATTTACACTTCTGTGGGAGGAGCACAATAGCACAAGTTGCTTACAGGAACAGCTTCAAGAATATCCTGCTCGTAATACTCACACGTTATAAGGACATCAACCATTTAAAATGTGTTTCTTTTTACTCATGTTAATTTGCTGCCTTCTTTTGCTTATCTCTCTGGAATCTTGGCCAATGTATACCTAAATGACCAAGAGTTCTCACCACAAATATTTAATGAAATAGTTTTCTATGAAAATTTGTTTCTTAAGCTTTAGTTCCCAGTGTGTCCGTGAATTCTTTACTCTCTACCTTTGAAATATTCTCTTGCTTTCAGTTTATGTCAACAACTCACCTTGCCTAATCAATCTCTCTTGTCTCTTCTGTTGCAGAAGCTATCATAATGGAAATGGTGGATTTAAGATTCAAGATTTAATTTCCAATTCCATATGCTCTTTGACCACATCCTAAGAAAGCTGTGAGATTTCAGTATCCCATTTTTAAGCAAGCATTTGTTGTAAACAAGTCTGGCAGATGGCCACAACACCTGGGACAATTAAGCCCAAGGGATGCTTGAGTAGTTTCTAAGGCAAGCAGAATCTTCCATCTGCTCAAATGGCACTTTTGGGGTTTAAGCAAGCCTGTGTGGGCTACTCAGGGTTTATTCCCCTCACAAGTCTACTCTTCTGTCTCCAAATACTTGCTGGCTGCCCCTCTAAAAAGTAGAGAAAACAGGAAAATATATATTTACTCTATTTTACAGCTGTCTAACTGCTTTAAAATGGATAACTTAGCTCTGCTGGGCTTATCCTTAAGAAACGAGATCAAACAGTTTTCATGAAATGCCACTCACATTTTAAATGCATGAGTTATTTTGGTTTATTCTGTTCTAGAATTTTCCAAAGCTAGAATTAAATGCTAAATAATCAATTTGCCCATTTAAAAGATATTGGTGCACTATGTAACAGATTGTGGCTACCAACATTCTGAGCCAGTCTTTCCCCTCCAAATGCCCTGCCTTCCCCTACACACATTGAACCTACTATTTAATTTTGTATGATGGAATCTTGCCAGATCAGTATGGGGAATATATTGTTTGGAATCTAGGTTGTTATTCTGAAGGTTTATTTCTTCTGGTAAAAACACAAGAACATTTTCACAGAATACGCAAGGTTTTTTGCTTGTTTCTGTTTGAGACTGCACAGTAAGTTGGCTAGCACAAGGAAGCTCCTACATCCTTGCAAACTTCAGTCAAATTGCCATGTAAAGTCATTGCCAAGTTTTCAAAATTGAGTCTGGACTGCTATTCCAATTCACCACCATTCCGCCTCCATAGCAGATGGTGTTCACTTATGCAGGGGACGCAGATGAAACGGCATGGTGGAGGTGTCATTCCACTGCTAAGGTTTTGAATTTTCTTGCTCTGAAGAACTCGATGCCAAAGAGTAACAACTTATTGATCTTCACTCTCTGTCATCAGCTAGTGTCCATCTTTTTTCCCCATTTCCTCCATCTCACCCACTCCCCAGCATCACTTCTGGGTCATAACTCTTCCCCTTCTGAATTATTTTTTGCAAGCACATTGATGTTTTGCTCATAATTCCTGAATATGCATTTTCAGTCCTGAACCTCAGTGCCTATCTAGCTTTCATATGTAGGCAACCTTATGGTATAACTGGAAGAATCTCCTAAATACTGAGACTTTTTGAAACCTGACAAAAAGTTGAAGAATAAGAGTTTGGCTCTTGGACTCAGATCAGACTCAGATTTGATCTTGACTCTGCCACTTGCTATCAGCATAGCACTGGGGCATATATTTGACCTATGCTATTTGTAAAATGGAAATAAGTATTCTTTGGAAACCTCACAGTGTTTGGAGAATTAAATGAAACTGAATTTATGTTTGGTATGGTAAGTGATACATGATTATGCTCTTCTCACTGCCAATTTCCTGATAGTCGTAAGCGTCCAACATTAGAATTACTGTCTTTGCTCCTTTACCTTCCAAATCAAATCCATCATCATGTTCTATTTATTATGATGCCCGTTTATTTTCTGCATCCATGGCTACAAGCTCAGTCCAGACCATCATCTCAAATCTATATTTTGTATTTAAATTTCTTTACATTTTTCTATCCCTTTAACATAATTAAATTTTCTTTCAATTTTGCAAACATGATTTTAATTCAATTATGTGCCATAGAGATTGCTAGGCCACATTTTCATTAGAGTTGCTTGACTCCTTTGTAAGGCACTATTATTTAAGGCTTGGGCTCTGGAACCAGACTTCTTGAGTTAAAATGCCACCTCAATAACTTATTAGCTATGTAACTTTTAATAACTTACTAATGTCTCTATCTCAGCTGCATCATCTCTAACAAGGATATAATAACAGTATCTTATCTCATAATGGTGGTTATAAGAAAAAAAGGGCATAATGGATATAAACCTGCTTAATACATAGAAAGCACTTGTGATTTTGTTAATCATTATTATCCTCAAATATTTCTTTCAGCATCAGCCTCCCATTTTGAACACGCACAATGACAACCTTTTCATTTTATATCAAAATGAAGCTTCTGCATTTTAGTTCTTTATTAACTTCCTCATAATTGATTCACAGTAAGTTCTTTGACACATGCCTACATCCACACATTAAGCCTGCACATTTACTCACTTATTTTCCTCTCCTCCATGGTCCTGAGGCCCCTAGTCATCTGTGTAATCTCTCTGCAATATGAATTCTCTGACTCAGTAAACCATTATACATATCCATGTTTCTTCATTTTCATTTGATGTATCTTTGGATTCAGTGCACTTCCCTAAATCATTCCCACTTTTTCTTCTAATTTCAAATATCCTGCTTAGAACTCCTTTTCAAGAATCTTTCCCTTTCTACATGCTTCTAAACAAATCATTCTTGTATTCCCTCTGTCTTCAGAACAATTATGTTCTATTTGTGCTATATTAAATCTGTTACACCATAAGCTGGCTTGCATCTTTGTGCTCCAGCCATACTGGTCTCCTGCTGTTCCTGAAGCATGCCAAACACCAATCCATCTCAGGGCTATTGTGCTGGGTTTTCCCTTTAACTGAAAACAATGCTTTTCTCTGGATATCTGCATGATTTATGCTCTCATTTCATTCAGGTCTCTGCTCAAATATCACCACTACAGAGAATCACCATGTCACCCTTACATGTTTCATTTTTCTTTCTAGCATTTGACATATGTAGCTAGCTCTTATGTTTATTGGCTTTTGTTTGTTTCTCCCACTAGAGGGCAGGACCATTATCTGTTTTGTTGACTGTTCAATTCCCAGCTCCTAGCACAATGCCCTTTACGTAGTAGACGCTCAATATTTATGGAATGGATGAATGAATACATTGTAACCTAGCATCACCACCAAAAATAATTCTAAATACTTAAAATGTAGGGACTATGTATTGGATTTTTGTAACATTCCTTCATATATTGCCATAGAGAGAGAAACATCTGGCTTCAGAACAAGACTGGCCCAAATCCCCAAATTCTCAATTACTATTTGAGTAAATCCAAGTAATTTTCTCTCTGAGCCTCAACCTCCCTGTATATAAAATAAGCATAGTCATACTCATTATGATGGATAATTTTATCTGTCAACTATGGTGCCCAGTTGTTTGCTCAAACACCAATATAGATGCTGCTGTGAAGGTATTTAGATGTGATTAACATTTAAATTAGTAGGATTTTGAGTAAAGCAGATTACCCTCCATAAAGCAAGTAGGCTTCATGCAATCAGTTGGCCTTCAGAGAAAAGACTGAGGTTTCCAGAAAGATAAGTAATTCTGCCTCAAGACTGCAGCGTAGAAACCCTGCTTGAGTTTCCAATCTGCAGATTTAGCGCTCAAGATTGCAGTATCAACTCTTCTCTGAATTTCCAGCCTGGTCTGTTCTATAGATTCCAGACCTCCTAGCTCACATAATTGTATAAGCCATTTCCTTAAAATCTGTGTGTGTGTGTGTGTGTGTGTGTGTGTGTGTGTGTGTGTGTGTGCATGTGTGCATTTATATACGTATATACCATATTATTTTTCTCTGAAAAACCTTGACTAATAAAGCTACTTTACTTGAAGTTAGGATTAAATGATGTAATATGTTTAAAACTCTTATTAAATAGTAGCAATTATTACATGGTGAGTAAATAATTTTGCCAGGTTATTATGTCTGCCACATGGCAAGGGCTTAACAAGTATTTGATGAATGAATGAATAAATGAATGCCAGAAAGTGGATGTCTTCTGAACACATATTATTCCAGATGATTGTAAAAGCACATATGGCCAGCGTTACTCATTTCTTAGTATTATTTGAACCAGAACGTACAGCACATTGCATTCCCTGTGAAGGTCTAAAAATGTTATATACATATGCAACATTATTCACTGAAAATAAATCAGAATTTATTTTATGATAGCAAAAGTACTGTTTGAAAATGAAAGGAAGTCGAATGCCAAATTGTTCCATGAATCTTCCAGCAGCTTTGAGATAAGCATAATTTTATATATCTGAACACCCTTCATGAGAGTATTTTGAACACTAGTTAGCTAATTGGGGCAATGTTCTTTGGGGGAAAAACATATTATATAAATGTTGAGTATTTTAGTTTAGATGGAAATGGGAGGTGGTAAGGGATTACAAAAATATTTGAGCATCTGGAAATTAAGTACACAAATTTTAATATATAAATTCAGATGGTGCTCTGGTGAGACCGTGTTATGTTCTAAAGGACTAAAAAGATTGAAACAGTCACTGCTGAATTTTAGCAGATTTTTATGTATTGTAAAGGTATTTTTGCAGTATATGAACTCAGAGGCCTATGAGATGCCCTCACATTTGGGGTCTCCTCAAAGATATCAGCTAGAAGACTAAGAGGTAGACCTATTTGGCAGGGAAGGCAGGGCAAACACCAGGAGAGTGGTAGGAGTCTTTAGTGCCAGCAAGCATATTCTCAAAGCTTCTCCCATATAGAGACATTTAGGGAGTGGATAAGAGGAGAAGGGAATGATTGAAAGGACAAAAACAGGATGCTGGAAACTAAATAGCTTATCCTCGGTTTTGCTTAGCTTCTCAGCTAGAGTCCTTCAAAAGAAAATTATATTTTTTAATTCTACTAGGATTCTTACTGTGGTAAAAATATCCTGAAATTCAGCAGCAATGCTTGTTATCTTCCAGCCTTAATTTAGAACATGGCTCAACCCTGTTGCCCCTGTCTTTCCAATGCCCTGATTTGGTATTTGGGGATAAATGCTCTAAAGAGAAGATATTTATTAATTGGGATCACACCCTGTCTAAATTAGGAAAATATATCTACTACTTTTATATCTGCTTACATCACAAACCTATTCACTGGAATAACCAGATCTTTAAGCATTTTTAAATACTTATTTAAAAATATATTTTAACACTTTTATATTATACTGAGTTTGGCTTATTTCAACAGATGCTGAAGTCAGCCTACCAGCAATAAGATAGGGCAATAAGATAGGGAGCAATAAGATAGGGAAAATAACTGGATTTCAATTCCTTTCTCAGTATTTGAAGTCAAGCCAACTGCAGTTATTGGCCTCTAGATGTGTTCAAGCTGTCACTTTTTTTTTTTCATGAAAGTTATACAAATTAGAACATCAATGAATTGGAGAGATTTGAGAAAAAGAAAGAAGAGAATTAGAGGAACCAAAACCAGTTCATGGACTTCTGCCCCATAGAATCCTAGGTTCCCTAAGTGACATAAAATACTTTGGGGCTATGTGTGGCTGGCAAAGTAAAATTACATTTTGGACATAAGTTGAATCTCTTGTTTGAAAATAAGTGAGTTTTTTCCTAGAGCAATAGAGCTTGCAAAAATGAAGCTCTGAAAGATGAACTATACTTAAAATTCACAGTACATGTGTGCCCCATGTCTTAGCATTTGAAAGTTTTTTCCCACATTGTCTCTTGGCATAATCAATGCTCATTTGACTTGTAGTGAGCCCATGGCTTGGAGTGCACCACTCAAGAACACACAGGGACTGGTAGAGTTATTTAGGAAGAGCCATTGGGAAATCTATTCTAATCCAAGTAATCTGTAATTTGAGGGATCCAATCTCTAAATGCATGCCAATTATACCTTAATTTTTCATTAAGTAAAATGGAATTTGTCACAAATGACTTGTGTTGATATATATGGGTCTAAAGTGCATTCAAGCTGGTAACACCATTAAATAAGCTGTGATACAGGACTCAGCATGTGATTTTTTTTTTTTTTTTACATAGAAATGAAATCAGTTGTCACCAAAGCTTTAAACAGAAGAGAGGAACCTTCCCCCTGCCTCAACCTCTCTAGTTTTATAGCTCCAAGCTACATCAGTATGTATAGACACCAGTATGCACAGACCTTTTAGAAACACTTTTAGACCTTTTTAGAAAAGACTTGCCACCAAAATTAAAAATACTTACCAAACTAGATTGTAAAAGGAAAGATGTATGTTTTTACTTATTGCTTTTCAATTTTGATAAATTTCAGGTGTATCATTCTCTGCATAGCTCATCACTGTGCTCTTTCAAATGTTTCCCTTCCCAGAAATACACACATATTTATATATAAGTGATATATATACACATGCATACATTCATATATATCACATATTTTATATATAATACATATACTTGCCAAATTAGCATTCACCAACACACATGCAAAAAATTATCTTCATGAAATATTTTGTGCTTCCAGGTGAGGTGACAGGTCTGACTTCAGAAACCTGTCACTAAAGAGCTAGATAGCCTGGCAGTGCTTCAGATTTGCCAGTTGAAAACATGTTGGCCACAGGTTTTATTGTCCAGATCTGCTCAGTGAAACCCCACAGCAACAATGGTCATTACCAATAAGGCTACTAGATATTATCAGAGAATCTAGAGACCATAAATTGACATGCTGTATGCATAAATTTGCATATGGAATCAAGAAGCTCTTCATTCCAAGTGGGAAAATAAAGTGACTTCCTGAAAGCAGTGTTCTTATGTTTAATCTCAATGATCATGTCAGGACATCTGAAAGTTACAAGGCGTTGTGTCATGATGCTTTAGAAGGAGTGTGGTAGAAATGCCTGTGTTTCTAGTGACTGGCAGGGAATCAAGCTTCAGATCATGCATGCAGACACAAATGGGAAGAAAATATCGCTGTTGTTCCCGTTGGCTCCTTTTGCTACAGGATAAACAAGATGAAAAATTTAATTTTATGTGTTTAATTAATCTAGTAACTACAGTTCAATATTGGTAGAGAAAG
This sequence comes from Homo sapiens, assembly GCF_000001405.40. Taxonomy (NCBI): domain Eukaryota; kingdom Metazoa; phylum Chordata; class Mammalia; order Primates; family Hominidae; genus Homo; species Homo sapiens. The sequence continues at coordinate 78,566,828 of NC_000012.12, forward strand.
ATTTGGACAAATCTTTCTGACTCCTACTATTGTAATTTCTCTTCTATCATACTGTTTTAATATAATAAGCCATAATTGGGATGAATAAAGAAGTCAGAGAGAAATCACATCATGTTACAAGTATTTAGTAGATCCCTTTCCTACCCCACAGAGTTGTGAGAGATGCTCATGGAAGCTGAAAATAGCCAATGACTTGTTCATACTACTCCTGAGAAAAAGTACATTAGGAAAAGGCTGGCTCTGGCTTTTTCAACATATAAACCTGATCATAGTAGTTTCAGGTGCAAAAACAATTTAATGAAACTTCTTAAACACTCACATCCCATGGGCTTCCCATATCTATGTGGAATTGTCGAATTAAGGATTTTTGTATATTATTTTCAGTCATTTTTAACTTAGCCACACCAAGTGATATTGACATTTATAAAAATCTAACTCTTAATCATTAGGATGACTAAAAATGACACATTGTCAGAGTTCTCCAGAGATACATAGCCAATAGGATGGATAGTTAGGTAAGATGGATGATTGATAGATTAGTGGATGAGAAGAGATTTAATAGGGTAATTGGCTCATGTGATTCTGGAGCTTGAGAAGTCCCAGTATAGGCCTCCGCAAGCTGGAGGACCAGGAAAGCTGATAGCATGGCTCAGTCCAAGTCTAAAGGTCTTAGAACAAGTGATTCCAATGGTATAAATCTCAGTCTAAATCTAAAGGCCTGAGAAAATTAGGGCCTGCTGGTGCAAGTTCTGGAATCGAAAGCCCCCAAATCCTGGAGTGCTGATGTTCAAGGGCAGGGGAAGAAGAGTATCCCAGTTCTAGAAAACAGAAATTTCATGTTTTCTCTTCTTTTGTTCTATCTGGGACCTTAACCAATTGGATGGTGCTAGCTTACATTGAACGAGGGAAGATCTTCCTTATGTAGTTCACTGATTTAAATGTCAGTATCTTCTGGAACACCCTCACAGGCATACCCCGAAATAATACTTTACCAGCTATCAGGGTATATCTTAATTCAGTCAAATTGACACCTAAAATGTACCATCACACATATTATTCTAAACAGTGCCCTATATTCTTTTTTTAAATTTTATAATTATAGACTTTTATTTGGTCATTTAACACATACTTGTTGAAAATGAAGTATGATCCAGGCATTGTGAAAAGCTTTGGGAATACAAAGAGTATTCTCCCCAAGTATTTCAAAAATCTTAGTTCTTATAACAAACTGTAAATCCAGTTTGTCACAATATTCCTCATAACTGCTGTTGCATATTTCATGGAAAGGGTGTGTACATGATGTCAACAGCCCCAGTAGGGAAATCAGTGGACCTGAGTTAGAATACTGGCTCTGCTTCTGCTGAGTGGCCTTGGATAAGACAGTGAAGAGTTAAACTTTTAAACTCATTTCCTCATTTATGAAATAGAGATGTAATGATACCTATATTACTTGGGGTTACTGTAAGAATGAAATGAATTAGGATCACGTCAAATGTCTAAGAGTGGCCTGCATTGAGCTGACATTATACATAGTAGCTATTTTCAAAGAATGGCCAAATGAGGCAGCTCTTTCTTTTTTCAACAGTTTTAGCTGCCATGTAGTTCTGAAATCTGCTTCCCTGTAAATTCCAACCATCGGAACTCATTATGCTCACTGGAGCAGATAAGCTTAATTCCTTCTTCCACATGAACACCCTTAAGATATCAGGACACAGTTTCCAGCCATCTACATTTTTTCCCAACTGAGCAACTGCAATGAACTTTTGTTGTTCCTTAATTATTTTTTTCTTAAGTGTAATGAATATGTTAGAACCTTCAAAACCTATTCACACCAGAGTGGAAATCAGAAGAGAATGGAACATTTTGTACCTAATTCAGACCTGTTTAGCAACAGAAACTAGAAAGTAACATATCCTCCAAGTTTTACTCATAAGATAAACCCTCATAAACATTCACCAAGGCATTCATCTCCTAGCCCATCTCCAGACTGATGGCTGAGTAATGCTATTAACACAAACATGTTATTTTACTCATCACCATATATAAAACTGCTTAGCTTAGTGCAGTGATCCATAAACTTTTAGTCTCCTAACCACTTTACCCCTGTAGAGGCCAAGGGAAAACTTTCCTTTTACCCTCTGAAGTTTCACTGAAAAAAAACCAACCCACGAAAGGCAGATTAATTGGAGAAAATTTGGAATAATTGGATTAAAAGGAGAAATTTTATTTGATCATGTAGTTTTATGTGACATGGGAACCTTCAGAATGAAGACCTAAAGATACAGGACAAATTGTCCACTTTTATGCTTAGGTTCAACTAAATGTGGGCAGCCATGTAGAAATATGACTGGATAAAAAAGGGTATAATGGGACGCTAAAAGACTTTGGAGAAATCTTGCAAGTCCTCTTGGTCTAGACCCTTCTTGGCCTCTCTGTGCAGCTCTCCCTTCCTCTGGGTATGGGGCAGGACCTGCTCTGGAATGGGGATCTTATGACCTACAGTCAAACACTGTAGGCCAGATAATTTCTTTATGGCCAATTTTTACACAGAAAGGTGGAGGGAAAGTTAGAGTAACATTTTCAGGTTTTTAGGCTAGCTTTGGAAAAAAAAAGGGTTCTGGTTACTATACCTGCCATCAGGAAGGAGGATTCTAGTTTCTATGTCTGATCTTGGGGGGTTAGAATGGGACTGAGAGACAGAAGGGCAGGAGAAAGTCAGAGACCAACTTTTGCCTCTGAGGGCTTAATTTGGGGGTATTGTTTTCTGAGTCCTAACACCACCAAAAACTTACTGATGATGCCCAAAAGCTTTGCTTATATAGGTTAAATCTAAGTTTATTTACTGCATTAGAAACTAAAGTTGATGCCGGAAGTGGTGGCTCATACCTGTAATCCCAGCACTGAGGCAGGTGGATCACTTGAGGTCAGGAGTTTGAGACCAGCCTGACCAACATGGTGAAACCCTGTCTCTACCAAAAATACAGAAAATTATCCAGGTGTGGTAGCATGCACCTGTAATCCCAGCTACTCGGGAGGCTGAGACAGGAGAATCTCTTGAACCCTGGAGGCAGAGGTTTCAGTGAGCCAAGATCATGCCACTGCACTCCAGCCTGGGTGACAGCATGAGACTATCTCAAAAAAAAAAAAGAAAAAGAAAGAAAGAAAGAAAGAAACTAAAGCTGAAACACATATTAATTTAAAATAACAATAGCTCTATTATTAATACAAATAACATTTTTTAATGAAAGGCAATACCTTCTCCAAAACAAAAAGTGAACAGAAATTATTTTTGTAAACCTTTTAAATATTTAAATTAATAAAAGTCAACTAAATTTTATGTTTCTGGAATCAGCTTTGATATAAATTGTTTTAGTTGAAGTATGTGACAAAAATCATGTCACTATGTAGCTGCAAAAATCATATGTAGTTGATAAACAACTACATCTATTTAGTCATCTCTTTTAGGTAATTGTGAATATTCTTTGCTACTACATCAATCTCAACAAATGGTAGTTTCTTACAGGATAGTTGGAAGGTATAATCCAAAATATCAATGATATTTTTCATTCTGTTAAGTTAAAATCAATTGGTCTAATTCACACTTTAAAATAAATTTTACTTATGTATCACTCTGTAATATTACGATTTGGTTATATATAAAATACTGGTTCACTAAATAATACCAATATTCAAAATGTTGATCCATTTCATTATACAATATTTTTAAAATTCACATTCATTGATATCACCCCAAATCTCAGCAGAAAAGTTTTAAATAATGGAAGCTGTCAAGCTCACAGAAGCAGATGTAAGTTTTCCAAAGTTCTAATTTTTTTCTTGAAAGTTTGAATTTTATCATTGGTAACAATTATTGTCAGCTGTTTTTCTTGCCGTTGACAAGTTCACTGCATTTATTTTCAAGATAGTGTCTGCCAAATATACCTCAGTATTCTAAAACCAACTTTGATATTATAGACTATCTAAAAGAGTCCTGGGACACAGGGATTCACAGACTACACTTTGAGAACTGCTGTCTTGGCCTTCAGTACAGCCCCCACAAGTTGCAGCGTGCCTTCTTCCCTTGCTGTATCTCTAATCTGCTTTGGCTTTCCCACAACTGCTCTCTATAAATCCTGAACTCTCTCAACCGAATGTCTGAGTATTCTAGGTCCCTCTCACACTTCTCTGCCTGGAGTACACTGTTAAAGACCCATTGTCTTGGACAAAATTCATGAAAACTTTCCTGAATCTTTTCATGTATTATTAACATTTATTAACAATTCCTTCCAAGAGTCTCTGCTATATACCGATTGTACTTACTTTTAGCATAAACCTTCCACAATTTTATAGCTTTTCCTTTTAGAGAGTTACTCAAATAAAGGGACTCTGTCTTATTACTGTGTATATATCAAAGAAAATTCTAGCTCTACCAATTATTAGGTGGAACAATTTCTTAACTACTCCTTGCTTTTGATTTTTCATCTGTAAAATGGAGCACTACTTAACTCAGAGAAATATTGTGAAGTTAAAGAAAATGCATATGTCTGCCAAAACATTTAGTAATATACATTTATATAATCACAACATAAGATATTAATTATAACCATTAATATGTTCTAGTAATTACATATAATTTATAAAACCATACACCTTATTTTGCCCCAAAGCAAAATAGAAGTATTAATACTTTTTGAGGAACTACCCCATTGATGAGAGAATTCCTGTTTCAATACCAAAATAATTAGACAGATTTGAGTCTATGAAACTATGCGTTTACAAAAGTTTCTTGTCTTGCAGTTTTCTATCTATAACCTAAATTCTAGGAAAAAAATTGGTTAATTTTTTATCTTTTCATGAACTCCTTTGGTAATCAGACACACTAAGGCATATTTACAGAACCCGCCAGTCATAAATTCTTCTAATAGAAACTATTCTACCTCAACTTCTGCTGTTTAGAGGTACCTGCCTTAAACAATATAATTCTGCTCTCCTGTCAGGTCTTCTGACCAGGAATGCCCAACTGACAAGGAGGCAGCAAATCCAAAGGATATTCAGTGACCTCTGACTTTATGGCCAATGACGTGTCAAGTGAGAACATTTGAGCTAGGCTGATCAAATTCGCCTGGTAAACTGAGTTGGGAAAAACTCAAGTTATAGTCCTGTATTCGTCTGTTCTCATGCTGCTAACAAAGAAATATCCGAGACTGGGCAATTTATAAAGGAAAGAAGTTTCATGGCAGAAAAAGAGATTTCATGGACTCACAGTTCCACATGGCTGAGGAGGCCTCACAATCCCGGCAGAAAATGAAGGAAGAGCAAAGGCGCATCCTGGTGGCAGGCAAAAAGGCTTGTTCAGGGGAACTCCCATTTATAAAACCATCAGATCTCGTGAGACTTATTTACTACCAGGAGATAGTGTGAGGGAAACTGCCCCTGTGATTCAATTATCTCCACCTGGCCCCACCCTTGACAGGTGGGGATTATTACAATTCAAGGTGAGATTTGGACACAGCCAAACCCTATCAAACCCTAAGGTGAAAGAATTTCTAGGAGTATTTTTGTGATTCCCCACCTCCAAGTCTACTCACCTACCCACACTCTGCCTCACTTCCTTTACCACAGATGTTCTTACTGATTATTCGTACTTAAGGCTAACCCATCCACTGGTGCATTCAATCCTATCCTCTCATATTTATTCAAGAATATCAGTCTAGCAAATCTCTCCTCTTTTTTCAACATCATTTTTCCTCTCTGCTAAATCATTTTCATGAACATTTGAATATACTGTAATTTCTCCTATATAATGATAAAACAAGTCTTCTCTTGACTCCACATTTTTCCTCTAACTACTATCCTATTTCTTTTTTTCTTTCTGGGACAAAATTTCTGGGAAAAATAATCTATAATAGATGTTATAATAGAGTTCTCTAATTTCCTGACCCCTCAAGCTTTTATCCCACTACCCCAGAGGTGAACTTTTAAACTTCCTCTTCCTTTATGCTGGCAGTCAGGTCACTCTCTTTAAATACTTTCATTCACTTGTTCTGCAGGAGATAATACTTGCCTGAGTTTCCCTCTACTTCACGAATCTCTTTTCAAATTTCTTTACCTGTTTTCTTCTTGTTCTCATGCATTAAGGCAGCTTTTTTTCTTTTCTGTGTAAATTGGTTCTGTTAACATATTCATCCAGTCAGGCAATTTTATATAATATCTATATGCTGATGATTCCCACATTTTAAATCTTTGGTTTACACCATTCCCCTTACCTCCAGATTTCAAAGGTCCACCTGGGTTTCTCCCTACTTCTGCACTTACCCCTCCAAACAACACTCATATTAATGCAATATTCAGAGTTATCCTTTTATAGAGTCAGTCAAAGGACTCTTCCTCTGAAGGTCTCTCATGCAGAGTAAAAGCCAAAATCTCTGCAGTGACCCGGAAGTTTCGACATGATCTGCTTCATCTCCTCCCTCTTATTTCTCTGAGTTATCTGCTATTCTTCCCCTTAGTCTCATGACTCCCATCTAGCATAATTCTGATTCAGAGGTTTTACAAATATTCTTACCTCTGCTTGGAATTCTCTTCTCTTAGATATTTCTTTGGCTTGCTCTTATGTCCTTCACAACTTTGCTCGAAGTTTACTTTATTAGTGAGGGTATCCATGACCCCCTTATGAACTCCCTACCTTCTCACCCACTGTGGTCCGCACCTTCTTCCTTGCTGTGTTTTCTACCATAATACTTAACCCAATCTAATATACTCTTTTGTTTAATTAAACTTTGGTTATCTTTTCATTAATATCGGCTTCTAGAATATGTTTCATGAAGTCAGGGATAGTCTTAGGGTTCTCCACAGCTTCACTAAACTTTGACAGTTTTCTTCCTGACTTTAATCCCTGGTCCCCCTTTTCATAGCACATTTACTTTAGAAAACTCGCAATTGTAAATTGTTTTTCTGTCCCTTTTAGATGTAAATTTTCTCCTAGACTCTCGCTGGTTTTATAAGCCAGGGAGCCATTCCTTTGAAAGGTAATCACCAAGAAATATAGAGCCTGTATTTCCCATTCTCTGTGGAGGGGGTAGGAACCTAACTTTGATAAGTACCAATTAGCAAACACAGATGCCCTAATTACGTTGACCAACCTCTCCCCTAACACCCTCTAGTACTTTTCCACTAGCTTACCTAAATCCTTAAACGTTGAGAGTTTTACCTTAAAAATTCTCTTGCCTTTTTGTTTTAATTATGTTCACTGCAGTTCTACACTGAAGTCTCTTTTCCCTACTGCAGTAGCATGAATAAAATGTCTGGTCATTTTTAGTAAGTGTCCAGTGCAATTTTTCTTTAACTTTCCCTGTGAGGGAAAGGGTATCTGCACATAGCATATGCTCAAGAAATGTTTATTTAGTGACTGTGTAATGGCTGCAAAGCTTTGTGCGAGCTAAAATTTTTAGAGGGTAGGAAAGAACCATAGACGACCTGGATCCTAGTAGAGAGAGGGAGAATGTAAAGCATATGCTTGGAGAATAGAGAGAGGGAAGGAACGGGGAAGGGAAAGAGAAGCAGAGACTGTCTGTGGGCTGCCTCTATGGGTTTCTGTTCTAGTACACACATTTCTTCACAATAAATCTGTTTTTTGTTAAATATGGTAGAGTGAAATTCTGAATCTCTGATCCTTGTCATTAGGTAAGCCTAATTAGGCTTTTCTATTAGGCCACAATCTCCTATATTTCATCTTTGAATTTGGAAAGCCCAGCATTGCATTGTACCCACTACTAATCAGGCATTCACTGGCAAAATTTTGAATACAAATATCATCTTTCTGTTCCACCTTCCTCATAAATGAGTCTTCTAATAGTTTATGAGGAGATTATAGGGAAAAAAATTCAATGTGGTTGATATCGGATAGATTTTTTCCTTGAGATAGAAATACAGTATGCCCCCTTATCTGCCAGGGATTTGTTCCGTTACTCCCAGTGAATTACTGAAATCATGGATAGTACTGAATCCTATAGATACTATGGTTTTTCCTGTACACACATACCTATGATAAAGTTTAACTTATAAATTAGGTATGAAACCACCTTTGCAAAATTATGACTAAGACAGTGAAAGAGATCTAACCTAATTGACTCCATCTTCTAACCTTTAAGAAGTCCTTGTTCCTTCCTAGGCGTAGGTTAAACTAACTTTGGGAGGAATTTAGTTTATAGTTTAAAACAAAGATGAAAGTGGCCTTTTCCCAAAACAAATCTCCTTCTTGCCGGGGTACTTGACTGCCTTTGTAGGATTAACAAATTAGCCACAAGATTAGAAATTACGGTTTAGGAGTCATGCAGCTGGAGGCCTCAAGATTCGGACCCTCCATAAACTACTCCTAAGATCAGTGCTTGAGATATTTTGCAGACCCTGCAGTTGATGGATCAGCTGGCACCACCCCAGTCGATAAACTGGCTCATCTGATCTTGTAGCCCCCAACCAGAAACTGACTCAGCGCAAGAGGACAGCTCCAATTCCCTATTTCATTTCCTACCTAACCAATCAGCACTCCTGATTCACTGGCTTCCCTCCACCCACCAAGTTGTCCTTAAAAACTCTGATCCCCGAATGCTCCGGGAAACAGATTTGAATAATAATAAAACTCTGGTCTCCCGCACAGCTGGCTCTGTGTGAATTACTCTTTCTCTATTGCAATTCCCCTGTCTTGATAAATTGGCTCTGTCTAGGCAGCGGGCCAGGTGAACCCACTGGGTGGTTATAGGCACAACAGAAGAGTAACAAAAATAACTAATAATAGAACAGAAAAATTATAACAATATACTGTAAACGATATGCGAATGGTGTGTCTCTCCTTGTCGCTCTCAAAATATCTTCTTGTACCATACCGAGGGTAACTGAAACCATAGAAAATGACATAGCAGATAAGGGGAGACTACTGTAATATCTTCAAATACCAGCAGAAACAAATCAAAGTCCTTTTGAAGTTGGTAATTATTAATTGAGTCTAACACAAATTTTCAGTTATTAGAAGTCAGACTGGAGGCAACTTAGCAAACTTCTAGGCCTCCTAATTAGAGAAAAATACATTTAGACTTTGAGCTCCAATTTTATTATCACTTCTTTAAATTTTGCCAACATAGGATGGCAGGGTTTGCTGGCAAATCCAATAAAAGCTCTCAGAGCCAATAGTCAATATGTAGATAGCATAGGGACACATTTTTGCTCTTCTTCAATGACTCTGCTACCCTCTAGCTTTTCCATTTTCATCCTTCCAATCAGACACTTTCTTACAGCTGAGTGAATTGTCTTATACTATGGTTGTCATAAAGCAGCAGATCTCCTTGTTTTCTTCTCATTATATATATATATATGTATATATGTATGTATGTATTTTAGAAAGCAGAATGTCATTCTGCATAGTTTCACAGTGCCATTTTTACCCAGTTAACTTCAATGAACTCTGTGTCAATTCACCACAAAATGGGACCCATTTCCCTTCTTTAGAATACAGAAGTCTTTAATATACTTATATTTCTCTCTTCTATAAAACAACAAAACTTTTCTAAAGGATACACAAGTCTCCCATGCTAATTATTTTAGCAATTTGCCGGGATAGAAGGTAGATTTTATGCTTCTATTTATTGATCTATTTTAACTGAACAAATCTTTGTATAAAATAATTCCTTTTTTAAACAGTCAAGTGAGATGTGAGGAAAGCATCTGCCTTTGACTCTAACTCAGGGCCACTTTAGGACCAGGTCTAAAGGGATGTATATAGAATGATTCATGATAAGACTAAAGATATGGAATTTGTCTCTTTTCCTAAGGTCCAAATGTCAAAGCTCAATCGAGATTCTTAAAGCAGTCTTCAGCCATAGGTTTCTAAAAAACAATGCTCTATATCCAATTCTCAGCAGATTAGACCTGCCCTAGCTAAATGCTAAATAAAAGCCAAGAACAGACTACATGAACAGGAGCCAGAGGGGATATGTTTTTCTGTAAAAGGGTCAAATACATGGTTCAAATCAAAGTCCCACGGCGTACTTGTTTCTTAGAAGAGGGAAGTATCTGTACTGAGCACTGTGGATTGTCCAGTGGGACTACAGCATGTTTTATCAGACCTCTATTATGTACAGGATTCACAGAAGGCTGGAAACATAATACATATAAACCACCCACATGGGTGCACGCACACACATTCACCTAATCATGTAACAATCTGCTTTCATTTGGCAAAAGCAAAACTATTCAATGGTAAAGACTGAATGACCTCTCAGGAGACAAGCTTTGGAACATCATTTATTAATATTACTGTGACATGCTCAAAAATTGCATGTCTTTTATACTCTATGGGAAATGTGATCAGATCATAGCAATAAGAAATGGGATTTTCCCTATCACGACTGCATGCTCATATTTTTCTTGTTTTACTTTAGCTCTTAATTATATTTAACATTTGTTAATACATGTTCACAACTAGGTAAGGCCTATACCCTGCTGAGATATACTATATCTGCTCTTGCCTAGCAGGATTTCTCCTGACATTTCAAGTAAACTATGTAGATGTATTTTCTACTTTTTAATTTTGGGGAAAATTATAGGAAGGCTAATGTATTGTGGTTTGATTCAAGATATGAATAAAGAAAAAGTCTCCCAGAAAATGTCTTGGTTAAAAACATTAAAATGACTTATTGGTTGAAATTATGATTAGGAAGGGTTGAGCTCAGCTGTGATAAGTGCTTTTTAATAATTATTCTAATAAACTGCACTACCCTGGGAAGTATGGTAATTGGGTTGGAATATTATTTGTAGTCCTGATTAGCATTCTGGAAATAAATAAGGAGTCGTGAGCAAGGAGTGAAGCTATGGAGACACAAACAAGCTCTAGGACCACATAGCTAGAGAGTGAAAATGTGAGCAATAATCTACAAATTTGCATACAAGACATCACACATAAAAATATTGCTATCTTGTTCTTCTCACTGATGGAGTGTAACATTGGTTCCAAAAATGAAAAGTCTGCTAAATTCCTCGTCTGAAATCAAGTAGATAAATCACTTATTTCACTTTCCTCCTGGCCACCTTGCTTGAACTGCAAGAGTTTCCCTTCATATTCTTGGTCATTCTGGGACCTTTCTTAATTTGAGGCTACTGTCTAGACTCCTCCTCTTCCTGGTGAGCTTCTGCCCTGATCATTTCACAGCCGCCTCCATTCTTCGTTCAAGTCTGGCATCACTGTCATAGACACATGGTGGTTTTCCTTGGCCATACCGTCTAAGCATGCTTCCCCTGTCAGCTTCTGTGCCTCTTCTTTATTAGATTCATTAGCACAATTCATAATCATATGCTTATCTATTTATTTATAGGCATACTCTCTTTTCCCATTCTAAGTTGCAAGCCTAATGACAGTCATTATATTAAAAATCCCAGTATTTAGTAGGCGCTCCATAAACTGTTTGAGAGAATAAATGTGGAAGAATGTAAATTATGAAAAATTTCAGAGATTATGAGATTCTCATTTATCAACTTCAAGATTTTTGGTAGTTTTCAGAAATTTTGTGGGGTTTTTTGCTCCTTGATTGGCAACTTTATGTGTATGTATATGTGTGTATTCATATATGTGTTTATACATATATATGTGTATGTATATGTGTGTGTTATTTATATATGTTTCACACACACACACACACACAACCCATATCTCTCACTATATACAAAAATAAACCCAAAATGGATTAAAGACTTAAATGTAAGCCCCAAAACTAAAAAAGTCCTACAAGACAACCAGGAAAAACTCTTCTGGACATTAGACTAGGCAAATAATTTGTGACTAAGTCCTCATAAGCAAATATAACGAAACAAAAATATACAAATGGGATTTAATTAAACTAAAAAGCTTCTGCACAGCAAAATAAATGATTAACAGAGTAAACAGACAAACTACAGAATGGGAGAAAATATCTGCCAACTATGCATGTGACAAAGAGCTAATAGCCAGAATCTACAAGGAACTCAACAACTCAACAGGAAAAAAAACAAAAACAATTAACCCCGTTCAAAAGTGGGCAAAGGACAAGAAAAAAAAACGAAAACAATTAATCCCGTTCAAAAGTGGGCAAAGGACATGAACAGACATTTTCCAAAAGAAGACATACAAACGTCCAACAAACATGTTGAAAAATGCCACCATCACTGGTCATCAAAGAAACGCAAATTAAAACCACAATGAAATAACCATCTTACACCAGTCAGAATGGCTATTATTAAAAAGTCAAAAAATAACATATATAGGCAAGGATGCAGAAAAAAGGAAATGTTTATGCACTGTTGGTGGGAATGTAAATTAGTGCAACCTCTATGGAAAACACTATGGAGATTTCCCAAAGAACTAAAAATAGAACCATCATTATACACAGCAATCCCACTGCTAGGTATGTACCCAAAGGAAAGGAAATCATCATACCAAAAAGATAACTGTACCCATATGTTTATTGCAGCACTATTCACAATAGCAAAGATGGAATCAACCTAACTGTCTATCAACAGATGATTGGATAAAGAAACATTTTACATATTTTTACCGTGGAATAGTTCTCAGCAATGAAAAGGATAAAATCATGTCTTTGAGACATGAATGAAACTAGAGACCATTATCCTAAGTGAAATAACTTTAGGAAACAGAAAGTCAAATACTGCATGTTCTCACTTACAAGTGTGAGCTAAACAACGTGTGCACATGGACATAGAGGGAAAAATAATATACACTGGAGACTCAGAAGGGTAGGAGGAGGGTGAGGGATGGGAAATGTCATAATGGGTACAATGTACACTATTTGGGTTATGGGTACACTAAAAGCCCAGACGTCATCACAATAGAATATATTAATGTAACAAAATTGAACTTCTACTATTTAATTTATGAAAATTAAAAAGAAAAACACCTGCACACACACACATATATAATCAACGCTAAGGGTACACTAGTAAAACTCATAATCATGTCTTTCTAAGCACTATGGAACAGCAAACATTTGTGAAAAAAATACCTGCCACAACACAGGAAAAAAAGTGTGCCAAAAGGAAAGAAAGAAAGATAGTTAGGATTTATCACTCCAATCACTTTGAAATAAGAGGAAAGAGGAGTACACTTCTCCCTGACCTGCATGTTTTACTTTTTGAAAATTCCACCCATCACAGCTGTGATCCAACACAGAGCAGGAAATACGATCAACCAAATTTAATTTTCTCTGTTTTGAAGTGGAACAAGAGAAGGAAGGAGAGGTGAGAAACAACATTCTTCCTAGAGTATGTCTAGCAACCCTCTTGAACTTGAGGAAATGTAGATGAATAACTGTTTATGCTAAATCATGTATCTATTTGTTCATTCTATTTTCAAATCCAGTTATCCTGCCATCATAATACAACCATGGTATGACTATAGAAAAGGTGGTTGGAGTCCAAATGGATACAAAATTCTCAACGTAAAAATGATTTAGAATAATTACAGCAAAATTTTTATTAGAAAGAAGATAAGGTGGCTATTGGAAGGATGTTTTTGTGTATACTGCAATAAAAGAAGGTAGAATAATGCACTTGTTACCTTGAAGTCCTTGGTGATTCATGTTTGAGGATTTGGCAGGCAAGGAAGGTCAGCTCTCAGACTACTAGATTCCACAGAAATAAATACTAGAGGTGTCAAATAATATTGTTTCCTGTTTTGGAGCCCTCCATAGAACAGGAAGTCTCTACTTACAGATGTTCCATGCCTGAGGATAACTGGAAACTTTGCAGAGCTTGGCATTGTGCAGCAAAACTTTTGAAATACTTTTTAAAAATCTAGATATTGAGGCATTATTTAACTAAAATCTCTCACCTTTATAGAAATAATGTTTATAGAAGATTTTCTTGATGAAACCCATAAATTCAGAATATCTTTCTGCCATTAAAAGGTGTCTGGAATCTCAGAAACTTTAAAAGTTGTAAAGTTTGCACATCCCAGTTATATAGGATATGCTTTTGATTTTTTTGTGTGTGCAAGTTTAATCTGTCACTTCGCTGTCCTTTATGTTTTATAATGTAAGCCTAAGTTACAATTTCCTTATGCTTCTGCCTTTTTGTCTTTTATGGTAAATGCTTCATAATTCTTTGTAAAAACCCTATCATTTCACTTGTCCATATAAACCGTTTGCTCAGAAAAATTTATTTGCCTGAGAGCCCACATCACTGTTGAAAAATTTTGCTTGTCTCTCCCTTGTAGTTAAAGATAAACCTCTGTGCTTCTCAGAAAACAAGCTGCTGAAATCCTAGCTTGTAAGTCAAATAATAAGACACAATGACTTTCTGACCTGAATGATAATTTCAGCACACCTAATTAGATCAAGTACATAGCATCTTGGATAATTGAAATGAAACTTCAAATGATAAGCAGTTGAATTTCAGCAAAATTTTGAAGAAAATTATATAAATTTTTCTATAAAGAAGAGAACTAAATTCCATCTTTAAATAGTCTGCTTTTATAGCAACATAGGATTAGGGTGAGATAGTGAATGAAAAAGCAAAAATAAGTGATGGTGCTAGTTTTAAAAGTCAGCATGTTATTGGAATATACAAACAGTTGTATAATTTCTAGAAGCCACAACATAATTTTTTCTAGAAATAAAAGTGACCTCTTGGCTACTGGGCTGGCCTTTCTGGAGGCAAAAACTGGAAGACTTTAAGAATCTGTTTTCTTTTGTTTGTTTAAAAACATGATGCTATTTTATAACTGAATTTGTAATTGCTCAAGAAGTTAAAAATAAAAATAGATTATTTCTGTTAAAGAAACATATGTTGGATTATACAGAAATTTTCAGACCTGAAATTGAAAAAGTACACAACACAGATTATCTATTGACAATGGAGAACCTGATATCGAGGATTTTGCTAAGAGTGGTTGGTTGCCATGGCAGTAAGAAATAAATGCAGATACTAATGGGGATGAATATACCCTGTAGTGGTATCAGATAGGATCAAAATGGCAGGAAAAAGTTTCATTTCCCTTCTAATTTGGAAAAAAAAAATGATGAGTGACTTTAACTGAGACAAATCAGATTCCAACAGAAACAAAGGCAAAATAGTCAATGCATAACTTCAGGTTTATAGAGAGTGATTACAGTCAGATCTGGATGAGAGACTGCTATCTCAAGCTACTAGTGATGTGCTACCTGACAGCCACCATCCAGGGAAGTTGGGGAGCAAGGCAAGGGCTAAACAGTTGGATCTAAGGTTTGCTATGTCCCTGGATTTAATACGAAAGATGGTCTAATACATGACTTTTGTATCTAATGGGAACAAAAATAAAATACATATGTGTGTTTTTAACTTTTTTAAAGGTCTTGTTTTTTAATTCTAGGATACGAGTGTATAAAAGATAAATCAATAACTTTTTGAGAAAAAAGTTATATTTTACTTTTAAGACATAATGTACACCTCTTGCTTAAGAAACAATAAAATCTGAAAAAACCTCGACCTTAAAAGCTACAATTTTTTTTTTTTTTTTTTGAGATTGAGTCTCGCTCTGTTGCCCAGGCTGGAGTCCAGTGGCGCGATCTCAGCTCACTGCAACCTCTGCCTCCCAGGTTCAAGTGTTTCTCCTGCCTCAGCCTCCCAAGTAGCTGAGATTCCAGGCACCCATGACCACACCCAGCTAATTTCTGTATTTTTAGTAGAGATGGGGTTTCACCATGTTGGCCAGGCTGGTCTCAAACTCCTGGCCTCAAGTGATCCTCCCACCTTGGCCTCCCATTGACCTCATGCTCATGATTACAGGCATGATCCACTCTGCCCCGCCAAAAGCTATGATTTATTACATGTTATGACTCATAACACCATCTACTGCAAAATATAAATTGTAATGTAGATTATATTAATAAGCTTTACACATCATATTTAACTTTTATTTTTTCTTCAAATTTATGAACTATGTTCGAAAAAACATCCTAATATTTCTCTTCACAGAATCATTCCTTTCCGTTCCCCACTACTCCTTCCTCTTGATTTCCACCACACCTCTGTTACTATGCCCAAGAACAAGTGTGAGAAATATGTGTTCCCTCAAGAATGCCTGGCCTCCTCCACTTTATGAAGACAGAATGTGATTCTTTCTGGGGCAGCTTGTACTGTCCAG
This sequence comes from Homo sapiens, assembly GCF_000001405.40. Taxonomy (NCBI): domain Eukaryota; kingdom Metazoa; phylum Chordata; class Mammalia; order Primates; family Hominidae; genus Homo; species Homo sapiens. The sequence goes on from NC_000012.12 coordinate 78,582,990, forward strand.
AACACATTTCCCCATAAAGAGTTTGTCTTTGCTTTCCCAAAACCCTATGTTCAAATAAGAAAGGGGGTGATCTTTTTGTTTTCACATGGGCATACAACAAACAAGACAGTGACTAATAAAAGGTTTTTCCTCTCCTTTTTGATTTTCTGGAAAAGTTTATGTAGGATTATTCCTTAAATACTTGGTAGAAATCACTGGCGAAGCTATATAGGCCTGAGGGTTTTCTTTGTGGGAAGGTTTTTAACCATTAACCTAATTTATTTAAGAGATATAGTGTTATATAGGTTATCTATTTCTTCTTGAAAGACCATTGGCACTTTGTGCTTTCAAAGATTGTATTCTCATGGGAGAAAAATGCAGTCAGATAAAAGGAGTAAGTTCCAGCATTCAATAATACATAGGATGACTATAGTTAATAATTTATTGTATATTTCAAAGTAGCTAGAAGGGAAGATTTGAAATGTTTCCAACACAAAGAAATGATAAACGTTTGAGATGACGGATATCCTAAATACCATGATTTAATCATCACACATGTATCAAAATATCACACGTACCCACAAATATCTACAATTATTATGCATCAGTAAAAAAGAAGTAAAAGGAAACACAAACATGGTTTAACTTGGAGTGATAAGGTAATGAGCAATTTATTTTTCTTTTGTTTTGAATTCTGCGGAAGGACTTTCAAAGTTGTGCAATAAGAAATGGTGAAACCCTCTCAAAAATATTATGTCTGTTTTTCTAACTTGTCAAACTTATTGGCATAAAGTTGATGAAAATATTTCCCTGTTATCCTTTTAATGTATATAAGAATTGTAGGAATAGCCCTCTTACATTTCTGGTAATACAATTTATATCTTTTCCCTTTTTTCCTGATAGTCCGGCTAAAGGTATATCAATGTTATTTTTTAAAAAATTTAATTGTTTAATTTTAACTTTATTTTTGTTATTTTCTGTTTTCTATTTTGTTGCTTTTTAATTTAGGTTTCATTTGTCTTACTTCTTCTAGCTTCCATACATTGAAACTTAGATTATTAAACTTAAGACTGTTTGAAAGTTAGATTATTAAATTTAGCATGTCCATATTTTCGGACACAAATATTTATTGCAATAACTTTTTCTTAAAGTACTGTTTTAACTGCATTAAATACATTTTGATATTTATGTCTTAATTTATTCAATTCAAACTACTTTCTAATTTACCTTGTGATTTTTAAATTTGACCCATAGTTAATTTATAAGTCATTTGTTTAGTTTCCAAAGACTTTGGAGTTTTACAGTTATTTTTACAAGTTTTCAATTCCATGTTTAATTCTATGTGGTGAAAGGACTTAGTAGTTCTAATTTCAATCCTTTTAAATTTATTGAGTTTATGGTTCAGAATCTAGTATATATTAGTGAATATTTGTGTGCACTTGGAAAAATGTATATTCTGCTGTTTTAGATCTAATGTCCAATAAATGTCAGGCAATGTTGAAGAAGTCTTATTCAAGACTTCTATATGCTTACTGATTATTTTGCTTTCTTTCTTTAATTAATGAAGCTTTCGTAATCTCTAACTATAATTGATTGTGAATTTGTCCATTTGTCCTTCCTGCATTATCAGTTTTCTCTTCTTGTATTTTGTAGCTCCATTATTTGATGTTGTATGTCCTCTTGATTAATTGACACATACATCATTGTAACATGTTCCTCTTTATCACTGGTAATATTTCTTGTTTCAAAATCTACTTGGTTTGACATTAATATAGCTACTGATGCTGCTTTTTAATTGGACTAGCACTGTATATGTTTTTCTCATATAGTCTGTGTGTCCTACTGAGGTCTTCCCCACATTCATAGGGGCCAGATAGCCATGCCAACTTGGAGTCCTTGGGATGCTTGCAGGAGACCTGGACTTAGGGCACCCTCTAGTGCTGAAATGGCTGCAGTTGTCAGGGGTTAGGGAACCCAAGTCAGTTTACTTAGAACTTCTGAACTGTCCTACTGAAGAAAGACAAAAGCAAACAAAGCCAGACTCTGAAGAATAAATACATATATAATTCTTCAATGCACGAAAATCAACTGTCATACACAAACATCAAGAATAAATAAATAGGGAAATATGACATCACCAAAAAGACAAGATAAGGTGCCAATAAATAACTTTAATGGGATAAAGGCATGTGATCTGTCAAAGAATCCCATTAGCTACTTAAGGAAGTTCAGGTATCTTAAAGAAAACACAAAAAAGTAATTTCACAAATGTATCAGGGAAATTTAACAGAAAGGTTAAAATGATTTAAAAAATCAAATGGAAATCCTAGAAATGAAAAATACAAAGAACAAAATAAAAAATGCAATAGAAAGCATCAACAGCAAAACTGGTAAAACAGAAGAATCTATAAACTTGAAGACAGATTATTTGAAAATATATAATCAGAGTAGCAAAGAAAAGAAATATTAAAACTGTTGACCGTTCGACTATAATCTGCCTTGAACAAGATCTTTTGGAACTGAATCTATTTGGAGTTTTGTTTTTACTTTTTTTTTTTTTTTGAGCTTTCTGTATCCATTTTCTATATCTCTTGCAAGACTTGTAAAATGTTTAGCTATTATTTGATTAAATAAAGTTTCTATGCTTTTGCCCTTCTCTTCTCCTTCTGGAACACCCCAAATTCATATATTTGGTACCTTTATAGTATTCCATATCTCATGTAGATTTTACTCTTTCCTATTCTTTTCTTTTTTTAGTCTAAGTTATTTCAAAAGATCTGTCTTCAAGTTCAGAAATTATTTCTTCTGCTTCATCTAGTCTAGTTTTGATGTTCTCATTTGCACTTTTTATTGCATTCCTTGAGTTATTCAGTTCCAGTGGTCCTTTCTTATGGTATATATCTCTTTTTTGAGTTTCTCACTTAGTTTGTAAATTGTTTTTCTGATTTCTCTGTATTATTATCTGTGTTCTCTTGTATCTCACTAAGTTTCTTTAAAAAATCATTGTTTCAGTTTCTTTTGCAGGCCTTTTATAGATTTCTTTTTCATAGGTATCTCTTGCTGGAGAATTATTGTGTTTCTTTAGAGTTGTTATGTTTCCTTGCTTTTTTATGTTTCTTGTGTCCTTCCATTGATATTTGGGCATCAGGTATAACAGTCACTCTTTCCAATGCTATGCATTGGCTTTTGTAGAAGACTTTTTCTATGGGTTCATTTATAGTGTAAGTTGCTTAAAGTGCTTTCCCTTTGAATCTGAGTGTGCACAGTAGTGTAATCTCTGTGTAATTTCCTCAACTATAATCTGCATCAGTAGTGTTTATGAGTTTCTCAGTGGTTTAGGCTATGCTTATTAGTGGAAGCTGAAATTGAGGCATTGCTGAAGGCAGGAACATCAGGGGGGCTTGTCTTCAGGTGTTGGTGGGCCTGGCATGCCAATCCTTGGACACTCAAATGTTATATATGGGCACTGGTGGTAGTAGTTCTGGGCAGGCCAATCCTTGTGCCTTCAGACAGCTTGCTAAATTTCTGGCAGTGGCAGCAGTGGACTGGGCATGCAGGCAGGTCTTCAGGACCCTGGGCGGTGTGCATGGTGTTCAGAAAGACAGCAGCAGCATCACGCCAATCCTTGGGCCTCCAGGTAGCATGTGTGGACATCAGAGGTGGAAGTAGCAGACTGTGCACTGCAATCCCCAGGCTCCCAAGTGGTACCTGTAAGTGGGCACCAGCAGCATTAGTGGCAGAAAGTTGGGCAGGCCTGTTCATGTACCTAGAAGGTGTGCATGTGCCCTGGTGGGTGGGGTGGACTGACCTCAAGGCCTTTGTATCATGTGCATGTGGGCAAACAGGCTGAGTGGGCCCATCCTTAGGTCCCCACAAGGTGTGCACAAGCAGCAATGTCAGTGGGAGAGATGGGTCTATCCATAGGATTCAGGAAAACATGCACAGGTCCCGGGAGTGGCAGTGCCAGGCTGGATGGGTCTGTCCTCAGGCCCCCCAGTGGGGTACAGGGGCAGAGGCTACAGTGGGTGAGGTGGTCCACTCCAGGCCCCCAGATAGCCCTATCCAGACCCCTAGATGGCCCATCTGGGAACCAACAGTGGTGGGCAAAATGGGCCTCTCCTCATGTCCCTGGATCTCACTCAGGCACTGATGGTGGGTTGGATGACCTTGTTTTCAGGTCCCCCTACTGTGATCATGGGCACTAGCAAAATCAGGTGTAGTGAGTTGATCCCACAGGCCTGGATGATGTGCATGGCCACTGGCAGTTGCAATGAGCAGATGGGCCACTCCTTAGGTTATCCCTATGGTGTCCAAGAGCACCAGCTGTGGCTGGTGGATTGGGTTGATTCCCAGGTTCCTGGACAGCATGCTGGGGCAGCAGGGGCAGCAGTGGGCAGGGCACACCTGTCCTAAGGTTTCAGAATGGCAACTGTGTGGACCCACCTCATTCCCCCTAAAAGTGCATGGCAGGTGCATAGAAGGTCTGCTACTGGAGGGGGCAGGGTTGCTGTCAGTGGCAGCAGCCCCAGGCAGGTGGCTCTCAAGATCTGGGGAGCACACACTTTTGCTCCCTTTGTCCTGGGGGCGGCTTCCCCAATGCACTGCACCATCCATTCATCAAAGTGCCTATTTAGTTTGCCTATTGAGCAATCCAGCACATATCTCTCTTTATATGTTCTTCATTTTATTACATGTTGTCCTTTACTGTCCACTAAGAATTAAAGAGATATTTAGAAAGGCTAAGTGCTAGATAGATTGATAGAGAGATACTGCTTCATTTAATTTCATTTTGAAAATAATACTGTAAGGAAAATACTATCCGCATTTTAAGTTTGAAGAAAAAGACTCAGAGCATAAGTAAATTTTATTTTATAAGTGAAGCTTTGATTTTATTTTATCTGGCTGACTGCAATGCTATTTCTCTTCTATACATTGCATCAACATGGATTAAATTGGGAATAGCCTCTTATAGTCCCTTATAACCACAGCAGAGATACAATAACTGAGTAGCACATAGAATAAATTGAAAGTGAATTGGCAAATTGACAGGCATCATATTTAATTTTCTATGGCATTTTATATACAAACTTAAAAGAAAGGGCCTTCTTGAAGGAAGGCACTTTTCTTTATACATTATTGTTTGTCTCGCTCCCTTTCTCAATCCTAATCTCATTTGTAGTATCCATAATATTCAGAGTATAATTGTTAAATGAATGAATGTTTAATATTTTTGTTATGTTTTTCTTAAAAAATTGCTTAATTCTCTTCTTTATAAAGTATTTGTAGATGTAAAAACAGATGCACATGCACATACATGACCACGTTTTGCTCTCACAAATGAATAAAAGTTTATTCAACGTATGAGTTGAGGGCAAATGCTTTGCTTAAATCTATTCATCTGGTTATAATAAGAACAGATTATAGAGCCAGATGACCTTTTTTATCATGCTCTATACATATACTTTTACTACTGTAAACCATGGACAAATTTCTTTAAAATGTTTTAAAAACTTGGATATATAATTTAAATCAAAATTATTAACCTAGCAATTAATACAATGGCTAGAATTTTATTAACTCTTCATTTTAATGAACTCAGATACATATGTGTAGTTTTATATGCATATATATACACATGTGTATATGTACACATGTGTATATATGTATGTGTACACATGTGTATATATGTATATGCACACACATACACACGTATATATGTACACATATGTATATATACACGTATATACGTACACATATGTATATATGCATGTATATATGTATATGTACACATATGTATATATGCACGTATATATGCATATGTGCACATATGTATATATACACATATATGCATATGTACACATATGTATATATACACATATATGCATATGTACACATATGTATATGTACACATATGTATATGTACATATATGTATATAGGTACATATACACATGTATATGTATGCATGTATACAGGTGTGCATATATGTGTATATATACATATAAACACACATATATTTATATGTATACACACATATATGTATATATATGCACACATATGTACTTATGTATGTGTATACAAATGTGTATATATGTATAGAAACACATAGGTACATATATGTATATATACATATGCTCTATTTTATCAACTAATGTTACAATAACTTAAAAGTTAAATGCAAATAACCACAGACTCTAAAATGGGGGAAAGCATATTTGCAAAGAGGACTCACTGACTCCTTCTTTTCAAACCAATGGAGAGACTTTAAAGTCTAAATGTGCTGGAATTTTTTTGAAATGGATTCTAGGCTGATATTCAGTTTTTTTTCAATTTACATTATATTTTACATTAATCTTACACTTACATTAATGTAAATTATTGTACATTAATTTTACATTAATCTTACATTAATCTTATTTACATTAATCTCACTTACATTAATCTTTTACATTAATCATTTTACATTATTCTTATTTTCAATTGGGTTATAAATGTTTTGAAAGAACATTTTATTGCAGTCAACTCTATCTTATCTGTGAATGTTTTATTTACTTTTTAAATTGCATACCATTCCTTTTCTTTCAACCTCCTCCCAGCCACCAAGCTGGGCTCCAGGCTAGTGACAGAGGTCCTACTTGGAAGATCAAGACAAGGCACAGAAGTGTGTAACATGAACATCTAGGAAAAATGAATACTAAATCTATGTCCACATTCTTAAAAATTAAAAAATGCTATTATTCCATAAAATTTAAATTATGAAAGTTTGGTCAAATAAATAATTGTACATTTACAGCATAGAATATTATGTAGCTATTTAAAGGAATGAATTTAACTTGAAATTTTCACAAGCTGTTGCTGAATGTAAATGACACACAAAGAAGTGTGATAATTATTTGGGGTATACTTTTATAAATAATGTAAAATATCAATTTATGTGTGTATGACAGCATGGAAAACACAGATTTTTATACTCAAATTATTTAGACACATTACCTTGGGTTTCTGGTTATGATCTCATGAAAGGGAACATGGAGGAGGATAGAATTGAGAGAAGAAAAAAGGAAGGAGACATTATTATATAAAAGAAAAAAGCATCAAAATTGTACATATAATCCTGTTCCTGTAAAACTGTGTGTGTGTGTGTGTGTGTGTGTGTGTGTAAGTATACATGTGGATAACAGATCATTAGAGGTACCAAAGACAGGGTTAGGTTTATATCTACTGACTAGTAAGATAAACGTATGACAATATCAGACAGTCACTCAATAATAGTTGTCTCACAGCTCCATGAGAATGGAAATGGGAGGCAACATTTAGCTTTGTCTTTATACCATTATTTCATGTGTATTATTTTAATCCGGAGAATTTTTCTTTCATCCTTACATACATTCATGTATACATCATTCATACTGCCAAAAGAGAAGCTGGAAATAATTATTTTTACCAAGCATTTAGAACAAGTACATAAGCCAGCAGACTGCCTTTTCATACAATGTGATTTTGTTGCATCAAAGGAAATCTTATTTATATAATAAAATATACCTACTATTACGTGAACATTTTCTATATCATCAACTATAATCTCTCTTATAGGTTTGATAATTTCTTTTCAGTTGGATGTACTTTTCAAAGAAGCTAATTGGTAACATATCCTTTATCAAGCTTTCAAATCATCATCAAATGGAAGAACATGAATATGAGTCATAAAATATTAGTTTTATATTATTGAATGCACTCTAATTATCTCTGTGTTCGTTTCTTTGCTGGAAGCCTGCTTTTCTTCTTACACAGTCATTAATTTTCATAAGTATGAATTTAAACCATCTCAAAATTATTTTCCTTTTGGTATTCCACACTCCCATGAAGAGCGTAGTCTAATTTGATGACGTTGGAGGAAGAAACTGAATTAATTAGTTTCTGGATAAATACAGTAAAAATGTATTCCATTGTTTAAGGAATAAATAAAACCTCAGATATGTGTAATGAGAATGAAAAATATATTCTACCTATCATGTTATTCCTCTTCCTGTGTATATTCATTTAAGACCTGTAGATATTATCACACAAAATAAATATGCACTGGCTAACTTTAACCAAGGAAAGCATATAGAAAATAATTTCTCTTATAAGTTAGAGTATACAAAATTATTAGACATATATAGCATTTAAATCTTTGTACCTTAATAACTAAACAATTACTTCCCAATTTGTAAAAGTATATGAGCTGAGTCTCCAGTATAAACCTTATAGCATGTATCCATATTAATTCCTGAAAGGAAGATAGCTCATTAAAATAAAATGAAAGATTTAAATAAAAGGACATTAAAATAAATACATTCAGGAGTTTATATATACTGCATCACTTCTCTTTTAATCTTTACTAGGTATGTTATTGGAAAACCAGTTTCCAGTTGGATTTGCTGATTCGATTTTTATCAAATTGCAAGCAACAGTTTTTATACATTAATATAATTTTTTTTAAATTCCAGGTCACCAGCAGTAACTATCACAAGCAATAAAATATAAGCAATGCTCTCTGCATGGTGCTGTGTTAGGAAATAATCCTAAATATGGGTACATGAGTCAGTCCTAGAAAATAAACATTTTCATCAATAATAATATAAATGGATAACTGACCTCCATCACAGGGAGGAAAATCCTTTCCCCTATTTTCTCCCAGCGCTTGCTCTTGGGAGGAAATGCTCCCTAATGAAGCAGAATGAGTAGGGCTCTGATATTAAAGAATCTATTGGTAAATCCTTGTTAACATTAATTCAGTGGGAGGACTCGGGCAAATCTCAACATCAGTATCATTTTTCTCCTTTCCTGAAAAATGGGAGCAAATATCAACCTCACAGCATTAGAATTTTTAACAATGTAGTGTATCTACACACAAACACATTACGTTTTTCTGTCTTAACTAAGCCCTTTCTTTACTCCATTTATACTTCTACAAACTTTCCCATTTCTCTGTACCCCTTTAGAGAAACACTCCTTGAAAAAGATTTCTATGTTTAGTATTTTCAGTTACTCTCCATTTTCTCCTAAACTCTTTCCAAAAAGGCTTGCATCTCTTTCACAGAAACTGCTCTTGTCACATTGGCAATGATGGCCACATTGCAAAATCCAGTAGTCAATGCTCAGTCTTCATCTTGTCACAGTTGATTTTTTCCCTATCCTGGAAACAGATTTATTTATGTACCTATCATGACACCAAACCCTCATGGCTTCCTTCCTACATTACAGGCTGCTTATGCTCAGTATCTTTTTCTTATTCCTTTTTATCTTTCCAATTTCTTAATTTTGAAGTGCCTCCAAACTCAATTACTGGGCCTCTTCTCTGTTCACCCACCCTCTTGCTAATCACACCTAGTGACATGGTTTAAACATAGTTTATATGCTGACAACTCCCAATTTTTTTTCTTTGTAGTCTGTGTTCCCTTTTGAGCTCTCTGGACTTGTATATACAATTGCTTTCTAGCATCTCTAGTTGGGTATCTAATATATATCTCAAACTTAACCAGGCCAAAAATGTACTCCTGATGTCCCTTCTTTATCCAGACTTCTTCCCATCTCAGTTAATAGATGCACCATCTTTCCAGCTGCTCAGGCCCAAATCTATGAAGTCATTATTGACACATCCAATCAATTTGAAATCCTCTCAGCTCCTATGTGAAATATAGCCAGAACAGATACAGCATCACTTCTGCTGCTACTACTCTAATCCAAGCCATCACCTTTCTCTACTAGAATATTTCTATATCTTCCTAAGTGGGGTCTCCATTCCTACTTTTGTCCCACTACATTTCTTCTCAGTCAGTAGTAACTGTTTAAAAATGACAATCCAGCTCATGTTATTGGTCTGCTCTGATCTCTCCAGTGACTCCTATATCAGTCAAAGTCAGAAATAAAGTCTTCAAAATAGTCTTCAAACCCTACATAATCTGGTCTGACATTAACTGTTGGGCTTCCTTTCCAACCATTGTTTCTCTTTCTTACATATTTCCAACTACAATGGCTTTCTTGTTGTTCATAGCATATCTCTAGAATATTCCTACCTTAAGATCTTTATATTCCTTTTCCATTCCATGGAATGCTTTTCCTCTAGATATTGGTATAAATTTTTCCTTTGTCTTCTTTGCATCTTGATTCTTTAATCTTACTCTTTAAAATTGCAACTCTCAGCACTCCTGCCCTGCTTAGTTTGTTTTTATTGCACTCAGCACCTTATACATTGCATCATTTATTTTCCCAACTAGAATGTAAGCTCCCTCAGGGTAAACAGCCTGGCCTGTCTTATTCACTGTTCTATTTCCAGAACAGTGACTGACATTTAACAGGTGATTAATATTTATTCATGGAATAAATGAATGAATAAAAAAAGCACTTTGTGAAATAGAAAGCAGTATAAAAGTAGAGTTTATTATGTTTATTCCTGATATTACAAGAAATACTATTAAAATCACTAAGCATCCATGTAACTAAAGTAGTAAGAACATAACTACTCTTGTCTACTATATTTGCATTCAATTATTAATAGCCTACCTTGCTTTTAGAATATAAACATTTTGGGAGCGAAGACTATAAAAAGCAGGCTAGGTCAATGTCAGGTGACAGTATGATTAGGTATTGATTTTAGCCATTGTGCCCCATTAAGTAGGAACTTCTTAACAAAAAGTTAACACGATGCTTAGAAGAAACAAAGCTAAAATTTCCAGTAGGTTTAGAAGAAGATATGAATGAGCTTCCTTAAAAGTTGTAAAAACTAAACCTTTTAGACAAGAAGCTGTACTGGTTATGAGAGAGAATTTGTGTAGTATTAGCGCAGTCTGAGTAAGAGTGGCAAAGCCCAGCAACCACATTCATGTGTTTACGCACTGTTTCTTATCTATGGCGACATCACTCTAAGCTCATTTTTATCAGATATTATGTACTGAATCTTAAATCAAGATTTAAAGGTAAAGTTTTTGGGAGAGACATCCATTATATTGTATTTTATATTTACTTTGGAAGCCCCAAACAGAAAACTTCCCTGGCAGAAGATTAGCTATAACATGATATTCTGAAATACTGTGTAATAAAATTACTGTTGTAAGAATGGGGCTTGGAAGAAAAGATCAACAGTATTTTCTTCTTTCTCACTGTAACCACAGCAACCTTAATTGTGACTTCGTATTGGATGCCTTCCATAAACCACTTAAGCTTCGCATGGAAAAAACAGAAAAGGGGGAAAATTAGACATGACACACATCTCTCTACCTCAATTCTTAGTGCCTTCGTTCTGCACTCTTAGCTTTCCAAGGCTGAAAATGTATTGCCACTGTCTTCTCACTATTTCTCCTAACTCAATCATCTCCATCTTCCATGGTGCTGCCAGAGCGATTTTTCTAATACATGTGTTTGAGCTTGCTTTTTCTCTGCTTTAAGGTTATTTGTTTGTTTGTTTGTCTGTTGTTTGTCTTTTGAGACAGTCTCACTCTGCCACCCAGGCTGGAGTGCAGTGGTACAGTCTTGGCTTACTGCAACTTCCGCCTCCTCGGTTCAAGCTATTCTCCTGCTCAATCTCCCGAGTAGCTGGGATTACATGTGTGCACCACCATGCCCAGCTAATTTTTGTATTTTTGGTAGAGACAGGGTTTCACCATGTTGGCCAGGTTGGTCTCAAGCTCCTGACCTCAAATGGTCCACCTGCCTCGGCCTCCTAAAGTACTGGAATTATAGGCATGAGCCACCACATCCAGCCTGCTTTAAGTCTTCAAATGTCTCCTACATATGCAGTCAGTGTGGAATGCAAGGACTTACATGAATCTACTTCTTCAATTTGAAGGTGACAATAATCATGGTGATAAGAATGACAATAGCTATCACTTGTTGAGCATCTTCTTCAACTAGATACTATGAGATATTTTAGATTCTATTTCCTTTTAGTTTTCACAGACACCCTAGAAAATAATTATTATTCTCTCCTTTAAAATCATAAGACTCCGATACATTAATTAACATGTTCAAAGTCACCTAGCTACTTAGTGGTGGGTCAGATCTTTGAGTCAGAGCTTGTCTTACTTCAAAGCTCATGTTCTTTCCCCTATGATCATAACTTACAGCTTATCCAGATGAATCTATGTGGAGCTCCCCAGAAGCTTCTCAGGGTTTCTACTCCCTATGCTATCTTCCATTTGTTCTAACTGTCTGAAAACTGTCTCTCCTTGATCACTTGGAAAATCATTACTCATCCTTCAAACAACTAAACCCTCTTTTCTCTCTGAAGCTCTCCCTGCTATACTTCTTGCCTAGAGGCACTTAGGTAATCAACTCTGTCTACTGCCTGTAGTGAATCCTGTATGTAACTCTATTACAACACCTAAATTTTCACATTGACTAAGGTTTGCATATCCGACTCAGTTTTTGTACTATAATTTCTCTTATGACAAGTGTCATAAATTATTCCTTTATACATTTTATGCAGTTTCTAAAAGTAAAGTAATTCCAAAACATTATAATAAAAATATAAGAAAAATAATTTGGAAAAAGTTTCAGATTACATGTTTTGTGCGTTGTACCACCTGCTACTGAAAGATGTTTGTCTCTGTTTAGTCATGAAAACTCCTCTATTCGGTTTTTTAATAGACTCACTTGGCATCTCTGATTTGAATTCTTCAAGGCTTCCTTTCTCTGCTGGTCTATGCTAACCAAGATGTTTCTCTTGTATTGTTGTTTACCTACCTTTGCCCCAGTGGCTAATGACAGGCTAGAGATCTACTGGTCTTCCTGTTACATGACTCTAATCTCATTTTTATCAGATAGTATGTACCAAATCTTAAATATCTTGGATACATGCAAGGGTTAAAGTTTGAGGAACAGGCACCCATTATATCTTATATTTACTGTGAAAGCCCAAAGCAGAAAATGTCTGTTTTGCTGAGACCAACTGGTAAGCTGGCTTCACTGGGGAAAAGGAGACGGTACCATTTCAGCTAGCACAGAAACTTCCATATAAATGAGAGAATACGCACAATTACTGGACATAGCATGTTGCCCATGTGAATAATATCTTTAGATGATAAAGGCAGAAATAATATTGAATACCTCTGCTTGGTTATGCTCGGTTTCCTGCTCCTTAGCTACCAGGTCTGTGATTTTAGTAGACACGTCCTGTTTTTGCTGACCTCCTTGGCTTTACTTGGTCTAGAATACACTGAATGTGAATTTCCATGTTCTCTTTTTTGTTGAAAAGAAGCTTCAAGTTCCTAAAGTCTAGGCACAAGAAATGAGCAAATTATCTTGCCCCTGAGATTTGGAACAGAAAAGAATAGACAGTGTTACTAAGAAGACTACCCAGTGTGATTAGTAAAATTTAGGCTATGATCTATCTTTTTTTTTGTATCCCAAGTTTAAAAATTTATGCAAGACTGCTAAGTAAAGGATAAAATATTTAATCCATAAATGAGACTCACATTCTAAATCCTGCTGTACACAAGGAAAAGAAAGCTAGTATTTTATACTTAGCATTTTTTCAAACTATTTAGGGATTATCCAGACAGATATTTACAGTCTTGGATATGATGCATACACTCAAGGTAGAATTTATAATAGTTTATGAATACTTACTATGAGCCTGGCACAGTGCTAGCTGCTGTAATTACTAAAATAAATAAAATTAATTTCCTCCCTCAACAATCTTTGGTTATAGTTGATGAAGCAGACATGTATGTAGATAATTATGACACAATGTAGAAACAACTAAAGTATGATATATTATTACCATGACAATCAGTGCTTCCAGAATAATATTGAAAACAAAAACTAACATGTTACAATTCAATTTCAAACCCTTGAGTATTTTTTTTCTATTGTTTAATAGATAAAGGTCAACTTCTTCATGAGCTCTTCTGTGATCTGGACCTGGAATACTTTTCTAAACCTATTTCTTAAAAGAACCATTTTAATACCCCATACTTCAACCATGCCAAGATACTATGTTTGCATCTTCTCTTGCTCTGAATTTAATTACATATGAAACTATTAGATATATCAGCATATTGTGGCTATATATGTGTGTGTACGTGCATGAATGTTTGTTTATGATTTTTAACTCCCAACCAGATTTTAAATGATCTGATCAGAAAAACAAAACTTAGATTTACTGTGTCCTGTTCTAATGGATAACAGTGCTAACTACACATCAAATCACTCTATAAAATTTTTAGTGTAAAAAACAAAAGAAAGCAAGAAAGGAAAAATTAGAGATGGAAGGTGAGAGAGAATGGGAATGATATTTGGCTCCAAATACTGGGACTTTCTATAACACTGTTTGTTGTTCATTCCAGTTGCCACTAGGCACATGTGGCTATTTAAATTTAATTAAGGAATTAAATAAAAATTTAGCTCCTCAGCCAAACTAGTCACATTTTAGGTGCTTAATGTCCATATGTGACTAATGGCTACAGTACTGAAAAATACAGAATATTTCCATCATTGGAGAAAATTGTATTGGAAAGCATTGATCTATAGAATGTAATCAATGCCCCTCTTAGGTGCTAATATATCTCAAAACTTTTATATGGCAAAAACTGCAATGACTTTTGCACCAACCTAATAGTAACCTTCAGGTATTTTAAAAGCTAATAACATTCCAGGTTAGTGTTTTAAGTAATGTTCTAAAGGAACCAAAGCTTAGTGTGTCCAGAACAGAAGCTCAATGTGTGTTGATTTAACCCTATTCTTGTGGTAACTTTTCCCGGCCTCTCTATTCGCTATGGAATGTAACATTTTAATAAAGCAGACATTTTATCTAGTCACATGCATACCTCTTCTCACACATGTCCGCTTTGATCTGCAAAATAAGACTTGATGGCCAAAGGAGGATTGCTGGTCAAAATGTATCACTTATAACCATCAGTTCTTTAAGAGGTACTTAGTTATATAAAATTTAATACATCAAAAACATATAGCTAATGTTAGGGTGACAGATTTCAGACATACATACCAAGTTTCCTATTTCTTCTATTACAAAGATCAAAATAGACACTTAATGCATCAGAATCATCTGTTTGCAAACAAGTAAGAGATAGAAAATTAAAAGTATATTTAAAGTGCCAAGATAATTGTGATTGCCCTTAAACGGGTAAAATATTAAGCCTTATAAGAATCTTGAAAGAAGCGTACCTTTACGCAGGTATTCATTAAACTAGCATTTTTATTTCATAATGTATTCAAGCTAATACTATGTCTGACAGTGGACATACTTTAGAGACATCAAAACAGTTAAAGGACTTAGCAGTTTTGATAAGAATGGGCTGAAATCTTCTATCATAGCAAGTGTCAAAACATTCCCAAAGGGTTCTCATCTTACTTGAGAAAATAAGATTTGAACATATGTTAATGAAGTGTTCACGTTCAAGCCATTAGGTGTTTGAAGTACTCTTCCTTTGCAGGGAATTGTTGTAGATCAAGTTAAAGCAATATTTACCCTGTTATTTAGATGAGTGTTCTTTCAAGGATCACCTGTAGATAAGTGATGATAGAATTGACTGTTTTTAGTTGTTGTGAAAGAAAAAAGGTAAATTGAAATAGAGTACCTCAAAATACTGAATCTGAATTTTAAGAATCTAGTCCTACTTGTTCTGACAGTTGTGAAATTTGTAGTGATTGTTAATAAGGTCATCCTAAAACAGATACAGCTTTTAATGTTGAATGCAGCATTTGTAACTTGTACTTACTATATATTAGACAAAGAGTGAGTTTATGCCTTACATGTTCAGGTTGAGTAAAATTTCAAAACAACTTTTATCTTGTATTATCGTTCTGTAATCCTTTTATTTTTATTTAAAAAATGCATTCCATGTTAACATTTAAAAGACTCATAATGGATATTCTTTGGGCTGTTTGTACAATTTTTATTGTATTTTTAAAGTATTCACAATAATTTAATTACTGTACTTACTCCCTGTCTCTGAGTTAGGAACAATGGTGGACTGATTTCCACTCTGCCCTCTATTCTTCCTTCCTCTCTTATTTCTTCTTTTCTTCTTACAAAGTGTTAGGGAATACCTACTTTTTACCACAAACTGTAATAGGTGTAGGGTTATTGACTATAATGCAAACACTGTTATTTAACTTCTTGGAACTTACAGTGCAGAAGAGATAAATTAAAAGTTATGATGCAATGCAAATATAATTCTCATGTCATGTATATTATAGAGGCAAATTAATAATCAATACAAGTTGTAGCTACCAATTAATCAAATTAATAGCTACCTATTAATCCACTAAATACTCTCTAAATTAGCTTATCCGCTATATTATTTTGTTAACTATTATTTGAAATCAAGAGAAACTTAAAGTCAATTTGCCTTAAAAAATAAAGGGTTAAATTATCCCTAATATAAAAAGTCCCGAGGGAGGGTGTATTTCCACCAAGGCTCTCACCTCTGCTTTCTCCTTTGCTAGCATCCTTCATGCTGCTTTTGTTCCTGGCCTCAAAGCATCACATCAGACAACCAGAGATGAGAGGAACATTTTTAGAAATCCTAATCAATCTTTGTAATTCTTAGTAGTCTAAGCTGTATTACAAATTCATCAATAAAATGCAGAGCACAACAGCAAAGAAGAGAGGTTCCCAGAAGCTAATATAGGTAGGTACTTTTGACAGAAAAAAGGAGGCAATAGAAGTTGAAGAGGCTGTCAAGATCCATTCTTTTCAGCACAGCTCGCAGTTCACTGAACATCAAATAACGTCACGGTACAGTCTACCTTTGAAGGTGGGAAAATGAAAGGCAATACTTTTATAAAATATTTGGTTTTATGGTACTCTTATAGAAAAAATAATATAGTTATAAAATATTATATTACGTGTTTTCCAGGAAGTTTTTCACCATTTTTAAACATTCATTTTTCTCTTCACAATTCCTTGGCAGGCATTGTAAGTAGAGAAACTCTGACACTGAACTATTAAAACATTTACACAAATTCAAACCTGGTTGATACCAGTGCCTTTCATGATTGCATACTTTTCACATGTTTGTATATGTTGCATATATTGCAACGTGTTGTCATATATTAATATACATAAATCTCATATATTAATATATATAAATCTCATTGCCACATCTTAATAAAAACTGGAAATGGAGAATCACACCCAGTGCTTTATTCATGTTAAGTGAACAATGTATTTTTCTTGTTGATGCTGATGTTGTTGTTCTTGCTTGGTCATTAAGTGACTGCTTGACTTTTACCAATTTTCTTAATTTCTGTGTGCCTCAGTTTCTTAATCTCAAAAATAGGGGTATTGAGGCCCTGCTATTAAACTAAAAACATTGCAATGAGAATAAATTATATTAACAGATATAAAGTCACATGCACAAATAATACACAAATACGAATTGGTAATGTTCATATTTGTGTATTCATATTCAAATTCAAATTCATAGTCAAATAAAATAATAAAGAAGCTCTAAAACATGGTTATCAACTACTGGGAAATGTTTCCTGCATATGTAAAACATTATATATTATAATCAAATAATTTGTAAAAGTAGTTTGCAAAAAATTGACACAACTATCACTCATCTCTTAATTGTTCCCCTCAACCTTATTATAAAAAGATTCACTCGGCAGTTCTAAATGTGTAAGGTAGAATTAAATTCAGTATATTTTCAGTGCAAAATATTCCACTCAAGGTGCCCAAAATCACTTCTTACCTGTGCACCAGCAAGAGCAGCAGGAGGCCATTTCTCAGTGAAGGAATGGGGACAGGAAGAGTCATTCTAGTGGAGAATTTTTCCTAGGTCAGATGCCATATGGTTCTACTGTGACATTTGAAAATGCAGCAATTTGTTTTTTATTCACTCAGCTCTTTCATTTCTTGCTTTGAAGTATTATATTCACTTCCCTAAAGAAGCAACAGGGAAATGAACTGTAACAAATAATGTTTATTTCTGGAATGAACCCCCTCAAGTCCTAAAGAATGGCCAGAGTTTAGAGGAGTCACTGATATTCTTAACATCTCTAGTCTCCACTGAACAAAGATGCAGAAAGCACAATGGTTGTTGTAAACAACAATTATGATTTTATTATTAAATTGTCTAATGGAAGTGGTTTGAGTTCTTTGCAGAGATAACACAAATTTTGACTAAATAAATCCATAGAGATAAATGTAGTTCTAAAAAACATTAATGAAGAACTTACAAAAAGACTAATTTTGTGTTCCCTGGAAAACAGCCTTAGATCAGATGGTTAATGTTTTTTAATTGATCTTTGACTAGAACCCTGGAGCATAAATCCAATTAAGATTTGCATAGATACATGCGTAGAAATCAAATAAATTTACCCTATATATTATCACAATGAGAAATCTTTCTGAAATTTTAAAACCTGAATGTAGAGAAATGTATGTCTTTATAGTTCTCAGTTATGAGCTGCTTAAAATAATTTTTAATAACATTGCTTGTCACATATGCAAAATATTAGTACATCTGACTATAAATAGTTCAGTTATAATTAAAACTATTCTACTAAAAATTCATTGTAAAAGTAATATTATATCCAAATTACTCTCCTTTTAAATGACTTTTTCTCATTTTTTTCTTATGTTTTTCTTAACAATTGAATTATTTCCTTTTTCTCTCTCTCAGGTATAATTATAATACCATTAATTAATTGTTAAGGAAGTAACTTATTTAATAGAGATAAAGGAACTTTCAGCACAAAGTTGAAGTACTTGGCCTAATTTAATCAGTTAGTAAATATCATAAATCAAGAGCAACTATTCAAACTCCCAGTTTTCTGTTTCCTTGTCTACCATATGTTGTCATGCATTGAACAGGCCTAGAAATAATTTAGGCCTTCCCCAATATTGAGTTCCAAAATCGAACCAGTAATAAAAAAACCCTACTATTCAAGCCTGTAATCCCAGCACCTTGGGAGGCTGGGGCGGGCGGATCACGAGGTCAGGAGATGGAGACCATCGTGGCTTACATGTTGAAACCCCATCTCTACTAAAAATACAAAAAAATTAGCTAGACGTGGTGGCAGGCACCTGTATTCCCAGCCACTCAGAAGGCTGAGACAGGAGAATAGCATGAACCCAAGAGGCGGAGCTTGCAGTGAGCCAAGATCCAGCCACTGCATTCCAGCCTGTGCGACAGAGTGAGACTCCGTCTCAAAACAAACAAACAAACAAACAAACAAACAAACAAACCCTACTCTTCAAAAAGGCCCCAGACCAGGTGGATTCACAGCCAAATTCTACCAGATACAAAGAAGAACTGGTACCAATCCTACTGAAACTGTTTCCAAAAATTGACAAGACCAACATCAAACTGATACCAAAAACCTAGCAAAGACAAAATAAAAGAAGAAATCTACAGACCAATATCCCCTTTTGCATAGATGAAAAAATCCTTAACAAAATACTAGCAAACTGAATTCAACAGAACATCAAAACCTTAATTCACCTGATCAAGTAGGCTTTATTCCTGGAATGAAAAATCGGTTTAACATAGGCAAATCAATAAATTTTATTTAACCATATAAGCAGAATTAAAAACAAATCTATATGATCACCTCAATAGATGCAGAAAAACCTTTTGATAAAATCCAACATCCCTTCATGATAAAACCCCTAAAGAAACTAGACATCGAAGGAACCTACCACAAAATATTAAGAACCATATATGACAAACCCAAAGCAAACATCATATTGAATGGGCAAAAGCTGGAAGAATCCCCCTTGAGAACTGGGGCAAGACAAGGATACCTACTCTTACCACTCCTATTCAACATAGTACAGAAAGTGCTAGCCAGAGCAATTAGGGAAGAGAAAGAAATAAAATGCATCCAAAAAGGAAAAGAAGAAGTCAAACTATCTCTTCACTGATGATATGATTCTATACTTAGAAAACTCTAAGGACTCTGCCAAAAGGCTATTAGAGCTGATAAAGGATTTTAGCAAGGTTTCAGGATACAGAATCTATGTACAAAAATCAGTAGCATTCCTATACATCAATAACATTCAAACTAAGAGCCAAATCAAGAATGCAATCTTATTTCCAATAGCCACACAAAAAAATAAAATACTTAGGAATACATCTAACCAAGGAAGTGAAAGATCTCTATAAGGAGAACTACAAAATACTACTGGAATAAATAATACATGATAAAAACAAATGGAAAAAAATTCCATACTCATGGATTAGAAAAATCAATATCATTAAAATGGCCATATGCCCAAAGCAATCTACATTTTCAACATTATTCCTATCAAGCTATCAATGACATTTTTCACAGAATTGGAATAAACAATGCTAAAATCCATATGGAAGCAAAAAAGATCCCAAATAGCCAAAGCAATTCCAAGCAAAAAGAGCAAAGTGAGAGTCATCATGCTACCCAGCTTCAAACTATACAAGAAGGCTACAGTAACCAAAACAGCATGGTCCTCGTACAAAAGTGTATAGACCAGTGGAATAGAATACGGAACCCTGAAATGAAGCCTCACACTTACAGCCATGCAATCTCCAACAAAGTCAACAAAAATAAGCAATGGTGAAAGGACTCCCTATTCAATAAATAGTGCTGAGATAACTGGTAAGCCATAGGCAGAATCATGAAACTGGACCCTTACTATTCACCATATACAAAAATTAACTCAATATGGATTAAAGATTTAAATGTAAGACCTCAGACCTCAAATTATAAGAATCCTAGAAGAAAACCTAGGAAACACCATTCTGGACATCAGCCTTGGAAAATAATTTATGACTAAGTCCTCAAAAGCAATTACAACAAAAAAAAATTGACAAGTGGAACATAACTAAACAGATTGTGCACAGCAAAATAAACTATCAAGAGAGTAAACAGAGAACCTACAGAAATGGGGGAAAATACTTTCAAACTATGCATCAAACAAAGGTCTAATATTCAGAATCTATAGGGCACCCAAGTAACTGAACAAGCAAAAAATGAATAACCCTATTGAAAAAGGGGCAAAAAACACGAACAGGCACTTCTCAAAAGAAGACACACAATTGGCTAACAAACATGAAAGATGCTCCCTATCACCAATCATCAGAGAAATGCAAATCAAAACCACAATGAGATACCATCTCACACCAGTCAGAATGGCTATTATTAAAAAGTCAAAAAACAAAAAATGGTGGCTATGCTACAGAGAAAAGGGAACACTTATACACTATTGGTGGGAATGTAAATTAGTTCAACCACTGTAGAAAGCAGTTTGTGGATTTCTCAAAGAACTTCAAACAGAACTACCATTCGACCCAGCAGTACCATTACCTGGTATACATCCAAAAGAAAACAAATCATTCCACCAAAAAGACACATGTACGTGCATGTTCATCACAGCACTATTCACAATAGCAAAGACATGTAATCAACCTAAGTGCCTATCAATGGCAAATTGAATAAAGAAAATGTACATTTGCATTGTGGAATACTATACAGCCATAAAAAGAAATAATGTCCTTTGCAGCAACATGGATGCAGCTGGAGACCATTATCTTAAGCAAATTAACACAAGAACAGAAAACCAAATACCACATGTTCTATCTTATAGGTGAGAGCTAAATATTGGGCAATCATGAACATAAAGATGGCAACAATAGACACTGGGGGCTACTAGAGGGATGAGGGAGAGAGAAAGGAAGGGTTGAAAAACTAAATGTTGGGTATACTATGCTCATTACCTTTATGATGGAATAATTTGTGCCTCAAAGCTCAGCATAACACAATATACCCAAGTAACAAACCTGAGCATGTACCCCCTGAATCTAAAATAAAAATTGGAAAAAAATAGGTCATATTTCCCTCAATATATGAATCCAGATCACAGCAGCTCAAGAAAAAGCACTTAATCACAGAAGAAATGCCCTTTGTTTGAGCTGCTGTAATCAGCTCAAGAAAATTTGGTAATTTGGTAAACTATCACTCATTTCGTTTTTAGATTGTTCTAAATGGTTAAGTTCTTTCTAATATTAAGGTGACAGTTGCTTATGGACAACTTCCATTTATTACTTGTACATTTGTAATCTGTACAGAAAGGAACATAGACTTTCTCTTTCAAAAGGTTAAAGTCAGCTCTTGCAATACCCACACTCCCTACAATTTGACATCCTCTCATTTTTCAAGGCACAAGAGTTCCATAAATCATTGTTGATCCATAAGATGCAGAGAAGTCTCAAGGAAAACCCATTGAATCTAAATGATTTATTTACATGGTTTACTTCATGATTTCTTAAGTATAATTCTTTAATCACGCACCAGAAATATTGCAGCTAGAGTAACAACAAAAACATGATTCTGATACATTTTGAGCAATAAAAGCATGCTAAGATTTGCTCTCACTTTTCTTGGTTTTATTGTAAGAAAATAAATGTTTTTGCCTGATACCTTTGTGATCATTGATGTATATTTGCCAGATGACTGGCTCTTCTTACAGAGGTGGTCTTTCGGCATGAAACAGAGAAGATTTAGCTATGAAATGACCACAAGATATGTCTCCTTTAGATTCATGAGCTATATTATGTCCAATACCTCTTAATGTTTACTATCAATATATTAAAGACACTCTACAGTTGAAGACCATTGTAAAAGGCATATTTCATAAGGTTTGCTGGTCGCTAGCTTGCTTCTGTACACCCAGTTTATTATCTCCTACATCAACTAATATTGTTTGAAACTAGACAGCTTGTTTTTCTGAATTCATACTCCACTTTGGTTATTGGTTTGTTTTTAATATACATATCTTCTTATGTTTTTGTTATAGGTAGAACTTGAGTTAAATTTACCTAAAAAATAAATGGGGCCAGGCCCGGTGGCTCACGCCTGTAATCCCAGCACTTTGGGAGGCTGAGGCGGGTAGATCATGAGGTCAAGAGATTGAGACCATTCTGGCCAACATGGTGAAACCCCATCTCTACTAAAAATACAAAAATTAGCTGGGTGTGGTGGCGGGTGCCTGTAATCCCAGCTACTCGGGAGGCTGAGGCAGGAGAATCGCTTGAACCCAGGAGGCAGAGGTTGCAGTGAGCCAAGATCACACCACTGCACTCCAGCCTGGCAACAGAGTGAGACTCCATCTCTAAATAAATAAATAAATAAATAAATAAATAAATAAATAAATAAAAATGGAATTCAGAGAATTGGCCAGATTATGTAGGGCACTGAATGTCAGATCAAAGAATAAGGGAATTCACATAGATAATGGCAAGTCATTGGAAGTTTTAGAACAGGAAAATAATGATAAATTTTCTTATCCAGGAAGATCATCCTAATAATACCTTGAAGAAAAAAAGAAATTCACAAAGGGTAAACTGGAAATAAATCAATAGAAACGTTTCACTTTTCTCTTTGCTCTATTGCTGACATACTGGGGCAAAAAGCATTTTAAAAATTCCCATTTGCTAGTTTACGAAACCGGTGTGGTTATACTATTTTTCAAAAACAGTTATATAGATTTAGGTGATGTTTCAAAATAGATGTTTTAACACCTTCAAAGAAAACAAAAATTATTGGGAGAGTACCATGAACTCAAATGATTAATATCATTATGTAAATATACCCAGGTGATGGTTTCAACATTATAGTTTCTCAAGTACTCTCTTAAAATTAAAAACAATTAAAATCTAATAATGTTGTCTATATTAGTGCTTTGATTAAGGTATGTGACATTTACCAGGCATAACCTATTGGTTTGTTGATGGCGACTGGCAGGAGAGAAGTTATAGGGTCTGTATGGGAGTATAATAGAAAATAATCAAAATAATGAAACATTGGCTGTACAGCTTTTATAACTGCTATTCAATTATTAATCAAATCCGTTTAATTTAAAGCAATACACAACATAGTCACAAAACTAATTCATGGTTACCACGGTAAATTCAAACACATAGAGAAAGCCAGCTGTGGATCAATATTCCAAACATTCAATTGTTAACTCAATCAGCTTTGACTAAAGGACCAACTACTGTATTACAAAAGCAATTAATAACTACAAGGAAATAGCCAAATGTTTTGCACACTTTCCTATTAATATGTGTCAGCAAATATTTTGATAGTGTTATCTGCATACAATTATCCACAATGAGGTCACCTGTAGGATAGTAAAATATTCTATTAATAATAGAAATAAATGTCACAAAGCATTAACCTATTGTTTTAAATGTATTTTATAGATAGGATTACAGAAATTGACAAATGATGACTATTATTTTAACTCTCTTAGTCACAGCGACTACCATTATTTTTGAACAAACTAATTGCTCAAGTTGAATAACAGCAGTAACTCAAGCTTAATGCTGAGATTAATATAAAAATAAACTTTCATCAATATAGATAATGTATTGATTTGTTTTGCTTAAAAGTGACCCTGTCAATATGACCAAAAGTTCTCTCCACACTCAAACTTGTGTGTATAACCAAGAGCTGTCTCTACACTCATATGTGTGTGTGTGTGTGTGTGTGTGTGTGTGTGTGTGTGTGTGTGTTGGACTTAAGGTTCACAAAAGAGGCAGGGCTTATACTGAGTATGATTAAAATATTAGCCCCTCAAACTCCAGGGGTTTTGTCTGTTTTGATCACTGTTATCCCAGCTGTTATCCCCAGGGAGACACAGAGTAGAATCGTACAAGATTAATAATAAAAATATATAAGGACCTTAAACAACTTAACAGCAAAAATGAAACAGTTCAATTTTAAAATGGGCAAGGTAGCCGAATAAACACTTCTCAAAAGAAGACATACAAATGGTGAACAGGCATATGAAAAATGCTCAACGTCACTAATAATCAGATAAATGATCATTAAAACAACAATGAGCTATCATCTCACCCCAGTTAAAATGGTTTCCATCAAAAAGACAAGTAATAAATAATGCTAGTGAGGATGAAGAGAAAGGACAACACTCATACACTGTTGATGGGAATGTAAATTAGTAGAGCCACTATGGAAAACGTATGGAGATTGCTCAAAAATATAAAAATAGAACTGCCACATTATCCAGCAATCTCACTGCTGCATATATATCCAAAAGAAAGGAAAGTGAATTATTAGTGAGATACCTGAAATACCTTGATTATTTCAGCACTATTCACATAGCCAAGATGTAGAACCAACCTGTGTGCATCAGTAGATGAATGGATAAATAAAATGTGGTTCATAAACACAGTGGAATATTATTCAGCCACAAAAAGTATGAAATTCTATCATTTGCAGCAACATGGATGGAATTGAAGGCCATTATGTTAAGTGAAATAAGACAGGCATGCAAAGACAAATATCACATGATCACATTAATATTTGGAATCTAAAAATGTTGATCTCATGCAGATAGAGAGTAGAATGACTGTTACCAGAATCTGGAAAGGTAGTAAAAAGGAGGGATGAAGAAGGATAAAGAGGGTTCGTTAATGGGTACAAAAATACAGTTAGATAGAAGGAATAAGATCTAGGGTTCAATAGCACAATAGAGTGACTATAGTTAACAATAATTTATTGGGATGGTGGAGCCAAGATGGCCAAATAGGAACAGCTCCAGTCTACAGCTCCCAGCATAAGCGAGGCAGAAGATGGGTGATTTCTGCATTTCTAACTGAGGTACCGGGTTCATCTCACTGTGGAGTGCTGGAAAGTGGGTGCAGGACAGTGGGTGCAGTGCACTGAGTGTGAGCCGAAGCAGGGTGAAGCATCGCCTCACCCAGGAAGTGCAAGGGGTCAGGGAATTCCCTTTCCTAGTCAAAGAAAGGGGTGACAGACAGCACCTGGAAAATTGGGTCACTCCCATCCTAATACTGCGCTTTTCCAGTGGTCTTAGCAAATGGCACAAAAGGAGATTATATCCTGTGCCTGGCTCAGAGGGTCCTACGCCCACAGAGCCTCACCCATTGCTAGCACAGCAGTCTGAGATCAAACTGCAAGGCGGCAGCGAGGCTGGGGAAGTGGCACCCGCCATTGCGGAGGCTTGAGTAGGTAAACAAAGTAGCGGGGAAGCTCAAACTGGGTGCAGCCCACCGCAGCTCAAGGAGGCCTGCCTGCCTCAGTAGACTCCACCTCTGGGGGCAGGGCATAGCCAAACAAAAGGCAGCAGAATCCTCTGCAGACTCAAATGTCCCTGTCTGACAGCTGTGAAGAGAGTAGTGGTTCTCCCAGCACACAGCTGGAGATCTGAGAACAGACAGACTGCCTCCTCAAGTGGGTCCCTGACCCCCGAGTAGCCTAACTGGGAGGCACCCCCCAGTAGGGGCAGACTGACACCTCACACGGCCGGGTACTCCTCTGAGACAAAACTTCCAGTGGAACGATCAGGCAGCAACAATTGCTGCTCATCAATATCCGCTGTTCTGCAGCCTCCGCTGCTGATACCCAAGCAAACAGGGCCTGGAGTAGATCTCCAGCAAATTCCAACAGTCCTGCAGCTGAGGGTCATGACTGTTAGAAGGAAAGCTAACAAACAGAAAGGACATCCACACCAAAACCCCATCTGTACGTCACCATCATCAAAGACCAAAGGTAGATAAAACCACAAAGATGGGGAAAAAACAGAGCAGAAAAACTGGAAACTCTAAAAATCAGAGTGCCTCTCCTCCTCCAAAGGAACACAGCTTCTCACTAGCAATGGAACAAAGCTGGACAGAGAATGACTTTGACGAGTTGAGAGAAGAAGGCTTCAGACGATCAAACTACTCCGAGCTACAGGAGGAAGTTCAAACCCATGGCAAAGAAGTTAAAAACCTTGAAAAAAAATTAGACAAATGGCTAACTAGAATAACCAATGCAGAGAAGTCCTTAAAGGACCTGATGGAGCTGAAAACCACAGCACGAGAACTACGTGATGAATGCACAAGCCTCAGTAGCCGATTCGATCAACTGGAAAAAAGGGTATTAGTGATGGAAGATCAAATGAATGAAATGAAGCAAGAAGAGAAGTTTAGAGAAAAAAGAATAAAAAGAAACAAACAAACCCTCCAAGAAATATGGGACTATGTGAAAAGACACATACACCCTCCCAAGACTAAACCAGGAAGAAGTTGAATCTGGATATTAGCCCTTTGTCACATGAGTAGGTTGCAAAAATTTTCTCCCATTCTGTAGGTTGCCTGTTCACTCTGATGGTAGTTTATTCTGCTGTGCAGAAGCTCTTCAGTTTAATTAGATCCCACTTGTCAATTTTGGCTTTGTTGCCATTGCTTTTGGTGTTTTCGACATGAAGTCCTTGCCCATGCTTATGTCCTGAATGGAAGCCATCATTCTCAGCAAACTATCGCAAGGACAAAAAAACCAAACACCACATGTTCTCACTCATAGGTGGGAATTGAACAATGAGAACACATGGACACAGGAAGGGGATCATCACACTCCGGGGACTGTTGTGGGGTGGGGTGAGGGGGGAGGGATAGCATTAGGAGATATATCTAATGCTAAATGACGAGTTAATGGGTGCAGCACACCAACATGGCACATGTATACATATGTAACAAACCTGCACATTGTGCACATGTACCCTAAAACTTAAAGTATAATAATAAAATTTAAAAATAGGCAGAAATATAAGGTTTCTCAATTTGTTTCATCAATGTATAAACACTCAAAATTTTCCTACTTATAATAGATTAGGTATGGGTTTTGCTATAATTTCTAACAATTTTGGAAGTTGTCCATTCACTGACTTATTAATTTAATAAATAAGTATAGAACACCTATTCCAGGCCATCACTCAGCTTGATGCTGCACATTCAAGAATAAGAAGTTCTTTCGGTCTAGTTGGAGGAGACAGGTGACTAAATAGCAATTTTTGACCCTAATTGGAAAGATTTGTGGCCCAAGAAAGGAGAATGTGAAAGATGAGTGTTGAGGGCCTGTAAGAACTGAGGTTTTAAAGGTAACCAGAGACAGATCATAAAAACCATGTAATTATTTATATAGTTTTCAATAACCAACAGGTTGCAGAAAATGGTATGAAAACTAGTTTAAGAAATGAAAATATTGCTGTAGCAATGGTGTGGATGATAAGTGAAAGAGAAAAAGACTGGAGGTAGTATGACAAATTAGAAGTCTATTTTGGTAGATAAGTCAAAAATGATGGAAGCTTGACTTACATAGAAGCCGTGGAAATGCAGGAAAGAAGATTACCATGGTAGGTGATAAGCTGATATAATCAACAGTACTTGGTCATCATTGGTGGCTGGTGACAGGGAGGAATATAGAGTAACTTGGGAGACTGGATAAATAACAATAGCATTCACTAAGAAGAAGATAAGAGAAAAGACAGTTTTGGAGGAAAAAAAATGGTATCCACTTTTAGATAGTAGATTTAAGTTGCCAAATTACAAGTAAAGATTCCAAGAGGCAGCCAAATGTACAACTTTGGGATTCAAAGAAGGACATGGCTAGAAATAAATTCGCAAATCATCAGCATAAATGATAACCAGAGATATGGGAGTGATGAGGTAATATTGGAAGAGTGATGAAATGCCATCTATTTTTGTTTTTTGTGTGTGAAAAATGTCAGGAAACATCATGTAGAGGGCAGTTTTCAGGAAAGTTATGTGTTACAAATATCAGGAGTGCTCAAATGGCTTCTGAAAATCTATATGGATAGTAAATGATTAGGGGGTTGAACAGAGATTGCTAAGTATATTTGTTCATGAAGTGGCATGCAATTGCCTTGTCCCTTCAGGTTCTCTCCTTACTACAATACAACAGTCAAGGGAGACTAGCCTGAAAGTTTCAAGGGAAACTCCCTTACCCTGGCTTTGAATTGGAAATGAATTTAAAAGGTCAAAAGGTTTTAAAAGGTCATTGAATTATTTTTATATTTGCATAAAAATGTAATTCTCCATGCCCTATGCAGCATATATGAGTCAGAATTTTTCTAGCTGCAATGAATAGAAAACCAAAATCAAAGTAGCTTGGCTGAGTTTGGTGGCTCACACCTGTAATCCCAGCTCTTTAGGCCGTGGCAGGTGGATCACCTGAGGTCAGGAGTTCAAGACCAGCCTGGCCAACATAGTGAAACCCCACATCTACTAAAAATACAAAATTAGCTGCATGTGGTGGCTCATGTCTGTAATCCCAGCTACTTGAGAGGCTGAGGCAGGAGAATCGCTTGAACCTGGGAGGCAGAGGTTGCAGTGAGCAGAGATCCCACCATTGCACTCCAGCCTGGCAACAAGAGCAAAACTCTGTCTCAACAACAACAACAACAACAACAACAACAAACTAGCTTAAACAATGAAAAATTGTATTGACTCACATTTCTAAAAGCTCCATTGTAGAAAGGTTTATCAGAGGCTTAGTGATGGCGACAAGAACAATGTGTTTTCTATCTACATGCTCTGACCTTGGCTTCCTCCTGAGTCAGGTTCCCCAAATGATTCTTCATTGTGGTAAAATGGCTGCCAGTAGCAAACAAGGTGACATGCTTGCATGATCACATCAGAGGTGTAAAAAGAGGGGCTTTCTGAACCTCTCTCTTAAGTATGAGAAATATCACTCCTACAAACACCCAACAAACCTCCTTTTGTGCGTCATTAAGCAGCATTGGATTACTTGATGGGAATTACTTTTAGACAAACCATACCCACTCTTAGATTTCAGAAGTAAAGTCAGCTTTCCTCGACCAATGTTCACTTCAATTCTAATCATAACCCTAACAAATTTAGAGTAATTTGTTAGCAATGGGATTTTATATGATTATCACATTTAATGGTCATATCTTAGTTTACGTGACCTGATTATTTCCATTTTGCCATTTAAGCAATGGAAGTTTCTAGAGAATATTCTTGTAGTCCAACGAATGCAGAACCTGATTCCAGTTTTGACTGCCTCCCAAGCTATTAATCATGACGCTTGATTTAATCTCAAGAAAAACTCTTTATCTTTCTGCCTCATTTCCCTTTTGGTGATGAAGATATTGTTTCCTTCCAAACAATTGCCCAAAGCCTGCTTGGTGACCTCAAATCCTCAGGTGTTGGAGGAGTGTCACTCAAATAATAAATCTCTTTTTCATTGTGACCTGCTTCCATCTCAGAGGTTCAGGAGAATGTTATGAAGTCACCTGCTACAGCTAAACAACGTGGATTCTTGGAATCTCTTGCACCAAACAGGACACATGGCAGCAGTTATGCTAAGAAGTAGGCACAAAAATAATTATCTGAAGGCGCCTGGTATATAGAGGTGATCAGAAAGAGACATGAGGCTGAAGCTTTCTACTGGGAATATATTTGTTTCATCAATTAGAACCAGCAAGGTGGATCAGAATTTAAACTTAGGCTGCTTTATGAAAGCAAGTCTTCTAGTTTAGCAAAACTACTTGTGGAACGCAATCTTTTCAGGTTTGTGAAATAGTAGCGAAATATGTTTTTTTCACTGGCTGTACATTAAGCAAAGTATTAAAAAAGAAAGTTTTTTATATCTGACCTGAGAAATATGGAGTAGAGTTTTATGAAATCTGTCTCTTCATTAAAATTTTTTATACCTGATGAGAGGGATCTGAGAAAGAAATGACCAATGCTATCAATGCCCGTATTTGAAGATGCTTTTTATATTCTAATTTAATCAATGGTTATTATCATTATATTATCTGATCAAAAGTCCATTTATCAAACATTTGGATTAAAAATATCTTGATTTTGATTATAATTTTAATTGAGGTTATTAGGAAGTGATGATAGGAAAATTTCAACCAGTAAGCATATACAAAATTCCTATGTGGGAAGGAAATAAAACAGAAAATAAACAAACAGAGAGGAAGATGATTAGTTATTTTCTTTCAAGAAATATGTTTAAATACAATTTATTTTCTAATGGAAGTTATATTCATTCATTTACTTTATTTTGTTTTTATTGTTTTGAGTTGGAGTTTCACTCTCGTTGCCCAGGCTGTAGTGCAGTGGCATGATCTCAGCTCACTGCAACCTCTGCCTCCTGGGTCGAAGCCATTTTCCTGCCTCAGCCTCCCGAGTAGCTGGGATTACAGGCGTGCACCACCATGCTAGGCTAATTTTGTATTTTCAGTACAGAAGGGGTTTCACTGTGTTGGTTGGGCTGGTCTCAAACTCCTGACCTCAGGTGATCCGCCTGTCTCAGCCTCCCAAAGTGTTGGGATTACAGGCGTGAGCCATCTCACCCAGCCTCATTCATTTACCTTAAAAATATATAAAATGCATGCAAGAAGTTGTCTGTAAAATGAGATGTGAATCATCATAAAATGGCATAGAGTAGAATAGAAAACTACGGTTTGTATGTAAATAATTAAAATACTCTGTAAAAAGTTAAAAGTGTGGTATAAAAGATATTACCAAAAGCAACAGTATTTTCAAGGAAAAAATAATACGTGAAATAGAATATTCGGGAAAATTTGATGGGAGGTAGACTTTGAACTGAATTCAAGGTAGATAGAATTTATAAATGCATATAAGCAAATAAGGCATCTTTTCAGAGAGTAGGAACAGTAGAATGATCAAAATAGGAAAGTAGAGAGGATGAAAACTAGAAGTTGGTATATCAGTTTGGCTAGGGGAGGATTTTGCAGGTTCGTGCTTGAGCCCTTGCTCCTTCTTGAAGGAGGTGTCTGACCTCATCTAAATTTTTTTTTTCTCATCTAAGGCTTAAGAGGTGGTGAATATGTCCCAACCTCAAGTGTGATCCTCCCTCAGACACATAGACAAAACCTATGAAGACTTTTGGTCTGGAGCATGAAAGGGGTGTTCAGAGCAGCTATTAAGCTGAGCTGGAACCAGTTGCTAGGGAAACCGGGCCCAGTTTTTTGTGGGGGACAGATGGTGTGGGGTGGAATTGGGGAAAGCAGGGTGGTGGGAAGTGGTCTGGCCATGGTGTTTCTGAAAATCCACTTATCTTTCCTCTAGTGGATCCTATTTGCTCTGTCTACCTACAGTTTTGTTAGAAATATTGGATTGAAAAATAAAGACCATTTGTGGAAAAAAGAAGGACTGCATACAAATGAGCATATAAGTAGTATACGATCGTTCTTTCATGTTTAACAATAGTGATACATTGCACATTCTTGCACAGATATTATTTTGCAAAGGTGTCAATAATCTTGTAAGACTCATTCATTTTAGCCAAAGAGTATAGCCATCTCAATTTTTGGTACCTATCGCCACATTGTCTTTCAAATAGTAAGTATCAACATAGTGCTTTTACAAATATACAAGCAAATATATAAAGCAGCCCAACCGCAGCTTCTTTGCTCATTACTACTTTGACAATAATGATTCAAGTATCTAAGCATAACTTTTATTTAAAATATTATAGATACTATTTCCTCTATGAAATCTGAAGAAATGAGCAAGTATTTTCTGCATGGAAAATATGCCAGACTATCTTTTTCCTTCAGTCTCCATCCCTTGTTCTGCTAAAACAGACACATTCATTAGAAGATCTGGACTGATTGCAGTTAAACAGTGTAGTGCAGTTGTGGTGACTCTAAGAATATGCAGAGTTGGCTACATTTGATACAACTGGCATTCTAAGCAACAGTAGTAAATTTCATGCTACTATTCCAAATTCAATGTTATTTAAGATATATTTCTAAATTATGCACATTAAATAAAACACATCTGTGGACCAGATTCTACCAAAAACCATGCTAGTTTTGACTCAGTTCCCAATGGTGATTCTTGAAGCTCAAACTGGTTCTGTCTAAATAATTCACACCCTAACCAAGTACCTCTGATCCAGAAGATCCTTGGCCACCAGACAGAAGGGAATTTCTAGAGAACTTCTTCCATGCCTGCAAAGGGGCAAAAGGGACCTCCTTTGAAAATCCAGTAGTGCATCTACATATTTTATGTTTATGTGATAGTTTTCATTTAAAAATCCAAATCTATTGCCCTATTTAATTTTCATGATCTATATGTGTGTAAATTTTGTGAGTATCAAAATTGTATAGATAAGAAATAAAGAGGCCTAGGAAAGTAACTTGCCCCAAGTTTATGTGCAAGTAAATGGCAGAGTAAGCCTCTAATTTACTCTTAACTGCAGAGTTAGTATTCTAAGATACCACAGTTATTGCTGTGAATGCCTGAACTGATTTCTAGAGTGAAATTATCTGGAAAAATCCTAGATCACATCTCATGCTTCTCTGTGTAGCATGTCTGAGTATCAGGAAATTAAAAGGCCTAAATGATCTGGCTCTGCCACCTTAGAGGCATGTATGACAGACAGCCTTTCATGGTAATTCATTGCCTTGATGTGGGCATTGGAGTGTTACGTAAGGTTAACTAGGAAAAATAAACTACAAATAGTAAGGATTCAACATTTAAAATGTGTATTCCTGTGAAAAGTGAGAAATAACAAGCAAGTTACTAGGAATACAAAAGTGACAAATGTACATTTGAAAATGTCACAGTCCTTTGAAAGAGAAGTTACAGAACTTTGTAGAAGTTACTTGAAATTAGAATTTTCTGGGAGCAATAAAAATAAAATAAATTCCAGGCTGACTGATTAAAGACAAACAAAACCTTTTAAAATTAGATTGTAAAAAACAAGCACTTAAATAACTTATAACTAATCTCTTGTTTATATAATCTTGACAATTCTGTCACTTGTGTTTATCCTAGGTTTACAAGTAATTTTTAAAACTATTGATCCCTAATATCTGTAAAATCAGTTTTGTTTCTGATTGAATTTACTCAGACCACCTTTATCTTTCTATTCACCATTCATGTCCCTCGCCCATCTTTCAACATCACTGAAATAAGAGGAAGCAGTAAATCTCTAAAATGAATTTAAAAAGTAAAATCAAAATTAACTTCATTTGTCTTAGATTACTTTAAAATTCTCTTTATAGCCAATCTCATTTGTTTTCCAACATGATCACAAACCCATTTAACATTTAATACACATAATGAAGAGGTATTTATTTAATTATCATGTGCTAACTACTATAACAAACCATCCTAAAATCTTAACAATACAATAAAGTTATAATGTTTTAAATGTCATAGACTGTGTGAATTAGTGTCTTTTGCGCACGTCGTTCCTTACTGAGGGATTTTGGAAGCATTCGGAGTTCAGTTTCTCCATTTGAGAACGAGAAGAAATAGGCAGTTACCTCTCTTGGACAAACAGGTTTTGATCCATCCCGTCTGAACTTCAAAACAAATTCCCCCTTCCCAACAGGTCTTGCACTGCTGTTTTTCACGCTATGAGTTGTGCACGGTTTATTTTTTTAAAAATCCTGAAATCTTAATGACTTAATACAGTAAAATTGTAATTTATGTCATAGACTGTATGGATTAGTGGGGAGAGTGAAGACTATGCTTCATACAGTCATTTAGGGATCTGGACTCATTGCATCTATGGCTACAGCATCTTCCAAGGCCTTGGAGTCTTCCAGAAGGTACTTTATATGCAAGTAACAAACCAGGAAAGAGGCTGGGTGCATGCCTGTAATCTCAGCACTTTGGGAGGCAGAGACAGGATGATCACTTGAGTCCACTAATTCGAGACCAGCTTGGGCAACATGGCAAGGCCCTGTCTCTACAAAAAAATTAAAAAGTTAGGTAGGCATGGTGGCATGAGCCTGTAGTCCCAGCTACTTGGGACACTGAGGTGGAGGATTGCTTAAGCCCAAGAGGTTGAGGTTACAGTGAGCCATGATTGCACTACTGCACTCCAGACTGGGTGACAGAGAGATCCTGTCCAAAAAAAAAAAAAAATAGAGAGAGAGAAAGAAATAAAAGAGAGGAAGAAAGAAAAGAAAGAAGAAAAAAGAAAAGAAAAAAGAAAGAAGGGGGAAGGGCGAGGGAGGGAGGGAGGGAAGGGGGGAGGGAGCGAAGGGGGGAGGGAGGGAGGAGAAAAGAAGAAAAGAAAAGAAAGAAAAGAAAAAAATGGGAAAGAGAAAGTGCATGGATTATCACATTGGGAGATGTTTGTGGATCATGCCTGAAAGTGGCATATGTTACTTTTATTTACAATTCATTCATTGCAAAACCTAATCAAGTGGGCTCACCTAAAACATTCAGAATATTGAGAAATATAGTCTAAAAGTATACCAAGGAGACTATAACAGACCTAACTTTGTGCTAGCAATTTCCACCACACTTAACTACTTGGCAAATATTTCTCAAATATCTGTCTCATTATGATTGACTTTTAATAAGCATTAACAAAGTTTTTTTTAATTATGAGGAAAGAAGAAGGCATTCTACGAAAATATATATCGCTATTTTTTGCTTCATCTGTTGTAAAACAACTGCTAGATTCTCTAAACACAAAAAGCAACTTGCTTTGTATATTTTGTTGTTAGATCACATTAACAAAAATATTAAATAAAATGGAGTGTGATGGGGAAATGGTTATATAAATTATGGTTTAGCCACATGGCAATACTTATGCATGAATTAAAGTGATATTTGAAAAAAAATTTAATAAGGCAGAAAAATGATGCTTATATTTTTTGTTAGCAGCTTTCCTAAGGTGTAACTGGCATACAATATATCATACATATTTAAAATGTACAGATTGATAAATGTTGATTATATATGTGTACCTGTGAGACCATCACCACTATCTAGGAAATGAACAAATCCATAACCCTCAAAAGTTTTCTCTTGCCCATTTATAATCCTTTCCATCACTCTGGCTTATCCCCAGGCAACCACTTATCTGCTTCCTGTTACTCTAGCTTGCATTTTATATGGTTTGATATTAACGGAATTATATAGTTGTGCACTTTTTATCCCCTTTCACTGAGCATAATTATTCTGAGATTAATCTATGTTGTATCATGCATCACAGTTTATTATTTTTTACTGTTGAGTAGTATTCCTATATATGGATGTACTATATTTTATTGATTCATTGACTTGTTTAGGGACATCTGCATTACTCTCAGTTTGGGACTATTATAAATAAAGCTGCTAATAACATTCCTGTACAGGTTCTTATATGGATTTATGCTTTTATTTCTCTTGGACAAATAACTAGGAGTGGAAGGACTGGATTGTATGGTGAATATTATGTATAACTTTTTAAATGAAATTCACCAAATTCTATTCCAAAGTGGTTGTACCATTTTATATACTCACTACCAGCGTATGATTTTCCTGTTTATCTATGTCTTAGTCCATTCTAGCTAATTAAAATACCGTAAACTGGGTGGCTTATAAACAACAGAAATTTACTTCTCACAGTTCTGGAGCCTGAGGAGTCCAAAATTAAGGAATTAGCAGATTTGATATTTAGTGAGCTTCTATTTCCTAATTCATATACAGCCATCTTTTCACTGTGTACTCACATAGTGGAAGCAGGGAGAGACTTCTCTGCAGTCTCTTTTATAAGGATGCTAATTCATTCATAAGGGCTTCACTTTCATGATTCAATTACCTTCCAAATTCCTTACCTCCAAATATCATAACATTAGGGGTTAGGTTTTAACAGATGAATGTTGCGGGGAACACAAACATTTAGTCTATGGCAATCCACATCCTCACCAACTTTTGGTATGGTCCATCTTTTTACTTTTAGCCATGCTAGTAAGTTTGCAGGGGTATCTTATTGTGGTTTGCATTTCTTTAAAGACTAATAATTTGAGCATATTTCTATGTTTGTATTTCCCATTCAAATGTCTTCTTTAGCGTTACCACTATTCAAATTTTATGTCTGTTTTTCAAGAGTTTTAAGAGATAGTCCCTTCCTTTGGGCCCTGGGCAGTGGCTCCACTCACTCTAACTGAAGAGGTGGCCCAGCACCCTGTACCTGTGCCCTCTGGTCCTATAATATTAGTGGCAGCCCTGCTGGCCTCAAAGCCACCCTTAGAGTGACTCCTTCCTTTTCTTGAAGGACAACACATTTTATCAGCAGAGCAGTTCTATTGGCTTCTGTCACACTTATATAATCCCAGAAGTTCAACAGCCTTCATTTCATCACGTTTTAGTCTGAGCTGACAATATTTCTGCTTAGGTGGTTGATTGAATCTATGAGTCACACATTTACCTCTCTCTGGCAAAAGTGTATGCCTCTACACCTTGGCCCTGTTTCCAGAGCACATTATATGGATAGTCTGAGAATCTCCCAAATCATCAAGTTCTGGTTCTTTTTTGCTTAATAGTTCCTTTTTCAATGTATCAGTTTTCTCTCATGTATACCATAAGCAGCAAGAAGAAACCAGGGCTCATCTTCAACAGTTTTCCAGGAAATCTCTTCAGCTAGATATCCAGGTTCATTGCTTACAAGTTCCTCTTTCTGCTCAATAGCAGAAAATAATTCAGGTAAGATTGTTGCTACTTTCCATTTTTTAATTGACACACTGTAATTGCACATATTTATGGGATACAATCTGATGTTTTGATACATATATGTTGCATAATAATCATAATAATCAAATCAGGGTAGATAGCATATCCATCACCTCATGCACTTATTTCTTCATAGTGAGAACATTCAAAAGCCTGTCTTCTAACTATTTTATAACATATAGCTTACCATCAATCATCAGCACCCTACTGTGCATTAGAACCCCAGAACTTATTCCTCCTATCTAATCATCACTTTGTATCCATTGGCAAACATCCTCCCATCATCCCTTTCCCCCTTCCTGCAAGATGTGGGATCAACCCAAATGTCCAGTAATGGATGGAATAGATAAAGCAAATGTGGTATATATACACAGTGGAATACTATGCAGCCATAAAAAAGAATGGATCCTGCCACTTGCAGCAACATGGATGGACCCAGAGGTCATTATGTTAATCGAAAAACAAATACCAGACACAGAAAGACAAATACTGCATGATCTCACTTACATGTGAAATCTTGAAAAAATAAAAAAGAGTTGATATCACAGAAGCAGAAGGTAGAACAGTGGTCTCCATAATCTTTCTTGCCTGGAGATCATTCCCAGCAGCAAAATAACAAGCTGTCATGTCTCCCATCTCTTCCATCAAGAAAGGGAAGGGAAGGGAAGGGGAGGGGAGGGGAGGGAGGGGAGGGGAGGGGAGGGGAGGGGGGAAGCTGTTGCTGCTTTCTAACAATAATATATATTTTTATATATATTTAAATATATGGAACTTAAATGGCATCATACTGTACATAAATTTCTCTCTTTTTTTTTTTTGAGACAGAGTTTCCCTGTTGTTGATGAGGCTGGAGTGCAATGGCACAATCTCGGCTCACCGCAGCCTCCACCTCCAAGGTTCAAGCAATTCTCCTGCCTCAACCTCCCAAGTAGCTGGGATTACAGGCATGCACCACCACGCCGGGCTAATTTTGTATTTTTAGTAGAGATGGCGTTTCTCCTTGTTGGTAGGCTGGTCTTGAACTCCTGACCTCAGGTGATCGGCCAGCCTCGGCCTCCCAAAGTGCTGGGATTACAGGTGTGAGCCACCATGTCTGGCCAATTTCTCATTTTTTTTTCTTGCCAATAAACTGCAAACATTATTCTGTTTATATATATATATCTGTGCATAAGTGTATGTGTGTGTGTGTATATATATATATATATATATATACACACACATGCATAAACACACACAAACCCACAAATTTGTATAATTCTTTGTATTGTTTACATGCTATTTTTATATTTGATTTCATGTTCTGTCTCCACCCCTTAAGACTTCTGTGATCTTACAGCTAGTTTCTTAATTTCTCTGTATCTCAGTTTCCTTATTTTAAGAGACTGATGCTAATAAAATATTAACCCCACAAAT
Source organism: Homo sapiens (assembly GCF_000001405.40). Classification (NCBI taxonomy): domain Eukaryota; kingdom Metazoa; phylum Chordata; class Mammalia; order Primates; family Hominidae; genus Homo; species Homo sapiens. The sequence continues at coordinate 78,621,660 of NC_000012.12, forward strand.
TGGTTGTGATCATTCAGTTATGTCCCCAGTGAAACAATTAGATTAATATCCAGTGGATGATAAGCACTAAATAATTGGTAGCTGTTATTATTACTTCCAAGATCGTGTTCCAGTTTATATAGCTGTTGCCACAACCTGGACCTGAAATATTTCTTTTGGCATTAAGAGTGAGGTATTCCTTCTATATACAGTCTCCGCTCTTAAGTCCTCATTTATCCACTCCTTTAGCCAGTCTCTTGGATGATTTAAAATTTACCTCTGACAATGTCGAAAAGCAATTCCATTCTAGATTACATGGTTGTCACTTTTTACTGTCCTAGCTACTTCCCTCTTCATCCTCCGGGTGCCAGGCCCCACTCCACTCAGTACCCTCTGAAACTGACAGCATCTGACACAGTGCCCAGAAACATCTTGCTGTAAAGTAGCTATGCCATTTCCATTGGCCCTGATGTTCCACCCTGTAATATGACACCCTCAGAGATCTCCATCCTCAAAACAGCAATAATTTTTTAATTTAAAAATACAATTTTTAATTCATTTTTTTGTTTGTTGGTAGAGGAGAAAATGAAATTGACATGAATGTTAGAATCTCAGAAGGTAAAATCTCATAAAGTAGTAAACCATTGCTTTGGAGAGCAGAGAAAGATGACATTAATAATAATATATTAAAATTGATTAGTAAAACTTTTATTCATCATTAACTTCATCAATTTGATTCACGCGTTCTCAACCAAACAAGTTGTCAATGAAGCAAAACCATATAGGTTAATTCATAATCCAACAACCTAATCAATAATCAAGGTGTGAATTTCTTAAAACATCTACAGTTTAAATTCTCTAGTAAGAATTGATCGGGAAGTCATGGAATACAACTTGACATGCTTAATCTCTAGTCTCTACTTATAAAATTATAATAGTGTTTAAATATGTAACATGAATTTAGAGAGCAATGAATTCAAATACCAATGTATTTGGTGCTTATGAAACTGGCACATGTTTTTAAGAAAGAAGATGAGATTTTGCTCTATTTTTGAAACCGGATGCAAAACAATTTGAGGTTAAAGATGCACTGTGCTCTTTGGGTTTAGGGAGAATTTTTCTAGAGAAGTTTGCTTTTGAGAAGGTGGCTACATGAACGTGTTTCCCCTCATCCCACAGCAGCAGTTAAAAATCCATTCAGAGGTTTTAAGCAGAGTTCATTTGATTGTAGGTCAGTACCCAGTGGATAAATCACAAAATTGCTTCAAATAATGTGCGTGACTTGCTTTCTTCCTGCTGAGGAGAAGCTCTGAACTGAGAGAGCATGAAGTAAGAAATGTTTCCTCACCCCTAAGGTTAATGCCCCTGTCACAGCTGAAGTCACTGTCAAGCAAACACAGAGAAGTAGCTTAAAATGCAACTGTTCTGATCAATCTGCCACAGGCAGCAGAAAACAAATGGTTGGGATTCCCATCTTTGCCAGTGGCAGGGCATTCATTAAAGTACAATGATAAGTGAAAAGAAAGGAACAAGAAATCCCTTGGCCAAGAGCTTGAATGAAATATGCCACAAAAAGCACAGGGCTTTTCAAAAGCAGTCTTTTGTAATCACGGAGGCCTTTTAGGGTGGCAAAATGTAATGTTTTAGTGTATGTGTTAGGTGTAAATGTTCCCCTTGATAGTATTAGGCTGTTGACCCCCTACTGCAGGAATAATCTTTCTCAAGCACCATTTTCATCAAGCCATTCCTACTCAAGGGCCCTTCGGGAGAGCGCCCTGGTGTCTACCATATTAAATCCAAACTCTTGAGCCTGGCTTGCCCAGAAGTCCTCCTCCAGCTGATCTTTGCCTCAGCTACACCAGCAAACAGGCCTTCTTAAGTCTCTTGAAATAGATTGGCTTGCTTTTCTCTGCATAATTTTTTTTTATACAAGCTAACTTTAAGATTCTGCTCCTTATTCTCCAGCCTTGAATGTGCTCCTTATGCCCAAAGGTATGCACTCCCACATATACCTTTATCTTATGCCCTTTGAATTCTTTAAAATTAGCTTTGAAATTGTATTCCTCTATTCAAATCATACTTTGGTTGCATGATTTTTAAGTATACATTCTGCACCATTTTGTTTTATAGAATTTTGTTTCTATAAGTTTGTTGTCCAAAACCAAAGTCAAAATAATGCAGAGCACGTTCTTGGCTTCACTGAAGTAGGAATTCAAAAACTAGCAAGGGGTAGAAAAAAGCAATTTTATTGAGGCAGTAGCAGGGTTACAGCTCCCTGACTGCTCCTGCAGAGCAGGACTATCCCACAGATAGTGTGCTGAGAATAGCACCCCAGGGACAAGTTCTGTCACTATATCCACTTTTAATGGTTTACTAATTAAGATGCATGGTATTCAGAATTAGCTAGAAAATGAGAATAACTTCTGGGAGTTGCCAATGACAATAGTAAACTGTCATGGTGTTGGTGGGCCTGTATTATGGTCAGTGCTTTTGGTGCCTCTTCCTAGCTTCTGCCAGTCTTCAATATGGTCGAGTCCCACCTGTCTCCTACCTCAAAAACATAACAACAGCAGTATTTTTTTTGTCATGATTATCCAATGACTTGATAATCATGCCTCCTTTTAATTGTTCAATAAATGCTTATTACTTGACTATGCATTGGAGTATTGCTAAATTCTGAGTCCAGAAATGGGCAACAAATGATTCCAATTTGGGGGGGAATACTTAAATTCTATTTGATTTCAATCAAGACCAAAGTACTGTGCATCCAGAAGAGGGTCAGGTAAGGCTTTCTGAAGGAAGCAGCCTCATTTCAAAGCATGTGTGATTAAACTAGGGATAATCACAAGGAATTTCCCCAAAGGAGGAAACAAGACTGAGAATCTCATTAATATAAAGTAATGAAAAAATCTTATAGGAAGTTAGACTATCAATGTGGTTCTTATAAACTTCACCCTTAACTCCATGTTAGCACAATCATTTTTTTTTTCCTGTCACAGGCAGGTATGCTGAATGAAAGTTTATTTCAAAAATTTGAATCCTCTAAATAAATAGTATGATAGGCATTGCATGTTACAGAGTTATTTAGAATTTACCTGTTGGTCTCCAAAATTAAATAAAAGTAATGACCCTCCCTGACCTGCTTTTTCCCATTATTCTAAACATTTTAGCAACATTCTGGACTATTAACTGCTTCATCATGAAATTCTTTCTTGCTCCAAGTCACAATATTCCTGGATGTCTCTTACCTTGCAGACAACTTAATGTCTTTTTTCCTTCTTATTTCTTGTGAAAATGAGGAATTTCCATGTTTTAATACTTAACTGCATTTTTCTCTGTGTGTTCTTACCCATTTACGGTCTGTGGAGAGGGGTACCTTTCCTTTTCCCAGCTCATGCTCAAGAGAGGAAAAACTGTTTAATCAATGAGAATTGAAAACACTCATTGGGTCACCCCATGTGCAGCTTCCCCTTTTGCAGTGGCCACTGCCAGCCTTCATGGAGTGAAAAGTGGTAAGCAGGGCCTAGGCCTCCGTGGCAGATGTCTATTTCTGCATATTTCCATCTCCACCTCCTCTGAGAATACAAACAGGGGGATAAATTAATCCAACATCCACTCCTCAGATTCAGCTACCTTGTTTCCCAACGTTTCTGAGACCTTTTAAATCTTATTCATTACCTGGATTCATGCTGATGTTGTAGCTGGAAGACCAAGGCTAAGTTTCTTCAATGGAAAAGGTCTTACCCTCTCTCTTTTCTCTTGTTCTGCATGGCTGACTCTCTAGGCCAGCTCAAGATCAGATTCCTATGATATAACACAACATCAGAGCTTCTACTATTATTATGTTATTGAGAAATAAATTATTTTAAAATGAGAAGAATCTTACATTAAAAAATTCAAGTTTCAATATATAGACTTCTTTGTATGGATGGATAGACTTATTTCTACCAACATAGTTTGATTTTTTTCCTCCTGTATTTCTTTCATCATCTGCAGGCTGTCTTCCAATGTAGTTAAATTTCATATTAGCTACAGAGCATAAATATATGACATTTTTGGCTTAAATGTTAGTGCTGGGTATTTAAATTGATGGCTTCGTTTTGGAAGCTGTATTAGAGTTTTCCAGAGAAATAGAACGTATATACATATATATATATATACACACACACACACACATATAAAACGTATATATGACATATATATAGAACATATATATATAGAGAGAACATATATATGTGTGTGTGTGTGAATCTATATATGTGTGTATATATGTGTGTGTATATACATATATATATATATAGGTTCTGTGTGTGTGTGCTTTTGATGCCTCTTCCTAGCTTCTGTCATATATATAATATATATATATATATATATTATATATTATATAATATATATTATGTATTATATATTATATAATATATATAATATGTATTATATATATATTATATAATACGTATTATATATAATACGTATTATATATAATATATTATATAATACGTATTATATATTATATAATATATAATACATATATATACACACACCCATATATATGAGAGAGAGAGAGATTTAGGTATTGGCTCACGTAATTATGGTGACTGGCACGTCTAAAATCTGCAGGGCGGACTAGAGTTCCCGTATTGTGGAGGACAATCTGCTGTATTTAAAGTTTACCAATCTCACCCAAAAAACAGTCTCATAGAAACATCCAGAACAATGTTTGACCAAAATCTATGGCTCTACCAAGTTGACATATACAATGAAGTATAACAGAAGTTAAAAGTTTTCTACTTTTCCTTACTTTAAGCCTCATTAAAATTTAAGGAGGTAACTATGTCCAGGACTCATCTTTTGAATTTATATTACTTAAATACAGACTCATAAATTAAAGCCCCTCCACCACTGCCACACCATTATAGTCACCATATACCCTAACTGGTTCTATAGTATTTACTACTGTGTTCCTAATTATGGTTTATGAACAAATATACATTGAGTGCTTAGAAGGTACCATGAACTGTTCCAGGTGCTGGCCATAAGAGCTGGTTTTTCTAGAACTATGTTCTACTGGGGACCATAGGCAATAATAAATAAATAAGTGAACATAAGTCAAAGTCATAATAACTAGTATAAAGAAAAATAAAGCAGCTTATTGAGAGAGAGCATAGCAGCAAGAATTATACTAAATAGTGTGGTCAGAGAAGCCTCTCCATGGATGCAATGCTTCTGTTTCAGCAAGAACTTAAAGTAGTGTTGGGTCAAACTAGGCAGATATCTGGGGCAAATGTGTTCTATTGAGAAGGACTAGCAATTGAAAAATCCTGAAGTCGTGCTGCCTTTTTGTGTTCACATAATAGCAGGGGCCAATGTGGCCAGAGCAGAGTAAAAGATGGAGTTAAGAAATGAGGCCACGAGGAGCCAGGAGCAGGTTGTCACTGTAGCATTTCAGGGACCCAAGCTATGTATTTAAGTCCGATGCTATGGTGATTTTATTAGAGAAAAGAGAGAAAAGGAATTTTGAATCTTATTTTATAGGACACAATTTTCAAGTGTAAATGTCTATCTGGGTTAGACAGATAAAGAAAATGTATGAGGCATGTTGGTAGAAATGGGTGACCTGGAATGTTAAGACCTTCTAAAAACTGAATTTCAAGTCTATGCTACAGCTAGGTATAATTACACAGAGAATTCAGACTACAAGTTGTGAATTTGCGACTTCTGATAAAATGCTGTATAGATCATTATGTGAATTAGGGAAGGAAGTGTGTATTTTTAAAATCTGTTCTCTTTACTGAGCACTACAGAAGAAGTTTTCACATATGTTATCTCACTAAATCCTCAAGATAAAACTATATCATAGGTACTTTTCAAAGAAGAACATAGCCAGGTCAGAGGTACATCCTAACTAATCAGCGGCAGCCATGGGGATAAATTGAAGCTCTTGATTGACACTTGCTGTGCCACATAGTTAAGTCAATGAAATGGTATGTTTAAATGAGCCTCATCCATTTTTGTCAGAGCCACCACAATTTGATAGATATCAGCTACCAGACTTATTGAGATAGATTATTATGTATAACTTTCAAAAATATTTTTCAAGAACTAGTAGAATACTATTAAACTCCTCACATACACCAAGGGTATAAAGTGATTGAGGGTAAGGAGGTTATTTTGGAAAGAGGATGTCTTTCTTGTGAACTGTGCTGTGAGCCCTACTCCCTGAAGAAAAAAGGGTAGGGCCATTAGCCTCTCACCAAAAGCCTAGGAAGAAAGAATGGCTTTCTTCTAGGAAGAAAGAATTAACTCAAGAAACATTTGTCTCCTGAATCTCATTTGGAAAATCTCAAAAGCTAGAGATGCCTTAAATGATGGCAGAGGTGAAGTAGAAGTTGCTGCTGCCATTATGTTGTGGAAAATAATGAATAGACCAATTGTAGCCATATGAATGAGCACAGTGGCATGGGTTGTATTTGATCCTGTACAAAAAGGAAGATGTGAAACTCAGCATTGTAGAGATCTACTGACTATACTACAAAACACTAAAAAATGAGCTGATGGGATATCGTTTGCATCAAAAGAAATGCAGATGAGATGGCCCCAGCAAAGGGGAATTTCCTGAAGAAGATGCAAAAGTTTTCCATATGTGTCAGTTTAAATATTGTCCAGCCTAACAGAACTTGAAGCCAGCTTATGACATTAGAGCCAAATAACATAACTACCCCTCATAACTCCCCGCTTTTTGAGGACAGACTTCCCCCATGACAATAATGTTAATGTGGAGAACACAAGACTAAATGTTTATTATCAACAATAAATTCAAAAAGTGTTAGTAGCCATCAAATCATTTTTTATCAAATCAGTATAATTAAACTATTTTATAAATAACTTGTCTTCACCTAAAAGTAAAAATCTTCCCAAACTCTTGCACAGGCTTTCCCTAAGCCAGAAGTTGGCAAACATTTTCTGCAAAGGACTAAATAGTAAATATTTTACACTTTGCATGCCAGGTGGTCTCTGTCACAACTATCCAATTCAGCCACTGTAATGTGAAAGCTTCAATAGACAATACATAAATGAATGAGAGTGGCTGTGTTTCAAAAAGCCTTTATTTACAAAAACAAGCAGTAGGCTAGATTTTTCTCATGAGCCACCATTTGGCAATGCTTGCCCTAAGCGGTAGAAGCAATCATATTCCTCAGTTTTATGTGTGTATTCTTCTTATAATATATTTGAAATAGTGAGGAGCCCAATTGCTGAGTCAACTAAAAGTTGTAGCTGCTTACTTTAGCATTAACTACAACCTTAACATTACTTGGCTAACTGATGATTTGTTTGTTCTATTATTTCAATAGTAATAGATAATTTTGGGGTAATTTACTTTGCCCTTTCCTTATAATATTTTGGTTGACCTGTATTGTTTCCTTTGATTTCATTTGTATGACTTTTTTCTACTAACTCAACTTGATATTTTTCCCTCTACCACTAAAATAGATGTCCATTTGAATTAACGCTATACCTCTAAATCAACATACTTTTAGATTTCTTACATGAAATATACTGGTAGAATAATTGATAGTCAAATATAATACTCCAAGCATCTTTATGATTTGTTAAGTAGGTTAAGGGCTGAAAAGGGTCACTCTGTCCAGTAAAATTTTTTCATGCCTGAAGATGGGAAGTTTTTACTTCCACCTCTTTGTCACATTGGCTAGACTGTCTAAAATCAAGGAAATAAAAAATAGTTATACTAGTGGTCTTTAAAAAAATAAGCAAATGAAACCAGTTTAATTCTTATCATTTGCAACATTGCCAATCTTACTTTTATTAGTTTATTAGGTGTTAGGTACAGAATCCAATTAGGCATTTGATTAACTAATATTGAAGATGTTACTTAAGGTAGATTTACTATACAACTTGGTGGATGTAAGAGTAAAATCATCTCAGAAGTACATCAAGCAGACAAATGCAATTAGAAAATCAATCATTAACAGAGCATATAAGCAAATTATTGGAGAGGAAGATTATTTCCTAAGAAAGTAAATTTATAATATTCTGGTAACTTATCCTTGATTCTAGAGAGATCAAAATAGATAATAAAGAAAACATAATGAATTAATAAATTATTTGTTTATTTGTTTGTTCAAAGGGAGGAACCTATCAGCTTGGAAGCATGGTAGATTTGCTATTATTGTATTGTTGTTATTAACATTTGTATTACATAAAAAATAAATTATTGATAAAATTATTCAATACAAAATTAAAAGTTGTAGATACCACAAAGAAAAAAATTTGTATTACAGTAAAAATGTTTTTATTTTATTCTCATAAATAAATGTTAGGTCTAAAGCCCAGATTGAGAGAATTTTTAAAAGAGAGGTGTTTTTCCACCAGTATTATGGCAGGTTACTCTTCTAAAAAATATTTTTCCTTTATAAACTATTTAGAAATATAACAATCTTTCAGATACACAGTTGAGTTCATAGGAAAATAAGAGAAAAAATGCCCAGGGGGCAAAATCAAAGAAGAGTCAGGAAACCAGAGTGGTCATTTTGAACTGAACCTGCATCTGCCCCATGGGTCATTACAAATCTCAGAAATCTAGAACCTTGGCCTCTAAAGTTCACTCAGAGTCAAAATAAAAACAAAAACTAAACAAAAAAAAAGCACTGCACCTATGCAAGGAGAATAAAGCACTGAGGTCCCTGGGGCTCTTGAAAGACCAGAGTCACAGTGCAATGGAGGATTGAGAAACAAATCTATTTATTGCCTTAAATAAGCTGACAAGGAAAAAGTCTGTGTAATCTGCAACATGAAAAAAAAATTATCTGAATTAAAACCCATAGTACTACTCTTCTGCAAGCTTGAAGTTTGCATTTATATTACCTACTAAGTACATAAAATTAGAAAAATAAATAAATTATAGTGGTTACAATTTAGTAGCCCCCAGAGATGTGGCAGAAGTTAAAGGAAATCTTTTCTCAAGGGATATACCTACATGCCAGGTCTCAAAGAATTTACACAAAGTCCCATGAAACATGGATTCACAACCCAAAATTACAGAGAACATAAAGAAACAGCCCACTATGAAAGGAGTCATCAGAAACATCAGATAGTGTAATTAAACCTGCAAAAATATCATATAATTGGGAACATCAGAAAAAATATTAAACATAAATTAAATATAGACATAAAAAAGAAGAAACTATAAACATAAGCAGATGGATCTGAAAAGAACAAAAGAGAATTTGTAGTAATAAAATCTATAATTTTGGAAATTAAAATGTAATGAATACATAAAATGTGTGCGACCCAGCTGAAGATGAAATTAGTGAACTGGAAAATCAAAATGAAGAAATTACATAGAACATAAAAAAGCAAAGCAAAAAAAAAAAAAAAGGAACTTTACCTAACAATTATGAACACGTATTCCTCTCAAGTACACTTGGAACAATGCAGAACACTCTCTAAGAAGAATATAATAATTTAGAAAATAATACAAGCAATTTAAAAAGAACAACTGGAAATTTAAAAACACACTCTAAAGAATAAGTCTTATGACAGGAAATATTTTGAACTATACAATTATATATAGCAAAACTCTGAAAAATAACTAAAGTGAAAGAAAACACACACCTTAACCACTTGCATTGAATAAAATTGTGAGATAAACATTAAGCCAAAGCACTTAGAAACAGCCCAAGTTTGGGGGCGCACACCCATAATCCCAGCACTTTGGGAAGCCAAGGTGGGAGGATAACTTGAGGTCATAAGGTGGAGACCAAACTGGGCAACATAGTGAGACCCTGTCTCTACAAAAATTTTAAAAATTTAAGAAATTGGCTGCATGGTGATACACCTGTAGCCTTTGGTGTGCAGGAGGCTGATGTGGGAGGAGCCCTTGACCCTAAGATTAAAGACTGCAGTGAGCTATGAAATAAATCCAAATAAAATGGAAGAACTGGAAAAATGAAGATAAAAGCAGATATTAGAAATAAAACCATAACTTTATTTTTTTATAAAGACTACCATAATAAATGAATTTTGACAATGATCAAGAAAAAAAGACATGAGTAAATGTTGCTCAAAAGGAAAAAGAAAATATAATAGACGAGCTTCTTACCTTGCACTACACACATACACACCGACACACATGTATCAAAATTACAGATTGATTAAAATATTAATAAAAACAAAATTTACAGAAAAATTGTACAATGGCTTTTGTTAGGAAAGGATTTCTTAAGATACAAGAACCAGTAACCACGAAAGAAAGATAGGTACATTTTGCTGCACAAGGATTAAAAATTTCTATTTATAAAATGTGACAATAACAAGGCAGACAGAGAAAAAAAAATGTTGCAACAGATCCTACATTGAATTTTACATTCCAGGTACATTGGATGATGTTCAATGTAATGGACAAAGATTTAGTGCATAGACTTTATAAACACTATCTCCAAATTAATAAGAAAAATATAAAAATGCAGTGGAATTTGAGCAAAAAAGTGAAAGACACTGCCCCCAAACCCAAAAATATGAAAAGATTAATTTCACTAATAACAAAGAAGATCCAAGTTAAAACCACAGTAATGTATAGTTTTATACTGGATTTGTTGAAAAAAAGTTTCATCATTCAAAAGCATGGATACATTAAAATTACATTGCTGACAGGAATATATTTGGTATATCCTCCTTAGAGAGAAAATTGACTGTACACTCTCTGGTAAATAAAAAGTGCATATGGCCTATGAAATCACACTTTTAGGTTTGTAGTTTGGAGAGACTCTTGAACAAGGTGAGATGCATAGTTGTAATTTTATAATAGTCATTATAAATTATACCATATTTGGCTGGGAATAATGGCTCACACCTGTATCCCAGCACTTTAGGAGGCCTAGGTGAGAGGATTGCTTGAGCCCAGGGGCTTGAGACTTGGGCAACATAGTGAGACCTTGTCTCTACGAAAAAATAAAAAAATGATGGAGGAGGATTGCTTGAGCTCAGGAAGATTAGACTGCAATGAGCCATGATTGTACCACAGCACTCCCTCCTGGGTGACAGAGCGAGACCCTGCTTCAAAAAAGAAAAATATACCATATTTACATAATAAAATACCATATAGGAGTGCAACTAAATGACCTATAATCATTGATGAATTTCACAAATGATATTAAGTAAAAACATTATTGTTTAGGGATATAAATAAAGTGCCAAAGAATTACACATAAAAAGTTAGGTTGGTGCTTTCTTCTGTGGAATAAAGTATAAATAAGAGAGTATTACACAGAGACCTTCAACTCTATAAACTGGCTAATGCATTCACCATATTTATATATTTCCCCTTGTCTGAAAATTTTTGGAATAATAGATACAAAAGAAAGAGAAAAGATCTGCTAAATGTTTTAATCTTCTTTTCATTAGTGTTATAAGACCTACCAGTATACCATTATCTTTTTTCATCTCCAGAAAAACCCTGGCTGAATATCTTCTGGAGTAACTACCGCACTACATGAATGTTTAGTCTACATATTTCTATTTTGACCTTCTTATTCCTATATTGTTCCAGAATCACTATGCTTCTTGAGCAAATAGTGTGAAAGAGAAATGTGATGTTTGCCATACAGTAAAAACTAAAGAGCACCATCACTATCTTTCAATTATTTTCATAAGTTTCAAAGAGCATTTGGTATCAAGAATACATTTGGACTCACAGCTCTGCAAGCAGTTTGGCTTTTTAGAGAAATTTTTAAAGGTCCAAAAAAAAAAAAAACAGAATTAGTGGAGTCCTGTTAAATCATTCACTGTCATTAGGTGAATTACAGAATGTATGTATAGCACATCCTGCTTCCATTTAATTAATGGTTGTAAGTATATTCAGTGATATAAGCAAGAAACAAAACTTGGTTGCTTCAGGAACTTAGGAGATGTGATATAATTTCCTTGGAAAATATGTATATAGAAAATACAAGCAACTACAAACCATGAAAGTAAGAATAAGATGTATATAGGCTAAACCGAGGAATTTGGCACTAAAAAGGTACTAAATGTTGTTACATAGGTGTATGATTGATTATTACAAAAAACTGGAAGAAACAAACCTTAAACAAGCATTTTTGAGGTGCCACTAAAATTGTAGTAGGGAAGAAGTTATCTGTAGTGTATGACTCTTATGAGATGATAAAACCATTTATTTGAAGTACAACATTCAAAGGAATTATGAGATGTTTGTACAATAAGATTACATTTAAGTCCTGAATGAAATGAACGAGGTCAGGAAATGAGCCTAAGCAAAGAACATCTTAGACAAAGGAAATAATACAGTCTCCGAGCCAGAAGCACTCAGGGTGTGGAGATTCACTACACACAATAGCATCTTAAAGGCTCTGATAAGTCCATCTTTAAATAATCATTTAAAAATATACTTATCTCATCATTTTTCTAATTTGTTTGATTCCAAACTGTGTTTGTTATTTTAGAGTTGATTTTCCTTCATCACCTATTGTGTTATGCTAGACATTTCAGGTAAGTGTCTCAATCATTTTGCAAGGTTTTTTTTTTTCTTGGTAAGGTGAAACATAAATGCAAGTAAAATGCCAATGCGTAGAGTATTCCCTGGATCATTGTAGTAAATTCGTGTAAAGTAAATAAAATGCCAGATGTTATAGTTTCATTAGACCCAGGGGCACATTTTTTTTTAAATTTCCGCTGGTATTGTCATTACACTACTTGAATCAATCTTAACTGAGCTCAGACTCCCTCATACCAAATTGGTTTCTGCCTTCTACACCTCTGGCTCCATCATTTAAAAGTCTCTGCTAAAGTAATTTTATAGGTTTCATCTTGTTTCATCTTTGGTCAAAAATTGCTTCTGCATTGGATATAGAATCAAGTTGAAATTTTGTTATCTGATATTCAAAGTTCTTTTTCTAATTAGACTCCAATCTACTTTTCAAAATTATTATCTCCCACATTAGCCCCACTTGAAATTTTGTACACATTTCCTGTTCTCAGTGTTCTGCACCACCTAAAATAATATTCCCCTTCTCTAATATAAATTTAATCTATGCTATTTATATTTCAAAGCCTGTGCTCTATAAGGGCTTTTCAGTACTACCACATCTCACAATTATCTCCCTTCCCAATTTCAGTGACATTATTTGTCTATACCACTAATGTGAGACATTAATTTGTTTATTTTATAATTATCCTAGTTATGGAGATGAATGCATAAAAGTCATAGTTATATAAATACGGGCTTCTGAAAGGCAAGAATGATTTACATCTTTTATCTATTAGAACCAAAAGATTTATCAGCTTAATAAATACCTAACAAATATAGGTACAGAAATTGATAAAATGCCTACATATAAATTATAAATACACTGAAACTCACAAAGGTCTCCTTCACTGACAATCCATATATATTTTAAGGTTGCTTCAACTAAAATATTAAGTGAATGCTTTGCAAATTTGACTGTATCCAGGTTTATATCAGAAGGTGAGATTGAATAAGGCTTGATGCAGAATCTAAACTTCACATTTATCTGTATATTATGTTCACTTCTAAGGATATAGCACAAAGGGAACATTTTTTATTTAAAGTGAACTACAGCTGTGCTGTGAAGAGAGTTCTTTATAAAGACTGCAGGTTCTTATAACTTTGGTTTAAAATGCAATATGGGAAAATGTTGGATATTTGAGGCCTTGCTTAATATATTTCTACTGCAGTATCCTTTAAAAGCAAAAAAAAAATGCATTTATATGACAGTTTTCCTCTGTAAAGGTCCTTGCTTATATGATACAAGCACTCTGTTTTGTGCTTAAACTCTTCAGAGGGGTAGCATCAAAGTTCTTGGGGAAGGATTGTATATGTCCCTTCCCTAAAAGAATCCCTAGAAGAATGGTTGCTGATACGGCTACTGCTTCTACATCTTGAGTTTTTTAATTTGCTTTTATTAAAGCATTGATGCTGCTTGATTCAAGTCCTGTGCTTGGCCAGGTGTGTTAATTTCAATAAATGCTTTGTGAGTTTGGTTAAAATGAAAAACAAAATTATAAATACAATTAATGAATTTGCCAATATAATAGTGCTTATTCCATTGACACTCTTAGTCAATGTTTGGCTTGTTCCACAATACTTTCCTATTTTCTCCTCTTATTCCCCACATACTTTATAAAATATGCGTTGTATATATTTTCTCTCTCTTTCCCTACACACGCATATGTATAGTAGATATATATGTATGTAAACATACATACCTGTGTATATACGTAGATACGTATATACATGCATTTCCACATAAATACATACCACTATGGAAATTATCCCCAAATATAGATCTATCTGATTTTAAATACATATAATACAGTGTTAGTTTAGCAACATAAAGTCACATTTACTATTATTGCATATGTTATCACCAATTCTCATTTCTGAGAATTAAACCGAGGGATGGAAAATCTGACCCACCAGCTGTATGTAGAAGTACAATTTTATTGGAACACAGCCACACTGATTAGTTTATATATTGTTCATGGCTGCTTCACTGCTGAAAGCCCAAATTGATTAATTGCATCATGGAGCAGATAGCACCACAAAACCTACAATATTTATCATGACCCTTTACAGTACAAGTTTGCTGACACCTGACTCAAAATCAGAAAAACATGTTATTGGTTTGCCTATATCTTGAGACCCAGGTGTCGTAGATCCATTGATATTTTTCTTCTTGACATCTCCCTTTATTCAGTTGTAATGGGAGTCTGACGCAATCATTCAATAGGACATTATTTGCCACCCATTCTTTTGTTGTCTGAGGCATTCAGTTGGAGATTATCTCCCCTTGGAAATGTGAAAAACGTTATAAGGAGATCTCAGAAGGTGTAGAAGTTGAGCATGATTCAGAATTACTTCCTTCTAAAGTTCTTTTGATTATGCAAGGCCTAATTAGCAAGCTAAATCATAACACGAAGAATGTGTTTGCTTTGCAAAATCAAATCAATTGCACAATTTATGTTCCCTGCAGCTGCTACTTCCCATTTTTATAGAAGCAGATCCATTCCAGCTGTGGTTATGAGAAGCTCTTCCTTCTACTCTTTGACAGCTGAGATGTTTCAAGCTCACCAATACAGATACCAAGATGCCAACAATCATAACTTGTAAGCAAATTTCTTTTAAAGAAATCAGTGTTTTGAAACTGAAAAATGACTAAAATGTAATATATTATGTGTCTAGCAAGCCTGAGGAAATAGAACAATTCATACTGTTGGATATTAATATATAAATTTCAAGGTTAATTCCATTAACTTGGGGATTGAAACATATTAATATTTTTATGCATCCCAAACCTGACACATTAAATTTGTGTTTTATGATAAATTCTAAAAATTAACATTGAATAATATTTTTATTTCTTTATAATATAACCTTAAGCAAATAAATAGAGACTATACCTCATTTTAAAGGGACAAACCAGTTTTTTGCTAGCAAGAAACAAACTCAATTGCTAATTCTCAGTAAATGTTGTTGACTGTCATTTTCAAGCTTTTACATCTGCGCAAAGTCTAAAGTATGGGTTTGGGCTCAATCTTGTCAATATGTGTTTTGCTTAATAAATCTCTAGCAATGTATTATGTTCTAGTTTTTCAATTCTATCAACCTTTTTTTGTATTGTTATGGCATTAACACCAGAGTATGGCAAACAGCAATTTTAAACAATTCTGGAATTGTAAGAATACAAATTATTTCTAACCAAAAGCATTAGATTAGAACTGCATGCAGTAAATGCAAATAGAATCACACAATTGATTTGATAATAAGTGAAATGTATCCCTGTTCACAGACCACTCATTCTCTTTAACTTTTCCTATGTGTTAGAAAGTTAGATGGAAGCTGAGCGTTTAGCCAAAATTATTTTTCATACTTTAGCATAAGCATACTATTGGTGTACATTTGCTAATTTTCACTTCATTTTTCTAAATTTCTAAGGAGAACACATAGTAGTATGCAAGATTATTTGAAATTCTAATAGATTTGGAGCTCATACATTAGCCTAAAATTTTTATTTGTGCAAGCAGCAATTATCTTTGAACCACTATATTTATTAAAAATTTAATTCAAGAAAGAATACTGATATGACATACCATCAGCACCAGTTAAGGAAAATTTCCTGAGCTCATCCCAGCACCTGAATCGTGCAAGAAGAGTTGTATGTGTGAATAAGAGAACCGTTTGATGGGGGTACCTAGGAATAGGGAAAATTCTATGGTATTGATTCATCATTACTAAAGTGTATTCCTCAAAATATCAGTATCCTGTGTCCCATTATAAAAAATATTTTTAGAATAGTTTCCATAATTTATTAATTTTTGGAAAACATTATATAGTATTTCCCTGACATTAAGTGTTCATTTGTATATGAAAAGCTCTGACAAATCCTAACACAGAAATCCTACATGTGTTTTGTTCTGTTTTGTTTTGATTTGATTTGCTTTATTTTCCCTTTCATTCTCCAACTTTATTTGATAATAAAACATTTCTTTAAGTAGCAAATATTGACATCCTTTGGGAAAACTATGTACCAGAAAACACTTTGTGAAAGAGATAAATAGGTCTTTGAAAAAAAGACGAGAACCCACATGGAGATGAGGTATACAGGACTTATGGGATACTGGCCAGTCTCGCACAGGTGCCTTTTTAGGCAGATGCTGATTCTAGGTTCACTTAGGTCACTTTGCTCAGAGTGACCTATGCAAAAGAAAACCCTCAGAAAAGCACCGGGAGCATAACAGTGACTCTGACACTTCTTAGAAGAATGTTCTACAACCAGCAGACACATTTCAAGGAATTCTCCATTGTTCTCTATGATACTCTCTGGGAATTTCTATCCGCTAAGAATGATAGGCTTCCTAAGTGTCATATCCTTTATCAAAACATAGCCAAGGACCAATCGTACTATTTAACAGTGAACCAGAACAGTTTATAGAACACATTTCTTCCCTAACTAGTGGTCTTTGGCCTTTTGGTAATTAAGTTAAACAAACATTTGTGGAGTCTTTACCATATATACTTATCCCTGTGTTAAGGTTGGCTATAGAAAAATTATAAAGGAAAGGACTTAAAGGAATAACAATTAACCACAATAAATTAGGATAAATGCTCTACAATAGAATAATTAAAGTGTAATAGGAAGACCAGGGTGTTGGGAAGAATACATTCTGCTTGTGAAAGATGTAGAACATGGACAAAATTTCATAGAGTAGGTTATATTTAAGCTGGGGATCAGAAATAATATACCCCATAAAAAAGGACCTGGAGAGCTGCTACCTAGTACTGTACAGAACCACAATGGTAAGTTGGGCCACCAATTTTCAGGAACAACTCTATCAGGATTGGGGACAATTTTATCAGGATTGGCACTGTGTTACCTATACCAAGCAATGGTCTTGAGTATTAAGGGCTCCTGATACGGTCATTCAATAAACATTTGAAAATTTCCTATATGCAAGGCATATATATGCAAATGAATCCAAATACTTACACATTACAAGTAAAGCTCCCTGGTTAATCCCTCTAGTTTGCTCACTATTGGAAACATTTTCTCAATGTGTTCTGTGGGTTTTGTACATTTTCTGTTATTTCTAGATCCCTTTATTTGGAGATAGGTATGGGATAGGTAAATGAAGAATACATATATGCTATTGCCTCTTTTTTCTTAAAAAATTTGCACATGGGTACTGAAGTGGCATTTTTAATAATACATTTCATTCTCCACTTCTTTCATAAGTAAAACCTTGATACGTGGTCATAGGAAAATGCAACTCTGCAAGTGAGCTGTACATATTTAAGTAGGGTGGTATTAAAAGTTGAGCATTTATCTTTAAATTTAGTAATACATAAGTGTGTGTGAATAAATCTAGAAAAAAATTAAAAATACACATACACACACACACACACACACACATACATAACCACACACAACCATTCTTAGGATGAATACTTTATTTCCCCTCAGAGCACAATTCAAAACAAATCTATTTGGGTTAAGGGGCTCATCTTTGTAAAATTTCAACTTCTAAACAATGTCTCACTTATCCCTTGATCCTTAAAATAATAAACCAGCCCTGCTGCACAATTAAAACACGGTATCTGTGTTGTTGGATTCTTTACTCTCAAAGGTGTGGCACAGGTGCATGCTATCAGGGAACAGAAGCATTCTGCACAGATGTTAACAAGTGTAGAAGTCATACATCATCCCACACCAAGTTCTTAGCAGTAAATGTGTGTCCGCCTTCTAGTCTGGCTGGTCTGCCTTGTTCCACATACGTATACTCACTATGATACTCTCTGTGAAACTCTGGGAATTTCTACACACACCTCTATCCAACCAAAAATCAAAAATGATTTCTGAACTTTTCTGACCTTTTTATATTTTTTAAAGAAAAAAACACTGTTTCTTAATCATCATCTACTAATTAATAAAGGGACTGAATGTACCAGCGGCATTCAAGAACAACGACCCTACTAACAGGAGAGTACATGCTACAACTTGATTCATTTTGCTTATACTTTAAATTTTCAAAAGGCAGAGGAAACAATGAAGGTTACTGTATTCAAGTGGGAAAAGTAAAGTGAAATGATAATTCATTAACAGATGGAGTCATTTAAATTACAGGAAAATCTTAAAAACTTTGCATGACACTGCATACTGACTGGAATGTAGGTCTCAATACTCTGTGTATTTCACATTTGTTCAAAAGTTATTGTTCATTACTGGAATGTAAAGATAGTTGCATCTGAGGAATTGAAGACAGCTTTTCTGGAACTAAAATCTTTATCTTTTAAAAAAGTCTGCTTCCTTATCTTTGTGTTCTTTACATAATATGCTTTTGTGAATTAATTTATAATACAAAGTGGTGACCATCTTCTCCAGCTCCTTTTCATCAGATTCTTTCAGACAGGATTCTTATAAGATGCAAGAACTCATCCTGAACACCTGAGACATAGCTCCAGAGCAGCTGTTGTTTGTTAAATCTCCTCTTGTTTTCTGATTATTACATTTTGAAATTAAAAGTAGCCTATCATATTTTCTGATCATAATTCTGGTAAGCCTTCACAAGTACACACACAATTATAGTCTTTCATTTTCATGAGGCTACTAATTTATCTATTCTCGTACTAACTGGTCATAACCAGGGTCATTGAGGAGTGGTTCATAACACTTACCTGTATAGTATTGGGTCCTTAGGGGAAAATGGCTACATCATTGTGAAATTCATAATAGCAAAGAAGATAGAAACATGTCTTAGACTTTACAAAATAGGTTGACAAAAATTGTCATAATCCTTCCTCCTGAAAAACCTTGAAAGGAAAAAAGTTTAAGAAGTATCAGTTGATCAAAAAATAAAACTTTGATTCTACAATTTAAAATATTCTCATTAAGGAAGAATTGGAGTTTTATCCAAACAAACTAAAATGAAATTTTAATTAAGATTTTCAGATTTGTGCATGCTATTTACAAACAAGTTAGTATATGTAGAATATAGTTAAGTCCTGTGGTGGTTTAATCTTTTGAGTTTGGGGTTGAAATTCTCTCTTCTCCCCAAGTCTTTTGACTTTGAGTAAGTAACTTAAGCACTTGAATCATCTATGTCTTCATCTATAAGTGGGAATAACAAAATTACCTATCTCAAGTTTTTGATGATTAGATTGAATAGCATTATAAAGCAATTAGCTCAATGCCTGCTTTGCAATACATATTTTATACTGATAGTCATAAAGAAGTAGAAGGGGCATTTAAAGAAGAATAAATATAAATATACACATAAATAAGGTAAGAAACATTGAGGCATCAAAGATGGTGAGACTTTGAAAATATTCTACAGAAAATACAAGGCCTATAACTTCATTCATGTTTCAGGGTCACCTTCCCGGTGAAGCCTTTTCTGACCACTGATTTAAGATTGCAAGTATCCCTCTTTCACCTTAAACTCCTATTCTACTTCCGTTCTTAGGCTTATTCATCAAGCACCTAGACCTGTTCCTGCCTTACAAAAGGTGCTAATATTTGTTGACTAACTAAATGAATAAATAAATCAAATGAATGATTAAGTGGAACAAAGATGGAATAAACTCGTTGCCTAGGGGAGGTGCTGTAAAGTTAACTGATAAGAGAAAGCATATTTACATTTATCTTTTTTCCGTAACAAAGAATGTTTTCAAAATAAAAAGGAAAAGGCAAATATTGAAAAGGAGAATAATCTTTGCATAAATGAGGATAGACCAATCTGTGCTGGAGTAAAAATAAAGGCTTCCATTAAAGTGGGCCTGAGACTCCTTGGCAGTAGACACAGCTTTACCAGCTCTATGTTGTATTGCTGGTGTGTTAACCACAAGGTGGCCAAGTTCACTATGAAAGGGAAGAGTGGAGAATTGCACAAAGATTGTATGCCCAGAATTATATATTATATTTCTCTCTTTCTCTCTCTCTCTCAACCTCCCCTCCCCCACCCCACCCCCCCGACACACATAATGTCTCACCAATTACTGGCATTTAAAACACAGTCACATGGTTCACATGATGCAATCACATAACTGCAAGAGAGGCTGGGAAATGGTCCTCTATTGTGCCCAGGAATAGGAAATGGTTTGATAAATGTTCCAGATGCTTTCTGACACAATGCTCAAAATACAGTCATTTTAAGTGAATATGAGTTCCAATCCCAAATTAATTGTCATTTTGGAAGGAATTTGCATGTTTAATTGTAGAAACACTGACAGTAATCAGTTAAATTTTGATAAATAAAATTAATATCAAAAAATTAAGGTGGGAAATGTTTCCTCAAATTTTGTTTTTACCAGGGTGAAAAATACAAGTTCTAAAAGACTTCAAACTGAAAAACATGTAAGTTATCTGTACAACTCTAGAAAAGATGAAGAATCAGATGGTTAATGAACCTCCCAAAAGGAAGTGAAGAGAGCTGGGAACTAATGTGGGTTCACTAAGGAATCACCATAGTTGGCATAATTATTAAATTAGTTCATGACCTAAGAAGCCCGAGACAGACAACGATGGAGTGAATAAAACGGTGAAGCTTTATATTCTCAGAATTTGCTGAAACAGGGAGACAAAACTATTATCCAATGTGAAAAGAAAACAGGCAAACAGGCATTAGGGCTGGGCGCAGTGGCTCACGCCTGTGATCCCATCACTTTGGGGGGCCAAAATGGGTGGATCACTTGAGGTCAGGGGTTCGGGATCAGCCTGGCCAACATGGTGAAACCCCATCTCTATTAAAAATACAAAAATTAGTCTGGCGTGGTGGCGTTCACCTGTAATCCAAGCTACTCGCAGGGCTGAAGCAGGAGAATTGCTTGAACCTGGGAGGCGGAAGTTACAATGAGCAGAGATTGCACCACCACACTCCAGCCTGGGCGACAGAGTGAAACCCTGCCAAAATAAATAAATAAATAAAAGAGAGAGAGAGAGAAGCAAAGAAAGAAGGAAAGAAAAGAAAGAAGAAAACAGAGGTGTTACTAAACTATTAACTCAATGTAAATCAACAATGTGAAAAATATGATAGGCCAGGCACGGTGGCTCACGCCTGTAATCCCAGCACTTTGGGAGGCCAAGGCAGGTGGATCACGAGGTCAGGAGTTGGAGACCAGCCTGGCCAATATGGTGAAACCCTGTCCCTACTAAAAGCACAGAAATTAACCAGGTGTGTTGGTACGCACCTGTAATCCCAGCTACTCGGGAGGCTGAGGCAGGAGAATCACTTGAACCCGAGAGGTGGAGGTTGCAATGATCTGAGATCACCCCCGACTGTGCTCCAGCCTGGGCAACAAAGCAAGACTCCATTACAAAAAGTAAAAAGAAAAAGAAAAGAAAGTAATCTGTTCTCACACTATACAGTGGTAAAATAATATTGAGTTCAAGATAAATCGTTTATTAGCTCTAGTAAAACATTACAAGCCCTGTCATGTCAAAATGTTATTCCATTTAATTTTTCCAACTAGCTGAATGTACTATTTTTCTGTTAAAACCTTTCCTCTGTAATCACTAGCCTGGTTAATGATCTCACTATCTCTCTATCCTACAGCTGGAAACATGGGAGTTGTTCTCCATTCATTCCCATTTCACCTTTATATTTTATGGGGCACCATGTACTTTGATTATATTTCCTGTCTCGTGCCCTCCGTGCTTTATTTTCTTCTGTAGTATCACAGTAGTCTCTTAAGTAGGCTTATTATTTCCAGTGCCAACTCTCTGCAATTTAATCTCCACACTGCTGGTAGTAATATTTCTAAAACATGATCTGGCTAGGTTATTCCCTTGCTTTAAGTCCTTTACTTTCTCTCCATTCTCTGTAGTATCCATTCTAAATTCCTCAAAAAGACATTTAAATGATGGCATAGTACAGTATTATTCAAGCAGTAGACTATCAGTATCTACTACTGGTAAATTATCAATTAGTGGCTGCAAACTAGATTTACTCTTTTGGGACTAACATTTAAAAAAATAGAATATACTGGAATAGAGTTATCCAAATACATTACCCATGATAAGGGTAACTCTAATTTTGTGGAATTTGAGATACAAACACACACATGCACACTCACCCATACATATATAATGCATATACTAATTCATGACATAAAATACATTTCTTACTGTGGATTGAGATATTTTAAAAAATTGTTTTGAGAGATGCTTGCAGAGTGGTTAAGAGCAAGATGACTGGGGCTCAAAATTTAATTCTGCAATTCGCTAGTTTTGTAACTTTTGGTAAATTATTTAACATCTCTCTGATTCACTTTCCTAATTTTTAATGAGACTAAGAATAATATGTATATTGTTATTTTGAATATATAAGCATGCATAAGAATGCATGACTTGAAGTGTGTATTCAATAAATGTTAACTATACTTTGGGAGGTTTTTTCCTTTTGTTACTTTTTTAATCAACCCTGATGTGGTTTGGCTCTGGGTCCCCACCCAAATCTCACCTTGAATTGTAATAATCCCCACTTGTCCTGGGAGGGACCCAGTGGGAGGTAATTGAATCATGGCAGTGGGGATGTCCTGTGCTCTTCTCATGATAGTGAATAAATCTTATGAGATCTGATGGTTTTATAAGGGATTTCCCCTGCACATGTCATCTTGCCTGCTTGACTTTGCTCTTCATTCACCTTCCGCCATGATTGTGAGGCCTCCCCAGCCATGTGGACTTGTGAGTCCATTAAACCTCTTTGCTTTATCAATTACCAGTCTCAGGTATGTCTTTATTAGCAGCATGAGAAGAGACTCCTACTTGCTCTGTAGCTTTACCTGTTACACTTCTGTATATCACATGCTTCACTACAGCTTATTTGAACTTAGAAAAGACATAGTAAACATTCTTTCAGTGCACCACCAAGTGCACTCATATATGAAGCACCTCATATATGAAGAAACTTGGGCAGAGACAAATCATATACTTTGCCCAAGTTCACAGAACCAGTTACTCTTATGTGCTGAAGGCCAGTCCTACTCTTAACTACCAGGCTATACTGCCTCTAGTACCTTTGCTTATAATCATCACTACAACCGTCCGCACTACCACTCTTCTCACTCGTCTTTGTTGTGCATATACTTATTGAAACTTTCAGCTATTTCATTATATATCTGTCTTTCACAGTGGATTTTATTCCCTGTGCTTGAAATGACCTTTTCTCAAAAGTTTTTTTTGGAAAAGTTCTACACATCATTCTAGATTCTGCTCGCAAATTTCCTCTCTAAATGCAACTACTGGCAGACACAATTAGTTGCTTTTTTTTGTATTCCAAAAGTACTTTGTGATTTCTTTCTAGGTATTTTTCAATTTGTGTTATAGAAAACAAAAGTCTTATGAGATGTTTTGAAAAACAGGTCATTGTTACCAAATTTTGGGAAATGCTGCATAAGGTTACTTCTTTTACTTTGAAAAAAATCACAAAATATATTAATATCTTAAGAGCTCAGAGAAGACCTGACAGAAAAATGGTAATTTTTCTTTTCTTTAAACCATTGTCCTCAGATTTTAATAATACATTTTGAGCCATACTTTGGTGTAATACTTATTAGAGAAACTCCTTTAAAAATACTTCACCGTTAGCATTTATTTGCCTAAGTTGAAATTCTTCTTCCATGCATGTTACTTCCACTAGAGTGTTGTAGTGGATATTTATTGTTTTGGTTACCCAGTATTAGTATGTTCTTCTTGTTTTGGAATAACTCTTAGGTAGTTGAAAAATAGGAATTTGCTTACCACCATGAAAGCAGAAGTAGCTATTCTACCTTTTGACATCTGATGCCTAACTGCCTATTTTTATCTAGGAATTTGACACTTGGCAGAAAATGCAAGGATATTTATTCCTACTTATAGCAAGAGAAGTGGCTGTCAGTTTCCAGTTCTATTGGGATCATTGTTTTCCTGTGTCATTCAGCTTTTATTGCACAACACCCAATCGCAAAAATCTCAGTGGCATACAACAAAAGTATTTACTTCTCACTCATGTGTTGCTTATTAACTGGAGTTCGGCTGATTTAGACTAGCCATTGCTAGGCTTGGCTCCAGGCCATACTTAGAGTTTAGATCTTGTCCATATGGCTCACATTTTTCTGGGGATCCAACAGCATACCTGGGGCATGCACATTCCAGACACATTTAAGTCTTTGCTGTTTCATGGCCACTGAGATCCCATGGTTCACAGCAAGTCATATGGCCAAACACAAAGTTAAAACACTAGGAAATATCTTTTTTTTCTACTATGAGACCATGATAAGGCTGTGAATGTATACATTATCTATTACAAGAGAACAGAGAATTGAGAGTATAATCTGCCATATGTTCTAAGCACACATTTTTGTTGCTGAATCTTGGTTGAGCTTCAAATCCCTTTTTTTTGCTGCTGGAGAGTATTTCTCAAGTCTTCCTGTTGATTTGAAGAGCTGCTTGATACCCTCTAGCAAACAGTTACCTTTCAGGTCATATGAAATCATATGAGCACCTGGGAGAGGGTTTTGGGGCACAAAGATGAGGTCCTCAAATGACATCAGGAGGCAGTAGCCTAACTTATACCTGAGTATAACCAAATTCTGATTAATAAATCTCTGTGATACTCTCATCAAATATTTTATTGTGGGAAACTGATCATTGTGCAGGATAGGATATTTTTAGGAATGTAGTTTTAAAATAACGAATATAATCTTTGTTAGGACACGAGAATTTTTTTCATTTTGAATCACTACCTAGTAATATATTTTAACCAAGTTTTCACCATAATATTCACTTTTACAAATATAAAAGCTATAATCAAAGGTATATGTATTAGTCCATTCTCATGCTTCCATGAAGAAAATACCAGACTGGGTAATTTATAAAGGAAAGAGTTATAATTAAATCAAAGTTCCATAGGGCTGGGGAGGCCTCAGAAAACTTAACAATCATAGCAGAAGGGAAAGCAAACATGTCCTTCACATAGTGACAGGAAGGAGAAGAATGAGAGAAGGGCAAAGCAAAATGGGGAAAAGCCCCTCACAAAACCATCAGATCTCATGAAAACTCACTCCCTATCATGAGAACAGCACAGGGGAATGGCCCCCATGATTCAATCACCTCCCATGAGGTCCCTCCCCCAATACATGGATGTTACAATTCAGATTACAATTCAAGATAAGATTTGGTGAGGATACAGCCAAATCATATTATTCTGCCCCAACATGTGGGGATTACAACTGAGATAACAATTCAAGATGAGATTTGGGTGGGGACACAGCCAAACCATATCATTATACCTGATTTTTAGTTGCTATTATTTTCCTATTAGAAACCAAATTTGGGGAGGCATCTCCAAATACTAACATTGGTAAGTAAGATATAATTGAGTAGCAAACAGCGGTGGTTTTTTATTTCTACACAAAGGTAATACTCCTCTTCATTGCTAAGTATGTAACTGATATTTTACAAGTTTAACATTTAAAAGAATACTTCTCCACCTGAGAGTTGACAATATGTATTAGAAACAGTAGAATGCTAGTTAACAATGAAATATGGAAACGAAGGCCTGGAAGGAAGGTTTCTAATATTATGTGGGGAAAACAAACAAACCTGATGATCAATCAGTGTGAATTATTATCAGTGTTCTTCATTATGGTTAGAAAGTTGAGCATTACAGTTAATTCACCTGCACATCTGTGACTGCTAGAGGGAATTGAAAGCACCACTGTCTATCCAAAAAGAAAATAGCCTTTAGAAATACTTTGTAATGCCAGATAATAAGGTGATATGATTACAAGCTAATAGACTCCATTACAGTACACAACACCACTTTGGGTTCAGCCTGATATTCCTCTTCTCACACTCCAGATGCTACTCTACTACCGAATTATCTCTCTCTTTGTATTGTTAGTGTGCAGATTGACTGTATTGTGTGTGTTTAATTTTGTTCTAAAAATTTTTTGTGAATTATGGTTTAAGTTATTACTGGGTATCTGAAAAGTAAGTATAAAATCAATGCTTTGTAAGCTCTGGGAAAAATATTGACTAACTTCTAAGGAGATTCATTGTTGTGGGAAGTCAGGGACCCCGAACGGAGGGACCGGCTGAAGCCATGGCAGAAGAACGTGGATTGTGAAGATTTCATGGACATTTATTAGTTCCCCAAATTAATACTTTTATAATTTGTTACACCTGTCTTTACTGCAATCTTTTAACATAAATTGTGAAGATTTCATGGACACTTATCACTTCCCCAATCAATACCCTTGTAAGTTCCTATGCCTGTCTTTACTTTAGTCTCTTAATCCCATCATCTTCGTAAGCTGAGGAGGATGTATGTCGCCTCAGGACCCTGTGATGATTGCGTTAACTGCACAAATTGTTTGTAGAGCATGTGTGTTTGAACAATATGAAATCTGGGCACCTTGAAAAAAGAATAGGATAACAGCAATGTTCAGGGAACAAGAGAGATAACCTTAAACTCTGACCACCAGTGAGCCAGGCGGAACAGAGCCATATTTCTCTTCTTTCAAAGGCAAATAGGAGAAATATTGCTGAATTCTTTTTCTCAGCAAGGAACATCCCTGAGAAACAGAATGCGTCCCTTAGGGTAGGCCTCTAAAATGGCCACTTTGGTGGGCAGCCATCATTTATGGTCGAGCTGTAGGGATGAAATAAGCCCCAGGCTCCCATAGTGCTCCCAGGCTTATTAGGACGAGGAAATTCCCACCTAATAAATTTTGGTCAGACCAGTTGTCTGCTCTCAAACCCTGTCTCCTGATAAGATGTTATCAATGACAATGTGTGCCCAAAACTTCATTAGCAATTTTAATTTCACCCCAGTCCTGTGGTCCTGTGATCTCACCCTGCCTCCATTTGCCTTGTGATATTCTATTACCTTGTGAAGCACATGATCTCTGTGACCCACACCCTATTCATATACTCCCTCCCCTTTTGAAAATCACTAATAAAAACTTTCTGGTTTTATGGCTCAGGGGGCATCACGGAAACTGCTGACATGTGAGGTCTCCCCCGGACACCCAGCTTTAAAATTTCTCTCTTTTGTACTCTGTCCGTTTATTTCTCAGGCCAGCTGACATTTAGGGAAAATATTATTTATTTATTTATTTATTTATTTATTTTTAATTATACTTTAAGTTTTAGGGTACATGTGCACATTGTGCAGGTTAGTTACATATGTATACATGTGCCATGCTGGTGCGCTGCACCCACTAACTCATCATCTAGCATTAGGTATATCTCCCAATGCTATCCCTCCCCCCTCCCCCCACCCCACCACAGTCCCCAGAGTGTGATATTCCCCTTCCTGTGTCCATGTGATCTCATTGTTCAATTCCCACCTCTGAGTGAGAATATGCGGTGTTTGGTTTTTTGTTCTTGCGATAGTTTACTGAGAATGATGATTTCCAATTTCATCCATGTCCCTACAAAGGACATGAACTCATCATTTTTTATGGCTGCATAGTATTCCATGGTGTATATGTGCCACATTTTCTTAATCCAGTCTATCATTATTGGACATTTGGGTTGGTTCCAAGTCTTTGCTATTGTGAATAATGCCGCAATAAACATACATGTGCATGTGTCTTTATAGCAGCACGATTTATAGTCATTCGGGTATATACCCAGTAATGGGATGGCTGGGTCAAATGGTATTTCTAGTTCTAGATCCCTGAGGAATCGCCACACTGACTTCCACAATGGTTGAACTAGTTTACAGTCCCACCAACAGTGTAAAAATGTTCCTATTTCTCCACATCCTCTCCAGCACCTGTTGTTAAAAGAACCTACATGAAATATTGGGGGTGCTTTTCAAAATACTTTGTAATGCCAGATAATAAGGTAATATGATTACCAGCTAACAGACTCCATTATAGTACACAGCACTGCTTTGGGTTCAGCCTGATATTCCTCTTCTCACACTCTAGATGCTACTCTACTACTGATTTGTCTCTCTCTTTGTATTGTTAGTGTGCAGATTGACTGTATTTTGTGTGTTTAATTTTGTCCTGAAAAATTTTGTGAATTACGTTTAAGTTATTATTGGGTATCTGAAAAGTACGTATAAAATCAATGCTTTGTGAGCTCTGGAAAAAATATTGACTAACTCATAAGGAGATTCATCATTGACAGAGGTAGTCAGTGGCCTACACTCATGTCACCATCACCACAAAATAGCACTGCTTCTCCAAACTGCATTTTTTTTCTGAAAGAGTAATTCCTTGTGGCAAGTGATATGCTCCATGAAAGCTGTATCAGTTAAGGTTTGAGCTTAACTGCATGTAACAAAACATCTAAACACATCAATCTTCTAAGATACCTCCAAAGTTTTGACAAAAGTAAATTCAGAATAATTTTGGTCTTGGAGATGGAGATGAACATCTCCAGAAACAGACTAGAAACCCAAGACAGAGAATAAAAGCAGCAAAATCCAGTGGGTGCCTGGGCTGTGGATCCAGAAGTAGGAGGTGCCAGCCAGGAACTTGGATTCTGTGTAGAACTACACCATTCTAAAAGTAAACTCATAATCTAGCACCCTGAATCCAGGGTCTACTTCTAGGCCTGGGACTTAAATAGCTTGCTCTCTTTAATATGTGTAAAAGATGACTTAAACAAATAGTAAATCTTTCATGTATACAAAGACAAACATAACCAGCCATTAGAATATAATCTGACCATGCTTGGTGGCTCACGCCTGTAATCCCAGAACTTTGGAAGGCTGAGGCATGTGGATTGCTTGAGTGCAGGATTTCAAAACCAGCTGGGGCAATATGGCCAAACCTTTTCTCTACCAAAACAAAAAACAAACAAACAAACAAAAAAGAAAATTAGCTGTGCATGGTGGTGTGTGCTTGTGATCCCAGCTACTCAGAAGGCTGAAGTAGGAGGATCCCTTGAGCCCAGGAGGCGGAGGTTGCAGAGAATGGAGATTGCACCACTGCCCTCCAGCCTGAGCGACAGAGGGAGACCCTCTCTCTCTCTCTCTCTCTCTCTCTCTCTCTGTCTCTCTCTCTGTATATATATGTGTGTGTGTGTGTGTGTGTGTGTGTGTGTATGTGTGTGTGTGTATAATCTCATTGAATGGTAGACCACCAGGTGGCTGTGAGAGTAGAAGTATTTGAATTGTCAAACAGTAATTACATCATACAGAGTTAAATAAGGAAGGAAGATTTTATTCAAGATAATTGCAAGAGTGGAGAGAGTTCAATCTCTTTTCCTTATTTCCACTGAAACAAAAAGTGGGAAATGATGGAGTTTTAGTTGGGTTGTTTACTTTTTTAGGTGGTTCCTTATGTAGCAAAGGTTAACAAAAGATAGGCTATATAAAATATTTTTATAGTTAGAAAATGAAAATTTTTTAAAACTATATTCACACATCTGAATCACATCTCTTTCCCTCCCACACCATCCCTCCCAGTCCAATGCTAACATACTTATAGGTAACCATTTTTATTAATTTCTTGCTTATTCATCCAGTGTTTTAAAAGCTCTTTCATATAAATATATATGAAATAGATATATAAAATATATATGATATATATGAAATAGATATATATGATATATATGAAATATGATATATATTTGATATATATCATATTTCATATATATATATGGTGGGAGAGCTTTTAAGCACTGTAGTGAGCCAGTGGAAATGTACTGGAGGAGTTGGTTTGAGGATGAGGTGGAGCTTGGTCAATGTGATGAGGCCATCTGTCTCTGCTAATTGGTGCTTATCTAAGTTAGCCTCCTACCTTCCCACAAAGACTGGGAAACAAGGACCTTATCTTTCTTGACAATTACATTTCAAAGGAATGGTTTCCAGGTTATTGAAAAAGACATTCCTGGGTTGTAAAACTGGCCAGAGACTGGGAGATTTGCATCTTAAAGGAGGAATGCTCTAAGTAAGAGTGGTTAGGGGCCTACAGTTAGGAAGAAACCTAAAGTTTAATCAAGCTGAGGGAAACTTTAAGATCCTCTAAGTGGATTCTACTGGTGTTAGAATTTCTGGCCATGGTGATTATAAAAAGCAGATCAAATTTAAAGCAGTTTTTAAAATTTTTCTTTCAAAGACAATTTAACAGTCAATACACACCCTTATCGCCCGCACCCCAGGGCAGGCTACTCTCACTGCCCTCCAGATGCTATGCTACTGAAGGTGAGATTAATTTTATACACTTGTCAATAAGAATTTTAAATCTATTTAATATTCTCACAGATACATATGAAGTCATGGCACATTCACTAAAATGAACAAGAAATTACAAAACAAAGTAGGTAGAAGTGAAACAAGAATAGGTCTACAGGCTGGGTGCGGTGGCTCATGTCTAAAATCCCAGCACTTTGGGAGGCTGAAGCAGGCAGATCAATCACCTAGGTCAAGAGTTCGAAACCAGCCTGGCCAACATAGTGAAACCCCGTTTCTACTAAAAATACAACAACAACAAAAATTAGCTGGGCGTGGTGGCGAATGCCTGTAATTCGAGCTACTTGGGAGGCTTAGGCAGGAGAATCGCTTGAACCTGGAAGGCAGAGGTTGCAGTGAGCCAAGATCAGGCCACTTCACTCCAGCCTGGGTGACAGAGTGAGACTCCATCTCAAAAAAAAAAAGAAAAAGAAAAAGAAAAAGAAAAAAAGAAATAAGTGTATAGTATACGAAAAGAAGCAGTTAGATGTATTGCAAATGAAAATGATGGCCGGGCGCGATGGCTCACGCCTGTAATCCCAACACTTTGGGAGGCCGAGGCGGGCGGATGACGAGGTCAGGAGATTGAGACCATCCTGGCTAACATGGTGAAACCCCGTCTCTACTAAAAATACAAAAAAATTAGCCGGGTGTGGCGGCGTGTGCCTGTAATACCAGCTACTCGGGAGGCTGAGGCAGGAGAATGGTGTGAACCAGGGAGGCATAGCTTGCAGTGAGCCAAGATCGCGCCACTGCACTCCAGCCTGGGCGACAGAGCGAGACTCCGTCTCAAATAAAAAGAAAAAGAAAAAAAGCAAATGAAAATGACATTTCCTGGAATAAGTATTCCATCAGGCTCAATTCTAGAGAATTAGTGAATTGAAGAGTAGTACTATTATTGAGACTCAGAAAACAATACCCCAAAATGAAGGCATCAGAAGAAGCCTCAGAAGGAAAAGCTTTTCTTTAACCTTCTCCTGCCCTCCTGTCTCTCAGTCCCATTCTCTCCCAAGATTAGCCATAGAAACTAGAATCCCTCTTCCCCAAGGTGGGCCATAGAAACCAGACTCCCTTGTCCCCAAAGCCAGCCATAAAACCTAAAAAATATGACTCTAACTTTCCCTCCACCTTTCTGTGTAAAAACTGGCCCTGAAGAAATTATCTGACCTACATTGTTTGACTGTGGGTCATAAGATCCCATTCCAGAGAGGGTCTTTTCCCATACCCAGAAGAAGGAGTACTGCACAGAGAGGACAAGAAGAATCGAAATAGGCTATGCAAGGTTTCTTCACTCAGTCTATTAGTATTAGTTCATACCATTTTTTTGTCCAGTTATATTTCTACACAGCTGTCCATACTTCATTGAATCTAATGGACAGTTTCCCCTGAAGTTCTGTCTTCATTCTGAAAGCTCCCATGTACATGTTAATAAAACGTGTATGCCTTTTCTCAGATTAATCTGTCTTTTGTGGGTTAATTTTTCAGTGAAACTTCGAAGGGCAAAAGAGAGGTTTCCTCTTGGCTTCCACACTGTGATAAAACTAGATACTCAGCCCAAAGTGATAGAATAGTTAAGTTATTTGAAAGGTTGCTTGTGATACTCCAACAAATACCTAACGGGAATTCTTGATTATAAGAATGGAGAAAATAGTAGAAAAGTAGTCGTTAAATGGCAAATAAGCAACATTTTTTTCCAAATTAATGACACACATTCTCAGATTAAAAGTTTACTGTAAGTTTTTGCAGGATCAATAAAATTAAATTTACATCTAAACATGTTGTATTGAAACCTAAGAACATCAAATACACAAACAAAAATGCTTAGAAAGTTACCAGAGTGAATTCAAAGTACCACCTTCAACAAAAAAACAATTACAATTAACACACACCTCATTAAAAACAAAAAGAAATATCTGAAAGTGGTGAGGGATAATAGTTGTGAAACTAAGATATTGTAACTTGTTGAGTTATAAGTTATGTGCACAGGTAAAATAGATATATTTTTAGTCACAGCATGTCTAAGAGAGTTAACTCAAAAAAAGTGAAACCAGGAAATAGGAAACAATGTTGAGTACATAAACTGATAAAATATTTTTAAAGTTAAATATAAATTAGTGATATTTTAATTTTTAAGTATACCTAAGATTCAGAATACAACTGCAAAAATATTTCTGTTCTTGTACGTTGTAAGAATATAAAATGATTTAAAATATATCATCAAATTTTAAAATTAAGCAGTCGTATTTCAAGAGGTAACCAAAAATTAAAAATACAATCTATAGCTCCCAGAGCAGCATGGGAAAATCAGGACAAAGGGAGATGAGGGGATGACAAAATTATATCAAGCTACAAGAAGGCAAGAAAAGTCCATATATTATTAATTAATCACAAGATAGGTGAGCAATAAATTTACTTATTAAAAGAGTTTATACAGATTATTAGATTAGCAATCCAGTTGCATTTTACTTATGTTCAAAAAAATCCAGGATTATTTATATTGAAACTACAGGAAAGTTCAGTATGATTGCTAGGTCAAAATAAACAGTTAATATTTTTTCTGTATACCAGTAAAGATCTAACTAGGAAATATAGTTTTAGAATACTGTTCATAGAATTTTACATTTCTTAAAAGTAAATCTAGCAAAATATGCGAGATCACATGAAAAAGTTATGAAATATTGAGAAGCATAAGACAGCATTCCAATAAATGGAAATTACAATGTTCTTATGAACAGAAAGACTCAATATCTTGAAGATGTTAATCTGTAAATCCAATTAATCTATAAATCCAATGCAATTCAAATAAAAAAAAACAGGAATTTTCATGAATAGAACAAGCTGACCCAAGAAAGCATTGCCATGTACGAAAGACCAAGAACAGCTAAAGTAATTTTGAAAAACAACCAAATATAATAACTTTTTTCCTGAAAAGCATCAAAATATGCTATTAAAATTTCATTGTAATTAAAACAATTTTACTTAGACCAATATACTGAAGGAACAGAAAAGTGAGACTGGAAATAAACCCTCATATGAATGGAAAGTGAAGTATGAATGAGATAGCATTACCAATCAGTGTGGAAGCAGTGGTTAACTCAAAACAATATTGCCAAGGTAATTGGCTAAACAGTAATGTACCAAATAGAAAAAAGCATTAAAATAGATAGATTCTAATCTTGTTGTAAACCTGTGTGAAGACACACATGCATAAGCATGTACAAAATTTATAACTGATTAAAAGCTTAGAAAAACATTGAATATTTTAGGAAAAAGGATAACATGTTTATTATTTTAAGAGAAAATTCTTCAATAGCAAGCATCATTTTTAAGACTTCATACCACCAAAATAAATGTGAATTAAGAGTTAGGAGAAGCTAAAAATGTCAAGAAGATTTTTAACCAACAAAGGAAGAGCATCCAGAATAAATTTAGAACACTCTCCAATTATAAACATATAGACATGGCCCCAAATAAGAACATTTGGAAAATGGACAACAGTAAAGCAAATTGGCAATCCATGTAAGCAAAACATAATTGACCAAGAAATACCTAAAAAGAAGCTAAGCACAAAAGAAAAACTATTTATTTCACCCATCAAAGTGGCAATATACAAAATGCTAACAAAAATAAGTGCTGGTGAAAAAATGGAGAAATGCCTTCATTGCTGATGCATGTGCTCATTGATAATTTCAAAGCACAAATAGACAAATTGGTAAATCGAAAAAAAAGTTATCTTCCTACCTAGCAATTCCATTTAGAGTTGTGCTCCTGAGAAATTCTACAACTCACACACGTACAGACATATTGCAATGCTTATTACAGTATTTTTTACAAGAAAAATTAGAAACAAGCTGGGCATGGTGGCTCTTGCCTATAATACTAGCACTTTGGGAGGCTGAGACAGGAGGATAGCTTGAGCTCAGGAGGTTAAGACCAGCATGGGGAAGATAGTGAGACCCCATCTCTACAAAAAATAGAAGTAAAAAAATTAGCCAGGTGTATGTGTGCTTGTAGTCCCAGCTACTCAGGAAACTGAGGTAGAAGGATCACTTGAGCCTGGGAGGTCAAGGCTGCAGTGAGCAGTGATCATGTCCCTGCACTTCAGCCTGAGTGACAAAGCAAGATCCCAACCCAAGAAAAAAAAACTGGAAACACCCAAAATATCCATTATCAGAAGATTAAATAAGTCAATTTTTATATGTTTACATATAAAAATACCAAACAGCATTTAATGTGAGTGAATTACAGTTAAATTAGAGTTAAATATGTCAACATGAATAGATCTCAAAAGCATAATATAGAGTAAAAGAAATTAATCACAAAATCATAAGTGTAATATAGTTCTTAAAAAATAGAAATTGAAAACATGCCAATTTTATATCTTGCTTATGAATTCTTTCATATGTAAAATAGTATAAAATACTGAAAAATATTTTTAAAATTCCATTTGGGAAGGAATAAGTCATGCAAGGAGAATTATACAAAAGGCTTGAAGAAGATTCGTCATTGTTATGGGTTGCCTTTTGTTCCTCCTAAATTCATATGTTGAAGTCCTAAGCCCCAGTACCTCAAAATGTGATTAAATGAAACTGGTTAAATTAAGATGAGGTCATAACAAATAGGGTGATCTCTTAATCCGATATATGTAGTGTCCTCATAAAAAGGAAAATTTTGGACATGGACACACACACACAAACACACACATACGAAGAATGCCATGTGAAGATTGGCATTTCACTTCAGCAAGGCAACAAACTCCTGGCAGCTAGGAGACATACCTAGAGCAAATACTTTCCTAGCACCTTCAAACAAGGATGGTTCTGCCGACATCTTAATTTCAAACTTCTGGTTTCTAGAATCGTAAGATGACAAATTTCTGTTGTTCAAGTCACTCAGTCTATGGTACCTTTTCAGGAAGCCCTAGTAAATTAATACAGTAATGTTTTAAAATGTATTTAAAATTATCTATGGCAATTATTGTAAACATTTTTAAATTGATAAACTGTAGACTTACTCTCTATAGTTTTCTCTGAACTTGAAGTTTTCATGATTTTGAAAAGTAAAAGGAAAGTGAATTCCAATCTAAAGGAATAATTAATAAAATGGAAAAGTTGAACAAAGATGTTAATCTGAGGAAGCTAGAATATGAGTATTAAAAAGTCAGCTTTATGACAGGCAGGAGAAAAGTTGTAAAAATGTGTACACACAGGATTAGTAAACAGAAACACAATACAATCAAAATCATTATTTAATTTTAGGAAGCAACTGAAAATTCAATTAATAGGAAAGATTTATAAGCAGAAAACATATAAAAATGGATTATGTCAAGGTATAAAAAGTTTTTTAAGGAATAATGATACGATTAGCAAAATTGTATTCTAATATACTTAAATATCTTGAGAAAGAGGATTTTTTTAACTGTATAATATCGGATATATAATTTTTTTAAACTATAAAACATCTGATGTACATCCAGGAGAAAAATCTTAAAAGTCCTATTCTATAAATGTGTAAAATTTGTATCATATTATTCATGAAAGGAAAATATGAAATTTTTATAAAATAATAAAAGGCATACATTACCTAAATACAAATTGAAATAATGAAATATATTGTCACCTATAATCCTTTGCTTCAATGAAACCTATGGAGGCATGGAAATCTTAGGTAGTGTAGTTGGTTGGATCCCTACCAGGAAATGGGAGATGATAAAGGATTTTGATATTACGAAAGTAGAAACATTACTCTGAAAAAGTCCTCAGTACATTGTTTTGTAAATACATATATATATATACACACATACACATTTATACAAACACACACACATACATATATACAGATATGTATATATTTGTGTGTACATATACACACATGTATATGTGTGTACATATGTGTGCATATATACATATGTGCATCTATACATATGTATATACATGTGCGTATTTGTGCATATATAGGTATATACATATACCTATATATGTACATATGTATGTGTGTGTATATGTATGTGCATATATATGTACTATTGTGTGTGTCTATATGTGTGTGTTGTGTATATATGTACATATGTATATATGTCTCTATGTGTGTGTATGCATGTGTGTATATATATATATATATATATACACAAATGGATATTGATGGCAAAGTTGTAGGTAAAATGTAAGTTTATTACACGGTTGGGCAGAATGGACATTGAGAAACTCTTAGAAAAACAATTTTGCAAAGTTATCAAAAACCTTCAAAATATTCTCTTTCCTTCAATAAATCTGTTTCATGGAATTCAGTCTAAGGAAATAATCAGAAATTTAAAAAATGTTTTGTCAACTATGGTCATCATCTACAATAGTAAAAACCAGAAATCAACAACTGGAAAATTACTATGTAAATTATGGTGTAGCACATTATGCAATCTTTTAAATAAACTTGATTGAGAGCTTTAATGATGTAAAAAATGCTTATGATATAGCATGATTCAGTTTTTCTAATTTTATACAGAGAATGAAATAAACTATGTGAACAATAATTGGAGAAGGGAAACACCAAAGTATGAAGACTGCATATCTTCAAGTGGTGGTCTAATGGTCCATTTTTATTTTTTTGTTGATATTGGCATTTTTTTTTATATTTCCCGTCTTCTCGAAAACAATGTATTATGTTGCAGTCATGAAACACAATTTTGAAAAGGTGACTTTTAATTTTTCATCGATGTTAACCTTTGTCTTGTTATGAAATACTTCAATTCAACAAATATTGTTAGGTATCTACAACTGCACTAGGCAAAAAGTGTTAGGAAAATGAATTCGACAGGAACTCTTCAGACATGTTAGCAATCTAGTTACCATAAAGGCATTAAGCGATAAAAAGTAATTTTAAGGGCTTATCATCTCTTGCCTGGATTATTATAACAGACTCTCACTGCATCTCTGTCTCCTGTATCCCACCCTTCAGTTTATTTTCTGCACCATTGCCAGAATGCTCTGTCTAAAGCACAAATTCAATCATGCCTTTTGCTTCCTAAACTTATTTGGCTCCCCTTGGTCTGAAGCACTGATTCTCAACCATGACTGCACATTAAAATCGCCCTGGTGAGTTTTTTAAAAGCTCCAGTGCCCAGACCTTCCTCCCCACCATAAAGCCATGCAGTTCCTGATTTAATTAGTCTTGGGCAGCACCAAAGCATCTATTTTTCAAAGCTCACAGAATTAAGCATCTTAGAATGGCATATAATGTCATTCTATGGAAAGGTTGAGGCTATGTTTCCAGCCATTTCTTACCACTTTTTCGAAGTGAACTCTGAATTTTAGGCTGTTCTTTGAAAATGTAACAATATTTCACAACTCTGTTTTTACCTATGATTTTTCTTTCCATTGTCACCTAGAGTTCTCCCACTTATCCTTCAAAATTCTATCCAGTCAGTCACTGAGGTAGCCTTCTCTGTCTTCTCTAAGGCAGAGGTAGGTGCTCTATCCACAGTAGGGGAAGAAGCAGCCCACATACA
Source organism: Homo sapiens (assembly GCF_000001405.40). Taxonomy (NCBI): domain Eukaryota; kingdom Metazoa; phylum Chordata; class Mammalia; order Primates; family Hominidae; genus Homo; species Homo sapiens. The sequence goes on from NC_000012.12 coordinate 78,659,860, forward strand.
GGTAAACATGGAGAGATTCAGTCCTGCAGCACAGTGAGCCACTACAAAAAAATAGGAGGTGATAGAAGATTTTGACATTCCAAAGGTAGAATCATCACTTGGTAGAGCCCTCAGTATACTGTTTGGTATATGTTCTTTTACGTTTCTTTCTCCCACACCATACTGGAAGCCCTTTGAAGGCAAGGATGTTATCATGTTGTTCTTTATGTATCTTAGCACTTAGTCCAATGTCAGGAAGTTTGTAGGTACTCAACCAAGGTTTTTTAAAATAAATATAACAAATAACCATTAATCCAGTATATGATAAATGCCAAATGTATGGTACAGAATGAAATATGGTAGGAATTCGAAGGAGAGCAAGATTTCTGGGCAAAGCCTCCATTGCATCACAGTACAAGGGGAAGCTTTGGGTTCACTTCGAATGAAGTGCCATTTGCTAGGTGGGTGACTATAAACAAATTACTTAATCTTTCTAAGGCTTCATTTTCCCAAGTGTTGTGAGGATAGCCATCCTGATTTCACAGGTTGTCTGGAAAGTGTGTAATGGGCCTGGCAGATACAGGTGGTCAGTGAATGTTGGCTCCTGTCACTCTTATTTATTGTTTATTCCAATGTAATTTAGATTTTCTCTCCCAGCTAGATGCTCCTTGGAAGCAGAGACAATGTCTTACTTACAAGTGCTATTTCATAGTATAGAGCAATACTTACCACAAAGCAAATGCTCAATAGTTTTTGAAATAAAGAGAAATCATATAAGGTTGAAGGTTGAGTTGAATTTTATTTTATTTATTTATTTTTTTGAGATGGGGTCTCACTCTGTTGCCTGGGCTGGAGTTTAGTGGCATGATCTCGGCTGAATGCAACCTCCGCCTCCTGGGTTCAAACGATTCTCCTGCCTCAACCTCCCGAGTAGCTGGGATTACAGGCACCCGCCACTATGACCGGCTAATTTTTTGTATTTTTAGTAGAGACGGGGTTTCACCATGTTGGCCAGGCTGGTCTCAAACTCCTGACCTCGTGATTCGCCCGCCTTGGCCTCCCAAAGTATTGGGATTACAGGTGTGAGCCACTGCACCAGGCCTAGGTTGCATTTTAGTATATAAAAATGTAGCAAGATGGTGAGAGGGAGTAATACTGACAATGAATGAAAAAATAAATTCAGTGTGGAGAGTAAAATGATCAAGGTGGAGGTCCCAGAGGAGAAGTCAACTCAGTGAATGAAGGAGATGATTCAAGTAAGAGATTTAGTGAAAGAGTGTTCAGAAAAGAAGGGTAAGCCCTTGTTGTGAAACAATAAAAATATAAGGATTTGAGCTATTATTCGTTATATAACAGGGAGCCATAGAAGCATTTCAAGCAGAAATATAACATGCTCTTTAGCTCAAGGTCCAAGATAATTTCTAAGATGTGTGTAGGGTGAAAGGGAGGTAAAACACATTTTAAGCATTCAGAACACTTGCAAGAAATATCATTAGTATTAATTATTTATGTTTTATACTCCTGAAATAAAGTGATCTCAAAAGAAATAAACATGAAGCATTGGACAATTAATATTACATGATAGATTTATAGGCTATGATAGGGAAAGACATAAGGAGCATGCAAAATAAGAAAATTGAAAAATAAGCTTGGGAACTGAGAGGGAAGATAAATTCAGCATTAGACAAGTGGTGGTTGCATATCCAAATAAATGACCAGTAGGCATTTGGGGAGGTGGGACTGGATGGACTCTGTAATTACACAATTATCACCTAGTTAATAAGTTACAAAATCAGAGTAGATGAGGATGCTGATTCAAAATGAAAAAGACAATGGGAGCGGCCAAAGTTTGTCTCAGGAGGACAAACTAATAGATGTTAGGAATCAAAGAAAAACCTTTGTATGTTTTGCAGAATTCTGATCTTTGTTTTGTTTTGTTTTGTAACTAGAAACAATGCTACAGGGAAAAGCTAAGTCCCATCTTTGGATCCATTTAAGGCAATCATTTTAGGAAGATAATTTGATAAATGATTTCCCATCATGTATATTTAAAGCTAGAACACGGAATTCTGCCGTGATGATCCATGATTTACTTCCCAAAAACCACATAATGACTTTTTAATATTCATATGGGTAAAAGTTAATAATGAGTTAATAATGATGTTCCTTAAGTTTATCTGCTATAAAATAATTATAATTACATAGAAATTTTACCATATACTTTACAGATAATTCATAGTAAATTTCCCTTTATATAAATGAAATGACAGCAGTATTATCATTTTAATCTGAAATAATTATGAATTATTCAAAAGGTACCATTTTCAGCATTCAGTGCAGCATCAGTGCCTTTGATCTGGATGAACTGATGGGTATTCTATCCTTTACAAATTAATCTCCAATTACAAGTTCCTCCTTGGGATGTGGGTGCTGATAATTTTAATAAGGAACCATGGAATGGGTTATTTCATTACTACTTGGATATAGTAGACTTTCATGGACTTTCAAATGTAGGGCTTTTTAAAATAAAATTCAAAGTAGCCCAGAACAACTGGATATGTTACTTAAAAGTAAGTTACTCAAATGAAAATATCTTTTCTGTGCACACGTTCATGTCAGCTTGAAAATTAAATGCCTAGATATTTCCTACTGGAATCAATACTCTATCATTTCTTTTTCTCTTTTCAAAAAGATTATATCCTTTAAAAATGAAATACTACTAAAACCTCCTGTGTAATATTGGAGTGTTTTTTATAAAAACAAACAAAAAAAGGCAATTGAAAATTTTAAGCTTACAAACATAGGCTACATAACACAGAATTGGTCCTTAAGTTTCTTAAATTTATAAAAAATGGTAAAGAGAGAAATAGAGAAAATTTTCTCTGAATTGGACAGTGTGTGCAATCCCAGTTGCATAGAAAATTGTCTTAGACTGGAAGCTGCTTTGACAAACACAAAAGACTCCTGCTTAAACGCCAGGAGACTCTGCCAATCTACCCATAGTACTGCAGTTAGCTGACAGACAGATATTAAACAAAGTTCCTTCACTCTGTGACTTCCTGTTGATATGCTTCATAAACACCTTTCTTCCTAAAACAATGGGCAAAGAAAAACCTGGAAGCCTTCTTTGCAATTCATACATGATAATGTTGACAGTCCTAATCCTAGCTCCTCCTTAAGGGTGTTTGTCCGTCAACTATCAAACTGTAAAATACAGTTTACATCATAAAATTTCTGCTTCCACACATGCAAGTCACTGGTGAATCAGTAAACATGAAAATCTCCTAGATTTTGAGATAAATAGTAGAAACATGAATAAAAGCCTTATGTAGCAAGATCCCATTGGAAAAATGTTTAGGAACTAGGGCGAAACTAATCCTCATTAATGATTTTAATTAAGTCTCTAACCGTCAATTTATTTTCATTGCTGTTAAGTGAACAGATAGATGCCCAGAGGCAGAGACTGTTCTTGTAAGTACTGTGGCTATGAGTTTTGTGAGAGATTCCCATAAACCCTGCTCTGTGCTGGTACCTTCCACTTCCCTTCACCGATGGTCCTCTCAGGAATGTCCAGCTTACTCAGTGTTTAATGGGCCTCTACTTTGAAAGTGATGTCACAGGGGATTCAAGGAACCATCTTCCTCACATCTTACCTGGAGAAAGTAATGTTATATAACAGATTCTACTTTCATCCAAGCACAAAGGAAAAATGATTTCCCATACTTAAACAAGAAAGTCATCTAGATGGGGGATGGTGGGAGTGAGGAAGAAAGATGCACTCACTCCCTCCTGGCATGACATCAGGGTAGGAGCCCACCGAGCTGGGGCCCTTAAGAGGAGCCCTCATTGTCACTTGCCTCCCACACATTACTAAATAGTTTTTTTTACATATGCAAAGCAGGTATCTTTCATTTTTTTTCCCAAGAAATAAAGGTCAACTATGTTGGAGAGAATATCAGCGTTCTCAGGTAGCTGCTCTTTGATAAAAGAAAAATAATTTTGTATATTTTTCTTTTATTTGTCTTAAAATTTTTACTTCTGCATCTCAGAGATGTTTGCCTTCTGAGCAAACCTAAAGCTACTAGGGCTGAACCAGTTAAAGAGTAGAATATGTATAAGCATTTTTGTTTTCTCTATTTCACATTACTGATCTAATTCACAAATACCCTAAACTTACAATAGAGAAAAATTAGCAATAGGAGAAATATTTTATAGGAAATCTTTTGCAATACATTCTATAAAATCCCCTAACTGGTAAAAGACTAGCTGGTCTTGAAAAAAATTGGAGGGGGGGAATCAGAATTGGGAAAATAAAATATCTCCATAGAAGCAAAGGCAACTGTACTGTATTCCATAACTATGTAAAGCAGGATTAAAAGCAGACTGGAGTTGAATTTGAAATAATTGATCCATATTCTTGAGATACCACTACTGAATATTTATCAAATGTTTTATCTCTAAAGGGTACATTTACTTTTTTCCTGAAAAATTCAGGTAGTCTCATCACCAAGCAGACTAAAATGATAAGCTAGCAAAGGCAAGCCTATTCTTTCTCACTTCATTGGCTAAGCAAAATCCTAAATGAATGCCAACTCTCAAAGTAGTCACTTTCTCCTTAGTTTTAGAACTTCGTAACCTGGACTTTTCCTGACACCATAAGGACTACAAGAGCACTGCTTTATACTGTTATTAATGCCTTCCTAATTGCTCATCTAGAATCTGACCTTAACATAACCAAATCTTTGGGGATCAGAGCAGGTTTGAGATCCCCCTAAAAAGTCAAGGTGAAGTGAATAATCAAGGAAAGTTGAGAGGACAGCCCTTCCTACCCCATCCCTTTTACACAGCTCAAGAAAGGTTGTTAGTACTGTGAACCAAGGACTCACAATTTTATTGGCCATTATGCTTATAGGATGAGTTTTGTGTACAAAGGGGTAAAAATCCAAGGGTATATAGGGATGCTGTCTCTTCTTTGCAGCAATTTTTAAAAGGAAGTTGGGGAAATAAAATGAGGATAGAGAGAATTGTTTTCCCTTACAGAAGGCTAGTTATTTTATTGTCTATCTTCGCTCTCTCTTTGTTTCTCTTTCTCTCTCTTCTCTTTCATTCCCATACTACCTTCAAAATAGAATGGATCCTGAAGGTTTTCTCAAGGCCTTTGAGGAGGAATGCTCTGTCTAGTTTTCCCTCTACCCCACCCCACACGGTTTTATCTTTTTAATTTTTTTTTTCATAAGAAGACAAACAAATTCTCTTGGGGAAGACCATTTCCTTATGGAACTGCCTTGAGAATTGAATACAAAGGCACAGCATGGAATAAAAACCATTCTGTGCACATAATTTTCCCCATGATTATTTTTCTATTGGGAAACTTATGTAGGTATCTGGTTAATTTAGAACAAGTCTAAATAGTATGACTTCATTTAAATTTCAGCTTCCTCATGATGATATTTGTACCAAGAGCCTGGGCCTGGACTCAGGCTTGGTGCTCTACTCCACTGTGGCCAAACTGATACCCAGGATGCAAGACAGAGTCTCCCTTATTATTTCCCCAGGTTTTCTAAAACAGAAAGACTCTTTCACCATGGCCACCATAGCTGTGAATGTGCTGCGTCACACCTGAAGCCAGCACATATCACAGACCAAGGCCCACAGTGTATTACTGGTCATCACTGTTATTCAGGGTCCAGGGGCTCTTTAGTCAGTAGGTCATGAATCCTACCAGGTCTTTGCTGTGACAGGGCAGAACTGAGTTCAATGTGAAGTACCCCGGTTGCTGCACTCTCCCTCTTCCAAGTGCACATACTTCTCCATGCCACCTGGCTGCTGCAAGGGTGTGGGGGGAAGGGATGGAAAAAGCACTCCCAGCTGGTGTCTCAGTATGTCACATGCCCCCGGTCCACTGGTCCTGTACCCAGCTCAGCTCTAGGACTTGCCTAGGAGTTGCAGTCCTTGTGGCCTAAGCCTGCAAAAAAATGTTCACCTACAGTCCCAGAGCACTCTAGCTTTCAAGCCAGGTATGGCCTTCTTCTCTATAGCTATAAAAGTCCTAGATGGCATCTTCTTTCGATGGAAGACTATTTTGCCTCTATTAAAAATGTGTTGTTTAGTGTAGACATCTTCATCAATTCTCTTAGCTAGATCTTCTGGTTAACTTGCTGAAGCTTCTCTATCAGCACTTTCTGCTTCACCCTGCACTTTGATGTTATGAAGATGGCTTCCATCTTAAACCTCTTGAACCAATCTCTGCTAGCTTTAAACTTATTTTATGCAGCTTCCTGACCTCTCTCAGCCTTTATAGAATAGAAGAGAGTTAAGGCCTTGCTCTGAATTAGGCTTTAGCTTAAAGGAATATTGTGGCTAGTGATCTTCTACCCAGACCAATAAAACTTTCTCTAGATAAGTGAAATGTCTGCTTCGCTTTCTTATTATTCATGTATTCACTGGGGTGGTACTTTTAATTTCCTTGAAGGACTTTTTATTTACATTTAGAACTTAGCTGTCAGGTGCAAGAGGCTTAGCTTCAGCCTCTCTCAGCTGTCAACATGCCTTCCTCACTAAATGTAATCATTTCTAGTTTTTTATTTAAAGTGAGACATGTGATTCTTGCTTTCACTGGAACACTTAGAGGCCATTGCAGAATTATTAACTGTCCTAATTTTAATATTATTGTGTCTTGGAGAATAGGAAAGCCTGAGGCAAGAGAGAGAGACAAGGGAACAGCTGGTCGGTGGAGCAGTCAGAACACACACATTTATCAATTAAGTTATTCACTCAAAACAATTACAATAGGAACATCAAATATCACTGACCAGAGATCATCATAACAGATATCAATAATAAATGATTTGAAATATTGCAAGAATTTCCAAAACATGATACAGAGAAATGAAATGACTGCATGCTATTAGAAAAGTGGCATTGATAGACATTCTTGACACATGGTTGTCACAAACTTTCAGTTTGCAGAAAACACAGTATCTATGATGCACAAGAAAATGAGGTGCAATAAGGTGAAGCATGCCTGCACTGAATTAGGCGCTGAGAAAATATAAAATAATACTACCCACAATGAAATTACAACCTATTTAAGAAGATTAAACATATACATAAATATAATAAAATAGTATTAATAATCAGTGGAATGAGAGAAGTAAACAAGACTTAAAAATCTTACGGTTTACCTGAGGAGGGAGATATTTTTTTTCCATTTAGGGTTAGGGAGTAGTGTTCTAGGAAAGAGTAGACTGAGCAGAGACTTGATAAATCAACATGATATCAGCAAAGTTCACATTAATAGTTATTACTTGTCGTAAGTGTGACAGAGGAAAGGTATGGAAAATTGAAACTTATAAGTATACTTTAAAAATGGAAAAGAGTCTAGTTTGAGAATACTTAATGGAATGGCAGGATTATAACTCTAAACTTGGAATGGGGTTAGTTCATGAAAAACTTGAATACTCATGTGAGCTCTTTGTATTTTAGTCTGAAGAAAATGTGGATCTGGCCATGATTTTGGAACAGAGATTCAAACTAATGATGCAGTATGTTTCATCTGATAATGTGTGCTTACTACATTTTCCGAGACCAAGACTACATCCTAGCTCTCCAGTAAAAGCCTCCTTGTTTGCAAGGAGGCTTTAAATATGCTTTCAATACTACTTCCAGAATGATCTCCACATAACACAAAATGGACCATGCCCTGTCCAATCCTTCAATGGTTCCTCAATATTTATGGGATAAAGAAAATGATTTTATGTGACTTTCCAGACCTTCCATAGCTGGGAGCCTACCTCTGCTTTAGTGTAATGCTTTGTCACAGTCTACATGAGAGTAAATGATATATTTGGGAGAGAATCTGAAGAGCATTTCAAAATGTGAAAACTGATTTAAGTAGATGTAATACAGTGAAGGCAAATTGCAGTTGATTTTATGCTGGGTGACATGAAAAATAGTGGTAATCATTTAAATAGCTAAACTAGAAGAAAGAAATCTAATCGATTAGAAAACAGGGATAACAATTTTGTATTTCTACTTGTTGAATGAGAGAAACTAAAAATTTACCAGGCTAAAATCTTTTCATATGCAATGAATACATGGGATCCAGAACTCAACTGTCAGGAGAAGTAGATCTAGAAATTCAACATTGATAGTTTTCAGCATAATGATGAAAGTGGAGGCTACACACTTATTAAAATTGACAGGGGGCCAAGAATGGTGTTTCATATCTGTAACCCCAGCACTTTGGGCACCTGAGGTGGGAGGATTGCCTGAGCCTGGGAAGTTGAGGGTATAGTGACCTATGATCACACCAAAATACTCCAGCCCGGGCAGCAGAGCAAGATCCTGTCTGAAAAAATAAATAAATGAAAATGTAAAAGTTGACAGGGAAATTGTATAGAAAGTAAGAAGAGCCAAAGATTGATTGACTATAATGTGTACAATTAGTGAATGGATGTAAAAGGTACCTAGGGGAAAGAAAAATTTCTTACCAGAGAAGATCTTTCTAACAAACCTCTCTAAACTAGAATGCCACACACACACCACACATCTTCAGGTATGCACTCGCTAGCACACACATACTACCCACCTCCCATCCCCTTGCCCTGCTTTATTGTTCTTAAAAGAACTTTTCACCATCACTTATTTATTCTTAATATGTATAATATGTATCTCCCTTCATGATAACAGGGACTTTGTTTTACCTCACAGTATTCCTGCTTCTGGAACAGTGCTTAGTGCATGGAGAGATTTTAATATATCATTGTTAAAATGGCTGAATATAAAACAAAAGCATAAACCTAGGTGATACTGAGACCTCTTCTTCTCTTTTTTTAAAGACACATTCTCACTCTGCTGGCCAGGCTAGAGTGCAGTGGCTTGACCGTGCCTCACTGCAGCCTCAATCTCCCGGTCTCAAGCAATCCTCCCAACTCAGCCTCTCAAGTAGCTGGGACTATAGGCATGCATCATCACGCCCAGCTGACTGAGACATTTTCTAGCAATACTAAGTATTTCAGCATTTGGGAATGGAGAAAATGAATAATTCACACAGGGTCACTCAGGATTCTGTGTGGAGAAATTCTTAAGAGCTATCAGAGACATTGTTGAAAAGATGGGTGATGAAACTAAAGTAAGTGAAGAGGCAGATAAGACTAGAAGGGGATGATGGGCTTGGAGAGAAAGGAGATTGAAGAACCTGAGACCAAAAGAAGAATAAAGAATAGCATTTGCAAGCATGAAGACATGAGAAAGGAGACATTATGTAGATTGTAGTGAGGGACAAGACATGTTAAATTCAAGATGCTGCTTCAGCTCATTTTTCTCCAGTGATTTATTTTTTAACTATTTCTCTGTCTTCAACAGTTACCTAAATGAAATATATTAAGTGCCTGCCTCTAAAGAAGAATTCAATGAAGGTTAGCTATTATCTTTTGTGTATTATTATTTGTTTATTGGCAAAGGGCTTCTACACAAGTTTTCCGACTTAGTTCTCTAGATTACTCAAGATTTATAATTCTAATGCTGACCTCAGGCATCTCAGATTTAACTTAGTCAAAATAGAATTCAGCAGTCCTCGTCAAGGAAAAGTTTTGTTCTTTTCCATTGTCACAGTAAATAGCATCATACACCCAGGTATACAAGTTAAAAGATAAGAATCATTAATTATCTTTCCCTTTCAGCCGTAGTCACATTCAGTCACCATATCCTGCCAATTCCCATTCAGAAATTTCTCCAAAATTGGATCCCCATTCATCCATTCTACTGCCTCTCTCATTTCGGCCCCCACCATTACTCTCCTAAACTATTAGAGCAACGTTTTGTTCCAGTCATCAGCTGTATATACACGTCACTGTCCACATGAAGAGTAAATGATGTATTTGGGAGGGAATCTGACGAGCATTTTAAAATGTGAAAACTGATTTAAGTAGATGGAATACAAAGAAGGGAAATTGCAGTTGACTTTATGCTGGGTGACTTGGAACCCATTCTCAATACTGTTGTCATTACTATTTTTCTAAAATTTCAATCATGTAACTAACAGTCAAGATATTTGATGGCTCCTAATTGACCATGGGATAAAAACCATTCTTTCGTTTACTGTACATTACTCACTGTGCCAGTGCCCAAGGTGCTGTGATGAACAAGGCAGTTGTCATCTACCCTTCCTATCTTGGCTCCTCTTTACTTCATGCTCATCTTCAGCACTTCATTGTCATGCCCTCTCCTTCACATTGTATTTATCAACATCCAAGAACATTCCAGGCCTTTGCACAATTTATTGTCTTTGTACATGCTGATCCCACTATCTAAGAAACAGTACCTGCCAACATTCAAATGAGAAATTTCTCAAATTCAAATATACATGTATGTGTATATCAGACATACATATATGCTTTACAGAATGAATGGCATTTGAGATATTTTTCAAATGGTCAAGATATTTTTTATCTGTCCCAGGACTCTGCTTATGCTATTATAATACGTATCATGTTTATCTTTCTCTTTCCACTTTATTATGATCTCCTGCCAAAATTTATTATACCCAAAGCCTTACACAGTACCTGACACAAAGTATACGCTGAATGAATGGGAACCAGTACTAGGAAGCATATGCGTATACTGGTGATAGTATAAAGCCAATAGAAGGTGATAAGCATAGATTTTGGAGAGAAACATCCCTAATTTGAATTCTAAAATCACTACTTTTTGGTTGTAGTACTTGAGCTAGCCACTTAACATTCTTTTTTTTCTTATTATGATAGAGATCTTCAGTTATACACACAGTCAACAAGAATAGTGTTATTGTTATGAACCATCACCATGCATTCATCACCCATTATCAGTAATTATCAATACATCTAATCTTTTTTCATCTATACTCAATATATTTTTTCCTCTCTCCGTCTGAAGTATTTTTTTTTTCAGACAGAGTCTCGCTCTGTTGCCCAGGTTGCAGTGCAGTGGCACGATCTTGGCTCACTGCAACCCCCACCTCCTGGGTTCAGTCTATTCTCCTGCTTCAGCCTCCCCTGTAGCTGGGATTCCAGGTGCACACCACCATGCCTGACTAATTTTTATATTTTTAGTAGAGACAGGGTTTCACCATGTTGACCAGTTTGGTCTTAAACTCCTGACCTCAGGTGATCTGCCTGTCTCAGCCTCCCAAAGTGCTGGGATTACAGGCATGACCCACCGCGCCTGGCCCATCTGAAGTACTTTGAAGCAAATCTCAACTTCATAAACTTTAACCCATAAATACCTTAGCATGTATCACTAAAAGATAAGGACTCTCTATTTTTTATAAGATCTCATCATGTCTCAAATAAATTAATAATTTATTAATATCATCAAATATCCATTTAGTTCAGATTTTCCCAATTATCTCTAAATAAGCATATGTGTTTTCTAAACCACTAGCTTGTTTGAATCAGGATCCTAATGATTTTTACATTTTATGTGTTATGTCTTTTAAGTACTTTTTAATTTGTAAGTTTCTTCTTTCCCTCCTTTACATCCTCCTCGCTGTTGAAGAAACTGGGCTTGTAGAGCTGTGCTTCTCAAATGTTAATGTAACTGTATAACCTAAGGAGATGGTTAAAATGCAGATTATGACTCAGTAGGTCTGGATTGAGGCCAGAAAGTCTGCATTTCTAACAAGCTCTCACGTAATGCCAAAGCTGCTAGTTCATAGGCCGAACTTTGAGAAACAAGACGTAGAATATTTCACAATGTGTATTTTGCTTATTCCATCTTCTTAATGTAATTTGCCATGTTAACTCTGTACTTTGTGACACCCTGTAAAACAATAAACCTAGAGTAATGGTTCTTGACATTGGACTCACAATAGAATCCTCTGGGGTACTTAAAAAATCATCATGTCCAGGTCAAACTTTAGACAGGATATTCAGAATAAAATTCCTGATTCTTTTTTTTTTAACCAGTTTTAAAAACAATGAGTTATTTTCCTAGCATCTTCCAAAGTATTTTACTTAAATATACCTATTTATATCAATGTTTGTACCTATTTATCTATATAGATATACAATAATCATAATTTTTACTAGAAAAGGAATTGTATATATTGCGATATATGTATTGATGGACCATTTAACTGCAAAATATATTGCTTTCTTCTTGGTGGTGGTGCTTTTTTTTCTTCTTTGGTTTTTTTTTTTTTTTTTTTTTTTTGGAGGGGGTAGGGGCTTTTGTTTTCTCTATTTAGGAGCCCTAAGAGAACAAAAGTCTTAGTGAAGATACGCAATAATCAGCCATAAGTACATTCTGTAATTTGGTACTCATATCTCTGAGAAGGCCTGGATTTCCCCAGACCTGGGTTTTTGCCTCCTAGCTGCAGGTATCATTTACTCCCTGCATCCTAGAAGGCCCAGGGCAGTGCCAGAGCTGTTGTGGCTCTCTGCTGTCCCTAGCAGGATGAGGGAAATTATTTTCCATGTGCCCAGAACTTCCCTCACTGTTACTTTTTAGGCTGAGTATGGATTTTTATCAGAAACAAACAAAAAATCTTTGTCTTCAAACAGTGCTGCTTTCCTCTGCAGAATTCCGCAAAGCAGGGAATGGTAGGTTTAGCTACTTGCTCAGAATAGGGAGAAGAAGTAAAAATATGGAGAACAAAATAAACAAAAACATAAGTTTTCCTTGCAACATGTAATTGTCATTGGCACAAGTCGCTTGTCTACTTTTTCACTTTCTTAATGTAGCTTTCAAGAAAGCATTTACATTAAATCCAGTCTTAAATTTTACTTTATAGAAACACAACTAAAGATTTCATGGATGTGGATCATTCAACATATATATCGGCCATGAAAAATTTATAGTTAATCTGAAAACCTTCAGAAAATATTTTATGTTTATTTGTCTATTGCAGGGCTAAGAATTTTGATCTGCAGTCTGTCTTCTAATCAGAGAGGTTATATTTAAATAAAGTACTCCAAATGAAAATAACCCACTTGAATATAACAATCAATTTTGAGTGGGCTTTTTGTTTTTGCAATTTACAATGGGATTTTAAAAATAAAACATACACAAGATCAGGGTACTTTGAAACATTTGTGTAAAATAGCTCTGAATATTAAACATAGAGGCTGAAAATATGATGAAAACTCAAAATATTGTCCAAAGGTAAACTAAATGATATGGTTGGACGGAGGCTAATTTTTCTTCAACTTCTGCTGTTGATTTATATCTATTATTCTTTCACTGTTATATAACACAATACATTGAGGAGTGGGTGCCTTGACGTCTATACTGGTATTATAATTATTACAATTAGCATCACACTAAATAAATTACAAAATGTATGTGAGTGAATACGTGCTTGTATACCTACTTGAAAACTCATTCAATCCTTACAACACCCCTGTAAGTCAGTAATACTTATTATGATCATTTTATTGAGATGGAAACTGAAGTTCAAAAGGATAAAAGCTTGTAGATAAAAATCAATATTTTCCAAACTAGAACTCAGGTTTTCTGATTGCAAATCATTTTGTATGTATGTGCTTTTTTATGCACATACCAGATGATATGTGCTCTGAGAAGTATAACTATGTTTAAACCAATCATATCTATGATTAGGTATTCAAAAATGATTTGCCAATAATGTATAATATACAAATAATTGTGCATTTTGATATCACATTAAGAACTTAAAATACCTTTATTACTTTAATATCATAAAGCCTACCAAGAAGTGTGTGAGCTAATACTTAAACACCAAACTGACAGGTGCAAAAGCAGAGGTCTAGTAAAATTATAGATCAAAATTGCTAATTCATATTGCTGCAAAGCCAGAAAAAGATTACAGTCCAGGCTGAGGCAGGTGGATCACAAGGTCAGGAGTTCAAGACTAGACTGGCCAACCTGGTGAAACCCTGTCTCTACTAAAAAAATTACAAAAATCAGCCGGGAGTGGTGGCGGGTGCCTGTAGTCCCAGCTGCTCGAGAGGCTGAGGCAGGAGAATTGCTTGGACTTGGGAGGCGGAGGTTGCAGTGAGCCAAGATCGTGTGACTGCACTCCAGCCTGGGCGACAGAACCAGACTCTGTCTCAAAAAAAAAAAAAAAAAAAAAAAAAAAAAGGATTCCAGTCCTTCTGTTTCCCCAAAGTGACCCATTCCACTAGAACTACTTATAAATATTTATCTAGACTAAAATTTAGCAACAAAATCAGATTTAGTCACTTATACTCATTTCAGGACTACAAAGCTGTTTAAACTACTGTGGAGGGAAAATATGCCTATGAATGAGAGAGTGAATTTTCTTTTAGAAAAAGAAAACAGCTATGTTTGCAACTCGTAATTATACAAATCTGCTACACTGTTTTTATATGTACTGCAGCTAACCTTTACACTACTCATTGGTTTAATCCTTTAGCCCAATATTTAACCATAAAGCAAATTATAAAATAAGCGTTTGGTGCAAATGAGAACAGACATGTTTTGTTTCCAAAGGTAAGGATGGTAACCTGCTTACAAATTACTCTCTGAGATTCATACTACATCACTAAGACTTTGACTGTTATCAACATCATACTTTCATGATTTTCTATCTCTCAGACAAATTTTGCACAGAGAAAATGAACTTATTGTGCAGTAGAGTCCCCAGGGCCTCGCAAACCACACAGCTGTAAAAAGCTCCTCTTTTGAAATGAGTTGGGCTAAAGTAGAAAGGTTTATTTAGGCCCTTATATGAGATGATTCAGGAGGAAAGTCATTTTCAGCCCAATTACCACCAGTAGAGTTGGGAAATCTGCCTGGATACCTTTATCCAAGAGACGAGTATTTGGATATCCAATGCTTAATGGAAATTGAGGGGAGGGCTCTGATATTTAAACAGCAAAATATTCACCCAATTCTCACACTAAAATTTTAAGTACTTCTCATAGAAGAAGAAAGTAACTGCATAGCCTACAGTGACACCAATGATTCAATGTGAATCAAATATATTTTGAAGATCCTAAAAGTCTGCTGGAAGCTTCAGACAGCCTGTCAGCAAGCTAGCCACATGACTAACCAGAGGTGACATCAGAACTACCAGTTTCCCAAGCAGGAAAGCTTTCCAAGAAGCCATATGCCACTAGAAATGTGTCTGTCAAAATTCAGCATCTGAATCTAATGCTTGATTTCAGCTCAGCTAAAAGATATCACAAAATGCTTCAACTTCCCACTGAAATTCTCTCTTGCCTTCAATTAAATTATTATGTTCTTTAGTGCCCAGAGGGCACAACAAGTAGGTATGAATTATGAAAAAAAAAAGTAAGTCACTAAGAAACAAGGATCTTAAACTTCAGAGGCAAATAACCTTATTGAAATATAGTGGACAGTGTTATGATACATAATACTGCCCCAAGCCTTCTTAGTCCCTTCAAGGTCTTAATTCCTGAATCATGAATCCCAGGTATAAGAAAGGCACTGAAAATATCTTGCATACAGGTACAAAATATAAATATGTCTATGCTTCCAGGGCTGTTTGCATGTTAACAGGGACCAAGAAACCTTAAGTCAAAATAATGACACTCTAGGGAATTACCTTCAGGCACAAGTGAGATGGAGGGAGAAGTATATTTCAGGGCACTGGTCCCTGTTCAGCATCCCAGAAATCATAGGACCTGAACAGATGATTACCCAGCTATATGTAAGTTTAGTCCCTAATTAGATTATATTAGTCTGATTGCCTATAAAGCAAAGATTTCTTTTGCCTCAATAATAATAAACCAAAAATTACAATAAAAATATGATTAGCACTGTATGTACTTACGCATCTATTATTTAATCTTAACCTTGAGTTATGAAAAGCACTTAATTTTATATTCTCTTTTTTTCAGAAATGAAAAGGCAGACTTGGGAGGTATATATTAGTTGCTTACACATGACAACTTTTATGAATTAGAATGAACTTCTGAGCTGATGAAGCTGAGTCCTCACGGGTGATGGTAGTGTATTCCAGAGGCAAGCATGCCTAACACAGTGAACATTTTTATTCAATAAACAGTGAGATTAGTAGCTATTACTACATGGCAAAGTGCTATGGGCATCAAATGTGGGAAGAAGCAAGTTCAGAGAACAGCAAGAAGATTACAATAAAACAGATTAGTGAAATTAAAGGAAATAATGAAATAAACAAAAATAAAATCAAAGGTAATAATAAAAATATCCACAGATACTCTAATAGCATGTTTCTGTTATTTGAAAAGGGGAGAAAATTGATTATGAATATCATATATAAAGAATTTTCCTGACCAAGTCTCAATGAGATATAGGATTTAAATTATGAAAATTATGAGAATCTTTGAAAAGGTCACCCACAATCTTGACCAAAACACACTGTAAGTTGCTGCCAAATGACTGGACAGAGAGAAAGGCAAGAGGCCATTTCTGACTACAAAATAATTTCTGCATGAACACATAAAGTTTTTGCCTAAAGATCAAGCCTGTGAATATGATTACATTGATTCCATTTTATAATATTCTTCGATAATGACCACCAATGAGATAGATCCACATATCCAAATAAAATTGGGGAATGAATTGAGTATTCAGAAGAGCTAGACAAAGCACTTGAAGCAAGCATTAGTGACAGAATGCTGAGCAGGGTAAATTATTATACTTATATGTATTTTTTAATATGTTACATTAATAAAAGGCTGGATTATTCAGGCCACTTTGTAAATTTTTGATTACCCACTTCCTACCTAGTTTCTACCATATCCCTAACCAATGTAAAATATTATTAGGATAAGTCCTATTTCTTAAGCCATGATAACAATGTAATATCATGGAGGAGAGCTTAAGTCAATAGAGGCTACCATTTCATTTTTCCAATGTGCTCTGAGGTGAGCTCAAATGTGCAATATCATTAAGAATTATGACAACATGTTTCATAAAAATCAAACTAAATTTATGTAAACATGATGAAAAAGTCACATTAGGAAATTGTTTCACATTAGCTAAGATATTTCACATTACCTTCACATTTATCTAACATTTGGGATAAACTTTAGGCCTTCATTAAATGATAGCCTAATTGGTTAACAAAGTTATTGATATTGCTCATTTTCTGTTCCTCATGCCAGACTCTTAAGGGAATAATAAGATTAGTTTAATACAGAGAAATAAAAGGAGTTCTGAAGGTTAATGAAACCAAGGGTAGCAGAGAAGGAAGATGTTAGTTCTGGCGCACCAGCTGCGTATTTCAAGTACAGAAGCATCTGTCTCCTGTCTGTGGGCCTATTACTATTAAATTTGTCAAAACAACAGCACCTAATGGAGCTTTCTGTATTTTTTCAGGGAAAGGGCATTTGTTTGACAAAGTCAAAAAAGGGTTCTTGAGTTCATGGAAAACTCACACTTTGAAAACATAGTTTCCTTTATACATTCTGAACTTAGGTCTTTTATTTCTTGCCTTCATCAAGTCTTATAGACCAGCCTGGTCAATATAGTGAAACCCCGTCTCTACTAAAAATACAAAAAATTAGCCAAGTGTGGTGGCAGGTGCCTGCAATCCCAGCTACTCAAGAGGCTGAGGCAGGAGAATCGCTTGAACCTGGGAAGCAGAGGTTGCAGTGAGCTGAGATCGCGCCACTGCACTCCAGCCCCAGCAATAGTACAAGACTCTGTCTCAAAAAAAAAAAAAAAAAAGAAAGAAAGAAAGAAGAAAAAAAAAAAGTCCTGAACAGATCTGAGTACAGATGTCTAGGGTAATCCCGTTAAGAATACCACCTATATCACCTGTAAGGAACCATACAAATAAAGGGGTACAAACTCAGCATGACTAGTCCTATACAATTATTGAACATACACAACATTTATTAAGTTTGACATCTTATGTGGACACAGTTTGTGATGCCCCAAAACAATTCCAATGTAACATAAAGCATTACTGATCAGAAGCCACCACAGAAGATGTAATAATAATGAAAAAGTTTGAAATATCGTGAGAATTACCAAAATGTAACACAGAAACTCAAAGTAAGCACAGGCTGTTGGAAAAATGGCACTGATAGACTTGCTCTAGGCAAGGTTGCCACAAAACTTCAATTTGTAAAAAACACAATATCTGCAAAGTGCATTAAAGAGAAGCACAATAAAAAGAGGTAGGCCTGTATACCTAAAATGTTCAATTAAATAAGGCATAAACAAAATTCAATAGGTTTCCTGTATACTGGTGAGATATACATGTATTTCTTATGAGAAAATTTGCTTTCTCATATGTTCCTGATTGGATTATAAATGAAAATATTTTGGAAAGTAACTTCTTTGACCTGATAATGTATTTCTAGAAAATTCTCCTACACAAAGAAAAAAAAGTAAGTATAGAAAAAAGCAGCCTTAAGCACATGATTTTTATCTAGCTTTATCTATACAAGTGAAAGATAGGAGGCAACATAAATATTTAGTAATACTAAATGGATAAATACCATCTTGATGTAATCTCACACTACTGTAAACAACGATGGTGATTTTTATTCAAAATAATATAGAAAGTGCTTATGTTGCTATGACAAATTTTTTAAGTATACTAAATTATTTACATAATATCAACATACTCTTTATTTAGCATAAATCAAACCCCAAATATAACACATAGAAAACTAGGACACACACCAAGTATTAATTATGGCTATTTTTATGTGATGAGAACATTGTTGTTTTTGTTTTTATTTCTTTAATTGTCTAGGTATTTTTTCTCATAATTTCTTACATGGATACATTTTATAATGGAAAATATTTGACCTTTTATTTCAATGAGTGAAATAGACAATTAGACTTATGAAAAAGAAACAGTGATTAATGCAATTATTGTCTTCGATCAGTACTCTGGGCATAACAGCTTTTATAACCTACTTAATAAATGCACAGTCATAAATGTCTTTGGTATGCTTAGTAGTTCCTTAAACCCCATTAAAGTATATGTCCCCTATATATTTCGTTTTAAACTGGTTCTATTACTTTTTCCTCTGTCCAAAATTGAAGTTCAGAGCTTTTAAACTGTTATAATAGGACATCATCATCATCATCATCATCATCATCCTTATCCTTATCACCATCATCCTTATCATCATTATCATCATCTCACTTTGGGCAATTAACAGAGATACTCAGAAAATCTCTACGTGTTATTCCAGGCTAGCCTTCTAATAAATTCAAAGACTTCTCACATGCTTTTATATTTGGTGAACTATTTTAGACAACTTTTGTTTCATAGCCCAATCGAAATTTTTTTAGATCAACTTATTCCATAGGCAGATTTCTGTTTTATAGTAAAAATATGTGCCTTGGGCCAGGCACAGTGGCTCACACCTGTAATCCCAGCACTTTGGGAGGCTGAGGCGGGTGGATCACCTGAGGTCAGGAGTTCGAGACCAGCCTGGCCATCCTGGTGAAACCCAGCTTATACTAAAAATACAAATATTAGTTGGGCATGGTGGTGGGTGCCTGTAATCCTAGCTACTTGGGAGGCTGAGGCAGGAGAATCACCTGAACCTAGGAGGCAGAGTTTGCAGTGAGCCAATATCGCGCCATTGCACTCCAGCCTGGGTGACAGAGCAAGACTCCATCTCAAAAAAAAAAAGTGCCTAATTGAAAGACCCAAACAATCATTAGTCATTTTAAGAATCCTTAACCCAATAGCCACTATGCATTTATACCTGATTTTATTACTTTATAATGAGTAATTTACCACCTGCGTCCTGGAGAAAGCCTTGATAAGAGAAGCTAATTTCAAAATATGCTATAGGGTCCATCTGGCCCGATATTTTCATTTTCATTTTTACCATTTCTTTAAATAAATTATTATAGATCAAGCTCCTGATTCACATTTTATTTTAATCAAATCTTTTTAAAAATCCTGATATCATCAACAGAAGAACAAGTCAGATTCTATTTAATAATGGAATTACATTGTTGTCGACATATCAAAAATTGAATTATGATCCTTCCTACTGTCAAATAACATACAATGGTTCAGTTCAGTCTTCCATTAAAATTTCACATTTATTTGTTTGTTTTCAAACCCAGACCCTTTTATGCTCAGCTTAATGACAAATTATCATATGATTAAAATGAAGGTACCCAACACTTCTACCAAAACCATTATTGACCCAGACATAAGTCATATACCAAGGAAAATGGCCATTACATTAAATTCATGAAGATTCTAGAATCTAAGGTCATGTCTGTCTATATGGTCCTCTGAAAAGCGTTACTGTGGCTACAAAATCAATTTGTAACACCTGTCCTCATTGGGAAAGCAATCAATTCTGAGGCCTCTAAGCTTTAACTGTCTGATATTCAACAACATAGTCCCATTATTTCTTCATCAAACTTGTCAAACATGACTAATCACTTGTACACATGAAGATTGCCTAGTGCTTACCTCGGGCCATATAAATTATACATGTAAGATATAAAAACTGTACAATTATGAAACAGGAGACAACTGTAATATCTAACGTAATGAAAGAGGTTAAGATTCAAAGACAAGCTTGACTGGTCTTTTTGTTCCGTGTTGAATTTAACCATCTTTAGGTCTCCAATCTAGTCTTTACCCTGTTCAAAGGAAGAGAGCTGGGAGAGGAACAGGTGCAAACTCCCTCAAATTACACTAAATTCTGGCTTCACTCTCACAAAAAGAGAAGTCCTCCAGGGGATACAACAGCCAATGAGAAGAATTTGGATAAATATCATCTAACCAGACTCTTGCATTCTCTGAAAATGTTAACAGTGTAGTGGTCACAATCAAGCGGTGCGTGGCCTTGTTTACCACAATTATTAAAAAGCTAACCCTGAAAATACTCCATCTGACACAAAATGGGTCAGGTTCCTTTAACACGGAGTGTGTCAGAGAAGAGAGAGCCCAAGGTGTTATCCTGAAACTCTAGGAGACTTTCAATGTGGCCTAATGCTTCCCTCTCAGGGAGCAAGCCAGAAGCGTTGCATTTTCTGTAAGAATCTCTAACCCACTTAGCACTCTATCTCCTGGGTCTGGCCTTTTGTTTATTTGCCTTGAGCCTAGACCTGATTTAGTTAGACAAGCAGACTCAGCCAGATTCTTGTCATTCAAAATCTCTTCCTGAGTCTTTTGTATTTTATTAATATCATTAGTCTGTTCCCAACACCCTGTGAAGACTTTCTCAATTATCATGTTCCTCATATATCAACATTTAAATTCCAAGATAAATGTAAACAAGCCACTTTGGGTTGCAAAGTACAACAAATATATAAATACATTTATCATATTTAAATGTATTTAAAAGTCACAACAAGCTTGCAATGTAAAAGAAATGCATGGGAGTCCTTTCATAAGGCAAAGAAGCTTGAAATAAATCAGTGAGGAAACGTGTATTCGAGTAAGCATGGGTTATAAGAGTCAGATACATGCCCCAACCCCCCCAAAGGCTTATTGTATAATCTCAGGCAAGTAAATCATTTAACCTCCAAACTATGATTTTTGTTCATTACAACTGGAGTGTTGGATTATATAATCTCCATGTTCCCAGTAGCTCTAAAATTTTACTAAATTATGTTTTAATTAACCATCTGCATTATGAGCACTCAGCTTCTACAGAGTTTATCAACACAAATGACCCCCTGCATATGCAGTGTCCACTTCTACCCATGAGCTACATCTCATACCTCACATGCCACCCACACAAAAGTTTTAGGCCCTTGCTCTAAATAGAGACAATTATAACTTATGCCAAATGAGACATTGGCTGATTTTGCCATCATCTGTATTTAGGCACACTAATTCCTTAGCTTTAAAAGGTAGGATCATTTTTTTCCTTTCTCACAGAGTTACTGTAAACATTCAATAAAATAATGCATATGCTGGTGCTAGTATATCTGGAGGAGAAAATAGTGAATTTGATTTTTCACATTTAGATAGAGTTAGAATTGCCTATAAGCCATTGGTTATTCTGGTCCCAAACCATAAGAGATATTTAACTAATGTGAAATTGTTATTAGTCATATAATTTATTGGTCCATCTTTTCTCTTTGCCCCTTTACTCTCCCTCATCCCCAGCAAGGCTGTGAATTCATCAGTAGCAGACCCCATGCTCATAATTAAATTAACTGTAGTGTCTACATTTTTGGCACAGTATTTTGCACATTTTTAGGGCTTCATGTTTGATGAAGGTGATGGTAATTTTGGCGATACACAAGAAATGGTTTCAGAAAAATTTAGGGAGACCAATTAGAAGACAATTAAAGTAATACAATAGAAATGTTTGTAACTTAGAAAACATTATTAGCAGTGAGAATGCAGTTATGTGGATGGATTTGCGAGACAGTTATAAGGTACAGTCATCGGTACTAGCTGATGAAGTGGGTGTGAGGGGGAGGCAGAGAGGGCAGTCAAGGACAATCAACAGCCTTCTAGCTTGAATTGGGTGAAAGGTGGTGTCATTTACAGAGAAGAGTAGAGGTTTTGTACATATTAAGTCTGAGATGACTGTGAGCTATCCAAATGTCAAACAGATGGTTGAATATGAAAATCTTGAAATCAGAAGCAGTGTGAGAGCTCTAGAAATACAGCATTTAGATTATAAATTACAAGTGAAGTCATGGAAGTCCATGGAATTTCCTAGATGAAAGGATATTGAATTGGGAACCTAGAAAAGAATCCTGATAATTTCTAATATTTAATGACCTAGTTGAGAAAAAATAACCAATAATGAGACCAAGGAATAGGTAACAGAGATACTGGAGCAAAATCTAGAGAGATGGTATCATGAAAGCCAAGGGCAGAAAATATTTCTAGTAAAAGAAAGTTACCAGCTGTATCACATTCCACTAAATCAGCTAAATCATAAAAAACATTTTCAAAATTTATACCATTTTTATATTACACTATTGTGAATTGCAAACTACAGAAAACTAAAAAGAAAGAAAATAAAAAACACTCATAATCCTATAACTCTGAGATAACTCCAAATAACTTGATATTTAGCCTACTGGTAGTTTTTTGATATACACATCACAGATACTTTAAATACCACAACCATAGCAATTTTTAATAAAAATAATGTTACTATAGTTATATTTGGCATAAAATTAAATCGGTCTTTGAAAGCCTCTTATAATTTGTTTTAGGCACAGGAGATATCAGGACAAATTTCAATAAGGTGCAGTTTGATAAGGTATGAGTAAAAAAATAAAATAATTAAAGAGGTATTAATGAAATAATGGAAAAACAAGTAATTAACTAAGGAAAAGTGCCATAAAGGGTGAAGTACTCTTCTAAGATCATAAGAATTGATTCCATTTGTCTTTGTGACCATCCTATGAAAGCAGCACAATTGTTTTCCTAAATTCATAGATAAGAAAACTGAGTCATAGATGATTAATAACTTATATGAGGTCACACAGCTAATATGTGATATAGCCAGGATTCAACCAAGACAATCTGATAGCAGAGCCGGTGCTCCTCATCACCATGTGATGCTGCTTCCTAGGACTTTATTTAGCAGAAGGTTTGCACAAACGTAGGGAGATAAAAGTCCACGATCTACTAAAGGAAGAGCCAGATGTTTTCTGTAGCAGTACAGAGTGTCAATGTAAGATAGTGGAGGAGATTAGACTGGGAGAATAGGTTGCAAATAGATTATAAAAGCATTTATGCCATATTAAGGAATTTGGATCTTACCCTTGAGGCAATAGGGAGCCACTGAATTATTTTAAGGAGGAGGAAGACATAAATTCTGTGTGGATTTCCAATGCAAAATATTGGCATCACCAATTTCAGTTCTAACGTGTCAGAAATCACTTGTTAACTTTCTCTTCACAGCATTATACTTTAGCTTGTTTTTAGAAGCATAGAGGTATTAATAATAAAATTAACAGTAATAACAGCTTAGATGGAACAAGAAGTCTGTGCCTTACTCCAAGGGGCAGTTGGGAGAATGTTAGGACATGTACTGGGTACCTTTGTTTAGATGTAAATGTCTTCAGAGCGCTTATGACCAATTGGAAGGGCCGTCTTCCTGTTTCTTGTGTTCCCCAGGTAGCAACTGAAGAAGGTGCAGGCCAATGAGACATTATCTTTAAATGTTAAGAGGATACAACTGAGTAAGTGGAGGAGCACAAATTTACTACTGGAAATAATAGCTCTGAGTACGGTATATACTTTCTAGTATTTTGCTACAAAGTCATTCCTTATACTGCTTTATGACTACAACTGATATAATGTTTTCTTTAACTTCATTTTCACATCTTGTAGAATATACACGATTTTACTAGAAAATACAGAATTTCAAATTAAGGATGTACTTAAGATATCAGTTTCCAGATCCACAAAATATTTTTAATGCACTTGGGAATCTGTCTTTCAGGTTTTCAAGGTGTTAGATATCATACAGAGCAAATGTTTTGGAGATGTGAATATAGTCTTACCTTTTTAAATTGATATTAAAGGTATCTATATTCTAATTGATAGAAAAGGTTTTCCACAGGAAAACCTTTTCCTAGAATTATTAAATGGTGAAAAACTAGGCCGAAGTTGTAGGCCTTGATTTTTTTTCCTCATTTTAAATGGGAGTGCCAGAGAAAACCAAAGTGACTAAAAGATATGAAAAACAGGTATAAAGTATAGAGCTGAATCATTTTCAGAGCACTGGTAATAGGATTTGTTCATGCTCTATTTTAGCAGATGAACATGGAAGGGACAGACGATGTTTTCTTATTTGGGAAATTAGACCATTTCCTTTCTTAGTTAACTGTAAACAACCCGTCAGATTTTATGAGCTTCCTTTTATGCTGCAGCTGAAATTTGTAGAGCTATGGATTCTGTTATTCTGCTTCCTAGAGACCGAAGGTAATTAGTCATGGTTTGCCAAAATCCAGTCTCACAAACAGAATATTAAATTAAGGTGAATAAATATGCCCCTACATTTAGGAAATTTAAGCAGCAGAACAAATAAAAAGGGAAAGGAGTTTTGCTCTATTGGGTAGATTAAAAGCTAGCATTGAGCCTTGAATTCTAAGGCTGAGCTCTGCCACTCCCTTGTTGTTTATGAGAAACTCTGTTTAAGCTGGAAAAGTCCTAGGCAAAAATCTCACTTTATCGCTTTATGTAGCCACTCCCTTCCATCTTTGTTCAACGCACTATCCCCTCACACTCCCAATCCCCCATCATCAGTTGCCTCTTCTTTTAATCTGATTCATATCAAGGTAAAAATGACTTGATATTGGTGGGTGATGTGTGGAATAAGCAAAGCTAATCCCCAAGGAATAAGTTGCTAGTAATGAACAATAGGCAATATAACACTTCAATCAGCACACTGTTTTGAAGCTTAAGAGTCTACGTAGTTTTCCCAGGTCTCACTGAATGCTAATTAGGCAGCATGATTTTGCTCCTCCTGGACTTGAGTCCTGGATTCTCTATATACATACACTTGGACATAGCTATAAAAAACCTTGGATGTAATACTTCATCTCTCTGGTTTTAGTTTCCTCATCTCTACAGCTGAAATGACAGTAATAATACCAGCCTCATTACCTCGCAACCACCCCATAATACCTCTTGAGTAGCTGGAACTACAGTTGCATGCCACCATGCCTGGCTAATTTTTTAATTTTTAGTGGAGGCAGTGTCTCCCTATGTTGTGAGGGCTGGTCTCGAACTCCTGAGCTCAAGTAATCCTCCCTGATTGAGAGGATTGTCCCAGGGTGGGAGGGAAGGTATTATAGGGTTGTCAGGAGGAATAAAAGAGGTACAATTGTCTTAGCCACAGCAAGCACTCAAGAATTATTAGGTGTTATTTATTTATTTATAAATTTTCTCAGGGTTCTAAAGGAAAAAGATAAATGCTTGGCATCAATTTTGTTAACAAGTCCCCAAAATCACTATTATTATTAAGAATAGGCTGGCATGGTGGCACACTCCTGTGATCCCAACTACTTAGGAAGCTGAAGTGGAAGGATCACTTGAGCCCAGGAGTTCGAGGGTCCAGTGAATGGTGACTGTGCCGCTGCACTACAGCCTGTGTGACAGAGCAAGACCCTCAAAAAAAAAAAAGAAAAATAATATATATCAAACTTGTCATTTATGATTTGTGGGTTAAAATATTTGCAATTTCCTCTGCCAAACTTAGTTTTTGTAGCACTCCTCTTCTTTTCTTTTCTTCTTCTTTTTTTTTTTTTTTTTTTTTGAGACAGAGTCTTGCTCTGTCACCCAGGCTGGAGTGCAGTGGTGTGATCTGGGTTCACTGCAACCTCTGCCTCCTGAGCTCAAGCCATTCTTGGGCCTCAGCCTCCGAAGTAGCTGTGATTACAGCCATGTGCCACCCCACCCATGGCCAATTTTTGTACTATTAGTAGATGTGGGGTTTCACCATGCTGTCCAGGCTGATTGCAAACTGCTGGCCTCTAGTGATCTGCCTGCCTCAGCCTCCCAAAGTGCTGGAATTGCAGGCCTGAGCCACTGCACCCAGCCTAGCACTCCTCTTCTTACAAAGAGGTTGGTAGAGGTAGGATTGATGTATCATGATGTAGTAGAAAAATGCTTGGACTTACAAGGCTTTACTTCAAATCCTGGCTCTGCCCCTTAAAACCTAACCAGTTTATTAAATATCCCCGAATCTTAACTTAGTCCTCCATGAACTGGAGGTGGCAACTGCCCACTTTGTTGAGTCACAGTGGCATATGGAGGACACTAGTTATCCAGATTAATCAAATAGCATATTAAAGAAAGAGGAAGAAGAAGGCTTGTGGAGGTATATAAATTCAGCCATGGTAAGATGTCTCCATTTCTACTTTCCACCAAATATAAGTTTCTACTGAGTAATCCATTAATTGTCTTAGTCCATTCAGGATGCTATAACAAAATACCATAAACTGGGTGATTTATAAACCACAGTTCTAAAAACTGGGAAAGTCCAGGGTGAAGGTACCAGCAGATCTGGTGCCTGGGGAGTACCTGCTTCCTAGACTGCTGTCTTTTCACTACAAGCTAGCATGATGGAAGGGAGGAGGGCACTCTCTGGAGTCTCTTTTATAAGGGCATGAGAAAAAGAAAAGTAGAGAAAACAGCTCAGAGCAACCTGGGCTATGCGAGATATGCAGGGTGCAGATTCACATGAGTATGGGACTTCAGACTTCAGTCAACTTGCCCCTGCCCCCGCCATGGCCCCATTATCTTCATGTTGCTAGAATTTATAATACAGTGAACAATGTATAGTCAATCAATAGCTTATGTTATTTTAATATAAATTTTTGGTAAATACCACAGGAACTGCCTCTTTTTTTCCTTCAAAAATTTACTTATAACCACTGCTAATCAGAGCTTATATTCAGGGCAATAGAATCTATGCTTCTGAATTGTTAATTCTCAAGCTTAGCCCAAGTAAACTCTCTACTTACGTTAATTTTTGACTCAGCATCTTCCTTTTAGGTTGACATATCTGATGTAGCTGATAGGACTCAGAGTGACTCCCTCTGACCACCTGGTACTTCTCTCTGTCTTTTTTTTTTTTTTTCAGACAGAGTTTCACTCTTGTCACCCAGGCTGGAGTGCAGTGGCACTGATCTTCAGCTCACTGCAACCCCCGCTTCCCAGGTTCAAGCAAGTCTCCTGCCTCAGCCTCCTGAGTAGCTGGGATTACAGGCATGTGCCACCACACCTGGCTAATTATATATTTTTAGTAGAGACAGGGTTTCACATGCTGGCCAGGTTGGTCTCTAACTCCTTACCTCAGGTGATCTGCCCGCCTTGGCCTCCCAAAGTGCTGGGATTACAGGTGTGAGCCACCGCACCTGGCCTGGTACTTCTCTTGAAAGTGGCACTTGGAACAGCACAAACTCTTCATCCGTAGAAATTTCACTGGGTATTTCAGGTGAGTTCTCCTGAATTCAGACCTCCAAATCTTTGACTGGAGATCTAGACTGTATTTGAGCTGCTTTCAAACCCTCTCTTTTTTTAAAAAAGTGAGAATTTTGGTCTCTTCTTTAGACAGGATTTCAGGTAAAGAGCTCTGCAGAGAACCACCTTTTATTCTGCCTCTGTCTCACAGCAGACGTTTAGGTCAAAGGTTTGGCAAGTAGGCACCGGTGGTTTCATTTTACATAGCAAGCTTTTAAGATTGCAGCTGTTTTCTATTGCTTGAAACTTTGGATTTAGCTTTTCATTTGTGACCAACTCCTCTTAGTTTCTAACTGAAAAGTGTGCCCCCATTTGCTCTTCTGCATGAGTATAATATGAGATACCTTGAGCACTCTGCTACCATCTCGCAGTTAGAGGCAGTCCAAGATACATCACACCTCAACCCTAAATACGTTCCTGGCCTCAATCGCTTTTGAAAAGCTTCCGAATTATGGAAAATCAAACTTCAAAATCTAAACACTTTAAAAAAAATCAGATGAATTCATGTATAACATTATGGGACATCCTTTTGTAAATATCTAGGAAAATGAAGCCACCTAACCCTGAATAGTCATTAGAATCAGTATTCAAAATATAGATTCTTTGAAATGTCTGAAATACTTTATTTGCACACACATTTAGAAAAACTGGTTTTAGAACCAAACTGAATGAGAGACCTAGTTTATATTTGTCCTGCCTAAAATCTGATAAGAGAAAGCTAATTTTCGGCTCTACTTCTAATCTCTTTCTGCTTTTCCTCTTTTGGATCCTGTTTCTGGGAATTTTTTCTTTTGACTAAAACCCCCTTTTAAATGTTTTTTGCCCCTCTGTTTGCTTACTATTGAAACCGCCTTTGCAAAATTATGACTGAGACAGTGAAAGACATCTAACTTAACCGACTTCATCTTGCTTCTAACCTCCAAGCTGTCCTGGTTCATTCCTGGGCATAGGCTGAACTAACTTTGGGAGAAATTTAGTTTATAGTTTGAACAAAGACAGTAACATCCCTTTCCCAAAGCAGACCTCCTTCTTGTCTCAGGACTAGATTGCCTCTGTAGGACTAACATTAGCCACAAGATTAGAAATTATGGTTTAGGAGCCCTGCAGCTGGAGGCTATGTGATTCTGACCATCCCTAAACTGCTACTAAGATCAGTGCTTGAGATATTTTGCAGACTCTGCACTTGATGGATCAGCTGGCACCACCCAAATCAATAAACTGCCTCATCTGATCTTGTGGCCCCCACCCAGGAACTAACTCAGCACAAGAAGACAGCTTTGACTCCCTGTGATTTCATCCCTGGCTAATCAGCACTCCTGGCTCACTGACTTCCCCAACCCACCAAGTTATCCTTAAAAACTCTGCTCCCAGAATGCTCAGGGAGACTGATTTGAGTAATAATAAAACTCTGGTCTCCCACACAGTTGGCTCTGCTTGAATTATTCTTTCCCTATTGCAGTTCCTCTGTCTGGATGAATCGTTTCTCTCTCGGCAATGGGCAAGGTGAACCCCTTGGGCGGTTACACTATCTTGTTGGCATGATTTTTGCTGAAGAATGTTAAACTAAATTGATGTTTTTTGTTTGTCTTTGAGATGGAGTTTTGCTCTTGTTGCCCAGGCTGGAGTGCAATGGTGCGATCTCAGCTCACTGTAACCTCCACCTCCCAGGTTCAAGCAATTCTCCCACCTCAAACTCCCTACTAGTCGGGATTACAGGCATGAGCCACCATACACAGCTAATTTTTGTATTTTTAGTACAAACAGGCATTCACCATGTTGGCCAGGCTGGTCTCAAACTCCTGACCTTAGTTAATCCTCCACCCCCCACTTGGCCTCCCAAAGTGCTGGGATTATAGGTGTGAGCCACCATTCCCAGCCTGTATTGATGCTTTAGAAAGCTTCAAATCTCCCAAAATTAGTTTCTCTAAGATTTGTTCTTCTATTTCCTTCCACTTCTGCTCCTCCTTCCTTTTGCCATAATGATACCACATGAAGAAATTTAGAGGAGACAACTAATGACTTTGAGATCCCTTGAAAAATATAGAAAAAAGCACCACTCACCCTGCCTACTTTGTGGGGTTTTCTGTTTTCCTTGTAAAGTCTGAAGAGTTCTGGGCAGTTTCTTCTGTTTTGAAAAAACTCTGCTCTATTTTGCACTATATTACCTGATCTCCTTGGTTTTGGGTGGTAGCAGGGATTACTTTGTATTGTGAGTGATAACTTGACTTTTTTGTGTGCAATGGCTGACAAGTTACCTGTGAAAGTTGCACTTTTTAAAATGGCTGACAGCAGTTGCAATGAATGGATGTAACTGCAGGGGGGCTACCTACATCTTTGTGCACTTAGATAAGAAAGACACTGCTTAAACATTTAGAGAAATGTCTTCCTCTACTCATTAAAGCACTCCACTCTGATGTCAGTCATCTAATAAAGAAACAAACTAAGTTGAAAAGATCACCTATCCAACTAGATCAGTCTCCAAAACATGACTTTCAGGTATTTAGCTGATTATTTTGAAACTTTTTGTAAAGAAATTCACATCTGTAAAGGAAATCTCCATTTGTAATGGCATTTCCCTGCACCCAAGCCATTAGAAACTTTTTTTTGTCTGTATTTTTTTTTTTTTTTTGAGATAGGGTCTTGCTATGTTGCCCAGCCTGGTCTTGAACTCCTGGGCTCAAGCAATCCTCCCACCTTGGCCTCTCAAAGTGCTGGGATTACAGGCATCAACCATCATGCATAGCAAGCCGTTAGAAACTTACAATGGGAAAGGCATTGGCTTTAAATTTACATACCAAACCTTACCTCAGTTTAAGCTACTTTTCCTCACAATCTTGTCTTGGCTGGTTATTTCTGTTTCCACAAACAATGGTGTTTAGATCTAAGTTCTATGCCTTTGGAATGC
This sequence comes from Homo sapiens, assembly GCF_000001405.40. Lineage (NCBI taxonomy): Eukaryota > Metazoa > Chordata > Mammalia > Primates > Hominidae > Homo > Homo sapiens. The sequence goes on from NC_000012.12 coordinate 78,690,624, forward strand.
TAATTTTCACCTGAGTCACATCTTTGAAAATGAAAATTTAGGGTTGCCTAGCTAACAATTTTTTAGAGTAATGGCACAGGTAAACAATAAATTGATAATCTAAAGAAGGAAAGAAAATTATTTGAAAATTGACAAATGAAGAATCTTATATAGCTACAAGATTTGCTTCTGTCTGTGTTCCTATGTCTGTATGTTTATATTGGTCATGTATGTAATATTTCACTACCAAAATATATGAAAGAACTCTAATTAATCGGCTTTAAGAAAAAGTGCTTGAATCAAGTATTTTATCAGAAAAATAGGAACTGATTCAAATGTCTTTTAGTTCACATGACTGGTAAGTATTTGGTAAATAAAACTAGTTTGTTGGTTTAAGGAAAGCAGCCATCTCTTCTACCAGCAAAAATACCCATGTATTTTAACTTGAGGGTTTTACAGGCTGTAGAAACGATGAACAAATAAATAACTTGAGTTGATAGCTAGCTTTTTAAAATAAGCTACTCAAGCATAATTATTAAGAATGAATAAATTGGCTAGGCATGGTAGCTCATGCCTGTAATCCCAGCACTTTGGGAGGCTGAGGTGGGCAGATCACCTGAGGTCAGGAGTTCGAGACCAGCCTGGCCAACATGGCAAAACCCCGTCTCTACTAAAAGTACAAAAATTAGCCAGGCATGATGGCAGGTGCCTGTAATCCCAGCTACTCAGGAGGCTGAGGCAGGAGAATCACTTTAACCTGGGAGGCGGAGGTTGCAGTGAGCTGAGATTGTGCCACTGCACTCCAGTCTGGGCGACAGAGCGAGACTCCGTCTCAAAAAAATTAAAAAAAATTAAAAAAAATAATAAATAAATAAATAAATTATGTTAATGTAAATGGGATAAAAGCTTAACATTAACTATTCACACTTTCAAAAATCTTTTTACATAACTTAAAGTTATGTTAAATTAAGTTTAAAAAGCCATAAAATGGCTGAGTGTGGTGGCTCACACCTATAATCCCAGCACTTTCAGAGGCTGAGGTGGGTGGATCATCTGAGGTCAGAAGTTTGTGACCAGCCTGGCCAACATGGTGAAACCCTAACTCTACTAAAAATACAAAAATTAGCTGGGGTTTGGTGGCACGTGCTTGTGATTCTAGCTACTCAGGAAGGCTGAGGCAGGAGAATCGCATGAACCCAAGAGGCAGCAGTTGCGGTGAGCTGAGATCACACCACTGCACTCCAGCCTGGGCAACAGAGCTAGACTCTGTCTCAAAAAAAAAAAAAAAAAGTCATGAAATGCCTGAGTCTATTTCTATGGTATAGAAAATCTAAATATATTTAGATATTTTAATAAACAAAAATTGTGAAAATGTCTTTCTAGAAATTATGAAATGATTTCATCTACAAATACTGATATAAAACAGTTCAAAATTACCTACTTTTGGGTTTTCCCTGGAAGATAGGATTACTAAGAGTTAAAATCGTAGTTAACATGTGTAATTAAAATTAAGTATAACAAACAATTTTATATAGAGAGTGTATAAAGAAAGTAATATGTAAAGAAAGCTGAAGAGGAATTTTTTTTTCCTTTTATGTGAGAGATAACTGTGTGTTTGAAATTATAAGAGGAAAAGGGAAGTAAATTTTATTTCTAAGATAGAATGCCAAAATAAAAAAGGAAGTATAGGACAAAACTGAAGGTTTAAACAATTTGTAGAAAGTTTGTGAAAGACTAATCTCGTGAAAGATTCAGTATGTGATCCAATAGGTTAAAATTAAAAGGGAATACTTAGATTTTTTCTTTTTTTTTTTTTTTTTTTTTTTGAGATGGAGTCTGGCCCTGTCACCCAGGCTGAAGTGCAGTGGCGCAATCTCGGCTCACTTCAATCTCAGCCTCCCGAGTTCAAGAGATTCTCCTGCCTCACCCTCCTGAGTAGCTGGGACTACAGGTGCCCACAACCATGTCTGGTTAATTTTTTTTGTAGTTTTAGTAGAGATGGGGTTTAACCATATTGGCCTGGCTGGTCTTGAACCCCTGACCTTGTGATCTTCCCACCTTGGCCTTCCAAAGTGCTGGAACTACAGGCGTGGGCCACCTCAACTGGCTAGGGAATACTTAATTTTTCTAAATATTTATAATTAATATCAAAATCATGCTGACATAGAGAGTGTGAGAGCCTGTGTTAGAATAACAGGATTTTCTTAGAGCATTGATCTGCTCTTTAATTGAAAATTGTTAGTTTTGCAAGGTTTGTGAAAATCTTATCTTTTGTGGTCAAAGCTAGTTGAGATTGGATGAATTTGTTTACAAGTTTATACTAATATGCTGATGCAAAGAGAGAATTTGGTTTTCTCTTTTGTACAGAATTTTCACATAATAGTCATAAGTGATCATAAAAGACTTTGTTCACCTTTTGAGTAAACTGCAAAATAAAAAATAAAGCAAGAAAGACAGATTCTGTTGGGCTCCTGCTGTCTTTCTTAGATATTTTGATTGTTTAAAAAGCTGATTCTTCTATCAAAGATAAAAGTTTTTGCTTTTTGAAATCTTTGAACTATCATTTTGGTTAACTGAATTTGATTAATTGAACTATTATTTAAAATGATCTATGATCCTATTTTTAATTAAGTGTTTTAAATCTTTAATATTTGACATACTTCCAAAAATAAAATTTTAAATTCTAAAATTAAGTTTTTTCCAAAAGTACCCCTGGAAGTCCAAAAGGTTTACTAGGCTCTTATTAGGTTCTTACTAGGCTTATGTGGTATATAAAAATCTTATTTAAGACATTGTCAAATAAGAAATTGTGTTTAACTTTCTCTGAGCTATATTTATATGGCTATGTTATTAATATGTGTTCTACACTTTTATGATATTCCTAAAATTTTGATATGTCTATATATGTTATTAGAGATTAGTGTAGTTATTATTAGAAATTGTTATATGTCACATAAAAGACCAAATTTCCTTAATAGTGGTTTACAATTGGCTATAGTCCAAAATTTGCCTGTTTTTCAAGGAAATTCATGGAAAAAGACGTTGAAATGTACTCTTGAATACAAGTTTCTAAGTTTGGAGATCATACAATAAACTGATGCGTTCATGAAGATTGCTAACCCAACATCAAATAGAACAAAAATTAATTACATGAGACTAAACTGATTAGGAGTGACATGATTTTTATAGCTTTTTATTTGAAATTTTGCTGATTATTTTTATATTTTGTTTTCCAGGGCCAGGAAAACTTTTATTCTTTGAGCTATTTATAGCTTATAACCATTGTGTAAAATATATCTTTGTGAGCAAAATTGAAACATTTGCCTCTCTACCTGATTTTTCCAAAACTTGGAAACTATTTGTGAGCATTCTGATTTTATGATAATGCAGGTATTTGCATAAGCTCAATATGAATCTGTTTTCTGGAACAGGACATAATTTGAGACACTGGTTGTTTTATCAAGGCCTTGACTAAAGTGGCATATTTTCTGGACAGACTGCTTTGAGGAATTGAGGTTGACTTTTATAGACCTGATAAAAAGCCCTGTGTAAAGGCAGGCCTGGTACTTTGTCTTCACAATTCTCTTTAAAGTTTTCTGAACTTGCAGTAAGTTAGGCCCAGGAAGCTCTGATATTTTGGGGACCTTGAGAAGAGAGGAATTCACCCAATTCATACAGTACAAGTACAGTTTAATAGTATATCTAGGCTTGGCTTCCTAACCTTGAGGCCTTTAGGAGTTGAATTTGAAATTCCCTATGAAAATTTTAGCAAAGCCAACTTTAAAAGTGTATATGGCCAATCACTATTCTTATTAAACTTTATGCAAATAGTCAGGCTAAGTATAATACTACTAATTATTTTGCAAGTAAATTGATTCTACTAAGATTTATTTTTGGTAAAAATGGGAACTGGAGAGAGAATACAATTATGTGCACTTGTTAATAGATTTCAGCCCTAACCATTGTTTTTGAATTTTTATTATTTTGCTAAAATTTGGACTGAATCTCCAATGTAGATGTATCTCTCATTGTTTTACTTCTTCTGAGAAAACAAAAAACATGAAATTCCAAGATTAGAGGTGATTTAACAAGCAGCAGCAATTATATAAATCGGTGACTTGACTGAGGACTATCAAGGAATGAGCCTTCTCAGTACCAAGGGATGAGAACCTCTATCTCTATAATCTAAGCAGAGATTTATTATCAATGCTTCCATGGGAAGATTTTTCATCAATGAAGGGGAAATGAGAAAAGAAAAATAGCTTACAGTAGTTTCAGTTATATGAGTTATGGAGGCTGAGGGAGACATGAGTGTGGGACTTCAGTCATGCCCCTCCATTTCCCTCACCCATGCCTGGGGGAAATTATTTAATCTTTTTATTCCCAGCTAACTGCCTCAGCTGTTATCCTCATATTCCTGGAATTTGTGATACAAAGAACAATATATAGCCAATAAATCAATTATTTTGTTTCATAAATTATTGATAAACAACTCAGGAACTGCCTCTTCTTTCCCCTTAAAAATCCACTTGTAACCCGTTGCTGATTATCAGAGTGTATATTCATGGCAACTTGAATCAATGCTCCTGGATTGCAATTCTCAAGCTTGACCCAAATAAACTCTCTACTCATAATAATTTTGCTCCAGCTTCTTCCTTTTAGGTTGACAGGCATTAATCACATTCATGAAGCCTGTGCCCTTGTAACTTAATCACTTCCCAACGACCCCATTTCCTAATATCACCACCTTGAGGTCAGGATTTCACATACGAATTTTGGCAGGACACAAACATTCAGACAAGAACAGTGTTAATCTGGGCTGAATGAACCCTGCTTTCCTAATGTCTATTGGGAAGATGAATCAGCCAATGTGTAGCATTGACTATCTCTGCTTGTTTCTCCCTTGGCTTTTATATCATTTCTGGTTTTCCTCCTACTTTAGTGACCATCATATCTCAGGTTGATTTTTATTGTCTTATCTTTTTTTAACTCTCTCATTTAAAAGTCCAGGTTATTTAGTATTCATTCATTACCCCACTGTTCATTCATATGCAACATTCCACTTGGATAATCTCAGTAGATTCAACTACCATTTTTAAGTGGGTTACCCCCAAAACACACCTATCTCCAGTTTAGCCTTCTCGGCTCTACTTTGGACTAACCAGCTACCCTTGCTGTAAACCTCCATGAGATATTCCGCAATCATCTGACACTTAGCCCAGTACTGAACTTAACTCAAATCCCAAGTGAAAAGAGTTTTTTTTACACTCTATCTTGGAAAATTACACTACTATCAACCCAGTCACTCAAGACAGAACCTAAAAGCCCTCTTAGTAAAGTGCTTTGTATGTAACCTCCATTATCACCGCTTATGTCTATTCTTCCTTGATATTTCTCACATGTCTCCAATGTACCACCCTAATTTAATTTAGCCTCTCCTGGCTTCTTGACTGATTGAATATAATAGCCATAAAGTGGTCTCCCTACATTTGATATTCTCATTCTTAAGCCTTTCCTCTCACTATGACCAGTGATCCCTTGCATGGCAAACTGAACTTGTCTTTCTGCTTAAAACCTGTAATAGCCTCCCACAGCTTTCAAGATAAAATTTAAAATACATAGGCTAGTATATTGGTATTCACACTCTGGCCTTGACTTTTGTCTATCACTGGACTGTGCCTGCAGTATCCACATTTATCACCTTGAGGTCACAGGACAGTTTCTGACACAGGCATCAAGATCAGCAATTGGATTCAGGCAATGCAATGAATTCCACTTGAGACACTCTCTATTGCACCAAATTACTTCCAGAGACAAAGGAAGGAAGTAAAACTGGCTTTCCAACATTTGAGCGTAGTTGGCCATGGATGTGGAAAATTCAGTGACATAATGTGTAAATAATGCTAGTTGGACTCCACAAGCCGGTTTGAGCTAGATGGAGTAGAGAGTACCTAGGCTAATTAGTGGTGTCTTTTTCAGACTTAAATACTGTGAATGTAGAAATCATATATTAATGGACTTTGTATACTTGATGCTTAATACAAAAACTAGCACACATTAAGAGCTCACCAAATTATCATTTAGGGAATAAAAGAAAAAGCAATAGGGGAGGACGTAAGAGCATTTATTTGGCACCTCACTCACTTCCTACATTTCCTTCATTATTATGGTATTCGATGTGATAGAAGATGAGAGAAAAGGAAAATATTCACCAGAATTTTAAAACATTTACTGAGATAGGATTTACATATGGTAGTGCCTCCTTTTCTGAGGTTTCATCTTCTTCAGTTTTAGCTACCTGTAGTCAACTTCAGTCCATAAATATTACATAGAAAATTCCAGAAATAAATAATCTCTAAGTTTTAAATTGTTTGTGGTTCTGAGTAGTGTGATGAAACTTTGCGTTGTCTCCTTCTGTCAGGGGATTGGTTCCACGACCCTCTTGCGATACCAAAAGCCAAGGATGTTCAAACTCCTTATATAAAATGGGATAGTATTTGCATATAACCTATTCACGTCTTCCCATGTACTTTAAATCATCTCTAAATTACTTATAATATCTAATGCTATATAAGTAATTTTTCTACCTATTGTTTTCTTATTTGTGTTATTTTTCTTGTTATACTGTTATTTTTTTATTTATTTAAAAATATTTTTTAGTTGTAGTTGGTTGAATCCGTGGAGGCAGAATCCACAGACACAGAGGTTCAATTATAATAGCCTGATGCTACATCACAATGCCTACATCATTCATGTCACTTCATCTCATTATGTAGGCATTTTATCATCTCACGTTCTCATAAAAAGAAGGGTGAGTATAGTGCAGTGAGAGAGATCACATTCACATAACTTTTATTACAATATATTGTTATAATTGTAGGTTTATTATTAGTTATTGTTAACCTCCTAATGCACCTAATTTACAAACTAAACTTTATTACAAATATGAATGTACAGTCTTAATGTCACTTTTTTTTTGTTTTTTTTTTTTTGAGATGGAGTCTCACTCTATTGCCCAGGCTGGAGTGCAGCGGCACGATATCGGCTCACTGCAACCTCTATCTCCTGAGTTCAAGCAATACTCAGCCCCCCGAGTAGCTGGGATTACAGGCAACTGACACTAATCCCGGCTAAAGTTTGTATTTTTAGTAGAGATGGGGTTTCACCATGTTGTCCAGGTTGGACTTGAACACTCAACCTCAAGTGATCCACCCACCTCGGCCTCCCAAAGAGCTGGGCTTACAGGCATGAGCCACCATGCCTGGCCTAGTCTCAATGTCACTTAATGATAGAAATACATTCTGAGAAATGCAGCAGTAGGTGATTTTATTGTTGTGCAAACATCAAAAAGTGCACATATATAAACCGAGATGGTATAGCCAGTACACACCTAGTCTATATGGTACAGCCTATTTATTGCTCCTAGGCTACAACCTGTACAGCATGTTACTGTACTGAAAACTGTAGTCATTTGTAACACAATGGTAGTATGTGTGTGTATCTAAACATAGAAGAGGTACAGTAAAGATATGGTGTAAAAATAACAAGTGGTACACCTGTATAGGGCACTTACCATGAATGAAATTTGCAGGACTGGAAGTTGCTCTGGGTGAGTCAGTGAATGAGTAATGAGTCAATGTGAAGGCCTAGGACATTATATTACTATAAAATTACTAAACACTGTATATACTTAGGCTACACTCAATTTACAAAACAATACTTTCCTTTCTTTAATAATAAAATAATCTTAGCTTATTGTAACTTTTTTACTTTATAAACTTTTTAAATTTGTTAAGCTTTTTTGTAATAAAACTTAGCTTTAAACTCACATTATACAATTGTAGAAAATATTTTTTGTCTCTTTATTCTACACGCTTTTTCCATTTTTAAAATATTTATTTATTTTTTACTTTTTAAACTTTTGTTAAATAGTAAGCACAAACACACACATTAGCCTAGGCGTACACAATGTCAGGATCACCAGTATCACTGTCTTCCAGCCTCCACATCTTATCCCACTGAAAGTCTTCAAGGACAAAAACATACATGGAGTTGTCATCTCTATGATAATAATGCCTTGATCTGGAATAACTCCTGAAGGACCTGACTTAGGCTGTTTTGCAGTTAAATTTTTTTTTAATAGGGAAAAGGAGTATACTATAATAATGATAAAAAATAGTATAGTGAATACATAAACCAGTAACATATTTATTATCATTATCAAGTATATACTGTACATAATTCTACATGTTATACTTTTATACAAGTGACAGCACAGTAGGTTTGTTTGCACTGGTGTCACCACAAACACATGAGTAATGCATTGCACTGCAACATTACAATGGCTATGATGTCACTGGTGATAGGAATTTTTCAGCTCTATTATAATCTAGGGGATCACTGTCATATATGTGGTCTATCCTTGACCGAAACTTTGTTGTACAGCTAATGACTACATAGGAACAAACATTGTACTTATAGGATTCAGTACTATCTTCAGTTTCAGACATCCACTGAAGGTCTTGGAATTTACCCTCATGAATAAGTGGGGACTACTAGACAGTAAACGCACATTTTTAACTATACAGTATGATGCATTTTCACAAATGTATATTCCAGTATAACCACCACTCCAATCAAGGTATAGAAAATTTCTGTCACCCTAATTCTTTCATGATCCTTTTCTATCAATCCTTCACCTCTGCACAAGCAGCCATGTTTCTTATTTCTAACACCGTAAATTAATTTGCCTGTTTTTGAGCCTCATTTAAATGGAATCATGCAATGTACACGTTTTAATTTCTGGCTTTTATTACTCATCATAGGTTTTAAGAACTGACCCATAAATTTGAAATGTTCAATCATAAGTTATTTTTTTATCTCTGAGTAACATTTCACTAGATTAATATAAATATACCCAAATTTATTTGTACACTCACTTGTTGGTAGACATTTCCACCCCCGAACACTCCATCATTCAGTTTTTGATGATTATAAATAAGGTTTCTGTGAAAATTCTTATACAAATATTTCAGGAGAAATATGCTTTTATTTTGTGGAAGTAGAAACTTAGGAGTGGAATTGCTTGTTCACATGGTAAATATGTGTTTAAATTGATAAGAAATTGCCAAACTATTTTCTAAAATAGTCATTGATTTTACAGCAGCAGTTGTCCCAAATTTGGCTAATACTTGACATTAACAGTGTTTATAATTTTAGCCATTTTAATAAATTGTAATTGTAGTTTTAATTTGAATTTTCCTGATTACTAGTGATGGTGACCATCTTACATGCTTACTGTCCATTATATAACTTATTTTGTGAAGTGTCTGTTCAAATCTTTTACCCATTTTTATTGTTTGTCATTTTATTATTGAGTTCTACATAACAGACTATTTATAAATATAATGAATATTATAATACATATATAATATTTTTTTCTTAATCTGTGGCTTGTGTGTTTTTTTCCTTAACAATGTCTTTTGAATAGTAGAAATTTTTAATTTTGATGAAGTCCAATTTATTATTTTATATTTTGATTAATGCCTTTTTATTCTAAGAAGCGTTTTCTACCCAAATATTATAAATACATTCTTTTATTAATTTTGAATTAACTTTTGTGTATGTATATCAGTTAGAGTTAGATATGGGTTAGGATTAGATATGACATAGTGTTCTTTATTTTCCATGTGGATATCTATTTGCACCAGATAATTTGTTGAAAACTTTCCTTCCCCTGTTGAATGTCTTTGTCATTTTGTCATCCATTGGCCATATAAGTATTTGCATATTTCTAGACTCTCTATTCTGTACTACCAATCTATTTATGGATCCTTACAGCATACCACACAATTTTAATTGCTACAGGTTAATAGTAATTTGTGACATTAAGTAGTAGACGTCTGTTCAATTCATTCTTTCAAGACTATTTTGGCTATTTGGTGTACTTTGCATGTAATCATTTTATATATGTTAGAACCAGCCTGTTTCTACCAGGAGAAGAAAAAGAAAAGAAAAGAAAAGGAGAGGAGAGGAGAAGAGAGGAGAGGAGAGGCGACGAGAGGGGAAAGGAGGGGAAGGGAAGGGAGGGGAGGAGAGGTGAGAGGAGAGGAGGGGAGGAGAGGGGAGAGGAGGGAGAGGAAGGGAGAGGAGAGGGGAGGAGAGGAGAGGGAGGAAAACTTGCTAGAGAGGGAGGAAAACTTGCTAAGATTTTGATTGGGACCGATAAATTTTGGTGAAATTGACACCTTAACAGGTTGACTCATCCAATAATTTGATGTATTTCTTCATTTGTTAACTATAGTTTCTCTCAACAGTATTTTGTAGTTTTTCAGTGTAGATATCTTAAACATTTGTATTAAATATATTCCTTCTTTATTTTAAAAAACAGAGATGACATCTTGCTATGTTGCCCAGGCTGGTCTCAAATTCCTGGACTCAAGCAATTCTGCCCTGGCCTCCCAAAGTACTAGAATTACAGATGTGAGCCACCATGCCTGGCCTATATCCCCTTTTCATGATCTTATAAATGATAGAAGTTCTAAATTGTATTATCTAACTGTTGCTGGTTTCAAAAAATTCAGTTGATTTTTGTATGTAGACCTTGTAAACCATGTAACCTGGACAATTTTCTTAGTAATTGCATCATTTCTTTTCTTTTCTATTTGGCAGATTTTTTTTTTTTTAATTCACTATGAACACAGTTATGTTGACTATAAAAAATGTACATTTCAGTTTTTCCTTTCCAGTCATTACTATTTTTACTTCTTTTACTTGCTTTAATGCACTGATTGGTAACTCCAGTGCAGTATTGTTAGAAATGAGGAGAACAAAGCTTAGCTAGTTCCATCAGAAAGGAAATAATTTTAATCTTTAAGTATGATGCTAACTGTAATTTTTTTATAGATGACCTTTATCAGATTGAAGAGTTTTCTTCTATTTCTATTTTATTGAGATTTTTTAATGAATAGATACAAAATTTGATCAAATGCCATTTTTGCATGTATTGAAATATCCACACAATTTCTTAAATGTTTCATAGAATTCACCAGTGAAGCCATTTGAGCCTAAAGTTTTATTTGAGATAAAGTGTCAAATTAGGAGTTCAATTTACTTAACAGATATAAGGTTATTCAGGATCTCGATTTGTTATTGAATTAGTTTTGGTAACTTGTGCTTTTCAAGAAGTTTGTCCATTTCACCTGAGTTGTCAAATTTACTGGCATAAAATTGTTAATAATGTCCCCATATTATTCTTTGAATGCCTGTGGAATATATAGTGATTGCTTCCCTTTATTGTTGATACTGGTAATTTGCATTTTCTCTCTGTTTTGTTGTTGTTCATTGTAGGCACAGTTTTATTAACTTTGTTTCTCTTTTCCAGAAACAGGTTTAGTTTCATCGATTTTCTCCATTTCCTGTTTCTATCCCACAATTTTCACTTATTTTTCAAAATTTTCTATTCTGCTTACTTCGAGTTTAATTTGTTCACCTTTTGCTAGCTTCTTAAAGTGGAAACCTGGATAAAAGATTTTAGAGCTTTCTTCTTTTCAAAATCTATACATTTTCTCCAGGAGCTGTGTAAAGAACTTTCAGTATACTCTGATCAATTATGGAGGCTGTTTTATCCCTGTGATTTAGTTTATCAAGATTTCATTGCAAATGCTGCTTTTTCTTAATCTCACGAAAGTATGATTTTAATTTTTTATTTATTTTTTATGTTTCTTGTTTTCAGCATGGGAGAAATGGTCTTTCAAATCCTTTTGCATCCAGACTGACACGGTACCTCACACCTATAATCCCAGCACTTTGAGAGGCTGAGGAGGAGTTTGAGACCAGCTTGGACAACATGGTGAAACCCCGTCTCTACTAAAAATACAAAAAATTAGCCGGGATGGTGGCTTGCATCTGTAGTCACAGCTGCTTGGGAGGCTGAAGCAGGAGAACGCTTGAACTCGTGAGGCGGAGGTTGCAGTGAGCCCAGATCGCGCCATTGCACTACAGCCTGGGTGACGGAGTGAGACTCTGTCCAAACCAAACCAAACCTAACCAAACCAAACCAAACCAAACCAAACCAAAACCAAACAAAACAAAAATCCTTCTATCTCTAACCTGGCTACCTGGTAGTGAAAGTTTATTTAATGACTGTTTAAAATACATATCCTAAACATACAGAGGTTCTGCTAAAATCTAGTTTATGAAACATTCATATATTCTTAGTATCTTTCACCAATTTCCTGATTTACTCCTAAGTAAAATCCTGGCATATTAATTCTGAATAATCTCAGAAAAATTACTTTAAAATTCAAAATGATAAATATTAGAGGTGTAGTTCAAGGCTTAGCTTTTCCAGGCAAGGAAACAACCAGTTATCATTTTAATTCATTTCTCTAAATGAGTTACTAATCTAATTTCCAAGATAAGTTACTCAAAGAATCTCTTTCACATCTTTTTATTTCTGCTTTAAATTTTTAAGTAAAAAGAGTACTGTAAAGTGATCTTTAAGCATAAAATATCTTCAAAGATAAAAAGAATGAAGGAACATTTTATTCTATCATAAGACTCATTCAACAGATATTAAATTCTCTTAGGTGAATTTTCTTTTTAGTCTTTTCAATAAATGACAGCTATTACTTGTATTTTAGAACATGTACACTTCAATACTCAAAGAAATTGCCAGCGATCTCTAAAGGTTCACTTTTTTTTTTTTTTTTTTTTTTTTTTTGAGACGGAGTCTCGCTCTGTCCCCCAGGCTGGAGTGCAGTGGCACGATCTCTGCTCAGCAACCTCCGCCTCCCAGGTTCAGGCAATTCTCCTGCCTCAGCCTCCCAAGTAGCTTGGACTAAAAGCGCAAGCCACCACGCCTGGCTAATTTTTGTACTTCACTGGAGATGGAATTTCAACGTGTTGCCCAGGCTGGTCGCGAACTCCTGAGCTGAGGCAATCCGCCCGCCTCGGCCTCCCAAAGTGCTGGGATTACAGGCGTGAGCCACCGCGCCTCGCCAGGGTCACATTTATCTTTGTGGATTAATCATGTCAGATAACCCTATTGTGAGAAGCTAAAGCCATACCCACTGGATGATTTTATTTCAATAGATTTCATTTTCTTCTTCTGACCGCCACTTTCTTTCTGGTTGCATTAGAGAAAAGCATAAAGAAGTCCCATTGTGAAGAGAAACCAGGAAAAAGCTTTGCTACAAGGCAAGAGCTAATACACTATTCTGTAGGGACTGATATTCATCTATTTTTCAATAAAAGCTAATGGTTCAATAGTCCCAATGCACCCAGCTAATCTAGAAAGAAGTTGATGCTTGGGAACAGGGATTCAATCAAGATTCATGCATAAGTGCTATTACTACATATAAAATATACTTACACCTACTTGATACATGACTAATTTAAGAACATAACCAACTGACTTTAGCCTTGGCAACATTGCATAGACATTTGAAAATGTGATGCTACTGAATATACCAGTTTGGGTAATATAGCAAATGTTTATATCTAATTAGAAAATAAATAAATAAATTTCTGACCTGGAAAGCAGCCGTGCATTCCCAAGGTCCTTTAAAAGATTGAAAATATTTAAGTGATGCCATTTAAAAATAACTCAGTGACTGCTGTTTACTATTCAGTATTCAGATATTCTAATAAAATGAAATAAGCTTCCCTATGAAAGGTATTTTTGCTGAACATTCCCAAGGGTAAGAGCAATTTCCTTTTTAGATGAGTAATGTGTTAGTTAAAGGCACGACTATGCTACGCATATCAAGATCTGTAAGCAGATAGGAATTCATGAGCAGAGAAAGAAAGCAAGTGAGAAATCAGGAGCATAAAATTCTGAGACAATTAAAGTTCTTAAATAGGTAAGAAACAGAATAGTTTCTGCATGATTAACTGCATGACTTGGGGATAGCACTGGGTAATCAGTGCAAAAATAAAAAAGTCTCCTAAAATACCTTCTCTTTACTTAATTATATACTCTTTCTTTAGATGGTTAATTTTAGTTAGCACAGAGAAATGACAATGTTAAATTGCTCACAATTGCATAAAGATATAGACATTTAAAGTGTGATTTTGATTTACCAAATACTCCTAATATAAAAGTCACATGCTATTCTTTCCATCATTTCAGCCACAATAATATCAACTTTCAATTTTATTTGGGATTTTGTTCTGCATCTAAAGGCAAAAAGTTAATTTTTAAAAGGGGTGCAATGTACTCATGATGTGTTAAATGAAACTATGTTCATGTATATTTATGTGGGGTTTATGTAAAGCACATGCATTTAATTGATATTTATTCAGTTGGCATCTTACTAACAAGTGTTTGAGTATTCTCTGGCATTTGAGTATGATTATATATATTTAATTTTTAATGGTCTACTTATGCTGAAAATATGTTAATATTGGTCTAAGCAAGTAGAAAGTGTACCATGGTGAGTTATTTCTTCTTGATATAATAGATATTATATTAAACCCTAAGAGTTGTATTACATATTGAACACTCATTGTGAAAGCTCTCTACTAGGACTTAAATTTGATCATGTGACTCTATAATCTCCTACACCTCTTCTTATTCTAATACTGTATAACTATGTGTTTGTAGTTTTGACTTATAAAGGATAGAAGTAGGCCTAGTATCTTAACCCAAGGAAGTGCTGTGCAAAAGTTTTCAGATTACCAGATTCATCTCTAGATGGCTGTGACCTTTGAGAGATTCAGAAGCATCAGCAACAATTGACAGGTTTTTTTTATTATTTAAGGTTAAAATGCATTGCTCATTGCCTGTAAAATTTAAAGAGTGAACTTTGTATTCTGTAAAAGTTTTGTTCATCTGTAAACCAGAGTGGTCTGCAAAATGGTAGCTATTTGGCTTGGAAGCATATCTTTTTATTTGTGAATCCTAGAATGAAACTAAACAACCTCACAACAGTGGACTAATAATATTTAATGTTTATTGACCACTAAATATATGCCAAGAGTTCTTCCAAATGCTCTAATATATGAACCTATGTAATCCTCACAACAATTATTTGAGACAGGTATTACAATTATTGTTATACCCATTTTACAGATGATACACATGTGAACAATTAACTTGCACAAGGTATAGTAAGTAGCAGAGTGAGAATTCAATGCAGACATTCTGCCTCCAAATTCCACATTTGTAATTAATATACTGTAGTGTTTCTATGTAATAAATGTTCAATTGAACCATGTCATCTATAGTTCCACATCACTGGTTTTGTTTTTTTTTTTTTTAAATCACCAAATTAGATAACATGGAGCATCCTATTGGTCTGTAACAGCTGAGTCCTGCTTGCAAAGGAGGTCATAGGGACCCAAGTTTTCAAGGTCTTTTCCTTCCAGACCTTTACTTATTAATGTATTCATTTAAATATTAGGCAGTGTCTTAATCTGCTTGGGCCACTATTTAAAAAAGGAGCCATAGACTAGGTGGCTTAAACAGCAGATACTTACTTTCTCACAGTTCTGAAGGCAGGGAGTCTGAAATCAAGGAACCAACATGGTCAAGTTTTGGTCCCTCTTCCTGGCTCACAGGTATTGCCTTATCACTGTGTCCTTACGTGGCTGAGAGAGAAATCTGTGTTGTTTCTTCCTCTTCTTATGAGGGTGCTAATCCCATCATGCAGATTCTATTCTTATGAGCTCATTGAAACCTAATGACATCTCCAAAGGTCCACTTTCTAATACCATTACATTGGAGGTTAGAGATTCAAGTCATAAATTTAAACGGTCCCCAACATGGAGCCTGTAACAGCCAGCCA
The DNA here is from genome assembly GCF_000001405.40 of Homo sapiens. Lineage (NCBI taxonomy): Eukaryota > Metazoa > Chordata > Mammalia > Primates > Hominidae > Homo > Homo sapiens. Next base: position 78,706,394 of record NC_000012.12, read on the forward strand.
CTGTTCTAGGCACTGGGGATGCAGTAGTGAACAAAGGAGACAAAAATGCCTTGCCCACATGGAACTTAGAGTCTCATGGGGAAAATAGTAAGATAAACATGTAAAATAAATAGACTATTTGACGTTAGTAAGTGCTATAGGAGAAAAAAGAGGAAAGGAATGCTAGGAAATATAACGTGAAATTTGGATAGAATGGTCGAGAAAGCCTTTCTGAGAATCTTGGTTGACTCAATCTGAATAGGCTATGCTGGGAGAAGGCAATTGCAAAAGACTTGAGGGGAGTTTAGGGGGTCTGTTCAAGACAACGAAGCAGGGTGGCTCAACTGGTGTGAATTAGACAGAAAGTGTAAGGGATTTGGTTAGAGAAGTAAAAGAAAGGCCCAGACCATGAAGGTCATTACAATTCATAATATGAACCTCAGATTTTATTCTGAGTAAAACAGAAGCTATTAAAGGATTTTGAGCAGAGGAGTGGCATGATTTGGACATTCATTTGAACGGAATAATTCTGGCTGCTCTGCTGAAAAGAAACTGAAGATAGGAACAAGAGCTGAAGCACAGAGACCAGTTAGGAGGCTAACATGTCAAATCATTAAGAGATTAGGCAAATGGGTGCTAATCAAGCCTCATATGAATTGACCAAATGTTTTATTTGCTGCAGAGAGAAAATGTGAATATGATTTTAATGCTAATTTGGGAAGACTTCCAAGAAAGTTGGCATAGTGCACAATGCATTAATCTCTCTCAAACCCTTTGACTGAACAAAAACAACCTTGAATTGGATTTAAACTACATATACAATGAAACTAAACTGTCACAGTAAAGTCCATACTTAACATTCTGAAAGTAGTCTGCTAGAAAATATAAAATGAAGACATAAATGAAGTATTCTGTGATTGCAATAAATATTACTTGTAATACTAAATATGAAAAAGAGTTTAAAAGGTGGATGATAACATTCTGAAGAGCACTACTAAATTCTCTAACCTGCAGATCAATAGTGAGAAATGTTTGTGGACACATTTGCATTCTGTAGAACAGGATGGATAGTGAGCAAGAAACCTCTTGACCATACAAAATAACTTTTATTCCTAATGTAAGAGAAAAGGGAGCAGATTGTAGCAATAGCCGGATCAGAGGAGAGACAAGGAAAAAAAGGTGGAAACATTAGGGGTCAACAAAGATATCCTGTGTGTAAATTCAATAGCAACGTTCTGTGGGCCACAGATATTCATATTGGATGTAACTTTTCACAAGGTTGGTATTCATTTTTGGAAGCCTAGATATGGAGCTCCCATACTCACCTCACACCTATTTGACCAGAAATGCCAGTAGGAGATGGGGTTCAATGAACCTGTAGGAAAAATCAGCAAAATGTTGGCTGCATACTGCCCTTTCCCTTAGTGCCCACTCCTCCAAGCAGCTGAATAAGCTTTAGCAATTGAACAAAGGTTAAAGTCATCAACAACACGGAGCATTCCAATTTAAGATATTGAGTGATACGATGGAAAGAAGGAAAGTCAAAGAGAATTTCTGCACAGTGTTTGGAAGCAATTATTGGCCTTAGTGAAAGTGTCTATACTGAAGTCAAGATTAATTGCAGTATTTAATTGATACAAACGTTTTTCAAGATAATGAAAGAAGATAAAGTTGTACGCAAAGCATAGATAAGTCAGCTTTTTGAATTTTAGAAAAGGATGGCTTACTCTGTCCAGCATATTAAAGATATCAAAGATAAGATAAAAATATCAAATAAATTATCAATTGGAAAAGGAGCTACTACAACTAATAAAACTGATAATTTCAAAAACATATTGAAAAGAGCAAAAACATACTATTAGTGTTTTTTCGATGGCATACCAGACAAATTTGAAGAGTACAAATACAACACTGAGAAAAAGGGAAAGAAATTAATGTTCTCAATGCAAAAACTTGATTGGAAAAATTTGACTGGACGAAGTTAAACAAGTAAGGAAGATTTTATTCAAGGCTATTGCAATAACAAAGAAAAAACAGAAGGCAATGTGACCGTGACTCTGCTAAAAAAGGAGCAAGAGAATTTTTAAGCTCTGGAGTACGGAGATCATAGTCTATATGTATGTGCTAATTGGCCTCACCCAAAGGAAAAGTAAGCTTTTTCATATCTTCATGACAGGCGATAATTACACAACTTGGGGAAAGACTAGCTAGTCTCCTACCCTCCTACGAAGATTGGGAGATAGTGGTGCTATCTCTTTTAATGATTATGATTCAAAGGGATGGCTCCCAGGTCCGTGAAAAGACAGTCCTGTGTTGTAACACAGACAACAGGATTTTTAAAAAATTTAAATTGCACAGAATCAGAGAAGGAATTTATAATGAAAAAATATTTAAGTAAATGTTTTAAGAAAAGGGAAAGAGGGACCTCTGTGACTAGTGACTGGGTTGAGGAGAAGATCAGGAAGAAACCTGTCTAAAGTATAGACAAGTTGAGGGTAGTGTTGAGGCCATGTTAGTCCATATAGATAATATAGTTCGTATGGAGGCCAGACAATGAAGTTTCTATGCACAGATTCGCATAGAAAATACTTTCACAGACATAAAGGAAGAATAATTCCTGAAATCAAATAATACCTGAATCAGTACATCAAAATATGACTGTTCTAGGACAATTTAACACCGAGTTTTATCTTGATGAAACAACTAAACTTTGAGCAAAAACAGTTGCCAGTTCCCACAAGTTGCCAGGGCAGCAGGAGCACGGTGAACATAAAACAATTCCAAAGGAGACAAAATATTTAGCCAGGCCACCTTCAGACCTCAGACATCAAAAGGTATGGTTCAATGTCATGAGTATTCCCAGAGACTAGTAGATTGCAGAGAGAAATATATATCAAGCCAAAGAATTTTGGTTTTATTTTATGTGAAAAGTCAGTTTTTCCCAACTGGATGTTCCAAAATCAATGCATGCTACAGTCTTTCTCCACTCCATCTTTTAAGATTCAGTTCATCTATTAGCACATTAGAGTCAAGAAGTTCCACACAAGCATATGTAACTTTTGGTAACAAATATTTCCTAAATTATTTGACAGCCAAAACATGTTTTGAGGAGCAACTTTTAATGCTGCCTAAATTAAGTAATGTTCCCTCAAAATACTGTCTTAGGTCATTTAATCAAAACATCAACATAAACAGATGGATGTTTAGGGAGATTAACACAGGGTTTTGAATAGAATGGATTGAAAGCCAGAAGAGCTCACAAACTGGAAAGCCATTGAGATGACTATTGCAATAAGCCAGACAGGGGGAGATGACAGCCTAGAGAGTTATAAAGAAAGAATTGCTAAAATGCCTTCCTGAGTTTCTTTTGCTGAAATGCCCTATTCTCTCCTCTCCAGCTTGGATTTTAAATAATTGTTAAAAAAAAAAAAAACTTAAACAAGGATAATATGATACTACCATTTACTACTTAACAAATTGTAATCACAAGTTTTCCCCTTATTTCTGTAATCTTCTCACTTTTATTTGAATGGACACACAGGCTTTTAAGAATAGATTAACTAGTTAAAGTGAATGTAATAACCAATCAACATTAAAAATCAGTGTTGGCAGGCTCTGCCCACTATGCATCTCTAAAAATTGCTAATTATCTTAATATACAAGGTCAAATCCCACTGCTTCACCTAGAATTCCCAGATCATGCTGTCACATATTAACTCTTTCATCTCTGAATTATGTTGGCATTTACTTCCTCTATTACTGTAATATATCTTGCCTTAATTTGTCTTTTTAAATGTATTTATTCTTATTACTCATCTATATTGTAAGCTACTCTATGGAAGGAATCTTCTCGTGCTTTCCTTTCAGTACCATCTATGGACCTATTGCACAAAGCACAAAATAAGTAATAATTGATTATTTTACATATTCTACTTCCCTTGATTTTCTACTATATAATAGAGAGGCTGTGAATTTTACTTAAGTATTCTCTGTATATTGAAGAGAAATTGAATGGAATAGGGCACTTTCTCATCGATGAAAAGTTTTTGTCATCCAAAAATATAAACTTAAAGGGTACTTATATTCGCAGTTAAGTTAGTTGGAAATTATTACAATTTTTGAACTTTCCATTAAATTTATTACAGATGGTTCCTGATATAGTTTGGATGTGTGTCCCTGCCCAAATATCATATTGAAATGTAATTCCCAGTGTTGGAGGTGGGGCCTGGTGGCCTAGTGGAAGGTGATTGGATCATGGGGACAGATTTCTCATGAATGACTTAGCACCATTCCCGTTGGTACTGTCCTTGTGATAATGAGTAAGTTATTGTGAGATCAGTTCATTTAAAAGTGTGTAGCATCTCCCCCAAGTTCTCTTGCTCCTGCTCCCACCATGTGAGACGCCTGCTCCGCCTACACCTTCTGCCATAATTGTAAGCTTCCAGAGGCCTCCCTAAAAGCTGAGCAGAAGTGAGCATCATGCTTTCTGTATAGCCCGCCAAACCATGAGCCAATTAATTCCCTTTTATATAAATTACCCAGTCTCAGGTATTTCTTTAGAGCAATGCAAGAATGGTCTAATACAGTCCCAGACTTACAAAGTTTTGACTTTGCATTTATCAGGGTAGTAGATGCAGTTTTGACATTTTGATTATGGGTTTATTAGGAAGTAACATCATTGTAAGTAAAAAAAAAAATCTGTATATTTCATTGTAAAACAAGATAACTGATAATATATCATCAAAAACATTCAGCCTTAGAGCTTGTATGGAAACAAAAGTTCATATTCATTTTCTTCTAGGCAGCCAGAAGTGAATACAAACCAAGCATTAAAGTTGCCTACCTTCCTTTTTTAAAAAATCAATTTTTATAGTGATACAATATAATTTCTGGAGCCAATGAAATCAATAAAATTCGGTTTTAATCACAGCCTTTGTTTTACTTGCTAACTGACCTAAAGGCTGCCATAGCAAAATACCACAGTTTGGGTGGCTGAAACAACAGAAATTTATTTTCTCACTGTTTTGGAGGCTGGAAGTCTATGATCAACTTGTTGGCAAGTTTGGTTTCTCCTGAGACCTCTCTCCTTGTCTTGCAAATACCTGCCTTCTTGCTGTTCTCACACAATCTTTCTTCTGTGTTCATGTGAATTCATGGTATCTCTTCATGTTGGATTAAGGCCTGCTTTTATGGCCTCATTTAACCTAATTTCTCCTGAAAGGCCTTATCTTCGAATGCAATTATATTGAGAGTTAGGACTTCAACATATGAATTTGGGGGAACATCATTCAGTCCCACTCTCTGCATGTCCCCCACAATTCATGTCCTCTCTCATGCAAAATACATTCACCCCTCGCAATAGTCTGACACATCTTAACTAATTCCAGGATCAACTCTAAATCCAGAGTATCATCTACATATATAAATTAGGTAGCCGTGAAACTTGAAGTATGATTTATCTTGAAGTTAAATTTCTCTCTAGCTGTGAACCTGTGAAACTCGATGAGTTATATGCTTCCCACATACAATGTGGAACTAGGATAGGGTAGACATTCTCACTCAAAGGGAGAAATTGATAAGAAGTCAGGGGTGACAGGTCCCCAATAAGTTCAAAATCTATCAAGGCAAACTCCATTAGATCATAAGGCTCAGAATAATCCTCTTCGTCTCAACGATTGTGGCAGCATCATCCCCACAGCCCTAGAAGGTAGAACCACCACCATCATTCTGGGCAGCGAGGTTTGTTTCTGAGGCACTGGCTGGCAGTGGCAAGGCCTGCTGAAACCAAGAATGAAACAGGCTTGACTTTTGAAACCAAGAAGAAAACAACTTTGCATCCTCCCCAGTCCTGACCACTCAGGTCCAGTGATGAAGATGTCAGAATTAAAGATCTCTGAATCACCTTCAGAGTCGTTCTTTTCTTTTCTTGAAGGATGGTGCACATTTTTACACAAATAGCTCTATTGCCCCATCCTGCAGAATCTAGAAGTCTGCTAGCCTTGTTTTATTTTGTTCTGTTTCTGTTACTTTTTGTCCCAGCTGGCAGTGTTTCTACTGGTATAAACTTCTGTTCCTAGTTTCTGCTGATGAAAGATTAAATCCATGAGTCACACCTATCATCTCTTTATTAAATGATTTTTCCAGTCACCCCCCTGGTCTTTTCTCCAGAATACACTTTCTCCTTTTTCACAATATACATAGGTTGGGAATTTTTTAAATCTTTACTTCTGTCTTCCTTTTACTTAACAATCCCTTCAATTTATCTCCCTCCTCTTACATTTTACTATAAGCAGTAAGGAGAACTAGACAATATCTTCAACACTTCTTAGAAATCTCCTTAGCTAAATATCCAAGTTTATCATTTTTAACTTTTGATTTTCTTAACACATTAGAAAACAATTGAGCCAAGTTCTTTGCCACTTTATAACAAGGAAAGACTTTCCTCCAGTTTCCATTGACTTATTATTCCTCATTTCTATCCGAGACCTCACCAGAATCACCTTTAAGGTCTATGTTCCTACCAACCAGCTCTTTAAGACAATGTAGGCATTTTTCAACATGCACCTCAAAACTTTTTCAACCCATTACCAGTTTCAAAGCCATTTTTACCTGTGTAGGTATTTGTTACAGCAGTATTCCACTTCACAGTATCAAAATCTGTATTAGTCAGCATTCTCTAGAGAAAGAGAACTAATAGAATATATAGATGATTAATTTATTATAAGGAATTGGAGGCCAAAATCTGTAGTTTAGGCCAATAGATTCAATACCAGGAGAGTAGATTCTATAGTTCCAATGAGAAGACTGGCTGTAGCCTGGAGACCCAGGAGCGCCAATAGTGCAGATGGAATCCAAAGGCAGTCTGCTGAATTCCCTCTTGCATAGGGGGGCAGGTCTTTTTGTTCTAGTCAGACCTTCAGTTGGTTGGATGAGGCTCATCCGTATTATAAAAGGCAATCTGCTTTACCGAAAGTCCACTGATTTAAATGCTAATCTCATTCAAACACAGCCTCCAAGTTGGCATATAAATGTAACCATCAAAGAGTTAGATTATGTTCATTTATCTTGATTGTACTAATGGTTTCATGGGTGTACACAAATATGAGAACTTACCAAATGATATATTTTAAATATTTATAGTTATTATATGTCAAATGTACCTCAATACAGCTGTTAAAATATTATGAGAAACAAATAAAATAAACTAGTCTTTATGTTAAAAAGCTGTTAAAATATTATGAGAAACAAACTAGTTTTTATGTGCATATAAAATAATCATATAATTTACTGATAAATATCACTCTATAATTTTTAAGTAAAATCTGTAAAGCACAACATTGGTAAGAAAAATTAATCAGAAACAGATGTTTAAGAAAACAATATCTCTAATGAACAGGGTCATCTAATGAGTAGGGATCTGCCACAAGAAAAAGTCAGCAAGTTTGCATTTATCTTTGTATTCACTTATTGCCATGTGATGTGTATTAAAAGACATATCTGAAATCTAACCCCCCCAATTAAGAAATACATAAAAATTTTGGCTCATAGATGTTTGCCAAATTTTTATTAAATTTGCTTGTTCCTTTACTTTCTTAATCCAAAGTTTTAAAAAATATGTTTTACATCTATAGCAATAAAATCATTTCTATTTAGTTTGAACAAACGGGTGGTTTTACAAAATAATTTTCTAACAAGAGGTAGCAAAATCAATATACAGAGAAACTGGCACCAAGTATCACAAGTCAAAATGTAATGCAAAGTAGATTCAATAAGGGTCCTTGAGAGGTAAGTTGTTAAATTCTGTGATATTTTTAAAATTCACAACTAGCTGTTTCTCCCAAGTTGTATGAAGCTCTGCCTGCTATTTGTTTATTGCTCTGAGCAATATACCTGTCGACTGTTAGTAAGCCTCTGATTTGGTATGAAGTGGCTGCTTACAGAAGTGACAGGTCTGAATTACATAGGGCAGTAATTAATAAATATGTACTGATGTAGTCATAAGGATTCAATTAGTAAATACAGTGAATTTAATGGAAAAATTATCATCATTTGGGGAGCTCTCTGTATCTGACTCTAAACAATAAAAAGGGTTTATATACATCCACTAATTTTTCTTTTAAATTGCCTATTTTTGGTTTTGAGATATTACTTGTATACGTGTTAGTATTTAAGTCACCCACCTACTTATCAGGCGAATTTGGGAATTGTATTACTCTTTATAAACAGAAGGTTTCATTCATAGAGAAGAGTAAATAATTATGTGAATGAGATATATTTTATCAATAAATGCAGCACATGACACTTTCCTTCTTTTGTAGACACTACCTACTTTGCTTTTTAAATGTCATCCATATTTATCAGACCACATGCTTCTTGACATTTAGGAATTTTAAAAATCAAATTGTAACTGAAGCTTTGACAACAGGAGCTGATTACCAAGGGACTGAAGAGTAACAGTTTTTTTTTCAAGCAGTAGGCTACAGTAGAAGTGTGAATTATCAGTCATTTGTGATACTCTTCAGGTGATTATTTATGCTTATTATCATAATGTAATTAAGCCTTTCTTAAAGCACTTAATAGTTCTTGGAAAGTTCCATGGAAAGTTTTAGGAATTAAGTTGAATTTACTAGCCAACTTATTCTTTTTGTGTTCCCAAGTCATCTGTGTACATCATATTAGAAAATCATTCTGAAAATCTTCCGCAAAACAAAATGTCTTACTTGAAAAGGAGTACTTAATGAAGATAATTATTTCTTCATAAAAAGTGAATTAAAACAAATGTTAAAATGTGTTTGATTATTCAAATTTATCTCTTAAAAGCCACATTCCAAAGTATATTAATGACTTGTCAACACTTTGTAAACTTTAATATTTCCACTAGATATGCCTGTAAATTATTTATCATCAATTAATATTATAATTATTTTCCTGCTCTCAAACCAGTTCATAATAATATCATCCAACATGTTTAGAAATCTCAGGGACCACAGGTGAGGGGGAATATTTACTGGGAAACTTTTAGTAAAAATAGTGGATTTATCAAGAATTGTGAGGGGCTTGCAATTTTACCCTATTTAAAGGTTAACAAGTTAGTAGACCACAGTTTACATTTGAAAAATATAAATGAGCAAGGAAAACATCAATTCACTTTTTGAGTGCAGTATACCCAGATAACAAAACCGTACAAAAGCATCACAAGAAAATAAATGTACAGACCATTATCCCTCATGAATATAGACACAGAAATCCTTAAAGAACAGTGGTTCTCAAAATGTATTTCTAAATCAGGAGCAGCATCTTTTGAGAACTGATAAAAATGGAAATACTTGAGCCCTATCCCAGAGCTGCGGAATCAAAACTTTCAGAGTAGGAAGGGCAGCTATTGGTATAAGATACAAGACTCCTGGATCAGAGACTAATAATAGTTTATTTCTCACAGCAGTGGCTTTAGACAGAGTATCATTACTTTTGCTTTGGTTATCTGAGGCTTGATTCTTGCAGGCTAATATGGAGAGAACCAATGGACATCTGCATATATAGTGGGTTGCATTATAGGAGAAGAACCCTGAGGTTAGAGAACCTGAGTATTTTGCAATGGGCAGTAATTGTGCTTGGCCTGTGCTCTGGAAGGAAATATCATCTTTATCTTTTAAGTTTGTTTGCTTCTCTGGAAAAGGTAGTGTGGCAACATGGTAGTCAATGCCTCTGATCTCAAGACATTCTATTTCTGAATAAAAACAGGAGAGATCCATAAAGAATTGTCTCTCAGTCATATTTTTTTTTCCTGGATGTATCTCTAGTCACTCTACACAGTAACTTCTCTAATGAGTATTTATCATGTGACTGACACAAAAATTTGTAAAAACCTCTGTATATTGAGATCTATCAAATTATGTATTGATATAGTATCAATTCACTTACCATACTTTAGGAATGATATGTAAAAATCCTCACATTCCTACATCAAGGGAAACTTTATTGTTCTGAACAGTACACAAATCAGCCATCTTTCTTTGATTTAATAATTCTGGCTTCTATTACCAATTCTCTTGTTTAGGAAATCCAGTTCATTTCTTTTTTATTAAAGATATTATTAATGCAGTTATTTATGTGTAATAAATATAGAGAATCTAAGATTAAAAGTGATCATCAGTAGTTAAAACAATACACAGAAAAGGAACAATCCAAAATCCACAACCATCTATTCCTCTATTAATGGACTACAATTCATAAAGGCTCGGCTAAAAATCCTTTAAGCTGATTAAGGTATCTTAAATATGAATCTTTAGAAGGATGTTTTATTAATTTTAAGATAATGCTGAGCAGCAGCTATGTACTAGAAAAAAATGTAGCTGAAAAGAAATTGTATTAAAATCAAACATAGTTTAATATAAACACAAATAATAAGGTATAAATAAAACCTAAAATGGACAATGGGATAAAAATAACAGAGCCTGAAAACGGCCAATATTTGATATTTTGGAGGTAGCCACAGAAAGTAGGATTCAACATTGTGCTAGAGATGAAGTAGTTAGGACTTTGTTTTAGAAAGCTTCAGTCCCCTGCTTCTAATGTTATGAATAGATGTGGCTCTTCTCATAAGATTTAGCCCTGAAATTCAGTATTCTCCTGCTTTAGTCCTGCCCATAAAATATGAGATCCACCATAAATCAGTGAGAACCACCAGGAATACCAGCACTGAGCCATAAAACCATCACCAGAGAGCGGTGTTCAAGCCAAACAGACTGATGCTGGGATGCTTAGTCAAAACCTGTGCCCAGTAAGTGCAGTCCTTATTGGGTGGACTTAAAATGACTCAGTTGGATACTCTCTTGCGGAGATTTTAAAAATGAGATGCACACAAGTTTTAAATAGATGATTCTTGATTCTAAGAAAAATGAAGCATGATGTGTTATTTGAGTTGTCGTTTAGCTTGAATCATAGTAAAACTTTTTTTTTCTATTCTTCTTAAGTCTGGTACCCATTCAAGCCGTGGAGCTGTAAGTAGGATCCAGGAGCTATACAACTGAAGATGGCTTTCCATGATCACTCCCTTCTCCCTGCATTGATAGAATACATCTTCATTATCTAAAATAAACTGAGTACCTATCTTCCCTTCAAAGGGGAAGAATTTCCCTGATACATGAACATAGGATTAATTATGACTGAAGTATATAGTTTATAATATGGTTAACATAATGATAATTATGTACAAAATTGCTTATGCTACATAAGGTAATTTTCTATGGATCTCTCATGGAAAATTCATTTGTAGAAATTAGTGAAATTATTACTTATGTCTGACTAAGGTGAATAATGTCTGTGTTGGACAAGTGTAGTCCAGGCTATTACCCAGTTTATCTTCTATATCTATATCGATTTCTCTAGAAATACATTTAATATTAATTTGAGAGAATTCTCTCTCTGAATCTGAAGTGGCTCAAAATTTAATTTTAATCAAAGAACTCTTATAGATGGAATTTTTATAGCTCTGGAAACTCTGCTTTAAATTTTATTCTTAATTGCCTAGAAGATAAAATAGGCTTTTTCTCCTTCAATACAGTTTTCAAAATGTATTGGGTCAGCTACAAATTTGACCCTCAAGAAAGGCTTGTCGGATACTCCACAGGACACTATATCTTTCTGTTCTTTCTCTACAATGCTTTGCCTATATTTACAAAATCACTACAGCAGCTACATATCCTGTAAATCCTGTAATCTAATTATGCTGCAATATATTGCAGAGGGTTGGGGGGAGCAGAATTTATCCTTCTGTGAATATTTTTGAGAAGAGGATTCAACTTGAAAATACTTACCATGTGCACAAAAGTCTGATATCCTGTGCGTCACTAGTTTTCACAAATCTAGTTTCAACAATGTCTCCTTCACTTTCATAGCACTGGTTTTATTAATTATTTCAAGATCTCTGGTGTGTAGACTACATATATATCTATTTAAAAGTAGTACAATAGTGTAAAATTTTAGCTGTAAAACTGCTTTGTAAATATCTGGGGAAAAGAGAAAACATAAGAATACATCTACCAATGATAGAAATTACTTTGCTATGTAAGATGAAATTAAAGGCGTGGGCCGGGCATGGTGGCTCCCGCCTGTAATCCCAGCACTTTGGGAGGTTAAGGTGGGCAGATCACGAGGTCAGGAGATCGAGACCATCCTGGCTAACACGGTGAAACCCCATCTCTACTAACAATACAAAAAATTAGCCGGGCGTGGTGGCGGGTGCCTGTAGTCCCAGCTACTCGGGAGGCTGAGGCAGGAGAATGGCGTGAACCCGGGAGGCGGAGCTTGCAGTGAGTCGAGGTCGCGCCACTGCACTCCAGCCTGGGCGACAGAGCGAGACTCTGTCTCAAAAAAAAAAAAAAAAAAAAAGAAAGAAAGAAATTAAAGGTGTGATTTTTAATTTTTTAAATATATTTAGGGAGTACAAGCACAGATTTCTTACCTGCTTACATGCATATATTGCACAGTGGTAAAGTCTGAGCTTTAGTGTATCCATAACCTGAATAGTGAACACTGTAGCCAATAGATAATTTTTCAACCCTCACCCCCTCCCATCTTTGTAAAAGGAAGTAGTAGCTATTAGGTTGATGCAAAAGTAATTGTGATTTTGCCATTACTTTCAATGGCAAAAATGACAATACCTTTTGCACCAATCTAATAGATGATCTTAAAGGTTTCTACTAGTTCTAGCACTTTAAATTCACAAGATTATTTTTAATACCATCCACTAGCTAGTATATGGGGAAAAAAAAACCCTTCTACTAACCACGCCAAAGCTCTATTTTATTTTAGTATTAAAGGCGAACAAAGGATATAATGAGATAATTGGTCATAAGAAGCATCTCTTTGCCACTATATAGCATGGTCCTAGCCCATAGACACCTGATGGGCCTCTCTGGACAAAATATTTATGCACAAAATTTTCCCAGATTTTTACTTAAATCTCTTACTGTGATTGATAAAATTGAAATTAACCTATCCAGTCTTCAAATGATTTGATGGGATAAAGAGATCATGAGGGAGGAGAGGAAAATGAAGATTCCAAAACAAATGGTGGATCCTACTGTTACCTTGGAGACAGGGTCTCCATGTTTTGTTTCTTGATATGTAACCACTTTTTCTGGTGGAAGAGCACACATACTGATACATGAACTGAATGTGTATGATATAACAAATGCCCAAAAGAGGAAAACTTAATTTTATGAGTGGGTGTTATATGTAGGGTGAGGAGTTTGGGTTGTTGGAGGTACTGAAACATGTCTCTCTGCCTATAGATAAGATGCATCGATAGCCCCTTCTCTTTTCCCATGTATCTATGGAGAAATGTTTGTTGACCAAAATGCAGAGAAAAAAAAAAACAGAACAGTACAGCATGGGTAACCATGTTCCCTGGGAATGTGAAGCATTCATCAGAGCCATCATTTAAAACCTCTGCATGGAGAAAGTGATTAAATGAGGCTTGAGAAACTAGGCTCCAAGAGAAGGAGAGGAATTAAGTTTTTATCTAATAAAACAGCAGCCAGCCACAAGCCTGAAAGGTTACCCTTTCTTTATCTTCAAACTTTGTAAGAAAGCCACAAACATTTGAAATGCTTGATATGATTGAAGCTCTTGTCATGGCCAATGGTAGAAATAGTTTAGTGATGAAGAGCACACATGAGTCTCCATGAAGGTAGGAACCGAGACCAAAGGGGCTTTGAGGAATTAAGTTTGGATGCTTTCAGGAGTGGCAAGGGAGTCTAGTGTTACAAAGATGGTAAAATCATGATGTGAGGCATGCTTATAAATCTCAAACCTTATGAGGCCTCAGATGACCTAAATACATTTAGTCTGCCCAGTTACTTAAACACATTTAGTATGCCCAGTAATTATAATACTACACAACTTCATAAACACAGTCATATGATTTCTTTTTTTGCACTGGGAAGTATCTCAGAGACCATCCCATAGCTGAGGGAAGTACTGGACTCTACTCCCTCTGGATCTTAAATTATTCTTTTATTTATACTTCATTAAATTACATTAAGATGCAAGGGAACTTCATAGTGTTGAGAAGTTTAGCTGAGTTTATGTATTCAGAGTACAGTTGGCCCTCCCTATCCATGGGTTTCATAACCATGGATTCAACCAACTGCAAAAAAAAAAAAAATGGATGGTTGCCAAACACGTCCAGACTTTATCATCATTATTTCCTAAATAACACAGTATAGCAACTATTTACGTAAATTTTACATTAGATCGGGTATTATAAGTAATCTACAGATGATTTAAGGTATACAAGAGGAGGTGGGTAGGTTATGTGTGACTATTATGCCATTTTCTATAAGGGACTTAAGTATCCATGGATTTTGGTATCCATAGGGATCTAAGAATCAATCTTCTATGAACACTGGGGGATGGCTGTTCTTAGAACTGTTTCTAGCACAAAATAAGTATTCGATTAATTTTAGGTGTTGTTGATGTTACCTAATCTGTGCTCTTTTGTAGTACTCACAGCTTAATATTTTTAATCAAATAAAAAATCCATACATCTTACTAAAATGCTTTTTGTTATATGAATAAATAAATGTTTTGATCAATAAAATGCTTTTTGTTATACGAATAAATAAATGTTTTTATCAAAAAATTTTCTAGATTGTCATGAAGGCATTGTTAGGGAATTTTTTTGTTGTTGTTGGGGTAAATGAAGCATGAAAGCATAAACAACACTAAAAGCTAACCAATTATAAAACTCAAATACATACTGAAAAGTAGAGTGACCTTTCAACAAAAAAAATCACTTGGTTTAACAATTTCATTTTTCAAATGAAGAAACTGAGGGCCAGAGAGTTTGAGACTCGTTCTTAGAAATAAAGTGACAAAAAAGACCCTAGAACTTAAGTATTTTGACCTAGAACCTTTTTTCACTATGCCACATACAAACTGCAGGGAGTTAAAAAGGATCAAGTGACATTTGATTCAGAGGGGAAAAACACATCAAAACAAGCAAACAAGAAAATGAAAGGGTATTTCCTGTGTGAGATATTAAGTGGGGGGGGGGCGGCTAATGGGGGTAGTTAATTAAGTAATAGCCTCTTTCTGCTTCCATAGATTCCCATAAAACATTATCTTTGGGGCTGATTTTTGAAAATATTAAATGCAAAATCACAGGGCAGTTTATGCCCTTTGATTCCACATATGCGTATGTGCATGCACAAATGAGACATCTGTATAGAAGACACAGCAAATGAGAAAAGTTGCTTTCCCTGGAAAAAAGCATGGTGGTTAGAGGAAGATGCAGTTATTTTAACTGTATACAATCATATGCTGCATGTATTTTTATAATAGTATGTCACACTTTACTATTAAAATGATATATAAGCCAACACAAAATGCTAGTTTTGCCTTTCACCCTTTGACTCTGAAAATATGAAATTTCTTAACAACATCAACTATCTTTAAATTCATGCAGAGACAGCTACTTCCTTGCTGTGGACCATCTATCATTTTCTTAAATCAGAACACAAAAATCATGTTATTTATTATTTTATATCTCCTTATGTCTCCACTGGAATATTTATTTTAAACCCCTCACCAGGAAGACCTTTAAAAAAAGAAAGAAAACATGATACTCAGTCTAATGTGAATACTGAAATTTATTACAGTAGTAACAAGCACTGTACAGCAATGATTTGCTGTATTTAGATTGCATGTGATCATAAACAAAGAATTGATCTCACACAAGCCTACTTATACTTCCTGTGACTCCCACACAAGCCTACTTACACTTCCTATGAACCCAGAGAGACATTGTAAAGTAGCAACTATAGTAAAAAAATTTTCAGATGCAGTGTGTCTTTAATAACATATTGTAGTTTTGTGATCTCCAAGGAGCCTTTAAAAGATAGATTTTCTTTAAGGCAGGCTTACCTATGCAATTCTTTTTTGATTACAGTTACCTTCCCTTTCTTTTTCAAATCTTTCAAAAGCAATAACAACTGAGTTCACAAAACAATTTCATTGCTATTCTTTATTATGTATTTTACAAATAAGCTTTTTATTCTCATATTTTATGATTAACCAATATATGTTAAAGTAGGACTGCTATGTAGTCTACGTGCATAACGTGCAATCATGTCAGAAGTTCCAGATGTTAACATGTTTGAATATCTCAGAACTAGTAGAAAAATAGCCACAACCCTGAGTTCCCTTAGCACCTCCCCCAGTATTTTGGCCATCCTGTCAAGATTGCAGCAAGATCCAGAAATTATGAGCTAACATTTGAAACAGTAGGGAGCCCCTAGAACTCTGCCTTAGCCCCTGCTCATTTGTGACATAATTCTTGTTAAATGTTTTGAATATCAAGGGATGCTGATTTGAATTTACATTGCATACTACTTTTGTTACAATTTTTATATTAGAAAGTAGAAGAAAATAGTTGCATTTAAGCCCAAGAATATGGGCTATAACCTTATTACACTGATGTACCTGGTTGGGTCTATTTCGGGGACGTTTTCTGGAAGAGTTGTTGGAGGTCCCGCTTTCCAACTGATGATTCCTTGGACACCACAACCCAGCTTTAGTAAAAAATGCAAGATCAGGAGTTAGACTGTCTGGATTTTGAATCTTGGTTTTGTCACCCCACTAGCTGTGAAATCTTAGGTGATTTTTTAACTTATCTATGCCCTATGTAATGACGATCATAAACAGAGTAATTTTTATACATATTTGATGGCATATTTTAAAGCATATTTTATACAATTAATGTAAAGCACTTAAAAAAGTGTATGAAAAATATTATGTTCAATAACTATTACTTGTCACTGTTGTGTTGAAGGTCATTGTCAGTATTACTGGGTCATATTGCCATCATTCAGCAGGCCAGAAAATTTCTAGTGATTCATAAATTTAGGCCTAGATTTCAGAAACAATGAGTAATTGTTTTATACAATCTATTCTAGCAGAAGCACCCCCAAAGTAAAAGTTATCTTTCAGTCTACCAAATAAAATCTTTCTGCAGAAAGGCACTCATTATCAAATCACCTTTAATTTAATAAAATATACTAATGGTACAGTATTACAATAATTCAGTTACAATTCTGCTCTGTACTTACCCTGCTTCTTGTCTGTTCCTTGAAAAAAGAGAAAACAGTTAATGAACTTTTGCATTCTGCACAGGTAGGAGACAGTAGCAAGCAGAAGAACTACATATATTTAAGTCTATTATCTTGATTCCTCATAGCACTCTTAAATAGTAGTTATCATTATTTCCGTTTTACAAATAAGGAAAAAGATGATTAAGAAAGGCTAAATAACTTTTCTAAGATTACAGACCTAAGTTGAATAACTGTTTTCCAAAATCAAATATGCCATTTGTAAAAGTATTTAATAAATAAATAGCCATGATAAGAGTTGGATAGAATGATCTATGGCAAACCTGCTTCCGTATATCTTCATAATCTTAGGATGCATTTTTTTTTTTTTTTTTTAGATGGAGTCTCACTCTGTCGCCAGGCTGGAGTGCAGTGGCACAATCTTGGCTCACTGCAACCTCTGCCTCCTGGGTTCAAGCTATTCTTCTGTCTCAGCCTCCCAAGTAGCTGGGATTACAGGCACGCGCCACCATGGCCAGCTAATTTTTGTATTTTCAGTAGAGACAGGGTTTCATTTCACCATGTTGGCCAGGATTCTCTTGATCTCTTGACCTCATGATCTGCCCGCCTCGGCCTCCCTAAGTGCTGGGATTACAGGTGTGAGCCACCATGCCTAGTCCTTAGGATGCATTTTAAAAAAAATGTTTAAGAATGGGAAGCTGCTTTTTTCACCCCCAAATTAACTCTTATGTGAAAACTATATACATCATAGCTAAAAAAGATTTGTCAATATAAGCATATTTTATACTTTCAAATTCACAATATATTGCTGATAAAATCCATGAGTGAGAATAAGTGAAGCAGTTTTGAGTAAAAACTAACTTTTCATCTAAGGGGTTATGGGCATCAGCTGCATTTGTCACCCTTGACATCAAAATCCATTTTTTCACTTGCATTCACAAGAAAAACCTTCGTTGTATCTTTATTAGTTTTGCCTATGAAAACAGTTTTTCAAGTAGATTTCATAATCTCAGGTTATTCTTGCATTAAAACTGATCCAAAAGCCTGAAATTGGAATAGAATGATACTTAAGTTTCCAAGTGAAAAATTAGCCATAACTAACATAGATAACATTTTCTGTTATAATAGTTTTTATTATTTATTTATTTATTTGTTTATTTTTGAGACAGAGACTCACTCTGTCCCCCCAGGCTGGAGTGCAGTGGTGCGATCTTGACTCACTGCAACCTCCGCCTCTCAGGCTCAAGAGATTCTCGTGCCTCAGCCTCCTGAATAGCTGAGATTACAGGCATGTGCCACCACGCCCAACTAATTTTTGTATTTTTAATAGAGATGAGGTTTCACCACGTTGGCCAGGCTGTTCTCAAACTCCTGACCTCAAATGATCTGCCCACTTCGGCCTCCCAAAGTGCTGTGATTACAAGCATGAGTCACTGTGCCCAGCCTTTTTAAACAGTTTTTAAATAAAAGAAGAAATATTCATAAATTACAAAAGTTTTTTAAAAATAAAACCACCTAGTAGATTAAATATTTATTTGATATGTAACAACTCACATATAAAATGGTGAAGATTCGTCTCTTACCTGATAGTAATTTATCTCCTTTGCTTTGCTTTGCTTTGCTTTATTTCCCTTACCTTCTCTTTCCTTGATCTTTCCTCTAATTCTCCTTTGCCTCCACATTTTCAAGCACCTAATTGTGCTCTATTCTTTCAAGTGCTCTATCTTTGGAATAATCTTGACAACTCAGCAATTTCTGATGTTGCTGAAAATAATGCAACTCTCTGTGATAAATATAAGATTTAATTAAAAGCAAGAGAATAAGTCCAAAGGAAAAAGACTTGAATGCCAACATGAAAATGATTTCTTTTCTAATTCTGAGGCTATCTTAGTTTATTGTTTAATTTTTTTAAAAAAGATCCCAGATGCAATAAAATGAGATTCAGCTTGTAATATAAACGATTCTGCCACTTAATTTGTTTTATCTTTGCTTCTCAAACAAAAGAGAGATTAAATCAAATAATTAAATCAAACCTAAATACAAAGTTTGAGCTAACTCATACTGCATATGCCCTAAAATGACCAGTGCTTTGTACCTATATATATGATGAGGATAAAATTAGATGACTTCTCTGGTTTAATGCGAACATTCAGCATGGAATTAATGAATGATTATTATTCATGGAAAAAGTGTGAAACAGAGTGGCTTCCCAAATTGGTACTATTAGTTGTTGCTTCAGAACAACAATAACAACAAAATAGTTAATGATTCTGCAATTGCATAATTTTTCCAATAAAATTAGCTGGCGCAACCTCTTAAATTTCTGAAATATTTTGCAGTTTGATTAAAAAACATTCTCTCAACTGCCAAAGTTCAGCGTCATGCCAAGAGAGTAAAGTGCTAAAATTAAATGCCATTCTCCTTTTAAACAATTGAAATAAAAAGGCAGCTCATATTGAGTAAATTTAACAAAAGACTTTGACTTTCAGAGCATCACTGAGAAAAATCCCCAAACAAAAGCATGTTCAATGTTAGTCAGTAAATCCCTGAAAAGCCCAACCAAAGACAAAAAGCATATTATAGTATTTTAATATAATGTGAAATGTTTTCAACTTACATAAAATGGATTAAAAGGGGTTGGACCGTAGGTGTCTTTATGCAAAAACTTGTCTTTGAAAACACCAGTGAAAGACTGACATCCCTGTAAAACTTACCTTTCCACAGAACTTAAAGACTGTACAAATCTAGGCTACTTAAACAGATTGTAATTCACGAGGATCTTTGATTTGGCTTGACTCTGTAGTACAAAGGATATACTGCTGTAGCATGTTTGTTCATCAAACAGTTCCCTTTGCCCTGCCTAACAACGTGTGTCCATGGCAATGCAATTAGCACAGAGCCATGTGAGATCAAGGAATGAGGAATCAAGCTATAGTGTTGCTTCAACATTCTTTGCACCATGCAGTCTCTCTCTGTAATCTTGTATCTGTGAATCAATGAGTAGAACTAAATTATTAAATGGATGGCCTCAAAAATTTACAATGACTCTAGAATCACTAATCAGTTCTGACAGGAGCTTAATCTCAAACTGAGTGTTACTCAGCTCCAGACAAAAGGTATTGAGAGAAGCAGACTAAGGCACAAGTTATTATCTATTCCCTAGGATCTCAAGGTTTGCCCTCATAAAAGTAAAGTCATCAGGCACACAGTTTTTAAAATTTTGAACTAGGGAGGCTATAAAAGTCACCCATTACATCAGTTTTTTATCTTTTGCATCCTTTGCAAATCATCTTTTTCATTTTTTGAGAACATTGGCCATTAATTTGTTCATTGTCCTTAGAGACAACATGGAATAGCAGAACTTTCAGTGAAATGTGTGATAAGAAAATCTACATTCCTGTCCCAGCTCTGATACTTACAAGTGCTGTAATCTTTTACAAGGCACTTGATTTCTTTGAGTATCAGTTTTCTCTGAAAGATAAGCAGGTTGGACCAGGTGGTTTCAACTACCTTTTCTAGGTTCAAGTCGTCATAAACTTCTGACAATAGTCTCTCTGAATAGGGTGACAGGGTGTGTCTGACAGCTACCTAGTCTCTCTGCTCCAAACTCACCTTTCTATGCTCTGGCTCTGTGATCCTCGGGGCAGGGACTCTACAAACCACATTTCTCCTTTGCCATCTGATTTTATCTCAGATTCTGTAATCAGGAGGCACTAGAGGGAGACTGCAAGGCTGAAGGAAGGAAATGGGACTTGCTCCTTTCTGTTTGCTTCTTGTTCCATGAGCAGCGTCTATCAATCATAAGTTGTCCCAGAAATCGGTTTCTGTATCCAGCTACCTTCAACACTACTTCTTTTTCAGTCCTCTACCACCTGTTTAGCCATTTATCTATATCATATTCTGCACTGCCGTTTCCAGTTCTCTGTCTGGACTTAGACTGGTATTTAGAGCATGGTGCAATGGATAGAGCCACATCTATCAAGAGGTCATGAACCTAACTTATTTACCTTATTCACTGCTGCATCTATTGTTTTGCATTACTAAAACAAAGTAAACTCTCAATACATACTGACTGAGTGAATATGAACGTTTAGACAGGTAACCTTGATTCAGGTTCTAGGTTCTACCACTTAAAAGTCCTGTGATCCTGGGAAAGTTTCCTAAAATTTCTGATCACCCTCAATCCTCAATTACATAATCTATCACAATCTATAAAATACAGAAGTAGAAACTGTGTTTAGTAATTTCTGGTTACTTAAAAAAAAGTTTCTTTCTTTTTTTTTTTTTTGAGAGATGGTCTCTCTATCGCCCAGGCTGGAGTGCAGTGGAGTGATTATGGTTCACTGCAGCCTCAACCTCTTGGCCTTAAGCAATCCTCCTGTCTCAGCCTCCCAAAGTGTTGAGATGACAGGTGTGAACCACCATGCCCAGCTAAAATTTTCTTTTATACCATACTGTCCTTAGCATCCAGCAGATAATCTGGCTTACAGTTGATTTTCAATAAATGTGTGTTGATGAATAAAGTGAAGCCTACATATAATAAACAAAAATAATTTTTATAATTGCAAGAACGTGGTAGGTATTTGACCCATTTTGAGTATATCATCATTATTATTGTTTTGTAAGAGTCAGGTTTCCCCAAAGAATAGAATATGTGTGGGTAAGGACTGTATTTTACATATCTTTCTGATGTCAATGCCTAGCATAGCACCTTGGCATTATTAATATTTATAAATAGATTAATGAAGTATATAGTGAATACTGCGCAACTACACCAAGTGCTTCCACCTGCTCCCGGTTGTAATCATCTACATTTTTATTACTTTAGCTGCATTGTGTATGGACATGGTAAACTTTTGTAATTAAGAGCTTAGGTTTCTTATGTTCAAAACCCATCTCTACAAATTACTAGCAGTTAACATCTCTGCTCTACATCTTTCTCATATGTAACTGAGGATTATAATAGTACCTATCTCTTAGCGTTAGCTTAAGGATTAAATAAATCTTACTGCATTGAAAGCATTTAGACAATGTCAAACACGTGGTAATCATTAATAATGCTAGCTATTGTTATAGAAGCATTCACCCAGAGCAGCTGATATCTTATTTCTGAAATAAGTAAGGTAGATATAGATTATCAATAAACCAATTACTGAGCTGACAATATTCTGGAGATATAAGAACTAGTTATTCAGAGTATTCAGTTGATGGTATAAAAATAGATTGACACTCATTTTTTATAATATTATTATTTTATCAAAGGATGGTGAAGGGGTAAAAGCACAACCTTAGCAATATCAGGTTCATATAACACCCTGGAAAATGGAACATATAACCCAAATCCAAGAAGAAAAATTATATAAAATTATAATTCTCATTTTTTTCTGCAGTTTAGGTGAAGATGAGACCTAAAATAAATGTTACAGTTTTAAAAAATGCTATCCATGCTGTCTCTGAACTCTCTGTTTATCTACCTATTTCTCTATCTACTTATAAATATTTCTTAGCACCTACTAAGTGCTAATTTTTACTTATTTTGCCCATGAACATCCAAAGTTGTGTCATGATCCAACAAAAATTCAAAACAGAAACCTGGTAGCCTTTTCTTCTTCTTACCCTGTACATCTAACTGCTCACTGTGTGCAATACAAAAATAAACAAAGAAGGCCTTTTTATGTAGTTTATTTATTTTACATCCAATTTTCGAGTCTTCATTATATACCAGGCTTCATGCATGGTGCTGATATTAAAACAGGTAGAATAAATCCTTGACCTAAATAAGTTTAAGGGTTTTTGTTTGTTTGTTTGTTTTGTGTTTTGCAGGAAAAAATATATACAATCCTATGGCTGGGTGAAAATGACTGTAACGGTTTTATTTATACAAGATACAGGTGTGGCTTCAAGGCATTGTATTCAACCTCCTTTAGGTAAGTGAAAGGAAAGACTACAAAGAAGAAATCTTTGGCCTACACCAAACAAAGAGAGAAGTTCTTAAAAGACAAAGACATTAGCTGGAAGGTTGCTACAAACTAGAGTGTCCTAACCCAAAACTCTAAGTATTAAATAACCTGATAGATAGTATAAATGTTATTTTTAGGCAATATTTTTTTTTTCTTTTCTTTTTTTTTTTTTTTGAGATGGAATTTCACTCTTGTCACCTAGGCTGAATGCAATGGCTCAGTCTCACCTCACTACAACCTCCGCCTCCTGGGTTCAAGCAATTCTCCTGCCTCAGCCTCCTGAGTAGCTGGGATTACAGGCACCTGCCACCACACCCGGCTAATATTTTTTTTTTTTTTAAAGTAGAGATGAGGTTTCACCATGTTGCCCAGGCTGGTCTTAAAATTCTGACCTCAGGTGATCCACCCTCCTCGGCCTCTAAAAGTGTTGGGATTACAGGCATGGGCCACCATGACCGGTCTAATTTTTAAGTAATAATGTTTCTCTGATATAAGCTCCCATATTTGGCTAAGTATAAGACTAGAAGTTTAAAGAGGTTTAAAAATAAGACAAAAATATATCTAGTCCTTTTAACTATACATCTGTCTACAAGAAAGCATTTTTTAATTTTTTTAAAGTTATCTCAAATAGATTCGACCATTTTATTTCACCCCAAAATGGCATGTAAAATCCTCACAATTTACAGTTTAATAGAAAAATATATGTACTGTACAGATTATATCTAGAAAAGCGATTATCAGTGCCTCAGTTTCATCTGTAAAATAGAGATGCTAAAAGCACATAGCACACAGAGTTATGGAAAGAATTACGTTACCTATGTAAAGTGCTTTGAAGAGTGCCTGTCACATAATAAACTATTAATAAATGTATTATTATTATTGTGACAATATTCTAGACAATCATACATATTTTTCAATGACTCTTTAAATGAGACAAAATAGACGGTACTTTTCATGCTAAGTATTTTGTTATATTTATTGTTCTCTTAATATAAAAGTAATAGCCTCCAGGCACAGTGGCTCACACATGTAATCCTAGCACTTTGGGAAGCCAAGGTGCTTGAGCCCAGGAGTTCCAGACCAGCCTGGGCAATAGAGTGAGACCCCATCTCTACTGAAAATTTTAAAAATTAGCTGGGCATGGTGGTGTGAGCCTGTGGTCTCAGCTACTCAGTAGGCTGAGGTGAGGGAATTGCTTGTGTCTGGGAGTTTAAGGCTGCAGTGAGCCATGATTACACCACTGCACTCCAGTCTGGTTGACAGAACAAGACCCTTTCTCACACCCAAAAAAAAAAAAAAAAAAGTAATAGTTATTTTCTCTAGAAATTTGATACATTAAATTTATTTGTAACATATTATGTATGCATTCATTTAAGGTAGTAGGAGATGATTTGTGCCCGGTCCATAATATATTGAATGAAAGGCCAAAGAGGACATCAATATATAAATGGCTTCTATACCCTCCAGCCCTGAAAGTGAGTAGAGGTGGAGGAGAAACATGGTTTGAAAGGTGCAGAGCTAGAAGCTAGTCTGCGAAAAATCCTTCCAATCTTACAGCTCATCCACAAAAGAACTTGACAGTTTTCCAAAATTAGACAGTGATTGTAAAAATCTGTGTGGTATTGCCTAACATGGCTTCTAAATCTCAAGTTACTTATTTATTTATTATTTATTTATTTTTGTCAGTCTTATTCTGTCGCCCAAACTGGAGTGCAGTGGCACAATCTTGGCTGACTGCAACCTCTTCTTCCTAGGTTCATGCGATTCTCAAACCTCAGCCTCCTGAGTAGCTGGGATTACAGGCGCCTGACACCACACCCAGCTAACTTTTGTATTTTTCTAGAGATGGGGTTTCACCATGTTGGCCAGGCTGGTCTTGACCTCCTGACCTCAAGTTATCCACCCACCTTGGCCTCCCAAAGTGCTAGGATTACAGGCAGGAGCCACCATGCCCGGGCTAAAGCAATTACTTCTAACCTATCAATAAAATATTCAAACTACCACGATAGAGGAAGAAGTAAATTTTTTTAAAAACCTATCTCTGTAGAAAGTGATTTAGGAAATTACTGTTCTAGGAAGAGCCAATCAAGAAGTCTGCAGCCAAAGTTTGTAGAAAACAAAAAGTATTATAAAGGTAATCACTTAATAAATACAAATATTACTTTACTTTCTAAATCTTGTGAAACCATGGTTTCAACTGGCTTTTAACTAATTTTACCTTATTTTTATTTCTTTTTTATTCTTAACAAACATATACTTTGTGCCTATTTTTAGTCCAAATTTTGTTTTTTTATAAATTATTTTATCCTGTAACTGCAAAAGGTGGTTATTTTGTGTTATTTTTTAGGCCCCTCAAATTATCTAAGTTCGGGGTCCCTTTCTCTGAATACGGTTGTTATCTCTGGTTTACAGGACAGAAAACTGAGTCACGGAGCCAAGTCACACAGCCAGTAAGTGCCAGAGCAAGATTACAGCTATGATGTGTTAAGTATGATGAGAAATGCAAAGGTTGTAGCTACGAAAAAAAAAACCCAGAGCAAACAGCTCAAATAGCCAATGTGATGGAGAAAAATTAAAAAAAAATACATTATAAGTATTTTAAGGTCAGAGAGGTGTGTGTTTGTGTCCTGAGTAGATTGAGGGGTAGAAAGGAGAGCTTCAGAAGTTTCGAGATTGAGTGAGGAGATACTCTGACAGTTTGGGAGGAGGTGGGGAAGTAAAGCCAGAGAAGAGAGAAGGAAAGAGAAACATCAGGATGAATGGACAGAAAGAGTCAGAGAAAATGAAGGTTTTGGTTTGACTGAGCAATCTGTTAGGGTTCCACCTCCAAAGAATAGACACCTACTTGAAAGTTTGTTTTTGAGTAATATCGTGCAAGGAGCATATGTGAAGTATCTAGTGAAAATTTATTATTTAGCTGTCTTAATGTTAGCTTACAGTTAAAGAAATATAAGAAACTTGGGCACAAACAAGATGAAATAAAAACAGTAGTTATTCCAGGTCTAAGTAAAATTATATATTATTATTCCACACATTGTAATATACAATAAAATAACATTATTACAGCTTAATGGAGGTTTTAAGTTACAGCTCATGACTTTAGGGGAACCTTTATTGCATGGTTTGGCTCTGTGTCCCTACCTAAATCTTATCTCCAATTGTAATCCCCATGTGTTGAGGGAGGGACCTGGTGGGAGGTGATTGGATTATAAGGGGTGGTTTCCCCATGCTGTTCTTGTGATAGTGAGGGAGTTCTCATGAGATCTGATGCTTTTAAAGTGATAGTGTCCCTGCACTCTCCTGCTGCCTTGTCTCTCTCCTGCTGCCTTGTGAAGATGGTGCTTGCTTCTCCTTCACCTTCCGCCATAATGGTAAGTTTCTTGAGGCCTCCCCAGCCATGTGGAACTGTGAGTCAATTAAACCTCTTTTGTTTATAAATTACCCAATCTCAGGTAATATCTTTATAGCAGTGTGAAAATGGATTAATATACTTTATTTGCATTGAAATAATAAAAAAATAGGTTTTAAAAATTAAAAGGGCCTTAATCACTTAATTATATTGCCACATGGCACCACCAAAACAAAGGTAATCTGCTGAAGTGAAATATTTTATCTAGATTGTTTATGTTTTCATCTGTTTGTTATATTTTTTCACCCAAATCAGTGAATACAAAATATCTATCTTAGCCAAAGATTGAGCCATGAACCAAAAAGCTGTTTGTAATATTGGTAATCATTCCTTCACTTATTCACTCATTTATTCAAAAAATATTCAATGCAAATTGTGTTCTGAGCACTGTGCTTTGTGCCAGGCAAACAGTGGTAAGGAAAGTAAGGCACAATCACTTCAGTCAAGGAATATACAAAGTAATGGGGAGACAGAACTTAGTCAAATAACTACATAAATGAATATATGAGTTCATTGTGAGATAAATACTTTTAAGAAAAGTAATGGAAAGGGAACTTTCCTGAGGATGTGTCTTTTTGAATCAAGAGTGATGGACAGAGAATGTTCTAGTCAAGGGAATCAGTCATGTTAAGTTCCCTGTGCCTTAGCCTAAGAACTAAAGAAAGTAATTTAATGGTGGAGAATGGATAGAAGAGGAGAAGAGCTGAATGAAGAAAGAGTAAGCATAAGTGACAATTGAAGTCAGACAGAAGAGAAACAGGGGTGTCTTGGGTTAGGTGGTAGTGTTGGAGATTGGGAGAAATAAATATGTAGGAGATAAAATGTAAAAGACTTATTGATAAATTAGATATGAGAGGAGTGGTGAAAGGGAGGGCAGAATCATGAATAATTCCCAGATTTCCAATTTTTGCTTCTGGATAGATGGTTCCACTTATTAAGACGGAAAATACCAGAAATGATGAAATATATGGGATGTGAGGGTGCTGGAGATAAGGAAAGTTACTGGGATTACACCGGGCTATTCCAACGATCTACTGCTAATACAGCATTATTCTAAGACACAAGGCTGTATGCTGAGCTACAATTACCTCTAACGATAAATAGCCATATAGGTATAAATCACTTAGTAGTGAGGAGTATTTCATCTTCTTCACAGATAATTCTGTAATAGGACCAAGGGAAGTATTACAGCACAGATTACATTTTATTCTTTAATGAGGTGGCTTCTTCTGGCTCATATAATTGTTAATTTGGTATCAGAATAGAAACAGCATATGTAAACATGCACACAAGTACAAAGTTGGCCTTCAAAAAATCTTTGCTAAATGTGTTTTTCTCTATGTTATTCCTGAGTAGCCTTTCTGGAACATGTAGTCAGTTTATTATAATCAGTTTATTGATCTCATCTCCCAACATCCCAAAATAATTTAAACCAGAGTGAAAATATTTCATTTAACAGTAACAAAAAAATCTGGTAAAGCTTTTATACTTGGGTAAAACGTATATTTCTAAAGAGTACCATGGGAAAAAAAAATCCTTGCATATCCCAACTGCATTTCTACACAGTTTGCATTTTTTAATTTTTTGACAATTGATGGTATGTAAAACAGATGATAATTATTTGTTTATATTACATTTTCAATAGATTTTTGCTTCCATTGGAAAATAATAAATTTGTTATTATGTTATCCTGAATATAATCCCAATTATTATAGCCCCATAACTTTGTAAATTTATTTTCATTCTTTGTGGATTCTAGGAACAGATGTTGAATACACATCAGATCTTGATTTAATCACCTTATTCCCACAGTGTTAAAAATGCAATGGCTCATGGAATTTAAAAAAATTAGAGTGAATTTCAGATAAGAAAATCAAGGACCAGAGAAGTGAAGCAAGCCTTGTACAGCCGCATAGGAAGCTCCTGACCAGAGGAGGGCTAAAGCTTTGCCATACGCATCCAAAGCATTGTTGGTTCCACATCACTATGCACTGCTTCTCCATCAACTGGCTCTTTTATTTAACACCTACCAGGTGCTATAAAAACTACTTGATAGTACATCCAATGTTTATTCATCTCTTATCATCTCACTTTTATAGATCAGGAACTCGAGGCATAAGGAAATTAATAACCGCAGTACAGGGTCAAACTGAATTCCAACCTATGCCATCTGACTTCTGCATTAAAACTAAGTTATTTTAAAACTAACTGCATTATTTTAAGTTATTAAAAAAACTAAGTTATTTAAAACTAACTGCATTAAAATGCAGTTAACCAACAAACTATGCTGCCTTTTAGAAAGGTCTTCAAAAAAGCAAAATTGACAATGCTGCTTCTTTTTTAATAATTTAATAATTAATTTTGTATCAATATATAAAAATGTGTACTTTATTTCCTTAATGTGAATAATTTATTTTAAACATTTTCAAGGAAATATTCTCTTGCCGAATTCTAAGAAATCATCATGAAACCTTAGTCAGTAACACCCCACAAAGTTAATTTAATATATTTACCTCTTCATAGGCTAACATTCATTATATTCTTTGGAGGAATTCTCATTAATATGACTATTGAGTCAAGTGTAAAGTCAGCAGAGAATTCCCCAATAGTATTCAGAAATAGAATAATGTAATTCAATAAAGGTTCCAGTCTGCTTAGTTTCCTTCTTTTTCATAATGAGGAAGTGGTAAAGTGGTAAAGAAAGTCCAAAATGCCTTCACTTTCTCATTATAAGCTTATCATAATGCACTTATTTGAACCAAATTCTATGCTGCTTTTTTTAAAGGTTTCTATTTAGGCAACCATTTTTAAACACCAACATCTATTCTCATCAGATGTGATAGAAAAGAATACTGAATGAACTGAATTAAGCACAGTTAATGTTTTATGGGATTTTCTACCTTGATATTCTCTATAGACATTAAATCTTTATTAGAACTAGGGAGAAATGTATTAAACAAAGAGGAAAAACATTGTTGAACTAGGTTCTAGGTATTTTCATGTAGGTATTTACCTTTTATTACAGCTCTGAGATAGGCATATGTTTTCTTTATTTTACAGATAAGAAAACTAAGGCAGAAAGACTGAAAATACTGTTCAATATGCAGTCAATTATAGGCAAATTCATGGCCCAGATTCAGAAATACCTGTACTATAGCTGAAGCTTTTCTCAGTAGTTTGTATCATATAGTCTGCAAGGGTAGAGATTGCTTCTAAACCTTTCCAAAAAAAAAAGAAAGAAGCAAGATGGACATTTTCATTTAAGGAAACAGAGGCATTTTATAGAAAGGTAGGTAGAAGGGAGAAGTGAGGTAGAGAACAGTATGGATGTAAGATAATAGCTTGGGAAAGAGAGAGAGGAAAAAATGAAAAAGAGAAAAGTCACATACTGGGAACACAGAGTCGGGATAGGCTGGAGTAACAGAGAGAGACAAAAATATTTTCTAGGAGTTACTCTGTGGCATAGGTGAGAGACACAGAGAAAGAAGATTTTAAAGAAGGTGTAAAAAAATGACTTCAGAATTTATTGTCTTTGGAGTAGCTTTCAAATGCTGAAGCAAAGATGTATATTTTCTTCTGATGAAGTTTTGTTATTTGTTTTAATGTAATTTTGCATAAAATCTGGAATTCATGGGCCTTCAATTTTATTAGTGTTACAGATGAATGATCTATACTGATAAATGTCATTCATAACTATTCTTCCATATTACTGCTACTCTTTTTCCCCTTTCTTTTTACTATGAGGGAAGGATAGAGAAGAATATAAAAGACTTGAAAACATGTAAAGTAGTTCTTTCCACTCTAGAAATAAATACAAATATAACATGTTAGCATTTTGGCTAAATTGAAGAAAGTTGAGTTTTGTGATGTTGTGAATAGTTTAATTTAGGCATTAATGACTAAAAGTGTGATTTTTAGCTACTGCCATACACCTAGATGGACATGGAAAATATGCTTCTCTTACGCCCCAACATTATTTTTAGACATTCATTGCTACCCTGTTATGCTATTTTTCTCAACTTTCCTTTGCGCATTATTTATATATCCTTTGGGGCATCCAAAATTTCCTGATTTTGTTCATTTACCCACTTAACAAAAACACTAAGTACCAACTTTGTTCCAAATTCCCTGTGAAGAATTGTCTCTTACACCCACAATTTTTGTGCTGCTGCCTGAATGGGTGTGTCATATATTACCAAGAGAGTAAATATAATTACAGTAGATCTTAGAGCCCCCTCCTTTTCCTAATGCATGACTACCTACCATGTCACTCTAGGGAGATGGTAAAATAGGTTCAGCCCAGGAAGGTATGTTCTATTTTTAAGCAAAAAACATAAAATAGCTACTAAAATCTTATTCCTTTTCAAATCAAACTGCCTCCCTAGACTAAAGCTTGAAAGTGGCTTAGAAATTTGAAGATAAATATTCAGTCTAAAAAAGAAATGTAGAAGGTTGAAAAATCCTCCTCCAATTGTGAATTATATGGGGGATAAAAAAATATGAGTTCCTCATATGCCAGCAGCCAACTTTTGGCCCCTTCTCATTCAGTGTATCTGGGAGCAAAACACATACCATTTCTCACCGTCATTGGAGGATATCTCAGGGTACCAGCAAGCATCAACTCTGTTTTTTGTTTGTTTGTTTTGAGACGGAGTCTTGCTCTGTTACCCAGACTGAATTGCAATGGCATGATCTCGGCTCACTGAAACCTCTGCCTCCCGGGTTCAAGTGATTCTTCTGCCTCAGCCTCCCAAGTAGCTGGGACTACAGGCATGCATCACCACGCCCAGCTAATTTTTGTACTTTTAGTAGAGACAGAGTTCCACCATATTGGCCAGGCTGGTCTCGAACTCCTGACCTCGTGATCCACCTGCCTTACCTCCCAAAGTGCTGGGATTACAGGTGTGAGCCACCGCACCCAGCACAAGCATCAACTCTTAAAGAGACTTACATTTGAAAAAAATCTCAACAAGTATGACAGTATCTAGGAAAGCATAAATTATGAAAATTGACTCAAAAAAATTAAATGTTTATATTAATCATAAACAGATGCCTAAAATATAGATCAAACCAAATTTTTAGAATAGATAATTATTTAGGTATTTGAAAATTTCCAGAAAAGTAACAAAGATTAAATCCTCCCCCAAATTATTTTAAAGCTAAAAATGTTTTGTATGTAAGCTTAAAATGTTATTATACAAAGAAAGAACAGTTTAATATAACTTATAGAAGGGAAAATCTTGCCGGGCACATTGGCTTATGCCTCTAATCCCAGCACTTTGGGAGGCCAAGGCGAGCAGATCACCTGAGGTCAGGAGTTCAAGACCATCCTAGCCAACATGGCGAAACCTCATCTCTACTAAAAATACAAAAATTAGAAGGGTGTGGTGGCAGATGCCTGTAATCCCAGCTACTCAGGAGGCTGAAGCAGGAGAATCGCTTGAACCCAGGAGGCGGAGGTTGCAGAGAGCTGAGATTGCACCACGCACTCCAGCCTAAGGGATAGAGAGAATGAGACTCTGTCTCAAAAAAAAAAAAAAAAGGAAAATCTTGGGAGAAATCCTTGAGAATTTCATGCAGCAGGATGAAATGCAACAAGTTGTGTTTATTTCAAGAAAAAAAGGATAACTAAACCTTATAAAAATATTTTTATTAAATCCATTATACAAATACATTTATAAGACTTTTTAAAAGTTATAATCAATTTGAATCATTTGATAAATTTAACATCTTTTCCCTAATCTCAGAAGCACTCATAAACTTGTGTTTCCAAAAACATACTTCTGATAACGTGATTAAAAATTTTCCATTTGGACCAACAGTAAGCATCAAGTTTAATGGTGAAATTCTATAGCAATGCTGTCCAATAGAATTTAAATCAATATTGATAATGTTCTCTGCAATGTTCAATACGGTGGCAGTCGTCAAATAAGGCTGTTGATCCATTGAAATGTTAATAAGAATTTTAAATTGCATTTAAGGTAACTTAAATATATATGTAAATATCACATTAGCTAGTGGCTATTATATTGGAAAGTGCAGGCCCAGATGCAAACATCTTAAATTCATGAATAAAACAAAGATACATACTATCGCTCCAGTTTTTTACCACTTTCCTTAAAAGTTTCAGACAATGCAATAAAACAACAAAATATGTTGTAAAAAGTGAGAAGAAAAAGATGAGAGTTTCAGTGTGATGCTTGTATAAGAATAAACAAATCAACAAGATGGAATAATGAATTTAGCAAAGAATATAAAGATTATGTAATAATGGTCATAAATAATAATGAAATTTTTCATTGGTGAGCATACACTAAATAGCTGAATAAATGGTATTAGCAAAACTGGTATTTGGAAAACCATTCAGCATACTTACATCATATTGTATAATGAAATATTCAGATGAGTTATAGACACAAAACTTAATATCTATAAAAGTACTAATTCAAAATATACTTATGGTGTGCCAACTATGTTCCAACTATTCTATGTTCCAGAATAGTAACAAAGATTAAATCCTCCCCAAATCAGGAACTATGCTATGTTCTGAGGATACAAGAGTAGTTGAATAGATCTAACTCTTTCCCTTATTACATTAACATCCAGTTTGTCTCAAAACAAGCAGCAATATTATTAAGAGTACCCACAGATCTCATTTTGGCATGCTGATTTTCTGAAAAAGTGCAGAATTTAAAAGGGAAAATGTAAATAGATATTCACTTCTTTTTTGTATAAGTAAAATCCAACTAGAACGAAAGCTCCTTGAAAAACAGACTTTATTTTGTTTACTATTGCATGTCCTTGGTAAGAATAGGTATAGCACACTGTGGACATTCAATAAATCTTGATGGGAGAAGGAGAAAGAAAAAAATGAAGGAAGAAAGAAAAGAAGCAAGGAAGAAAGGAAGCGGGGAAGGGAGGGAGGAAGGAAGGAAGGAAGAAAGGAAGGAAGGAAGGAAGGAAGGACGGACCACATGGTTTTTCTATTAAATCTTACAATGCTGGATTATGTCATTGACGTTAAATTATTCGATAACATTGGTAATAATATAAGAACAGATTTAATGAGATTTCCTTACCCCTGAGCCATTTATAATGCAAATTATATCACTTAGGCCTACACAAGATTGCTCCAAACATTTAATAAGATGTGTTGGAGAGGATAAAGAATGTTTTAAGATTTTTACAAAAGTAAATGTATTTCAAGACTCCCTACTGCTATTAATTATGAATTTCATGTTATTCTAGCCAGTGACTTGCAAATCAATGGGAATTATAATGTATTTAATATCATTATTTTAAAATTGAAAGAATTTTGTGTTTAACAAAATTGCTAAATACTGAATGGGGGAAAAAGAGAAGGGAAAGCAAAATTAACAAGTCAGCTTGGGTTTTTGGTCTCAAGACGATCTGATCCCTGTAGAAACAAAGGTCTAGCAACCATGCAAGTGACACTGAGAGCAGGATCCATGTTCCTCGAGCCATAGCACAGGGAAAAAGGGTGTGCTTTAAAGTCGGATTGATCCAGATTCCAATTTTTTCTGCTGCAAGTACTGACTTTGTGACCCTTCAATTCTCCATGTATAAGTTTTTATAATAATACTTTACTAGAATAGTGCAGCTGTTTAACGTAATAGTGATAGAAAGCACTAGCACTGAGCTTGATGAATAGTGGACACTTAATAAATGCACGATTCAACATGGAGACCATATATCCCTGCTCAGTATCTTGGTATACATCTTAAAAGTGTTTTATTCCATGGTCACATAGCAATTTGCATAGCTGGACAAGAAAAGTTTTGCATACACACAAAATTTCACTAGTAGTACATTAAAACAACAGTGTTTATTGTCACAGAAACCTCATATTTGCTAACATAGTTAGGCTTTTTTAGTGCCATAGACTCTTTTGTTGAAAATTCTCCTGTTTTTGAAATTCCAGTCAACGAAAGTGGGAATATTTCTTGTTCTTCAAAGACCAGTTGTGGATAAATTACAAGTAAAAGACCACATCTAGTCTGATAGAACTTTTTCAGTCTAAACAGAAGTATTTTCATGTAACCTAGGCTCCATAAAATAAGTGAGCTACATCAATTCATAAATGTTATTTCTCAGCAAATTTCAAAATGCACGAAATCCCTTTGAAGAACTTCCATATTGACCTTGACTGACTCTTGCACTATTCCTGTCACAGTCGCTGATTGATCACAGGGAAAATAGGTTGGGATTGAAAAAATGAAAGATGAAGTAGGACTAGGAGGACATTTTGACCCAATTTCACTCATATCTCCCAGCTTGCATGAAAAATGTAAAAAATGTAAAATCTATTTAAAAAAATAGATTTCAATGGAATAAGAAATGTGATATGCTACCTATTCGTTGAGATGTTAAGAAAG
The DNA here is from genome assembly GCF_000001405.40 of Homo sapiens. Taxonomy (NCBI): domain Eukaryota; kingdom Metazoa; phylum Chordata; class Mammalia; order Primates; family Hominidae; genus Homo; species Homo sapiens. The sequence goes on from NC_000012.12 coordinate 78,741,252, forward strand.
TAAACTTGACTATTAAAAGTCATACTGGGTGGTCTTTGACAAGCTCTTTATCTCCTTCTCTGAAAATAGCAGGATGACAAAATTAGGAAATCTTCTATATTTGATTTTGAGAAGCACTGTTTCATTTCAATCCAGATTCAGTTTTCTTTTAAGATTGACAATGTGGCCTAGCTTTACAGTGCATTTCTTCCAAAAGCAGTCTACTGAAACAACATTGCAGTATTGATTCATTCTACATGGTTGATAGTGTGATTGTATAATTAGAAGAACTGTGAAAACAGCTTTCACAGCTCTGCCCTTGTTGAAGAAATAAACAGCTCCATAGGCTGAATCTTTAAAACATTAAAGGATTTAAAAAGCAAGCACTTTGTTTGTGATTCATGCAGCCCATAATAATTAGGGTTACAGTTATCATTTAGTTATGCAGAAAGAAACTTGAGTGAGCAACATTTTCTAAGAGAAGAGAAGGCTTAGCTATTTCTTGACTTACCGTAGGTAATAGCAAAAGTTAATGATGAATGCTTAAAACAGTAGTTCTCAAAATTTAGCAAAATTGAGAACAGTAGTTCTCAAAATCACCTAATATCTTAAAACATTTATATTCCCCGGCATCCCTCCATGATGTTCTGTTTTAATAGGCAGAGTTTGGGTCTAGGAATCTGCATTCTGAATAAACCTCCAGGTTATTTTGCAACAAGTTATCTTAAGGCCACATTTTGAGAAACACCACCAGAGTAGAACAAAATCTCCCCCTTATATTGGCTGAAAATATTTGTCTTTACTTCACCAAAGACAACTTTTAAATCTACCTAAAAGACACTGCAAATAAGATATAGTAAACAACCCCCCCAAAAATATTTATTTTATTATATGTATATATGTATATAAAATAAGATATAATAAGATATATAGTAAGATATAGTATAAAATAAGATATATTAAATATGTGTATTTAAAAATTTAAAATATATAGTAAGATATCTTACTATATTTTATTTTATATACACATAATATATAAAGATATATATGCTATATAAATATATACAATATCTTACTATATCATATATATATATATATTTCTGGGTTTTTTACTGTATATATGTACTGGGGAACAATCTGATAACACAGAAATCACTGAGGACATAAAATTATTTCATCACAGTAACCAGGAGACCTAAGGCCTTAATCAGAAATCTAGGAAATACCAGTGAAAATCAGATACAGTGGTTTGGAGGGTTTTGTTCCACTTTCAGGTCTGACATATAAAGAGTTTCAAAGTCATCACTGCAGTCATTATAACAAGGACACACAGAAATCAGCAACTATTTGGACCCATCGAGAAATTAGGTTTCAGGGTAAACTGACACACAGAAATCTGGAGAGACAGGACAATATCGAGTCACTTCGGAGATAAGTTTACTTGGAGTAGAAAACTGGAACCATAAATTAACTAGTAGTAACACTTGAAGAGCAATTTTGATGAATCGCTAGAGGTTGAGTGTGAACTAGCATGAGAACAGGAAACTCTTTGGGCTACAGTCTTAGCGGTTCTCCATTCCACTGTGGGCTTTACTTCCAGGAACTTTGCTAAGTTCTCATATTGAAGATCAGAGAAAGATCCCTCTCCTAGCTCTGGCATAGAGAAGAAACAATAAAAATCCAGAACAGATTATTCAGGAACTGTGGGACAATTAAAAATGTGTAATACACATGCTATTGTAATGCAAGAAGAAAGAGAGATGGGAGCAGCAGAAATATTTGACTTAATAATGGCCAAGAGCTTCACAAAATTAAGAAGAAGCCCCAAACAACACATTCAAGAAGGTCCAAGAATAGCAGAATAAATACAAAAATACTAGCAAGCAAAAAAAAATGCCTATGCATTTTTTTTTAGTTTTTTTTTAATTGGCAGATACTGTTGTATATTTCTATCATGTATAACATGATGTTTTGAAATACATATACATTGTGGAATGATTAAATCTAGCTAATTAAGAATGCATTACTTTACATAATTTTTGTGGTAAGAGCACATAACATCCACTCTCTTTACATTTTCTAAGAATACAATATATTTTCATTAACTATAATCACCTTGCTGTACAATGGATCTCTTGAAATTTCTCCTAACTGTAATCATGTATGTAACTGACATCTCCTCATTCTCCCTTCCCCACTAACCACCTCAACCTCTGGAAACCACTGATATACTCTCTACTTCTATAGCTCAACATTTTTAGATTCCATATGTGAGTAATGTTGTACAGTGTTTGTCTTTCTGTGCCTGCTTTATAATGTCCTCCAGGTTCATTGCTGCTGTTTTAAATGGCAAGATCTCTTTCTTTTTTTATAGCTGAATACTATTCCACTGTCTGTATATACATTTTCTTTATTCACTCATACATTAATGGACACTTAAGCTGATTCCATATCTTAGATATTATGAATAGTTCTGCATAAACATGGGAGCATAGATATCTTTTTGACATACTTATTTCATTCCTTTTGGCTATATACCAACTGGTGGGATTGTTGGATCATATGGTAGTTCTATTTTTAATTTTTTGAGGAACTTTCATACTCTTTTCCATATGGCAATACTAATTTACATGCCTACCATGGTGTATGAAGGTCGCTTTTCTCCATAGCATCATCAGCACTTTCTTTTGTCTTTTTGGTGATGGCCATTCTAACTGGGGTGAGGTGATATATATAATATGCATATGGTTTTCAAACTGCAGAAAATCAACCACAAAATGAAAGTCTGTATTGAAACCATAGTACAAAAACACTGTTTTTATAGAGGAACAAAGAGAAAAGTCACAGTGGGCTTCAGGCCACAAAGTAAGAAAGTAATGAGTGTAGTGAAATATTTAAAGTGATAAAAAAAACAACCTCAACAACCTAGAATCTTATATCCAGCAAAATTATCTTTCCAAAGTGAAAGGAAAATAACAAAAACTCTAGAAGACCTGCTCTGCAATGAATGTTAAAAACCATTCTTCAGGCAAAAGGCAAATGATGTAGGTCAGAAATTTGAATCTATACAAAGAAAGAAAGAGCACCAGACAAGGAATAAAGAAAGATAAAACAAAAGATTTTTATTTTTTATTATTAACTTATCTAAAATATAATCCTTTAAATAAATCAACAATTTAACAATGTGCTAAATGATTATAGAATATGGATATGTGACAGATAGCAATATCCCAAGAGATGGGAAAGAACTGGGGATAAAGTATTCTATTAATAAGATTCCTCTTCCATAGGTGAAGAGTATAGTGTAATTTCAGGGTAGAATTAAATTAGTTAAACATGTAGCAAATATATATAGTAAATTCTAGAGCAACCTCTAATTAATGTGTTAAGGAAGGGAATTAAAATGGATTCATCTAAAATGTTCAATTAAAACCAGAAGAGGCAGACAAAGGGAGGAAAAAAAACAAACAAAAACACAATTAATAGAAAACAGTTACAAACAAGGTAGGTGTTAATTAAACTAAATTAATAACATACTAATTACAAATTATCTAAATGTGCTAATTAAATACCATAAATTTTCCAAATGGATCAAAATGGAAGACCCAACTCTGTACTTTCAGAAACATGCATTGAATATAAAGACTATATAAAGTTAAAAGTAAAGGGAAAGAGAAAAATGTGTCACATTAACAATAATCAAAAGAAGGCTGTAGTAATTATTTTTATTTCACAAAGAAGATTTCAGAACAAAGAAAAATATCAAGGATAAAGAGTGGCATTACATAATGATAAGAAGGTTAATTCTCCAAGACAATATAGCAATCTTAATTATATATGCACATTACAACACACAAAATTTGTGAGGCAAAAATGGATAGAACTAGATGTTAGTGTAAACAATGGAGTAAACACCTGTAAAAATTCTTTTTTTTTCTTTTTTTTGAGATGGAGTCCTGCTCTGTCGCCAGGCTGGAGTGCAGTGGCATGATATCAGCTCACTGCAACCTCTGACTCCCTGGTTCAAGGGATTCTCCTGCCTCAGCCTCCTGAGTAGTTGGGATTACAGGCGTCCACCACCACGCCCAGGTAATTTTTGTATTTTTTTTTAGTAGAGACAGGGTTTCACCGTGTTGGCCAGGATGGTCTCAATCTCCTGACCTCGTGATTCACCCGCCTCAGCCTCCGAAAGTGCTGGGATTACAGGCATGAGTCACCGCGCCTGGCCCAAACACCCCTAAAAATTCTTGCCTTCATAATAACAACAATAACAACCAAAAAAACACTGGAAAAATTTTTCAAAATCAACTTTTCTAGAATGCTGGAAACTAACTAGAGTCTGTAAGAAACCCAGGGAGCATTCATTCAATAAACAAATGAAACAAACAAACAGTTAAATCTTGGAAATAACAATGAGCTTTGTGGCATTTTTAGCTTGCCCTAGTCTCATCTCTTCTTTCCACCTATGCAGTAGTTTTAAAAAGTAAACAGCCCAAATTCGTAGTGCAGCCTGGAAGTTGTCTGAGGAAATACAATTTATTTACAACCCTTTCAAAGTCTTATGCACAAAGAATTGTCATTATTTAACCTGCCTGGCGGTTCCCTGGAAGACCCTAGTTGCAAGGCTGTTTGTATATAACATAACAAAGCATATCCAAGTGTAAAAAAGCCCTTTCTTTCACAGTTGTTTGTTGAAAACAATTACAGCAAGCATTTTAATTTTATAGCTGTCTGGAGTGGTGAATAACAGTGCAAACAATAGATTAACTGTAAATCTTAAGAGGAAAATCTGGAGAATAGTATGCGTAGAGACATTTTGAAAACCTCTGACATGTTCTTCGTAATCTAAAAATTCACATGCATGCTTGTATACATACTGAGGATTGTGTGCATGCCTAGGAAAGACCTGAGAGGCCCTGAACATTCACCTCCAGCTAATGCTCCAGCAGGTAGTTAAAAGTAAAAGATAAAGGCTAAGATAGAGATGTCAACTGCTTGTTGTGTTGAAGTGTTGAGTGTTGAAGGCATGCCCCAACATGTACAGAGAGCTTTTGGCAGACATTGGGATATTCATTTGTTCAAAGCAATAAAGAAAATGTCTGTTCAATATTAACTAACCAGTAAGCTAATTGAGCAGAGACTTCAATGGCCATAACAATAAAAAATACATATTTTGCAGAATTCATTCAGAAACATCAAGAAAAAAATGAAAACTACAGTAAATAGCAACAACAGCAAACTCTGGTGAAGGGAGAGAAACTGATTTCCAGATTTGCCACATTATATTATTTTACATGTCCAGTGTTCAACACAAAATTATGACACATACAAAGCAACAAGAAAGTGCAGCTCATAAACACATAAAAAATAAACAGTAAATAGAAACTGTTCTTGTAGAAGCCCAGACAGTTCACTTACTAGACAAAGACTTTAAGACAGCTATTTTAAATATGTTAAAGAGCTCAAAAAATGTTTCTTTTAAACATGGTTTACATAAGTACAGGAAAGTATGAGAATGATGCCTTATCAAATAGAAAATATCATTAAAAATACAGAAATTATTAAAGGAAACCAAATATAAATTCTGGAGTTCAATAGCACAATAACTAAAATGAAAAAAACATCACTAGAGGAGCTTAATAGCATATTGGAGCAGACAGGAGAAGAAATCTGGAAACTTGAAGTTAAATGGGATTGTTCAGTTTGATAAACAAAAAGAAAAAAGAATAAAGAATAATAAACAGACCCTAAGAGACCTGTAGGACACCATCAAACATATCAAGATAGGTATAATGGGAGTCCTATGAGGATAGAAGAGAAAGAAATAGGCAGAAAGAATATTTGAATAAATAATAACCAAAAACTTCCTAAATTTGATGAAAACATTATATGTTCAAGAAGCTCAATGAACTCCAAGTAGGGTAAACTTAAAAGATCCCCTCCTAAGCACATCATGATCAATTGTCAAAAGCCAAAGGGCAGGAGAGACTCTTAAAATCAACCAGAGAGAAGTGACTCATCACACTATATTGAGGATATAAATTATCCTCAATAATATTAATAGCTAATTTCTCATCAGAAACCATGGAATCCAGAACACAGCTGTGTGACATATTCAAAGTGCTTTTAGAAAAATTTAACCAAGAATTCTATATATAAGAAACTATTCTTCAAAACTAAAGGAGAATTAAGACATTCAGGTTTTAAAAAACACTGAGAGAATTCATTGATAGCAGACTTGAATTAATGTTCATATCAACATTATTCATAGTAGCTGAAAAGTGAAAAAACCCAATGTTCATCAATTGAATGAATAAATAAAACATGAAATATTCATACAATGGATTATTATTCCACCATAAAAAATAATGAAATGCTGATACATGTTACAAATGGATGAACCCAGAAAACATTATGCTAAGTAAAATAGCCAGATACAAAGGATGACAAATTATTTAGTTTCATTTACTTAAAATCTTCAAGAATGGAAAAACCCATAGAGATAAAATGTAGGTTAGTGATTGTGAGGTTTCTTGAGCAATAACCAACAAGCACAGGCAACAAAAGCAAAAATGGAAATATGAGATCACATCAAGTTTAAAAGCTTCTGCACAGCAAAGGAAACAATAAACAAAGGGGAGAAAAATAGAATGGGAAAAATATTTTCAAACTTTCCATCTGACGAGGGATCAATAACAAGAATATATAAGTTCAAACAACTCTATAGAAAAAATCTAATAACAATTAAAAAATGAGCAAAGATCTGAATAGACATTTCTCAAAAGAAAATATACAAATGGCAAACAAGCATATGAAAAGGTACTCAACATCACTGATCATCAGAGAAATGCAAATCAAAACTACAATGAAATGTCATCTCACCCCAGTTAAAATGGCTTTTATCCAAAAGTCAGATGACAACAAATGCTGGTGAGGATGTGGAGAAAAAGGAACCCTCATACACTGTTGGTGGGAATGTAAATTGGTACAACCACCATGTAGAACAGTTTGGAGATTCCTCAAAAAATTAAAAATAGAGCTACCATATGATCCAGCAAGCCCACTTTTGGGTATGTACGCAAAAGAAAGGAAATTAGCATATTAAAGAGTTATCTGTACTCCCATGTTTATTGAAGCACTATTCCCAATAGCTAAGATTTGAAAGAAACTTAAGTGTCAATCAACAGATAAATGGATAAAGTGTGGTACATATACACAATGGAGTACTATTCAGCCATAAAAAAGAATAATATCCTGTCATTTTCAACAGCATGGATGGAACTAGAGGTCATTATGTTAAGTGAAATAAGTCAGGCGCAGAAAGACAAACACATGTTCTCACTTATTTGTAGGTGCTAAAAATCAAAACAATTGAACTCATGGAGATAGAGAGTAGAAGGATGGTTACCAGAGGCTAGGAAGGGCAGTGAGGGGTTGGGGCGGGGAAGTCAGGATGATTAATGGGTACAAAGAGATAGAATGAATAACACCTAGTATTTAGTAGCAAAACAGAGTGACTATGGTAAAAAAAATGTGTACATTTAAAAATAACTAAAAGAGTATAATTGGATTGTCTGAAACACAAAGGATAAATGCTTGAGGTGCTGGATACTCGATTTACCCTGATGTGATTATTACGCATCGCATGCCTGTATCAAAATATTTCATGCAACCCATAGATATATACACCTATTATGTGCCCAAAAAAACAAAAAATTAAATAAATGTTTACCAAGATGGACCACATTTGGGTCATAAAATAGAACTTAATAAATTTAAAACCATAAAAATCATACAGCATATCTTCTCAGACCACACTGGAATTAAACTATAAATCAATAACAAAAAGATAGCTAGAAAATTTCTAAATATTTGGAATAAAACAGCATACTTCTTAATGATCCATTAGCCAAAAAATAAGTATTAAGAGAAATTTTAAGAATATTTTGAATTCCATGAAAATGAAAGTACGACTTGTAAAAAATTGTGAGAAGCAGTGAGAAGAGTTTAGAGGGAAATTTATAGAACTGAATTTACATACCAGAAAAGAAAAAAGATCTAAATTCATTAACCTACATTTCTAGTTAAGAATCTAGAAAAAGAAGAGTAATTTAAACCTAAACAAAGTGAAATAAAGTAACTTCTAAAATATTAGAGCAGAAATCCATGAATTTGTAGACAAAAATTAGAGCAAATCAATAAAACTGAAATCTTGTTATTTGAAAAGCTGAATAAAAATAAACCTTTAGTCACACAGAGGCCAAAGGAGAGAATATACAAATCGCCAATAGCAGAAATGAAAGAAGGTTATTACTACTGATATCATGAACATTAAAGAGTAATAAAGAGATACTTCCATGTGTATAAATTTGATAACTTAGATGAAATCGATCAATTACTTGAAAAACACAAGCTATAAAAACTCACACAGGGAGACATAAGTAATCTGAATAGATCTATATCAACTAAAGCAATTGAATCTATAATTAATAACCTTCCAAAACAGAGCACAATGCCTAAATAATTTTACTAATTAACTCAACAAAACATTCAAGGAAGAAATGATACCAATACTCCATAATCTCTTTCAGGAAATAGAAGCAGAAGGAACACTGTCTAAAAAGAAAGTAAAAGGCCAATATCATTAATAAACATAGATGTAATAATCCTCAACATAGCATTAGCAGATGTAATTCAAAAATGCGTAAAAAGAAATGTACACCATGACTAAGTGGGATTAATTCCAAGTATTCAAGCCTGGTCTAACATTCAAAAATCAATATACCATATCAAAAGGCTAAAGAAAAAAATTCTATCCTATTTATTGGTGCAGAAAAAGGTTTTACCTACTGATGATCAAAATGTTCAGCAAACTTCTAATAGAAAAGAACTTCCTAAAGTTAATTTTTGAAATATTTTATTAAAAACCTACAGCTAGCATAATATTTAATGATAAGAGAAAGATATTGAGAAGCCTCTGGTATTGTTTACAACACAAAGATATCATTTCTCAGCATTTTTATTCAGCATCATACTTGAAGTTCTACCTAGTGGAATAATGCATACATGGATAAATAAATAGCATAGAGATGGAAAAGAAAGGCAAAAAAAGGTTTTTGTTCCCAAATTGCATGATGGTCTATGGAGAAAGTCCCAAGGAATATTACCAAAAAAGAAGAGTACTTAGGTACTAATCTGACAATTTATGTACAGGATCTGTATCTATAAAATTGCAAAATACAAATGCAAGAAATCAAAGAAGAGTTGAATAAATGAGCTATTTCTTGTTCATGGATTGAGAGACTCAATACTTTGTCAGTTCTTCCCCTATCTGATTTTTACACTTAATCAAAACCCCAGAAAACTATTTAGCAGATGTTGACAAGCTGATTCAAAAGTTTATATAGAAAGGCAATACCTAGGCTAGTCAAACAATATGACACCAAAGTTCAAAGGCTTACACTACTTGTTTTTAAATCTTACTATAAAAACTACAGTAATCAAAACAGTGTGATAGTGGAGAAAGAATAGACACACAGATCAATGAAACACAATAGAGAGCCCAAAATGACAAACTCAAATACAGTTTACTGACTTTGTACAAATGTGCAAGTCATTTCAGTAGTGAAAGATTAATATTTTCCCACAAATGATGCTGGAACAATTGGGCATTCACATGCCAGAACTTAGATGCAGACCTTACAACTTTCAAAAATTGATTCAAAATGTATCAAAGACTATAAAATACCAAACTATAGAAGTTCTGGAAGAAAACATAGGACAATCTATATCATCTTGTGTTTGATTCTGAAGTTTTAGATAAAATATGAATAGCCCAATCAATGAAAGAAAAAATGGGCTGAAATGAAATTTGAAGTTATAGATAAGATATGAATAGCCCAAAGAAAAAAAATGGACTGAAATGAAATTGAAGTTATAGATAAAATATAAATAGCCCAATCAATGAAATAAAAAAAAGGACTGAAATGAAATTTGAAGTTATAGATAAAATATGAATAGCCCAATCAGTGAAAGAAAAAAAGGAGTGAAATGAAACTTTCTGCTGTGCAAAATTCACTTTAGAAAGCTTAATAATCTCTCCTAAAAGATATAAGGTCCTATTCTCTCAAACCTGTAAATATTATTTTATATTTGGAAAGGGAGTCTTTGCAAATGTGAGTAAATAAAGGATATTGAGAAGGTAGACACTAAATGTAATCACCTCTATAAAAAAAGTAGAAATAAATTTTATATAGACAAAAGTGATCACAATATAACCACAAATGCAGAGATTGTAGTGATGTGGCTACAAGCCAAGGAATTCCAACAGCCTCTAGAAGCTGGAAGGGGGCAGGAACAGGTGCTTCCCTTGAGCATCTGGAGAGTGTATTGCCCAACCAACACCTTGCTTTCAGCCCAGTGAAATAGATTTTGGAATCTGGCCTTCAGAAATGTGTGAGATTATATCTCTACAATTTTAGGCTTTTGTGGTAATTTGTTACAGCAGCCATAGAGAATGAATACAACATTGTTACGGGAATGAAAAAACAAGCCAAAGACTGGGGAAAAATATTTGAAAAGTGTGCATCTAATGATGAACTTGTATCTGGAATACACAAAACCCTTATAACTCGATAATAATAATACAAACCATCCAATTTAAAAATGAGCAAAAGATTTGACCAGTCAGCTTTAAAAAAAAATATATATATATATATAAATGTGTATATATATATTTGTGGTATATATTTATATATGTGATATATATTTTATATATTTGTGATTATATATATATCACATAAGTATTTGAAAAGGTGGTCAATATCATATACTATACTCTTAATAAAATGCAAACAAGGGCCAGGCGCCGTTGCTCATGCCTGTAATCTCAGAACTCCGAGGTGTGCAGATCACCTGAGGTCAGGAGTTTGAGACCAACCTGGCCAACATGGCGAAACCTCGTCTCTACTAGAAAAACAAATATTAGCCAGGTGTGGCGCACACCAGTAGTCCCAGGTACTCGAGAGGATGAGGCAGGAGAATTGCTTGAACCTGGGAGGTGGAGGTTGCAGTGAGCCGAGATCGTGCCACTGCACTCCAGCCTGGGTGACAGAGTGAGACTCCATCTCAAAAACAAACAAATAAATAAATAAATAAATAAATAAATAAATAAATAAAATGCAAACAAAAATAACAGTGAGAAAATATTACACAATTATTAGAATGGCTAAAATAAAATAAAAAATAGGCAATACCAATTTTGGTAAGCAAACGTGGAGCAACAAAAATTCTTGTTCATTACTGTGGGAGGAAAAAATGGTATAACCACTTTCAAAGACAGGTTGGCAGTTTCTTACAAAGTAGAACGTAGTGTTTACACATGATCTAGCATTGCACTTCTAGGTATTCACTCAAATGATTTGAAAACATATGTATATATAAATCTGCATGAGAATGTTTATAGCAGCTTTGTTTATAATCACTCAAAACTGTTATCAACCAAGATGTCCTGCAACTTAGGATGGATAAACAACCTGTGATACAGCCATATAATGGAATGCTTTTCTGCAATAAAAATGAATGTGCTATCAAGCCACACAAAGATATGGATGAATCTTAAATACATATTGCTAAGTGAAAGAAGCCAGCCTAATAAGGCAATGTATTTTATTACTGCATTAAATGGAATTCCTCAAAAGGCAAAACTGTAGAGACAGTAAACAAGAGGCTGTCAGGGGATTGGAGGAGTGTGGAGGAATTACATATGTGAAGAAAAGATGATTTATTTTTGGTGGTGAAACTATTATGTGTAATATTGTAATGGTAAATACATTACACTGTGCTTTTGCCAAAACCCACAGAACTTCACAGCACAAAGAATCAAACTTCATGGATGCAAATCTTAAAAATATTTTAAAACTCAGGTGATTTAAGGATAGGATGCTGAACATGACAAAAGAACCTAACTGTATTATAAAATATGAAGCGGCTTCACTTAATGGGGTTGGGGAATAAAAATGCTGACCTAAGTAACTTTGGAAATGAGTGGAGTCTTTTAAAGTAAAGGCAAAAGGAACTAAACATAGCTCTGTACTCTGGTTGATAAAGTTGGTTTCCAAAGGGTTAGTTGTTAGCAATTTTGAAATTATATATATTGTAATTGCACAGTGAAGTAAGTGGAAGAAGTTGGGAGTCAGTTTTCTCACTGTTTGAGTGGGAGGGTACATGTAATTAGGGGGTGTAGGGTAGAATGACCCACGTGCTAATGGACTAAAGTGGCAATATCAGTATCAACTCATATCTTGCTTAATGTCAGTAGGTATATTTACATATAGAAATATTTGTAGATATGTGTATATACACAGGTTAGTATACACACATTTTCTTTTCTTTCTCAGCTGAGAGTGCTTTTAAACAAATAGTCAAAATTTGTAATTTTGATTTCTGAACTTCCTTTTGAAATTCAAAACATTTCTATTGTTTATCAGTGTGATCTAGCCCTGATTATTGGCTTTATTCACACCTGAATTAACAAAATAAGAAATCTTAAACAAAAGTGTCTATTCATTCAGTTCATCATTCACTCATTCAAAAAGTATTTACTATGTGTTCATTCTGAGCCAAGAATATTTCACCCTGAGAATATAAAATCAATAATATTAATGACCTCATGGATTAATGAGGAGGCCATTCAGTAAACTTAATAATGATATATGTACTATATATTTATATCTTTGATATATTAAAATATTTCTAAAACAAGTAAAATAAAAAATGTTCTTACCCTGGAAGAAAATTTCAGAGCAAGAAAAATAATTCAGTTCTTGGCTTGGTATTTGACAATTGCCTATATATTTTTTCTTTACCATCCAGCCTGATTGTTGCAGTGTCTTCATTAATCCAATTTTGCACTTAATTCAACAAATTCTTGTTGACATCTAACATAAGATATTAATTCCCTTGTTCAATGTTTTTGGAGGGTAACTATAATCCTGTCTCTAGAAATTTTCAAGATGAATTAGATTATTACTTATCCTTAAATAGGTCAGTACAATGGGAGAGAAACACAATTAAAACAAAACAATTTAAATACACTGTCAAGATATGTGCAAAGCATCATGGAACTATAGGGCATACCACTTAATCTAGGCTGAAGGGCAAAGCAGATTCCTGTTAGATACCTTTTTTGAACTGTCAGACTAAAAGTTTGAGAAGGCACATGGGCTCCAGAAGCAGGCAGGAAGAATGTAAAAAATGAGAAATATACTGCATAAAGAACATGAACACTAAGAAAAAATAAGGTGAACACACAGGGAACTGAAAGAAGTTTAAGATGTCTCTTATGTCAGGCAGGAATGACAGGAGATGAATCTGGAGAAAGAGGAAGACTAAGATTATGGAGAGGCTTATGCCATGTTATAGAACTTGAATTTTATTCTATGGAATGAGAATAGCACGTGAGCTTTAAGATGGAAAATTATATGGGCAGATTAGAAGTGAAAGATGTATTCATCTCCTTGAAAATATTATAGCCTCAGAAATCAACTTTCTGTTTATAGGAGGTCGACTGTTCTTAGTCTTTGAAGAAACCTAGAGCTTAGGGACGAAGAAACAAATTCTTGACGTTACACCAGTGGCAAGGAAAGATACCAAGGACTCAAAGAAAAATAAACACAGTGAAAGTTCTTATTCTAGTGAATTTATCTCTCTTTTTTTTTTGTATAAGAAAGTTAGGACTGTGAATTCTGAGTTCTGAGGCTGATCTTTAGAAATATCTATTTTAAGGACTGGAACATTTAAAGAGCAAGACATCTCTACAACAGGTTGGCATATGTAGGAGAAAGATATTTTGTGTACTTTGCATGATCTGAGCAGGATCACTCAAATGGTCACAAGCAAAGATTATCATAATTGAAATTAAGCTTTTGGTTTCTTCTTGTTAAGAATGTGCCTTTTGGTTGGCATTATAAAATGCTTAACACATGAAAGCACCTTCTTTTGAAGCTGGTACAGTGATTACAGAAACACATAACTTTCCTCTTAGTCAACCAAATGAAGCAAATTATAGTGAGGGCTGCAAAGAAGAAAATTACATGTTGTCAACACTTTCGGCAATAGAGTAATAATTTTAATAAAAACTTTACTTATTAATTTTGTCTATCACTTTCTTTCTATGTGTTATTGTTGGATGACTAACCATCCCAATGGTCTAGACAGGTTCACATTAAACGTTTTCTTCTTTAGCAAAGGTTTTTCTAGAAGCTTTCATAGCATTTCATATTTTTATTCATTTATCAAAAAGTATAATGAAAGTGACTAGAAATAAACTCGAAGTTGTTGAGAAGGGAGAAAATTTGAAAAAAAAATCTGACAGTGCACTTAATCTCAGATTTAAAGTGTCACAGAATCACTTGCAAAGACCAGCACTATTCACAATAGCAAAGACTTGCAACCAACCCAAGTGCCCATCAATGATAGACTGGATAATGAAAATGTGGCACATATACACTGTGGAATACTATGCAGCCATAAAAAGGATGAGTTCATGTCCTTTGCAGGGACATGAATTAAGTTGGGAACCATCGTTCTCAGAAAACTAACACAGGAACAGAAAACCAAACATTGCATGTTCTCACTTATAAGTGGGAGTTGAACAATGAGAACACATGGACACAGGGAGGGGAACATCACACAACAGGGCCTGTTGCGGGGTCGGGGGCTAGGGGAGGGATAGCATTAGGAGAAATACCTCATGTAGATGACGGGTTGATGGGTGCAGCAAACCACCATGGCACATGTATCTCTATGTAACAAACCTGCACGTTCTGCACATGTATCCCAGAACTCAAAGTATAAGAAAAACATAAAAGAATAAAAATAAGAAAGAAATTTCTCCACTGTAAATTTACTCTTTGTTAAAGTATAATAAAAAAATTAAAGAAATGTATTAAAATGATAATGACAACATGAAAAAAAATATTGTTTAACATATAATGCCACCGGCCACATCTCTCTTGATTTCAAGAGGGTGAGTAAGATTTATATTTTTTAACACAGACATTTCTGATGCACCCCAAAGTTTGAGAATCAGGGTTAGAAAATAATATAACCTTCATATATCAGTTTAAAAAACTGACTTAAAATTTTCTAGCAAGAACAAGAGTGATTCTTTGCAGCATGCTTAAACATAGAAGTTTTAAAATGCTGTTAAATTCTCTGTTAAAATATGCATGTCATCTACAATATCTGAGTTGAAGATAAAATTTATTTGAATGACTCAGTATAATAATATTTAATAAAGAGTACTATCTATGCATTTAGCAAGTTACTTAATCTACTTATATCTTGGTTTCATCTTCTATAAGATGATCAATAATAGCATTTCTATCATAGAGTTTTAAGGATTAAATGAGATAATATGTAAGGTGTTGGGCACTGGGCATGGCACAGAGTCAGCACTCACTGAATGTTGCATATTGATTTTACCATTACTATTTTTGTATGTATATGATGATGATAGTTCTTATTTAAGTTACAAAATAGAACATACAGTAAAAAGTTGTAATTTCTCACTCATAAAATTGGTTTTAATTAGTTTCTAGAACTCTTACATCAGAATAGAAAAACCAGAAGATTGTGTAGAGTGAAAGCATTCAGGCTTTTTGTAAACAGCTAATCTTAGTATAAACTGGCCAACTTTGCAAAAAAAAGCAACATAGTGAGAGAGAGAGAAAAGGTACAAACAAAATTAGTTTGCTTTCAGGACTGCTCCTTTTATCTATTGCTGCATAGCAAACCACTCTAAATTTAGTTGCATTAAAATAACATTTAAAAATATTATCTCTCATAGTTCCTGCATTTACTGGGCTCAGCCAAATTTCTCTTTGTTAGGATTTATCGTGTGATGGAAGTCCGTGACTGGAACTGGAGACATATCAAAGGCCTTTTAAAATATATTTTTTAATGCTCAACATCACCAATTATCAGCATGCAAATTAAAACCACATTGAGATGTCATCATACACCAGTCAGAATGGCTTTTATTTAAAAAGTTAAAAGAATTGGGAGACCAAGGCAGGAGACTCTCATGAGGCCAGGAGTTCAAGACCAGCCTGGTCAACAGAAGGAGACCCTGCTTCTATGAAAAGTAAAAAAAGAAAAGAAAAAAAAAAAAAAAAAAAACTAGCCAGGCTTGGTGGCATGTGCCTGTAGTCCCAGCTACTTGGAAATCTGGTGCAGGAGAAGGAAGGATCAGTTGAGCTCAGAAGTTCCAGGCTGCAGTGAGCTATGATCACACTACTATACTCCAGCCTGGGCACAGAGCAAGACCTCGTATCTAAAATAAATAAATAAAAATGAAAAAACGACAGACGTTAGCATGGATGTGGAGACAAAGGAATACTTATACACTGTTGGTGGGAATGCAAATTAGTTATTTCAACCTCTATAGAAAACAGTATGGAGATATTTAAAAGAACTAAAAATAGAACTACCAATTGACCCAGCAATCCCACCACTGGGTATCTACTCAACGGAAAATAAATTGTTATATAAAAAATCATTCCTGCCCTTGAATGATTATCCCAGCACTATGCACAATAGCAAACACATGGAACCAATCTAAGTGTCAACCAATGGTTGATTGGATAAAGGAAATGTTCAAATACACCATGGAATACTATGCAGTCATAAAAATGAATGAAATCATATTTTTTGCAGCAACATGTATGGAGCTGGAGGCCATTATCCTAAGTGGACTAACTCAGAGGCAGAAATCAATCAAATCTAATACCACATGTTCTCATTTATAAGTGGGAGCTAAACAATGAGTACACATGGACTTCAAGATGCAGATAATAGAAACTGAGGACTCCAAAAGGCAAGAGAATAGGAGGAAGTGAGGGTTGGAAAATTGCCTGTTGGGTACAATATTCAATATTTGAGTGATGAGGACACTAGAAACCCAGTCCCCACTGTGATGCAATATACCTATGTGACAAACAAGCACACATAACCTCTACATCTAAAATAAATAATAAAATACTTTTTTTGTTGTTTTACAAATTTCATATTTACAAATTATTACAAAAACAGTAATTTTTTATACCGCATACCCAGTTTTCACAATTATTAGCAATTTACATTAGTATGGTACATTTGTCACAATTAATGAACTAATATTGATATATTGTTATTAACTAAAGTCCATAGTTTATTCAAATCTCTTCAGTTTTACTGTAATTTTGTGTTTCAGGATTTCATCCAGGATAACACATTACATTACATTACATTACATTACATTACATTACATTACATTACATTACATTACATTCTATCACATTCTATCTTAGTCTGTTTTCTGCTTCTAGAACAAGATACTACAGACTGAATAATTTGTAAAGAAAGGAAATTTATCTTTCACAGTTCTGTATGCTAGGAATTCCAACAGCCTGGCACTGGAATCTTGTGAGGGTCATACCATGGAAGAAAGGCAAAAGGAGAAGTAATTACACTAGACAGAGAAATAGGACTAAACTTATTCTTTTATCAGTAGTTCACTCCCTGATAACTGACTCACTTTTGTGATGATGGCATTAATCCACTAATGAGGGCAGAATGCTTATGATCTAATCAGCTCTTAAAATCACCACCTCTTAGTACTGTTACAAAGGCAATTAAATTTTGACACAAGTTTGGTGGGGACATTCAAACCACAGCACATACATAGTCATTTATCCCCAAACCCCTTAAACAGCCTTCAGATTCTTTGCTTTTGATGACTTTGAGAGTTTTTAGGATTAACAGTCAGGTTGCTCATATAATGTTCCTCAATTAGGATTTGCCTGATGTATTCCTCATGATTTGACTGGAGTATGTGTTTTTTGGGGGAAGACCATGGAAGTAAGGGGACATTCTCATCATAAAATGTCAAGGAAACATATATCAATATGGATTCCCACTGTTGATTAGCTGTATTTATTTTCTATTACTGATATAACAAGTTATCACAAATTTAGTAGTTCAAACAACAACAACAAAATCTTACATTTCTAGAGGTTACAAGTCCAACATGAATCTCACTAAAATCAAAATGTCAGCAGAGCTGTCCTCTCTTTCAGAGGCTCTAGAATATTTTCAGGTCCTATCCCAAACTGAGGTCCAAGGGGAGTCAGTGGGCAGGAAGCTGGAAAAACACTTGAAGAATCATAGGCAGTTTCAACATGGCTTTATTGTCTCTCTGGGCGAGAAACATATGTATAGCATCAGCAGGGTAATGATATCCTTTGCAGACAATAGTGGCTCTGAGCCAAGCACAAGCTCACGTGAGTGGTCACCTAATGAGCCTCACATGGCGTTGTTACAGATAGTGCAGAGTTGTGTGTCTGCACTCCAAACCTGCTGAGTCATGCTGTGTGGGAAGGCTGCCTTGGCCTACTCCTGACTAAAGCGCAGCCATTTCCCTTACAAATAGCATCCATTTCTTTTATTTTCCAGCTTCAGGATGTTGCCCTCTTCCCTTGACTCCTGGTATCTTTCACCCACCATCAAGGTCAGCAGTGTTGCATCTCTCTGGCTTTTCCATTGTCACATCTCCTGACTTTCCTCTTGTGTTTCTTTCTTTCATCTTTAAGGATCTTTGTGATTTCATTGGTCCCACCTGAGTAATGTAAGATACTATGCCTATATGAAGGTCAACCGATTAACAATCTCAATTCTTTCTTCCACCTTAATTCTGTCTTGCCCTGTAACAAACATATTCACATGTTCCAGGGACCAGGACATGCACATTGTTGAACCAGTATTATGCCTACTGTCATAATCTTGATTACCTGGATTGAGGTAATATTTTTCAGGTTTCTCCACTGTAAATTTACTCTTTGTTTCCCCCCTTTCTCTACTGTACTCTCTACAAGAAAGTCACTATATCCACAGTTAAGGGGCAGGAAATACATATTCTACTTCCTTAAGAGCAGAATAACTACATAAATTATTTGGAAGTATTTATCTATTTTCCCCCATTTATTTCTTACTGAATCATTTTTATAATTATAGACACATGAATATTTATTTTATGCATTGGGTTATGATCCAATACTACTTAGTTACTTTGTATTTCAAGTTTTTCAGCTTGGTTCTTGGGAACTCATTCAGGTGACTTCTATATCCCTTTGACATGCCCTCATAATATAGAGTTTCTTTTTATTTTTTGAGCATGTTCTTCCTTTCTAGAATTACAAAATGCTCCAGCATCTGCATGTATACTTTTTGCTCCAGTTCAAAAATCAGCCATTTCTCTAAAAGGCCCTTGCTCCTTTTACTGAAGTCCAAAGTCTGGGTGGTAGGTAAATTTGTTGCTATTACAGTATCATTGTTTTTAGAACCTTTCAGCCGATAAAGCACAGAGACATGTGTGTATTAAACTATGCATACAAACATATCTATAAATATTTTATATTTAACTACCTATATCCATATTAAGCTAATGATGAGTTAATAATGATGCCTCCAACTCTAATCAAGTATCATATGGATCATGCTACCTTTTTACCCTTGTGTATTTATAATCTACAGCTCCAGTAATTAGAAATATGACTCTGTATTAGTTCATTTTCACACTGCTATAAAGAACTACCTGAGACTGGGCAATTTATGAAGGAAAGAGTTTTAATTGACTCACAGTTCCACATGGCTGGGAGGCCTCAGGAAACTTATAATTATGGCAGACGGCAAAGGGGAAGAAGGAACAATTTTCTAGTGGTGGCAGGAGACAGAGAGAGAGGGAGGAAGTGCCACTTTTAAACTATTGGATCGCATGAGAACTCACTCACTATCACAGAAATCCACCCTCATGATCCAATCACCGTGACACGTGGAGTCTCTCCAGTGACACGTGGGGATTGCAATTCAACATGATAATTGGGTGGGGACATAAATCCAAACCATATCAGACTCCTACCATCTTCTTCCACTTTCTTTATTGTTCAATTTCTCTATACATATATGGTGGTTTTAGAATTGTTAATGCCTATGCCATGGAAAATAATGTTATCAACCAGAATGCAATTATTTTTATTTTTATTTTTATTTTTTGAGACAGAGTCTTGCTCTGTTACCCAGGCTGGAGTGCAGTGGCATGATCTTGGGTCACTGCAACCTCCACCTCCGGGGTTCAAACAATTCTGCCTCAGCCTCCCGAGTAGCTGGGATTACAGGCAAGTGTCATCATGCCTGGCTAATTTTTGTATTTCACCATGTTGTCTAGGCTGGTCTTGAACTTCTGATCTCAAATGATCCTCCTACCTCGGCCTTCCAAAGTGCTGGGATTACAGGCATGAGGCACCACACGCAGCCTAGAGTGCAATTTTTATGTATACTTTATTTTGCCTTCAGTCTAATACTCTCCACTTTTATCTAAAGTTATTTATATCAGTGCTTTATTCTGCCACTCCATTTGGTGAGGTTGTTTTACGTATTTGTAATATAGTCATGTTCTTTTATTCCATTTAATAATTATCCTGGAATTCCCTCAACCCTAAATGATTTTTAAAGCATTGGAATACTTTTTTTTAATTTTATTATTATTATACTTTAAGTTTTAGGGTACATGTGCACAATGTGCAGGTTAGTTACATATGTATACATGTGCCATGCTGGTGTGCTGCACCCATTAACTCATCATTTAGCATTAGGTATAACTCCTAAAGCTATCCCTCCCGCCTCCCCCCACCCCATAACAGTCCCCAGAGTGTGATGTTCCCCTTCCTGTGTCCATGTGTTCTCATTGTTCAATTCCCACCTATGAGTGAGAATATGCGGTGTTTGGTTTTTTGTTCTTGCAATAGTTTACTGAGAATGATGATTTCCAATTTCATCCATGTCCCTACAAAAGACATGAACTCATCATTTTTTCTGGCTGCATAGTATTCCATGGTGCATATGTGCCACATTTTCTTAATCCAGTCTATCATTGTTGGACATTTGGGTTGGTTCCAAGTCTTTGCTATTGTGTATAGTGCCGCAATAAACATACGTGTGCATGTGTCTTTATAGCAGCATGATTTATAGTCCTTTGGGTATATACCCAGTAATGGGATGGCTGCGTCAAATGGTATTTCTAGTTCTAGATCCCTGAGGAATCACCACACTGAATTCCACAATGGTTGAACTAGTTTACAGTCCCACCAACATTGTAAAAGTGTTCCTATTTCTCCACATCCTCTCCAGCACCTGTTGTTTCCTGACTTTTTAATGATTGCCATTCTAACTGGTGTGAGATGGTATCTCATTGTGGTTTTGATTTGCATTTCTCTGATAGCCAGTGATGGTGAGCATTTTTTTATGTGTTTTCTGGCTGCATAAATGTCTTCTTTTGAGAAGTGTCTGTTCATGTCCTTCGCCCACTTTTTGATGGGGTTGTTTGTTTTTTTCTTGTAAATTTGAGTTCATTGTAGATTCTGGATATTAGCCCTTTGTCAGATGAGTAGGTTGCGAAAATTTTCTCCCATTTTGTAGGTTGCCTCTTCACTGTGATGGTAGTTTCTTTTGCTGTGCGGAAGCTCTTTAGTTTAATTAGATCCCATTTGTCTGGTGCTGGGAAAACTGGCTAGCCATATGTAGAAAGCTGAAACTGGATCCCTTCCTTACACCTTATACAAAAATTAATTCAAGATGGATTAAAGACTTAAACGTTAGACCTAAAACCATAAAAACCCTAGAAGAAAACCTAGGCATTACCATTCAGGACATAGGCATGGGCAAGGACTTCATGTCTAAAACACCAAAAGCAATAGCATTGGCATACTTAAAGTTAACGCTTTGTACAGTAAAGTTCTGTAAGTTTTAACAGATGCTTAATGTCCCGTACTGACCATTAGATTGTCATACAGAGCACTTTTACTACCCTAAAAATACCTTTGTGATTCACCTATTCTAACCACTGCCCCCGAATGCCTGGCACCCAATAATAGGTTTACTCTCTCAAGTTTTGTCATTCCAGAATGTTATATAAATTGGAATCATACAGTATGCAGTGTTTCCAGACTGTCTTATTTCCCTAGCAATATGCCTTTAAGGTTCGTCTGTGTCTTTATTTGACTTTATAGTGCATTTCTTTTTATTGGTGAATAGTACACCATTACACAGATAACCAGAGTTGTTTTATCTATTCACCTATTATTGTGGGACAGCTTGGTTGCATCCAGTTGTTGACACTTATGAATAAAGTTACTATAAACATTAATGGAAGGTGTTTGTGTGAACATACATTTTCAAATCAATCAAGTAAATATATAAGAGCATACCTGTGAAACTGTACAGTAAGACTATGTTTAGCTTTATAAGAAACTTTCAAGCCATTTTCTATAGTCATACCATTTTTTATCTTCACCAGCAATAAATGAGAGTTCTAATAGTTCTGAATCCTCACAAATATTTATATTGTCAGTATTTTTAGATTTTAGCCATTCTGATAGATATGTATTACTATCTCAATGTTGTCTTAATTTTCATTTTTCTAATGGCAAATGATGTTGAGCCTATGGGGAAGGAAGACGTAATATTTCAACAAGTAAAGAGAACATTAAAGTCTTGGACAACAGTCTAGGACAGGGAACGCCAAACTTTTTCTGTAAATGATCAGATAGATACTTATACTTCTGGCTTATGGGTCAGATGATCTCTGTCATAGCTCCTCGTCTTACTTTTTTTTTTTCAAAGCAGCCATAGGCCATACATAAATGAATGAGTTGATTAAACTGTAAAATTCATTTACAAAAATAGGCAGTGGGCCAAATTTGGCCCATGGACTTTGTTTACAGACCTCTTGTTTAGAACAATAATGTAAACAAAGTTGAAGGGGAAGAAATTCACAAATGCTATTTTTGAAATAACTAAGTAGGACATGTTGGCTAGGATAATGGGTAGGAGAAAATAAAGAGTAAGATTGAACAGAAATCTGTGAACAGATACTGTAAATTCTTGGGAAAAGTTGAGGGCATAGAATTTATTATGTTAACAAACAACATTCAAATATAACTAATTAAATATTTATCATTAAATAATAATATAACAATGTAAAGGGCATGTTAAAAACTGACCATAATATCATTTCTTTAATGCAGTGACTCTGTGCATTTTTGCATGTTCCCTGTGTGTTCCCAGAGCTTTCTGACTTTCTCACACTGCCTTACAGTAATCTGTTTATAGGCCACCTGCTCCCCTGCATGGAGACTGAGAGCTTCTAGGAGGCAAAGAGTTTAACTGTTTCTGTATCCGTGATACTGATCACAGCATCTAGTACTTTAAAAAATTAAAATAAAATTAATATACATACATATATACATATATATACATATGTAGGTAAAAATGTATGTATATGTATTACCTATGCTCTTTAAATTGGGGTTATCTTGATAAATCCATCATAATTCAAAAATATTGTATGTCAAAATGCATTTAATACCCTGATCAGTCCATCATAAAGTAAAAAATTCACAAGTTGAACTATTTTAAATCCAGATGCTTTTTAACGTACAATGGGGTTACAACCCACCCCCAAAAAACTATCATAAAGTCCAAAAATGGTAAATCAAACCATATATATGCATGTCTATATATACATATTTATGCAAATGTGTATAGTTTTTTTACAGGAGCGATGCCTACTTATGGTTAAAAACTAGCAATAAAGAAATATACGAAATCAAAAGTAAAAGGTCTTCATAACACGAAGACAGTATTATTAAGAATTTATATATACTCTCAGACACTTTTTTCTGTTCATCCTAACTTCATGTCCATATAATATTTAAAAATATGCTAACCAAATTTTACACAAAATATATTTTGTGTATTTGAGTTCAATATAGCATAGTAAGCATAATTTGTTATCAAATAGTGAGTGTAATTATTTTTCTCATGTCTGCATCAAAATTCATTGAACTGATAAGCCCTAATTAACTTAATGATTCTTCTATTATAGAGCACTTAGGTTCCTTCCAATTTTTACAATTATTAATAAAGCTTCACCAAGAGTCTTTAAGGCTATAGCTGTAAATAAATGGAATTAGTATTTTAAAATACATTTCCAAGAATAAGGTTAGTGAATACAAATATATATATACCAAGTTATATCATCACCAG
This sequence comes from Homo sapiens, assembly GCF_000001405.40. NCBI lineage: Eukaryota > Metazoa > Chordata > Mammalia > Primates > Hominidae > Homo > Homo sapiens. Next base: position 78,765,372 of record NC_000012.12, read on the forward strand.
TTATGCAAATGTGACTTCCTTATACTAATATCAACATTGCATATATATGTATATGTATACACACATGCAAATGTACACAAATATATATATTTAAATTGATCAATTTATTTAAGTAAAATTATACCTGATTATTGCTTCTTCTTCTTGTGCTTATTTGATTAATAATGTATACTATTTTATAATGAATTGATTTCTTATTTGTGTTTTTTATATCATTATCCCATTTCTTTATTGCTCTTTATATTATGTTCATATAAATGTGAATGTACTCTTCATACACTACAGTGTTAACCCTTTTTATGTACATGATTAAGAGTTTTACCATTTGACATCCTGTAAGTGATGTTTTTATTATATTCCTTAAAGTCTTTTACATTGTATTCTTATTGTATGTTTCTGAATAGTGATTTGCTGTATTCCTGACCTACTTCCTCACTAATTTGATACTAGGGGACTATAAATTTATCTTCAATTGTTTGAGTTTTTGTTTGATTGTTGTTTATAGATATATTGTCGTATTACTTTAAATATACATAACAGTCAGGAAAAATACTCTGCGATATTTCTGATTTTATGCATTAATCTAATCTTATTTTTATATTATTATATGACAAATTTTGACAAATACTATTTGGTCACTAAAGGTAATGTCTATTAATTATCTTATGTAGGAGAATATTGTTAATTTAATTTTTATCTGATTTTACCACTTTGATCAATCAGAATGATAAGAGATCTAAAATAGTCAAAATCTTTCACTTCAATTGTCTTTTCATATACATTTTTAACGATCCATTTATTCCTATTTTATGCACATTTAGCATTGTTTGGTATAACTAGATGTAATGTTTCTATGTTTTAATTGGTGCTTATTTTCTGCTCATAACATTATTTTAAAATATATAAACCACAAATTTTGGAACATAGAACTTGAAAATCCTAAATATATCTACCCCTAGAGAAAACCAGTGTTAACCATTTGGCATACAGTTCTTTGTTTCTGTTTCTTTTAAATGTACATAGTAATGTTTGTAGAGCTACAAACATTTGTTTGTTTTCTACAAACAAAACTGGGTCTATATTCAACATGCTCATTTCTTTTAATTGCAGTAACATTTATATATGTACAATGTAGAAATCTTAAAAGTACAATCCTGTGCATTTTGATGAATGTCTATGCAACTGTGTAACCAATATTCCTGTAAAGATTTGCGGTCAACTGACTTTTAATAGAAGTGCCATAATTTCAACAGGTTCACTTGTGGCAAGTAAATCTCTCCCCACATACTCTAATTTATGCTAACATAGATAATATTGCCTATACTTTAATTTCATGTAAATACTATTATACAGTACGTATACATTTGATCTGATTTGTTTCACTCCAATGTTGTTTTTGAGATGCATATATATTGTATGTAGCATGTGTCGGAAACTCATTTTTCCTATTGTTGGAAATGATTACACCAGTGATATAAAATGATATTTACCCATTGCTCTGACAAAGGATATATGAGTTTCTAAGTTTTTTATTTTATTTTATTTTATTCTTTTGAGACAGGCTCTCACTCTGTCATCCAGGCTGGAGTGTAGTGGCACTATCTCAGCTCACTGCAACCTCTGCCTTCCGGGTTCAAGCAATTCTCCTGCCTCAGCCTCCTAAGTAGCTGGGACTACAGGCGCGTGCTACCATGTCTGGCTAATTTTTGTATTTTTTGTAAAGATGGGGTTTCACCATGTTGGCCAGGCTGGTCTCGAACTCCTGGCCTCAAGCAATCGACCCGCCTTGACCTCCCAAAGTGCTGGGATTACAGGCTCTAAGTTTGGCTATCAAAATCATTAGGAAAAAAGTAACTGCCAAAGTATTTTTCTCATAATGATTATAACATGTTACCCTTTCATCTCCAACATATAAGTATTCTCTTGTTCCACATCCAAGACAACTTTTGATATTGGCAATTATTTTATTATAATTATAGTAAGATACATATAGCATAAAATTTACCATTAGTGACATTTAGTACATTCACAATGTTGTATAACTATCGCTGCTATCTAGTGCCAGAGTATTTTCATTATTCCAAAGGAAAACCCCATACCCATTAATGAGTAACTTTGTCTCCTTCTCACTCTAGATAACAATTGATTCTGTTTTCTGTTTCTGTGTAATTTTGGCAGTTTCTAATTTTAGCTCTTCTAATAATGAAGTGACAGCTTTAAATTTTCATGTGTTTTTTTTTTTGGTGAATAATGATTTTAAATACCCTTTCTTATGCGTATTGGCCATTTGTATATGTACTTGTATAAAGTGTGTGAGTAGTTCAATTAGTTTGGATACAAGTTATGGGGCAGGTCAAGTATATCAGGGGTCACCAAACACTGGGCCACAGACCAGTCCATGACCTGTTAGCAACTCGGCCACACAGCAGGAGGTGAGCCATGGAGGAGCAAAGGTTCATCTGTATTTAAAACTGCTCCCTATCTCTCATATCACTACCTGAGTTCCACCTCCTGTTAGATCAGCAGCAGCATTAGATTCTCATAGGAGCGTGAACCCTGTTGTGAACTGTACATGCAAAGGATCTAGGTTGAATGGTCCTTATAAGAATCTAATGCCTGATGATCTGTCAGTCTCCCATCACCCCCAGATAGTTGCAGGAAGAAAAGCTCAGGTCTCCTATGGATTCTAAATTATGGTGAGTTATATAATTATTTCATTATACATTACAACATAATAATAATAGAAATAAAGTGCCCAATAAATATAATATGTTTGAATCATCCCAAAACCATTCCCCCACTGCCCAGATCTGTGGAAAAATTATCCTCCACAAAACCGGTCCCTGGTGCCAAAAAGGTTAGGGACCACTGAAATATATGTATTGAGACTATTATCTCTAAGTTTGTAGCTTATACACATTTTTCATATCTTCTGATGAACAAAAGTTTTAATTTTGATATAGTCTAATTTTTCCTTTTTTAAGATTATTGCTTTTTGTGTCTTCTCTAAGAAATATTTGCCCATCCCAAGATCATGAAGATACTCTACATTTCCTTCTAGAATTAAGAAGTATTTCATATATAAATTTTAAAATCTCACAAAATTGTTAAAATATTGATACTAGCCAAAGTGATCTATAGATTCAATACAATTCTTATCAAAACATCTATGATATTTTCACAGAAGTAGAAAAAAATTCTAAAATTGATATGGAATCACAAAAGACCCTGAATAGCCAATGCAAATTTGAGTAAAAATAACAAAGCTAGAGGCATCACACGGCCTGGCTTCAAAATACACTACAAAGCTATATAACCAAAATAGCTTCTTAGTACTGGCATGAAAATGGACACATAAACTAATGGGACACAATAAAGAACCTAAAAATAAATCCACAGATTTACAGCCAACTGACTTGTAACAAAAGTGCAAAGAATACACAATGGAGAAAGGGCCGTGGCTTCAATAAATAGTGTTGGAAAAACTGGAAATGCACCTGCAGAAGAATGAGATTAAACCTTTATCTTACACCATATACAAAAATCAACTCAAAATGGATGTCTTACATTTAAGAGCCAAAGCTTTAAGTCTATTAGAATAAAACATAGCTGAAAAGCTCCGTGACATGTGTCTAGGCAATGATTTTTTTGGATATGACCCCAAAAACACAGGCAACAAAAGCAAAAATAGACAAATGGAATTACATTGAACTAAAAAGCTTCTGCACAGCAAAGGAAACAATCAACTGAGTGAAAAGACAGCCTACACAATGCGAGAAAATACAAGCCGTACATATGATAAGTGGTTAATATGCAAAATATAGAAAAAACTCAATTCAATAGCAAGAAAACAATCTGATTTTAAAATGGGCAAAGGTCCTGAACAGATTTTTCAAAAGAGGATACACAAATGTCCAGCAGGTATTTGGAAAAAATGCTCATCGTCAGGAAAATAGAAATTAAAACCATAATGAAATATCACCTTTCTCCAGGTAGAACAGCTATTATCTAAAAGACAAAAGATAAATGTTGGAGAAAATGCGAAGAAATGGGAATTCATGCACACTGTTGGTGAGAATATAAATTAACACAGTCATTATGGAAAACAATATGGAAGTTCCTCAATAAACCAAAATTAGAACTAACATATAATCCGGCAATCCCATATGGGTATTTATCCAAAGGAAATAAAATAATCATGTTGTGGATATATCTGCACTCCCATGTTTGTTGCAGCATTATTCACAATAGCCAACATATGGAATCAACCTAAAATATCCATCAACAGATGAATGAAGAAAATATGGTATACATACACAATGGAATACTATTCAGCTAAGAAAAAGAAAATTCTCTCATTTGGGGCAGCAATGATGAACCTGGAGGACATTATGTCAAGTGAAATAAGCCAGACAGAGAAAAACAAATATTGTATGATTTCACATGTATGTTGATTCTAAAAAAGTAGAACTCATAGAGGTAGAGAGTAGAATGGTGATTAACAGGGATTTGGATGGTGGTGGGAGAGGAGGTTTGGAAGATGTTAGTCAAAAGTTACAAAGTTTCAGGAAGATAGAAGGAGTAAGTTCAAGAGATTTATTGTACAGCATGGTGACTATAGTTAAGAACAATGTATTATATTTTGTATTCCAATTTTTTAAATTATGTATTGTAATCTCAAAAAATTTTAAGGGAGGTCTTATGTTCTCACCACAAAAATTATAACTATGTGAGGTAATGTATATTTTAATTAGCTTGACTTAGCCATTCCCCAATGTATACATTTTTCAAAATATCACGTTGTTCACAGAAAATATACAATCTGTCATTTTCAAAATAAAATGAAACTTACAATAGTGTAGTTCCAATTACTCTATTCTCTTCTTTATGTTGTTGTTATGATTTACCTCTACAAAGTTTACAAACTTTACAATAATACCCTTTTTATTTTTTAGTCAATTGACTTTTGAAGAAATCAAGAGAAGAAAAAATATATATTCCTTCATATTTACCCACATATTTGCCACTCTGGTGGTCTTCATTCTTCCTGCAGATCTGAAATTCTATCTGGTATCAGTAACTTTCAGTCTAAAATATTTTCTTTAGCATATTTTGAAGTGTATATTCATTAGTAACTAATTTTCTCATCTTTTGTTTATCTGGAAATTTTAATTTTCATCCTCATCTTTGAGAGATATACATACAACATTTTGTTATATGTTGTTGTATATATGTTATATGTTGTTATATGTTGTTATAGTACATACAACATTTTGGGGTTTTGACTGTTTTGTTAGTATTTTTGTTCCAGCACTTTAAAGATATCATCACATAATGATATTACATAGACAATATCACTCCACTATCTTCTAGCCTCCATTTTTCCTACCAATGAAAAGTCTGCTGTCATGATATTCATATTTTTCTATATTTGATGTATGTTTTCCTTTATACTTAATTTTCAAAAATGGACTAAGATACAGTATGTGTGGTTTTCTTTGTATTTATCCTTCTTAGAGTTCACCAAGCTTATTTATCTACAAGTTGATATTTTGCCCTGAAATTAGAGAAATTTCTGATATTATTTCTTCGAATATATTTTTCTTTCCCATTCTCTCTCTATTTTCTTTCTTGGACTCCAGCATGCAATGGTAAACTGGCTGATATTGCCTTATGGTTACTGAAGCTGTATTCCTTTGTTTTTCAACCTTTCTTTCCTCAGATCTTGTCATGGAATTATTTTTGTTTGTCTTTGAATTCTGACCTTTTATTTTTTAGTCTCAAGTTTGTTGTTATATTCATTTAGAACATTTTAAAATTGTCAGATATTATAATTTTAGTATTAAAATTTTCATTTGGTTCTTGTTTCCTATTTCTCTATTGAGATTTTCTATATATTAATTATTTATATCTTTTATGTAAATCACTGAACATATTACTACTAGTTACAGTGAAGTCTTTGTCTGCTAATTCCAGCATCTAGGTCATCCTGAAGGTCTGTTTTTATTAACTGTCACCTTCATTTCTGGCCACATACTCTTGTTTCTTTATACTTCTAATATTATTTGTTTTAAATTATATTCTGGACACTGTGGTTGATGTGCTGTAGAGAATCTGAATGTTGTCTTCCTTAAAGAATATCATATTTTGTTTATTTGGACAAATCAATTACTGTAACACTACTTTATCAATTACACAAATTGATAAGCCACAAATTTGTCTATGAGACTCCTAGTAAACAGAGGAAAGAAGAACAGTGAACACAGTATCAATAATGCTAAAAGAAAATCCATATATTTAGGAGAGATAATTATTTTTGACTTGCCAGAATGGTGTGTGTGTGTTTTATTTTTCCTTCTTTGTGCATATTCTCCACAGCTCTCAGCCAAGTACATAAAGGGACCTCTATCAGAGTTCTGTGTCCATCTCTCTGTCCAGCTGTCTCCTCTTTGGTACCTTACCCAGTACATTCCAGACACCTCAGCAGCATTTCCAACATCTGCCTCTTCAACTTAGCAAGACTTCTGTGCTCTACTTCATTTCTATATCCTTGTAGCACCATCTAGAAAGAGATCACAGGTAGAAAGCAAGGGTAAATGTGCAGTTCACCTCATGTGTCTCTCTTCTTTTGAGAATTAGAGTTTTTAACTTCTGAGGCTTAATGCCTGTCGAGTATTTTATCCAGATTTGGAGTTGGTTGTAGAAGAAAGGGAAGTCTAGAAGTCAGAGAAGTCTTGACTGTGGAACTTTGATCAGTTTACAATAACACTGTGTTACGAAATGATTATAGTTTATATTCATAACAATATTGCTCTCTCTATCCTTCAATATTTTTGTTCCAAAACATATTTACCTCAATTTTTAGCCTTGTATATGTTTTCATATTTTTCTGTGAAGCATATTGTTTGTTAAAAATCAATTTAGAAAGCGCTTGAAGGGCTGTAATTATATTCTGTTGCAATAAAATGGTAAAAAATATTGAATATGAGTGGGAAGTTACAAAATTAGGATAACTTTGGAAGTAGTGTTAAAGGGACTGTTATAACAAAAATCTAGTGAAGACAATATAGTGTGTAGGTTACTTCAAGGTCTAAATAAGATAATGACATGGAAATGGAAAAAATTAGATGGTAAGAGATAGGGAAGTTCTGATGACTCAGTGTACAGTATTTCAAAAATCTCTTTTTTGTATATGTTACAGAATTATAAACACTGACATACAATAAAATAGATTACTAAATCAAAGATAATAAAAAATAAAATTAAAGTCAAATTGCTCAAATCCTAGATCACATGTTCAAGGACCACAGATTTGCCTATGAGATTCTCAGTAAACAAAGAAAAGAAGAAAAGGGAACACAGTATCCATAATGCTAAAAGAAAATCTATATATTTAGGAGAGCATCATTAATTTATTAGTTAGATAGTTTATTTTTTTCCCACCACTTAAGAGAAATTTCTCTGGTGAGTTCTACCAAAAGTAACATATTTCAGGATATTCTGTAACACCTTTATTTTAACCACAAAGATACAGTTTGTTCAAGTCACAAAATTACATATTCTGATGTGTGGGGATAATGTTCTTTCCTTCACCTTGCTCATCCACTCCAAAAGAAGTATATTCACAAATATTGTGTTTTATTATAAAAAGATTGGGTGGTATAGTGTTCTTGATCTGCAATCCTTTTCCTTGATATTACTCATCAGTGTTCTTTAACTATTTTTGCATTTTTAATCATAGTAATTCTTTCTTCTACATGTAATTCTGTATAACATGCAGGTATATAACTGAATAAATGAATGAATGAATGAAATAGGAGAAAGAAAAATATACTAGTTCTAGATGATAGCCTTCTATGTTGGAAATCAAAACCTATTTGTTGCAATAACATCCAACTACCAGTGTGCCAATTGGCCAAGTGGGAGATTTAGGAGCAGTAATCTTCTAGAAAATACTGGATCAAGGCTTATAATTGACCTTTTTGATATTTGTTAGAGTTCAGTCTTCTTGCGTTCCGTCTTTCTTTAGACTCCAAAATGTTGGATCTATGCTAATCTCAACAGGAACTTTTCAGCCCTAGCCTTTCCAGATATAAGAGATATTTGCATAGTGTGAACTTTATATTGATTCTTAGGATTCCTCAGATAAATGTCACTGATGTATTTAAAAATGAATAAAATTCATCTCATAAAACTGACATGGAAAATTAAAGAAAAAATGTGATTTTCCTTAATTCTAAACTTAAAAGTGACTGTCTTATAACAACAAGAAAAAATTTAAAACTTCCTATTTCTATATATCTTTGGTCGTGATCCTTAAATAAATAATCCTTCATTGGAAAACAGTAAGAATATTGATTTTGATTATTTTATTTGTCCATGTACTTCCTTCTTTATTTTACTATCTATCACACATGAGTATGAGTTGTCATTATGACAACTCAAATTAGAAACAGCAAAAAGAGATCAGGTAAAAAAGGGGATGAAGGATTTTAGTTTTGGTTGAATTAAATAAATGTGATTGCTGAGCCATTTATCATCTGACTTATTGGTAGGAAGAATTATATGAAAACATTTCATAAAATATAAATAATTTTGAATGTATGATCAATAATCCTACTTTGTCAAGGATTTTTTTTTTTACTATACTACTGGATATTTTATTTGTCACTGGATATTTCTAAATGAGATTATTTTAGAAATTTTAATTTCATGCCTCTTTGATAGATATTTATATTAGTAATATATATAATGTTAATTAGGCAACTGTTTTTCCTATTTCCTGGAAGATTATATTAACTTTTTTATTTAAAACAGTTTAAAAAGCTATTAATCAAATGATCTGGGGATGTAGCTTGTTTTGGTTATAATTCTTCACAACTTATTTACATACTTAATTATTATTGATTCATTTTGTTTTGTTTCTTCTGTCAGTTATGGTCATTTATATCTTCCTAGAAAATTACTGATTTAATATGCATGTTTTCGTGTATCATAATAGAATGGTGTTCTGAAAACTTGGTTTCTTGAGATATTAGATTCGGGAATTGTTAATAGATATGCCAAGAAAAAGTATTCATTAGTAAAGTAGATTAAACAGCCATATAAGTCAGCAGTGTGCATTCACTATCAATTTTTCTAATTAGCCCTGGAATCAAAATACATCCCTATTTTTGTTTACCCTGGTATTTTTCAAACAGACAGTGAGACTTTTACCACCCATACACAAACATACTTATAAATATGCTGTAAAGCAGTGCTTTGTGCAGTAATGGTTTAGAAACACTAGCATATGGATACAAAAAGTGGTCATCTATATCCATTTATCTTTTATTATGTATCACCTTTGTAATTCCAAAACAGTAAGTGGACATTGCAAAATATGTATAAACATAAACATAAATAAAGTTAGTAAAAGTCTTCATTTGTCTCTTTTAATTTGAACCTCATTTTATAAAAATTTTGAATAGAATGATTGTCTGATTCTTCTTAATTATTAGGTAGTATATAATTTAATCATATAAATCATATGCATTTTTATAGTTTTTAAAGATTATTTTGATTTTTATTTGAAATAATCATTTGGACTGTTTCTTAATTTAACAGTGGGTGATTTCTCATTTAAAATTTTGCCATTAACATTCAGTTTGTTTATCTGTAATTGGAAATTATGCCTGTATAAACCTGACTTTAGGTACTTGTGGAAGTATTCTGTGTAGTCTGGTATATAATCAGATTTTATAATATGTAATCTTATGTATAATCAGATTATTTGATGTTTGCAAAAATATATAGTCATTTGTTGTAAAGTAAAATAGTCCATATGAATTCTTATATTAATAACGTATTCATTACACAATATTCATTCATTTTAAAATTCACATGAAAATACCAAGGTTGAAATTTCCAGTTGAACACATTAAATAAATAGTAGCATAAAGAAATTAAAGGTGTTTGCAAATAAATATTATAATTGATAATAATTCCTTTATTTTAAACTTCTGTTGATCAATTTATTTTTGCCTAATTAGTCTGCATAAAATTTGAATGGTATTTTGCACAATTCAAGTACACTTATTCAATGTTTATTGAATTTATAGTGAGTTTTTGCTTTATTTATTTACGAGACAGAGTCTTGCTCTGTCGCCCAGGCTGGAGTGCAGTGGCACCATCACAACTCACTGCAGCCTCACCCTTCCAGGTTCAAGCAGCCTTTCCATGTCAGCGTTTTGAGTAGCTAGGATGACAGGTACATGCAACCACACCTGGCTAGTTTTGTTTATTTTTTATTCTAGACATGAGGTCTCCCTGTGTTGCCCAGGCTGTTCTCAAACTCCTGGGCTCAAGTGATCCTTATACATCAGCCTCCTAAAGTGCTGGGATTATAGGCACGAGCCACCATGCCCAGCTAGTTTTTACTTTGGGTTGAGTCATTCATTCATTCAACAAATATTTACTGAATATCTACTATATTCCAGGTATTTTTCTAGGTACTGTCAATATATTAGTTAGACAAAAATCGAAAGTCCTTGCTCTCATGAAACTCGTTTTCTAGCATCTCAATATCATCTTTGGTGCTGTGATAGGGTTTGACAGTAAAAGATAATGAAAGGTATGTATTAATTTTGCCTTTTTTATTACTAAACCTATTCAGTATAAATAGGCAACTTAGAATATTTGTACTTGTATGCAAGTTTGTACTTGCCTGGCATAATTTTTTCCATAGCTGGAATTTTTGTTTTACTTCTTCTTCTATTTCTTTATTGATTGCTCCTTTATAGAGAATATACCATTCTGATAGCCTAGATATTGTTTGCTCTATTTTTACATTTATGTCTTGTCTTCACTAACTAGGTATTGTTGCATAGCCTGGGACAAGCAGTTTTTTCAATTCCTGAAAATAAAGTGGTATACAATATAGCCAAGATTCCCGCTCTCCTGAAATATGCCTTCAAGTGGAGAGAGACAGACTATATTTTAGATATTTCTAAGTCCTATGGAGATAATAAAGGCAGTCGAATAGGATAAAGGTGATATGGGATATTCTAGATAAGTGAGCAAAGAAGGATTTTCTGAGTAGGTGGCATTTGCTAATTTCTGAATGAAGATCCTGTCATGCAAAGATTTAAGAGAAAAATATTCTAGGGAGTAGCAAGAGAATGTACATTAGATTCAGGAATTGGAGAAAAAGCCATTGTAGCTGAAGTGTATGGAGCAAGTGGGAGTGAAGGTAGAGGGTATATAGGATTCAGATTACTTAAAGGCTTTGGATTTGTAGAGTGGGCTAAGTATGTAACACAATGTTAAAATAAGACTGCGCATGAAGTCTGGCCTCAAATCGAGAACAACAGTGTAAAGTATTGTTTTTCTAAGCAATAGAACTTGCTTGCAGGACATGCAAAGGAGGTATCCAAAATTGTCTGTGTCAACTATGAATGCATCTCTCACCACAATATTATATAAGCAAAAGCCAAGAATTCCTTAGAGAGAGTGGTTTTTATGAAAAAAATAAGAAATTCTATGAAGAGAATGCTGGTTTCTTCCTCCATCTCCATAGACACAAGCCTGGCACATCCTCCCAGTCAAGTAAGAAAGCTTCTATGAGCATATTCAGAAAGATTGACAAGAATCCAAGGGCTGGAAAGGAACTACCACTGATGTCTGTGTCAAGCCCGAAAATACCTGAAGGCCAGAGGCTGGCTGGAAGGGCCTGGCCTGACAGAGGTGAGAAAGGTGTGTTGGAAATAGACTGAGGTTCAGAGTTCGGCAGGTAAAGACAGAGAACAATGAGAACACTTAGACACAGGATAGGGAATATCACACACCGGGGCCTGCTGTGGCGTTGGGGGGGTGGGGAGGGATAGCATTAAGAGAAATACCTAATGTAAATGTCGAGTTAATGGGTGCAGCACACCAACATGGCACATGTATACATTACATATGTAACAAACCTGCACGTGCACATGTACCCTAGAACTTAAAGTGTATATATATATATAGATAGATAGATACACACATATAAAAGATAGTACTTAAAGTATATATATATAAAGTATATATATACTTATATATATACATTATTAAGTATATATATACTTTATAATGTATATATATAAAAAGATAGTACTTAAAGTGTATGTGTATATATATACACACATATATATATAAGATTATAAGATAGTGTGTATATATATATACATATATATATACATACATATATACATATATATATGTGTATATATATATGTATATATATATAAAAGATAGTACAGATTTTCCTGTGGAACACATTTGAGGAAGGTAGCTAGGGGAGAGACCAATGGGAAAGACAACCTCTACTGACTGGGTCTGGGTGGTGAGGACTGCCTGAAGGTAGAGCAAAGGAAAGGTCAAAATTCGCTACCAGAGGAACCACTGCCCACATCAGGGTCCTGCAGGTGAGAGATTCTACTGACAAAACTGGTCTAGCTGAAGGAGTGGAGGCAAAACTTTAAACTCACCACCTTTCTACTTCTCAGGTGTGTCAGGCATCAGTGAGGGAAGTACAAATGATTTAAAGGGAAAAAGGAAGTCAATTGTTGCTTCAAATCAAATCAGACTTTATAAATCAGAAAAATGAGGATTTCGGTCAATATCTGAGAGTGACTAAAAATCTGTGAAATCTGAATAGTATTAGGAGCAAGGGTGTGAAAAAAGCCTATTTGTATGATTTCATTTCTACAAGTTTATTTTGTTCAATAAATTGACTCACAGGACTTTAATAATTAGCTCCATTTATTTTCATAAGTGACAGTATTGTCTTACTTTCTGCATAAGTGTAGTCTCGGTTTTTGTTGATGTAACCTGAAAATTACATTATATTAATAATATTTTAAAAAATTATTTACCTTTCCATCAAGAATAATTTTTTAACCTTTATACCATATTCAACCATAGGAATTATTTTTAGACAAATTATTTGCCTCCATTGCTCAAAATAAATCTTCATAAAATCACTGTTTCTTTGTTCTTTCATTCTTCATGTTATTTATTCCTCAATCACAATTCATCTTTGAGTAATTTTTTAAAGAAAGTATATTAGTCTGAGGATGGTTTTCTATTGTGTTTGCAAAGGCATGACAACTTGGTTGGATAAATATTTTCCGGTTGTGCAATCTTTTTACCTTAAAACTCTTGTTTTGTTTTTTGTTACTCAATATTGCATAGATGTCTGCCAAAAATCTGATTTTGATTCAAAAAGTATTTGTAACGTTTTGTTTTGCTCTTCCTTTGCCCTTTTTATTATCACACTTTGTCTATATTTAGGTCTATTTCACTCAGCTAAAATTTCTTTAGAAAGAAGTTCAAGAACATCTTCCAGGCCAAAAATGTTTTGTTTGTATATTTATTTGATTGCTGCCTCCAATCCACCTAGCCTGTTTCTCATTCTAAGAGCTGTATTATGTGCAAAATTAAACTTCCTACTTCTTGTATGGGTTGGTCCCAAGAACAAGCATTTCCTACTTGGAATCTGCATTGGTCAGGTTGTTAAAACGGTGTCCTCCCTTCCTGCTTCTCTAGCATTTGTGCCTTCATCTAAAAAGCCTATTCTGCCTGCATACTGATTCGCTAACACAAATTTGTAAGTAACAAAAGACTGATGACTTGTTTTCTGTTTTCACTACGATACAGCCTTTTCTTTGATTTTTTCTTTTTTAAAAAAAAAGCCATTTCTATGGAAATTTGGGAAGAAGTTGTATTTACCTGTATTCTAGTAAAAATCTTATTCAGACATCCAAAGGCATTTCTTTTAAGCAGTGTTATATGTTGTACCCTTATGAAAATATCTATATCCACATCTCTGAATGTAATGCCTAAGGTGAATTGATATAAGTAGAATTATTGGCTCAAAATCATGACCATCTAACCTTTTGATGTATATTGTCAAACTACTTTCCAGAAACGTAATGTCAAATTTTAAATCTCCTAATGTCTGGTTTTCATTTTAATAGGCTAAATTGTATCTTAATATTTAAGTAAATTTGAATTTTCTTCCAGTGAGGTTGAACATAATTTCATAAAATAATTTAGTGTTTTATCAATTACCTTTTCAGGTCTTCAATTTTTTTTTAAGTACATTTAATATGTCACTTATAAATTTGAAAGAGTTATTTGTATATTCAGAATACTAATATCCTATATATTAGTTGCGTTAGGCTTACTGCTAAAATGAATAGACCATTAAAAGAAAAGACTTTTATTACTATGCAGATTTTTACTTAACATAGATTGAAGTAATTTTATATATGATTTTAACAAATGCCAACACAGGACTTTTTACAGGTTTTACGAGTAAGTTGTTATGTCCACTATCTTTATAGTAGATAACTTATACTTCGTTAGTATTTTTCTTTTTTCCTTTTTTTTTTTTGAGACGGAGTTTCGCTCTTGTTGCCCAGGCTGGAGTGCAATGGCGCAATCTCGGCTCACTGCCACCTCCGCCTCTCGGGTTTCAAGCTATTCTCCTGCCTCAGTCTCCCCAGTAGCTGGGATTATAGGCATGCGCCACCACGCCCAGCTAATTTTGTATTTTTATTAGAGATGGGGTTTCTCCATGTTGGTCAGGTTGGTCTCAAACTCGTGACCTCAGGTGATCTGCCCGCCTCGGCCTCCCAAAGTGCCAGGATTACAGGCATGAGTCACTGTGCCCGGCCTTTTCAATTTTTTTTAACCTCGAAATCTAAGGAGTTAGTATATAAGTATTTTGCCATTATCTTTGTCAAGGATTCCTTTCTTGGAGAGAGAATTTTTGTTGTTGTTGTTGTTGTTTTTATTTCAGCACAATTTTTTTAAGGAAAAAAAATAAATTTGAAAAAACATTTATATGTATTGTGGGATTAAGGATGTGGCTCGAAAATCGCATTTTTCCATTACTGGAAGAATAAACATTCAGGGTCAAAATTCATGTAATACACATGAGAAAGCTGAGTGAAGTAAATTATTTCCCAATTCAAGAAACAAACTGTATTAAAACTTAAAATGTTCTTGTACGCCACAAGTTTTTTCTTATATGTTTTAAGTTACTATTTTTTCCTGTTTATCTCCATAAATCACCATGAAGCCAGGATCAACCTCTGTTTTGATCATCAATTTTTCCGTTGGAAGCATACTTGACAAATATTGTCAGGTTAAATAAAATCTTTGTCAACTACAACAAAAAAACTTAAAGTTTTATGTCACCGTATTTTGTGTGTGTGTGTGTGTGTGTGTGTGTGTGCACATATTCATCATATATTCAACAAAAATACATAGGTGACATGTTTTCTGAGCCCTTGAATAGCTGGAAATTTCACTGTTTTCTAACATGGAAGAAACTTTTCTCTAAACTTCTTGGGTCCTAATTGTCCAGTACTCTTTCACTATTACTCCATTGCCCTTTGACCTTCTATTACATATGGTATAAAATTAAAACTGTCTCCTTTTAACAAAAAGTTTATAGGCTAGGGAAGGGACCTCATCTCTTTTTGAAATTCAACACTTCTACTGGATATGTCTTGATAAGGATCTTATTTGACTGAGTTTGGGAGTAGTACAGTGATTCCCTTAATTTATATAACGGATTACTATTTTAAAAACATTTTTTCTCACTTTTAAAAAAATATTGCTTTTGTTCTTATTTATTCTTCCAGAGAAGTCAGGCAAAGTCACAGTCCACTCATAGACCTGAGAAAGATAAATCAATGCTTATTGTGAAGGCCATTTAATTTTGATTTTGTCATTATGCATCATTATTGCCAAAAAAAACTGATTAATATACTGAAAAACTCATACATTGAGAAAACACCAGAGACACTTAATTTAAAGTCTGAAATGAGACAAAGATACCACTATTGTCATTACTATTTAACATAGTACTGAGCTATTAGCCAATAAAATTAGATAGAAGAATGCAGTTAGAGGAATGAGAATAAAAATTGAAAGAAGTTTTACAGATGGCATGATTTTATATCTGGAAAACCCAAGAGAATCCGTGAAAAAACTACTACAAAAAATAAAAGAGTATGATAACATGACAGGAAATAATCATATAGAAATCAATACAATGAATAACCAATTAGAAGGTATAGCAGAGAAAATCCTATTTTCTATAGTAACAATAACAAAAAACAACAGAAAGCCAGAAAAATGTTTATGCACAAACTTAAAACTGCTGTGCAAAATTAAATGAGAAAACTTAAAAATCCGATAAAAGACACATAATATATTTAAACAAGTGAAAAATAAAATGTCAATTCTTTCTCAGTTATAAATTCGCATGATTTCTGTAAAAATATCAACAGGCTTATTTTTCTGCATTGATTATAAAGTTCATATAGAAAAATTAACAAATAAGAATTATAGGGAAACTCCAGCAAAAGAAAAAAAAAAAGAAGACTATTGGGAACACAATCCTACCAGATATTTAAAAATATTGTAAAGGCCCTATAATTAAATGTTTATTGTTATTACAGATCTACCAATATAACAGGGTCCAAAGCCCAAAAACAGATCCAAATGCATGCGGAAAAGTAGTATGCAAAGAATAGGACATTTCAAATGTATGCAGAAATAAGGACTTTTTGATAAGGATTATTAAGGCTAGTCATTTTGAAAGAGATAACTGAATCTATATTTCATACCATACTGCATGATAAGTTACAAATGGGTCAGAAATGTAAATGTAAACACTAAAATCATCATGTACTTAAAGAAACAATAGGTAAATTACTTTAAAACTTGAGGATGGAGAATAATTTTAACTATGATTCAAATAATTAATAGATTTGCAAATTAAAAGTTGCATTACAGAAAACACCATAAACAAGTAAAAATAACATACTGACTGATAAATAATATTTAAGACATAATATACACAAAGTTTCCCTAGAATTATTGTTTGTTAATTTTTCTATATGAACTTTATAATCAATGCAGAAAAATAATATACAAAGGCATCTTAAAATTTGAGGAAAATAAAACTATCAATAATTTTTTTAACTGAATAAAATATATGAACAGACTATTCAAAGCAAGAAATGAAAATGGTCCTCAAACATGTGAAAAAATATATTCATCCTTACTCATAATAATACAAATGAGCATTAAAATTATACCTCGCATTTATCAAAAACCTAAAAATTTGACAACAAGCTCAGTTGTATGGAAACAGGAATATCCATGCATTGCTTATGGAAATGCAACAAGCTTTAACGCTTATGGTGAAGAACACAGCAATATCTGGAAAAACTTTAGGGAATTTATTACTCTCACCCAATTGGCCACTTGCAGGAGTCTATCCCAAATATATACTAGCAAACTTATAAAATTACTTAGGCACAAAATTATTATTTATGGTTATATTTGTAATGCCACATGATTGGAAACAAATATCTCTCAATTTGGGACTGATTGGTAATCTATAGTCGACCTACATAATGTATTATTAGGTGGGTGCAAAAGTTATTGCGGTTTTTGCCATTACTTTTAATGTTAAAAACCGCAATTACTTTTGCACCCACCTAATAATATTGCACAACTGCAAAATGTTAAGAACATATCCCTAAGCTGATATGTAGTGATCTCCAGGATATAATATGGGATGAAAAAAAAAGAAAGGTGAAAAACAGTATACAAAATATGTTCGTTTGTGTAAGAAAAGGAATAAATGAATACAAATATACATGTTTTCTTACATTTCTAAAATAATCACTAGGTGGATAAATTTTAAAATAATAAAAATAGATACTTATAGCAGAATTGAGTAAATAAGGTCAGGGAGCTGGTGAATAAAAGGTCAGACACTACAGTAACTATTACAACACTGTTTTTGTCACAACTCTTCCATTTCTGGACTAAGCATAACATCACTGGAGAAAACAAGCAAAAGGCATCTATCTCTACTTTCTGTAAGGTAAAAATGTTTGCATCATGTTTTGGTCAGAGTACAATTTGTTTTTAATTGAAATATTATTGACATTATGGCTATTGGAAATTTTGCAGAGAGTGCCAGTATTTTGACGACAAGTACTACTTTTTTCAATTCCTTTTTTTTTTCTATCTCTTCATAGGCATCTTGAAGGAAAAGAAAACCTAGAAACTGCATTAGATTGCTCATAAAACGTACACACTAACTAAATTATGAAATTGTACTATTAGTCTTTATGCTATATTTCTAAAATCTAACAAGATATGTACTATTCAGTCTTCTTTTTAAAATGGCTTGGCTAATGTTGTTTGTTTATTTTATTCAGCTGATATTCCAATTCAATCCTACAAAAGAATAAAACATTTCCCACTTGAAGTTTTACTTAAAATTACTTAACCCTCTAATTATTAAAGAAGACTTTAAAGATTTATTCGTTCTTGCAAGACCAGATCATGGTATACGTCTTCATTTATAAGATTTCTCTTACATTGCTCCATATTTGTAAGTAACTTCCATAATGTAATTTCATCATATTTATTGTTAATTTTTTCTCAACATTTTATGTTTTTGTACCAGTTTTTATATAGGGCAGCTATTTATTTTGGTATATTTAGTTTTTATCCAGACACTGCTATACCATTAGTTCTCATAAATAGAAAAGCATGTTGTCTACAAGTATTTATGATTATGATGCCAGGTTTTCAAAAGTTATAACCAACATATCTTATTTGTGGCTTATTGACCTAATAAAATATCAGGCTCGTAATTCTTTTCTCACTTCAAATTATAATGAGAATACCTTCAGAGTTGCATTTACATATGATGCTCGCTGTTCTTTGAATTAAGAGAGAACTTATCTATAGTTTGCTATTGGGGATTTTCTGATATTCTATTCTTTGGACCCACTTTAAAAAGTGGGAATTCCAGGACATCTCTTAGGAACACATTCCAATAATTAATAAACCTAATTATCAGGAAATATATTTATAACATTTTAATCTCTAGTGCTTTACTTCAAATCAACTACATCTGATACTATCCCTCATGAATTAAGGTAGTTCATTGTAAACATTTTTCTCTATAATAACCCATCTGATACAATATTGGAAAGAATTAATTATATCTAATCTCAGCCTTCTCTCTGCTTGGATGAAAAATAAATAAACTTATTTCACATGGTACTTACATGTCTCGGAATCATCACTAAATTTTTGTTGGATGATATTTCAGAACAGGGTAAATAGTCATATTCTTTCCAAATGTGTTAGTGAATCCGTATGTGAAATGTTACTACTGGGAAATTTCTAAGTGAAAACAATAATGGAGAACTTGAATAATGAGACTAGATAATGAGAAAATCCATCCTATTTAAATGTGTGCATACATGAGTTAAATGTTAATATAGCTAAAAGAAAACCTAGAGATGCTAAATTTGAGTGCTTTTATAATGCCAGTAAAAATATCTTACTAAAGGGAGAACATGGATCATTTTTTGGAGTATTTTCAATGCAGGTACAACTAACTAAAGAAAAAAGAGAATTATGAAGACATGGACTTTAATAAACAATATTCACAATTAATAATTAAAAATAATTGCACCTCAATATTTTATAATATAATTCATATATTTATGCTCTTTGTTCTGAACTTCAAATAACTAAGGAGAGTTGAGAAATTACATATATCTATGTATATATATTATATATATGGAGAAAATTGTGGTGTGATTTAGACAAAAGTAATTTTCCTTTAACTTTTTAGGCAAGTTGCATTCTTTTAAAATGTCAGATTGGATTCCTGTAATTGACACGCATCTGAGATTAAGCAGTTAGTGAGTAGAAGATGTAGATGTCAAGAAGCATTGACATTATAAGTGAATCCCAGATTAATTTTGTTTTATCTCTCTGTGTTCATTATTCTTCATATGAAAGTTATTACTCCTTCAATTATTCTCCTATATGCTTCAAAAATATTCAGTGAAGAGTATGCTCATTTGAACAAATACATCATGGGATAGGTTACAATTACTGTTATTATTTCCAATTCCTTATATAACCATATATTTTATGCATGAAAAATGTTCAAGTGGACCCTTGGCCTGATGCTGCAAATTATTTAGTAATAATTTTTAACCTTATTATACCAGAAAAATGTTAATCAAAAGAGAATATTCTAATTTAACTCTAAACAATCATTAGGTAAGAGAAAATTCTTGGGAAATGAAATTTCTGACTTGAAAGTAAATAAGGTTAGAAAATTAGTTTAGCTATATAAAAAATTTTAAGTATGCTGCATAGGAGGTTATATTTGCCAATCAAATACAACCATGGAGTTCTGATTACTAAAAATAATGTTAGGTGATTAGTCAAAGGTAAATATATACATTGGAAAGTATATATGAATTACAATGGACTTTGTTAAATTCTATTAGTAGTTAAATGCATAGCAGGGCAATAAAAATACAAATTATGTATATAAGACTATATGGTCTGAAGTTCTCACTTTAGATAATGAGGTAAAACTTTTTTCTAATTTTCAAACAGTATTATTTTTATATACAGAGATTGGGAAGCCCAACATTTTAAAAGAGGACTACATTGATATTATACTCTCTCTCTCTTTCTGTCTCTCTTTCTGTATCTCTCTCTCTCATACACACACACACACACACACACACACACACACACACACACAGACACGGTATATTGCTTTCAGAAGCAATTCTCAAGACTTGAGACAGATACGTACTTTGCTTTGTTTTAATTCATTGCTAGTTTTCCTGGTTGGTTTGGTAGATTCTAAATAAAGCATGTTTCATCGATAAATAAATGTATATATGTGATAAAATCAGCTGAATGTATTTTTGATCAGTGCAGATTTTGAAACAAACTATAATAATGAAACACAGTAATATTAATCTTATTTATTAAAAAATTTTATTTTTATTTCAAAATTGGTTAATTTTATTTTCTTAGAAACTAAAAATTATACATTTCTGAATCACATTATTTAACTAAAATTTTCAATTTGATGGAAAAAAATGACTTTTTCTCTTGGTAGTCTTCCAGATATGTGCATTTTACTTCAATATTTATCTAGAGAAGCATTTTATAAGTATCCCAGGACTGTCTTTATCAGTGGAAAGTAATAAGTTTAAATATAAACTCCTATCCTTAACCAACATTGTTCACCCTGGGTCTAACTCTGATAGACAGCTATTCCTTCTTCACAGATTGTCAGTGACCTAAGCAAAGCATACAGAAGTTCTAGCAATTAAGCAGAAGAATTAGGTTTTGAACTCCTAAACACTGAGTGTATTGTGATCACCCATCATAATTAAAGTAAAAAATCTTTCAAGTGTCACTAATTTAAATAGGGCTTTTGTTGTTTTATAAAATCCAGTGGACCATTCAGAATAGAGGAATGGTTTTTTTTCCTCTTACTATACCACCAGTGGTCTAATTCAGCCATAATAAAGCAATTCTTCCTATTTTCCTATGGCCTAAGCAGATTTGAAATATGAGGGGAAAATTGATATTATTGATTACTTTTGCTTTTTGTCCTTTTAATTAATTCGGATTTTTCAGTAAGAATGGATTGGGAGAGCAGTGGTTAGTATGCTTGTTATTTCATGATATGGACGAAGTGCTGATATAACTGATGGTTGATTCTGCTTTGAAATTTAAAAGCTTCTCTCACAAATATGGGACTTTTTTTGGAATAAGCAAGTGAGAGTGTAAGGGCATTTATAGGTAATTAAGGCTGATAGTAAGGATACATTTAAATGTTTTTTCTGATTTCCAAAACAATGTATTTTCACCTCTAGCCTCAGCAGCTTCTGATAATAGAACAAAAGAAAGAAGCGGATGGCATTTATCTGGCACATACATATTTTATGCGAACTTTGAACACTCACTCATACAACACAGATTTATTGAGTTCTTACATGACAATTGCTGTTAATAGACACTTGAGATATAATGATGAACAAGACAGATAAACTCCTTACTCTCAAGGAGTTTATAATCTATAAGGAGAAGGTGGAAATTTAACGAACACACAAACTAGAAAAAGTTCTATATACACGGACTTTTAATTTTGTTTAAGACATTGTAGCTTGCAACAGAAAAATGTTCCACTAAAGAACAAAAAGACAATCCGGATAAAATAATTTTTACATTATAGGCATTAGAGAACTACTGAGATAACCAGAATTGGGGTGGGGGTGTGTAATCCCTGAAAAGCAAGCAGTTTCAAGGTTAAGCAAATCAACACTTTGTAGCCAGTTTGCTTAGGATTCTAAACACAGGCAGTAAACTGATGAACACAGTATAGACCCAGAGAGAAGGCCTCTATTACTAGATCAAGAAGAAGCATGTAGTTATTATTGCCCCATGGGAATAAAGTGATAAAAAAGTAAACACTTAGATTGTTAGTAAGAAGGGTGGAACAAAGAACTGATGCCAATACCATCTCAATTTTCACACAGAGTATTTGCCAAATTTTAAAACCACATAAGGCACAAGATTGAGAAACCAAGCATAAACTCTCAACACTTAAAGAAAAATTTTCTATAGTCTCCATGTTAAACAGGATTAGGGTTCAGGGCTCATTTGTGAACACACCCCAAGTGTGGCTGGAGAGTTACATCCAAGATTATAGGTAAGCCAAAAGTATACAAAACCTTAGTAATGCTGAAATCCAGTCTCAAGCTCAACTTTGATTGGATTAAAATAACCTATCTGCATTTTTTGTGTTTAGCAATGGAAAGATTAAACACATTTTGGAGAGCCTCCAAATCCTTAACAATTTTTCATACACAATATCTAATAATCAATAATCAAAGGCAAAGCTCCAGCCAAAAGAAAAAGTAGATAATATAAAAGACCCATAGATGACATTGATTTTGGAATTAGAAGACAGGACTTAAAAATAGCTATGATTAACATGTTCAGGAAAATAGAGGAGATGTTAGAAAACAGATTTTCCTGAGAAACTTGGAATTTATAAAGATAAAGTGAAATTCTAGAACTGAAAAGTAGAGTATGGATGGATGCTGCCAAAAGAAACAGTTGAATTGGCTTAAAAAAGAATGACCAGTGACCCCAGTAGGGAAACTATTCAAGTTGGTCATTTTCTACATCCAGTACAGCACATAAGATATCAAAGGATCAGATAGTGTGACATTTTAGATCAGTAGATCAGTTCCACACTATATGGAAATGTTTGCAGAAGTTATTGGATCTGTATCCCCAGGAGTGAAAATAGAAGGAGGACAAAGCAGCAGAAAATTAGATGAAATGAATCCTACAGAAGCCTCAGCATCCACCGAGGAAGGAATCAAGATCATAAAGTCCAGAAGGCACTAGACTCCTATCTTTTGCATCTCAGAAATATGAGGACCTTTTGCAAAAATTCTTTTGGTCACTTAACAGAATTTATTTGCTTCTACTGTTTGTGCATTATAATGTATGAAATAGCTTATGTTTACATACACTGAAAATTATGCTTATGTGTCTAGGTGTCTTTGAAGGTAAAATGGAGCTCTCAGCTGACCTAAAATATACGTGCAGCATGAGTGAAAACTAAACCTTTATTGCCTTATGCCTCTGAGATTATGTTACTGTGAGTTACTGACATGTAACCTGGCTTAATCCTGTCTGATACACTTCTCAAAATGATCTGGCCATATGCCCATTCTCCATGTTGTGCACCACTTTAGACACACTAGCCTTCTTGCTGTTCCTGAAACAAGCCAGATGCATCTCTGCTTCAATACCTTTGATCTTGACAACCCAAGGCTGTAATGCCCATTCCATCTGATCTCTGTATGGATCAATCCCGCACTTCCTCCATGTCCTTTGTCAAAAATCACCTTTCGTGAAGCCTCCCCTACTGTGTCACCTAACATTTCACCTCTCTCAACAGAATCTCTCTGCCTCCACCTGGCTTATTTATTCTACATATAATTTGTCATCATCTAACATACTATATTTTTTTCTATTTTTTTTATTTTGTTTCTCCTCCACTGCAACATAACTTCCATGAGGGCAGGAAGTTTTTTAATAGTCTTCATTTTTCAGAACCATTTTAGATTTACAGCAAAATTGAGTTAAAGATACTGAGATAGCCCATATACCCCTGCCCCACACAACCACAGCCTCCCCATTATAAACATCCCCCGCTAATGTGGTACATTTGTTGCAACTGACGAACCTGCCTTGGCACATCATAATCACCCAAAGTCCATAGTTTACGTTAGGGTTCACTTTGGTGTTGTACATTCTGTGGATTTGGACAACTGTATAACGAATTTCATGTAACCACCATTATAGTATCATACCAAATACTTTGGCTGCCTTGAAAATGCTCTATGCTCTGTCTACTAATTCTGCCTTCCTCAACCCTCAACTCAACTCTGGACAGCTAGTGATCTTTTTAGTCTCCACAGTTTTGCCTTTTCCAGAATATTATATTGTTGAAATACAATATGTAACTTTTCTCAGATTGGCTTATTTCACATAGTAATGGATGTAAAAGTTTCTTCCATATCTTTACATGGCATAATAGTTTATTTTTTTTTAGTGCTGTATAATGTTGCATTCTCTGAATATACAATACTTTATCCATTCACCTACTGAAGGATATCTTGATTGTTTCCAAGCATTAGCAATTATGAACAAAGCTACTATAAATATCTATGTGTAGGGTTTTTTTTGTGAAAATAAGCTTCTGATTCCTTTGGGGAAGTACCAAGAACTTCTACTGCTCTTGGATCATATAGTAAATATTTGTTTAATTTTGTAAGAAACTGACAATCTCTATTCCAAAGTGGGCATACCATTTTATATTCTCACCAGTAATGAATGAGAGATCTGGGTGCTCTATATCCTCACCAGCATTTGGTGTTGTCAGTATTCTTCATTTTGGTCATTCTAATACGTGTGTAGAAATAATTCATTGCTGCTTTAATTTTCATTTCCATAATGACGTGACGTGGAGAGTATTTTAAGTGTGAATTTGCCATCTGTATACCTGTTAACGTCATTGGCCCATTTTTAAATCAGCCTTTTTGTTTTCTCTTTTTGAGTTTTAAGAGTTTTTTTTGTGTGTGTTTTGGATAACAGTCATAAGGCCTGCAAATGTTTTCTCCCAGTCTTTGGCTTGTCTTCTCATTCTCTTCCCATTTTCTTTCACAGAGCAGTTTTTAACTTTAGTGAAGCCCAGATTATCAATTATTTCTGTCATGGATTGTACCTTTGGTGTTGTATCTGAAAAGTCAACACCAAATCCAAGGTTATCTGGATTTACTTCTATGTTATCCTCCAGGAGTTTTATGTTCTTGTGTTTTAGGCCTGTGACCTATTTTGAGTTAATTTTTGTGAAGGGCATAATGTCTGTGTCTACATTGATTTTTTTGTATGTGGACGTCTGGTTGTTACAGCAGGGCAAGATTTTTTTGTCTACTTCTGAACTAAGTCCTCATTGCCTAAAAAAGTGTCTGCTGCGTAGCAGGCTCTCAATAAATCTTTTTTAATGAAATAATATACATTTTATTGTGTTTGTGAATAAGTCACAATAATATAAACACAAAATAAAAATTCACTTGGATTAAGAAATACTCTTAATGCATGATTATCTATAGGAAAATTATTTTGTACTAGAAATTTCTTAGTGTGAGCTCGTTTTTTAAGTTTGTTTTTTATCTAAGAGCTGAAATCAGGAAATTTGAAAGGGTAGAAGATTCAATTAAGAGATGAGGATGGAAATAGTTGAAAGAGAGAAAGAAAGAAGAAAGAAAAGTAGCATGGCCAGATAACCAAGGAATCAACTTTTTAAGTCCTGAAAGCTTTATGGCCAAAATATGCTAAGGACTCAGTGCCACGCCAGCTTTCTAGATAACAGATGTCTTCAAGAATGTCAAAAAACTATGGTCAGTGAGTTGGATCTTAGCATGAGAGTCTGGTGGTTTTAGACGAACAAACAAGGCAACACTCATTTCACTCAACTGTTATAGAGCAAATTAATATTCATTAGATAAATTTTGTTCAATTCTTCTTATGTTCTGTAAAAACTACCAGACATTTTCACTTTAATTATGTCATTTAATCTTCATAAAAATCTTGAAAGAGGCAGAGCCAGGGGTGAAATTCAGCTCTGCTTGACTATGGAGCACAGAGAGTTTGTCAGATACAGTCTTTTGATGGATAGTGCAACGTCCCAATAGGACATTAAGGACTGTTTTTATGTTATATAGAAAAACAGGTGGAAGAAACCCTCTTCAATGCCAAAATGTATGCACAAAAACCTACAAACATTATTTCAATTTTTTTAAAATAAGTTTATTGGTTTTTAAATGGCTCAAATTGCAAATAAACAAATCAGGTAGTGGCACCAGCCTAAGACACATGATGCATCTTTGTCAGTTGGCTTCATAGCACTTCAGTACCCAGGAGAGAAAAGGTCTCAAAGCAAAGTCACAATGTTAGTGGTTAGGACCCCTGGCTAAATAAGACTATAACGAGTATACAGGGAGATTGCTAGGCCCACTGGCCAGTGTTACATTGGTTACGAATTCTGCACATGGCATAG
Source organism: Homo sapiens (assembly GCF_000001405.40). Taxonomy (NCBI): domain Eukaryota; kingdom Metazoa; phylum Chordata; class Mammalia; order Primates; family Hominidae; genus Homo; species Homo sapiens. The sequence continues at coordinate 78,791,908 of NC_000012.12, forward strand.
CCTATGAGAAATATGAAAGATGTACATCTCAAATCCTTTAAGGATAAATATTTAACATGAGAAGCTGGATGTCCTATCTAAAAAGCGAGTTCCTAAAAAGCCTATTTTTAAATTTACGTACACACCTATTACCTGGACTGCCGCCTGAACATATCTTTGACCTGTTGAAAGTAGGACTAAGCAAAAAGAAAAAAATACTCTGTTCAATCAACTGTCCCAGCCCCACTGCAAAGAGGAAAAAAAAATCTGACAGTGGCATATTTCCGACTGAAATTATGTCCCCAAATAACGTGCTAGAATTCTTCTAGCAGGGACACCACGCAATGGTGACACAGCCTAATGTTTGGTCAGTGTGTGCCAAACATATTTTCTGCACTGTATCCCGGTTTGACTGCTTGATGTTAACTTCTGAAAATGTAGCTACAGTGTTCTTCATTATGAACATAAACAGACAAAATTTACTCCTAATAATTCCTATATAAAACTGTAACTTCATGAATACAAACTTGGAAATGAACAGATGGCAAGCATGAATATTTTCCCAAAGTGTTCCAGTGCAAAATGCATTAGCATTATTGACATTTTCTTCCTGTGCCCTGCTCCCAGGAGATTAAAAACTTAACACTTACATGTTCTCCACTGGCAGAAAGTGATTTCCAGGGACCAGCATCTTAGAGAAAAAGAGAGTTCATTCAAACTGGTGCTGAATCCTCGCAGTCAAAAATTCTCTTACAACTACATGCTGGTCCTTCATTTTAAATGACCTTGCAGTTTATTAAAAGCGATCAAAGAGATCTGGAATCATATTTTCAAGAAACAGAGAATGGCCAACATTTTAAATTTAGGCAGAGTCCTAGCAGCCAGTTACTTCTCAAGGATCTTTTATACAAAAGCAGTACTCCATGCTGGGCATATATTTTCTCACCATGACACATGGGGCAGTGGAACCCTGGTGTCAGCAAGAACACATCCAGAATGATATAACTGGGTGTTTTTCAGTTTCTAAATTAAGGTATATTCAAAAATTTCCATGTACACATTTACAGCACTTTTCTAAATTACTCAACAGGTAATTAAATCAGATTCACAGATGAATTACTCTCAGTTTAACTACATGCAACAACCATACCAATAACTTTTTCTTCTAAATTTTGCATAACGATGGTTTAAAAAAAAGTGGTACAGTTTATCATGTTCACAATTGTCATTTTTCAAGGTAGTAGAAGACCAATATATTTTAAAATGATATAAAATTTAAGCTTTATTTAAAAAAACACGAGAGAAAGTCACCTTTCCTCCCATTCCCCACCCCCATCTCACCTCTTTAACATTTCAAGAAAGACTGCCTGAGAAAAGCAAGCTCATATGCTACATTCAGGACGATGATAAATGTAGGCAATAATGAAATAAGTTGAACTTTGCCTCTTGGTAAAGCCACATTTATTTCTTTTTTAAGTAAATTTGACTTTTATTGCAGTTCCAATTCATGCTTTTAGTGATATACAACAATTTCCAAAATGTTAAAGTAATTTCAGTAATTGAGCCTTCAATGGCAATGCTTATAAATTATATTTATTAGTATGGTCAAGATAAGAAAGGAATTTGGACTTTGATTATAAAATGCAGCACCTTTCTCTGATTCTCTTGGCTGAACTTTTCCTCTTCTTTTTTCCATTCTTTTCTTTGCTGTCTTCCATCTTTTTTGCTCGAATTTCTCTCATTAAATCAAAAAGTACCTTGTCAACATTAGCTGTGTTTTAGCAGATGTTTCCACATAGTTAACATTCCACTGGTCAGCTCTGTTTTTTGCCTCTTTTACAGAAACCGGCCTTTTATCTTCTAAATCTGATTTGTTACCAACCAGTAGAAATGGAACATTCTCATCTTCTTTTACTCTTAAAATCTGCTCCCTGAAGTCAGCTGTAGCTGCAAAGGATTCCATTTCTGTAATAGAGAAGACACAGAGAAACCCCTCTCTGCTTCGGAAATAGTTGTCCCTAATTGCAGCATAGTCCTCCTGCCCAGCTGTTTCTAAGATACCGATCTGTACTTCCTCGCCATCCAGTACTACTCTCTTCCGATAGGTGCCTTCTTTGATCGTACATGAACTGTAGAGTCAGAGCTGCCTTGCCCACACCGGCACTGCCCACCGTGATGACTTTGTGTAAGGCCAAATTATTCTGACCCTTGGGCTTATTTGCGGCCATCTTGTGTTGTAGTTCTCACCAACAGGTTAGGAAGAATCTGCACCGTGAGCCAGTCCGCCGCCCCGAGGGCTCCGGAAGCAGCGGGTGCTCGGCCCACGTCGCCTGCGAGGCCCCGCACTGGGAGCAGTCGAAGGAGGAGTCTTTATTATTTCTATTTCACCTATGATGAATATGATCCTCAGTCGGCCAAGGTCACAAAGCTTTTAAGAGGTAATACCAGAATTCATACCCAGATAGTTCTGTCTCCTAATGTAGTGCTTTTCAAATATTGACGTGCATGAGATTCACTAGGATATATTATTAAACGCAGATGTTTATTCCATGGGTCTAAAGTGTATCTGAGATTCATTGTTTCTAACAAACTGCCAGGTGATCTCAATGTTGCTGCTGATGTACCCCACTTTGAATAGCAAGGTCCTAAAAAGTTGAATCCTGAGATATGGAAAGGACGATAAATACAAGAGTAGCCTGTTGGAGCATTTGGAATCACACAAAAAGAGTAATTAGGCTCTTGTCTTATTTTTTTCTCCTACAAGGCAAAAATCTTAGTAAGCAGCAAGACCGTTTATTACACATCCTCTAACATAGAGCAACAATCAAGAGTTGAACAAAAATAATGGGATAATGGACATAAGCAACCAAACCATGGCATTCTCTTCTGGGGAAGCAGGGGTGGTGGTGGAAAGGCCTTGGGTTTCAGCAGGCTTTTGCAAATGACTTCTGTATCAGTTACCTGTGGGTTTGACCACATCTTTTCCCCTATAAATCAGGATGCTATGTTGATTACCGAGAAAGGAAGTAAAATGGAAAAATATTCTTTTTTATTATTATTTTGCAGAAACTGAGCATACCTTGCATGAGACCGCCTAAGTCATTGTGCTCAACTGTGCTTAAAAATTTTGCATCTCAGTTAGATATCAGTCCTTATCCCGACAGAAAACAATATATTGAAAAGGCCAAGCAATAATCCTTCAAGTGCTTCTAAGTGTTCAAGTGAAGGAAAGAGTTATTCATCTTCCTTTAAATCAGAAGCTAGACATGATTCAACTTAATCAGGAAGGCATGTCAAAAGCCAAGATAGGCCAAAAGCTAGGCCTCTTGCACCAAACAGTTGGCCAAGTTGTAAATGCAGAGAAAAGATTATTGAAAGAAATTAAAAGTGCTACCCCAGTGAACCCATGATTAATTAAAGGGGAAAAAAAAGGGCCGGGTGCGGTGGCTCACGCCTGTAATCCCAGCACTTTGGGAGGCCGAGGTGGGCGGATCACGAGGTCAGGAGATCGAGACCATCCTGGCTAACATGGTGAAACCCCGTCTCTACTAAAAAATACAAAAAATTAGCTGGGCATGGTGGCGGGCACCTGTAGTTCTAGCTACTCAGGAGGCTGAGACAGGAGAATGGCGTGAACCCGGGAGGCAGAGCTTGCAGTGAGCCAAGATCGAGCCACTGCACTCCAGCCTGGGTGACAGAGCAAGACTCCGTCTCAAAAAAAAAAGAAAAAGAAAAGAAAAGAAAAAGAAGCAAAGAAGCAGCAACCTTACTGTTTGTCTGGGAAAGTTTTATTTATTTATTTATTTATTTATTTATTTATTTATATTTTTAGTGATCTGGATAAAGGAAGAAAGCAGGTACAAAAGTCCCTTGCTAAAGCAGAATTTAGAGCAAGGTCCCAACTCTCTTCTATCTTATAAAGGCTGAGAGAGGTGAAAAACCTGTAGAAAAAATGTTTGAAGCTAGCAGAGGGTGGTTCATAAGGTTTAAGAAAAGAAGCCATGTCCACAGCATCAAATACAAGGTAAAGTGGCAAGTGCTGATGGAGAAGCAGCAGCAAGTTATCCAGATCTACCTAAAAGTACTGATGAAAGTGGCTGTAACTAAACAATAGATTTTTAATGCAGATGAGACAGACTTTGGAAAAAAATGCCAGGTAGGACTTTAATAGCTAGAGAGAAGAAGTCAATACCTGGTTTCAAAGTGTGAAAGAACAGGCTGACTCTCTTGCCACAGGCTAATGCAGCTGATGACTCAAATTTAAAGGCAGTACTCAAGTACTCATTAAGCATTCCAAAAATCTTAGGGCCCTTGAGAATTATTCTAAATCTACTCTGCCTGTGCTCTATAAATGGAATGACAAAGCCTGGATGACAACACATCTGTTTACAGCATAGCTTGCTGAATATTTTAAGCCCACTGTTGAGACCCACTGCTCAGAAAAAAGATTCCTTTCTAAATATTACTGCTCATTGAGAATGCACTTAGTCACCCAAGAACTCTAAAGGAGAAGTACAATGAGGTTAATACTGTTTCCATTCCTGCTAACATAATACCTATTCTGAAGTCTGTGGATCAAGAAATAGATTTTGTAAGGCTAGAGCTGCCATAGATCACTATGGATGTATATGGACAAAATAGATGGATAAACTTCTAGAAAAGATTCACAATTTTAGATGCCATTAAATGCATTTGTGATTCATGGGAGGAAATAAAAATATTAACATTAACAGCAATTTGAAAGAAGTTGAGTCCAACCCTCAGGGATGACCACGAGGAGTTCAGACTCCAGTGAAGGAAGTAATTGTGGATGTGGTGGCTATAGCAAGACAATTGGAAGTGGAGGAGTTCATGATTTTACTTAATTGCTGCAATCTCATAAAACTTGAATGAATGAAGCATTGTTTCTTATGGATGAACAAAGGAAGTAGTTTCTTGAGACGGAATGTAATTCTGGTGAAGATGTTGTGAATATTGTTGAAATGACAACAAAAAGGCCAGGCGTGGTGGTTCATGTCTGTATTCCCAGCACTTTGGGAGGCCGTGGCAGGTGGATCACTTGAGGTCAGGAGTTATAGACCAGCCTGGCCAACATGGTGAAACCCTGTCTCTACTAAAAATACAAAAATTAGCCAGTCATGGTGGTGTGTGCCTGTAATCCCAGCTACTCAGGAAACTGAGGTGGGATAATGACTTGAACCCAGGAGGCGGAGGCTGCAGTGACCTGAGATCATGCCACTCCACTTCAGCCTGGGCAACAGAGCGAGACTCTGCCTCAATTTAAAAAAAAAGAAAGAAAGAAAAGAAAGAAAGGAATGAAATGACAGCAAAGTATTTAGAATAGTCATAAATTTAGTTGATAAAGTAGTGGCAGGGTTTGAAAAGATTGAATCCAAGTTGAAAGAAGTTGTGCTGTGGGTAAACTGCCACCAAACATCATTGCATGCTACAGAGAAATTTTCATGAAATGAGGAGTCCATTGATGTGGCAAACTTCACTGTTGTCTTATTTTAAGAAACCCAGCCTTCTGCAACCACTATCGTGATCTGTCAGCAGCCATCAGCCTCAAGGCAAAACCTTCTACCAGCAAAAAGATTACAACTTGCTGAAGGCTTAGATGATTGTTATCATTTCTTAGTATTTTTAAATTATTTTTAAATTAAAATATTTTTAAATTAAGTATTTTTAATTAGTATTTTTAAATTAAGTATTTTTAAATTAAGGTATGTCCATTTTTTATATATAATGCTACTACACACTTAGACTACACTGTAGTGTAAACATCATTTTCATATGCACTGGGAAAACAAAAAATTTGTGACTCACTTTATTGAAGTGGTCTGGAACTGAACCCACAGTATATTTGAGGCATGCCTGTACTGTGAGTTACATTTTGCAATAATAGTCAATGAACATTTGCAATATAACCTATTCATGACCTATTACTTGTGTTTCAAAAATTTTATTCAGTTATATTAAATTGATTTGCGTAATTAGAATGCTATTCATTTGACAATAGCTGATGATCCATAGTATGTTAGAGATTAATTTTAAATAACTCAAAACTGATTTTGGAGAGCTTTTACATTATATTGACATTTCAGTGAAACTTGATTTTAAAAATTGTGTTCCGTTGCCTTCACTGGTTACTTAGCAATTAACATAAAGTTTTCAGAAAAGCCTATATACATTTGAGAAGCAAGAAACAAAATTGAGAAAAATAACAAACCAAACATATGGTGTTTGAATTGTTTTTTAAATTAAGGACTGTATTTATAGTTGCTGTGTTTGAGTTACTCATATGCAACTGAGAAATTGAATTTCATTTTCCCTCATTGGTTATTATAGTCAAAACTACAAAGTTATTATTTTATTTTTAATCATTGTCTTTTCTGTTTTCTGCATTACATTTCTCTTGAAGCTTATAGAATTTACCGTGTCAGTCTCCTCCCTAGGGTGACAGTCTCATTCTCTAGAACTTCTGAAAACACATGAACCATGCTTCTTCATAAGTTTTTAAAATATTATTTTCTTTTGATTTGCCATGTGAAAATACTGCAAATTAGTTATAATAATCCCATTTCTATGGAAATATTGTAGATATTATTTAATTAATCTTGCTAGATGCTGAACAATTCATGAACTACTTGCTGAAATTCAATAAGCAATTCATGAATACTTGAATTAAGAGTTTTTTTAAGTCAGAAACTGGTAAATACCATCAATGACAAATATTATTCCATCAAATTCAATCTGGTTATGAAATATCTCAGTTTTTAAACTCATCCTGAATACACTCAGCAGTGAAAAAGATGAGGTGTGACTACAAGGTAACGAAATTCATTTTCTTAGGTGGTTTGTAAAACCAGCTCTCTGAACACAATTCAAGAAGAGGAGTTCCAAAAATTTTTTTTTAAGTGGAAATCTTTTCTTTTTTTTTTTTTTAATTATACTTCAAGTTCTAGGGTACATGTGCACAACGTGCAGGTTTGTTACATGTGTATACATGTGCCATGTTGGTGTGCTGCACCCATTAACTAATCATTTAACATTAGGTATATCTCCTAATGCTATCTCTCCCCCCTCCCCCCACCCCACAACAGGCCCCCGGTGTGTGATGTTCCCCTTCCTGTGTCCATGTGTTCTCATTGTTCAATTCCCACCTATGAGTGAGAACATGCGGTGTTTGGTTTTTTGTCCTTGTGATAGTTTGCTGGGAATGATGGTTTCCAGCTTCATCCATGTCCCTACAAAGGACATGAACTCATCATTTTTTATGGCTGCATAGTATTCCATGGTGTATATGTGCAACATTTTCTTAATCCAGTCTATCGTTGTTGGACATTTGGGTTGGTTCCAAGTCTTTGCTATTGTGAATAGTGCCACAATAAAATGTTTTAAGCCATGGTAACATAATTATCATCAACATACAGTCTCCCAGGGCAATTCCTAAGAAGGTCAACACTCATTGTGGTATTTGTTAATTTTTTTTTATTATTTTATTGTCATACTTTGTAAGTTGGTGTAAAGGCACTTTGAAACAGAAGGAATGCCTCTCAGAGATCCTGGTAGAGCGTGACGCAGGGAGCTTCATTCATATCTGATTATTGAAAAAAGAAAATAAAGTCATTCCCCTTGTATATCAGTGTACATCCGTGTCCTGGTGTCCTGCTATGGATACATTTTTAATTGCTCTCCTTAAGAGCTTGATCCAAAAGCCTTTGAAGTAAGCAGCCCTCTACTTTTATCCTATTACAAGTGAACAGTCTCTCAATCCTGCCCTGATTTTTAGAGCCAGGGGAAGAAAAGCATTTGGAAATTGTTCTGAAATATAGTTTCTACTAACATTTTCCTATGGGTGATCTTACTAGCCTATTAAACATTTGTAATCACACAGAGCTTAAAATATGGAACTGCAAACATGTTAGCACAGTGTGTAATCTCAGTGCTCAGAAGGGATCCAGCACTCACAGTGAGCTTATTTCCAGAGCTCTAGCTGCACCAGCTCTCCAGGGAGCTAAAGCTGCCAGTCCACCCTCCTAACTCCCTTGGAGGAGAATAGGTGGTAGCAACAATTCATGTGGGTGGAAACTGAAGAAATGGAAGAATACAGTAGAAGAGGAGGGGAAGGTAGCACAGGCATGACAGTGACGGAATAAATGACACAGCTTGAATTCAACGGTGCTTCTGTCCCTGTTTTTAGACTGATAATGTGTGTAACTTCCCCTCCCTCTTTTTAAATTAGCAAACATAATCCTTACTAAGCACCTGGCTGCCTTGATTCTAGACCACATCAGCATCTGTCTCCTTCCATACATCATTCTAATAGAAAATATGAATGCAGTTTCACTGCTTTTAGAGATTCACTGGGACTCTGCCGACATTTTCCCAAGTACAAGAACACTTAAAAATACATCTTTGTATCAGAATTTCAAGCACTGGAATAATAAAGGATGATGACAAGAATGAGCAAATGGTTTAGGAGAAAATCACAGTCTACTTTCCAAAGTAACAGTTTTAAAAATCCTATTCCTAGCACAAAATTACAATTAAAATGAAATAATAGGTTATGTTAATTAAGTGCTATGTTTCCAGCTTTTTTTTCTCTTCCAAAGAGGGTCGGGGGAATATGAAATGTAGCATGATTTTTTTGGGATGACATGAATAGCCCAATTATACAAATATATTTCTGGTTGGTTTGGTAAACATTGAAAATTTTGTTTTATCAATATATTAGTATGCCCTTTTCTTCAACACCACAGATGTTTAAATCCCCTTTGGCTGCTCTTGCAAATTCAGCCTAACCACCAGTTCTGTACCTTGCTGCAATTATCTTTAAAAACACAATTCCCAAGGTAGACTGTTTAAGGCTGGGTGGAAAGGTTGCCCTTCGTATTTCTTACACACAATCAGACAGATTATTGTTCATGTGAAAGCCTGTGAACCCTCCCACACAGGAGGGTGATCTATCCACAGCAGTGATAGTTTCTGACTGTAGCTACATTCTTGAGAGGATAGCCTGCTATTACCACCCATTACTTTAGCTCAGTCTGTACATAATGCAAGATGGGAAGGTGTGGAAGTTTTAAATGCCCAGTTTCTTTTGACTCCTGAAGACATTCACAGTAGTGGTAGCTTAGCCAGTTCTGTGTGTATGGCTTATACCATGAATCAGAACCACTAGTAATTTTATATCTCTCTTCCACTTTAGTGTATGTGAAAGCTTGCGTACAAAAAGAAGGGGCAACAACTATACAGGAAGGAGAACAGGTAAATATAAACATAGAAAGGTAGCCGAGTTAAATTAACTCCTAATTCTTTTAGGACACTTTATAATGGAAAAATAATCATAGTGCAAAATTGATGTAATTAAAAGTTATGCATGCAAGAAAATGTTGAATTACTTGTACATTTCAGAATCTACACTCCAAGTGTAGATGTAGATACCCTCTTATTTTACTTTTGATAAGTGCTTTTTACAACTTTCAAGTTTCAAATGTGTTCTAAACTCTGTGCTACAGAGCTAATGTGAAAATAGCTTATTCTAAAATTGTCCTTCTGTTACTGTTACTGTATGTATCCACTTTTGAAAATAATTAGATTGCTTAATATCTTGAAAATTTATGTTGAAAAAAATCTCATGAATAAAATATTCAATAGGATTGCCATTTGACAATGTGTGATAATGAATCCCAGTACTACAGTAATGTTATAAAATTGTAATCTCACATTTGATGAAAAATATTCCAAATGCAAACTAAAAATCTTTGGCATATCTTATCATTTTTAGCTGTATTGAACACCATCAAATTATCAGAGAGTCTGGTAAAGATGACTCAATTAAAGGTCTGTCTCTTTATGTAAAAGTTTCTAGTTTATTTAAACCTTTAAAAATTTAATGGATTACTTGAGATTCACAGAAAATACATTTCAGTTTCGAAGAAGTTATCTATTTCAAAGACTATCTAAATACTTTTTTAAGCTTTAGTCAGGAAGTTATTTTGTGAAATAATATATATTATTGGTTAAGATCAAGGGATATTGATTCAGGCCTACCTGAATTTCACCCTATGTTCTTCTATCATTTAGTTGTTTTGGGGGCCTGGAAAAATCATAAAGTCACAAAGTCTTGATTTTAAGACTTATAAAATGTAGATGACCAAAATTGATCCCATAGGAATTTTTCTGAGGATTTAAATAATATAAGTAAGTTGTTAAGAACAGTGCCTGGGACATGAGGTGCTATTATTATTACAAATCAAAGGTAAAGTTTAAATTACTATAGATTAAATAGCAATCTCATTAGAGAACATCAGAATGATTGCAAAGTCAGTATAAAATATCATTGTGCTACATTTGGGAAATTATTAAATACCTCTTAATAGCCAATGCCCAAAGTTTTAGGATAGCCAAGAACCAACATTATTAAACCTTGAGGAAACAGAGTATCTACCAAATACATGGGTTGAACTAGCTGGTCTCTATTATCAACAGTAGTATTGACCTAAAATCAGGAAGTTTAAACAGTTCATGCTTAAAAGAAGATTAAAGCTATCTAAGATGTAAGGACAATCAAGCCAGCACCCCAAAAATCTTATTTTCTTGAAATGAAAATAAAAATGTCAGAGACATTTGAGATGAGGTCTTTCCTTCCTCCAGTAGAGAAGGTAAAAAATGCAGAGAAGAGGAAAGTCTATGTATTATATGATTCAGCAATTCTTACTGGAAGTTTTTCATCTTCTGGTCAGTAGATCAAATATGATATCAGGAAATACAGAAGACTAAATATACCCATTGTTCCTGCTGCGAAAAAGATGGAATATGATTAAGCTCTCATACCACCCAGGTCCACACCAGACTCAGCTCACCCAGGAATGAGTCACTGCTCTGATGGACTGATTGGCCTGGGCTGAGCCAAAGCAGTGATTAAATAGCTTAGAGCTTTGGAGCTGAAGGGAACCTCTGCACTAATTCTCCTTCATGCTTAAACGAAAGCTGATTCTGGAAGATATCCAGTGATGGCTGGGATTTAGGAGGATGGTCTTCTGCAAACCAACCACAGGAACTGATGCCAACAGGCTCTTCACTGAGCAGATGAAGTGCGGGCTGGGGAGCTCTTCGGCTAATTTGTTTTCCATGTATAGTGAATGTTTTCAAACATAAATTATTAATTGTACTTTAAAAGTTGACTGTATAAAATGAATTTTCAGTTAATCTACACTCCAAATGGTCTGCAACAAATAAACAACTAAAATACCAAACATTTCTTTACTCAACATATGACTAAGTTATTCCTTTAAATAAAACATTACTCTTTTTTTTTTCTTGGACTCTGTATTATAATACTTAACATTTATTTTTCCCATGGGAAAACATTATTGTAATGATCCAGAAAGATCCTTTCTAATCTACTCAAAATAGTATATTCTAAATTAATTGGCTTAGTAGTTTACGGTGGATGCTGGTTAGTTTCATAGGTTGAACTTTGTGATGCTGCTGCCAGGGTCACTGGCTTACGTTCTGTGTATCAAGGTGAGCCATAGATATCCATGCACCGCATGTCCCGGTTACCCATAGTATCCATGCATCGCATGTCCATGTTAGCCATAGATATCCGTGCACTGCATGTCTAGGTGAGACATAGATATACATGCATCGCATGTCCAGGTTACCCATAGATACCCATGCACCTCATGTCCATGTGAGCCATAGATACCCATGCACCGTATGTCCAGGTGAGCCATAGATATCCATGCACTGCATGTTCAGGTGAGCCATAGATATCCATGCACCTCATGTCCAGCTTATCCATAGATATCCATGCACTGTATGTCCAGGTGACCCATAGATATTCATGCACAGCATGTTCAGGTGAGCCGTAGATATCTATGCACTGCATGTCCGGGTTACCCATAGGTATCCATGCACTGCATGTCCGGGTTACCCATAGATATCCGTGCACTGCATGTCCAGGTGAGCCATAGATATGCATGCACTGCATGTTCAGGTGAGCCATAGATATCCATGCACCTCATGTCCAGCTTATCCATAGATATCCATGCACTGCATGTCCAGGTGACCCATAGATATTCATGCACAGCATGTTCAGGTGAGCCGTAGATATCTATGCACTGCATGTCCGGGTTACCCATAGGTATCCATGCACTGCATGTCCAAGTGAGCCATAGATATCCATGCACTGCATGTCCAGGTGAGCCATAGATATACATGCACCGCATGGCCAGGTTACCCATAGATATCCAAGCACCGCACGTCCAGGTGAGCCATAGATATCTATGCACTGCATGTCCAGGTGAGCCATAGATATCCATGCACCGCACGTTCAGGTGAGCCATAGATATCCATGCACTGCATATCCGGGTTACCCATAGCATATCCGGGTTACCCATAGCACGTCCGGGTTACCCATAGATATCCACGCACCGCACGTTCAGGCGACCCATAGATATCCACGCACCGATGTTCAGGTGAGCCATAGACATCCACACACCGCACGGCCGGGTTACCCGTAGATACCCACGCACCGCACGTCCGGGTTACCCGTAGATACCCACGCATCGCACGTCCGGGTTACCCATAGATACCCACGCACCGCACGCCCGGGTTACCCGTAGATGTCCAAGCACCGCACGCCCGGGTTACCCGTAGATGTCCAAGCACCGCACGCCCGGGTTACCTGTAGATGTCCATGCACCGTACGTCCGGGTTATCCGTAGATGTCCATGCACCACATGTCCAGATTATCCATAGATATCCATGCACTGCATGCCCAAGTTACTCGTAGATATCCATGCACTGCATGTCCAGGTTACCGGTAGATATCCATGCACCACATATTCAGGTGAGCCATAGATATCCATGCACTGCATGTCCAAGTTACTCGTAGATATCCATGCACTGCATGTCCAGGTTACCCGTAGATATCCATGCACCACATATTCAGGTGAGCCATAGATATCCATGCACTGCATGTCCAAGTTATTCGTAGATATCCATACACTGCATGTCCAGGTTACCCGTAGATATCCATGCACCACATATTCAGGTGAGCCATAGATATCCATGCACTGCATGTCCTGGGTTATCCATAGGTATCCATGTACTGCATGTCTAGGTTATCCATCAATAACTACGCATTGCATATGCAGCTATTCATAGAGAAAATTTTAGTTCCATCCCCTCATTTGTGTGCAATTTCACATCTGATAATGAATTTTAACATGTCTACCACCACTTAGATATATTAAATATGTGAGAAGGACTTGATTCAATCCATCATCACTGTGAAACACTGCTCAAAGTGAATACATTTGGGAGAGTTATGAGGACAAAATGCATTTACGAACAAAGTGACTAAAATACATAGATGGATCCTGGACTTCTGTAAGTTTATAAGCAAAAACAGATTAACTAACTGACTTTCCATGCAGACTATCTATTGTTATCACGGTGAATAAGGTCATTAAAAATGCATTAAACAAGTGGAATTTCATTTTCAGTTATAAGGTAACAGAAAATGTATTTCTTCTTCTAGTAGAAATAGGACTATAATAAAAGAAACAGTTCATCATGCTTAAAATCTGCTGCTCTGATACTGTGTTCCTCTCATGCATTCATGGTTTCTGTTTCTCCAATTTGATTCAAGGAGCCTTGAGCAGTGAGCTCAGTAATGATAAACACAGAGTTGAATTCAGAGCAGCGTTCATACTCTGGAATACACATTCTAGCTGTCTCATTTGAAAAATGTGTAGCTCTCCTGAGCCTTGGCTTTCTCATTTGGTAAAGCAGTTTGTAAGCCATAAGGTGCTTTTAAAAGAAAGGAGTAGTACTCCCTGAAGTCCCTCATCATGTCTAGCACAATCCCAAACACTTGGTAGATGAAGACACATTGCTAAACCACCTTATTCATCCTTTCCAACTGCATATTTAAAATTTGAAATGGCCTTATGTTTATCTTTAAAAAATCACAAGTAGATGTTATATCATTGGCTAACATGAAGAGTATAAGATAGAATAATAAGAAAGTTTAAAGAAAAATGTATTTCAATAGTTAATGGAAATTAAATATTTATTTTATTTACTGTATTCCTATAAAGTTTTTAAAGCCTTATGAACACTATTTTACTTTTTGTGACACAATGTTTGGACAACCCTAAAGAACTAAAAAAAAAAAAAAAAAACAAAAAAAAAAACCCTCAGGAAATCCAATGACGTTTTCAATAAAATTTACAAACAGGTTTTCTTCTCTTCTGGTGTCATTCAGCACCATATAGTTTCTTTTCCATTACATACAGCTGTATCGCAAATGATTTTTATCAGTGAGTTTGCATGATTTAGCTCAATTATTGTTTCTGTCTGCTTATGCTATTTAACTGAAAGGGTACTCTTAATTGGCAGAAATTTATTGTTAAAAGGATTTATTAATTTTTTTCTAATATTTTATCCTTCCATAAGAGCTACAAAATGGGAAAGAACAGAGAGATTTTTATTCTATTCATGTCTCATCACATAGTAAAATATGAAAGTCATTAATTTGCACATCACATCTGAAATGCCACACAGATTGCATAACCATATGGAAGAGTTACCATCTGAATTAAAATATATTAACAAATTGAAATAGTGAAACTATGAATATGTGTTTTAAACTCAGTGAGACATTTACCTTGGGATATAAAAAGACTATAAAAGTTAAATTTTAATTCAACTCAGTGAAATATAATAGGGGCATATTAATATATTTAATTTGGGACATTTGAATTTATTTCTTTGGTGCCACCTTTAATTTCTGTGTCTATTTTTTGTATTTTTAAAACTTATTCCCTTATATTATTTGTTCAGCTATCTAACTCCCCAGAAAAAGCCATGTCTTTCTTAGTTGGTATTCTCATGTGGCCCACTGTATTGTGCCTTACGTAGTATAGGAGTAAAGCCATGTTTATTAAAGTAAAAAAGAGTTTAATAAATAATGCGATGGGTATATTATAGTCTTATGTGGATATTAAAGCTCTATGGAAAAATATTTAACAACATGGGAAAATATTCATAAAATAATTTGAAAAGACCTAAAGCGGGATACACAATTTGTGTAATCATAACTATAATCCCAATTTTATGTAGAAATGTGTACATACACTGAGAAAAATGCTGGAGGTTAATACACCACAATCATTTTTTTATATACTGAGTATGTTGGGAGCTAGAAGGTGAGACTAGAGATCTCTCTTTTCTTTCTCATATATTTCAGTATTTTTCAAAATGTCTACAGTGAAGGTATATTAATTGTATAATTAATATGCACTTAATCACTTCTCAAAATATATTTTGAACAATAAATTTATTTTTTAAATGAACAGAATTTAGCATTAAATTTTTTAGGGTCACTACCTTACTTCATCCATTTCCAGTCTGATCTTATGCCCAGAGATACTAATGTTCCTTTTATTACTCTACCAGAATATAAAATACACCTGAGTCCTTCAGATACTATCACAAATTGAGGAAAAATCAATTATTCCATCTTCTTTTAATTATGTATTCAACTTAAAATTAAATATACTGAATAGAAAATAATAATAATAAATCTAGTCAGTCAACTATGGAGTATTTCATTATGAAGAGCAATGTCAATAAAATTTTATTTTAGAGTTCCTGATGTCCCGCTCCAGTAGCGGAAAAAAAGTTTTTTGTTTTTGTTTTGTTTTGTTTTGTTTTTTGCAGGGTTGATAGTGTATGAGAGAGAAGAATATTTTTTGTTTGAGCTTTTAAACTTTAATTTGGATTTTAAATAAGTTCACAGAACTCTTCGATTCTTATATTTTTTTTTGCTTTTTGAAAGTAATAAATGCTGAAAGGTTCTGTAAAATATAAGCACCACTTGATACGTCGATAAAGCAAAGCTACAAAGGAGCATACTGCGTGGATAACACCCAATTGAGCATGAGTTTTAATGGTAATCTTAGCTGACACTTACCTAATACCGTCTCTTACTTTGTCATTACACTATTACAGGTACAAGTTTGAGTGGCCCATAAATCAGAGATTCTCTAATTCTGCCTGAAAAATCAAGGCTGCTTTATTTAAATTTATCTGAAATCCTAAGGCCCTTAAAGAATGGGATATTAAATAGAGATATATGGCTCTCTAAGAGGGAACAGACATTGTGTTATGGTCTATAAATGTTCTTAACCTGCTTCAGACTTTTAACTTATCAAGGTTCTTTATTTCAGAATAGGGTGTATAAGAAAATAATCTGTACTTTATCGAAAAGCTTCAATATATTGTGTTTCACCCATAAAAATTTATCTTAAACTGACCTTGAGAAGCTTTCTAAGAGAGAGCTTTTTTTGTTGTTGTTGTTTCTTTTAAGGTGAAATCTTCCACTCAAGAATTCTACCCAGGAGGATTAGAGATGGCTTTATCTCTGTTATGTATGTAGAGATTCCTATTGTTGGGTAAATTTTCTAGTCTGTTTTATGCCAGATCCTTGTCTCTCAATTTACCACTCTAATAGTATTTTCTCATTCAGCATACATTTAAGAGGAAAATGATGTATATTTGCATATATTAAATTACTGTCATCCTTTCTTAGATTTATATCTCTAAGTGTTTTCATTTTAAAAACAAGTAATTTAGGCCTTTCAAATAGCATCCAAAACAAATTAAGGATTGCAAAACTTGAATTTCAACGTAAGCCTTGAAAAAATGTGAGGTTCAATAGTTATCTGGTTTTAATATGTCTTTTTGGTTTCTCTGTTGACTGATATATTCCTGCCTAAAATTTTGATCCAAATTTAATATCTCTTGTTACACAAGATTTATGTAAAAAGTAAATTCAGTTGCTTTCAAATTCATTTTGTGTCTCAGTGAAAACAGAATTTACTAATTGCAAATCTTCTGGAAAGCATTGTTTTTTCCTGCCTCTAATTGTACCTTTAAAACTTCAGTCCATAATTTATTCTTTTAAAGAAAAGTACAATTTATAGTATAGTTGTTAAGATTGTTTAGTAAAGCAAATATGTTGGTAAAATAAGCAACTTTTTAAAAATCTGAAATTATCACCAAGATGAAATTACAGAATTTATAAAAATCTCCTCTATCATGAATTACTTTCTACTGAAACAATTCCTAATAACTTATTTTCACAAAGACTTAAGAATTATTCTAGTTGTAATAGTCCTTCATAAAAGTTACTGGGACTTAAAGTCTTCATTTTGTAAGAACAACATTTTAGTGCTGGAACATTGGCTGACTCCCTCCCACAAGATCAATGTTGTATGAAAAATGGAAAACACTCAAAATAGAGAAAACCTCACAAAGCTTATGGGGTTCTGTTTTGAACTAGTGTATGTGTTTCGTGTCAGGGGATGGGGAGGAAGGGCAGAGAATAAAATTTTTAGCATGGGGCATGGCAATGTTGTAGAAAGGTAAAGTAGAAAATAACTCTTGGGATTAAGTTTCTGCCATTGCCTTGGAGAGAACAAATGTGTGCCCCCACACCGGCCATGATTTAGAGCACCAGTCAGGAGTTTATCAGGAGTAAAATGTGGAGCCGTATGCATTTGAGAATTTGAGTAAAACAGGTGAAAATAACTAAATTTAGGCAGTGTTTTCACACCACTTTTTTTCTAAACTTTCTGGACTGATGAATTATATTCTAAAAAGGCTCTCCTCCTAATGGTCTTTGGTAGGGGTGGGGGTGAAGGCAAAACCTTTTCTGATTTTAGGAAGTGAAAAGGGAATTCCTGTGGTTTTCTGGTAACTCCAAATATTCATCCTAGAGCTCATTTCAGCTCTTCAGAGCCATCCTGGTCTTTCCAAATTGTCTGCAAATAGCTGATATACTCACAGGCAAATAAATACGTTTACTGGGTAAAATAAAATAAAATAAAACCAAACTTCTCCCAACACAACTGCTTAAACAAACTGTTCTTACTGTGAAGAAGCTAATCTTGAACTAATAGACAAAATAACCCAAACACTTTTTTGTTTGTTTGTTTGTTTGTTTTGAGATGGAGTCTTGCTCTGTCACCCAGGCTGGAGTGCAGTGCTGTGATCTCAGATCACTGCCACCTCTACCTCCCTGGTTCAGCCAATTCCCCTGCCTCAGCCTCCCAAGTAGCTGGAATTACAGGAGCACGCCACCATGCCCAGCTAATTTTTTTGTATTTTTAGTAGAGACCGGTTTCACCATGTTGGCCAGACTGGTCTCAAACTCCTGACCTCAGGCAATCCTCCGTCCTTGGCCTCCCACAGTACTGGGATTAAAGGCGTGAGCCACCTCGTCTGGCCACCCAAACATTTTTATCTTCCCTCTGTAGAATTATCTATAATTGCTGCTCCAGGGGAATGTTATAAAGTTTATCAGCAACAGTAAAAGGAGCACATTATTCATAGAAAGCTGTTATGAGAAGAAAAGATATAGTAGGAATCAAAACTTTTTAGCTGAAGCAACACTCCCAAAACATGCCAACCATGAATCAGAGGAAAACTGATACACAACATCAACATAAATTAAACTTAATTGAATCAATTGTTAGAGATAAGATACACCACAATGAAGTAGAAATTCAAACTACTGAATTTTAAGTAGAAATTCTGAAAGTAGAAATGAAAAATACATTATTTACCAGATTAATTGAAGAAAAATAAAAAGTCAAATCTGAAGTGAATATTAAAATAATAAATGGTCATGGGAGAATCAACATGATTGAATGTACAGTGATAGAGATGATACATGCAAAAAACAGCAAAAATAAAATTTGAAAATATAGATTAAAATATGAATAAAAGATATAGATCTGGAAGGCAGGCACGGGAGATCTAACATACCTATAATTGGAATTTGAATATGTAAAAATAAAACAAAATAGTACAAAAAAGCTAAACGTTTTTAAATGTTCTGAAATGGTGAAACCCCGTCTCTACTAAAAATACAAAAAATTAGCCCGTCGTGGTGGTGGGCGCCTGTAGTCCCAGCTACTCAGGAGGCTGAGGCAGGAGAATGGCGTGAACCCGGGAGGCGGAGCTTGCAGTGAGCCGAGATCGCTCCACTGCACTCCAGCCTGGGCAAGAGAGCGAGACTGTCTCAAAAACAACAACAACAACAAAAAAAAGCACCTAATTTTTCCACTAAAGAGGTCCATCTTTGTAATTAGAAAAATTAACCCGGAAGGGTCAAGTCCAAAACATATCACAGTAGAATTTTTAGAAAATCTGTTCTTCTATACAAAAAATGAACAAAAATAACAACAAAAAACACAAAGGCCAACCAAATCATTTTTTAAAGAAAAATAATTGGCATCAAAATTTCCAATATTGTGTGGAGCAATATTTTTAAGTTACTGGGAAAAAATAGTCTAAGCAAAGCATTTTCTTTTGGATAAATTGATTTTCGAGTATCAGAGCTAATAAAAACTGACTTAAACATTAAAAAATACAGAAACTATTTTAGTAGAAGAATAAATAAACATAGGGGACAAAGAGAAAATAAAAAATACAATGGTTAACGTTCTCACAAGTGGGAGCTGAGCAATAAGAACACATGGACACAGGGAGGGGAAAAACACACACTGGGGCCTGTCATGGGGGGCGGGGGAGGAAGGGCATCAGGATACATAGCTAATGCATGAGGGGCTTAATACCTAGGTGATGGGTTGATCTGTGCAGCAAACCACCATGGCACACGTTTACCTATGTAACAAACATGCGCATTCTGCACAAGTATCCCAGAACTTAAGGTATAATAAAATTTTTAAAAATTTGTAGAGAAGCTATTTTACTTATGAGCCAACCTGAAATATTTACTGGTGGACAAGCATCATCCCACCAAAACATGATAGGAGAAATTTCAAAAAAAATTATTTTTCAAGGAAAAATTCTAATGGAAGCACCTAGAAATAAAGCCACATTACTAACAATGAGCCTAACTAGTGAAAATCTTCTGAATATCACTCACAACAGAAGGAATAAGGAAAGCTTGAAGAAATGGCTAATTCTGAGTCTGGAGAGGTATGAGTATGAGATATTCTCAGCCAGAGTATGAGAAGTATGAGATATTCTGAGCCAGAAAGTAGGGAAGATATCAAATATTAATGTACACAAAAGCTAGTTGTATGAAGAAAATTTAACCAAATTTGGAACAAGTTTAGCTTAAAAGAAGGAAAGTAATATTGTAATTGGTATGTATTAAGTATTTAAATATGGACTTTGTGGTGTGTGTGTGAGAGAGAGAGAGAAAGAGAGAGACAGAGACAGAGAGAGAGAGAGAGAGAGAAAGAGAAAAGAATCATATTCTAACATTCCCCAGGCAGGGATCACCAAAAGCTACTAAAACCATAAGACCATTAGGTGAAATGATATTGGGAAAAGATATTCACCAAGTACAAAAGTGTTACCCAAAATATGTATTGCAAAAGAGAGAACAGTCCTTTACAATACAGACATTTGTCAATCACGATCTTTAAGTCACTAAGCTTAGCATCACTAATAATGGAGCAAGCTGATATATGTTTCCTGTTGTGACATTTTCTGAAGTATATATTATCAACTACAAAGTATTTGTTCCAAGAATGCTCAATTTAAATCTGATCAAGTCTGCAGGCATATAATATCCAGTTTATAGGAAACAAAGGGCAATTTATTATAATACTACATTAATTGGAACCAAGAAGTGTGACTATTATGATATTTACAACTTACATTTAAATAATACAAGTATATGTAGGCAAGACAGAAAACACAATTTTGGTTTAGTTATTGAATCTAGGTAAAGGGTAAATAGATGTTTCTATATTATTCTTACAACTTTAAACATTTTTTATACTAAAAAGTTATGGGAGAAACTCAGGTTCAAATTCCTTATAAAAAATTGAACCTCAGGTTCAAATTGCTTAACCAAAAATTATAAGGAAAACCCCACAAAAACAAAATACAATACTTGGAAACATTTTGGTAAGTTTTAAGATTTCACACACAAAGATAAAATTAAGGATACAGACAAAAAAAAAATAAAGAAGAAAAATTGGTTTATCCGAATTTTTAACATTTGATGCAAAGTGGCAATAGAGTCACATTTTCTAAGAAGGATGTTATTTGGAATTTCAGATGTAATACCAGTCATTGTGTAATTCAACTACAGTGTCATGATAAATTTAAAAAAAAAATTATATAAACTACTTGAAGAGAAAAAATCCAGGAGATGCTGCAAGATAAAAATAAAAGCAAGTGATCAAATAGCATTGCAAGTTTTGTTGTCGTAAAAATTTACAAGAGTAAGAGTGAGGTTGGAGTGGATGAGGAGACCAATAAATCAGAGTATGCTAAAATTCTTATGGCAGGTAGAAGCAGTAGATATTATTTTTAAAATAAGATAAAATGAAGGAATAATACAGAAAAGGTGGTACAATTTGAAATAATGAATTAGGGAAAATATTCAAGTAAACCAATGATTATAAAAAGCATCATTGGAGTAACTCAGAAATTAAAGGCAAATAACAGCAGATCGCATTAAGAAAAGAAAGAGATCTGGACGTCTAGATGACAACAAGGAATATGTTCAATTCATAAGGAGATATTAGATCAATTATAAACATGTAAGAAATTTAAAGTTTCATATAAAGTAAATATTATTGATACATCTAAAGAAAGAATTTGAGTATTTTACCATCATACCTCAAGATTTCAATATCACTCTCAATTATTGATAGATTATGGGGAAAAGACAAAAATATGGAAAAGCTACCACCTAATAACACAATTAAGTCTTGATCTCATTGAGGGAGAATATATATACCTATGGGAGTATATATACATACTTCCATGTTTATATATACACACATACCTATATATGTGTATTTATATAGGTGTGTGTGTATATACATATATATAGAGAGAGAATAGCACTTATTCAAACACTCATTAAACATTAATAAAAACATATCAAATACTAGGCCTTAAAAAAGGCCATACAAATTCAAAAAATTTTTCAAAAAATACAAAACATAAAGACTGTGACTTCACCTTATTGACAATTATGATAGAAGTTCATAGTGAAAATATAAATTAAAATTTTCACATTTTGGAGATTAAAAGGAAAATATATTGATAAGTAATTAATTCTTCAAAAAGGAGGTTGTAGAAATTAAGCAACCCTGAAACTGAATAAAAATGAAAACATTATTTACAAACTTACAGGCTACATTAAATATAATTTTTCTGCACTTTCCAATATGGTAGTCATCATCTATTCAAGTCTATTTAAATTTAAACTACTAAACTTATAAGTGCTCAATGTCACATGTGAAAAAGCAATCTATAAACTGGGGAAAAATACTTTAAAAAGTATATGTAATACATATTTTAACATAGACTAAAGAACTCTTACAGCTTAATAACAAAAGAACCAGTCTAGTTACAATAGAAATAGTTCTGAACAGATGTTTTAGAAAAGAACTTATACAAATGCCCAATTAGTACATTAAAACGTATTCAATATAATTAATCATTTGGGAAATCTAAATTAAACTACAAGGAGATACTACTATAAACTAGAATGGTTTAAAGAGATTGGCAATGACAAATGTTGGAAAGAATGTAAAAAATGGGAATTCTCATATATTGCTGGTATGAATTCCACATTATAATATACTTTGATCGTTTCTTCTAAAGGCACATGGACACTTACCACACAACCCAGCAATCTCACTCCAAGGTACACACCAACATAAATGAAAATATATGTCGAGTCAAAGATGTATACATGAATGTTAACAAAGACTTTTTCATAATGACCATAAGCTCTAAACCCAAATGCCTATCTACAAATAAAAGGATAAACAAATTGTGGCATAAACCTACAAAACAAACAACTGTGCTTACTCACAACAAAAGCATTATGCTAAGTAAAAGAAGGCAAAAACAAACAAAAAGAAATTCATGTACCATATAATCCCACTTATATAAAATTTGAATAAAGGAAAAATTAACAATCAATAGTTATTAGTGTTGAAATGGGTATATGGAGGGGATCTACTGCAAGAGGGTATGAGGTTACTTTTTAGGGTGATGGAAATATTCTGTATCTTGAATGCCATGGTAGTTATATGGATTTGTACATTTGTCTCTCAAAATTCACAATACAATTCACTTTACATTGATGAAATTTACTATGTGAAATATACGTCAATTAAGCTGATTATGAATTCCTAGGAAATAATAATTGTCATAGTAGAACTTATAAAAGCTGCAGAATGTAGGAAAATCACAAGTACTTTGTGGAAAACTTATAGCATTAAATATTTATATTAAAAACTAGAAAGTATCATAATGAAGGACCTCAAACATGCATCTAAAGAAATGTTAATGTACCAAGATATTCAGGACCTGGACCCAAAATTAAGCCAAATGGATCTGATAAACCTCTACAGAACTGTCCGCCCCAAAACAATAGAATACACAGTCTTCTCATTGCCACATGGCATATACTCTAAATCAACCACACATTTCGACATAAAACAATCCTCAGCAAATGAAAAAGAATTTATATCATACCAAACACACTGTCAAACCACAGTGCAATAAAAATAAACATCACAACTAAAAAAAATATCATTCAAAACCATGCAATTACATGGAAATTAAACAGGCTGCTCCTGAATAACTTTTAGGTAAATAATGAAATTAAGACAGAAATCAAGAAGTTCTTTGAAACCAGTGAGAACAAAGATACAACATACCAGAATCTCTGGGACACAGCTAAGGTAGTGTTAAGAGGAAAATTTATAGCACTAAATACCTAAATCAAAAAGTTAGAAAAACCTCAAATTAACAACCTAATATCACAGCTAAAAGAACTAGAGAAGCAAGAGCAAACCAACTCCAAAGCAACAGAAGACAATAAATACCAAAATCAGAGGAGAAATGAAGGAGATTGAGACATGAAAAACCATTCAAAAGAGCAACAAATCCATTTTTTTTTGTTTTTTTTCTTTTGTTTTAATATATCCTCGATGAACACACACGCACACACAAAAAAACAAGGTCATGAGGTCAGGAGATTGAGACCAGCCTGGCTAACACGGTGAAACCCCATCTCTACTGAAATAAAATACGAAAAATTAGCCAGGTGTGGTGGCGCACACCTGTAATCCCAGCTACTCTGGAGGCTGAGGCAGGAGAATTGCTTGAACCCGGGAGGTGGAGGTTGCAGTGAGCTGAGATCACACCACTGCACTCCAGCCTGGGTAACAAAGCCAGACTCCATCTGAAAAAAAACAAAAAACAAAAAAGAGAGAGAAAATCCAAATAAACACAAATAGAAATGAGAAAGAGAACATTACCACTCACCCCACAGAAACATAAATAACCATTGGAGCCTACTACAAACACCTCTATGCACACAAACTAGAAAATATAAAAGAAATGGATAAATTTCCAGACACATA
This sequence comes from Homo sapiens, assembly GCF_000001405.40. Classification (NCBI taxonomy): domain Eukaryota; kingdom Metazoa; phylum Chordata; class Mammalia; order Primates; family Hominidae; genus Homo; species Homo sapiens. Next base: position 78,816,351 of record NC_000012.12, read on the forward strand.
CACCCTTCCAGAAGTGAACCAAGAAGAAATTAGTTCCCTGAACAGACCAATAACAAGCTCCAAAATTGAATCATTAATATATAGCCTGCCAACCAATAAAAGCTCAGGACCAGATGGACTCAAAGTCAAATTCGACCAGATGTATTCAAAGTTAAATTCTACCAGATGTAAGAGCTGGTAACATTTCTACTAAATCTATTCCAAAAAAATTGAGGACAAGGGACTCCTCCCCAACACATTCTATGAGGCCAGCATCCTCCTGTTACCAAAACCTAGCAGAGTCACAAGAAAGAAAGAAAACTTTGAGGTTTTTCTAAGTTTTTAACGTAGGTTATTTATTTAAAACCAGACAATATCCTTGATGAATATTGATGCAAAAATATTCAGCAAAATACTACCAAACCAAATCCAGCAGCACATTGAAAAGCTTATCCTGCCTGGAGCGGTGGCTAGTACCTGTAATCTCAGCACCGTGGGAGGCAGAGGCGGGCAGATCACCTGAGGTCAGGAGTTTGAGACCAGCCTGGCCAACGTGGTGAAACCCCATCTCTACCAAAAATACAAAAATTAGCCTGATGTGGTGGTGTGCACCTGTAATCCCAGCTACTTGGGAGGCTGAGGCAGAAGAATTGCTTGAACCTGGGAGGCGGAGGTTGCAGTGAGCCGAGATCGCGCTACCAATGCACTCCAGCCTGGGCAACAAGAGCGAAACTCGTCTCAACAACAGCAACAAAAAAGTTTAACCACCACGATTAAGTAGGCTTTATTCCTGGGATGTAAGGTTGGTTTGACATACACAAATCAATAGATATGATTCATCACAGAAACAAAGCTAAAGACAAAACCACATGATTATCTCAATAGATGCAGAAAAGGCTTTTTATAAAACTCAACATCCTTTCATCTTAAAAACCCTCGGTAAACTAGATACTGAAAGAACCAATTTTAAAATAATAAGCACCATCTATGACAGTTGACACCCAACATCATACTGAATGGGCAAAAACTGGAAGCATTGCCTTTGAAAACCTTCACAAGACAAAGATGCCCTCTCTCAGCACTTCTATTCAACGTAGTATTGCAAGTCCTGGCCACAGCAATCAGGCAAGCCAAAGAAATAAAGTGCATCCAAATAGGAAGAGATGAAATCAAACTATTCCTGTTTGCAGATGACAAACCTACACTGACTTTTTAAAAAAAATGCTGATACATAATTGTATATATTTATGGGATGCAAGTGATATTTTGAGACCTGAATACAATGTATAATGATCCAATCAAAGTATTTAGGATATACATCACCTCAAACATTTATCTTTTTTTATGTGTTTGGGACATTGCTAATCATCTGTTCTAGCTATTTCAAAATATACAGTATAGTGTTGCTAACTATAGTCACCCTACTGTGCTATCAATGCTAGAACTTATTTCTACTATCTAAGTGTACGTCTGTACCCATTAACCAACCTCTCTTTTTTTCCTCCCCCCAGCGTTTCCCAGCTTCTGGTAACCATCATTCTACTCTCAACCTCCATGGGATCAATTTTTTGATTCCCATTATGAGTGAGAACATGTAATATTAATCTTTCTGTCTTATTTCGTGTCTGCCTGGCTTATTTCACCTAATATAATGACTTCCAGCTCTATTCATACTGCTCCAAATGACAGGATTTTATTCTGATTTCATTTCGTTTCGGTAAATATCTAGTAGTGAGATTGCTGGAAAGTATGGTAGTTCTATCTGAGAAACCACCATAATGTTTTTCATAATGGCTGTACTAATTTACTTTCCTACTAACAGCACCCTACACTGGTACTTCTTACACAGAAGTAAAGCTTTAAAAATTTTTAGTTATCAATTAGTCATGACATAGTAAATATGTGTCAATATAACCAAATCTATATTTTAAATTACCCTTAAATCCTCAATTTTTATATGAAGACAAGAGTATTCTCTCTCACCTAGCCTCTCTCTGTAAAAGCACCTGCATGGATTTTTACTGGAATAGTCAATTTGGGTGCTTACATATTCCAAGGAGTGAATTAGAATTCAAATGAGATATAACACAAAGTTACAGACACAAATCCATGAACAAAATTTTAATAACTCAAGCTCAAGAAGGTTTATTTCTTGCTCACTTTTCAGTTTAAGCAGCTAATGCCAATCTTGAAGTAATTAGGAGACTCAGGATTCTTCCGTCTTCATTCTACTTTACGGGAGAGCCTTACTGTCATTTCCATCATCCAGTCACTTGAACGGGAGAGAAAGGGTGGAGCAGCCCCACCCATCTTTTTAACCCTTGTCCCAGATACGACATGTAGCACTTCCACTGCATTGCACTGGCTAGGTCTCAGAGACATGTTTACGTTTAACTGCAAGGAAGCCTGGGACTTGTAGTCAAATTGTGTGGCCCCCCACCCCCAAAAAAAGAGCAAATAGATTTCAGTAAATGGCAGTTTCTGGTATAGAAATTCATTCCAGTTTGTATTTTAACATTTGAACTGTTAAGTGAAAAAGCTGAGTTCTTCTGGGGAAAAATACATATGGCATAGTGTCATAAAAAAGATGAACAAAGAATCATCATGCTTGCGCCCTCGATACCTCTGCCTTTAACAAATGAGTAAATAGACAAACTATTAAACTTCTGTAAAATTGCATTTTGAGCAATTTTCTGACTGGATTATTTCTAAGATTAGCTACAGCTTTAAAATGCTATGATTATACTTCTGACAGTTTCCGAGGAGTTGAGCGAGGCTTAAATGTACAAAACTCCAGCAAACTGAAAAAGTGAAAAGCATATTCTGAAATAAATATTAAGGTTCATATGGATGATTTTCATTACATATCAGAGTTAACTTATTCTTTCTGTAGAAATTAAAGTGACAGTAATTGGGTAACTATATGATATACCAATTTATTTAAATCACTTTTTATATTTTATATTTTTAAAACACTATGTGCTGACACTACTATTTCTGGCACATAGCAGGCACCCTATAAGCATGTGCTGAATTAATAATGATGAATAAATGGACAAAATGAATTCAAATAAAATTTAGGTATTATAGCCTGTATTCGTTATAAAAATATTTCCTAGACATCATCTCCATGGTTAATTGAAAAACATATTGAAAAGTCTCCTATAAAATTTAATACTTAAAAGGCAGTGCTCTCTGACATTTTCTTCAGGGCATGTTTTAAATGAAATTTAGATTGGTCTAATAATTAAACTAACTCTAACAAAAATCAAAGAAATGTACTTCTACAACTGAGACTGGTAAATGCATAGATATTATGTAGTTCAAATGAAAAAGACTACATTTTCCCACAACATATTACATACCAAAATTGATATTTTTGGAGGAATTTCCTAAGGGAAAGAACTAAAGAAGGAAATGTAATGTTGAAATATTGGGCCTATTTTCATTCATTATTTAACTTAAACCTAAAAATATAGTAGCAATAGAGTGGTAGATAAGTGAGAGGACTTTGATTCTAAAGCTGGCATAAAGCTTCAAAACACTATGAAACAATTGCCACATTTCCTATTCTCGATTATAACTATCATCCTGCTCCTACACCAGCTTAAGGCAGTTTTCCTTTCTTCAGTGCTTCTGGGACAGAAAAATTTACTTATATTCATGTAAATGCAGGCAAATTCCCTCCACAATTTTATATTTTTACATAATTAATTCTCACCTTTGTTTATTTGTCCAACAAATATTCATCAAGCATTTCCTTTGGGTCAGGCACAGCTCTAGGTCTGAGTACATACTGGTGAGATAAAGACACACAGTTCCTGTCCTTTTTCAATTTGTACTAAAATAATATAGTATGGACCAGTATGTACTCTTTATCTCACCAGTATCCTCAATTATAAATGCTGCACCACTGTATTTGCTGAGTTAAAAGATTGAATAATTTGCCATTCACCAATTATAGAAAAGCAAAACATTCAAAAACTAAAATTAATATAGAGATTGATTTCATGTAAAAAGATAAATGAAGTTAGATAAAGTAGGGTTCAAATCCTATTTCCTTTTTCTTTTATTATCCACAAGTGTGTGGAAATGCTAGAAAAATGTCATAGAATATCTTAAATATATCTAAAAATCAAAAATAGCTACTTTGGAAGGTAGATATTATACATTAATTCATTTATTCATTCTGCAAATATTTATTCTCACCTTGGGACAAACATGCACAGATTTAAAATATAGATCAAGGGCCTGGGTTCATAGTAAATGTTCTATAGTGGTCACTAGTGTTAGACTCACTTATAGAGCCTTAAGTTCACATAAGAGTAGTCAATGATGTTTCACATAAAGAAAATACAAATAGAAAAGCAGGACAACAGAACGATTTTATATCAGGTCCTCAAATAGCATTTGAGGAGCTTGTAGGAAGTGGACTGAATTGAGAAAAAATTAGTAAAATATTACTCTGGTAAAGTAGAGTGGCAGAAGTTTGATAACTAAGAACTTGTATGATATTCTATAGAACAATGCATAACAGATTTGTGTTATAGAAAATTATTCTAATAGCAACTAGAAGGTATACTGGAGATGAAACAATACTTGGATTAGAGAGATCATTTTCAAAGCATTTGAAGGCACACATCCATTTTCTCCATGTACCAGGCACAATGATAAGTGACATTGATGCATAAATGAAGAGACGTCCACTTGTAAATCCAGCAGAGAAAGGATAAGGCTTGAAATGAAGTGGAAGAGGGAATAGTGAGTCATGGATTTGGGAAAACTTTAGGAGGTATAATTGACAAGAACATATGACCAAGTACATGTGGGCTTTGAGGAACAGGGAAGCATCCAGGATGACTCTCAAGTTTCTGACTAAAGCAGCTGAGTAGGATAGAGGCAGCACAGGGCTGGTGAAGAGTGTGATCTCTAGAGAAAAGATTGTTTGGGTTCAAATCCGGACTTCATGATTTTTTAGCTGACCATACCTTGGATAAGTAGCTCCTCCAATTATTAGCCATATGCCTGAGGTGGAACAGGGAAGACCTGAAGGTCAAAAAAGTAGAGAAATCCTCCCAGAACTTGATTGCTTTTCTGGAGGGAATTGAACATGTTTGCAGTTTAGGGTTAGTTTTCTTATTAAGAATATTATTTTTAGAAAGGTAGGTATAGACACAAGAATATATGTGGAAACCAGACAGCCAAGGAGTAATTGCATGAATATTTGATCGTTTGAGGTACCATCAATATTAAATCCTTCTTCTTTCCATTGGTAAAAGAGGGAATAACATGGACAATATTTGTTCTATTTTCTTCTATGGAAACTGAGAGCAATTGCACCTAATGGCAGCAAAGCTGTGTGCAAGTATGTAAAGCAGAGCCCTGGGTGTTGAATCTGAATCTGAAGCAAATGATGTAAACACATTAAGATGGTTGGAATCATTAAAATTAGCTGTAACTAAATCCAGAGACAGAAATGCTTTAGCTGTTTGTTTATTTAGTAAGAACACTTATAATTCTTACTATGCTTCAGGTCCAGATCTAAGTGTTTTACAAATATTCACTTACTAGGAAATGTTTATTAGTCGTTGACACTCTTCATCAAATACTCTGAACTCATGGTACAGTTGTACTCCCTGATAGCCTTCTGGTTGAGTGAAACCAAATAACCAGTTTTGGCCAATGAGTTAAGTGACAGTAGTTCCTTCTTTAGCCTGGTCATAGAAATGAGAATGACAAGACAAGGAGCTGTTACCTGCCAACCCATAATAAATATGTACCATGAGTATAAAATATACCTTTATTTAAAAATTGTTGAGATTTTGAAGAGTCGTTACCAAAAAGTAGCCTTCCCTAACCTAACCTGCCCAACACAAACCTTTATGAGGTAAATACTGTTATTATTCCCATAGTATAGATGAGGAAACTAAGCCACGGAAAGGTTAAGTACCTTATACAAAGCCACAGAAAGGTTAAGTACCTTATACAAAGTAACATAAGAGTAAGCAGCAGACCCAAGATTCAAACCCAGTCACACTGGCTTTAGAGCTTAGACTATTAATTGATAAGCTATGCTGTCTTTCTAGATTGTCAAACATAAAGCATGATTTCTGTGCTTTTTTGATTTTTATACTACCAGACTTGCCCTATACCTGTGTGCCTTCTTTATTAGCTACCCATTATTAGTTTGGGCCCTCAAGTAAGTTTGTCTTTTCTTACCTAACATAGACAGAGTTGTTTTGATGCTTAAAACCAAAAACTCCAAAAGACACATGTATATGCATGCATGGCTTTCTATCTTAAAAGCAACAGGGATTCACTGAACAAGTTAAAATGTAATGTCATAATCCAATTGTATTAAAATAAGTCGAATATCTTATAGAGTGATCCTACATTCTAATTTTATGAATTGGAAGTGTAGTAAAATTAATTTATTTAAAATAAGGATATTAGCAAAATGTCTTCAAGGTCCCAATGAATTGAGTCATGAATCTCATAGAATTTTAGATATTAGGGAAGGGTAACACAGGAATGCTGTGCTCTCGTTATGATGCTAATATCAAATAAATCCTAACTGTAAATATTCATTCCAATTTTTAGAAACTGATTTCTATAATGTTATGACTAAGAAAATATATTCTGAAAGTCCCACAGAACTACTTTTCTATTCACTATTGATGTTAAAGTATTTCCAAAAATCCTGGTTAAACATTTGGAACTCCATTTTAAAGCTAAAAAAGAAGCTTTGAAAAACTAAGACTGGATTTTACATTTGATAAGACTGCCAATTACTTTTCAATTTGGCTGTTAAAAATATTTAGATAGTAAATTGAAAGTTTTTATATCTACCACTAAAAAGTGGTGTTTGTCCTCAGAATGTCTGAGATAGAAATACATGATGACGCAAAGGCCTAAGAAAACTTTTAGTTACAGTGGCTGGAACTCAATATATATCTCCGAGAAGTAAAACAATACATACTGTCAACTTGGATTATTTCCATAATTGTCTGCCTCTTTAAATCAGATTTTTAAAATCTGAAACTAATCGAAACAAAATAATAGTTTACTCATTATACTTGAAAACTGCAGATAAATTTTATTATTATTTGTATATGTTAAACCTCTCCTAGAAAACATAGGACTAGATGTTATTGCACAAAACTAACCATAATTTTTTAGATTTTAGAATTCCCAAGGCAGTTAATAGAGTATAAGGATGATAATTTTGTTTTAGGCCATATAAAAGAAATTATGCTTATACAGATTTTTCTGTTTACCTTTTACAGAATAGTTGCATGTATTTGTTTCTATGTGTGCTGGTTTATTGTAATTTGCTATTTTTTTCAGTAATCTCAATTGCAATGACTTCTTTCTATGTAAAGAGAGAATATTAGTAAATTTGGGACCATTGTTTATAAGTAAGGTTTGCCAAAAGGCTAATACATTCTTTTCTGTAAAAATATAATTTCATGTTTGCATTACGGAAGAATGAATTAACATATGCAAATCCAATGACATTTTTGTTGGAGATCTTGCTGCATAACCCTATCATCTTGATCTACTTAAAGTGAAGTTTGTCCCTTTGTTTAAGTTCTAATACAATTGCTAAGCAAGGACCTTTACTTAGGAGGTACTGTGGGGAATACAATTCAGAGATTCTGTGAATAAATTTTTGTCATTAACTTTGTCAATCACACTATAATTCTTATCATAACTTCTCTCCCGGATGGAGTAGAATGATGTGGTAATTTCCTGCCAAGGTAAAATTGTTGGCCAGGAACTCCCTAACTTCTTAGTTTGCCCCAGCACAAGCCAGCCTGAGAGTTTAGATGCACAGAACCACTAAGATGTTTCAGGTTTTAACTGTCAGGTAGAGGGCCAAAAGCCGTCATAGAACAGCTAAGTATGGCTTGAATATTACTTTTAAGCAGAATACAAAAGGTGCTTGGCCTAATCAGAAAGTACTGCCTTGTCAAGTTTTAAGACTCCCCCAAAACAAGTTACCAGTGTCTATTTAGAATCCAGGAAAAGACACGTAAACTGTGAGCAATTAGGATGATTTTTATATTTTTCTACTATATTTCTTCAACAGTAAATATGAAAGAAATAGGCTTGTATTGCTTGTTTGGAGAATCTCACTCTTCTGTTATTAATCTCATTATTTGCCTAAGTGCTTACTATGTAATCATTAGATGAAGAAGTATACAACAATAGAAGGAAAATGTATGAATTCTAAACTAAGTTTATCTCTGAAGTCTGTCAATTATACATTTTCTTATTCCCCTAAACGAGGAGAGAATATTACTTATAATTACATTATTTAGTTACTAGAAAGAACGGAAAGATCTAAACATAAGGTTCAAAATCATAATTAGATGGTTCCTTGCAGTGAGCTCAGTAATCCATAATAATTTGATACAAACTGACATTTGGCTAAACCTGTGACAAGGAAAAAAACAAACTTTCATTGGAAAATAAGTAAATAATCTCCTAGGATCTTGAAGTATAGGCTAAAATTAAGGGTTTTTCGAGCTGAAGATAAGCTGATAAGTGTTACAGCACTTTCCTCCAGACTTTCAGCAAGCCCACAATCTACAATAGTCCCTAGTATTCCTTTTATTTTGCTCTATCACTTGCTTTTCTTTTTCTTTTTCTTTTTCTTTTTTTTTAAACTCCCCAGTGACTGAAGACATTTTTCTTAACAGGTGATTTTTCAATGAAATGTCATTTTGGCTTTGTGAGTATCCTTAGTGGCATGTACCAAATGACTCATTTCATTTGTGACCAGGGCCAAATTCAAATTTAATTTTCCAGAGGGGACAAGTTAATGTATAACCTATTGTGCCACCTGGCATCCTAAATTAAATTTCCTGAACTTTTTTCACTGAGAACAGAATCAGGTATATTGCTGTGTAAAGGCATTTTCAAGTGTCAGCTGTGACTTTGATCACTCTTATAGTCATATAACCTTTTTGTTAGAACTAATAAATAATAAATACCCAAGATTCTTAATTTTGAAAATAACAATTGAGTTATTTGGCTCTATGGAATTGCAAATGCCTATATTCTGAACATTACGGAAATACTAGAAGTTTTCACTTGGACTTTCATTAAAACATCATATATCCAAATGATATGCTTTATGAATACAAACTTAGAGTAAAATTTTAATTTGAAATTCAAACCCAAACAAATTTAATTCCAAGGATTCCAAAGCCCATGTTCTTCCCACCACATAATATTAGAGTTGCAGGTATTTTATTAATTTTTATGGAATGTGTGTATATCATTAAATTAAACAGAGAGAAAAGCATTTTAGACCACATCAAAATGGCATCTAGACACAAAGCCCTGGTAACATTTTATATCTGTAGGTTTAAACAAATGAAGTAAAACTCAGAAGGATTCCATGTGTATGAAATTCTGATTTATTAAGGCCACTTTTTGTCTGGAGTGGCTTGACATGTCACCAGGACACAATAATCATCTCTAGCATAATATATATCCTGTAGCTCACCAATTTACATTCCATTAGTAACTTGCTAATTTTTATACAAATATTCATTTTTCTCTATATGTTTGACTAAACCCAAAATGAGCCATTTCAAATAGCTAACAAATATTACACTTTTTAAATTAATTAAATACTGTTTGAATTTATGAATGAATTTTTTTTTAATTTCAGAAGCTGTTACTCCCTTCCTTATCCTTAACTGGAAGTTAAGACTACAGATTCTGAGTTAGACCAAGCTTCAAATTCCAGATATGCCATTTATTTGCGGTGTAACCTTGGAAGATAATAATAATGATTTCATTGGCTAATTATGAGAATTAGGCAATTTCATTTGACTAACGCACTTCAAACAACACCCACACATAGTGAATACTCAGAAAACATCAAGAAATACCTGTCTATAATACTTGATTTCTAGTGTATTTATTTTCTCTTTTCCCTCCTTTTTACTTCATTTTTCTGACAAGTGATAAATAATAATTATAAAAAATTAGAATATATGAAAAATAAAACTCATGGCATCTCCATCTAATCACATGTGCTATAAATATTTGAGAGTGTTGCTTCTTTTTTAAAATTTTGTTTTAGGTTCAGGGGTTCATGTATCGTTTGTCATATAGGTAAACTTGTGTCATGGGAGTTTGGTGTACAGATTATTGCATCACCCAGGTACTAAGCCTAGTACCCAACAGTGATTTTTTCTGATCCTATTCCTCCTCCTACCCTTGACTCTCAGCTATGCCCTGGTATCTGTTATTCCCTTCTTTGTGTCCATAGGTACTCTATGTCTAGCTCCCACTTATAAGTGAGAACATGTTATATTTGGTATTCTGTTCCTGTGGTTGCTTGCTAAGGATAATGGCCTCCAGCTCCAAACATGTTCCTGCAAAGAACATGATCTTGTTCTTTTTTTATGGCTGCACAATATTCCATCTTACATATGTACCATATTTTCTTTATCCAGTTTGCCATTGATGGACATTCAGGTTGATTCTATGTTTTTGCTATTGTGAATAGTGCTGCAGTAAACATACACATGTAGGTGTCTTTATGGTAGGACAATTTATATTCCTTTGGGTATATACCCAGTAATTAGATTGCTAGATTGAATGGTAGTTCTGTTTTCAGTTCTTAAAAGGAATCACCACACTGCTTTCCACAATAGTTGAACTAATTTACACTTCCACCAGCAGTGTATAAGTGTTCCTTTTTCTCCACAACCTCATCAGCATCTGTTATTTTTTTACTTTAGTAATAGCCATTCTGACAGGTTGAGATGGTATCTCATTGTGGTTTTGATTCCATTTCTCTAATTATCAGTGATATTAAGCATTTTTATATACTTGTTGGCCGCATGTAGGCCTTATTTTAAAAAGTGTCTGTTCTTGTCCTTTGCCCACTTTTTAATGGGATTTTCATTGCTGTTTGTAAATTTAAGTTCTTTGTAAATGCTGGATATTAGATCTTTGTCAGATACATAGTTTGCAACTATATTTTTCCCTTCTGTAGACTGTTTACTCTCTTGGTAGTTTCTTTGCTGTGCAGAAGCTCTTTAGTTTAATTAGATCCAATTTGTCAATTTTTGCTTTTGTTGCAGTTACTTTTGGTGCATTGATCATGAAATCTTTGCCAGTTCCTATGCCATAAATGGTATTGCCTAGGTTATCTTCCAGGGTTTGTATAGTGATGGGTTTTACATTTAATCTTTAATCCATCTTGAGTTGATTTTCATAGATGGTGTAAGAAGGGGTCCAGTTTCAATCTTCTGCATATAGTTACCCAGTTATCCCAGTGCTATTTTTTGCATATGGGGCCTTTTCCCCACTGCTTGTTTTTGTAAGCTTTGTCAAAGATCAGATGGTTGTAGGTGTATGGCATTATTTCTGGGTTCTCTATTCTGTTTTGTTAGTCTATGTGTCTATTTTTATACCAGTACCTTGCTGTTTGGGTTACTGTAGCCCTGTAGTACAGTTTGAAGTTGGGTAACATAATGCCTCCAGCTTTGTTCTTTTGATTACCTAGGCTATTTGGGCTCTTTTTTGGTTCCATTTGTATTTTAAAATAATTTTTTCTAATTCTGTGAAGAAAATGTCATTGGTAGTTTGATAGGAATAGCACTGAATCTGTAAGTTGCTTTGGGCAGTATAGCCATTGTAACAATATTGAGTCTTCCTATTCATGAGCATGAAATGTTTGTCTGCTTTTTGTGTCATCTCTGATTTCTTTGAACAGTGTTTTGTAATTTTTCTTGTAGGGATCTTTCACTTCCCTGGTTAACTGTATTCCTAGGTATTTTACTCTTTTTATGACAATTGTCACTGGGATTGTGTTCTTGATTTGGCTCTTGGTTTTGATGTTGCTGATGTATAGAAATGCTACTAATTTCTGTATGTTGATTTTGTATCCTGAAACTTTGTTGAAGTTGTTTGTCAGCTGAAGGAGCTATTAAGCAGAGACTTTGGGGTTTTCTAGATATAGAAGCATGTCATCTGCAAACAGAGATAGTTTGACTTTCTCTCATCCTATTTGAATGCCTTTTATTTCTTTCTCTTGCCTGATTGCTCTGACTAGGACTTCCAATACTATGTTGAATAGAAGTGGTGAGAGACGACATACTTGTCTTGTGCCAGTTTTCAAGGGGAATGATTCCAGCTTTTGCCCATTCAGTATGCTGTTGGTTGTAGCTTTGTCATAGATGGCTCTTATTGTTTCAAAATATCTTCATTCACTACCTGGTTTATTGAAGGTTTTTTAACATGAAAGGATGTTGAATTTTATCAAAACCTTTTTATGTATATATTGAAATAATCACGTGCTTTTTTGTCTTCAGTTTTGTTTCTGTGATGAGTCACATTTATTGATTTGTGTATATCAAACCAACCTTGCATCCCAGGAATAAAGCCTACTTGATCATGGTAGATAAACTTTTGTGCTGCTAGATCTGGTTTGCTAGTATTTTGTTCAGTATTTTTGCATCAGTGGTCATCAACAACATTGGCCTGAAGTTTTATTTCTTTGTTGTGTCTCTGCCAGGTTTTGGTATCATTATGATGCTGGCTTCATAGAATGAGTGGGGAAGGAGTCCCTCCTCCTCAATTTTTTGGAATAGTATCAGTAAAAATGGTATCAGCTCTTCTTTGCAAATCTGGTAGTATTCGACTGTGAATCTATCTTGTCCTGGAGTATTTTTGGTTAGTAGATTGTTTATTACTGATTCAATTTCAGAGCTCATTGTTTGTCTGTTCAGGGATTAAATTTCTTCCTGGTTTTTCCTAGGAGTACATACACACACTGTTACGATCACATTGCAAATATGATTCTTGGTCTTGCCTTATTCATATAATATTACAACAACAACAAAATATTTTCTAAGAAACATGTAGACATCATTTTAAATATCCACATAATGGTTTAAATTATTAATATATACTAAGTTATCTAACTATATTTCTATTATAGAGCATTTAGTTTATTTTTATCTTTTTATCATTATAGTTAGTGTCATGATTCATTCATTCACCAACTAAGAGTGTTCTCTAGCCAGGAGATACGGTAGAAAACAAAAGATGGAGAATCCCTACCTTTGTGAAGCTAATACTGTGGCTGGGGAAGAAATAATATAGACACAGATAAAAACTTCTATATACATATAAATAAATGGCATGGGCTACAAAGAATACTAAGGCAAGACATAGATATAAAAGGTAATGGGGAGGCTCTCTTTTAGACAAGGGTGAATTGAGAAAGCTTCTCTGAAGGGGAGATAGTTGAACAGACACCTGAATGCAATCCTGATGAAATCATAAAAATATTAGTGCATAAAATGTCTCATTATAATTTTTTTAGTATATATGTACATTTATACATAGATGAAAAATCAATAGGTGCAAAAATCCTAAATATTTTCATGCCGTATCCTAAAGGCACTCCCCAGCAAGCATTAATATAAGCAAATCAATAACATGATAACAGCAAAATAAACATATTTGACTCACTGGTTGATAGATGACAGGTTCAAAATATGGCTCATAGAGTTACATGATTACTCAGGCCAATTTTCTTGTCTGGCAGGTTACAAGTCATGGATCTGAAAAGGGAATTTGGCTTTATATTTCTCAGCAAAATCGTCATCATCTATTTATAAAATATGGTCAACATCCATGGGTATGATTCTAACAGGCTCATCTGCTTGGGTTCAAACTATTGGCAACAGCATATCTACATATTATTATACCTATAAAACAACTTAGACTCTCCTGTGGAATCTCAGTAGACAGAAACCTGTTATATTCAGCAATCTATAACCTGCAAAGAATTTCTTCTGACAGTCAAGGTGCATAATGGAGGCTGCCTTTGCTTAGAATTTTACATAATCACTGACAGTCAGCCTTCCTGTAGAAGTTCCCATATTCAGCGCTTCAGCCCTTTGATCATAATGCAATAGGACACATGTCAGAAATTATATTTCTATAAAGTGAAATAAATCTTGTTCTTTAACCCAGAAATGACTATAAACATTACCTTCATGCAAATTTCACTCATATGCATATATTCAGCTTCTGTAAGGAGAACACTGAATGACAATTAGGTAGTGGTATTTTTAATTGAAGACAAGATTAAATTTTACTTAGCAGATTCTCAAATAGTACAAGCTCAAAACTTTCATCTATATTCTATAGTAAAAACACAACCCTTTGACCTCAAAGCATTTCAGGTTTTTAAATTTTTCTTTGACTGAAAGAAAAAGTGAAATTAATTTGGATAAGTCCTCTTGATGGAAAAAATTCATACAATATTTATATATCTGTTCTGTTCTTTAGTAGTGTGTTTATATATTTAGAGATAAAACCCAGAATTTCTTTTTTAGTTTTTTTGTTTGTTTGTTTGTTTGTTTACAATGTAGTACTATAGGAGCTCAAAAAACCTAAACAAAGCCTTAGGTGCATATACAAGGCTCAAATTGGAGATATGAGGGATTTAAGACTGGGCAATGGTAAGAAAGAGGAAAAGTAATGAAATGAGAACATACCTAAAAACACTAGGGAAGAATTTGTGGTAAGAATGGGCAGATAAGTGTCAGGCATGGTGGCTCACACCTGTAATCCCAGCACTTTGGAATGCCAAGGCTGACAGATCACTTGAGACCAGGGGTTCAAGACCAGCCTAGCCAACATAGTGAAACCACAGTTTCTATTAAAAATACAAAAAATCAGCTAGGCATGGTGGTGCACATCTGTAATCCCAGCTACTTGGTAGGCTAAGGCATGAGAATTGCTTGAACCGAGGAGGCAGGGATTGCAGTGAACTGTGATCAGACCACTGCACCTCAGCCTGGGTAGCAGAGCAAGACTCTGTCAAAAAAAGAAAAAAAAAAAAAGAATGGTTAGATAAGAATTAGAAGTACCATGAGAAGGAGAAAGCAGAAAAGGAGGTAGGTAGAAAAAAAGACATAAAGAGTAGATAGAAATAGAAGCAAGAAGAAAGGGAAGAGAAAAGAAGTATTAGTAGAGAGGATTATATCAGCCCTCAACAAAAAAGAGGTATCAAGAAGGGAAAAGAGGAGAAAGTTAGAGGCAAAGGAAAGATAAATTCCAAGACTGAAAGTTACATAATACAACTACAACTAGGGATGGATGGATGGATGGTTAGATAGATGCATAGATAGATTAGATAGATAGATAGATGATAGATAGATGATAGATAGATAGATAGATAGATAGATAGATAGACAGATAGATAGATAAACTATCTCGTAAAGATACACAGCTGTCTCAGAGAACACAATATGTGGAAGTTCAACCAGGTCTTTCCAGGAATTAACACCAGGACTAGAAAGCTGATAATTTCAAGACCTTATAGTCTTAATTGTATGTACTTGCTCCCTTCTTCTCTTTCTGCAGTTTGGCTTCTAGTTAGAAGTTTTGTTTTCTCACAGTTGCCAGTTTTTCATCTATTCAGTATGACCAACATCAGAGACTGGCTAGGATTACGAATTTTAATCCTCGACTTACCCAAAAGGCAGCTCTGCTTTGGGCCAGCCACCCCTGCAGGAGAGCCTACCACCAGAGAAATAAGGAGAAAATATAATATCCATGAGTATTCTTAGAAGTAAGGGAAGAGGAATGGCTTACCCCTACCTACAACATTCCAAATTAGTGAACTCATATGATGAGTGAGGTGCATTAACTAATATTGAAACAAAATATAAATGAATAGTGAGAAAAAATGAGATCGAAAAATTTTTACTAAATTTTGTTTTAAGTAAAGATTTAAATTTACTCACTAATAATGCCATTGATTTCTGCTTGTAACTAATACATTATTACTGTTTTTATTTATTTCTTAATGATAGCAATTAAAGCTTTGGTTATAATTCTCCTACATTAATTTAGTGGAAGCTTTCCAACAGTAATCTATTAAATTGTCCCTGTTAAATTAGCATGATGGACTTTTAATGGATCTCTTAATAAACATTATGATGATCAAAAATATTGTGAAATCAAAATCACTCTCAATGACATTTCTGACTTTGTGTAGTAACAGTCCTCAAAGTCACGGATTCTGGTCCTCTGAGAAATATCTCAAAATCCATTATTAAAAAATTTCTGTACTGCTAGCAAGAAAAATGACAAGCGAACATAGACTAGGTCACGTTTAACAAGATTTTTTTAAAGAAATAAGCTCTTTAATTAGCTAATTTAAAGTTTTCATTATGATTCTCCAATTCTATGATCTTTCCCAATAAAATAGAGATAGAAGAGATGAGATTTGATTTTGAATTAAAGGAGTATAATAGATGGGCCATCTATTTGTATTTGTAAACTTCATGTCTTGGGATCATGTGTTCAATGATTTGGATCACCCATAAAGGCAAATCTTGAGGAGTTTAATTTAACCTAATTTCAAAAACGACATTTCCTCTAGGATATAGATTCTTAAGACCTTCATGTACAGCCAGCAGCTATTTCCCTTTGCTTCTGTGGAAACAGACAACAAGACTCCTTGAATTAGCAAAAGCTAGAGAACTTCAATAATTTAACCTGGCTTGTGTCATGAAAAAAAAAAAAAAAAAAAAACCCGCTAAGCTGCATGCTTACAGTCTCTGAGGATATATTTTAAAGAAACTTCTGCAAGTGGTTGAAAGTTGTGCTCTATGCAGCTGCAGTAAGACAATGAAAACTGCTTACCTTGGGAACAATGACTATACCATGCTTATATCATCTGTGTTCTACTTAAATAGTTTACATTGCTGAAGGGGTAGCAAGGCTCATTGTTATGTTTCTTTCTTGCCACCATCATTTCCTATACTCACTGGGTATTTATTGCGAGGAAAGCAAATAGTTTTTATTTGAAATTTTCATTAGATTTTTATTATTTGTGTAATATATTTTCACCAAAGAAAATGTAAATATATACATATAATGACAGAACAGAATTTAGGAAATATTTGTCTTTCTTTTTTTTTTTTTTTTTGAGACAAAGTCTCGCTCTGTCACCCAGGTTGGAGTGCAGTGGCACGATCTTGGCTCACTGCAACCTCTGCCTCCCAGGTTCAAGTGATTCTCCTCCCTCAGCCTCCAGAGTAGCTGGGATTATGGGAGCCCACTCGTGGCTAATTTTTGTATGTTTAGTAGATATAGAGTTTCGCCATGTTGGCCAGGCTGGTATCGAACCCCTGGCCTCAGGTGATCTGCCTGCCTCAGCCTCCCAAAGTGTTGGAATTACAGGTGTGAGCCACCGCGCCCAGCCAGGAAGTATTTGTCTTATAATCCAGCACTTTATTACAAATCCTGGTAACAATTTAATTAATAACCATTAAGACATATTTATATGAGAATATTTGTTTTGCTTTGTTTTATTTTCCCTCATTATTCATTTAGTTCATTCATATATAAAGAATATTTCAAATGCATTAAACTTATAATTTCTAATGAACTACAAATGTTATAGAAAATTTTTTTAAAAATGAAAGAAATATAATAAATTGGAAATACTATATATCATTGCTCTCAGAGACAACTACTATGAATATTTTAAGATAAATATTTCATTTTCCCAATTTGTATTCTGAATAATTGAAATAACTGAATAATATATTAAGAACATACCCCATGTCAGTAAATGTGGAGAAACATCAATAGCATAGTGACCCAAAACATCATTTCTAGAATCACTTTTCCTGGTTTTCTGAATTAAGACTACCACTCAGTTGTGGACAACGGGACAAATTGCTTAACTTTATTGAACCTCATCTCTTTAATGGGGAATAAAGCACTACCTACCACATATGGCTATTGTAAAGTAACTAGTACATGGCATTTATATAACTAGTACATAGTATTTTATATAATACTATATAACTTGATACAATATTATACCACTAGTATATATTATTTTAGGTCACATTGTATATTATAACATAAAATCTTATATTTTTATTACTATTACTGCATACTTTGTCAAATGAATAGCTATACTATGAACTATTTAATCAATTCAATTTTGATGGACTTTCATAGCATTTCCAATTTGTCACTATTAAATAGAATGCCTGTGATAAAAATCTTTAGACATATTCCTTTTTCAATTACCAAATTATTTTGCACAAAATGGAAAGATAAGTCCAAGATTATTCATTTGAAATAATTTCAGAAAATACAAAACTTTAAAATTTTAAATCTTATTAATTACATGCGAGTATAAATAAAACTATGAATAAACACAAAAAGTATCAGAACTCTTCTTGGTGTCAACAAATGCCATTATTTATAACTTGCATGGAGGAACAAAAGGACTCACAATCTTTCAGAAACTTATCTGTTCATAAATAGAAGAATTTTTTTCTTGCCAAATTTCTTCTAGAAAGTTTATACCATATATCTTACATCACGTATTTTCTGTTTAAAATATTCAAACAAATATTTAAACAAAAATAAAAACCGTGTAACATAAATTTATAAGTAACTGTCAGTGTGTAAATATTTCGTGTTCAAGGGTTTATTTTAAATTTGTTATTTGTTTTTTGGAACTCATCTTTCCAACTGAGGGAGTGATAGACATAATGTAGTGATTTTCAGGCTACCCCCCCAAAGACTTTATAAATCATGCTGTGTCTGAAACACATAATTTTACAATTTGTTATAATCTAATATTGAAACAAAAAATTCATGGTGCAAGGAGAATAAAATTTATATTTCTCACAATACTTGATACAGCCACTAGATACTTGCGAAGGGTGTTGACTCTCAGAGAAAGTCTATCAAGCTGGTTCTTTTGGGTTTTGTAAAGGAAAAAAATGGAAAAAGATAGAATAATGGAAATGAGAGAGACATAAAGAAAGCTTAGGATTAGAAGACATTCCGCTAAAAATAATATAAAATTTTGGAAAGAGATGGAAGAAGAAAAATAAATCAGTAGCTTTAGGATAATGATTGATTTTTCCTGATGGTCTCCAGGGCAATTCCTCAAGGACCCAGAGGCAGAAATACTATTTGACCCAGCAATCCCATTACTGGGTATATACCCAAAGGAATATAAATCATTCTATTATAAAGAGACATGTACGCATATGTTTATTGCAGCACTATTCATATAGCAAAGACATGGAATCAACCTAAATGCCCATCAATGATAGACAGGATAAAGAAACTATGCATAGAAAGAAATGAGTTAATGTCCTTTGCATTGACATGGATGGAGGTGGAAGCCATCATTTTCAGCAAACTAACACAGGAACAGAAAACCAAATACCGCGTTTTCTCACTTATTAGTGAGAGGTGAATGATAAGAACACATGGACTCATGCGAGCAAGAAACATACACTGGGGCCTGTCGGAGGAGGCTGGGGGATGGGAGGAAGGAGAGCAGCAGGAAGAATAGCTAATGGGCTATTCAGAATAGCTAATGCTAGGCTTAATACCTAGGTGAGGGGATGATTCATGCAGCAAGCCACCATGGCACATGTTTACCTGTGTAACGATCCTGCACATCCTGCATATGTACCACTGAACTTAAAATAAAAGTTGGAGAAAGAAGAACCTGAGTAACGCAAGAAAAATGAACAAAATTTCTTCTAGAAATTTTATACCATATCAAATTTTATACCATTTTTTAATATGTTTAGTAGAACATGTATTTTTATATCTTTTAATTTTTTTCAAAATAAGCAAATAGAGAATGGCCTATAGGGAGAAAAAGAGAAAAGACATGACAAAGAAAAAGTAGAAAATGACAAACGTTACAAATAAATTGAAATAATTACTAATTATAATTATAGATGGACTTAGTTATTTAGTTAAAAAATAAAGTGGTTCTCAGAGGAACATGTATAGCCTCAAATGTTTATGTTTTAAAAAAAGTAATGACCATAAATTAAGAGGCCAAATCTTTATTATTTTCTCCTTCCTTCTCCCTCCCTTTCAGATGGCATCTTTGGCCACGGATGCATGTCTTTCATGGTTCCTCTCTGAGGTCTCAGCTCTCGCTGGACGGCCTTCACAGCAAGAGGAACCAGGGAGCTTGGCTCCTCATAGGTGGTAGTTGTTTCCTGATGCTGTGGAGCTCTAGATTCTCTCAGCTTCCCTGTATGGCCCTTCAAGTTTTTCAACCTTTGCAGCCACTTGGCTCTTTGAAATGTCTGCTGTTGAACTACTTGGAACACACTCTAGTTTTGCTGACTGTATCCTTAGAGATAGAAGAAGGATTTCCCACAATTCCCTCCCCACTCAGCGCCACAAAATAGTCCACAAATGATTGTAAAATTCACCACATTAAAATATATATATCCTTTTTTATCAAAAACAGTGAAAATGAAAGACAAAAATGACAAGATACATGCAACACATATAAATGATTAGTACCCAAAATATGTATAAACATCTATAATAAGCCAAATTAATAACTATATAAGAAAATGCCATAGATAAGGGAATTCTAATAGAACATTTGAATGGCCCATAAACATATCATAAGCTTAAGTCTATTAGTGAACATGAAAATGCAAATTAAAATAGCATCATTTTATACTCACTAGATAGAAAAAAAACTTTAATCTCCCAATATTAACTGTTGACAAGGATGAAAAGCAACCTGAAAATTATACAGTTCTGGAGGCAGTACAAACTGATTTAACCAATTTCAAAAACAATTTAACATTCTATAGTAAACTTAAGATTGCATGTAACCTCAGACTAATGTTATCTGATTTTTAGAAGTACATACTCAAAAAATCCTCCATGCTTGCAACAAAAAATATGTGTAAAATTGTTCCCAACAACAACACAGACGTAGCACAAAAAAGCAAATGTACTTCATTTGAGAATCACACAATAAATCACGATATATTCACATAATGGAGTAATATACAGCAGAAAATAAATGACTTGCAGCAACACTCAACAGTATGAACTGATCTCAGCAACTCAAAATTGAGTAATAAATCATAAAATGATAGAGCAGAAATTTAATTATATAAAGTTGTACAAAATGTTTAAATGTACAATTAAATAATGTATTGTTTAATGATACGAAGATGTGGTAAACTATAAAGAAAACTATAAATATGTAGGGGACTATTAGGCAGCAACTTCTGGGCAGTGGTAATCTCTGACGGGGGATGCAGTGGCTTGGGTCAAGGAGGGGCATACAGAAAGCTTTAAAGGTAAAAGTATTTGTTTTGGTCAACTAAATAGTGTGTAAAAATTGGATGATATTTTCATTGTATATTATTATAATTTACATATGCTTGTAAATATTTATCTGTATCTATGCAACAGGTCCCAAAAGACAAGTTTTTAAAATGACATAAAACTGCCCACTTGAGCTAATAATTAAATCCTACAGTACTTCATACCTTAATATGAGTTATTAAACATAATTATTTGGTAATTCACTATTATTGGACTTCATATACTTATACCAAACATCATCTCCTGTATAAATCGGGAAAGATATAGTATTTACAACCAGTGTCATTCTGGCTATTTATAGATATATGTTACATATCATGTTTGAGTATTTATAATTCAGAACATGTCTATAGTATCTTCTAAAATCTAAAATAAGTAGCTTTTCTTAAGTTAAAAAATGTATTCTATCAGCCAAAGATTTAAAATGTAGGCCCTCTATCTCTTATAACATTAAAAATATAGTTTTATGATAGTTGAACTTTACATACAGACAAACTTATCTTGATGTAATGAACTCACATTTTATTTAACTTCTTGCTCATTTTTAATCCCAAATAAGTTTAGGGAATTCCTATTGATACACCACATTTTCCTGAGTTACCTCTTTTAAAGAAATGCCAAACTTAAATATAAGAGTTATAGTAAAAGTTTCCAGAACTTAATCCTTGAAATTGATTCACTTGTTTTTATTGATGTGAGATGGACTAAAAACTTTATTGATATTCAGGGTTCCAAGTTTTATTTCCTTGCAGGATTGACTTTATGACCAGAGGAATAGGTGAATTAAGTATATTAACACATAAAGAAAAAAAGTCACCATTTTATGAGAAATTTTGTTTAAGATTTATCTGATCATGAAATAATTAAAATTTAGTAATTTGTTGAAATGCCTAAAGTTCTACATGTCTTAAAAACCTAAAATTAGGTTATCATGTTTCACTGAAATGTTTCCTCTATTGCAGTGCTTCCTGAAATGTTTTTTTCTCCTTTCTTAACTTACATTTAGTGCTCCTTTCCCCACACAGTATGCAACTTGGCCAGTATTTCTTCTTATTTTAAATAGAATAACATGGATATCAAGAGGTTCTTAATTTTCATATTTCAGATTGTGCTAATTGATACCAATCCCTTACATTTATATTTTTAATTATAAGTGAGCAATTTTCCAAGTTCAAGTAAAAGCACTTATTCTAAACCTTGGCTTTATTGTTCTATTTTTATAGTTCTTAAACAACTTACAAGTATCAATATCTTCCACTTTAGGTTATTAAGTGAAATCAAGTAATAAATGTACAAAGTATAATTGCTTGATGATGCTCAATATGTTGTAATATTATTATTGCTTCCAGGTGATGAAAATAGTGGAGGTTTGTTTATTTGGGAGTCTAAATAAAGAGTGAACAGTACCAGGTATCATAAACGTGCAGAATTTCATAGTGTATGGAATGAGGGCAAAATATATATCAATCATATTATTTACATCACTTTTAAACTCAGACACATATAGGAAAGACATTTATGTGAATGATATGTTCAATAAGGAAACGAAATGAATACTAATGTTTTTAACAACATAAGGTTATTTTCTAATATACGAAAAAACTTGTTAAAGGATATGCCTGAAGATCTCACAGTAGAAAATTTTTTCACAATCAATTTTAATTAGAAAACTTCCCACAATCCAATTGGAAGGAAAGCAAAAGAAGTGAACTCCTGCAGTGTCATATGTTTGAGAGCAATGAAATCCCTTCAGTCCAAGCATTAATAAGCATTTTCAGACTATAGAATAGTACACTGTTGGCATACTTTAAGAATGAACTTCTGGTTACACAGGAAGATTGGCATGTGTGTGTTTCTCCATCTTTCTTTGAATCATATCAAACATAAAATATACCTTATCTGTATAATCCTGTAAATCAAAAACTTGTAAATCCAGAGGGTTTGCAATTGTTTACGTTAAAAATAACTTTTAAATGTCTCAGAAGTAAATGATTTAAACTCTAATTTGGATATAAGAGCTGCTTAACTTTACAGATCTTCCACAGGTGCTGGACAATACAATTTTGAAAGCACATAAAAAAATTAAAGGAATCAAAGATGATTAAGGGGTGGAAAAGTAACACTGGTAAGAAGAAATTAAACGAAGAGGGTTATAATGTAAAAAAAAAAGAAAAGAAAAATAGAACTAGTAATTCCTTTTCACACATAGTTTGTCTAACTTTGTAGAGACTGAGGCAATATGCTGATACCTTGTTAGGAAGGGCTATCTGTATTGGTATGTCCTGAAAAAGTATCACACATTAACCATGGGGTCAGAGAAGACAAATTCAGTGTAAAATTGTTTCAGCAAATTTCCCATACAAGTGCTACACTGTAAACAGCTTTCTTTTTATTTTTTTATTTTTTTAATTTTTTTGGAGACGGAGTCTCGCTCTATCGCCCAAGCTGGAGTGCAGTGGCGCTATCTCGGCTCACTGCAAGCTCCGCCTCCCGGGTTCACGCCATTCTGCCTCAGCCTCCGGAGTAGCTGGGACTTTCTTAAAGAAAAAAGTTCAATACAGCACCTCATCAACAATGAAATGAAGTTCTATTTCAAGGGTCTCTTAACAACTCTCTTGATTCCTTCTAACTCATGGGATCATGACCATCAAAAGCGATATTCTTAACACAAAAACATACAATGTTATTCTCTTTTCCCACTATCTCCTTCTGAGCACATGGAATAATTTGTCTTTTTAAGTTTTTTATTATTATACAATACATATAAAATAAGAAATTTACCATCTTTCCATTTTAAGGTATACAATCCAGTGGCATTTAATGTCGTAATGATGTTGTCCAATCATCCCCATGATCTGGTTCCAGAAGATCTTTATCACCTCTAAAAGAAACTCATACCCACAAGCAGCCACTCTCCTTAATGGGTTGTCTCTTTCCCCCACAACCCTTGACAGTTATTAATATGCTTTGTGTCTCTATGGATTTAACTCTTCTGGGTATTTTATCCAAGTGGAATGATATAATATGTACCCTTTTGTGTCTGGCATTGTTTACTTAGCGTAATTGTTTCAAGGTTCATGTATTTTTTTTTTCTTTTTTTTTTGTGTGTGAGCAACATGGCTGTTTATTTCACCTGGGTGCAGGCCGGCTGAGTCTGAAAAGAGAGTCAGCGAAGGGAGATAAGGGTGGGGCCGTTTTATAGGATTTGGGAAGGTAAAGGAAAATTACAGTCAAAGGGGGTTTGTTCTCTGGCAGGCAGGAGTGGGGGGTTGCAAGGTGCTCAGTGGGGGTGATTTTTGAGCCAGGATGAGCTAGGAAAAGGACTTTCACAAGGTAATGTCATCACTTAAGGCAAGGACCAGCCATTTACACTTCTTTTGTGGTGGAATGTCATCAGTTAAGGTGGGGCAGGGCATATTCATTTCTTTTGTGATTCTTCAGTTATTTCAGGCCATCTGGGCGTATACGTACAAGTCACAGGGGATGCGATGGCTTGGTTTGGCTTGGGCTCAGAGGCCTGACATTCCTGCCTTCTTATATTAATAAGAAAAATAAAACAAAATAGTGTTGAAGTGTTGGGGCGGCGAAAATTTTTGGGGGTGGTATGGAGAGAGAATGGGCGATGTTTCTCAGCGCTGCTTCAAGCGGGATTAGGGGCGGCGTGGGAACCTAGAGTGGGAGAGATTAAGCTGAAGGGAGGTCTTGTGGTAAGGGGTGATATTGTGGGGATGTTAGAAGAAACATTTGTCGTATAGAATGATTGGTGATGGCCTGGATACGGTTTTGGATGAATTGAGAAACTAAGTGGAATAACAGAAGGAGAAAAACAGGTATAAAAGGTCTAAGAATTGGGATGACTCAGGATGTCTGATTAGGGAGTGCCTAAGGAGATTTAGCATAGTCCTGCCAGCAAAGATTATTTATTTACTTCAAGAGTTAAGAGTGGCAGTTTGGGGATAGCACCAGGAGATATCAGCTGTGATGGCTTGGAAAAACAGTGTAAACCGGCAGTGTAAACAAGAGCAGGGCATGTATGAGTAGTTGAGAACGGTGAATAGGAGTATGACTAGACAGAAGATAGTAGGGACGACAAGTTTTTTGGGGCACAGTGTAAGTTGGTCTGGTGTCTGGAATGAGACTGGGGCCTAATAAAAAGGAGTGTCCATACAGGAGCTCAAATGGGCTGTAACCTGTAGCATTCTGAGGACAGGGCTGAATTCTATGTATTTTATAAGCATGCACCGGGTACTTCATTATTTTTCATAAAAACCATATTCCATTGTTTGTTTATACCACATTTCGTCTGTTCGTCGATTGATGGACATTTGAGTTGTTTCCACATTTTGACTATCGGGAATAGTGCTGCTATGAATATAAAATATAAAATTTTTGGTTTGAACACTTGTGCTCTATTCTTTGGAGTATGTATCTACAAGTGGAAATGCTGGGTCATGTAGTACTTGCATGTTTTACTTCTATGTTTTAATTATTGAAGAACTGTTTTCCATAGCAGCTGCACCATTTGACATTCCCACCAGAGATATATATGAAAGTTAATATTTCTCCACATTCTTGTCAACACTTATTTTCATTTGTTAAATGATTATAGCCGCCCTAGTGTCTCTGAAATGGCGTATCATTTTGGTTTTAATTCTCCCTAATGACTAATGATATTGAGCATTTTTCATGTACTGGTTGGACATTTGTTTATGTTCTTTGAAAAAATGTCTACCGACATTTGCCAATGTATTAATTGGGTTGTTTTTATTTTAGTGGTGATTTGCAAATGTTCTTTATATATAGGAATACCTCAGTTTATTGCACTTTGCCGATATTGCTTTTTTTCTTTCTTTTTCTTTTTCTTTTTTTACAAATGGAAGGTTTGTGGCAACTCTAAGTCAAGCAAGTCTACCAGAACCATTTTTTTCCAACAACGTGTGCTCACTTTTTGTCTCTATGTCACATTTTGATAATTCACACAATATTTCAAATGCTTTCATTGTTATTATACCTCGTTATGGTCATCTGTGATCAGCAATATTTGATGTTACTATTGTAGTCGGGTTTTTTTTTTTTTTTGAGACAGAGTCTCAGTCTGTCACCCGGGCTGAAGTGCAGTGGCGCGATCTCGGCTCACTGCAACCTCTGCTGCCCAGGATTCAAGCAATTCTCCTGCCTCAGCCTCCTGAGTAGCTGGGATTTCAGGCGCCTGCCACCGCGCCTGGCTAATTTTTTTTGTATTTTTTTGTAGAGATGGGCTTTCGCCATCTTAACCAGGTTGTTCTTGAACTCCTGATCTTGTATTCCACCTGCCTTGGCCTCCCAAAGTGCTGCGATTACAGGTGTGAGCCACTGCGCCCGGCCTTGTAACTGTTTTGAGGTACCACAAACCTCAGCAAACTTCATTGATAAATATTGTGTGTGTTCTGACTGCCCCACCACCTGACTGTTCCCCTGTTTCCCTCTTCTTAAGCCCCCTTGTTCCCGAGACAGAGCAATATTATAATTACATGAAGTAATTAATAATCCTACACTGGCCTCTAAGTGTTGAAGTGAAAAGAAGAGTCATGCATCTTTCATTTTAAATCAAAAGCCAGAAATGACTTAACTTAGTATGAAAGGCATGTTGGAAGCCAAGCTAGGTCAAAAGCTAGGCCTCTTATGCTGTGAACGCAAAGGAAAGGTTCCTGAAGAAAATTAAATATGCTACTCCAGTAAACACATAAATTATAAGAAAGTGAAACTATTTTATTACTAATATGGAGAGAGTTTTAGTGGTCTGACTATAAGATCAAACCACCCACAACATTCCTTTAAGCCAAAGCCTAATACAGAGTAAGGTCCTAACTCTTAAATTCTATGAAAGCTGAGAGAGCTGTGGAGGCTAAAGAAAAAAAGTCTGAAGCTAGCAGGGGTTGGTTCATGAGGTTTAATAAAAGAAGTTGTCTCCATAACATTAAAGTACAAGGTGAAGCAACAAGTGTTGATGGAGAAGCCACAGCAAATTTTCCAGAAGACTTGGCTAACGTATTTGGTTGCCACACTAGAGGTGGCCACACTAAACAACACACCTCTCTTATAAAGGAAACAGCCTTATATTGGAAGAAGATGTAATCTAAGACTTTCATAACTAGAGAGAAGTCTATATCTGGTTTCAAAGTTTCAAAAGGCAGGCTGACTCTCTCGTTAGAGACTAACACAGCTGGTGACTTTTAGCTGAAGCCAATGAGCATTTACCATTCCAAAAATCATAGGGCCTTTTAGAATGATGCTTTATAAATGGAAAAATAAAGCCTAGATGACAGCACATCTGTTTACAGCATGGTTTATTGAATATTTTAAGCCAACTGTTGAGACCTACTGCTTGGAATAAAATAATCCTCTCAAAATATTATTGCTCATTGACAATGTACCTGGTCCCTCAAGAGCTCTAATGGAGATGTACAAGGAAATTAATATTGTTTTCATGCCAGCGAACATAACACCCATTCTGCAGCCCATGGATTAAGGAGTAATTTTGACTTTCAAGTCTTATTATTTAAAGCATACATCTTGTAAGGCTATTGCTGGGATATATTGCGGTTCTTCTGATGGAACTGAGCAAAGTAAATTAAAAACTTTCTGGAAAGGATTCACCATTCTAGATGCCATTAAGAGCAATAGTGATTCATGGGAGGTAGTCAAAATATCAAGATTAACAGGAATTTAGAAGAAATTGATTCCAACATTCATGGATGATTGAGGGGTTCAAGACTTCTGTGGAGGAAGCCACTGCAGATGTGGTGAAGATAGCAAGAGAACTAGCATTGGGAATGAAGTCTAATATTTGATTAAATTCCTGCAATCTCATGATAAAACTTTAACAGATGAGGAGTTGCTTCTTATGGGTAGCACAGAAAGTGGTTTCTTGAGGTGGAATGTGCTCTGCTTGAAGATGCTGTGATCATTATTGAAATAACAATCAAGGATTTAGAATGTTACATAAACAGAGTTGATAGGGCAGTGGCAAGTTTTGAAAGGATTAATTCTAATTTTGAAAGAAGTTCTATTGTGGGTAAAATGCTATTAAACACTATTGCATAGTACAGAGAAATTTTTCTTGAAAAGAAAAGTTAATCAATCTGGCAAGCTTCACTGTTGTCTTATTTTAAGAAATTACCAGTCACCCCAATCTTCAGCAACCACCAC
The DNA here is from genome assembly GCF_000001405.40 of Homo sapiens. Lineage (NCBI taxonomy): Eukaryota > Metazoa > Chordata > Mammalia > Primates > Hominidae > Homo > Homo sapiens. The sequence goes on from NC_000012.12 coordinate 78,844,719, forward strand.
CCTGATTAGCCAGTAGCCAGCCATCAATGCCAAAGCAAGACCCACCACCAAAAGCAAAAAGATTACAACTTGCTGAAGGTTCAGATTATTGTTAGCGTATTTTAACAAAAAATTATCTTTACATTAAGGCATGTACTTTTTTAGACATAATGTTTTTGCATATTAATAGACCACTGAATAGTGTGAACATAACTTTTATATGCACTGGGAAACCAAAAATTCATGTGACTCTGTTTATTGAACTATTTGCTTTATTGCAGTGGTTGGAAACCAAATCCACAATATCTGTGAGATAGGTCTGTATTCTGGACACCAGAACCTGACCAAATTTATGATTTGCAATTATTTTCTACCAATATGTGGTTTATCTTTTAAGACTCTTGATTGTGTCCTTTGATAGATAAACATTTTTAATTTTGATGAAGTCTAATGTATCTATTTTCTTTTGTCGCTTGTGTTTTTGGTATCATATCTAAGAAACGATTATGAAATCCATGGTTATACAGATTTACCACAGTTTTCTTCTAAGAGTTTTATAGTTTTAGCTCTTATCTTTGGGTCTTTGATCCATTTTTAGTTACTTTTTACATATGATGTGAGATAAAAAAGTACAACGCATTGTTTTGCACATTGCAATCCAATTGTCCCAGCACCATTATTGAAAAGATTGCCCTTTCCCTTTTGCAAAGTCTCGTCATCCTTGTCAAAAATTAATTGGTCATAGATATTTGGTTTATTTCTGTACTTTTAAGTCTATTTCATATGTCCACCCTTATGCCAGTACCACATTGGCATTGATTACTGTAGTTTTGTAGTTACTTTTGAGATCAGGAAGTGTGAATTTTCCAGTGTTTTAAAAAATATTGTTTGACTCTTCAGTGTTCCTTGCAATCTTACATAAATTTTAGGATCAGCTTTCCATTTCTACATAAAAGACGATTGGCTTTTGATAGAGATTTCACTGCTTCAATAAATTGCTTTGAGAAGTGTTGCTATTTAAGTAACATTAAGTCTGCCGATTCATGAACGTGGAATGTCTTGCCATTTATTTAAGTATTTTTAAATTCCTCTCAACAATTTTAAGAAATTTTCAGTGTACAAGTGTTATACCTCATTTGTTACATTTATTCCTAAATATTTTATTCTTTTGATGCTATTATGAATAAAAGTGTTTTCTACATTTTGGAGGATTGTTCATTGATAGTATACAGAAATAAAACTGACATTTCGTTTTAATGTTGTATCCTGAAAATTTTTCTGAATTTATTTCTCTAACAGTTGCATCTTATGGATTCTTTAGAATTTTACATGTTTAAGATCATGTCATTTAACAATAGAGATAGTTTTACCTTTTCTTTTCCAATTTAGATGTCTCATATTTCCTTTTCTTGCCTAAATACTTGGACTATAACTTACAGTACAATATTGAATAAAAGTACAAAATGAAATTTTTCTCTTTTTCCTGATCTTAATGAGAAAAGTTTTATTCTTTCTGCATTGAGAATCATGTTAGATGTGAGTTTCTCATAAATGCCTTTTATCTTGTTGGGGTATTTCCTTTTTATTCCTAGTGTGTTGACTGTTACTATAAAATGGTGTTAGATTTTGTGAAACGCTTTTCCTTCACCAATTGAGATAATCATATAAGCTGACTTTTTGTTGTTGTTTTTCTTTTCTTTTTTAACCTTTGTTCATTAGTGTAGTATATTATACAGATTTGTCTATGTTGAGCCATTCTTACATTCCTGGTACAAATCCCACTTGTTGGTGGTCTATTTCTCACTTGGTCATGGTGTATAATCTTTTTAATATTTTGCTAGATTCACTTTGGTAGCATATTGTTCAGGATTTTTTTCATCTATAGAAGTAAGGGATATTGGTCTGTGTTCTTGTGGTAGTTTTGGCTTTTTATCAGCCTGGGCACATGGAATGAATTAGAAGGCATTCCCTCCTCTTTTAATTTCTGGAAGAGTTCAAGAAGAATTGAAGTTAATTTTTCCCCAAAATTTTGGTAGAATTAACCAGTAAAGTGATCTACTCTTGCACTTTTCCTTATTGGGAGGCTTTGTAGGGATATTTTACATTGTTTTAATTTGCAATTTCCAAAACATAAATGATTTGAGCACTTTTAAATGTACTAAACATATTCTTTTGTGACATGTCTGTTGAAATCTGTTCCTCATTTTTTAAATTGCTTAACTATATTTTTATTATTGGGTTTTAGGATTTGTTCATATCTCTTGGGTACCAATGTGGCTTGCCTATTTAATTTCTTAAGTATCTTTTGAAGAGATTTTTAATATTGGTAGACTGATTTGTCAATATTTTCCTTTAATAGTTATTATTTTATGTGTTCTGCACAGTTAAGAACTCTTTAAATGCTCTAGATTTCAGTATTTTATTAGAAATGTGCAGTATAAATGATTTATCTCAGTTTGTGATGTGCCTTTTCAATCTTTTAATAATGTTTTCTGATGATCTGAAGTTCTTAATTTAACAAAGTTCATTATGTCAATTTTCCATCAATACTTAGTTATTTCCATTTAAGAAATGTTTGCCTATCTGTACCATGCGAAGATATTTTTCTATATGTTACACCAGAAGATTTACTGTTTAACTTTCACGTTTAGGTCTATGTTCCAATTCCAATTATCCAATTAGATACATACATCCAATTGGTTTAGTATTATATATTAAACATAAATCCTTTTTCCCACTGAATTGTAGATGTGCATTTGTTATAAATCAGATGACTGTACACTTATGTGGGAGTATTTGTGGACTCCGCATTCAATTCCATTGGACTATTCACATATTCTTTTACCAGTAACACTGTTATGATTATTGAAGCTCTATAATAAATCCTTATACTCAGTAGTATAAGCTTTTCAATACAGGTAAATTTCTTCAAGAAGTTTTATGGCTACTATAAGACCTTTAGAGCTCCATATACATTTTTAATCAGCTTGTCAACTTACATTAAAATTGGTATTTAATTGTGCTGTAAATCAGCATAAGGGAAATTTATATTTATTCCTCTAATATAAAAATATGATATTTTTTCCATTTGCTTAATTTTTCCTCAGCAACGTTTATAATATTTAATATAGATGTCATAACCATATTTTGTTAGGCTTAATATTTAATGTTCTTTGATGTTATTTTAAATGGTATTTTAAATGTTATTTATAATTATCTGTTTCTAATATATAGAGAAGTTATTTATTTTTGCATATTGATCATTTATCCAAAAATTGGTTGTTTGTTTATTAAATTTAAGACCATTTATCCTTTTTAAAAATTTTTTGCATATAGAAAAATGTAATTTGCAAATAATGACATGTTGATTTATTCATTATTTACAAACACACAGACATACATACAAATTCCTATGTGAATTTAATTAGATGGGAATTCTATTTTCCAGAATTTCTTTCTATGTATGATGTAAATAGAGAGTTGGTTCAGTGTTACTTGTGTAATATATGAAAGATAGAAGTAAAGTTGCAGCTATTGGTCACAGAAGGTCCTCATACTCAGATGTGATATCTGACAGAAACTGACAAATGTGTAACATAAAGAAGAACTTGGCAATTTCTAGCTTTTCCTCATATCTCTCCATTCTATACCCAGTTTTTCTTCCTAATAATGCCCTCAGACCCATAACCAGACCCTTGGCTGCAGACCCACAGACACAGAACCACTTTCTATAAATCTCTCCATAAGTTTCATGTATTAGCTCCTTACTAAATATTAAGCTTACAATTATAAAGGACAGATAACTTAAACCTCTAACTATTTTTTAAAAAGCAAAGAAGCAACAAAATGTATTCTCAGGCATTCCGAAGAAAAAATTTTTAATATGCAGAAAGAATATAAAATAGGTTTATATTTTATGATGGGTTGCCTGGAAAACATAAGGGCGAAACTTGAGGAAGTATATAAAGAAATAGTTGTTTCAGATAAATTTGAAGGAAAAAAACGCTATAATTAAATCATAAATTATTTTATATTTAAAAATGAAATGTTCTTCAACTTCTACAGACATTAACAATATAGACTGTTTATTTTAATTTTAGCGCTATTAAGTGTGTAGTTTGCAAATACATAAATTGCTACAAAATATTTTAAAGTACCATATAATAGTTAAAATCTTACACATTAAATTTGTGATTAAAATGCACCTCATTGTATTAATGATATTTAATTTCCAGTTCAATTTTTTATGTTTTAAAACTGTTCAATTTATGTAAAAATATAAACACATAAATTGTTCAGCTAAGAAACCCATATGTAAGCAGAGAAATGTAGACATTTTGAAAATAATAAAACCATTGTAAGCAATACTCATTGAATAGATGATATGAAGTTCTTATGGTTTCATCACGAATGTTTACATTAGACATGCCAAGACATTTGGCATAATTTTGATAAAATGCTTAAGAAAGCTGTATCGTCTCTACTAAAAATACAAAATTATCTGGGCGTGGTGGTGTATGCCCGTAATCCCAACTACTCAGGAGGCTGAGGCATGAGAATTGCTTGAACCCGGGAGGCGGAGGTTGTGGTGAGCCTAGATTGTGCCATTGCACTCCAGCCTGGGCAACAAGAGCAAAACTCCATCTCAAGAAAAAAAAAAAAGAAAAAAGAAAAAAAGAAACCTGTATCTTGCAGATACATTTTATTAAAATAAAATCATAGAAATCTCAATTGTACGCACCTAAATTTTTAAGAAAGTAATTCTTTGACCAATAAATACCTAACCTATAGTCTTAGGAATAGGCAGCAAAACAAAGTTAATTTCCCAAATTTTAGACCAATTCAAACTCACTTGAACCACCATTTTTACTAGCTCTTTGCAACTTGTGCTCTGAATTTTCTTTCAATTCAGTCCATTTTCATTCTCATTGACCTTCTCCTAATTAACCTTTTTCTAATCAGTTCCAAAATCCTCTGGTCTGTTAGATATGCCCAGAATCAGCTTGCCCTCTCATCACCCCAAAACCAGAATGTTAAATTCTTACTATTTAAGCTAAAACCACCGCAGATTTTTCTTCCCTTGGGAACAGCTTTTCTGATCAATGAATTGAAATAGCTGCCTTTGCCTAGTTATACCTCATATTTTTTAAGGCTTTACTGGCATAGCCTGAAACTATTCCTGGCTACTGCATTCTGGATTTTGCCTGGCATCAACAGTTTACTCTGACACTATCAATGTAGATGATACAGAAGTAAACTAGGTAAAGCAATAGACATAGCATCAGTAGAAGCAAGTTACACTCCTATACCATTAATTGCTCTGTAATGTTTATTGTGACCTTTAAACAATCTGACTGTTAATTTCATCCTCTGTAAAGTGGGACCAATGGAAATGAGATCAGAAGGCTATGAGAATAAGATGATATGGGTACAAATATTCTGTAACATACAAAGTATTCCAATCATAAAATATGCAAATTTTGAAAGTATTTTTGTAATATTCTGACATATTGCACTGATGTTTTTCTCCTGTAGAAGTAGTATTACATATGATGGTTAAAATAGTTAATATGAATTATTATTATTAAGCTTTAGGTGTATAATGGATTGTATAGGCCTTTGTGAGTCCTGTAGAAGAGCATTATGACAATCCCTCTCTCTCTCTCTCTACCTCTACCCCTATATATGTGTGTGTGTCTGTATATATACATATATACATATTTAGTAAGCAACCATCTTACAAATAAACTTTTCATTATAATTTATTAATTTGTTTATTATAAGTAAAGGTAGCTTTTTTTTCTTTATATAAAATTATGCTCTAAGAAGCTTATGAAAACAGGGTAAATGGTGAGATACAAGTATTCTACCTTATTGTTAAAAATTGTGTGCTAGAACAATAGTACAAATGGCAAGAGCCCTTTTTTCTTATTGTGTTCCATGAATTTGATCACAAATAAACAACCTCTTCAAAGTGCTATCTTGAACCTGTACCTGATTGTCAGAGCTGAATATTTTTGGCCTATGCAAACACCATCATATCTCCTTTCCATAGGCAACCTAAACTTCACAACTCCCACACTGAACTGACATTCTTTTTAAAATGTAATTTTTCTGTATTTGGACCTTAGTTAACAACTAATTTAAAATTTTCAATTAAGTCAGAAATCTGCTATCCTCCTATATTTCTCCTTTATCACCTCTGCCCTCAGACCTGAAGAAGTCTTAATTTTATCTGTTAAATATCTCCCCAGTGTGTTCCATCTTATCCATTTACTATCACTGACTTCATTCGCGTTCACATACATGCTGAGGCTAAAGGCCAGCAAACTTTTCTTGTAAAAGACCAGAGAGTAAATATTTTAGGATTTTTAGGTCATATAACCTCTGTATCAATTACCTACTTCTGCTGTTACACCCTGAAAGCAGCCATAGACAACACATAAGCAAGTGGGTGCTGTTGGGTTTCACAAAAATTTTATTTACAAAAGACCACTGAAGCGGCAATTCATGTCTAATCCTGTAATCTCCCTCTCAAATCCATACTCCACATTTTATTTTCTGCATTGAAAAGAAAATCTGACTATATTTCTCTCTTTTAGTTGTTCTTTATTATTTGTAGATGCTCAAAGTTTGTCCTTCATAATGTAAGTCCTGGCTAAAATTTCAAATTTATTTTGAGAACCCCAGTATACTCATCTACAGTTCTAAAGTTACTAAAGTACTTGCAGTTCTTGGCTCCTTACTCATGGATTTGGTAAACATTTATTAAGTACATATTATCTGCCAGTGTGGACTATTTTCTTTTGTGTGAATCTCTCTCTAGACTGAACACCTGGGGTGTGTCGATCTGGTAGCCCAAATTTGCCTCCTCCAGTTTCACTTAAGAGCTTCATATTTTTATTTACTTATTAAATTTTATAATCTTCCCAAGGTTTCATTTTTAGCTCTTGATTTTCCATCACTATATATTTGATCTACTTTTATCACTTCAATGCTCACTCATAGTTGCCTGAATCTAAAATACATATTCCTGGTTTAAATTTCTGCTTTAGTTTCAATTATGTATTTACTATTGTCACATGCAAATCCTTTGAAGACATCTCCAACTGAACATACCCAAAACCTGAACCATTAGCTTCCTTTATTTCTTATCTTGATTAGCACAACTATTAAATCAATTACCCAAAGATTCTCGGTTCAATGTAATAAAGACTACATCTTAAGGTTGACAGGAATGTTTATCAAAATTTGAAACTCAACTTTTATTTATTTCAGCTCATTAATACATTAAGGTGAACAGCCTCTGTTCTATCCACCTACCAGAGGAAAAGATAAATTCTCTGTGGATGAATATATTTTAAGGCTCTATATTTTTAATGAAAAATGTGATGCATTCTAAAGAAAAATAATATTAAGGTATGCTGAGAGAAAAAAAAATGAATGACAACAATCCAAGGTTAAAAAAAAAAAGAAACACAAAGATACAAGTGATAAAAATATTGTAATTATGGTTAAGCATTTTTTAAAAAATAATCATGATTGACAGTCAAAAAAGGAGATTAAAAAGGAGAGCGTGAAAATATAGGAAAGGTGTAATAAAATAGAATTAGAGTCTATGAAAATGAATTAAATAAGGCTGGGCTTGGTGGATCACACCAGTAATCCTAGCACTTTGGGAGGCCAAGGTGGGCAGATCACAAGGTCAGGAGTTTGAGACCAGCCTGACCAACATGGTGAAACCCCGTCTCTACTAAAAATACAAAATTTAGCCAGGTGTGGTGGCACGTGCCTGTAGTCCCATCTACTCAGGAGGCTGAGGCAGGAGAATTGCTTGAACCTGAGAGGCAGAGGTTGCAGTGAGCCGAGATCATGCCATTGCACTCCAGCCTGGTGACAGAGTGAGACTCCATTAAAAAAAAAAAAAAATGAAATGGATGTTCTAGAACTGAAAAATACAATAATTAAATTAAGTATTATATGGATTAAACAACAGATTAAATAGAGTAGAAGACAGAAATTGTACATAACAATTAAATTAAACATAATTCCATAGAGAAAATAAAGACTGCATACAGAGAGAAAAAGAATAGAAAATACAGAAATACTACAATACAGAGGTAGAGCACAGTAAAAAAGGTCTAGCATACATATAATAGGAGTCCCAGAGCAAGAGAAAGTAAAAGAAATGAAACAATATATAAAGATATATAAAGTGACTATAAAATTTTCAAAACTGAGGAAAGATATTAAGTCATATATTAAAGAAGCTCTGTAAACCCAAAGCAGGACAAACCAAGGGAAACCACAAATTGAAATAAGTTAATAAAATTACTGTAAAACACAGACAATTTCAGAAGTGATCAGAGTGAAAAAGAAATATTATATTTTGAGAACAAAAAAATAGATAATTTGCTTCTCAACAGAAAACAATAAAATGAAATATTTAAATGCTGAAAGAAAATAACTGACCACAGAATTCTAAACCCAGTGAAAACATTCATTAAAATGAAAGCAAATATGAAAAACTTTCACTTCTAGCCATGACAAAATAACAAGTTCCCAACTTACATTCTGTTCATAAAAACACTAGAAAACTGGACAAAATATATGAAACAACTGCTTTCAAATATTGGACAAGAGATACATAACTGCATTCCCCAAAATAGGGAAAGAAAAGAGTGTCACAACCATCCTGAAATTCTGCCTGGAGGCACTTTCTGGACTGTGGTTTAGAAAGGAGAAACTGAAGCAGTGCAAACTCAGTTTGCCTCTGGGTTTGTCTGACTCAAAAGAGACCATTTTGGACAGTCTGAAGCAGCTGGAATTAACAGGGAAGGGTACTGGAAAAGGCACCAAATAGAGATGGAACAGAGATCCTGAAGTCAGCATAGAGATTACTTTGACTCTTTGGCTGAATACTAAGATCCACATGAGGGAAAAAGGGAACTTTCATGAGGGTGTGAATTCAACAGCTCACACAGGGCAGAGAAATAATCAGTTTCTGACCTACTCAAGCGGAGGAACTTTGCTGAACACCCAGAGCATTTAGTGGAGACCTCAGAGAGGTCATGCCTTAGGAAGAAAGCTACAGTAATCCTATAGTAATGGCTACTCTAGATGCACTCTAATGAAGCTAAAACATAAACCTTAAAATGAACAAGTTGATCTTAGATAAATAAATCTTCATGCCAATATAAAATTCAACACATTTCAAAAGAACACAACAATGCTCAGGTGCTCAACAATATAATATTCACAATGCCCTGTATTTTTCTTTCTATGATTAGGAGGAAAATCGTTAATAGAAAAATAACAGAAATAGCAGAGATGATAGAATTAGCAAAAAGGACTTCAAAAGAGCTATTATAAGTTCAAGCATTTAAAGGTAAACAAACACATAACAGAGAAAGAAATAGAAGATAGGAAACAGAACAACATTCTGAAGTTAAAGGCCCACTATCTAAAAGGAAAAATGATAGGCTAACTAAATATCAAATAAGATACTGAGAAGAAAAGAACAGTGTATAAAGTGACATAGCTATAAAATTATCAACACCCATACTGAAACAAAGAAAAAGAAAAAGTTAAATATATAAGTTTTGGTTAACTGTGAGAATATTAAGAAGTCTAACATATGTATAAGTGAAATCTTTATTAAAAACAAAATAGGTTTAAGGTGGGCAGAAGAAATATTTCAAAGATTAATGGCCCTAACTATAGACTGAAACTCTAAATCCATATATTAAAGAAACTGAATGAACCCAGCCAAACTAAAACAAACTTTTTGCAGGTATTTTTCCGTGAAAATTGTGAAACTAATTTTAAAAAGCATATTGAAATGCAGAGGACTAAGAATTGTCAAAGCAGTCTTGGAAAAAATCAACAAAGTATGAAAACATACTACCAAATTCAAGGCTTATGATGAAGCAGCAATGTTAAATAAGATAGTGCAATATTGTCATAAGGACAAAGTAAACCAATTGAACAAGATATAGATTCTATTAACAGAAGAAGACCTGTTGCATATTGATTGATGAGAATTGCTACTGCAGTGAAATGAGCAAAGGATCAGTTTAATAAATCCTGTTGGGTCAACTAGATACTCACATTGAAAAAAAAAATCTTGACCCCAACTTAAAGCCATACATAAAATGTAATTCCAGATGGAGTACATAAGTGAATGTTAAAAGCAACAAACAAAGCTTTTAGATGAAAATTCAGGAAATTGTCTTTACAACTTTGGAGTCAAGGAAGATTTCTTACAGTAGACACAAAACAAACCATCCATAAGGGCAAAATGCGAAACATTGTACTACATAGGAAAAAGAACGCATGCCCAATATATTTTATTATGATGCTACAGTAACCTTGATATCAAAACCAGCAAGTATAGCTCAAGAGAAAAATTATAGTACCATCTTAGAAGACAATAGGAATGCAAACGCTTCAACAGAATATTATCAAATGAAATCCAGTAATTGATTTAAAAATATTACATTATATTAGAGTTCATTTATTTCAAAGATGCAAATGTAATTTAATTAAAATACCCATTGTCTAGGTACAGTGGCTCATGCCTGTAATTCCAGCTCTTTGGGAGGCTTAGGTGGGAGGATTCCTTGAGACCAGAAGTTATAGACTAGCCTGAGCAACAAAGCAAAACCCTCCCTCTACAAAAACTAAAAAATTAGCCAGGCATGGTGGCATACACCTACAGTCCCAGCTACTTGCAAGCCTGAGGCAAGAGGATTGCTTGAGCCCAAAAGTTCAAGGCTGCAGTGAGCTATGATTACACTACTGCACTCCAGCCTGGGTAGCAGAGGGAGACTTTGTCTCAAAAGCAACAACAACAAAAATACACGTTGATATAAATCATGTAAACCACATTAACAAATTGATAGAAACTTGCCCTCTCAGTATGTGTAAACAAAATAACAAACAAAAACCTAGACAAAATTCATCATCCATTCATGGTTACAATAATTAAAAAGTAAACCAAAAATAGAAGAGAACTTCCTTACCCTAATAAATAACTTTGTCTAAAACCCTACAGCAAACATTAGATTTATTGGTAACATATTATAGCATTTTTCTTAAAGGGAAGATAATAAGAGTCCTTACTTTAAGTGGATAATCCACCCAATGCAATAAGTAAGCATAAAAACTGAAAATGATAGATGTTGGAAAAAAACAAAAGCTACTTTTCATCGATTTTATGTTTGTCTCTAGAGAAAATTGTTAAAATCTGCAAAATATTATTATTAATTAGAAAACAGAATTGCTAGATACTTAATCCCTCTACAGAAGTTAATTTATTTCATTTTTATGAGGAAACATAAGTTTTAAAATAGTAGAATTTACAACATTAAAATTGGTATTAAATTAGATCTAGGAAAAAATGTGCCTTGCCTTTATTAGAAAATATATTAAATTTTTATTGAAATGCTTAGAGGAAGAACCAAATAATGAAACTATAAGCCAGATTGATAGAATCAAAGTCAAAATAATGCCAATTTTCCTCAAAATTAATTTTAAAAAGTAATAAATGATAGCAATAGATCAAGCAGGTTTTCGTTTTGCTGGAAATTTACAAGGGGACTCTAAAATATATATGAGCATGTTAAAGATTAAGAATAATCAAAACATTTTGGAAGTAGAAGCAAGAATTTGTGGGGAAATGCTCTTTCAGATATTAAAATATATTAGAAAGTTACATTATTAAGCAGTATGCTATTAATGCAGGAATAAAGAGGTCAAATAGAATGAAGACTTTTAGAAACGGATATGTGCATATATGAAAAAATGATAGAGCTAGAATTGAAAGTTGATGGGGAAAGAAGAGGCTCTCAATAACTGCTGGGAAACTGATCATTAGTGTAGAAAAATGGAATTAGATTATGTCTTATAGCATAAATAAAAATTATTTTTAGAAAAGGAAAGCAAATATAAAATGATTAAATTTTATTAACTTAGAGAGAATATAAAGAAAAAATGATAGAATTGGACTACACTAAAATAAATTTCTCATATGAAAAGAAAAAACCTCCCTAAAATTCAAAATATGAGCCACAAGCTGGGAGAAGATATCAATAGTATATAGTAGCCAATGCAGTATTAATATTCAGACTATCAAAAATTCCACTGAATCGAAAGGAAATATTTAAAAATAAATAGATTATGGGCAAAAGATCTGTGAAGGCATATCACAGAAAAGGAAATATGAATGGCCAATAAATATGTGACATTGTTCTCAAATTTCTCAGTATAAGAAAAATATAAATTTAAATCTCAAAAATATATCATTGGTATCCGCCACACTGACAAAAATTATTTAGATTTGTTGTGATTTATTTTCTTATTCCATGTAAATATAAACATCAGTGCCTAATTTGGGGCTATTTTGTTTTTACAAAATACCTTAAATTATAAATATTTCCAATCTACAAAACCTGGATCCAATTCTTACCACAGGAGAAGCTTACCCAAGAGAAGCTTATGTATGTGTGACAATGTTCATAACAGCATTGTATGTAATATAAAATAATCAGAATAATGCAAACATCTAAAGACAGAAGAATGGGTTTAAAATATTAACGCAGCAGGGCGCAGTGGCTCACGCCTGTAATCCCAGCACTTTGGGAGGCTGAGGCGGGCGGAACACAAGGTCAAGTGATCAAAACCATCTTGGCCAACATGGTGAAACTAAAAATAAAAAAAAAAAAATAAGTGGGTGTAATGGCACCTGCCTGTAGTCCCAACTACTCGGGAGGCTGAGGCAAGAGAATCGCTTGAACCTGGGAGGCGGAGGTTGCACTGAGCCAAGATCACGCCACTGCACTCCAGCCTGGCAACAGAACAAGACTCCATCTAAAAAAAAAAAAAAAAGTAATGCAATTGAACACAATCACGCCTGTAATCCCAGCACTTTGAGAGTCCAAGGCGGGCAGATCACTTGAGGTCAGGAGTTCAAGACCAGCCTGGCCAACATGGTGAAACTCCATCTCTACTAAAAATACAAAAATTAGCCAGGTTTGGTGGCGGGTGCCTGTAATCCCAGCTACTTGGGAGGCTGAGGCAGGAGAATCGCTTGAACCCAGGAGGCGGAGGTTGCAGTGAGCCAAGATTGCGCCACTGCATTCCAGCCTGGATGACAGAGCAAGATTCCGTCTAAAAAAAAAAAAAAAATTGATAAAATAATTTCAGTTACATAAATAATTCTCAAATTTTACTCTTTCACTAAGAAAGCAAGTGTCAGACGTACATATTAAAGCATGATTCTATGTATAAAGCATCAAAAACAGGTAAAACTAATATACATGGTAAAACTATAAAGAATAGCAGTATAATGGTAAACACAAGATAGTAGTTACCTTGGTTGTGCAGCTAGGGAGAAATATCAGATGGGGGAGAGAAATAGGTGATGGCAAATGTTACCTTAATACTTGATTTCTGAAGCTGGATTGTGGGTATACTGGTGGCTTTATTATTAACCTTTACAGCATGCATACTATTTCATAATGAAGTTCTAAGATTTCTTAAGCCCATAGCTAAAACTCAGTCGCCTCATTGATTAAAGAGAGTGACTGGAAAAATATCCCTACTCTAGCTTCATGGATTTCCCTTGGTGGTGATGTGATACTTATATTAATAGATGTGATTCAAACTGTTCCTACATAAATCTTTCAAGTTACTCAGTATTTCTAGAGTCTACTCAACTAGACTGGTAGTCCTTGAAATAGTCACAGCTATTTTTAATATATCTTAATTGTCTATTAACATTATCAAGCCATGGCATTTGAAGGCATGGAAGAGGGGGAGTCAGCCACCATGTGATCTTCAAAAAATTACTTAACATTTCTGTGTCTCAGGTTTTGCAAAAATGTTTGTTTTTATTTATACCATTGGCTTCCTGATACTCAAATCTAGTTATTCAGTTCTACTTAGGATAGATGTGGGGACACACATCCAGGACATCTATGGTCCAGGAGATGTCGTTTTTTTGCACCCATAGTAGGTTCCCGCCACCTGGAGTGAAAGCATGCCCACAGACAGAGAACAATCACTCACGTCCCTATCACCTCTAGCATGTCTTCAATATCCAAAAGACTTAAATATACAAATGGAAGTATGCCCAGGTCCATGACAGACATTTCTGCTGGGGCCAGAGGCAGAAAACCTGGTGTCCTTACCCTTTTTATTAGTTCAATGTCCAATAAATGAACCTTCCTTTAGGAGTCCACCAATTTATGGTGCTTTATTTAGTATTAGGTGAACTAGGAACAAGTAGTACAGATTGCATAAAATATTGAAGCAAACCCATATGGTCCGCTCTGCAAAAAGCCATCCAGAAGTGTCCCGGAAAGGATCAAATGTATTTTTCAGCCCTTATCAGAACACTAAGAACCACTGCAGAATCAAATTTCAAAGTAGAGGTTTTGATTGTCTACCATCCTTCTCTTCACAATTGTATTATTAAAATAGTTTTATTTTGTTGAAAACACAGACTCTTCTCCCACTCACACTCAACCCTCTATGGCTTTTGGTAACTCGATTAGTCTCTCTGGACACACTTTTCAAATAAGTTGAATGAAGCAGCTGAACTATAATTCTCTGTGTGTTCAATTAGATAGAAATCCTTCCTCTGATTTCAAAGGGAATTAATGTAAACTTTAATGTTGCCCTTGCTTTATTAGCAAACTAGTTTTCACCACGGTATATTCCTTTTATCATAGAGTATTTGAAACATATATCATTTGTTTCCTTTCTAAGACCTTTAGCTAACATTAGCTCAAACTACTTTTATTTTGCCCCTGAGATAGATTCACCTAAATGATATTTTCCTTGCTAACCTCAACAGCCTGACACAGTATATTACTTTTTGAGTAACTGTCCTCCTTTTCATTTCCAATACTTTCTTAGCCACATCTTTAAGAAAAGGCTTTTGTAAAGCCACATAGAAAACTACTAGCTCTTTGTTTTCCTTTCTTTGGAAATTGTGAAGTTTCATCGTTCAATTATGGGGCTCTAACTCTCTGCTCCAGAGACTTGACTCCCATCAGTATTCATTTTTTTTCTTCTCCCATTTCTAGAGTCTCTTTATTAAATTCCATGGATGTTCAGTATAAAAATCAACACAGCTAATTTCTAATCTAATTCTGATACAAGGAGCCTTCATGTTTTTTCTTTACCAATTGGTTACAAAATCACTAGCAGTAATCCCAGGACAAATGATCTTGAGAAAGATGAATGGAAGAGAAATAAAAATGATGGCTCTACTGTCTTCAAGAGCATTTTCTAGAAAACAAAACAAAACAAAACAAAATAGTGTTCATCATTTTTTTTTTTGCCACCAGAATTGGATATTTCTTAATTTGAAAGAATAATATAAACAAATGTTTTTATGAAAAAAAAGCTTAAGTATCCATCCCTAAAAACTAAATTATTCATCTCGTAGATGATTACAGTGTAAGACTACTACATGCAAGACAGATGACTGTTGTCATTTTACGTATTAAAAAAGTTCTGTATCCAGGCGCGGTGACTCATACGTGTAATCTCAGCACTTTGGGAGGTCAAGGTGGAAGGATCACTTGAGCCCAGGAGTTCAAGACCAGCCTGGGCAATATGGCAAAAAAAAAAAAAAAAAAAGAAAGAAAGAAAAAAAAAATTAGCCCAACATTGTGGCATGCACCTGTAGTCCCAGCTACTAAAGAGACTAAGCTGAGAGAATCACCTGAGCCTAGGAATTGGAGGATGCAGTGAGCCATGATTGAGTCACTGCGCTCTAGCATGGGCTACAGAGTTAGACACTGACTCCTCCCATCAAAAAATAAATAAAAGTTCTTATAACATGAATTAACACCCTTCTACCTTTAATGCTCATAGGTGAGGAGTCTATGGCTCACTATTGGCTTAAATGGATGAGATGATGGGAGGAAACCCAATAACCCAGAAATCTGGAAAAAAAAAATAGTAGTAGCAGAAGTAGCAGCAATGATAATGATAAAATGATAATAATAGTCATTAAGTTCTTGCTATGTGCTTGGAACTAGCACTTTATGTGCACTGCTTTTTTTAATCCAGAAAAAAAACCTAATGATAAATGTTGTATTCTTATGTACATATTTTAGATGACAAAACTGAGACTTGGAGGGGTTTTGTACATTTTTCAAGGTGGCATAGCCAATTAGTGGTGAAGCTGGAATTCTACCCAAATTCTGACACCAGAAAACATTTAATTAATTATCTGTCCTGCAAAGAGACCAAAAAGTCAGTATCTTGAGAAACACAGATATAAAGTGAAAAGAATAGTAAGATCTGCATCTATATAAAAAATAAACAAAAAAATAGAAAAATTTAGAGAAGTCAATTATTTTTCTTTTTTAAAGAAACAATCCTGGGTAATGATATTTATAAATAGCTTTTACCAGACAACTACTGTGGCTACTAAAGATATAAAGTTTAATGATGTATGAGTCTTAATTAAATGTAACTCTTTTTTTATTATTTATTTATTTTGAGACAGTCTCGCACTTGTCACCCTGGCTGAAGTGCAGTGGCGGGATCTCGGCTCACTGCAAGCTCCGCCTCTCGGGTTCACGCCATTCTCCTGCCTCAGCCTCCTGAGTAGCTGGGACTACAGGCGCCCGCCACCACGACGGGCTAATTTTTTGTATTTTTAGTAGAGACGGGGTTTCACTGTGTTAGCCAGATGGTCTCCATCTCCTGACCTCGTGATCCGCCCACCTCGGCCTCCCAAAGTGCTGGGATTACAGGCGTGAGCCACCGCGCCCAGCCGGATTAAATGTAACTCTTTAGTATCATTGATCAACCAGGTAATTCTGGCCTTTCCAACAACCTGCAGAATTTTCTTGATACCTCTCTCACGTTAAGTATTCTTTCTGTGGTTTACAGAAACCTTGGCTAAGTTTCCACTTAATGAATTTCTAGTTCTAATGTCCCTAATTCCCACTCTTGCCATAAGACACACTTTCCTCCTCAGTGCCCCAATCCAATTTAGTTTCTATTCTGATCCTGTAGCCTAAAATAGATGGCAAAGGAAGCATGAAAGTAGTAAATAGATGAATCCAATAAAAAAGGAATAAAGAAAATATTGAAAATGAGATCTTGATCAGAGCAAAATGTGAAGAAAAATTAATAACACTTTTTTAACGAAGAAAGAGGAAACAAAACATTAAACAGATTTTGTAAAAGTTCTGAAAATAATATTTTTAAAATACCATACAATCAGGGGATAAGTTAATTCTCAACAGCAAAAGTACTCTAGATGTAAAAGTACTTAAGAAATGGAATGATAAGAGTGACAAAGAGCTCTCTCTTTGTCTCTACAGAACAATTGACCCGATCTTCCTTTTAATAAAAATGAGTCTGCTTCAATAGGCAAAGAGATGATACACACTTGCGGCAAAGTATAATGTTGTGTCAGCCCAGTAGATCCAGGAGGACGTCTTCAACACATTCCCAAGAGCTTGGAGAGAATTTAGGAATAGGAGGGAGAGTTAAAATCTTAGTATAGCTACAGTCACCATATAAATAGAGTCTTCTTATTATTTATGTACAGAAAATGTTATCAATTCTAAAGTTAAGCACAATATACATGTAAAGCCCATTTCTTATTTTAACCTGCAGTCTCCCTCAAGGAACATTGGGTTACAAACTTCTGATACCATTCATGTTGCCAAGGATTCTGGCCACTGAAATAGAAAGATTGCTAGGTAAGATGTGAAGTAAACAGGAAAAGAAATTGACTAAAATATTAATGACAAAATCAGTGTCTGGAGCAAAAATTTTAAAATCTGTATTTGTATTCTATTGACTAATTTATTCTAAAATAAGCATACTTTTTTTCTACATGCAGCTATTGGTAAATAGGATAAATGTGCCAGTTTTAATCACTGGAATCTAGAAAGTATGCTAGGCATATATTTAGAATAAAGATCTATATTAAGTGGATATTATAATAATCTTCTCATCCAAAGATATTTATTGGACAACAAAATTACAGGGTTACTTAATTCTTCTTCGTCTTCTCTTCCTCCTTCTTCTCCTTTTCCTCCACCTCACCATCCTCCTTCTCCTCCCCTTCCTCCTCCTCCAACTTCTTCTACTTTTTATCCTGTCGTTTTTCTTCCTTCTCTGTCTTCTCCTCCTCCTCTCCTTCACTAAATAACTGAAATAAAATTTAGACCAAATTCTTTTATCTTATTTCTCCAACTATGAAATGATTTTAAAATAAGGTTTGGAGACTATTTTGGAAAATGGAAAGTGAATATTTACATGAAGTCACAAGTCTGGGGTGCATTATTTTCACACTTCTACCTCTAATGTTAAACTTCCTATTATTCAAGCATAGCCCAAATACAAGTGTTTGTCACTTAGAAGGATATATTTATATCACGTTGCCTTCTTTTCCCGTATACTTAGAATAAGGATCTTAATCTTAAACATTACATAAGTAGAAGAGATTTAATTAAAAACTTGAAGAAATGTGTTACTGTTAATTGAATTCTTGCTACATTTACCTTTGCACACCAATGTTAATAAAACTCCAGTTCAAAGTGGATGGGTTTGGGGAATTGAGATAGCTATTTATTTCCCTACCTGAGATGCCAAGATAATCTTCTCAGTAAAATAAAGAACCCAATTAGGAGAGTTCTCATTTGTAGCTATTGATCAAGTTTACACAAAATGCTAGGATTTCTAAATAAAACAAATAAGAGGTTCAAAGGCCTTTAAACGAGGTTGAGGGAGGGAGAAAGGGAAATAGTTCTCTCCGTTTTGAAATCCTTTCACCTGTGGAGCAGATAATGGACGGGCCCCTCTCCCAGCTGGGCTCCGCTCCCGCCCCTAGCCTGGCGCGCGGTCCCTTCCCCCACCCGCTGAGCCTTCCTGTTCGGTATTTCGGTATTACCAAGCTATAAATTGCCTGAGAGCTTAGAGACAATCAGGTCACCACCGCCCTCACAAGAGAAAAGCTTCTTACTTCCGAGCAGAACGGTTCAGCTGGGAAGAGAGGAAGCAGGGAGAGAATCTATGCTTTAGTCGTCACTGCTCTGGCAAGGGGTCGAGAGAGATGGGGGAGGGAGGTGGCAAAAAATAAAAATGAAAAAATAAAAAAGCATCTCCAACAATGTTGCACTTGACCCAAGTGTACAAACTTATTGGTCGCTGCAATGGAAACTCCCAGTGCACTCTCCACGGCCTGGCAGCCGCCGCTGATGGGTGGAGTCGCGCTCCCGGCCCCACCTATGGGACGGAGCTGCTTCTCCCGCATCTCGGCTCCACCGCACCCTTCGCGGGAAGTCCCCAGGCTTCCAGCAAAGCTCAGCTTATCCCGCCCCCGCTTCCAACCCGGAACCCCAGAAGAACAGCATGATGAGCCTCCGGCAGCCAGGTGGGCCACCTCCCCGCGGCTCAGTTTGAGGACACTTGTGCGGAACCCTTTCACATCCCCACCCTACCCAGCTTTCACAACTCCGCCGGGTTAAATGGCCAAAGACAAACTTCTACCTCTCCTGTCCCCGGTCCCAGCTTTTCAAAAACCCACAGCTGGCGAACCCACACACATCGAAACTCCTAGGTCGCTGTTGCAGTCTGGGCATGCTCAGTATCAGGGTAGGTTTTGATTGAGAGTAAAAAAAAAAAAAAAAAAGCTTTGTATTATGCTCTCTTTCTCCTGTGCATACTGCTTGCTGAACAGCTTGTGGGGCATTCCTGAGTCTACCTAGAGGTTTTATCAGACGCCCTTGATTGTGTCTCCTTGGGATCTGTTCCCCTCTTACTTCACCCCCTCCCCCAACCCGCCTCCACCCCGCTTCCCAGGTCCCTGTCCGCTGTGGGGATGGAGAGACACTAACAGAACTGGGATGGGCGATGTTGGCTGAACGGATCCACCTATTATTAGTGCGCGGGGATTGGCTCCTTGGCGCAGCGTACCCGAGGTGGAGCCAATCAGGATGCTGGGGCTCGGAGATGATGGGCGGCCGCCTCCTCACTGGAGGGATTCCTGGAGAAGCTGCAGTGTGGGGATGCTCTAGACCGAGTACTGCCCCCAGTGTCTTTCCACCTCCTCCTGCAGCAGCGGCAGCGGCAGCAGCAGTTAGCAGCGGCAACTTGAGGCTGCACCCCGGGCAAGTCCCCAGGGTGGTGCTCAGCCGAGAGGGGGGCTTGGCGCCCCGAAGGGGTGTGTGTAGGGTGGGGGCGACCACGTGGGACCAGCTGGTGGCCCTGGAAAACCTCCCACACACCCACACCCACACACCCCTTTTGTGTTGCAGGCTGCCCCTCCAAGAGCGGAGGCAGCGAGAGTACGCGTGTGCCTCGCGCCGGTCCACGCGGGGAGAGCACTGGGGACCGAGACCCGGCACCACCTCCCGGTCCGCCCTCCAGGTAAGGAAGCGGGACTGGCGGCGCGGCCACCTCGGCGGTGCCTATCTGCTCGAATCCATCCCAAAGATTTTCTTCTCGATACACTTGGGTTTTAGTGGTGGGAGTCTGAGACCTAGGGAGGGATCCCCGGGTGGCCTATTGTGAGAAATATGAGACTACATGTGCATCTCCTGGAAAAGCACTTTGCACAGCGCCCGTGATTTAGAGCCTGGAGTTGATGTTGGGCATCCCCCATCTTCTTGCTTCCTCTTTCCTTCTCTTGTTCTCTCTCCTCCGTCCCCCACCCCCAATCTCAATCTTTTCTCTCTTTCTCTCCCACACCTCCCCTCTCGCCCTCCTCCCACCCTAAGCACGCACAGCGTTTCTTTCTCCTCCTGGAGAGGATTGCCTTTCTTAGAGGAAAGAGGGGGAGTGAAGAAAGGAGAAAGATTTCTTTCTGTTGGGGAGAGGGATATGGGGGGGGGGGGGAACGTAAACAAGATAGAATACAAGCTCTGCGAAAATCAGAGCACATAAAGCAATTAAACTGAATAAGGGGAGTAGACAACCAGTCCAGCTTGGGCTGTCAGAGAGAGGAAGCGTCAAGTTTGACTTGATTTCCTCCTTGCAAGAGTCTATGTCTCTCACTTGATTCGTTCAAATGGAACAAAAATAAACCGACAATCCAACCCACTTTCAACTGCTTAATTGCTTTTGCTTTTGAGTGCCAACCATCTGACTTTTCCTGTTTCCATCTGTCCTGTGGGGCTAACAATTTGGTATTGCACATCAGTGTTAATATCTGAACTTTGAAAGCTTTCTTGAGTAACAAAAAAAAAAAAACAATTAAAATAGATTATTACTTTCCTGAGGTTTCTTGGTATGGCCTGTTGTTGGGGGATCAAAAAATGTAAAGTTTCAAAACATTTGCAAGGGACAACAATTTTATAGGGAGGCTTGGATTTCTACTTTGAGAAAGCTAATCTTCTAGTTAGCTTTGTGTACATGTTGATATTCACTTTCTCCAGTATTAACCCTTTCGTGAAATAAAGCAACTGTTTAACTTTTGTATGGAAGCTACATTTGTGTAGAATTTTCACTTTATTCTACCTTTGTACTATTTGCATTTTATTGTCTGGATACCAAACTTATGCCTGGCTTTATTTTCTTTTAATAGGACAATATTTAATGGATGTAAACATGATGTTTATACAATTTCAGCACTCCCTTTAGAAGGCACATGGAGGCTCAGTTGGACAAGAATCCTCCTGTACTGGAACTAAGTTTAGAAAGTAATGCTAGAAAGATACCCTAAATTTTAAAAATCCTGAAGGGGAAAACATTTTTGTAACGTCTTGTTAAAAGAAAGAAAAATATATCAAAACACCAACATGCCCCTGGCTGCCTGCATAATAGGTCAAGTAAATGGTACTTGTTGGACAGAGCCTTTACAGCAGCTTCAGCAGTCTCTAATTCCATCATTGGGGATATAAGCTTTCTTTTCTTATTATTCTTCAGGGACAGCTAAGCGATAGTACTGTCAGATGGAAGGAGGTATAGAGAAATGCCTCGTTTGATGTAATAGGAAAGCATTCCAAGTGGGTCTTACCTGAACACAGAGAAATCCACAGATGTTAGTATACAAAACACTTCTTTTTATTTATCAGGGGAAATGCAGAGTCTTACTTTTTTTTGTCTAGAACTCCACTTGATATAAGAAAAGAGAATCTTCTATCTTAACTGTGTCTGACCTTCCACACTAATTTTGTATCTCAGAGAGTATTTTTTCACTACGTACGTTTAATATATAAGTTTACACACCAACTTAGAGAAGAGCTGAATTCATTTGCCATCAGTGTAATGTGTACTATTTTCCAAACCATTTTGCATTTGAGGCAATGATCTCTCCCTAAATAGAATTACCAAGTCACGAAAAACGATTTTCTTTCTAGGGCTTTGACATTTAAATGAAAAAAAAAAAAAAATAGTGTCTCTGTTGAAAGCTAACTCTGGTTTTTAGAGGTGCCACCTTTTGGTTACAAGGACAAAGGGACAATCACTTAATTACCTCACATGTATGTACAACTGAATTAACAAGTTTAGACATGAAAAGATGTACAAAAAGGAAGCCAGCTGCCTTCATGTGAGAAAATTAAGATTTTGTTTTCTCATTTCTCCACTGTCTTAGGAATATGTGAAAATTTAGGCTTGGTTTGTGACATTTATTTTCATGACTCTTTACAAATGTTAATTATAGAAATAACATCTAAAAATATGGATATGAGTAGTTTTTCAAATACTTCTAAAAAATTCAATATCTGTGTATTGGAAATCAGAACTAATTCCAATATATAGTGAGTGGATTGGGGAGAGACCTTACATGATATATTATAGGAAATTCTTACTTTGTTATCCCACAAAATAGTCTAATGTCACAATTTCATACAATCTTTGTTTTTTCTCCCTTTGACAGGATATTTTAGTAAATCTCATTAATGTTTCAGAGTAAATATGATAATTATGCCTCGAGGTATTTTTGTCAGAATTGAAGACTGCTAATATATAGGGAAAATCCTAAAATACTAATTTCACAAAAATACCACATGATTGAGAGTTGTTGCTGAGTAGTTTTGAACTTCATTTCATAATGGAGAATATTAGTTATTTCATCTGGTCAAATTATCAGATAGTTCTAATCAACAAATATGAAAATGAATAACATTGTATTTATACGATTTGCATATTAGACTGAAATTGAAACTAAAAAATAGTATTAATTATATGCTTGTATTAATTATATGCAAGATGAGCTGGAAGATTAATAAAATAAAATGTAGAATATGTTAGAAATCTGAAAGTTAATTTGAACTTCCTGTTAGCCTAATAACACCATTAACATAATATCAGTTCATCACTTTTGATGTCAGTATATTAAGTTGATTTTGAGAAAATTCCCAAAACAGTTAGAGCCATCTAATCTTAAAGAACACACACTTAATGCAGACAATTATACGAGCCTGAAATATAGTTCTTATGATTTCCAGTTTGTGCAACAACCAAGAAGAGCTATCACTAATTCCAAATTGAAACATAATATTTATTTTCCTAATGGTAATAATTAAGTAATTTGGGGGGAACAAGAAATAAAAACAGTTTGATTATATAATGGAACAAATCTTTGTCTAATATTACCAAAAACCCATACCAAAGTTAGACTTTCTGCCATTGTGTAATGTAGGTATGCGTCTTGCATGCATTCTGCAGAAAATATAATATTTTTAAAAAGTAAATATCTGATGTAGTTGTGATATTTTAAAATTCTTAAATAATTTATTTATCATAAATATATCTGTACCAAAAGTTCAATACATGACGTGGCTGATTTTAGCTGAAATTTTTTCACTGAAATTGACCAAAGCCATTTAAAAAGAGACAAAGTATATGGCAATATACATAATAATTTCAGCTAGAATTTAAGGATATGTGTGTGTATATACATATGCATATATTTGTGTGTATATATATTCCGAAATTATCTAAATTTTTCAAAAAGGTTTAGAAACTCATGGACAGTAGACTATAATTTGCTGAAACTAGGGGCTATTCATGTACAAAGTACCATTTAAAGAAAGATGACGGTGTCTTAGGAATGCTTTTAAGGGTTCTTTGGTTGAAAGTCTGGGAATACTCAGAGATAATATTAATGAGAGCCTAGAGTTTTTTTCTTTTAAAATGGGGTTCCATGGCTTTGGGCAGAAATGATTTTTATATGTATCATGATTGAAAAAACTCTCAGTACAAGATGATGCACTTCTTTATACAGGTAACAAATAAGTTGAAATCATATTTTTACATGATTTAGATATGATGGCTGATAAAACTTCTGTCTTTCTAAGGCTTTTGGCAGATGTTTCTTTCAATATTTGCATTAAGGTAAACATTCTTAATTTTTTATGTAATTGAATGGCATGATTATCATTGCATTGGGTGGGAGAATGTGGGTTGATATGTTTTCATTAAATTCCTCAAGAAATGATCAACATTTTTTCAGTCTTTTTGCAAACTTGACTTAAACTTCTCCACTAAGTGTTTCCATTTCCTTAAGGAGAAATTTAACATTTCCAAAAAAAAAGATAACCAGCATTTTTCTTTCAGCTGGTCATTTTAAGAGTGTTCTTGAGGAGCTAGTTTTATATGGACTGTAAGATAAACTGTGGTAGCCGGGTATGTGAACATCACTCCATTCATATGTACTAGCAATACAAAATAAACTTATTTAAAATTATAGTGCAAATGTATGCTACCTATTAGAAGAGAGCATGCCATCATTTACTGTCTACATCAATAAAATTAACTTTTGTTTTATTAAAAAAGGAAAACTTTTCTTTAAAGTGGACAATAAATATATTGCTATGTTGTAGAAATGGTAAACACTAGAGATGCTATTTCTGCAATTTAAAATATAATATTAGAGATTCTATTGCAAAGAATCCTAGTTTTAAAATGGCATCTACATTACATTATTTTAAAAAAGCAATATTTAAGAGAGTTTCAAAAGAAATTAAAACCTACATTAAAGTAAAATAACACCTTTATGGTAGTGTTAGAAATGAATTTTCTAGCATGTCTTTGACACATGCAAAACAAATATTTTAAAGAATTATTTCTGTAATTGCTCTAATTTTTATATTTATTTAAGCCTTAAGTTCTGATTGCTGATTTCCATACTTTACTAATAATGCAAATGAGAGGTCAAAGTTTATCTTTTTTGGTTACTGCTATTGCGGAAATACAAAGAAAGCATACTGGTCACTCCTATAAATGTCTCACACATAGTATGTTTTATGTTTAACATTATTACTTATGCACATAAAAAGGCATTTTGTTAAAGAGGAGCTCTAGAAAATCATAAAGCAGATGAAGATATAAAACACGCCTTCTATTTCTAGCTGTTTGTACAAAATGAGAGCTGGGGAATTTCCATGTAGAACGGGAATGGCCTATAAACTAGTGTAAGAATTCGGTGAAACTACTTGGTTAAGATATAATTTAAGATATTATTTCCAAGAGTTCATACAGCCCTGTTGGACAACATTTCATCACAGATACTAGCTTGCAACCATGCTACGGCAATCATAAATACTGTTAAAAAGACATTTAGCTAAGTGCCTCAGTTAGAAATTAATTTCTGATTGAAATATCCACTTAATTAAATTCAGGTATGGTACTGAAACTTGGTCATATCTTACCTCAAAGAACCTATTTCTGTACTTGTGAAATATAGCTTTATTAATAATTTTAAAGTGCTTAGAGTTCCGATATTTTTTTATCAAAGGGTATTATATAAGTAAAAGTAATTGTGTCTTATTTCCTGTGATAGATAAATGTTTTCTTTCTCTTTTGAAATCAAAGATAAAATGCACATATGCACTCAAATGCAAACATATTTGAAGAGTTTGAAATGTAAACATTCTTATTTTGCAATTGCTTACATGAGAAGTATATAGTCTCCTGTCCTCTTCCATCATGCTCCCTGACAGCAGCCATCATTTCAGTCCCTTGAGAATAGAAAGGAAAGCAGACAAACCACCTGAAAACTCTGGTGAAAGTTCTCATGATGTGGCCTCCAGGGAACAGCCTCTTGTTTTACTTGAGGCTCATTTCCGCTGGGCCATCCTCCTTGCATGTCACTCCATGCCTACTGTGGGTAGGAAACAGGTACTTGGATTGACTGATTGCTGCTTTGAGATTCCTTGACATATTTTTTCATCAACATGAAGGCAAAAGGACATGAATACTCAGTCAAAACATGCAGAGCTGTACTTACGTGAACACTTTTAAAATGCGATACTGAATCTTATATAATTTTAGGATAATTTATGAAAAAGCTTTTCTTTCTTGGAATTTCTTTTGTTTACTCACAAGTGATCCAAGCAAAAGATGAAGCTGTTAAACCATGAGTCAGTATAGTATTTTTTTAACTTAACACCTGAGAATAAAGCTGAAAGGATTGTTTAAAAAGTGTTTCAAATCATACTTTCAAAATCCATCTGTGTCTGGAGACCCTTAAATAAGCACATGCTTCATGGTCATTATCCCAGATAACTGACAATTTGTTTTTCTACAAAATCTCTGGATATTATGAAACATCACACACGAGCTTGCTTTTAGGATAGATTATTAATAATGTATTTTTCAGACACAATTGTATGTGAGAGTTTCTGCAAGTATAAACAATAAGATAACATTACAGCAGCAGGCAACACTCACTAAAATATCAATTTTGAATTGTCTGCTCTCTCTTTGAGAAGGAGAAAGAGCTAACTGAGTATCTTTTTCCCTCATGATGTACTTACTGGTCTCCAATATCCTATGCCATACAAACAGTGGACATGGTCCTTGCTTAGCTCCTATGAAATACGGAAACTGCCTACCTGCTTATTTTTGAGGGAAAAAAAACTTTTCTAGAAAGATTTTTAGACAAATGATTTATTGGCCTTTGAAGCAAGGACAAGTGCTATAACAACTCATTAAGGGACAGTTGAGCTCTAGCAATCAGGTTTTGAGTTATCAAGATTATTAGGAAGAAAAGTTGACACAGTTTCTCAGGAAAAAGACAAGGAAGCAAAGCATTGAAATCTGTTTCTGACTTGGAGTGTCTGCCAGATCCTAGTTTACAAGGCTGGCTTTCTGCCTAATCCCTAGCATTTTCATCAGATTTGAAGACTGAATAAAGTGAACTATTGGGCATTAGAGCATATTTCTAGAGCACCGAGACCTCTTCTATAAATAGCATAACATCACTCTTCTATTTTAACCAATGTTCAGAATCCGAGGCCACAAGTTTTTATATTTAAATATGTATAAACCAGATCATTCTATGCCTGAAAGTACTAGGGTTTTATCTGTCTGTGTACAGGAAATTCTTCTGTTAAAAGCTTAGTTAACAATATGACATTACAAATAATGTACCTATTTTTAGTGGTTTTATTAAATTATAATGTTAAATTTAAAAAGCCAAGCATTCACCTTGAGCTACATCTGAGCCTGATAATTCAAAAAGTGACATTTCAGTACAAAGCCAACATACCCTTAAATTGACAAAACTGCCCTGCTTTTAAATTGTTTTGTAAAAAAGTACTTGATATGCAAGTTTCCAACGACTTGTTTTTTTTCTGGAGAATCTTAGATACTTTCTGAACCACTCTTAGACAACACAGAATGAATATTAATGACAGGAGAGAGCTGACTCCTTCAGGCAAAAGTGGATGAGACAAGTTCTTTTATGCCTTTGAGAATCTGTTTCATCATTTATATATTGAACACATAGCAACAGTTTTATTTCTCTTGATTTCTGGACTTTTAGACCTGTATGCATCGAAGCATATTACACCTCACAGCCTGAATAGGAAAGATTTGTTCAGTTCTCTGGTTATAAGAATGATATAGGAATTCCTTTGTGTTCTCTTCCTTTCTGTACATTTTATTCCTTTCTCATGTCTTCTCTTCCTACTCTGCCCTTCTTCCTTCTTTTCTTCATTCTTTTGTCTTTCCTTTCTTTTTTTGTATCTTAATTAAATATTTTCCTATAGAATCACTAAATGAAGGTTTAGTACTTTTGACCCATAGTAATCTTCACCAGCTGAATTAATTTGTGTCAACAACTAAGAAATGTAATTCTTAGTTTGTATACATTTTAGGTTAGCTTCACAAAATATATGTATAGATAAATAAAGGAGCAGCCTTTTAATTTGTTTATGTAATTGGCACACTTAAATGGAATGTGTCATCATATGAATGTTTTTAAAATTTTGCATGTAAAGGGCTTGCGGATAATTTTTAAACCGTAACTTTTTGCAGAGAGACAGAATAATGTTTTAGAGTCCAAAAAACTGGCATGTACTATTTGGCATGTTTTTCTTTATTTTCTATTTTGCCATTGCAATGGTAACAAGTTACTGTGTTCATGACAGGCGTGCAGCACTGTATTTTTATTTGTTTATTTATTTTATTGCCTTGTTTGATGTTGATAATGAAGAGGTTCTCTCTCTTAAAGATGCAATGAAGGAGACTCAAGTGTTGTTACTTGCCTGCAATTACACATTTAGAAAGCCTCTTATATTTTTTGTCTGTTGGAACTTACTGCCTCAGCACTTAATAAAGCAGGAAAAAGCATGTTTTGTAATTCTCTTACTATGTAAGAACTAGTTTGCTTTTGCTTATCTAACATCATTATTGAGTATAAGATACATAGTCTTTATTTATCCCACTGAAAAAATAAGAAAGATTTGATATACCATTATTTCTTCTGTGACTCTAATTGCAAAATAAATTGAGTTTGTGTTTTAAAATTATTCAAGGGACATTTTTGTAATCTACAAGAAAAGTCACTAAGCTTGAGTCACTAGGCTAAGTTGGCCTTTAGTCATTGCTATATCACTGTGATGTTAGATAAGTCACCTTATTTGTTTTCTTATTTGTAAACTCCATAGTTCCAAGCCACCAAGTAGGGTGCAATGAGAAGTGATTGTAATCATAAGTGTTGTAGCTTTATCACTAACTCTCCAAACTTATCTCTTATTATTCTCCTCATTGATATTCATACACACCTTCTTGCTGTTCCTTCACATAACATTAGTGGAAGTTGTTGAATCTATTGATACTTTTTATCTTCTATTCCAAGGTAGAATGGTTAAACATTCTGCTCTAAGTGAACATATCCAAACCACAATTATTATTCAATTCAAATATGAAGTCTATCAGTTGGCAATTCTTTGTGTTAAGAAACACATTTGCGAGCAATAGCTAATAGCCATACCATTGCAATGTGGAATAATATAAGTGTGTTTGTAGCTAATCTGATTTAAGAAAACAGGAATTTTAGTTGGGAAGGGCCTATAGAAAGAATACAAAATTATATGAAACATAGGATAGGTATTAAGGGAGATATTTGAATGAATACAGGTATTCATATTGTTTCTTACAATATGTCAGGCACTTTTCTATGTACTTTCCATGCTTCATCCCATTTAATATTCTCAATAACTCCTTGGGATTTGTGCTAATTTGTTTATAATTTTTAAGTGAGAAAGTAGTGGAAAAAGAATAACTGAGCAACTTCCCAGGGTCACATTATGTAGTAAGATGTAGAATTAAACCCAAGCTACCTATTTACAGAGCCAATACTCAATCATAGGTAGTCACACAATCAATAAACTCATAAATGTCAGAAGAAGAGAATAGATGGTGGCAAAGAGGTAGAGGTACCCAAAAGAGATTAAATAGTGATAGGCAAATTGATCCACTTTATAGGTTAGGTCAATATGAGCATGATGGCAATAGGATAAAAGTATGAAACTTAGAGAGCTGGATTCAGATAGCCAACTCTGGAATGGTGAACTTCAATAAGATAGTTCCCCAGGAATGAAAATGCAATAATGTTTGCAAATTGTCTGGTGCCCTGTTACTATATGGTAGATTTGACCACCTTTGCTCCTCTTTCTCTTTTTTTATTTTCAGAAATTCTTTCACTTGTAAAAATGCCACCTGACTCAAAATGCTTAAGCAAGAAAAGGGATTTTGGTGCTCATGTGACCATAAAGTTCATGAATATTCTGGCTTCAGTCATAGGTGGAAATGGGAGCTCACACCATGTGGTCAGAACCAAGCCTATTCTCCTTCCTACCACTGTACCACTAGTACTCAATAATTTAACGACTGGTATGATTATACCAGTGTGAAAAGTCTACCTATAAGAGGATATTGGCTGAGTTGATTGTTATTTAATTCTAGTTATGTCCTTGCCTTACTCTGTTTGGCTTCCTCACTTTTTAATGCAGAAGGGTAGATAGTCTTTATTCATCTCATTGCAAAGATAAGAAGAAAGTCCTTTACAAGACTTGAAGAAATTAAGCTTAGTAGAACCAAGAACAGCAAATTGCAGAGCCACTTGCGTGTAAATGAGAATTTCAAACTTTTATTAGTTTTGTAAGGAAGGAGGGGTTATTTCAAGGAGTTTATAAAGTTTTAACCTACATATGCTACAGATTAAACGTTATCAATTTGTACAAATATATTATACATTTTTATCTTTGTTGTACTCTGAATTGAAGAGGAAATATTTGGGAATAATATATTTCTTCGGTAAGTATGATGATGTTCCTATTATATGCCAGGCACCATTTGGATGCTGGGGATACAGAAATAAAAATAGTAGACAGGTTTCCTGCATGTAGGAGCTTACATTCTAAGGAAGAAGAGAGACCATTAAAAACAACAACAAAACATTGCTATGGTACTTATATAATAAATACTATAAAATTGTAAAATAGGCTAATAAATAAAACAGAGCAATAGTGGGGAATGTGATCAACCAAAAGGAAAAGGAGCCAGCCCTGTAACTATCAGGGGAAAGCACTGGGGTCAAATGAAGCAACCAGTACAGAAGCTCTACAATGGGAACAGTTTGGTCTATTTAGGTATAAAGACACTGGTTTTATGTGTTTCCCGTGCCTTAATATTTTAATTAAAAATAATCTGCAAACATTATTAAGAAGTTTTCAAAACAGTGTAATCATGTATAATCTCACCATGCTTTAAATATATGCTGTCTCATTTCTGTGTAATATGTTTCCAGTGTGTGTTCATATGCTTACATTTTTTATGGCGACAATCATAGAATATACACTGTTTTTACTTTGACTTTTAAAATGTATTCTCAGATGTCTTGTAGACATGTATTTTTATACTCCAGTTTTATCTTCGGAAGAGTAGCTGCTTTTCTTTTATTCTGTATATTCCTCAGACACTTTCTACATATCTTCCGTTTCTTAAATCTTAATAATTCTTTCCCTTTCCCCTCATTTCTAAAGAAATTAAATACATGGCCTAACTCCAGTTTTATTGTTCCTATAAATTTAAGTCAACACCTTAACTTTTTATCACATTCATGACACTTGTCAATGCAATTTCCTTTTGAGTATATTTTTGATTATATCCTACAAAACTCTAATTTAGATTTTGAAACAAAAGTAAATAAACACAGAAAACATAATGAAACAAATCATTTTGTGTCGATTATCACTTAGACAACACAGTTCTTGTAGCATTAACCGGAAATTATTTTTCCTCTATCTAGTCTCATATCCTGGTTTCAAGAACTCAATAACCTAAGTCTACCTAGGTTGCTATATGATAGTAAACCAGTTGCCTACAAAGGCATATTAACTTTTGTGAGACTGCATTACCACGCAATCTGCTACACAGTAATGAAGTAATAATTAAAGCCTCAATCATAAATGTTCCTCTTTTATTTTCTGCTAATGCTCTCTATAGACATTATATTCTGATAATAACATGTTTTGAAAATGGAGGTGTTTTTTTTTTTTTTTTTTTTGCCAAACTACTCTGCTCCATCAGGCTCTTTTGTATCCTAAATATTTTATGTTATACTATATATATGAGTGTGTGTATATATATACACACATATACACACACACGTATACATATACACATGTAAATATATACACATATGTATATACACACGTGTACACATATGTATATACACACGTGTGCACATGTGTACATGTGTGTATATATACACACATGTAGTATATTATATAATATATTATATAATATAATTATATATTATATATTATATATTGTATATTATATATATTATATATTTATATATTATATAATACATATAATATATTATATGTAATACATATCATATATTATATGTATTATATATAATATATATTATATATAATATATATAATATATTATATGTATTATATATAATATATATTATATATTATATGTATTATATATAATATATATTATATATTATATATAGTGTATTTTGATTTTTTAAATGCACCTGGCTCCTCTAGTAAATGCCAGTTTTTCAGAATTTTGCGATGACATTTTTATCATCTCTGACTCTTCAGTACCTGAAAGATATTAAGGAGTGAATATTTTATAGAATATTTATTGAATGAGTGTATTAGTCTGTTCTCACGCTGCTAATAAAGACATACCCGAGACTGGGCAACTTATAAAGGAAAGAGGTTTAATGGATTCACAGTTCCACATGGGTGGGGAGGCCTCAAAATCATGGCAGAAGATGAAGGAACAGCAAAGGGATGTCCTATGTGGCGGTAGGCAAAGAGAGAGCATGTATAGGGGAACTCCCCTTTATAAAACCACAGGATCTCGTGAGACTTATTCACTATCATGAGAACAGCATGGGAAAAACCTTCCCCCATGATTCCGTTACCTCCCACTCTGTCCCTCCCACAACATGTGGGAATTTTGGGAGCTACAATTCAAGATGATATCTGGGTGGGGACACAGCTAAACCATATCAATGAGTAAATCCAGTAACTCTATATTTTCTAACATTTTTAACTGGCATCCAAATTTAGTGTATGCATACACACACTATTAGCAAAAGTTCTATGAAATATTACTTGTTATGCTTTCTGATACTTTTCAATTATCCTTTTCTATTTCATTAAATAAGTACTGGTCATGATCAACTAAGTTTATATTACAATCTAACAATGTATAACAGCCTGTATTTTTTTTCCTTTTTGAGACAGATTCTGGCTCTGTCATTCAGGTTGGAGAGCAAGCACATGATCCTCCCAACTCAGCTACCTGAGTAACTGAGACTACAGGTGCATACCACCACGCCTGGCTAATTTTTGTATTTTTTGTAGAGACAGGGTCTCACTATGTTGCCCAGGCTGGTCCTGAACTCCTGGGTTGAAGAGATCTCCCTGATTCAGCTTCTCAAGGTACTAGGATTACAGGCATGAGCCACCACACCTGTCCTCAAAAGTATAATCTTCTTGCTATATTCACATACAGGTAATTTTGTGTGAATTTATAATCCATTATTTTTAAGTCCACAATGAATCTAGCACCAATGCTGTTATTGGCCACTCTTAAGCAGATTCACGTCAGTTGGCTACCTTCTAAGGGATTCAGCTAATAGCTCTTAAGCTTCCTTTTGGTTGTCATGGGGTTGATATATTGCACTCTTTTTTGTGTGTGTGTGTGTGGATAAACTTTCTTGTAGATCGGAAGAGGATACACGAAAGGAATAAGGGATTACCTCTTTTCCTTTAAAATAGTGAGTGGAGAACTAGTCTATGGAAAAAATAGACAATGAAGATTGAGCATAGGTATTTAGAGTTTTGTATTCAAATTAAGAAACAAACAAATAACATAAAATCTGTCAATCCTTCACCAAGTACATAATGTGGGAATTTTACTAAATGATTTCTCTGACACCTTTCAGTGCTAACATGTGAAGGTCTGTAATTGACTATGGCATTTTGCTGCAAGAAAATTAGACATATGAGTAACGCAGCACATAAAGCCTTTGGCTTCCCTTCTAACATTTGTTTACTCTCATAGTGGTGAATAAGTTTGAAGAGTATGTCTTTCATCTTTCAGTCATTCATTAATCTACTCAAAAATAGTTAAAGTACACAAACAAACTCCAAGACACCATTAGCCACCCATAAAAGAATTGAGTACCATCTAGTTAAGAGTGAAACCATAAGGAAGTAATGATTCATTCACATGTGAGCTGTGAAATAGCATTGTGTAGGATATTCTGTGGTAGCAAACAGTACAAAAGCCTCAAGGGCTTCAGCACGAAAGCTTTATTCCTTGGACATACCACATAGCCATTGCGGATCAGAGTGTTTGGAGAGTACATAGGGGAGAGTGTCCTCTGATTTACATAGTCATTCAAAAATCTAGACTCTGAGAGCTCCAGTGCCCCAGTGTCTTATAAGACTGTCATCTCAATGTAAAGTTTAAGGATTCATTGCAGTAGGGCAAAGAACATCAGAATTTCTTACCAGCAATTATCTACTCTCACCCTGTAAAAGATACATAAAATTTCTGCTCACAGTCCATTAGCCAGACCCAGTCACGTGGCTCCTAATTACAAGGATATAGGAAGTATAACACACCCATTCCCACCCCAGGCTTGGAAGAAGAGGATATTGGCAAGTATTTGAAGAGATAAGCTGCATCAGGAAAATGCAAAGCTTTCTGCAAACACATGAGAGTGAATGACAGCTGAAACAGCAATGGCTTTATATAGGAGGTGATGCATAAGATACTCTGAGTGACTTTGGGGTTATGTTAGGTGTTCAGTTCATTCATTAATGAAAGCATCTCTTTTTAAAAATCTAAGTCTCCAACAATGATATGTGTTTGGTTCAGAAGGCCAGCACTCCTGGCAAATTTGGAAGCTGAACAAAATCATTCCCGTCTTACTAGGATTCCTGACACGTAGTGCAACCACCTACATGGCAGATCTATTTAGAAGCCTGAAAGACATCTCAAACTCACCACATTCAAACTGAACTCATCTTCATCAACATATGTAGTCCTTCCCTAGTGTCTTCAATCTTGGTGAATGATTGCACCATTCATCTAATTTTGTTATCTAGAAACCTGGGAGTTATACTTGTTTCATATGTCTCTCATTTTTAATCTCAAATTCAGAATATATGTCTTAATAAAATTTTTAACTCATAAATATCTTTTGAATATGTTTACTTTTCTCTGTCTACATTGCAGCACCATAGTTCAAATCAACTTGCCTTCTCAAATCTATTATCCTTAACTTGACTTTCAAGTCCATGCATTATCTGGCCCTACGTATTCACCAGCCTCATTTATCATATTGTTCCTTTGTTCTGATACTCTGGCCATATTGGCCTTTTTTCAGGTTTTTAATATTCCAGATTTTTTTCTGCCTCAGGATCTTAACACATGCTGGTTATGATGTTGGAGTGCTTTCTTTTCTCTTTTATCTGGTTAAATTCTATGCAGCCTTCAGATCTCAATATAGGTATCAACTATTCAGGGAAGATATTTTTGACTCTTCAGAATCACTCAGAACTTTGCATTGTACCTCCTCATAGTGACCTGTATTTTCCCTTTACAGAATTTATCAATTTATCATTATATATGATTATGTATTTATTTGGGTGGTTATTTGATTAGTAACTTCTTCCCCAACCAGATTTGGAGTTTCAACAAAACAGGCATGATTTTTCCTCATCCATGTGGACCAGAGCCTCACAAATAGTAATTAGTCATTACATTGCATTCCTGCCTCAGATCCTTTGTTCTTCCCCTTCCCACTGGATGGAATGCACTTCCTCTGTATTCTCTTTTGATTACTTCTTCAAACCTTTTGTGTGTTTACTCAATTTTTGTGTGGTCTTTCCTGACCAGTCTTGTAGTACATTTATATCTCCTCCCACTTCCCTAACATCTTTCTTCTTATCACTTATCACTCTTTGAATACAGTTTTTAAATAAATAAATTTATTTATTTATTGCCTCCCTTTGATCATTAGACTGTAAATTCCATGATAACAGAGATTTTTATATTTTTTACTTCCTGATCTCCGAATGCCTAAAACAACACATATTTGTTGTTCCATAAATATTTGTTGAGTCAATGAATAAATGAACTGTGAATTGTCTCTCCATTAATTAGAACAGCTCTATGCATCTCATCCAATGAAAAAAATATTAATTTACCAGTCTTAACAATTTGCATAGAGATGACAAGCTTATACCTTTAAAGTGCATGTAGGAAATTTTCTTTTTTTTTGTAGACTAAGTTATAATTTACAATAAGAAGGCCAAAATGACTAATTTGTCTATTATACCATACTTGGAAACTTAAACTTTCTAGTGAAAGGGTTATATTTATTATAAAAATAATTTTCAGCTTAGCTATTTTCTGTCATCATCCAATCACCTTCATCCTACTGAATTTTCCTCCTAACTATTGCTAATTTGTTTCTCTAATCTCACACTAATTATTGTAAGAAAAAAAACAAACCTTTTTCCAACTGGCTTTTCTACCTTACAGTCCTGCTTTCTTCCAACTCATCTTCCTCACAGTCACCTAAGTCACTGAACACAAATGTGATCAGATTATTCTTCTGATTGACATACACATGCAGCTTCCTCAAAATTAGAAAACAAAAGGAAATGCCTCTCATTCCTATATACCCATTATAATTGACTTTGCTTGGCTCGTCACAGTACTTGTCACCCCCAAATACTTCCCTCCTGTCCCTCTCCATGAACAACTGCTACCCTTAACTACATCAATTTTATATCGCTCCCTTCACTTCTAATTTATTTTTTAGGTCTGTTTCTCAAAGAAATTTTTCCCAACCCATCTCTGTAGTTCAAAGCTTATGTAATACTCTCAGCATATTTCCAGCATTACATTTGTCATGTTGTTTTAGGATTATTGTTCATAGAGCCACCCCCTTTTGGTTTTGAACTCGCTGGGTTTAAAGATTGTGTCTTATTCTTTGTATTCCCATTTACTGGAGGAATGTCTGGCACATAACAGACATTATCGAACCTTGTTGAATAAAAAGAGAATGAGTATATTTAGCCTTGATGGGGGAAAACTTCTAAAATATGCACAGAAATCAGGCATTTTCTAACTGTGTTTGTAAAGCTAAACTTGATTATATCACTAGCCATTTATGCTTTGGGGAGAGTAAGCTTCATGCAGTCTAGGGAAACCAAGTAACCTTCGCTTGGTAATTTTCCTTTCAAAAGAAGAAAAGAGGAGAGGAGATGAGGAGAGGACAGAGGAAGGGAAAAGATAGAAAAAAAAAGAGGAGATAAAAGAAGAAGAGTACCAGCTCTCTTTGAGAAGCTGATTCTAGGGCTCATCTTTGACAAGAGAAATGTTAAGATGATTTTTTTGGCTTGCTAAACTTGACTCATCCCTCAGGCATCTGCTTAAATCAGAGAGGATACTTCTGATCTCTCAATGACAATTTTGTCTCCCATTATATTTCCCATAGCACCCTGTATTTTTTTTATAACATTTGCACAATTTGCAATTATATATTTATTTATTATACTATTCATTAAATGCCAGGAGAAGCCACTAAGAACATAAACCATAAGAGGTCGGGGGCCATGTATGCTCTATGGAAGCAGCCACAATGCCAGTTACACTCAACACCTGACACATAGTAGATGTTCAAAAAACGTTTGCTGAATGAATGGGGAGATGATAAGATGCATAGGCGATTGACTGAACTTTAAATAGATGCTTTCTTTATCCCCTAATCTTTAAAGAAGTATGAAGTTTTCTGTATTGGGGAGGAAACAGAAAATAATATTGTAGTCTGGTATATTTGAGGGAGGATGAGCAGGCTTGGTTAAAATAGAAAGCTGAGCTTTCCACAGTGATTGGATCCAATCTGAATACAAATTTAATCACTCTATGAGTGTATCTACTATCATTAGACACTAAAATTGTAAATTCAGCAATGTAATATGGCTGACTCTTTAAAAATAAATTTTTATTATTTATATCTGAGAGTAAATATTCAGTTTTTTCATATTATAGTAGTATGAATAATTTGCTTTCCAAAATTCCTCCAGAACTGCCAAGAATTGGCAAACTCTGCGTGGTAGAGAGATTTGAACAAATAATTGCAACAAAATGAAAATATTTCGGTAAACCCTAAGTAGACATTAAGTTTGAAAATATTGAAAACTTAAACGATTTTAAAGAAGAAATATATTTATAAATTCATATCTCATAGGTGAGGGTACTGATGAGACTAAATTTAGTTGACAGAAATCTGAAGTGAATGTAGAGAAGTGCTTTAAATATATATTGCTAAAATTTTAACCTTGAGTTTTTATCCAATTGTTTTGATAATCTCTTTTCTCTGAATCATGGCATCATAGATTTTTTTTTCTTGTTTGCTTCTTTTCTTTGTAATGGGAACAGTCTGTGATCTTACATCCTCTGGGTGTGAAAACTCATTTTCAGAAACTACCTAAAAAAGTGCAGTGAAAAATAAATCTTCTAGCTAAAGATAAAGTAGAGATTGTTACTGAAATACAAGGTCATATGATTTTTTAAAAAAATATCTTATTACTTGATTACCCAGTTGAGAATAACTATGTCAAAAAATCTCTGAGATTCTATGTGTGTATTTCTGTAATTTCTTCGAACAGTAATACACTAAATTATAATGTTATAACAGTGAACAATTGATGTTTATTGACACAATGCAAAAAATAAGATTGAGTTAAGTCCTCTATGATTGCAGGAACCATTTCTATATTGTTTGCAATTTTTTCCCCAGTACCGACCTAGCAATACATGGCACATACTAAGTAGTACTTAAAAATCTTTGGTGGATATCACTGAAGTATCATCCTTCTTGATTTTTTCATTCGTTTCTCACTCACTTATATATTTCTTTTGAATAAGTGTAATACTTTAATGTGTGGTTTTGGTAATAAGCCTTCATGAACTGATATTAGATGTAGTCAAGTCTTCTCTTCCAAGGTGAAATATGACTTTCTTTCTTTTCTCAGTCTTTGTTTCCCTAGATTAAATCACCAGGTAGCTCACTGTTAAGTTTCAAATAAAATATGGTAATTTAAATGCTCATTTTGTCATGGACAATTAAGAGTGAAGAGATGATGTATAATAATATATTCCAATTTCTCTTTAATGGGACCAACTAATGTTTTGGATTATTTGAGCCAATGTTACCTATCTCTGAAACAGATAATCATTCTTGACTTTCTCTTTTCCCTTTCACTTTCTCTCCACCTTTTCTTCTTTCTCTATTTTTAACCACTTCTTCAGTTATATTATAAATCTCTATGGCATCCAAAGTGCGAAGGGGTTCTGTCACTGAAAAAGTTATTCCTTCTGTAAATATATTCAATGTATACTTAATACTATACACATGAAAGTGATATTTTTAAGAAAATTATGATTCATTTCTAGTAAAGAGAAATATTTTAAAGGAAATATTTTAGCTTGTTTTTTAAATAAAAATAATTTTCTAAATAAAAAATTATTCCATAAAATTATTTAAAATACTCAATCTAATAATATATAAATGGAAAAATTAGTCTTTTTTCAGACACTGTTTTCTTTCAGTCAGCCACTGTTACCAATCTCTTATATTCTCTAACAGAAATATTTAAAGCCCCTAACAGAAATATTGCATTTGCAAACATCACATTTAAAATCAACATTCCATGATATACACAACGGTCTATACATTTTCAGTTAGATTATTTTATTTATGTTGGATTAGATATTACTTTATACAATCTACAGTGATTTTTAAATGTATAGTTATATATTTTATATATTAGGAATAGCTATATCTACTGCTTTTGGTTAATGCAGCATTAAGTAATTGTGTGAAACATGTTAATTTGAAGTGATTTTTTACTCTAAGCTAATTCAGTTTGATAATTTAGTTTTTTTCTAGTAAAATTTGTGATGACAGTAACAATGAACATAAGGTGTACTAAAGGATTTTATAGAT
The DNA here is from genome assembly GCF_000001405.40 of Homo sapiens. Taxonomy (NCBI): domain Eukaryota; kingdom Metazoa; phylum Chordata; class Mammalia; order Primates; family Hominidae; genus Homo; species Homo sapiens. The sequence continues at coordinate 78,884,485 of NC_000012.12, forward strand.
TGATCATGTCTAAAGATTTTTGTAAATGTTCCACTTCTTTCATACTGCAAAGTATCCTTGTGTTAACATATTTTATAACATCTTGTTTGTTTAATATTTTCATTAATAATTGATTCTCTTTATCATAATCTTAGAATATTTTAATGTTTGCATTTCTATATACATTCAGACATTATAAATAAAATTTTATAATTATATTTAATATATCTTTGGTTTGGGGCTGCAATTGTTGAGTTTAAGAATATTAAAGCTTTTCAAAATGTAAACTTGTTAAGAATGAGCTTGCACATGTTAGCTACATGTAAAATCTTTTTAAAACAAAAAGAAAAAATATGGAATCTGTCTGAAGAAATATGAAGTTTTAAAAGTGTTTATAAAATTTGGCAAATTTAATAATAATAGTTTATATGTATAGAGTTTTCATTACATACCAGGTGCTATTTTAACTGTTTTTGTATATTGCTTATTTAATACTTACTTCAAAACCTCTGTGAACTATTATAATGCTTATTTTGGAAATAAGAAAATTGAGGCACAGAGAAATGATACTATTTGCTTTTAGGTCATAGCTGTTAAATGTTCGGGGATTTGGATTTCAATCCACTAGTATCTAGATGATTTATTACTTCATTAATTCAAAAATCTCTGAGCATTAGTTCAAAATGTTTCAGTATTAATAAGTTATTTACCCTCAAATAACTTACCTTTCAGTGGGGGCAGAAAAATAAGTGGAGAAAGGAAGGAAGGCAGGAAGGGAAGAGTGAGAAGAAAGGGGGAAGGAGGGAAGGGAAGGAAGGAGGGAAGGAAGGAGAGAAGAAAGGAGAGAGGGAGGGAAGAAGGAAGGAGGGAAGGAAGAAAGGAAGGAAGGAACGAAGGAAGGAAGGAAGGGAGGGAGGGAGGAAGGGAAGGAAGGGAGAGAGAAGGAGGACAGGTGCTATTAATAAGCTTTATTTTCATGATTGCTATCAAAAAAATAAAAATAAAAAACAAGGAAAGAGAGTAGAGAGTGCCAAGTTGGGAATATGAAGACAGAATACATTTTTAAATAAGATTGTCACTGAAAATCACATTTCACCACAGATCTGGAAGAGGTGAGGAATTAAGCTAGGGTTAAAGATCAGGCCATGCCTGGTGATTTCAAAGAAAGCAAGGCGTCCACGTGGGCCAGGTGCTGCAGGCTGAGGGAGCACTGAAAGCTTTTTTTCTGAGAGGGAACACAGGGCCAGATGGTGTAAGGCCCTGGGGTGACTATGGTTTTTATTTGGAATGAGAGGTGAAACCAGTAAAGGATTTTGAGCATATGAGTAACACATCCAACTTTGATATTTTTAAGGATCATTGAGAATAAAATATTCTTGCTAGAATAGACTGAATAGGGCCAAGGGTGGAAACAAGAAGGGAATTTGGACTTTGTTGGCCTATGATGGAAGCAAAATACATATCTATTTTATGTATTTCCTAGATTTTGTGACCTCTAAGTACATTAAGATAGCAGTGGAAAGCTCAGAAATACATTCCTATCCATTTTTTATAAGAAATGGAGTTTAACTTCCCTCATACTTGGTAGGGCTTATCATAACACTAATTTTTTTAACATGTTATATGTACTTCCTCAGCCACTTTGCCAGCTAATTTATTATCCTGGGGCAAGTAAATAAAAGTTGGGCTAACTTCAAGGCATCTAGGAAAATAGCAGAAAAATATCTTTTTATTTTTTTCTATGATTGAAAGACTAATGCATTCACAAACGTCAGAGAATGAGAAGCATTAAGGGTTCATGAATATAGAGTGAGTGCAATTGGTTCTAAAAGCTATCCTCCTCAAAATTCCTGGATTGGTATTGCTTTTCAAGTAAGTTATTTTGAGACAAAATGGTTTTGCTTTTCAATATTTACATTTAATTTCATTTTAAACAAAAACAGATTGATACCAACATTCACAGGGATACCTACTGTGCTGAAGGCTGATTTTGACAGTTGTAAGATAATACATGCAATTCTTTGAAATTAATCATCACCTAAATGTTGCTTATTATAGACAAATACATAGCAACAAATTTAGAATTAAAAGATGTTTGTAACCATATGCCTGTGATGATCTATATTTTAATCAGTACATACTCCTGATGTTTTTAATACACAGTCAGCAAGTATTTACCTATTGCCTGCTCTGAGATGAGCATTCAGCCACATTTGAATAATGTTTTGAAAGGTTTGGGTTGTTTTCAGGGAGAATATAAAGTAAACAGCCAAGAAAGACCCACAAAATGCTTTTGGAGAAAAGTGTATGATAGTGCGTTATTTATTGCTCAAATAAAGACAATGGATATTTAAATAAAAGCCATGGGAAATAAGCTGATACAAGCTATATGGGGTTAAGTCATTCAACACATTTTCATGATCTATATTTAGGCATGAGATTAAACTGGAAGCCCCACCAGTCAGTGTAGGATAGAGTGCCAGTTTATGTATGAAGTTTTAGAAGGAATATTTTTCTTTGAGATTAAGGAAATAATGGTATCCCATGATACTTGCACTTTCTACCTTTTACAGTAGTCCTCCTTACCCACGATTTCACTTTCTGTGGTTTCAGTTACCCATGGCCAACCATGGTCTGAAAATATTAAATGGAAAAATTCCAGAAATAAACTATTTGTATGTTTTAAAATGCATGTTGTTTTGAGTAGCATGATGAAATCTCACGCCATCCTACTCCATCCTGCCCAGGACATGAGTCATCTCTTTGTCCAGTATCTCGATGCTGTGTTATCCACCCGTTAGTCACTTAGTAGTCCTGGCAGTTGTCACACTGACTATCGGTATTACAGTGATTGTGTTCAAGTAACCCTTATTTTACTTAATAATGGCCCAAATGCACATGAGTGTGGATGCTGGCAATTCGGATATGCCAAAGAGAAGCCATAAAGTGCTTCTTCTAAGTGACAAGGTGAAAGTTCTTGACTTAGTAAGGAAAGAAGAAAGAATCATATGCTGAGATCATTAACAGCGATAGTAAGAATAAATCTATTCATGAAACTGTGAAGAAGGAAAGAGAAATCCATGCATGGTACACATAATTATTGGTACTAGGCATAGTTTCAGGAATACAGTAGGGGAGCTGGAACATATCCCCTACGGATAAGGGAGGATTTCTGTAACGTAATTGCTTTTGTATATTATCTTCCCTATTAGGACAAGAGCTCCTCATAAGTAAAGAGGATATCTCAATCATCTTTATATCCAAAATTATATATCATAAAGTTACTATTCAGTAAATATTTATTGATTGAAGTAGGTGATGACATACTAAAATATAATTTCAATATCTAGCCCTTTCTTTAGAAGAAATTGATTATTCATACTTGTTTTAAAAACCTGATTGTATTTCTCAAGTATAATATTGTTAACTTATTGAAGACAGGTTTACACTGTTAAGATTTAAATAATTAAAACCAACTAACTGAATTTTATTTCTAAAGAGGACTGCTCAAATTTTGTGCCCAAAAAACTATGATAGACAATTTAAAGTAAGAGATTTTCAAGTTATAATTAGTAGTGGAACTCATTACATGAGAAAATTAAGATGTGTCATTGGTAATAGTAATAAGGAATATAATTTTGTAGAATCACAGATATTATAATATTTTTAAATCCTTTCTTAAGAAATTGATAGTTTTTTTCAAAATCTATGATTTTGGAGGATGAGGTATTGTAGGTATTGGCTTTGTTTGTAGAAGATTACACATATAATTGTATAAAGTTAGTGTAAATGGATTGCTCATATTTCAATTCTTAGACCTCATCTTCATTTCCTCTCCTGGAAATCCTTGTGTACAATTACCCTGGTAAATGGATGGACCCATTTCAATATTTTATATTTAATTTCATTTTAAATAAAAATAGATTGACATCAACATCCCCAATGATACCACTCTGCTGAAGGATGATTTTGAAAGTTGTAAGACATTTTATGCAATCATTTAAAATTAATCATCACCTAAATGTTCCTTATTATAGTCAAATGCATAGCAACATATTTAGAATTAAAAAGATGTTTAGCACCGTGCTGGACACTTAGAAATGTCCAATAAATATTTCTATGATAGTTATTATCATCTTTTCTAATCTTGTTGGAGTTGTTCACTTTTAGGAGTGCTTCAAAGATCACTTCTTCTAGTCACCTTCTGAACTCCTCTTTACTTTTTATAGTTCAGCATACCACTACCTGCTGATTGGTTAATATCTTTGGTAGCTTCTGAGTCATGGTTCATCAGGAAACCAAGGGTGCGATTTGCATTCAAGCAAATCCTCCTCCTTCCTCCTGCTCACTGTCACTTCTATTTTTACTTTGGAGCGCAAGGTTCTTTAAGGCGTCTGGTATTCTGAGGCTTCCTGCATTTACAGATTTACTACCTGCTTCTCTATAAGAAATGTGAATTGGTGACAAATCTTTACCAGAAAAAGGCAATTGTAATTAGATTAATACCTAAGGCCAAAGCTTTTCTTTGCTCCGAAACCCGTATTCTTTCCCCTTTTTAGACTACTATCAATTTTTATCTCAGTTCCTTCAGAGCTCCTGGTTAATTTTTTTTTTAAGAAAAAATCAAGACTTATTTGAGAACCTTATAGTTAATGCATTGACAAACATGTATAGAATTCCTGCTTTGTCTGGGAATGTTTGTTAAGAACTAGTTCAGGATTTCTTATCCTGGCATCCATGTTTCTTCAAGGGTTTCAGAGAATTTTCTCTGAAATTTTATACAAAATGTGGTGTATACATTTGCATATGCATTTTTCTGGGGAATGAGCTTATAGCTCCAATCACGTTACCAAAGGGTTGAGACTCCAAAAAAGTTAAGATTCACTCACTACACTGGCAGAAATACAAAAAACACATTTCCTTGGTTGAGGAACTTGTAATATAAATGAAGCTGACACCATAAATGACAGTATAAAAATAAAGGTGAAATGCTCTACAATAGGTAAAAAGAGAAAAATCACTTAATAATCATTTTGGAGAGGAATAACTGAGACTTTGTCTGGATTTAGAAATGTTATTTATGAAAGTTTTATGGGACTTCTATCCTGTGTGGGAAAGAGTGTGAGCAAAGCCTTGGAATTAGTATTGATTAGAGTGCATGGGAACATAACGAAGAGCCCATGTCTTGAATAATATTGATTTATAAAGAAAGAAAGGTTATTGAACATGTGAGATATTAATAATTCTCATGGTTTAAAATGTTGACTAATACAATGATACATTGTAGTTGATATTTTAGCTAATTACCCTTAGATTTAAACACTTTTGGATTTTGAAAACCTTAAATATTCTTCAAGGATGTTTTGTAAAATGCCTCAGTCACAATGATCATCATGATATATAATTAATAAAGACACTGGTCCATTTCCCAAAGGGGCTAAACACAGTTTTCCAATAACAAATCACATTATAGCAGTTTACACTGACACAGACTGCCCCAAACTTATGTATATTTGAGTTTTATTAAGTACATTCAGTACAGTTTGCATCTGGGCCTCTGTTTTATTTGATTAAAAGAAAAAAGTTCAAATTTTATGGCTAAAGAGAGCAGACATATCCATTTGAATATTCCACTGTCACCTCAAAAATAATATTTTTTTCTTTTCAAGCAGTGCTTTTATTTCTTACAATCTGTACAATAAGGTGACTTGCCTTGAAAGCATTTCACTTTTTCTATCCAAAAAAGTTATAAAAATTTGCAAAGTTAACTTTTATAAATTGATAGTGTTGTCTCTGACTCACATCATCATATTAGAGATGAATTTCCATAGTGGGAGGGAAAGAACCTTAGATCCAACATACCCACAATAGTATTTTAGATCAAGAAACAACAGGGTGGGGAACATCACACACTGGGGCCTGTCGTGGGGTGACGGGAGCGGGGAAGGATAGCATTAGTAGATATACCTAATGTAAATGACGAGTTAATGGGTGCAGCACACCAACAAGGCACTTGTATACATATGTAACAAACCTGCACGTTGTGCACATGTACCCTAGAACTTGAAGTATAATAAAATAATAATAATAATAATAATGTATCTTAAACTAGACTGTTCAGGATGCTCTCCTCCCTTCTACTTTTATCATCTTCCTCCTCGCTCCTTTTTCTTCCAAGCTTCACAGTTTCTGTCCATTGTAACCAGTCTTTCATTCTCCAACTCCCTCATCTTTCCCAAAATGGACTCATTTTCCCCAGAAAATTACTTTCTTCATCTCCTTACACTGTCTTTCTTATTTTCACTCCTCGCTATAACTGCATTTCTGTTACCTCCAATCTACAATCCGGAGTCTATCTTTTCCTTTCACCATTTTAAATATTGCTCTAAATTCAAGGCTTGGCTGAAGAGTAACCATCTGCTAGAAAGTTTCTGAATTACAACTATGCAATAATTATGCCATAGAACTATGCTCCTAACATGCACCTCTCCAGATTTTAGGTACATAGCTCACTATTTTATTTAGAATTAATTCTACTGATTCCTCATGTATATGTGTATTACCTATCTTCTCACCCAAACTATAATATTCTTGGGTCAGATATAAGTCTATTTTATTATTGGTTTATTGTTTGTTTTATTTTGTTTTGTTTTCATCTATCAGATCATTAGGCACAAAATGAGCTCTTGATATGTAGTTATTAAGACACTGGCAAGATTTTAGGAGGGGAATGACACATAGTTGCTAGCCGCCAACATATAATTTATGGTGTACAAAGCACTTTTACATGCTTTTTCTCATTTACTAATCATAGCAACACTATTATATATTATCATCCACATTTTGCAGATAAGAAAACAGTACATTTAGAGAAAGTCATCGATTTGGTTAGGAATAGGAAACTAGTAAATTGCTAAACTGAGCATTAAACTCAACATTTTTACTCCATACCCAGGTTTCCATGTTACCATAGCTGTCTTCCAAGGCTGCATTTTGTACAAGAGAGTTAAAAATGAAATTGTTTCTAATATCTGTTTGATTAAAGGAAAATATCTGGAACAAATTTGTCAAGATAGTTAACAGAATTTCTAGGTGTTACTGAATTTTAAAGTCTCCACGGTGAAATGATGGTTAACTAACATTTATTTACATATGGAAGAAGGTATTTTTGGCAGCTTTTTAAGGTGTAAAACTTAAGACACCTCAGAACATGTAGGATAAAAGGAAACTTTGTCAGGGATGTCTTGAGAAACCTGTGGCAATTTGAACTGTGCTCAGGAGGAAGGACACAAATCATGGCTGTAGTGAGATCTGTGAAGTAGTCTTCCCTCTACAGCTTCTCTTTAAAAGCTAAGTAATGGGTGGCAAAATAAACCAAACTGAAACTGAGATGCATGTCATCTCATTAGTGTCTTCTTAGATCCACAGTGCTAGCACTGATAAGCTCAAGTGCTGAGAATTGTTCAAATAAATTCTATGTGCAATCAATAGAAGACCTAAGAAAACTGTGAATAAGTTAATCACTATAATTTTATATATTAACAATTTTTCATTCTCTTTCTCCTGATATAAATATTTTTGTCTTAATTCTTATGAATTGAGGGTCAAGTTATGTCTGGTTTTCCTTCCATATCATGTATGGTCTGCCTGAACTATAGATCTGGCAAGTCCTTGAACTATGCTAAGTGGTTTAAATGGGATAATACTTAACATACTTTGATAAAAACCAGGTGGCTTCACTCATTAACCTCTTGGATTCACTAATATGGAAAACATCATCTTATCACGTTTTTAACATGAAAACAACCTACCTACTACCTACCACTAATTTTTAAAATAATAATCTTATCATTCAAATTATAGTACATTTTAGGTTCTGCACATAATACTACTCAGAAATTAGCTTAGTCACATACACCCAGGGGATCAGTCACTGCTATTATAAAAATCAAAAAAGTTATAAACCATTCTTCAGTAATATAAAATAGAGAAAATATTTTAGCAATAGGAAAAATGACCAGTATAGACCTAAACAATCAGTTGTTTCCCTTTCCCCACCTCTCTAAACACACATTTTAAAATAGGAGCCGCCCCGATCAAATTTTAAATTTTGGCAAATAAATAGAAGACTTCAATCTTCCATAGAAAATAACATTCATTTTATTTTACTGGAGGTCTGATTTAGAATTCAAAAGGAAGTCAAAATTTAAAAGGAAGTCAAAAGGAAGTCAAGATTAATTTGGAAATAATGGGACACAAATATATATGGATATTTAATTTAGCAATACATTAATCACCCAAAATAATCTCAAGGGAAAAAGTTTAATGACAAATAACGGTAAAGAGGAGAATTATTTTTTTCAGAATTACACAATATTGTTGAAATAACTAGATATGAATCCTAATTTGAGTAAACTCACTTTCACAGAGAACTTAAGAGAAACATAAGTCATATTCTTGAATTGAAAAATTAGGATGTATAAGTAGCATTATAATATTCTCATAATGGTTTGGACTCACTCCTAACTAAATTGCCCAAATAAGTTGATCTACTGCTGGCCTTTGCCATCAAAAATATTTACCAATCTCCACTAGGATTGTGCAGATAAATGCAATGGCTGCCATCATTACAATCAGTATGCATGTACTTACTGAGGAGGAGTCTACAAATGAAAACCAATTCCTGGGAATTTGTGGGCAATTTCAATATTAAGAGCAACCATGACTAACAGTAAATGACAGGCTACATTTTTCAATTTGCTAATAATGATTCTTGCTTTAATTTTTTTAAAATTTCCACTGCTGATTTATCAAAATATATGGATTAGCACTGACTGTAAAGTTATAATCTAGATGGATCATTATTAATTCTTAGTACTAAAATACATATTTTTGAATTAAACTTGTCAAAAATTCAATTCTGTCTCCAAAATTTGAATCAATGTTAAGCATAACTTTCAAAGCCAACTCACCTAGCAACATTCTTCTACATCTGTATTAAAGAGGAGGAAAGTCTTAGTGCCAATAATCACTGAATACTAAAAAAATAAAATGCTCACAAACTTAGATACTCATGAAGTCTGAACTATAAGAGAATATCCTGGAAAAGTTGAGGCAAAGATGTCAAGTCTTCTATTTGAATAAAATTTGTTATCCTATAATTTCTGCTTACACTAGGCCAGTAGATGACAATATGTTATGAAAACAAACTTCTCTGAAGAGAAACTAAGACTTTAACTAAAAAGATAGGTTTAAGGCTAGAATTTATCTCATGTTTTATAGATAAGCAAAAAATAAAAACCATGGTGCAGTGTTAATAAATTAGAAGTGAGTTTAATGTTTATTTTATACGGATGATTCTGCCATAACCAAGGCAATTATAAAAAATAATAATAATAATAAAGTTGCCCTCTGCATTTCTCCTGAAGACCTCAACTTTCAGTCTCTCATGCGCAAAGATGCTTCCAGGGGCTTGGAATGAGGAGGCTAGCAATGGATATGTTTTATTTTTGGAAAATCTGCAAAAATAAGCTGTTTTAACCAATATTGGTGAGAGCACTGTGTTCTTTCTACCTAACTTTGTATTCATATTGCTTTTATAATTTTTCTTTTTTTTTCCAAAAAGATTCTGATAATTGTACAAGTGTCAAGAAACTTAACACCTGGAACCACTCCTACATTCTTTTTCTCTGCTTCAATATCTCTCCCCATCAGTCCTGCTCACTGAAATCCTTCCTAGCAGTCAAGGACTACCCTAAATACCTCCTCTCTAGGCAGTTGTTACAGTATGTTTATAGTACTTCGATTGTATCCATTTTCAGTTTTAATTTTACTCGGTCTTAATTTATGATTGTGTTTTTTAATCTGTTTTTTTTTTTTTTTTTTTTTTTTTTTTTTTTTTTGTGATCACCATAATGTAGTAGCAAATGTCTACAGCCTAAAATAAGGCTGGCAGAGACTTGTACCCAAGCCTTATGACTTTCTAGCTGTGTAACATACACAAAAAAAAGTCACTTATTCTTTTACTCTGATTGAGCCTCAGTTCCCTTACATTTTGATACGCATCAAAATAATAGGATTCTCTTCATAAACTCCTCACGATTAAATGAAACAATGCATATTAAGTGCTTATCAGAGATCTTGGACAAGGATGACAACTCATTATGAGCTAGTTCTTACAATTACGGCTATTTAAAGCCAGGCACAGAAAGCCAAATATCTGACGATCTCACCAATATGTGGAATCTAAAAAAGTCAAACTCATAGAAACAGAGAGTCAAATGCTGGTTACCAGAGACTGGGAGGTGGGGATGGGGAGCTGTTGGTTAACGGACACAAAATTTCAGTTAGACAAGAAGAGTAAGTTTAAGAGACCTATTGTACATCATGATGACTGTGGTTAATAGCAGTATATTGTATACTTGAAAATTGCTAAAAAGTAGATTTTAAGTGTTCTCACCACAAAAAAATAATTCAGTGAGGTAATGCATATGTTTATTAGCTTGATTTAGCCATTCCACAATATATACATATATCAAAACATATTATACAATATAAACATACACAATTTTTATTTGTTAATTAAAAATTAGATAAGCTAAAATTAAAAACTAAAAAAAATTGTGACCAAGCCACTATTTTTGATGTATTCTCCGTTGAGGTTTTCCATACCATCCTGCAAAATACTTAGAAAATAAATATTTATTGAAATGAGTAACTCATGAGAATATTACTTTTTTGAGATATAAAATTATTTTGAATACAAAATGAGCAAAGATAAAAAAGTGTTTTTTCATAAAACTAATTTGTGACATTTAGGATTATAGGATTAAGTAATCAGCATATTAAATAAAACAACCAAAAATTCTTCAACTATAATGTTTATTCTGTCAAATGCATAATGTAAAATAATATTTGTTTTGGCAATTACTGAAGACTAAGCATTTGTTTGCCTCCCACATAATAAGCAGACTAAAGAAAAACACATTTGGTAGCTTGAAAAATGGCATCTTCATATGAAAAATTAAATATTTCTATAGACACATTTTCATTTATTTGTGATAAAGATTTAATTTTAAGTATTTTTAAAAGTATTCCATAACACAATTCCATTTGTTGTTGTTGATCTATATACTTACCCATATGTAAAATATTTTAAATAATAACATATTTGAAGCCACCGGGCACAAAAATGAATGATTGTGAAATGTGCAAAGTATTTGAATAGTGAGAGCTAATTCTATACTATTAAGGACAATAAAAAGTGCAAAAGTAATTGTAACTGCTAAAATATTATTTCAAGTTTTAGTCCATATTTTGATCTATGGTCTAAATTGAAGTTTATTGATTCTGTAACTCATTGGAGTTTCAACCTAGAGAAACCAGTCACTGTATTATGCTGGGGGCCTTATAAAAAGTATAATTGTGTAGAAGAAAGAAAAATGGGTAAGAGAAACGTAAGGACAGGAGACAAGTCAGCTATTTAGTTACCATGCAATGCAGTTATTTGGGAGCTTTTTCTCAAATGTAAACTGAGAATAATTATACCTAATTTAAAGCTGGGTGGTGCATAGAGCACTTGGATCAATTTCTGGCATATAGTCTGTGACAGAGCTATGTAAATAAATTAATGAATTTATATCTAGAAATCCAACTCTGTATACCACCAAATCCCTTTATTATTTTCTTTTCTCTAAGCATTTAATGTAAAGTTTGAACTGTATTATTCTTTCCTACTAATTTAAATTGCTGCTTGCCCTATTTGAATAAAAAATTGCCTATTTCTATGGTTTTGCTAAATAGTGAATAACTAGTGCCCTTACAGGAATCACAAGAAAAACACACTGAAAAATGTACTTGGAAGAAAGAATATATGGAAATATATGATAAAGAAATAACTGGGAAGATGCCTTAGGATAAATTATGAAAGAAAATATTTTAGCTACCCTTTTCTGTTGAACAAATGAGAAAATGTGGTCAAAAAACAAGGATAAATCTATTGGGAAAAAAAATTTATCTCCTATTACCCAAAATTTTACCTGAAACATGTTTTTAAGGAAAGAGAGAACAAACATATTCTGAAACATAGAAGAGGTGAGTTTAACTTGAAATTAAGAGCAACCACCCTCCCCAAGGGGAAAAATATCTCCAAACCTCTCTCCTCATGTAAACAGAGACTTTAGAGTATTAGCAGTCAACAATATTTTCATTAATTATTTATAATGTAGAAAGCCATGCCCATTTAATTCCATTTTCATTTAAAACACTACAAAATATGATATATCTTCATTTTAAAAATTATGTGAAAAGAAAATATCTGAATTATCTTCATTTCTTTTTGATGAATACAAAAAGAGAAAAAGGAAGTAGTTTTTACTTTACGATTTCTATATCTTTAGGAAGATAATAAGGAATCTTAAAATCCAACATATAAAATATCACTTTCTACAGCAAAATTACTTTCAATAAATGGAAACCTATAATTAAATAATTTACCTTCCTTAAGTCTGAGAACCTCACAATCATGCTCTTCAGTTCTTTTGACTTAACAAAATATCTATATAAGTGTATGACAATGTCAATAGTCAACTGAAGGCAATATATTCGAGGTAAATTTTATTTTAAACTTTTCTTCTATTTCATACATATAGACTACAAAATAGCAAACCTGGCATTTAAATATATAATTCCTTCAAATTAATTAAACTAAAACATGTCATAAGTAGCTTTTATACATGTTTTATTAAAAATAACACTTAGAAAATATTCAGCCTAATTTATCTTTAAAAATGTCAAATACCAGGATACTTTTAATGATTTTTGAGCATAAAAGAAAAGCAACTTTTCTTTCTCTGTGGTTCAAAGATACAGACATGGGAATATTACCCAGTAAACTATCCTTGTAGGATTAAATTTTCAGTGACCAGAAGCTAGATTGTTTTGTTTTGTTTTGTTTTGTTTAACAAATTAGGCTCAAATACTGTCCAAACCTAAAAGTGGATCTTCATCATTACATAAATTCTGCAAGCCTAAACAATGACAGCCCGAGACTGTTGTACAGAGACATATGTGAGACTTTATCCTGATCCTTTAAAATGAATAGTCAGATGATGGTTTCACACTGATACAAATTAGATTTCATATGCTGATATGCTCAATAATGCTAACAAGGATCTATATATAACTTATTAAGTGCTACAGGCAGAGCCTATGCTAGGGCTTTACATCTACCATTTCAAATGCTCATCAAAATCACAATTAACCTATTGATAAGTTTGTACTGGTAATTTAAAATTTGGAGGCATTCTTTTTCCAGTGGTTTTGAAATATTATGTTCATTAGAGAATATAGTGCCAAGCCTCTGATGCCTTTGTTGGTTTTTATTTCATGAAGTTAGTGTACACAGCACCTCTGCCTGAGCAGAGCTGAAACTCCCAAGTTAGGACATGAACCAAATATAAGGGCCACCCAGAGCTTGGGTTTAGGCAGCCTTCCTCACCTTTAGCTCCTAAAGGGTGAAACATCTCAGATGAAAAACCTCACTAACCAAAACTCCTAATTACTAAATAAAACTTAAGGCATTCATAAACGCTTGAATGTCTGAAATTGCAAGTCTATACAGTTGAAAATGCATTTTCTGAATTCAGATATTTGCCCTTGCTACATAATAACTGTAGAATGTTGAGCAAATTACTTAAACTCAGTGTCTCATTTGTCTTATCTGTAAAATTGGAATAAGACTAGCACTGCCTCATAGACTTATTTTGAGGATTAGAGTGACTTAATAAATATCAATACTCTTGGAACGATGCCTGGCAAAATTATTATTGTTTTGCCTTGTTGTTATCTTAGATAGGTTGTCCCTATACCATGCCAAAACTATTCTGTCAATTTGAGGGGGAAAAATTAAGAGTCAAAATAGCAAGTTGGTGCTTGAACATTTACTTTCCTTTTGGTTATTTTATCATTGTGTCAAAGAATTACAAACAACATAATCCCTATTTTCAAAACTTCCTTAGCCCTCTGATCTTCCCAGAGTCACAGAAAGTAGTAGTTGAATGGCTTTAATCTAGTTTGTCTTAGTAATAGACCAACAATCCATCAAGAAACAAATGCCATTCTATGGCCCTAGTTAGATAGAATTCATGATTGTTTTTTCCCCTAGGACTGCATTGCAACCTCAGACAAGAATGGCAGACAGCCAGCAGGTTCTGCCAGCTGGCTTTGCACTGCTCTCTGGGTTTTAGAGAACAGGAGCACAGATATTTTTGATTCTGCAGGCCAATTCAAGCATAATTTACAGTGAAGAAGAAACCCTTTAATAGTGATTTCGCATGTAGAGAAATTATATTTTTAATATAAAAGAACATCACAATTTTTTAACATGCGTGCATTTGAAATGGATACTTACAAATTATCAGCTAACATGGGACATTTCTTTAAAAAGCATGTTTTCCAACAATTGATTGCAAATCCAGTAAAGATATAAAATGACCTGTTGGTTTTGAGATATTTTATTCATTCATCTCTTCAATACATCTTTAGTGAGTGTCTACTATTTGCTCAACACTGGCATGACTCTGTATTAACTTTATTATTGACAGCTTTGATGTGGCACATTCTGCTGTAATATTGTTGCTTATACTATACTAATAGTGGAAACTATTGCTCACTAACTATAACTAGTTTAAAATAAAATCTGAGATTAAAATTTAGCATTTAACTTTCTTAATAATTGAGATTATTGCTGAAATCATTATGAATGTTTTTAGTGTAGGGAACTTTGCCTTGTCCCTCAGTGTACTAGAACAGTGCCTGACAGTTAAGAGTGCAATGTAATAACTAATTCAGTAAATAAGTATGAAAATCTAAGAAATGCAGAATGTCAATTAGAGGAATTATGCTAATGATGAAAGGCTACGAACCCTGGAAAAAATTTTCATTTCAAAAATATACATAATATTCTCGAAATATAATTTTTATTTATATTTAAAAAGATGTGCATAATTTGTATTAAATACATATGAATGTATTATAAGGTAAAAAAGATGCATGTCTATATTTAAGTGTGGGTGGAGAGAAATACAATCTACTCTATTTAAAAGTTTCTAAAATGTACTTGTGAAATATTAATATTTTTCACCTAAAAGAGTTTTTTCTTTTTTCTTATTCAAGAAAGTTTTCTCTTTGAAATTTAATGTAGCGCTTAAAAATATTCAGTGCTTTGTTTAATACGCAAACTTAGCATAATTGGATTTTGTGAGCCTGGCTCTTAAAACACTATGTGAAAACTTTTTCTCTAATACACTTAGTTCAATATGCTTTATACTTTTTATCAAAACTTTGTAATGAATTTTAAAATAATTTTATAGCTAGATTATTTTATAGGTAACACAAAATATTTTCCAAGATGAAGTTCTTTGAAGCAAAGTCATTAATTTTGTTATATAATTGAATTTAGCTCCTACTTTTTAATCTAAGTTACTTTTAGAAATATAAATTAGAAAGTCATATGAATAGATAGACTCCTTATTGAAAGTAAAGTAGCATTATCTTGTAATTGTACAGTAAGACCAAACGCAAATGTGACAAACCAGGTTAATCAAATAAATGGTCATTGAAAATTGCTATTAAATGTGTAAGTGGTGACTAAGAGAGGCTGAGGTAATGATAATTATATTTCCATAGTTTTCTGATAAAGTAGATGTTTTGGATGGAAAAAATACTGAGGTGATGTTTATTTACTTATTATTTTATTCTTTCATTTAACAAATATTGATTTAAATTGACGCTTTGCCAGGCACTCTTCTATTACTAATACTAAATTTGTGAACAAGCCAGATAACAAAACTGCTCTCAGGGAACTTAAATCTGGGAGGAGAAGGCAGATGTTAATACATTATAACTATGGTGAAATCAGGTGGATTTAATTGTGAGAAGAAAATAAGAAAGACCAGAAAATGATGTGGGGAGACAGGGCCAATTTAGATTGAATAGTCAAGGAAGTCTCCTTTGAACTGAGATCCAATGACAAGATGCCAGCCATTACAAGATTGTGAGTCCTATTCTCTAGGCAAAAGAAAGAGCCAAATGTTCCAAGGGAGAGAGCTGATCTCGGTGTGTCTGAAAAATGGAGAGAAGGCACATTAGAGTGGAGCATGGAGAACTGGAGGAAGGAAGTGGAGAAGAGGCTAGAGCACATGCAAAGTACACCACATAGGGCCTTGTAGGCCATGGAAAGAACTGGACTGAACTACAAGTATCATGAATTGTGAACAGCATATTGGTACTATTTATAATTTTAGAAATTTCTTTTATGTGGAACAATAGCTGTTCTATACTTTTTATAGTTACATGAATTTGGATTCCTGTTGGTGAACATTCTTATTTCTTAATTTGAATACTCAATACCATCAAAATGCATGTAATTTTTAATTCATTGCGGTTTGTCAGAACACTAGAGGCAATTAAAATCATTTGACATAGTATTTTCCTTTTTATCCTTTTACATGAATGCATTTTTCAGTTATTTCAAAATTCAATTGAACAAAATCTAAACCATTTATTTCACTATATCCTTCATAAAACATCACACTTTTTAAAACTTGTATGGATATGTATCTCTATCTGTTTGATTTTATATTAATCCATTGCTTCTCTAACCAGAAAGAATAGTAGTGAACAATATCTTTTCAGGTTAATGATTTAATGTGTCATGAAATTTTTCATGAAGTGTATCATGAAATGTTTCATGATGATAAAACTACTTATTTTCTAAAAACATTAACTTTGAATTGAATGTGGACCTCCTAAAATATTTTTTTCCAAAAAGAAAGTCTTCTTCCATGAATGATGAAGATTAGTGTTGGTTACTGAGTTCGAGATTTTATTTTGGTGTAGTATTTTTTCCCTTTTCTTCATTTTCCAGACATGAATGTCTGCCAAACACACACTGTATTTAAACCCCTGAGAAGTTCAAAAGGGATTGGAGACAGCAAAGGGAGGTCTTTTATATTTCAATATCCTCTGTAATTAACATTTCTGTCTTAGCATTAATAAAACTAAGCTTTTGCCTACTTTTGCTTTTGATTTTAGTGGTTGAAGCCATTATTATTTGTGCAAAAAGACAATCTAGTAACACAAGTGTAAATTGGAGGGTAATTTGAAGAGATAATTTGCTGTTGTGAAAACAAGTCCAAATATTTGTTCATGTAGTTGTTGGCAAAATGGTGATCATAGACCAATCCAATTCTCCTCAGACACCAACTGGTTGTTGTTGAGTGCTTGGCCTTCACAGTAGTCATGTGATCAAACTCCATCATACATGCTTGAAACATCTTTAAAAATGGAGAGTACTCTTAATGGATGAAATGTGGATGCTGCCTCCTTACCTCTACATTCCTAAAAATAATCTACATTCCTAAAAATACACTTCAAACTGGAAACCATCATTCTCAGCAAACCAACACAAGAATAGAAAACCAAACACTGCATATTCTCACTCATAAGTGGGAACTGAACAATAAGAACACATGGACACAGGGAGGCGAACATCACACACTGGAGCCTGTCATAGGGTGGGGGATGGGAGGGAGGGATAGCATTAGGAGAAATACCTAATGTAGATGATTGGTTGAGGGGTGCAGCAAACCACCATGGCACATGTATACCTATGTAACAAACCTGCACGTTCTGCACATGTACCCCAGAACTTAAAGTATAATAATAAATATGTATATATATATATATACTTTAATACTGATTATGCTGATCATATAATCGCAATTACACACATAGTGTTGATCTTATGTGTGTAACTATGCCCACTGATTCTTGAAAAAATGACAATACATTTGTTTACATAAATTGTAAAGAATCCAATTGAAAGCAAGCTCAACATATAGAGTAGTAAAAACATGAAGTGTATCTTAGGGACATCTCTGTACCTTCCACATAGGGCAATATAATAGGTCACAATTTATAAACAGCCATCTACCAGTGTTAGTTCCTTATAAACAATGATGCAAACTAGTGTAGGTAATATAAACTGAAAATATGGAAAAGAAAAAATAATTTGTCAGTAATAACAGCCCTCACTTTGAACTATAGCAATACTATTGATGAATATCAGTATTATTATATTTTTTCCAGGAGGTTTCTCATTTTTCTAGAAAGTGGTAGACCTTGAGTTTTTTAACAACCAAATAAATAAATATACAAAATCAAATTAAACATAAGAAATTTAAGTTTATTTTTTTCATTGATGTGGGTGCACACACATTAACTGTAAAGCAGAAGTAAATTGATAGTTGGTTATTTTACTGGCAACTGTGTTTTGTTTGATCTTGACATCTGATACTCATGAAATTTGTAGCGTGCTGTGAAAGACTCTGACACTATTAAAAATTTGAAGCTCCAAATAAACATACTGGATGCACCATTTTCTGAAAGTCATTTGTGAGATTATGTACTAAAGCAAGGGTCTTAATTTCAAGTCTTAACTATTCAAACTCTACTAACGTAAGTTCTGAAAGAGGAATTAGGGTCATAGTATTAAATCAGCTGGATTTGGCTACAATTTTACAGAATCAATTCTTAACTCAGAAAATTGTCAAAATTCATTTATCTTATACCTCATGTGAAAGTAGTATGGCAGTTCATAGAAGTAAAATAAAAAATCGTCAAATCTGAAATTTATCTTTCAAATAAATGTAGATACTTTTTTGTGTTTTATCTTAAAAAGAGTTTTGTGTTTTATATTAAAAAAAGAGAAAAATCTCAAAATATTTATACATATACAAAATATATATACAAATATATATTATATGTATATATATTTTTGAGATGGAGTCTCACTGTGTCGCTCAGGCTGGAGCACAGTGGCACGATCTTGGCTCACTGCAACCTCTGCCTCCTGGGTTCAAGCTATCGTCCTGCCTCAGCCTCCTGTGTAGCCTGGGATTACAGGCACGCACCACCATGCCCAGCTAATTTTTGTAATTTTAGTAGAGATGGGTTTTCGCCATGTTGGTCAGGCTGGCCTCGAACTACTGACTTCGTGATCTGCCCGCCTCGGCCTCCCAAAGTGCTGGGATTACAGGCGTGACCCACCGCACCTGGATAAAATATTTGTATATTTTATATGTAACACTTGTTTTATAATTATCTGTACAATTCAATAGGCTTTTATTCTTTCTGCATTCTATAAAAAGGTTTTCTTTATTGGTTAAAGAGATACACATATATTAATTTCAAAAATTGCTGAATGAACATGATTTACAATATTCTGAATATTTAATAGGTATGTATATTTATCATAATCTTGAATGACAAATTATAAGATAGTTATACATAAATTAATTTATAAATGTGCCAAGAATTTTCTTATAGTTTTTGACCATATTTTATAAAAAGAAATTTTTGTACCTTTTAAGCTAGAGGACAATTCTCTTACCCCATTATTTTTTTTCTATTAAAAAATCACATATTATTAAAGAATCACAGTTGAATCTGTATTACAGAAAACTTGATCTGTCTCATTAATGGAACCAAGTAACTACTGTATTCAGTAAGAAAAATAATAATTTAAACAGCTATATATCATAACA
The DNA here is from genome assembly GCF_000001405.40 of Homo sapiens. NCBI lineage: Eukaryota > Metazoa > Chordata > Mammalia > Primates > Hominidae > Homo > Homo sapiens. The sequence continues at coordinate 78,904,071 of NC_000012.12, forward strand.
GTTATTAGAATCCCCGGTAACCAAAATTTAGTCATAAACCAAATTTACTAATTTTTGTTTTTATAGTGAAATGTTACAATTTAAAAAACAAACTGGAAACACTAGTGTGTATTGAATTTGAATTTATATTTTTATAGACAATGTTTTCCTATAAATATTTGTGAGATTTTAAATTGGTCATGATCTGCATATGACTTAGCCTTATGATACTTCTATATTAAGTTACATGTGATTTATCCATTGGAAAGCTAATGGAAAGCTTAGATACATTGAAGAGAGACACTATTAACGTGTAAAAATATAAAATTTGAATTTTTTAGTAAGTATTCAATGAGCACCTACTCTGGAAAAAAATAATGTACTGGATCTTTGGAGAACATGGATGTATAAAACATCATAACCTCTATTCACCAGTTTTCGAGTATCTCGACCTAACTCTGCCCAAGGATGAAACTCATTAATTCTAGAGTAGCTCATGATACGTAAGTCAACCTGAAACACAGAAAAACTATCTTTATATGGAAAACTTTTAAAAAGAAAAGTGCTGCAAGATAATGTTATTTGACATTTGAAGGGAAGAGATACATATTCCATTGTTCAAAAATGATGCAAAATCTGCTCCATTACATGAGTAATATTATATGAGCCATAGTCTATACAACATAAAAATACACAAGTGGACATTCTTAGTGTTCTAATAACATACATACAATTTTAACCTGAAAGATCAAATTATATATATAATTGTCATTGGCAATTAGGCATAATAGAACTAAATGTTTTAGAAGAGATTTTATTTTTTTGGTAAAAGATTTCAAAGTTTAAATAGAATCAACTTTCACTTAAATCCATTTAATAGTTTGTAATATTGTCCTATCTTGAGTCTCAATTATCATTGTATTTAATCATCTTATAATAAGAAGGCCAAATATGAATTAAGCAATCTCCTAAGATATCTCATAAAACTGTAGCTTTTTTGTTGTTATTGTTCTTACCTGAATACATCCAATAGTAGGCACTGATTACTTGGTAAGGCAATTTTTTGTTCCAGGACCATTCTAATCTTGAGAAATGTCTTCCTGTTTTCTGTGGGCCAGAAAAGTTTATCATCTTTCTTTAGTAACATGTTGCCATGATTTTAAAGAGATTAATTATCTGGGGCCAGCCCATAGTTCCTTCTTAGTAGAAGTACAGAAATCCCGCGGGGGGCGGGAACTGACTTACCTACACACTTCCACATAACATACAATGGGTTTTGCCATTAAGATCAGCTTTAGGAGTAAGAATCCACCAATTTCATGGAGAATTGGAAACTCTCCCTATCCAAATTATCTAACTTGTATGTTGACAGTGGTGTCCCGGTGGTAATTGAAGGAAAACAGTTGTAATAGTAATAGCTAAATTGTCTTGAACACTCACTAATATCAGCTTTACATTCAATGTTTCCTTCAAAGTCATACAATTTATGTTTACTAAAATTCCTTAAGCAGGAATGGTTGGGAGAAAGGTAAACCATCTATTCTTCTCCCCTAACCTTTTATTACATGGCATCTACAATATATTGGATTTTGATTTTCTTACTGTTGTTTATTTTCATTTTATTTCAGTTTCAATAAAATAAACCTAAATACCTGAACATTGGACTATTATTCCTTTTAAGGGAAATGACCTAGGAAAAGTAAAGATAGAGTTTTTTGACCTTTTTAATTTTTTTTTAAATTACAGCACATTACAAGGCTATTAAAAGTGTTGTAAATAATGTAAAATCTATTTAAAACTCTAATATGGAGAAAAATTACTCTAATTATATGTGCTGCAGCATCAAGGAAGTTTTTTCCCCCAAAGGGCTTCTCATATTTCATAAACACTGATGAGTTTTCCCTTCACCGAAGTAACATCAAAATTATATTTGTAATTTAGAAGTAAGTCTCCTTGTCAGTATATTTCAAGGAATCTGAAGAAATAAAAGCACTATTTTTAGCATACTCCAATCAAGCCAGTAAATAAAGATATGGAATATATAAATATAAAGAAATTTGTGTATTTAGAAAGTACAATTATAAAAGAGGTTCCTTTCAATAGAAGATGATTTATTGAATTATTTTCTATAACATTAAGAAAGTCTTGAAATAGAAAAAAAAACAAAATGAAATCAAATATTAAGTTCTGGTGATTGATTTTATTGTAGGCTTTTGTGTATGTATTCAAAAAGTAGGAAGATGTTCTGAGGGAAAAATGTATTTCCTCATGACAAGTGGAAGTTCATTCAAGTATTTAACAAATACTGGTGAGTACCTGCCAAGTACCTGATTCTAAGGGCTGAAGATATAGCAGTGCCCAGAACAGAAAAAGATACCAACCTTCATTTAGTTTATGGGATAATAGAGAGAAGCAGATAGATGTACTAAGTTGTAAAATATTTAGTATGTCAGACTCTAAAATTCTATAGAGAAAAGAAAGGGAAAAAGGCCGTAACAGCAGTAAATACATGAGTTGTCTGTGGGCCACAAATTCATGCGACAGCATTCAAGTTGTGAGGGATACACTGGAAGTCCTGGCCTCTTGTGGAAATTAGAGTAAACAGAGGATTCATTCTGCCTGTCTTGATGCAGGTCGTGGACAGACTGGGGGTGTCTGTCCTGGTGTAAGAAATGACCAGAGTCCTGCCAGGAAGAAGCAGTGTTCTGGGCTCTATCTTTACTCTGCTAGAGCACCACGGTATCCCTAGGCCGTATTGATCATTCTGTCATTTTCAGGTTAACATCTCATCACCAAAACATTTATTTTAGTGCCTACTGTGTCAAACGTTATGCTATATCTTGTGCATACAAAGAAAATTAAGACTTCATAACCGCACATGAAAAGCTTAATTCTGGCACTTTAATAATACCTACTGCTATAACTTTTGATGTAAATTATTTAAAGATAAGATTTTCATGTTGTATTTATTAAAGTGTACATTTATGGCAAAGTGTGTTTAGACAGGGAATTTAACATTTATTGAGGTCCTCCTCTTGTTTGGGTTTGTGGTAGGTGCTTCAGGTACATTACCTTATAAAATCACCTTAAAACATTATCTTCAGTTGGGTGTCATGTTTCCCATTTTAAAAGAAGAAAAAAAAAGATATGCAAGTTCATAAAGCAAGCAAGTGGCAAAGCAGACAATTGAATCTTAAGTATTCATTTATTCTTTCTGTCAAAATAGGATGCCTGCAAAAACCACCCCATAAAATAGATTCATTCTGTAGCTTGATAATATTATCATAATTACCTATACAATATGGAAAAATCAATTAGTTTATATGAAAATACATTAAATCAGAATATATTACATAATACATAAATAGATTTATGTATAAATCAGAATATATTACATAATATATTATATATTAGCTCTCTGGGATATCACTTGTCTAGTTAAGGACCAAGAGATTGAGTTTCTCTAGCAAAGCAAAATGATTACGTTTCGGTAATGATTCTTAGAGATTTACATCGTCAAAGCAGTTCTTTCCAGAAGTTGCATACTTATTAGAGCATTCAACACTAAATTCTTCTCTTATGTACTGATGAAAGTATCCGAAGATGAGCTGTCTGAAACCAAAATATAAAATGCCAAGTGCCGTTAGGTCAAACACTCTGATCTGCCTCCCAGTTATTACTGTCATGAAGCTACCTTTTATTTTGTCAAATGAAATAAAAATGTGAGTTTGCCTATGCTTTACAACCAAAAAAGCATCATCAAAACCACAAGTTCTTAGGACTTAATAGAAGCAAAATGATCAAGATGACTGTTTGTACAAAGCATTGATCTGTTTCTCTGCTTTATACTTTGAAGGTAATGAGTAATTTAATTACCTCTCAGGTATATAGAGAAAAGTTTTTCTCCAAACATTTTCTAGGGTCTGAAGTATCTGAAATTGATCAGCCAGCAGCCGTGTGATCACACTGAAAGTATGCAAATTTTGGTTTTGCCTAAAGGTCAAAATAATAGAAAATCACACCAAGCTATTAAAATCTTACTTTATTTTTTTGTGTGTTTTTCTCATCTTGCCAGTTTTCAGAAACTCAAGGAAAATAATCTGTCAAGGATTCTTCACTATCTGATCAGCCTGAGGCAAATAACTTCATCTCCCTCTGCCTCAGTTTCCTCATATCCACAATCTCCACAATTCCATGAAAATCCTACTCATTCAACTAATATTCATGGAATTTCCCATTTCTAAGCACAGAGGGTCTTTCTTAATCCATTATTTTAGTTGAAATACTGAATTTAAAATTACAAATTTTGAAGACGGATCAGTTTTTCTTTTTTTTTTTAAGTACTGGTTATGTTATTTCTAAATATAATGTTACCTTAAGGGCACATGGTACAACTTCAAAGAAACCAGAAGCTCAGGCTACAGTCTCTGTCAGTTTTCATAAGAACATATCTCAACAATATAAAACTGAACAGAACTCAACAGTTCACTCTTAGAGCAGAATCTGTGTCAATCATTCTGCTCTAATGATCAGTACTTAAAGCCAAGATATTTTCCCCAAACACTAAAATATGGTTTTCCCATGTTCCAGTGGTTATTTGGTAATATTTCCACTTTACCCTGTATTACAACTTCTAATATTTCTATAAATAAAATAGACTTAATAGAATATTGCAGTGGAAATGAATAAAAAGAATTCATGGAAAGAGTCGGCAGAGTCCACTATTTTGGCCCTTAGTAAAGTCATGACATGTCCAGGTTTAACCTCTTATCTGGAATATGCAGAAAATCAAATATTTTTTTTACTTCATTTGGGATTGATCAGGTTCTGGGACACTGATCTCTATTATATGTTTCATAAAGAAATGATTTAACAATCAGATCATGTTTTATTAATATATAATTAAGGCATTTCAATCAACCAAAAGATTCCTAATCCCTGCAGGACAAAGAGGGCATGGAAGTTGCCTTTTATGACAGACTCTGTATTGCTCCTCCCTGTGGATATGGAATGATTTCTGCCCAGAAATGGCTATCTTAATTGGCATTGCACTGAGTAAATATATTACAGTTACTGTTTTTTCTAGCCTCCATGCATTTTTTGTGCTCCCATTCACAATTTTATTAACTTATTGTAAATATTTCCAAGGTGAATGGTTATCTAATATAAGTGTATGATTAGTTTAATTACTTTATGAAATTAAAGTATGCTATGATTTATCATCCATTTATTTACAAAACATCTCAGGGTGAGTTATTTCTAAATTGCTTTGCTTCGTCTGTTTCCTTATTTTCTAGGTAGAAAAATAATTTATTTTTTTTCTTATTACATCTTCAAATTGTTTTCGGTATTTATAATTCCTTTTTGCTCTTAAGATTCTGATTAAATTCTAACTGCAACACAAACAATAAATATAAGCTTATGCTTTATCCATAGGGAAAAAAATCCAGGGACATGTATACCCCCTTCTATCCAGAGAGAATTGTTATAGAAACCATTCTAACCAGACTTATTTGCTGACATATTTTTCTTATGGTTAAATTTTGGTCCTCTTATAATCTAAGCCTAGATAGACAGAGACATAGATATAGATAAAGATTTTGTCCTCATTGTCCTCCATGAAGGAAAATTACAGATAATGACTAATCAATATAATATCTACTTGTTTTCTTGAACATTGCCATCACCAAACTAGTACTTTAATAACTAACACCTATCTCAATATAATCCATTTCACTTTTGGTTGTTGTAATTCATTTTACTGCAATCGAATACCATGTTATTCTAACTTAGTCTTCAAAGTGTCAAGTACCACCCACAACAGGTTGTTCTTTCAATTTTTAAAAAATGTACTCTCTCTTTAAATAATAGTCATTCATAAAGTTATCAGATATTACTGATGCCCTAGTACCATCTCCAATATTGTTTGACCCCTTCTTCCTCCTCTGTTCACATATATCCAGCTTGGCATTATCAGCCCCCAACCCTGTTGTTTCCTGCTTTATTCATGTACATCCAAGAATCACTACATTTCATATCTAGAAATAAATTAGAAATTGCTTCCTCACCATTGAGTGGGCCCCAGAACTATTTACCTACTAGGTTGTAAGCTTCCTAAGGAAGGGCAGTTGTCATCTTACATTTGTAGCCCAAATGCCTAGCATAGTCCATGTGGCATAGTAGGTGTTTAACAGATATTTGCTAAGTAAATGGATGAGTGAATAATTGGATAAACAAAAGCATGAACTTAAACCCTGACCTCCTTGCCTAGTTCTTATAGTTCCTTTATTGCATATCCAGTGTGTCAGTTCCTAAACATTCAATTTCTGCCTACTGCCTTGTACTAAACCTGGGTTAACTTTTTTAGACTCTAGGACTCAAATAATAAAAAGGCTTAGGGATTTTTCTGCCCTTTTAATTGATTTCTCAGCTCATCTTAAATCCCTAGATATTTACATCCATCTGGTTCAGACTGCAAACATTTATTTGTTGATTCATTCAATTGGTGTATATTGATTTTTTAATGTAAGTTGTTGAATTTTGCATGCAACAGGGAGTAAACACGCAACAAGCAAAGCCCTTGCCTTCATGAAAATTGCAGTCTAGACAAATAGAGTAATTAGATAATTATTGCAAAAACACGCAAAGTTACAACTCTGAAAAATTCTACAGAAGAGGGTAAAATATACCGTGTTCTGAGAGCTCATAGTAAGGAAACTTGACCTTATCGAAGAATCTAGGCTTTCACCAGTAGTGTACATGTGAGCTGACACCAGAAGGACAAACTGGAAATAACCTAGATAATGTGCATGGGAAAGAGAATCCAGGCAAATTATTGAGAGGGCAGACAAGAGAATGAAAAGTCCCCTGTATGTGGAAGTTCAGGCAATGCAGAAAGGCATGTGTAAGAAAAGATCAAAGTAGACATAGCCAGATCATGCAGGGCCTTTTAGATTATGGTGAGATTTTGTTTAAGAGTAATGGAAGGCCACTGAAAGGTGTTGAACAAGAGAGGAAAATGATCAGATTTGATTTTTAAATTATCATCCAAGCTTCAGTGTTGTAAATAGGTGAAAGTAGCACTAAGGTGGATGTAGACAGATTAGTTTGTTGTCAAGATGAGTTTTCTGGCTTGTACAACTAGACGGATGTGGGTGTTATTCATTGAGATAGAAAACACACTGAGTGTGTGGGAAGGCTGTGAATTTGATTTTGGACATGAATATGTGTTTGGAAATAAATCCTAGGAGAGATGTCTTATAGAAAATTGAATATATTGGTTGAGAGCTCAGAGAAAATAATTTGTGTTTAGGTAGTAATTCAAGCTGTGGATGTGGAAGAAAGTATACAATAAAAAAATGGAGAGCCTAAGACTGAACCTTGGGGTGCGCCAACATTTCATGTCTATGTACACGAGAATAAGCCTGCAAGCTGATAGAGGAAAGACTAAAATAAGGCAAATATGTGAGAGAAGACCTGGAAAGACATGGTTTAAGAGTGAGAGAAGATGCTGTATCAAAAAAAAAACAGTCTCCTTTGAGATCACCTAAAAACTGAAAAATGTCTGTTAGATTTAGTAATATGGAAGTCTTTCGGGATCCCAGCAAGGGCTGTTTCAATGCAGTCATGGGACCAGTCAACACAATGGTGTGGGGTGAGGAGATAAGTAAAGACAACTCCAGCCTCTCTGAGACTTTTTGGTCATGATGTTGGTGACACCTTGGGAAAGTGAGGAGACTTAAATGCTGGGGAAACATTTGCGATTGCCTCATTTCTTTCACTTTATTCTAAACATGGTAGTGATGGAGTCCTAGAGGCTCCCCATTGGGACTACCTACTTTGTTAAATTACTAAATGTGATGAATATTTGTTGACAATAGTACCTAAAAATTTGTATTAATAGAATCATAAAGTCTTCTACAAGGCTCAAAGTCCAACATAATTGATGACATCGTGTCTGACTTCCAATATTCATGACTTCCCAGGTGAGTTTCCATATTTCTGAAAGTTTTCTCTGTAACACTTGGAAAATACAATTTAGAATTGGGATATATAAGAAAGATAATATCAGGGATGGAATGTTAGGTGTATCTGTCATTTGTGATATTTTACAAAGTGAAAATAGATTTATTCATATATTTTTACCCCATCTTCTTCCTTTCGTATTCTTTTTTTCTTCTTGTTCTCTTTAAGAAATGAATACCTAATGTTTATTCCGTACTGTACAAGGCACTAGATGATAAATAGAAAAAGGAAATTATGAGATAATGATAAATACACTGAAATTGCTGAAAAAGAAAGGCTATGTCAGAATGAATAAAGATAAGGTTAAAGAGAATAGCATTGAGAGGACAGGTATGATAGATACTTTTGAATGCAAGGCTGAGACGTGGTGGAGAATAAAGCAGCATTGAAAAAAATAACATTTAACAGAGATTTCCTAGCAGCTCTGTGAAGGTCTAAAAATAAAGAGAGTTTGGTTATTGTAATAATCTGGATATCAATTTTAGGAAGTGTATATAAATGAAAATCATTATGTAATGGAAGTAGTCTGAAGACTCAGTAATCAACAGGGGCATGCAAAGGTAAAGGCAGTGAATTTGGAAATAACAGGAACTTTTTAAAAAAGATGCTTTAAAAGGGAGATGTTTTAAATAAGTAAAATTATAATTATTGGCTTATTGGGCATCATGTGTTGGTAGGACATCTAAGTGTTCATATAATAAGCAGGAGAAAATGCTCACACACTTGGGGTTGCCCTGTAACTCACCTCAAATTATCACTGGGAATACCCACTTAGTAACTAGCATTTTCTAAGAGATGCTCTACATTGATAAATACAAGTGAAAATGTCCATTGATTGAAAATATGTTACACATCTATTAGATTTATTTACATAAGACTGGAAAGTTATATTTTACTTCTAATTATAAGTAAAGTTATTTTTAATATATTCACTTCTACTGGATGTTATTGAGTCTATTCTTAGATTACCTAAATAGAACATTTCAACTTTGTCACAGAAAATGTACACAATAATCTTGATTTTCCATTTAAAATTCTTATGAAGAAGGCTTATTTTTAAGAACTAAATTCTAAATTTTATTTCTCTGTTCTTCATAGATATGTTTTATTTAATTATTGAATTTATTTTGTTTTCTTTCAAAATAATTTTTAAGCATATTCATTTTGCATCAATCTACACTCATTGTAAAATCTAACATTGACTTATAGCTATTAGTTAATTTTAAACTAAGCAAAATACACTCTTTTTGTCTTATTAATTGTGTATTTGAGAAGATCCATAAACTTTGAAAAAATTCTATTTCTTCAAGAAACAATTTTTAAACTTCTATATAATGAAATATTAAATACTTTATTATAGTTAAGGAACTTTATATATTTTTTCTCTAGATCTCATAATGATTTAAAATCCATACATGCTTCAAAAATGCTTTAGTATGCTCATTTCTCCAATTGTTTAACTGAAAAATATCCTGTAATGAGGTCAGTGATTATTTTTTATAAAATGCAGAATTCCTCATTCATTCTTTACTCTGAATAAGTATTTAAGTAGCTTTTTCCAGTATGAGTTGTTTGTTTATGCTTTGCTTGATTGATAATCAGATTCTTTACAACTTTTATTTGATCTTGTAAAATATGTGATTTATTTAACACAATGGTGGGTACATGAAATGATTAAACTAATAGTAATTACAGTCTAACCATTAACCAGTGATATAGATGGTGAACAAATCAACCTTATGTATCACTAGTCACATACATGGGGATATTGGAAGGGTATCTTGCTATCCAAAATATTTATTGTGTCTCTAGGAGTCTCATAAAAATTTAAGTATCTTGGGAAAAATGGGTATGTTGTAAAGGGCATTGAATTGGGTTTGCCTTGAGAAAATCAGTTAATTTCTTTAAGTTTCAGTTTCTTCATTTGTGACATACAGATAATAATTTTTACCTATTTCACAATGTTATTCTGACTATAAATTAGATAATATAGGTAAATTTATCAAAATAAAAAGATGATATTAATGTTCAATTAATTATTCTTTTGATCACCTATCAAATTAATCACTAATCAAAATTCTGAGGATATACATATATATATATAAAAGTAAATTTTCAAAGGGGCATTGGGAAATGATTGTGGATCTTTTACATTGGAGAAATGGGTATTGCAGTGAAGATACCCTGGAAACTATTTCTGTGAGTGGGAAAAAGATGGCTTGTGGTGCTGATAATGAAGAGTGAGGTGCATAACTGGGACTAGAAACACAATGGAAAAATTCTATTTCCTGGTTTGTCCTGGAATCTATTCTGATAACAGTCTATGGCCTCTGCACAGATGTTTTCATATGGATTAGCCACCAAGCAGTTTAATGCATTAAGCCTACTATAACAGCAACAAATTATAATTTGTTTGTATTGATGCACATGTTAGATAGATAGATGATAGATATGTGAGTATAGATAGATAGAGCGATAGATGATAGATAGGTAGATAGGTAGATCGATAGAGAGACAGATGTTTCCACTTAAATGCCCTCATTTACATAAGTTTAAATAGACATATGAATTACAGCTCAGGCTGATTTGACTTCATTTATGGTTCCTATACCTTTTGATGTTTGCCTAAAGATATATTCAGCTTAAGTGCTATATTAGGAATATTTATTTTTCTTCTTATAAAATCTCTGAATTCAAGAATATTATTTTGTTTTCTATGTATTTTTATGTATTAATTCATGTAATTAAATATGTACACTTGTGAGATATGTACACAGAATACAGAGTTTGTACATATGCAGACAATTATAATACAAAAGTGAAGATTACAAATGCCACATTAGTCATACAGAATGTTTGGGGATTCCAAAGAGGGTGTGATGACTTCTCACAGGTGGTGAAAGTGGGCATCTTAGAGGAAGTGTCTTCTGAGCTGTGCCTTGAAAGATAACTAGTAATCTCTTTAAAAAGATAGACTGGAACTCAACTATGAGCTATTGAACGTTTTAAAATAGAAAGGTGATGTCATCAGAGAGATGCTTTAGGAAGATTGAAGTAGTGGCTTGAACCAGGTGGACTGGAAGGCAGGGAATGACTCTGCAGGTAAAAATGCAGTCAGATCACTATTTTAATAATAGATCAAAGGTTCCCAAGCACTGAACCCCCTGCTACAGAAGCATCTGCAGAGACTTTTGAACTGCAAATTTCCAGGCCCCTCCTCAGGGCCTAATTCAGTGGGTCTAAGATATAGCCCCAGAAGTAATATTAAAAACCTGCAGAGTGATTTTGATGCATAGCCAAGGTTAAGAACCACAGGCTGCAATGAAAAAGCTCTGGCCTCGCTGATAGACTCGAAGGAGGGTGAGAAGACAAGACAATGGGGTCAAAAAAGAAAAAAAATGTAGAAATGACACAGAAGATATTTTCTTTCCTGTTGTCCAAATTTCAAAATGATAATTTCCACTATTTGAATTTAATAAAATACACTTGCCAAAAAGTTTGTCTTATATATGTATTTGTCTGTATTTTATCTATAGATGTATTGAATGGTTCTTTTCCTGCCATTTTTCTCTTATTTAAAAAACAACAAAATTTGTCTGAATAAGCTTACAATATTTCTTTTTTTTCTATTTATTCTGGCTAGAATTTTGAAAATGTTTTAAAATTTTATGTCCTTTTACAATTACATTGATATTTAAAATGACTCTGCTTCTTACCATGGATATTTTTAAGAAGAAAAATATCAGTTGATGAGAAAGAAAACCACTATGCTTGAGACCATTTTCAGGGCTTTGTTATCTACTTTTCATCCCAAATTCTATATATTTTTATTAAGATTCCCTAATGCATAAGGATAGAAATTGTATTTGTAAATGCTAACTTAAAATACCAGTATTTAATTATGTTGTGTTGATAGGGATGATTTATTCTAGACTTTAATCGGATGTTTTTGTACCTAAATGAAATTTAGTCTTATTTTAATTAAATGGTAGAACATGCCAAAAATGATGGGTAAAACTAGAAGAAATGAACCCCAACGGAAGACTCCGGTTTCAGTTATCAGTTTTGTAGCTGTAAAGTAGTTAAGCTCTGTGGTTGAACCTGCCAGACAGGCATTAACATTATGGTATAGGATTCATCTGCTGAGATAAGATTTTCTCTTATTTAACTTTATTGAAATGTCTGAATAAATCACTAAGCCAAACGTATGGTTTCTTGTTTAAAATATATTAAAATCATGGCATAAAACAAAATTCTCATGTGAAGTAAATAATAAAAATAATTGTGAATGTATCATTCAAAACATTTTTTCAATAAAAAATGTTTGAGGAGAGCTCAGATTTGGTTACTGAAACCAATATTCCTTTGATAACTTATTTCTCTTTTTTGTTTCAAAGTTCAGACTAGTTAAATTGACTTATTTCTCTCTTATCCTACTTTTTTGTAGTCTTGCAACTAAATAAATTTAGTTATTACTTATTGATCTGTTCGCTTGAACCATCTGACATTTTTTCCTATTGTGTACATATAAAATAAGCAAAGTATCCTTTATTTATAAAGGACTTGGTTAATTGTACCCAATGAAACTATCAAAACCTTTTTTAATTACTTCTAAAACTCTATTCTCTGTTCAAGTCTCCGTGTTTAATATTTAATATTGAAACCATAGTGTTTACTGTTTTGCTACCTAATTTCTTTTTAAAGACTTTATTTTTTAGAGCACTTTTAGTTTCACAGACAAAATTGAGAGGCAGGTACAGAGATTTCCTATGTACCCCCATTCTCACAGATTCATTTCTTTTTTAAAAATATAAACTTGAAAACTTTTCTTTTTACAATCTTAATATAAATTCTCAAAGCATTTACAATTGTCCCTGTCCTTTATTAGAAAATTCTCGCCCAGGCTGGAGTGCAGTGGCATGATGATGACTCATTGAAGCCCTGACCTCAAAAGCAATCCTACCACTTCAGCCACCCAAGTACCTGGGACCACAGGCATGCACCACCATGCAGAGCTATTTTTTTTATATTTTGTAGGAAATAAAAGAAAGAAAGTTCTTTCCTATATTGAGTTGAAATGTTTTCTTATATTTCCACCAATAGCTCAATCCCTTGTGGCTACACAGAACAAATCTTACCCTACACGGCAGCCTTTCAAGAATTTGAAGACAGTTGTATTTATCCTCCTACATCGTCTCTGCTCTTGGCAGTTTTTCATGAGTCATGGCTTTGAATTCTTTATCATCCTGTCTTCTGAATGTATCCCAATTAGTTTCCATACCCAAAGTTGACTGTAGGACCCAGTTTTAGTCTGAACATCACAGCAAAAGGAACAATGAGAGCACTTGGACACAAGAAGGGGAACATCACACACTGGGGCCTGTGGTGGGGTGAGGGGAGTGGAGAGGGATAGCATTAGGAGGTGTACCTAATGTAAATGACGAGTTAATGGGTGCAGCACACCAACATGGCACAAGTATACATATGTAACAAACCTGCACGTTGTGCACATGTACCCTAGAACTTAAAGTATAATAAAAAAATTTCAAAAAAAAAAAAAGGAAAACCAATTTTGTTCTTGAGAATAAATTTCCGTTAACACCCCTTGCTGCCCACCCACACATCCCCACAAACCTGCCTAATGAGATTAGCTTTGAAGATGGTTGTTTTGTAATCTTGACTCATATTGAATTTAAGGTTGACGAGAATTGGGCCTTGGACAGAACTAAAGCCTACGTTGTTGGATAGCCTAAAACACAAAATTTGTTAACTCTTAAGAATTAATGTTTTATATGGAACAAAGTCTTTCAGGAATTCTAAAAGTCATACATCAATAAAGAGATTTTTATGTCTTTGGTAAGGCTTTTAAGTACTGTCATATTAAATCCTCCCTAAAATAATTTAGCTCAGAAATGTACAAGCAATATTAACACAGGTTTTTTTGCTTAAATAGTTCATTAGCCTCTGTAACTTCTTGAATATAAAAAATAATGCCAGGATTTTTTTAAGGTGTCTTTAAATCTGCTAGCAAGTTAAAGAAAAGGTTAAACTTTTTCAGACGCTATGCTTTAATGAAAACAACAGAAGACACATGTTTTATTGTAAATAAGTAGATAACTTTTCTATTAAGATTTGGAGCAAGGCTATGCACCATACATGCTCTGAGTGGGCTTGATTCCTCCAGGGAAGAGGCCAGGAAAGCATTGATGTGAAAACAGCCTTTCCCTTGCCATTCTCTCCATTCCAGGCAGGTTATCTGCCAAGAAGCTCATCCCTATCTGTAAAACTGCCAGCATCAGTTCATGCAGCATTCATGTGTAATTTGCTTTTTCTGGAGAGCCATACCAGGGCAGAGTTGACTGATTGAGGGAATTAAAAGCTACAGACTCTGGGACAGGAGGGCTGCCCTGTGGGTATATGAGCTGGTTACATTTTGGCCCCTTTTCAAACCAGGGATATGCAACTCTTGATATGTATGGGAAAGGCAGAACTGCCAATACTGACAGCGCTCCTGAGCAGCGCAAATGCTCCACATGGCAAATGCATCATTCACAGAGGACTCATCAGAGCAGCACCCAGAAAAAAACCAAACAGAGCAATACACAGAGAGACCAACTGGGGCCAGATTTTGTATATAAAACATTCCTCGTAGAGTGACTTATAATGGGTAGAAAAAGGATACGTCCTGAATGGCAAACTATTATAGTACTGATTATAGTACATCCATACAAAGAAATATCATGCATTTATGTATGATGATGGTAAAGAAAAACCTTTAAGATCTTCAGGAGAAATGTTTATGACATACTAAATTAAATATTAAATTTCAGTGCAGTATGTATATTGTTACCTCATTTTTAAATTCTTAACTAATTTATTTGGAAAGAAAAATGGTAATTAAGATCAAGATGTGGAGACAGGACAAATGAAAGATTATAACGAAAATTTTAAAAGAGGCCAGGAAAGCATTGATGTGAAAACAACCTTTGAGATGACAGAGTTATTGATGACTTTTCATGATTATTAATTCCTGTCTTTGTGCTCCTATGTGTTATGCAAATATTCCACAGACAATAAAGTTACTCCTTTTGTAATGAAAGTCTGTGTAATTAAATTTTTTTTAAAAAAAGTTGTGACAGGTATAAAAGTTTCTGGTTTATGAACAATAAAAACTACCTCTGGGGACCTTGAGCAAAATAATGATGGGTTAGAAGGCTATTAAAGAACTCCTAGAATCTGCTGGGTGGCTAGATCCAAGCTTCTGAAGGATGTCAAGGGAAGCTCCATACCAGGTGAGACCAGGGAGCTGAACACAAAGCTGGATCAGGCAGACCAAGAGAATAGTCTGGCTACAACTCTTCCACTTGACAATCGATCTGTGCCACAGCCTTTGACCCCTGGGCTGTCCTGCCATGAATAATCGTTAGTTCCCCTTACATTTTTGCTTTGCTTTGCCAAGAAACAAAAACTTAAGGTGGTGTAGTATATATGCAGTATATATTACCACCCCATTTCCCATGGCATATGCCGATGTCTGAGCTTCCAGGGACTTGCATGTATATTTACTGCTTCCTTTGGCTTCTAGTGAAGGCATTTCTCATATTTTGAGATTTCTGTAACTCCCTGCCTCCAATAGAAAGGTGTTGGATGCTAAGTAGTGGCAAATGTCCTGCACATGAAATGTTGGAATAGAAGATAAAGTATTGTGTTAGTACGTCTCTGGATATTTTTAAAATCCTTAAAATAAATTTTTACCTGTCCAAGAAAGTCTAATTGTGTGTGCCACAATTCCTAAGACTCTAGAACATTTCCATAATTTGTATTATATATGTCAAGCATAATACAAATACATTGT
This sequence comes from Homo sapiens, assembly GCF_000001405.40. NCBI lineage: Eukaryota > Metazoa > Chordata > Mammalia > Primates > Hominidae > Homo > Homo sapiens. Next base: position 78,919,930 of record NC_000012.12, read on the forward strand.
CCTAGTGATCAATGTGTGATCTGATTTATGTATGCATTGCCAGCCTCAGACACCATATATTAGTAGCAATATATTGTAGAGTATCATTGGGCTATTTTTTTTTCAAAGAGCTATGGAATTTAGTCTTTTTGAAATACTAAGGCAGAAAAATGTGAAGCTAACTACCGAAATTTAAATAAAATAAATTTTCAGTTATGAGTGATATATAGTAATGTGTCTTTATTAATGGACTTGAATGAAATGTGCAAACTAAATTAAAATCTTGGAAATCTATAATTAGGTTAATAATGTAGTGATGACTTCTTACCAGAGAAATAATAACATTTGATAGGATATGCTTTTTTCTTTCATAAGATGTTTTACAAGATAAGAAATAAAGTTATAGATATAATACCTGTGACTGGGTTGTCTTATGAGCTAATAGATCGCATTCAACAAATGAAAATGAAAAGACAAAATATGCATCATAGACAAACAGATGATGCCATCATCTATGAATGCACAGTATGGGTTATTGGAATGGCTTTAACACATTGAAGTTGGTCTAGTAAAAATTCAAGAAGCAATTTAGTTTTTAATTCACATGTTTTAATTTCTTCTTTTACCCACTTAGGTGCATGCATTTTTATAAACTTTTATAACCAAGTTCTCTAAATAAGCATTTTTTATTAAAATGCTTACATAACCACATTGAGAATAGAAATAGCTCTTTAAATATTGCTATTACCTTGGGGTATATAAAGTAAGTCTCAACCGGCAATTCAAAACCTTCTATGATCTATTCAGTTGAAATTAATCCCCTTTCTTTCCCTTCATGTTTCCACTAAACTTTGCTTTAACCTTTATTATCTGATTCAAGTTTGTATTATATGATGCTGCTAATAATGATGATAATGATGAACTTTTAGTGATTTGCAAATCAAAGATTAGACAGATTAGCAGGTTTGTTCAAGGCCATGCAGCTGACAAATAAGGTATTAATACTAAGATCCAGTCCTCAGCAGTCAGACTTGAGTCCATAGTTTTCATTTCTACACGATTGATAGATTATCTATTTTCTTCTCTGCATCATCAGTTTTTTGAAGGTGAGGCATTGATTTTTATTTAGTATTACAACTTTGAAGATACTTAGGACCACCATGACCACCAAATAACTAAAATTAAAAGAAAATACACCAAAAATTTTAGTACAGTTGTATAGTGTGATTATAAGTTCTCTATCTCATGTTTTTACCACTTTAATTTTTTTAATATTCTATAATGAACAGAAGTTAGCATAGGGGAATACTTTAGAGTAGAAATTTTGGTCAAATACAACGGATTTTAAATTACTTCTTCCTCACTTTACGACTATAACAGGTTATCTATTGCTTCATCTAATCCATGAATTGGGAGCTGTTGGTGAAACCGATACTCAAGTTTGTTGTAACAACTATATATACACTTAGAGTCTCTGGCAGAAAGCAGTCAGTAGATGCTAGTTATTATTTTTAAATCAAACAAAATATTTAAGGAGAGACTTTAATATTCTTAAACATAACCCTTCAAATCCTTAAACCAGATTTTTTTTCTGTACAAGAAAGTCTGGTTGTATATGCTACAATTCCTAAAACTGGAACATTTCAATAATGTTATTACACAGCTCAGGTCTTGATTCTAATGCTCAGGGTGGATAGAACAGGCAAAAAGTGCTAGGTAATGAAGACATGCCCCACCAGGCTTCTTCCCATTGGTATGCTGCCTTGACACAGTCATATTTAACAGTGAACTCTGTTTGGAAGCAATTTATATGCATATATAGATATGTTCACATGGCGCTGCTGAGATAATTACAATGTTATTTACTAGTTTTGTCTGGTATTTCTGCTATGTCTTTAATGACAAAATGCTGCAGAGACACGGGTGAGAGAGACAAAAGATGATGAGGATGAGGTGATTTTGTAAATAAGCAAAAAGAGGAATATTTTTGCATACTTTTGTGCTGGATGAAACCAGTAGAAGAGCAAATTTAGGTCTAAGAGAAGGTAATAAATTATATGCTTAAATCAAATACCTTTAAAGAATAAAAAAAAAAACTTTTGATCATCACAGGAAAAATTTCAAAATATTTTATCTTGCATCAAAAAGTTACATCTAAATATTACTTCATAAAAATTATCCTAGGGTTTACTTGACTTTTCTCCATGCAATTCCAAATAAAATAAGGTTTTATGAACTCTGAGATTCTTTGAACAGTTTGAAGAACTTGAACTGGAATATCTCTTACACTAAGCACAGGAGACTGTTCTCCATATTTAACACTATTTTCACAGTGTATACTACCATATCCAGTACATACTATGTGCTCAATAAATATACAATGAATGTGTAACTAATAGAGTCAAGAGGCATAAAGGACTTGGAGTTGCAAGACCTCGCTTCAACCCTAGGCTTTGCCAGTTGTTGATTATTCAACTTTGGGCTAATAATTTATCATATAAAATGTTGTTTATTATATTAAATTTTAAATATATAATTTCTTAAGAAAACATATTATAAAGTAAATTTATTTATTTGGAAAATTAAAAAAATTCTCAGACTGTATTAAGGAAATATATGTAAATGATCCTTGCAAATTATAAATGCTAATTGTTTTAAAGTCACTTCCAGGGCAGAATGGCAATGCTCTTAATATTATGAAATCATAGAGCCTCTGTTGAAAGAGACCTTAAAAGGCATCAAGTTCAACCACATCTCTGGTTTTTAATTATCTTTCTACATAGGGACCAGATGGACACATGCTGTATATTTAACTTTATCTTTAAGGAAATTGTTAACTGTATCCCTGGTATGCCTCAGAATGTTCTCTTTGAATTATAAAGGAGTGTTCTTTTCAGTACTTTATTTCATTCATTTAGTTCTCACACAACCCCATGAAGTACTATTACTGTTCCCATTAAACAGATGAGAAACCTAAATAAAAAATGTGGTTACTTGCCCAGCAACTCAAAACTAGTAAGTTGTATAGTCAGGACGAGAACCCAGGTAATCTCCAGAGCCCATTCCCATAACCAGTACAGAGTACCCTTTCCATGTGAAGTGGAATGTGAAAATCTCCTCTGCTTCTTGCACACGATTGTGGTTGAATGTAAGGAGCACCCCTTTTAATTGCATTACAGTATATCATCCAAACCAGCAGAGTCCAATTTCTATACAAATTTCAGATGTGAAAGAAATATTCTATATTTATGCTGTCCAATATGGTGGTTAGTAGCCACATTTGCCTTTTGAGCACTTGGTATGTGGCTAGTGTGACTGAGGATCCAACTTTATTATTTTGATAATTTTAATTTAAATAAGCACACATGGCTGTTGCACATGCCAGCACTTATTGGGCAATGCAGTTTAAGTTCTATATCAAAGCTCTTCAGTGTTTTCTTTATTGGCATGTGTTACAGCTCCTATTTATATGTGAGACACTCTCCCATAGCTGTAGGCTGACAAGACAGAGAAAGTAGTGACTAAAAGTTTAGATGCTGAAGAGACAAGTTTACATCTTGGCTGTGGAGCTTAGTATGTTACTCTGAGTTTAGAGCTGACTTACCCTTAAATTGGGATGATTATTGAACTACATTATAGAACTATTTAAAAAAAATTTATTTTGACATAATTTCAGATTTCAGACGTTCAGAATAGAGACAAGAATTGTACAAAGAATAACTGCATGAACTTCACTGAGAATCTCCAAAGGTTTCTGAACTCTCTCTCCACCCCCCCTTTCTTTCTCTCTCTCTCTCTCTCTGTGTGTGTGTATATGTGTGTGTGTACACTTTATTGTTTTCATGAACAATGTGAGAGAGTAAGTTGCTGGCTTACTCCTTTTCTTTTAGGTGCATATTTTCTAAAAATAAAGGCATGATCTCTCATCAGGAAATTAACATTCACTAGTCTTAATACTATTATCTAATCTACAGACTTAATTCAGATTTCATAGGTTTCCCAATAATGTCTTTTATAGCTAAAGAAAATATCATCTTATGCCTTGCATTCCATTTTCATGTCTTTAAACTTCTTTATTCTGAAACAATTCCTCAATCTTAATTTGCGTTTCATGACATAGACATTTTCTAAATAATATAAGCCAGTTATTTTGTAAATAGTCTCTCAATTTAAGTTTGTCAAATGTTTCCTCATGATGAAATTTATTCTATGCACTTTTGGTGGCAATACCACAGAAGTGATGATGTGTCTTTTGCAATGCATCATATCAGAAGGCCCATGGTATTCACTGCCCCATTATGGTGATGTTAACTTCAATCACTTTATTATCGGGTTAAGGTGCTGTCTATCAGAATGGTGTTTGCTAGTATAGGCAATGTCTGCCAATAATTTCAATGTAGTTATTACTTTTTCCCTCTGTAATGAAAAATATATTGGGGAAAGTTACATTGAGAATAACTAAATATCCTGTTGCTGCCTCGAATTTTTACACACTTCTTTTTGCACTTATTCATGATTCTTATGTGAATTCTTATGATGATTGCTAAATAGAGATTTTCTAGTTCCATATTTTCTTTACATTTATTAGTCGAGTTTCCACCTGAAAAACAGCTTTTTTCCACCTAATTATTTATTTATATCCTGGTAGACATATATTATTCAATGGGTTGTCATCCTTTATGTCATTACATATAATACATGTGAATATACATATATATGTATATATATTCTTTATATATATAAATATATATATTTGTATATATTTCTTTATATCTTTGATGCTCAAATTGTCCTGGATTTGAGTTAAGGGAGCTCCTTCAAGCTAGCTTCTACGTCCTTTTGATGTGTCTCCATAATTCTTTGAATACATCCCTAATTTCTGGCACAAGATGAGGTTTCATAATGATTTTCTACTTTCCCTCACTAGCCCTGGAATCAGTAATTTTCCTAAAATTCCTTTATTCCTTTGAGTGAAAAGTATTTAGAAGCCTAGATCATGGGCTAGGTCTTCTTCTTGTTGCTACTGGGTGTCATTGCTTCTAGGCCTTCTCAGCAGATAGCCTGGAAGTAGGACTTGAAATATTCATGAATGTATAATTATCTATATGAATAAATACATATAAAGGCATATATATTTATACATGTTTATGAGTATATGTGTCACTACATATCTATTTCTATTTTTATGCCTATCTATGTATCTAGCTATCCATCTTAAAACTCTTAAATTCAAACTGACGCCTCCAAAATCAACACCTTGGAGTTCATTCTATCTTCTCCCTTTTCCATATTTGTAATTCCCTTCTCTAATTTAGCAAAACTTAGTTACCATTGGCCACAATTTATTTTATTTCTTTGCTCACCTTAGAATATATAGAAACTAGTTTCCAAACTGTTAATCTAGGAATCTGAGCAAAAGCTACTCACTAGAATTGAATATTTGTTCAGAGTTGTCTTCAGACTCAGAGTACATAGTTCTAATAGTCAAGGTTCATATAGTTCAAAAGTTAACTGAGGTTCCCCCTAAGCTGTGTGGCCATGTTATTCATTTGAAATATGACTCTGTTCATGTTTTTGTTTTAGGTTTTTAGTTCTAGGAGTTTTTTCCTCCCATGCTTGTTAGTTTTCTATTCTTTTTAAAGTATGTATGTGAAACATTAAAAATTCCCAAAAGTCAGAACCATAAAATATTATACTCAAGAAGGTGTAAGTCCATCCTCCCTTTCTTCATAGAGCAGTTTTGAAGAGTAAATAATATTATAAATGTTTAGATTTTGCATTACCTGGCACATATTTAGGTCTCAAAAAATCTAATATAGCTATTCATCTAATAATCGCGCTTTTTCTATGTTCAATTACACACTCACTAAGTACTTCATACCTTTTTCTCAATGTATGAAACCAAATAAGAATGCACATATGTGAACAAAACTCTTCTAAAATTTTGGTATTTTAACTCTTACTAGCAAAATATTATTTGCAATCTTTCTCACAATTAATCACGAAACAAACTATTGTGTTTGATTTCCTAGCTAAGAAATAATGGCTTATTTCATTCCTTAAAAAGTAGAACATGAATGCTGCATGTGGCATAAGCACAGTGTTATTGCAGGAGTAATATAGAAAACATATCAGGGTCAGAACTCATTTAGTGGTGCCTTAAATGTGAAGAAAATAGCTGTAATTCTGCATAAATGTTATAATTGTTAGATTGCAGAGAAACAAAGAGTCCTGAGGCATGTCTGAAGAAATGAGCAGATTACATGCTTAACTAATTCTGGAAGATAAGGTTTCTAGATTAAGTCATGCTCTGCAAGGGAAACAAATAAAGCAAGCACTACATCATTAGAATCTATTTTATTTTAATGTATTTCTTTAAAGAGAAAGCTTTGATTCTGGAAATGTCTGACATTGCTGCATTTTTCTCATGAAGTCTTCTGTGCATACTTAACTAGTGATTCTAATACGTATATTTTACTAGTGATATTCAGTAAATATGTCAGAGAACAGATTTCTTCTCTTGGCTAAATGTTTGCAATAAAATTTCTGGATAAAATTTGAATTATTTTCCTATTTTGTGAATCATATATCCTTACTAAAGCATCTTTTTACTTCTTTTTTGATCATGTATAAAAGTTATTGAGTATCATAAGAAATTTTAAAACATTTTATTTTTATCACATAACAGGAATGGAATAAACCAAAAAAAAAGTATACTTAGAAAACTCTTAAATGACAATACAACTATGAATCTTAAACATTTTTGGGAAGCAAATAGAGATGACATATCAAGATCAAATTGTAAAATCCATGTAAGTATCACCAGCATGACAATCTTTCTAAGAGATGTTTACTTTTAGATATACTCCCTATATTCTTTATAGTATATAGAAACTTTCTTTGTCCATATCTTAATAGCAGGGTGAACTTAGAGGTAAGTTACAAGTTGCATACATTTAAATGTTAATTTTAATGCACCTTTGGTACACTTTATATTTTGAATTGAAGGGAAATTTTAATTCTGTAACATAAGTATCTTAATAGATACTTAATCATATATCCAGAGATATTAATAGATATCCAGTTTTACCCAGAATTTTCTTAAAGTAATACACAGATGCTTACTGATTGGTTAGTACCCTTCTTTCACATTTCTGAGGTCTCATCTTCCAAATGAGGTAGATTCAACAACGTTTCCAAGTTGTAGCTCCTCAGGACCCAAGTCCTCTCCATGCTGTGGCTAGGGCTTCCAAAGTCCCTCATTTCCCCACATCACCACTCCTCTTTAAGATCTCCTTCTTTCCTGATTTCTCATACAACTTTTTTATGCCCATCTCTGTCCTTGATGCTGGAGGGGGAAGTGAAACTGCCAAACATCATCACCAGGATGTGCATGAAATCCAACCACACATTGAACCCCAGATTTCCTTGGGCTCTTTTGAACACCCAATCTTTGGGTAAGATTATTTCTATGAAAATTTTGTTTCAACTTTCTAAACAATTGAACTGTAAATTTTACTGTAAGATTAGTGTGCGTCATTTAAAAAATTTTGTGTCTTCCGTGCGTTATGAGATATGTCCCATTCTGTAATCTCTGACCATGGAATCAAGCTTAAATTTCATGACCCTTTCTGAAATTACATAAGTGTCTTGAGTTTGTTTTTAACTGATATTCACCCGCCCCGCTTGTTGGTCTAAATGAAGAGGAAATTATCCTAATGACTTTATTTTCCTTCTTTAGATGAAATTGTTAGCATGGCAAGGAAAAAATATATTAGCTTTTCCATGTTTATTGCAATAAGATTTCCAGTAGATATCAGGATAATTTAAGGCTTCCGTTGCTACAGTTGCTTGCCTTTCTCTCTTCTGGTTTTGAAATTATCATTAGGAATAAAGAACTCATTGCTTTCTCCTAGCTAACCGTCTATAGCATAATACTAAATACCCTTTCAAAATGATGCTTCTATTTGCATTTATGTTACTTCATTCTACTAATTTTCCCTATGCTTTCACTCAAAAAGCTATGGATACCTCCACACTGTGTTTTTCGGTATTTCTCCCCGTGTTCTTCTGCTGGGATTTGAAAGTATACACTTGAACTTGAAATAAATAATAGTAATTCATGCAATGTAAGAAATATGCTGCTATTATAGGATAGGGAGAGAGATAACTTAGAAAGACATAATTTGTAACAATAAAAGTTTTGAGTATTTTTCCTTCTTGGCTGACTTCGTTAGTAACTATCATAGAAGCATTTGACACTTCATTTTAAAGTACAGTAGTCCCCCATTATTCTCCAGGGATATATTAGAAGACCCCCTAGTGATGCCTGGAACTGCAGATAGTACTGAACCCAATTGCTGTCAATCTTCCTGTTCATCTTCCACCTACAAATTTAATACTTATTCCACCTTAACTAAGCCCTTATCATACACTCTAGCCATAACTTTTATAGTGAAGTATGACAGCAAAGCTTGCATAATTTGTTTTCCTTCTTCCCGATTTCATGAATAGAAGACTCATTCTTACCATAGACATTAGCAACCTCAACCTCAGCATACTTTTTTTTTCTTTCCTTAAGTGGAGAACTTTCACTTTTTCCCTTAAAGGAAGCACTTCCCAGCTTCTGTTTGGCATATCCAAATTCTCACCAACATTACTATTGTGCTTTGGGGTTATTCTGAAGTCAATTAAGGGTTCCTTGAACACATGCACTGTGATATCACAGACAGTCAATCCATCACAGAGACGGATACTAAGTGACTCATGAGCAAATAGCGTGGACAGCTTGGATACACTGGACAAAGAAATAATTCACATCCTGGGCCTGTAGGAGCAGGATGGCATGAGATTTCATCAGCTACTCAGAATGATGTGCAACTGAAAACTTATGAGCTGTTTATTTCCAAAATTTTTTATTTAATATTTTCAAACTGCACGGTAACTAAAGCCATGAAAACCAAACCTTGAACAAGAGGGGAATGCTGTATATATGTCTGAATCATATTCCATTGGGAATAATTTACATAAGATATACAGCATAGCTATATCTGTATAAACAACACAGGTTTGAACTGTGCGAATCTTCTTACAGATGAAACTTAAGATTGTTAACTAAAAAAAAGATGGTAGAAAATTACATATAGTTTTATTTTATGTCTTAAATAATAATAATCAGGAAATTTGGATAAATATATAAAAAGTTATTAGCAGCCAGGCATGGTGACTCACTCCTGTAATCTCAACACTTTGGGAGGCTGAGACGGGCAGATCACCTGAGGGCAGGAGTTCAAGACCAGTCTAGCCAACGTGGTGAAACTCCGCCTCTACTAGAAATACAAAAATTAGCTGGACGTGGCAGCACATGCCTGTAGTCCCAGCTACTCATGAGGCTGAGGCAGGAGAATTGCTTGAACCCGGGAGGCAGAGGTTTCAATGAGTGGAGATTGCGCCAGTGTACTCCAGCTCATCAGCCTGGGTGACAGAGAGAGACTCCGTCCCAAAAAAAAAAAAAAAAAAAAAAAAAAAAAAAAAAAAAGGTTATTAGCAGCAATTAGTTTTATAAAGGTAGGAAGAATCTTTACTCAATAATTTTACTTTCTAACTTCACAATTTATGTAGTGTTTGAATGATTTACAGTTAGCAGTTATTACCTGTCTGAGTAGGAAAAGATAGAGATTTTCAAAAGACAAATTTTATTTTAAAAAGCCAAATGATGTAATGGAAAGTTGTGGAGTTTACAGTCAGAAAATGTAGCAGCCATCTAATCATATGACTTACTAGACTTAATTTATTCCTTCTGAGCCTCAGTATTCTTACCTGTAAAATATGATAATAATTACCAACCTAAAAGATTGTTCTGCAAGCAACATGTGAGAAATGTAAGCTGCAAATAGCAAGATACGTCTTCTGGTTTTGTATGTATGATTTTATACTGACTTACAGATACTTATAATTGAGAAAGAATGTGGTGGGGGGAAGGGTGGTAGTGAGTAGGACCATTTGTAAAATGATGAGAACAAAATTCAATAAAGAAAGCTCATGTTTCTGTGAAGTGGGCTTTTTTAGATTACACTAATAAGTGAGATCTAAGAGGACAGAGGGGAGGAAGAGTTATGGAGAAAGAGGAGCTGTTGATCCAGGGATAAAATTTCAGTTAAACTGGAGGAATAAGTTTTAGTAATCTATTGCACTGCATAGTGACTACAGATAATAATAATGTACTATATATTTCAAAATTGCTTATAATAGATTTTAATGTCTTCACCACAAAAAATCAGTTGCTGAGGTGATGAATACATTAATTAGACTGGTTAAAACTTTCTGCAATGTATAGATGGATGAAAACATCACATTGTACCCTATAAATACACACAATTATTAATTGTCATTTAAAAATAAACCAATAGAAAAAGAAAGCTCATGTTGAAAATTGAAGGCAGAAAGGGAAGGAAAATACAATGCAAATATACTGTAATACATTTTCAATCAAAGTAAAATAGCTATTCAGTGCTGAAAGTAAGGAGAAAGGGAATTGAAGAAAAAGTAACAAAGAAAACAAAAAGTCAAAAGTTGGGAAAAAAAAATAGATGGAGTTAATGACTCAGAGATTTTTAGAAATAGCACCAAGCTGTGAAGCCCAAGAATGGTCATTCAATTTGGAAAGGATGATCGAAGCCTCAATCACTTTTGTAGATTGATAATGACAGGATTAAAATATTTTTAAAGATTTTCACCACTTCCCAACCTCCTCCATTGGGAGGTTGGGAAGTGGTGAAAACTTAAACATAACCAAGTGTTGCAAGCAAAATTTGATCTACTGAATGTAATGCAGCTCTTCATGGCTTCAGGTTACGTGAGCAACAGGTATAAGCTAAGCTTTAGAGTAATATACAGATTTGTAATCTTGTGCCAATTGCTTTTCTTCCTTAAGTCTCATTTTCCTCATCTGTTAAATGAGGTTAAAAATAATAGCTATTCCATAAGGCTGTCAGGAGGAAATAATGTGTTGCTATACCTAAGACTGAATAAATGGTAAATATTGTTGTAGTTGTTGGAAAATTCTCCAGGCATTGTGCATCGATGATTTAAGAAGTTAGATATTCAAGTCAGGCGCTGTGGCTCACGCGTGAAATCCCAGCTACTTGGGAGGCTGAGGCAGGAGAATCACTTGAACCCAGGAGGCGGAGGATGCAGTGAGCTGAGATCGCACCACTGCACTCCAGTCTGGGCAGCAAGAGTGAAAGTCTGTGGAAAGAAAGAAAGAAAGAAAAAGAAAGAAAGAAAGAAAGAAAGAAAGAAAGAAAGAAAGAAAGAAAGAAAGAAAGAAAGAAGGAAGGAAGGAAGGAAGGAAGGAAGGAAGGAAGGAAGGAAGGAAGGAAGGAAGGAAGGAAGGAAGGAGAGGGAGGGAGGGAGGGAGGGAGGGAGGGAAGGAAGGAAGGAAGGAAGGAAGGAAGGAAGGAAGGAAGGAAGGAAGGAAGGAAGGAAGGGAGGAGAGAGGAAGGAAGGAAGGAAGGAAGGAAGGAAAAGAAAGAAATAGAGAGAGAGAAAGAAAGAAAAAGAAAGAAAGAAAGAAAGAGAAAGAGTTAGGTAAATATTCAGAGAGCTTCCATCTGCCCATAGAATGCAGGACTTCAATTCGCATCTTGAGAACTGAAATTGGTTACTTAGAACTGAGTGAACAAGTGTGTAGGCATGATGTAGATTTATTTATTTTTCTCTCAGGAGTTATTTTAACAATTTTGTTTTGAGACTTCTAACAGACTTTCTGGAGCTCTCCTACCAGCTGCTATTGTTCTGTGTCCCTTGCTGGCAAGTACTGTCTTTCAATAGAGATGAGCCAATTTATTTGATGCTGCCTCTGGAGAAGAGAGAAGCCCTTTGGGTACAAAGTGTGCCTGTCATGCAGATGGCTTCTCTAATCTAATGAGGTAGAGAGCTGAGCAGTCAGGAGAGGAAGGAGTGTTGGTAAAAGCAGAGTCTGTTCTCTGCACCCACTTCTCCCATCTATATATGAATAGTTAGTACAAGAGCCACTTTCTACAAGAATCTTTAAACTTTGACATGACTATCCTAAAGATGAGCACATCTGAGTCTGTGCATGGCTGGTGTATCAGTGCAGTCTGTTTGGACAGCCACTTTCCTCTGCCACAAGGTGTGTTTCCTTTTTATTCTTCGTGACAGTTTGGCTTATAAAGTCTTCCCTTATTGATGCAATTGTGAGAGAATAAATTTCATTCTTCCCCTGAATCTGTAACATCTTTAGAATATAATCTGAATATCAAAATTTAGGTTTTTGGTTTGGTTTTGTTTAATTAATTCATTTAACCATAAATACTTCTGTAATGAGAAACCAATTGTAGCTTATAGAATAACCTGATAGTGGTGATGAGGGAGACATAAGCCTGCTGCCTTAATGCTTTCTGTGCCTCAGTTTCCTCATGCATATAAGTGGGAAATATGTCACTATCTTTTACTGGTTTCATAGGATTATATTCAGTGCCAGTTATATTTGTTCTAAAACACTTGGATAGTTATTTGTGCCTTCAAAATTATCTAATGTCATATGAAAATACAAATTTTGAAAGGATACTATTGCAATGAGCTGTCAGTTTTAAATATTTTGATTTGAATTTTATTGAAAAACCAAATTCCACCTTAGGTTTTCTATCTGAAATGTTTAAAATTTGTGTAAATATTAACATCACATGGAAATCATATTCTATTTAAATTTTTTGCCATCATTTATTTTTTATCTGACTCTCCTTGTAATTTTATTTTCAATTGCCTTCAGGGAACAATATGCAAACTCTTCGAGAACTCATTTAACTCTTGTCAATTTGTACCAATAAAAATCAAAGCTTATATAGTATTATGCAAATATTTTATTCACTTGGATAAGAGGGAGTCCATTCTACTAAGTCAGTTCTTGTATTAAAATAATTATTCATTTTGTTTCATCATTTCAATTATAGGCGCATAAATTCTTATATCTTGTCTCAAACACAAAATCTCAGAACGTCTTACTTTCATGCAAAAAAACTAAGTTCTAAAAAAGCAAATTTATATCACCTTAAGACGTCCAAAAGTATAAAGGTTATTGGACATCACTCCTGGTATCCTTGGAAATATTTGTTTGATTTTGAAGAAAGCCTCTAAGCAGTCAAGTTGAGTAATATTTTTAACTTACTCTTCTCGACTTTGAAAGAGTGCACCTGTGAAGAAATATCTAGGGCATAGATATTTCCTCATCTCTCTTTATCATCTTGCTTTCTACCATGTTGGTCTGCATATGGTTAGATGAATCTGTGTGACTAATACCAGGGCAATCTTGACCTCAGTGTATCAACTTCTGTGAGCCTGTCTTGTCTAAAATGAATTTGGCTGAGTTATAGAGCCTCTAAGAAACTCTTACCAGAGGAAGGAAGACAAAAGTTTGCGGTGGGAAAGTGAAGAGGTCAAAAAAGGAGCTAGAACTTACTAAATAAACATTTTAGCATATATTATCAATATAAGAGTAACCCAGGAAAATCATTGTTATGGCTTCTATATTCTTGAATTTAGTAGTAAAAATAATTTGATTTTGGCTTAAATGTAATGTTCTATTTCTTAAGGTCCTGTTTCTCAAGGTCCCATTTCTTTTCACTCTACTTGTCAAGTTCAAGACCATTTAAAAAATTAGTATTTTGCTAGTACAGTTTATTAATAACCATCTCATTTAAAAGATAGAGATATATGTCAGGTGCACTCAACTTTATGTTTCAGATCACCTTGGATACTGTTTTAGCATTAGTTTAATAATTTTTGATAATTCATCATAAACTTCCATCACAGATATTAGCATAAATTCTACAGGCCAATTTTTTTAATAAATCCTTGTTTTACCTCATCAAGAGAGAAATAAAGAGTGAGAGAAAAGTGAAAGAGAGATTGAGATGGGGTAGAATCCGATAACATTAAAATTTAAGGGAACATGCCTGCTTTGTGTGTTTGTCTGTTTGGTTATTTCCAGAAACATAGGAATCTCAGTAGGAGAAATTGAGTATAATGTTCTGTATTTAAGGGATGCAGTTTATATGTCTTTTTGGTCAATACAGTTATTCCCTTTATTCAGGGGGATATGTTCCAAGACCCCCAATGGATGCCTGAACCACAGATAGTAGTAAACCCTATATACACTGTTTTTACATATATATATGTGTGTATATACATATGTGTGTGTATATATGTGTGTGTGTGTATGTGCGTGTGTACACACACACACATACACACACACACACACACCATACCTGTTGATATGGTCTGGCTGTGTCCCCATCCAAATCTCACCTTGAATAACCGTCATGTGTCAAGGACAGGGCCAGGTGGAGATAATTGAATCACAGGGTGAATCACTTGAGTCAAGGAGTTCAAGACCAGCCTGGGCAACAGGGCAAAAACCTATCTCTACAAAAACAAACAAACAAACAAAACAAAACAATTAGCCAGGTGTGGTGGTGCACATCTGTAGTCTCAGCTACCCAGGAAGCTGAGATGGGAGGATCACCTGAGCCTGTGGGGTTGAGGCTGCAGTGAGCCATGATTGTGCCATTGCACTTTAGCCTGGATAATAGAGCAAGACTCTGTCTCAAAAAACAAACAAATAAAACGAAATAACAACAACAGAAAAAACACTTGTCTTACATCATGTCCGGAATTGAAAACACCTGTCACGCAGTCAAAAACTAGATTAATTTTCTATGTGGAATATAGAAAAAGAAAGAAGTTGAAGTGGAAAATCTGGAGCAAAATATTTATATTGAAATAAAATCTGAACATTTTTTTGAAAAGATACACTGAAATTTACTACACAAATAAGTCAAGGCTCTCTCTAAAGAATGTGGCATATAATTTTTGTCTTTAGAAAGTATTAGAAGCATGGTGATGGCTGCACGGCCTCCACATTCTCTGCGGGTAGATGAAATCTTGAATTTAGGAATTCAAGCAGATCGTGCTTTCTGCCCTTAGAGAAAAGGTATTACATGTTGGTAACTGAGGTATAAAATAACCAAAGCCCAGATCTCGTCTCGTGCTCCACGGAAATCATGCCTCGCCCGAGTCTATAATTGGCTGAATTCATTTCCAATGAATGAAATGCAAAAACATGGAAAAGACTAAAATTGAAATTTTATAATTTAAAAGATTTAAACTGTGAGGATGGTACATCCTTGACCTAGAGAATTTTGAATCTGTCTTTGGACAGGTGGGCAACCATAGGAAGCAAGTAGGTGTCTGGAGATGGCTGCAGAGACATCCCGTCCCCTCGGTAGCACTGATTGCATTTTCCATGAAGGTTGCTCTTAACTTCAAAGCAGACACTCTGCTGTGAAGGTTCTGAGAGGTTAGTTCTGGGTCTCGTTGTTTCAATTAATCATTTATTCAATTAATAAATTTTGAGCTCCTGCTGTGAATCAGGCAGTATGCTAGGCCCTGTGGCTACAATATAGGCATGGTTCATGTTTTCAGCAAACGACATTTTACTGCTTTGGTAAAAATAACAATTCATCAGAAGAAAGGCTATATACTAAGTTATAGAACAGAACAGAAGTAAGACCCTCCAAAAAG
This sequence comes from Homo sapiens, assembly GCF_000001405.40. NCBI lineage: Eukaryota > Metazoa > Chordata > Mammalia > Primates > Hominidae > Homo > Homo sapiens. The sequence continues at coordinate 78,935,512 of NC_000012.12, forward strand.
GAATGTGAATATACAAGAATGGATATGAATAATTTTCCAAATTATAGGTTCAGCTTGGGTAAAGAAAACTGTGGGATTAGTTACCCTTGCTTTATGCTGAGAACTAAGAAAAAATAAAATAAATAAAATAAAATAAAACCGTTCATGTTAATCCTTTCTAAGACAAACATGCTTTTATATTCTGATTTTAATTTTCCATTTGCCAATGAAAGGCTCTTAGATAGCAGTTAAAAGAAGTATATAAAAATTAAAACAAAAAAGAAATTATTCCTAGGTTACTAAGTATTTAAGAGCTACAAACATATATAAAAACTAAAAAATTTGTTGTAAAGTCATTTGAAAAGGAGTATACTTATCTGTAGCCACCTAAGCTATATCTTAGGGCAGAGTAAGCACAGCTTGATCATATAATCTGGAAACCAGAATTATGTTAGCCTCATAAAGTATTTCCAAGTACAAAGAGTTCATTTTCTTTGATAAAACAAAGGAGAGATACAGTAATCTTATAGCCAAGGCAAGCCTTTGGATATAAGATTTTTAAAAGCTTGGAGAAAATTATTTTATTATAATAAAATCAATTATTGAGATCCACTGTATTTATGTCACTTCTTTTAGAGTTACATAGAAATTTTAATCTTTGTCTACAAAGAATTACACTTTAAAGGAACAATTTCAGTGTAGGAAAGGTTAACCGATGAAAATATCATATATTTGGGAATGTTTGCTTAGATAAGGACATAGTATTCATTGTTTCCTCATTTGTAACATATGGTGGTTTAATCAGTATTATCTCTAAGTTTCCTGGTAACTTGAACACTAGGATTCTTTAAACCCTAAGGAATTAGAATTCAAATTATGACTTGTGTGCTTCCTACTATATAATTGAAAAGTTAAACCTTGCTTATTTACTGTTTCTTAAATCATTACATATGTGTTACGTCTTTTAAGCGGCTTTTAGTATAATTCTTGTAGATTGGCCTTGTAGGTATGCCTGTTTATTTTCTTTATTCTTTAAATTGGGTATTTATAGATAATTAGGAGGTAAGATTAATTACAATTTTTCCTTTAAAAACCTACTTTTATGTTCACTAATTAAAAAATGCATATTCTTTATTTCTTAGTATATGTAGACTATATTTTTCTGACTTTAACCGAGTTTGGCAATTTTGCATGAACAAGCAAGGGACACTTTATTCAAGACTATTGCAGTAGGAAAGGAAGGCCAGAATTCAGTCTGAGCTCAACTCCACTGAAATAAAAGGCAGAAATGTTCTTAAAAGCAGTGGTGGGGGAATGTTAAGCCATAGGTGTTTGTTAATTGTCTTTACCAAATGGAAAGGAAAACTTTCTCATATCTTCCAGGCAAGGGATGGCTTTGCAACTTGGAGCAAGGTACCCCTGAAACTTAGGCTTCTACCCTCCAAAAGACAGGGGAATAGGAGCTCTATCTTCCTTAATGATGACATTTCAAAAGGATGGCTCCCAGGTCCTTGAGAAAGACATTTCTGGTTATAAAACTGACAAGAAGCTTTTTTAAAGATTTACATTTCAAAGGAGGAAATATTTTGCAATTACAAGTTTTCTAAAGCAAATGCTCTAAGAAAAAAGAGATCAAGGGCCTAGAATCAGGAAGCAGCCTGTCTAAAATTTAGTCAAGCTGAGGGGAATGTTTAGTCCACCTTGGCCAATATATTAGCCTGTAATTTAACTTTTTTTTCGAGGTCCTGTGATTGTGGGCCTTCTGGGTATGACTCATTTGGACTCTTGGAGATAGGAGGAACAGTAGGGATGATGCTTTGGGTACTCTCCTTTACTCTGCTATCCACTATTTATTTCTTGAGAAGACTTTGTGGCCTTTAAATTCTATAAGTTGAGTAGAAATTAAATATTTATTCTGGTAACAAACAATGAAAATGTATCTTAAATCAGTGAGATTGCATAGAAGAGGATTATCATTGAAACACAATTATTAATAATATTTTTAGTACTTTTTTTAGACCGTAAACATGATGGGGAATAAAAAAGAGAGGTTGTTATATTACAAAGATAAATAAATTCAAATGTAAGTCAAGATAAGCAACTACTTAAATAGAATAGCCATATTCTTCTATTAGCTGCTTCTTACCTTCCAACTGAAGTTAAAAGAGAAACGGTGTTTATGTGTCATTTTAGTAAGAAGACTGTAATAATTACAAATTACTTTTTTCCTTCAGAATCTTCTCAACAAAAAGCCACAATTTCTGGAAAATTCTATAGTGTGCTATAATGCTGAAAATAATTCAGAATAAATTTGCTCATAAAAATGTCAGTAAGAAAAGCTAACTGGATAATTTTTATTTCTCTGAAAGCCAGAGCTCTCTAATATCTGCTTTTGGGATGCTGCTTAGGGTAATTAGGTATGATTTTCCAGTTACTTGGGGACGAGCAGATGTGACTGGTATTGCTGAGATCCTAATTTTATACTGCTAATGCAATGCTTACCATACAAAGGCATGTGAAGGTGAGACAGTTAAAAGTCGATGTAAAGACTGGAAACTGGGAGTCTTTGTACTATATTTAAAATAATTACAACTAGGGCTAAAAATAATTTTATCTTTGCATTTCTCTTTTTTCTTTGTTTTCATCCACCATTCCCATAGCACCTGAATTCTCAGGGTCCCTCCTCTCCCTTTCCACCCTTTTCCTTCTATTTCTTTCTCTTTTAACACAGCTTTTCTCCAGGAAAATAGGACACAGAAAGAACATCTACCTGCAAACAGCCATCAGCGAGTAAGTCCAGATCATGCCAGTATTCAGTAAGCCATGTCTGACAACTCACCCTTTCCTCTGAGTTTAATAGGATAAAGCTAGTAGTGGAATAGAAATTGAGAAATGTGGCTCTACTGATAAGGAAACCTTGTCATAAAGTATGAATTAGCAGCGGTTGAGCAGATTTACTTCAGGAGTGTTTCACTGCTATTATATTGCCTGTTTTATCCTTTGGCTTCTATGGACATATCATCTGAGATAATGACCCTCCATCTATTTGCACAGGTGCAAGTAAAAAGGTCCTAAAATGGACACACAAACTCACACACATGCACAAGTAAGCATGCCAAGCATACTAAATTACAGAAACGAATAACTCATCAATAAAGCAAATGTTATAAAGTCCTGTGACTCATCATTCATGATTTACTCATAACACAAATTAAAAAATAATTTTGAAATAAGTTGACAGATTGGACCAGAGGATAAATGTAGGCTATCCAGGAAGTATAACTCTGTACAGTAACACTAAAGGAACAGCTGCCGTCTTTGTGTAGCTCACACACAGTCTGCTTTTATAGACCCTAATGAGGACAAAACCGATTAGCAGATTAGAAATTGACAGAAATCAGAGACACTCTGCTTAAGAATCACTAAAGTTGGATAGTATTTCAACTAATGCTATTCTTTGTTCATCTAAAGATTTATGGAATGAGTGTCTTATGTATAAACATCTGCCTCTTCAGGGAAGCATCTGTCATGCAGCCACCAAATAACATGACAGAGGGGTACTGTGTGCATCTGAAGAGCCTTAAGATCTGTGGTATTGCCCAAGTTCCTACTGCAGATTAAAACTTTTAATCAGGTAGTTTTTAAAAAAAATAAAATAAACCTAGCTCATAAAATGAACTGTTGAATAGTTTAATGTAAAAGAAAGCATTTCAAAGGATATTTCATTTAAATGCAAATGTGGACTATGAGTTATTAAAGAGAATCGAGTTTTCATATTCTTGTTTTTCTAGACTCCTGGGATCAAAGTCACCTTTTGAACTTGCAAAGTAAGCTTCAAAACTTCTGTCTTACTGTTAGGATTTAAGTTTATTGTTTTCGCTATTAAAAGACAAATGCTATCTGAAGCTTTATCTGCAGCATTAATTGTCCCTTAAAGACAAGGGAACTGAATTAACAGGAGAAAGGGTAGGACTCTAGAACATTTAGGTCATGGCTTTGGAATCAGAGCTCTCAGCAGTTTCATGCTTTGTGGATAATTAAAATCAATACAAAATAATTACAGAACTAGAAGGATCTCCAGATACCTAATCCAGTCCCTTGTCTCCAGGAGAAACTAGATCTAGTTTAAACTAACTTCCACACAGATACTTGAGTTGTATGAGAGAAACTGGGACTCTAGATTCACTTTCTGCACTTACCAAGAATATTGCAAATGTGGCTTGGTAACCAGTGTTCAAAAAGAGATTATGGTTTTTATAAGCATGACATTGGCATCATGAAACTATCTTCTACAGTCTCAGATCAGCAATGGAAGGCAATGATGGCCAAAATAATATTCATCTTTCACACTACATTTATAGAGAAATTAGGGTTTCTGACAATGCCCTATCTGCTAGCTTGTCTTCTCATTTTTAGTGTATCCTGTCTTATCTTAAAAGTTTAGATTGGGTGCTACATCCTCCATGAAGCTTACCAATCTCAATTCTTATTGGTTATTTTCTTTTTGATTCCTTTATTTAATAAGACTTTAGGATATATACATAACTCTATAGTAAAAATATAGATGACCATATAAAGCAGCATTTGCCATCTCTCTACTTAAATGAAATGTGCTTAAATGCTAGTCCCTGGAGCCTAACAGAATACTCTTTACTTAGTCACTACTCAAAAAATGCTGGTTGATGATTTTTTTTTTCTAAATCTGGTTGAAATTAATTCTCTTTATTATTCTGTTCTCATGGAAGATGAGGACAAGAATGAGATGTATTGAGTCTCCTGATTTCAATTCCCTATTCCAACATTATATTTCTCTTTATACCATTCTTAATGCTCCTTTTTGTTATGAGCTCAAACATCAGAACAGAGTGAAACAAATATATCCAAGCTCCATTAACTCATTTCTTTAAGTAATTTTAAAGAGACAGTGACTTGCCTATTGCCCAGTCTACAGTGCAGTGGCCCAATCATGGCTTGCTGCAGCCTCAAACTCCTGAGCTCAAGTGATCCTCCTGCCTCAGCCTCCTGAGTAGCTGGGACAACAGGAGACTGCCACCATGCACAGCTGATTTTTTTTTTAATTTTTTGTAGAGATGGGGCTATGTTGCTCAGGCTGGTCTTGAACTCTTGGCCTCAAGCATCCTCCTGCCTCAGCCTCCCAAAGTGCTGGGGTTACCAGCATGAAACACTGCACCTAGTCACTTTAAGTAAAATTTAATGTGACAAAATTACTTTGCAACATAAATTTCTGGATGACTCCTTGGAGTTTAGTTTTATTTTTAGATACATTTTCTTCCTAAAGAAAAGGGGCATGGTTATCAAAGCATTTTGTAAATCAGTAGAATTCAACATGCCTAAGGTAAGGTGTCGAGTTAGATTAGTGGACTAGTACAACAATACTTTCTGTTTCAGAAAGGTCAACATTGAAAACGTATGTGTGTCTGCATTACTGAATTGAATTGGCGAAGTTGAATATTTAATTGTGTGCTCTGTGAGAATAACTGCAGTGAGATACATGTCCTTTAGAGCATTTCTTTTTTTCTTTTTCTTTTCTTTACTTTTTTTTTCTTTTTTTTTCTTTTTTTTTTTTTTTTTTGAGATGGAGTCTCGCTCTGTCGCCCAGGTGGAGTGCAGTGGCACAGTGGCGCCATCTCCTCTCACTGCAAGCTCTGCCTCCCCAGTTCACGCCATTCTTCTGCCTCAGCCTCCCCAGTAGCTGGGATTACAGGCGCCTGCCACCACGCCTGGCTAAGTTTTTATATTTTTAGTAGAGATGGGGTTTCACTGTGTTAGCCAGGATGGTCTCGATCTCCTGACCTCGTGATCCGCCTGCCTCAGCCTCCCAAAGTGCTGGGATTACAGGCGTGAGTCACCGCACCCAGCCTAGAACATTTCTTAATAGAATCTACACACACACACACACACACACACACACACACACACACACATTATGTAATACTTTAGAAGAAAAAGATGGATCATTTTCATTGTTAGAGAAAGTCTTAGGAAAATTTTATATTTTACATCTACTGCATGCTTTGCAAAAATAGAAGAGAGCTTTTAATCAATAGTAACATTAGGCAGCTATATGGAATTGCATCCTATTTCACTGAATCTTGTCATTCTTGACTACTGGTCAAAATGAAAGACTGCTATTACACTATTACAGGAAATGTTTCCCATTGATTGTTATTTCTACAACCAACAGTCTCCACCATACTTTTCTATATTCTCTGATCCACATCTTACATTTCTTTATAAATGCTTCTTCTTCCTCCTTGAGCTAATAGACACCTGGTCAGTTCACCTGCCAAAAACACAAGGCATCCCAAGTGAGGCTATTCATTTCATTACACCAGTTGGGGGTGAAAAGAGAGGGAAGGGCTGAAAATAGGGATGACATTCTCCTCAGTTTCCATTGCCATTCAAGGACCATCACTTTCCTCTTATGTAAAACCTTTCCTCTGCACACACATCCCAGCACTGTCTTCTAATCATTGAGGACACTGGCATCTGGCTTACTATTTTCCTTTTGGCCTCTTTTGTACAACTTCATTGTCTTTGTGGAGAACCCTTCAATATGCCAACCTCCTCTACTGACATTCCATTCAGCAAACATCGTCAAACCTGAGGTCCAAAGAAAAGAATTAACCTTCATTTGATTCCTTATTAAAATCTCTCTCTCCATTCAAGCTTTATGTCCTTTAACTCTTTATGTCCTTTAAAATTATTCATTGAATCCTCCAAAACAACACATTACTGCAGACAATGACTGCTTCCCATGATCACATGTTCAATCTTCTTATCCAGGCATTCAATGACCTTCAAGATTGGTTCTTAACCTTTGTCTCTAGACATTTTTTAATTACTTGCACATAATTATAACTAATCCAACGATTCTCCAAATATGCCTAACTTTTCAGACTCCAAATCTTTCTCATGGCCTCTCTCCATCTTTCCAATTCTCTTCCTCCCCAACAACCCCAAATAATCATCCCCTTTAAAGCCCAAATTTCCAGGCATTCCATGACCTTTCCATGTCAAAGCGTCCATGTCCTTCTCTGAACTTCTGCAGAATTGTGTCCCACTGTCTGAAAGCATTTACTTTCTTGCTCTGTGGTTACCTATATATTTATCTAAGTCTCCTTAACTACTTGGAAGGTAGTACCAGCTTACTGTATTAGTAAAATAGGGTATTAGTTCAGTCTCTGGTTCTAATTAGTTCTTCTGACTTATCTCGCCATCCGTATGAACAACAGTTGTAAAATATATTGCCTGGAACCAGCTTCCACTTTTCCTGTACTTCCAGGCTGAGCCGAGGGTCGACAGAAAGGAAAGCCATTCAGCTCTGGGGTCCCGACAAGTTGGTTGACCCTGCAGCCATGAGCGGAACTCTCAAAGTCATGTCACCCAAGTGAGACCATGCAAAGATAACTGGTTACAGTGCTTTGAGTTCTGTATGTGTTCTATGAAATCATCAGTAAAACTGACCAGGGCTTTCCTATGTTTATATTTTCCACATCACTCTCTGTATAGTAGTCTAATAATAGTAAATATTCAATGAGTATTCATTGACTAAGAAGAAGATATTTACTACATTCTTTTGTATAGAGCACAATAATTTATAAGGGGTTTCTAATCCATTCAAGTGGCTAGTTCTTCGGTCATCTATTACTTCTTTTATCCCATCTGTGGTTGGAATTTCTCATGGAGTCTCATTGTGTTAGGCTGTTCTTGCATTGCTATAAAGAAGAACCTGATAGTGGGTAATTTATAAAGAAAAGAATTTAATAGGTTCATGGGCCCGCAGGCTTTATAAGAAGCATGGTCTTGGCATCTGCACAGCTTCTGGGGAGGCCTCAGGAAGCTTACAATCATGGCAGATTACAAAAGGGGAGCAGGCACCTCACATGGTCAGAGCAGGAGCAAGAGGTGAGGGGCAAGGGAGGTGCCACAAGCTTCTAAACAAATAGATTTCTTATGAACTCATTCACTAGCTTGAGGACAATACCAAGGACATGGTGCTAAACCATTCATAAGAAATCTGCCCCCATGATCTAGTCATCTCCCACCAGGCCCCCTCTTTAACACTGGGGATTATAATTCAACATGAGATTTGGCAGGGACATATATTCAAACTATATCACCCATCTCACAGGCCACAGCTTTAGCCTATGTCGAATACTAAAACTAGTAGAAAAAGCATGGCATGTCAGATTTGGCAAAACAGATTTTTAAGTAATAGTGACAAGTCATACCATGTTACAATGCCATGATTGCTTTGAAAATACTTTGCAAAACTTCTCAACTACAATTCATCATATGGTTCTTGTACCTTGACAATATTTCCCTGATAAAATGACATAAAATTGGCATTGTTACTCACCATTGACAAGACTGCATCACATGATCCATCTGGCTTGAACCTCATACTAAGTCAGAAGTTACAACTTCTTCCTGTTGAATTAGTTGCATATTATCACTAATTTTGCATAATTATATGTGTTTCTTTGAATGATGATATCTCATAAACATTGCAATTTATATCTTTCAGAAACTTATACCTTTTGGTTGTATATATTGATAAATAATATTTAAAATTAGTTTATTCTTATAAAGATTTCAGAATTTTAAAAATCTCTGGGAAGGAATATACGCTAAAAGATGCTTAATGTTCAGTGTAGCTGAAACATATACTTAGAGGAAGGTTTTTCTTTTTAAACAGTTAAATAATGGTAAATTGGCAAGTACCATGCCAATCCCCCTTCTTGCCATGTGTAGTACAGCAGTGGTGATAATGTTAGCGATTAGAGATATTAATTTTATTTATCTTTTTTCCTGGAGATAAAGGCTTAGTAAAAGATGAAAATATTTCTTATAAGTAAGTTACTACAAACAACTTAGTTTCTATTTAAAAAGTGGAAAAAGCTTCTAACTCAGCCTCAGGACATTAATTTTATTTGTGTACCATCTAATATTTGTAAGTGGACTTCATTTTATCTTGGGAGTTCAGAATGCAAATACAAAAAAAAACTCCTGGGGGGAAATGCAGTTATTAAAAACTCCCTTAGAGAATTATTCAAAAGACAGGTTACTTTATTTACTTCAATAAATAAAGTAAAAGAATATTGTGATCACAACATGAAAGAATGAAATTAATCTGTATTTGTTACAGAACAGAAATAAAATTAAGTTGTAATTAATTCAAAACAGAAATATGCCTTATTTGTAATTACCTTATTTGTGACAGCATTTAATTATTCCTTTAAATACAATTTTGGAGAAACTAAAATTTTTGACTAAATTTTGATTTTAATCAACACACACACACACAGTGTAGTCTTATGTCATAATAACTGAGATTAATATCCAGTATGCAAAATACTTGAGATTAATGTAGAATAATTTTGAAGCAAAAATGTTTTTCCCTCAGATGTGGGACATGATTCAGCATTTGATACTTAAATTTCCTTTGAAATGTTGCAGAGACAAACTGTACTCAAACTCAAATAAGAGCAATTTCCATTATTACATACCAATCCTGGAAATGTGTGTGAGAATGACAACTTCAATCACCACCACATCAGTTTGCCTTCCTTGTCGATTTCTTAGTAAAACCAGTTTAAAAGAATGTGTAGCCACAGGTGTGTATAGACAAAACTGAACTTATAAATAACACAGCAATTCAGCTGTTTTTTTGTTTCAGAATAAATAAGTAATTATTTCATTTTTACAAATTATTTCTAAACTTTAAAAATATAAATGCACCTTAACTTGATTTTTTTTCTTACCTGAGCATCTGTGAATGATTAATTGGATTTTTAGCCTAAGATATTCTTTCATGTATGATTTTCTTTGTAGGAACTTATAAAGCTATGCACACATATATATAATATTACACATATGATATGCATATGTTATACATATGCATATATGTACATAATATATTCATACATATTTTACATTTATATTATGTGTGTCTATATATATATATATATATACACATTTCTTTCTTTCTTTCTTTATAAAATTACACAATTTTAGGTTAACCAATGATGTGATTAGGCAAATGTTTTCAAGCCAAACCTCCCTCCTCTGTTCAGAAAATGAGATTAGCAGTGCTTATATGACACACTCCTTGAATCATCAGTCTTTGGTGCTAATTTAGTCAAATTAGGGTTATGCTTCTTTACTAATGTAGATTTTGACAATGTAATCCAAAGACATGAATCTCGTAATATTAATGGGAAGTCACTTCCATTTGTAGAGAGAGTAAAGAATGGACAATTGTGCCCGGTCCACCCTTATTCAGTCCCTGATCCTCAACCCCATAGCCAACATGCCTCACACATATCCTACCTATAATCGAAGGCAGCCCTTCTTGGTTTTACCACTTTTTCTAAGATTCTTTAGCCTTGTAGAAGAAGGTTTAAGGGGGAAATAAAAGAAGTCTAGTTCAAAATATCCAGTTTCCTCTTCAATGGCACCACTCAACCTAATACTGTTCAAAGAAAAATTCAGGACCTTTTCTTTCAAGCAGTAACATCCATGAGAAAATTTTAGGCTATAACACAGTGATAATATTGCAGCTGATTAATAACACACAAATAGTTATATATTAGAGAATTCTTAAATAAAACTCCTTTGTTTTTATTTCAATAAAATGTCTTTTTAAAAACATTTAAAATCTGAAGTAAACATTTCCAAAAGATCATCTCTTCCAATGAGGGAACAGGTTTATTCAGGCCTCAAGAATTTGAGGGGCATCTGGTGAATGCCAGGTGTCTTCTAACTGAAGATACAGCAGGAAACAAGAAAGACAAATGTCTTGTCTTTGAGAAGCTTATGTTCTAGTCATACGTAATGGATAAAAGCTTGTATTTATGGCTGGGCACAGTGGCTCACACCTCTAATCCCAGCACTTTGGGATGCCTAGGCGGGTGGATCACTTGAGGTCAGGAGTTCAAGACCAGCCTGGCCAACAAGGCAAAACTGCATCTTTACTAAAAATACAGAAATTAGCCAGGTGTGGTGGCACACACCTGCAATCCCAGCTACTCAGGAGGCTGAGGCAGGATAATCATTTGAACCCGGGAGGCAGAGGCAGGAGAATCGCTTGAACCTGGGAGGCAGAGGTTGCTGTGAACCAAGATCGTGCCACTGCACTTCAGCCTAACAGCCTAAGTGACAGAGTAAGACTCTGTCAAAAAAAAGAAAAAAAAAGAAAAAGAAAAGAAAAAGCATGTATTTATAAAACCTGGAGCAATTCTTAAACCCACTAAACTCAGTAAATCTATAGTGCCTATAACATTATACTAAATAAGTAATAAATACTTTTCTGATGATACACGTACTCACCAAATGTAATGACCAGAGAAGATATGTTTTTAGCTAAAATATCCTAGCTTTGGGATGAACAGTAGGAGCACTGGATTGGATCAGAATGCAGTATACACATATTTATTTCTTATGAGTCTGCCTCTTAGTAAAAAGTGTATTTTATACCTCTCTGTTTTCAAAAACACACCAAAACCCAAGTTTTGTTTCCTCAAATGTTTAATGACATTTATTTATTGTATCTGAATGATTTATTATGATATTGTGATACAGCATCACTTAAGGTTGTTTGGATTTTTAAAAGCTATTCCCAAAAGATTTGCAACTACTTTCCCCTGCTATCTTGGTTGCTTCCTGTTCTCACAGAAATGTGAATGATGTCCCTCATGTATTGCTTATTTCTTGAGCTTTTAGGTACAACTTGGCAAATATACCAAATGATAGAGAGGAAAAATGAAGGTATTTTTACATTGAAAATTTTTCACTGGCAAAGCTCTTTTCCTGAAGGAAACATCACTCATGTTTAGGCTAGATTATGTGCGCATCGTGACCTAGAATTGGAAACCCAGTGGCTACTGAACTGGGGGCTCCTCTAAAGCCAAACCAAACCATTTGAGCAAGAACTATGGACTATTCATACAGTTTATCAAATTTAGCCAGATGACAGAGACAGTGTCTGACAAAAGGTTGAATCTAGTAAAAAAAAAAAAAAAATTCACTTAGGATAAAATGTCTAATGGAGATTAAAACTTTAAAATATGTACTAAATTGGTGTTCCCCAGGCTGTTCATATTCTCAGTGCCTACAGAATACAGAAAAGCTAGAAATAGCTAATGTAGCTTTGGAGGATAACAGAAATTTTGTTTGGTTTTGTTCCTATGTTTTCTTCAAAATGTTGTTATTCTTTATATAACTATTTAGGTTATTTTAATTGGTTTAAAAAAGCTCGAGTCTATTCCAGGAGGGATTGTTTAAAAAAAAAAGATAGAATTTAAAAAGGTTGAGTCTCTACATGGATGAGAAAAAAAAAGCCAATATAAGTCTTTTATATAAACCAATCTCTTAAAACATTTTAATAAATATTTTATTTTAATCTATTAAAATCCCTTCATAGCCCACTAACATTCTAAAATACCAGCTATAGATTTCAAGTTCATTTTTTAGAACTTTGAAAGAAAAATAGATATATTGCATAAGAAAGGTGATGAACTTAATAATAGTTATGGAAAAAGATACAAATATAACAATGAAAGGTCCTGCAGATTAATTTAACCATTTAATTAAGAAAAAGAGAGCACTATTACTTAGGTAATTTTTTAAAGTCAATATTACTATAACTCAGTATATTAAAGGCTTTCAAAATGAAGGAATTAGTCATGGAATAGTGTTTTGTATAATTAATGACATATTTAACTTTTTCATTTAGTCATATTGCTATCTTTACTCCTAATCAAAATGCAATTTACAGAATGTATTATTTCATCGAGAAATTAACAGCTGGCTTGTAAGAAACATTTAAGTTAGGTTAATTACTGCCTTTTAAATTTGTATAATATACTGTGACAGAAAATTAATGATGCTCACACTATTTAGCATAGTTCATAACCCATATTTTAATGAAAATATACTATTATTAGTGATATACATGATACAGATATAATACACTCTAATTGCTGGTCATTTTATGTCTGTTCTATATAATTCTATAAAATGAAGCCATATTCATTCTGCTTATTAATTTAGACTTCACAGATAAAAATTTGCATTTAATATATTCATGTGTATATTGGATTATGTGAATTTTATTAACCTAAGGCATGACAAGTGGGGTTTGACTGACAGTTTCTCAAGATTCTAATCTGGTCAAGAATTCATTTTCCTTTCATCTTATCACAGACATATGAAAATCTTAAACTGAACACGTTAGCATTTTAAGTAGTATCCATTTTCTTCCTGTGCACTGTGCCAAAAGTGAGATAACTACTTGCATAGTGTCCATGGAGAGGTGTTTCCATAACATGCCCTGATAATAAATTTGTGACAACTCCAGTTCTGCTGTCTCAAATGTAAGTTTCTTACAGAAGCCTAAGTTAAAATCTCTTTCTTTTTCTGTAGCAAAAATCAAGGCCTATTATATTATATTATATTATATTATATTATATTATATTATATTACATTATCAACTACCAAATTTAGGTTTCTTGAATTGGGTCACTGCTTTCTTTAGTCATACTAAGTTCAGTGATCGTCTTTATGCCAGTTGCTAGTGATTGGCTATAGGACTTCTCCAAACAAGGACTACAATTATAGGAAAGAAATGGTATACCTCTGAGCTAATATGAGAACACATATTTTTTGAACCATAGGCAAAAAATACTAGAAAAAGTGCCATTGTAGTTGTACCATAGAACATAATTTTAGAAATATAGGACTCCCGTGAAATACTTGAAGAAAATTTGATAAATATATTGCATGAATAGTCAAGATGGCTATATTAAAATGGGTGTGAAATAAAGTTTTATTACTTTTTTAAAGTAATACCAACTAACTTCTGTGCAGGTCAATGATAACGAGTAAAATATGTCTACTGGTTTCAAGATATTTCCAAGAAAGTTTAGAAGATGTGAGTTCTCACAAGACAATATAGCTCATTAAAAAAAAAAAAACCTTAAATAATATCCAGTTTAAGAGATTTCAAATACCATTGCATTTATAATTCACTTTGAAGTATCTATATTCCAGAAAATCACTGACAATGGCAAATGTTTCTGAGTCATTGCTATAGAAAATATCCAAGATGGGTTATTGCAGACATAAAACTTCCCCTAAAAGAAGAGAATTCAAAGGAGGCAAGTAACAAAATTTATTTTTGAGTGAGAAAATATGACAGATTTTCAAATCTCTCATTTTGGCTTATTCAGCATATTGAGAAAGAAGCATATCAGAGAAACAGAGAAGCCACAGAGGATAGTAGGGCAGTTCCATCCCATTAGGGTGAAAGGACAAACAGGAAAAATGTGAAACTGGGCAACCTAAATTCTATTGGATTATCTGAACTATGAAAACCTTTAAGATATGCATTTCTAACTGAACAGGAAGAGTAAATAAATAATATAATAAATGTTTGTACATAGCAGCAGAATAACTTTTTTTCACAAGTTACAAATATTTTAGCATTTTTCTGTTAACCCACAATTCTCCAATTATTTTTTCAAAAACACAAAGAAAGTAAAAGCCTCCCTGGAATTATTACTATATACTCTAAAAGTAACTGCAATAATCAGTTTGGTGTAAATCCCTTCAGACTTTTGGTAGTGCATGAATATGTATTTTTGCATTAATGACATTTTCCTATAACATTTTGCTATAGACTAGATTTTCATTCAGTCATGAGGCATAAGCATTTTATATCATTACATATGAACCTACCTTATAATTTTGTCACTACAGTGTTTAATTAAATAACTGCATCATAATTCAATTGAATAATCCTTTTTGAAGTATCTTTTTAATACAGTAATATAAGCCATCATGCAACATATGTAAATGAACAATCATGCAACACACACACTTCTAGTGGAATTTACATTTTTACACAGTTTCTAATAAGCCTCTGTGATATGAGGGGACCAGTTTCTGTGGAATATATAGGAACTGCCAGGGACTTTTTCATATATAATTTCATAAAATCAAAACATTTGTTTGTAGAAATTGTGAGCATTGTTTTACAGTAGAAGACAATATGTTTCAAAGAAGTTGAAAAGTTTGTTGAAAGACACATACATAATATACGGCAAAACAAATCTTCAAAATCAGTTGTGTTTGGATGATTCCTTGGTCATTCCAGGTCAACAAACTGCAGGAAAGGCACTTTAAATGTATGTATATTTATTTGATTAGATCATGCTTTTTTAATCAGATGGTTTGAGTCTCAAACTGTTTTCCTTAACCACAAATCTCTGATTTGCTTTTCTAAACAGCACAAAAATTGTGCTGTTCTGATTTTCACCTAACATCCTTAACAGGAAACCTGGCTGTTCAGACAAAAATGGAGTTGCCATAGTGCTCTAGCCAAAAGTATCAGCTCAAAAATTGTCTCAGCAGGAATGATGGGTTTCTATATTTCTACATTTTAAATACAAATTGACATCACCCATGGACATCAAAAATAAAATTTTCCCATCTGGTGCATATTATAGTATATTGGAACTAATTGGTTTGGTTGGAAAATGAGGCAATCCTCTACATAAATGAACGTATGTATTCTCTCCAGAGTGATAGTCAAGTCCAAACTCTCAGTATATGGACTAAATCTTTTTTCCTAATTCAGTAATCCCATTGCTTTCATAATAAATCCTTACTTGTAACTTTTTAAACAACTATTTTCTTTTCTTTTGAGTAAAAAGCGTTCTTTACCTCCTAATACGTCAGTCTATTATGGGATCAGGAAGTCATCTATTTATTTATTAAACAAAACTTATGAAACAATTATTATTTCCTAGATTTATGCTAGACTCTAGGGATATAAAAACAAATTACACATAGAATCAATATCTTCACGTAGTAGTTACCAATATAGTAGGTAGGAAAGTTATATGGGCAAGGAATTGTTATAATGTCGACTATAAGGTGAAAATATAGTCCAAAGTTCATTTTGAGTTATAATACAGAAGACATATGAACACCAGTGTAATTTTGGTTTCCAGGACAACATTAATATGGTATCTAATAACATAAAAATGTTAAAGTAATTGGAATACTCCAAGGTGGGAGAAATGTACCATTTAATATGTGATGTCAATGTGTAATTATGCAAAGAAATACAATGCCTGGTTAACAGTAATTTAAAACTCTCCTAGTCTGTATTTTGAGTCAGTACAGTGAACAAGTTAGTCAACCTACCAGTGAGCATGTTAAAAG
Organism: Homo sapiens; assembly: GCF_000001405.40. Classification (NCBI taxonomy): domain Eukaryota; kingdom Metazoa; phylum Chordata; class Mammalia; order Primates; family Hominidae; genus Homo; species Homo sapiens. The sequence goes on from NC_000012.12 coordinate 78,951,745, forward strand.
CCAGATGAATGACCAGATTTTTTTGTTCACCTGAGTGGGTATTTTGCCATTGTCTAATCGCAACCTCCGTGCAGCTCCCAGTGATTTGGCTACGTGAGTGCTTTCTGGAGCTTATGTGTCATTCAGGGCATCTCTGGCGTCTGCACTTCTGTCTGTTCTAATGACCACACTCAGCAAGCTCCAGCTTTCGAAGGAGACTCCACTAATTAGCTTAGTCGGCATAGCATCTGGTAACTGGTTGGTGGGATAAACAGAAAAGACTCCCGAAGTGAAGGATGGAAAAATGAATTCTCCAGGCCATGAAGAGCAAAATGAAATTATGAGCATACAACCCAAAACCATGAAGAAGCTTGATCATTTACATTAGCCGCATCTGTAACATTGCCTGGCACGAAATCCTGGGCCAAAATGGAGATAATTGGAATTATGCAATACTCAGCGCTTCAGTTTGGCATCAGTTTCATAATATAATAAAACTTATCATTTGTAAGCCTGTCTGCTTTTTCAAAAAAAGACCTAGAACAATTTGATCTGTCCTGCTACAGCAGACACTGATGCAGGTGGTTTAAAAACAAAGCATTTAATCAGGCAGGGTTTTACTTAAACTACTTGATGATTCATCATCCAGCCTCTGCTCATTGTCAATTGTGCCTCTCTGAGCTATTATTTATAGAATATTTAAAGAGCCTGGACTGCATGTGCCTCTGTCTTGGGTTCTATTGTACTATAAATTATAGGTCCAGTTTGTTTCAAATTCGGCATGGACTGTCAGGATACCATGACTCATCCTCTGTTCAGATGAATACTGTATATGGCTAAAGCAAAAAGTACTGTTGTTACTATTAATTTATAGGTAATTCTGGAATATTCCTAGACTACAGTTTTGTCATGTTTTAGGTCCACAGAATCACTCTATTCCTACATTCCCCTATGTTCTTCTTTCCACAGGGTAAAAATAAATGAGTGGCTTTATGACCACTATGTAAATTCTGGTCTTCTAAATGGCCACTGCTAAAGGAGGTTGTTCGGGATGACACAACCCTTTCTCCATCATGAAAACAGACCAACTTTTCCTAAGTAGAGACTGCATAGATTTATTGAAATCACATTCTATATGCTGAGGGATTTTTGTTTTGTTTTGTTTTTCTTAAGCTGACTATTAAAAACAAAGTAAGCCAGAATTAGATTAAAGAAAGGAAAAATTGACCTTTAATGAGAAAACCAAGAGGGCAAAATTTTTTGTGTCTCATTTTTTAGCACTCAATAATTGCAATTAAATATTCAGTTTACTTCATCCCCATAGGCTCCTTGGAAGCAGAACTGTCTATTTTCTTCATCACTGTATTCTAGCCTTTAACACATAGTAAGGGCACAATAAAAAGAGCGGTGGTAGGAATCAATGCATGAGTGAATGAGTAAAAGACAAGTTGTGTGGCTAGACTATTGTGAGTCTGGAGAAAGTGGATTTTTTTAACATTAAAGGATGAGAATAGGAATGAATGATATAGGGAAGAGATGAAATGGATATGTTTGTATCTGGTCTGAGAGTCCACTTCAAAATGAACATTCCCTCTTCAGAGCACCCATGCATTGCTCATGTGCTGCTATTGCACCCATCACATTGATTTGTTATAGCTCCTAGGGGTTACTTAGATGGATTAGTTCACCTTTTTATTTCCAGCATAGAGTGTGGCACATTAGAAGTATCCGAAGTGCATTTATGTATACACTGACTCATACTGGATGAACAGTATCATCATCGCCCAATCCTAAAGTCTTGCCCCGTTTAAGGAGCTTTGAGGTATTATTGTCTTGAAAACTCATGGAAATGGAAATAATGCACAAGAAGCAATGTCTGAAAGAGTCAGGCATTCAGCAAACACAATTTTTTGTAAAATTTGAAAACCCAAACCACAGTATGACATTAAGAAAACACAAATATTACTTAGCCAAAAGAAAAACCATTTTGAAATTTTTCATAAAATATTTAGAAAGAAAGAACTTGGAGCCTGGAGCAGTAGAGTGAGAAATAAGGAAGGAATATGTGGGAGAGAAGAGAAAGGGAAAAGAAAGTGCATCAGATTTTTTATTGTTATTAGCACTAAACTGGTTTGCTTTGGGCCCTTAGCCAGGGTTGCTTTTTAAAACTATCCAAATATTTTTTTTAAAAATCCTCAATGATATTTATATGTCTACTAACATTTCAGTTGTTTTTATAGGGTCAGTGATATTAAGGCAAATTATTCAGATTCACATGGTGAACAAAGGCACTTCATAGAATTCTTGGACTACTTAGAGAATCAGAGAGATACTTTCTCTAGCTGCTACTTCATTTGTGGCCTTAGAGAAATAATGCATTAATCTCCAATTAGATCATGTCATCTTTCAGGATGTTTAGCTAAGGTGAAATGTGTAATTAAACATTTTAAATTGCATGTCACCTCCACCCACAGGGTTGACACATGTTTTCTTTTTGGTATAGTTTTGTGTAAGGATTCACTCAGTATATCCAGAAGTCACCTTGACCATGAAAATAAATCTGCTGCAAATTACAGCCTCACAATTAACTCAAACATTATCATCTATTATTTGTGTTCTCTGACTTGAGGAGCAGGTATTTGATTTTTTTCCACTTTTTACTTATTAACATAACTTTTATATTTGAATATATAGTAATTTTTTAAATTACCAAAATGATAGCAGGTATTAAGTGACAGTCTTCAGAATGATCCTATGTGGTACCCTGTGTAGCTTTTCTTATAATAAAAATATACATGGAACATCAGAGAGAGAGAGAGAAAGAGAGAAAGAAAAATATATGTAAATATCTTTTTAATATTGAGCTAATTTAAGCTTCATCAGTTTGTTGTGCATATGATATTTACCCTACAGATTTGTTTTCAATAATGGTATACTATGATGAATAACTTTAAATAGAAGTATTTTTCATTTAGAACTTTGTTGAATATTAGCACATGAGGGAAAAATAAAATATGTAACTCATCTATCTGTGTAAAATAATAAATGCTAGATCTAAAGGAGCCATTTGCTAAAATGTACTTAAACAAATGCATATTGCCTGCATTATATTTCTCTACTCTTTTATTGCACTATTAGTCAGAAATTTAAATTCTATTTTTGAGCTTGTGATTATCCTGAATACTAAGTGAAAGGGAAGTGATGATGGAATTTTTATTTTAATGATAACAACAGTTTTCAAGGGAGATAATCAAAATCTTTTTCTGAAGTTTGAAGATGAGAAAACTGTGTAAATCCATCTGCTGAGTTCATGTGCCTTTTGAGATTTGCTTTTCTGTCTTTTAATTTCACATTTCTGGTTTTTAAATTATTTCTCCTATAAAAGAATTTTTTGATGTCATTAATGCCGTTTCATTTTGAAATGACGGTTAAACAGAGTTTCTAATAATTCAACAGTTCTGTTTGGTTTTGTACAACATGTTATATTCAGGTGATATCTGAATGATCAACTGGATCAAAATTCAGAAGACAAGAAAAGCGTTGCTTGATCGATTTTCAAACACACATTCAGGTTTTGTCCATAGATCTTGAATGCCATAACACCAGTTGTGCCTCAGGGAAAAGCATATGCTTACTTGTCACATAGATTTTTAGTTGGTATGTTAGACCATTTGGGTCATTATAACAAAATACCTTAGACCGGGTAATTTATAAATAACAGAAATGTATTACTTACAGTTCTGGAAGCTGGAAACTCCTGGATCAAGGCCCTGGCAGATTCTGTCTGGTGAGAGCCCATTCCTTATGGTGGTAACTTCTATATGTCTTCCCACCACAGAAGGGGTAAGCAAGCTTCTTGGCCTCTTTTATAAAGGCACTAATTCCATTCATGAGGGCAGAGCCCCCCCAAAGGCCCACCTCTTAATGCCATTTTTGGAGACACAACATTCAAACCACAGCAATTGGTTTTAGTGTCATTGAACTACAAGCTTTATAAGGACCAGAAAGAAACTTTTTTTTTTGCCCTTAACCTAACAGTTTTCTGGGTCCATGCGTTTTATTTTCTGCCAAGATATTTGTGTGTGTGTGTGTGTGTGTGTGTGTGTGTGTGTGTGCATGTAGAGAGAGAGAGAGAGAGAAGCACTCAAATGCAATGTCTGCACTATCAATTGCATTTTCCCCTATCTTTTGAAATTTCAAGTTCAAACTCGTAGTTTAATATTTTTCTTTGGCTGAAAATAAATGAGTTGATCTGTGTGGAATGGGGTGATAAAAGAGGTCAAGGTGTGTGGGTAAGGATGGAAACTTCTATAATATGAAAAAATACTGCAATGAAGGTGCAGTATGAGGGTGCTTTACTTCTCTATTGAACACAGATACTTTTTGAATGGAAATGTGGTATGTAGTAATTTGGGAGAGAGTATCTTAGTAATAATGGAGTACCAACATTGACAGAATGACTGGTATGGGGGGGCAGAATGTGCATTTAATAAATATTTCACAAAAGTGCAATAACAGTCTGAGAAATACCTGGAACATTTTAACATAAGATATTAATATAAAACACAGACAAATAATCTGGAGACACACTTATTGAGTTTGAATCCTAGCTCTTCTCCTTTTTTTTTCCATGATGGGCAATTTGTTTAACTTCCCTGAGCCTCAGTTTCCTCATGGGTAAAATTGGGGAAACAGTAGCATCTATTTCATTAAATTGTCTTGATGGTTAACTGAGTTAATATCTCTCTCCCTACCCCTGCTAGAAAGAAAACTTGAGGAGGTTTTAACGTGTTTCAGGAATGTGGCCCAAACACCTGAAACAATGATGAAAATCATTTTAAACTTAAAATAGGCATCAAAAATGAAAAAAAAAAAGTGTTTATTGTCAAAAATAATGACATTTGTGCAGAGGTTCTGTATTTTAGTAGCCAATTACTCTGTAATATTTATTGAGATTTGACTCCGTATATATAAGGGAGTTTCAAAAAGCTTATGGAAAATGTAGTTAAAAGATAAAATTAAAAATATAAACTTTATTTCTTGACATAAGTTCTATCAAGTTCAAGAAACTTTTGTACATGAAGAACTAAAGTTCCTGGGAATTTAAATGTACTCTAGAGCAGTTAAATGGAGTCTATTTTTCAAAACCCATCTAGGCCATAAAGCCTTTCCTGACTTGAAAAAGAAAGATCAAATAGGACAGGAGCCCCACATCAGTGATTTCAAGGAGAATGCACAGCAGAGTGAATATGGACTATATCCTTTGTCCATTTTATCAGAGGACTAAGGAGATAAGGTCAGAATCAGAAAAAGATTTGCTGTTGAAAGTCACATTTGTTGATTCCACTGGCTGTCCACTGTTTGAGGGAGACTGATGGGCAAACATCTGCTTAGTTTTTCTATCAATTGTCAATTTACCGGAAAATATACCCATGTGCCTTGATTATTAAGAAGAACACCTAAAACCGGTCACAGTGGCTCATGCCTGAAATCCCAGCCCTTTGGGAGGCCCAGGCAGGAGGACAGCTTGAGTCCAGTTGTTCAAACTATCCTGGGCAACATGGTGAGAGCCTGTCTCTATTTTAAATAAAGAAGAAGAATACCTAAGAAGTAGTTACTTTTTTTCCCTACTTTCATTTTCTCCTTAAATAAAAGTGCTTTCTAAGTATTTTAAAGAAAACTCTTCTTTCTCATCCTGCCTCTTGCTGAAGCACTTACGACGTTCAAACATTAAGCATAATACTTACATTATTTCAACTAATACAAAAACTCTTTGGGATGAATTTTATTGACTTTATTTTGAAGCTTTAAAATGAACTCAGAAAGATTAAGTAATTTGTCTGTGATCACACAGCTAGTAGGAGAGTAGAGCCAAGGTTGGATCCTGTTTCTTTTTAAAGGAAAAGCTTATATTCTTTGCATTTCTTTGGGAGTCAAATAGCGTGCTGAACTGAATCACTACATGGTTTTTGTTATTGTTACTGTTGTTGTTGTTATTTTGGGTTGTTAAGGTCCTGTGCACATTTTTTTTTAAACCTGGAGATCTTAATCTTGTAAGGTGTTTTCAAATAATACTCACAAAATAAGTAAATAAAGAAATCCTACAAAATGTAGAAAATCAGTAACATTATACCAAATTGTTTGGTTCAGAAATTGCTTAAGACTTTAAAATCAGTTGACCCAATCTGTAATTTTATTTGCTTTCCAGCCTTCAGATAATTTTCAAACAAAAGAAATAACTAAAAAACTTTAATTTCTCTTTTCCTTTAAATTCTTGCATAGTTTCATGTGAGATCATAGCCTGTTATAATTCTGTTCAAACTAATTTTTATGGAAAAAAACCATTTTTGAGTGTACTTTTCATCTTTCTTTGTGAAGAAAGTTATAAGATAAAGATTTATCTCCCTTCTCCAAGTGTCCTTTAATAAATGGATTATGCTTCTGAAGCCCAGGTAGTTTCAAGCAACAGCACAAACACTGCACACAAGAGCTGTCACTTAGAAATGAAGTAATCAATAAACACTTCAAATTTCTTTTTAAAATTTATTTCACAAATCCAAACAAAACAAGTTTGTCTATAAGTTCCTTGCCATGTTTTTTTTTCTTTTTTTCCCCTGTTTATATAATTCTTATTTAGTCCCTATCAGTTATGTTCAGGAACAGGCCAAAATCAATCAAAACACAAACAAGGCCGGGAGCCATGGCTTACACCAGAAATCCCAGCACTTTGGGAGGCTGAGGTAGGTGGATCACCTGAGGTCAAGAGTTGGAGACCAGCCTGGCCAACATGGTGAAACCCCTTCTCTACTAAAAATACAAAAATATGCTGGGTGTGGTGGCACACACCTGAAATCCCAGCTACTCGGGAGGCTAAAGCATGAGAATCACTTGAACCTGGGAGGCAGAGGTTGCAGTGAGTCAAGATCACACCACCACACTCCAGCCTGGGTGACAAAAGCAAAACTCTTTCTGAAGAGAAAAAAAAAAAACTATGCATTATTGTTTATGGTGATTGAGTTTTATTACTTGCAGCTGTAATTTGAAATAAAGGAAACCACACTATGCTTAACCTCATTTTGGATCATTTACGCAAACGTGGAAAACTTTCAAGATCTGTATAGTATCTGAGAAAAATATTTAGAGGGCTTACAAGTCTACTTTTTTTTTGATATGTGAAAAGATTTCCTACATAAATATTCTTATAATATGCTAACTCAAACTTCATTCTTTCATTTTTCAGCAAATTATTCAGTCAATCCATTTAGTTACTTTGCAAACTGATAGAAAGCTGTCAATATCTACAAACTGATAAAAAGCTATAAAACTGCAGCATAAGGGAAGCCCATTTGCATTCAGCTGAGTTTAACTTGAATACCTAGATAACTTCTGGAAATTTGAGAAGCTACCTAAGCTGGAATGCGCAAATGTAGCTACCTGCTTACCTCACAGTTATTGTTATGAAATAAAAGACTAAAACCTTAAAAAAATACAGCATGTATATACGTAATTTATATATGCATGCTGTATTGAGGGAAACTCGGGAGATGTTCCAAAGTGTTGAATCAGCTAGAAGAAAGATTTTTTTAACTAAATATGTATGTTCATAAATATATTTAGAATAAAATTATAGGTAACTGCAAATATAATAGCTTAAGATGTTTGTTTAGAGTTACTGAGATAATCTTATTTTAAAATTTGTAATTTAAAAGCTACCTTACATAAAAATACTGATTTTATTTTGCTTCAAATTTGTTCTTTAATTTTTTTGTACACATCTGATATCACAAAAACATTGTTTATGAATTGGCACTGCTACCTTAAAATGTAAATGAGGGGGAACTTCGCCATAGATATCCATTATTCTGTTGGACAATTCTAGCAAGAGACACCTAAAAAGGAAGAATAAGTCAAACATAGAGGTTCTAGCCTCTTATTACAAACAACAGCTGTCAGGGCTTCTTAAGAATATGTGCCCATCAGAGAAGGCTGCTGAGTTCTTCTGTGTCTGAAATTAATAAAAACGCAGTTGCAATGCCAGCTATGTAAGCCAGGGAGGAACTCGGTGGAAAAGTGAGATAACAGGGGAAATGTTTTTATGTCTTTGGAGCTGTAAGTGCATTTCAATGTTATGCCATGATCAGAAGGGCCATATGAAGCAATTTTGTTTCTGAAGAATTGTGGTTATAGAGTTTGAACTGCAGGTATCAGTAAACAAATAAACACTACTGGTGATTTTGAAATTGATACAAAGCCAAAGTTAGGAAAAACTGCATTCCAGAACTGTTTTAAAATGTAATATAAATTCAAAGTTCCAAAATTTATATATTTTTAAATTCTTGGTTTTTTAAAATTTTACCGTCTAATAGTCAATACATTAGTGAAGAAATTTAATAAAAATGGCAACTTTACCACTCATATGTTTTTCTGGGAGTTATGCTGGCTTTTGTTTTAACCCCATTTGAACCCATTCTTTTAGGTAGATTTCTTTCTAAACATTGGCCTTTTCAGATTTTCTCTAAATATGCATTTCAAGTAATAACTTGAATTTCAGGAATTTTTTGGTCATATTTTTCTGCCACAATTTAAATATATACAGCAATCTGGCAATATAGTGACCTGCAAAATCAGTGCTCATTTCTTGAGTGAATAAGTAAATATGTTTATAATTTGGAAAATAGAAACACTTTTCTGACTCAATCTTTATCCCTAAGTTTCCCTTATCTTAAAGAAATGCCAAACAACAACAACAGCAACACCAACAACAAAACTGAGTTCCTTTAGCATGAATGAAACCATTTGGTGAGCTAAATGTAACAAACAAATGTTCTCGCGTGCTTCCTGCTCTGGGACATCCCAGGCTCTTGAAGAGGACCAAGTTCAGAGCGGCACCATCAGTGTCATGTTATGAAGGGGGCTGCAGGATCCGCAGGTACCCAGGAAGGATTCTCACTTACATCAATAGGGTTAGAGATGGCTTCTGGGAGATGTCACCTGGAATATGGAACACTTTTGAAAATTTTCAAGTGAAAAAAACTTAACCTAGCTAAAAGTTTTAAAGAAGGACCTACCATGTTTTTTTCCTGTAGAACTAAAAATATTAGTTTATACTTGAATTGCAAGAATGTCTATTAGCCCAGTGGTCTGTGTTCACATGTTAGCACTTTGGAGCATACGGTAGAGGTGGAAAGCAATATAAAACTATCAGAATTGTTTTATATAGCCCAATATGGCTCTGTCATCCATTAATTTTCTAAAGTTTTCTTCAAAAACACGTATATATTCATTCTACCTTTCTGAAGTAGTTTATTTCTGTACTCAAAATGCCCATTGAGTATTTTTTTGTTGCTGTTTCCTTAAGTTTGCTACTTCAAGCTTTATTTTTTTTAAGAAATTTTTTTTTTAGAAAAAGTTTCTCACTTTGTCATGCAGCCTGGAGTGCAGTAGTGTGATCACAGTTCACTGCAGCCTCCAACTCCTGGGATCACTTCCTACCTCAGCCTCCAGAGTAGCTGGTACTACAGGTATGCCCCACCTACCCACTGGCTAATTTTTTGAATTTGTATTTTGTGGCGACATAATCTTATTGTGTTGCCCAAGCTGGTCTTGAACTCCTGGCCCCAAGTGATCCTCCCACCTCAGCCTCCTAAACTGCTGGGACTACAGGTACCAGCCACTGCTCCCAGCACATTCCACACTTTAAATAGTTCTTACCCTCTTAAATTCTAATGATGCAAGATTTCTGTGACCACGTTCCTATTGAACCAATTGGCTGCTTTCATGTCTTCATGAAAATTGATCATACCTTTTTGTCTTTGTAGAAGGAGAAGATTTTATCTTTGTAACTATGTCTCCTATAGTAGGTTGATATTTCCCTGGGTCGCAAGCAGTATGGCATATAAACATGAGAAGGTAGTTATAGAATACATTGCTTAACAATGAGCAATTCTTAGGCATTACTAATGACAACTTGAAACTATTTAGGCAGAAGGGCTCTTAGTACAGATAAAATGACCATCCTTCCAGAAGATATAAGCTGTATAATTGAACTGGAATAATTGTTGAACATGGTATCCTTTTCTTTTCTGCTTGATATGTCATATTTTGGCAAATGGACATAATCATTTACTAAGTAGCTGATATTATACTTTAGCAACTTCACAGTGACAACTTTTTGACTCATAAGTTACTAAGAACCAATCAAAGATAAAAGGTAATATTATAATATTCTTACAATTTTTTAATGTCACATAATTCTATGTAACTAAATTGTATTGAGACGAATGTATCGGATTATGTTGTTTGTTGTTTTATAGGTTTCTTCTCGTTTTTGTTTTCTTTTGTTGTTGTTTTGCTTTGTTTGGCTTGGTTTGGTTTGAGTTTAGGTTTGCTTACTTCAGTGTTTTGGACTGTGCTGACATAGAGAGTCTACACACAAGTTTGGGTCACTCAGCTAACTTAAGGAATTATCTCAATGAGGCTGGGTATATAATGGAGCAAACATACATATGAACTATCTAATATGATTGTTACAAACGTTAAATAACTTAATACGAGGTAAAGTATTTTGACCACTGCTTGGTACGCAGTAATCATTCAATAGCATTCTTTCTTTTTTTTTTTTTTTTTTTGAGTCTTATAATTAATAATAGCATCACTTCGTGGGTCACGTACCTTTGCTTTTCTCTTGTGCAAACTTATCCTTTATAGCCTAATGATCAATAAATATTGGACATCAGTACTAGAAAACTATCTCAATGTTTATGACCTAATTACATCAACCAAGTGGGTAAATTTGTAAAGAGATTGGACCAATTGAATAAGTATATATATGTGAGGTGTGTGCATTTCCATCTTGTGTGGTGGGGGAGAGAGAGAGGTTGGCCTGTGTGTATTCTCATTCGTAATCTCTATAGGATATTCTAAATCTGAGCTGTCATTTAAATTATGTTTTAATAATGTGGCTCATAGGTACAAGGAATTTGATTAATCAGAATTGGAAAGAAAAAATTGTGTAGCTTAACTTGTACATCTTTGTTTCCCTGAAATCTACTCACCATGCCACAGCCAAAAATGATGTTTCAAAAATTCAGGTCTGATCAAGTAGAATTGCCCACCCGGCTTAACAATTTTTAATGACTTCCTTTTTCATTTTATTGTGGTAAGAAGAGTTAACACAATATCTCTAGAATTAATTCATCTTCATAAACTGAAACTTCATACCAATTGAACAACTCCCCAGTTCCCCTTGCCCCTAGTCTCGGGCAACCACCATTCCATTTTTTGATTCTATGAGTTTGACTATTTTACCTGTCTCATAAATTAGAACCATGAAGTATTTGACCTTCTGTGACTGTCTTATTTCACTTAGTGTAATATCCTCAAGTGTCATTCATGTCGCTGTATATTATAGGAATTCCTTCTCCTTGAATACTGAATAATATTCAATCGCATATATATATATATGACATTTTCTTATCCATTTATCTGTATTCTTAAAATATGTTTATCATAGGGAAAAACATCATGACATTGGTTTTTGCAATGATTTCGTGAGTCTGAAAATAAAATTACGGGCAACAAAAGCAAAAATAGCAAATGTGACTACATTTAGCTAAAAAGTTTCTGCACAGTAAAGGAAACGATGGCGTGAAAAGACTACCTACAGAATGGGAGAAAATGTTTGCAAACCATAGATAATGATGGGTAAATTTTTAATGTAGGAACTCCTACAAATCAATAGCAAAAAAAACACACTGACAACCCAATTTAAAAATGGCCTAAATACCAGAACAGACATTTCTTTAAAGAAGACATACAGTTAGCTAGCAAATATATGAAAAGATGCTCAGCCTCACAAATCATTAGGAAAATGCAAATCAACACCAGAGATATCACCTCACACCTGTTAGGATGGCCACAAACAAAACAAAAACAAAACAAACAAAAAAACAGATGCTGGCAAGGTTGTGGAGAAATTGAAACCCTTATATGCTCTTGGTGAAAATGGAAAAAGGGTTCAGCTGCTAAAAAAGCAAGAGGAGGCTTCTCAGAAAATTAAAAGTAGTGCTATTATATGATTCAGTAATATCACTCCTGGGATTTGGTCAAAAGAATTAAATCAGGATACCAAAGAGACATTAGCACTCCCATATTCATAGCAGCAGTATTCACAATAGCAAGATGTGGAAATAACCTAAATGTCCATTGACAGATGAATACATTTTTTAAATGTAGTATATACATACAATGGACTACTGTTCCACTCTCACTTTGCTTTCTGTGCTTCAGCTGTCCCCGGCACATGCTCACTCATTTTGGAGGAATCTTTGGCATTCTGAATCATCCTCCTATAACACTTTCCCATCCAGGCCCCACCCAACTAATTTTTAATCATAATTTAGATCTCAACACAAAGGCTGGCACAAAGGTAAGTCCCAAAAATATATGTAGGATGAATGAAAAAAAGATGAATGAATAATTAATTGAATGTGTATTTTCTCAGAGGCTCTGGAATAAAGTATAATTTGAAAAGTTTTCATTAGTAGTTTTTCCTCTATTTGAGTTAGTTTTATATTAGAATTATGTCAAAACCCAACTTAAAGCTTCCCTTTCTTATATTTCATAATCATGTATCTGAATGTTTAAGATTCTTAGCAGGGTAACAGAGAAAAGAAATCCTTTATGTGCTACTATTTTCTTTTAAAATTTAGGGTTACTGCATTAAGCAGGGGAGGATAATACATACTCTCTTTAGAATTTTGGACGATTTGAGATAAGGCCCAAAACTTAGCTCACTGAAAATGGAATTACTGCACATATCAAAACTACACTGAATGGTCACAATTGAAATAGTGAATATGCTGCATATGGCATAAACTATTTTACTATTTGTGCTCTAAAGTGTTATAAAACTGTAGTCATACAAAGATACTAAAGTTTAAAAATCTTAAAGTAAAAGAATTCCTGTAAGTGTTATGACCTTAATCCCCTGCAACTGTCTCAGTCTCCTCTCACAGCAGTCTTGGTTGTTTAGAGTGAGTAATTGAGACAAAAATAATTCTTTTGAAAGAAAAAACATTTGAGCCTCAAATGCTGATAACTTTTCTTCTCCTCTTAGAAGAGCAAAAAGAAAGAAAGATACAACCTCTGCACTTTACTTTTATATATAACAAGGTTGTTGTGGTCAAATAAATGTGAACAGTTTAGAATTCTATAAAATTATAAAATACTGATGTAAATAATAATATTTTATTATTAACTATTATTAATGCAAATATATTCTGATATGCCACTGAGGAAAGTGATACATTTTATGCACACTAAATAAAAATAGGCCCAATCTGACAATGAGAAATTATTCCTAATCTTATTTCTAAGCTTTGTAAAATTTGTAAATTTAAATGATTCAAAAATTTTATATTCACTTTAATCTTCCTCTATTTGTTAGTTCCTCACCATATTGGAAATCAATATTTGTTGTCTGATATATTTCTTAAATAATACGAATTAAATATTGTGAGATGTTTTAGGCCTTTAAGAGATATCATTTTTCCTTTTCAGTTTATGAAAATGCTAGTTGCCATTTTATATGTACAGATTAGGCAGCTACTATGAGCATAGAACAATAATACTAAGCAAGTGATGCACAACCTCTGCTCTCCTGGAGCATATAGTCTATAATCCTCTGTTTCCAGCTTCCTACTGAATATTTGTGCTTGATTTTCCTATTGGCATTTCAAATATATGATATTTAAGTTCAAATCAAATACATGTGTTCCCCTCAAATCTACATCTAGTGCTAATACTTACAATCTTTACAATTATAACCTAGTAAATCAAATATCACTTTAACTAGTCTTTGAGGGAAACCACTTTTTGAGAGTTTTCACAGGTGAGAAACAGGAGGCTTAATGGGGCTCAGCCACTTGCCAACAATCACATAGTTAATAAGTCCCAGAGCTGACACTTGAGCCAAGATCGGTCTCCAGGCCCCATTACCATCATGTGATACTCTCTCATCAAAGATCTCATGTTGCGTGGAGCCTAGTAAATCATCAAAAATATTCTGGAATAGGCTTGGTGCAGTGGCTCACACCTGTAATCCCAGCACTTTGGGAGGCTGAGGTGGGTGGATCACGAGGTCAGGAGTTCAAGACCAGCCTGACCAAGATGTTGAAACCCCGTCTCTACTAAAAATACAAAAATTAGCCGGGCACGGTGGCAGGCGCCTGTAATCTCAGCTACTCGGGAGGCTGAGGCAGGAGAATCGCTTGAACCCGGGCGGCAAAGATTGCAGTGAGATGAGACCACGCCACTGCATTCTAGCTTGGGTGATAGAATGAGACTCTGTCTCAAAAAAAAAAAAAAAAAATTATTGAATAAACGAATATAATTGACTTTTATTAATTCATAGTTCACATTTTTTTACTATATCTATTTTCTGTTTTGTTGACAAGGTAGTGGGAAGGGACCAACATTTGCTGAACATTAAACATTTACATTTATTTGTAATCATTTATTTGTTTATTTGTTTATTTTTTGTATTATTTATTTATTGTATTTATTTGTTATTATTTGAATCGTTTATTTGTCATATATCATCCCATCTTATCCTCTTAACTCTAAGATTGGTACCCTTATCATCATTTTAAAGAAGTGAAAACCCAAGAAATTGAACAATTTTCTCTAGGCCAGTGTGTGTTAAAGTCACACACTGACTTTAGACAGACAATTCCAAGTCTGCCTAATTCTAATGACTTAAATCTACTACACCATCTTGCTGATCCATTTTGCCTAGCAAACTATAGAGAGTAGTTTCCTTCTTCACATTTTTAGCGTTTCAAAAGATGTATGGCAAACATTTCTTCCATATTACTTATATCAGGTAAGTCAGAATAAAAAAGTTGATGAGGTGTCACCTATTTACTTACAGTGCCTCAGCCTGAACCCAGGAGCATGATTCAAAAATTCAGGCATGTGTGTTAATTTCCCACTACATCCTTTTGATATGATGTTGGAGAAAGCACTTATTCCTTCTGTATCCTACAGATACATATAAAGCATACCAAAAAGTTAATATTCATAAAAGCATTTTCTTGCCAAAAATAGATAAATTTAAGAGAAATCATTGTTGATTTCTGAGTTACATGTAAAGTCAATATATGCTGCTAAACTCTCTTTAACTTTTCCAGTATGTTACAGTTTTTAACAATCTGTTGTTCAAAAACTAAATACCAGAGGTATATAAAATATTAGATAATATTTGAGCATAAACTGTTGAAGGCAACAGCATAATTTTATTTCCTTATGCCATAATAGAGCATCACATCTCAGTCAGCCTACCCCAATGATGACATATTTTCTGAATTGTTTTTACCCACACATCTTATGCTCAATTTAACAAATATTTATTAAGTGCATAGTTGGCAAGGTGACACTATGGAGGAGATGAAAAAGACTAAGGTATCATTTGTGCCCTTGAGGAATTAATAATCTGACGGCAAAAGCTGACATGTATACAATCAACTGTAGTATTTGAAAGGATAAAGTAAGTCCTTTAATAGCAATATAAACTGCTCGGCTAGTATTGAGAGAGCAAGGCTAGAGGGCAGAGCAATGTGAAGCTTGGATTGAAGTGGCAGGATATTAAAGGCAAGACATCAGTTATGAAGCTAAAGCATATATAGGCAATAACATGATAACAGCCTGAATTAGTCAGTGGACTGATAGAATAGAAGGAAAAGGAATACCAGGGGCATTTCACTGGAAGAATCAATAGTATGTGACAATTAGATGTGAGAGTGGAAATTAGGAGGAGTCAAAGATAAATTCAAGTTTTCTTATCAGATACTGGGCTAGGAAACACAAAATAAGAAAACTGTGGGAGAAGCATATGACATTTCATTTGAGGTTTGTGGGTTTAATATACCAGCAAGCCATCTATGAGCAGATAGCCATCAGTGGGAAATTTGAGTCTACAGTACAGTAAAGAGACCAGCAGCAAAGATATACAGCATAGCAGTAATTGGAGTACATAGAAGATTATAGAAATAGGAAAGTGCCGAGGATAAAAACTTGGGGGAAATTAAACACAGATATGATAAAGGAAGAGTAAGCAGAAAAATACACTGAAGTAGAACACAAAACTAGAAAAAACAAAATGTGTGTGCATTGACACGGAACCAAAATTTTGAAACAAAGAGTGAAAAGAAGCTCAACAATATTAACAATGTAGAGGAGTTCGGAATTGAGAACGAGGTATGGGATTTGACAACCAGGACTTTTGTGATGACTTTAGTAGGATGGAATGGGGAACCTAGATTACTAAAGATTACATATCTATATATGGAAGTAAATGCATAAAAATTTACTATGAAAATTTAATTGTAAATAGGAGAAAGAGGAGTATATGGTTAAATAGGATGCAATGTGGAATTAATATTTTGACTCAGTATGGAGAAAATTGAACATACTTGTGAACCAGTAGGGAACAGAAATAGAGAAAAATGTAGCAAGAATTCTTAACCCAAAATCACGGATTAGGAGTCTATTAGGTTGTTTTTGATCTCCTGCAAGCCTAGGCAATATATTGAATGTACATGTAGTTTTATTGGAAGAGTCATCACATTCTCATAAAGATTCATACACCCCTCTAGCCCCCACCACCCTCAAAAGGAAACTTTGGAATCTCTGAAATATGTAGACAGAGTATTTTATGAGCAATGCCCAAGGGAACAAGATGAAATGCATTTGAGAGGATGTATATTCTACACTATTTCATTGAAAGTTCATCTGTGAATTTCAAGTGTTCCCTGTAAATTTAAAACACATTTAAAAGGAGTAACTCATATCTCTTAATTTACTCTGAATCTTGAGAAGAAAATAGATCTAAAAGGATCTCCACTGTATTCATTAGTTCAACAAATGATTGTTGAACACTTCCCAATCTGGGGCATGCATAGTGCAGAGTGTACTTCAACAATTAAGCAGGATACCTAATTAACCCAGACTTTAGAGGGACCATGCCAAAGTAGGGTTCAGTAATATTTTAGCAGACATAATATCTAAGCTCAGGCATGAAAAATCCATTCACTCAACAAATATTTATATGGTGCTCATATAGGCCAGATACTATCCAAGATGCTGGTATCATGTGTGTGAATAAGACAAAGTGCCTGCCCTCATGCATTGTATGAAAGAGAGAAAATAAACAAATGAACAAGTAAACAAATTCTATAATCATGTAGTGATAAGTGTTATAAAGAAAATATATATGCAGTGACCCTTCTGTATCCACAGGTTCAACATCCTTGGATTCAACCAATCATAGATCAAAAATATATTTTTTAGAATTTGAACATGTAGAGACTTTTTCATGTTCTATTTCCTGAACAATAGACTATAACAACTATTTACATGGCATTTACATTGTATTAGGTATTATAAGTAATCTAGAGATAAAGTATACTGGAAGATGTACGTAGGTTATATTCAAATACTACAACATTTTATATCAGGGTCTTGAATAGCCAAAGATTTTAGTATTTACAGGAGGTCCTGGGACCAATCCCCAATAGATACTGAGGAATGACTGAATAAGATAAAGGTACAATGGCAATGGAAGACTTCCCTACAAAGGTGACATTCGGAAAAAGACCGCAATAAATAAAAGAATAAGCCAGGTTAACATCCAGAGGAGGTGGAGGGAAGAGCAAATGCAAAGCCCTGGGTAAAAACATATCTTGGTTGGGCTTCAGGAATGACCAATGTGGCAAGAGCAGTTTGAGGAGGACAGAGAATGGTAGATAAGGCCAGCAGAGCCATTATGGGCCATGGCAGGGGATCAGGATAGGAATAAGTCAACTTGGGATTGGAAGGAGTAGCTTGGATTGGAAGGAGTAGCATGACTTATTCCAGAAGTTTGATTTGACTGTGATATAATGAGGGGAGTGTGGTGAGATGAAGTAGGAGAAGTCAGCAGGACCCAGGAAATAAAGGGCATTATAAACGTAAGTTATCATCAGAGCAAAGGTGAGCCACTGAAGATTTTAAATGGGGAGGTGACGTGCTTTATCAGTCTTGCATTTTGAGTATTGCATTTTCACTGGATATATTATAGAAAATGCCTTGGCAGATGATCAAGATTGTCTTCAAGGATAAAATTTACAAGTAAAGGCCCAGGATTCGATGTCTATTGCTCTTTCTACTAGTACTTTCTTTCCTAATAATGGGAATGATTATGTACTCAAGTATATTAGGAAAATTAATCTGAAACTGGTGTTTCAGATGAAGGGGAAGTAGAAGATTATTCCAGAGTTTGTTACAGTATCTAAGTATAAAGTGGTAAAGATCTCAGTCAGTCCACTCAATGTATTAATGATGGAAATTGAGAGAAAAAGGTGAGTTGCTGCTAGAGTCATAGAAGAAAGAATTGATAGACTTGTGCCTGATTACAGAAAGAAAGGAAAAAAGCAAAGATGACCTCATGTGGTATTAATGACTAAAGACATTGTTATTTGTATTTGTGGGCCTAGCCCATTGCAAACCTCCAATAAACCCTACTTAAAGTGAATAAATGAACACAGGACCAAGTGAGAAATAAAGAAAGCAAGGTTATGGGAACTGGTTTTAGTTTTAGGCATCTTATATTTGAATAGAATGGGTAAAGACAGTTGCCTAAATTTTAAAAGGTTATCAGTATATTAGTTTC
Organism: Homo sapiens; assembly: GCF_000001405.40. NCBI lineage: Eukaryota > Metazoa > Chordata > Mammalia > Primates > Hominidae > Homo > Homo sapiens. Next base: position 78,970,433 of record NC_000012.12, read on the forward strand.
ATTTTACATCCTGGACTAACTCAGTAGTATTATAAACATGAGTCAGTTTAGCTAGGTGCACCTATGTTTCAGCAATACACAGAAAAAAAATAAGACAGAGACATGTTTAAGAGCAAGGTCTTGAAGCGTGATAGCCAGGGTTCAAATCTCAGCTCAACTTCCTGTTAGTGTGACCTTGAGAAAAGTATGTAATTGTTATATTCCTATTATCTTCTTCAGAGGATAGCAAAGATGTGATAAATAATCTGCTACCACTAGCCTTTAGCACATACACTATAAATCAGGTTTGCAGATCAAAGACATCACTGAGTAACTTAATTACCCAAGATTCTCAACCGAGAAATAAACCCAATATGGCTTATTATGAGCTACACATTTTAATTGGATTAATTACCCAATCCTCATAACAGCAATGTTGGAGATTTACTATTATACCCATTGTTTTTGTTTGTTTTCTAGATGATGAAATCAAGAATTATAGCTAAGTAGGTGGATCACCTGAGGTCAAGAGCTCAAGACCAGCCTGGCCAACATGGTGAAACTCCATCTCTAATAAAATAAAATTTAAAAAAATACAAAAAGTTAGCAGGGTGTGATGATGCATGCCTGTGATCCTAGCTACTCAGGAGGCTGAGGCAGGAGAATTGCTTGAACCCAGGTGGTGGAGGTTGCAGTGAGTTGAGATTGCACCACTGCACTCCAGCCTGGGCAACAGAGTGAGACTATGTCACTGTTCAATAGATCATGTGAGTTAAAAATTTTCTCTCATCATAATTACTTTCAGCAAATCTCTAGACTAGATTCCTTTCTTAACCAAATTTATCTTATAAAGATGTCCAAACTTCTTTTGAATAATTTAAAAATAAAATTTGAAAAATAAATTTACAAAAGATAAAAGAAATACATTCATCTGTCCTCACTAACAAAGGACTAGAGAAAGTGAAGGCAATTCAGTTGAACAAAAACAGGTTGTTAAAATTCACAGCATAGTCTGTGTTGAGATTTTAGAAATAATAAAAAAAAGAGTAGATGCATTGTTCCATGGATTAAATCAGACAAGAGAGCTAAGCTTTTCAATTCACTTTTCTGAACAATTCACAAAGAAAAATTATATAAAGTTTCTTGTGTCTTTCATTTCACATTGAATAATATGGTAAACAATTTTTCCTAACATTTTTGATAAGAAAACAAACAAATTTTATTTTTAATAATGAAGCTAAAACGTGTATTTCTACGTATTTTATACTATTTTAACTTTGTGATTCTAGAGGCAAATAAAGTCTTATGATGGCTTGACTTGGACTATATATTATAGCAGAGGCAATGTATAATGAAAAGGGCACTTTTCACTGACTAGACTGAGAATCAATAGATATGAATGATACTTCAACTATACTACTAATACGCTGTGAGACTTTGGGCAAGTAAATTCAATTTCTGAACACTGTTTTCAAGGAAGGGAATCATTGACCCCTTTTAAGGGTCTGGTGAAAATGCATAAACATGTATAATTTTACAAAATATTTCAGGAGGTTTGCAGACTTCTAGGAATTAAAGTTCCTATTAATAGGTAATTAAATGAAGAAATACATAATCCTAATGTCTGTTTTACATTCTGTTTCTAATACAATTTGTAATCATTTAATTGTAAATGATTTCTTAAACTAAGAACAAACAATTGAACGGTGTAGGTGAAAGTCTCGCTCTTCTATTTTCTCCCCCATTTGCTGCCTTTGACCTTTTAAACTAAGATTCTTCTTATGTAAATATCATGTAAGATATCTTGCCACAAAGAATATTTCAGTGTAATTATTCCTTAAATATTCATGTCTCAGGTAATTAGCTGATATATCATCTGTGATTTGCTTATACGTAAGGTCAAAAACCTAAGGTAATGCATCATAAACTAATCATTTATATTTTCTTTGCCAAGGTTCACTGAATCTTTTAACCTACATTGACTACGATAAAGTTAATTTTCCATATTAAAGTAATATTCAAATTAGACTTTTAAAAATTATGCTATGGGAAAAAACGAACACACAGAAGTTAAAATTAAGGGTGCCATAAGCAAATAACTTGGCAGCTTTTCTCAGCAAAAAAAAAATATATATATATATATTTATGAGGCACATTTCTCTAAATTATTTAAGTTGGTGTATTAAACCAATTTATATCTAATCCAGTGAAATTTATGTCACATATGTTCATTAGGAGAAAATAATTGATAAATTAAGAAACACTTCACTGTGAAAAATCTATTAATATTCCTAACTCATTCGATTTTTTTTTCACCTTTGAGTTTTTATGAACTTATTTCTATGCCATAACAATATAATATAGATAAGTATAAAATACATACGTTTGGCTTAAGTTATATCCCCACCAGTCTCCCTATCAAATAAAGGGTGCCAGACAGTCTGCTATCTGCATTTATCTCTAAACTGAGAATAACTAAAGGATTCAGAATTTTATGTAAACATCAAGACAATGGGCTTAAAATAATTGAATCTTACTCTACAATAATCGAACTTAAAGTCTCAGAGAAATATGTTAGTTAGGACAAACGTATTTTGCTTTCCCATTAGCCTCTTTACCTTCTATTTTTCATCAATTTGTTTTGCCCAATCGGGTTTTATTTACACCTTTTTAATAAACTACAACAACTCTAACAACTGTTTCTTTTAAATTTATTTTTTAATTCACAGGAAAAATGATATGTATTTACATGCACAACATGATGTTTTGAAGTCTATGTACATTGTGAAATGACTAACACTAGCTAATTAACATATGCATTACCTCAAATAATTACTGTTTTTGTGGTAAGAACACTTTACATCCACTCTTAGTATTTTTATGACTACCTCATATTATTAACTATACTCACCATGTTGTACAGTAGATCTCCTGAACTTATTCCTTCTAACTGAAATTTTGTTTCTTTTGGTCAACATCTCCCCAGCCCAACATCTAAACACCCCAGGCCCTGATAACCGCCATTCTATGGAGGCTTCTCAAGAAATTAGAAATAAAACTACCATATCATCCAGCAAGCCCATTACTGGGTATATATCCAAAGGAAATGAAACCAGAATGTCAAAGGGGTATCGCCATTCCACTACATATTGCAGTATTAATCACAGTAGCCAATGTATGGAATCAACCTAAAGAATGTTTTTAATGACAAACAACCAGGAACACATTTTGTTAATCTAATGTGCTCCAACTTACTACACAGGTTGACCTTGCATAAAAGTAACTTTACAAGAATATTAGCACTAAATAATTCCTAACATCTTGGAGACAATTTTCAAAATAATGCGTTTGTTTACTCATTCAAGATGTATTTACTGAGCTACCACTGTTATATGCCAAGTGATGTTCTAGGTCCTAGACATGTAGCAAAAACCAAACTGAAAAAAAAATTAACTCTTGTAGATTTTCAAAGCAACTATAGCAGCAAGAGGAAGAGACGAACACCAAAAAAAAAAAAAAAAAAAAAAATATATATATATATATATATATATATATATATATATATATATATATATATGCAGTCATGTCTTAGTGACAAGGATATGTTGTGAGAAATGCATCATTAGGCATTTTGTCATTGGGTGAACATCATAGAGTGTACTTACACAAACCTAGATGATATAAGCTAACTATATACATAGGCTAGATGGTATAGCCTATTGCTCCTAAGCTCAAAACCAGTACAACATGTTACTTCAATGAACACTGTAGACAATTGTAACACAATGGTAAGTATTTGTGTATTGAAACATAGTACAGTAAAAATATGGTATTATAAGCTTATGAGACCATCATCTTAAATGCAATTCATCATTAACTGAAATTTTATTATTTGGTGCATAACTATATTGGATAATGATAAGTGCTATGAAGAAAAATATAGCATTACTTATAAATTAAGAAAACAGATCAATCTACTAAACATCAGGTCTTCCGAAAATTATTATTATTATTTTATTTTTATTTATTTATCTATTTATTTTGTGATGGAGTCTTGCTCTGTCGCCCAGGCTGGAGTGCAGTGGTACGATCTCAGCTCACTGCAAGCTCTGCCTCCCGGGTTCACGCCGTTCTCCTGCCTCAGCCTCCCAAGTAGCTGGGACTACAGCCACCCGCCACCATGCCCGGCTAATTTTTTGCATTTTTAGTAGAGACGGGGTTTCACCATGTTAGCCAGGATGGTCTCGATCTCCTGACCTCGTGATCCGCCCGCCTCAGCCTCCCAAAGTGCTCGCATTACAGGCGTGAGCCACCGCCCCCGGCCCTGAAAATTATTTTTTAAACCAATATAATAGTTATTCCTGAGAATAGGTACAAGAATTTTTTTAATCATGATAAATTTCATATCCTACCCCTCTTCATTCCTGCCTCCACCTCAATCCATTCTTCAAAGAGCAACTAAAGAAATTAGATCGTCCAGAGGCTTCTCGTGATCCTCCTTGCATAGACCCTTCAGCACAAACTCACCCATGCCCGCCTCCAGCTTCATCATCCTCCGTGTTTCTCTAAACTCACTATATTCAAGCCATAGTAACTTTTTATTTTTTTAAGTCTGTCAAACGTTTAATGCTCCTTCCTGCCTTGGGTCTTCACACATATATTGTTCCCACGTTGCGCCCACCCCCACCTCCCTGATCCCACCCCACCCCCAAACCCGACTAACTCCTGGTCACTTTTTAATACCGAAGTGTGATTTCTGCATGGAAGCCAGTTCTCCATGAGGTTCCTCTGTTTTCACTCTTCAAGGGTCTTTACCTATCCTTTGGGAACTTACTACTATTTAAATTATGTAAACACTTATGTTATACTCTGTATATTTATCAAATACCCCTCCTCAGATTGCAAGTTCTGCAGGACGAGTTCAGAGAAGGGGTGGAGGCAGTTGTTTCTCTCCTTGGCCAGTGTACTTTCACTGCTTTGCACCCTGCCTGGCATAGACTAGGCATTTAGAAAATTGTTCCTGAGAGAATTAAAGAATAAATTTCATAAAAAATGTCTTCAGTTTACAACATGTAGTTTTATGCAACACTTGGCAAAGTGGGTTCTGGTGGGAGCTGGTAATATCCTTTAAATCATGGGACTGAGCAAATGATTCTAGTTGAATCTGTGTTATTTAATCTGTGTTTTTAAATCTGTGAGGCTCTTGCCCCAGACTCTACTTGAAGTCTGCTGTGCTTGCCTGTAAGCTCATAATCCCAATGACAGATGGTTTTTAATCTTTGCTATTTGGCTTCTAGAATGGGTATGTATTACTAACTCATGTATTTTCTCTAACATGTAGAATCTGATTCTGGTGGCCATTCCCTCTGAGGAATAAGATACTTTCTGGGACTTGTAGCCATGGGAGAAAGGTTTAAAACACTTTCAGAGAGTTGAGGGGAAGCCACTTTATGCTTGGAATCATTGTTGAAAAAAATTCAATTATGAAAAATCACAAATGGGTAAAACCATTAAATAATCCCAGATAGCAGTAGCTCAGGGCATTATTGTTTAATCATCTCATGCTCAATATTCTAAAGGACACACACATACACAGCAAACAAACAGTGTTGGTGATGTTTTCTGTGTTTTTTAGAGTGAGAAATTAGAATTATTTTTGAGGACTGGAAGAATCTTTCCTCACTAACTAGCATATCCCAAATTTACACCATGACACTTACCAATTTATAAAAATATTTTATTTTATTTCCATATATGTCGCCCTAACTTCTTTAGAGGCATGAACCTATCTTTTCTCTTTTTTATCCCCAAGGACTGGCCAAAAAGAAGAAAAAAAAGTTTAAAATAGGCAATTAATATTCATTAAATAAATCACAGATAGTAAAGAAGTATTAAAAGCAGCCTGAGCTGGAGTCAACTATTTCTTGTCTGTATCAGCCAGGCAAAATGTTGCTCAGAAGCCATTCAGGGAATAAAACTCTCTTGTGAAGAATCTGTTCCTTTAAACTAAGGACTTACGTTTTCCCAAACCCTGTAAATTCCCATGTTTTTCTATATGGATTTATGCCAGAATCATTCCAATCCACTGGTTGGCGAAGAGAATGGTTTAATAACTGCAGGGGAAATGTAAAATTCTATTCAGAATATAATGAAAGCTGTATGGTATTATGTATTCATTTACCTTGTAGTAGGAAAACTCAAATCTTCAAATAACAGAGTGTTGCCATGTCAGCTTCCTCTGGAGAGTTGAAAACTAAACTGTAAAGACAGTAGAACGATGTGATTTGTATTGGAGTCACTGGAATCGACAAAACCTAAATTTTTTTTATAATTTATTTATTTCAATTAACAAATGACAAATTTTATAAACTAGTGGTATACAATATGATTTTAATGTATGCTCTACTATGCAAAGCCTCAATTCTTAATTGGTCTACAGGATTCAGCTGATAACGTGAATTCTGTCTACCTGCGTTTTTATATTTGTGAAAGAATTATGCTACTTTATAACTCAGTTTTTTAGAGTTTCTATATTCTAAAATTATTACTTTCAACCATCAAATATAAGATAGTAGAAATATGGGGCAAAATTTTTTGCAGTTTTATATCAAAAAAGTAGATGAATGCAATAGGGAGTGCATTAAAGAGAACAGAAAAAAATTTTAAAAGAAAGAATGGGGAAAAAAGAAGAGAAAAAAATGTAAAAGAAAGGCGAAGGAAGGGAACCCGAAAGGGCAAAGAAAGTGAGGAAGGAAGGGAATATTGAAGTATTTGATAGAGCTTCCCTACCACCCAGATGCTTTAGTATGTGCAGTATTTCAAAGTTCTTCCTAGGTAAATAGCAATGTCTTTCCTTTTTATTAGCACTGCTGCAGCTGCTGTTGCTCACAAAGAGATTCACAAATCAAAATAGACTCAGTTAGCTTTTCAATAATTCTGAAAAGGTAGGAGAACATTGCCAGAAAAGGATAGCACTCCAGTATCCTAACATAGAGTCTTGTTAGCAAAACAAAGTGTGAATTGCTTAGATAATTCCCTGCTGTTGGTAATTCCACTGGGTGTCTTCTGTGGCAGCACAGGCTACTTCTCCTCTATAGACCAATGCCATTGAACAGAAGATGTCAGAATGATATGAAAAAGTTGCTCTTTTGAAATGTTTGTTCTTCTAGATTTTTTTAAAATGTCAGCATGATTCATACCTATTGGTTCTTAGCCTGGAGCACCCAGCACAACCAGGAATTGAGGAAGCTAGAGCAGGATGTGAATAACGAATGGGCTGCATAAGCAGAAGTCTATACCCAGTCAATAAGCAGAAGTCTATACCCAGTCAGTGTGCAGAGTTGCAGGCTAGCATTTTCACAGATTCTATTATTCTCTCTCTCTCAAGGGAAAACGGGAAAACTAGCAAGAGCTAGCAAGAACTAGCAAGAGCTTGAACAAACGCCTGGACTCAGATTGGAAGACTGCTCATTTGTCTACTGCCTCATTCCTGGAAATTGCACTGGAACTGTCTGATTAAGGTATTTGGAAAAAACAAATTTTTGACACATTTTGTTGATGATCAACCTCCTTTATCCATCCATATCTTTTTATATGTGGCGGCGGGGCCGGCGGAGGGAAGGGTAGTATTTGTGCTGAAGATTGAAGAACTGTATCTCTTTAAAAATTCTTGTGATATTAAGGGGAAATTAGTGTTTGTCACATATTCTGAAATTATTACTATTATTAATGTTTTTGAAATGCTGTTTTCGTTGGTGGGGCACTGGCTCCTTGTATAACATGTTTGCTTTCTCCCACTGTCATTTTGTACTCTATCAAATCCAAAGTTGTCATGGTTCATTATCTGTAGATGATCTTGAGCAGTCTTGCATTCTAAAAGAATATGCCATGGCATCTGCCTCTGTGCTTTTGTGGCCTGCTGCACAGATGATATTTTAGCACGAGTATTGGGTGAGGGGTTAGAGGGGAGAGCAGAATTTGTCTCAGACTGATGTTTCCTTGTACCATGCTGTGTCTCATTCTTTCATATATGGCTAATTCAACAGTGAAGTACATATATCACACTGTGACTATTACATATGTTAGAGTACATAATTTGGGTTGTAAAGTATCTGTTTGTCTTAACTAATGAATTCCATCAAATTCAATTACCATTCTTCATTAACCAATCAAATTACTCCTTTGGTCTAAGTCATTTCTAACACACTTTTATTAGGCATACACACAATTCTATGAAGTAAACGTGAGGTGATTAGATTATCTCATGATCTTTATTTGGAGTCCCATGCTACAGAAGTTTGGATTTCTAAAGAATAGCCTTTCACATTACTTCCACTGTATACAGGAGAAATAGTGTTACAGTGTGAAGCTCTGTCTTTAAGACTCTGTTTTACTACTTCTATCTTAGACTTTCTTTTCCCTGAGGAAGTTTGCTACAGTGGATCGCCAATACAAAAATACATAGAAATACACCAACTATATATTCCTATAAAATTAACCTATTTATTAAGTAAATGTACCTATACGCTTATGCGATACTGGATCATAATATTTTTCACCTTTTAGGAATAAATTATTTCAGTACTAGAACTTTCTCCTATCTCTTGCAGTAAGATACCACAGTGTAGGATCACAGTTGTTATTGTTGAAACACTTTTTTCAAATTATCATTATTTCTTTACATGGATTTCTTTTTAAACAAAGTGGTTCTGGAAATGCATATACCCAGTATTGATAGTACTTCAGTTTTCTAGGAAATAATTGCCACAGTACTAATTTACATTGGATATTTTAATCATTTTACAATGAAGGGCAGGTGCCTAATGTCCTTGCAGTATGATTCTTACCATACAGATCTTAAAATATTTCCATTTTGTTCTCTTCTACATTAATGTCTTTTAGGAACATTTTCATCTTCTTTCCTACAACTATTTTGAGAAACATCTCAAAATGTGGTCTAAAGCCAACCTACAAAAATACATGTTCTGAGTTCCATGCCAGACTTAAGTCAGAATCTTTGGGAGTAGGCCCTAGGACCAGCATTTAAAATATACATATTAGGTGATTATAATGTAATCCAAAGTGAAATAACCACTGCTCTACAAAATGAGAGCAAGGAAACAACTGACAGAAAAGCATTGTAAAACTAGATGTATAACTGATATGAAAAATAAAAACACCACAATCAAGTTAAATTTGAATTTTAATTTTTTTCTACATGTTTTCATTACTTGGCTGCAAAAAGCATTCTAGGTTGTTTATTTCACCTTTAATATGAGTTTTAAATATCTTAAATTAAAATTTTAATATTTAGTGTTAATTAAGGATATGGATGTCTGTTATTTAAAAGCTTTTTCCAAGTTGCCAAACAATGAATGATAGTTATAATGGTAAAAGGTATTAAATTTATAATTTGTATCATTCATTAGTATTTTCATATTTGAATCTTTAGTTTTACAAAGCTTTGTAAATAACAAGTCTATCTTTAATATTTTATATATCTAATAAACAACACTTTTTAAAGAATTTCAACCGATCTTTTTGTTAAGGTTTCCATTTAAATGAATTACGTGAGTGTCTTACTTTCAGAAGATACTTTATTAATACAACTAAATTGAATTCTTTGGGCTGAGATTTTTCCATTTTTTCATAAATGAATATTTCCATATTATCTAATCTTAATAAGAATATTTTCTCAGTGCGGCAAGTAAGACATGTTTGCCAATTTAATATACCAAACTCTAAAGTAAGTATACACTCAAATGAGAGTTAGGGGACAAAGAACTGTCTTCTGAACCATGAAAAGACGGAATGTCGTGATTACCTCAGGCACTGAAAGACAGCAAAAATCTACATTAGTTCTAGTAGAAAGACTACAGAGAATGTTTGACCCATAAAATTAATTTTTGCTTCCTACATAGCCGACTCCATGGAGACAAGGTCTAAAAAGGGAAAATGGTCGAAATCTTAGGTTTGTAGGTTAACTTACTTTGTAAACTAGATATGTCCTGAAAAGACTGGAATAATTTAAATTGTTTCTGCGTTCATAAGAATCATTTTATGTATCAAAAATTCTTTTGTTTTCAGCTAGTTTTGAAGATTGTATTTAGATTATGGACAGACTACTTTAATTGGGTTGTGTTTCAAAAGTTTCATTATGAAGTTAAATATTTGGGACTCAAAACTTATTTTCAAATATAAAGAATGCTATAAATGCTGTTTCATGCCCAGATTCAATTTTATGAAATCCACAACATTATAGTAAAATTACATAAGTTATAAAACTAGAAATTGAAGGGAAGAATCATTGAAAACAATACTATATGATCGTCAAAATTAAGCCAATTAGACAAAAAATATTACATTATATATTTACTTTGAATATAAATGCTAAAGGAAAGTAAATTTGCTTATAAATAAATGAGAAATTAAAAGAGGGGGTAGAATATTTTTCTAAAACACAGAGAGAGTGGGGTTATAGCATGAACAGTATTCTCCTGAGCCAGGGGGGAGAGGGAGATGGAGGGGAGAGATGCTGGGTAGATTTAGAGAATGAAAGGCAAAAGGATCTCAAGTATGAGTGGCCAACAGCATTGAACTAGCTATTAAAAAGAAAATTTGCTCATAAATGGTAGGCTTATAATCCAGAAGAACAGGTGTATTCAATGGTTTGTTTGTTTTTGTGTTTTTTGTTGTTGTTTTGTTTGTTTCTTTGTTTTTTTTTTTTTTTTTTTGAGACGGAGTTTTGCTCATGTTGCGCAGGCTGGAGTGCAATGGCATGATCCTGGCTCACTGCAACCTCCAACTCCCAGGTTCAAATGATTCTCCTGCCTCAGCCTCCTGAGTAGCTGGGATTACAGGCGTGAGCCACCACACCCAGCTAATTTTGTACTTTTAGTAGAGATGGGGTTTCTCCATGTTGGCCAGGCTGGTCAAAAACTCCTGACCTCAGGTGATCCACCACCTTGGCCTCCCAAAGTTCTGAGATTACAGGTGAGAGCCACCATGAGCAGCCTTAATTCTTTTAAAATGAATAGGTAACTATGTTGTTACATATCCATTTAGAAAGCAGCTGTGTAGAGGAAATGGTAAGGAGAGATAGTGGGCGAGCATGCATGCTAACTCAGTGAGTGCCAACTAATGGAGTGAAGGGAGAACTAATGAATCTTTGGCCTTCTACTAATGGCTTTATCTCTGAGTGGATTAACTCCTTACTCTTTATTGAGTTCCACTTTCTAAGGAATTCTACCCTTTGTTTCTTTCTGAAAATTCAGCATCAAGTGAACCAAATTTACCAATTTGCTGCCTTTGTGTGCACAGTTGTTCATTTAATTTATGAAATAGTTATTGAATACCTACTATGTAGTCAGCACTATGCAAATTTTGTTACTTTTAGCCCAGACATTAGGACACAAAGAATATTTTGTTGTATTTGAATTTTAGTATTTTGTATTTTACCATTTCTCATTTATTTTCTGTTTCTTAAATTTGGATAGTTGAAGGGAACAGGTGGCATCCATGCCTAGGGATGGAGGGCTAGGAGTGTGGATAACCCAGAGAAGAAGGTGCAAAAAAAGGAGGTATCTGTCTTGTTCCTCTATTCTGCTGATTTTAAGGAGGTCTTAGCAGCCCTAAGCAGAGCCCCCATCACTTCCATTTAACCTTAAAAACAATTTTTAGAGATGGAAAAAATAGAACTATTTGCTCATGATAAAAATTCTACATTCAAAGTGAAGAAAAACTACTACATTCAAATTGAAGACCTGCAGTATATAGCTCTTTTTGAGCTGATATATCTCATTACTAGGCTAATCTATGGTATAAGAAGCAAGAAGTTAGAAAGGCATCCTGGAAAAATGGCCCATAATTCTTCATCAACTGTAATTTTCAGTGAAATAAAAGTCTAAATCTCCATTACTAGTTAGTTTGAAGTACAGAAGGTCATCATGTAAGTTTCTAAAATCCCTTTTAACTCTAGAAATTCTACTGGAGAGACAGGTGAATAAGATTGGGAAAAAATAATTGTTCATCTTTCATTGAAGAAAGTTATTTAGAGGAATTTTTCAATATCAAGCACCCCTCCTTTCCGTTCCATTTTCAAGAAACAAGAGCAAAGGATGAGTTTTGGCAACATTCCAAGAAGTGTCTTAGGGCAGAAATGGTCAATGCCTGTGTTGAGTTACCTGAATCTCTATTTGGCAGCTTCTGAAAGCTACTATAAAAACCTGGGCTTAAGAAGAGGATGATGGTATGGTCTCGCAGCCTTGTGTGAATTTTCTAAACGGTTTTGTTACCCCAAAGCATAGAAGTGATACCTCAAAATTTATAACTGATGCTATATCATAGTTATACTCACATATAAACTTGCTTGATAATATTTCCTACAGTTGAGTTTCCAATCAATCTATTTTTATCTCCTACACTTCCCTGATCCAACAAATCTTATCCATCATGCAGCCTGAGTTCATACCTTTGTTTCTTCAATGTTTTTATTAAACATCTACAATGTCAGTTATTCTTCAAACCTTCTTGTACAGGCCCCTGTCCTCATGGAGACTACCTTCTAGTAGAGAGGTAGACTATTAACAAGGAACAAATATATAAATAATAAGACCCACCAAAATCTTGTTTATTCACTAACTTTAATCGTATTTTTGTCTAAATTTTCTTCTTCCAAGTTTTTTTTTTTCAGTCAGTAATCCTACTCTTCATTTTAGCCTACTTGATTCTTACTGTTTTCAACATTGCCCTCAAATTAATATAATCCACTATTTTAACTCTTTTAAGATTTTCCATCATCTTAAGTGGAAGGAACAAATAAATTCATAAATTTACATATTAGATAAGATGAATTGCCGGAGAAATTTGATCCGTATAGCCAGATGTAAGTAATACCAGAGTGGCTCCAATGTGGCCATTATGGAATCAAATACCTCACAGCCCAGGCCTCAAAGGCATCTTTTCTTATCATGAGATTTTTCTTAATTACATTTTCCAGTGATTAAGTGTCCCATTTCTACACATTGGAATGCATTTTCTATATTAAGTTGTCAATGATCATAAACTATCTGTCAAGAACTTATTCCAATTATCCTAACAACCTCCTCTAGGATCCCTAGCTTAACCATTCTACATTTACTATATGTACTTGGCACAAAGATGGTATAAAGGTTTAGCCCTAAATTGTTTATAAATTTTTCACACTATTCCAGGATATTAGAACAGGATAGTCATTTACTTGTGTACACATATAAATGTCTGAATACACATCTTGAAAATGCAATAGGTTACATCTGATGATGGTTCAAGAAGAACTAAAAGGATAATCTTAAGGGAACATAAAAATTTCGTGTTTGAAGTTACTGCTAAGAAGAATAGCAATGTAAGAGTTCAGATAACTGCAAAAGTAAAGAATCAAGGCAGTGTAAAGTTTCTATAACTTAGGGAACTTAACTAGCTGTTAAAAGGGCACCTCTCTGACAGCATTAACATTTCAAAAATTTGATACATAAAGATGTGCCAGTACAAAGTTTGGTCCTTAGCAATAATCAATTAATGATACTGTCCTTTTCATTCAGTGAATCCAAGAATAATAGTTTTCAGACCTAAATATTTACAACCACAGTTTCATCAAAATACAGAGAATATATATTGTATCAAGTGTGCCTTTATCTAGGGCAAATCTTAATAGCGTCTAGATTCAGACCAACCACCAAGACAAATTGCCAAGAGAATTATTAAGAAATTTGTATAAATCCCTTTATTACATCTTAGATTTTAAAACTTCTCAAAACAATTACAGCCCTTACATACCTGTGATGGTTTTTAATTCCCTGGACAATTTATCAAGAAATTAAAAATTCAGAGCACCCTAGCAACACAGTGGTATATTTACCATTGCAGTATGCCAGTTTTGTTTATTTTTTATGGCACAAATACCACAATGTATTTTATTTATTAATCTATTGGCTGAAGTATAATATGCCAACAGAAAAGTGAATAAAACATGCATTTTATATAGCATTATGAGATTTTTTCTCTTGCTTTTTGGTCATTGATCTTGTAAATTGTTATTTTTTAGTTATTATGATGAGGATTTAATATCCAGAATATATTAAGAAATCCTACAACTCAACAACAAAAACCTAATGTGTCTATTTACAAATAAAAATTACAAATTAGTTTAGATAATTACAAATTAGAAAACAATGAAGAATAGAATTTAATTGAATGGAAAATAAATGTTTATATTCATGGAAGAAACACACATAAAGATGAATTATAATTTGCTATCAAATATACAGAAAATTAGATGGAGTTTTTGGTTCACAATAGCTGACAAGTTGACAATATGCTTATGTTAAAAATAAACATTATTCTAAGGTATTTAAATAGAAACATAACAAAAATAATCCTGGGTACGGTCACTTCGTTAGAGACTTGGGCTCAAATTTAGGTCCCACAATAGAAAAAGAATTAACAGGAAGGTGGAAAGAGCAACAAAACCGCAGTTATTTGTAGTTTGCGACATAATCTTGTAAGAAAATAAGTTCAAGATGCTAAAGAGAGAAAAAAGAAAGATGCATCAAGTGTGGATTTAAAGTAAATATATACCATTACAAGACACATTGTATACCGAGAACCAAAAAGAAACTTACTGAAATTGTAGGAAAGAACAACGAATGACATAATGCAATATTCTGAGAAGAGAATGTTGAAATTTATTCTTGATTTTTTTTAAAAGACAGCTATTTATCTTTTGTGAAAAATCATAATACAGTTCTGTTTAACAATGAAGAACTATTCCACTGTATTACCTCCCAATTCTCACATATTTATACATAAGTATTAAAACTATACGTAGTATAATAAACCTAAATTTCTGAAATATGAACACTATCACAATTTTCTAGGTGATAAGTTATTATACGATTTTGTTATTTAACTGTAAGCAAGGGAGAATCTAAGAAAGAAGAATATATTCTTTCTAAAATAACTCCCCTTCAAGATGGCAGCTGAATACATAGAATAATCAGACTAATCATTTGGGGTTAGTGGTTGTTTTTATGTTACATAGAAGGAGAAATGACCACTATCTGATGGCATCCAAGAAAGTGCCTCTCTGGGGACAGAATTGTCACCCTGATCACCATTGCTCATGAACCCCCTTCATGTTAATGGGCACATTCCAAGTAGAAGACGTGATAACAAATTCTTTATGTTCTTTTAGGACTGTTAATTCTAAAAATTTTGGGACTTATTATATAGTGCTGGTTAATTCTGAGTATAAATGTAAGGAAATTCTGTTTCATAATTTAGTGTCTAGAATAGGACTTTATAAATTGGTTTATGATCAGTGTGCTTCAAGTTTATTTTGGGTACCAAATGTTCCCTTTATTTAATCTATTTAAATCAACAAAAGAAGCAATTTCAAACGGTATTCATCCAATAAACTGTAGTTAGGAAAATGTTCATTAATCTATTTTTATTTACCAACAACTTTGTCATTTTCTTTCGAAAAGCACTTTGAAGGAGGGAAAAATAAAAACAGAAGGAAAGAGAAATTATATACCACTATAAAAATTATATGCAGTTTTGCCTGCTTTTTATGTAACCTAGTATTCAAAACTTAACTGGTTTTATCAGATTCCATTATGTTATGAACACACAGGCCAGTATTTCCCCACCAGTTTCTTCTAACTAGGAAGTACATTCAAACGGAAAATCTAAGTTTGTGTTTTTCTACTGAAAGAAATGTCGCTGGTGAATAGCGAAGATGATTTATGTGCATAAAGCTGACCTTATAAAAATAATCTCTGTGTTCATCATAATTTTATTGCTATGTAACATTTGTTCCATTTTCTTTTTGTATATCTCTGATAAACCATTAGTTTGTAGATCTCTGATGCCTTAGAACATATGACAGTTTAAAAATATCTATTGTGTTTTTCCCCAAATTATTTTATTAGTCAGTAGTTTTTTTTGATGAAACAGTGACATCAATTTCTTTCATGGTTACAATTTTTGCAGTGTTTTAGCTAACATATTTTACTAACTGAAAATTATCCTTGCCTTTTATTTACACTTCAGAAGTTAAAAATAAATATATTTATTAATTAACAATTATATCTCCAAAACAAAGTAACGATTATTTGGTTTCTAATGCTAGCAGTTCTTGTTTATATTTAATGAAAATCGCATTTCTCCTGACAGGGGAAAAATATTTTTCCACATTAAGAAAGGCTTTTCATTCATGTCCTGAAACTACATATTTTTGTTCTGGAATATAAATCATCTATTTATTTGATATGTATGTTGAAATTTAGTTTGTGAAACAGAATATATATCTATTTGTATGTCTCTCTATAATAGAATTATGGACTGTGATGAGTTGTTCTCCATATACATGAAGGATTAGATACATATCTTTCTTCTTTCCAAAAATGCCATCAGCATTGTCAGTCTCAGAAAACAGGTGGAAAATTGCCTCAGTGTTTCTGATATCTCTTATTAAAGATAGTTACGATGCAGAACTGAAAAATACTAAAGTTTTATGAAGCATCACCATGAAATAATAAAACTTTCCTTTAATAAAGGGCTCATATCCAATAAAGGGCTTATATCTGAATGAATATTGTCGTTCACTATGGTCACCTTAAATTTCAGATGCTTCCATCGTTCAAAATATTCTGCTGTTTGTTTGCAACTTTTAGAGCCAGTTTATGCACCAGGAAGCAGTCTTTGACAAACACCACTGTGAAGGCATTATATCATTATGATCAGTACAAATGAGGAGGCACCCTTTCTAAGCATGAGGAACATTTCTTTTAATGAGTCTGTGCCCTCTCCAAAGGAAATATGCATTCATCAAGTACACTTTAATTCAAAATGGTGTGTGTTTTCTAGACAAAAAGATACATCTCTCATAAAGGAGAAGTACTCTGAGGCTGATGGGCTCATGAGGTCACATGTTGGCTAAAAGACCTCGCAGGCTATGCCCAGAACATTAGTTAGACCTTTTCAAGATGTGGGGGAAAAAAAGACACATAAAGTTTCAGGCTGAATCAAAAAGACTATTTTTTTACTCAGCTCTTGTTATATTTTATAGTTACATCCTTATCCCAGACAGGATATAAGGTCCTTTCAAGAACCCATGAGGCTACACATGACCTTCCCCTGCTACCTCTCTTTACTGGAATATGAAACCTTACTTGAGCCTACAGTACTCTGCATACATAGTTACCATTTGCTATTTACTTTACATTAGGGATATATAAAAAAACCCTAAAAAGCCAGCCTATACCAAGCTCAGATGGGCTTACTAGTGAATTTTACTCAACATTTAAAGAAGAGATATTACTAGTTCCCTACAATCTCTTCCGGAAGATAGAAGCAGAGGGAATACATCCTAACTCATTCTGTGAGGACAGAATTACATGAATATCAAAACTAGACAAAGGTAATACAAGAAAAGAATACTATAGACCAGTATCTCTCATGAATATAGAGGCAAAACTCCTCAACAAAAGCCAGCCCATAAACCATCCTGTCAGGTGAAAAGGTAATGGAACTGTGGAGGGATGTTCTGCTTTCCATTACAAACCATTTATTCATTCAACCAATATTTACTTCTGTGAGGTTGATTCTACGTGGTCAAGAAATCAAACCTGTCATCTCTCTCATTCAGTCAGTCACTTATTAATTCACTCACTGAACAAATTTTTTTTTTCAAAATGTACAATGCGTTAGGCATTATACCTGGTGCTGGGGGATACAATAGTGAGCAAAATAGGCCAAATCCTTGCCATCATGGTTTTTACATTATATTGGAGAAACAGACAATAAATGAGATATTAAACAAATAAACAATAAACAACATAAATATATCTATGTTATATACTATGTTATCTTTATATCAATAAATCAAGATACATAGATATCTTGTTTATTATCTATTTCTCCAATATAATGTAAGATATATAGTAAGATTTATATTATATATAATAAATATTATATATATATATAAAATGTAAAGTATGCTAAAGATATATGCCAAGAAGAAAACAAGAACTTAACATGTACATACGGTGAAATTTACATAGATTGTTCAGAGATGGCCTCATTGAGAAAATGACTTTGTGTAAAATCCCAAAGGCAATGAAGAAAAGCATCTTGATAATGTTTCCTGGAAGAGCATTGCAGACATAAAGAACAAGACACAACAACAGAGGCTGGTGTAGAGTGAGTGAGGAAATATACTTGGAGATGTGAAGTCAGAGATTTAGATGGAAATCAAATCATGCAGAGCCTTGTGAGAAATGACATGGAGTTGTGATTTTTGGCCAAATGTAATGAACAGCCATTGGAGGGTTTTCAATAGGAAAATGCTGTAAAATGATTGACTATTATACAAAATTTATTCCAGTTTCTGTATAGAAGACAATATTTAGATATCAAGAGTGCAGGCAGATAGAACAATAGAAGTTATTGCAGTATTCCAGGTGAGGCAGCTACCAGAGTTGGTAATTTTGATTAGGCTTATGGCTGTACACTACTGAGAAATTAATAGACTTGAGATATGTTTTTAAAGTAGAACCTATATGACTTGTTGATGAATTGAATATGGAAAATAAGAGAGAAGGAATCATCAAAATAATTACCCTAGAGATTTCCTTGAACACTTTGGTGAAGCCATTTATTCTGATGGGGAAGACTCCAACAGAAACGGGTAGGGGAGGAGAAAACAAATTTTGTTTTTATATGTTAGGTTTGAGGTCATCTTTGGACTTCTAAGAGAAGCCAGTTAGGCAGTTAAAATATAGGAGGCTGGACCTCAGGGAAAAAGACTGGAATGAAGATATCAAATTAGGATTTGTATGAAGTAAGATACTCTCAATAGCAAATTAAAGAATACCTTACTAAAATTTACTTAAATATTATTAATATTTGTTATGTCACTTTATTATATCTGTTTATTAAATCCAACTCTAGAGAGTACCAAGGTTTATTCAGTAGATTATTGATATGAAAACCCTGGGTCAGCCTCTCTGGGAGTCTCAGGGCCTAGCCCCCCCGTTCCCAGACTTTGTGCAGCATCTCAAGCATCATATCCTCCCATGGCAACAGAGAAGGCAGAGTCACTGTAAGGAGAACATGCAGGAGAAAGGGATTCTTTTTAAAGTTAGCTCTCTTATCTGATTGGGGAGAAGAGAGAAAATATCTTCCAGAAAACTACCAATGGATTTCCCTAATGTCTTCCTCCAGAGCTACAGCAAATGCCCATCCCTATACCATCCTTTGCAAAAGGGAAGTGTATTGTCTAAAATTGAGAGGACAAGTATGAGTTATTACTTGTGACTCAGGTTCCATCATCAAAGAAAAAACTAGGACATGTTGGGAAGGTAACCTTCCATGTCTGCTACAGGAGACATTCTCTTACAGATTTTATTTAAAATCAGGACCAGATGATGTCCCCAAAAATACACCCACTGTGCACTCAAGATATCTTCATCCTCTCTGTATAAAACTCTATGTGGCTACTGGAAGAAACAGATTATATCAGCCTGATAAGGGGATAGACAGACCTGTTGAATCATAAATAGAACAAGCAGAAATAATAGAAGAGCTTAGAACATTCACAGGAAAGTAGAAGAAACTGGATTTTGGAAAATAAGTTTCTGGGTTTTTGTACCACAATTGAGGGATTGTGGGTGGTATTTGAACATGAGCTAGTGCACCTGAATGTCTTAGATGCCTGTGAATGCTGCCATTCACCAGCAGCCTCTGTGAGAGGGCTTAATGGGTATTAATTGTTCATTTGTTTCTGAGACTCTCCGATATACCAACCAGGTGCTGTGCCTGGAGCAAATAAAAAGCAGGCCTCTATCCTCAAAAAGTTCATAATTTCTGATGGTGATCTAGGTAAATTAGTAATATATTAAATATTTTTGCCATAACTCTCCTATTATTGTAACTTTTTCTGACTTTAAAAACTATAACCCAAGCAATCTATTGACATTTAAACCATGACTATCTGGTTTACACTGTCTTTCCAGACATTTACTTTGTTCTATTTGTTCTATTATAGAAAAGACAATGCGAGTTGATATCTACATGTGTTTTTAAGTACAAATTCTTATCTGTGTCTGCCATATCACACGGTATTGTGAGAAGTCCAAAATTTAGGTTCTTTCTTAAATTTAATTATCTGGTACTTTCCTACAACACTGTGTCTCCTATTGACATTTCAAATTTCATTTTGTTCACATATCTTATGTTTGTGTCTCCTTGATATGGATAACAATAGCTGGTGTAAGAGCTTATCTCCTTTTGATTCTGAAAATGTAATAAAGAAGGAAAATGCAGAGTAACAGCCACATGTGCCGGTTATTCAAGCAACCATCCAACTTCTGTATGAAGTTAATTTGGGGAAAATATGGTATGCACGCTGCAGCTCAAGCTCACTTGTGTCAAAGAGAAATACGAAAGGCAAGGGATGGTGCTACTTTGACAAGTACATGAAGGAATAAAGTATTGAAATAAAACAAGTGAATGTGGCCTTATGAGAATCTTTGTTTTACTTATAAGGCACAGCAGTTTCAAGAATATGACCTTGCTTAATATATTACTGTTTTTACTTCAAAACAACAGCATTTGTATTCTTATCTAACAATTTATGAATACAAATGACATGAAAATCATGAGATACTTTTACTCTTTATATTAATTTTTATTCCATTTACTCCACTTGGATATATATCCTAAGTAATCATCAAAATTAAATGAATATTTGAGGGAATATATAACATTAAAAGAACCCCTGAGAAGTTATGTAGTTCTTGCCTGACTCTAGGCAAATTTATAATATGTAAAGATCTTCTAAAGAAGAAATTCATATAACCTATTATAGAAACTCTTCCTTATTTCTAACTCAAATCTTTATATTTTATATTAAGCTTGTTGAAGTTTTTTCTTAGAAAATTTGTAATAAAACATCATATCATGTCTCTTTGGCCTATAGCGAATGAAAAAACCTCACAGTTAATTAATACAGAGATTTTAAAATTGTAGACCTCTAGAAAACTCATTTTGTTTTCTTTGGATTTTATACATAAAAGTAAACATTGATTTGTAATTAAGAGAAGAGAAGAATTCATGATTTGGAATCATTTTCTGTAAAAGAAGAATAGAATTAAAGATGTGGCACTATTTAAAATTAGAAATTAGACTTTTTATCCATGAAAACTCTAGAGAAATAATTTTGATTTTCAAATATGATTAGAAAAACTCAAACATTCAGCCTTGCCCTTTCTTTGAACTCTTTCTTAGGCTAACAAGTTCTTCTAATCTTATAGTTTTAGGTGCTGTTTATAAAATTGATAGTTGTACATTTATAGATTTTACAGAAATGTACTCTTTTTGTGGATAAGTATCTTTATGCCAAGTTTATTTGGCTTTGTGTGAATTACTGTTTGAAAAAAGACTGATCATTTTGTAATGAGTATCATTACATGAAGAGCTATTATTTCCTGGAAACTTTATTCTGCAGCCTCAGAATGTAGATCAGGGGCCCTAGCAAGTTAAGGTCCAGGCTCCTCATCAAGGTCATTTTCCTTTTCATACCACTGCCCTTTCCCCAACTCAAAGTCAGCCTAATGGTCAGAAAGGTTCACTTACAGGGAAAGAAAAGGAACAGTGCCTTCTTTACCTATGCCCTGCATAGCAGGTAACAATTACCTAAAATTCATTGTGGAGGATTGGAATATCCAAGAGTTTTAGAAACAGTTATGCTCAGACACCTCTGTGTGACCCTAGGCAAAGTGACTAAGCTCTCCAACGTATTGTCCTTTATACACAATAATTAAAAAGAGTCCTCAAAACATTATCTCTAAGATAAGATATGAAGGTAGTTATGGTTTTTCCCAAACTATTTTGACTTGTTCTTTGTCAGTAGCATGAGGCTATATTAAGATACAACTTTAAATAGTGCTTCATAAACAGTGGATGGCCATGGAATCGAATTAGTGGCTTGTGATTGGCATTTGAATAAAATAGAATAGAAAAAAATAAAGGATGTAAGTTACATCAAATGCAGCAAGGATTAGTATTGCTTTGTGAAACTTTGTATATTTGTACTGTGTATATGAAATTGTGCTGTAAAATGTATTTCTTACCGTGTGTAAAAGTTTTCCAAAAATGTTTAAAAGATGTCAGCCTACAGAATTGGACCATCTAGTACAACATGAAAACCCCCTAAAAAATACCACTCAAAGATAGAGAGCACAGACTGGCATTCAGCACCACTAGAAAGAAGCAGTGCAGTGATGATCTTCAGGGTCTGTGATTGCTTTGGGCAGTCTTCTTGCTGTCATGTTGCAGTAAGTAAGGTATCTGAGCTGCAGTCATCATGTGGGTGTAATAAGTAAAAACTCACACATGCCCATTCAGTTGGGCACTTGTGGGAAAAAAGCAAATAGAATAGTGTATCCTTATTTAGTATATGTAAGAGCTGTGTTTAGGTATCTTTCCTCAGAATTCATGGTACTATGATGACTGCAGAGAAAATTCTCTATATGTTTCCTCTACAAACTTTTACACTTGCTCTTTGGCATTTTTTTGTCAGCAACAAGATGGCAACTGTATGCTAATAAAATCCCTGTGCATCTACCTGCAACTCATCCCTTCTGATGGCTTTATATCTAATTACTTAAAGCCTGTATTATGTTTATCTGTTTTATAAAACAGAATATGAAACTGTCAGGCCTAAATTATCCTGAACCCCAATCTGTGAAAGGACACATAATGATGGGGAAAATATATTCCTTATCAGAACAACCAGGTGTTCTCAAATATTGACTGAGCTGCATAATCATTTGGGCAAAGTATATCTTGCAAGAAAAGGCAGTAATGTTCAAATTCTTGCATTTTTATTTTCCATGAGTTTGGTGTTTTCCTTTCAGAATAATCATTGTTCATGTTCTTGATAAAATCAAGTTGATGCATCAAGGCAGCTATCCTTGAAGATATAAAGCCTATGACATTAGGTCCTGTGATGTTGTTTTACATGTTGCTTACTGGCATGGATGCCCATTCAGAAATTCTGCTATTCTACTGGGACTCCATTTCTGTTTTTCTAGAAGCAACTGCACATCCATAGAATCTTTCTTCTGGAAAGAAAACCTTTCAAATAAAACACACTCTGCATTTATTTATTTTAAGCCACATTAAAATTTTAAAAGGCAAACAAAATTTTTAAAAGTATTTACATGAACCATATGAAATTGCTGATACTTTGGTTTTTTGGCCTATAAAAATGATGATTTCATATAGCCCAATCTAATATTACTTTTCAAAAAGTAATGTAATATTCTAAACCCAATATGCAATTGCTTTTAAGTATCCAAATTCTTTGAGTTCAGCTGGTATTAGAAGCAGTCTGATGCTCTTCCTCATTCTCATACTTAACAAATATTGTCCTAAGTTTCTGCTATGTTCAGAGTGCCAGGCATGTGGTAAAGAAAGAATAAAGCTGACACAACTTAATAATTATGAAACATTTTTTCTGATGATAGTATGTTGTTGGCAGAACAAAAAAGTTGTGTTTCCATTGCCTACAAAGTGACCCAAAACTTTACAACTCCTTCACATGTGTGGTTTTTCTTAAGCATTTCCTCAACTTCGTACTGCTTTTTATCGAATTCCCTGTATTTATTTCCTCCTGAGTAGATTCACCCTGAATCAACCTGTCAGTGTAGTTTAGTCTTTCCCAGATATTGTTCCCCAATTTTTAATGTAAGAATTAGCCTAGTCTTTCTGTGTCTTGAAACATTAACAAAGCACTTAAGTGAGCCTTTATCATTTCAATTGCACCAACCACGATAAATAAAACATTAGTTGTTCTCATATATTATTGTTCCTTCAGTTTTGAGGAGAGAATCACAAGTGGATGTCTATGTAGTTTGTCCCTTTGTAAGACATTCACTGAATAGTCTGCCTATTGTTCTGCCTAGCTCTTTCACATTTACTTGAGAAGTGTCATCATAATTTTTCTTTTTCTTTGTTTTCTTTTTCTTCTCCTTTTTTTTTTTTTTCTTTTCGCTTGGTGAGCATCCTTTGTTCTGAGGATTTTTTTTTTTTTTTTTTTTGAGATGGAGTCTCACTCTGTCGTCAGGCTGGAGTGCAGTGGCGTGACCTCAGCTCACTGCAACCTCCACCCTCTGAGTTCAAGCGATTCTCCTGCCTCAGCCTCCTGAGGAGCTGGGATTACAGACACCTGCCACTGTGCCCAGCTAATTTTTTGTATTTTTAGTAGATACGGGGTTTCACCTTCTTGGCCAGGCTGGTCTTGAACTCCTGACCTCGTGATCCACCCGCCTCGGCCTCCCAAAGTGCTGGGATTACAGGCGTGAGCCACTGTGCCCGGCCAATATTTTTGAAACGAATGTTTCCCACCATCAATATACCCAATGCTGCAGAGTTTCTGTTTTTTGTTTTTTTTCAGAGCTCTCACTTTGTTTCTCCAAAATTGGTCATCCCACCTGTGATTGCTGCACTGACGCTCCCCAGTCTATATGCTGAGTAACAGTAGGGAAATTCATGGAAGCCAGCGATTCTCCACCTTCACTTCACCCTGGATCACCTGGGGAGTTTTAAAAATACTGACACCTGGGTTTCACTCCCAAGATTCTGATTAAATAGGCCTGAACCAAAGGCTGGGCATTAGGATTTTTTTAAATCTCCCAGGGGGAGCTAAATGCACAGTGAAGCCTGAGAACCACTAATTGAAGTTTTAACAAGAATCCCCAGGCATAGCCTTGTGTCTTTGACCTCATTGAAACCAGGCCCAAACTTTGGAATAGGCTAAAAGCAAGTGTCTATATCCACTTTTAGAAACCCATTGTGGTGATTCATTGGCTACCATTTATTAAGTTTTTTCTATCTGCCCAAAATTCATCAGAGTAGAGCTCAGATCTCAATAGGGGTGAGAAACAATAACCATAATGGTCTTGAAGTCACTTTTTGGTATCCACTGCCAGATTATGCTACTCACCTAACAATTTGGGCAGCTTTCTCCAGAGAGTAATTAACATCTTTGTAAAGATGTAATCACCTGAAGCAGCTATATAAGCAACAGCAGTCTCAAGAGCTTTCATTTCTAGCAGCAAAGAAATTGTATTACAGTAGCATTTCGCCAGCATATCTTAGAACATCAGTGTAATCAGTATTAGAATGATGCATTGTAAGACTGAATAACAGAAAGAGATTAATTTCTATTAAATATCTACATCTGTTGGTTCCCCAAGGTAGATTATGCTGGGAAAATCTAATGGAGGATTTTTTTTAACCCAGCCTCCTTTCACTCCGTGCCCAATTCCTGCAGTTGTTGCTGAGGTTTACCAGATGGATTAAAAGAAAAAATAAGAAGTGGCTCCAAACATGTAAGCAATCCTCAATTCATTGCTGTTTGAATGAACTGTGGTGTTATTTGCATTCAGTCTTAATTTACACGGAAAATGACATCCTTTTGCTTAGAAACAAAGATAGTTTTCTTTTTCTACGTAACATTACTCACTGTAGGATCAAAAACTTGCCTGAAGTTTCTGAACCAAACTTATTGTTGTCCATAATGTCACTAATAACCCAGGTCTATCTCCATCCAGGATTGTTACAATAAGGTCTGGAGGTGTAATTATAGGTATAATTTGACCTCTTTTTTACTACCTTCATACAATTTACTTGGTTGAAAGATCTCTGTCAGCTTTTGCTGAACTTTATGCTTCGCTACCTCAGTGCATTAAGTAAACCATAAAAAGAGGTATTAATAGTAATTTTCAATGAATATAATATCCAGCTGCTCTCAAGAGAATCCCTTGATCACATCTATTGCCATGATTTTGCCTTAGAAAAATGTTACTAAGCACCGACTTCTCCCTTAAGGAAGGGTTGGTTTCAGGATTTTATAGGGGAATCTTGCAAAGACACTTTTGCCCATTGACCAGTATATTGAGACAAAGTTAGAGAAAAGAATGAGATGGGAACTCTGCTAGGTGTCTGTTCTGTTTTGTCAGAACTTTGTTAAAGCCGTGGGGAAGAGCTTTAAACTTCCCTTGATTGTTATTTTAGACGCTAATAGTCAAGGGTATTCTTTAAGGTTCTTAAAGTTCAGAAAGGCCACATTGACACTGTTACCTATCAATAATTAGGTTTCTAAACATCACATCAAACAGCATATGCAGAATGAGCCCAAGAACAGTACGATTTGAGGATGCCGTGGAGTTCCATGCCACACCCTACAAATCCATATATCTGCTTTTCCTGCTCAACTCTAGTTTACCAAAATACAGAAAACGGGTCAAATAAATCACAGATATAAAGAACACAAGTAAACTAACAAAAGCAGCCTGGGAAATGCAGTGCTTTAAAGGAAACTCAGAAACAGAGTTTGGATTATTCACAGAATAAATATAGGCCTGGTCACTGTATGAAGAATCTTTGAATGGTAAGTCATAGAAACCATGTGAGCTAATCTCAGTGATTTTTATCAAAAAAGACACTGGGCTATCTACAGAACCCAAGGAAGCATTAGGCTTTAGCATCTCAAAGAGAGAGGGATCAAAAGCAAATACAGGGAGGTCAGCAGCAGGAGTATGGTCTCCAGGTTTCTGGAAGTCTCTTAGAGGCCCAACAGCATATGCCTCTATATCTCTCAGTTCCAATTCCAAACTGGCAGGAAAGTTATTTGATTTTTCTATTTGGATAAGAGGCTCATCCTATATGAACTAGTGAATTAGCAATAACCAGGAAAGCTGTTCTTAGAACAAAAACATGGCCCGTGGGAATCATTGCTATAGACAGTGTCAGCAGTTCTCACTTAGAAGGACCTAGATAGATAACTCCATAAGATTCTGTTATGGCTATTTTCACAGAGTCCTTAAAATAAAGAAAGGTCACCAAAATATAGGGAAACTTATGTATCATGTTATTCCCAATGCCTTGGGCTTTTCTATTTTGGCTAAATTGCCTTATATTCTTGACAGCTAGATATTAAATAATTATGCCTTGAGAGTAGGTGGTAATACTTTGCTTTTAAAAATAGGGTTAAACTAGTCTGTAAGCAACCTTGAGTTTCTTTTCTCTTGAGTTTATAAGTGATACTTGAGGAGGAGCATGCACTGAGGGTATCTTCTGCCCTCCCAGAAGCCATCTATTACCCAAATTATGTATCTTTCCCCTTTCTTTCCTTCTTTCTCTTTCCTTTTTTTTTTTTCTTTTTTTGAGAAATGAGGAAGAAAACAGTGGAGTTTGGATGAGATGACGGGTAGGAAAGGCCGTGAGGAAGAAGAGACACATGGGGAAGGAAAGACAGTGTCTAGCAGAGAACACTGCTGTTAAACGAGGTATCCCCTCACCCAGCAGCCTCATGGAAAGAGAACCACTGCTTCAAGGAATAATTCTGGAGAAGTGAGACTGACTCCACAGTCACCCCATCTTTCTCTTAGTGATCCTGGTGCCTGAAATGACTTTACAAAAGCTCTGACCCTCAGTCCACATTTAAAAAGGAAAGACTGGATTCATTTAAATTCAAAACAAGTGACAAATTGGCTCCTATCAGATCTTTGCCCCAGATCAGGTTTTGGTAGATCTGAGAACAAATGAAACAAAAGAATTACAATAATCTGAAAAGGAAAGAAAGAAAGAGCAGGATCTGAGAACCCCCAAAATGACTCTTGCTTTCTTCATAGTTTGCCTAGTGCTGTCCTTGATTAGAAGTAATTTTATTTCATTTGCCTATGAAAAAGAAAAATATTGAAATTATGACCAAGCATGGAGATATTTTACAGATACCAACCTTTAATTTAGCTGAAGGAACAGTTAGGGCAAGAGCACAACAGTCAGGATTTGACATGAAACAAATTTCATTCATACTCATTGGAAGATAACCCTAAATATGTGAACTCAGTGCAACCTATGTGTGAAGTCTCTTTGCCAAGGAGCAATGCTGCTTGCTTTGTTCAGGGATCTGGATTATGAGCACTCTGAGAACAGAAGTCATGTCTACTGTGCCATGACATAACACCCAGCACCTAGCATAGGGCCTGCACATGGAGGCGCTGGACTGAGTAAGATTTGCTGAAAGGATATTAAATCATAAAGCAGTATCTAAACAACGATATGATGTTTGAGAAATCTTGGGAAGAAGTGTAGAATTAGTAGTGTTTAAGAGTGGGGACTCTCAAGTTAGATTAAATTGATTCAAATCATGACTGTATTCTCTAGCTTTGTGATCTCCGATTTGTTTACTCTCTCTAAATCTGGTTACTTTCTCTGCAAACTTGGAGTAATAATATGAGCTTCCTCATGGGATCATTCTTAAAAATGAATCAGCTTTTGGACATAAAGCACTTAGCACATCTTCTTTCACACAATGAGTACTCAGAAATATTAAGTACAACAAGTTGCTGTACAGCTATATGCAAAGTCCAGTGGAAATTTGGTCAATATCTTGAGTTTCCGTATTGACAGAAATTTTCATTCTATCACACTGATTACTGATCAAGGGATGGGTGAAATAAAGCGTGGTGATAAAAAGGTCTCGTTTGTAGATAGTAATATTGATGTTCTAGAACATCAATACTTTGGACCATGTCACAGAACATGGCTTATTTTAGTGCTCTGCCCTATCAACTAACCAATAAATAAATTATAAAATTCAAATAGGAAGCTCTGACTCAGCAAGTAATTTTTGGAAATTCATATCTCGTGTTTTTCATCTACATTAGCATCATTCAAGGAGCAGTAGCATGCTCTTGGCTGTGGTCCTAAGTGTTTTTGAAACTTCATTTGCAACATTCTCTCTAGAAAGGCAGCAAACAATTTAGAGGCAACATGATGGTGTTATTTGTCAAGAAGATTCTTATGTATATCTATAGTTTCACTTTCTGAGGGTTATTTTTAAAGAGTCTGGATCTTTGACGTATTTTTCTATTTTTTGTCTAAAAGTGGGAGACTAATAGTGCTGACCAAAACCAGGATAACCATGATGTAAACGGTTTCTGACAGCCCTTCTAATGACAAGTTCAATTTTGATTTATATCACCTTTCCTTTTCTTTTCTAATCCCTCCAGCCTGGAAGAAATAGTCTACTTTGGATGGAATGTATATCTATCAGAATACATGTGATTAATAGCAACTGGAATTAAAATAATCACACTCTCAATATTTGAATTTGTGTGTTTTAGAGAGGATAGGTACATGTAATGCAGGGTTCAGTGTAGCACTTTGGCCCACTGAATTGAGGTAATTCAGGAATCAGTCACTGTCAGTAGTTAATATATTCAATATTAGTGAGAATGGGAGAGGGGACCATCACAAGGTGTAGAAGCTTGCTAATATCCCTACAAAGAATTCATTAACTTCAATATGATGTGATTTGAGAGAAAACGTTCTAATCACTACACATTTTAAATAAGCACTTGCACTTAATAGGTGCCAGGGTGCCGATTATACAACTGGATATTATTTCATACTAAGAAATGCTAACTATTGGAAATGTATCAGTGAAGTTCATGGAAATATACAAAATGTTTGAAGTGTGAAATAAATGCAAACATTACCAATATTAGATCAGATTATATTAAATTGGATTGGGGCGTGTTAGAATATAGGACAGACAACATCTCTAAAGTAATTCAAAATTAATTCACCATTACTAAGCTGTGATTCAGCTGCAAACAAAATGGAAAGCAGAGTGCAATTTTTTTTTCAGCTAAGCAGTGGAAGGATTAAAAATTGTAAACTTCTTGGAAACAAAATACCTCCCTTGCTGTTTAACATAAGTGGTATTTAAAAATGACTTTTTAGAATTGCCTTAACTGCTTCTTTTTTTTTTTTTTTTTTTTTTGTGACAGAGTTTCGCTCTAGTTGCCCAGCGTGGAGTGCAATGGCACAATCTCAGCTCAATGCAACCTCCGCCGCCTGGGTTCAAGCGATTCTCCTGCCTCAGCCTCCCAAGTAGCTGAGATTTCAGTTACAGGCATGTGCCACCACACCCAGATAATTTTGTACTTTTAGTAGAGACGGGGTTTCACTGTGTTGGTCAGGCTTGTCTCAAACTCCTGACCTCAGGTGATCCACCCACCTCAGCCTTCCAAAGTGCTGGGATTACAGGTGTGAGCCACTGTGCATGGCCACCTTAACTTCTTCTTAATTTGAATACATAAAGCTCTTTATCCTTAAAGGGAAATTATAATTTGTCTGTATAGTTGAAGCTGCCAAGACTGAGGTTGGATTTCCTAATGGTGCCTTAGTCATTCATACACATTATTCTGGGGCCAAAGGGTTCCAATCAGTATTTTGTTTGGGGAAGAAACTTTTTTTTCATCACGATTTAATGAATTAAATATTGTGGCTAGACCAAGTGGTTTACCTTTTAACATCAATATCTGTTGATCAAATACCTGTATATTCAGTTTCTCCAAGAAATGCCAATTTAAATTCCCCCAAATATCGCTACTTAGAAAAACTAAACAAAAGCAATCTTAGCCACACTGTCAACAGAAAGTTTCAAATACATTGGATAATTGAACAGTGCCTTTCCAAGAATTCTGAAAGTTTACGTTTCTAATGTGATTGCCCATGGAATCCCTTATTTGTCCATACCTTAATTCATATACTATTCTAGTGTAAAAATTACAGCAAGGATAAGGGGCTCCAGGAGATTTCTAGTTTAAACTTTCAGTAGCTAAAAATTGCCATTATTTAACCAGTTTACCTATTTTACATGCTACATTTAATGGACTAAAATGATGATATTTTGCAAATTCTTTACACATTATGAAGTTCATTTCTTTTAAAAAAAAAAAAGCCCCTATCCTTCTAATGAAGCCACTGTCAGTAGTACAGTAGAACATTCTGAAGTTTCATCATTCAGAGATAATTTAGAGAACATTAACTTTAGTTCCTATTATTAATTGGATTCAAATATCAATACTTAGTAGTTTTCTCTTCCTTTAGGGCAAATTTTAACTCTTGTATAAAGAACACAGTTCAAACAACGCATTTAAGGAGAATCTATGACTAGGGTTTAGAAGACTAAAGATGTTACACTGCTCTCTCTACGATCCATTCTAATGGTTGGTAAGATCAGGTGCTATTAGTGACTATATAAAGGCTCAAGGAGTCAGCACACCACCATTATCTGACTAATTGCTTTGTGAAGTGCTTTTAGAAAAATTGGAACTGAAAGGCACTCCATACTACCAATTTATTTTCTGTTCTTAGTGTCAGTGATGCATGAGAGAACAGCATATTGTAAAGTGTGTTTTTCTGGTGATAATATTTTTGTCAAAGTGATGCAGATTTTAAAATACTCTCTTGCTGAAAGGTACAGACTTATCATCTGTTTTTCCTGATGTGAAGTTTATCTTCTGGATATTGATTTCTTCAACTTTCTTCACTCAGATAAACTAGTGTTTTTTTTTGGCACTTGCCTGGAATTTAAAAGAAGCTAAAAAGAGTACATGGATTAATTTCAGTGGTTGAATTAACTGAGAAGTTTTGCTTTTGGTGATTTCAGGGTTTTATAATCCTATTTTAAGAGCATTCTCTACTTTAATCATCTGCATGATAAAATAACTAAAATATTTAAGGAAAAAACACTGCTACAGTTGCATAGAAATGTTTATAGGTCCCTTTTATAAAAAAGTATAAAAATATAATGTTTGTTTCTCATTTCTTTCAAACAATTAAATCAATTTTATTATAGACTTACTACAATCCTTTGCTGTTTAAAAAAATTTGCAGAAATAACATGGAAAAAGTAAGCTTAAGCAAGAACAAAGTGCATCAATGCAACATGCTCCCTCCCCAGTCGAAAGACTATGAAATAAAAGCAATCATGGCATATGCTTGCTGCTCCTTTATTATAATTTTCATTTATGAACAACTTACTTGCTCTTAGCTGAAATTTCCTCAGTAGGAGGAATAACAGCGCACTTGTGATTTCAACATGAAATATTCCTTGTTTGGCTTTTTGCTCATTGCCAGTATTTTTTTTTTTATGAAGGAAAATTTTGCTTAAAATAATGTCTCATCATTTCACATTTTTAAAAGTTTTTCCTAATGAATGAAGTTTGGCTTTTGACCTCAATTTCGGTATCCAGGTAGGGAGCTACACCAAAAATGTTCTCATGCTGTTTTTATTTAAATTCCCTGAACTCTTGCCCTGAGCTTATTTCATTTATATTCCAAGTCTCCTCTAATTGTGAATCTAGTTTAGCATCACTAATGACTATGTATTCCTTGACGCTCAAATTCACTGAGTCACTCCATTGGGATCCTTCTATTGTTGTTAAGGAGATGAGGAGGTAAAATAAGGCAGAATGAGAAACATAGGAGCCCCCTACTTTGTTTGGAAATGATTTTATGAGATTTAAAGTTTTAAAAATATGTGTTATATTAAGATCAGTATGTCGTTTCCTTTTAAAATGAGTACAAGGATCTTTTATTTATGCAGCACCTTTCTTCCCTAAGGAGTGTTACAAACTATACAAACTATACAGAGTGCAGAAATCACTTGACCCACCACTGGAGTAGAACAAAGCAGCTGTTTAACAGATCACAACAATACTGCAAAATCATTTAAGAAAAGAATTCAATGAGAAAGTACAGCATCCCAAAGAATCTATAGGGAGAGTCAGAAAAAGCAGACTACAGTCTCTCAACTTAGAATTTAGCTAGGATATTCAAGCCAAACACTTCATTCCATTTTTTTCCCCTTAAAAATTGTAGTGCCTTTGATCCAGTGATTGGTATCTAGAAATTTAAGTGTTTCTATCACATGACATCTCCTAGACCTAGTCCCTTGGAAATTACTTGTCTAGAACTGATCCCCCCCACCACACACATACACACAAATTCCACTTAATGACTTGCAATCTTCACTCTTCTAGTGTACCTGCCTTCCTACCTTCATGTATCCTTTCCAAACACAGTCCTAGTCAACATTAGCAATATTGCAACACATATGTTATTTAAAACCCACAGTGGCGGAGTTGTAGCTTATCAAAAGCCTCATAAATATGAACAGGCACACACTTAAGACATCACTGCAAGATTAGAAAAAATTTAGAGATATTCAATGAAGTTAAGTAAATAATGTAGTAGTAAAATAAACCTAGTATGCATCATTGATTGGTTGTTGCTTCTTTGTTTCTGATTACAAAAGGGTATACTTTAATTCATATTATACTGCAGATCTTTCTGAACTCCAGAATATGATCTATTCATACTTGACACGTTGATGATGTAGTCTGTTTTCTCAATTTGTAAGTGTTGAACAGTCCCATTTCATTTTACATAATTCTATAGAAACTACTTCTACAAAGAAAAAATGTAGGCTTTGAAGTCAGATTACAGTTATTTTTTTTTCCATCTGGCAGGTTTGAATCATCACTGTCTCTAAAAGGATTAATTTCTTTTGTTCCAATTTAAAGCAACAATTGCCAGCATCTTGAAAAGTATCAATTATGTGGGAAAACAGCCATGAGCAGAACCATAAGAAAACAGTTAACCTTCGTCTTTAGAGTAACTGTGATGCCACTAATAATTCCATTTTCTATGTTCCCAAATATCTAATGACCCTCCTTTTTAAAAATCTAATACTCTATCCAAGAAAAGGTAATCACATTTAGTTTATATGTATAAGAAATGATAATGAAAAAACATTCATATTCACTGAAATTTTATTCGATTTACAGTTATTAGTGAAGCTACCAGTTGTCTAAAATTCTTAAAGGTAATGTACTTGGGCATTTTAAAGCATGCTATATTATTATTAAAAACAAATTATAAATATGAAAGTGATGACAATTGCAATTTCTGTTAAAGTAATTATAGCATGTAACTAATTCATCTAATTCTCACTGACTTCTCTTATGTACCTGATCAATTCCAAGATTTGGATATGAAGCACTGAGGACAGTCTTGGGAATTACTGAGCTCTACACAAATTTTGCCATTTTTATTATACTATCGTTTTCTTTAGTTGCATAAGTAATTGTATAAATTACTTTAGTTAGCATAAGTAATTTGAATGAAATTTCAATAAAATGTCAATAAAATAGCTATTTTGTTTTGTTGGCTTAGGGCTAAAGATAAGAAAGATTTGATGTTGCAATTGCTTTTGGATATTTTATTAGTACAGTAGCAATTGTTCATAAATACAGAGTGAAAATAATAATGCAATTTTGATACAGATGTGAGAAGACTCTAGACCAATATTTTGTATCTAATATGTCTCAGCTTCCTTTAAGTACTTTACCACATTTCATTTCACAACAACATTATCAAGAAAATATTATTTCCATATTTAGATAAAGGAAATGGAGCAGAAAGTGATTCAGTAACTTGCCCAGGTCACATGGTTATAAGTGATAGATCAATATAGCTAACTCTAAGATCCTTTCTATTAAACAATAATATTGGTTTGGTGAATAATATGCTCATATAATTTCAAACTTTCAAAGCAGAGTTTACACAAAAACTTGAAGCTTAACTTTAGTTGTATGAAACCCCAGGGTTTCATAGAAGGTAACTTGAAAACCATAATAGATAGCATCTTATAAAAAGATGCTTATTGTGTGGGCACAGTAAAACTTTCCTTTAGCACTTTCAGTCCTAGCAAATAAGGCTTCTCTGTGACTATGCTAATTTTATTTTCCTTAGCTATATGTGAAGTCAGCGGAGAACCTTATTTCAAGGGTGCATCCAACATGTGTTATAGGCCAGCCATAGACTTTAGAAAGAGAGTATTAATGAGCTCATAATATATCTGAACCTATTTATTAGTAATGTTTTTCATGATAATATTTTATTCATATCATGAAATTCAATTATATAAATATTTATTAATAGAAAGTATACCCCCCATGGATATTAAGAACATGGAATTTAAGGTCCC
The DNA here is from genome assembly GCF_000001405.40 of Homo sapiens. NCBI lineage: Eukaryota > Metazoa > Chordata > Mammalia > Primates > Hominidae > Homo > Homo sapiens. The sequence goes on from NC_000012.12 coordinate 79,005,369, forward strand.
ACAAACCTGGATTGCAATCTCAGTTTTCCTTTTGCTGGCTCTAGATCTAGGACAAGTAATTTTAATTCACTCATCTACAGTTTCCTTATAGGAAAACTCAGGCCAATAATAATGTCTATCTCAGGGCTGTTGTACATTAATCATGTATTAAATTAGATAGTATATGTAAAACACTTAATGGGATATCTGAGTATAGGAAGCCCTTCAGAAGTGATTTTATTATTTTTGCATATATAATAGCATTATTAGTGATAGATACTAGACATGGTCCTTAATATTAAATAGACACGGCCCCTACATAGACATGTAGGTTATGGACTGAAAAGAGAGGCAGTTAAACAAGCATTGGCCATGCAGTTTACTAATTACCAAGCCAGAAAAGAATTAAAATTGTCAGAGTTCCAAAAGCTTTCACTGAGTTCAAAAGTAATTTCAAGTTGAGAACTGGTCCCATTGAAGGTATATATGTCATGAGGGCCCCAGTCTAAACTCACATTTTCAAATTGTCCTTCCCACCATGGAAACACTTCAACACTCATGGGTTAGAATCAGATACCCAAAGGAGTATTGCCATTTGGATAGGCGCTCTGTTTGCCTACATTTCTTTTCCCTAATTGTTTTGCATTGAAAGTGTTTGGTGCACCTTTTAAGATGCCAAAAGACCACAGGCCTCATCTCCTAACAACCAGATGTGACTGTGAATAAAAAGTTTAGAGAGGCTTCTCATTCAAGGTTTTCTTCTAGGGAGGACCAAAATCTTGAAATTGACTAAAAATACAATTTCTATTTTAGCTTAGAGAGGACATGATGGCATTCATTACTTTCAGGATTTCCTGTCTCTGGCAGGCCAACTTGTGACCATGTATGAAGATCACTTATATCAGGTTTGGGAATTAAAGTATTAGATTCGGTCATCAAAGGAATGCTTGGTTAAGACTAGCCAATGGATCAAGTGACTCCTGTATGGCTGAAATTGCCAAGGCCAAAGAGTGGCTAGTATGTAAGAAGTGGTTCCCATAATATGTTGTCATTGGAATGCTCTATGAGGGGAAAAAGCAGAAGCAGCAGTGACTGTAAATGAGGTCTAGACAACAGGTGCTTTTCTTGAGAAACTGGTCATGTTACTAAGAATGATGATGATGATATATATTTGGCTTTTCTTATCTTTTGGCAGTCAGTAGGGATAAGTATTTGGTGCCATCTTCTGAGAGCCCCTGAAATGACATCTGTCCCATCTGTTTTATTTATTTGTGTGTGTGAATTTTTTCTTTTGTTTTGGGTTTTGTTATCTGAAATATACTATGTAGGATCGTTAGATATTTGTGAGAAGATATTCTCGGAAAGCTTCAGAGCTTTGCGTAGTAAGTCTGATTGCAATGGGGGAAAAGGGGAGGATCCTGCAACACAGTTCCTGCTTTCTCCACTATCAGCCATGCTGATGCTTTTGGCAAAATGCATTATGATCACACTTAATTCCTTTGAAACACAGTTTGTTAATGGGTAATTAAGATGTCTTGCATTGATTATTGACTTTGGTTGATATATAGCTCCTGATATTTCTTGCTTTGTAAATTTTTTCCAGCCACTAGCAGAGTTCTAAAGAAAGAAGTAGGTCTGTATCCTTACAAATATACCCCTAAGCTCTCTGCCCATTAACATTTCAGTTTATAAGTGTTTTCAATGTGAAACTATTCACAGTTACCTTGTTGGCCATTTTTCAGCAAAAGGGCCACTCCTGCTGCTGACAGGCATGACAGCCAGCCAGGAGAAACTGGGCATAGAGGAGAAGCAAATCTCCCCTCAAAATTATGTGAGGGGAAATTATATGACTAAATATAGCAACTGTTTAAATTCATCCATAATTCAAGATTTTATCAAGTCCCTCCTCCTCTGTGATGCTTCGTTAAGTACTCCAAGCCATGTTGACCACCTTGTCCTCTGGACTTTCATGGCTCTTAGTTTATTCGGGTATTTAAAATGAAAAGTAAGACACATTAGTCATTGAGCACATGGAAACTATTTTCCTAGAGGGTGAAAACATGCATGTTTTATGTGATTATTGTATTTTTTTGTAGTCAGCTTCATTACCATTATTAGGAGATTATTGCCTGGATCAGTCCTGACCAAAGCTGTTTAACCATCATGTGGTAATAACAGTACTGCAGGAACTTGATGCCCTTAAGGACCTCTATGTCAAATATCTAGAATTTACTTTTTCTTAATTTAATAGATCATTTGAACTCAGAAGTTAGTGAACGGTTAATTTGGGAATGGAGGACAAAAGCTAGATCATACTTATACCCTTTTTTGTTCCCATACGTCAACCTTCATTTCCTGGGAGGTGTCAAGAAAAGGCTTTGGGAGCAGAAGGTGAATAGTAGATTTGAGAGCTCAATTCTCATTAGAGAGGTAATGAAATAATTTCAGTGCAAAAGTTCATCAAAGGCAGAAGAGTATGTGGGAAGTAGATTCTGAGATAGGAAATGCATGTGGATAAAAAGTATGAGTAATGGCCCCCTTCAGTCATTCGGCATTCAACTACAAATGCTTTCTAAGTGTCTGGCACTGGTTTTAGGAAGCACTTGGAGATATAGTAATAAATATGTTAGCCAGGATCACTGCCCTCAAGGAACTTATACTCTAGTGAAATAAAAAAAAGAAAATAACCAATATGCCTATAAATAGTGATTACTGTGGTGAGGGGAAACATGAAGATAAAAAGGGAATAATGAGTAGTGACTTGGGAGTAGAAGGTCCATTTGTATAGCATGGTCAGAGAAAGGCTGTCTGAAATGGTCACCTCTTAGTTGAAACCTAAAGAATAACAACCATCCTGGAATATCTGAAGGAAGAGGGCTCCAAGCAGAGGATTCAGCATGTGCAAAAGTCCTAAGGCAAGAGTGACTCTGGTTTGTTCTAGGAGCAGATAGAAGTGTATGGCTGGAATTTAGTAAAAAGAAGAAGAGAGGATTGGATGAAATAGGCATGACCACAGCATGTAGAATCGTATAAGCCATGACAAGTGGTCGGACTTAATTCTAATTACAATAATAAGCCACTGAGATGTTTTCAGCAGATAAATACTATGATCCCAGATATATTCAAGAAATTTACTCTGGCTATTGGGTAGCATATTGACTATAGGGAGAAAAGATAAGAGTTAAGAGAGTGAAGAGAATAATGGAAGTGATTTAGACTATAATAGTGGCTGTGAGAACGATATGAAGTAGTTAGATTTGGACCACTTTTTGGAGACAGAATAGATAGGTTATGATAATGTAGAGAGTGAGGGAAAGAACAGAATCACAGATGATTTCCAGGATCCTGGAATCAGCAGTATGTTGGATACGTAAGGTGCTCCAAATGCCTTCTCAGCCACCTCCCTTTGCTTATTCCTGCTTTTTGCTAGCCTTGTTTTCCTGCCTAATGTCCTTCTGGACAAGTGCCCCCATGTCTTTTCTCCACACCGTGTCTAGCATAGCTTGAAGTACACAGCAGGGGATCAATTAAAACTCCATGAACTGATTTTCTCTACTACCTAGAAAAGAAAATATGATTCAAGAACAATTTTCTTCTATAGGAAAAACATTTTGGTAAAATTTATAGAAACTTTAGCTTTGCTCTAACCATGTTTATGGTTCCAAGATTACTTGGAACATGATTGTTCCATTTAGTGGCCTTCCATCAAATTTAAAATATGAGTTGTTCACTTTCATTACATGTTTAACTTGCACGAAGATACCTCTTTTTGTTATTATGTGACAACTTCTGTTGTGGCTGTTATGAAATACAAAACAATATTTTAAGAGCTCTATAAATGGTTAGTACTTTCTATGAGAAAAAAGTCTCTATGATTACTGTGTATCGTATTTTCCTACACTAATACTTTAAATCTTAGTGACTTCACCATTTAGATAAAGAGCCCTCTGGTTTTTGTTTGTTTGTTTTGTTTTGTTTTTGAATTCCAATTATTTATGTAAGGCCATACACTCTGTGGATTGTCAAAAGCAGTAGGCAAACCTACTTTCAGTCTTCCCTGACCTCAGAATAATCTTTGGTTGTCTGCATACTTCCTTATGGATGAGCATTGGCAAATGCAAATCATAGCTATTAATATTAAATTATAGGTATTAAGTTCTTACTTGCTCCCTGGTACCATGATAAACACGTGTATGTTTTATTTCACTTAATCAATGGAAATACCCTATGAAGTAAGTAACATAATTATCCCCGTTTTACTGATAAAGACTGAGGCTTAGAAAGGTTAAACATTGTGCCAATATCATCTAGCTGTTCAACTAGAACTGAAATGAATAAAAGTCTACAACTCACATTCTTAACTGTTTAGATTTTCAGCATTTTGAAATTTGATGTGCTTTCACTTGCATCTCTTCTTTGTTTCCCCATCAATATCAATTCCATTTGTTTCATTATCATCCTATGTTTCCTTTCTTTTATTTTTGTTTCTGAATCTAGATTTGGTGCTTTTCTCCACAGGTACTTTGAGCTTAGCACAGACGGCATCCTCTATGTTTCATGGCACTTTCCCCTCATTGCTGTCACTGTTCTCTCTCCCAGATTCACAATACTGAGCTCTGATAATATTTCCAACATTTCTTACTTGCCTTTCAGTGTCTGTGAATGGAATACTGCTATGTGAGTCTGAGGTTTGTACTGGAGGTTTTATGGGTTTCTTGTTATTGCTAGATGAATACTGTAGGTTATTACTATTACTGTAGGTTAATGTTTCTTTATCCTGTTCTTTCAATATCTTCCTAGTATGATGGAGAGAGAGGTTGAAAAATCAATAGAATTAGAATTGAAAAGAGACCATGACAAGATGAAAATTGGATAGAAACAAATTGAATGATTTTTTTTCCAAGTTGAAGTTCAAGATTAGAGTAAAGAGGTGTCTCCAGCTTCTCTCAGAAAATAAAAGGTGGGGAATGTCTCACATGTATCTATCACATGCCCTTTTCTCACTTTGGTTGCCTACTATGGAATCCTCCACTTCATTCTGAACAAATTCTCCTCTCAAAATGTTTCCTTATGTGTTCACAGCAGGGACCAAGCTGTTTGTAGTAGTATTTCCTACTGCCTCCCTTGATGAAGACCGCACCTCTTTATATGAAAGTGGGGAGAGGAGGTATCTATATTTTATCCCCTCACTTATTAAATAAAGCCCACTACACTATTCCCTACTATATTTTTTAAATTAAACCTGGATTCCTGATTTAAAATTTCAATTCCTCCTATAATGCCTCCAAAACACCCAGATCTTCTGATCTTTTGATTCTCACTGATTATGCCTTTGTTCCTTCACTACAGACTCATAAAGTCCTGTCCTGCTATCAGTTTTCAAGTCATCCCTATGGAAGTTCAAAATTTTTTCTAGAGGTCATCCTAATCATTTCACCTTTCTATCTGTATTTTCATTATTCATTTTATGAAGACAATTTTCTTCTAAAGCTAGATCCTCTAATTGTACCCTTCATTTTATATTTACCTAATTCCTGAGCAATCTTGCTCCCATAAGAATGTTGTCGTTTTCCAAACCTATTTTATTTCCCCTCAAAGGGAAGGAAGGACAGAGGTGTCTTGGTCTAGAATTGTACCTGCAGAGATGGTGAGAAATAGCCAGATTTAGGTCATTATGCCAATCATTGTTGAGAAGTTCTTACAGAATTTGCGTTCTATTTCTTAAAAGAAATAATGGCTAAAAGGTTGCATTAGAATATAATATGAAACTTTACTCGAAATAATATAATGTCATTAGTGAAGAGGAAGTTAAGGAAGAGACCACAGTCTTCAAGTAATGGAAACATTTATTTAACATTTACTGCATATTTTTTCATGCAATAAGTATTTATTAATTGCTAGGTACTCTGCTAGATATTAAAGATTCTCTTGAGCATACAATAAACAATATCTCCTTAAGTTTACATACCAGCTTAGAAGAAGGATAATTAATCAGTTTATTACAAGGAAGTGTGATGAGTGACCAGATTGGGAAATTACAGAGAAATATGCAAATTTATAGTAGGGCATTCCATCTAGTCAAGAAGGAAATAACATTTCATCAGAGACCCTAAGAATAAATAAGAGTTAATCCTATCATAATATTAAGGAGAGAAAGTTGAAAAAAACTGTCCCTGACCTCTAAGAACTTACAACACAGGAATCTATATGCTTTCTGAAAGATCTTGCTAGAAATAGTTCAAATAAACTAGGGAAGAATTTTTAAAACAATAGCTGCCAATTTTGCTCTTAACATTTTCCAGAGATTTGTAAAAAAAAAAAAAAAAAAAACACCTGTGACCAATCACCATTTTAAACCTCCTGAATTAAAATTTCTGGGAGTAGATCCTGGGAATCTGCATTTTATAAGCTCCCTGGGTGTTTCATATATATATGAATAATTAGGAAACTTTGCCTAAAATATAAACATAGGTTTTCTTAAGAACCATCTGTGGGTGTTTTAGGCCTGGCATGGTGGCTCACGCCTGTAATCCCAGCACTTTGCGGGGCTGAGGCGGGTGAATCACCTTAGGTCAGGAGTTCAAGACCAGCCTGGCCAACATGGTGAAACCCCAACTATACTAAAAATACAAAAATTGGATGGGCATGGTGGTGTGCACCTGTAGTCCCAGCTACTCGGGAGGCTGAGGCAGGAGAATTGCTTGAATCCAGGAGGCGGGAGCAGTAGTGAGCCGAGATCAGCCCACTGCACTCCAGCCTGGGTGACAGAATGAGATTCTGTCTCAAAAAAAAAAAAAAAAAAGGGAGAGAATCATCTGTGGTGTATTATATCTGCATACTCTCAGGCTGTACCTGAGAACCTGGAATTTGTAGCGGTAAGAGGTCCAGACTCTATTTTTGGGAATCAGCACAGTCAGTGCTGGTTGAGGAGTAGACAGACCACACATGGTAACTGAGAACTCTGAAGTTTCACCACCATATTATCTATTACAGAAGACAACTGTGGACTAGACACTGATTTAAGTTTTAGAGGCAGATTGGATCCAATCACCTGGATGATATCTTACTTTTTGACCATACATAGCACAAACCATCTCTTACTCAAGCATAATTGAGCAGGTACTATTCTGGTATACAAAAGGCAAACACTTCTTTGTTCACAAAAATGTAAGTATATGTAGAGATTTCAATAAGTAAGGAGAGAATCACTTTTCCAATTCTATTATTTGTTATTGTGGTGCTTCTGGGATCTATGTGGTCACGTCACCATTATATAGCTCTTCCTTTCAAAAAGAGCTGAAGGGAAAATTTATTATAATATTTCCTGGTTCCTTGTGAAGTGTGTAGGCAAAAACAGCCAGCTGTCTACAAACAAGTGTTCAATGCTTCTGAAAACAGGAGAGTGCACCCTGTCGCTGCTCCCTGTGCCTCTTTCCGGACTGCCACTGCTTTGTAGTCAGAATGGCATTTTCCTTCTGTGGTTTCTCATTATGCTTTATGATGAGGTAATGTCCTTAATGTGGCTTGCTGTGCTTTCTGGGACGTACCCCAGCCCACCTCCAGATGCATCCACCCTCTTTCTTTGCTTCATTAACTGTGCCATGCTCCTTTCTACTACAAGGCCCCTCCTCCCATGCAGTCCCTTCTACCTGGAGGTCTGTGCCACCTCTGCTTGCTTCCACACCAGCCTAGCTAACACTCGTCTTTCACATGTGAGCTCAGGAGTCACTTACCAAAGAAGCCTACCTTGATTCCCCATCAAGGTCAGTTATTAAACACTATTTCTATCTTGTAGAGTGCACTTCTCTGTTTGTTTTTGTATTCTCTTTCATGAGTTTATTTGCTTAATATCACCTTAACTAGACTGAATGCAGGGATTGTGTGTTGGTGTGTGTGTGTGTGTTTACCATATTGCCTAAGCATAGTAGGTATTTCATAAGTATTTGTTGAAGAAGTGAATGAGGGTTTAAAACACTTTGAGAGCATCAGGTCTATGATTTCAGTTCACTGAGTGGGTTCATCAAATAATTGTTCAATATTTGCTATGTACTGAGTCCAGTAATGGGCACCAGGAACTCCAAGAGGGATTAACTGTTTATAAACTGTAACTACAACTTGCACACTGAATTTTAGCCAACTCTCTTACAAGTAGATGCTGTTGGAGCACCCATTTGTATAAGCGGTAGCCCTTTCTCACTAACTCATCTCCCCATCTTCTCTGCAAGCATCTGAAGCATATTTCACTATATTTCCTGCGTTTTTTCCTCTATAACACCTAGGAGGTCTTAATAAAAATATCCAATCCAGTCCAGTTATAGAAAACAAAGCAAAAACATCAGATAGGTTCTTCATTTACTATATAAAGCCACTTTTATTCTAGATAGTTATAGAATGTAAAGGCTAAGAGAAAACATTAGAAGGGTAAGCTTATGAAGGTTTTCTTCATGTAAGACCAAGATTCTATCATTATGTCCATTTTGTTAGAAAATAAGCCTTCAGGCCGGACGCCGTGGCTCACGCCTGTAATCCCAGCACTTTAGGAGGCCAAGGCGGGCAGATAATGAGATCAAGAGATTGAGACCCTCCTGGCCAACATGGTGAAACCCCGTCTCTATTAAAAATACAAAAATTAGCTGGGCATGGTGGTGGGCGCCTGTAGTCCCAGTACTCGGGATCATGAGGCAGGAGAATCGCTTGAACCCAGGAGGCAAGGGTTGCAGTGAGCTGAGATTGTGCCACTGCACTCCAGCCTGGCAACAGAGTGAGACTCTCTCCAAAAAAAAAAAAAAAAGAAAAAAAAAAAAAAGAAAGAAAAAGGAAAAGAAAATAAGCCTTGGGTATTTTTGACAACTTCTAATGAAAAACCAGTTCAAATATTTTCATCAGTAACAAGTCTCATAGTTAGTACAATTTATTTTTTCTGAAATTTAACCTGAAACCTATGTTCAGATATGATTCCCAGTCTTTTCAAATACTTTATACTATTTAGAATAATGTTTAGAATTCTTCCCTTTAACCATTCCATATCATGCCTATTTTAGTGCAAATATTTCTTCTCTTTGAAAATGCATTCTCAAAAGAAGACATTTATGCAGCCAAAATCACATGAAAAAATGCTCACCATCACTGGCCATCAGAGAAATGCAAATCAAAACCACAATGAGATACCATCTCACACCAGTTAGAATGGCAATCATTAAAAAGTCAGGAAACAACAGGTGCTGGAGAGGATGTGGAGAAATAGGAACACTTTTACACTGTTGGTGGGACTGTATACTAGTTCAACCATGTGGAAGTCAGTGTGGCGATTCCTCAGGGATCTAGAACTAGAAATACCATTTGACCCAGCCATCCTATTACTGGGTATATACCCAAAGGACTATAAATCATGCTGCTATAAAGACACATGCACACGTATGTTTATTGCGGCACTATTCACAATAGCAAAGACTTGGAACCAACCCAAATATCCAACAATGATAGACTGGATTAAGAAAATGTGGCACATATACACCATGGAATACTATGCAGCCATAAAAAATGATGAGTTCATGTCCTTTGTAGGGACATGGATGAAATTGGAAATCATCATTCTCAGTAAACTATCGCAAGGATAAAAAACCAAACACCGCATGTTCTCACTCATAGGTGGGAATTGAACAATGAGAACACATGGACACAGGAAGGGGAACATCACACTCTGGGGACTGTTGTAGGGTGGGGGGAGAGGGGAGGGATAGCATTAGGAGATATACCTAATGCTAAATGATGAGTTAATGGGTGCAGCACACCAGCATGGCACATGTATACATATGTAACTAACCTGCACATTGTGCACATGTACCCTAAAACTTAAAGTATAATAATAATAAAATAAAAAATAAAAAAAGAAAATGCATTCTAAAACTTTGATATTAAATGTAAGTTAAAAGTTTCAAAGCTAAACTTGCACTCTAATATAAGCTTATGCTGCATAGACTGGACTCCAATTTAAATATGTTTGTAATATTGTCCTTTTGTTTTAAGTAATAATAAGTAACCAACTTTTTTATTTGTTTTTCCTATTTTTATAGGTGTGCACATCAATTTATACCATATATTATCTCTTTGACAATTTGTTTTATCTGATTCATATTGTTGATGTCTGTATCACTTACTACTTTGCTAATGATTTAAACTAGAAGAATCAGAGCCTAAATAGCCAGAAAAATAAAAGTTTATGCATTAAACATATTCATATAAAAAAGATATGCAGCCAGAATATTTCGGTCTAATGGACCGAAGTAAATATAATCGCTCCCTATTTGCTTAAACGAATCCAAAATACCTAGTTGTCAAAACAGTTCTGAAGTTCAAATGAAAGCAATTTGTTTAAAGGCTTATGTGAAAGACACAGTAATACTCTTATGCCATCATGTTTATCCTTTATATCAATAAACTTCCATGTACATACCTATTTAATGTATTCTGCTAGTGTTTATTTTTGCCAAGCTAGGTAGGCCAGGATTATCTACACTTCTTATAAATGAAAAATCTGAGGTAAGGGGAGGTTAAATGACTTTGCCAAGGTTGCACAGTGAGTCCACAGCAGATCTAAGATGAAAACAAAGTGTAATGAGCCATGGTGCCTCCCTTCCTGGAAAATAATTTATCAAGCACTTATCCCAAATCAAGATTAATAAGGTCAGATGATAACTTTTCCTTCACTGAAACACATTCAGCTAATACAACTGAGATCTGTTTAAGTTACCATTTCTAAATTTTGTGTGTAATGAATCGCAAAGAGAAAGACAGTTAAAAACAGAAGTTCTTTCTGTTCTCTAATAATATCAAAGGTTTCACATCTTTTCACTATCACAGCATCTGTGTGAGGTAGGACATGTATAGTGAATTTATCACACCTATCTCCAGATAAAAGCTCAAAAGAAAAATAGGTCTATGGCTCTTCAATGCTCTGATATCATACGTGTTTCTAGAATTAAGGCTGTGTCTAGTGTGTTTCCATAAGCATTATGCTTTCCTTTGGAGTCACATGGTTCCTGTTTAAACAGCTGTCCTCAGTGCAACTGCTTTCATACTGGTTGTAATTATACTTCAAATGAAAAACATTGTTGCATTGTTATTTATAAATTGGGGAGGGAGAGCAACTTAAACTACATAGAGGTTAGTTTTTCAGATCTGGAATCAGTTAAATTATTTACTAAGGGCGCCAGTGTCAGAAAGATTATCCTCTGGTATATTTATACATTTAAAGGGGAAAAACTCAATTACAAAATCCCTGAGCATTAAATGGGTAGCAATGCTTACTGCAACTTAATTTGAAATGGATTTTTAAAACTGGTGGAAGTTGTTACTAATGATGTCATGGAGGAGGCATGGTGATTAAGTTAATGTTCAGTATATGCCCAGGATTTAAATATCTGCATTTGGTCTCCCATTCAGTTTGTAACAGTTTAATAAATAACTACCAACAAGGTATAAATTTGGGAAAATTGTTATTTTTTATTTGAAATGTAGTGTAGTTTGATGGATGAAGGCCACCATAAATCCACTCCACTATGTACTAACTATGATGATTTTGGGCATTTTAAGAGGCAAAGCATTGGTCTGTTTAATTATCTGCTCCTAGATATGGACAAGGGGCTTATTGTGTTTACACAAATTTTCTTACATCCATCACTTATTGACCTATTAGAAATCCCTGGTGGGAATGGAGAAAAATATAGTGACTCCCTAATATTCCACAAGATTTCCAAAGGTGGCTTTAAAAAACAACCTCAAGTCAGCTACCTGAGAACTGGGAAGTTCTCTGCTTTATGATAGGTAGATATTCACTTTAAGAAAAATATGACTTCAGATCAGGAGACAAGAATATTAGAAATAATTGTAGTACATTCATTTTATACTTACTTGTATTAGGCATTTATTTTATATCAAGCATTATGCTAAGTGTTAAGAATAGCAAAATAATTAATCATAGTCTTTGTCTTCAGTGAGCTGTCTAATAAAATAACCAAGCATGTAAGCAAATAACCACAATGTAATGGTAGAGTCTCTAATTGAGACACATAGATCAACAAAGAAAAATTAACTAGGATAGTTCAAAAATATAACAGAGATGTTACTGAAGAGATAATTGTTCAATGATTTTTCAAAGTATTTTATTTACCAACAAACTGATAGATGAGGAGGGGGTTGTGAGCAATGTGTGTGATACAAAATTAGGAAATCTAAAAGGGCATGACACATTGTGGGGAGGGGACTTCAACCTAGCCAGAACATGTAAGAGTTGGGAGCCAATGTTGGAGGAAGAGGTTGGAAATATAAAAAGAGGTTAGGCTGATAAAGGTCCTGCATGCTCTGCTAAGTAATTTCAGGAAGCAGCTGTTGAAGATTTTTGACCAGAAAATTGACATGATTAGATTGTACTTTGATAAAATGTCTCTGTCAACGAGGAAATAAATAGATAGAAAGAGTAACACAAGTCATATAAAGCTAGCAGCCAAGAGTTTAGTATAGAAGTCATGGCATGGTCCAGGCCAAAGGTGAAGAGGTCAGTAGGGATGGTTTAAAAAGACTGGTTTGAAATAAAATTGTTTATTTTGGTTAGAAGAGTAGTGTGGCATGGATGGCAATGGATAATGAGGACAAAGAAGGACATGAAGAGCAGATCTAGGTTTAGGGCAAAAGACAATTTTTCTTAAAAATTGTGCACTGTTCACAATAGCAAAGACTTGGAACCAACCCAAATGTCCAACAATGATAGACTGGATTAAGAAAATGTGGCACATATACACCATGGAATACTATGCAGCCATAAAAAATGATGAGTTCATGTCCTTTGTAGGGACATGGATGAAGCTGGAAACCATCATTCTCAGCAAACTATCGCAAGGACAAAAAACCAAACACCACATGTTCTCACTCATAGGTGGGAATTGAACAATGAGAACACATGGACACAGGAAGGGGAACATCACACACCAGGGACGGTTGTGGGGTAGGGGAGGGGGGAGGGATAGCATTAGGAGATATACCTAATGCTAAACACGAGTTAATGGGTGCAGCACACCAACATGGCACATGTATACATATGTAACAAACCTGCACGTTGTGCACATGTACCCTAAAACTTAAAGTATAATAATAATAAAAAATTGTATATTTATTAAAGTCTTTCCTCTTATATAAAACAAATTCTAAGTGAAAACCAAGTACCAAGAAAGGAAAGAGCTGCTAGAAGTGGATTTCCCTTGGTTGGATGGGCCAAACCTAAGTCCTATAAAGGCCTAAAGAAAAACATTTGCCACTTGAGGGTGGAGACTTTCTAGAGTTGGGCAGCAAGACATTCCTGGAAGAAAAGTTGCTCCTTATGGGTATCATTATTTACCTTCAGTAAGCATAAAGACTGGGTTCTTTGAGAGTTAAAGAGTTTCCTTCTAATAATTTGGGAAAGACATGTTAATCTCAGTTCCGTGAATTAGTAGTTATAAAATTTTGTATGAATCAGTTGGATTCTCTCTGAAACTCAGTTGTATTATGCTTAAAATGGGAGAATAATATCTGCCTCATAATTATTTCTAAAATTAAATGAAATAGTATAAGTAAGGTGTTTTGTATTCTGCTCAGCACATACGTAATTTGTAAATGATAGCTATTCGTCAAATTCCTATTGAAAGTAGTACATGTGTCCATTAAATTAAGGGTTGCCAAACCTCAATTTTATATTTCTTTATATCTTGTTTCTCTCCTTTATTCAATCAACAAGCAGTTTTTGAAGTGTTGTCCTGTATCAAGGGGTCACAGATTTGCTGGCTATGGTCTGACAATCTAATGGAGAGAGAGAAGTATTGTCAAATAAAGACAGTAAAATGTGATTTCGCAGTCTATAAATATATACAAATAATATTTCATTCATGAGTATTCTTTTAATGTCCTTCTTAAAATAACTTAATTTGGGGATTTGTCTTTAAAACTCTCGCAAAAATTTGAAGCCAAATTAAGTTACTCATGAGATAACTAGTTTGAATTACCATCAACATTCCAGGGTTATACTGCAAAACCTATAGATGATATAACTACATAAACCAATCTACACATTGATAATATCATAATGATAGTAATCATAATGAAGTTAAAAGTTAATGCAAACATTATATTTCAGAGTGCCTACCTACCACAGTTGCTATCTGTATAGATGTAATTATCAAGGATAATCAACATGAGAGACATTTTATTTATGATTCATCTGCCTGGTTGGTACTATGTTGGTTACTTTTAACTTCGATGGGAAAAATGACATTGGACTGGGAGGAGTTAGAAGTGAAGAAACGACCTACAGCATTTATTTATTTATTTATTTTACTAAACTCCTTTCATGTCAGAGAAACATAAAACTGCTGATTAGAGAAACCAGGAGTAAAATTTGTCAGTGAAACAAAACAAATTCTAATCAATTCTTGTTACAGTACTAAAATGCTTTCATTTTCATAACCCATTTAACAAGTAGATGTTTCCTGTGATGCAAAAATACATTTTTTTTCCTTTTCACACCTCTACAAATTGCTTTTGTGTGATACACTGCACCACAGGACACTTATCCAAAGAGCTAATGTAAAAACCTCATTTTGAGAAACAAAAGTAGTGTCAATTTATATGTCAAGAGAATGAATACTGCATTCCAAGTTGATACAGGATCTGACATTTCAAATCCAACATAAATTATTTGGAAGACTCCTGTCTTTTTCCCTGATCTCTGTATTAACAGCTTTTGTGACCTTGAATGCAAATGAAGTACAATACTAAGGATGTTCTTCATCAGTATGAATTAGAAGTTTTTTAATGTATGTTTCTGTGATCATCAGCTTATTTTCCAACATTTATTTTTTATCTCCCTAAATCAGTTTAACCAGCAGCATGTTGCGAATGTGACTCATGTCATCTGTGCCTGTGGTTAACATTATGTTGCTGCAACAAGTCCACCTGACAGATTTTTTGAGCCTAGGAAGTTGTCCATTTCAATTAACAGGATGCCCAGGACATTTCCCTGGCAGAATAATAAAAGCTCACACTGGTTCTCCTCCTCTCTGAAAAAGAAGAAAATATTATGTACTATTACCATAAAGTCAACTTTCTATTTTTGTTTGAAAGCACAGTCTTAGCAGGAAACCAATATAAACAACAACAAAAAAAGTATGTGCTGAAACTTAGAGAAGTGTGATTTCTTTATTCTCTGCATTATAGTATATGCACCAGGCATTCCTTTCTTAATTCTGTCTCTCCTGTGGAAAATAGATGGATACATCCATGAGTTTATATTGCTGCTATTGCCTGCTGTTCCCTGTCCATAGCAATAGGTCTGGGTTTTCTGTGCTCTGGAAAGAAAGCACTTTGAAGAAAATGCATCATTCTAATGTTTAAATAGCATTTACTCTATGAACTCTTTGAAGAAACCTGTGGTGTTTAATTCCTAGACCATTGCTAAGCAAGGCTACCTAATGGGTGGTAAAGTAAAAACACAGTGTGATGATGACTCCAAAGGGCTTCAAGAAGAATTTATGCAGCTTCTCAATAATACTTTAATGAGATAGGAAACTGACATTTTCTCTTAGTCAACGTTGGTGCTAAACTTTTAACAAAATTGCATTGTAAGCCATAACTCTTTTAGTCCAACTCAATTTCTCTCTGTTCTATTCTTGATAAATATTTTTAATTTTCATGTAAACCTACATCAGAAAAGAGGCCAAAAAAAGAAAACCAAACTGAAGCAAAGCTCCATTCAGCTATAAAAACATCCTTGCAAATGTATGCAGGCACTCCTTAGATATACCATTTTGTATGGTTGAGCTTCACAAACTCATCTCTGCAGCAGGCTGCACATTTGGCTAGGAGACAACTGAGTTATAAAATTGGTTTTGGACTGTTGAGAAAAGAAATGGAGCTAAAGCATAGAGATTCTATCATGAGCCTAGTAAAATAGGAACCATTTCTTTTAGTAAATTTTTCCTCTAATATTGGTTTATTGTCTTTCATAAGGGGCCTGATCATTATCAAGCTGCCTCACCCTGTTTCTCCATGCACAGTGATCCTCAATTAAAATTGTGCATATATAGATAGTGAGGAGATGAGCCTAAAATACTGAAAATATCTCCTTTCTTAAAAAAATCAATTATTACTGAAAATAGTATCATAGCATCGTACAATTGATAAATTATAGCATTATGAAAAATAATTATAAAAAAAGAACCATAGCATCATACAATTTGAGAACTGAAAGGATGATCAGTTAACCCCTCCAAAAATTATTTTAAAGATGAAAATTGCTGTGCACAAATGTTGATTTGCACCAAATCAGAAAGCTAGCTAGTATTGGAAGAATAGAAGTTTAGAAAATATATAATGCCCAAACCTAGGCTTTTTAAGAAAATAATTTAGTGTAATTCTTTTTATTTGATTTTTCAAAGAATTGAATTCTAAGCAGAAA
Source organism: Homo sapiens (assembly GCF_000001405.40). NCBI lineage: Eukaryota > Metazoa > Chordata > Mammalia > Primates > Hominidae > Homo > Homo sapiens. Next base: position 79,021,831 of record NC_000012.12, read on the forward strand.
ATTTAACTCACTCATTAACATTTTTATTCTGTTGCCAAAATAAAATTATTTTTTATATTTGTACGCCCCCTTTTTTTTGAAAGCATCTTCAAATCTATTATTTTTGTCTTCATAGCCATTCTGTAAGTTAGCTATAAAAATTTCTGATTTACTTTTTTCCCACTGAGGACAGTGTAAAACAGAGATAAACTACAACATTTCTAAGTTCACAAATCAATGTCACTACAGACATTGACTATATAATTATGAGTGCCAATGAATTTGCGGAAGAAAAAAAAAAGAGGAAACTTACTTTCACTGAATACAAAGTTATTTGTGCTGAAAACTATTGAGAGAAGTTTTATATTTATTAGGTAATTATCTGTGGAGAGCCATTATCTCAATTTCCCAAACAACAGACTGAGTCTCTTAGATAGGGTAAATAATTCAACTGAGGCTTTAAAACTGCTTGGAGACAAAGGTGGGATTCAAACTCAGTATTGTTACTCCAAAACAACTACATGGTCTGCTACGTCAGTGGCTCTCAAAGTATGATCTGGGTACCTGTAGACCCCAAGACGTTTTTAAAGAAGATTCTAGGATTAAAACTATTTTCATTATAATACCATTTAAAATCTCATTCTCTAACAATTGTACACTGGAGTTTTCTAGAGGTTACCTCCAGCTGCTTGACTGAAGAAGCAGAGTCCATCTGTTTTCTCTTAAATCAAACATTTAATAAGATTTGCAGATACAAAAAATAATGTCATGCTTCTTATTATTTGTTTTGTTTTGGAAAATTGTTTTAAATATATTAATTATGTTACATGTTAGAGGTTTATTGTTTATTTTAAAATAAATTAATTATATTTTTATTTTTTACTTTTAATATCTAGTAGGTTATATGTCTGTAGATGCAGCTCACACACATAAAACCTCTCATGCATCCTTAATTTTTAAGAGTATAAAGGAGTTCTGATACAAAAAACATTTTGAGAACTGTGCTAAATTAAGCTTCTTTACTGAGTAAAATTGGAAGCTACAATATACAGCAAAACAACCCAGGATCTAGCTTTCGAAAGACAAGCAAATCTCTGTGTACCTTAGTTTTAGTGCTAGAAATAACCTTTAGATAAAATCTTGCTTCCATGCCGGTTTTTTATTTAACTTATCCTAGAAATAAATCAGTAATTATTGTTCTTTGCTTGGAGGTCATGAGTTATGAATTGTCACTGTAACCAGGTATTTAAATCAGACTCTTTTGACTTAGTTTGAGCAAAGGTCTAAAAAGCCAAAAAGGAAAAGATGGGTGATAAAACTTGCACGTTCCAATGTGAGGGGCTAGAGTCTCCACAGGGCTTTCAAAGACAACTTTAAAAATTGGTTTGACAATGCTGCTTCTACCTGAATATAAAAGAGTTGAAGTAGGAAAAGCCAGGTTTTTGGAAATTAAATAATTTATTTGATTATGGCTGTCATTGTGCTCTGAATCTTCATAGAGGAGGGAAGAAGAAAGCTTCTGTCTCCCACAAAACCTGAGGGGTGGGGCTTTAGAGAGACCATCTGGAGATCCTCATCTGTAACACATGACATTTCTGGGGCTCCACAGAGGATGTCTGACCCACAGCAGGAAAAGTCAAAGGTGGGGATATTGTGACTGACTCAGCCCTCAAATGGAGGAGCATGCATTGGGAGCTTCATTGAGAGCAATCTGTGCTTACAGAGACTGAGAGCCAAGAATGATGTTTCCTCTGGGACCAGATATTGAGAAACCAGCCTGTAGTCGTTGTTTTTAGTAACTTTTTATTTTTTATTATATATAACTGACAATAATACATTCATTATTATTACATAATTATATTGCATTATTTCATGCCTACAGACGTTACAAGACAAGCACAAAAATCCCCATATACTCTTTACCAAGCTTCATCAATTGTTTCTGTTATCTCATTTGCTTTATTATTCCATCTCTCTCTCTCTCTTTCTCTCTCTCTCCATGCACATTCATCACACATCCACTTTTGTTTTCTGAACTATTCACCTATAGGTTAGAGACATCATACCTCTTTACTCCTAAACACTTAAGTATGTACTTCCTAAGAATAAGCACATTTTCTTATATAACCACAGTACAGTGGTCAACATCAGGAAATTTCACATTGATGCAATAGGATTACCTAACACATAGCTGGAGTTGTTTTAAATTCTTCGCAACACTGCCTGGAAGAGCATCCTAACCTCACGGAGGGAGAGAACTGCTGTTTTCCCAAAGGTTGAAGGAGGAAGTGTGAAGGGCAAACAGATGGAAATGCATGGGGTTCTAACTCAGTCTTGAGTGTCTAGCAATGATTCTAGGAAATTGGGGCTGGAAATAGAATAGAATCATTTACTGAAGGACAATTCAAAGACGTATTTGCTGGGTAATGGGATTGAGAGAGGCGTGTGGCCAGCAAGCAGCAAGGCAAATTCGAGGATGGGTTGGAGAGCACCTATCCCAAGCTTCTGTTTGTGCCTATTGACTAATGTCAGAATTGGTGGCAGAACCCAGGGTTGTGCTGCTTCAAAAAGTAAAGCACATTTATGTTAGCTGCTGTACTCTTATCCAAATCCAGAATTTTGCTTGACAGTATGTTAATATAATGTGTAATGTATCTTTAACATTCTAGGGCTATAAACTCATTTATTCATTTAATAATCAAATATTAACTGAATGTCTACCTTGTAAAGATACCTGAGCAGTTTGTTCAACACTCATTCATTCAACAAACACTTACAGATAAGAATGATGTACCAGAGTTTCTAATTGCTAGGAAAACAGTATTTGACTAAAATGGGCAAGACCCCTGCTCTCCCCTGGAAAGTACTTTCTAGGGTACATTCTGTTGTCCTTGTTGAACTTAGCAATATCATTTCTGTAGGGGGATGCTGAAATGATGTTTTGGTATATCTGACATACTATATTTTTTATTTTTGTGATTAAGGAAAGATTTGGATTGGAGAATAACGCTAAATAAAATTTTGATCTAGCTTTGTTCCTCAGAATGATCTACTGTCTTCTTAAAGTCCTGTTTGTTGGCTACATATTTTGTTATTTTTAAATATTTTCAGGATAGCAGGTACTTTATGCTGCATTTATTGTGACCTTTGATAGTCTAAAGCAAAGCAGAACACACTTATTTAAAATGTGCTTATAAGATGCTTCTTTAGGCAAATAGAATTTATACATTCATGAGCAAAAGCTTACAGATGTATACATTAATGAACTAATTATTGTGAATACCAAGTGTTGATTTTATATCCAAAGTTCCATGTGTGTTTTTAATATTTAGGAAGTTATGATTTGTCTACAAGTATTTTGACGTGATACATGTATTAAACACTCAAGCCTGAATTCAGAGTAATTTTCCTCTGGAGGCAAGAAAAAAATTATCTGAACCATCATTAGTTTTACTTCAATGTGAATCATGACTCCACATCAACATGATTCCATTTCCCCTAAGCTGACTTTAAAACTCTTAAACTCAAAGCCAAAGCTATAATGACATTTGCTTGTTGAGCTTTATAGAAGCACTGGGAAGCCTGGAAATGATGCTTAAATTATATTGAACCTTGTTGTTTCTAGTAGCCTTTTTTAAACCATGAGAAACTAAGTTTAGTAGCTTGCTTTGGGGATATTATTTCTAGACACACAAATCTAGTGAAAAGAACTCGAAGTACACTGTGTCAGATTTCTGGCTATTATACGTTGTAGAATAAAAACATGATTGATATCTTAGGCATACACACACATATAACACATATGCATATATATGATATATGTATGTATATGTGTTTTATATATACATATATATTTCTTCTATACATATGTATATAGGCTCTGTATTTTGTTCTTCAGTACTTGTAATGTATGCATTCATATATATGTTTATGTGTGCGTGCATAATAGCTATTAAGTGGTAGCAAGTTATAAAGCCTGTTTGACTCTAGAGCTTTTTTAAAAAATACCAGACATTGTAACTGTATAAGTGACCTTTTCAGAAGGTTGGTAATATTGACAACCTCGTTGGGAAATGTGTTTTGATTTTGCTAAATAGAAGTAGATTATGTTTATATATGAATATGAAACTACTTTAAAGTGAATCTTTCCCTCAGTGCTAGATATAAGATACTGAAAATAGATATTTAAAAAGATCCTTGAAATGCAAATGCCTTTGGCATAATATTATGATAAAGCATTGTGTTTAAAGCCTGATTTGTTAATTTTATGCATCATTTATTTGAATTTTATATAATTTTTAAAGGAAATATTACTATTCAAGTGTTTTAAATCACTTCCTTTTATAATTCTAAGTTAACAGATTGCTTACAGCAGTTTATGCTTCTGTTCAAACATTTTAAAGGAAGAAGAACTTTATTAACTTGTTGGGCATAGAAATTATATCTGTTCCATAAACATGTTCCAAGTACAGTACACAGTTATTATTGCTTCTTGATGAAGGAGGAGTGCATGTCCTAGTTATAGAAATGAGGAAGTAAAGATCCAAAGAGTTAGTTGCATTCTCTGAATGTGTAATGCATTTATATATTGAACATTGGAAAAAATGCCCATTCTTATCCATTTAACATGTTCTTTCTTGATAAGAAAATGCAATTTTGCAGTTAAGAAAAGCGAAAAGTTATAACAAATAAAACACTATGCTTTTATGTTATTGGAATCACGTGGTTTATTTATTTATTGGTTTTTAGCTATTAGAATATATTTAAAGCTAATTGAAATTCCACAGAACTGGATACTGACTTGTTCCTTTTATACACATATATGTATAATATTGTGTGTGTATATACATATATATTTTATATATATATATATATATATATATATATATATATCACACTTTCATTGTCCATTCACTATCAATGGACACTTAGGTTGTTTCCATTTCTTAGCTATTGTGAATAATGCTGCAAGAAATATGAAGTGGAGATATCTCTTTGAGATACTAATTTCTTTTCCTTTGGATTTATCAAGACCACAATGAGATTTCACCTCACACCTATTAGGATGGCTACTACAAAAAAAGATAAGCGATAACAAGTGTTGGAAAGGGAATGGAGAAAAGGGAATCCTGTACATTGTTGATAGAAAAACAAATGCTACAGCCGTTATAGAAAACAGTGTGGAGGTTCCTCAAAAAATTGAAAATAGAACTACCACACAATCCAGTATAGCCCACTTGTGGATGTACTCTGCTTTATTAAGAGGACTGAGGTTCTTGCTATTTCTTGAACACAGAGAACTATCTGCTGCCTCAGGCCACTGAGCCTTCAGCTCTCTCCACCTTCTCTCCAGGAAGTTTCTTACCTGGATCCTCAGCTGAATGTCTTTCTCACTTTACTCTGGTTTCTGCTGAAATATCTTTCCAGAGACCCCTTTGCTGACCGCCTACTTTAAATAGGCTCTCCTCCCTGTCTCCTGCTTACTTCCATTAAGCTTTACCTGCCTATATTTTTCTTCATAGCCATTATTACTACCAAGAGTTATATTGATTCACTTTCTCAATGAGTCCATGAGAGTGAGGACTTCATCATATTTAACACTAGAAACACTGTCTATCATATTAAGGAGGTGTCAAAAAATAAAATGTCAATGCATATATAAGGCATATAAATATATAAGTATGCTTTTTATTATATATAAGTATAACAAATAATACATAGATATTATGTAGATATATATAAACTTGTCAAGCCCTCTGTGGAATAAATGCATTGGGCAGGTTGAAACTCGAAAGCTTTTAGGCATGTGACAACCATACATACTCGAAGCCAATTTGTGATCTTAAAAAAATTCATTTTTTTCCCAAAGAAGAAGTCAAACTAAAACATAATATTCTATGGATATTTTAATGTGGAACAATAGAAATAATTTATTTAAAACCATAAATAAGAAGCTTTATTAAGATACATTCTATCTGCAGCAATATAAAAGCATAGCACCACATCAATTATCTTGAGTTTGCTTTAAACAGATAGAGACCAGTATAGCCATAGACTTCACATCAACCACCGGCCAAATTTTCATGGTCTGATAGCCTTTCTGTGGATGGACATTTCTCCTTATACATTCCCACCTTGTGTGCATTTGAACTTGTCTGTCTCTTTATGCAGTCATATTATGGACTGATAAAGATCTCCACATTTGATCAGATTAAAGGGGAAAAAGAGGATATTGAATATGACCAAATCCATAAGATGAGATTATCAATTGCTTGTTCAAGTAATATTGTAAAAACACGTGGTTAATTTTGTCATCTCAAAGGTATTTCTATGGTGAATGTGTTCAAAAACCAGAAAAATCACATACTGTGTACTGAAAGCCTCTTCAAATTTTCTGTCTGTCGAGTTATTTTTTGTGTTCTACTAACCCTGTCAGACCTTATCAGATATTTCTTCACTTCAATACAAATCTGTTTTTAAGCATAATCTTCTCTTATGTTACTGTTCTTCTAAAATTTTAAGTGTAAATGCTGCAGAATAATGCATGTTGCTGACTAATCTAATACTATAGAAGTTCAAAATTCAAAACACAGAAATAAAGGAATATTGATAGAGCTAAGTGCTATTCAAAGTTTTTTCTGTAGAGAAAATTAGAGCCTGTATATTCGTTACAGAGACTGTAAACACTAGGAGAGTAAAGTCCCTGTGCGCACTGTGGGCCTCATATCCAGGGCACTTAGCACTATATAGGCACTCAATACATCTTTGTTGGATAAACAAAAATTTGAGGCTATGTAAATGATCCCTTTTCCCCCAAAATAAAAATAATTATAACACAGTATTAGCCATTTAGGTATAATTGGTAAATAGTTAATATAGTCTTACTTTGGTCTAAAATGTGCCTGTTTTTCTGGATGTGGTATTGGGAAGGAATGAATTATATTCAATAAACAATGAAATGTATAAGTATTATAGTTGTATAATTGAGTGACAATTTTATGCCGTTCCATAAGTAAAAACTTCACTTTACCCATGACCTTGTCTCAAGAGCAATAGAATAGTTGAAATGGGACAAGACATAGAAAACGTATGTAGAGGTTCCTGCCATTCAAGGTGGAATAATAACAGTAATAAATATTCTAAGAGCATTATTTCAAAAGAGTCTTTTATGTTAACAATAGTCACAAAAATATTTCATTTTTCTATATCTTGTGGTTGGGACATTAGTCTCTTATGCAGAAATATGTACAAGATATATTTTTGTTTTTGAAGTCCTACATGGTAGTAGGATACTTTCTTGTTCCTGGGTAATTTCTACTAATGCAGGTATCAGTTATGCCTTCAAACTATTCAATACCTCACCCTTGCATACTATCGGTAGTGCAGATTTGTTTTTGTTTTATAGCCTTTGTTAATGCATTTGCAGATTGCACTGAAAAGAGCCTGAGAAAATTACTCCATATATCAGCATCAACAGTACAAATTGTTTTTGTTTCTTTTCTTTTTTAATTCACACACTGTGCTAGTGTGCCATATTGTACAAATCAGTAAAAAAAAAAAAAAAATAGGTAATTAAAGCTGTTCTGGAAAGTTGTAGTGCTGGAGCAAATATATTTTTTCAATGTTTCTCAAAACCAAGCAACAGAAAGGGTAAATAAAATAAAACGTGAAGCCAAACATACATTCTGCCCTCTTCCAACCACAAGGATTCAGAAATATTTGCAACTTCTGATTTGGTGATTAATTTAGCATCACTTGTGAAATTAGTGAAATTAAAATATTTTTCATGCATGTAATGTTATTCTCTAGCTAAGGAATCCTGAATGAAATTTTATTTATGTAGATATGCTAAGTGTGGCCATAGGAGGTTACATGGTATAAGTTAAGTAATTAATAATAGCTGTAATAAATGTTATTCTAAGAATTCTCACAGTAACATTTTACAATTAGAGATTATTTTATAATCAACTGTATTATAAAGATAATGATTTTCTTCTTTACTCAAATGTAGAAAGAAAAGTTAGCTGATTTGTATGTTGCTAGCCACATGTATTATATAAATTCTAATACAATTACATGTCACTGTGCTTAGTTTTTATGTCAGACTTGCTTCACCATTCACAGTTTTCCTTTTTCTCCTTGAACACAGATCATCAGTACCATATAAACTACATGAAATTTTGTGATTTTAAGTCAATCATGTTTTCTCTTCAACATGTGATGAATTTCAGTATTAAATACACTTCTATGAAAGAAGCAAAAATTCTACATACTTCATAATTCACTTTCTAAATTTTGCCTTACAATATTTTATTTTATTCAAGTACTGTGACACATTAAATGAAACATTACCTGATCAAATAAATGCTACCAAATTCTTGTGCTATATTAATTTTCTGAGTTTATCACTGTTCTCATGAGAAACCTGAATTTGCTCTTTGTTGCCCTTTGTGACCTTATTCTAAGGATGTCTACAATATGGTCCAATCAACTTTTTCAGTCTTCTTTCTCTCTCCTTCCCATACTTACCTTATTCTCCTGCCACACTAACCTACTCTCTAGAATCCAAACATTCCCAGTGCTTTTCTCCCTCCATAACTTTTCTCCTTCATAACTGAAACACTTTTCTCTATCAAAACGCATAGAAAGAATGGTCACCCTTCAAGGACCAAATGCCATTAGGGCTTTTACTATTCCATTGAGCTCTAATTTGTATGCATAAAAAACTCATTATAGTCTGCCTTGGGTAGAGTTTTAAATGGGTTGAACTCTCCTTTTCCCACTCCATCTTCTGGATTAAAAATTCTTGAAAGCAGAAATTTCTTGAGATTTCTTGCTTTTCTATTTTAAACAGCATTTGGGAAAATGCTTTGCCCAAAATAGTCTATCAGCAAAATATAATGAACCAATATACATTATGAGTGAATGGCACCAATTACTTTGGTGAGGCCATCCCAAAATAAAAACAATAGTTCTTTATACACTTTTATGTTTAAATTAAGTGAAGGAGTAAGGTGATGCCATCAGCTCTACTTTGTCTTAGAAGTATACCTACATTGTCTTTAAATAATGATGACATTTAGATGAGATGGGTTGAGTTCTCCTCAGAGATATGTTATGTCTCCAGTAGAGTTATAGTATTCTCCAATCCTTACCTCCAATGCGTACTCACTCCCAACAACCACTATCTAAACTTTTGGAGCTGCTGCTCATTTATATATATTCCAGAAAGAATGAAATGCGTAAGTTTAAATAGAGAATAAACACATAATTTTAAAAAATGATTTACATAAATAACATCTATTAAAATTAGCTGCTCAATAAAATCTCTACTAGTTGAAATAATCATCAAAATAGTATTGATTATACTGATATTAACTATTAATATCACAATTATTTGACTTCTCTCATGTTAAAACTCTATTCTAGAAAATAAATAAGAACATTTTCCTTAGTATATTAAATAAACGTAAATTTTATTTTATGCCTTCTGCAAATACTTCTGATATTCCCTTTTAAGTAATATTATAAAATTTGAGGTTGTAGTAGATTGTGCCTAATGTATTCATCAGGGCTTCCATGTTAAGTTATTTTCTTAGCTTTGGCTTCTTCACAATAAAGAAACATGAACAATGTACAACACAGAAACGACCTCTCAGGTTTGTGGATAATCTGTTATAGCTTGTCAGAAAATGCAGGGGAATTTTATATTTATGGCTTGAATATCCCTAAATCACCAAATCCATCCGCTCTTACTTCCTGTTAAGATGCTAATTCTTGTTAGAACCCTATTATGTAACTTTCATATTAAACACATCACAGAATTAATCCTGGCTCTTCCTTATAGAACTTAAAAGAAAAGCAAAGGCATGCATAGTTAATGGGCAGGAGGTTAGTAAGGTTTGAGGTGTAGTAATTATCAGACTGGGAAAGAGGAAAAATGAGACATAGAATAAGATATAATAATATTCTACTTTTGGAAATCCTAATCATGGGAAATGTCTAGAATATATGCCCACATATGGCAAAGTATCTCCTGTACCCGTTTTTTCTTTCTATTAATGGTCACAAATCATGTTTAATGATGCAAGCTGGCATGTAAGCCTTTGTGAAAATATATATATGTTATTAATCTAAATAAATAAATATCATGGGAGATAATTGAAAATTATTTTATGTCCTACATAATAACTAAATATCCTGTAGAAATCAAGTAACTTTTTTCACGTTTACATAAAAGTCAGGAGCATAGCTAGTATTAAGCCTAAGTGTAATTGTAGCTCCATGATTCAACTGTACCACCAGATTGGCAAGGTAAATTCTGAGTGAGAGGATGCTGTGTTGGGAAAGGGGACTGATTGTGTCCTTTGAGCTTTTAGTTTAACAAATATTTATTTAGAACCTTATATGTATATACCAGGCAATGTGCTAGGTACTGTGAACTGAAGATTAGTTAGATAGCATTTCTTGGGGAGCTTCTATTGCCCTAAACAACAATAACAAAAACAAACAGTGTAATGCACTAAGTGATATATGATAGAGACATGAATTTTATAGGCAGGGACCTTATCTTGTACTCTTTTTTACACCACACAACTCCTGGAATTAAACAATTTGTTGATGTTTGCCTGTTTTATAGAAATGGAACTTTGGCTTCACTTGGGGCTACCTCCAGTGTATTGACATAAGAATACAACTCACAAAAATACTGTGATTTGTATTCAGCTAGAAGGGCTGAGCTTCCCATCAACCTCTGCCAACCAAGTTTGCTAGTCTTAATACAGTTAGCATTTAAACGATTTCATTATGTTGACATTTTAGGTCATGTTACAATTGTTAGTAAAATTAAAAATCCACATGTGATAGATGGTGTTACAAGATTCCAGTAAAGTCTGTTAAAGTGAATTATTTTATGATTATTTTCTGATTATTCCCTATTTCAAGGATACAAAGTAATTGTAAGAAAGACAGTTTCTTTTCAAAAGTGTTACAAACTTAAACCATAACAAGAGAGAAAATCACAACGCTAAGGGATTCTATGGCAAATACCACAATGATGACATTGAAAAACAAAGCAAAAAAATCACTTGAAATCACTTGCTATAGTATATAACTCCAAAAGAATTTGAATTTCAAATTGAACTTCAGTCTCTTTAGTTGAGTTTTATATCAGAAGACCAAAAACTCAGATCCTTATAATCTGCCTCGAGTTGTACCTCCCAGGAAATTTGCCTGTTCTAAGGAATTAATCTGATATTTCTCTTGAATATGTTCTTTTGTCAGTAAAAATTAGTTGCCATTCACATTAGACACCTAAAAGATCAAAGATTGGAAGCTGAGAAAACAGCTCATCCATGTTATTGCTTCACTTGATCTGCTGTTATTCTATTCATTGTATCATTTCATGGGTGAAATGAGAGTCTCCTTCCAACCAAGTCAAATAGTGTCAAAATTGTAGGTGTAATTAGATTGAACTCTTCCCCAAATCTCTAACCATAGTGCACCCAATTGCTTCCTCTAGTGAAAACTTTAGTATGACTTAACTATACGTTCCTCATGTAATTTGTTGAATGCTGTCTATTTCTCTCAAATATAATTACATTACTTTAAAAACATCTTTGAATTCTCCTCTGAATAAATCATTGATTTAGAATTTCATAGGATTGCATTTATGCTCATTTTAACATTAAAGAATAATTTGATCAGAATTAGGTGGTTGGTTCTTAACTTATGGTGAGCTTCTTTCTTGCATCGTCTCCTACCTTTGGTCTTTTCTGTTTATCAGTATGTTTCATCCATTGAAGGGGGATCTAGAGTCTAGTATTCTGAAATCATGGCTTCATAAGTACTCCAACTTCCGAACATCTAAATCTAAGAACTAGCTTTTAAAATGTGTTTTAACCAAAGTAAATTTTTAAAAATTTTACTTCTAGGGCTTTTAGAATTAAAGAAATGCTGTCCATTTAAAAGGAGTGTGGCTATTTGGGTTAACATGGTCTTTTGTGATTTCAAGTCTCCATATAACATATCTTACCCATCTCTCTAGTACTTACCTCTTCACTTAGATTTTCACTCATATTTTATAGACTATAATTAAGACAAAACATATCTCTAGACCTCCATAGACATGTGGTTTTGTTTTATGCCTAATGTAATTCTATGTGAACTATGTAGAAATAGATGTTCTGGAGTTAAAAGTAGTATGACAAATGTTTTGAACTTCTCATAAATTTATCCTGAAGGCAAGCCCACAATATTAAATCATCATGTGTAGAGGAAGCTGTCCTGTTGATTTTGAATTTTTTAAATATAAGAATCATGCTGTTCAGGCAAAAGCCCCAGGAAAACTGATCAATTTAAAGATGTTTTATCTTGAAAATTCTTTGGAAAGCCCTTTTGTTTTAAGGCTTTTGTTCCTCTAAGATTAGATAAATGATTTTCAGAAATCTAAGATACCTCAATAAATTAGTAAATCTGTTCTCTTTCCTTTGGGTAAATACTGCTTTCTCCCCATTTTACTGATGAAGAAATTAAGATGAAGAAAACTTACATTAATATGAAGGTAATATATCTAATAAGTAGTAAGGAATGTCTAAAAAATTGATTTACTACCCTCTCAAAGTCCATTCCAAAATTACAGAGACTTTTTTGCAAGAGAAAAACAGGATTTGGATACAAACAGAATTGAATTTAGATCCCAGCTCTGATACTTATTAACTCCAAAGAAGTTATGAACTGAGTTTGCTCATATGTAAATAGAGATAATTAACGCCTACTGAACAATTTCCTTGTGAAGCTGAATGTGATAAACATATGCAATCTGCTGAATGCAGCTTATTAAATAGCAGCTGTAATTTTTTTAAACTATGCTGCTTCTCCATAAATAGGCATATAGCCTCCTCCAGTGAATCTCTGAAGAGGGCAATTTTCATGTGAATATAAAGGTCCAGGATACCTGTGAACAAAGCTGTATTATTTTTTATAATCTGACACCTTTTTAAAAAGTTTTATTCTATTTTTAATTGATATATGCCCTTTTGATATACCTGTAAGTTGGTGTCTTAAAGACAGGGATAAAAAATAATGGTGTCTTTAGAGTAATTTAGCATGAGAAGTTGATTATTTCCTATTTTATTTCTACAGTTGTTCTCCACATGGATGCCCAACAGTGGAAACCAAAGACCACTTCCTCTAGGCTGTAATTTTTGTCCTTACTGGTCTTGCATTTCCAGCTTGGCACCTTCCCACCATTGTCATCACAGGGTATGGTACTGAACTAAACTCAGAATATAGCAAAGCACCTAAAGATGAGCCGCTAGTCAGCTCAGAACTATAAAAATCTCACGCCGAACCCCAACATACCACTTACTTGTTCAATGACACACTGCTGGGTTTGAATATGGAGCAAACCAAGGTTTAAATACATAATTTTCTCTTCTTCAGTCTTAGGCGTGTATAGAGAATTGCTACCCCATTCTCTCTACCTCACTTCCCCAAAAGTTGGGAAAGCTGAATCCATTTATGTTCATTGTTTGTCATTTCACCAACATCCTCCATCCTTATAGGAAATGTGCAGAGTTTAGGCAGTTACCTTAGAGCACTTTGTAAAGATTTTTGGTTGGCTTCTCCTTTTTATGAAGCCAACAATTATGTATCTGTTTTATCTCAACATTCTCCAGACTCTAACTGTTGCAGCATCAGAATCTGTGTAGATATCAATACCTTCTGGAAATGAAATAATTCCTTTGCATTCTCTTTCCCTCATGCCTTCCTCCTCTTCTGTAGTCCCCTTTGTTTACCCACCACTTCCTGCCCACAAAGCCACCCATTCTGCCATCACTGCCATGCCAGCTTCCTTATAGGAATATTGCCATGGTGGTCTTGATTTGTACATAGAATCATAAGAGACATTCTGCTCTGTTTTGATATAGCTGAGAAAATGACCCCTGCTCACCCCTGCAGACTCAACTGGCAAGGAAACTTGAAGCTGTAGCTTCAGTTGCTTGTAATGCTTTTTAAATAGACCTTTCTCATTAAAGAACTGTACATCTTTGAACCTCATGTGATAAGTGCCCTGGCCTCTCTTTCCAAGAACACCTAGGAGAATATGACAATGAGAAAACAAAACAAACAAACAAACAAAAAAAAAAAAAACAAGGTAGAGGCATCACAGAAGTCCCAGGAACCATCCAGCCTTCATGGCTGAGAAGTCATCTTTGGCAGCTGCCAATCAACATTCCTGTCCAGTTTTTAAGCTCAGAGTATTTTCTGCTCATCTCCATTCATTGATGAGAGTTTATCTAACAACTACTCATTTTAAGTACCAGCTTATTACAGGGAAGCACAAATATATAGTGCATGGCCTCCTCTAGTTGTCAAGACTAAATGAGCATTGATGAAACTGGGAAAATAGAGAGATCATGTGTAAGTAAGTGTTGAATTTTGTGTTACAGAATGTAAGTACCTGACAAGCTTGTAGGAAAAAAAATACCTAAGGAAGCCATTGTTGGTATGGAAAGCTTCATGGAGGTGTCAGTAATTGCCAGATGGGTATTGAATTAGCTCTTCATGGAATTAAATATAGATGCTAAGAATTTATTCAGCTCCTTTTCCTCTACAATGAGTAGTCTCAATTATATGACCCTGTAGTAAAAGAATGTTTACATAAACTCCTACCATTTTGTAGCATCTTTTGAACACTCTTCATATCTCTTCACTTGGGGATGCTAAACGTGGAAGCAGGAAGTGTGTAGAGTCACTCTGACTGTAATAAAAAGAAAAGATAAAGATTTCTACATCTGCATACCTATATCAATAGTACATGTGAATGTCAGTTCATGCATACAAAAACCATAAATTACCTTTGGCATTCTCTCCTTTATATTAAAGCCCCTTTCAGTGGTACTTACTTTTCATTATTTGAATCAGTGCATTGATCCTTTATTCATCTTTTCTATTTTTCTCATTTCTCTTTATATAATTCATATCAGGCTATTCTCTTTCACGAGAGTGTTCACAATGGCCCATTTTAATAAACGGACCTGTATGCAGAAATATTTAAAGCTGGAAGTCACCTTGGAGAATCAACTTCTCCCACTCTCTCATTTCACAGCTAATGAAATCAAGGTCAGAATAGATGAAGTGATTTGCCTAAGGTTATGGACTAAATAGAGGCATCAGAAATAGGATTATAAGATACAGAATTTTACTTTTGTCATTATGTAACCTTATTAATTGAACATTTATTTATGTGACAGGTACTATTCTAGGGGCTGGAGACCAACCAAAGCCCCCCCAGGTACAATTCTGCTCCTGATATTCACATCTCTGCAGATTTCAGTTAGATGTGCTCAATGTGACTTTCCGTTATAGATTTTGGTAAATAGTTTTGTTTCTTCATGCTTTGATAGTGCCCTTATCGTCACTCAGTCCCAATTAACTTCCCCAAGCTTCTCATTTAATTAATTCCCATCCTTTTTTTTTCAAGGTACATACTAGCTCTCCTGACTTAGTGCCATCCTGCCTCATTGTCATCCCCCCTTTCTAAAATAATTATTTTGAGTATAATGAAATGTTAAACATGATTGAACCCAGTATGTGATTATTGTAACTCTGGCTGCCAACAGATGTTTTCGTATTTGTTGACTTGTATAATAAAGTGTCAAAACAGAAAAAATGAGTAGTTCTTTCATCCCTGCCCCCTTTCCCTTTTTAAAATCTTTGTTACTAAACATTTGTTCTGTCATAATGAGAGCGGGCTTGTAGACTTATGCCTCTTACATGGTTGTCAATGGTTAGACAACAAAAGAGAAAAAATAGGAAAATTCTTCTGCCCTAAATATGAGGTACAATCTTTTGGCCTTCTACCTTCATTTCCAAGAAAGTCCATATTCTGAACCATTACCTTCCATACTGTTCCTACCAGCAACCCCACAGGTACTTCTAGTGGTTACCTGTAACCATAGAACATTTCTTTGTTTACTCTATTACTTGATGAATTCTTTTTCTTTCACTACCTAATACTCTTTAGTAGTTATCCAGGTAAACATTATTATCTTCTATAGCTGTAGACACAATCAGATAATGTTGTGCTTAATGAACAAAATAAAATAGCCACAGTTTCATGTAATACAGTATTGATAATGAAAATGGCATTTTATTTTTGTTTAATATTTTTAAAGGATAGTTGTATGGTCTTTTTTTGGTAATGTTTATTGCTCTATAATTTTAAGTTCTCACAAAAAGCTGCAGGGATAGTACAGGTTCTCATATGCCCTCTACCTTGACTCACTAATTATTTACCTTTTGTCATATGTCATTTTTTCTCTATCTTCTCTCTCTCTGTGAATATATGAATATATATATATATACACACACACATATATATACACATATATATACACACATATATATATACACACATACATATATATATATAGTTGTCCAATACAGGCAATTTATCTTTAATATAATGGTATTAATATAATACCATTATCTAAATCACAATCTATATTCAAATTTCATCTACTGTCCTAATAATGTTCTTAACAGTTAATTGTTTTATTTCCCACTGGTCCAGGATCCAATCTAGAATCATGCAGTGAATTTAGTTGCCATACAGTGCTTTATTTTTGTGTTGAAAAGCTTACATTAACAATAATGATCTGGACAGTGTCCTTTTAAAAATAATCCCTGCTTACTGACTGCTGTTCCAATAATAAGAATTTAAGTCAAAAGATATGTAACAAAATCCCTTAGGATTAGTGATATCTGTGCTGAGGATATCTGTGCACATCAACCTTGTAACTATTTTCTAACCACCAGTTTTGGCATTTCAATGGGAGAGGGTCCAAGACAGAAAACTCTGAGTTTATTAATATTTTACAGTTTTGAAATTTAAACCTTAGGACTAGGATTCTACTGCCATTCTAGTCCATCATGGGTTAAAGGGATAGTGTTTATAAGTAGCCATGGAACAAGGATTCACAGTGCCCTCTTTAAAGCCAATCCTAAATAAATATTTAGCTCAGCACTATGCTACCGAAGCCTCAAATAAAATCAATATTCTCCTCAAAAGAAATGCTTGATATATTTAAAACAAAACCTGGATGTAAATATGAGTTGTCATTCTTGAAAGTAAGTTATCTTTTTAAAAACATACAGCTATGCACTTTTAAATGTCCAACATTAAAATGAATATAAATAGTTGTCTTCCTCCCCAAAAATGCCGCAAAAATTATTTGTATATTTCTGATGCCTAAAGCATGCAGTGTTTTGCTTAATTCTGTAAATAGACTATGGTTAGGTCTACAGGGTGTGAGCAGTTTGCTTTCTAGCCTCTGTCGAAGCAACAATAATCCCTAAATCTCAGATATATTTTCTCAATGTCAAGCCTGTTTCTAAAACTAGATACAAAAAAACACTAAAAAGTCATCAGCTTTACCAACTATGAATGTATATAATATTTTGTGAAAAACACACAACCCTACCTAAACAGATTAATGTTCTTTAAAAGTATTGTACAAAAACATAAAAGTATCAAGCCTTGATAAGAGAAAATTATCTGAGTCAGTTAATACCAATTACATTACTGAAACATCAGATAGATGATGGAAGGTGCAAAATAATCCTTTGCTATGTTCACTTTCTCCTCTAAAATAAAGACAAGGCATTTATACATGCAAGAAATAGAAATTAGCTACCAGAAAAATGCTGTGCCCATCCATATTCAGAGCATAGATTAAGAATAAAATAGTTTTTTAATTGATTCTACCACATTTTTTATTTTTTTATTTTTTATTTATTTTTATTTTTTTATTTTTTTTATTATACTTTAAGTTTTAGGGTACATGTGCACATTGTGCAGGTTAGTTACATATGTATACATGTGCCATGCTGGTGCGCTGCACCCACTAACTGGTCATCTAGCATTAGGTATATCTCCCAATGCTATCCCTTCCCCCTCCCCCCACCCAACAACAGTCCCCAGAGTGTGATATTCCCCTTCCTGTGTCCATGTGATCTCATTGTTCAATTCCCACCTATGAGTGAGAATATGCGGTGTTTGGTTTTTTGTTCTTGTGATAGTTTACTGAGAATGATGATTTCCAATTTCATCCATGTCCCTACAAAGGACATGAACTCATCATTTTTTATGGCTGCATAGTATTCCATGGTGTATATGTGCCACATTTTCTTAATCCAGTCTATCATTGTTGGACATTTGGGTTGGTTCCAAGTCTTTGCTATTGTGAGTAATGCCGCAATAAACATACGGGTGCATGTGTCTTTATAGCAGCATGCTTTATAGTCCTTTGGGTATATACCCAGTAATGGGATGGCTGGGTCAAATGGTATTTCTAGTTCCAGATCCCTGAGGAATCGCCACACTGACTTCCACAATGGTTGAACTAGTTTACAGTCCCACCAACAGTGTAAAAGTGTTCCTATTTCTCCACATCCTCTCCAGCACCTGTTGTTTCCTGACTTTTTAATGATTGCCATTCTAACTGGTGTGAGATGGTATCTCATTGTGGTTTCGATTTGCATTTCTCTGATGGCCAGTGATGATGAGCATTTCTTCATGTGTTTTTTGGCAGCATAAATGTCTTCTTTTGAGAAGTGTCTGTTCATGTCCTTCACCCACTTTTTGATGGGGTTGTTTGTTTTTTTCTTGTAAATTTGTTTGAGTTCATTGTAGATTCTGGATATTAGCCCTTTGACAGATGAGCAGGTTGCAAAAATTTTCTCCCATTTTGTAGGTTGCCTGTTCACTCTGATGGTAGTTTCTTTTGCTGTGCAGAAGCTCTTTAGTTTAATTAGATCCCATTTGTCAATTTTGTCTTTTGTTGCCATTGCTTTTGGTGTTTTGGACATGAAGTCCTTGCCCATGCCTATGTACTGAATGGTAATGCCTAAGTTTTCTTCTAGGGTTTTTATGGTTTTAGGTCTAACGTTTAAGTCTTTAATCCATCTTGAATTAATTTTTGTATAAGGTGTAAGGAAGGGATCCAGTTTCAGCTTTCTACATATGGCTAGCCAGTTTTCCCAGCACCATTTATTAAATAGGGAATCCTTTCCCCATTGCTTGTTTTTCTCAGGTTTGTCAAAGATCAGATAGTTGTAGATATGCGGCGTTATTTCTGAGGGCTCTGTTCTGTTCCATTGATCTATATCTCTGTTTTGGTACCAGTACCCTGCTGTTTTGGTTACTGTAGCCTTGTAGTGTAGTTTGAAGTCAGGTAGTGTGATGCCTCCAGCTTTGTTCTTTTGGCTTAAGATTGACTTGGCAATGCGGGCTCTTTTTTGGTTCCATATGAACTTTAAAGTAGTTTTTTCCAATTCTGTGAAGAAAGTCATTGGTAGCTTGATGGGGATGGCATTGAATCTGTAAATTACCTTGGGCAGTATGGCCATTTTCATGATATTCATTCTTCCTACCCATGAGCATGGAATGTTCTTCCATTTGTTTGTATCCTCTTTTATTTCATTGAGCAGTGGTTTGTAGTTCTCCTTGAAGAGGTCCTTCACATCCCCTGTAAGTTGGATTCCTAGGTATTTTATTCTCTTTGAAGCAATTGTGAATGGGATTTCACTCATGATTTGGCTCTCTGTTTGTCTGTTGTTGGTGTATAAGAATGCTTGTGATTTTTGTACATTGATTTTGTATCCTGAGACTTTGCTGAAGTTGCTTATCAGCTTAAGGAGATTTTGGGCTGAGACAATGGGGTTTTCTTGATACACAATCATGTCGTCTGCAAACAGGGACAGTTTGACTTCTTATTTTCCTAATTGAATACCCTTTATTTCCTTCTCCTGCCTAATTGCCCTGGCCAGAACTTCCAACACTATGTTGAATAGGAGTGGTGAGACAGGGCATCCCTGTCTTGTGCCAGTTTTCAAAGGGAATGCTTCCAGTTTTTGCCCATTCAGTATGATATTGGCTGTGGGTTTGTCATAGATAGCTCTTATTATTTTGAAATACGTCCCATCAATACCTAATTTATTGAGAGTTTTTAGCATGAAGGGTTGTTGAATTTTGTCAAAGGCTTTTTCTGCAACTATTGAGATAATCATGTGGTTTTTGTCTTTGGTTCTGTTTATATGCTGGATTCCATTTATTGATTTGCATATATTGAACCAGCCTTGCATCCCAGTGATGAAGCCCACTTGATCATGGTGGATAAGCTTTTTGATGTGCTGCTGGATTCGTTTTGCCAGTATTTTATTGAGGATTTTTGCATCAATGTTCATCAAGGATATTGGTCTAAAATTCTCTTTTTTGGTTGTGTCTCTGCCCAGCTTTGGTATCAGAATGATGCTGGCCTCATAAAATGAGTTAGGGAGGATTCCCTCTTTTTCTATTGATTGGAATAGTTTCAGAAGGAATGGTACCAGCTCCTCCTTATACCTCTGGTAGAATTCGGCTGTGAATCCATCTGGTCCTGGACTCTTTTTGGTTGGTAAGCTATTGATTATTGCCACAATTTCAGATCCTGTTATTGGTCTATTCAGAGATTCAACTTCTTCCTGGTTTAGTCCTGGGAGAGTGTATGTGTCGAGGAATTTATCCATTTCTTCTAGATTTTCTAGTTTATTTGCGTAGAGGTGTTTGTAGTATTCTCTGATGGTAGTTTGTATTTCTGTGGGATCGGTGGTGATATCCCCTTTATCATTTTTTATTGCATCTATTTGATTCTTCTCTCTTTTTTTCTTTATTAGTCTTGCTAGTGGTCTATCAATTTTGTTGATCCTTTCAAAAAACCAGCTCCTGGATTCATTAATTTTTTGAAGGGTTTTTTGTGTCTCTATTTCCTTCAGTTCTGCTCTGATTTTAGTTATTTCTTGCCTTCTGCTAGCTTTTGAATGTGTTTGCTCTTGCTTTTCTAGTTCTTTTAATTGTGATGTTAGGGTGTCAATTTTGGATCTTTCCTGCTTTCTCCTGTGGGCATTTAGTGCTATAAATTTCCCTCTACACACTGCTTTGAATGTGTCCCAGAGATTCTGGTATGTTGTGTCTTTGTTCTCATTGGTTTCAAAGAACATCTTTATTTCTGCCTTCATTTTGTTATGTACCCAGTAGTCACTCAGGAGCAGGTTGTTTAGTTTCCATGTAGTTGAGCGGTTTTGAATGAGATTCTTAATCCTGAGTTCTAGTTTGATTGCACTGTGGTCTGAGAGATAGTTTGTTATAATTTCTGTTCTTTTACATTTGCTGAGGAGAGCTTTACTTCCAAGTATGTGGTCAATTTTGGAATAGGTGTGGTGTGGTGCTGAAAAAAATGTATATTCTGTTGATTTGGGGTGGAGGGTTCTGTAGATGTCTATTAGGTCCGCTTGGTGCAGAGCTGAGTTCAATTCCTGGGTATCCTTGTTGACTTTCTGTCTTGTTGATCTGTCTAATGTTGACAGTGGGGTGTTAAAGTCTCCCATTATTAATGTGTGGGAGTCTAAG
This sequence comes from Homo sapiens, assembly GCF_000001405.40. Classification (NCBI taxonomy): domain Eukaryota; kingdom Metazoa; phylum Chordata; class Mammalia; order Primates; family Hominidae; genus Homo; species Homo sapiens. Next base: position 79,043,264 of record NC_000012.12, read on the forward strand.
TCTCTTTGTGGGTCACTCAGGACTTGCTTTATGAATCTGGGTCCTCCTGTATTGGGTGCATATATATTTGGGATAGTTAGCTCTTCTTGTTGAATTGATCCCTTTACCATTATGTAATGGCCTTCTTTGTCTCTTTTGATCTTTGTTGGTTTAAAGTCTGTTTTATCAGAGACTAGGATTGCAACCCCTGCCTTTTTTTGTTTTCCATTTGCTTGGTAGATCTTCCTCCATCCTTTTATTTTGAGCCTATGTGTGTCTCTGCATGTGAGATGGGTTTCCTGAATACAGCACACTGATGGGTCTTGACTCTTTATCCAATATGCCAGTCTGTGTCTTTTAATTGGAGCATTTAGTCCATTTACATTTAAAGTTAGTATTGTTATGTGTGAATTTAATCCTGTCATTATGATGTTAGCTGGTTCTTTTGCTGGTTAGTCGATGCAGTTTCTTCCTAGTCTCCATGGTCTTTACATTTTGGCATGATTTTGCAGCGGCTGGTGCCAGTTGTTCCTTTCCATGTTTAGCACTTCCTTCAGGAGCTCTTTTAGGGCGGGCCTGGTGGTGACAAAATCTCTCAGCATTTGCTTGTCTGTAAAGTATTTTATTTCTCCTTCGCTTATGAAGTTTAGTTTGGCTGGATATGAAATTCTGGGTCGAAAATTGTTTTCTTTAAGAATGTTGAATATTGGCCCCCACTCTCTTCTGGCTTGTAGGGTTTCTGCCGAGAGATCCGCTGTTAGTCTGATGGGCTTCCCTTTGTGGGTAACCCAACCTTTCTCTCTGGCTGCCCTTAACATTTTTTCCTTCATTTCAACTTTGGTGAATCTGACAATTATGTGTCTTGGAGTTGCTCTTCTCGAGGAGTATCTTTGTGGCATTCTCTGTATTTCCTGAATCTGAATGTTGGCCTGCCTTGCTAGATTGGGGAAGTTCTCCTGGATAATATCCTGCAGAGTGTTTTCCAACTTGGTTCCATTCTCCCCATCACTTTCAGGTACACCAGTCAGACGTAGACTTGGTCTTTTCACATAGTCCCATATTTCTTGGAAGCTTTGCTCATTTCTTTTTATTCTTTTTTCTCTAAACTTCCCTTCTCGCTTCATTTCATTCATTTCATCTTCTATTGCTGATACCCTTTCTTCCAGTTGATCGCATTGGCTCCTGAGGCTTCTGCATTCTTCACGTAGTTCTCGAGCCTTGGTTTTCAGCTCCATCAGCTCCTTTAAGCACTTCTCTGTATTGGTTATTCTAGTTATACATTCTTCTAAATTTTTTTTCAAAGTTTTCAACTTCTTTGCCTTTGGTTTGAATGTCCTCCCGTAGCTCAGAGTAATTTGATCGTCTGAAGCCTTCTTCTCTCAGCTCGTCAAAGTCATTCTCCATCCAGCTTTGTTCCGTTGCTGGTGAGGAACTGCGTTCCTTTGGAGGAGGAGAGGCACTCTGCTTTTTAGAGTTTCCAGTTTTTCTGTTCTGTTTTTTCCCCATCTTTGTGGTTTTATCTACTTTTGGTCTTTGATGATGGTGATGTACAGATGGGTTTTTGGTGTGGATGTCCTTTCTGTTTGTTAGTTTTCCTTCTAACAGACAGGACCCTCAGCTGCAGGTCTGTTGGAGTACGCTGCCGTGTGAGGTGTCAGTGTGCCCCTGCTGGGGGGTGCCTCCCAGTTAGGCCGCTCGGGGGTCAGGGACACACTTGAGGAGGCAGTCTGCCCGTTCTCAGATCTGCAGCTGCGTGCTGGGAGAACCACTGCTCTCTTCAAAGCTGTCAGACAGGGACATTTAAGTCTGCAGAGGTTACTGCTGTCTTTTTGTTTGTCTGTGCCCTGCCCCCAGAGGTGGAGCCTACAGAGGCAGGCAGGCCTCCTTGAGCTGTGGTGGGCTCCACCCAGTTCGAGCTTCCCGGCTGCTTTGTTTACCTAAGCAAGCCCGGGCAATGGCGGGCGCCCCTCCCCCAGCCTGGCTGCCGCCTTGCAGTTTGATCTCAGACTGCTGTGCTAGCAATCAGCGAGACTACGTGGGCGTAGGACCCGCCGAGCCAGGTGCGGGATATAATCTCGTGGTGCGCCATTTTTTAAGCCGGTCGGAAAAGCGCAGTATTCGGGAGGGAGTGACCCGATTTTCCAGGTGCGTCTGTTACCCCTTTCTTTGACTCCGAAAGGGAACTCCCTGACCCCTTGCGCTTCCCAAGTGAGGCAATGCCTCGCCCCTGTTTCGGCTCGCGCACGGTGCGCACACCCACTGACCTGCTCCCACTGTCTGGCACTCCCTAGTGAGATGAACCCGGTACCTCAGATGGAAATGCAGAAATCACCTGTCTTCTGCGTCACTCACGCTGGGAGCTGTAGACAGCACTGTTCCTATTCGGCCATCTTGGCTCCTCCCTGATTCTACCACCAAGAATAAAATAGTTGTTTGTCCCCTACAGTAGAACAAGTTTGCCCATTCATCCTTGTGATAGATATGCATGCAAAACCAAAATGAAATCAAATCCCCACAGATGGCTCGTAAGTCAAAAACACTGTTTAATTCTTTCACTGCATCCCTTTGGGAAGCCTGGCCCTTGGTAAGTAGTAATGTACAATGTATATAGTGTCAACTATTCTCTTATTTTTTAATAGAATGTCTTTGTCTTATTTAACAGGTTTTTTTCCCATATTTCTTGTAAGAAGCTCTGTGTCACTGTTTACCTTAATGTGTATGTCCACAGAATCTTGCTCTAGTTTTTGTTTTAATAAAAAAGAAGTGTCCGTATACTAAAACTATACAAAGCATATCTAAAATTGATTATGGCTCTAAGTCATGTTTTTAGAGGCAGTCAGGCAAACCTAGGTGCATTTTAACATTGCTCTTCCAAATGGATTTTACTAAGAAACAGTTGAGTTTCAAGCAGGAATAAAGGAAAAGCAGATCTTGGAGATTTAACTGTTGAGCAGATGCAGTAAATGAGGTTTTGGAAATACCGCTGTCACTTTAGATATTTTATGCTGAGTTACCTATGTGACCCAATAGCTAGAGCTGCTGATATTAAAATATTTTTGTAATTCTGTTGAAAATAGATGCCATGAGAACTCTTAAAAACAGAGTAACATACTTATTATAAGACCTATTTTAAATATTTCATTCTTTCCTCATTTTCATGATACCTAAATTTTTTGAAGACTGAAAATGATGAGAACTTATATAAAAAGGTACTTGTCTGTAGCATCATGGAAATTTTCATTTATGAGTTGTTAACATGTCAAACCAAATCAGAAATTCCTGATATCTTTATTACATTAAAGCAATTCTTAATGTTGCCTCTTGAGAAGGGTTTAATTTTTTTACTCTTTAAACTGAAAGTTTATCTTTTTTATGCAATGACGTGCAATCATTTTTCTCTTAATTCCTGATGGGCTTGTAATATATACATATTTATTTGTGTGTGTATGTACCTACATATCTATTAATATGTATATAAACATGTATATTTAAATACATGTATGTTTATCCTATGTACTAGAATAGTTAGTAGGTTATATCTAGATATTGATTAGCTTCTGAAAATAGGCAAATATGTATAACATATTGAGGTGTTTCTAACATCGGTGAAAAATATAAAACTTAAAAGTAACATGGGGCTGTACAAGGTTGATTTGTAATAGTCATATTGGTAATTGAGACAGCACCAGATATTTAATTGACTAAGAATCATGTGATTTATTTCTTAATAAATGTAATATTCTCTAATGTCTGCCTAGATTAGTGTTACTCTAATTTCAAATTAAAACACTATAGAAAGCATAATTGACTTTTCATAAAATCAGTATATAAACTATCCACAGACTCTCAATCTCTAGCTCATCAAACAACTTTAAAATCCAAACTATCTGTATTATATATACTAAATATGGATATATATGACATTATTTTTATTGGAATATATAGTAAAATTTTAAGTAGAAATATTAAATAATAAAATTAACATATTTATGACAAAAATGATTCTGAACTATGTGTAGTCAAGTAACCTCTGTATATATTGTTTTCCTTTTAGAAAAACAGAATAATTCTGAAAGAAAGAAAACAAAGAAAAACATACTCCAGAATTCCTAATAGAACAGTAAGTACTTTAATGACACAATGATGATAATAAATCTGTAAAATTAGAGCTTACAAATGTCTTTTATAGAAATACTAACTTCTATTTTCTAAGATAATAAATTAGTAGAGGAAGCAAGTTGAGCCTTCTCTTTCAATTTACTGGAGTAAACTGAAAATCATTTGTCCTATAATCCTCTTACATAAGAGGGCAAAGTACTCGTTGTGATACATTTATGGGGCAGAAAACGTTTATGATGACTCCATCATATCTTTTGACTAGCATAGTATCATCTTAAATTCTAAAGAAGAAAACAGTAATAAGCTAGATGTAATCAAAGTGCCTCATTTTCTCCATATGTGATAAAAAGTTTTTACTTATTTTGAACAAAATTTTAAATACTATTGATGTGCTTGGTTTATTTATAATCACTAAATTGGGATTATTAAAAAATGGCAGCTATCTGCAGGCTTAAAATCTACACCATATTCTCATTAGTACATTTGTTTCTAATCTCACAACTTAACTAAAAGTGTATTTCCTAGAAATGTATTTCCTTGCTATTGTTTGATGATAATATAGTTTTCCTAAATATGTTCTCACTAAGCAAAGTACATGTTGATGTCAATCTTTATGGTAAAATTGGTGACAATATAAAATTTTCAAGATGCAGGCAATTATAAATTTTGAATATGTGAATATGAAGAACAATAACATAAAGATAGAAAAGCAAAACCCATGTTGATGACCCACGTTGTATCACATTTAATATTTTTGAAACTGCATTTGAAATTGCATTTCAAACTCAATGTTTCAAAAGTTTCAAACAAATATTAGAGTAAAACATAGTATAATAAATTAACAAAATGAAACATCTATATCTTAGTACATATCAAACTAGAGTCAAGTTCAATGGAAAAAAATGTAAGTTTGATATATAAAAAGTAGAAATTTCTAAATAATTTTATAGGATATATACAAATTATTCCTGCATAATAACATTTTTTAGCCCCAAAGAACTTTGATGCATAAATTACATCTTAACTTTGAATGATTGGGTATAATTAATCATCATCACGATGATATAAATGAAGTTTATCTGAAATATATTTTATTTATTTTTGAGGTGTGAGAAAGGCAGAGAAAACACATTTCTTTTACCTGCCTGTCTGAAGGTTATGTATGTTACAACTTCACACAAAGCACTCTGCCACTTACTTTTTGTTGTAGTTATGAACGGCCATATATTTTAAACAGAAATCTATAAAATTTATAATTCAAAATGTTTACACTTTTAAAAACTACTCTTTGATTTAAAAAATTAACTCTAAATGTATGAAAGTCTATTTTGAGTATTCAGAGCAGGTTACGGGCATGTTTACATAGTTCTGGGTACAGGGATAATTTAAGAATCAGATTTTTCTGTCATATATAACAATTTTTGAAACCTGCAAATCTGCGTGAGTTACAAGATATGAAATAAGTGAGAAATTTCTTTTTGACATAGAAATTTTTTATCATCTTAATACCCTAACATAGACAATGAAATCATTCAGCCAAAACAAACCTTTTTCAACATCTAAAAGACTAGACTGTCTTAAAGTTTTGTTTTTATATATATAATTCTGTTTCTAAACATAATTTCAATTCTGTACAATACTCATTGGAAAATGGTTGAATTTTTTAAACTGACAGGACTGACATAAGCTCTTTATGCAAGAACCAAGTGATATCTACTTCACTCCCTCACAATTTCTCGGCCCTCTGAGTATAATTTCATGTGAAAAGCCATCAATGACTCCTTTTCTGCGCTGATTTATGTATAAGTTATTTGATCTATTGTTCAGGTGTGACCTATATAAGTTATTTGACTGGAACTGTAATTTTCATAATTGTATTGAAATAGGATTTAGCCTAGCATACCTCGGAGACATCTCATTCAAGTAATGAGATCTCCTGTTCATTTGCAGTAATCTTAGAAAAAAATAACATACATGTTTCCAAAGAAGAAATTATGCCTCTTTTCATGCATTTTTATGTGGTTTGGAGCAGGTTTTAATCTCAGATTTTAATTACCTATTATTTAATAATTATATGCTAAATCACTCATAAATTACATGCAAAAAAAGACTCTTCTTATTATACTGTAATAAAAAGTATAATTTATCCTTTAAAAATTTTATCAGATATTGTGAAGAGGAATACTCTGACTTAAATGACATTGTCAAAACATAAGAGTTCTTAAAATATCTTAGCCACTAAAGGCTCGTGAGTTAGTGTTAGACAATACATGGAATAAAACATGATATCAGATGAATATAATAGATAATACAGTGACATTTTATCTATAGATTGTGCATGTGTTTCTAGCCCATGAATGAGTTTTATGAATTGTATTGGAATCAAAACTTTATAAATGAAAGCTTTTTAGCACAGGAAAGCTCTACAAACCTCTTACAATTTTGCTTTTAAATCCATAGCTTAAGAACAAGTTGATAATTGATTAAAATATTACTATAATATTGCTAAAGACGCTTAGAGCACATTGCATTTATTGCTTACAAAAGGTTTTTGTGCTTAAGAAATATAAAAGATAAAAATATAAGATGCTTTCTTATAAGAATAGAAAAATAAAAGACCACTGGAAAGTGTATTCTAAAATACAGTTGACTCTTGATCACCAACTCCCACACAGTCCTAAAATTCCATGGTTAACTTTTAACTCCTCCAAAACTTAACTACTAATAGCCTACTGTTGACTGGATGTTATCAATAACATAAATAGTTGATTAATTCTTATTTTTCATGTTATGTGTATTATATACTCTTCTTAACAATAAAGTAGGAAAAGTGAAGAAAATATTACTAAGAAAATTGTAAGGAAGAGAAAATGTATTTACTATTCATTAAGTGGAAGTGGATCATCATAAAGGTCTCCATCCTCATCTTCACATTAACTAGGCTGAGGAGGAGAAGGAAGAGGAGGGGTTGGTTGGTTTTACTGTCTCAGCAGTGGCAGAGGCAGAAGAAAACCTGTGAATAAGTGGACCTGCATAGTTCAAACCCGTGTTGTTCAAGTGTCAACTATAGTCATCTTTCTTTTGATTGCTGAAGCTCAGTAATACTTTCAAGAACTTCATAGTCTCCTCCTTGTAAACTCTGATCACACTGGATACTAATAATAAAGAGGGTGTGTTTAAAAAATCATTCAGATGCTCAGACATCCGTGTTAGAAACTCTTCATATTATCCTAGATTTCCTAAGCCTCTTTAATAAAACTGGGAGTTGATACACTCACTCAAAGTGTGACAACTATTAACAACACTGCTTTCCTGAAAAAACAAATATAGCAAGAAGTTTTTAGTAAGAGTGATTCTAATGGAAGGCAGATTTTAACCAATAAAACATCTTGTGGCTCATTAGAGAATAAATATTATTTGCAAATATCCCAAATGTTACCTGCAAATGCTCCTGACAAGTTTTACTTAGTCAATATTTCCCTATTAGAAGTAATAAAGTCCTGCAATAAAAAAGCATAAGCCTGTGAGTGTGTGTAATAGTGGCATAAAGCTAGGAGAAAATTTAGAGGTCACCTATTCTAATATTTTCATTTTATAGAGGTTACCTCCTCTAATATTATCATTTATATATGGCCTGATAGGTCAAGTCATTTGCCTAAGCTCTTATATCTAGTGATAGAATTGAAAAAAAAATCTGTGCTAATTAACCACCCACCATTTTTTTCTATCTGCCATATTAACTGAAAGTGCTGTTATTAAAAAATGCATGTGTCGGAACTGTTAAAAAAAAACTCTTCTCCAAATTTAATCTTTTTTCAACCAAAACACTAGTGAAAATTTATGTAAATTATTGTTTGTCTAATCTCTAGTAGTTTAAAATTGTATTTTGATATAGTTTATTAGAATGATGTTTATAAAAGTTATATATCTCCACAGTATAACCTTTATAAATAAATATATATATACATATATATGTATCTCCACTATGTATGTATAAAGAGAGCTCATTTATATAGGTATTTATTTATTTATATTTATATATATCTCTACTATATATGTATAAAGAGAGAGGTAATCTGAGTCTTGGCTTAATCCATCTCCACCTAATATTTATTAATGATAAGTAGTAAAGAAAAATAACATATGCACATTAAGTTTTCATGTGCAGCGAATCCATAGGAAAATGTGAGGACATTCAAGATTACACAGTGAAAAAACAACTAGATAATAATAATATGTAATAATAATACATAAAAGCAATCTGCCATCAGCAACACTTAAGCAGTTATCTCAATGAGTCTCCCTTTTCTCATCTGGGTAATGAAAAATGTCTACCCAGCATACTTCCCAAGATTCTCTGAGATTGGATTAAGTATATGAAGATCTCTATAGTGATATTTAATTTAAAATTCTTATATATATTATCCTTTCCCCATTGCTTGTTTTTGTCAGGTTTGTCAAAGATCAGATAGCTGTAGATATGCGGCATTATTTCTGAGGGCTCTGTTCTGTTCCATTGGTCTATATCTTTGTTTTGGTACCAGTACCCTGCTGTTTCAGTTACTGTAGCCTTGTAGTATAGTTTGAAGTCAGGTAGCGTGATGCCTCCAGCTTTGTTCTTTTGGCTTAGGATTGACTTGGCAATGCAGGCTCTTTTTTGGTTCCATATGAACTTTAAAATAGTTTTTTCCAATTCTGTGAAGAAAGTCATTGGTAGCTTGATGGGGATGGCATTGAATCTATAAATTACCTTGGGCAGTATGGCCATTTTCACAATATTGATTCTTCCTACCCACGAGCATGGAATGCTCTTCCATTTGTTTGTATCCTCTTTTATTTCATTGAGCAGTGGTTTGTAGTTCTCCTTGAAGGGGTCCTTCACATCCCTTGTAAGTTGGATTCCCTATTTAATAAATGGTGCTGGGAAAACTGGCTAGCCATATGTAGAAAGCTGAAATGGGATCCCTTCCTTACACCTTATACAAAAATTAATTCAAGATGGATTAAAGACTTACATGTTAGACCTAAAACCATAAAAACCCTAGAAGAAAACCTAGACGATACCATTCAGGACATATGCATGGGCAAGGACTTCATGTCTAAAACACCAAAAGCAATGGCAACAAAAGCCAAAATTGATAAATGGGATCTAATTAAACTAAAGAGCTTCTGCACAGCAAAAGAAACTACCATCAGAGTGAATAGGCAGCCTACAGAATGGGAGAAAATTTTTGCAATCTACTCATCTGACAAAGGGCTAATATCCAGAATCTACAATGAACTCAAACAAATTTACAAGAAAAAAACAAACAACCCCATCAAAAAGTGGGTGAAGGATATGAACAGACGCTTCTCAAAAGAAGACATTTATGCAGCCAACAGACACATGAAAAAATGCTCATCATCACTGGCCATCAGAGAAATGCAAATCAAAACCACAATGAGATACCATCTCACACCAGTTAGAATGGCAATCATTAAAAAGTCAGGAAACAACAGGTGCTGGAGAGGATGTGGAGAAATAGGAACACTTCTACACTGTTGGTGGGACTGTAAACTAGTTCAACCCTTATGGAAGTCAGTGTGGTGATTCCTCAGGGATCTAGAACTAGAAATACCATTTGACCCAGCAACACCATTACTGGGTATACACCCAAAGGATTATAAATCATGCTGCTATAAAGACATGTGCACATGTATGTTTATTGCGGCACTATTCACAATAGCAAAGACTTGGAACCAACCCAAATGTCCAACAATGATAGACTGGATTAAGAAAATGTGGCACACATACACCATGGAATACTATGCAGCCATAAAAAATGATGAGTTCATGTCCTTTGTAGGGACATAGATGAAGCTGGAAACCATCATTCTCAGCAAACTATCGCAAGGATAAAAAACCAAATACCGCATGTTCTCACTCATAGGTGGGAATTGAACAATGAGAACACATGGACACAGGAGGGTGAACATCACACACCGAGGACTGTTGTGGGGTGGGGGGAGCAGGGAGGGATAGCGTTAGGAGATATACCTAATGCTAAATGACGAGTTAATGGGTGCAGCACACCAACACGGCACATGTATACATATGTAACAAACCTGCACATTGTGCACACGCACCCCAAAACTTAAAGTACAATAATAATAAAATTTAAAAAAATTCTTATATATATTATATAAATTCTTATGTATAAAATAATGCATATTAACTTTAATTAAAATTATTTTATAATATTGACAATTATTTAAAATATATATCACCAATAAAATATATTGATTTTTAATTAAAAATAATTAAAATTTATATATAAATAAACAACACTTATTTTTAAACAAACAATAAGTATTATTACATAAAACTTAGACTATATTATTGTAAAAATAAGTTGTTTTTGTGAACATTTGCCTTAATTGTTTTTGGAGTACCATGCATCATTTTATGAAGGCATGTTTCTGAAACAACCAAAGTTGTTGGTTGATTTTTGCTTTAGGCAATAATGATCATCCAGAAAAAAAATTCTCTTTTTCTTGAATTTATAATTTATCTTTAATCCTGATCTGTGTTCCCACACATAAGCCTAAGAGAGTTCATATATAGAAGGAAGGGAGTTGGGAAAGGAAAGGAAGCATTTATTGGGCTCTTGTTTTGTGTCAGCTGTTTAGTAGGCATTGAACTAAATTTCATTTAATTATTCAAAGAATTCTTCTGATGTTATAGTGGTTTTGCAGATGATGAAAATGTGGATTGAAAGGTTTATAAGGTTAGCTTACTTAGTATGCAGCAGAGTTGCCATTTAAACTCAGGTCTGTCTGATTTCTCCTTTTCAAGTTAGGACTCAACTAAACGGGGACAACTAGTGAAAGTAAGGCATATTTCACCTTCCTATATGAATGTCTATGCAAAATACTTAATGTGCACACGTTACTTTTCTTTTCTACTTATCATCAATAAATATTAGATTGCATCATGCATATTTGTCCTTCAGATGCTAAAAATAAACCATGGTAGGAGAATTTAATTATTAAAGACAGCAATCTTTTGATAGGAAAAGTAGAACCCAAATCAAAATGGATTATAGCCATAAGTATAAACATTCACCTAAAGGAGAAAAACAATATTTATTTTGTTTGTAAATAACAATACAGTGGACATTCACCATATATACTTAGATTTTTATACATGCTACATTATCTGGACTTATTTTCTTTAAAAACTTTGGTACAACTTTGGAAATTCATTCCTTTATCCTTCATTCTTTATTCAACAGCTGCTATTGATTACCCACTGTATACATAGTTCCAGGTGTTTTAGATATAGGAATAAATAAAGTATAGTCTCTGTCATCAAGTAGTTTATATTTTTAGTAATTACAAATATAGAAAAGTTTGCTTCATAAGGAGAATAAAAGTTATATTGACTATAAGTCATAGATTTTCTTTTCAAGCTACTCGTCTGTTTAACCATGATCAGATTAAATTATGTTTTTATTTGTCAAATGATTCAGTGTTTTGTCACTTTCCCTGGAAATTGAGTAAAATGGGTTTCCCACAATCATTATTATTCATGATAAATCTAAACCATATTTCATGATTTACAGTATTTTTTGATACACTAACAAAGGAGTCTTTTATAATCTTATTATAGCATAGTACTGGCTTTGAAAATTCTCTATATTCAAATGCCAGCTCCACCACTTATTAACTATGGGATGTAGGACAATTTTTTAGACCTCTGTGAGTTTTGATTTCTCCATTGAGTAATTGTGATATTCAAATGAGTCAAATATAGGCAATGTCTTTGTTTATATAAGTGTCTTGTTGATTGTAGTTACTGTATTCAAGTTAGCTATTATAATTAGTTGATAGAATTCAGTTCATTGTTTCTAAAACTTCTTATTAATCTTTGATTTGTAAGCTCTCATTGATATTAGTCTTTATTTTATTCTGAAAAACATTATCTTTCATGACTCTGATATGTAAGTTGTCTAGTCAAAAGAGATAAAGTGGAAATTATTTAACCAGCATTTACAGTTTTAAAGAAATCATGTAAAGTCCAAAGTTAATAAGACTTTAAATCAAATGATTTAGCTATATGAATTATTAGTTTTGATCTGCTATAACATTATGATTTATTTACTTGGCTACACCAGGGTTTTGCCTTGGGTTGCATTATTCTCCTTTGTAATTAAGAATGTTTGCACTGGATAAAAAACTGTATTCAAGTGCTATTTCTGCCACTTACTACCTGTGTGTCAGCAGGAAAACAAAATAAGCTGCCTCAATGTCCTCTTCTATAAAAATGAAAATGAATCCTATTTTATACGTTTCATATGAGAATAATGACATGTTTATTAACTGCTTATTACAGAAATTAATATAGTAACATAAGTAAAAATTATTGTTGTTATATTTGTTATTTAAAACATCTTAGTAATATCAAAGGGGCATTCTTTTCTTTCAAATTTATTTATTTATTATAAATTGACATCTTTTAAATTATAAAACATAGTCATGTACCACCTAACAAATTTCAGTCAATGATGGACTGCATATATAGCAGTGACACCTTAAGATTATAATATCAGATTTTTACTGTACCTTTTCTGTTAAGATGCACAGATACTTACCAATGTGTTATAATTGCCTACAGTATTCAGTACAGTGACATGTACAGGTTTGTAGCCCAAGAACAAAAGGCTAAACCATACAGCCTAGGTGTGAGGTAGACTGTACCATCTAGGTTAGTATAAGTACATGCTATGCTGTTCAGCAACAACAAAATTGCCTAATGATGCATTTCTCAGGATGTACCCCTGTTGTTGAGTGATTCATAACTGTATATAGAAGTCTAGATGGAATAAAGAGGAAGGGAAAGTGTGAGGGAAGAAAGAAAAGGAGAAAAGTCTGGTTGGAAATCTTTAACACAAGATGAAATTTCGATTTGATAGAGTAGGATGCAGGCTTGCTTTGGGAGGAGTCCATCAGGAGCCCTCTCCTTGAAGGCCTCTTCCTTCTTAAAGCAAACACAGAAATTAGACAATCTCAATAGCATGACTCACTTCCAGAAAGGTGGAGAGTAAAGCTTGAGACATTTTGACAGTCTTCGTGGCCCTAGAAGTAGGCTGAATCAGTATGCATCACGATGTGAAGGGTAGCAAAAATGCTTTCTATCTTATCATGAAATTATTTTCTTTGTAATAACAAAGGGGACCACTTCCTCCAGAGAAAATAGACCTAACCAAACTCTAGACTGAACAGATGTCCAGAAATAAATTACATCCCACACATTGTTATTACATGCACCATTTTAAAGTTAAGGGCAGTATGATGCCATTACATGGCAACTCTCATTTTAAAAAATAATAAAATTTTGTATGTGATGTCTGAAATTGAAATCACAGCATTATTCTTTTACCAAAGAAATCTCAGTTGACAAAGTTGCTTATTTTGCTGCATTTTTCCCTCATGATACAGAATACTGTTTCTCCTCATTTTAAAACCTCAATTAATTATCTTCAAATGAAAATTTTCATATTCACCATTTTAAGTGGTTTTGTTGTTTGAGTCATTCTTTTGCAAACACCATAAAAATCCCTTTACAGTCTGACATGGGCTATCAATCCTAACACCACTTCTCCTTTCAATGTAAAATCTTGTTATGCCTCTAAAGATGAGTATATCCCAGTCTTAGTAATAACTATTCCTGTTTCAGCAGAAAGTAATTCATAATAAGTATCTTAGCATTTTCCTCCTTTCCTTGGAATTGAATCATTACAAATACTGACAATTTTATTTCTTTTCTATTCTGAAAGATGAAAAATCTGGTTCAGCATATGCTCCATTGTACATTTGAGCAATCTATATCCTCTGTTCTTATGGTTAATATGAATTGCTTAATCCTGTGATTGTTTTTGTTTTCCATTTTCAAAGGAATCCTGGCAAAGCCTATGTTCATGAATTTGTACAAAATGTTTCAGACTAAGGAAAATGTCTCTAAACAAAAGCTCAAAATACATTGGTTTCTAACTCATATGACCCCCCCCAAATGATATTATACAATTTTTCAATAGTCTGAAATATATTATAAGAAATAATTCTTAGCAGTAGTTTTGCAAGTTGCTCAGGATTTTTGCTTATCCATTTTATATTTGCATGTGGCATTGACACAATTTGCTATAACATCTCCTAGGAAGTAATATATTTTTTTTAGGCATTTACTATTTGAGCTGTGAAGGTTAGTCTTAGATGTTCTTTCTCTTTTGTACTTTAAAATTTTTTTTCTAATTTTGCACAAGGTAAAAATGTTTTTAATACCCTCTATGTCTTAGACTCACCATGCAGGGGTGTCCAAGGGAGAGAGTACAGTCATGGGTTCTTAGTTTCTGTTTCTGGTTGGGCCAGTAAAACCCCTTCCTCATCCCTCCTTCCTGCTTACAATTAGACACAGAAACCAAAAATTATGGCTTCAGGCTGCTAAAAGCCTGAAACAAAACAAAATAAAAACAACAACAACAAAATAAGGCAGGTTGGACAAGCTCATGAGCATTACATATGTCACAACCTTTATAATAAATACCATTTTATTACAGAATGCAACAAAATAATTATTTGAATTATGCCTAGTAACATAATTCCAGAAAGAAATGGGTTTGGACAATTGTATATTTATGGATATATCCATTGTTCCCATTTTAAGAAGTGAACAATTATTAGTGTGTTTTTTTGAAAGGCAAAGCCAGATTTGTCATTAAATGAGACAGCTAAAAGAATGGAAGCAATACAAGCAGTCCCCAACTTATGAATGAGTTATATAACAAAATTCCTTTTAAGATGTTTTCTTTCCATTTTATAAGATGGATATTTATCGACAGTGGCCACACAAAAAAACCTGTGAAAACCCACAGCTTATGCTAAATGACAATATTTTTAGCATTGGTTATGGTGACTGTGTGAGTGAGAGGGACACAAGGAAAAACATGTTTCTCCATTTTTCCTGATACTCAGTTGACCCTGCCCAATATGTGAAAAATAACTAAAGCCAGCTTTTCACACAGCCTTCTCTCTCTTTGTCACCTTTGTTTTCTTCCTGAGGTAATGCTGTTTCCCAACTGATATTCTCTAGCTGCCTTTTCTTTAAAGTGGTTTTGGTTTCCAATTTTCTAACCCAACTTATCTCTTGATCAAAATGACTCAGTACAGCTGGTATGGGGAAATGTCTAAGAAAAAATAATTGGGCCAAAGTGTCCACACCAGCCCTGCATCTTGCATCCCCTCTGCTTCTCACTTCCCGACCCCCACACCACAATTGTTAATTTAAATAAACAAATAACTTAAGGAATTTCTGGCAGTGTGGGGTCCTGGAGTGATACATGTATAGATAGTATGGGTGAAGATATTTGGAGACAGGAACTGGGATAGGTGGGAATTCAGCCTTAAATGCAGCATCCCCTGCACTGCTCTTGAAGTGATACATTTTCTTCAATACTATACTTAGGAGCCTATAGTTTCTTTATTTTAATACATACACATTTTCCCAGTGGGTCTTGCAAAGCTTGTGATAGAAGATTTGTTAATGAGGTATGTATTAGTCTGTTCTCACACTGCTAATAAAGACATACCCAAGACTGGGTAATTTATAAAGGAAAGAGGTTTAATTGACTCACAGTTCCACATAGCTGGGGAGGCCTCACAATCATGCCAGAAGGTGAATGGGGGTCAAAGGCACATCTTACATGGCAGCAGGCAAGGGAGCACGTGCAGAGGAACTCCTTTTTATAAAACCATCAGATCTCATGAGACTTATTCACTGTCACGAGAACAGCATGGGAAAGACGCCCCCATAATTCAATGACCTCCCATTGGGTCTCTCCCACAACAGGTGGGAATTATGGGAGCTACAATTCAAGATGAAATTTGGGTGGGGACACAACCAAACCATATCAAGATGTAATAAGCTAGAGATAACTGCTTCATTTTTTCTAAAATGTAAAAGTAAATGTAAAATACATGATTATATAATATTGTTTACCTATATTTTAATTTTAATTCTTTTCAATACCTCAAATGTAAAACCATCCACTCATAAAGTAAATTTTAAGAGTTACCTCTATATGAAAGAAATCGTTATTTGTGTTAGTTATAACATTCCTTATACCTGGCCACCCAAAACAAGAAAATAATCAAGTTTTCAATTTTCAATTTTTTTATCATAACTCTGGATATAAATATAACTAAAATGTTTTCAGTAATAACTCCATGCACAATGATCAAACAAATGCTGTACTTGTTGTGGGCTGGCATCAACAATTATGAAAGTGGCTTGGTAAGGCCAGGCCAGACCTTTGTAACCAGTTATACCAGGCTACTGTTAGACAGCCCCAGATAGCCCATCCCTCTGCCTCAGGGCTTATGGAAACAGTGGATGTTGGTAACTGAACACTTACTCCCTGCTGCATGCTTCCCATGTCATTTCATTCCTGTGAAGTGCATTTTCATATCTATATTTCATAAATGAGGAGACAGATTCTGAAAGGCAAACCAACTTGCTCAAAATAACTAGCTTATATATTTTGAGCCAGATGCAGACTAAAGTCTGTGTAATGCTAAAACCTGTGCTCCTAGACATTATGCAAACTGTTTCATGGGCTTACACTGAAATAATATCTGATGAATTTCTCTTTGCATAAGAGAGTGAGCTCCACAAGTGTGGTAGGCAGAGCATCCTCCTATCTCAGAACCTGACACAGCGAAGGTGCTCAATGCTGGTTGAACCAAAGTGACAACTTGTTTATCCAGCTCTATCATAGCAGTAACTTTACTAAAAGTTCTCTGTTCCCTTACTTTTTTTCAGAAAAGTTATCCACGTCCCCAAACAAAACCTACGTCCCTGTAACAAAAAGCTTTTATTTTCAAGAGCTGTATCTTTAGCCATTTTTTTAATTGTGGTAAAATATATATAACATCAAATTTACCATTTTAACCATTTGAAAGTATACAGCTCAGTGGTATTAAGTACATTCACACTGTTGTTTGATCATCAGCATCAGCCACCCTCAGAATTTTTTCATCTTCCCAAAGTGAAACTCCGTACATATTAAACAGCAACTCCCCATTCCCCCTCCCTGCAGCCCCTGGCCATCACTATTTTACCTTCAGTCTTGATGAAACTGACTATTCTAACTACGTCATATAAGTGGAATTAAACAGTATTTTTCCTTTTGTAACTAGGTTATTTTGTATATTGTCAAGGTTTATCCTTATTGTAGCATGTGTCAAAATTTTCTTCCTAAGGCTGAATAATATTCCATTGTATGTATATATCACATTTTGTTTATCCATTTATCTGATGATTTATTGAGTAATGGAGTTGTCCAAAATGAAATCTTTTTGCCAATTCTTTGATGGAAAGATAAGATGCAAATATAGAAATGCAATGAGTTCATGATTTTTAGAACATCTCTCTTTTTATATCATAAGCCCTAAAATTAATCATGGAAAACTAGTTCAGTTTAGGCAATCAGCAAAAAAAAATAGATGGGCTTAAGATAATTTAGGATTTATGAGTTATAAATATGCCACATTTTAACTACTCAGGCTGGAATTAGCCTGTCTTCATTTGATTATCTGTTTTGATACATTGACTGTTCTTCAGAAGATTCGTGAAGTTAGGGTATTTAAAAATTGCCATTTCTCTAAAATTAAATAGAATAATAGGGAAGGGAGCATTGATTCTAAATAAGAATGCAAATTTATAGCCATCAAGTTTTCTACTACTACCATTTAACTTCTAATCAGCGTATTATGGAATATTCTTGTTCAAGAATTGGTGTCTGAACCTTAAGTCAATAAGAAGGAAATAATCTATACAGTTTTTAGTATTTTCAGCAGTTTTCCTTATGTGCTAACCAATAATTTTTTAGCTGGCATTTATCAATGCCAGAGACACGCTCATATACACATATTATATATCCTATAATACACAGCATTATCCTCTAATCCTCACACTGAAAAGTAGACATCATCACCATTTTACAAATGAGGAAGGAGAGGATCAGAAAGGTTAAGTGACTTTCTCAGTTAATAACTGGCAGAGTTGGCATTTGAGAACAGGACTTCTAGATACAAGGCTGCTGCTCTGTCACCTCACACTTCCCCTACATGTTGTGAATGGTGCTGGGCCACAAAAATGAATGGGACAGTCTCCACCCTGGAAAAATTTATATTATACTGGAATGGATGGGCATTTTTAACTAATTAAAATATAATAGTATGAAGATTAGAAGTTCTTTGGATGCCAGCAGGTAGACATAGCTTAACAGTGCCTGAAAAGCTTTGCAAAGGAAAGGGCATTCCATCTTGGCCTTACATGACTTCCTTCCATGCTGGTTTTCCATTTTAATTAGTAAAGAATTTAGTTAAGCACATGGGATGATTGGTTAAAGTTGAAGCTGTAATGAGATCATGAAGGTTAAATTAAAGTGTTTGAAGTTTATCTCTTAGCAGTGGAAAACAAATGTTTTTATGTTTTCATTCTTGCTACTTTTTTCTGCTTAATCTACCATTCTGTAGAAGCCTTAGTAATAGAACAAGCGAAGGAGAAGAAAAAGATAATTTTTTTAAAAAAGAATCCTTTTATGAGCTTATGCTAGCTTATTTTAATGTTCTTGCATTATAGGCATGATTAAAGATTTTAAGTGTATGACTTTGCATTTTGATCAGAGTTATCATCTCCCTCAAGGCTGCTCAATAACATGATCCATAATGACATTTTGTTGTTATTTTCTGACCTGTTGGGTGAGGCACTAAAGCCAGCTTCCCTAGGTCTATGTAGCTTTAAGTTATTGCAGTGAGGAAATTTCACAGTGCTGTCATGCTTTTGGTTAATACAGTTTTGTGTTTTGCTTGGGAAAGACAATTCTGAGAGTGTCCTATTGATTCAGATGTTTTCTGACAGTAGCTGCCTACCAGGTTTGCCTTCATTGACTTTTCAATGTTCTGTTACAAATAACTTGCATGTACAATTTGATATTGAAAAGCCTAGAAGGTTCCCCACTGTGCATGAAGTTAGAGCAGCCCTGAGCCATGGGGTGGTGAGTGCTTATTATCATTCTGAAAATCATCCACTTGTCCTAGGCTGTTGCCATAAAAGGGTTGTGTTTTCTCTGTTATTCTTTTTTGTTCTCCTGCTTCTTTTATTCTTTCAGACATTCCAATGCACTTCTTATTCTTTAAAAGTTTAAACTTCATTCTTAAAAATTCCCCATGGTGACTGAAACTTGAAATATAAAGTCACAGGTGTTTTCTGATATTTTTGAACACACGGAATGTGAGATGGCTTGGATTGGAAGTACTTATTTTGTTAGTACAATTTAAAAGAATCACTTCTGTGAGATTTTCCTAAAATGATGAATGGTTAGAAATGTTCTTTTATAATCATAATAAAAATAACTACCATTTATCGAATGCCTACCATCTGCCAAGATCTGTGCTTAGCAACTTTCATGCTATCTATAATATTGACAACTCTGTAAGGTAGGTATCATTAAACCATTTACAGATAAAGAAACAAAGACTCTGAGAAGTTAAGTGACTTGTCCAAGACAAGAATGATTACTTCTATCTTTCTAATTGTGGTTGACTTCTACTTATTAAAAATGATGGTAATATCATTTGGGTTTGCAGAGCACGTCACGGTTTACATAGCAGTTTCACATATGCCACCTCCTTTAACCTCACAAAACTGATAACTATATTTTGCATTTCACCTTAATCTTTGTGAGACCATCTTGAGGCTTTAGATCAGAAATGGGGTATGAATTTCCTTGTGCTGAAATATGACCCTTTGTTAAGTTAGCATCATTTGCAAAAATGTCTTCTTTTCTACCATTACTAGTTTATGCTTCTATTTTATCAGGGGAGAAGGCAGCTGGAGAACTTGTCTGTTGATGCCCTTGAAGAGTTTGTGGGATTATGTTTACCCAGAAAATAGTTGCCTGTAGCAAAAGCATAATAATGTTTTTGAGACCCAGCTGCTCTGCCCCTGAAAACTATGTAGGAAATACTTACATAGCTGCTATTTCCTGCTCTCTCCTCCCAGGATCCCAGCCCGTGGCATCTCTGCCTTTCAAAGACATTCCACTGTGCAGTCTGTCCCTATGTCTGCTTGTAAACCAAAGCATAATGTTCATTTACACATAAGTGGAGGAGGGGGAAGGAGAACCTTATAGAATTACAAATAAGATAATATTATAATGGGTAATAAGTACATTTCTGCCTTATCACCAGTATTTCCAAAACCCAATGGCATCAAATTCTCTGAAATAATTTAGGGCTCTGAAATGGGAATTGGGTAAAGAAAATAAGTAAAAAAGTTGTTGGATTCAATAGGGAAAAATAATAAAACAAATACAGTAACAGGTACACTACCCTCCTCTATCCCCCTTGGGAACACCAAAGCAAACCCACTCACCCTTCCAAAAAGTATCATTTCTTTCAAATATCAGAGCTTTGACCCAGGAGTCTGACCTCACTTTTCCTGACCTAACTCCTCCTAGGCGAGATTGGTTTCTCCCTCTCTTCTGTATTCTCAAAGCACCTAGGACATGCCTCTGCTTCAGTATCCATCTTCTCTACTGGACATGAGCAAAATGAGCCCCCTCCTTATCCCTACCATTCCGGAGAACAGTCCATCACTTGGAGCATAAAGCTTAGTGCACAAGTAGATGAATCTATTCAGCCATGCAACAGTACCAGACCTTCTGTTAGTGCTGTGTGCTACACTCAGAGAATGTTTAAAGAAATGAGGAATGAAGAAAGGGAGTGAAGAAGACAGGGAATGTAGGAATGAGAGAGACAGGGAAGAAAAGACTGAAGGAGAAAGGAAAGAGGGAGTAAGGAAGGAAGGAAAGAAGAAAGCCTGGCCCAAGATGTGAATAAGAGTGTAATGATTTCACTTATCACATAGTATTTCACATAATATCTATTGTTTACTTTCAGCAAAGAAATTTATTTTGAGAATATGAATATTTCAGAGGAATAATTCACAGTGGAGATGGGGTAGATAGTTTTGTAGAAGACTAGAAATCAGTTTCTAAATGTTTCTCTTTCCACTAATTTCAAAGTCTATTTTTCTTATTACTAAAATATTTCCACTTTTATATATGTGAAGATAAAACTTTTGCTTACTCCTTAGCTAATGAATTTTATAAACAAACTCTTTTATATGTTTTTATAATATAATATGTGAAATGAGAAGACTAAGGGATTTTACCTACCACCTACATATTACCATATTAAGATATTCCTGAATAAAGTAAACCCCACCATAAATGTGTGTGTGTTGGGGGGTATGATTTTTCTTTTTGGTCTATGAAACAGATTATGCTAATTTACACCAGCACTTCCAATAACAACTAACTATTCTGCACCCCAAACACACACACACACACATACACACACAACACACCCCATCTACTCTTCTCTCTCCTGCTCCAGTACTCTGTAGCATTAGTTTAGTTTCTCTTATTCCCTCAGCCCCACTCTTTAGACAAAAAAATAGAGAGAAAGAAAGAAAGAAAGAAAGAAAGAAAGAAAGAAAGAAAGAAAGAAAGAAAGAAAGAAAGAAAGAAAGAAAAGGAAACCTTTCCTTCTCATTTCTAGGGCTCTAAGGGTTTGCACGCTGCCACTCTACCATTCTTCACACATTCCAATTAGAAACTTAAGGGAGGCCAGCGTAGTGGCTTGTGCCTGTGATCCCAGCACTTTGGGAGGCTGAGGTGGGTGAATCGCTTCAGCCCAGGAGTTTGAGATCAGCCTGGGCAACATGGTGAAAACCCGTCTTCACAAAAATAAAAACAAACAACAACAAAAATAGCCGGCATTATAGCACACACCTGTAGTCCCAGATACTAGGGAAGCTGAAGTGGGAGGGTCGCTTGAGTCCGGGAGGTGAAGGATATAGGCTGCAGTGAGCCTTTAGTGTGCCACTGCATTCCAGCCTGGGCGACTGAGCGAGACTCTGTCCCAAAAGAGAGGAGTGGAGGGGAGGGGAGGAGAGGGGCACAAAGGTGCCATGCATATCAGAGGATGCTTTCTTGTCTGCTTATCTCAAATCTGGCCATACATTTGAATATCAAATAAAGCTGATATTCTCATTTTCTTCCTCTCTACTGAAAAATAATCTATCCCAGTAACAACAGTTAGCAGTCACTGCAGGCAAGATGATAAAGAGGAAAATAAAAAAATCTTGAGGAAAAAAAAAGTCAAGGATGATTTTGAATATTTATTATATTATCTTGAAACCCATCATAATCACTTCACAAATTCTTAATGAAATCTGACCAAAATGTGCTCCCACTATTTGTTGAGATCTATAGGAAAGTCAAAATGATACAATTTCTCATTTTATCATTATTTTTTGTGCACTTATGCGCACAGAAGATACTGTGTGAATTGGTTTGAAGTTTTCCTTCTTTTCACTATCTTATAGCTTAATTGGTAATGAGCAGCAAATTTTAAAAGATTAAAAATTACGGGGGGGAAGGGAAGAGGAAAGTTAGTGCCCTAGATAGAGTGAAAAAAATTACAAAAGAACAAAGTAATTATTCACAAGATGGGAAAAAGATATAAATGAATTGAATTATGAGTCAGACAGAAAAGACCACACACATATATACCCACATGCATGAACATACACAAACACAAATACACATGCACACACAAAAAGACATGCACACACAGTCTACACTACACACATATCATCCACCCACACAAATGCAGAGACCACACATTTGACACATGCTCACAAACACACTTATCCAAACATGGCAAAATTATGCTCCCAATTTAATTAGCAAAGAATACATTTTACCAGAAGCAGGGTAAACACCACATAGGATAGTAGCATATATCAGAGTAGCTTCCCTTGATCCCCAGAGTCCTTGTGGGGGCTCACAGCTGCCTATGAACTGGACATATAAGCAAACCTATAAACCTGAATTCTTTCTGCAACACCGAACTTTTATAAGCCAGAGGTACAGGATGACTTCAGAAAATCTTAAACTTACAATTTTTATGCCTCTGATTAACATTAAGCATCACATCTCTTGGTTTGAAAAAAAAAATTAAAAAAAAAAACAACTCAGTGACATGGAGGCCATATCATCATCTGGGGAGAGAGAGCAGAGTCAGTGAGCAGAAGCTATGAGCAAAATGGCATTACCTTGCAGTAAATATTGTGAATTATACTTAATCTAATATTCAATTTACAAATGGGGATAATTAATAATTAGTGCCTAATTAGAAATAAATGAAATAATATTGGTAACATAGCTAATACAATGCCTGGCACATCAAAGATGCTTAAAAAAACAGAAATGGGGAAAGGTGAGACAGATTTTCACTTCCTTGTTATAACTGATGATTATCCAGTTGCTTTTGGTCTAGTTGGTTCCCCTTGCATAATCCATTAGCTTAAACTAATTGCATTTTCCAACTTGATCTCCATTTAGTGTCCTAACATGTATTAATATGGGCTACTGAATCTGCATTCATATGTCTCTGAGACCTGAATAAAACCTTAAAATTTTCAGGGATAGGTTGGAAATACACATTACATGAATGTTACTATACATTGCCTTGATGCAGTGTTACTATAATTGCCTCCACGCAGTGTGCTTTGGGATCATAGATCAAAATGATGGGAAAACCTTCCTGCCACAACAAGCCAGTTGGCTTGTCCCACTGTGAGATTCTCCCCCAGCTTACAAAATAGACATGCTTTTTCAAAAGTGTTTCTTTTAATTTGTTGAAATGTCAAGAAGAGCCTAATGTTATAGATTTTGGTGAAAGGTAGTTTTCCCTTATCAAAATCATATAGCTCATACCTATCTATTTTTTTCAAATGTCCATTGTACAAAAATACAGTCTTTATGGGTATTTAACTCCTACAGTTGACTTTAAGTTCTGCTCTCTATATTGAGCAGAAAAATAGTCATGGAACTGTGGAATTGGAATTTGAAGGTATGTATATCAATGCCATTTAAATATTAAAAGTAGTAGGAAACTATATCTATATAAATATAGTCATTTTCTAGAGTCAGTTAGTTTCAAGAGGCTTTTCTTTTTTTAACATTTAAGATGCTTTACTTGGAGTTCCTTAGAGAAAAATTTCTTCAAATGCTAAGATAATATAAAAACCATAGCTTTCCAAAAACTTTTACATTAACTTTGAAACAAGTAACTAATGCAAGTGAGGCCAAGCAATTAGTTTGTAAGGAGACCTTGTAATGCAGAGGTGTAGGGGATTCCAGGTAAAACATCAATACCAACTGTACTTTTTTGCTGTGTGGTGTAGAAAGGCAGATGAGAGAAGTCGGGATATGGACACAGGTCCTGGACTTTAAAGATTCACTTAAATTTCCCCACTTCTTTATCCTGGCATACATCCTCCCCTAGGATCAAGCTGCCATGGGCTAGAAATAAAGACTCAGAATATATTTGTTCAAGACCAACAGATCAAGTAGAAATTGTTGTAGAACATATATGTGCTGCTGCGTTTCAGGGTTGAATATAATCATTTGGCAATATCACCTCTACATTTTTATTTCCACGAAGACACACCCATGAGACAAGCCTTAAAGAAGGTGACAGCAATAGATATTATTTCCAGAGCTCCTACCATGCTTTGGATTACAATCTTATCAATTTGGGTTGAAGTTGCAAAAAATTCAGGCCAAAAATGAACTTTGAGTAGTTTATGAAACCCAAACACACTTGTCAAACCTAACCATGCAAAACAGCACAAATTAAGTCAACTTTCAATCTGGTTTTGTGCCAAATGGAATGAAGCCTCTGGTGGGCTAGACAGCTCTATTTCCTGCTTTCAATTTTGGAGATTCCAATTAGTAAATTAAACTTTAAAAAGCTGTCTAAAATAATTAATTAGGTCATAATTATTCAGAAGCATATTTTATAGTGTACTCTAATCTAGTGTCTAGTCTAAATACTTGAAAACGGTATCAATTTCATTATTAAAGAATTAATTATAATTGGGCCTAATCCTTTGCTGATGAACGTTGAAAAAATACTCTGGGGATAAACTGTTCACATATGCGAAGTGGATAAATTCTTTCAGAGCTCAAGAATAATAGTTATGCTCTGGAAGTGTTTTCTGCTTATATTAATTCCTTTGTTAAAATTCTTACAGATATCACCCAACAAATAAAAGTTTCATAGGAAAAAGAGCCCTCTGTTTAAATGAGTTTATCACATATGGACAACTGATTTTCCTCCTACTCTATTCCAAACATTTTCCATAATCAGTACATTGGTACAGAAAAGAGAAAAGAAACAGGGAGAAGTAACCTGCCGGGCATGGTAGCTCATGCCTGTAATCCCAGCACTTTGGGAGGCCGAGCCAGGAGAATTGTTTGAACTCAGGAGTTCATGAGCAGCCTGGACAACATCATGAGATCCATGTGGGAAAAATTTTGATATTTCTTTAACTTCCTTCTCATTTCTTCCTAATGTCCTTTTATGATCTAGCAAATCAAATTTAAAAACTCAACATATCATAAATAATGATACCAGAGATCAGTATAGCTTACCTGTTTCCATCTATGTCAGAGAGAAGAAATAAATATAGACCATTTCAATACTCTTCCTGCATATACAGGCCAAATAGAATTATAAAGCCAAAGCTCTAGAGTTCAATAAAGGAAAGGCAGTTAATGATTATAGTTTTATGGGTAAATTGTTGTAGTGAATTAATGTGTTTTTCAGAAGAGAGAGAACAGGAATGGCAGGTGTTCATCTATAAATGGTGATGAACAATGTGAAACCAAGACCACAGGTAATATTTCTGGTAAGGATTTCACAAGAGTGTAAACCACAGCAGCTAAAAACAAAACTTAAATCCATAAGTAGACAAGTTAATCAGAAACATATTTTATGCACTGTTTCTTCTATAATTTTAGGCTTCACAAAATACATTACATACATAACTAAGGCCATAATGCTGACTTAAGCTCTTATTTAAATGTATTTGTTGAAAATATTCACAGACTTTTTCAGAACATATGTTCTTTTTATATTTGTCTATACATGTTTCTATTTTTTTTCAATTGTGTTTGGATGTTGAGACTCTAAGTGATTTTTCTATTTTATTTATGGATATTATAATATTAATTTTAATACTAATTCAAAATTTTAAAAATATAAAAAGGAATCTAAAAATCCCTGTAATGTAGAAAGATGGCTACTAACTATGACTTACATGTGACTTGACATTGATAGAAAAATACTCGTGTGTTTACAAATGAACACATAATAAGTATGAAATAAGGATATAGTCAGATGTTAAAATCCCTTTCTGGATCTCAGTCCTCTTGGCAAACATAACTGTTGTGTTACTCTTTTTATTTTAATGGGAGTAAAGTGTTTGGGTGAAAGAATAATTTTTACTTTTATGTTTCCAAAAATACAAATACTGCTGTTTTGAGATGCAAAATGGAAAAATTGAATAGAATAGAATTAAGTCTCATTGTCCAACAGAATCAATAAATAATAAATGAGAAAAATAAAGAGATGCTCAAATATAACCTTGAACATAATGCTTTGCAGGGTTATAAGAGTGTTCAAATGCCTTTCATTTTCATCCTTTCAAATTTTTCAAAAGCTAATTAAGGTGTCATAGGTAAATAATAATGCTTCTATTATAACCAAAGCCTATTCTTTGAAGGCGGTTTATCAAGCATTTCTGCTAGTTTATATAACCGTAGTGGATCTACCAATACACCCAATGAGTGGCATACAAACTGATCAAGATAGACCCAGGAATCTAGATACATGTCCATCAGTGTGAGAATAGCATTTGCCAAGTCAACATTTTTGCCTCCAAAATGCTTTATAGACCTCAAGAAATTCTAACAACACTCTTGAGAGAACATTTGCTCTTATTAACAATTTCTAGTGAGAAATTAATGGCTAATTAATTTGCCCAAGGACAAAGAAAGTCAGATTATGGTTTTCAGGCTCATTTTTTTTTAGTCTAATTGATTATTAGCGTTGCATTATCTCTTTTTTTAACCTTGAAGGTCTTTTTGTTTTCTTAAAAATGCAGCATTCTTTGCTATTGTGAATCCATGTTGTGGCTATACTTGTATTTGAGGTTACACTTCTATTCTAAGTTCCTATTTCCAACACCAATTTTTTAGGCGTTTTTCTCTTCTTTTTTTTCTTTTTCTAAAGTTTTACTTTATTCTGCAAAGCTAAACTAGAAAGATGTACTAAAGATTGTTTGGCACTGGGTACACTTGAACATAAACACGGGAACAACAGATACTGGGGATTACTGAAGAGGAAAGACAGCGACAGGGGCAAGGCTGAACAACTACCTATTGGGTACTATGCTTACTACCTGAGTGACAGATCATTTATTCTCGAAACCTCAATATCATGCAGTATACTTTTGTAACAAACCTGCATGGGTGCCCTCTGAATCTGAAATAAAAGTTGAAAGGAAAAAAAAGAAAGAAAATTGTTTGGTTTTGTTTCAATTAGCCAAAATTTGAGATAAGTAATAGCTGCAAGTAGTAAAAAATAGTCTACGCTGTGTGTACATAAGAGTAGATAACTCAAACCTCGGTTCCCCTCTAAACACAAACTCTAAATAAAGGAAGAGGGTTCTGCCCTTCAAAAGTGAAGATATATAGACAAAAGAAACAAATATCTTGAAATGCTGAGCCTCATCCTTTTCAAAAAATACTTAAATAACTAGAAAAACAAAATAAAAATAGAATTCAGGGTGTGTGTTTGAGAGCAACAGATCCTTCTTCAGTATATTATTGGCTGGAAGTGTACAGAAATCTTTGTAAATTTTATTTAAAAATAATTTATTGGCTAATTCAAGATTTTATTTACTACTTTCTATGCCAGACACTATTATGAGTTCTGAAGTTACAATAACAAATGATATGGACTTTGTCCTTAAAAAGCTCACAGTCTAAGAGAGTGGGGGAACCCAAATATAATAAATCTGTGCTAAAAGAGTACAAGGAAAGAAGTAATTATTAATACTTCTGTGGACAATAAACACTACTATAGATCAGAAAACTGTATCCCAAAGCCTAAATGTGGTTAAATGCCTACTATATTTGTTTGCTACCATAACAAACCACCAATTTGCATAACCTCAACAAAAGAAATTTATTCTCTCACAGTTCTGAAGACTAGAAATCCAAACTCAAGATGTCAGTCAGGCAGTGCTTCCTCTGAACTCCTTTAGGGAAGGCTCCTTCCTTGCTTCTTCCAGCTTCTGGTAGCCCCAGGCACTTCTTAACTGTGGCAACATAACTCTAATTGCTGCCTCTGTCTTCACATGGCTGTCTTCCCTCATTGTCTTTGTCTCTTCTGTTCATTTAAGAACACCAGTTATGTTGGACTTAAGGCCTACCCTACTCAAGAATGACTTCACCTTAATTACATCTGCAAAGACCCTATTTCCACATAAAGTCATATTCATAGATACCGGGGATTAGGACTTCAACATATCTTTTTAAGAGGCACAATTCAACACAAAACACTTACTCAGCTAGGTGCTCATTAAAACACTGGATTTCTGCCATTCTGAATTTAAAAGGTAATGATTTAATTAAAACATCAGAGAATAAAATGACATATTGTTTTACAGTTTACAGTTCTATATATAGGCATATATATACACAGCTGTCATTATTTCATTGTTATCTGTAGAATTTCTTATTCTGTCTTTAAATATAAAAAGGATTATCTTCTATGAACAATAAAAAAGATAAACTAAATTTAATTACCAATTAAAGATGGGGTAAAAAAGAGCAACAACACTCTAAAACAGAATAATCATGGATATTGTGTAACCTCTCTCTTTCGTAGTTTGTTCATACTGGGAGACTAATGAAATAGAATGATAAAATCTTGTCCAGAGATGAGGAGGAGTATTAAATGACATCCTGTTCATTTAATGTGAATATAATAAACTTCAAAGTCAAAAATGTGACTATAATAAAGTTTGAAATTTTTGAAAATATGACACATAAGCATAAATACGTACATAAGATTAACACATTTTATCTATAAGTTATTTAAATTTATATACATATCCAACCTGAAAATTGTTTAATATTTGAGTTTTTTATAGTGTCTAAGAATGCGTAAATGGTATGCAAAAATATTTTCAATTTTTTGCTTACCATAGTTGAATGTTACAAACTTACTGTATCCAGCAAATTCCAAACTATATGCTAGAACTTGCAGAGAAAACAAAATGTTTTCCATGACAGCAAGAGACTCTATTTAATCATTATATTAAGAGATTTAAACAAGATGAGAATTAAGGATGGGATGGATATTCCAGAGAAATGGAACGATTAATTCATTCAATTTATATATGTTGAGTTTCTGCTCTATACCAGGCACCGGTCAAGGTATTGGGAACACAGCAATGAACACAATGTTCCAAGTCTCTGCCCTCAAATAGGTTAACCTCAAGTAGCTTAAATTCTAGGTGAAGGAGTAAGGGGAAGGAAGGGAAACGGGATGAATAATAGATAAACAACAAATAAATTTTTAGTACAAGTATGTTCCATGAAATATTTGGGACACTTAAATAATTAAACAATGAATAAGTTGTCAGAATAGGTAATGACAAGGACAAGTAATAATATTTTTCATATGTCTGATGCAATAGTTAGAACATAATTATTCTTTTTTTTAAAAAAAGACAAGGTCTCACTCTGTTGCCATGCTGGGGTGTAGTGGTGCCATAATAGCTCACTGCAGCCTTGAACTCCTAGACTCAAGCCATCTTCCCACCTCAGCCTCCCTAGTAGCTGGGACTATGGGTGCATGCCACCATGCCTGGATAGGATATAATTAACTAAAAAGTTTTTTGTTGCTTGTCTGAAGTTCAAATTTAACTGGGTGCCCTGTATTTTCATTTGCTCCATCAAACCATCTTAACAGGAGGAGATAGCAAATAAAGGCATTTTTAAAAGTAGTATGTTATATGGTGATAAATGCTTTGGAGAAAATAAGGCAAGGTTAGGCGAATTCGGAATGTTGTGAGGAGTGGGGAATCCCTACTCCATACATCAGCGGGATGACC
Organism: Homo sapiens; assembly: GCF_000001405.40. NCBI lineage: Eukaryota > Metazoa > Chordata > Mammalia > Primates > Hominidae > Homo > Homo sapiens. The sequence continues at coordinate 79,073,508 of NC_000012.12, forward strand.
TCTCCAATAATGAAGCATTTCAGCAGATACTTGAAGAAAGTGAGCATGTGGTCCAAGCCACCGGAGTCTTCCTGGCTTGGCTAGAAGGACAGCAGGTGAAAATCCCTGAGGCAGAAGAATGGTAGGTCTCTCCAGAAACAGAGAGTCCAGTGAACTGGAGTAGAGGGAGGAAGGAGAAAAGCAAATTTTTGCTTACCCTTGCAGTATTTGTTGTTGGCCAGAATTACTTCTTCGACATTAATCAAAACATGACCTTCAGCTGTATGTATCTGCTCACCTCTGTCTACCTGACTCTCTTTTTCTGTCTCTCCCTTTATCTCTGCCTCTCAGCACAGGCACCTATCTGTCTTCATATATAGCTTACTTATAAACCAAACACAAAGCAATGTCTGCTGCAAGAAAAAATAATGAGCAACTTAATTCAGGCCTTATTTACCCTCACGTTGTCAATTTTGATCATTTGCTTATTTAACTAAATTGTTCTGCTTTCATTCCAGTCATTAGCTTCCATATATAAAAAATAATGTGCTCACATTCCATAAGTATGTTAGATATTCACACATTTTGCATTTTGCAATAGAGACCAAGACTCTGGAGTGTTTTTATTTAATGAAACCTCTAATCAGATCCTGTGGATTTACTAGTAATTAATCTTTAAAATAACACCATATACAGGACTTTAATACCCCAATATGTTAATCTCATCTTTTGTTTTGAAAATCGTCCTCTATTTAACATTCTATCACACTGTATGCTGCCTCACTCCTGCAGCCCTCATCTCCACACAGCTGTGGTCTACATGGCCCCAACATGTGTATTCAGTACTGCCCTGCCAATTGTAAATGAGAGGTTTAAAAGGCTCCAGATCCAAGTGACACATGCAGCATTTGTGTTGAGGTTCTGCCTCCATCTTTGTGCCTAAATCTCTAACTGTGTAGCTTCCCACAACTAGTCTCTAGAAGCCTGGAACTCCACCTTTATCCTCTCATTAAGTCTTTTAAAAATCTACTTGTTCTCTGATTTCTAGCCCAGTTGCTGATAGAATTTCACCTGCTGATAAAATTTTCTGAATAAAATGTCAGAATATGAATCATCCTTCATTCTTGAGTTTTGCTTACTTATGAACTGCGACATCCTATGTCAGCCTCTCAGACTCCTATTCTTGACTTTCCCCTCGACCTGTACCCTGCTATTATCATGCTTCTTGACACAGGCCAAGGTTTGCCTGATAGACTAAATTTCTCTGAGCATCAGCTGATGCTCTTGGGCTTCATTCAAGCCCAATTCTGAATGTGATTCCAGATTTTATTATCCCTGTCTTCCCTCTTTGGATTTGGCAGGGCTGAGACACTTAGGGATAAGGTAAGTTCTGCCCTCTTCTCAATAATGGGATTGGTTGGATATTGCTTTTTACTTCTTGTTTTCCATGCAGTAGGAATATAACCAAAAAATACTATGTACTTCACTGTGAAGTCCTGAAACAAAAATATCATCGTAAATACCCTGGATCTCAAGGATCTCTAATTAGATGTACCATACACATATTGTATAACACTTCCAGAACCAGGGATTAGAAGAACAAGCCCTATATTTGCAGAAATGCGAACCTTAACTAATATATGTCTAATCTCTTTAATTTTACATACTGATGCAAAAGAGATACTAGGAGTTCCCCCATCAGTTCGTTCAATCTCTTGCTTCTTGGGCAAAATCTTCAAGGCTCTTGAATTTCATAGTGAATTTCTCTTTTTGGTCTGTGGGCCTACTCTCCATCTTTGTTACTTCTCTTTTGAGGCTTTCACCTTATACTCACTACAACTTCTCTCTCTCTCTCTCTTTTTTGTGCTAATCCAAATAGACTTTTTGGCCTTGCCCTAGCAGACATTTAGATTTTCCTTCCCAGCAAGTGTCTGTCTCTAAAGCTTGATGAATAGTTGCCAAAGAACACTTTCCTGATATAAGGAAATAGAGCCATGTTTGGTTGGGCTTTAAGATGAAACACAGAATCGTCTTTTTCACTGTGGTGAAGTACATCTGATGCTTTAACATTTATATTCTAGATCTAACATTTAGACTATCAGTTGTGTGACCTTAATCCCCAAGTCTTGGTTTCCTTATTTGTAAAATAAGAATATCGGCTATTTGATCTTGAAGGTCACCTACACCTCTGCAGTTTGTGATACAACTATTCATCACATTTAGCAGATGCCCTTCTCTTTAGAAAAATCTCAAGCCTATAGAATCGGATACAATTTAAACGATCCCCAGCATAATTTTGCCCTCTCAGGATTTCTATCTTCATAGTCATACACAGATTTTTTTGAAAACCCCAAGAAAAGAAAACCATGCAAATTAGAAGTGAATATATATTAGATGATTATAAATCACAAATTATATCAACCTTGTAGGGAAGAAAAGATTTCTTTTCTAACCCATAGCTAGGTTTGTAGCTGAGGCCTTTATAACAAAAGTCATTAACAAGAGAAAAGCACACAGATTTTTTAATAAAAATTTTATGACATGTCATAAAATTACATTACAGAACACAGGAACCTTCAGAAGTGAAGAGCAAAGGAACGGGGAAACCTATGACCTTTTTGCTAAGTTTGATGAAGAAGTGGATAGTTGTGGAGAAGTATGATGTGATCTAATGGAACAAGCTGGGGGAATTTAGGAGGGCCTATTTGTTCAGATTCTCCTCTGTGTCCCTGTTCCTTCAGAGATAAGGATGTTTCTTTTCTCTGGGTATAGCGAGGCACCTCTAGAATGAGGGTTTTATGACCTGCTTCAGGGGAGAAAAATCAAAGGAAGGTGACCGTGACCTTCTTGCTTCTGTTGTTTCCTCAAATGCCAAGATACATTATTTTGTGGTAGCGTGTTCTGAACTCCATATTTAAAAAATAGAATGTTACCAAAATTTTCTAAAAAGAAATAATATACTATTTTATATGTTGTTACTCTCATACTTTCTATCCATTCTTTACTGTTTTATTTGTAGGTGAATACATAAAAAGTTTCAGAATTTTCTAAATTAACCAAATCAGGTGAAATGCAATTGTGACCCCTGGTCCTCTGTTTTTGCTTTTCATAGTAGATATTATAAATATAAAACATTCAGTGCGAGCATATTTATAAGAATATAAATTGTTGAGGCAGGGTGCGGTGGCTCACACCTGTAATTCCAGCATTTTGGGAGGCCGAGGCAGGCAGGGATCACGAGGTTTTTGGGAGGATTTTGGGATCACGAGGTCAGGAGATCGAGGCCATCCTGGCCAACGTGGTGAAACCCCCTGTCTACTAAAAATACAAAAATTGGCTGGGCATGGTGGCACGCATCTATAGTCCCAGCTATGCGAGAGGCTGAGGCAGTGGGCTTGTCATTGCAGACTTCCATGCCTAGATTTCACTAGTATTTACAGAGATGTTTTTTAGCCTGTCTTCCTTCCTACCCCTAACCCCAACTCTTCTCTGGATTTTCCACTTGCTGGATCTACTGTGTCAATTACTGAGCCAGTCTTGACAAAGTTCAGGTGTTTTAGTGCAGGCTGCATCTCAGCATGCCTTTATTCCCTTGTCCCAGCTGTTGCATTAACCACCATGAATTTTCTACTTTGGTCTGCTGCTGCCCTGAGCTCTCTTGGATAAAGCCTTATTCCTGCTTGGTTTCTGTCAGCCCCACCTCTAGAGAATGAGAAGCTATTTATTCCTACAACATTGCTATATTCCTTCCAGAAATGGGCTACTTTGCCCAGATACAAAGCACTGCCATCCACCTAATTCTGATATTAAACATACTGCTTATTCTTCCATGATACAGTGCATTCACACTATTGTATTCAATGCTCACAGTAACCACACAGAGATCTACCATTTGACACTGGATAGGACCAAGGGAAGGTACACTTTCTAGTTTCCAGTTTCTTGCCCATTTCCTTTCCATTGTCTCTTGTTGATGAAATGGCTCTCTGGCCCATTCTGACCGATCCAAATAGTGAGGGAAATTAGGTGGTTATTTGGGTAAGTTATCATGTTCTTGGGCAATTAATGGGAAAGGAATTGAGGCAAATTATGAATATTCTTCTTTTAAAATAAAGTGATATTAAGCAATGTATTGAAGGGTCAACTGTGCAGTATTTGCAAGAAATAAATGACAATTAATTAAAGACATAAATTTTGACAAGAGCATTACATACTTTCTGCTTTTCAATGTGTTGTTGCTTTTCCTACAAATTGTTAGCTGAAGGGAACTATGAAAAGCTGATTAAAAATAATGTCACATAAAAATAAGCATTGGGCCATTCAGTATTATCATGTCTATCTTGCTGGCCCTATTAGAAATACCATGCCCTTTTTAAAAAATTGTATGCTTTTTTTTTCTGGTTTGATAAATTTTTACATTTAAATTTTAAATCATTAAAAAGTACTACTCACATTTTTTTCTGATATGTTTTCTGAAATATTTTTGCATTAGTTTTTATGTTAGTAGGTACAGAGGCAATTTTGTAAAACTACATTTAAGAATACATTTTTGGTGTTTAAAACTTGTTTTTTATGAAATGGTTTTTTTTCTCTAAAATTTCAATAAGCTTCACTAGAACTATAAAATTAAGGTTGCCTTTTTCCCTTTACTCACTGGTCATTGTCCAGTTGTAATTTATCCTACTGACTATCACTTGAGAGCCAGAGCAATGTTGGGGAAGAAGCAAGTTGACTTTAGACTTAGAGTTGGGAGCTGAGCGTGCCTTCTCCCCTCACCTTCACTCTGTTCTTGGATCTCACCCTCTTCAGCCCCCAAATTTTCTCATCTCTAAATAGTTAAGAATATCAGTGTCTTCTCTAGCAGAGGTCATTTTTAGGGCTTTTATAATAGCCAATATATATAAAGCACTTAGTTTAGTGCCTGACATACAGTAGGAGCTTAATAAAATAATTACTTAATAAAACAACATAATTACCTATCTCTGAAGGAATTAACCTTTTTATATTTTCCATTATTTTTTTTCTAATACTAACAACCTCCTTGTTTTTTTCTTCAACTTTTAAAATTCTGGGGTTCATGTGCAGGATGTACAGGTTTGTTACATAGGTAAACCTGTGTATGGTGGTTTGCTGCACAGACCAACCCATCACCTAGGTATTATGCCTGGCCTCCATTAGCTATTCTTCCTGATGCTCTCCCTCCCTCAACCTACCCACCCCCAAAAGGCCCCAGTGTGTGTTGTTCCCTCCATGTGTCCATATGAAAAAACTGCCTTTTAAGAGAAGAATACATCAGTTTGTGTATACACACACACAGAAAGAAACGGGAGCGTTATTTCCTGGTTTAGAGTTTCAAGAAGGTTTTATACATACTGTTTGCCCCTGGATGCAAATGGATACTTATGATGTATGGTGTGACTTCATGGAGAGTCCATTGTACTCAATGGTAAGTGATAAATATATTCAGCTATATTAAGAGGAAGAATTTAAAAGGCACATTAATTTAAAAGAATGCATGAGATCCACCTAAAAATTCTGTTCTGACAGGGGACTAATTTAGGCTACAACCCTGAATCCCCAGTATGTTTAGCGCTTGTGATGTTTGGAATACCCTATAACTAAAGAATGAATAGAAAATATTTAACTTGCAATCATGGTAAAATATAAGTCTAATAAACTATTGTCACAAGTTGGCAAAACTATTGTCACAAGTTGGCAAGAACATGAGAACGATTTCAACTGACTTTCACCTCTCCCTACACAGAGATTAATACAGTAATAATTTTACTTTGATGTATAATCCATATTAAAAATACACTGAGTGATTTAAATGGTTCCTATGCTATATGAAGCATTAGGTATATCAAAAGCCCCTGAATCCAAGATGTAAAAGCCTTGGAACTTTATAAGAAGATTGACATGTATTTGTGAGATTATTTTTGTAGAATGTAAAATAGGAAATTTTATCTAGCTAAATTTAAATCCCCACTAATACAGATTATCATCTCATTTAAATTATGATATATATGTTGTTATTTAAATTAATTACCTAGATATTTTATACATAGATATATCAAATAAAATTAATGTATCAAAGTATGATAGTAGAAATGACATTTTCAGATATTTGAATTCCTTTATTTTTTCTTTCATTGTAGCAATGTTCTATATCAACCACAGAACCTTTGAAACATGCACGTTATGTTATGAACATATAAATAAATAATTTTATTCATTTGAAAGGCCACAATAATTTCAAAGAACTATTTGCAGTTGACATTGACCAAAATAAAATACACTGAAGTGATAAAACAGATTTTAGATCTTAAAGTTGTAGTGGCTGTTAACATTGAATAGATCCATAAACATGAAAAATGGGCCATCTGTCCTTTGTGCTGACTCAAGGATAATACTTTAAAAATAAGATCAGTACTTTTACATAGCTGCTGATTGTTATGGATAACAATCTTAAATTCAAATTTAAGATTGAATTTAATCTTAATTCAATCTTAATTAATTTAAGGAGAATCTTAAATTCAAAGTACAATATTTTCTATTATTCGCCAGTGAGTCATTGTTACCAAAGTAAAACCTTCACTTCTTCAATAGCAAACTTTCTGCTCTTTCAATGAGATTAAGCATTTGACTAATCCTCATTTTATGTTTAATATTAACTTATTGGTCCTATAGGAAAACAGCCTGAGGATTTAGTATATAGACATTTATCCAATGATATAAAATCTGTGTATTTGGACAAGAAAGAAAGAATTATGCAAATTACTTATTTCTTTTTATATTATATCAGACATCTGCATATTTGGGACATCTGGATATTTGACAACCACGAACCTCAATATGATTAACTGAGCATTTCATTTTTTATCTAAATGATTTGGCACCAGGCAAAACAGATTTAATGATTATTAATTAACCTTCAGGTCCAAGGAGAGTTAGAGAAAGTTCTGCTATAAAATATAAGAAAAGCCATTCACTACACTAAAATTATTGTCCCTAAATCTGAATCTGAAAGGAATCACAATGGATTTTGGTGGATATACATATAAATACATTTTCTTCAATCTTTAAGACAAAAAAAAATCACAAAAAGATGGTGGGGTTGAATATATAGGTTTTATAGGCTAAATATCACAAGCAAAAATTGATGAGAATGTACTGGCTCCAATATAAATTAGCAGCAATTACACCAGACAATTTTTAGACTCTATTATCTTAAAGGCATTCAGATCTTACCAAGTCCACAAGCCATCTACTTGGATATAACAGCTCCCGAGAGGCTGCCTAGCAGCCACAAGGATGCTGTAGACTAACTAGGTTAGTACCTTCCACTTTCAATACTTCGTCAAAACAGTTTAAGATGACAGATGGGACAAGGAATTTAGGAATCCTGTAATGGATGTGAGATTGGAGAGTGTCTACAGCCAAGACATGGGTTTATGATAAAAGCAGATTAAAGAGGATACTATTGTGACTAGATGGGGGATTTAGGTCATGCTGTAAAACTCTTCAGATGGTATAGAGCTATATGTTAGGTCAGTGCAGAGGCTGAGGGTGGTGGGAATGGGTCTGTAAAGGAACTGATAAAAGTTTGGGACTGAAAAGATTTTAAAAAGACAGAGATCTTGGAAGAGCTATATGTTATATCAAAAGCTATTGTGTGCCTGTGCATATGCATGTGTACGTGTGTGTGCACCTTGCACACATAACCTGCTGCTTACTACTCAGCCCCCTTGTGTCTTCTCCCCTTCCAGAGTAGGCCATATACCTATGAACGTTTTAACGCTCATGTATAAAATCTATAAAGAAAAGAAAAAAGCAAATTACTACATTTTTACCTCCACAGTGGAATCTGAGACACTGTTATGTCACACAAATTCACTTTTTTTTTTTTTTTTGACAGAATCTCACTCTATCACCCAGGCTGGAGTGCAGTGGCATGATCTTGGCTCACTACAACCTCTGTCTCCTGGTTAATCTGATTCTCCTGCCTCAGCCTCCCAAGTAGCTGGGGTTATATGCACCTGCCACCATACCCAGCTAATTTTTTTATTTTTTAGTGGAGACGGGTTTCATCATGTTGGCCAGTCTAGTCTCAAACTCCTGCTCTCAGGCAATCAGCCCACCTTGGCCTCCCAAAGTGCTGGGCTTACGGGTGTGAGCCACGGTGCCCAGCCCAAGTTCACTTTTTCTACAAGTGACATGTGAGGCCTATTCTGTATCTAGTCATTCGTCCTCATTTCTCTCTGTATTCCACAGTTTCTTCTTCCTATCAAATTTAAAATTAACAATTTGTTTCTCTGATGGAGCATATTCTCTGTCAATTCAAGTACTTCTGCTCTGCTTTCCCCAGGAGCTTCTAAGAGCACAAGTGACTGCTTTACCATTGAATTCATCTCACTGTAAAGGAGTATTTGTCACAATAAGCCTCTTATTTTCAAACCTGAAATAAATACAAAAATATATAGAAAAAATAGAAAATTATTTTTCTACAAAATAGAAGTAGTACATACATTGACATTAAAACTTTTTCCTACTGAAACTATTGTGGCCAAGATGAATAATGTAGTAAGCTGGACCTCAAATGCCCATCTATTGAAAGGCTTGTGTGAATTCAACACAGATTTTGGAAGGAATTTTGACCTTTTATAGATGCTTTCTTAGAGAGGAAGTTATATAGCCTTTTTTCAGAGTTTTGTCATTTTTTAATCTTTTATTATTTTTAAAAATGTTTGTGGGTTGGTGTCCTTTGTCTTCTTTTCTGTATGTTTCCACAAAGGCTTAGAGACCCATCTCCCACTCAACAGTCTGCAAGAAGTAGCTTCAATAAACATCACAGGATAGCAACTTTCCAGGGAGAATAAGAAAATCTAATCATTCATTTATTAGTTCATTTACCATAAATTTTTGTGCACCTACTATATCCCAGGAAGTACCCTAAGCACAAGTATGTTAGCTCTGAACAGACATGATCCCTATCCTCAGGAAACTGGTACAACAGAGCAGAAGTCAGACAATAAATGAATAAGAAAATAATATATACATAAACATATACCTTATAATATGTGTTACGAAGAAAATAAGTTGAGCAGTGATGGAAAATAGCTATCAGAGAATTATGGGAAGAGGATGGCTTGAATATATCCCTGAACCCTTGCTGCTTGCTGTATCTGAGCCAATCAGCTGCTAAGGCCTCCTGCCCTGCTGAACTATTGAAAGAAAGAGCTAAGGCAAGAATTTTTACTTCATGAGCCAAGGAAGAGGCAGGGACCAGTTAGGGGAGGTCCAAGGTGAGGCCCCAGTGCATGTGTTAGATTCTGAGAAAAGCCTGGCCTGAGGGGTATATGAGCTAAACCTGCCTGTGAGAATGGTCCTTGCCAGGTGAACACGTCTTCTCAGGCTTTGAGTAGCTTCCAGGTAAAGGAAAAATTTTTTAATGAAAAAACAAAAATAAAATAAGCAATAAAAGAAATGATTGTCAAAGATAACTCCAAGAGGATTAAAAGAAACAAACAGACACAAATGAAAAAAAAGGTAAAAAACATGAAAGAACAAGTCAAGACTAAGAAAATATATTTAAAAAACAAATAAATAATCCAGAAGAAAAATAGGTAAAAGATAACATCAGATATTTCATTGAGGAAAAAATTATAATGTCAATAAATATATCAAACGTTAAAGCTCACTAGCAACTTCTGAAATATTAATAAAGGAGGTTGATTGAAATTAATTAATTTTTAAAAACCAAGGTACTAGTGAAGATGTGAAAAGATAAGACTTATATACATTACTGACTGAAGTATAAATTAGTACCACTGCAAAGGAGAGTATCTTCAAAACACCTGGTGAATTTGAACAGGCTTATGAGCTATGACTCAGCAGTTTTAGTAGATGAATCCCCTAGAGTAGCTCCCACACATTTCCATAAGGAGTTATGGGCCAGGATGCTCAGGTCAGCTCCCTTTGTAAAGGTGAAACATAGCAACAACATAATTATTTTTAGTAAGAAAACAGATAAATAGTATTGGCTGAAAAATACTATACTAGCCATATGATTTTTAAAAAGCAAATTGCTAAAAATAAGAGTATTAAAGTATTTAAAGTTGTAAAACGTATATTAATGTAAAAAATGCATTTATATACAATCTTTAAGTCTAGAAAATAGCATTACATATATTGTTTATATAGATATCCATATTTTATGAAATATAAAATTATGTGGAGATGTAATATACACCAACTTCAGCAAAATGATTGCATTTGAGAAGGAAGGGAGGGCAAAATAATAGAAGAAGCTTTAGCTGATATCTAATATTTGATTCTTGGAGAGAGAGAACACTGATGCAAAGATGTCAACACGAACATCTTTGTGTTCATGGAAGTGGACATCCTTTGTAATATTATTTTTGTATTTCATAAAATCAAAATCACAATGGAAGATTCACAAATGAGCATATCTCCTAACAAGAACTAAAACAGCAGTTTGTCAAGGAGAGAGGCAGGTTGAGGGTGTCCTATGTCACAGAAGTGCATATGTATAGAGTAGCTGTTGGTGTGCTTTGAGATCAGGTGTGGAGCAGTTCAGATGTAACTATTTACCAGATGTGAATTTTTTAAAAGAGTTATTTCTCCTTTTAAAGATTCATTATTTTCATTAATAAAGTGGAATCTACTTCACAGTACTGTGATGCAATGTACTAATATTGCCTATATAAAACAATTGTCACTATGCCTAGAATAAATATTCCATAAATGTTGATGGACACATAGTTTATTCATTCATCTAGATATTATTAAAATTTCAGGAATAAAAACATAATTAGCATAAAGATATTATGAGGGTAAATGGTACTTTAATAGTGAGAATTAGTTGAACATACACTAGTCTCCAACTACCTTACATAATTAACCTGATACCCTCCAAATAACCATGCAGTGGTGACTCCATCATTCTATGTAAGGAGACCGAGACTCCAAGAGGCTCAGTGCTTTGCCTAAATCTGAGGTCCAGATTAAAGTCCATATCTGACTGCTGCACTCTTTCACTTTTAGTGATATTCACACTGGACTTGCAGAGGATATGACAGCTTAAAAACATTTGAGAACCATAATTCTACACTACATGCTCTTTATGAATACTAGTAGATGTTTTCTAAGGTTCAGAGGAAGGCCTGTACAATTGGCCAATCTATAACTTTGATACCAGTGTAATATATCAATTATATACTACAAGTAAAATTTTAAAAAGAACAAAATTGTTTAACCTTAAGCTTATGATTTAATTTTTTTGATGTGTATTATAGAATTTGATATAGATAAAGTAGTTAATCAGATGTATAAAGAAAATAATACAGGTTGAGTATCCTGTAGCCAAAATGCTTGGGACCAGAAGTGTTTTGAATTTTTTGATTTTTTTCAAACTTTGGAATATTTGATATACATAAAGGGATATCTTGGGTTTGGGACCCAAATCTAAACACAAGATTCATTTATATTTCATAGAGTACTTATACACATGACCTGAAGATAATTTTATACAATATTTTTTAAAATTTTTGTATGAAGCAAAGTTTGTGTATGTTGAACTATCAGAAAGCAGAGGTGTCACTGTCTCAGCCACCTATGTGGACAACCTGTAGTTGTTTGGCATCACCATCATTCCTGACTCTGAATTTATATGCTAATGATAAGCAATCATTTTCTTGCAGTTACTCACACATAAGTATTAGCAGTAAGAAATATGACATACCATTACTACAGTGAAAAATTAATGTGGCAGAGGTGGAATTTTCCACTTGTGGCGTCATGTCTGTGCTCAAACAGTTTCAAGTTTTGAAGCATTTCAGATTTTGGATTTTTGTGTTAGTGATGCTCAGCCTATACAAAAATGACTCTTATGCTTGAAAATCTTAGTCCGTCTCTTCTGGTTTTTAAGTCATCCAGGAAGTTTATATGTGGTGGAAAATGCAACTGGCCATGTCCCAGGGCAGACACCTCCTCCAGTGCTCACAGTGGAGGCCACTGAAGTGTTATGACCATGTTCTGTCAGTGATGTGTACCTTTCTTTGGGCTCACAATGGCATAGAAAGATGTAACCAAAGTCTAGGGAATTGGGTCCTAATTAGAGAACTGCCAGTAACCAGGAGTAGGACCATAACACCTGGGACTCTGAGCTTCACCTCTCCAGGCTCCAGTTTCCTCATCTATGTAAATGAAAACATTGAACAAGAACAATACAGCAGTTATCAGGTCTGTTTTGACTCCTACAGTCCTTTATTCACTTGAAATTTTAAGCAAATGTTAAATATGTAAACCTGAGCCTGAGATGGGACTTTGAGTACTCTCCCCAAATCCTCAGAGACATTTCAAGAAGCACTTTGGAACAACTCAGAGAAATCTTTGTAAAAATTAGTGGACAAGATGAACTCTAAGATTAAATTAATTAAGGAGAAAATTGAGGGTCCCATAATATGATCACCAGGTTTGAATCCCAGATCTTCCAGTTACTAGTCAGTCTGAATATTGACTAAATTACTTAACTACTCTACAAGCAGTTTACTAACCTTACAGGATTATTGTGAATATTAATTAAGATAATTCATGTGAAGCACTTAGAAAAGAATCTAGAACATAAAGAAGAAATCAATAAAGTGATCTGTGATCAATTTACCATCACCATCATCATCATCATCATTGTTATATAAATGTGATCAAATACATGAGAAAAACCTAACACTTGTCTGGCACAAGGGAGCTGTGTATAGGTATATGTGTGTGTGTGAGCCTGTGACTAATTTTTTAGCCTCCGTCATTTTTCCTACTTTCCTGTCAAGATATCTACTCTCTATCAGGCACTAGAAATATAAAATGTGATTAGTTTAGATTAAAAGATACTGAGGAATGAAGTACCAATCTCAGAACACGGTGACGAAAAATATTTTCTGCAGATTAAAATGAATATTGAACTAATAGCATTTTTGTTAGAAACTTTCTTTCATCCCCAGAAGTTTAGTATTCCCTTTTCTGGACATTTTAGTGGTTGAATCATTCCTGGCTTCGCAGGATGTGAAATGTTCATTAAAAGAAGCATCATGGTTACTGCCTTGTAAAGATGATCCTAACAGCTTAGTTCTTTGTGAACTATTTGTGTGTTGGCTTGCCGTGACTTTGCACAAGTTAGCCACTGAAGCAGAAAAATCACTGCCGGGGTTGTCAAATATCATTGGTGCAAGGTGCCTTTCTGTGTGCCTGGCTGAGCAGCTTCCAATGACATGTGATGTGGGGTTTTCTCCCAAGGCTGTTGCGTGCTGTGTGCAGCATATCTAAGCTGAAAAACTAATGCATGGCCGGGTATTCTTGGTAGGCCTCCAGGCATTTCACATTCATTTATAAAATGCCTTTTTTCTACTTCAAATTAATCTTATGTTCTTTCCAATCACCATTGTAATACTCTTTTGACTTTATATTCTGACAAGCTTGAAATAGCCTGATAGGATTGAACTAAAGTATAAAAAACCAGAGTTACAACAGTCAGAAACAAATGAAAAACTGAAACCGAGTCTGCAGCGTTACCTTCACAGCTGTGTTAGTACACAATTCGGGCCTTTTCTAGCTTTATGATTCTAAAATATGTCTTTGTTTTGAATTAAGTTGCTGGCATTATGTTTGCAGAGCAGTTAATCCATCTCCAAAATTTGTAATAGTCATGGTTATTCTGTGACTTTCATTGCAAATGGAACTTCAGTGTCAGGTTTATGGGACAGCTATTAAAAAAGCAGAAGGAGAGTTATCACAAGTCTCTTATGGAACTCGTTAACTTATGGTAATTAATCTAAATAGGACATTTATTTGAATTCTATCTCAGGAAACCAAATGAACTTTCTCTTCTTGAATGTGCAGTTTAATGCTCATTTATGTTAATATTATATTTCTTTAAGTTGTTAGTCACAATTTGTGTTGCTGTCTCATCTATTCATCTAACAAGCATGTATTTGGCACCTCCTGTATGTCTGACTTGTAATTGAGTGATGAATAGGACTAGTTCCTGTCCTCAGAGAGTTCCTAGTCTGGTGGAGGGGAAGCTTTGCAGGCAAAGAATGAGTAAGGTGCATCAAGCCCAGTGGTGAGTAACATACACCAGGCAGAGGGATAACAGAAGAGAATGGCATTAACTCATTCTGGGAGTTGAAGGAACACTTTCTGAAGAAAGTGATGTCTCAGCTGGATGAAAAGGAGTAAAATAGTGACAATCCATGATAGAAGCTCAGGTATAGTAATTTGTTAACCAAAATATTCCAAGTGAAAGTAATTGAAATAGGGCATCTGAACAATTTGCATGGGGCTTTATATTTAACACTTTCCTGCTTTCAACTGTTCATTTTTTCCTCCCTCTTACAGAAACTCCCTGAGATACACAAACTGATATTCCTCTGAGTTTTCAAGTTGGAGAACTGGCCCTTAGGGTACACTCAGTGACTATTAGTTGAATGGGATAACACAACCAATATTTATTGAGTGCCTACTGCCTCTCTGTGCCTTAATTCTTTATTTGTAAAATTAGCATAATAACCAGGCCTCTCTCCTATGATTATGGTAAGGAAAAAATGAGATTAATATGTTATTAACATAGACTAGCATTGGTCTCAAAATCAGGGTTATATAAGCCAGTTATTATTACTAGTAACTGCTACTGGTTATTAATTAGTTATTATTAGTAACTGGCTAGTTACTAGCCAGTTATTATTACTAGTAATTTTCTAGATAACAAGAAGTTGGTTTAGGGGTGAAGGGAATCTTCCTTACCCCCTTCGGAAGGTTCAATAATTTGAGTCTGTAAAACAAACTGACAATAGACAGGTTAACAGGAAACAGGCATACAAAACGATACTAGTAATAATAATTAGTAGAGACATGCCACGCACTGTTTTAGGCACTGAACGTCAGCAGAGCAAAGGCTGGCTTTCATGCAGTTTAAACCGTGTGGCCAGAGCGGAGTGGCTGAGGAAGGGAGTAAATAAAAAGAAACGAAGTTGAAAGACTTGCTGGAGGAGGGAAAGGCACAGATTACAGAGGGATTTATAAGCCATGGTGAGACTTCAAAATTTTAAGCCAAGAAGGAACCTGATCTAACTTAGGTTTTAAAAGAATTACTTATGCACTCTGAATAGATTGGAGGAGCGCAAACATGGAGAGAACAGAAGAATCAGAAGGTTATTCAGATCACAGTGGCTTTGGGCCTGTGTGTGTGTGTGTGTGTGTGTGTGTGTGTGTGTGTGTGTATGTGTGTGTGTGTGAGGGGGCAGAGAGAAGTGGTCAAAATCTGGATATATTTTGGAGGTTTACTAGGCAGAATTCACTAATGGAGTAGATATGTGGCATTCAACAAAGAGAGGTTCCAGAATTTTGGCCTAAGCAGAAAAATAGAAGCTTCCATTTCTTGAGATGGGAGAAGATTTATGAGGAAGAAAACTGGCTTCAAGAATGAAAATTTCCATTTTAGACATGTTAATAATAAATCAGTGAATATAATATGGTATTGCAAAAGACCAAGGAATTAACCTGGGTTAGGAAAGATGGATAGAGATAAAAGAGAAAAGAATGTGAGAAAGATGTTACTATGGCTTCAAGATCCAAGGTGAGAAATGGGAGACAATAAGGCTCATAAAAGAGAAATCTGTTTGGATCTGAATCAGAAAGATCACACAGTATAGTAATGAGAATTAAAACTGCACAGAAACAATCAGGGTTTAGAAGGCTAAAGTGGACAATTTGAACTCATTTACTAGTAGCTTGGCAACAGTTAAAATTTTCAAAACAAGCTGATTTGAGCTAAGTCTCTTAGCATTCACCACATTATACTGAGTTATCTATTTCTGTGTTTTGCTATCCCACCAAACTGTAAATTCTGCTGTGTTTTATTCATCATTTTACTGCCTCTGCCTAGCATGGTACCTGGTACATGCTTGCCACTCAGTAATCACTTGTGGAAGTCAACTGAAAAAAAAAAAAAGAAAAGAAAAAAAAAAAGGCTTGTGCCCAAACAAGGACACAAATTGAAATAACAGGCTCCATTGGTTCAAATTCAAACTATTCCCTTATGCAAAGGATTCAAGTTTGCTGAGACCCCAGATCCAAGGCCCTATATCTGTCTTAATATGATAACAAGGGGTAACACTCACCTCACATATCCCAAAAATAATTTTCAGTATCCTGCTACTACCTCATTTTGTCTCATACCAGAATTGAGAGCAAACACTCAATGTTTCTTTATCTCTTGCGTTTAATTTGCTAAACTCCAAATCAAATTGAACCCTGGTCTATTTGAAGAAAATACACTGTAGTAGTTTCTCCTCCCCTGTGCAGGTTCATTTATCTGTACCCTAATTCACTCAAAACTCAGAGGAAAAACACATCTGTATTGAAACATTTTTGTGGCATTGATTGCTCCCCATGTGATTATTCCAACAACAACTATGTAACAACGTGAGGGTGAAAATAATCTCTGTAGCTTGTTTTGTGTGGGCTAACACCCTAGTGAGATGGAAAAATAGCCTAAAACTATGTCTACTTTTTCCTGAGACTTGTCTTTTCAATAAGAGCTTATTTACTATACCTCCTGCTTGCTTTTAGTCAGTAATATGTTTTGAAGATAGAACAAATGATCTTTTCTACTTGAAAACACAATTTATTTTTATTGTAGTAAAACTATCCCATTAAAAAGTTTTTAAGATGTGGAGAATAGATCTCATTGTAAGTTGGTACAGCCTGTTCAAATTTTGATACAATAAATCAAACTGAAGGTGTTGAAGGTGTAGGATAGCAAACTTTTTTCTCCAGTCCCACTTAACAGCCAAAACTACATCACTCCAATATATCTGCCTCCATTTGGTTTCTTGCTCTTTCGTATCTTCCCTCAATTATTATGGTATCTCAAAACACCTCTCACACTTTCCTGTTTTGCCCATCCAGCCAATACTCCCTCATTCCTGAAGAATTCGCCCCATCAGAGACCCATAAGCAGTGCTGGGGTTCATGTACATCATAATTTTCTAGATAATAAGTTGGTTTAGGAGTGAAGGGAATTTTTCTTACCCCTTCTGAAGGTTAGATAATTTGAGCCTATAAACCAAACAGACAGATTCACAGGAAAAAGCATACAAATTTATTACATGCACGTGCACAGGGAGCTACACAAAATACAGGACTCAAAGAAGGGCCTAAGGTTTTTATATGATACAGAAAGAAAAAGAGGCCTGAAGCTCCTGGAGGCTGTGGTGACAGGTTATGGAAGGGTAAGGGGAAGAATGCACTGTGAACAAAGGCTGTTGTTTCATTGTGCAGAGAAGGTCTATCAGGTAATAGCCCTCAAAAAGAGTAGATGGTAACCTGTGGTAATAGTTTCTCTGTCAGACCTTTAAAAGTGTCAAACCTGTCTTTAGTCTTCTTTTCCTGTGAGTTAATCTTTCCTAGATTCAAATAAAAGGACCTCAGAGAAACCGTCTGCCTGCATCCCTTGTTTGCTTTATTAATATATACATGTAAATTTATTTTACAAAAGGATAAATTTTCAGAGCCATGCTTTGTGTCTGCAGACCCTCTGAATAGCCATCTCAAAATATGCCAAAGAGGCACGCTTTGGATGGCATATTTTGGTTTCCCACAGTCCCCTCTTTGAAATTTATTTTCAGAAAGTTTTACATATTAAAATAGGATTGATAACTGTGGAAAATTTGCTTTAGACATTTTGAGATAAGACATTAGCAAAGGGAAGAAAAACATATATTGGAATAAGTAGAAAAATGTCTCATTTTAGGAAGTGGTGTTGCAGGGTTCCCACAGTTAAGTCTCTACATGGTGTAAGCAAACAAGTTTTTAATATGAGGCTTCTCTAAAGAAACAAAAGAAAGACAAAAGTTAATAATTGAAGCAGCATATAAACTAGTTCTGAGTCTAGCAGTTGAAAAGATTTCTAGATTTGGCCTCAAAACATCTTCAGTTGAAGTGTGGATAGACAGTGACAATCTGACAGATTTTAAGTTGTTATTGTGATTTATCTGGAGTCAACCAGCTTCAGCTTTCAGGGCTTCAAGAAAAAGGCACATTTAATTTCAGTGATTCCAAGTCAGAAAAAAATTGGAGAAAAAAGTGAAAATGTTATTTTGGAGAGTTGCAGTCAGACATTAGAGGAAACTAACAATTTCAGAATCCAGTCTAAATTGTAGGTAAATAATAAAATCTCAAAAAAATGAACAGAGCTAGAATCTAATAACAGATACACTGTAGTTT
The DNA here is from genome assembly GCF_000001405.40 of Homo sapiens. NCBI lineage: Eukaryota > Metazoa > Chordata > Mammalia > Primates > Hominidae > Homo > Homo sapiens. The sequence continues at coordinate 79,091,787 of NC_000012.12, forward strand.
TCTTTTAAGTCATAATTTTTCTCTCTCGAGTTCCCCCCTTTTTACCAAAGTTAATCACAATAAAACTAATTTGTTTGCAAAATAAGTTTTAGGCTTGTTATACTTTGCCTAATAATTTACAGAAGTACAGCAAAATGATGATTAATCATATAAGCTCATTTTCAATTTTGCTTTGCTGGAACTTTTCACAAGGAATCTCAGATTAAACTTTTGAAAGCCTCTTGAGGCTGGGAAGCCAATCCAAGGAGGAGTCACCCTCAAATTGTGCCTGTAATACCTTTAAACTTGAGTGAATACTTCTCTTCTCAAGGTTCCCAAAAATATATTCAGGTTCCAGGGCCTCTCAGGAAGTGACATTTTTTCTCACCTGTAAATCAACCATGTTAATTATTTATCCAAGATATCAAGATAGATTTTCCAAGGGGTTTTAATTGGCTTTATAAAGTCAACTTTAATTCCTTAGAGCAATCTGGTCATATCTCAGAATAGGACATGTCAGGCAAAGCCTTGGTAATATGGCCAATGTTTCCAATTGTGTCCTATTAGAAAGAGAATAGATTCTTCTTAAATGTAAGCAAATAACTATATTGTTATTGAAATAAGAATACTCACAAATAGTCTCCAAACTCTGGAGGGATCAGGTAGGGAGAAAAAAAAATTTCAATTCTGCACACAAAAGTACACCTTCCCATATTCCCGTAAACTGTAGATAGCTGAAAGAAAAAAAAAATTAATGTGGAAAATGAAACATGAAAGAATAAGCCATGTGCCAAACAAAAAAGTCATAAAATCATAATCTTTCATTGCTTTAGTCCCATGTAATAATTCTTATTCTGCTTGATGTTGGGTTAGTAGTTTTTTGAGTTCAGTTTTTTCACTGAAGTTCGGAATTCTTACCCAGTCAAATACTACGATCTCAAAATCATCAGAAAACTATATTCAATGGTACTTGTGAGAGTCTTTTCTATAAATTTCATTGAAGAAAAGCAATTTGGGGCTATAACTGACTGCAAGATGCTTTTAGAGAAGAAGCAAAACCACTGTCTGTCAATGACAAAAACTTACAATAGCCATGGTTAAAAACCTAATGAGAATTCATAACAAGTCATTGACAAGGAAATGTGTTGTGGCACACAACGCTTTAACATAATAACCATAATTATTACTGATAATGTACACTAGGATATAAATTTCTAGAAATTTCATACAATTTTGGAATACATGTGAATAACATATCTATAAAATTATAACTCAAAGAAGGTTAAACATACATGTGAATAACACATGTATAAAATTGTAACTCAAAGAAGGTTAAACATCACTTGCTATTTGGAGTGCTTCCCATATAACTTAGCGTATTAAATAGGCCTAACTTGTTTAATATCTCTCTTTTGTACTGCTAGGGGTCCTTCTGGAATGCCCAAAAGTTAGTCTGAGGTCAAAAAGACTTAATTTTGATTTGGAGAAGGTTGTTAAAAAATAAAGGTTCGAAGCATTCGATCAAAAATAAGATCACAGGTTACTGTTAAATTCATTTAACCAGAATGGCAATTTAAAGACTTCAAAATAAAATGCAGGAAGTTACATAATTATAGAAACAGTTTAATTCTTTAACCCAGTTTTTCTAAGTAATCAAAGACCTAATAAAGACAGTATAAAGCATAGGAAATTATTTTGATAAAATGCAAAATCTATCAATACTCTTGTTTTTAAAAGAGAAGACCAAAGTTTAGTTTTTTACCAGTGCACTTTTTCTATTAAAGCTCATTTCTGAAACCTTTATAATAATTTTATTCAACTTTAGTCAGTTTAACCTTACAATATTTTCTCTCACTCTCTTTACCCAACTCTCTTGAACTGTCATTCAGCTTTTTATGTATCATTTCTTCATTCTGAAACAACCTTTAAACTAGAATAATTATTTTTCTTCAACAACAAAAAATCCTTATGCCTTCCTTATAACTTTCCTCACCAAAAACACATCCTAGTTTCCTTCTACACTTACATACAGAATTTTTTATCTTATTTCTAGTAGTTTTAATTACATATATTAATTAGAATTTCAATTCTTAGTAATCTTATTTTCCAGTGAAAATCTAGGAAGTAAACAATCTTGAACTGGCATTGTACCAACATGTTATCAATAGATTTCATAATTTCTAGAAACAAAAGCTTTCTCATAAAGTAATTTTACAATGTGGATCAGGACATATTTACCAGCCAAACCAAATATATTTAGTTCTCTTGTAACAAGAAGTTAAAAGTAAATAAGCTAAAATGTATGATTAACAATTAATGTTCCAGTATTATATCTTATTTGGAAATGATCTAATTATTTAAAGAATATTCATTATCTAATTTAGTTTAGCAATACTTTAAGGGTGTAGTTACCTGAAAGATTTGAGAAACCTTTGAAAGTATATATTATAAATCATAATTATTGTTAAAAATTAAATTTATAAAGTTTTATCTCACTTACATCTATTTAATTACTTTAAAACCAACAGCATTAAGCTAGTCCTATTTGTGAAAGATTTACCCAAGTCACATGAACTTGAAAAGCCTTTGAGTTTGTTACCATATTTCTAGCAGTTTTAAAAGTATTTAATTCATAAGAACAAATTTTTCTTTAAGCCAATTTGAAATTCTTCCAAGAAATTTTATCCCATGTAGATACAACTTGCACCATACATGCACACATGTATAAACATATACAAACATACAGATAGGACACAAACAAAAATATTATAGTTTTTATTGTAAAACTTTAGACAGATACAATAATATAAAACTCACCAATTTATGAAGTATTAACCAAGTTAACACTACCTGTTTACAATGGTCAAAACCCTTTATCAATATTAATAGAAAAGACCTTTAAGATTTTTCATTTGTTTTAAATTTTTAAATAGCTTTTTTTCCCTGAGTATATAGTTCCATTTTAGCTTAGGAGAGAAGGCAAAGAAATTCTTATTATGCTCTGAGTATGAACCACAGCCCTAAAACAAAGGTATATCTACAAGAAACTCAACAGCAAAAATAATTCTCATGACCTAAATTAATAAGCCTTTTAATGGCTTTAACCAAGTGTCTAAAGTTAGAGCAAAAAGATACAGGCTGCTGAAAATCCAAAGCCACTCCCAAAAGAAAGGCAGTCAAAAAGAAAGAAAAGCTTTGCTTGCCAAAAATGGGGTACAACCCATATTTCTGTCCAGCCATATTTGTGGGTCTCTCAACCTTTTGGTAGGCCACCCATACATGAGGGCCTAATAACCTGTGTGCCCTCAGTAGACAAAATGTTTAAAAAAGACAACAGTTGGTAAGACAAACAGGAAAACAAAAGCCATTCATGAGAGGGAAGAGGATCATTATCAAACGAGTACCCCAAAAGTCAAGAGTTATACAAATTCAAAACAAATAATTCAAATAAATTCTTATAAACTAATTCTTACAAGTATTTATCTCCTGAGCTAAAGAAATGTACTGAAAAAAATGGAGGTGGATTCAGAGAAGGGAAGTTTTAAACTTTGGAGCCCAGAGATCCAAAAACTTTTCTCATTTAAAAGGATTTTAACTTTGTTCTAAAACTGATTTTTATTATTTTAATATTGCCAAAGGAGTCTTTAAGGGTAACAGTTATATTTACGTGTGTCTCTTCTTTTTTTTAATTTGATCTTTTCATAGATAGCAATAGTTAAGATGAGAGTTTTTCTACATATAACCAATTTATTTATTACAAAAGTGATTCAAATCAATAAAAGACTTCATTTATAGACCTGTTTTCACCAGCAACTCCAAATTTGAAGGAAAAAGAGACAAGGAGTGACTCTTGCCACTCTTACTCAACTGGGCTCTAAAGGCAGAGATCTGGGAATACTGACCTTGGTAAAAATTCTTACCTTTCTTGGCTGGCTTTTTTGTTAGTTGTCCCAGGGTCCCATTTACAGCCTCTAAACTGAGCAGAGTGACTTGTTCTCCTGCCTGGGCTCACCAAAACTGTTAGGGACAAAGGCAACTTTCCTCCCTCTTCCTTCTGAAGATTCAATAATTTGTGTCTATAAAACCAACTGACAAGAGACAGATTAACAGGGTAAAAACACATACAAATTTATTATATGCACATGAGCATGAGAGTCACACAAAATATGAGACTCAAAAAAGAGCCTGATGGCTGACGTTTTCATATTGTACAGGAAGGATAGAGTCTTGGCGGTCCTGAGGGCTGTGGTGGCAGGTTATGGGAGGATGAGGGGAAGAAATGCACTGTGAACAAAGGCTGTTGTTTCATTGTACAGATAAAGTCTCTCAGGCAATAGCCCACAGAAAGAATAGATCATAACCTGTAGTGATAATTTCTCTGTCAGACCTTTAAAAGTGTCAGACCTTTCTTTAATTCCCTTTTCCTGTGATTTAATCTTTCCTAGGTTTAGAAAAAAGGGACCTCAGAAAAAGCCTCTCCCTGCAACTTTTGTTTGCTTTATTAATATAGATAGATGTAAATTTCTTTTACAAAAGGATAGATTTTTCAGAGCTATGCTTGTGTCTGCAGCCCCTCTGAATAGCCGTCTCAAAATATGCCAAAGAGGTACACTCTGAGGTGATGTATTTTGGTTTCCTGCATTGGTCAGGTGGAACAATATACCAGCTAGCAGGGATCTTTTGATCTCCTGAGAGACACTTTGCTAAGTGTGATTAATGCTTTAACAGATGTAGTCCAGAAGATACGTTTCTTAACACTTCCTGGGGCAGCTGAGGAATATTACACTGCAGAGATGTTGTTTAGTTGAACCTTGAAGGATGAGACAGAGTTTCCCCTTGAAAGGAGGCATTTTAGGTGAAATAAGCAGTATGTTAAAAGGAACAGAGGAATGCAACAATATGACCCATTTGGAGGAAAGAAACTAGGTGTGATTGGAAGGAAGAATCATGAAAGATCAGGGTAGATACTGGTGGGGCAGCTATTAAAGGAGTTTGAGCAGGGGCATGACATCTTCACATTGAAAGCAATATGGGAGTCGAATTAAATTTAGTACCCAGTTGAGATAAAAGTCCATTGCCATATTCACAGTGAGGTGGGACAAAAGCAGAGTCAGAGAGATTAAGAGGCTGGGAAAGATTGAAGTGATTTTTAGGAATCAGAATCCACATCAGTTGATGACAAGTACAGAAGGGCACAATAGCAAGAAGAAGAAGTAAATGATAATTCCTAGATGCCATTAGTCACAATCAAGTACGGAAGAGACATTATTGACTGAGGTTGAATCAGGGCAGAGAAGATAATATACCTGATTTTGGAAGTGTTGCATGTAAGGGGGCTTCGATTTCAGCTACTTACATACTTGGGAATCTTTACAAAAGCAGGAAGGCTGAAGCCACAGATGTGGATGTAATTACTAAAAGTAGAAGAGGTAGAGTGAAAAGGGACATGGGATGAAGCAAAAGCAACATTTGAGACTGTCCAAAGAATACAGGTATATTCCCTTACTGCAGTAGTCAAAGTCCACAAGACCCTGAATAGGCCTAGTCCGTCTTAACTAGTCTGAGGGCTATCAGCCATACATCCGGTACATAAGCATATATTCCTTGGTTTAAATAATTAAAATAATATATTGTCATCCTCTAAGATGCATGAGACTGCCAGAATGACCTGTTAGCCAGAGGTCATTGATATCATCTATCCACAAGAGATTAAACCTCTGAGGTATTAGAAAGCAGTTTTTGGAGGGCCTATAGAAACACATGTTTCCCTTTTCTTATGACTCCCTATAGCAGCTGGTATCACTATAAAATACTGTGTAATCTTTGAAAGTCCCTCTAGAAAAACCAACACGCTCACAAACTAAAGCTAAGATTTTGTCAAATGAGGCCTTACCCAGCTTTATTCAAGAAATAAGCAGTCCTATTGACCTCTGGAAAATGACCTATTTGTCTTCTCCTCCAAGGAATAGTAGTAAAACTATAACAACTGTACATTTATATTTAATAATGATAGAAAATTTAAACTTTCAAGTATCCTGCTTAGAGATGGAAAGCCAGGACTCCCAAAGCAACACTGCTTGTTCCTAACTAGGGAAAAGCTTAGTTTCTTCGCCTTCTTTAGTGTGAAACAAGAGCCCATTTCGGGTGTGTGCATGTGAGCATGCATATTACTCACACATACACATTTACCTGAAATCTACCAGACATTGCATGGTCTTTTAAAAACTTGTTTTGTTCTCCTGAAATGTTTTCTATTTTGTTTTCTCCTAGTCTCTCTGGGCTTATGTTTTATCTCAGCCACCATTTAATGAGTTTCTATGCTGTTCAAAACCATAGAAGTTTCACATTCTTCATTTCATTTTATTTTTCAATATTTATATGAATGAGATGTTAACATCCACTTTTATACACGAATCTCCCTCTGCAAAAGGCTCAACAACTTGCCCAAAGTAAGTCTTTCTGACACTAAAGCCATCACTTCTTCCACGACACTGTCATCTCCAAATGAGCTGGGGAGAAAGTGGCCCCTAATAATTCTAAGTTACCTTGAACCTCTTTATTCCAGAATTCATCATCTACTAACAAAATTTTTTGTATGTAAATAATAAAACTAGAAATGAAAAATCTCAAAGTATTAGCAACAAGAGCCCAATAAGTATGAAACACCCAGCAACAGAAACTATTTATATTGGCTAGATCTAAATTTGTCTATGTCAGTTAATATTATTTATGTTACCTCATCTCAAAGGGTATACTAGAATTTCAAGTTATAAAGATGTGGTTTCAATTAAATATATTAAAGTAGTTCTCAAAACAGTTATTTTACAGTGTCCAGTTATTCACTAAGAAAAAAACATTTAATGTTCTGGTTAGTGGTGACTTAGTACGATGTTTCCATCCTTGGGCTCTTGGCCCCAGTCCAATCATAAACATGTTGTACCCTGCTGTGGTACAACAGGAGAAAACCACGTGTTAGCAGAGGCTCCTATCAGGACCTTTGAGGAACTGAATCTCTTTGTGAATAAGCAGCTCCTAAGAAAGATCTGATCTAAGCATAACATGATCTGAAAATTTTTGCCTCTCCACGTGCCATTTTAGAACCTGTGAACAGCACACTACACAGATTGGTAGCAGAGCAACTTCAACTGGTCCAATGTATGAGTATCGACTTTTTATCCTTTAGAGCTTTACTGCTGCCACTCAAGGGCAAATTGGGAAATAATTCCAAAAAATGCAGCCAATGGTAATTTTCTACATTGTAAGCACAGGAAAGGAGGAAATAAAAGAAAAGATAAATAGGTTACCTTAGTGCTATCCTTAGTAACTCTGTTCAATCTTGGCAATGACAAACCTATATAAACTTTAACTAAATAAAGGCAATGCAGCCAGAAGGTGAATTTTGCTACTTGGCTTACAGTCCTGATCCTGAGAAAACTGTTAATTCCCCTGATGTCACTAAATACTCCCTACAATTAATTACTCCCTCAACTAATACATTGAGAAATGTATTAATTCAAAAAATCCATTTTCCACATAAAAGAGAAGCTTTAGCACAATAACGTTTTGTCTAAACATTATTTATTCATTGCCACTGAGAGTTTTAAAACAATGCAATTTGGAATAAACATATGCCTGGTTAATGTTATCCTTTAGAGAGAAATAAAAATTAATAATTTAAAACCACATAGTTGTAAGGCATCTGGTTTGATAGAAATGTACTCTTGAGGTAGAACAGTGAACAATTACTCAAAAATCAGAAATATTGGAGGAATCACAACTTCTCAGATGGTTAAAGTAGTCTATCTGTAAATACAAAGTAGGGTTTTTAATCCTTAAATAGCTTGTCATTTCTAACAATGTGAAGAATATATTGATAAATATCTTTAAAAGAATGAGTTTTTTTTTTAACTTCTGTGTCTGTGTTAAAAACAAACACTGGTATACTTTGAAATAAATTGTCAGTAATGTACTGTGTGATTTTATAAAAATAGCATAGACACTAATTCCTAATTATGACAGTGACTGGCTTACTGGATTCAATTGGAGATTAATCTAGTTCACATTTTTCAAAGCACAGCACTAATACTCTGTACTCCTAATCCGGATCCTCTAAATTAGAATCCCAGGGGAAGCATTTCCATTCAACATTCCAGGTAATCGTAGGCATGCTAAAGCTTTAGAATCACAGTAAACATATTTTGCCATAGAAATTTCTGAAGATTTGTCAAATTATTTAACACTTGATTAAATAATTGTACATGTTCTTTGAACTTTAAAGTAATAGAGTAATATATTATTCATACGTTATATATAAGCATATTCAAAAATAGATGTATGTTAAATAATAATAACGAACATTTGGAGTGCTTCTTTGGAGGTATTGTTTTAAGGAGGAGTTCGTTAATATTATTTTGTTGAGTACTCACAGCAACTGTACGAAGTATTATGTTTATCGCCCATTTTATGATGAGGAAAAGAGGTAACTAATTTGAATAAATTGCCTGAGGTCACACACCTAGCAAGTGGCAGAGCCAACTTTGGACTCATGCAATCTAGCTCCCAAACCTCGTCTTAACCACCAGGTCATACTATATCTTAAAGGTTTTTCAGTGAAAACTGGTCTGCTAAGAAGTCATAATAATAGGAAATGCTTTTAACACATTATTAGTTGAACAAGAGGAACCAAGGTAAGGAGGAGAGAGGAGAGGAAGGAAAAGAAGGAAAGGAGGAGGAGGAGAGAAAGGATCTTACAAAACAATATAGACACAACTGTTTTGCAGTGAAAATATACATAGAAAAAAAAGACTAAAAAGGTATAAACCAAAATACTTATTATCAGATGATGGGGTGGCAGTAATTTACTGTGTTTTCTCTATTTTCCAAATTCCCTATAATAAGAGAATGAATGATCATGTATTGCTCTTATAGTCAGAAAACAATAAATGAGTCATTTTACAGGCTGATTACATATGTCTTAGTTGACCTGTTTCGTAAATATAGGAATTGATTTAGATTTTTAATTATACTTATTACTTAGCTACCTTTAGAACACATAAATGTATAATAACTGTTTTTTAAAAACTTTGAAGAATGGTTTAATCCTTATATGTAAATTCTATATTTTTATATTATGTTTAGGTGCTCTGTGAAGAAAAAAATGCAAACCACATTGTGGCTTTAAAATAAGTATGTTATTTCTACCTCACTGCAATGGAAAACATTCCAATCTTATTTTGTTCTCCAATATTATATACATAATGAAATAAATAAGATTATTTATCAATACATTTTATTTTACATTTGTTTTATTATTCTGATCAGAATTTATTTTGTTAGAATTCAGAAAAACTGTACCTTAAAATGTAAGGTAAGAACAGATATTTGCACACTGGCGTTCATAGTACCACTATTCACAAGCATCATTCACAAGCCAAATAATTCATAGCACTATTCACAAGTACCACTTATCAGTGGATAAGTGAATAAACAAAATGTGGTATAACCGTACAATGGAATATTTTTCAGACTTAAAAAGGAACAAATTTCTGACACATGTTACAAAATGGATGAACCTTGGAGACATTATGCTAAGTGAAATAATCCAGTCACAAAAGAACAAATATTGTATGATTTCACTTATATGAAGTGACTAGAGTTGTCAAATTCATAGAGACAGAAAGTAGAGTGCTGAAGGAAGGGAAGAATGGAGAGTCAGAGTATACAAGGTACAAAGTTTTAGAGAAGGTGAAAAGTTCTGAAGATGGAGAGTGGTGTTGGTTGTACAATGTGAATGTAGTTAATGGCAAAGAACTGTCCACTTAAAATGGTTAAAATAGTCAAGTTTGTGTTATATATAAATTTCCTCAATAAATAAGCTTGGTGTGGTGGCTTATACATGTAATCTTAGCACTTTGCAAAGTTGAGGTGTAGAAACCACTTGAGAAGAGCCTGGGCAACATGGCAAAACCCCATCTCTACAAAAAGTAAAAAAATTAGCCAGGCATGGTGATGCATGCCTGTAGTCCCAGCTACTCGAGGGCTGAGGCCAGAGGATCACTTGAGCCTGACAGGTCGAGGCTGCAATGAGCTATGATCATGCCACTGCATTCCAGCCTAGGTGACAGAGTGAAACACTTCCTCAAATAATAAGTAAAATTGAAATAAATTAATTAATAAAATAAAAGATATTAAATAGTATTTTTCATTTGTTATTGCGTTCAAGACAGATCACATTCTCAAAATCTTAAAATTACCTATTCATAAGGGTTGTACTCCTAAAGATGCTTTAATAGACATCTTTTTTAGAAACCTTGCATTTATCGCCTCCTAATTGGTCTTTGATCATAATATATCCCTGCTTATTGAACTCCTCCTGTGGGTATCATTCACATTATAAATAAAATCCAAATTCTGCAAAAAATGCTTTATAATATTGATTTCTGTGCATAGAAATATACCTACACATATGTCCCCTCTCCCTCTCTTTCCTTCTCTCTCTCTCTCTTTCTCTCTCTCTCTCTCTCTGTCCTTCCTACAGCTGCACAGGCTTCTTGCTGTTCCTGGTACATACCAACTTTTTAACTTTGACAAAGACATGACACTCAATACTTCCACCCCTGGAAAGCTTCCCCTAGACTTCTGTTGTTCCTTTTCAGCAAGGTCATTCCTAAGGGCCCCATCCAAAACAGTGCTGCTTCTAAGATGCAGCCACTCTACGCTTTAGCCTTCTCTCTGTGTTTCCTCCTTAGCACTTCAATAACTAAAATGCTGTATGGTTCACTTGTGTGTTTTCTTTCTTTCTGTAGTGGAATGTGAGCACCAGGACAGCACACATCTCAACTGTCTTGTTACCACTGTATCTCCAGTGTCACAGCACTTAGCACAGTGCCTGGTACAAAGTAAATACTCAGCAAATACTGCGTGTGCAACTGTTTGTATAAACATATTCGAAATACCTCATTGGCTGTCATTGATATTTGTGGTATAGATAAAATGAGATTGAGGTTTGCAGTAGTAAGGATGAGCCATTTCTGAATCAACAAATTTTAAGTAGGTGGTCATTTGTTCTCTGAGATAATATCCTGATTTTAGGTAATAGAATTTCATAAAATGGACCCAACTTTTTTCTCCACTGAGAAATAATTTGAATATGAGCATTTGTCATGTATTTTCTTAAATGCTTTACATTCATTGTAGCATTTCATCCTCACAACACTATAAGGTAAATATTATTATTGCCATTTTACAGATACAGAAACTGAGGTACACAGAGCCATTTACCCCAGGTCAAGTAAGTATTCAAATTGGATTTCATTATTAGCAATGATTCCCAAGCTAATGCCTTTAAGCAGTATTGACTGTGGCTTTCCCTAAACACAGATAAGTTTTACTTATCGTGGCAATTTTTTATTACCTATTACATTTAAAATGTGTGCTCATTCAAAAAAGTGAAGACATGAATATTCAAATAAGAAAATAATATAAAAATCATCCCTAATCCTTTAATTAGACATTACCACTTTTAAAATAAATTTTCCTTATCTTTGGGCTTTGCATAGACAACTTAAAATAAATAAAAGTGAAAGAGGAATGAAAATAGTGAACCAGTAAAATTCCAGAATAAGCAAAGTCCTAAAAGATATTTTTTTCATTTAACATGTTAAATGTTTTTTTCAATTGTATCCATTCATCTTTTACTTTATGATATGGAATGAGGAGTGAAAGTTTCCTTACTAAAAATTTTTTTTAAAAAACTGACCTGGCAGATAGTAGGTATATTCTTTTATGTAAGTAAATATGAAATTATTTAAAGGGTATTCAAAAAGTTTTAATTGAATAATATAGCATAATATTTATTCCATAAAATAAAAATATTTTAAGTAGTTATAATATTAGATTCATAGTGGCTTCTAATATTTTTAGGGAAATAAGAATGATGTGACCTCTTAGTGTCCAACTCAACTTCCCTGGTTAAACTGTATCTGTGATAATTAACCATATTTTGAACAGATTTACTCTGAGCAGGCATTTTTCATATGTGTGAAAATGAGCCATAAGAGCTTCAACAGATAATGCCAGAGGATGGGGCTCTCTTAAGAATATGTACTTACCCACACCAGCAGTGCAACCTTACCCTTGGGTCTGTAAATTTCACTTGATAGATATTCCACATGCATACTGTAAGAACATAAGGCAGGAAATATAGAAAAATTGAATGCTCCCACAGTGACAAATAGTAAAATTATACTAAAAATAGCTGCACAGGGATTGTTTTACAGTATTATTATATGCTGTTGTCACTGGAAAATAGTGTTTTTCTTGCAATACATTGCAATGTTATATGATATGTTATTATAAAAAAATTATGTTGACATCATTCAATGGAGTCAATTTTTTTTTTTTTGTAATTTGGTCTACTCTATCAGACAACACTCATCTCAATGTGTCCTTCAAAATACAGAGTTCTTTTTTCAAATTTAATAGAGATTTAGTGAAAACTGTAGAAAGTATATAAATAAGGATTTCTGTTGCTTACAAAACTGAATAAAAGATCATACCTCTCTTTAGGGAACTTACAAATTAGGAGGGAGAGGGATTTTTAAAAACACAGTACATGATATATATATACAATACATATATAGCATGTTCCCTAATCGCTACAAAATCCTAAGGCAATTTAGAGAAAAAAGTGACCATAAAAATTATGATTAGGAAATAATGGGGAGATGCATAAGTCCTGATGTTTCATCAGGATAATGGCTTTAATTTGGATCCTGAAGTATTAGTAGGCTATTAATAGGCAAGGATCTCTTTATTCCTTACACACATATTAATTTAGCATCATACTATGAACTTGTCCAAGGGCTAGACAGATCAATTGAACAGCACTAAGTAAACCCTACTCTAAAGGCTTCTGGTAAACGAATACTAGATAAATTAGGTAAGTTCAGATACTGATAAATTCTATTACAATAATAAGATAGGATAATAGCAAGTTGCTTGAAAGAGTAAGTTGCAAGCAAACTTGAAAGTTGTTTGAAAGAGGAGAGAATGGGGCCTTTTTGTGAGGTAGGGCTTTCTGGAAACACAGTATCTGAATAAATATTAAAAGCCAATCTCAAATAGAGCATTTCAGAAAAAGGAAATAGATTTATTAGAGATTCCGAGATTGAAACAATATTGGTCATGAGTTCAAGAAACAATAACTAGAACAAAACGGCGGTGGGACAGAATGAGGTCAGATTAGAGAGGTAGACACAGATCATACTGTGCAGGATCAAGGAGATATTCAAGACAGAAAGAACAGCTAGAGCCAAAATACAATTCAAAACACATAGAGCACAATGGTTGAACATAGGTGGCTATTGGGATCAAATGGCTTGGCTTCAAATTCTAGCTCTTCCACCTCCTGTTTGTTTAGCGTTGACCACATTATCTATTTTTTCGAGCTTCAGCCTTCTCATTTTTAATGCAAAAATAATGATGATGCCCAGCTTCCCATGTGTGATGAGTACTTCTTGGTATGATGCATGTACAGGGCTTAGCAACGTGTCCAGCACTAACAAAGTAACCATTCTAGAGTATTTTGAAGAACAGAATTGAGTCCAGTTTAATTGTTACATATAAGGAAGAGTAATGGAAAATGAGTCTACAAATAAAACAGGAACTAGAGTTAAGCAGAATATGAAACATCAGACTATTTCATAATCAGGAGAAAATCCTTGCACTCCTTTAAGCAGGGAAGTGATGTGTCAGCAGTAAACTTTGGGTAGATTAATATAGCAATTGTTGACAAAGTATTTTGGATATTGGAGATAAGAAAATAAGCAGTTTGGCCGGGCGTGGTGGCTCACGCCTGTAATCCCAGCACTTTGGTAGGCCGAGGCAGACAGATCAGGAGGTCAGGAGATCGAGACCATCCTGGCTAACACGGTGAAACCCCGTCTCTACTAAAAATACAAAAAATTAGCTGGGCCTGGTGGCGGGCGCCTGTAGTCCCAGCTACTCGGGAGGCTGAGGCAGGAGAATGGCATGAACCCGGGAGGCGGAGCTTGCAGTGAGCCTAGATTGCGCCACTGCACTCCAGCCTGGGCAACAGAGCTAGACTCCGTCTCAAGAAAAGAAAAAAAAAAAAAAGGCAATTTAATTTGTTCTAAGATAGAGACCAAAGAGAAGGACTGGATTGAAGACATTGTAGAGGTTAACTTGGCAGGACTTTGTGACTAAATGAATGAGTACAATCTCAGGAGCCTGAGAGAATATATAATTGAAATACAGACGGTGGGGAAGGAACCAGTTTGAGTCAGAAGAAATTGAGTGAACTGTAGACCTGCTGCTCTGAGATTCCTGCAGCTATCCAGCAAGCAGTTGGAAATGCAAAAGTAAACTAAGGGGAAAAGTACTGGCTGGAAATGTAGGCTAACATTCAGATTTTAGCTGCAGCTTTCAGATTGCCGGTTGGATTGTCAAGAGAAAAGAATGAAGATAAAAGAGCAGAATACTAAGGATATAACCCTAAGGTCCAAGTATAGTTCACTAACAAGACTAGAAGAATGAGTTTATGAATGAGATAGGCGAGTGATCCACATGGTCAAAGGAAAGCCAGAAGAACAGGGATCATATTCTACATGTCAATTGCTGGATATAAATGATACCTAAATAATGAATTTAAACATTTTAACTCAGATATTCAGTTTATGGCATGGCAAACAACTGATTTAAAAATTGTTTATAATGCTTTTTTTTTTTTTGCTCATAATGAAAATGATGTAAAAATTCCTGAACTCTGTGTGTTTTTCCTGTATATATCTAATTTACTTACAAAACTCTCATAGGGAACTTTTTTTTAATGTTCCATTTTTAAAGCCTAGAATAACTTCCTAAGGAAAGTGTGAAATATTCAGACCCATAATAGCTTCCTAGAAAGTAGTTCTTACTTTCCATATGAAAAAAAAAAAATTCTTTGACATAATAGCTAAAGGTGATGAAATTGTTTCTTCTTTAAATGACTCTAGTCTTATGGTGGCATTTAGAAATGCATCTTAAGTGAGGGGTTATCACAAAGTCTTTTTTATCTGCTAGTTTTTCCTCTACTTTACCTTTAATCATAGTAGGAACAAAGTATAAACAAAATCAGCAAATATAAATAAAAATTGTATACATTGTTCTATTTTATTTGTTATCCAACATATGTCTCACTTTGCATTGTGTAGACCAGAATTCGGGTTCATAGAAAAAATTCTTTCTTCAAATGAGCATGCTTATCTATATAAATAAAATTATAAATGGAATTAAGAAATAATAAAACTTATGTAAGGTATTTAATTACTATGACCAACTATATATTAATAAACTTGCAAATATCAGTGAAATAAATATCTCAAAAGCTAGAAATGATCAAAATTAACTCAAGACATTTAAAACATAAAGAGTTCAATAAACCAGGAATAAATTTTATTTTTTATCCAAGAACTTTAGGGCCAGAGAGTTTACTAATGTTATTTTGAAATTCAAGTAATAACTTGATATAGTGTTTGTATAATATAAAGTGTAATGGTTATCTATTATTGTTCCTGATGATTACAAAATTTGATCAACAATTTGATCAACAGCATGAAAAAATGTAGTACAATGATGCAACTATTAACATAGATGAATACAAAAGTATAAAATATATACCAACAAGGTATTTCCAATAATACATTAATGTATTGATGACATAAGATAGGTTTGTTCCAGAAGTTTAAAAAATGTTGTCAATGAATTTGATAAAGTTTAATATTCACATTAAAAGTATTACCGTTAAAACCAAAATATAGCATACTTATTCTCTCCATTATTTTGGAATAAGAAAAAATTATTCTTTGCAGAGCTCATGCTTATATGCATAGAATACCCCAGAGAGTTATCTGAAAACTGTCAGACATTATTCTTAAAGACTTTAGCTACAAGAATTTAGATACAATATAAATAGCCTAAAAACCAGTAACTTGATGTTGTATCACTGATGACTGCTTACAAGATGGAAATAATTTATTATCAATTAAGAAAAAAGCTAAAACATACCCAGAAACAATCCTAACAAATCTGTGGGAACTTTACCAATAAAACTATAAAGCTTCATTTAAAAAACAAAAAACTAAATAAACAGAGAGATGTACTAGATGGGCTACTGGATGGAAACAAATATTGTAAAAATATAAATTCTAAATTTAGAGATTTAATGCAATCTTCAGCAAATTACTAGAATATTGTTAAGAACTTAACATAATCATAAAGTACATTTGGAACAATCAAAGTAGAAAGACAGCTACAATTAAATGACATTACTTTTTTTTAATACAAGAAAAAAGAGCAAAGATGAAGATATGCACCAAGCTGATAACAATATAATCTCTTGGGGGTGGAATTAAAAGGGTTTGATGGAGGGGTGAGGCTATTTCTTTTTTTCTATATTTCTTTAGTGGGAGTGATTTTTACTTTCTTCTGACTGTATTTTTTTAAAAAGTTGTTAAAGCAATAAAAGCTGAAAATCTAGGGAAATATTTACATCCAATATAACAAATGTTTAATATCTTTAATATGTAAACATATGTATCACTTATAATAAAAGTATTCTAATAGAAAATTTTATAAATATTATCAGGTAATTGGCACTGAAAATAAGAAATTAAAAATTCAATATAACAAAAACATTTTAAAAATAGAGAAAGCTTTTTTATCTCTGTAATTTTGTGATTTAAATGTTAAGACTGATAAGGATACAGTGAGAGAGACCCTCCCATGCCCCTTGGATAGGAATGCAAAAGGGGAAATGAAAATCTCTGATTGCTGAATCATAATGCATTTTTACTTTCCTTCTCATACATTTGTGGATTTTAAAAAATTCTATAATACTACACATTATTTCTATATTAAGGAAAATAAAAAGTATTTCAAATTCAAGAAAGTTATGTTTTATGTAAATGCAGCAAGCTAGAACTTTTAAATATAGTACTTCTTTAAAACACTGCTTTTTAAAATTTATTTATGAGTACTGAACATGGTTATGGTCTCAATTTCTCTCCCCAGTAAGTTCATGCCTAACATTTTAGTCCTTGAAATGGAAATACACAATGTCTTCTCATAAGGATAGTAGATGGTATATATAGTAATAACTATCATAACATTAGTAACGTTGCGGGAACTTTTCCTTAGTTCAGCTAAAGATGGGTGTCCACAAGAAATTAGGCTTGCAGACAATTTGAAGCATGAGGAGGGCAGGGTTCAAGGAAAAGAGGGAAAACAGGGACTCTCCACAAGGCCAGGGGCCCTGCTAGGGTGCTTCCAGCCTGGCAGATTGAATCCCAGGTTCTACTCAGGAAGAGGAGGGCCAGGCTCCTCCCTGCTGCAAACAGCACAAACTTTTATGGCTCCAACCCAGTGCGCACTCCTCCCAATGTTCAGGCCAGTTGGAGGCTCTGCCAGGGAGCCCTTCCCACCTGTCTCAGTAATAGTCAAAATATTGAACTTTATCATATGCCGGATACTGTGTTAAGCTCTTCAGAGGCATTAGCCCAGTTAATCATCAAACCCTATGTGATGGATGTTACTGCTTTCACCATTTTGTAGATAAAAGAATCGAGGGTCAGAGAAGTTACATGAATGTCCAGGATGGTGGGACTTGGAGGAGGAATGCCAACACCTACGCCCAGCTAGATCACTTATTTATTTGCTATCTTCCCTGAGAGGCCATTTAACTTACTTGAGCCAAAAGGTTCTCAACTCAGCTATAAAATGGAAATAATAATACTTGGCAATGTTGTGAAACCCAAATGATGTACTATATGTGAACGCACCCTGAATAGCAAATTCTATAAATTCAAAGCATAATAGAGATTAAGTATTTACAGTTTCCTTCTTTAAAGTATCTTTCTTATTTTACCACTTATCTTTGCCCCAAACTTTAAAAATTGTGATATTTCATAGGAGAAATTATTTTTCCTTATTGAATCCAATATCTGAAGCTTTGTCTACCCAGTGTTGCTAGTCAGTGTTTTATTGCAGACTAACCTATTAATGACCTCTTTAAAAGTAAATTCCAACCACAGAACCTGTCTTCCTGTGTAAGACTTTAGGTGCAGCAAATCATCATGCATCTACAGCAAGTTTTCCACTCTATATTGCTACTGCCAAAGAATCTCAGATGAGATATGAGAGAAAATAAATTAGTCTCATATGATTCAAAATGTAGTGAACACTTTGCAAACAAGTATTTTTTAGCATCTTAAATAAATTTTGGTTGAATTACGTCTCATTTACAATATCACATTTCATCCTAATTTCAGTTGTTTTCCATATTGTCTCCTATTGACTTCTACTCCATTTCTCAAGAAGAGTAAACCTTACTTTAATTTATCTCCGAATAGAAGATTGAAGGAAGACCCTGCTATAAGCATAGCGTCCTACACAAGGAATAGCTAGAGATGTAGGAAAATTTTTATTGATTGGAAAAAAAAAAGTGAGCTGACCTCCAATATTTTCTGTTAGGTTTTCTCTGTAATATGGCACAGGAAAAAATAAATAATAATTTGAAAAAAGAGGCAGCTTTTTCATATTGCTATGGAGCAATTTATGAATAGGACATAAGTCCTTTTTTCCTCCTAAAATAGGGACTTTATGGGGTTTTCATCTTCTTTTTTATTAGTGGTTGGATTATCTGATCATTTACATTATAAGAAACACACGAAAATCTAGAAAACATTTTACATTTTGTTACAGATTTACAAATA
This sequence comes from Homo sapiens, assembly GCF_000001405.40. Taxonomy (NCBI): domain Eukaryota; kingdom Metazoa; phylum Chordata; class Mammalia; order Primates; family Hominidae; genus Homo; species Homo sapiens. The sequence continues at coordinate 79,110,536 of NC_000012.12, forward strand.
GCATGTTTTCACTTTCATTCTAAAACTAATTATTGATATCAGAAATTTGTATCTTACCTAGATCATTGGTTAACAAGACAGATTTTTAATTCATAAACTTTAATTCTTCATATGGCAGTCTGATTGAACCAATACATTTTTTAAAAATTTATAGCTAATTGAAGTATAACATGAATTAAACACACATAGACTTCAAAATAAAGCATAAATAGAAGTGCATGGAAAGATGTACCGATGATTGGTTCTTAGGAAATTAATAATAAAGGCTAACATTTGTTGAACTCTTACCAAGTACGACCTGCAGTTATAATATGCGTTACTTCTTTTAATATTCACAATAATTTTATAATTAAGTACCATTGCTACTTTATAGTCAAACTATTAAGTGATTTGCCCAAGGACATGCCACAAAAAAAGTGATGAAGTTGGATTATGCAGGCACTGGTCGAACTCAACAAGCAGTGTTCCTCACCTCTCACCTACACTCTGGGTAACATTTATTTTTCAAAATCTTAACTATATAAAGTATAGCAATGAAAAATGAAGGATGTTCTAAATGTAAATTGCCCTCACTTAAAAGCTTAAAAAGAAACTAGCTACAATGAAAGGAGAATTCGTATATGTCAGCGTGATCTAGCGCAGTATTTGTAATAAAGCTGAGGTGGGGGGCAGTGGAATAAAGAAGGGAAAATCCCTAGGGGAATATATTAGAATTAAAAAGGAGCATTTTAATACTATGCACACACCACCTCCCAACTCTAGAATTTCCCACCAGTTTTTCTCCTGCCTTACGTAGCCTTTCAAATACTCTTTCTCTTCCTGGAACACCCTTTCTACCTCTCCCTCACTTCAGGGCTAAGTTCTGCAAGTTGATCTCTTCTAGACTATCAGAACCTTTCAAGCAAGGACCATGAGTTTTTTTATTCATCTTAACATAATAATAAGTTGTAATAATTATAATAAATTATAATAAGTTATAACAACTTTTAAAACTATCACGATGCCTCCCACAGACTCAACACTCAAGAAGTATTTGTTGAATAGACAAATATGATATATTTCAAAGTATCTCACAGTTTGCAACGCATTTTCTTATAATACCTCATTCTATTTTCATGATAAGCCCCTATGGTGAGTATTTAAATAAGAAGAAACCTGAGACACAGAGAAGCTAAGAAACTTGTCTAGATTCACAAATCCTGCAAAAAAAAAAACTGAGACTCAAACTCATGCCTTTCAGTTCTGCATCCAGTGTTGTTTCCCTCACAGCTCAGACAAGAAATTGGTCTTCTGGTAAATTATAAGGCCTTCCTGTCATGTACCTAATTTCATGTTCTAAAAAATTTTACTACACCGAAGTGTTTACATTCCACAGAAATTTTTTAACTTTTCATTTCAACTTAACTGTTTATTGCAGAGCGCAGTGGTAGTAAATAATAGATACAATCTTTGCCCTTGAGAGAACTTAAAGTTTAGTTAGAAAGGATCAGGAAAAAAAAAAAAACACAAAGAACTGCAATTCAAAGCAAGAAAGACATGGTATAAGAGAGTCAACAGTTAGTTGGACAAATTTTATTAGGTAATTAATCTATGCACCAGCCTTAATACAATATGCTAGTACATGAGGAATTTAAAAGAGGGGATTGTGGACTCAAAAGAAAGAGATACTAACAGACTCATGGGTATGGTAGAATCTGAGACAAAACTTGAAGAACTGGTTTACTTTTAGAAGACAAATATAAAGGTAGTCATTCTGAGATAATAATGAGACGTTGAGTAAAAGCTACGATGTGGAGACGTGTGGGGCATGTTTTGGAGAGAGCCAGTTTAGTAAGAGTGATACAAAAAAAAGTTCTATTTCTTAGAATATAAGAGTGAAATATTAGGACCTTAAATGCCAGACTAAGGAATTCATTCATAATTTGATAAGCCATGTGGAGCCATTGAGAGTTTTGAGCAGGGGAATGACATTATTGGAGGTGGGGTTTATAAAGATTGACCTACCAGTGAATACAGGATGCTGTAAGAAGCTCAAAGTAGGGACACTAGTCAAGTTTTCAAAGATAAAAATGATAAAGTAGCATCACTTAATTACACCATTGTATCTCAGAAAATATTTAGGTGATCTAAAATAAACATATTCTTTTAGTTTATTCCCTCAAATAGATAAAATGAGTTTAAGAGAGTCCCTGATGATGAGTTTTTATACTAAACAAAATGCTTATTTGGGTGAGAGATTGCAACTCAGTATGGTTAAATTAGATTTGTTATTTCTTAGAACTACATTCCCTTTGGTACTTGTAGAGAACTTCTATTTCTGATTTAAAAAGAACACAAGGCATATGGCAATTTTTCATAGTTATTACAGGTGACATCTAAACTGGCAGAGTGCAGACAAAGGAAAGGCATATAAATTAGACAAATAAAAGTTTCTTTAGACTCATACACAAACACCAACAGAAGTGTACAAAGAGATAATGAACTTGCCTAGGATCACTGCAACTGAATGAACAAGCCCAGATATCTATCAATTCCAAAATGTATTCGACATAAAAGTCAAGTTATGTTTTTTATTGCTGTTTTCAAAAGCAGCCATTTTTAGGATATTTGTGTTTCTGATATGTTAACCAAAATGTTTTATGTATGGTGTCCATTTTAATGGTGTCAATACTGAGTATATTGTGCTAATAATGACCATAACAATTGGCATCTCTAAACAACATAGAAGGTCAACTTCATTGATTTAACTTGAAGTTTTTAGCAAATAAAATAGGAAAGTATTTTCCTTGATGCTGGCTATTGAGTCTGGCACTTACTGGCACTGAATAAGCAGTTTTTTAATGATAACTATCTTATACTAGAGAGATATGACTTTGAAACTACGTTGTATTCGTTGACCAAAAAAATTCTTAGAGTTATAAATTCTGTGAAATGATCTAGAAAAAATTATATTGTCAATTGAATTTTGGAAATTTGTGTATTTTTTTCTTTTGGAGATACATACTGTGTAGTAGCATATTAAAGTCTAACATGTGCTACCTAAAAATAAAACCTATTTAACTTTCTTTAACCCAGTGCTTTCCAAACTTATTTGACCATGAAATTGATTAATCTTCCTTGAACATATATTCAGATTCCATGCTGACTTTAGGAAATTTTGCCAGAGAACAAGGAAAGCAGCATTATATACCAGAGAAATGTGAAGTTTTAATAAAAGATCTGCTCACCACTAATCCCAGTTCCCACAAAAACTGCTATAGTGTCCTGTAACCTCACCCAACACCTCAACCCAATAGGTGTTCAAATTTAACCTAAGTGTTTACAGGATTTTCATAGTCCTATCTAATTCTGCCTCAAAAATAGAAAATTATCTCTGATTATTTTATCTCCCCATCTCTGCTGCCTCCATCCGTTCATTCAACCAAGGCTTTCTATGTTCTGACTCCACAACAGGAAGCATGACATATGTTGAAATGAACTCATGAGCAGACCTCATGGTCCTCACCTTCACTAAACAAGCAGGGTAGTAGAAGAAAAAGACAAGGAAAGAGCCTGATATGTCTTTGCTAAGGAAAATACCTTGGGTTGTGGGAACTGCCTTGGTGGATAAAGGTAGTTCTGTGAATAAACCAAAATCTGAAGGATGAGTAGGTAAGAGGGAAGGAAGAGTTTCAAACAAGGTCTTTGTGTGGGAGAGCACGGCTTTATGGGGAAAAATAAGTGCAGTAATTCATTCCATTCATGCAGTACAGAGCCTAAGGGAAAATATTTTTTACTGTTGGATTTCCCTTGTCAGGAAAGCTTAGAAACACTAAGCAAACCCTGGTACATGTAGGATAATCTGGAGGCAGAATGAGTGGCATCACACCTCTTACAAGCTTTACCTTTGGCTCTTTAATCAGGTAGCTACAGGTATTGGGAGGTAAGGGGGCTGATGCTCAATTCCTCCAACCCCTAACTCCCATGTCTTAAGCCCAGAGTTGCAAAGGGTGACCCACCTACATCATAACTCCTACAGTGCTTTACCTCTGGGGTTTTATCCAACTTTGGAGAAATTCCTTCATGCAGACTCTGGGTCTTGATTGCAATCATATCTTCAGGCCAGAGCACTTCTTTATTGAGATAGAACACAGCTCTTTGAAGTATATTCCCAAAATACAATATATGTTAGAATACTTCTGGCCAGGCCTATATTGATGTGTTTACTTCTTGTCAAAATATTCATTTGTCTTTGAGGAGAAGACCCCCCAGATTTTGAAATCAATGTGTAAGCCATATAGAAGCAAAATTAGAGTTTCTACAATTGAAAATTTCAGCATTTTTCACATAATCTCAAAAATACCAAACTGGCAACATTCCAGTAAAATGAAGATTAAAATGTTTTAAAAAATGAAAAACTGGAATATGTTAGTATATGCAATTATTCTACATTTTTGAAAGGAAACATTCACAGGACAATGTGCTCATTTATCATCCTGACCAGACCTCTCCCACTCTTTTCTCTTTAAAGTTGAAAATGCTGCAATTATTCTGTTATGCCTCATAAAATAGTAAATTATCTCCAATTACTGTACAGTCACAGTAGCAGTAAAAAGCTTGTGTAGAACAACATACTCCCCATAGTCATCTTGAAATTTATTAGAATATCATAAAATTATAACTCAGAAAGGAGTTTCAAAAACATGTCTAGTCCATTTTTATTACCTCTGGGCAGGACTGAGTTGCACATAATTCCAGGAAACTATCTAAAGAGAAGATTCAACAATTATTCTTGTTAGCTAGAGGGTTCAATCACACTTACATAGTGAGAAATATTTTTCCTATATGATACATTTCTTAAATGTTTCCTCATGTTCATATGCAGCTAAATTCTCAAAATTCACTTCTACCACCTCAACCCAAGTGAATGGCATCTGAGCAATACATAAACAACAAATTTTACCCTTATGAACTTAGGAAAAACCTTTCATTTATTTGCCACAATATTTTCATTTTCATCTGAAAGACAGCACTACCTAGACAAATTTTTAACCCCCTTAAGTGAAATATCAAAAATAGTGTTTTAAGAGCAGGAGGTAACCTTGCCTCTGCACAAAAACATCTTGTTCTTTCCACAGAAACCATAAAGTAAGCACAGCTTTCACCACTGATATTGTAGAATATTAAGTAATTTTTTTAAATTATAATTACTAATTTTTGTTGGGAATCAGGGCAATGCCAGATATCCTTTGTAAAATTTTAACACAGTCAACTGTTCCTTTATTGCTCAGCATGCCATCCAGGCTCCATTCCAGGGCATGCCCTTCCACAGTTTAGGGTTGCTTTGAATATTTCTACAGGATTTTTCAGACATTAGCCTGTCAATCAAATATGCAGTAAGTTCTCATAAAATTTCTCACTTCCCCACACCCTGAAAGCTATAATGAGCAAACAGAGTAGATTCTAATGATGTGAACAAGATAGCATACAACCTTTGAACTTAGATATTTGTTTGATACCTGGTTCTGTCACTAACTAGCTGGATGACCTTGGAATTATCATTTGTCTTCTCTAAATTTCAGGTACCTTGTCATTAAAATGGGAATCATGATGGTTGCCTCATAGGTTAGAGTAGGATTAGTTGAGATAATTAATGGAAAACAAATAATAGGTGGTAAAGAAAACTGGCCCTCAGCCCATGTTTGTAGTTACTATGGCTGATATTTTTGTTGTTCTTAGTACTACTATGTCTATTGGGAGTGCCAGAGGATGATGGCCCAAAAAGCCTAACGAAGACATTTAGGATTGGTATTAGTGTTCAGTAGGAGAAGTGCTTGGGGTTTTACACTGGCAGGGATGTACACAATATTCAATGGAGGAAAAGATAGGTGAAAATTAGGAAGGCAAAGTATTTCCTGCACGTGTTGGTGAGGTGTTGACTTAGGATCCACACAAATCAAGCAAAACACTCTCTTATTTGTGTCTTATTTCATAAGTGAGGAACTCACAGCATAGGGTATTAATATAACATGCCCAACGTGGGTGAACTAAGGATTCAAACTTCAGATTTCAAAGTCCAAAGTGAATGCTTTGTTCACTTTTACCAGGCTTGCCCTCTGCCATTTACAAGAGCAGTCTTTCCCATATTCTTCCCTAAGCAGACAACAATTTAGCCCTTACCTATATTGAATTCTCATAGTATGCTATACTCACTTTATTATAGGATAACTATTTGCTGTATTCTGTCACTTTCTGCTAAATTGTGAGCTCTGGGAGGTCAAGGAGAATTTTCCATTCAGCTACATATCTCAGAGCCTACACCAAAATCCTGAGTTTCACCTCTGAAGGCCTGAGTAGGCAAGTTGCTCCTCTCCCCCTCCAGTGAGGAGGGCAAGTAAGATTCTATCTGGGCTCCTCTGAAATCCACGAGCAGCTCTCCAAATAGAGAAGCACTGATGTAGAGATTGTTGGGTAATAAAATTAATGAGGAAGCCATGGTACAAAATTTTAACACCTTTCTTTTCTGAACTAAAGTTAAATTCTTGAGTGTAGGCGTTCCTTCTTGAAAGTCCTGTTACTGGAGAGATTAATCTACCAGCAATATACAAAGACAGATTAGTGAGAGATGGTGGTCCCAATAAAATCATTTATAGGCTAATTACATTCCTTCTTCACTCAGTTTTACTACAATTAAAATGTAAAAGGTCTGTTTACATTTTTGGTGCCTCAATATGTATTGAGAAATACAATATTGTTAAGCAGGTTTTCACTTTGCATTTCTCTGCTTTAATATAATGAAGTCATTATCCATGCGGACCCACAATGCTCCGTGTTAAATTCGCCAACTGCTGTTCTGTACATTCCCTCAGCCAATTTATTTCAATTTCAGAAGGAGCAACCAACTCCACAGTGGATGACTGCTGACTGCAGTTCCACACCATCACTCTTCAAGAGTAAACTCAAATCAAGGAAAAAGCTTCCACATGTGAGCATGGGTGTGCTCAATCTCCTGTTAGCTGCAGCCACAGTTTCAGGCCTGATAGACCCCAGCTTCTGCCCATGGGGTGCAGAGCTACAGACAGCTCACCTGCCTCTACCACAGGACAGATCACAGGACAGGCTGTGTGTGTGTGTGTGTGTATTACATCATATATATATATATATATATATATATATATATATATATATATATATATATATAAAATAAATAGGTTGCATACAGAAGATTTTCAAACCAATCATTAACACATGTAAGAGCTAGGTCATATTATTTATGGCACTGTTGGTGGTAGCCAGATATCATAAATGCAGTGTCATAAATACTTTTGTATGAAATTATATAATTCTTAGGGTAACACCTTAAAACTCATAATTTGCAGAGTTCCAGGGTTAGAGCCTAAATGTTCAGAAATTTTCCACAAATGGCTATCATCAATTTAAAATAGCTATGTTTACCAAATAAATTTGTACTGAGCTAGACACGTGGATTAGCAAATCTGTAGCACAGAGCCGAGAAAGGAACCCCTTGGTCCTTTTGACCTCCCTGCTCTTGTCTCTTATTTTCTCTGTTTGCTGATTCCATCAAATAATTTGATCTTTTTAGAGCTGATCTAGCCTGTTGTTTGACAAGACCCTTTTTTCTTGAACTACATTATCACTTAACCCATTACCTTGTACTTGTGAACAGCATATTAGAATGAATCATTTTGCCATTTAACATGTGTGGTTAAAAATTATTGGTTATGTATTGAACTCCACTAAAACTATGATTTTAATATAGAAGCTGATGTTTCAAGAAATCAGCAGTCTCTACTGGGTTAGGTTTTTCAAAGTTTGGGTTGTGCATGATCATAAGGTTAAACATTTTTCAAGTGTAACATTAAGAACAAATTTTTCATGTAATTTGGATAGATAAGTCATTTCATTCAAGTCTATATACAATTTTCTTGTGCTAATCTTGATGTAAAAACTAATGGTAGACTGTCTTTTTCTGCTTTTGTTGTTTAAAATGACAGTAATCAAGTTTACCATCTCCACCATTTAATAAAGCAAACAGCACTAGTATAGAAATTAGAAAGGAAATAAAAGGAGCATTTAGTGAATGTCAGTGTTGATCTAGTCAATCATTGTACATGTGTTAGCTCCTCTAGTTTCCACAAAGCCAAAATGAAGTCGTTATTATCTGAGTTTTACAGGTGTTAAGAAATTCACCAAATGTGCCCTGGTAGCTCTTTAAATGTTGTGTTCCACAGGCTCCCTATCCTGAGCACTCTAATTTTCTATGGTACATAATTTACCTGGGTGATCTCATCTCTTTACTTGGTTTCAATTGCTACTTATATACTCTGATTACTCTCAAATCCATTATTTTCCACTGTTACCTTTCTTCTCAACTTCAGATCCAGATATCCAACTGCCTACTAAACATCTCTTCCTTGTCCCTAGACATATAATCCTTCACTTACCCACTTTTGAATTCCCTATTCTCTATGTTTCCTGTGGTTGCTGGTACCATCCAGCCAAAGTAGGAAAGGGCTGGTCGTTTTCTTCTTCTCCATTACCCCTAATATATTCCTACAAATTTTATCTCCTCTATAATGTACAAAAGCAACTAGAGAATCTGTGCCTGTCCTCTCCACTCTCACTAACTTCTTATTGTGTCTATCATCATATCCTGCCTGAACTTTTAACAGGTCCTCCTGCCTTCAGTTTTAGCCTCCTGAACTTTGTCCTCCATACTACTGCTGGAGAAGTCAATAGTAAACAATGCAAGTATGCCATTTTGCTTTTTAAAAACCTTTAATGGTTCTCCATTTCCTGGAGAAAACAGGCCAAGCTTCCTAACAAGTCCCTCCTTGATCTGGTTCACGCTTTCTTCTATAAAACTTTACCGCTCTTCAGTTTTTTGACCCCTGACTTTTTTCTCCAGACACACAACTCCTTACATATTTTCTCACATAAGGTGTTTTTTTTTTAGTCATAACTTTTCTTCAGCTGAGAAGGTCCTTCTTATCTACCCTTTCACTTTTTCTATCTAACTCCTCCTCACCCTTTAAGATTCAGTAAATGTCACTATCACCAGAAATCCTTTTCTGACCCAGTCTTACAAAAATTTGTAAGGGTCTTATATTTTGGAATTTGTTAACTAAATGTCTAGAGAGTTGACGTGACAGCAAGAAAGATATTCTTGTAAATGAACTCAAGAAACCCAGGACTCACTGAAACAAAGAGGAACATTTCAAATCATTTTGGAAGATTCCTTTACTTCCTGAATTAATTCATAAGTTGTTTTTTTTTTCTAAGCTAAATTACTTAAATAGCTTTATTCTCCCCTTGAGTAAGGACAGAAGCTAATTAGGCATTCTCCAAGGCACAGATGGGAAAAATATCATCTCCCTTCCTCTTTTCTTAATCCCCAGTATAGCCAGATGTAGTGAAGGTCCCAGCTGCCTCCTAAAGACCTGCTGTGGAACAACAGGATCCAAGAGACTGAGGGAGCCAATCAAGCTTAACATTTGCATGCGAAGGCCTCCCAGAAGCAAGGAATTCAGCTCCCTGGCTCCCTATCTGTTCTGCTGCTTGTGGGCAATAGCACCACACAAAGAAATGGGCCTGTGCTTAGGAAAAAATATATATATATTTACCCAAGTCAGAATGTTCGTATGCGGCGATGAGAACCCAATCAATTCAAGAGGACAGAGCAATTAATTTATATATCAGTTATAAAAATACAAATTGATATAAACATGGGAACAATAAGACACTGTGGACTACTAGAAGGGGGAGAGAGAAAGGGAGGCATGGATTGAAAAACTACCTATTGGGCACTAGGCTCACTACCTAGGTGTAATATTCCCATGTAACAAATCTGCACCCGTACCTACTGTATCTAAAATCAAAGTTAAAATTTAAAAAAAATATATAAAAATGCAAAATTTGAGAGGGAGAGCTGCTTAAAACAGCTTCAAGGATTTTTATCTTTCTTGAATTTCTATTTAGCAGTCAATGTTTCACACTCTTAGTATATAAGTTATCAAAACTAACACATTTTCAGTAAAACTGGACTTCAATGATGTAACTTATGCAAAGTATCCTCTAAAACATGGTTTTTCCCTTATGTAGATCAGCTGAGTGAACTGTAAGCATCAAAGAAATCTATATGAAAATGTATGTTTATCAAAAAGTTATATGATGTTTCATGTGATTAAATTCTAAGAAGATGTTCCTAAATGTCTCATTCTTACAGCTGCAAAGCAGTGTTGACATCATCCGATCCAAATTCCCTGCTTTACAGCTGAAAATCCAATGCATGTAGCAGTTCAGTGACTTTAATGATGGCACAGCCAGTGTTAGCCTAGAAACCCAAGGTGCCTGACCTTGAAGGAAGTTCATATGTATACACATATTTGTGTATGTATATATATCTATATATATATATAGATATATATACACACACACATTTGTATATATATATACACACACACATATTCGTGTACATATATACACACATATTTGTATATGTATATATATGCATATGTTCATACATCTATCACCAATCACATACATATATGTAACCTGAATATATATATCCAGGTTAGGAATCTGTTTGTCTTCCTTCAGATTACTCCTAACCCCTGCCTTCTGTCTTCCTTCTCCTCTGGCAAACCCATTTTCCAATCACGAGCATCCCATTGCCCACTTACACACTGCTCACCACCCAGAATGTAGGGACTGAGTCTTACTCCCAAGAGACTCACTTCAAGCCACCTCCTTCCCAGCCATTGCTGGACTTGGCATCTGAATATGTTTTGTTCTGCAGGAGTAGATAGCCTCATATACTAATCAAGGGTGAAAGTTTTCTTTGTCTGTCAGGTTTCCTCTAACATCTTATGAATAATCTTAAATAAAATGTAGGGAAAGCTTTCAGTAACATCAAATAGATCTCAAAAGAAAGGCAGACTGCTATTCAACATTGCTAGCCTCTCTCTGATTCTAGAAGCAAAGCCTCTGAATAAAGGGTTCAATTTTACACTTTTGTTCTATCCCCACTCAGGACTTGCTAACCACAATCACCCCCTCACCCCATAACCTGCTCCCATGCCCATTTCTTAGTGTGGGTATAAAGTCAGGCCAGAGACAGCTAACGAGCAATGAGTCGGCTGCACTTGCGTACTGAGCCACCAGAGGTGCTAATAGACAGGAAATTTTCTTATTAGATGCTTTCAAAAAATAAAATTCTGGAGCCCAAGTATTGTCTTTAATGTCCTAAGGGCAGATCTTGTATAGAGAACTCAAGCCTTGTATTTGTTTAAATATCAAGAACCTGTCAATGTATTGAATAATATACAAATAGTAGATGTAATTCAATTTGACTAGTGTTTATTAAGTTCCTAATACAAGATAGCCTGATATATACAAAAAAGTGAAAAGCCCTGCTTCTGTGGTAAAGGGGAACTAAGAAAAGCTGAATTTAACCACACAGATTAATGAAAATATTCTGCTCTTGTCATTGCTTTCAGCACTTTTTGAAGTAGATGTCTTCTGTTTATCATATTTCCTGGCAAGATTTATAAGAGTCTTCAAATTATAAATCTTTAGCACATCTTGAGTAAACTCTCATTTCTTCAAACTCTTCATCACTCGTATAATTAGAAATAAAAGACTGTAGAAAAATATGAAATTCCTTTGAAAGAAGTCAATAAAGAGATTCATATTTCAGGCCGGGCGCGGTGGCTCACGCCTGTAATCCCAGCACTTTGGGAGGCCGAGGCGGGCGGATCACGAGGTCAGGAGATCGAGACCATCCTGGCTAACACGGTGAAACCCCGTCTCTACTAAAAATACAAAAAATTAGCCGGGCGTGGTAGCGGGCGCCTGTAGTCCCAGCTACTCGGGAGGCTGAGGCAGGAGAATGGCGTGAACCCGGGAGGCGGAGCTTGCAGTGAGCCGAGATCGCGCCACTGCACTCCAGCCTGGGCGACAGAGCGAGACTCCGTCTCAAAAAAAAAAAAAAAAAAAAAGAGATTCATATTTCAAATGCACATGAACATTTAACTAGTTATTAAAAATTTCCAATAAATTGAGCTATTACTAAACTGGAATATACCTAATTCAGATTCCAAATGTGATGAGTAAGACACATTTTTCTGGTCAAAAGTAAGTTCCATTCATTTTATTGCCTATAAATTGAGTCTGGTAAGTTTGAGTGAGAGATATTTGAGCATTATGATTTTTAAGGTAATGCTTTGTTTCCATCAAGTTCTTAGTAAATAATAAATTCTCAGTTATTTGGAGAAAGATGGCTTTTATTTTCCCCATATTGCCTAAGCCTCCAAGTTATAATTCTAACTGTTCATCCAACTTGCTCTATTTTTTATATAAATGATGACACCTTCTAAGTAAAGTGATCATTAACATCCATCATTTTTAAAAGCAGTTTCACTGAAAATGAAGAATGATAATGAGAAGAGAGCCTAGTTTTACAAAAGGGAATTTTACCTTTTCTGTGGAGACAATTTCTACAGTCACCCACAGAAACTTGTATGTTTAATTCAGTTATGATGGAAAGAATAAAATATCTCTTAAAAGCTTCAAACTAATTTACCATTTTATCCGCAAGTTTCTAGTAGGCTCTAACACTAAGCAAACCAGAAGCCAGTGGATTTCTAGACAGAACCTACCTAAGTGCCCATCTATCTAAAAATGTGCTTTAAGTTGGGTGCCTCAGCATTACAATTCCTATCAATGGGTCCAGTACTCGGTAACACTCTGTTACATGTATCTCTAAAAATGCAATGTGTGTGTGTGTGTGTGTGTGTGTGTGTGTGTGTGTGTGTGTTTAGCTATCATCTCAGAAATCAGGTAAGCAAGTCACCCAGGAAACAAAATAGGTAACTATGTTAAAAATAAACACCTAATGTTTATTTCATTTGGTCCTCTAGGTACTAACATCATCTCCATTCTAAAGATGAGGAATCTGAGGCTCATAGGGATTGAGTAACTTGTTCAAGGCTATGCTCTTAACCACAGCGCTGCATTCTTGTATTGAAAGCAGTTTGTTAACTTACAATTCAGAAACACATTTACTGCATAAATCCAATACTGTTGTGCATAGAACCTTATTATACTTTTTTCCTCTGGCTAAAATAAAATTGAAGCATTTTACATTTCCTTAATTGCCAGCAGGTGTCTAAAGGTTCTGTTTTCCATTTTCTGGTGTTAAACCTGAATGAGCTCAAATTAATGATTCCTGATAAATATGGAATAAACAGAAATGCTTTTTAAAAATTAACAAATATTAGTTCTTTATTTCATTGACCAGTAAATCAGCAAAAAAGAAAAAAAAAGTCTTAAAGAGCTTTACTCTTCCCCTTAAGTGAAGAGGAGGCTAATTAAAGACTCTTTAATGCCAATAGGAGAAATATATTTCCCACCCTGCTTCTGTTTTGTTATTGCTCTTGTGTTTTTGGCTAACATTTATCAAGCACATACTATGCGCCAGGCACTGTGACAAAAACCTGCATCTAACTATTCAATGTTTGTCACAACCCCATGAGGTTTTCCTGAAATAAGCCACATTAAAATTGTCAAAAAGAAAAACCTCTTGCAAATAGCTGATCAAAATTCATCCTCTAAAAGCTATCCTGTAACTTACACATTTTGACTCTGCCCTAAACATAGCCAGAAGTAGGTTGCCTTTCAAAATTATGTGGCCTGCCATGGGAAAAAATTCTCCAGCACCAACATGATGTAATTGGAAGAACATAGATGCCTAGTGTTTTAATATACCCTTCGCAACTTTCTTGCTGTATGATCTTGGAGACAATACCACCAAAGCTCTCAGAATCAGAATATCACATATTATCCTATCTGAAAAGGGACTATGATACCAAACTCATAATCTTCTGAGATTACAACTTACGACTCTTCTTTGGCTTGTCGTGAGGTAGAATATAGATAATATATGGATAATCTGGAAAAAAGCGTGCCCAATAAATAACAGGGTATTACTCTCACCATCATCATCATCATCACCATTGCCATCATCATCATCACCATCACCATTATCATCATCATCATCATCATCACCATTATCATCATCACCATCGCCATTATCATCATCCTCATCGTCATCATCACCTGATACATTCTTAGATTCTTTGGGAGAAAAATGGTAGGAAATGAGTAGAAAATAAGACTCTTCCATGTGGTAGTTGTGTGTATTGTACATATACAACAATATATGAAGTCATTTCATGTTTGGTAACTAGACAATTGTATCTCTACTCTTTTTTTTAATATTATTAGTCAGATGTCCAGTCCATAAAGGTTTAAAAAGTCAAGTATGGACTAATTTGAGTATAACTGAAGAGCTTCATTTGTTTCAAATGAAATGAAGGGGAAAAAAGACTGGAGGAAACCAGGAAAGAAAGGAGGGAAATTGAGAGATGGGGAAAAAATTGGAATGTCAAATTTTTTTTTTCCATTCTCTGCTCTTGTGGGTTTTGTTTGGTTTGGTTTGGTTTGGTTTGATTTGGTTTGGTTTGGTAGGACTACAGTATAACATATGCATCCTTGCGTCTTTTTATTTCTCATGACGAATAATCCATCCATTTTTTGGTAAGCATCTTAGGGCTCAGCAGATTGCTTTATCACAGAAGGTTAAATCATAGAATCCTCAAAAGAATGGGTAGAATCCATTAAAAACTGTGCAAATGGAAAATAACGTACCTATTTATTTTTCTGTTTTCTTCTTGCTACTTCAGAACTTTACTTTTCTTTGGCAAACATTGTAAAGAAAGAAAAATGTTCAGAGGCTGGGCGCAGTAGCACGTGCCTATAATCCCAGCAATTTGAGAGGCCAAGGCAGGAGGATCACTTTAACCCAGGAGTTCAAGACCAGCCTGGGAAACATAGTGCGACCCTCACTGTCTCTACAAAAAAAAAAAAAAAATTAGCTGTGTGTAGAGGCTCGTGCCTGTGATCCCAGCCACATGGGAGGTGGCTGAGGTGGGAGGATTGCTTGATCCTGGGAGGTGGAGACTGCACTGAGCTGTGATTGCACCACTGCACCCCAGCCTGGGCAACAGAACAAGCCCCTGTCAAAAAAAAAAAGAAAAAAAGAAAAAAAAAGAAAAGAGCTCAGAGTTCTCAGCATATTTACACAAAATTTAAAATATAAAAACTATATTTTTCCTTTGACTGCTCTAATATCAATATGCAGCTTGCTAATAGGCATATCACATTCCTGAATAAATAACATTCACTCTTCCTGGAACAGGTAGCCCCCAAGTTTCTTCATGTCTTTGCACAAAGGCCTCCTTATCAAAGAAGACTTTCCTAACCTCTGCAGGAAGTAAGTTCCCCGGCTCATCAATCACTACTTTCCTTATTTGTTTTTTTCTTTATTTTCTTCAGAGCACTTCTTGCAATGTAACATCTGTTTATTTAGTGTCGTTCTCAGTCCATTAGAAAGTAAGCTCCATGAGACCATGGATTTTCTTTGCTTCACTACTGTATGTCATGGCAGAAAACTTCAGCAATAATTATTTCAATGGTAATGCAGTGATTACTGAAAAGTGAATATTAAAGACTTATCTTCTGGAAGAGCAAAGTCCTAATTATTAGGTATCAGAAACTGATAAAAATTAATATCAGCACATTTAAAATACATAGCTGATATCTTGAGTATGTAACCCATATATATGGCCATTAATAAAAGTGGTTTTTGTTTTGTTTTGTTTTGTTTTGTTTTTGTTTTTGTTTGAGACGGAGTCTCGCTCTGTTGCCAGGCTGGAGTGCAGTAGCACGATCTTGGCTCACTGCAACCTCTGCCTCCCGGGTTCAAACAATTCTCCTGCCTCAGCCTCCAGAGTAGCTGGGATTGCAGGCATGTGCCACCACACCTAGCTAATTTTTGTATTTTTAGTAGAGACGGGATTTCACCATGTTGGCCAGGATGGTCTCGATCTCTTGACCTCATGATCCACCCACCTCAGCCTCCCAAAGTGCTGAGATTATAGGCGTGAGCCACCATACCCGGCCAAAAGTGTTTAATAATATGCTAGAATTGTCCCTTAAATAACTCCAGTGAAATAGCGACTTTGGAGGATTTATATATGCAGTGTCAAATAACCCCATTTAAAGTATCTATCTGGACACCTCAAAATGGTGTTAGTAAGAATTATTTTCAGACCTACAATAAGACAGTGTCCTAGATGTCCTGGATTAGTAAGTGAGCAGGTTTAAGGGGTACTAGAGAGTAGGGACTCCCTTATTATGTCTTGGACTCAAGATTGAAATTAGGGTAGGGTTTACCAGTGACGTGAATTCTGTGCTTATTTGTCAACCCTATGGTGTCTATACTGAATTCAGTAAAACTCTGGCTTTCAACTTGAGAATTAACACATCATGCTTGTTTCCAATTTTATGTCATTGACATTGGTGAGAGACTCCTATGTAGGACCATAGCCCACCAGGAAGAGACACTTGGGAGTCTCTGGCAGCATCTCTCAGCATCTAGTCTATTGTCTCACACTGTTAAAATGTGTCTCCAAAGTTTCATATTTTATTCCACAAAATGAAAACCCAGGAATTATCTGGACTGATCTTCCACTGAAAGCAGACAAGTGGCATTTGTTACTTAAGCATAATTTTAGAGCTTCACTCTCTTCAACCAGGTTGCTCATCAGAGTGTTCCTCCCAGAGGCATAAACAAGCTCTAGTAGATGCAATTTTCTCCATCTTCTAACATTCCAAAAATAAATTTTAGTGCCCTTCACACATTGGCTTTCTGGCAAATGCCTGACTGGCCCACACTTAATCTGACTTTGACTTAACATAGCACTGGTTGCAAAAGATGTGAAAAACATGGGCAGTTCTTACGAAACAGATTGTGGTTCTAGAGCTTAGTCATATTTAAGAGCAAGAGTTTTGAAGCCAGTGTAGGTGGTAACAGCCATCTGAATGTGGGAAACTTACTTAATGTTTCTAAAGCTCAGATTCCTCAGTTGTAAGATAGGAATAATGATAGTACCTAGCTCAGAGGAGTGATGTGAGAATATGAGTAAGCACTGAACAACGTTGTCTTAAGGCCTGAGCAGAATAGTGAACATGAAAATGACTATCACATAGCAGTTCAACATGTCTGTTGTTTTCATGTGCTGCCAACATCCTGCATTTGTGTGACTGTTTCTGTTTCCAGCTGTCTTTATCCAGCCACACAGAAGACGAAAAGCTCATAGGAGTCCTAGAAAACAATGGTTACTTTGTCTTTATTTCAAGCAATAGAAGGGGACCTTCTTTAGGAATGCATGTTGGATCAAGTTGGAGAAGTTGATTAATATTGTTTAATGTTGTTTAAATTCAGCTGTTTAGGAAATGGAATGCCTGTGCTGATAATAAAAAAGATCATAGATAGATAGATGGGTAGATAGGTAAATAAATGCATGATGGATGAATTAGGTAGACAGAAAAACAGAAACAGTCATAATATAGATGAGTGGATAAGTAGGTGGGTGGATGGACACAGAGATAAAAACATATAAGGGTGCATAGATGGATAATTAGATAGAGAGATTAGATAGATAGAAAGATAGCCTGGGCAGAGTGGCTCACACCTATAATCCCAGAACTTTGGGAGGCCAAGACGGGGAGGATCTCTTGAGCCCAGTAGTTCAAGACCAGCCTGGGCAACATAAGGAGACCGTGTCTCTCTAAAAATGAAAAAATTAGTCAGGTGTACTGGCTCACATTTGTAGTCCCAGCTACTTAGGAGGCTGAGGTGGGAGCACCTGTTTGAGCCAGGAGGTTGTGGCTGCAGTGAGCCACAGCACTCCAGCCTGGGTGACAGAATGAGATTCAGTCTCAAACAAACAAACAAAAAAAGATACACAGATAGATAGATGATAGATAGATACATAGATAGATAGACAGACACGTAGATAGAAAGAACAAATCTTGGAACTCCCTTCCTCTTCTGAGTTACAGCTGAACACACTTATGTTTAAAGTCTATGCTTTTCAGGCATGGTGCACTCAAGTTGCAAGGAAAACCTGGCAGATTTTCCTAGAACTTCTGATTTTGTTGATACCCTATTAAAATCATCAACATGCCCCTGCAAAATTTGATAAAATCCCAATTTCTTTATAGAACATAAAAACCCATTACTGAGTTGATGGGTGCAACAAACCACCATGGCACGTGTATACCTATGTAATAAACCTGCACGTTCTGCACATGTATCCCTGAACTTGAAGTATAATAAAAAATAAATTAATTTTAAAAATCCATTATTATCATACTTACCTTACTAACTTCTCTTCCTGTCAGTTCTTCCTACTCCTTGAGCCAAGCTGGACTTACTGGTAATTCCCTGAACACTTTTGATTTCTACATGATTTCTATATGCTATTCTTACTAGAATTTTGTGTTTGTGTTTCAAAAAGTGTAGATATAAGACAAAACAAAAAATATATATTTATATTTTATAGAACAAAACCTTAAAGAATCAGTGTCATTTTATGTTAGAGGAGCATGGCCTTGGGTTACAGTCCCCTAGACCCTCCTGATGGTATCCCTTCCCTCTCCTTTAGCTTTATGTGTACTTTGGTGAAAATTTTTAAAAATGCGTGGTTAACCAAAGGACTGCAATAATTGGTGTGGCATGACTCATAAAGCCTTTGCAATTTTTGTTTTATTATGCTTTTATTTTAGCAATGTATAAATTCATTTTTGCTAATACTAAATACACATGCTATTAAGGTGATGCTCATCAGATGATATTTTCAGCAGAAAGGCTATGAGATGCAATGGAAAACAGAACACAGTTTGCTATGAGCAGAAGATAAAAGGCATAGATGCATGCTAAGCCAAAGAAAGATCAAATGCTCAATAGACCCATAAAACTTTCCCTCATGGGTCTATGAAAGAGCACAGTCAAGCTGATAAAAGTTATACTGAAAGGAAGAGTCACTGTTGAAAGAAGATCAATTGAGTAGTGTATTGACCATGGATGCAATTTTCTAAAGCTTTGTAGAAATATTGATGTAATCTAGGAGGGATTACTTTGCAAAATTTGCTGTCTAATTCACCATATTTGAGTATTTTAACCCCACTAAGTATGAGTGTCAGCAAAGACTTAGTACTTGAAAGTGTGCTAAGAGTTCAAAATGGTTAAGAATCTCTGAGTTAAATTTTGCATTTTAAATCAAGAGACTTACCAGTACCTTTTATCATCAAACCAGAACCAGAAAATCAGGGTTGGGGAGGAGGCGGTGGCTTTTAATATAGTAAATCTAAGTATAAATGTATAAAATTCCATTTAAGTCATAGTGCTTCCATGGAATGTAAAGTTGTAACAAAGATGATTCAAATATGGGTATATTATAAACATTTACAGAGATGTATTATTTTGAAAATGGTAAAGACCTCTGCAAATGGCCAGATGGAGAGAATTACACATATACAAAAAAAGTAACATTTTTAGATTAAAAGTTTGCAGATCTTTATCAGAAACCTTTATAAAAGCAAGTAAACTTTTTTCATTGTACATAAAAACATGGAAAATTTGCTAAGTTTCAGCAGGTATTTGGGGTATACAGTTATAGCCACCAAAGAATAATTTTTATGCTCATCTGGAAAGAATATTTTTTCAGGAATAAAGTGTTTTTTCACAGTGAGCTGTAACTGAGTGATTATATATGTATTCATATGAGACACTTTTGAGAGAGGAGGTGCTAAAACAAATTTAAAAGTATTAGTTGATCTATAGCAGGCTTTGTCCAGGCTTTTCTATGAGCAAACTGGAACACACAGTTAATCGAGGAATAATAACTACCTTCTTAATATCATTTGCCATCCTATGCATTATATTGTCCACCATCTCTAAACTCTCTGAGTCTCACCATCGTATTGTTCATAAGCAGTTCTCCATGGATGTCTGTTTCCAAACATCTTGAGAGCACAGGAATTGTCTGCCTTGATTCCAGATAATATATTCAAGAAATTTTGTATGGCAAAGAGCTTTGGAAGCTAGAAATTTGGAGCAAAGATCAAGTTTATTTGTTTGCATCTTTTGTAAGATTTGGATTTTCTAAGACTAGGATTTCTCAGTTCTAACTTCAACCCATTATGTGAACATCATCTGCTTGGGCCATGCCATAATTACCCGCATGGGATTTGGGACTTGGGGTGTCAAGGGGAACTTGCACAAATATAAAGCTCATGCTGCTTGTTATGTCATAAATAATTTGGTCCTTTGTCTTTGAACCAGGAGTCTCATGTCTTCTGCTAGCCTCCATGAATTTATAGCAGGCTAACTTGTTAGCTTACAAGTAGGTCAGAACCTCAGTCCCTTCATAGTTCTTAACACACATCTACAGGGCAAAAGCAAAACAAATAAACACTATAATAGTGATATTCAATCCAGTTGAGCATGAGACAGGGCATTGAACAGGGATTTGGAAGTAAATTGTAATCCCACTGCATTACAACCATTTTTTGAGTTACTCTGTGCAAATTATTTCACTTCTTTCTGCTACTCAATTTCTTTTTTTTAATAAAGGAACTTCTGCTAACATGCAAATGTGTGCATGTGTGTTTTCTTTTTTTTTTTTTCTTTGCCCATTGTTTTATTATACTTTAAGTTCTGGGATACATGTGCAGAATGTGCAGGTTTGTTACATAGGTATACATGTGCCATGGTGGTTTGCTGCACCCACCAACCAGTCATCTACATTAGGTATTTCCCTTAATCTATAAAGTTTTTTTAGAGAGGGTGGTGGCCCTATAAGGTCTAACTCTAAATTCTTAAAACTTGTTAAATTTTTTTCAGTGTTTTTCATAACTCTGTCCCTTATTCCTTCAACAAGGGTTTTTTTGTTTGTTTGTTTGTTTGTTTTGTGTGTGTGTGTTGTGATAACTTAAAAATCAGAAAATATTACATATGGGAAGCTCCTTAGAGATGATGTACTTTAGGGACTTCCACAATTATGTTCTGATCAATCCTAGGTTTCTTCAGAGAAAATTTTGGGTCTCTGAAATGCTTGATTGAACTTTAATTTTCATATACAATTTAATTAAGTTTTAAGCTAATAAGACAGCATGTATAATCAGATGTGTTATAAGCCAAGTGCTAACACATAGAAGACCATCAATGAGTCAACTTATATATTCACTGACATTAAAAATGCAAATGCCATAAAATTCAATTTCTAAAACAAATCTATACTGATAATATATTTATTTTGACTGTTTTTCTATGGAAAGTTAAGAACAATAAATCACTTTGAACAGCCCATTTTACAAATCAGAAATATGAAAAACTAATAGGAATATGAGTATGATGAAAGAATGTGGTTAATTCGAGTAAAGAGAAGACAGAGGAGGCAGGAAGTTAGCTATACATGTATGGAGCTATGATAATTTAGTTGAAGTTTTTTATTCCTTTTGAGTTAAGGATCACGTTTTGTTTCTTTTGAGTTTCTATAGTTAAATGCTGCAATACCATGGAGTGTGGTTAACCAGAGTGAGTTTTCTTCCTATTAGAAATTGTTATTAAAGACTTTGTTACAACTAAACAGAAAAAATAAAGGAATAATCCCATTAAAAAGTATGCAAAGGACTAAATAAACATTTCTCAAAAGAAGACATACAGGCCGAGAGTGGTGGCTCACACCTCTAATCCCAGCACTTTGGGAGGCCAAGGTGGGTGGATCACGAGGTCAGAAATTTGAGGCAAACCTGACCAACAAGGTGAAACCCCGTCTGTACTAAACATACAAAAATTAGCCTGGTATGGTGGCACGTGCCTGTCGTCCCAGCTACTCAGGAGGCTGAGGCAGGAGAATCGTTTGAACCTGCGAAATGGAGGTTGCAGTGAGCCAAGATCGCACCACTGCACTCCAGCCTGAGCGACAGAGCAAGATTCCGTCTCAAAAAAAAAAAAAATGCAAATGGCCAAGTATATGAAAAAATGCTAACCGTCACTAATCATCAGACAAATGCAAGTAAAAGCCGCAATAAAATCATCTTAACCCGGTTAGGATGTCTGTTATCAAAAAGACAATAACAAGGGCTGGTGAGGATGTGGAACTCTCATACATTGTTTATGGGAATGTAAATAAGAATAGCCCTCATGGTCAACAATATGGAGTTTTCTCAAAAAAAAAAAAAAAAAAAAAAAAAAACCCTGAAAATAGAGCTACCATGAGATCCAGCAATCTCAATACTGGGTAGCTATCGAAATGAAAGGAAATCAGTATATCAAAGGGATACCTGGATTCCCATATTTATTGCAGTACTATTCACAATAGCCAAGATATTGAATCAACCTAAGTGTTCATCATTGAATGAATAAAGAATATGTGGTATATATACACAATGAAATACTATATAGCCATAAAAAATAATAAAATCCTGTCATTTGCAGCAACATGGATGGAGCTGAAGGTCATTGTCAAGTGAAATAAACCAGAAGCAGAAAGATAAATATCACATGTTCTCACTCATATGTGGAAGCTAAAAAGTTTCTCTCATGGAGGAAGAGAATAGAATGATAGTTACTAGAGGCTTGGAATGTGGTGGTCAGGGTGGGATGAAGAGAGGGTAGTTAATGAGATAGATAGATAGAAGGAGTAAGTTCTTGTGTTTGATAGCACACTAAGGTAACCATAGTCAAGAACTGTATATTGTGTGTTGTATATTTCAAAATTGCTAGAAGAGGGTCAGGTGCAGTGGCTCACACCTGTAATCCCTGCACTTTGGGAGGCCGAGGTGGGAGAATCACTTAAGCCCAGGAGGTCAAGGCTGCAGTGAGCCTAGATGGTGCCACTGCACTCCAGCCTGGGTGTCAGAGTGAGACCCTGTCTCAAAAAACAAAAAAACTACAAGAGAAGATTTAAAATGCAAAGAAAAGATAAATGCTTAAGGTAATGGATATCCTAAATACCCTGTTTGGATAATTATACCTTGTATGCATGTATCAAAATATCACCTATACCCTGTAGATATTTACAAATATTATGTATCCAAAAAAATTAAAAGGCTTTAAAATGTACATTTCTTCCTTGGCATTGCTACCTCTAATGATGAGATGACAGACCTAAACTTGGGAGAAACCAACCAGAATGAAAAAGAGATATGTATAAAAGACAATATGGAAGAAAAACCACAGAACTTAATGGCAGGTACAAGTACAAAAAAAATTAAACTTTGCTCTTGCATCCTGGTGACTGGGAAATGATTATATTGTTGACAGAAATATGAAAGTTGAACAGAGCAACCGGTTTGGGAAGGAAAAAATTATCAACACAATTTCAGAAAGTTAGGAGTTTGAAGAGATAGCAGAACTCCTGCTCTAAATCTCCAGTGAACAGGTCAGAATTGAGGAGAAAGGCCTAGATAGAATTAGAGATTTGGCAGTCATCTGTGTCCATAGATTGCAGGCTTCATATATCAGATTTTATCTGTTATTCTTGAATCTTGAAGTGCTGGTCATGTGGCAATTTTCTGCCACTCTTTCCAATAAAAAGTCCATATTCTGATTTCCCTGTGACTCAGTAAATTGCCTCAAATCTCATACACTGTTTTTCTTGTTACTGGGTGTCAAACCAAATCTGCCTTTACTTTAAGTGTAAAAGTTTTAAAACTATGTTGTGTATATGCAAACTGGATAATTACATATTCATTTACTGAGAATATGGAAGCATGGAAAAAAACTAATAAATCATTTTCCTCAATCAATGTAAGGAATCTAGGTTTACAAAGGCATATTTGAATTACTATAAAAGAAAAGGAGACCTGACAATTTCTGTTTGATTGTGAGATGTATAGCATCATCAAAATTACAAGGTAAAAGCTGAGGAACATTTTTCTGAATGCTTGAAGAATTGACTGGGTATTCAGCAGAAGCTGAATGAAAATGTCAGGCTAACAATGAAGATTTTGTACTTTATCACACCCTGATGACTGGTACATAGCAAGATTTGATCAGTTTCATAAAAGTAGGAAATTGAACTTTCAAAGACATCGCTAGTACTAGAATATACTAGAATGCTCCTTTAGTATGCATTCAAGTTTTTTAATAGTATGTTACTTGGTTAATATTTATGTCTGTCTCATCCCTTAAGTCTACCTACATTTAAATTTTATTTCTTGGTAAGTATAAAATTATTCTAAGCTTACCTCAGACACTAACAAATAAGTAACAAGGGCTCGATGGGTATCAATTCCATGCCTAACACAGGGCTGGGCATTATGAGAAGTTTAAGACATTCTAATAGAGTAGAATGGTGGTCTCCAGGGGCCACCTGGAGATGGAGAAAATAAGGAGATGTTGGTCTAAGGGTGCAAACTTTCCATTATAAGATGAATAAGTTCTGGGGATCTAATGTATAGCATGGTAACTATAGATAATAATATTGTATTGTACACTTGAAATTTGCAAAGAAAGTAGATCTTAAATGTTCTCACCACACACACACACACACACACACAAATGGTAACAATGTGTTAACTAACTTGATTGTGGTAATTATTTCACTATATATGTGTACTAAAATATCATGTTGTACACATTAAGTGCATATACTTTTTTATTATTATTATACTTTAAGTTTTAGGGTACATGTGCACAACGTGCAGGTTTGTTACATATGTATACATGTGCCATGTTGGTGTGCTGCACCCATTAACTCGTCATTTAGCATTAGGTATATCTCCTAATGCTATCCCTCCCCCCTCCCCCCATCCCACAACAGTCCCCAGTGTGTGATGTTCCCCTTCCTGTGTCCATGTGTTCTCATTGTTCAATTCCCACCTATGAGTGAGAACAGTGCATACACTTTTATTTGTCAATTATATCTCAATAAGGGTAGGGTGGGAAAGTGAGCCAGGACTTCTAATATCCTGCTAGTCAATGCATTTATAAAATGTTATTTAATTACCATGTTCCTATTGTAAAGACTCAGTTTCAATAGTTCATAAATTATTTATTCATTATTGGTGTCCCTGACAAGATAAATAAATATGAAACAGGCTTGCACTTAAGAGGGGAAAAGCCTATGAAAAAATTACAAGCTACTTGGGAAGCCTTTTGGATACTTGTAAAGTAGGTTACTCCAGATTTATTCTGTGATGAGGAAGAATGACAGACTTGGATGGTTTACAGGAGCATCTTGCTTTCGATAGTAAAAGGCACTCATTGGAACATCAGCTTATTCAACTCCATGCCTTTACTTTTAGGGCCACAGGAAACAGGGGTCAATGATGGTGAATGCGTGCTTTTTCTCTTGACAGAAGTAGGAGGATTGAAAGATTCTGGTGCCCTTAAGTGTGGTTGAATTTCTGAACAAATATGATCCTTGCAAGAGTAATTAAAATAAGCTGCTAATTAAAAGCTTTTGTTGTTTAAACTTGGAGAAGCAAATCAAAGTGGCAAGCTTTCACTCCAAGTCAACTCAGTGCTCTTTGACTCCCAGAAGGGCAGCTTGAGACAACATTGCCTAAAAATTTCTTGAATGCCTGAAAGGAGTTGGGTTGAGTTCAGCTTAGAAGTTTAGATTGGAAAAGATGTCTATGTTAGAATAAATCGTGGATTTTTAGATTTAACATTTAGATAGAAAATTACTTAATTTTGATTATTCTAAAAATAAATCTACCATTCCAGTTAGTAGAATAGACATCCTTTCAGCTACCATCTATTGAACTCTTATTAACAGTCTGGCACCTGGTAACTGCATAAGCTTAGTTAAATCTCACAGTAGTATTATGAGGTTGATAATTTAGTTATCCCATTTTTATAAAGAAGGGAAAAATAATGAAGATGTTAAGTAACATTCAAGATTCATTAGCTCACAAGAGTGAGGCTGGAATTGGAACCCAATGTACTGACCCCAAAGCCATCTTCTTTACTACCATATTTTGCCAACCTTGACCAGCTGTAAACTTGAGGAATCCCATACGCATGTGCTGGGTAAAATAGTTTCCAATTACAAAAAGACTTCTAATCTCCATTTTTTTGTACTACATATTACTATTATACTATTTTCTGTAGCTTCTAACAATATATAATACTCTAATAACGACATTGTAATTATTAATAAAAATGACTAATGCAACTCTGTAATTTTCACTTTTAACATGTTACCTAAAGCACTTTTTGCTTAAATGTTTCTTCTTGGTCAATAATTTATTGCTCTTGCTAAACTGAAAAACAATATGTTTGATGAAGTTATTTCATGTAAATGGTAAATCCTTTACATTTAGAAAAAAATCATTTCTCTTGTGTTTTTCATTAATTATAATGGCAGTGATCAATTTTAAATATGGCCTTACTTGCATATTAAAATTGATTTCCTTCCCAGTTTAGTTCTGCAAGTATTACTTATTTAGGAAACAAGAAAAATTATAAAATGTTTTTACTATTCCATGTTTGCAAGGTATGGGTAGTTATTTCTATGGGTCAGATATTTGTTCCAAAATACTATTCCTTTGCTTCCACAAACACAATAATAAAAACAGTTAGGTCTAACATTTATTATTCAATAAATTGATATGTTCCAAATACTATACTTGGAACTTTTTTTTTTTTTCCTCCCCAAGATGGAGTTTCACTCTTATTGCCCAGCCTGGAGTGCAATGGTGCAATCTCGGCTCACTGCAACCTCCACCTCCCTGGTTCAGGCAATTCTCCTGTCTCAGCCTTCCGAGTAGCTGGGATTACAGGCGTGCACCACCACGCCCAGCTAATTTTTGCATTTTTAATAGAGACAGGGTTTCACCATGTTGGTCAAGCTGGTCTCGAACTCCTGGCCTCAGGTGATCCATCCACCCCAACCTCCCAAAGTGCTGGGATTACAGGCATGAGCCACCCCACCCGGCCAGAACTTTTTTATACTTGGAACTTTATATCTATTATCTCATTAATACTCACAACCATCCTATAAAGCAGCTGACATTATACACAATAATACAAGAGCAATGGGGCTTAGATAAGTTAAATAACTCTCCCAAGTCATAAATTAGAAGAGACAAATGATTTTCTAAAACCAAGACTGCCTGCTTCCTAGTACTAATTTTTTACCCTATCAACTTGCTGCATTCAAAATACCTTTGAAAATATTAAAAATTAAACTATAAGTATAAAATAAGACCTTGAGTTCATTTAATATTTGGTTTATTCATAAACATTTTAATGCATATTTTTAAATTTTAGATGAATAGAATTTGATTTAGCTGTAATTCTATAATGCATTTCTTTACATAATTGGTATCATGTTAACTCTTTGTTAGCCTTGTTGACCTTTCCTAGCACTGGTATTCATGTATATGAGCCTGCTTTTGTATTGACAGTGGATATTTCTTCCTTTCCTCTTTCTCTGCACAAATTTCTTTGCTGTCATGTTGTTAGCAAATATTTATTCCATTCCTGCAAGCAGTCATGCATAAAAATATGATAATAGATATTCATGTCCTTTCTTAAACCCCAGCACATACCTACTTAACCATCACGTCATTCAATAATACTTATTTCACCATGACAAGAAGGGCAACATAAATAATTAATATTGATTTCCCTGATCTTGCCTCTAACCCATACAGCTTTCTCAAGTACTGATTGATAGAAAAATACTTTACCTCTGAAGCTGTCTGACATTTAAATATTTAACTCCCATCTCATAGTTCATGAAATATTACTAAAATACACAGAAAAAACTACTTAAAAAGCAGTAATTCAAACTAAAAACTTGAGAAAGCAACTGAAACCAATGAAATCATGTATGATTTTTAAAAGATACCTCTAGAAACTTAAATTCAGGGCATCAAATTTATATTTTTAATCTCCATGAAAGAGGCAAGAACATTATTGCTATTTAGTAATGCAATATTAAATGATATTTTGCTGCATTTCCCAAAGGCAGTAATAACTATTACTAGTAGTTTATTGGTTTATAAAAAAGTACTATCTTAATTCATAAATAGATTACTTTCTCTCACTTCTATTCACCTCCTGCCTTTGACCCGTCAGCTCTGCAACTTTGGGTAAATTACCTCTTTGAGCTTTCCTCACTTTATCTATAAAATGTAATGCAATTCACAGGATTAAATACAAATACACATACATATTATTTGTGTGTGTGTGCATGTGTGTGTGTGCATGCATGCATATGCATAAACAAACGATGCCTGGCATACATGTAGTAGGTTCTCAAAAACTGTGAGTCCCATCCTTTTTTTCCCTTTTTGTATATTTACATGACCTACCTGTGTACACACCTAGTTAAATACCTTATATTTTGCAAGGCTTTCACATATGGTGGGGCCAGGGTGAGGCAAGTGTGCCACTTGCCTTATGCACAAAATTTAAGGTGGTAAGAAAAAAACTCAGTAATTAAGGTGAAATAAAAATTTAGGCAGTATTTTTAAAAATCAGAATTTATCCAAAATTTCCTGATGAACAAAACCTCAAAATATTAAATAAAGGCAAGGTCCACAGGACTGGCATTTCCTTCGCCTCAGCCTCCAGTGTGGCTTAGCCCAGCTCTGCTTTCACCAGCGTTGCCTACACATGTCCCGTAGCTCTGGCCCCCACACAGAAACAACATCCAAGATGTCTGCGTCCTTAGTCGCAGGCCTCCTACATAAGGCAGCTCACAGCCTCATTCCTTATTCTCGGTTTGAGGTTGAAAGGTTTAAATCTTGAATTTGGAGATAGGAATGAAGGCAAAACTCAAGCTGAGAATTTGAGAGAAAGCAAGAATGAGAGAGTATAGAACGTCACAAAGATCTAGCAATGAGGGAGCTTCATTCTGAACTCACCATGCTTGAAAGGCTATAGATGAGCACTGTCTGTTCCCTCAGTCTGCATCAGCTTCATCCAAGAATGATTTTTGATGATGACATTGAATAAGTATCCATGTTTCTGTAATAGTTTTAGGAAGCACAAAATGAACTTCTGGTTCCTCTTAGGCTTATAAATATAAAGGAGTATTCCATAGTTATTTTATCTTCCTATTGGCCTTGAAAAAAATACCCTATTAGTTATCTAAATCCTCATCATGTGTAGGTGTAGAGTCAATGTTAATGGTACTTTTTGATAAATAAAAATGATGACATCCTCCTTCTATAATACCTATTCCCAAATATTTAAATACGCTTCTACTAAAACCAAATCATAGACTAAGTTGGAGTGCTTGGTGTTACTTGGTTTTGATTTGTTCTCTCCTGAGACAGGACACATTTTTGTCTTTGATTTACCCCAAGAGAAAGAATTGTCACCACTGGATAACCCAGTGAGCAGAATAATCAGGCCACTGAGCAGAATGAGTGAGTCATGGTGTTTCTAGTCCTCCATTACCAAATTGTGCACAAAATATATCGCAGCTGGTGCTGCCACGTATGCAGCATTTTAGGTGGGCTATGGACTGCTGGGAAAAGACCATACAAACCTATAGAAAGTCCCTGATTTATTTAACAAGTATCCTGAAATTAATGGAACAGGGGCTCTCCACAGCAGGAAAAGATAGGTAGTATATGGCCTCCCCTTTGCCCCTGGGCTCCCAGAGGGGCACACAGCTGCCAGAAACTCGCTTCATCTGAGAAGACCATGCTAATGTTGAAAATATAGCCAAGTTCTTGCTATGCCACAGTCGCTTAAAATATGAGGCATATAATAACCATATAATATTCCAGTGGCATTTAGGCTAAAAATCTGCATGCTTCCATTATAGAAGCATTTACAAACTTCAGACTCTACAGGTTCTTCTGCACACAAGAATCCCATATCCTCTTCTGGTAGATAACGCAGAATCATGTTTCCCTTTACTGCGTATCTGCCTTTAGAATTCTTGTGTCTATAAAAAACTCTTTTCTAACAGAACACTCCTTGATACAGATTTAGTATGCCTTTACCTAGGTGCTTTCCGTATATAGTGTGATCTTAATAGTCACTTCTCTGAAATATATTGTCTTTACTGTGTGCAAACTTAAGTATTTGTTGGGGTCTTAGATCAAATGAATGTGTTTTAATCCAGGCCTAACTGACTATAAAAGACCGTGTGCTTCGTTACCATGCAGGGTTCTACAGATTGCATACATCAGAATCATCTGGAATGCTTATCAGCACCTCATTGCATCTGGTACTGAATCTTTGTCTTTGGGTATGGGGCCTAGGAATTGTTAGTTTTACAAGCTCCTCATACATGCTGAAGTTTGGAAATCATTGCTTTAATATTATACTGCATCCTGGTTGCACTGATTCCTTCACAATTTGAAGTTCTTGTTGTCTTAGGAAGAGAAGCCTATAGGCTAACAGATTGCCAGCACCCCTGTGACCATTACTGTTTGCTTCCCTCAAAAAAACCACATTGTTGATTGGCATAAGTCCTCTAGTCACTACCTCACCCTGAGCTCAGCTTGCCGACATCTGAATGAACTGGCAGTCAAAGCCATACAGTGCCAAGAGAGTTAGCTTCCTA
This sequence comes from Homo sapiens, assembly GCF_000001405.40. NCBI lineage: Eukaryota > Metazoa > Chordata > Mammalia > Primates > Hominidae > Homo > Homo sapiens. The sequence continues at coordinate 79,140,991 of NC_000012.12, forward strand.
AGAGTTCCTCATGAAAAATGGAAGCCAGGTTTTGCCCCTTGCTTTCTATCTTGAATTTTGTTAAAACAAAAACTATTTTTATCTGTGGAAACAAGCATGTATGCCATCTGTTTTCTTTGAGATATCAAAGTTCAGTATTGTTTTTAATTCAGCAACAAATATTTATTTTGCCCTTCCATATGATGTTTATTCATACTCGTCTCCTTCACCCTACCAGCTTTATCTGATTAAATTCAGTCTATACATTGGTACATTAATATTGTCTGTTAATTTTTTTCCTAATTAAACCTAAGGAATTGTATATTTTAATATACTGTGACACTCTATGTATTCTTTATTTCTTCAAAATTATACTCCTTTGGAAATGTACAAATAATGCGTATTTGTATCTCTGCCATTTCTTAAGCTTATTATTTAGGCACATAATATATATAATATTAGACATGCTGGTTTAACTAAAATAAGCTATTCATTTTGTTTTCTTCCATTTATATTATTGTGGTTATATAGGTTAATATATTTGAAAAACATGAGAAATATATTATAATTAAATTATTTTGAATTTCATAGTCCAAACAAGTAAAACTAATGTTGTTCTAGCACTGACAATGAGACAAAGAGGAGTCATTGAATAATTAGGAAAAAGATAAAAAATATCTAGATTAGCAATGATTATTTAGACATGAAAAACAAGATGATATCTACTAAAATGTATATAAACTGATATTCAGACATATTCCACTTGTCATAATTAATTTGAGCCTTGTGTATGATATTCATTGCTTCTAATGCTCCCACAATTTTTTTCTGTCTTATGGAGCCCATATTTTCTAAGAAACGTCATAGGGCCATAAGGACACCTTGCCTTCAGATGCATAATTCATTAGGTTAAACAGTGTATGTCATTGGCTTGGGTTTCTTTCTTCAGGGTGCTGCCCAAGTGCATCAGAACCCTGTTTAACTGGCAGCAATTTGAGATGCAGAATTAGCATATTGTTTCTTGGGGAATGCCCTTGAATGTGCTTGAGTAGCTTGTTGTGTAAGGCATGAACAGAATTGCCAAGAGCCAGGGAAGAAATGGGTTCCAAGCATCATGCAGTAATCCTGTGTGCCTGTGCATATCTCAAGAAAGCTCCTCAGGAAATGTCAGATCATTGCTGAATGATTAACGCACAGACATTGCAGACCAGAGTTATACCTGGGGACTCACAGCTCACTCATATTACAGCACACCTGTGCAAAATTCCAAAGCGAGGGATCCCTGTGGTGCCAGGTAAGCGTCTCACCTTCACTACTAATGCTCTAAAGTTACAGCTGAGAAATTATTGAGAAGTTAAGCTACAACTTTGCTACAACTTGAAAACTTACATTTTTCACCTTTGTGGGGATGGAGCTTAATATATTTGTGTCCTGGGAGAGACAAAATGTAGAAATAAATAGAGGGCTGGCTTGGATAAAGTATACTAAAAATGTGACCATAAAAAGATGTAAAGAAAAACAAATCAACTTCCATGTGGACCAATCATGAGAGCTTAGAAATACGACTTTTTATTAATCTCACATGCCAAGAAACCATCCCTTACTAAAATGATGGAATGGAATATTTCCATTTGGCAAAATGCTTGCAGGTGAAGCAAAATTTAATCAATCAAATTCAAATATTAGTAAAATGAGGAGAAATAAACTCTAGGCAATTCATAATTTCATAAGAACTCTCATTTGTCTTTTGAGCAAAGAATAAAATAGCTATCATTGCTTTTAATCACTGGAGAACCAGAATTCTTTTTAGACTTCCATCACTTACTGTTGAATATGCTTGTGTATGAGTCCTCCAGTGTTCTGAACCAGAGAATAGTTTCTTTATGGGATTTGTGTCTGCTGCAGAATGCTTGGAGGAATATCATTTTTGCTTGCAGAAAATTGAAATAGGCATGGTCTATGTCTCAAGTGCATTTTAAAGTAGGAGGTCAAGTACAACTCCTTGGCAAGTGAGAAGCAGACATAATAACAAAACTTCAAACCCTAGATTGTCTTCATGTAACCTTGTGGGTCTATGATTCTAAGAAAATCCTACATTTAAAAAAAAGATGGGTGATTAGGTATAGAGAGCAATATACAGTTTTCTCTGATGATACTCCAAAAATGGATTCTTAAGAACAGACCCTGTTAAGATCTTTCCATGTTGCTAGGAGCAATTGTTACCATAGGAACAATGGTACTAGTAAGCATCATTTATACACACATAACATCCAACCCAGAAAGTGATTTAATTAAATTACCTTTACAATTATATACTGTTGTCTTTTGCAGCGTTTTCATGTGTATAGTACAACTTATTAGGCCCTCTTTTAGGTAAGCTTATGTAAATTTGCTCACTGGTAACTTTCACTGGTTTATATCCTCAACCATTTTGTTACATTGAAGTTTAGTCTTTCTTTGGCATAGAAGAAAAAAAGATTCAATATTCTGAGCTCAATTGTCATTTTTGTAGGGAACTTTGAGTCACAGCAGTGATGGGTGCTCAGCCCTGATGGGGCTGCTATAATCAAATAAGAAAATCAAAGAAAATGTTGACACTGCTGCAGATTTAGATTGTGCTTCACCCACAACCCAGTCATTTTATGTTGAGTATTATTTTGAAAACATAAAATCAGAACAAGTAGTCATCCTCAAATTCCTTAAAACATTCTTTTTTTAATTTTTCATTAAAAATCACATTCTCTGATGAAACTGAAAAGAATTCAGCTCGAGCAACGTTGGAAAATGCTCCTCTACTTCCCCCCTTAAAAGAATAGTTAATTAGACTATATTACAGATACTGATTACAGGCCTGTGGTTTGCTGTTGAAAGAATATGCTAGCTCAGGTTACAGATCTTTCTAAAGCCGAAAGAAAGAAGTATGAATTCAGGTTGTAAATTGTTAACATATTGCCAGAAAACAAATTGGGAGATGCGGTCCTCTGCTGTGATGTGGATTTGTGCCATGATTGTGGATTTCCTGAAATACTCTTAAGTAGAGAGTCTTAGGTACTGGGGAAGATAAAGCACACCACACTTGACTGCAACAGGCTTCAGCTAATGGCACATCCATCCTCACCTCCTTGATCTGTCATTTCCTCCAAAATTAGCTCATTTAGTTTACAATGCATCAAATTACTTTTCAGTCTCTATCAATAAAGTGTGCCATCTATTATTACAACTGTGGAATATACTGGCAGGCACCAGACTTATTTCTCCTGAATCTCAAAAGTGGACAGGAAAAGCAGAGTCAATAACACCTATTAGCAAGGATTATGCATTCAGCAGTGTATATAAAATACTGGGTTCTTTAAAATATAATAGAGAACAGAGCTATCAGTCCCAGGGCTCAAATCCCTTCCCTGACATTTTTCAGTAAGACGCTTCCTTTTTTACCCCACCGCCCAGAAGGGCATGTCTCAGCAGTTTCCTCAGCCCACATTGGGATAAGGGAAAGAGGCTTCTGATTTTCTGTGCAAGGACCCTTTCCAAGAGCATCCAGATGCCAGGCATCCATGGCCCAGGATGTACAATTCCCATTTACAAACAAACTGGGCTAGACAGCACCAGGAGGTAGATGGCTCTTGCAACAAGACCCATCATCTGGGTCAGCCAGTGCAACTATTGACCCGACACTAGGAAGACCAGAATACCTCTCAAACCTCTTCACACCCTGGCTCATTTCGTTTAAGAGACTTATTTCCCAAGAAATTGGCGTGGGATAAGCTTCTAATAAGCTTTCACTTTAAATTACCAATAATTCTGTTTTACCTTTTCAGGGGAGAAATACTCTTGAATCCATCTGCACTGTCAAAATCAAAACACTGTTTCATCCTATTTAGCTATAGCCTGAAGGCACTTTCTAAATTTTGTGTCATGTTAGTGTTTAACACATTCAGAGCTTGGTACCCTCAGTAACGAAGAGTTTCAGAGTCTGACCTTGCCCTGGACAATTTGTTTTTTTCCTACAAACATCATAGAAAGAGCAAGAACCTTGGTATTAGCAACTTTCTAAGCTTCAGTTTACCTGTATAGAAAATAAAGAACATCACTTTACTCCATAATATTGGAATATTAATGAGGATCAAGCTAGATAATGCATATAAAAGTACACAGGACAGCATCCAAATTACTACTCTTGTTCATTTCTACTCTTCCCTTAAATGCTTTAGATGGTAACAAATCCACTTAATATTCTGGAATGTGTACTATACATGCTTAATAATATATTATCTAATTTTATAAATCTCTATAGCTTTGACTCATCTTGATTAAAAACATATTTTTCTAATTTTATTTAGAATATTAACATTTTTAAAAAATATGAATTAACAACCTTTGTCATTTTGTTATATGTGAATTTTAAAGATCATAATCTTCATAACTCATCAGAAATATTTAAATTAATATTTATTTTTATCTGATTCTTTCTATGACTTTAATAATTTTTTATCTAATTCTTTACATGCAATAATTAGTAATAGCTAACAAGTGTATGGTATGTATGCTTACAATGTCCAAAACACCATGACCATTTTTAATGATTTTACATATTAAAATTTACTACTCATGACAACAACCCAATGAGATTGACATCATTACCAACAGCCTAGTTTTGCAAATGTGTAAATTGTGGCACAAATGTTTTATATAACTTCCCCAATATAACACAGCTAATTTTTCAAACCCAAATAGTTGGACCCCAGAACCCAAGATTTAAACATAGTGGTTTTTTTTTTTTTTTGTTTGTTTGTTTGTTTGTTTTTTGAGACGGAGTCTCGCTCTGTCGCCCAGGCTGGAGTGCAGTGGCGGGATCTCGGCTCACTGCAAGCTCCGCCTCCCGGGTTCACGCCATTCTCCTGCCTCAGCCTCCCAAGTAGCTGGGACTACAGGCGCCCGCCACTACGCCCGGCTAATTTTTTGTATTTTTAGTAGAGACGGGGTTTCACCGTTTTAGCCGGGATGGTCTCGATCTCCTGACCTCGTGATCCGCCCGCCTCGGCCTCCCAAAGTGCTGGGATTACAGGCGTGAGCCACCGCGCCCGGCCTAAACATAGTGTTTTAAGTCCTGTGGAGGAGAGGGAAAAGCAAAAAGCTAACAGCACAACAACAAAACAAAAACCACTTCAGACTTCAAGGAGTTTTTAATCATGAGAATGTACAGCCTGTGTCCTAACCATCTTTCAGCCCTAAACATATTCCCACAGACAGGCAGCACATTCATACACCCTCAGACAACACACTACTCCGTCCTCACACTTTAGAGTAGAACGCAAGTTACAAGACAATGTCAATTAATGTTGTTGTAGGAAACAGTCCATTGGAAGGACTGGAACTGTCAGCTGTATGTCAGGCTCTTTCCCTGTACTGTCTCATTCAATCTTCGTCACTTTAGAGAAAACTGAGGCCTAAGAAAGTTCATTACCTTTCTGAAGACCACACAGATAATTATGAAAGTTTTAGAATTCAACCCTCATTCTGACTTCAAAGCCTACAACACCACCACACCACAGTACAGAGGCCTTAACCCAAACTTCCAGTTTGAGAAGACAATGCTTTGAGTAGTGTGAAATGCTAATCTTCTCCAGACATTCACCTCAGAAGCCAGGAGACATTAATAATTAAACAAAAAGGAGTGTCTGTACTTCAACAATTCTGGAAAATAATAAACTTTAAAACATGACCTTATGAAATGATATGGTAGAAGAATAAACAGAGGCCATTGAAGTTCATCAAAGGATGTTTTCTGAACGTTTTTAGATCTGACCTGGGTTTTAAAAAAATTGTGTAAAGTGTCTACAAAGTAAAGGAGATAAAAGGCTAAACAGCATATATCTACTACTTTTTTTTGAGATGGAGTCTCACTCTGTCGCCCAGGCTAGAGCACAATGGCACGATCTCAGCTCACTGCAAGCTCTGCTTCCCGGGTTCAGGCCATTCTCCTGCCTCAGCCTCCTGATTAGCTGGGATTACAGGCGCCCACCACCATGTCCGGCTAATTTTTGTATTTTTAGTAGAGAAGGGGTTTCACCATATTGGCCAGGCTGGTCTCGAACTCCTCACCTTATGATTTGCCTGCCTTGGCCTCCCAAAGTGCTGGGATTACAGGTGTGAGCCACCGTGCCCGGCCAGCATATATCTACTTTAAAAAATAAATAAATCTTCAGAATGTACACATTGTTTGTAAACTGAATCTTTGTAATCATTACCAAAAATTAAGCTGTCTACTCTTCATATTTGCTCTCTTCCTCCACCTCTTAGCTAATATAATATTTATTCTTAGCTATTATCTCCTTTATTTTCTAAGTATATGAAAAGGAAAGACAGGCCTTTAGAAAATATATTCTTAGTGTTCCCCTAATCACAAACTTTCTTGAAAATTAAAAGACAAAGAAAGGAGCTGAAGTATGTTTAAGGTGTACAGCCTATTTTTTTTCTAGACTTACACTGATTTTTAAAATATTTTTGTGAATTTTGAAACTGGGGGAAAAAGAGTGTTACAATGTTCGTTACAATAATTGTAACTTAAATTTGGACAATTTTAAGTAGGCTTTGTGAGGTTAAACAGTATTAACAGATCTTAAACTCAAAAGTTTGATAACTATAACTACATTTCTTACAATACATTCAGTACCAAATGCAAGTAGCTAATAATTAACTTGAACAGTCCCATCACAATGATTAAAAATATGTCAACTGACACAAAGGAACTGTTATACCTAATGAGTTCATAAAAGTCTGAGATTACCTACAGGAAGAAATATGAAATATCAATCCTGAATATTTTAATGTTTTAGTATTTGTAAGTCAGGGTGAGGGTCAAACGTAAAATTTTTCAAGGATGTATAAGGGAATTTGTATTTGGTGAAATAGTAATGAATTTCAGCACTAACATATAATTGGTTTGAAATAGGAAGTTTTGATGCCACATCTGGAGAACAGAATAATATAATCCACAACAGGTAGTAATTACTTACTGAAGGTAATTGTAATGCAGCTTGAGTTGTAAACATTAATGAAAAAAAAGATTTCTAAGCAAATAAAATCTCACGCATCAAAAAGACAAAAAGTTTGTGATAAATGGTTCATTTAGGCATGCAGTGCTGTGTGGGCAAAATTGGATTGCAATCATAGGCATTTCAAAAAATGAAAACATTAGGAGAAAAGAAAATTGGACAGAAATGGCAGGGAAATTACAGCCTTTGATCCATTCCGAAGAACTTTTTTTTGAAGCATCATTATGAGTGGGCAGCAAACTCCTTCCAATCTTCTGTTAAAACTTTTATGAAACCCTGGAGACCACAAGGTAAAAATAATCAATTTAGGACAGACCATGGAAATATTTTTCAGTGATAATCTTTTTTTCCCGTAAAATTGTACAAAACTAATTCCAATGTTAAATTGCTATCTGGTCTTGAAATTGACACTTTTAATTTCAGGAGAAGGTCTTTCCTGAATCATTTTTGACCTCTTCAACTAACGATCAGTTATTAGACACATGCTTCACGGTAAATTATATGGAGATGGCACAATTTCACAAAAATAAAGAGTATTGTAATGCTCTTACTGATATATCATTGAGAATATCATGGGTCCAAGAATCATACCTTTAATAATCACACCTTGAAACATAAATGGGCACTATGCTATGGAAACAGATCTTTGGCTATTGTAAATAATGCACTATAGTTTCCAAAGGGCTGAGGTGCTATATCTGTATGTGCAAAAACTTAAATTAATCCCTACAGCTTTGAAACAATGATGATGATAGACTTGTTCAATTGCTATTAAAATGTCTGTAATTTGATTGTAAACCATTAATATTCGAGATTACCGATTGGCTTTCCTTATTAAACACTGGTAATTAGTCATTTCATGAGGATTTTTGACCTTTATTGTTAAATCTAGGTTTTTAAATTAGCGTCTCAATATCGTTTAAATTAGTTCTTGTATATAAGATTATTTTAAGTTATTATCTTTGGAAGAATGTTACATCCTAAAGTTAAAAAGGAGAATTACTGGCAAATAAGTATAAGAACATTACTTTATATTTGAGTAAATAGTAGCTTTATTCTTCTGAGAGGGCTGTTTAAATCAGATTTACAATGCCTGAAGCAAAATCTAGATTTATTTTTTTACTTTATTTGACTTGACTACATTCTGTTTTCATTAACATTTTCTATTTGACCTTTTGAATTATAGACCCCTTCTAACCTAAAAAGATGTTATTATGAAAGAAGAATGTGTTTGTTTTGTATCTTTGAAAGTGAATACTGGTTTTATTGCTATTTGAAAATATTACTTAAAATATAGGGAGGTGAAATTTCAAATGAAATGACTGAAATATGTTTTTTCTGTCAAGATTTTTAACTCAACTATGGGTAAAGTAGTTTCTAGGATTTATTAATCTGCAAGTTCTATAACTAAAATGAATCATTTGCATGACACTTTTAAGGTTGTAATGGTAATTTTTCTAAATTATCCCTAACAATGTTTAGCATCATAAAATAGTTTCCTAAATAGCCTTTTTCTTAGGTCATTGTAACATATAACATATTTTTTTAATCTGAAAGAGATGAAAATCCTTGCCTTTGCCCTTGAAGAATCCATACTTTATGGAAAAGATTGATAAGTGATAAATTTAAAAATAGGGTGATGAGTGCTGTAAGGGAGGTGCTTAAACATCACTGCCTCAGGGACTGCTAGACTAGATTATATCCCCTGTGATAGACTGCCTTAGCACACTGAACTTCCCCTGTTAAAATGATCCACATTCTACATGGCAATTACGTTTTTCAAATCTGTATTCATAATAGACCATAAACTCTACACTGGCCCCACACCTTCTCTCTTGCTCACTATAGTATCTTCAATGCCAAGCATCATTTCTGACACATAGTAGCTGACTTATACATACTCACTGAAGAAATAAGTAAATGAGGGTGAATGAATGAAAGGTCTGAAACGGTGTTTTGTTATGTAACCCAGATTAGACTAGTTTTGAATTTTTTATTTTTAATTTATAAATAGTAATTGTATATGTTGATGGGGTCCAGTGAGATGTTTTGATATTTGTATACAACATGGTATAATTAAATCAAGTAATTAACATATCCATCAGTTCATATTCTAGTGTTTCATGGTGAGAGCATTTAAAATCTACTCTTTTAACAATTTTGAACCGTACATTATTACTAACTGTAGTCTCCAACAGATGAATAAAGAAAATGTGGTATATACACACAATAGAATACTATTCAGCCATTAAAAGGGAAATTCTGTCATTTGCAACAACATGAATGAACCTAGAAGACTTTATTCTAAGTAAAATAAGCAGGCACCAAGAGATAAATATTGCATGGTCTCACTTATATATGGACTCTTAAAAGTCAAACTCACAGAAGTAGAGTAAAATGGTGTTTACCAAAAGGTGTATTGGAGAAGAGGGGTAGTGGGACTTTGGTCAAAGGATACAAATTACAATTAGACAGGAGGAATAAGTTTTTGAGATGTAGTGGACAGCATGGAGACAGACCATAGTTAATAATAATGTATATTTCAGATCAGACCATTTTTAAATGGGCACTGAACTGTCATAAAAGAAATTCCAAGTGAACATGATGAGGAGGGCACAAAAACAAGATGATAGTCATGCCAAGGTGCAGAGGTGAGAAAGAGCACAGAGCAAGTTAAATCAACTGCAAGGAATCTGGAATGATTGGGCATTCATAGAATAGTATTGCAGAATAATTGCTTAAGATATTATATTGTATTTTGTTGTTGCCCTCCTCCATTTCGAGCAAGTAACCCATTACTTGTCTAAAGGCATTTTCTTTTCAGAGAAGAAAGGAGAAACAGCCAGGAGTCATTAGCAGTTCTTGTTTTTTATGAGAGTTTAAATGTATTGAAGAGATACGTTAAGTGCCTAGAAAAAAGGAAAATAAAGGGGAGCATGATTTTGAGGACAAGGAGGGAATAAGAAGAGCGACTCCTCGAGATAAGAAAGGGGAGCTAGTTTGTCAGGACCGTAAGACAATGGTAATGACTGTGCCACAGACCCAGAGGCTGCTGGCTTCACCTCAGAGTCCTGTGTCCCAATGACAGAATGAAGAAAAGGGAAGATGGGGTGATAAACCTATTGAAGAAACCACACTGGCTGAGAAATTGGGCATGTCAGAGGTGTCAAGGGTTGGCAGAGGAATTATGACCAGAGGAACTTCCATTCCTGCTTGGCATTCAGTAAATTCCTGGGACTTCGGAACAACCTGGAGATTATAAAGTTCCATATTTACTAAGATTGACATTCCCACCTGCCAGGAAGAATGGGAACTTGGAGTCAGTTTTAAGATGATTTATGAAAATAAATAAATGCAGTAGTTTTGTCATTTGAATTTGCAACTTGAAATTCATATGTGCTACCTAACCTAGAAAGACAGGTTAGAGGCACATCACTGAAGGGATCATATATCAAGCTAATACATTTGAAATTGATTCTGAAGAGAGTCGGCCATTAATGGTTTTTAATCAGGAGAATAATAAAAAACATCACCCTAATGATGACAAAAGGTTGGACTGGACAGCAACAAGACTAGTGGGAAGTTGACCAGGTACAGCCAATATTGCAGTCGAGTTGATGAGCTGGACCAAAGATTATGAGTATAGAAAGGAGCTGATGGTTTGAGAGCTATTTAGGCTGTAGAATCACCTTGATTAGATGTCTGTGGTGAAGTAAAAACAAACCTCAGAGCACTCCCAAGTTCCTGGTTCACAGCAGGGCAGTACAGAGGAGATGTAATATTATCATTTGTCCCAAAAAGTACGAGGGATGTGCTGACGAGAGAAGGGAGAAAATGATATGGAGTTCAGGAGAGAGAAATTGGGGGCTTATCAGCAAAGTTGAATGTCAAACCACATAAAAGAGACATGGCCCAGAAATGTATAGATAGTAAAAGGGCTGAGAAAAGAACTGTGTGTATTCAGGAAGTTTCAAAGAAGACTGAGGAAGAGTGAGCACAAAGCTAGAAGAACAGTAGAGAATGATGTCACAGGAGAAGTGAGAGGAGAAATTTTCTGGAAGGAGAGATTAGTCAACTGTGACAGATACTACTAAAGGGAGAGAAATTAAAATAAACTTAGGAAATTTGAACGATAAGACTTTAGATGACCTGCGAGAAAAGAATGTGCAGATGTAGGGGGATAATGTGGAAACCAGACTTCAATGGGTCAAAAAGGCAGTTCTAAGTGATGATGTAGATATGTTACAGAATTTGATCAGGAGGAGAGAGGGAGATGCAGGACTCTGAATGGTTTTTAGGACATAGGAAGTTGGCAGTGGAAAGGAGTGAGATACAAACAGACATACCTCTTCTATTGGCATGGAAGGGTGGTTGGAATCCTTATGAAGTGAGAATCGTTTTGCACTTTGTATAGGGCAGTTAGAAGTGGAAGAAAAGTGCCAGCTATCACGGAGATTGTTGTTTGTTTGCCTCTATTTTCTGAAGGGAAATGTATGAGAGAGGAATTATCTGTTATATGAGGAATATTATGTGAGGAATTATATATTCCTCATATAATCTCATATTACCTAAATATTTATCCATTATATCTATTCTATGAGAAATTGTGTGGAGGTATCTCTATAAAATGAGAAAGGAATTGTATGCTGAGAGTGAGGACACAGCTTGGAATATTAATGGTTTAGAAGTAAGCATAGTAAGTATTTGAAGAATAGAATGGAAAGGGAAGCTTGACTAGGGACAGGTGAAAGGGGTATTATAGAAATTTTTGCTAGGAGCAAAGCTTTCATTTTGGGTCCAAACTATGGAAACTAATTAACTGATGATGCTTCATAAAAAGCAAGAAAAATGTAAAAAAAAAAAAAAAAGTAAGAGAAATTAAGACCTAGGAGAAACCTTAGGTTTTACCCATTATTATTATCCTTCTCATTTATATAAGAAAATTATTACCCTTCTCATTATATATAAGAATATTCAAGACCCTTTAATTTAAGGTAAGCTACATTAATCTTGACAATAAGCTATAAGTGCCTATTTCCCAAGTTGTCATCGATGACCAAAAAACAACCCCAAAAAAGGCATTAAACTCAAAAGGAACCCTCACTGGGAGAGGTTGAGGGAAACGGGGCTGAGTTCTAGCCCAAGACATAGGTATTTCCAAAATTATTTAATTTCACAGGTTTCTCAGCTTTTGTCATCTGGAAAATAAAAACCTTAAATTTAATAGTACTTATGATCTCTATAATCAATTGGATGCCAATCAGATCAAATTCACCTGGTTTCAAATTTAACAATAAACCTATGCCCCTAGCTAGCTATCTGGAAAATTGTAGGTCGGAAGAAGAGCCATTGAACATGTTAGAAAACTCTGTTCTGTTTCACTACCTAAAAGAAAAATCGAGTTACAATTTTGATGGTTTATTGGCTACCCTAATGCAATCTATGTTATAGGATGGCTGTGGTTAAAAACTCAGTTGATGAACAATACAGACACATTAATTATGACTGGAAAAAATAAACATAAGCACAGAGGATATAATGCATTTTGTATGTAAATTATCCTGCCTTATGATAATCAAACTATGCAGCAATGGTAACCCTTCTTACTATAATGGTTATTTTCAAATGCTTTTACTTCGTTAAGTGGACTTCATAGATGATAATCTCTGACATAAAAATCATTCAATTGTCATCACTATTTCTTCAGAAAATTTGAAAGTTCATAGGTCTTTACTTAAAATGAGTCATTACGATGGTGCTATTTTTCTTTCTACTGTTTGTCTGCCCATGTATTCAATTAGACATTTGAGGTTCAGAAATAAAATCAAGTTGAATGTTTATCAGTTGGATATAAAACATGTACCCACATGGAAATCACTGTTGCTAATAATGTTGTCTCTATTTTACAGTCAGAGAAATTGACATTCAGAAAGATTAAAGAACTATGAAAACCAAGCAGATTTTAGTTGACAAATCTGAGAATCAAGCCCCTGACTTTATAAACTTAAAGTCCATTGATGTCCACTCTATAGCTTAGACTTCAGATACATTCTGCCAATCATTAGTGTGAAGTTAGGCTGAGACCTACTAGCTCATGTTACTACTAACCTGATTCTTGGTTAAATTTCTGTGGTGTATATCAGAGTTAAATATTCACAGGTATGTTAAAGAGCCACTGAAGAGCTCTTCAGAAGCTCTTCAATTTCAGAAGCTCTAAAATTTCAGAAATCACAAGAAAACTATTATTTTAGTTTAGTTAAATGTTACCTTAAAATATTGGTTAACATGTATTGAGTACTTACCCCATTGTTATGAGAACATTATGGGTAGGAATTTATTTAATCCTGAAACAACTCTATGACATAGGTACGTTTTTTTCTCCTTTTTTTTTTTTAATAAATGAGGGATCTGAGGGACAGAGAAGTTAAATACCTTGACAAGGTCATACAGCTTGTAAGTTTTGGAGCTAGATTAGGAAGCAGTCTGACCCCAGAATCTATGCTTTACACCACTGTCAGGTAGAGATAATGGGGGGAAAAAGAGCAAAACATTGAATTCAATGATTACTTACATTTTGATGAGAAGCAGGAAAATCCCTGTAGAGTGAAGCATTTAGAAAATAATGGTGTTGGGGCATGTGATAACTAAATGAGGACCACATAGTAACAAACGGAGAGAACTTCAAACACTTCGTGAAAGGGTCACTGAGGACATATTGCTTCATAGTTTCACCTGGAATGTGTGAAGATAAGTTTAGAGGGAAAAGCATATGGACTTGAGGCCTTGGAATCAACATGACAACTAAGGTTTTGGGGGAAAAAAATGCTGTTTCACTCCACTGAAGGCATATTGCACCACTTAGAGGTGCTTATTACTGAATACATCTACCAAGAAACATATGAAAGAGCCAGGAAATTATCTCTACTCCCACATGAAACAGCCATATGGCCATGGCACCACAATTTCACTCTTCTAAGCTCTTAAGCTCAGGATCTGATGAGCAAGAAAACATAAAAATAAATATTTAGCTAAATTTATGAGCCAAGTGTAGAAATTAAAAGTATATCAACATCAAGTTAATGGAAACAATGAAAATATATTATAAAAACAGAAAAATACATCTTGCTAAAGGACAAGCTAAAGAACTATGTTCATTGCCATGAAAGACCAAACAAATGTAAGAGAGATAAAAATAAAGCAAGAGATTATAAAGAGATATAAGAAAAATCATTTTATTGAAGAGCTAATCAAATATTAGAATGGGCTGCCAAGAGGGATTATAGAGGCTCTGTCTCTGAATATCAGAAGGGATGCTGTTCATCCTCATTAGTTAAAAATTCAGATGTTGGAAGGCAGGGACTCCCTAGGATCCCAGTGTTAATATAGAAATCCATACTCAGCTGTAATCATTGTCTCTGAGGCATTAACAATCCAAACATGCCTGAGTTTCTCTGTTGACATTATATTCTTTTAAAATAGGGTAAAACTTTCTTCTCATCTAGGCATCAAATCAACTGTAAAGATTTTGTTTAAAATCTGTGAGTAATTTAGTAGTGTCCTAGATTCACAGTGATGTCCCTAAATAACACAAAATATGTTTTAATGTACTTTATATATCAGAAAAGACAGCCTATTACAGTTATGTTTCCATCAATGCATTCTTTATCACAATTACAAATATCTAGTTTCACTTTTAAAATGTGCATTAAAATGGAACAAACTTCTCTGACAGACTTTTAGTGATGACTCCATTTCAGAAGGGAAAAAGCCAAAGGGAATTCTTCTGTTGCCTTCCGGCCTCTCTTGTGTATTTCCTCTTCACAGAGTAGAACTTGAATACTTTCAACCAACCAACGTGAGATGGGAATTTGTTAACAATTACATAACCTCAGTGGATAACTTGATTGCCTAATCAGCCATTGTTACATGTGTGGAGCAAATTACTAAATCATGTACTCAGTCTCTAACCAATCTTCCTAGAGGAAAAACATATTAAAATCTACTTAGGTCTAACATCTGGTCATTGTATATCTATCAAGTACCGTATGCCAAGTGTGTTACATATACGACTTCATACTAAGAACAACCTTGGACAAGATGAGTATTATTATTATTCATTTTACAAGTGACAAAACCGGAACTCAATAGGGTTTGACAGAATGAACTGACAGAATTGTGAAGCTAATCCAGAGAGGTTTATCTGACTTAGAAAGCCCACCATCAGTGAGCGAGGCCGTATGACCTCATTTTAATCAGGGAAGCTCACTGGTGTTCCTTGTATACACAGATGGCTTGTACGGGTAAATTATCTGTGTATGTGTGTAACCCTTTAAGGTTGTTTGCCTTCAGAGACTATTCTTACCCCCAAACTGCCTGAAAACTGTAGGCTGTTCAGTTAATTGTTGTGGTTGTTGCTGCTGTTGTTGTTGTTGTTGTTGTTGTTGTTCTTGTTGTTGTTGTTGTTATGGAGTCTCGCTCTGTCTCCCAGGCTGGAGTGCAGTGGCATGATCTCAGCTCACTGCAACCTCTGCCTCCCAAGTTCAAGCAATTCTCCTGCCTCAGCTTCCCAAGTAGCTGGGACTACAGGCACATGCCACCATGCCTGGCTAATTTTTTGTATTTTTAGTAGAGACAGGGTTTCACCGTGTTAGCCAGGATGGTCTTGATCTCCTGACCTTGTGATCTGCCCGCCTCAGCCTCCCAAAGTACTGGGATTACAGGCGTGAGCCACCGCACCTGGCCTGTTCAGTTAATTTTTAATTCAATTATTTAATCAAAAATCATCAAAATTTAACACAACTTAAAGGTTCTGATTAGATGTACTCAGTGACTTCACTCAGAGAAGGGTCCTACTTGGCGAGCATGACTGTCACTTGTCACAAGCAAACACTTCCAGGTCACCTTTCCCCTCACCAATACAGGCAGGAAGTGTCCAGAGCTTCACCTCTAGAATTGGCTTAGGCAAGAGAGAGACAGACTGATGGGGAGGAAAAGAGGAGGAGGGAAAGGCGGTGTCAGGGTGAGGTGCAGAGAAGAGGAACTTGTAGAGTTCAAGTAGACTGCCTAGACTGATCCTGGGTCTGGGTCACCCATCCCTGCTCCTGCCACCTCTGCACCTGCTGCAGTTAGTACCCTCTCCTTTCCACTGTCAGGCAAGCTTGTCACGCAAGACAAAGTGAACTGCTTGCCGTTTATTGCAAGGGAACTTTTTAGCAGTGACCTTTAAAAGCACCACATCCTATAGGCATGACTATCATTCACCCTTTGCATTGATGCAGGTGGCTGAAGTATGACACCAGGTTATGCACCTTGGGCAATTAAAAATTGCAAAAGACAGACTGACACTAGGTGAAAAAACCAAAATAGCTACTTCAGAATCAACCTCCATCCCGTCGCTATTTAGAGACTTCTTTTTTGAAATAGAAAGTGACAAAAAGTCCCCCACTTTAAATGAAACCTAAACATGTTTAACTCTGTCTGTACAAAGAACCTGACAAAAATAATGTACTCATTTGACCTTATATGATAAATATGTGCTTCCATTCCATGTTGGTTTGATGGTACTGTTCATCTAATAAATACTTATGGAGTATTGGACAAATGTCAGGAACTAGATTGGGTATTAAGAATATAAGGAAAAAACAGGATATTGTCACTGCCAGTGAAAGACTGGCTTTATAATTGGAAAGGCAAACAATTATAGGACTTTGTACTAAGAGCTTTAACCTTACTATGCCCTGGAATTCTTCTAAGTGATTTAAGTATATTAACCCAATAATTCTCCCAACAACTTTTCACATGGTTGCTATTATTATCCCCCATTTTACTAATAGAGAAAATAAAGCACAGAGAGGTTAAGTGACTTACTAATTTATTTATTAATACCTCTGAAACTAGGACTCAAACTCAGGCAGCTGACTCCAGAGTCCACATTTACATCCACCATGGTATAAAGGAGCAGTCCCCAATTTTGGCATTGGGGACCAGTTTCATGGAAGACGATTTTTCCATGGACCAGTGGGGAATGAACGGGGTGGTTTCGGGGTGATTCAAGCACACTACATTTATCATGCACTTTATTTCTATTATTATTACATTGTAACATATATACATATGTTACAAGTAACTACATATGTACAAGTAACTACATAACTCACTATCATGTAGAATCAGTGCGATCCCTGAGCTTATTGTCCTACAACTAGATGGTCCCATCTGGGGGTGATGGGAGACAATGACAGATCATCAGGCATTAAATTCTCATAGGGAGCACACAACCCAGATTCCTCACATGCACAGTTCACAATAGGGTTGGCCCTCCTGGAAGTATCTAATGTCACTGCTGATCTGACAAGAGGTGGAGCTCAGGTAGTAATGTGAGCGATGAAGAGGGGCTGTAAATACAAATGAAGCTTTGCTGCTTACCTGCCACTCACCTCCTGCTGTGTGGCCTTGGTCCTGAGAGGCCACACACCAGTACTGGTCCATGGCCTGTAGTTTGGGGACCCCTGCTATAATCACCTAAAATAAGAGAGTGACCCTTTCAGGGGAACCAGGAAATATTTCTGAGTAATAATAATAGATGATAAAAGGCCAGGCATGGTGGCTCATACCTGTAATCCCAGCACTTTAGGAGGCTGAGTCAGGTGGATCGCTTGAGCTCAGGAGTTCAAGACCAGCCTGGGCAACATGGTGAAAACCCATCTCTACAAAAAATACAAAAATATCTGGCTGTAGTGGAGCACACCTGTAGTCCCAGCTATTTTGGAGGCTGATGCAGGAGAATCACTTGAGCCCAGGAAGTCGAGGCTGCAGTGAGCTGTGATCACGCCACTGAACTCCAGCCTGGGTGACAAGTGAAACCTTGTCTCAAAAAAAAAAAATTGATAAAAGATAGGTTGAATTTATAGTCAAAGAAAAGTATTTCAAGGCAAAACATGTAGCATGTCCTGAGGCAACACAGTTTGTTCAAGGAACCTTGATGAAGTCTGTAAAAAATGGCATTTAAAGTATGTCAGAGAAATGAAGAAAGGCGGGGAAATTACATTAGGACCAGATTGGAAAAGGCCTCTTATGCTTTGCTGAAGAGTTTGCACTTTATCCTGCAAACAATAGAGAGACAGCAAAGGTTTCCAAAGCAAGGAAAGAGAGGTGAACAGTAAGGTGGAGCATAGGCTGGTGGATTCTCTCCAAATTATAGAAAACGCAAAATGTAGAAATTAGGTAGGTTTAGAGATGATGCATACATATCATATTCAGCATTTTGTTTTCTAAGACTTATCCTGAGGACTGACAAAGAGAGTACTGGGGAGTGAAGACAGAAAGAGGAAACAGAAGACAGAATGGCTGGGAAGGTTGAGTAGTCCCCCCTTATCTGTGGATTGCTTTCCAAGGTTTCAGTTACCTGTGGTCAACCACAGATTGAAAATATTACAGTATTTTGAGACAGAGAGAGACAGAGAGATAGACCATGTTCATGTAACTTTTATTACAGTATATTATTATAATTGTTCTATCTTATTATGGTAATTGTTGTTACTCTCTCACTGTGCCTAATTTATACGTTAAACTTTATCATAGGTATGTATATGTAGGAAAAAAATAGTATATCTAGGGTTCAGTACTATCTAAGGCTTCAGGCCTCCACTGGGGAAATTGGAACGTAACCCCCATGGAGAAAGGGAGATTACTGTACACAGAAAACCATTAGCATGTTTCATCAAATCTAAGGCACCATCGACTGTAGAGCACATTAATTTTAAGAAATCCTAAGAAAGAAAAATACTTCCAGTTAAACACCGTCTGTTATTAGATACATTCCAATTTCTCGGAGTTAAAATGTAGCAGGGAATGCATCTCAGAATCTATGAAATATTGTATAATAACTTAGGCAAAAGTAGAATTGATCACTGGTTCCAGCCACTGAGTAAATGAGAACATAAATTAATTGCAAAAATACTTATTGAGTGTTGCAAAAATACTTACTGAGTATTACATGGAAATATAATGGAGATGTTGAGAATAAATGGCGGTTGTGATTGAAGGGAAGAAATGATCATGTTTTAAGATATTTAGAAAATAGAACTATTAGGCTTTGTTGTGCTACTGAATGCAGATGGTGAGGGAGAGACATTTAAGTGATGTCTAAGATGGCTGATGAGGTAATGTCTTTAAGACCAAAAGGGCAAAAAGAAGATCATGTTGGGCTATGACATCAAGTTTGGCTTTGGACATGCTGAGGTTGAAATATAAGTAGGACTTACATGTGGGATCCCCAGCAGGCAGTTGGAATATTGGCCCTAGCTCAGAAAAGAAGATAGAACTAGAGGTATTGATTTTGGATGCATCTAAGTGATGTGGTCAATGAAACCATGGAAGTGGATGAAGCCACTTACAAAATAAAAAGTCTGGCTAAGAAGTTATGTTCACGTGAACTAAGGGAAAGCATTAGAAATAAATGAAAGGAGACAGATTCAAGACATACTGTGAAGATGTCATTTCTAGGTCTTGATAACTGATGATCTTTAGGTATTGAGAGAAAAATGGTCCCAATAAGAGATACAGAGAAGTTAAGAAATATAGCAGTTTAGTTGGAGAAGAGTAAAAATTTCAGTTCTAGATATGCTATGTTGAAAGTGCTGCCAAGACATCAAGTGAAAATGACCCAAGAATAGTTGAAAATGTGGTCTATATTTCTGGAGATGGGGCAAATCTAGAGATGTAAATTTGCAAATCATCTATTCATAGTGAGAATTGGTGCTGTGGCATAAAAGATTGCCAAGAGAAAAAATATAAAGAAATAGTAAAGGTTTCAAGCATAGAACCTTAGAGTAAGCTATACTTAGCAGAAGTCATGTGGTGCATAATGACCTTTTGATCAATGACAGACTGCATTTATGATAGTGGTCCATAAAATTATAAGACTGGGCCAGGCGCAGTGGCTCACACCTGGAGTCTCAACATTTTGGGAGTTCCAGGCAGGTGGATCGTTTGAGCCCAAGAGCTCGAGACCATCCTAGGCAATATAGCAAAAACCCATATCTATTTTTTAAAAAACACAAAAAATATTAGCCAGGTATGGTGGGTGCACCTGTAGTCCCAGGTACTCAGGATGCTAAGGCAGAAGGATCACTTGAGCCCAGGAGGCAAAGGTTGTAGTGAGCCAAGATTGTGCCACTGCAATCCAGCCTGGGCAACAGAGTGAGATCCTGTCTCAAAAAAGTGGGGGATTATAAGACTGTATTTTTACTTTACCTTTTCTATGTTTAAATACATTTAAAGTACAAATACTTACCATTGTGTTACAGTTTTGCCTAGAGTATTCAGTACAGTCACATGCTAGGTTTGTAGCCTAGGAGAAAAAGGCTACACCATATAACCTAGCAGTGTAAAAGGCCATACCATCTAGATTTGTGTAAGTACACTCTATAATGTTTGCTCAGTGACAAAATCACCTAACAATGCATTTTTCAGACTGTATTCCATCGTTGTTAAGTGATGCATGCCTTATG
This sequence comes from Homo sapiens, assembly GCF_000001405.40. Taxonomy (NCBI): domain Eukaryota; kingdom Metazoa; phylum Chordata; class Mammalia; order Primates; family Hominidae; genus Homo; species Homo sapiens. The sequence continues at coordinate 79,161,536 of NC_000012.12, forward strand.
CCAAATAATACTATTTAATAAAATACTAAAACTACTACTATATAATGGATGCTGACATGTGTAAGACATTTTACATCTGATTTAAAATACTTATAACTGCATAACAGATAATCAACTGTCTATTTTACAACTGAAGAACATCTGAGGTTTAGTAACATTCCCAGGGTCACAGAGCTAGTAAGTGACTGAGTAGGGATTTGAGCCTGAGGCTCTTTCTTGGAAGCCCTCATGTTTCATACTGCACCCAGCCTACACAAAGCCTATCCTCCTTTAATTTTTATACATTGCTCTTACTTCTTTATAGAGTATAATATCAAACCCAAATGCTTACAGAAGACACAAGTAAGTAACATATGAGAGACCCTAGCTGGGTCTTTCCCTAAGGATATCTGGAATTGTATGCTTCTGACACTGGCATGCTTCTTTTAACTATGAAGACATATTGTTCGATTCCACACACAAAGAAAAGGTTTTCTTGAAATATGTGATCTTCTTACTCTATTCTCATTTTTCTGTATTTTGACTGAAACATGGAAACAAGTATTTCTCTACCATAAGAAAGCAACAATGTAAGATGATGTTAAGAGCACCAGATACTTGAATTCAGTTTTGTGTACAATAAGGAATGGTGAGAACTATTGCAAAATGGAGAGTAAAACTCCATCTAAAAAGGTGGCAAACCCCCAAAGCTCTGTGTTGCTCAAATTTCAGATTTTGTAAGGGAAGGTGGAAACTTAAAATATTAGGTGAAGCCTCCCATTGATAATGTGACTCATTATTTTAAATACTATGCAAGCTAAAGAAAAAATCCCTGTGGGCAAAATGCACTTCAAAAGATGACACCACACTGCCTTATATTCTCGAAATTTAATATTTCCAATTCCTTCAACGGTTTATGTTGCTTGATTTACAAAACTTTATACTCTCCTTTGAACAGAGACCATTCTATTCACTGTTCCTCTTAAAATATGACATCTAGAGCTAAACAAAATCATGCAGCTTCTCTCTGGCCTTCTCAGAATTCAGTGAAACTGCTACTATTTTTGTGCTGAGCACTATATGCTAATGTAACCTAGTATTGCATTAGCTTTTTCTTTTTTTAGCATTTACAACATTTTACTGGTGCCTAATGAGTTTTAGTCCATAAAAACCCTTAGTTATTTTTTCACATTAACTGCCGAGGTAAATCTTAACTCATCCAATACTTACAAAGAAGCAGCAATTTTGTTTTGAAATTAAATGCAAGACTTTACATTTTCTCTATTAATTTTTTATGGTGTAGATAGAGTTGAATAAACTTTATTTTATTTATGTGGGCCCATTATTCTAGATTTCAGGCAGAGTTTTCAATCATCTGTCTCTTTCCACAGCTTCAAGTATAAGGATCTACAATTCATTATATGTACTGTGCACAGATACAATGAATGTTCCTGAGAAATCTCATCCACCAAGGTGCACACAATTTTAAAAGGTTCAAATCAGAATTGATCCATAATTAGAATATTACATTAGCCTTTAAGAACTATCCCCACAGCACCCTGCAAATAACCACAGCATTATCTGTATTTGCCTGCCTTATGTATATGCACCCAGAGACGTCACACTGAGTGGGACACCTACTGCACACAGGGTGTCATTTCAGTAATTTCATCTATTTGGCTGCTTCTGCTATCATCCAGAACTCCAGCCTTAAGTCCTCTTCAGTGTTCATGGTAATTAGGAAATTCCTTTCTGGCAACTGTAAACATATGTTTGATCATAGAGAACATTCTCTTCCTGTTCCTCTGTTTAAAAGAACTAACCCATAAACATCAATTTATCTGGCTCATGGGGGCCTTGCACTCCACATGGCTTCCTTTCAGGGAACTGTGTAGGCTACAGTATCAATAATGAAAGTAGCTCATGCATCCTAAGGGGTCACTATGTGCCAAGCACTATGCTGTGCACTTTATGTAAGTCGTCTCCTATATTCCTTGATAACACGGTCTAAAGAAGGACTTCACAGCCAAGGAACTAAGATGTAAAGAACTTGAGTAGCCTCACAAGGTCAGTAATTGTCAGGGTCAATTTTCCAAAAAGCCTGTCTACACTGAAAACTCTGCTCTTTCTATTGCCGTTCTCGTTCCTCTGCAGGTCAGCTGACCCTTCCTTTGGTGTAGTCAAATAAATTACCAGTTGGACAGCAGCACCCGCCATCACCAATGAATACCCTGTGTTCTGTGTTCTAAAGAGCTAATTTGGCAGGCATGTATCAAACCCTAAAGCAGAGTTCCCTCATAGTCCACTACTAAGTCTATACTTTTTAGCCTTTTTAAATCAAGGGGAGTATTTTTCAAACATTTTTCTCATTGTTTGTTAAGTAGGTGCTTTAGAGCTCAACATACACCTTCATTTCTTCAATCAGGCTGTTGGTAGGATATTGAATGAGAAAGAATTCTGGGCTGTGCCATTGTTGTATGACTTTCTATCTTTTTTCCACCATGACACAGATAATTGACATACATATCTGTATCATGTTCACAATACCCATTGCACTCCTAATTCTGAAGCTTCTTTTCCATTAAAAAAATAAGATCACAAGCATAAAATAAAGTAAGCATGGTATTATCGTAGGGACAACATCAAATCAGTTTTACTTTTTAAAGGAAGTAATTAAGAAATGTTGGTGCTTTACCATCGGGGATAAATTACTGGTGTCCCAAGACACTACTGCGGAGGACCACTTAGCTTGAAGCATTCACAGAGAATTTAGTGGGCATCTTTTCTTTAAAACTTCCATTGTTCCACCAACTATTAATTCATCTAAACTAGATTGCCCTCTCATTCTTCATTTTTCCATTTGCTTTTACAAAAAATGTTGCAAGAAGTTGTGCGGATGCCTCACTAAATTAAAAAGTATGTGAGTACGAATAAATATTTATTACTTTTTCATCCACATCAGGCTTTGCTGTCATGAGATGAGAATAAAGAGAAAGACCTATGTCCCTTTACCTGCCTTAGAGCATGCCCAGAAAAAAACAATATAGAGAGAAATCCTTAGTAATTGCTTCTCTCAGTGGCTGCAATCTCTGTTGAGCCTCTTGTTTTGTCTTTGGAAATTTAATGTTTAATTATTTTTAATATGTCAAAATATTAGTTTCTCAAGAGAGAGGCTGTGCAGTAACAGGCATTTGGAGATCATTGGTTGCTTTGCAAAGTGGATAGATTAGATTTAAATTTATTTTTTAATGAATCAAGAAATATCCAGCTTTTACATTTAATAAATAAGAAATGGCAAATGAACAAAGGGAAATGGTGATGTAGACAGAACCCGGCGGATACCTAAATTTCTGTTGAGGGAGATTTATCCCTGTAGTTTAAGACTTTGATATAAAGTAAAAGGCAAATATCTAGAGAGGTAACCTTTTGGCTATCATTGGTCTTTTGTGAAGGAGTTGGACACAAATTTTGATAAGACCGTAGAAAGAGAGGAATCTTATACTGGAATCCCTGTGGAAGTGAGAGGAAAGCAATAATAGGGTTGTTGGTTTTTTTTCATTATCTTCAAAATTTTTGCTGACTAGTGTCCCATTATTGTTTAGAAACGTAATTTTTCTTAGACAAGTATCAGCTAAGCTCATTTAAGAGAAGCTTGCTCTGGGTGACATTTTTGCTGCATTTATCTTTAGAAACAATTTTTAACTCTGTTTTTCTATGTCATTTATGGCTGAAAATTATAATTGAACAGTTAGAAAAAATCTCTGTTGATTAATTACATAGCTTATGTGGTATTTAAATAGCCAAATTTATTACATATTTGTAGCTTGAGAGTATTCTTCACAAATAAAAGCTTTTTTCTGGGCTAGGCACCATCCCAAATCAGATTTAGAACAGTGTTGCAAAGGTTTTGTTCACTAAATGTATTCCAAAATTATAATGTTCTTTAAGGACGGTATGGTTGCTGATTTTATTTGATGGTTTACTGTGAAGACTCTTCGATTAAAATGTGTTTCACTGAAAATTTATTCTTCAAGCAGACGCCTTAGAAATTTATCTTGATTGCAATGGAAGATGGCAATTTAGAACAATTATTTATCCTTATAATAACTCAAGAGCTTTTATCATCAAGCACTTGCTATTTGAAGACCTGACTCCCATTGCTAAATAAGTGAATATTAATCTGATTGTTTTTAGTCCTTATAACATAACTTAATCTTTTGCTACCCTATTGCATGAACTGAGTAAATATTAAATGGGAGCTGAATTGTCCACCTTCTCCACTGTTTATAAAGATACATATTAGGTATGTTACAATAGAATGAGTGCTAAAGCACATTTTCTTTTGAAGAATAATATTCTAGGAAACTTAAATTTCATTACTTGCTAAAGATCACCCATGGAATTCAATTTTTTCTTACTTTTTCTCATTTTGACTACCTGCCTTATTGCACAAAAACATATTACTGTTTACAAGAAATCATTATCCTTTATTTTCAAATGGAAAAGGCAAACCAAAGACAATAATCAAAATTGGATATTATGTCAGATTCGTCAACTTGGAATTCTGAGATTTGATTATTCAAAACGTGGAACAGTACCTATAAAATTTGTTTTTACCTTTGTAAGCCATCTGGAACTCAAGAGCCATTAGACCTGCTTTTGCAAATCACTGTTTTATACAAATAAAACAATTTTTCAGAAGGCAATTTAGAATTTTGAAACACATACCAATTGTCAGAGTCAGTCTGTCAGGTTCTGCTCATCATTAATTTTTTAAAACATCAATTATGGTAAACTCTATCATAATTGCAATAGAATACAATTCAATAATGAATATAAACATTTAATGCAATGCATAGAATAGAATTCATAAGCTGACAATAATATTGGTCTCTTCATATTCTATTCAGGGAAGCCCAAGCTCTAAACTGATATATACACTGCAGAGACTAGGAGACAAAGGTAATATTCTGAAGAAGAATATTTTAGGGAGAAAAAATGAGAAAATGAATAGCCATCTAGGTCATTTTTAGACCAAAATTTTATTTAATTTTATTTTTATGGTGTGATGCCCAAGTAATGGTTCAATAGCATCACAAATAGTCCTAAACCCTGGGGGATAACATGCTCTCCTTCTATTTTTAGAAATGCAATTGACATCAAAATAGGTATAAAAATACCTACCTCCCTGGGTCTTGTGAGGATCAAATGAGATGATGTGTATGAAAGACTCCAGATGCTATACAAATGTTGGTTGGATTATACGGGAAGCTTTAGAGATGCCTTTGCACAGTGGAAGGATCCTTGGACTTGGTAGTTGAAAAAACTCAGTTTTGCTAGCCATGTTATTTTGAGTAAATCATTTAAATTTAATTCCTCTGTGTCATACTTTTTACATGTAAAACGAGGATATAATTTCTACCACAGTGCTGTTTTGTAAATCACCTCAAACAAAATGAGATCTATAATGAAAGTGCTTTATAAACAATGAAGCATAATGCTAATAGTGTAACAGATTGTTAATAGAGTACTTATTAAATATGGCATAAGTAAAGGAATGACATTTACAACAAAATAAATACAATTGTTTAAGTGAAAAATCTATGTAGAAAGGATTGAGAATTGAACTGAGTTCTTCTGTTGAATACTTACCATATTGCGATCTCAGATTCCCTATGAAAAGGACAAAGTCCTGCCCTTGAAAATGTTAGGATTTCAAGAAGACGTAGGGCATACTTTGGGTATCTACAAGATATAAAGGAAATAAACCCAAAACTAAAATTTGCATTATAAGCCACTTTTATGGTTAAATCTCATTCCTAGCCTGAATAATACTTTTTATTGAGAATCAGTTGTATAGAAAGCATTGTCTTATGTCCTGATTTCTGGGAGAATGTGTGTGTTTGTGTGTGCTTGTGTGTAGTGGAAATGGATTTGAAAGGTATACTACAAAAGAATGTAAATGTTTACTTCTATTCCCTCAAGCTTATATACTTGAGAAACATAAAATTTGATAATACGAAGAATCACAGAATAAATATCAAATGACTTACCCTAGAATGTATTACTGAAACTTATTAAGCCTACTATGTGGAAAATGGTCTTTAATTATTTTTACCAAAGAAACAAGAAGGTGAAATGTCAGGGACTGAATATTTGTGGCTATACTTTCCCCCAAAATCTAATAAATTGCAATTAAAACATTAAGAATTAAGAATAATTATGCTTATAGTGTAATACAGCGGTCCCCAACATTTTTGGCACCAGGGGCTTGTTTCATGGAAGACAATTTTTCCCTGGGGGATGCAGCGGGCTGGGAATGGGGTGGTTTGGGAATGAAGCTGTTGCATGTCAGGTCATCAGGCATTAGATTCTCATAAGGAGCGTAACAACCTAGATCCCTCACATGTGCAGTCTACAATAGGGTTCACTCACCACAGGGTTCACAATCCTATGAGAATCTAATGCCTCTGCTGATCTGACAAGAGGCAGAACTCAGGCAGTAATGCTCATTCTCCATCTGCCACTCACCTCCTGCTGTGCGGTCCAGTTCCTAACAGGCCATGGACTGGTACCCATCCCTGGCAGGAGTTTGGGGACCTCTGGTCTAATACATATGTATGTACTTAACTTCTTTGTCTTCTAGTTATTCCTTTAGAAATGTAAAGAGACAGGGAGCTTAAGAGAGACAACTAGATCTGGTTAGAGCCTTATTTGAGTGAAAGTTGTCAGATTACCTCCCTAAGCCTCAGTTTCCTCATCTGTGAGGGAAGTCCTAACTCAATGGGTTGTTGTAAAGATTCAGCATTATAATCAACACAAGTGAACCAAAACCGTGTCAGGCAAATGCTTGGGTCTCAAAAAAGTGAGAGTTTATTAAGTGTCTCAGTAATCTTTATTCTTAATAAACCCACCAAGTGATAGTTTGATCTGGCAAAGATGGGACGGCACACCCAGCACTAAACTTAACTATTCTCTTTCACACAGAATATTGCTAGTTTTTACTGGTGACATTTTAATTTTAAATTTACATTTTAAATTTTTCTGATATAGTCACTGGGAAGACAAAGGACAGAGTTTGTTACAGTGAGAAAATAACACAATTTTCTGAGGTCTTTTTCATGAAATGTTTTAAACTGGAGCTTTGTCTTTGGAAATTCTTGCTCTTGGACATAGTTATCATGTTGTTTGAGGTTAGCAAGGATGTGATTTTGAGGTCACAACCAGACATTGTTTACTGAATGTGTATAAGATAAAATGAGATGAGAGGGTAATTATCTATAGGTTTGCCTTAATTAGCAGATAACATTTTCTAATTTAACGAGGCCTCAGTGATAATAATCAACAGTCAAGTTTCTAAATAGCTTTCCCATATCTTTGTGGCCATTAATTCCCTCATCTTTAAGTTTTCGACATTCTTTTCAAGGCATCTGGAACACTTGAGCAGCAATTTTCCCTGTTTGCAGCAATCACCAGTTGAATGCTTTTGTGAATGAGAAATTAAATGGGTTTTCAACAATGTAGATAGTTTTAAGTGAGAGTCCCATTGAAATTATGGATGAATCAAGGGACAGCAGGAAGTCTGTGATTTTCTCCATTTGCAAATGTTTTTCTAAAAAATGCCATCCTAAGAACACTTTACAGATATTAACCCATTAATTCCAGTGCCTCATTTTTTTGAAGTAATTCTTATTCTTTCTTTATGGCTCCAAAAATTCACAGAAGAATAGTTAGCAAAGCAGCAGTCAACTATCCACACCAAATTTTATAAACTGCATTAAATGTACTACTATTCACTGGAAAACTCTTATAAAATATATACATGCATGACTTACAAAAGTATAAATTATAAATGGTATGAAAAATGCTTCAAAATCTAGAAAGAATGTAAGAACTTAGGCAGGGAAAAAAGAAATATATACAATCTTATTTAGCGATCTGCTTATTATCACATGAATTTGTGAGCAGAATGATCTAGAGAAGGCCTATGACATGTAGTGAGGCAAACAACATTTTAAAAACTCCTCTGGAAGAAGATGGAATCAATGAAGTTTCAAATTCACCTGCAAAAGTTACAAGCAGATTTGAACTATGTGACCAAATCTAGCTGCACCTAGATTTGAAAGGACACCATTTGGATTTGCCATATGCGCTTCTGAGAAGGAGAGAGGTATGAGTAGAGCTTTTTTTTTAACTTTTAAATTTAGGGGTACAAGTGCATGTTTGTTTCATAGGTAAACTTGTGTTATGTGGGTTTGTTGTACAGATTATTTCATCATTCAGGTATTAATCCTGGTACCCATTAGTTATTTTTCCTGATCCTCTCCCTCCTTCACCTACCTGGCTCCAAAAGGCCCCAGGATGTGTTGTTCCCCTCTATGTGTCCATGTGTCCTCATCGTTTAGCCCCTATTTAGAAGTGAGAACATGTGGTATTCGGTTTTCTGTTCCTGTATTAGTTTGCTAAGGTTAATGGCCTTCAGCTCCATCCATGTCTCTGCAAAGGACATGATCTCATTCTTTTTTATGGCTACATAGTATTCCGTGGTGTATATGTACCACATTTTCTTTAGCCAGTCTATCATTGATGGGCATTTAGGTTGATTCCATATCTTTGCTATTGTGAATAGGGCTGCAATGAACATACACATGCATGAGTCTTTATAATAGAATGATTTCTATTCCTTTGAGTATATACCCAGTAATGGGATTGCTGGGTCAAATGGTAGTTCTGTCTTTAGGTCTTTGAGGCATTGCCACACTGTCTTCTACAATGGCTGAACTAATTTACACTCCCACCAACAATGTAAAATCATTCCTTTTTCTCCACAACCTTGCCAGCATCCATTATTTTTTGACTTTTTGATACTAGCCATTCTAACTGGTGTTAGGTAGTATCTCACTGTGGTTTTGATTTGCATTTCTCTAATGATCAGTAATGTCGAACTTTTTTTATATGATTTTTGGCCACATGTATGTCTTCTTTTGAAAAGGGTCTGTTCTTGACCTTTGCCCACTTTTTTATGGGATTGTTTGTGGGGTTTTTTGTACATTTGTTTAAGTTCCTTATGGATGCTGGATATTAGACCTTTGTTAGATGCATAGTTTGCAAAAACTTCCTCCCATTCTGTAGATTGTCTGTTTACTCTGTTGATAGTTTCTTTTGCTGTGCAGAAGCTCTTTAGTTTAATTAGGTCCTATTTGTCAATTTTTACATTTGTTGCAATTGCTTTTGGTATCTTCATCATGAAATCTTTGCCCATACCTATGTCCTGAATGGTATTGCCTAGGTTGTCTTCCAGAGTTTTTATAGTTTGAGGTTTTACACTTAAGACTTTAATCTATTTTATGTTGATTTTATATATGGCAGGGGTCCAGCTTCAATCTTTTTCATATGCCTAGCCAATTATCCCAGCACCATTGATTGAATAGGGAGTCCTTTCCCCATTGCTTGTTTTTGTCAGGTTTGTTGAAGATCAGAGAGTTGTAGGTGTGCAGTTTTATTTCCGGATTCTCTATTCTGTTCCATTGGTCTATGTGTCTCTTTTGGTACCAATACCATGCTGTTTGGATTACTGTAGCCCTACAATATAGTTTGAAGTTGGGTAGTGTGACGCCTCCAGCTTTGTTCTTTTGCTTAGGGTTGCATTGGCTATTTGGGGTCTTTATTTGGTTCCACATGAATTTTAAAATAGTTTTCTCTAGTTCTGTAAAGAATGTCAAGAGTAGTTTAATAGGAATAGCATTGAATCTACGAATTACTTTGGATAGTATAGCCATTTTCATGATATTGATTCTTCCTCTCCATGAGCATGGAATGTTTTTCCATTTGTTTGTGTCATCTCTGATTTCTTTGAGCAGTGGTTTGCAGTTCTCCTTGTAGAGATCTTTCACCTCCCTAGTTAGCTGTATTCCTAGGTATTTTATTCTTTATGTGGCAAGAGTAGAAATATTTTTAAGGAAGATGATTCTTGCTCCTACTAAATAACTATAGAAGAGGAAGAATCATTTGGCTTTCACATGACTTGTGTATTATAAATAAAAAAGTTCTTTCAAATTAATTCCATTTACTATGTTTTATATATTCCTTCCATAATTCACTTATTCTATTCAGTAAAGGCTTAGTCTGCCAAAACCACTGCATGATTTTCCAAAGGAGGTACACAGTAAAAAAAAAATGATTAGAACCATAAGTTCTGGAGTTGGACCACATGGGTTTAGATCTTGGCTATACTCCTTGCTAGCTGTGTAACATGGATGAACTAGTTAATCTCTCCAAACCTCAGTCTCCTCAGCTCTCCTATTATTAATAAAATCGGTTTAATAATAATGTATTCCTCCTTATTTTAATGAGAGGATTAAATGATAGCATGTTGAGAAAGCACTTACACAGTATCTGGCATATTATAAATGTCCAATAAGTACTAGTTATTGTTAGAATTTCTGGATTTAAAGAGATCACTTATTTTTTAAAGGTATCTTGATTGTTACTACTATATCATGCAAATCTTTATCTCTTTTAATTATTTATTTAATGACAGAAAAATACTGTAAAAACTGAAAAATTCAAAATTAATTTTCCAAGTGCCTAAGTAATTTCTAAATAGAGATATAAACACATTTAAGTTCACAATAATAATTGCATTTCATTGGAGTTTTACAACTACTGCTTGGTTCTAAATGCTTTGAACTAGACAGTTAAACTTCTCATATTTTAAATTTTTTTCCAAACATAAAATGCATACATTGAATAACCTAACTTTAGGTATACTGAGACTTCATTTTATAATGAACAGTTACATGAAGAGTGCCTGCTCCCAAAAAAAGGAGTTATAATGCTTCAATTTTAAGTGGTAAGACATTTACTGGGACACAGAGTAAAATTATAGTGAAAAATGTGAAGATGCTATCTGAATAGTGATAAGATAATTTTATTGTCTATTTAAAGACAGGCCTTGGCAATTGGAAAATATTAGTTAAATCTTTTTTGAGCTTTTTGCTGTTATTGTTGTTTTTATTATGTTACTAGTTTTGCTTTCTTTCTTCTATCTTATAATATTTTCCCTAAAGAATGGGGTTAGTTATGTGGGGCAATCTAATATGATGGTATTTATAATGCTCTAAATTAAATTTTTGAGCTAAGAAAATCAGTCACAACACTTGAGATTTGTCAATTTTCTAGTGAATTATAGTTATCTGTAAACAGTTTTGATTATGAAACTTCTATGAAATCTCTCATTATTTTGTAACTTCTTTCCCTTATTTATTTTACAGACTAAGCCATTTTCTCTTAAGCCTATGTTAGCAGCATCTCCCCTTGGAAATACTATGATCATTTGATAATACTGGGTTTCAAACTCTAGATGCCTTTCTCACATTGGCTTCATAGTTCAATTCCATAAGTTTGTGTCAAGATACTACTACATGTAATTCAGGTTACTAGAGTTCCTGCTCTCAAAAAAAAAAAAAAAAAAAAAAAAAAAAAAAAAAAAAGGGAGTTTGGCCTGTCCAGAAATAAAATAATGTGGCAGAAAAGGTATATAAAACCTCTTGAGATTTTAGGGAACTGATTAATAGCATCTCTACCTTTTCACATCAGAGTCCTGAACCAACTAAGAGGTAGAACAAAGTATCAAGCTGCTACAGATCAGGATAGTAGCTTTTTGCATTATGGGCTTAAATGTGTATCCCCAATTTGGTTCCTTGAATTGAGCTTACAATTCAGATCAGCAATGCTCCCCTGCAAGTTCCCTGTAAGCTCACTATGCATCTGATAGAGCAGCATGCAGCCTCTTAGGAGGTAGGCAGATGGACAGTAAGAACCCTAAATGTCCTGGACTAAGCGTGCTTAATTTCTTCCCCCAAATTTGTCAGTTAGGCCAAGCATCCTCCCCACTGCCCCACCTGGGCAAGATGGATGAAGGAAAGGATCCCAAAAGATGTAAATGTTGCTCCTTTTTTCCCCTTTAGTGCATGCAGTGGAAATTCCCCATCACTCGGTTGGAATATGAAGAGTAAAAATAAGTGTTCCCATCCTAAAAGAGACAACATGAATTTCAATTCAAAGAAGAAAGATTCCAGATGGTTGGAATGATCAGGAAATAATTCAGAGAGAAGATAGTATCTGAGAAAGGCTTAAAAGAGGAATACAAATTAAACAGGCAAGATGAAAGAAAAGGGCTACCATAAGGAGCCTTGTAAAACGTCCAGAAGAAATAACTAGAAGAATTTCCAGGCTTCAAAAAGGACCCAGTTAACATTGGAGTGAATTTTTAATGAATTTAGTCAGTACGATTTGAGACTTTCTTTATTAATATTTAGGAGGCAAGGATAAGGCAGACATCATAAAGTGTTTACAGTTAGCAAGTGCCGTAATGTATATTTAACTTAATGTGGCATTCTATGAAAGTAGTGTATCATTACAATAGATGTTGTGGAGTTCAGGCTCTGTTGCTGGACAAATGAAACCAGTATCTGTGTCAGTCTAGGAGGAGTAAAGAAGGGAAAATAATGAACAGATTTATGGGGAAAAGCAGAAGACAGACGTCTATAATGAAAGAGAAGTTTTGGAAAATGGATTAATGCCCAGAGATAAAACCCACACTATAATTATGAAAATCATTAGAATTTTAACAAAAGGAATTTTGAGGGCCAAATAGCAGAGGGTCATCACTGGATGCTGAAATCACTAAGGATGCTTCTAAAAATGTTGGCACAATGTGGTGTAAGCTAGTGGAGAAAGATGGATACCCATCACAGAAGTTGTTGGTGACATTGATGAAGAATTAAATAGCATAAATACAGAAAAAATAAGTGGCTTCAGAACATGCTGTTGGTTAATAATCTGGAAGTGGTATTGGCTGATAAATAATATGGTGACGTATTCTCCTGTCCTTATAGAAAAAATAGGCTAGAAGGCATCAGGGAGAAATCGGGTTTCAATTAATAAAAAGTGTAACGAGCCTTGAAAAAGATTTGAGAATTTATTACAATGTGCAATAAAATGTAGCTAGTCAGTAACATATGATTTATGAGACACTAGCAAGGAAATGGGCCAGAGTATATATGTGGCCTGGGAAACAAGAGAGATCTAGGTAAGAAAAGGGAGTTGGGAACTATCAATAGCAAGGATTAAGAAAATGGGTTGAGAGAGAAGCTCCAGGAAACTGTTGACAGTACAGAAGGTGTCATAATTTAATCACTTCAGTCCTTTGGAATGGTATTGCCAAGTCACTTTGGGATGTTAAAAAATTATATTCCTTCAACACTTTATAATTAGGAACAGGAATTGGCATCATCCTATTGGAGCTTGCTGCTAACAACGTGGGAGTTTTTAGAGACAGATACAAGGTCTTGCCAACACATTCTAATGTAGTCACAATGCCATCCAGTGGTTACTTTGGTTACTTTACAGGTACTTTCCATTGCTCTTTAAGAATATATTTTATTTTATAGTTAATATTCATCAAAGTTTCAGAAAGCTTGTATGGAAAGTGTTTTATTATATCTTCAAAAATGGCATAGCAGGGATTTGATTTGCTATGTACTTCTAAGCTAATGGAGTTATATCCAGCTTGTTTTCTATATGTGTTATGCTCTGGGAAACATGATTTAGCCTGTCCTCTATCAAAATTAATGCAATAAGGAACCATGAAATAATGGGACTTACACTGTATTCAATTTTAGTTCTAATAGAAACACAATGGAAAATAACATCTGCGACATAGGCCTGGTTGATCAGAGGAAAGTAATGGACATTTGTTGCTGTGATTTTATTGGTGCTATGGGTTTTTTCCTTCACGGTATGCTCATCAGTATAGGGATAATGTAATAAATACTTTTGACTTCACTCGTATTTAGTCTCAGTTTGTCTGTAAGGTCATAATGAGCAAACTTAAATGGGAAACATTAATTTGGCAGCTGACAACATAAAATAAATCTAGCTGCCATTAGCAAGGACCCTTCTTAAAATTTTTATAAAAGCACAGCTTTCAAGTTTATTGCACATCTCTTTAAAAATGTATTTCAAAGTAACTTCAGAGACATCTATTTGGCACACTCAAACTTTTGGTGATGAAATTCCCTTTTGCCACTAAAATTCATTATTTGAATCTCCATGGTAAATTAGCTTTATGAGTTAGCTATTGTAATTATTTTTCTGTGAAGCAAAGGCAGGAGTAGAGACAATTTCATCATCTTATCATCATTTGTATGTGGAATCACTAAAGAGTTTACCCATGTGGAACCATGAAAGTCCCTGATTTACCCCTCTATCAGTAGGCATAAACATATCTAAACCACCCAAGAAACTGTACATTAATATTGCTTCTAAGACCTGGGGGTTGGGGGGTAGCATCCCCACAGTCAACAATGTTAAAGTGATGAAACATTTTAAATAATTTTAATGTTAAAATAATTGGAGCCATTTCTTGTTTGATTATTTTCACACTATTGGTCCTTAAACTGTTTAAATTTGGTTCAGAAAGTACAGAGCGGGCCGGGTGTGGAGGGTCACACCTGTAATCCCAGCACTTTGGAAGGCCGAGGAGGGTGGATCACCTGATGTTCAGAGTTCAAAACCAGCCTGGCCAACATGGTGAAACCTCATCTCTACTAAAAATACAAAATTAGCCAGGTATGGTGGTGCATGCCTGGAATCCCAGCTACTTGGGAGGCTGAGGCAGGAGAATCACTTGAACCTGGGAGGCTGAGGTTTCAGTGAGCCAAGATCACTCCATTCACTCCAGCCTGGGCAACAAGAGCGAAATTCTGTCTCAAAAAAAAAAAAAAATACCAAAGTGATTTGGAAAAGAAAGTGATATTGATGTAAATGATGGCAGTGTCTGCAGATTTTCAGGGGTGTAGGAGCAAGAGATCTAATGTTACCCAGACCGAGTGGCAAAACTGAAGATAATGACCACAATAGAAACACTTCACAGTTCACAAGAGTTATGGTGTTTTATCTTCACTCATGTAGCTAAATACTCCATGTTGATATTCATTTGTCAATACTAAATTAAGCTGAGTAATTCTTTTAACTAAACACTGATACTCTACAACCTGCTTCGTACAGTACATTTATTGGGGGCTTTGTTCTTGTTGTTGAGTTCTATATTTTTTTAACTTTACATTTGAAAAAGTTTTAGACTTACAAAAAAAGTTGAAATAGTACAATGAACACACATATACCTTTGCTTACACCAAATGGTAACCTCTTTGCCACATTTGCTTTGACTATCAATTTATTTTTTTTGGAGTAAACTAGATAAAAATAAGTTGAAGACACTTCAACCTATAACCCTGTAAACCTTAGGGTTTACAACCCTACGTAGTTTACAATACTACTACATACTTCAGTAGTATCTCCTAAGAACAAAAATACTTTCCTGTATAACCACAATGTCAATCACACATCCAAAAATTGAACATTCGTCCAATAATATTATCCAATATAATCTCTAAATTTAAATTCCCCCAATTCTCCAAAATTTCACTGATAACTCCATTGTAAAAGCATATTTCTTTTTTTTTTTATGTTTTTTTTTATTATACTCTAAGTTTTAGGGTACATGTGCACATTGTGCAGGTTAGTTACATATGTATACATGTGCCATGCTGGTGCGCTGCACCCACTAACGTGTCATCTAGCATTAGGTATATCTCCCAATGCTATCCCTCCCCCCTCCCCCGACCCCACCACAGTCCCCAGAGTGTGATATTCACCTTCCTGTGTCCATGTGATCTCATTGTTCAATTCCCACCTATGAGTGAGAATATGCGGTGTTTGGTTTTTTGTTCTTGCGATAGTTTACTGAGAATGATGGTTTCCAATTTCATCCATGTCCCTACAAAGGACATGAACTCATCATTTTTTATGGCTGCATAGTATTCCATGGTGTATATGTGCCACATTTTCTTAATCCAGTCTATCATTGTTGGACATTTGGGTTGGTTCCAAGTCTTTGCTATTGTGAATAGTGCCGCAATAAACATACGTGTGCATGTGTCTTTATAGCAGCATGATTTATAGTCCTTTGGGTATATACCCAGTAATGGGATGGCTGGGTCAAATGGTATTTCTAGTTCTAGATCCCTGAGGAATCGCCACACTGACTTCCACAATGGTTGAACTAGTATACAGTCCCACCAACAGTGTAAAAGTGTTCCTATTTCTCCACATCCTCTCCAGCACCTGTTGTTCCCTGACTTTTTAATGATTGCCATTCTAACTGGTGTGAGATGATATCTCATAGTGGTTTTGATTTGCATTTCTCTGATGGCCAGTGATGATGAGCATTTCTTCATGTGTTTTTTGGCTGCATAAATGTCTTCTTTTGAGAAGTGTCTGTTCATGTCCTTCGCCCACTTTTTGATGGGGTTGTTTGTTTTTTCTTGTAAATTTGTTTGAGTTCATTGTAGATTCTGGATATTAGCCCTTTGTCAGATGAGTAGTTTGCGAAAATTTTCTCCCATGTTGTAGGTTGCCTGTTCACTCTGATGGTAGTTTCTTTTGCTGTGCAGAAGCTCTTTAGTTTAATTAGATCCCATTTGTCAATTTTGGCTTTTGTTGCCATTGCTGTAAAAGCATATTTCTATTCTTATCATTAATATTCTCTTCCCAGGATACCTTCTACCCAGTGTTTTTAGCATAGTTGGCCCTTGCCTGAATCACTTATTATATTGACTATTACAAAAAGGTGATTTTCTAATTCTATCATTTCCTTTACATTTTGAGATTTTTTTATTCTGTGAAGACTGTTCTCTTCCTTTTACTTAATAGTATCACTCAGCCACATAGATTCCTTTTTATTTCAATTTTTTTGTAGTCCATCACCATTATTTTTCTTTTTCATGCTCGTATTGTCTGAAATTTAGCTGATGAGAGCCACCAGAAACCACCCCTGTGTCTTTCTGACATGTCTCCAACAGATTTGGGGCATGTTCTTACTTACAAAATAAGGTATTCTAGGCCCACTTTGTACCTTGCCTGTTCCAGACATTTGTTTTTTGTTTTGTTTTGTTTTGTTTTTTGTTTTTTTCCTATGGGCAATGATATTTGGAAACCTGCATATGCTCATTTTTACTGCAATATTATTTTTCTAGGCTCATTTGGTGGACAGGGCTATATTTTTCTTAATAATGAGTACATAGTTATACCTCCAAGTCAAATCCAATACCATAGAATGTTTCCTCACTTTTCTCCATTTCATATGTTTATATCACATCTCCCACTGTCAAAACAGTAATTTGTTTATTTATTTATATTTATTTATTTATTTTTGAGATGGAATTTCGCTCTTATAGCCCAGGCTGGAGTGCGATGGCGTGATCTCGGCTCACTGCAATCTCCTCAGCCTCCTGAGTAGCTGGGATTTCATGCATGCGCCACCACACCCAGATATAGATATAGATATATCTATATAGATATAGATATAGATATAGATATAGATATAGATATATAGATATAGATATATCTATATAGATATAGATATAGATATATAGATATAGATATAGATATATAGATATAGATATAGATATATAGATATAGATATAGATATATAGATATAGATATAGATATATAGATATAGATATATAGATATAGATATAGATATAGATATATAGATATAGATATAGATATATAGATATATAGATATAGATATAGATATATAGATATAGATATAGATATATAGATATAGATATAGATATATAGATATAGATATAGATATATAGATATAGATATAGATATAGATATATAGATATAGATATAGATATATAGATACAGATTTAGATATATCTATATAGATATAGATATAGATATAGATATATCGATATGTCTATATCGATATAGATATAGATATAGATATAGATATATCGATATAGATATCCATATAGATATAGATATAGATATATCTATATAGATATATCCATATAGATATAGATATAATCTATATAGATATAGATATAGAGATATAGATATATCTATATAGATATAGATATAGATATATCTATATAGATATAGATATAGATATAGAGATATAGATATAGATTTAGATATATAGATATGGATATAGATATAGATTTTTTTTAATAGAGACGGGATTTCTCCATGTGGGTCAGGCTGGTCTCAAACTCCCGACCTCAGGTGATCAGCCCACTTCCGCCTCCCAAAGTATTGGGATTACAGGCGGGAGCCACCATGCCTGGCTGAAAACAGTAGTTTCTAACGTCCTTGATCTATTTGCCATTTGCTCTAGCCTAAGTTTCAGATTTTTAATTATTCATTTTTGTCCTTGGACAATGTACCACTAAGGGTGTCTCACTTAACAATGTATATTGAAACTAACTTTACACTTGAAAAAGTTTTAGACTTACAGATTATAGAGATACACTTTATTCTTTTTTATGGCTCCATAGTTCTTCATTTTATGGATCTATCAGAATTTACTCAACCAATCCCTATAATTTGATATTTGGGATTTTCCCCAATATTATGCTATAATGATGTACTTTGTGCATGTTATTTTATATTCTTCAAGACGTATCTTCAGGGTGAATTTCTAGAAGTGGGATTGCAAAGAGAAGAGTTACTAAAGATAAATACTTTTGTCAGATATTGCCAAATTTCCCTCTATTAGAAATTGTACCATTTTGCATTTCCACCATTGTCCTTCCTAAAATAACCAAACCATTATTTCTTTGAAAATATGAACAATATTAATTAACTAATATTAAAAAATAAAGAGCTTTTCTAGAACAAGCATAAGAATTCCTTACACACTATCCTCACTTCCTGATTCCAAACTCAAATTTAGATTTTATAGGTAGAATATGCCACTGCAGAAGCAGAGAAGACTATAATTCTAGACAAGCCTCAACATATGTAATCATTTAAAGCTTTAGTATTGGTATTAGTCCATTCTCACATTGTTATAAAGAAGTATCTGAGACTGGTAATTTATTTTCTTTTTTTTTTTTAAAAAAAGGAGTTTTAATTGGCTCGGGGTTCTGCAGGCTGTACAGATAGCATAATGCTGGCATCTTCTTAGCTTCTGAGGAGGCCTCAGGAAACTTATAATCATGGCTGAAGTGGAAGGAGGAGCAGGCGTCTCACATGGCAGGAGCAGGAGCAAGAGAGAGTGAAGGGGGAGGTGCCACACACTTTTAAATGAGCAGATCTCAAGAAAATGAACTCACTATCATGAGGACAGTATCAAGAGAATGGTGCTAAACCATTCATGAGAAATCACCCCTATGATCCAATCACCTCCCAGCAGGCCCCACCTCCAACGTTGGGTGATATGGTTTGGCTGTGTCCCCCAGCCCAATCTCATCTTGAACTGTAGTTCCCATAATCCCTATATTTCATGGGAGGGACCCAGTGGGAGATAACTGAATCATGGGGGCAGTTACCTCCATGCTGTCCTCATGATAGCGAGTGAGTTCTCTCGAGAGCTGATGGTTTTATAAGGTGATTTTCCCCTCTTCACTCTGCATTCTCCTTGCTGCCGCCACATGAAGAAGGACGTATATGCGTCCTCTCTGCCATGATTGTAAGTTTCCTGAGGCCTCCCAGCCCTGCAGAACTGCGAGTCAATTACACCTCTTTCCTTTAGAAATTACCCAGTCTTGGGTATGTCTTTATTAACACTGTGAGAATGGACTAATCCATCGTCCATTGTAATCCATTGTAAACTAATCCACGTTTACAATTGAACGTGAGATTTGGATGAGGACACAGGTTCAAATGATATCAGTATTTATGATTGCATTTTTCTTGAGCTAATTAAAAATATTAAATAAAACAAAGTCATTCATAACATAGAAATTTGGAGTGGAAAGAAATCTTAGGGATTTACTTTTATGGATCATATTAGCAGAAGGTGAAGTACTGACAATATAAAAATGATTGAATGCATATCACATTGTTTCTTAGAGTATGGATCAATACATATAGCATTTTTGCCACTTTCTACTCAAAATACAATCTTCTCTCCCTTTTTTTTCTTCCAGGGCCCCCACTCTTCTCCATATCAACCGTATACCTTTCTAGATGTCTAATATATTTAAATAGTTCCTGAGACCCTATGATCTGATTTCTCAGTTTCCATTCCCAAGTAGCTAAGTGTGGCAGACCAGGTCATGTGACTGGAACCACTGTGGATTCTCCTCATGAGACACCAATGGGCTTTCACTGCTACTCAGTACTCCTGCTGCTCCAGGCTTCAAATGTCTGAAATTCCCACAATGCCCCTAATCCCTTCTCTTTCAGTTGATAACCTTAGTTTTTAGTTCACATGAAGACCAACAACATCCCATTGTGTTCCTATCAATTCTATCATCCCTTTTCCAGAACATCTTTATTTTCACTCTTTTTTCTCTTTCTCCTAGACAACCCCACCCCTACCTCATCCTCCATGCTCTTCCTCTGGAGCACTATAAGTCATCTCCGTTTTAATTTATAATGTTTTAAATCTTTCTCACTTCTGGTAACTTCTCTTTGTCTACACACATGTATAGGTCTGTAACATTCTAAAGACAGCTTTTCACCATGTTACCCTGAGTTATTACTTTGTCTTTGTCCTTTCAACTGCAAAATTGTGCACTGTTTTAAAATCACAGCTTTTTACTCACTTGTCAAGCCCTTGTAATCCAGCTTCCACTTCATAATGCTGTTCTCTTAAAAGTTTCTAGTGACCTCTAAACTCTAATTTCAATAGTCTTTTACTGGTCTTCATCCTCCTTAAACTCACTTTAATGTTTGGTACTACTGATTGGTCTTTTTTTAACTCCCTTTCTGTGATTTTTTGGGACACTTTGGTGTCATGGTTTTCTTCCTAAATGCTCTTATTCTCTCTTGTTCATTAGTTTGTCCCAACTCCTAAAATTAAGCATTTCCTGAAACATCTTCATAAAGTCTACTTGAGTAATTGACCAGATGAACAACAAGTTGAGGACCATCCATGAGAATATACCTCCTGGACTGTGAAAATAGCATAATGCATCCTGGGGACTCAATCAACAAAGCCTGAGAGTAAAAGGAGAAAAAACTATAGATATGGGTAGGTCCAGATGATATGCGTATAGTTCAAGAACTTTATTTTTTAGACCAACACATATTGCAGTTAATTGCATCAATAGTTTTTAACTGACTGAAAGCAGAGATCTGAACTATAATTTAAAAGCATAAATGTTTACCCTTCTTCTAGCATCTCTGCTGAAAAGATTTTCTTTCAATCTGATAACCTAAAGCAAATTGCATAATATTAGTGTGTCTAAACTGTGCTTAGTTACTTCTCATTAGAAATCAGTTCTGTTACTTCTGTTACTTCTCATTAGAAATCAGTTCTGTTTCCCCATTTTTAAAGGCCTAACAATTTTAAAAAGTTAAATATTGTGTACAGATAATAATATTGTTATAGCTTCATTTGATGTAGGTCAAATTCTGATGCAAACTGGTCCTTGTAATAATCGTTCAGAGTAAGAACCAAATGTGTTATATTCTTTTTAATTAAGAATTTAAGAAATATTTCATCATACATTCATTGCCTAAGTCAGCAAATGTTTATTGTGCACTGACTATGTGGAATTCACTTTTCTGAGCATTAGAGATTCAAGCTAGACAAACTTTTGTCCCCTGGAGCATGCACATTCCATCTGAATGAATTAAACTGGCTGAGATATTATGGTATATGTAGCTTACACATGCAGCACCACTCACTTCGGGAAGAGACAAGTCTTCTGCAGTGAGTGGTGCTGCATAGGATGTACCAGCTTTTAGTGAACACAGTAAGTTGCGCAGACAGGAAGATATTTGTCTTCTGTAGAGAGGAACTGGTTCATCTTTGCCAGTGGTTCTCAACCAGGGATGATACTGCCCCCAGGGGACATGGGCAATATCTGGAGATATTTTTAATTGCCACAACTCAGGGAAAAGGGTGCTACTGGCATTTAGTAATGCTGCTAAACATCCCACAATGCACAGGAGAGCTACCCCCAACCACCAAAGAATTATGTAGTCCAAAATGTCAACAGTGTCAAGGCCAAGAAACCCTTCTCTAGGCTAAAGGGTCTATGTGGCTTAATTACTGGGTTCTTTCTTAGAAGAACATACACCATGCTGTTCCCACAGCCCCTCTCCTCCCTCTTACCGTATAGATGGTCCTTTCAAGCTAATTTTTCTGGCTGTTTTTTGTTCCATGGGTAAACAGAGAATGTTCAGGTTAGATATGTACCTTCTATTTGTTTTTCAAGCTGTTCTCAAGGGTCAATCAATGCTTACTAAAGTTTTCGAGCAAGCACTAAGGTAGTGAGTTCTGTGCCTGCTGGGCATAATTACAGGAAACAACTTTGTTTTTAAAATCTCATAACAAGAAGCACAAGCACAATCCACAAATTACAATTCCTTTGCAGTGTGTTTGTACCCTTAGCAGCTCACAGCAGGGCCACATCATCGTCTCCGCCAGCCACCATTTTTCTAGCTACCTTCCTAAAATATCAGAAACAACAAACTTCCCAGGGTGAGGAAACATCCTGTAGTTTTGCCCACATGGATCAGTATTTTTCCCATTCTGTCATTATGTTGCTATGAAGTAGACAATAAATTATTATGAAAATATGAATAGAAAGAGGAAGTGAGTCATGTAAATCATTATTAGTATTCTATTTCACGTGATGGAAAACTCACAGGGATCTTGGTGTTAGTCCAGAATTCACTCATGTTTTCCCTTTATTTTAAATGCTGAAAAAAACATAGGTTGTAATGTTATCATTGTACTTGTAGAACTATATGACTAGATATGAACTAAGTTACTTGGCAACAGTTGAGCTCCAAATGGAACTTATGCCTTTATTAGTTATGTAACATTAGATACCTCACTTAACCTTTCAAGGGCTCAATTTGGTAATATGTTAAATAAATAAATTGAGCTAGTATCTGGCATGAGAATCCTGGGTTTGAATTTGGCATCATCAGTTTCTGGCCATGTGACCATCAGCAAGCCACCCACTGTGCAGAGAGATTATAATGAGATGAGATTAGCATGGGCATTACAAAGATTTTTGCCATTGCTGTTGTCACCAACAGATAATTATCTTGCATGTGTCTTCTATAGCACAACTGAAAATCACTGTAAACTATATTAAGAGATAATATCCAGCATTCAGAATATCTAAGATGGTCAGAATTAGGTAGGTTTTAAAACTCTTATGTTTCAGCTCTTTCCAAGTCAAATATGAATAACTATAATCCACATCTAGGAGTAGAAGTAAAAGAATGGAAATCTAATTTGCACCCCAGTGGTTTGTGACATCATCTTTATTAACATGCACGCTCTGAGTATTTTAGATTCACTGGGAAACTGTTGATATTTAGAAAGGGAATATTTCTCTTTAAACTGGTAAAGCTTAAGCATCTCCTCTGAAAATTCTTCTATCCCAGGATCTCTTTCCTGACATAAAACTGCATGAGCTGTGTTCTTACCGCAAGAGCATCTTCATTAGCAAACAGAAATGTCACCTAGCAAAAGGAAGTATCAAGAAGCCGGCTCTCTCCACTATGAATTGCCATCTTGGTCTGTACTACTGATCCTCAGGAGCACTAGTTATGCTCAGAAATTGACCTAAGACATTATTTACAGATTCTGTGAATTTCTAATTACCTTTGTTCACAAGAAGTCAATCATCAGTGCTTATGAAGAGTCACCTATTTGAATGACAAATAACTAAGTGCTGGAGATTTATTAAAATGAAATTAAATGCTACTTAAATTATCTTTCACCTATCCATTTGCATTTCTATTTTTCCGACTGTTTTTCTAGCAGTTCTATTGAGCCTGGTAAGGTCTTCACCTCCATCAGGCACTTTTAGGGTTGAATGCACATTGGAGTGATCTAGTGTGAGATTTTACAGAACAACTATTCCACCTTTCCAATATCCCTTCTGTGTTAGATTTCTCCAGAGTACACAGATAATAAGTGGCCACATTATATCTTGTTATATAAGTTTGCACTGCAGAAGGAATGGTCTGAGTCTTCAAGGAGCTGACATCTTTATTAGAGACAAAAGACAAATATATGTTAAAAAAAGAGTAGCCCATTCAAAAAAAGAAATCAGTCCATTACAGCAAATCTTCATTATATCAGCTAACTACTAGCAGTATGGACTGAAAATATGGATCAGTAGTATGTATATAGAAGTGACTTGAAAATATCCATAATTACATACCAGTTCCACTGAACCAAGTAATGTATCATGTAATGATTATTTTATAGCAAAGTTAACTATACAGGCTTTTTCTATAAAATATGTCCTATATTTCCACTAATGTCCATTAGAAAATGAGAGATACTCTCCATTTTTTAAATCTTCAACATTTTTGGCCAAAAAAATATTTAAATGCAATCCTGCAGCATGTTAAGAATTTAACTGTTTTACTTTCTGACATTTTAATTCTCAAAAATAGTTCATTTGGTGTCATAGCATTTTTTATATCTTTCTTTGTTCAAGAAGCTGCTTCTGTCACCTTTTCCCCTGACACCAAAGGATTTTCTTTATATTCAAGGATCCCCTCAAATTTACATCTTCTAAAACTTTCCTCTCATCTTTCTTTGCATGTGATTTTCTGGTATCTTCTGGATTTTACTTATTTCATAAGTATAAAATTTTTATGAGTAATATGACATAAAGTTCAATTACTTTATCAATTCTAGACATTCAAATTCCTCTTATATATTCTACCTCACTTGCATGATACCTATGTTAGTTTGTATTTTATTTATATTTGTTGCACAAAGCCATTACTTTGTAAAAAGTATTCTTATACTATACTGGAAAAAGTGTAGAAAACCTGGGTTCTAGTCTTACATTGCTTGACATTTTCTTTCATCAATATTAGAATGGGAATATTGTACTTGATTGTGTTCCTTTGCCCATAACTTTTTAATTGTGTGTGTTTTTTATATTCATGGGCATTTCAATTTATTATCCTCCCCAGGTCTAGAAAGCAAATTGAACTTTTGAAACTTTTTCTTTGAGAGAAAGGAAGTAATTTTATTCATGATATCCATTTCAGTTAGTAAAAATGTCTTTAAGCAGCTAAGTGGCTCCCCAAAGATTAAATGTCCAATAAGTGAAAAAATCGGAAGTAGACTCCTGGCCCCCTGGTTTCCCACATCAAAGACTAGCTGCCAGATACATTTCCTCCTACCAGATTTCTCTTGAAATTGTAATTTGTCATCTTCTGAGTAGTAGACAATGAAGGCCTAAGATTTATTTTCCTTGCAAGTGAATAATTAGTGAATGTCAATTTCATGTTTTTTTCAATCTGTGTGAAAGTCAAAAATAGTCACGTTAATTATACTTAGCAGGCACTTTTCTGTGATAATACACCAATTCCTGGAGATGACAAATGTAAATAATATTTACTCCTTAAAAGGTAATCTAATCTGGTATTATTTATAAGTTCATTTAACATTGTCTTCCTTATAGATAACTTCAATAGTGTTTTACTAATTAGATATAAGAAAGACAGTCCCCTCATCTAAACATTATTTTATTTACACTTGCTTTTAGGTTTTTATTGTTTCTTTATTTTCTTCTACACCCCCTTACAGCACAAGGTATCTCAAACCTCAAGCAGCTACCATCTGGCTTGTTTTATATAACTCTCTCAGCCCATTCAAGTGGCAATACACCAGCGAAGAATAAAAAGATATATATTGGATGGAGCCCAAGAACTGCACCCAAAATAGCTTTTTAAAAGTCATTGAGCATAACAGTGGGAATAATAGGAAGGTCTTAAGCGGCAGCTGCTCAGAGAGCACTGGAATAATTCTCTCATCATCTTGCCACAGGTATCGTCCAGAAAGCAACGCTCCTAGCACCTCCACTTTCTTTTTCACTTTGGTTTTTATGTCTATCTTTAGTTTTTATGTCTATCACTCAAATTGCAACAGCTGACAAGCACCTGGGATTTAATTCCTGCCGGATTTCATACATTCACATTAATTTTGGTAATTTCCCAATTGTAACAGTGAGAACCTTCCCCAATTTGGGTGAGCAGCTTTAATATTTCATTGCATATTCATGTATCACCTCACGTTATTTTTAGTTTCTAAAAGAGATAGCAGACGAGGCTTCATAAAAGATTAGTAGGAGCCCTAGAAATAGCTTTATCACTATTCCAGTATATTTCTTTTTTCTTTTCCTGAGAGGGCAGAAAAGGATTCCCTTCAAAGAAGGCATATTTGGTAGTGAACAAAAGGGAACCTTCCCAAGACCACTAGCAATCTCGCTGATATGTTGGAATGTCTAATTTTGATTCTCTCAAGACAGCCTACCACAATGCCCCTGTTCAGCTATTGTAGGGCACAAGCTAATCTTTACATTCTGTTTCCTTCCTCCCAATTCTTCTCATTTGAATTATTTAAGGAATATGTCATGTTTCATTATTTCTACATTTCTTTCACTGAACTATCAAGACTTGGGAAAGAAACACGTCTTTTTAAAAAACACACACATGTACAGCACAGGTTATTCCTTTTCCATTTCAAATAATTTATTCGCATTATATTGGTGTCTTGTAAATTTCATATTTATTGTGCTGCTTTTTAAAATAATTTTTTAAAGTGAAATTTCCTATTCCAGTTCCCTTTTTCATCCAGAGATTTTTATAAGATCATATAGCATGTAATACAGTAAAAAACTCAACATACCAGAATATATTTTTAGAATAGAGACATTCTACAAATGGCAGGAGATTTTTTCCATTTTATGCCTTATGAAAAATGGATTTGGAACTTATAAAAAATGTATCTGGAACATCTGAGTGCAAGATTTTTGATTGGATTTTAGAATTCAGATCTATGATTTAAAAGCAATTTCTTCCTTTCTGAAAGTGTCCATGTCAAATTGATTTTTAAGGAGAAAGAAATGGTGTAATTTGGATTTTGAACCCTTTTCTCAGGACTTAGATTGTTTTCATTTATCTTGACTTCCTTTATCTTTATTGCATCCTCATGGAGTTGGAAAAGCATGTGTTTTCACAACTTTTTTTTACAAGGGTTGACCACAGGCAAAGCCATAAATAAGGCTTTATTCTTTGTTCCATTTCACCTTTCTAGCTTCACATCTATTCAATGCCAATGTGGCTTTCTAGCTAATACTCTTTTTTTCTATCTTGAGGGAAAAGTCTTAATATTTTGTAGCATCACTCCAAAAAATAATTTGCTTTTTTCCCCCCACAAAGAGTAAGGAGAGAAAATAGTTAACACAAATGAATTAATCACTAATGGCTGACTTTCAAGTAAAAATCCAATGAATGTGGAGTAGTTGTCTAGGAGATGTAACTGGAAATTTTTCAAGTCCTTGAAAATGCATAGAAGAATACAGAGTCCCACTTTATTATTCTTATAAAAACCAAAGATCTGAGTATCAAATCACTAACCTATTTTTTTTTATCTTGATGCTCAAGCTCTGAAAGTAGCTCTTTCTCAGTCAGGCTTCTAACTTCTATGATGGTTGCATCAACTTTAATGTTCTAATTTTTAGCACAGCTAATGGAGTAAACTGTAACTGAGTAAAAAGATGACTAGACCACTATCTAGCTTTCTGACTTTTGGAAGCAACCATCCCTTTCTGAATGTTATTTGCCTCCTCTAAAATTAGGAGGCTCAAGCTATTTCTTAAAAAAGAGTTCTGCAATAAGCTTCTTGGGTTTGAATTCAGATTCTATCACTTTACTAGCTCTGTGGTCTTGTACAAACTATTTAGTCTGTCTACACTTTAATTTCCTTACTGTAACATGGAGATCATTGCAGTATCTACTATAGAAGGAATTCTATCAAATGATGTTGGCCTAGTTGACTTTCAATAACTTTTAGCTATTGTTTGATTCAGAGGTATGTTCAAGTCATTATAGCTATGTAAAACAATTAAAATAACTGAAAAATGTGAACAATTCCCAAATATTTGTATAATAGCTGACATTTTATTAAGTGTTTATTATATGAGAAACACTAAGTTCTTGATTTGTATATTTCAATTATTCCTCTCAGTAACACAGTATAGAAGATATAATTATCCCTGGTTTACCCATGAAAAAATTAACCTAGGAAAAGCATGGTGACTCACACCTGTAATCCCAGCACTTTGGGAAGCCAAGGCAGGCAGATCACCTGAGGTCAAGAGTTTGAGACTAGCCTGGCTAACATGACAAAACCTCGTCTCTACTAAAAATACAAAAATTAGCCAGACATGGTGGTTCATTCCTGTAGACCCAGTTACTCTGGAGGCTGAGGAAGGAGAATCACTTGAACCCAGGAGGCGGAGGTTGCAGTGAGCTGAGATCGTGCCACTGCACTCCAGCCTGGGTGACAGAACAAGACTGTGTCTCAAAAAAATAAATATAAATAACTTAAATAAGCACACAGTCACACAAGTGAAAAAGTGCTGGAAGTGGCATATAAAGGGGAGCGTGTTTTCCCCCAGAGTTCACTCTTTTAATCACTGGACTGTATTTTGCCTTCCACTCTGGTGGAAGACCTCTGCCTTCAGTCTAGATGACTAATGCATAATTAACTGCAGCACTACATCCTGAAGAAAATCAACCTGTCCATGTTTCTTGAATCATTTTTACAATTAATATCTGATTTATATTTCTTCTTTTCCGAACTTGCCAGAGAATTTTAGAACATGATGCATATATATTTTTCAAGCATGCAAATCCATAAAGTCAAAGAGAGTTTTTGAACCACAGCTTGTTACTCCCCTACCTTCTTTCCTGTCAAAATCACCTGTGAAGAATCAACTTTCTCAGAAAGCTCAGCAACTTATTGAGATTTGGCCTGGAATTCACATAAAACTAGATAAAATTAGTGCTAAAAGGCCTATAAGAGCACCATAAAATAATTGACATCAAAACACCCACACACACACATACATTTTCATTTCAAATGTAAGAAGCCAGAGCTCTGACCCCATTGCTTTCCATAGCTGGCGAAAAGTATGACTTTTGAAATCGATACATTGCAATCTCCATGTTACCATCCTAGTGCAGTACTCCACAGCACCGGCGCCAGGAAGAAACATCAGTGTTTCATTCTCCAGATTAATGATCTCCTTTCAGAGAAATGACTTTCAGCTATTTTAGACTATATGCCCTTCATTTGAGAAGCAGTTTGTATTCATTCACTTACAGTCAATATTCACTAATATCATGGATTGATGGAGTTAAAAAGCTTTTCATTAGTTCTGTTAGCAAGGCTAATTTTTATAGCATTTGATCATTTTACTTCTAGTTGCCCCTCTTTTTTTCAGAACTTTGTGTCCCCCAATCATTCTTTTGATAGAGTAATATATTACATGTTTTGTATCTACAAAGATGTGTCCATGTCCCCAATAATGAGAGCAGCTACTCACAAAACAAGGTTCCTGTTTCTTGAACTAATTATGCACAGAAATTTCTACCTCTCACTTACCAATGAGATAATTAAAATGTGAGTCTTGGAGCAGAGAGGATTAGAGGTTTAGATGCTTGTATAATACATATATTACTGGCTAGTAATTTGTACTGAAAAAAACATAAATATAAATATATATATATGTATAAACTCTTTGCTCCATTTCTCATGTATCTTATTATTTGTTTATTTTTGCAGATGTTATTATTCCTAAATTCAAATTGGTCACAGGTTCATTCAAGAAAAACACTATACCAACGTAACTACATACCAATTATAAAAATAAGGAATGTCTTGATGAAACATAGATATGGGGATAGAATAGATATTCCTGATCTCTAAGTGTACATCAACAGTAGGGTTCTTTCCTCATTAAGTTTAACTTACCAAGAACATGTGTAAAAACTCTATTTTGCTGTTCAAAGACATTCACATGAAATTTTTTTAGTGAAGTAGCAGATCCAAGTACATGAAGAGCCTTGGGAATAAAAATAGGCAAAGCCTTATAATAATGATTCCTGCTAATAGAAATATTTATAATTACACTATGACATCCTGTTTTTAGTTGCTATGCAATTAACATTTTCTCTTTTCTTCTACTTCCTCTTACACTTATACACATGAGGATATGTGGGTTTCATTATGCCAGGATGACTAGGTAGAGACATTTGTTGATATTTTAAGAATTTTAAGACATTTCTAGACTTCAAAAATGCATGGTTAGTTGTTTCTTTTTTATTGTCAAAAACTTGTAGTGGACATTGCTATGCTTCAGGGACTTCACACATACATAACATCTCCTTTAATCCTCATGTAACCTCTGAGGACTTGCTGGTCTAGTATGGAATATGGGACATATACCTGAATAACCACAACTTAAGACACAAAATGGTGACGGCCATGAGCAAGGTACAGAGATCAGTAGCCATAACCGTGCAGAAGAAAAATGTTGCTTCTACCTGAAAAAAATAAAAAAGGTTCCTTTAAGTGGTGACATTAGGAGCTGACCTGAGGGGAAAACAATGGTACTTTTAATATCAATCCACCCCTATAACTTCCCCTTAACTTTAGATGTGTATCATTAGCATTATTCTTGTGTTAAAACATTAGGGGGATGCTTTGGCAAGAACCTGAAATGAAGACAAGCGTGCAAGTAAAAAGGAAAGAGATTGAAGGTCTAAGAATGTCAGAAATACCTAGCAAGGACTAGGAGTGAGAAGGAACAGGAGTGTGTGTTTTAGTGAAAAGAGATCACATAGGATGAAAGGAACCAAAATCTATTCCTAAGGAGTTAAAAATAAAAGGATGCAGAGTAGGAAAATCATTGTTTGATTCTCCTTTGATAGAATTACCAGTTGATATCATTAAGACAGTCTAGTTTATTTGTTGCCTGAATTGACCTATGCAGATGCCAAAGGAGACCTTTTGTCTTCAGGATGGGTAGGGATAAAGTGAGAAGAGTTTAATTTCTGACCCCATGTACAGGACATTGGAGGCTCAGATGCTCATTACTCGGGGAATACTGATGAGGATGAAACAAGAAGTGCATCATCTACTGAGGGTCTGGAAGTTTACTATCGTTAATATCTACAATGTGGAGGGTGGGGAAAGGATGCAAAGGAGGAAGAGACACTTGTTTTGAAGGTGACCAAGATGACCTTTACCCTATAGCTAAGCTGAATGACCTTGCTGGTAGGTGAAGTATTTTGCGAAACCATTCTGGCTCACTTAGGGGCCAGCCTTGTGGATTGTCATTATTCATAGAAAGACACAGTGTCTGCTCCCAACATTGACCTCACAGTATGAGAGTTGAGTAATATGAATGAATTATTTATTACTTATTCAAATTTTAAGACTCACTGGCCTCTAATAGAACCAAAATAAGAAATTTTTTTCTTCCTTCTTTTCCAATAAGTTGATACCTCTATCTATGCTTCTCACAAATGGATTCTCTACAATCAAGTGATTCCTTTCAATACTGTGGACTCACAAACTGGCTAATTATACCTGAATTAAGGGCAGTTCCATTCAGGTGATTCTACATTTCATTTTACACAATGCCATAGCCAGGAATGACCCAAAACAATTTCTTAATAGCCTGAAAGAGTTCCTTAACTTTCCAACAAACTTCAGGAAAAACACATAGGATAATTAAATAAATCCAGGAAACAATTTTTTAAACATTTTCTTTATACTAGGGTTGAGCTAGACACTACCTAACTCTCAAGGAGTTTACAGTATGACTTTTTGAAGCCTTATTTTTTACAAAAATGAAATAGATGTATAAATAATAAATATAATGCTAGGCAATAAGACATAAGAGATGTACTAGGGAAATAAATAAATTTTGACTGGGCTGGCTCAGAGAAGAAGAAAACAGTTGACTTAGAACTTAAACCATTACAAGGATTAGGATAGTAAATAATTAAGTGGGAGTGGAATTTGGGTAGAAAGTTTGCCAGGACTGAGGAAAATTGAGCTCCTATCAATATGGTGAGTTAATTAATAGAGTTAAAATTCAGGTGTGTAACCCAATAATTTACTTTCATTTCCTGGCTTATCATTACTTATTTCCATACTTTCATTTTTTACTATTATTAAGATTCATCAAAGCTGGGTATTGTGCCTCAAACCAGTAATCCCAGCTATTCAAGAGGCTGTGGCAAAAGAATCGTTCATGCCCAGCAGTTCAAGGCTGCAGTGAGCTATGATCATGCCACTGCACTCCAGCCTGGGTAGTGAGAACCCCATCTCTAAGATCCATCAAGTCAGCATGGCCAAAATATCTTTTGTTCAATACATGAAAAATGGATGAAGCTAACATTAAATATCATTCTTATATATTTCTTCATCAAATTCCACATTTTTTATTTTTAAAATGATTCACTTTGTATTGTTTTATTTTTTCTTACTTCTTAGGTATTTCTAAATCCCAATATGCTCTGATAAATAATTATCATAGAGCATATGATTTTAAGCAGAGATGCTAATTGGCTTTAAAAAATACAGACTCATGATTGTAATCATCTAACTGTTGTTGAACCCCAAATTTCAAATTCCTGCTAAGCACTGCAACTCGTATAAAATTATTCAGAAAAGCAGTGTTTTATGCAGAGTGAGCCTCTGAGGAAAAAATTATCTATAGTCTAAATAACTTTTGCAAATAGGCCTACTATAAAATTTGGTAGGCTGATTTTTCCTGTCTCTCAGTAAATCTAGTATAACATTGAAAAAGATCACCACACTTGGTTTGAAGTCTAAATGAAATAATAGGCTTGATTTAAGAGCCATATTGTATGAAAAATATAATTGTTTTTTACTATTTTTTTCCTGAGTGGGTATGATTGGTGTCACCTATGTTTAATAATGTAACTACTGCAGTGGGTCTCAAAGACAAGCCACATCAGATTCACCTGGAGGGCTTGTTAAACTCAGTTGCAAAATTCTACACTCAGAAAGTCTGAAGTGGGGCTTAATAATTTTGTTATTATTATTATTATTATTATTGTAGAGACGGGTCTCACTATGTTGCCCAGGCTAGTCTTGAACTCCTGTCCTCAAGCAATCCCCCTGCCTCGACCTCCCAAAATTAGAATTACAGACATGAAAGGATTTTTATTTTTAATGAGTAACCAGTGATGCCAACGCTGCTGGTCCAGGGGACCCACTTTGAGAACCACTGTGTACACACACACACTTGAAACACATAAATATATATATCTTAAATTAATTTGTGATCATGAAGGGTATGTGTGTGTGTGTTTAAATGCCTGTGTGATTGTACATCATTCAACCAGCTACATTTTTTAATCATTAGTCATTTCTTATTATGTGGCAGTGAATATAACCACTTCTAACCTATAGAACTGTTTTGATGTTCAAAACCAGTTCTCAGCTGCTGGGAATGCCTTAAACGCTAAGGTCAAATTGTCAATAGAATCCTGCCTGCGTAGACTTAATACCAGTAAGATAGATCTAAAATTGGCATTTCAATAAGCTATTTTGCTAAACTTTAATAACACAAATTCTGTTAACCTTGAAGCCCTGATTAAAACACAAATAAGCGAGAAAATCCCTATTGTTAACTGAGCCCATTTTGCATATTTATTGCTACATCTTTTAATTTGTAAGGCCATGGCAGACTGTATAATGAAATCTGCTCTCTAGTTGCTAGGTCTTTCTTTTTGTCTTTTCCACATTATATTACACGTAGGTGCTGGATGTCAGTGTAGTAGCAGCTTACCTACATTTGGAGAAAATATAAAAACCTTTGAAAAATGTTTGCTATCATTCTGTCATTCCTTTCTTAACTCTTTTTCCTATATTTGTCCATCATCTGTTTTCAGAGTCCAAAAATTTTAACTAGTTTTTTCACTCCACCAAAATGAAAATTCTAACTATATTTATTTAGCTATTTATTTTTTAAAGAAATGCTGCATTTTGTTGGGTTGAGTGGTATATAGAGTCTACCAGGTGCTTTGATTAATTCAGAGTTATCCTTTGCACAATCATATATTTGAAAAAAGAGAGGTAACCCTGAAAAAAAAAAAAAAAAAGAGAATACAGTATGAATGAGCTGGGGTTGGAGAGTTTGAGAATACCGAAGTTCAGAAACATGGGGACTATTTGGCACCCAAGAAAATAACCACATAGTCATCATCAGGTTTTGGGACTGCTTATGGGGAGGAAAGAGGATGCCCAAAGTAGTTTAATGAAACACTGAAAGTAATGATTTAGGAACAGATTAAAAGATGCCAGATTCATCACTTCATCACATGATCTGCCTTTCTTTGCAGTCTAACTTGGGATAAACTAAGGAAGAAAGTATGACAATCAAATTACCTGCTTTTCCTGTTTTTATAAAATTATGTAAAATTATAGAAGACAAAGTTAAAACTACATGTCGCATTTCAACTACTGTATCTATGGATTTCTTACTGAGAACTGTCTCCAGTGACACAAATAATTTTAAATTGCATGCATTGTTTATATTTAAAGACTACAAATTCTCTTTATTTCTT
The DNA here is from genome assembly GCF_000001405.40 of Homo sapiens. Classification (NCBI taxonomy): domain Eukaryota; kingdom Metazoa; phylum Chordata; class Mammalia; order Primates; family Hominidae; genus Homo; species Homo sapiens. The sequence continues at coordinate 79,195,991 of NC_000012.12, forward strand.
CATTCAACAAATATTTATTATGCAGCTTCTGTGTGCCAAGTGTTAGCTGAAGGAAATATAGTTGCGAACAGACATCTCTTGCCCAGCCAGGTAGTTAAGACATACTAAGAAACACTAATAGCAATAAAATGTACATGGAGCTATGTACATTTCTAATTCTGTTGTTGTTGTTGTTGTTGTTGTTGTTGTTGTTGTTGAGATGGAACCTCCCTCTGTCACCAGGCTGGAGTGCAGTGTCACGATCTCGGCTCACTGCAACCTCCACCTCCCGGGTTCAAGTCATTCTCCTGCCTCAGCCTCCCAAGTAGCTGGGACTACAGGCACCTGCCACCATGCCCAGCAAATTTTTGTGTTTTTACTAGAGATGGGGTTTCACCATGTTGGCCAGGATGGTCTCGATTTCTTGACCTCGTGATCCGCCCTCCTCAGCCTCCCAAAGTACTGAGATTACAGGCATGAGCCATCGCACCCGGCTGTACATTTCTAATTCTATATCTGGGTACTCCTCTCAAACTCGAAGAACCTTAATTTGGAATTTAATTTCAATTATATGGAGGAAAAGGAATTAGTCCAACCTCTATACCTTTTCTTTTAGTAACAACTACAGAGCAGAAATGTGTCCCTTTAACCTTTGAAGGGGCTATTTTCCCTTTCAACACAACGGAAGAAAGCTTCAGATCAGAACTAATTGTTCTGTGATTGATTGATAGTTTCCCTCTTGTTGCTACATACAGCCCAATGACATGCATTGTACACACAACAGGAGGTAAGAGAGTCAATCAATTAGGGAAACAATTAGTTCCAGTTTCTACAATTCATTTGATGTTGTAGATGAAATTGCCTGAAAATATTAAGAGCATTAAAGATCAGTGGTGAAAGCTAAGTAAATACATTTATATTCAAATTTTAGAGGCAGATGCTTAGTTGATGCTGCTCTTCTGCAGATAGGCGATGTTAATGCAATAACAATTACAGTTTGGCAGCAATTAATAAATGGACTGTCAAAATCAGTCAAGTTGTGTTCATGGTTTTGGAAGGCTGCTGATTTTAGCTTTGACAAGATGTGGCTGAAGTGTTGCTGAAAAACTCAAAGTGATTAATTAATTTAGAAGATATAATTCTGTGACTCCCCTTCTATGGGTAGTAGTTGGAAATGGGGGAACCCAAACATTCAATGCAACCTGATGCCTTCTTTGGGGTCCACATTTAATTAGTATTTATGTCTAGTAAATGCAATGTGTAGGAATATTCTAAGATTTATGAGATTGATGAAGTTGTAACCAAGAAAATATGACGCAACTTGGAGTAATATAATTGATGAGATCTTCAAGTCATACGGAATTCTAGATTTAGAGCTTTTGTTGCGATATTAGGGTACAAAATTCAGGGTGGGGAGGAAATTAGGATGGACTAAGAGTGATGGGCTAGCTCTAAGTGAGCTCAAAGCTATGTCTCATGCAGAGCAATGTGAGAGACAGGTCCCTCTCCTCCTCCGGGTAAGAAAGCAAAAAGAAAGTTAATAAAAATAATCAAGAACATTTCATCCAAAACAGTAGAAAAGAGAAAATGCTTAAGAATTTTACTATATTTCCTCAAAAGCAAAATATAGGAACAAGTTTAAAGCCATAATTCCATCAAATTTTGAGTTTATATGTTAGCCTATTCTTAATAATGATCAAAGCTGCTTAAACCCAGAAAGTAAATCCTGATCAGTTTCACATTATCTTTTAGTTTGTTCAGCAAAAGAATAAAGAGAATACTGATGTTAACATGTGTATGTCTGTAGTATTTAAAATCCAACACACTCTGGCAGAAATGTTCTAGAGTGACTCAAATTTGATCCCTCAGAGAAAAAGTATATTTTTTAACAAGGTAACACTGTTACTTTGATGAATAAATTTTTTTCTAAAAAACTCTGGATACAACTAAGACAGCTAAGAAACATGGAAAGCAAATAAAACATCACTATCACCCAGAAAAAATAAGATAATACTAATAGAGAAAATTAATTCTAAATATTAAATCCATTTCTAGACCAAAACAGAAAAGAATTCACATTACCTTATTCAGGTTTTTCTAACCTTTCAATAAAAATCTTGTAGAAATTTGTTATAAAATTTCATTTTGTAATTTAATATTAGGAATTAATTAGGAGGGAAAACAAATTGATATTCTCAGCTCCTTATCTTTGGCGTTTTAGTACTTACATTGTCTTTCGTGTTCTAATTAATTTTACTAATCCCTTTAGCTAATGAATAAGTAAATGAGGACCAGGGGAAAAATTCATCAATTGCAAGAAAAGTGTAGAAAATTATTAATTCAGAAGTAACCCATAACAACCACAGTGAACTTGTCAGTATTGCTTTGCTCTCTTGCTAATATTCTAATTTCTGTTTTATTATTCTTCATAGAGCAAAATGTTTCACAGTTAATCTTAACAGTACTTTTGTTTCTAAGCCTTCTAAAAGGCATTGATTTGGGAATAGCCAAATATTTGAATATAAATTGATTTTATGCAATACACAGAAAACAAGTATTTTATTGATATAAGTGGTTTCTTTATTTGTAGAATTACACTTAAAATTATTTTGAAGCAGCATGAACTCTCTCTGGACGGTTTTGGAATTTCATGCCCAAATCAACTTGAACATTACTTTTATATGAGCTTTTTGTCTTCTGCAGTAGCATAAATGCCTATGGATGGAAGTGTCAGGGGAGTAGAGATGGAGATAAAAGCTTCAGGAAACAAGATGTAAGTGTGAAAATGACAGAATGTTCATGTGGGAAGAAATTGCTATAAAGCTTTTCTTTCCTTCATTCCTCTTCCTAAAAGAAATACTTAAATTTTAGGACTTCAGTCATTTTCTTTCAATCTGGTTGATAATAGCAGGAGACTAAGGCCTACTTTATATATTAAGACAGAAAATGCTCAGACATTACAGAGACAGGCATGAAGAAGGGGAAGCCCGCATGAATTTTTGGAATGACAAACCTTCTGTGCTGATATTCTGATGTCAGTTGACATTCTGATATTGATTTTCAGACTTCCTTCACTGAGGAAGTAGTTATAATCTTTAACCAGCATGGCCAAGAAAGAAATCTCAAGGGCAGTAGAGACTTTTGCTGTTGTCTAAGTTCTTTTTATCCTCTTTAATGCCATACCATTCTTACCTCTTTGGAAGGCTGTTTGTCATTCACAACCAATTCAATTCAATTCAGTGTCTGATGATGGACTTCTACAAAGTGCATCTTAATCAGCAGATTTCCACAGAGACTTTTCCTCTCTCTAACACCCTCTGCAAAATGCTGGCTGAAATTTTTACTTGTTACCATGAATAACAGCATGATTTTGCAGCTACATGTTCCCCTCTTTCAAAATTGAATGCTCTATATCCGTTTTTCCCTACCAGCTGCCTTCCCTCTCTCCACTGTCAGCATTTTGTGATGAAAAAGATTCAGTTACAATATGTGCCCCATATTGTGTAGGCTTTATTTTCACTCAGGCTTTGAGTCAGGCCTCCATTCTCACCATAGAAATGCCCTATCACCTCTCCAAACACCAATTCTCTCTAAAATTAAATTTATTCTGCTATAACATGCAAAACCTAGAAATGCATCCAAAGCCTGCTTCTGACACCAGAGAAAAATGAAAAATCACGAGCAAATTCACCTAAGTTTACTCACATTTATGTTTTACTCCCTTATAACAGAGTAATGCAAAATTAGGTTTATATCAATATAAATACGTATCATAAGCACTATCAAATTTTATACTGTGGTAGGGATTGAGACATTGTGCTGAGTATTGCAAATACAAATGTTAATAAAATCCTATCCCAAAACTCAGGGAGCTCAGAGCTGATTGATGAAATAGATACATAAGAAGATAATCATGATATAATTCTAGAAATGCATTAATTCCTAAAAGTCTTGATCCTTTCCCTTTCCCAATATAATGGTGAGGAACTTTGTTTAAGAAAATATGTTTAAGAATAGGTAGCATAAATTTTTTTTTATTAGAATTATAAAGAGGGCTTCTCTTCCTGGTGACATCTTAACCACAAGAGATTATTTATGCTTCCTACCAAAAGCTACTGAAATGGTAGAATAGAAGAGAGATGAAAAGGGTGAAGGACATAAAATTCTGTGCAACAAGAAAGTACCTTAACAAATCAGAAATTCTGAACCGTTTCCAAGACATAGAAAGCATTTTATAATAATTGATAAAGATACCAGATCTGAGAAAACTGCAACCCAGAAGTGCTTGGAAGAAATGTGCTGCAGAGAGAGGAGCCATTTTCCCCAGCTGGCCCTTGATAGTCTAACAAATTGCCAAAGGATTTCTGCTTGGAGGGTAATTACAGTGGAGTAATTTATTAAAGGAGAATTGCCTCCTCACAGCTGGACAACTGGCTCCAGTTCACATAGAGGTACTTAGAGCCACTATGAGGGCTCTCTGAGTAATGTGGACAGGGTGTAGGAGCAAACAAGAAGCAAAGCACAGTCCTCTGAAACTCAAAAGGGTATGAAAGAGTAAGAATAGCCCCTCTGCCAGACAGAAAATGCTGTCCGCTCCCAGAAAAATTCCTCCTTTACCTTGAAAAATGAGGGAACTCCTAGCTTATCTACTGGTACCTGCCCAGGCACTTAGAAGGAAAGTCTGTGTCACCATGTGTAATACTCTCTCAGTCAACACTTTCATTCAGAGAAGAAGTAACTGGGGAAAGAGATTTGCCCAGTTTAGACAAAATCTATACCAGTCATAAGATTAATCAATATTAGATTCCAACATAGAGTTTCTAGCTTCAGAGTCCATGCTGTTATCCAGATAATAACTGAACCAATCTACATAATTCAGAAACATAATCTGTCCACCCTCCCTGTCATATATATCTTGATTAAAGGGGATTTTTTGTAAGCCAGATAAATATCTAATTGGTGAATCATCAACCTGTACAAATAGTGAAATGGTAAGGAAATGTATTTTGGAATCAGAGGGTTATCACATGGGTCAGCCCATCATTTCATGGAGCCATCCTTTGATCATTTCCCAGCTGTTTCCAATTCCCAGAGCTTTTTACTTCCTTCATTGTTGATGCCATGGAGCCTCTAAAAGGCTTATAGTAACGTTCCTAGGATCTGTAGTGGAACACCCATGCTAGGCAAGGGTGATTTCCCCATACGTATTTTTTGGAAGTTGGGGCTTGTAAATAGTTGACTACCTTGACTACCTCTAAGTGTCATGCAAAGCTGAGCCAGAGCCAATGAGAGATTCTAGCCAGTTTCACAAATAATCCTGAATAATTTATTTGGCAGCAGCTATGATTTTATTTAAAAGTTGATAAATCTGAAAATATCTTTAGATCCTATTCTATAAAGAAAGGCAAACAGGCTTCATCAAGAAATTGACAAAAATACTTTCAGTTCTGTGTAAGTCAAATCGATGTTGCTATAAGGCCAAAGGATAGTGAAGTAGGGACGCAAAAAGTTAGCCATATTCCAGGATCTGACCTTCAAAATTATAGGCTCAAAAATTTGTTTAAAGTCATCTTTCGGTGTGACTGACACTACCCAATTCACAAGGGGCTAATATATAAGCCAGAATTTTAATAATTGTTTAGTACTGCGTATCTAAATACAAACATGTTTTCTTCCAACGATGCATCATAGTTTATAACTAGACTGATGAAATAAACTTGGAGTCCTAGTCATCAACAATCTTGAGCTACACAATAGGAAAAGGTGCAGATCTTCCATATATCTGTTGCTTTGCAGTAAGGTAGAAATGACTTCTACTTAAGAATCTTAAAAAATTATAATAGGGCTTTTGATAATAAAAGACATCCAACAACTTTTAAAGTGGAAGTTTGGCACACTCAGTATAAGCACTTTAGATCATGTTTTAGTTTTCTTTTAATGTCATAATATCAAATTATTGATCAGTAAGTATGAAAAAAGTCTAAAGAAATGAGCCAACTGCCTGTAGAATGACTTCATATCAGTGAAATTATAGTATCTATAATTACTGAATAAAACATGAAAAGGCAATTTAGCTCCATGTATTGCTCTTGTCAGTAAGCCAGCATGCCTGTTTATCATGTAAATAGGATAGTAGTTACAGATCATGCTCCAAATCAGAAACTATATTCTTTCTAAACTCTTTATTTGAAGATCTGAGATGCAAACTGTGGTATATTCATCAGTCTTATTAAGCCACTCAGATGGCAATGGCATTAAGTCCAGGCATTGGCCAAAATGAAAATAAAAGTTAAAGAGCCAGAGATAATGACCTTTTATTACAGTTACTTACTTCACAATGTTCAATGTCATGTTCCAATGTGAGATGGTGACTCAATGGTATTTTATAGGAAATCTGTTCTTAACCCCGCTTTCTTAAAGTGGTGTGTTCTGGGTTTGTCAAGACGAAGGAAAGATGTGAAAATTCGCCATGGACATATCCCTAACTTTATTAAAGCGTGACTTGTTGAAGAAACAGAAAATAAATTGTTTCTTACTAAGAAACAAAAGCAAAGAAGAAAGAGAAGGAGTCAGGGAAGAAGCAAAAGAAAAGGAACTCACTAAGAAACACATGGAGATTATGCCATGTAAGAATCACAATAGGGCACCTGCCTTTCAAATATTCTTTCCAGTCCTCCAAGTCCCCCGGATTTATTTGTAGAGTACTCCTAGTAGATCAAGGTGTACTTGTCCACTGCTTCCTCACTTGCAGACTTTGATCAATGATGGACACACTAAAAGGTAGAACATTCAATTGGAATGCAATATATAAAACTGAACCCTTACCTAAACGTTTCAAATCTTTTAAAGCAGCTTAAACCAATCGCAAAACTAATTTTCTTATAATTCACATCAATTCAATTCATATTTATCCAGCTCCACAGGATGCAGGGTGCTGAACTTCACCATAATTTACAGAATGTAGGGAAGACACAACCCTGTTTTGAATAGGAAAAAAATGTAATGAAAATCTCTTAGACCTATTGGGAATCAAAAGCTAGGAGTCAGAGGCACATGTAGGTAAAGAGTATTAGCAACAAGGCAAGTTAGCTTCGCCTAGTAGATAATAAGCCTATGGAAAAAAAAATTTTTTTATTGTGAAAATGAGATTGTTAAGTATTTGTGTATGCTCGTTTTTGGCAGATGTAATACAAACTGAATCAAACCGTAAGGGAAATGTATTATTTTCCATTACAAGAAGTCCCAAGGTATGGTTGTCGTAGGTTGATTAACACAGCTGCTCAACGGCATTGTGAGGTTATGGTTACTTTCAGTTTATAGCTCGCTGTCCATAGAGTATCTATCTGCCTTCCCTTTCACCAGATTCTCTCATACTTACGACATGGCTGCAAGCAGTTCCAGGTACCACAGGCAAACACATCACCACCCAGCAAAGGAGATACTGCTTCCTCTGTACGTCTTTTTAAAGGTTAGAAAAACATTTCCAGAAATCACCCAACAGAATTCCTCTTATATTGCTACACTTCCAAATTGACTCATATGCCCTTGCCTAAACCAACCATCGGCAAAAAGAATAGGATTTCCATGATCAACATATAGACTAATAAGATTTTCTTATGAAACAGGGATAAGGTAATCTCCCCAAAGCAGTACTTGTCAGAAAAAAAAAGTGGGGTTTTATCTTAAATTGAAAGGAAGGAATAGCTGTTAGGTAAAAAACCAACACACTGTTAGGTAAACGGCCAACAATCTTGCTTGTTATTTTTTCGTAGATTGTAGATACTGTTCATTCTTGTCTCATGTCCCCAAATTAATTCATTGGCACACAACAGAAGGTAGAATTTGGGGAGAAGTCTCCTGTAATTATTTATACTAGAGTATATTTTGGATTTTAACCATCTGCGTACATGGCTGTATCCCCAGCCATTCAAATAGTGAATGAATTACTTGAGAATTATTCAAAGCACCTAGTATAATGTTGGACACATTGTAGACACACAGTTTATTCATTCGATCAACATTTATCTATTCATTTATTAGTAAGGCAGACTTCCATGGACTCAGAGCTGGCCTGTTTCAATTTAAATCCTGGCTCCACCACTTACTAGCTGTGCAAACTTTGGCAAATTCTCTCATCTATAATAGAGAGACACTGTAATAATATTGCCTGACTCATGAGGTTTATTTTGTGAGCATTATATGAGCTTAGATGTTTAAAGCACTTATAATAATGTCTAGGTAATAGTATAGCTTAATAAATGTTAGATATTTTTATTTATTGATATATTATTTCTAACTGGTAGGTTGCAACATTTTCCATCATCCTATTTACCTCAGTCTGAACTGTGTATAGATGGATTTTAAAGTTTTGCTTCACTGTGTGACAAAACAATGACTGTTTGAACACAGTGTGATAAAAGAGGGCTGTGAGCTGCAAGCTCAGATTTTCTGTCAAGTGCCTGCAGCTCAGAAACAGCAAGAGTTCAGAGTTGAGTTTCAGCAAAGCAACGGAGAAAGGAAATTCCAAATTATTTATCTGTAACTTCTATAAAAAACACTGAGAGCCGATTGGCTTGCTTCAACTAAGCTATATCTCTTCATAACTACCAAAAGCATCTAGTACCATCTTACTATACAAAAGTTAGAGATCACTTCAATTAATATTCTATACAATGAGTACAGTCACTAAAAAAAGCTATGTCAAATTGATCCATGGAAGATTTCAGTTCCATCTCTAGGCCTTTACATCTCCCTCTTCTATCAAAAATAAATTAAAAAGAAAAAAGAGAGACTTTGCTCCTGTTGTAACTTTTTTTTTTTTTTTTTTTTTTTGAGACGGAGTCTCTCTTTGTCGCCCAGGCTGGAGTGCAGTGGTGCAATCTCGGCTCACTGCAAGCTCCGCCTCAGTTCCATCTCTAGGCCTTTACATCTCCCTCTTCTATCAAAAATAAATTAAAAAGAAAAAAGAGAGACTTTGCTCCTGTTGTAACTTTTTTTTTTTTTTTTTTTTTTTGAGACGGAGTCTCTCTTTGTCGCCCAGGCTGGAGTGCAGTGGTGCAATCTCGGCTCACTGCAAGCTCCGCCTCCCGAGTTCACGCCATTCTCCTGCCTCAGCCTCCCGAGTAGCTGGGACTACAGGCGCCCACCACCACGACTGGCTAATTTTTTGTAATTTTAAGAGATGGGGTTTCACCGTGTTAGCCAGGATGGTCTCAATCTCCTGACCTCGTGATCTGCCCGCCTCGGCCTCCCAAAGTGCTAGGATTACAGGCGTGAGCCACCGCACCCGGCCTCCTGTTGCAACATTTTTTAAAACACTGTAAAATACACCTGAAGTTTTTATAATGCATTTGAAAAAACTCATATCTTTTCTTGATTATGAACCTGCCATTCCTACTAAAATCTTGGGAGGCTTTTTAGAGCCAGAAAAATTCTACATTATTCAGTGGCACTTTTAAAATAAATATGGTTTTTGAAACTGCAATGATATTTTATTTATAGAGAAATGAATGCGTAATAAGTGGATTATCAGCAAAACAATGTTAAACTTGTGAATTCATTAATGAATACGTTTTTAGTTACAATTCTGATGTACCATATTTTTAAGATTCACATCCCTATTGTAGGTGGAAAATGTTCAGGTTTGTATAAAACCTTCTGATTTTCTGTATATCACTTTAGTAATTCAGTACTTGAATTTTCTCTTGGATATGTTTTGCCAGTTTGTTTCCATTCTTTTATTCTCAATAATATAGGTCCAAAGGGGAAAATAACATAGCAATGAATATAGTTTTCACTTGGCTCATGGATTTATTTTTATTTTGGCTAGTTCTTCTGAAATTCATGTTGACTACAATTGCTAAATATAATTGTAATTGATCTTCTGAGAACGAGAAACACAGTTTGTTTAAATTTTTTTTAAGTTTTCCCTTTCCAATACATTATTTATAAACAATACTCATATTTTCTCCTCATTCTTTAGGAAATACGTATTTCATGTACTCTAAGAGACCATTAACTACAAGATGCACCATTATTTTATATAGCACTAAGGAAGCATGTTGAAAACAGTTTCAAAAATGGTTTCATATAATTTGAATTTTATTTTGTATTAAAAGATTATTTAGACTTATTTAGACAGATTTCATTTTGTCACTCTTGTGCACACAAAAAAAACAAAAATAAAAGCAAAATAAATTGGTTAATGAATTTCTAAAATTTCTAAATCTGTTCTCAATACTCAGATTTGATAATGCTCTTTTTTTCAGATACCATTTCTGCAAATATTGCTTTACTGTTGCCTCCAAAATCTTCCAAATTGCTTGACTCTCATTCTGCTAGTTTTGATGGTAAAGCCAATATTAAAAGGTTTCAGACGACAACCCAGATGCAGATCCCTTCTTTAAGTCACCTTTGAGTGATTTGTTGACTGGAACATCAGCAGGAATAATAACTGTGTTGAGCGTACGTTGAGCAAATAACAACTGGGCCTGGCAGACAGTGATAGTAAGATACCACAGATTTTAAGAAAAATCCCCATTTCAAAGATGTAAAAAATGTGAAAAAAAATATTGTGAAAGAATGTATTCAGTTGAGTGTTTAATCCATCACTCAACCATCAGTCTCCATGGCATTTTCCTTAGCTTCCATGATGGGATCCCACATCACTCAATGCTCTCAGTTCTAACAGTCTTCCATGTGCAGTTAGGAATGCACAGTGAAGAGTTACTGACAAAATTCATTACTTCTGGCTATAAATTCAAATGATCCAGAAACTAACAAGACTAGTGACTCCACACAGTAGGTTTTGTTTCTCATAATACTTTCTTGATTACAAGGTGCAGATACTTAGATCATCATCAAGTGGGATACTATGTAGTGAAACTCAGATCGAGGTGAAAACCAGGCCAACAGAAGTGGAGTAACTGCAAGGATGACATTGGACAGTGATCACAGATGTGAGCCCTGGGATCAGATAGCCATACTGGAATCCTGGCTTCACCACTTATTAACTCTGTGACAATGAGCATGTTTATTTTTTTCTCTATGCCTTAGTTTCTTCAAAGTTTTTCATAGTTTAAATTCCTAGGGAATGATTCTTATTGCCTAACTCACCTTTTCATGCCAAACAGTGTCATTGGCCTCAGTCCAATGAGCTGCCATTGAATCAGGTACACATTCCTCCTCAAATTTGCTGTGACTATGCTGTAGGGGGTGGTCACACAATGTGCATGAGCTCTTTCCCACCTTTAGAGCCATGAGAACAATTTTACTGAAAAGGAGCTATCGATGGGCACACACTGGATTTCATACTTTGAGTACATCTCCCACCCACCACCTTTAGGATCAAGGGTTAGATCCATCTCTCCTCAGAGAAAACAAAGTTTTTTGTTTGTTTTAATTTGATTTGATTTTAGGTTCCAGGATACATGTACAGGACATGCAGCTTTGTTACATAGGTAAACGTGTGCCATGGTGGTTTGCTGCGTCCATCAACCCATCACCTAGGTATTAAGTCCCTCATGCATTAGCTGTTTGTCCTGATGCTCTCCCTGCCCCACCAACAAGCCCCGGTGTGTTGTTCCCCTCCCTGTGTCCATGTGTACTCATTGTTCAGCTCCCACTTATGAGTGAGAACATGCAATGAAAAACAAAGTTTAAAAAAAGAAAAAAGATATAGAGATGTTAAACTAGTTGGGCCAGCTTGGAAACAAATCTAGAAAAAAATGACACTTTTTGACACAGGATGTTATTATGATTTTTAAACAATGAAAATTAGGATTAGATGGGAAAATAGCTAAATTCTTAATATAACCAGTCTCCTTCCATCTTTAAGAACGACGGCTCCTAAGCTTTTGCTCAACTTCAAGAGACAGGGATGGGAGGGAATGAACACTGGAGAATCTAGCAAACTACATAAGAAAAAACAAGAAAGAATTCTCATTAACAATATGAAATTTGCAAGTTGGTAAGTCAGTTTTCCAACCTCTGGAAGTAGGATTACCTAGCTACTTAAACAGTTTAACCCCTGGTTTTTAACACAAACATTTGCCTTTTAAGCTATTTGTTCATTTTGAGAAACTTACAGCTGCATCTCTCTGCACGTATCCTTTTTGGGCCCAAATTTCCTAATTCCTGGTCCTATTTGCTACTTCTTCTTCATGCTTTCCCACCTGCTTCCTGGAAATCAGAGTCATGTTCCCAATTATCTAACAATGTCAAGAAGATAACTATGAGTTGTAATTTACCACTATTGGTTTCAGGAGATGACATTGTGGGGGCATATTTGAGTTTCCATAATGGGAGGAAGGGTCAGCAAGCAGAAACTCGTGGGCTGCTTTAATGGTGTGAATTGATGTCTTATTCTCCTATTCTCCAACTGCACACAAAGCATAAAGCTCACTAAATTCTCATTACTTACATCAAGTCTTTAGTACATGGTAAGTGAGACCTAACTAAAAATGATTCTTGTTCTCCCATTAGGGAAAAAAATAATCAAAGAAAGAAAAGAAAAAGTTAAGACCAAGGAAGGGTTATAAGAGGAAATGGAGACTGAAGCATTTCGATCAGAATGAGAAGAGAGGCAGACAGGAGAGAGGGATACGAGAAGGAAAGCCAATAGGGCTTAGGAAGCTGCGGAGAATTTCTGAAGAAGGAAGAGAGAAGACATATAGTAGGGGGAAAAGAGATATTTAAAGGGGATTCTTAGGAAAGGCAGCTGGTGAGCATGCAATATTTCCTTCTGCTTACATTCTTCCAAAGACATCTTCAGCATAACACCTCTACACACCTCTTCAATGTTTGTATTGTGGGATTTGTGACATTGCGGAAGAATGTTTGTTCTCTTCTTAAAGTAAACCTAAGAAGGCCCAGTTATATTCAATTTGCAAAAGCACTATGAGAAATACTTCCTGGAAGGCATACTCTTTAAAAAAAAATCTCCCTACACCTCTGAGGAAATTTTTGTGACTTGTTGAATGGGTAAAATCTGGAGGTAACTAGATCCATTTTGGAAAAAATGGAAGAATCCAGGCACCTGGGTGTTTTAGGTTAGCCAAACTGCTGTGCTTCCAGTTGTTGTAAGGTCTGAAAAACAACCTTTCTTCAGTAGCTGTTTCTTTGGAACTACTGCCATAAGTCAGCTCTCATCCATAGTGACAGGGCTGTTCAATCTCTTGCTTCCCACTTACTTCCCTCAAGAGAAATTATGTTTGAACTAGACAGAAGATACACCTCAAGCCTGACATTCAAACATCTGCAAACTTATGGAGGATTTTGATATGCTGCTAGGCTTTACTTAACTGCCTAAGGATCTTTGGATTTGGAAAGAATTTAAATGAAAGCTTTGACAGTGGTTCATTTTTTTTCCAAAAATATTTCAGAGTAGGTGTTATAGGTCAGATTCCCTGGGAACCTGCTCTCAATCAGAGGTAGTTTACTAGGAAATGTTCTCCATGTAAGAAACTGAAGGAAGCAGATGTGCAGAAGGGGAGATGCTTGCTGAACTGATATGCCATTACAACAGGCTTTAGCTGATCCTGCAGTGTCCTTCAGAGATGAACTAAATCGAGGCCAGCATCCACCACTCATTGTGTGAAGGCCATTCCTGGGTAAGGGGGTTTAACCTTCAGCAAGGCAGCTGCTTTTGGTCAAGGGCAATTTCTCTGGAGTGACTCCCTGGCTGTGAGCAATCAGCAGGCAGCACTGCCTGAAGCTGGGGGAAGAGGCTGAAATCCTTATTCTTGAAAGCCCCAGGGCATGGGAAGAACTGAATAGACCTGGCCCTCACTTACGGATTCTACCTATACCCACAGCAGATCAAGGAAAACTTGGATGGAATAAAATCACTACATTCTGCCCTCCACCTCAAAATATACTCTAACACCTTCCATAATATCTCCCAGCTTCTTTTTAATAATTATTCCAAGAGTTAGTTTCAATATGGGACTTTTCTGCATTAGAAGACTTTTTTTAGTAATATTTTTTCGACCTCCTCCTGTATGTGCTTTAATTTTGCATGCTATTGTTATAAAATACAATACTTAAATAGAGATGGAAATAATGCTTTGTCTAAAAATCATGATGCTATTGCAGTATAGTAGACTATCTTACTATGTAATCTGAGAAATCTATATTAATTTGTAGATCTAGAGATAGGTATAATTAAAGTCCTACTAAGAAGAATAATTTCTAAGAGGACAGAGGGAAGTTGTCATAGCAATCAAAATCCTGATTTTCCTCATTTTATACCACAAAACTATAAACTTTTTTTCATATCTCATTTTTTTTTCATTTTTCGTAACTTATTGGTGTACAGGTGGTATTTAGTTACATGAGTAAGTTCCTTAGTGGTGATTTGTGAGATTTTGATGCACCCATAGCCCAAGCAGTATACATTGCACCATATTTGTAGTCTTTTATCTCTCACCCCTCTCCCACTTTTCCCAAGTCCCCAAAGTTTGTTGAATCATTCTTATGCCTTTACATCCTCATAGCTTAGCTCCCACATATCAGTGAGAACATACAATGTTTGGTTTTCCATTCCTGAGTTACTTCACTTAGAATAATAGTTTCTAATCTCATCCAGGTTGCTGCAAGTGCCGTTTATTCATTCCTTTTCATGGCTGAGTAGTATTCCATTGCATAAATATACCGCAGTTTCTTTATCCACTCATTGATTGATGGACATTTGGGTTGGTTCCATGATTTTGCAATTGCGAATTGTGCTGCTATAAACATGCATGTGCAAGTATCTTTTTCATATAATGACTTATTTTCCTCTGGAAAGGTACCCAGTAATGAGATTGCTGGATCAAATTCTAGTTCTAACAAAAGTATAAATTTTAATGATACCTTCATATCTTTTCTACATTGTATTTTAGCCAGTGGCCATTTTACATATTGGTTAAATATGTAGCTGCATCATTCATTCTTGAGATTTAGCTTCTGAATTACATTTTAAAGTTTTTTTTTTTTTTTTGAAAATCTGACATTAGGAAATTAAACCTCTTCTGCAAGATCCAGTTTTCTCCAGAATAAAAGTTTTAAAGATTTTTTTTCTTTTTGTAATTTAAAATAATTCAGGTTTACAATATTTTGAGAATGTAGACATATAGGGGAAAAGTGGGTATTCTTCCACAAGGCTAACACTTTGTAATGCATCTTTCCAGCCTCTTCTCTGCAAAAGATTTCTTAAAGAAAAACTGGACACTTTATATACTGTCTCATAATTTGTGTTTTTACCTAACACTCCCATGTATTTCCAGGTTTATAGATGGCTACCTTTTAGATACTTTTTATAACATCATTTTATAGATCATTATAATTAAGAGGTCTCTCTGTTGGATAATTTCTGGCACTTCTAATATTGTAAATAATGTTACTACAAACATCCTTATATTAAATTGCTTTTATATCCATTTAAGATTAATTTTTTATTGAGAATTTCTAGAAGAAAAATGACCCTTTCTTTTTTTTATTATTATTATACTTTAAGTTTTAGGGTACATGTGCACATTGTGCAGGTTAGTTACATATGTATACATGTGCCATGCTGGTGCGCTGCACCCACTAACTCATCATCTAGCATTAGGTATATCTCCCAATGCTATCCCTTCCCCCTCCCCCCACCCCACAACAGTCCCCAGAGTGTGATATTCCCCTTCCTGTGTCCATGTGATCTCATTGTTCAATTCCCACCTAGGAGTGAGAATATGCGGTGTTTGGTTTTTTGTTCTTGTGATAGTTTACTGAGAATGATGATTTCCAATTTCATCCATGTCCCTACAAAGGACATGAACTCATCATTTTTTATGGCTGCATAGTATTCCATGGTGTATATGTGCCTTTCTAAACTTTTTGATGTGTTCTGTTAGTTTGGTATCTATAAAGTATCCTCCTAATCTAGTCTCCTTCCTAATTGCCCAGTTTCTTGTACCCTCACCTTCACTATCTATATTTAGCCAGATTTATAAATGAATATGTTATCCCACTGTTATTTTAATTTGCAGTTCTTTATTTGTGAAGTTAAATTTTTTAAGATTTTGCTTTTAGTTTTTGTCAGGAGGTAGAGGAGTTTGTATTTCTTTCTTTGAAAATTGTTTGTGCTGCTATTTACAATAGCAAAGGCTTGGAACCAACCAAAATACCCATCAATGATAGAGTGGATAAAGAAAATGTGGCACATATACACCATGGAATACTATGCAGCTATAAAAAAGAATGAGTTCATGTCCTTTGCAGGGACATGGATGAAGCTGGAAGCCATCATTCTCAGCAAACTAACACAGGAACAGAAAACCAAACACCGCATGTTCTCACTCATAAGTGGGAGTTGAACAATGAGAACACATGGATGCAGGGAGGGGAACATCACACACCCGGACCTTTCAGGGGTGGGAGGCAAGGGGAGGGAGAGCATTAGGACAAATACCTAATGCATGTGGTGCTTAAAACCACCACAGCACATGTATACCTATGTAACAAACCTGCACATTCTGCACATATATCCCAGAACTTAAAGTAAAATGAAAAAAAAAAAAAGAAAATTGCCTGTGCTGGACTTTCTTTTAGAAGATAATTTAATTTTCTATTCAATAATATTTTTCTTGATAATTTAATTGTCTATTCAATAATATTTTTCTTGGTATATTTCAGGATGCTGAATTCCACTTTAACAAACTAAATGACTGTGTCTCTAAAATTAAGTACTATGTTTCCTTTCAGTAAGATGACTTGTGTCTTCCATTTACTGGCAAATAGATTCAAAAGAAAATCATAAATACTTCTTCAGTACTGATTTAATTGTTTAATGATGCTTAAATGTTATTAGTAGAGTAGACCAGTAGAAGGAACCTTGGATCAGGCTAAATCTGTGTAGGACCAATCACTTAATCCTGGGAAAGCCACACTCCAGTTACTTCTGTAAAATAAGATTGAGTTACTTTTCAGGGTTGTAATAGGAATTGAGAATTTTCTCCTTAAATATCAACAACAGTATTTTGGCACAAAGTAGGTGCCTAATAAATGGAATCATTAGTATTAGCCCCTTTTGGTGTTATTTTATATTAATATGTCCTTTATTTTAGTGGTTTTTCAAACTGCAGGTATCAAATCATGAGTGGATTGTGAAACTAATGTACACAACTTTGAGATACAACTAGAATTTTTTAGTGATAAAGAATAGAGTAGAATTGAATTTATCCAAGTATTTCACAGAAGTGTTTTTATGCGAAACTTCTCTTCAGTATATAATATCTAGGCAGACAGAGTGTATATACTGGATGACAATGTAAAATAACCTCTTAACTATGGGTTGTATCCAAAAACTCCTCCAAAAAACAGGATTATATTGGATACTTGTCTCATAGTTTCCAAGTCTTTTGATACTATAGTGGCTAAGACACCTTGGTTCAAATCCCAACTCCATTAATTACTACTATATGACTTTAACTGCCTGGCTTTTACTGTATAACCTCCTATGACTTACTTTCCTCACCTATGAAATGGGTGATAATTATTAACGAGAATAATATGAAATATTATATGCTTTAATATGTGTAAACCACTTAGCGGGTGCTCAATAACTGTTAGCTTATTTTTTAAAGACTGAGTAGAATATCTTTTTTTCTGAATAAGCAAACTATGTACATAAAAGAATATAAAGTCATCAGGCTGGGCGCCTGATGGCTCATGCCTGTAATCCCAGCACTTTGGGAGGCCGAAGCGGGCGGATCACTTGAGGTCAGGAGTTTGAGACCAGCCTGGCCAACATGGTGAAACTCCGTCTCTACTGAAAATACAAAAATTAGTCAGGTGTGTTGGTGGGTGCCTGTAATCCTGACTACTCAGGAGGCTGAGGCAGAATTGCTTGAAGCCAAGAGATGGAAGTTGCAGTGAGCAGAAATTGCACCACTGCACTCCAGCCTGGGCTACAGAGCGATACTGTGTCTCAAAAAAATAAAAAACAAAAAATGAAGTCATCACATTAGCCAGGACTGAATAATCAGCTAATTTTTTCATCCACAAAATGATGCCTCCTGATAAGCATTTTATTTCCATAAATATGAATTTTCAAGAACCAAGTAACTATTCTTAGGTTTGCTATTTACAAACAATATTATCTCTCAAGATATGAAGGAATAAAAATAAAACACTAGGCAATCCCTTAGTCTTTGTCAGTATATTAGATCCTCAATTACCCACAACATTTTTGTATTTTATGATTTTTTTAAATTTCACAGTGGTATGCACTAAGTAAAAAGAACTTTGTCTATATTTCTTACAATCTTTTTTTGATTAAAAAATAAGAATTAACAGGGATGATATCATTGGCTGGTAAGAGTTAAAAGCTTATAGCTCTTACTTTTCTGATGAACACCTTCCAAGGGTATTTTATGTCTATAGAGGATTGGTTTGGAAATTATAGAAACATTCTTTGCTTCCCTTAAAAAAAAGCTGGGTAACTTTAAGAACATTTTCTAAATGTTGACCCTGTTTAGCAAAAGTCTTATTGTTCCTATAGTCTTTTATGTCTTTCAAACTATATGTAGAAATTTTTTATGTACAATTATAAGCTGGAGTAAAATGAAAACTATTTAGCAACTCAAGAAGTGAAGGAGGATCCAGCTATCAGTACACACAAAGGCTAGAAACAACTGTGTAATCACTTGAAAGTAGGAGCTGAACATCAGTCTGAATGACCAGCAACAATATCCCACCTCTACAACTGGACAAAAATTAAGCAGAAACATAGTTGAGCAATATACCTTTAATGTAATGATGGAGCTATTGTACTTAGCTATTTTCATTTAACTCAATCATTTCCTTTAAATTCTACAGTAAGCCATAAGTCCTCAAATATCTTCAACTATCCTGTACAGAGATAAGTAATAATGTGTGTCACATCTGGTGTTTCTCACAGCAAAGGAAAAATTAATTTTTTGAATACGTGCCTGTAATAATGTGTGTATATGTGTGTGTGTGTGTGTGTGTGTGTGTGTGTGTGTGTGTACAATTTTAGTCTGGCTGACTCAATGAAATACAGAAGTTAGGACATCATTAATATCAACAGTTTTACCCAAGTTGTATCAACAGAGCAAACAAAACTTCAAAGTTTTCCAGGGAGATGAGCTCCTAAACTGAACAAAATCAGATAATCAGAAAAAGCTTCTGGGACGTGACTTGAGTTGGAAACAAAAAATTTCCACATTCTGGACAATTCTGGGAGGCCAAGTGCTATTAGAGATGTGTGGATAAATCAATTGATCAATCAATTGATTGATCCACTGGTAGTCTGTTCCATTGATCCACTGATCTCTGGAACAAACTAATATGCCAGTGGATCAATTGAACAATGGAGCAATGGAACAAATTAATATGCCAGACACTATGCTAATTTTTTTGCATAAATTATTTCATACTCATAAAAACCTTACAGATTTGGTCTGATTATCCTCATTTTACAAAAGAAGAAACTGAAAAACGAAGAAGATCTGAGCCGATATCTGTCCAATTCTACCCTTTAGGATTATATTGGTAGCTAGTAATGGAAAATTAAAAACTTAAAAAAGAGAACAAGGCCAGGTGCGGTGGCTCACACCTGTAATCCAAATACTTGAGAAGGCTGAAACCAGTAGGATCATGCGAGCCCAGGAGCTCAAGGCTGCAATGAGCTATGATCTCGCCACTGCTCTCCAGCCTAACAACAGAGCAAGACCCTATCTCATAAAAGAGAGAGAGAGAAATAGTCAATTATAAAATAAAAATTCGTATCTATGTATATGTGTTAGCCTCAGCCATGATCTCCTGGAAGTAGATCCAAAATCTCTGGATTTTGATTAAGATTTTAATAAGAATCTTATGCATCTGAGATTATTCTATTTTCAATTGTACTTTCACTAAATATGTAACTATGCATGACCAACTCACAAATCGTTTGCATTTCTTTCTTTTTTTTTTTTTTTTTTTTTTTTTTTTTTGAGACAGAGTTTCGCTCTTGTAGCCCAGGCTGGAGTGCAGTAGCACAATCTTGGCTCACTGCAACCTCTGCCTCCCGGGTTCAAGCTATTCTCCTGCCTCAGCCTCCCGACTATCTGGGATTACAGGTGCCTGCCACCACACCTGACTAATTTTTATATTTTAGTAGAGATGAGGTTTCTTCATGTTGGCCAGGCTGGTCTCGAACTCCTGACCTCAAGTGATCCGCCTGCCTCGGCCTCCCAAAGTGCTGGGATTACAGGAGTGGGCCACCACGCCCAGACTAAATTTCATTTTTAAAAAAATCTTGTTTGCTGGTTATCTCCACGTCTTTGCAAATTAAAAGGTTTTTATAAGTTCGTCTACTTTCCTGTTAAGAACGTGAAGTGAATCCTGTCCAGGCCTCTTTACTTATCTATTTCTGCCCCAAATCATGCCCATTCTTTCCTCAGAAAGCCTGAAATCTTAAGTTCTGCAGGAAAATTACAAAGTCTGGAATATTTTTAGAATGGAGAATATTCGTTCATTTCTACTCCCTTAGAATACCTTCCTTACATTTGTACCTTCACGTGTTCTAAGAAAAATCCAGGAAGGGCAGGTTTTAGTTCTTCATATTTCAGAAGGTGGATAAATTAGGATGTCAAATGCCCTGTTAAAGTTTATTTAACTAGTGAAGAGGATGAGAACTGATGTCTTCTGAATTCACAGCTGTTTGTATTGATTACTTTATTAATTATTTTGGCATATTTTGGAGGTAAACAAATACTTAAAATAATTGAATACATTAATAAAATAAAATATTCTAATTAAATAAGCTAAATAAAGTAAAATATCTAAACTTATAAGTTATGTTTCATTAGCAGCACCTTGATATATATAGTCAACCATGCCACATTTATAGTGACTTAAATAATTACCCAGCAAGACAAGTAAATTATTGATCAGAGTATTGTTTACAATAAATGTGAAAAAAGTGACTGGGGTGAAAACTTACCATCAATAAATAAGATTCAAGAACCAATTACTGTAATATATTCATAACATCTTAGAGTATCAATATTATGAATAATATTACTTATAACCATTTTTAAAGTCACTAGCATTTTGAGTACATGTTATCATTTATCAACATTTCCAATACAAATATTTTATCTCTTTCTTCCTTTTAGAAAATACAAAATATTTAAAGTATAAAGCATGTATTTCATCAAGAATTGTTTCATACACGTTTTGGTAAGATATGGGTTAAAAGTTAAATCTACACAGCAAATAATTGGCTGTATAAATAACTAATAGATTTGACAGTATACATAGTATTGCTGGAATAGAATGCTATTCAGTAACTATGTCTGGTCTTACCTTCTGGGGAAGAACTCTTCACTCGCTGTGGTTCCATAAATATTTCATTTACCAACACAAAGCAATATGCTAATGATGGACTATTTACCCAGTGAGCAGGTGCCACCTCTGATGTTGTTTCATCTCTGGGATACCTTTGATGTGGGAGCAGTTAAGCCATTTTGAATTGTTCTGTCTTTGCTTCCCTCCCCTCACAGCTTCACCTGAACCTAAAATGGTGAGCGAGAGTCACCATGAGGCCCTGGCAGCCCCGCCTGTCACCACTGTCGCGACTGTTCTGCCAAGCAACGCCACAGAGCCAGCCAGTCCTGGAGAAGGAAAGGAAGATGCATTTTCTAAGCTGAAGGAGAAGTTTATGAATGAGTTGCATAAAATTCCATGTGAGTATTCTATATTAGTACTTGAGTAAAAATAAGTGGTTGAAAAATACCCCATCCATTGGAAAGAAAGTAGAACTCCGTTTGATATACTATAAATTTACATTTAATTTATTACTATGGGAATGATAGTATCCCAATATAAAATGAAATATTCTTGGAAATGGAATATTCTTCTTGTCTTTAAATATACTTCATAAATGAAAATCCAGTTTACAAAAAAAAAAAAGTCTGCAGCTTGTATTTAATACAGGTAGGTTGTTTTCTTTGGTGTCTGTTTCTCTCAAGAATATTAATGTTTATGGGTTCTGTTATATTTATTTTGGATTTGCATTTATGAAATTATTTCATTGCAAAGATTGTTTCTGAACAATAGCTAAGGTTTGCTTTCCCAATATCGCAGGTTTGATTTTCTGTCATTCATTTGTCATCATTTAAAAATCTTATTGTTATTTTTTAAAGTTTCCTTATTGTCATTAAAAAAAACTGCACCTAAGTTTATTTGGATAAGTATAGCACTAAGTCTAATCAGTGACATTTAATTTTTTAATTTTATTTTTACACTGACAGATAAAATCATACTATTGTACAACATGTTGGCTATCATTAATAATATATCTATGGTGTATTCCAGAAAAATGTTGAGAGTGAATATAAAGTGTTCTCACCACAAAAATAACTATGTGAGATTATGCATATGTCAGTTAGCAGGATTCAGTTATTCCACAATGTATCAAAATATCATGTTGTAGACATAAACATCATGTTGTGCAAAAGATCTCTCGAACTTATTTCTCCTCTGTAACTGAAATGTATTCTTAGACCAACATCTCCCCAATTGCCACCTCCCCACAATCACCACAGCCACTGGTAACCACCATTCTACTCTCTACTTCTATGAAATCAACTTTTTTAGATTTCACATATGAGTGAGATCATGTATTATTTATGTCCTGTGCCTGGATTATTTCACTTAACAATGTTCACCAGGTTCATTC
This sequence comes from Homo sapiens, assembly GCF_000001405.40. Taxonomy (NCBI): domain Eukaryota; kingdom Metazoa; phylum Chordata; class Mammalia; order Primates; family Hominidae; genus Homo; species Homo sapiens. Next base: position 79,218,681 of record NC_000012.12, read on the forward strand.
ATGTTGTCACGAATACCACGATTTCATTTTTTTATAGCTGAATGGTATCTCTCAAGTGGATGTACCACAGTCCATTCATCCACTGATAAGACACTTGGGTTGATTCCATGTCTTGGCTATTGTGAAAATTTCTGCAACAAACATGGGAGTGCAGATATCTGTTTGTCATATTGATTTCATTTCTTTGGATACATACCGGGTAGTAGGATTGCTGGATCATATGGTAGTTCTAGTTTTAATTTTTAAAGAAATCTCCATACTGTTTTCCATAGTGGTTGTAGTAATTTACATTCCCACCAACAGTGTGCAAGGGTTCCCTTTTCTCCACATCCTCGCCAACACTTATATTTGATTTTTTGATAATAGCCATTCTAACAGGTTTGAGGTGGTATTTCATTGTGGCTTTAATTTGCATTGCCTTGATAATTAGTGGTATTAAGCATTTTTTCATATTTCTGTTGACCATTTAAATGTCTTCTTTTGAGAAATGTCTAGTCAGGTCGTTTGCCCTTCTTTTGATTGGTTTATTTGTTTTCTTGCTGTTTGAGGTCCTTATATATTTTGGACATTAACCCCTTATCAGATGTATAGTTTGCAAATATTTTCTCCCCTTCTGTAGATTGCCCCTTTATTTTGTTGATTGTTTCCTCTCCTGTGCAGAAGCTATTTAGTTTGATATAATCCCATTCGTCTATTTGCTTTTATTACCTGTGCTTTTTGGGTCATATCCAAAAAGTTATTGTCAAGACCATGTCATAAAATTTTTATCCTGCATTTTATTCTAGATTCATAATTTTGAATCTTATATTTAAATCTTTAATTCATTTTAGTTGATTTTTGTACATGTTGTGAGATAGAGTATAGTTTCATTCTTATGCATGTGGATATCCAGTTTTCCCAACACCATTTACTAAAGAGGCTGTTCTTTCTCCATTGTGGGTTCTTGGCTCTTTTGTTGAAAGTGAGTTGGCAGTAAATGTATGGATTTCTTTCTGGGTTCTCTTTCTGTTTCATCGTCTATGTGTCTGTTTTTATGCTTGTACCATGCTGTTTTGATTACTATAGCTCTATAGTATAAAACTATAACTCTGTACTATATTTCGAAGTCAGGTAGTGTGTTACCTCCAGCAATGTTCTTTTTGCTCAAGATTACTTTGGCTATTTAGGGATTTGTGTGGTTCCATACAAATTTTTATTTTGTGAAGAATGTAATTGGTATTTTGTAGTGTCTTTGTCTGGCATTTCTATCAGGGCTTTTCTGGCTTTGTAAAATGAGTTTGGAAGTATTCCTTCTTCCATTTTTGGAAGAGTTTGAGAAGAAACGGTATTAGTTCTTCAAATGTTTCATAGAGATTAGCAATGAAGATATAAGGTCTTCACTTATGGGAGATTTTTTATTACTGATTCAATCTTTTGTTCATTACTGATCTATTAAGATACTCTATTTCTTCATAATTCAACCTTGGTAGGTTGTATGTATCAAGGAACGTATCCATGTTTTCTTGGTTATCCAATTTGTTGGTATATAATTGTTCATAAGAGTCCCATGAGCCTTTGCATTTCTATTGTATCAGTTGCAATATCTCCTTTTTTGTTTCTTATTTTATTTATTTGAGTCTTCTCTCTTTTTTCTCTTAGCTAGGCTTGCTAAAGGTTTGTCAATTTTGTTTAACTTTCAAAAATGCAGTTTTGTTGATCTTTTCTGTTGTTTCTGTAGTCTCTATTTCATTTCTTTCTGCTCTGATTTTTGTTGTTTCCTTCCTTTACTAAATTTGAGCTTAGTTTGTCTTTGTTTTTCTAATTTCTTGAGGTTCAACATTAGGCTATTTATTTAAGATTTTTCTTCCTTTGATGGAATAGACATTTATTTCTATAAAATTCCCTCTTAGAACTGCTTTTGCTGTATTGCATAGGTTTTGCTATATTGTGTTTTCTTTTTCATTTGTCTTAAGAAATTTTTTGTCTTCAAGAAATGTTTGTTTCCTTTTTCATTTCTTCAGTGACCCATTATTTATTCAAGAGTATGTTGTTTAATTTCCATGTATTTGTGCATTTTTTCTAAAGTCCCTTCTGTTTTTGATTTCTAGTTTTATATCATGGTCAGAAAAAAATAACTTGATATAGTTTTAATCTTCTTAAGTTTATTAAGACTTATTTTGTGGCCTCACATACGATCTATTCTGAGGAATGTTTCATGTGCAGTTGAGAAGAATGTGTATTCTGTAGCTGTTGGACAGAATAATCTGTATGTCTGTTGGGCTGATTAGATGCAGATTGTAGTTTAGGTGATGTTTCCCTACTGATTTCCTGTCTGGATGATCTGTCCATTACTGAAAATGGGGTGTTAAGTCATTATTATTGTATTACAGTTGATCTCTCCCTTCAGGTCTATTAATATTTGCTTTACATATTTAGGTGCTCCAATGTTAGGTGCATATATGTTTGCAATTATTATATTCTCTTGCTGAATTTTGACCATTTTTATCATTATATAATGACCTTTTTATTTCTTTTTGCAACTTTTGCTTTTATTTTATTTGATCTGATACACATATATAGTTATTCCTGCTCTCTTTTGGTTTCCATTTGCATTATATATCTTTTTTCATTCCTTTATTCTGTATGTCCTTACAGATGAACTGTAGACAGCATGTAGCTGGATCTTTTTAAAATCCATTCAGTCATTCTATGCCTTTTGATTGGAGAATTTAACCTATTTACATTTAAAGTAATTATCAATACTTACTACTGCCATATTATTAATTGTTTTGTAGTTATTCTGTACATTGTTTATTTCTCTCTTTTCTCCCATGCTGTCTTCCCTTGTGGCTAAATGATTTTTCTCTAGTGGTATGTCTGATTCCTTGCTTTTCATTTTTTGTATATCAGCTAGAGGTTTCTTCTATGTGGTTACCATGAGGTTTTCAAAAAACATCTATAGTTATAACAGGTTATTTTAAGCTGAAAACAAATTAACTTTGATCATGAAAAAACCTCTACAATTTTACTCCTCTACTGTCCACATTTTGAATTTTTTATGTCAAAATTTACATATTTTATATTGCATATTCCTTTAAAAAATTATTGTGGCTATTATTATTTTTAATTGTTTTGCCTTTTAGCCTTCATACTGAATTTATAAGTAAATGACACACCAGGATTACAGTGTTATAGTATTCTGCATTTGACTGTGTACTTACTTTTACCAGCAAATTTTATACTTTTAAATGTTTTTGTGTTAATCATTAGCAACTTTTTTTTTAACTTGAAGAACTCCCCTTAGTATTTTTATAAGACAGGCCTGGTGGTAATGAACTCCCACAACTTTTGTTTGTCTAGGAAAGCCTTTATCTCTCCTTTATTTCTGAAAGATAGCTTTGCTGGGTACACTATTCTCTGTTGGCAGTTTTTTTCTTCAGCATGTTTTATAATATTCCACTCTCTCCTGGCCTATAAAATTTCTGTTGAGAAGTTGGCTGCTGGATGTATTGGAACTTCCTTATATATTATTTGCTTCTTTTCTCTTGCTGCTCTCAGGATCCTCTTTTTTGTCTTTGATCCTTGACAACTTGAGTATATGTCTTGGGGTAGTCTTATTTGGAATGAATTTAATTGGAGACCTTTGATTTTTCTGTATCTGGATACTTACATCTTTCTCCAGGTTTAAGAAATTTTCTGCTACTATTTATTTATTTACTTTTTTTTTCTTTTTTCTTTTTTTTGATGGAGTTTTGCTTGTTACCTAGACTGAGGTGCAGTGGCACGATCTTGCCTCACTGCAACCTCCACCTCCCAGGTTCAAGCAATTCTCCTGCCTCAGCCTCCCAAGTAGCTAGGATTACAGGTGTCCACCACCATGCCCAGCTAATTTTTTGTATTTTTAGTAGAGACAGGGTTTCACCATGTTGGCCCAGCTGGTCTCGAACTCCTGACCTCGGGTGATCCACCCACCTTGGCATCCTAAAGTGCTGGGATTCCAGGCGTGAGCCACTGCACCTGGCCTACTTTAAATAAGCTCCCCACTCTTTGTCTCTGTCTTCTTTTTTATCTCCTATGGCTTGATTGTTTGCTCTGTTGATGCTGTCCCATAAATCCCATGAGCTTTCTTCATTTCCTCTCATTCTTTTTTCTTCTCTGACTATTTTTAAATAGGCTGTCTTCAAAATCAAAGATTCTTTCTTCTGTTTGACCAGTTCTGCTGTTAATACCCTCTACTGCATTTTTTTTCTTTCATTATATTTTTCTTGACTCCACTTTTCATTTCATTCATTGTATTTCTTAGCTCCAAGAATACTTTTTTATTATTTAAACCTCTATTAAATGTCTTATTCTGGTCTCATATTATTTTCTCATTTTGTTTTCTTGAAGTTCACTGAGCTTCCTTAGTTATTTGGAATTATTTGTCAGGCATTTTATACCTCTCCATTTATTTACAGTCAGTCACTTGCACCTTAGTTTTTTCCTTTGGTGATTTGTTTCCCTGATTCTTCTTGATCTTTATGATCATGTATCAATGTCTGTGCATTTGAAGAAATAGGCACTTACTTCAGTCTTCACAGTCTTCATAGACAGGCTTTGTCTGTGAAAGCCCTGCAGTAGGGTGTGGTGCTAGAGTGCATCAGAAGCCCAGGACAGTTGCAGCCAGCATGGCATCGCCAGAGCCTGGGGCCCACTGTGGCAGGTGAAGCACTGGAGTGGGCAAGAAGCCTGAGGCAGATGCAAATGGAAAGACACTAAGGTGCTCTAACAGCTGGATGCAGCTGAAGCCAGTGCAGTGCTGCCAGAAGCCTAGGGCCCACTACAGCAGGTATGGCACTGGGGCAGACCAAAGCCTGGGACAGCTGTGGCCAGCATGGCACTTCCAGAATCTCAGGGCAACTGTGGCCATAAGAGTGGTGCCAGAAGCCTGAGGTCCACAACAGCAAGCACAGTACTGGGACAGCTGAAGCCAAGGGCCACTAATGCTGCCTGCTGCTGAGGGTGACCTGAAGCCCAAGACAACTGATACCAACCCAGTGGCGATACATACCAGAGATCGAGTTTGCCATACGAGCCTGAAGCCTGGGGCTTTATGGTCCCTCCTGGCACCAGGGCAAGTTTAGAGGCTCAGTCACCAGTATAGGTCTTGAATATAAGGCCGTGGTAGTCTGCCTGGTACTGAGTTTTACTGTGCAGTTGCAATGCTAGGCTCCAAAGCAAAGTCCTGTGCTCGCTTCCCTCTCTTTCCCCCAAGTTGACAGTATCTCTTTCTGCACCTGTGCTGCCTGGGGCTAGGGAAAGAGTGATGCAGGTGTTGTAGAACTGTCCTTCCTATCTCTTCAATGCATTTTTTCTTAGTATTATGCTACTACCAGTTACTGTGAGCTTTCATGTGGTTTCCTTAGCTCTTGTGAAGTTATTTTCATGCATGGATAGCTGTTCAAACTTATGATTTTGTGGGAGATGGTATCTGGAGAGTCCTACTCCTCCATCTTACTCTGCCTCAGTCCAGTTGCATATAATTTGAATCTTAAACTACAACTTAGTCTTTTTTCTTCAAGTATGAATACTTACTATGTACTAGGCACTTTCCCAAATGCTGAGAACAAATATTTAGCACTCACAGAGCTTATATTCTAGTGAAGAAAAGAAGTTAGAAATTAATAAAGAGGAAAATATATATTAATAAATGATGTAAGGAAAAATATAATAGTGTAAATGTAATAGGGAAGGGGAAAAGCATAAAAGGTTGTTATTTTGGGGATGACCAGGGCTGGTTTCCTTCATAAGGAGATCTGAAGGAAGTGGAGGAGAAGCTATCACAAAACCTGGCAAATAGAACCAAGGCCCTTAGGTAAGAATCTACCTGGAAGAGCAAGAAGCCCAGTGTGCCTTAAGTAGATTGAACGAGGTGGAGACTGGCAGAAGATAAATTTGAATGTAGCAGAAGCCATGTCATGTGGGGCCTTGTCAATTGTTCTAAAGAACTTAGATTTTACACTGAGTGAAATAAAATGCCTTTTTGAGCAGAGGTGTCCCATGATCTGACGGGTGGTTTTTTTGTTTTGTTTCATTTTTTATTTATTTATTTTTTATTATTATTATTATTATTATTATTATTATTATTATTATTATTAGAGACAGAGTTTCACTCTTGTTACCCAGGCTGGAATGCAATGGCGTGATCTCAGCTCACTGCAACCTCCATCTCCTGGGTTCAAGCGATTCTTCTGCCTCAGCCTCCCAAGTAGCTGGGATTACAGGCATACACCACCACGCCTGGCTAATTTTTTGTATTTTTAGTAGAGACGGGATTTCTCCATGTTGGTCAGGCTGGTCTCGAACTCCCGACCTCAGGTGATCTGCCTGCCTTGGCCTCCCAAAGTGCTGGAATTACAGGCATGAACCACTGCGCCCAGCCCTGACTTGAGTTTTTTAAAAGATTATTCTTGCTACAGTGGAAAAAAAAAAAAAAGCAGGGGTAGCAGGCTATAGAGAGGCAAGGGTAGAAGAGAAAGCAGGTTGTTGCAATAATCCGGATGAGAGATTTATAAGAGAATTATTCTATAAGGACACTGAAAAACTAAATGAAGCATACAAGGAATCAGCTTCTTATTCCTCATTAATTAGCAACTTGTTAATTTGTCTGTCCACTTTTAAGAAGTTCAAGTTGATCTAAGACACACACTTAGCACAGTTGTCAGTAATTACCATTCTTAGCAGGAAGACTTGTAAGCCAGTAGAGATGAAGATGGTCCAATACATCGAACACTAGAATGGGAAACACAAAATCTCAGTTCTTGTCCTTGCTCTGCTGCTGAGTTAATGGACTGATACACAAACTCCGGGTACTTTTGATATAACTTTGAGGTCATAACTACCAGGCATAAACCAAATACATATATTATGGGTGCAAACTTTCACTTAAGGAATATTTTATCAAAATGTTTACATAGGAGAAATGTGTTCTAGAGAAGCAGAGAAAGCAATGAACAACATAAATCAAATTCATATCTTGGCTTTTAACACCATCTTCCTCTCTGGAAGAATAAACAACATGAGACACATGGCAAGGCTGATAAGTATAGGATTGAAATGCTCCCCATATACGAGCCTAACTCATTTACCCATTTCCTTTTGGTCTTTGCCCAATGTTAGCACCTCCCCAACCACACTATTTAAAATTGCAATCCATTCATCTCACCCCATCTTTGCCAGTATTTCCTGTCCCCCATCCTTGCTTTATTTCCCACCATATTACTTAGCAATATCTGAAATATCATGTATTTTATTATTTTGTTTTAAATTGCTCTAGCTTCTTCCAAAATAATGTAAGCTCTCTGAAGGCAATATGTTGGGTCTGTTTATGCTCATGCCTAGCACATATGAGGCACTAAATACATATTTGATGAATGAGTGGATTAATGACAACCAATTTAACTTGTATCCTGAGCCATTCCTCTTAGACTTTGAGGCCTTAATATGCTGACAAATTTAAGCATCTTACTAAATCATACATTTTAAATTTCCAACACTTATGAAAGCATCATTTTAATGCTTGACTGTGTCATAAACGTTGAAAATGTAATTGTTTCTTTGGTCACAACTCCTCCATCTTTTAGCCTTTCTCACTCAGAGCCAGCTATTACTTTATTTTTTCCTCCCTATTCATTAGTAGGAAAGCAATCAGCTGGAAAAAAATTATCTATGAAACTCTCCTTTCTTTTGCTTCTCTTGGGTAATCTCATCTTTTTCCTTCCCAAACCATTGTCTTAGTCCTGTGTCCCTCTATTGGGCACTGGAAATCAGACCAGATAAACAATCTGCTTGTCCATGGAGATTTGCCTTTGACCAGCAACCTGAAATAACAGAATGTCAAAGAATCTGAGTACCACCCCTAAAAAATATTATGTTGCTAGCACTCTCCTTGATTTAACAGGAAGAAAAAAGTAAGGTAACTAAAACCTTAAAGTGGTATGGTAAATCAATGTTAGAAAACACTGCATCATAAATAAAAGCCATGCCATTTATTTAAAGTGGTATGTTAAATCAATGTTAGAAAACACAGCATCATAAATAAAAGCCATGCCATTTATTAAAAGTGTGTAATAGTATGTATTTTACACTTTCATTTTAATCCGTCATAATTTTTCCTGCCTATATAATTGACATTTCTAATAGGATTTATATGCAGGAGGCAATACTAAACAAAAATAAAACACATCCTTAAAATCAAATTCCTTTAGGACTATAAGATATATAAAGGTTATCACTTTTGACTTGGCATAACATACTGTGATGCTAATGACGGGTAACAAATTAGAATATTAATTGATTTCAGTCTCTGAACTAAATCTTGGCTATCTGGCAGATGTGTTTTTTGCAAAATTGATAGCAAACAGCTTTACTCTGTCACTTGAAATTCCCACTTGTAAGAAGAGGGGTGTCACAATGGCAAGGAGTGTGCATGTCATTAGTTGGGTAATCTGCACAGTCCAGCATGAAACATATTCAAACCAAATTGCCTGATGATATCATCCAGGCCTTAATTTTTTTAAATTAAGGCTTAAATTTTTTTTAAAAAAAGGAGAAGGAAATGGTAAACGCTTAGCATTTTTATCTTTCAATTCATTCTTCACACTGTTATCTAAATGAAGCAGACAAGGTTTTTTAGAATTTTTTTTATTTTGCAACTTTGATTTTAATATGACTAGGGCCATGGTTGGTCTGTAAAGCATGAACTCATGTCATCTGAATAGCTGTGATTAAGGCTTTGATATTCATGAGCTTCTTGAAGTAGAGTGCACCTTTCTTTAAGCACAGTAGAAAGTCAAATAGCCAGAACTTGACTCTTAGTCCAGAATAAGAGCAAGTGGATTAGGAATAGTTGTATAATTTATGCAGAAATGTTATTGGATAGACAGTTTAATTCAGAAATTAAAAATACAAGCTCTAGCCATAGACTACAAGAGTTCAAACCCTAGCTCCACTGCATACTGGCTTTGTGACCTTGGGCATCTTAATTAATTTTTCTGACTATCAGTTTCCTCCTATATAAAATGGGGATGAAAATAATACTCCCATCATAGGGTTGTTTGGTAAAGGTGTCAATGCATGTGAAGTCGTTAGCAGAGTGTCTGGCACTGAATAAGCGCTCTATAAATGGTAGCTATTATTAAACTCAAGCTGTCACTTTAACAAGTCTATTTCTATTTTAGAAAAACCCTCTATTCAGGTCAGTCACCCAAATTGAGAAAATTCCGGAAACTTTGCAGCCAAATACAAGTGCATTGCATTCTTTAATCCCATTCCAATGATCTCTGTGTTAGAGAAGGTAAATTCTCTCTTGGTGTTTCTTATTTCATCCTCTCCTCCATTTTTTTTTTTTTTGGTCCTATAATTTTACTTTCTCTCTCCTTCATTCCCTTTAGCCTACACACATGCTCAAGATTCACATATCTGATAATGCCTAGCAAAATTCCATACATCGTAGGTTCTTAAGGATACCAGTTTTCTACCTTTATGCTCTAAAAATTTCTTCCCCTACTTTACCTCTCCCATCAAGCTATCATTCTGTCTCCTCCCTTCACATCTCTACCATACTTATTTAAAAACGTAATCTGGACCCTGACATCTGTTTTATCAACTCCCATTACCAACTCAATTCCTTTCACTCTAATTTCCATCCTTTGCATACTATTAAAATTGTTTTTACTAAAGTCCCCAGATACTTCCCGATGTACAATTACGAGGGTTATTACAAATATTCAGTTGCTCAGATATTTCTGCATTATTATCACTATTGGCCTTCATCTACTGAAAACTCTTGACTTCCAGGACCACTCTCCTTTCTTCCTCTTCTTTCCTCCCCTTCTCCTTCACTGACTGGTCCTTCTTTTGTTATGATCTTTTCTCCCATTAGGTGTTAGAGGTCCTTGTTTTCTGGGGTTTCTCTTTTAATCCTATTCCATGTTTATTCTACATGCTCTTTTTGGGCAGTTTCATTCACCTAGCCATTCAAATAAAAAAATCTCACTATTATTCTTGACTCCTTGAGCGATTTCACCACATATTCTGTACCTGCATTCAAGTTATGTGAACTACCTTGAACGTCTCTCAAAACCAGCCAGCACTTCACTACACCACTGTCTCCCCTCATGATTTTCTCTCTTCCTGGATTCCCCTTCCCCAGTACCCTAATACATTGTTGGGGTTTTTTTTGCCATTCAAGAGCCAGTTCAAGTGTCACCACTTGGATGAGAGGTTCCCTCATTTCCCAAGGCAGAAATATATGAGTCTTCTCCAACCTTTCAGAGTTCTTCATTCAAATCTCTCACTGTTTTGGTTACCTGGGGTTTTCTGCCTTTCTCACTGAAATGTAAATTAGCCAAAGGCAGGACCATTTTCTTACACATCTTCGTATCCCCCACATCTTGAAAGTGTCTGACACCAAAGGCATTAATCAAATCCAGATCTCTTCTCGGCACTGTGTTGGGATGAGGAACAACAGCAAAGCTGTCCTTCCAATACATGGGGCAGCCTAAACGGGGAGGAGGAGCTGTTTCCTTTGAGACTAGGTTAATTACTGCTACAAACAACTATTTAGATATCAAATTACAAAAATTAACATTAAAGCAAACAGTGCGGTTCTTGTGCCATGCTCGGAGAAACTGTGATCTAGAAAGCAGTAGTTTTCAAACCTTTTTAGCCAAGGATTGCTTTGTTCAAATGCAGTATTACATAGATACTTAAATGTATAAGGTCTTATTTTATTTCATCATCTTCTTTAGTTTATAATTTTAGTTTAATTTTGACTCAAAATATAGAAAGTGTGTCTGTGTGTGTACTACCGTGTACGTGTGTTTTAAGAGTTACCATTAAAAACAATCCTATGGCAGAAAGTTCACCTAAAGCAGTAGGGTTTTTTTTATTTTTTATTTTTTTATTTTTTTTAGACAGAGTTTTGCTTTGTCGCCCAGGCTGGAGTGCAGTGGCACAATCCCGGCTCACTACAACTTCCGCTTCCCGGGTTCAAGCGATTCTCCTGCCTTAGTCTCCCAAGTAGCTGGGATTTCAGGCGCTCACCACCATGCCTGGCTAATTTTTTGTATTTTTAGTAGAGACGGGGTTTCATCATATTGGCCAGGCTGGTCTCAAACTCCTGACCTCGGGTGATCCACCCGCCTCAGCCTCCCAAAATGCTAGAATTACAGGCGTGAGCCACCACGCCCAGCCAAGCAGTAGTTCTTAATAGAGATGGCACTGCTCCTACAACACAGTGTAAATATTTTGGGGGTCATTTTCAGTATATTAAAAACTGCAGGAAACTCCTGGCATTTAGAGGGCATGGTCACAGGACCCTACACATCCTGTAAAGTGTGGGACAGTTTCACAGAATGAAGAATTGTTCTGAATCCCACACAAATTTCAAAAGCCCCATAGGACATACATGTAGATGGAAACCCTTTCTATAATTATCTGAACCTAAAACTATTTTCTGTATAAACACAAAGTGTTTTTGCATGGCTCTCATATATGAATACATGGAATAGTCTAGTTTGTATTCTAATGTCCACCTAGCCTTTAATCTCCAATTTTCTTGTGATTTTTAAAAAATCTTCTGATTGTCTTCTCTAAATCTAAACATGCTTTTTAGTATTACATAGTTTCAAGCATTTGATTATTTCATTGTGTCTTATTGTATAGTTGCATCTGAAGATTTTTGTACTGAAATAGAATTTTTTAAATAAATTACTGTCATTTCTCCATTATATTATAGTTGACAAATTTTATTAATTTTAAAATTATGTAGGTAGGTATGTTATATTCTTATTTACACTTTGAGACAGAAAAAAAGGAATATTATAAAATATTTGTTATGAACTGGGGTAATACTGATTTTAAAAAACAAATGTGCAGTAGGACTCTATCAACATTCTCTATTCAAGGTGGAATGCTAACAAAAGTACATTCTACTGATGCTACATTTCAGGAAGGCTGTTTATATGTCTCCTTGGATTTTGTTTTATAAACTAGTGTTGAGGGATTTTTATAAACTTCCAAAGCACAGGTAATACAGAGTAACAGTAAGCACAAAAAGCCACCAAGTAAATTAAAATCGCAACTAAGTTTCTAAACTTTATTCAGCTACATTCCATTAGCATTTCAAAGATATTAAGAAAACACACCTGAGGAAAATGAGGGGCTTGAACAAGATTTTGGACCTATATCCAAAATAATTCAGGAATTACTTTGCTGAAACACCATACGAATATACTTTAAAATAGCTTTAACATCTATTTTGTTTTTACCACGTAGCAAACCACAGACTACATTTTCACTAAGCAAAGCCTGACTACAAAAACAAATCTACAAAGATGACAGAATAAGAGAAGCTGGGAGACTGCTGTTTCTCCTCACTCATGACTATGTAGATCTCTTATTGCATTGCTGATCTGTCAGGTTTGTGCTAGTTTCTATTAAATTGAGTAAAGAATTTAGAAGCAGAAACCAGAGGGAATGTATGAGATATACCATTATATTTTTAGTGCTTGGCTTTATTTTTGTTTGTTTTGATTTTCCTTTATAAGAATACTGTAATAAAGGGATTTGTACTTGATATCTTCTGAGTCCACGTGTCTCCCCAGCCTGTCTTTTGAGTGAACCTAGGTAACTTTGAAATAAAGATTAAGAAAATATTGGCCCATTGAAAGATTTCCTCACTAAGCAACACTTTCATTGACACTGCTACCCTGGAGAAATTTCAAAACCACTTGAACCCTCTCCTTTTTTCTCTTCTCTTTCAAGCTGTTTTCACACATACAAGTTTTTCTTAAAAAAAAAAGATAATAGTAGACAACGAATAATAGAAATATATTTGAACTGATAAATATGCCATTTTCTGAAAGTAGTTTATATCTGTCCATAAAAACTCAGAAAAGAGCCAGGATCTTGGGACAATAAACTATAATTGATTTAGTCATATTGTTCAATGCCTTGAAGGTAAAATGTTATTTTAATGTAAAAATATAAAAAATTAATTATTTAATGTAAAATGTAAAAAATTTATTTTTGTAAGGATTTGGATCAGATTATTTTAAATCAGTTAACTATTGCAGTGGATTTAAAACACTGCTGTTATAATCACGCAAATATTACTACCTAAATTATTTGTTATACTTCAGTAGCCCAAAAGTGGTAGCAATTTATCCATAATGCTGTCTTAATCACTCACAGATTCTTAGCCAATATTAGCAACTAACCGAGGTTCAGGAGAACATTGTTTGCTATGGTGAGCATCTATGAAATGAGGTCATTTGTAGTATGAGCTGCAAAGTTGGTCTTCCCAAGTTCAAAATTCTGACTCTACCATTACTAGTGTGTGACCTTGGGCAAATGATATAATTTCTCTGTAAAATAAAGACAATAATAGTACTTTACCTCTGGGAAGGTGTGAGCAGTAAAGTATTCGTGTATATAAAGTGCTTAAAACAATGTCTGGAATATAATGGTCACATTCAAATTCCATAAGCTTCCACTGCATATGTATAGAGCACCTACTATGTGCAAGACTGTATATGCCATAGGAAGGAGTTAAATCAAAGCACATAATTTTTCTGGACCTCAACAGCATTACAACTCAGAACTTTTCTGCGAGAAGGACTTCTAAATTAAAATGTCTTAGCAGGACAGCGATGGCTCTTTATGATATGGCTCTTGCATATGCTCTAGCCTCCTCTTCAACTGTTCGCCCTCACACAGTTTGCTCCAGCACGACAGTTACTAAATGTATTATCCATAGTTTTTCTTTCTTCCAGGTCTTTATACAAATTGTCTCCTCTGCCTGAAATTCCTTACTTGCCATAGCTTGTCTACCTAGACTCCTTCTAGTTAGCCTTCAGAACTCTATTTTTCTTTAAAGCTTTTCCTTTTTTCTGGTACCAACTTCCTAACCCACTATTCCTCAGCAATTCTCCCTCCATAACAAGTTTATACTTTGCATATGTTTATAAATTTTACTTTTATTATTTTGTATTTACTTGAGGCCAAGGACACACTGTCTTTTCATCTTTGTGTCTCCAGTTCCAGCACAAAATCTGGCTCATAGGTAGGCAGAATTATTATTCTCCTTTAGCTCAAAGGCCCTCATATCAAGTTATCAAGAAAGACTTCCAAAGAGCTCTTACGGGAAAAGGGTGAGAGGACATAATAATCAAAGGCGACATTCACTGTGAAGCTGAACCGAAGGTAGGCGACCTTCCAGAACCATTCTGCCATGCCCTCTACCCCACTCTACTTTACAATACATCTTTGCTTTTTCTCTCTCCTTTTATTTCTTTTCTCCCTTTCCTCGACCTTTCTTTAACATTATCATCTTCTGTTCCCTTTCTTTCCTCCTTGCCCCTGCTGATTTAAAATGTTCATTGTTTATTTTTTTCTCTACCTGTCTCGTGGCAGCCCCATCTAATTCAGAGTCAAGATGCAAGCAGCCACCAAATTGGTCCTCCAGCTAAACAGTGTCCTCACCCCCAAGCATGTTTATTCCAAGTGGAGATCAGGGACTCGGTGATAGCTTCATCTTTTTGTTTTAAAAATAACGAATTGTATTGAAATGTCCAGAAAATAAGATTAGTTCATTTTACATGATGATTGTTATCTAACATAGCCCAGTTTCCTGTGTTTTCACTGAGACAGTTCAAAAGAAACCTGGATACACTGTTACAGTGGCTTTTCCTCCAGTGGGTACTTGTGTGAGGTTTGCTTTGCTGAGTAGCTGTTTATACGAAACTTGTGTAGGTTTCTGTGTTTCACCCTATCAGGCACACAAAGCACAGCAGTTCCTCTTTTCAGCTACATTGTCGATATCACCACAACCGTGGATATCATTTGAAGTGGTGCTTCCACGTGGCCTGGACAGCCATCTTCTGCCCACAGTGATTGGAACTGTTCTGTCATCTCACCTTTCTACAGCTGCTGTCATTCATCCACCTTTCTTTTCCGGATCTGCTAATGTGGCTCTAATGCGATTTACCTGGCTGCTTTCCAGGCCCTCATCAGTAGTGAATCTGTTTTGCTATTTTGCATTAAGTAGTCTTAAGCACCAGTGCTACTGACGTGAAAGGCAAGGTACTTCCATAAAAGCTTGAATGTAATAATCTAACAGTTGAGCCCTGCATAATTTTACCAGTGCTGCAATTACAGGAAAACATATAGGCAGTTTCCCAAAGTCAGTTGTGCTGCTGTTATCTTCCATTGGAGATTGATGCCGCCTTGCCTCTACTCTGGATTACTTGATTTGGCCATTCCCTTAGGCAGGGATAGTTGGATCCGTATGTACAAGGCACCCCACACAATGTATCTTACTGTTTATTGAAAATCTCGTCTCCCTTGGCTTCTGATACTCAATTCTCTAATTCTCTTTCTTTCCTTCTAACATTCTTTCTCTCTCTCTGTCTCCTCCAATTGCCTACAGGTGGGTACTCTCCAAGCCTCTGCCTCTGGCATTTTTCTACCTCTATGATTTATTTATAATTTCAGGATTTCCAATACTATATGTAAATCACACTCAAAACTCAGTCCTCAAACTTGATATCTCTGTTGAACTCTCCTCTTTTGTTAAATTAACTTTATTGAAGAATGGTTTACATACAATAAGATGCACCCATTGAAAATGTATAGTTCTATGCTTTTAGTCATATACAAGCAATGTAATCACCACCCCCAAAAATTGCTTCTAGTTCCTTTCTAGCAATCGCTGCCCTGCTACCTCTAGTTATGGGCAGTTATTAATCTGCTTTTCTGTTATTACAAATTAGTTATAACTGTTCCAGCATTTCACTAAAATGGAACCATGCACGTATTCTGTGTCTGATTTCTTTCACTTAGCACAATGTTTTTGCAATTCATCTTGCATGTTTCAGTAGTCCATTTCTTTTTATTGCTGAGTAGCATTTCATTGAATGGATATCCATGAGTTGCTTATCCATGTATTTCTTGATAGACATTTAGGTTATTTCTAGTTTGGGGCTTTTTCTTTCTTTCTTTCTTTCTTTCTTTTTTTTTTTTTTTTTGAGATGAAGTCTTGCTGTGTCACCAGGCTGGAGTGCAGTGGCGCAATCTTGGCTCACTGCAACCTCCGCCTTCTGGGTTCAAGCAATTCTCCTGTCTCAGCCTCCTGAGTAGCTGGGACTACAGGCACATGCCACCATGCCCAGCTAATTTTTGTATTTTTAGTAGAGATGGGGTTTCACCATGTTGGCTAGGATGGTCTCTTTCTCTTGGCTTCGTGATCCACCCACCTTGGCCTCCCAAAATGCTGGGATTACAGGCGTGAGCCACTGCGCCCAGCCTAGTTTGGGGCTCTTAAGAATAAAGTTGCAGTAAATATTTTTGGGCAACTCTTTAAGAGGACATATATTTATTATGTTTTCGTTTCTCTTAGGAAGTGCCTAAGTATAGAATTACTATGTCTGGTAGTACAGAAGTATATTTGTCTTACTTTATAAAAAAGAACTGCCAATCTGTTTTCTAAAGTGGTTTTATTATTTATATCTCCACAGGTGATATATGAGAGTTCTAGTTGCTCTACATCCTTGCTAACACTTGGAATTGTCTAGTCTTTTTCATTTTAGTTACTCTAGTATGTGTATAGAATATATCATTGTGGTTTTAATGTGCAATTCCCTGGTAACTCACAATGGATTGTAGACCTAAATGTAAAAGTTAAAACTGTAAAACTTCTAGAAGAAAATATAGACAATAATTTCATGACCTTGATATAGACAAAGATTTTCTTAACAGGTCACCAGAATCATTAAGTATAAAAGAAAAACTTGATAAGTTAGGATTTTTCAAGGAGTCAAGCCTTCTGCTTTGTAAATATACCATTAAGAAAATACCAAAAACGGCTAGTCACAGAATGGGAGAGAATATTCATTTCATATATAGATATAAATATATATGTAATTAATATATAAATATATATAATGATTATATATAATGACATAGAAGTCATTTCCATAATATATATATTTTAAAACTTCTTACAATTCAATACAAATATGAGCAAAATATTTTTAATAGACACTAAATCAAAGAAGATATGAATGGCTAAGTTCATGTAAACATGTTCAGCATTCTTAGTAAGAAAATATAAAATAACAATGAAATGGATTTTTAAAGCTCTCTTCTAGATTTGTTCAACTATATACCCATTAGCAACTGAAATTCACCATATCCAAAACTAAATTCACTTTCTTTTCTTTTTCCCCCAACAAAACAAACACATGCATGTTTCTTGACTCTGAAGCTCAATACCAGAGCTTATATTTAATTCTACCCACTTTTGGACCCCCATTGTCCAACTAGTTAGCAAGTCATATTTCCTAATTTTCTGTCCTCTCTCTACTCTCAACTTCCACTGTCATTATTCTGGTTTGAGCCCTCATCTATATTGTAAGAGTCTCTTAGGAGGTGTTCCCACAACGATTTTCCATTTATGGCCAGCCCATTGTACATAAATCTTTCAGATGATTTTTCTTAGATCTGAGCTCTGAACATGCAAGTCCCTTGTTCAGAAACCTTTAGTACTTCCCCCTTAGCTGGCTTTTCA
This sequence comes from Homo sapiens, assembly GCF_000001405.40. Classification (NCBI taxonomy): domain Eukaryota; kingdom Metazoa; phylum Chordata; class Mammalia; order Primates; family Hominidae; genus Homo; species Homo sapiens. The sequence goes on from NC_000012.12 coordinate 79,236,271, forward strand.
AGTTCTTTATTTGGCATTCAAACCTCTCTATAGTTTAACCCCAACCTACCTTTCCAGCCTCTTTCCAGCCTCTCTTTTAAGTACTCAGTACTTTGTGAACTGAACTAATTACTGTTCTACAGATACGTGCTTCCATTTCCTGTTGTTTTACCTTAGTCTGTGGTGTTCTCCCATCTGAAATGACATTACCCCCATCTCTGTATAGTCAAACCTCCCTATCCTAAAAGACTAAGACTCAATTCAAATGCTAGCTCTTCTATAAAGCTCCTGCTGAATACCAGTATTACTCATTTAATATACTTTTCATCTTCCACCAAGTGGTATTACTATAAGCTCATATCTTCCTTACTAGATTTTTAAGAAAACTGTAGAGGTTGACCCATTCCTACATAGTGCCAACTACATGTTATATGCCCTACAAGGAGAAAACAGTCAACAAATGTTTGTGTCATGGATAAACAGCTTGATGATGGGATATAAAATAGAATAAGCCATCATTCTTACAATCTGATAAGAGAAATAGAATATGCATGGAAACAATAACAACGTAGCATGTGATGCATAATAAAACTTGTGAGAGACGTGTAGAGGAGTCATCATAGGGTAATTTGGAATTAGGTTAGAGAGGTCCATCAATATCAGGCTGAGGTTAGACTTTATTTAATAGTTAAAGATGAGCCAGGAACCATTCAAGATATTCAAACACAGAAGTAACATAATTACAGTTTTGTATCAATCTGGCAGCAGTGTGTGGGTAGAATGGATTGTGACGGGGGAACCTGGAAGGAGAGAAAGGCAGGACAGAGAGAACTGAAGGAACACTAGCGTGAGATAATGAAAGACTAAATTGCTAGCAAAAGCGCAGATGTGACAGACTCTGTGAACATGCTGTTGACAGGTGCTGTGTCTGGGTCTGAAGGTGTGTAGAAAAGAGAAAATGAAATATAATTTCAGAGAAGCTGGGTAACCATTCCAGGGTTATGCCCTGTAGGGATTGGACAATACGAGAAAGAGTTGGGCATTAGAAATTGAGATTTCTTTGACCACATACAAGTTTAGGTTGCATTAAATAAAGTGGATATATGTTATTAGTAAGACTACACAGAGGGGGAAAAAAGACAGAAATCCAGTGATAAATTCCTAAAATACAAAACTCATGGAAGAGTAAAGAAGTTGATGAAGAGATAAATGAGCTGTCAAAGACTATTGGGTAAAGTAGAACAGCAGTGTGTCATGGAAGCTAAATTAAGAGAGAGTTTCAGAGAAACAATAGTCATTTCCATGTGAAAGAATGTTTTTTAAAGTACTGCTTAAAGTTTGGAAGAAACAAACAATAGGGAGGCTCTGAGCCTACTCCAGCTCCAGAAGCTGCCCGTTGAAAATTTTAAGTTAAAAAAAAGAAATAAAAATGATTAAAGCAGGCAATCTACCCTTATAGTGTTTTCAGTCTAATGGGGCAGAAGTAGCAGACTTCATCCTCATCATCACCATTCCCATCATTTTCCGAGTGCTTAGTACAGGCCATCATCTGTATATTGAATTATAATTTTGCTAACCCTATACACTTATGATCCCAATTTTATAGAGGAGTAGAAAGTCTCAAAGATGTTATGCAGAATACATTTTAGTACAGGGTTTAATAAAGTACATATTAAAGTGAGATACAAGTGAGCTAAGATCAAAGGAAATACAACTTGTATGGGAATGACAGAAAAGGAGTTAAGAAAGAGATAACCTCTAGACTGTGCCTTGAACCAAAGAAGGATTTGCATAACCAGAGAGTTGGTAAAAAGTCATTCCACACTGAATGAGGTATCATCAGAGTTTTGTGGTTAACAGTGAGGTTGGTGTGATTGCTTGGTGTACAATATATTGTATATACTACAACTTACTGTAGGATACATTTAGTGGTATGGCTGGAAGAGAAAGCATGTGACCCCGTTTTCTAAGAACTTTTAATGCCATCCTAAGCAGGTTTTATGCTGCAAACTCTAATCCTTTGTGGGCTTTAAGGAACAAAGTATGACCCAACTTTTTTTTCTTTTTGGACCATTAAAGAAATAGCTAGACATATAAGCATCCAGGCATGGCAAATGCTTCAGATATATCACAGAAGATTATGCCTGAAAAGAGGGCCAGTGGATTTAGAGCTCTTTGTTGACCTTGGAAAGCCTTGTTTCATTAGAGAGCTGGAATCAGAAGCCAAGTTGCAGGGTGCAGGATGAGAAGTTAAGAAGTGAGGAAACAGAGTGAGAATGTGAAAGCGGTGAGCGTGAACTGTTCTCTTCCATAAGAGGACAAGTAGAATTACAGCTCATGCACTTAACAAGATGCAGGGCAATTGGGTATGTGCTGCGGTAGTGAAAAGAAGGAGATGAAAATAAATAGGTTTTCATTACCAAAGGCAGAGCTAACTCTCCTGCCTACTTCCAAATGCTACCACATATCCACACCCTTGATGTCATTACTAATCCCTCATATATTTGCAGCAGAAGTTGCTTGTGAACCTGGGACAGAAATGTTGATGGCAATCCAACTGATAATCTTGAATGTGAGAAATCCTTTTGGATATATTCATATGGCTAATTTGCTTTGACTATAAAGTGTTGCTGAGACCTCATTAACAAATTTGCGATATTTCCCCTGCTTCTTTGATCAGAGTCTCCCTGTCCTTGGAATTCTCCATAAGCCTCATGCATATAGCACTTGCCAATTTTATTTGTATGTTCTAGTTATTTGCCTTATTCTTCCAAATTATCCTATATTCTGTGGTGGCAGAAATTGATATTTTGTATGTACTGCTCCTATACAGCAGGCACTAAATAATTACTTTTGGTTTGAAATAATTTTAGATACTATGTTTCCCTATTATAAATATGTGTAAAAAATTGACTTGTAGAGATATCTTAGTTTTCTATTGCTGCATAAAAGTTTACCACAAGCTATTCCTCTGCAGAACTAATAGCCCTAGTATAACCATGAGAAAAATATCAGACAAATCCCAATTTAGAGACATTTTGAAAATACTTGACCAGTACTTCTCAAAACTGTCAAGGTCATCAAGAATAAAGAAAGTCTGAGAAACTGTCACAACCAAGAGAAGCCAACGGACACATGACAACTAAATGTAATGTGGTGTCCTGGAACAGAAAAACTCAGAAAATCTGAATAAAGTATGGACTTTAGTTAACAATAATGCATTTACATTGGTCCATTCATTCTAATAAATGTGCCATATTAATGTAGAGGTTAATAATAGGGGAAACTAGGTATGAGGTATATGAGAAATCTCTGTACAGTCTTAACGTTTCTGTAAATCTAAACCTATTCTAAAAAAAGTTTGTTAAAAACATTTGCTACAATATTAGTGGCTTAAAACAACACAACGTTTATTATCTCACAGTTTACATGAATTAGAAATCCAAGCCCAGCCTAACAGGGTCCTCTGCTCGGTGTCTCGCAAGGCTGCCATCAAAATGTCAACTAGACCACAGAAGAGGGAGTCCAGGCTTTTTTCCAAGCTCTTTCAGACTTTTTGGCAGAAATTCTGTTCCTTGAAATTACAGGACTGAGACCCTCAGTTCCTAAAGATGACTCTGCCATATGCAGTTTACAACATGACTGCTTCTTCAAGGCCAGTGGAACATCTCTCTCACCTCAGGAAGGGCCTAGTCATGCTTTAAGGGCTTGCAACTGGGCTCACCCAGGACAGTCTCCCTTTTGATGAATTGAAATACAACCTATTTGGGAATTTAATTACATCTGCAAAATCCTTTCACCTTTGCCACATAGCACAATCCATTACAGTCACGGATCTTTCCCATACTCAAAGAGAAGGCTTACATAGGGCATGTATGCAGGAGAGGGTAGAGTCTTGAAAACCATCTTATTAATAGAATTCTGCTTACCAAAGATTTGGAAAGAGAATGAATGTATGACAGAGAACAAAAGAATTGTTACTTTATGAAAAGGCAATAGATTACCTTTTATCTAAATAGTGTCAATTGGCACTACTCTATTTTTTACAAAATTTAAAGGATTTGAACTGAAAAGCATCCTTCTTATTCTCATTTTCTTCTCTCCTTCTTTTTGGTGTCATTCCATTATAGCCACTAAAATAGTGTATTTTTGCAGGGTTAGCAGCAGCATGGTTATTATAGTGGTGATATCTTCCAGTGCAGATTCTTTAGAGTCTGAGCATTGTTTAAAAAGAAAATGAAAGCTATATCAGTTCACTATTAATTATTCTCAGTCTAGTGAATCCTTCAAAGGTTATATTTTGGTGATGGTGATCAGTTCATATCAACAGGTTCAGGAATGTCTATTTCCAATCTATGAAAACAACATAGATTCCAGGTTGGAGACACGGTTCCAATTCTAAACTTTTGCTTAAAATAAAAAAATGATTAGGAAGAAGTAGAGTTTCTGTGCTTAATTTGATCTCAGTTGTACAACTTGAAATTATGAGCTAGTATACATGGGATTGGTTATTAGAAATTGCTAGCTTGACACATTCATTTTTTAAAAAGTAATTATATATTGCAAGGTGTTGATATTGTCTTTTATAAGAAATATGCATCTAAAAAATGTAGAGGAGAATATTTTATTTAAAAAAGAAAGGGCTGGGCACAATGGCTCACACGTGTAATCCCAACACTTTAGGAGGCCACAGCAGGAGGATAGCTTGAGCCCAAGAGTTGGAGACCAGTCTGGGCAACATAGCAAGATCCCATCTCTATAAAAAATTTTAAAACCAGCCTGTCATGGTGGCACATGCCTTTAGTCCCAGCTACTTAGGAGACTGAGGTAGGAGGATTGCTTGAGCCCAGAAAGTCAAGGCTACAAGTGAACTGTGATAGTGCCACTGCACTTCAGCCTGAACAACAGAGTGAAACCCTGTCTCAAAACAAAAACAAAAACAAATGGTAAGTAAAATTCTGAGATTCTAGAAAAAAGCGATTCGTTTACTGAGGAATGATTTGCACTGGCAACTTTTTTTTTTTTTAATTTTATTTTTGGAGATGAAGTCTCACTCTGTCACCCAGGCTGGAGTGCAGTGGCACGATCTCGGCTCACTGCAACCTCCACCTTCCGGATTCACGTGATTCTCCTGCCTCAGCCTCCTGAGTAATTGGGACTACAGGTGGGCGCCACCATGCCCGGCTAATTTTTTGTATTTTTAGTACAGATGGGGTTTCGCCATGTTGGCCAGGCTGGTCTCGAACTCCTGGCCTCAGGTGATCCTCCCAAAGTGCTGGGATTACAGGCATGAGCCACCATGTCCAGCCTACACTGACTTTGAATGTGTTTCCCAAAACATAAAAATTCATGTTTTTATAAAGCATAGGAAAATGACTAAGTACAAAATAATTGGTGTTGGTGAAAACAGAAAAAAAATGTATCTGCATTAAGAAATTAGAAATGTATTTTTTAAACTCAAAAGTAGATAATGTGTGCTGTGGGTCGAATCATGTGCCCCATACTGTATGTTCAAGTCCTAACCCTTGGTACCTATCTGCAAATGTGACTTCTTTAGAAATAGATCACTTTTTTTTTGAAGATCGAATCAAGTTAAGGTGAGGTCATACCGAAGTAATGCCTTAGAAGAGAAGAGACCAGCGTCCTTAGAAGAGAAGAGAGATACACAGGGAGAACGCCATGTGGCAATGGAGGCAGAGATTAGAGTGATACATCTATAAGCCTAGGAACACCAAGGATTACTGGCAACACCAGAAACTGAGAGAAAGGCATGGAACAGAGTCTCTCTCAGAGCATTCAGAAACAGTATGGCCTTCCAATACTTTGATTTCAGACTTGAAGCCCCTAAAACTGTGAGAGAATAAATTTCTGTTGTTTTCAGTCACCCAGTTTGTGGTCATTTGTTACAGCAGTCATAGGAAACAAATATAATGGACGAGCTGCATGTGGATCACCTGGGTCCTTGTGAACGAATGCTGCAATGACTTTACCATCTCTGCCCAGGATCATTGTCACCCACCGCTCCTGAAGGAGAGAATGTCCCTTAACAAGAAGAGGGTTATAGAGCGGCTTGGGAAGCTAGACTTCATCTACTTATCATCTTCTCTTGGGCTAGTTATGTCTACTTTGGATTGTGTGAGGACAAGGAAAACTCTGGCCTGAGGACCTTTTGCAGTGAGAGGCCCCTCCCCTGTGGGCTTGAAATGCTGATTTATGCACTGGGGCTTGATTGTCCTAATAGCCACCATTGGCTGAGTATGCACCTAGTAATATACAGAAAGAAATTAAGTTTTCAAGCAACAAGCAAAGTGATATTTTTTTAAATCATGGCTTCTACACAGAGGTAAAACAATTTCAGAAATTGAAGATCAGAAATTGAAGATAGAGAGATTTATTAACCAAGATTATTCAACTGCCAAGTAGCAGGGCAGGATTCAAAACTTAGCCAAAACTAAGTTCTTGAACCAACCAGGTTGTCTGCTACTACATACTGCCTCCTCCTCCCAAAATGCCAGTGGAAGACTGTGTGTTATATTTAATATGTAACTTGTATTGCACGTGTATATAACTTCTATGTAACTTTACATTGAAAATTGTACCTTGCTGCTTTTTTCCTAAAATGGTGTATTAGTCATTTTTATACTGCTATGAAGAAATACCCAAGACTGGGTAATTTATAAAGAAAAGGAGATTTAATGGACTCACAGTACCATATGGCTGGAGAAGCCTCACAATCATGGCAGAAGATGAAGGAGGAGAAGAGGCACATCTTACATGGCAGCAGGCAAGAGAGCATGTGCAGGGGAACTGCCCTTTATAAAACCATCAGATCTTGTGAGACTTATACACTATCATGAGAACAGCAGGGGAAAAACCAGCCCCCATGATTCAATTACCTCCCATCGGGTCCCTCCCACAACATGTGGGGATTATGGGAGCTACAATTCAAGATGAGATTTGAGTGGGGACACAGTCGAACCATATCAAATAGTCTCCAAAATGTTCCCATTTTATCGTTTTTTCATGTTTGTTTTCTTTATGACTTGTTAAATAGAATTTCTTAAATTGCCCTAGCACAGCCACATGCTTTCTCACATTTCAGTGTCAAGCAAAACATCAAGTACAGGGCATATTTTTCACACTGATGCAACTTTGCTGGTAAATTAAGATAAGAATATTTATTAGGTCTCTTTTGTGTTTATGTATTAAAATAAATTCTAAAATAAACTCAGCACAGTGAGAATAAATTTGAGGACCTTCCCTGGGAGCAAGAATTGCTAAAGCAATCGAAATCGAATCCCTTTTCCCTGCTTCGAAATTCAAGCATCGTAAAGCATTCTTACCGGCAAGCAGGAGGTCTCTAAAACTAAAGTCACTCCAGAGTGGCAGAGTTGTCACTTTAAAGATAGGCCTTAATGTAATGTTAATTTCAAACCTCTACTCCTTAAATGTACTAAGTATCTTTATCTCAGAAATGGAAAACAAAGTTCACAGGGCCTTCCAAGCAGGAAAAAAAGGTAACATTACAAATTTACTTAGCATAAAAAGTAAGGAAGGAGGAAAGGAGGGAAGGAAAAAAGAGAGGAAGAAAAAAGGAAGAAAGGAAGGTGAGATGGAAGGAAGGAGGGAAGGAAGGAAGGCAGGAAGGAAGGAAGGAAGGAAGGAAATACAGGATGGGGGTGGCTAAATTATACCTAATAAAGCTTAGAATGTGATATAAATTTTATGACATGAAAAGCATAATCCTGTATACTCTATCATAAAGTAAAAGAAAGTTGTTATATATTTTACCCAGTTTCATAATGAACTCTTACACCACATTTTCAATTGTGTTAAAACAATTGATCAATTCACCTTGATTCCATTCTGGGCACTTTAACGTACTGCATCGAAAGACTTCATACTGATAATTATTAGTGTTCTCTTTTCCTGGCCAAAAATTAAGATGCTTTAATTAATACCTTCATCACTATCATTGGCTTTGCACATGCCATACTCTCATTTACTTTACAATTTGCTAAACCTTTTTCTCTCTCTTTGGAAATCTTGATCCTCAAGAACTTTCCACATGATTTCTTTCATAGTTCTTTTGCATTCTTTTTCTCCTTAGAAACTTTCATTTTTTCTACATTGGCACAGGAAACATCAATATTTGATCATAAAGCTAAAGTGATAGCCTGGCACAGTGGCTCACGCCTGTAATCCCAGCACTTTGGGAGGCCAAGGTGGGAGGATCACTTGAGGTCAGGAGTTCGAGACCAGCCTGGCCAACATGGTAAAATCTGTCTCTACTAAAAATACAAAAATTAGCCAGTCATGGTGGTGGCGCCTGTAGTCCCAGCTACTCAGGAGGCTGAGGCAGAAGAATTGCTTGAACCCAGGAGGCAGAGGTTGCAGTGAGCCAGGATCACGCCACTGCACTCCAGCCTGGACGACAGAGAGAGACCCTGTCTCAAAAAAAGAAGAAAAAAAAAAAAAAAGCTAAAGTGCTCCATGGTTATATTAACCTTCCCCGCTAAGTTTCCACACATCTCAGTTTAGTACATGTTGAGCTAGTGAAGCTGGGATTCTAGTTTGACTTTTGAACGGCTTTTTTTTAACTGAGATTTCTATCTTTAGTTTCTTTTTCTATGTGGCAATAATGGAATGAGAACTTTAAAAGTTACTCAAAAACTTCATCTGATGAAGTAGGTAGCTGTCTTGGCAAGTAAATGCAATTCCTGAAAATTTTTTCCACTGGAATGATAGCTATTATGGCTACAAGATAAGGTATGAGCAATGAGTTTTCTGGCCGAAGGAATGACTCTGAAATTGCCATACCTCTGTGTAGAAGCAAGCCATGCTTTAAAAAATGACACTTTGGTCTTTGCTTGAAAACTCAAACATAAATAAATAACTTCTAACCTGGCTTTGACTTCATAAGAACTTCATTATTGCCGGGCGCGGTGGCTCACGCCTGTAATCCCAGCACTTTGGAAGGCCGAGGCGGGCGGATCACGAGGTGAGGAGATCCTGACCATCCTGGCTAACACACGGTGAAACCCCGTCTCTACAAAAAAAAAAAAAAAAAAAAAAATTAGCCAGGCATGTTAGCGGGCGCCTGTAGTCCCAGCTACTCGGGAGTTTGAGGCAGGAGAATGGCGAGAACCCGGGAAGCGGAGCTGCAATGAGCCCAGATGGCGCCACTGCACTCCAGCCTGGGCACAGAGCGAGACTCCGTCAACAAAAAAAAAAAAAAAAGAAAAGAAAAAAGAAAAAAAAAACTTCATTATGTATGTATTCGTGCAGAACTTTGAGAAGAATGTTTATAACAAGAAAAATATAATGGCAAAGCATCGTGGCAAAAAGAAAAAAAAGAAAAAGAACACAGAAAATAATTATGCAATTTTGTTAATTCTGAGACCAAAGCAAGCTGTTCTGGGGAGCAACTCAGGGGAAATCCCTTAAACTAGCTTCTATCACTGTCTAATTAAATTCAACATGATTTCTTATAGATCATGTAGTAGGATAAATATAGGTGAGATACCAAATGAACATAATACATGATTCCTTCAGTTCTAGAAATGTTTAACAGAGTAGTTTAAGAGGATTTCATGAAAAGTAAAAAGAATATATAACAGTAGACTAACACTTTTTTTTTTTCAGGAAAGGGAACCACATGAGCAAATAGATGTGGCCTGAGCAGGGCATAATTGAGATACGTGGAAAGATCAGTTTGGTTGCAGAAAATCAGCCCCTGCACCATAGTATGAGATAAATGTTTAGCATCCAAATATAAAGTACTTTTAATATCAATTTAAAGCAGAGCATTTCTTTTATTTTAAAAAATAGGGAGTTATTAAAGATTTTTACTAGTATTTTAATCATAAGATTAAAATATTTTATGGAAATTATGCAAAAGTCTTAATGAAGAACAGAATCTGAAGACCAGTAGACATGTTAGTGGTCAATTCCAAAAGACGAGGCAATGTGCATAAAAGATATTGTTCTCTTTTTCAATGTAGTACTTATTTTCGCCTCTACTCTTTTATTCACGTTGCCTCTCTTTCACCCATCAGCTTCGCATGTGTGAATTTTACACATTTTTCATGATACCCCTTTCATAAGTCCATTCCAGTTCTTCTCTTCTTTCTCTGGATTTCCACTTTTTTTTAACTTTTGCCTCTGTCTTAGTCCATTCCTGCCGCTATAACAAAATATGTGCGACTGGATAATTTTTAAAGAACATGCATTTATTGCTCACAGTTTTGGAGGCTGGAAAGTCCAAGATCAAGGTACCAACAGGTTCAGTGTCTGGATAGGGGCCTGGTCCTTGCTTCTAAGATGGTGCCTTGAACACTGTCTCCTCACACGGTGGCAGGTGGAAGAGCAAAGGGGCAAATACTGTGTGAAGCCTCTTTTATAAGGCATTAATCCCATTCACAAGGGAGGAGCCCTCATGACTTAATCACTTCTTAAATACCTTGACTTTTAAAATTACCACACTGGTGATGAAGTTTCAACATATGAATTTTGGGGGACACATTCAGACAATAATGGCCTCTGAGGCAATTATCGTTAATTCTATCTGGAATCATAGTCATTTATCTCTTATCTCAATTATTATGATTTTCTGGAAAATTAAGGGGATGCCTTGATTTCTTTTTATCACCCTTGTCCAGCCCAGTGGCTGGAACATAAGGGTTCAGTATAAGGTTGACAGAGCATTCAGTTATTGGGGGTGTTAGATGGATAGAGTGATAGAAGTAAAGATGTACAGTTGCTGAGAAGTCAAAGAATAAAAGCAACAGATTCAAAGGATAAAGGTTTTTTTAATCTAGAAATTTTAAATTTGTTTCCAATTCCAAGTGTCATAGAGGTTGGGAAAAATAAAGATAATTACATTTAGTGATGAGTTTATCACCTGTGACTTTACAGTGTATGGTTTTTATAGAGCAGATATTAAAATTTTAGGGAGGGTATTCAAAAGTCAAGTATGATGAGGCATCTTTTCTCACCTGTATAGAAAATGCATTCTCATTTCTCCCATTTACCGGTACTTTCGGTTCACTGCTTTTAAAAAGATATCTGAAGTTAAAAACCATCTAATATGTATAACTCATGAGGCAGGGAAGGCTTTTCTTATAATTGGACTTTACAATATTGTTTTTAAACATTCTTGGCCTAGAATTAACATACCACTGCTGGGATATATAGAGTATAATGCAAAGTAACACAAGCAAAGTCAGTGATACACAATTCTTCCTCATGAGAGAAACAATTTATGGGAAATTATTAAGAACTCCAGGATTATTAGCATCCCACCTGCAATTGAGAAAGGTAAAAACATATATTCCCTTAATACATGGTAGATTGTTTAGCAACCACCTACACATTGGCCGTGGATCTCTAAACATTTAATGAGTGCCTGCTGTGTACTAAACAACCTTCTAGAGTACACAACAATGGCAGTGGAAGACATTTACAATACAATAGATGCTTTCAGCACACAAACATAGATACTCAAAAGGCTCACAGTTATAAAAGAAAACAAAAAAAAAATAAGAGTTGAAAAACAGCTTCCAGAGCAGTATTTCAAAAACCGCAGGAAGCTATAGTGAAAATCTAGGAAGATGCACAGTGAAGGAACACAAAGTATGAAAGTAATAAGAGCCATCTTGGCTGCTGAAAATATTTCTCTTAAGAAAGAACATCTTGAATTACGTGTTCAGAAAATGAAGGTCAATAAAGATCTTATTGGTTAGAAAAAATAGCGAAGAATAGTCCGAATAATTAAGTCAAATTTTAAAGTTAACTTACACAGAACTAAGCCCATTTGACCCAGTTGGCACAGTCCATTTAAATCTTCCTTAGGATGCCCCACATTAAAGTAGGTGAACTAATCACATAACATTGGTGCAAACCAATGAGATTTCTGAAAAAAATATTTTAAGTGAATCCTCCATTAATGGAGAGTTGAGAAGATTATTTTTAGATCCAAAAGACAGGATTTAATAGTAAGTGAGATGAATGAGATGGATAAAGGGTACAGTAAGATTAGATTGATTAAAATAAAAATATATTAGAAAAAAACTAGGACTCAACAGACGGAGAGATTGGGTTGTGCAGGTGATGGAGAACCTCTATTGTACCTGACATTCTTTAAAGGAGGAAAATTAGCATATTCAAAAAAGAAAAAATATTTTGACAATAGCATGAAAGCCAGAGACCTTTCTTGCCTCCTTGTTTAGAAATCATTATAGCAATTTACGCATGGAAATATCAAAAGGAAGGAGAAGTATGGTGTTTGTGAAAATGAAAAAGTCTTAAGTTTCAAAAATGCCATGGGGAGGAATTTGGCAGTGGATAGGATGTAAATGAGTACCAAAGAAGATGGAGAAGGCTAACTTTACTGAAGACTAAAATGAGAGTCAAGAGGAAATGGTATGTTCAACAAAATGCAAATAGGCAAGAAAGGCTTGCTTCTGGAATATATCAGATTTCAGATCTTGCTGACACAAACACCTCTGGGCCAAAAGTTTAAGTCAGCTGGAGACCCTTGACATTCTAATTGAGAGTTAGCCCTGCAAAGGAGGTGATTGATTAAATTGATTCTAACACATAACTGATTGTATAGAAAATCTGAGAATATTGACCCTTTAAAAATCTGTGAAATTAATTATCTGTTTTTAGAGGTAGGATATCCTTGGCAGAATAAACTGATTTTATTTCTCTGCATGTGTTTTAGCTATTTTTGACTCCGGAGCATGTTTCATCTCCCAGGCATATGGCTATTCCGGCTTAGAGTTGTTGAAGGGCAACCACTATGCAAATTATTCCCTCTTCTCTTTACCTCTTTCTTTTTTTTTTTTTTTTTTTTTTTTTTTGAGACGGAGTCTCGCTCTGTCGCCCAGGCCGGACTGCGGACTGCAGTGGCGCAATCTCGGCTCACTGCAAGCTCCGCTTCCCGGGTTCACGCCATTCTCCTGCCTCAGCTTCCCGAGTAGCTGGGACTACAGGCGCCCGCCACCGCGCCCGGCTAATTTTTTGTATTTTTAGTAGAGACGGGGTTTCACCTTGTTAGCCAGGATGGTCTCGATCTCCTGACCTCATGATCCACCCGCCTCGGCCTCCCAAAGTGCTGGGATTACAGGCTTGAGCCACCGCGCCCGGCCCTCTTTACCTCTTTCTATATCTTCCATCTGAAGAGTTGGAAGTGTGAGTGGTGAGAAATCACATGCATCCAGAGGAGACAGACTCTAAAGGACATACACAACTCTATGGAAGGACTAGACTAGCAGCCCAATCAGGTAGTTAAAGAAAGACCAAAAGTTATTGGTTTTTCTTTAGGGAGATGGCATCAAAGCATTTTGAGCCAGAAGTTAGTGCTAAGTACCTGCAGGAAGGATGTAGAAACAAGGGTCTTGTCATTTGCAGATAACCAAGCAGGTAATGTGGCAGCCAATAGCAGCAGCCCAGCCTTGGTGATGACTTTACTCCTATCAATGAACCAACAAGAGAAGGTTAGGTCACCATTCCTGGAGAAATGGAATTTAAAATTTTTCATGTTAACAGCAGTTTAGGAGAATGAAGCCTGTTTTAGAAATTAGAGTAGAATGTAAAGTATCAAAGTTTTGAACCCCAACATCAGAAGTGAATCTCCAAATCAGAATAAGGCAAATTAAGAAAGCTAGAACTCCTTAAAGTCCCCAGACCAAATAAAAAAAAAATAGGGTTGGGTCTGGAACCTGTAATATGATCATTATCATTAATATAGTGATTATTAAGCACTTTACTTGAATCATCTTAATTAATCTTCATGCAATTCTATAAGATGAATATTATCATTATTTCCATTTTAGAGAAATTAACTTACCCAAAGTTTTACCAATAATATGTATCTAGGAAGATACAAAATCTATCTAAAAGTGGTTGACAAAAAATACCACTGCATAGGTGAAAGGAGGATTCAGGACAAGAGTTGAACATCCCTTTTATAGAAGTCCTTCCAGGAAAAAAAGGAACATGGCTTGGTGTGTCTGACTTCCAGAATATGATACCTCCCAGTAAGAAAAAGCTCTTATTTCTTGTTCTTACTCACTCTTTATTAATAAATACAATTCCGGTATGTAAACATATTCCTCCGTATTCCTAATAAGGGCTTTCCTGGAACACTCACGTTGAATCACCCTCAGATATGTCAATTTCCTTGAGTCCAGCAAGAACAGACCACTTAAAATATTTCAAATTTGAGGGTAATTACCGTGCACAACTTTGGTATATCTCTGCAGTGTTTTTATATCTGTGGAAATGTATTTATAATTTATACTGCAGCAACAATAAAAATCTGTGAACAAAATGGTGAAGTCAGTGATTTTAGGATGATCCAATTCTGGTCATTTTGTTATAATAACCCAGAACTAGAAGAATCTTCATATGATAAAATGGATGATCTATGAATTGTATTTTAGGTGGGGGGAACTCAACTTCAACTTGTGTGTTAAGGGGAATTTTTTGTTTGTTGGTTTGTTTAAGAATTAAGAAGTAGCCACCTACCCTGGCTTCCACAAAGCTGGACACCAAAGGGCAAATTATGTTATCAGCATTTCGTTTTTTCTTTTTCCATCTTTGGCTTGGCTTTCTTCAGGTTTTAACATCTCTCTTAGGCAGGTGTCCTCTACATGTTGGTTATCTGGCAGCTCAAGGTTTCCATTCAACTAGTGGAGCAGCTCAGCATAAAGTGACTTTTCACTTTATGCTGAGTGCCTACCATGTGACAGCATTGTACTCAATGTGGAAATACATCAGTAAAGAAGACTGCAAAATTTCTACCCTTCTGTTGCCTTTTCTAGTTCTAGCATTTGTCACAATAGTCTCAAGTCTGAGTACTACTAATACTGACTTGGGTCATGTACTCAGCTATAGACTAATCATTTTGCCCTGGAGGAATGAAATCTCCTGACTCACCAGACCTGAGACTTATATCCACCCTTAAAGAAGGGAAGAATCACTAATACTCTAATTACCCTGATTAACAATGAGGAAGCATTATTTTTCCAGAGAGGAATTTGAGTGCTTTTACCAAACAATGGATATGAACCTGGAGGGAAAAAAAAAATCAATTAAAACTCCAAAATCCAAATTCAGGAAAATTAAATGAGGAAATCTCCCCAGAAAATAAATAGAACTTGCTCAGATAAGAGAAAATGGAAATTTGAGTCAAAATAAGCCTCCTTAGTCATCAAATCTAGATACTCCCTCACCCAGTCAACAAGCGCAGGTAGCAAAATAGTCTTCCCATAAAGAGTAAGTTGGTGGATGAAGTTGCACTTCTATGGATAACCACACTCTGTAGTCATCGCCTGAATGCATTGTCTGAGGTTTATAACTTCTATTTATAGAAGTTCAGCACTCACCAAGTGAAGAGCTCTGGGCTATAGATACTTGCTTCCTTCCATGGACAGTAAAAAGTGTGTTCAATCTTGACTTAACCCCAAGTGAGTAGAACTCAGGCTGTTAGTGATTGAGGCCTCAGGCTTGGTAATTTATAAAATATACTTTGCTTTTCTGTTTTATGGAGGAAAACCTGCTTACTTCCATGCTTTGGAAAAACTGATTCAAAACGTGTCTAATATGCTGACTTCAACTAAGTGTATAGTAACTGATAAATATCTCCTAATGGAGTTTTATTTTTTTTTCCAATAACAGTGTTATGGTAGTTGAATATATGTTTTTCTTAACAAGATAGATGATTGATAGATAGATAGATAGATAGATAGATAATATATAGACAGATGTGTATCTATATATCTATGGATATTTGAAGAGCAAAAATTTACAGATTTATGACATGGTAGAGCATGTTAGTTACCAGCATAGATTTCACAGCTACACGGCCTAAGTTTAGTAAAAAATCATGACTCTATCATTAAGCTTCTAAATGTGAGCAAGAACCTACTCTGAGATTTTCATCAGAGAAATGAGAATAAAAATGGTACTCACATTATAAGATTATTGTACATATTAAATGCATTAATATTAAAAATTTAGAACAATGGCTAATTTATTGTTGACATTCAATAATTTTAAGGATTATTATCATCATCATCATCATCATCACCATATTTAGTATACATTCACTGCAAGTAACAGGATTCTTAAGCAGAGGTAGTGGTCATTAGTACTGTTCAAAAAGTATTTCTGACTGCGCCTGCTTAGGGGCACTTGGCAGAATTGCACTTTTTTTACTCTCTTGTGGGTAGAATTGTGTGATTCATTCTGACAGGGAAGTTGTGAATGGAAGTGATATGCTTCACTTCTGGGATAAGCATTTGATTGTTGATATGAGATCATCCAGACCTCATTCTTCTTTCAGGAACAGAAACCAGCAATTTTGCAGGTGCTCCTGCTCCATCAACCCAGGTCTCTAAGTGACTGCAATAAACAGAAGTTCTACTGATCCACCGTAGACCTGTAGCATGAGTGAGAAATAAGCTTTTGTGGTGTTATACCCCTGAGACTTCGGATTGTTTGTGACATTACTGGTGCATAATCTAACTTATCCTGACTAATACAGCCACCTTACACAATAACGCATTTAACTTTCTCAGATAAAGTCAAGTAATGGAGAAGGAAGTTCCAGAGCTAGTTGACAGGTTGAGCCAGTAATTCTGAGCCTTCTCTGAATCATTAAAGAACAGCTGTGGCAGCTCCAAACATCATATTCCCACATAGCAATACAATCAGGAAGTGGAATGGTGGGGAGCAAAGGCAAAAAGGATCTTTTCCCCTAGTGCTCTCTCTTTTATCAGGGAGGAAAATATTTTCTGAAAGTCTCCTCCAGGTTTCCATTATATCTTACTGTTAGTGCTAAATCTTATATCCAACCCTAGACCAATCAATGACAAAAAGAAAAAAACTATAAGCTTGCCACATTTTATCATGTTTCACTGTATTGCACTTTAAAGATACCGCAGATTTTTTTACAAATTGAAGATTTTTAGTAAATCTGTGTCAAGCAAATCAATGCCATTTTCCCCAAAGCTACGCTCACTCTATCTCTCTCATGTCACATTTTGGTAATTCTTGAAATTTTTAAATCTTTTTCATTATTATTGTATCTGTTATGGTGATCGGTGATCTTTGATGTTACTATTGTAATTGGGGGCACCAAGAACTATGCCCATATGAGACAGTAAACGTAATCCATAAATGTGGTGTATGTTCTAACTGTTCCACCAAAAGCCATTGCCCAGTCTCTCTCTCTCTCTCTCTCTCTCTCTCTCTCTCTCTCTCTCACCTCAGAAAGCTTCCCAATTCTCTGAGACACAACAATATTGAAATTAGGCCAATTAATAATCCTGCAATGACCTCTAAGTGTTCAAGTGAAAGGAAGAGTCTTGTGTCTTTCACTTTAAATCTAAAGCCAGGAATGATTAGGCTTAGTGAGGAAGGCATGTTGAAACCCAAGACAGGCTGAAAGCTAGTCATCTCGCACAACTTAGCAAAGTTGTGAACGTAAAGGAAAAGTTCTTGAAGGAAAAGTGCTACTCCACTGAACACACAAATCACAAGAAAGTGAAACAGCCTTATTGCTGATGTGGAGAAAGTTTCAGATAGAAGGTCAAACTAGCTACAACTACCTAATTTGATGCCTAATCCAGAGCAAGATCCTAACTCTCTTCACAACTCTATGAAAGCTGAGAGAGGTAAGGGAGCTGCAGAAAAACAGTTTGAAGTTGGTTCATGAAGTTTAAGGAAAGAAGTTGCCTCCAGACCATCAAAGTGCAAGGTGAAGCAGGAAGTGCTGATGGAGAAGCTGCCACAAGTTTTCCAGAAGACTGATGAAGGTGGCCACACTAAACAACATGTCTTCCACGTAAATAAAGCAGCCTTGCATTGGAAGAAGACTTTCATAGGACTTTCATAGCTAGAGAGAAGTCAATGCCTGGTTTCAAAGTTTCAAAGGACAGGCTGACTCTTAGTAGGGATGAATGCAGCTGGTTGAAGCCAGTGCTCATTTACCATTCCAAAAATTTTACAGCCCTTAAGAATGATGACACAGCTACTCTTCCTATGTTCTATAAATGGAACAACAAAGCTGGATGGCAGCATATCTGTTTACAGCATGGTTTATTGAATATTTTAAGCCCATTGTTGAGACCTGCTGCTCAGCCAAAAAAAAGATTATTTTCAAAATATTACTGCCCATTGACAATACACACAGTCACCCAAGAGCTCTGATGAAGACGCAGGAGGAGATTGATGTTGTTTTCATGCTTGTTAACACAACATCCTTTCTGAAGCCCATGGATTAAGAAGTAATTTTAACTTTCAAGCCTTATTATTTGAGAAATACATTTTGTAAGACTGTAACTGCTGTATATAGTTATTCTTCTAATGCAGCTGAGGAAAGTAAACTGAAAATCTTCTAGAAAGTATTCATCATTCTAGATGCCATTAAGAACATTCATGATTCATAGGAGGTCAAAATATCAACATTAACAGGAGTTTGGAAGAAGTTGATTCCAATCCTTATGGATGACTTTGAGAGGTTCAGAACTTCAGTGGAGAAGTTAAATGCAGATGTGATAATGGCAAGAGAACTAGAATTAGAAGTGGAGCCTGAAGATGTAACTGAATTGCTGCAATCTCATGATAAAACATTAACAGATAAAGAATTGCTTCTTATGGATGAGCAAAGAAAGTGGTTCCTTGAGATGGCATTTACTCCTGGTGAAGATACTATGAACATTATTGAAATGACAACAAAGGATTTGGATTACTACATAAACTTATTTGATAAAGCAGTGGCAGGGTTTGAGCAGATTAACTCTGCCTTCAAAAGAAGTTTGGCTGTGGGTAAAATGTTATCAAACAGTATCACAGGCTGCAGAGAAAGCTTTCATGAAAGGAAGAGTTGGTTGATGCAGCAAACTTCATAGTTATCTTATTTTAAGAAATTGCCACAGCCACCCCAAACTTTAGCAACCACCACCCTAATTAGTCAGCATCCATCAGCCTTCAACACAGAAGCAAGACCCTGCACCTGCAAAAGATTATGACTTGCTGAAGGCTCAGATGATCGTCAGCATTTTTTTAGCTATAAAGTGTTTTTAAGTTAATATATGTACATTGATTTTTAGACCTAATGCTATTATATACTTAACAGGCTACAGTATAGTGTAAACAGAACTTTTATATGCACTGTGAAACCAAAAATTCATGTGACTCACTTTATTGCAATATTCATTTTATTGTGGTGGTTTGGAACCAAGCCTGCAATATCTGTAAGTTATGCCTGTACAAAACTGACTTAATTTGGTCATAATCCATCTCACACATCTGGGAAAGGAACCTACTATTCTTGAGTAAATTAATCCCTGCATAATACCAGAACAATTCAGCACTCTCTTAGCAAAAAGTAAGGAAGAAGAATGTCTATGTAACCAGGAACGTTTTTCATAAGAGTAATGGCCTTCTACAAGACTCTGTGGAATTGAAAGATTTCTTAAAATGAGGTGCCCTTGTGTTTGCAGTATATGCAGTTTTGTCTCAGGAGAGAGTTTTGGGTCTACTGAGAAGAAACTGAGGTATACTGATAAGTTTCACTGCTTGTGTATTGTAGTGGATAATGTGGATTTCTAAATAGATTTGCTCTGCCACATTATTAGACAGATGCCTAATAATTTAATGTACATTAAAGTATGTTAATAGGGAGAATGTGTAATCATAAATTAATTACCAAGATTATGATTATCCCAATTTTAAACAGTGCTTGAATTAAAATATATCCCTAGAATACAAAATGAATAGTGGCTTACGTGTTCTAAGGTGAGAGATAAGGGCTCTGCAACCACTTGTGGCTTTGGAAAATGACATATTTTGCAGTTTGAAAGCATGGATTTCAGTTAAACATTAAAAGCAGATGACTGCCATGACTATCTGTAACATGATCATGCAGGACAATGAGAGAAACGGCAAAAGAAATTCTGCCTTTCGGCACATATTTTCTCTACTAATATTTGCAATGCCAATTTTCAACAGCACAGGTGTATTTAATTGCCTCTGAATATTGCAATGCAAACCCATTCAATGTTGAAAACAGGAGCCCAAAAAGGAATCTCAGGCTTTGTTGGCCTGCAGAATCTTGTAGCTCCAGATTGATTTTAATATATCCAGGGAATTTTTTTTCTTTGTCATTGCGCTTTCTTTAGAAGGGCATTTAAATTATCAAACCATTACCTTATCAAGCACAAATGTGATGCCAATTCTTGTGATTTCTGAGTTATATGTGCTAAAAATTACATGAGTTCTATTGAATATTTTTATCAAGTCCAGTGATAGAAACATGTATTTTCTCATGCTGTAGTTCCAAGATCTTTAAAAGGGGTTGGTCAATAACTCAAAACCATTTTTTGATGAAGGGAGATACACTACTAATAGCAGATATGCTTCCAAAAGTTTACAAGCAATAGGAATGCTTCTAAAATTTTTAATGCCAGTTACTCTGCCTGATACAGAAGAAAAATGCCATCTACTCAAGTTAATTAATCCATGTTTCTCATTTGTTTGCCTTACACTTGAGTTTTATCTGAGTAACAATATTACAAAATGTACTTACACAATATGAGAATATTATATTTTACGCAGGGTATACCCATGATTCATCTTTAAATTAACTTCAGGAAATCTCAAATCAAAGCTTCCTAATGTTAACTTCAGCTCCATTTCCAGAGGAGACCATGTTACTAATAAAAATAGCTTCTAGCAACTTGATAAGAGAGTCTCTGTGTGTTTATGGCCAAGATAAATGATCTTAAAGATGTAGGGCACAAAAGAGAATTTTGTTGAATTTAGCCTTAACAGATATTTAGTAGCATGTATCAAAATTCAATTTTATCTGAAACTGAAGAAAACCCATCAGATATTATAATAAGACAATAACTCAATTTCAGACTTGTAAACAAAGGTGACATTAATCTATTGAAATGTGGGAAAATAGTCAACCTGTATCCTTCTCATACCATAAATCAGCATGTTTGATCACTGGAAGCTTCATTTTGATGATTAGCAGTCATGTATTGAGGCTAAATGATATGTTTGTCGCACAGCTAATATTAACTAAATCTATTTATCATCTTGCCAGTGGTACTACAGTGAGGTCACACTTTTGGTGCAGAACAAAAAGAAGCCAGGAATCTGTTAACAGCATCCCATTGTAACATTGCTGTTTTTTGTTTTGTTTTGTTTTGTTTTGTTTTTGTTTTTGAGACGGAGTCTCGCTCTGTCGCCCAGGCCGGACTGCGGACTGCAGTGGCGCAATCTCTGCTCACTGCAAGCTCCGCCTCCCGGGTTCACGCCATTCTCCTGCCTCAGCCTCCCGAGTAGCTGGGACTACAGGCACCCGCCACAACCCCCGGCTGATTTTTTGTATTTTTAGTAGAGACAGGGTTTCACCATGTTAGCCAGGATGATCTCGATCTCTTGACCTGGTGATCCGCTCGCCTCGGCCTCCCAAAGTGCTGGGATTACAGGCGTGAGCCACCGCGCGAATAAACCGAGAAAGAAAAGCATCTGACTATTAACCTCATATACTTTTGGAAATGGATGTTTGTGTCCACATCCCCTTTGATATACTGGGTTATGGCCTTGGCGGTGAAAATTCCTTACTGTATATAGTGGGTTAAAAAAGTAGGATGAATGCTAACAAATGTTTTAGGATGTATCACAACATCTGAATTCTCCCTTCTGATGCTTAGCATTTTATTTCACAAAAGGCAAGGTTACTAAAAGAAGAAAAAAAATCAACTGTTTAGATGAAGAAGCAAAATTAATTAGTAAATATAAAAAGTGATTATTTGAGTTTTGCTATGACAATAAACAAGAATATCTCATTCTCAGAAGAAAGTCAGCTAAAGTACACCTTTATTTTACATATTCCTATGGATTACACATTTAAGAATACTAAGGAATAATCATTCTGATTTATTTTATTTCAGAATGACTGCGATGGTGTTGGAAAACAGGGTTTTATGCTTCTTTTCTTATGTTTTTCTGACTTAACATCTTGTCTGACTTTCAAACAGTTCAAAGGAAAGAGAGTACCAATTAGACAAGGGAAGAAGATGAGAGACTGCCTGAACAGCATCACTTTTGTAAACTGAGAGTTCTTCCAAGGATAGAGTGTGTAAATGCTGACCTACATTAAATACAAGTGACATGGATTTCTGGGCATGTGGGACGCCTTGGTAATTTGAGTGACAAATCACGTATGGTGCGTTTACTACTCTTTTGTGGCTTTAAAGTTAGGTGATTTTGACTCTAAAGCATGAAAGTTCAAAGAGCTGTTAAGATTTCTCTGTGATGTATGCAAGGGTTTTCTTAGGAATAAAAAGTCTAAAAAATTCCCAAGAAGACACTTATGTGTAATAAAAGCATAAAGAAATGTACAGGAATAAAAGCACTAGATTTTGTGTAGAGGTTACCCCTTAGGAAGAGAGAAAAGGATGCAATCAAAGGTAGTCATATGTGGCCTTAGTAGTACCCATACTTTTTTATTTCTTCACTGAGTGTGGGTAAATAAATAATTTTTTACTTGACTTAATTTTAATAATATTTGAAAGAATTAAAGAAGTCCATGAGGTAATGTGAAAACTTGTAATGAAAAAGGCTGAATACAAAATTGTATATGCTGGGATGACAACTCTAAATGTTTGTGTGGAGATGGGGACAAGAAGAAATAGAAAGAGTTAACTTGCTAAGATGGCAGAATTATGAGAAATTTGGACAGAAATTGATGAGAAAAGTGATTTGAGGTTTTGGTGATGAAGAAAGGGAGAATATAACCTAAGGAAGATTAAAGATTTCACATAAAACTAGGAAATGTTTAGCATAAATCAGTTTCACCAATTTGAACCTGGTCTTCCTCTCTGTCCTCTCCCTTGTACTCACCAAATCATTTTACAATCTTCCAATAAGGAAAAATACTTCCTTTGGTATGAATGTCTAGAATTAATATTTATAGTTCTACAAAAAAATTCAGAGCTCTTAACCTAAAACAAGTGAAAGTACAATCATTGTTTTTAAATGTTACAAATACAATACCTGACATTAAATTGTATTTCCTCTATATTGCATATTCTGAATTTAAAACTGTCTAACACCTTTAAGCTTAAAGCTTAAATTAGGCATGTAAAACAAGATAATGACAAAAGAAAAGAAGGCCGGATGTGGTGGCTCATGCCTATAATCCCAGCACTTTAGGAAGCAAAGACTGGAGAATGCTTGAGCCCAGGAGTTCAAGATCAGCCTGGGCAACATATGGAGACCCCATCTCTATAAAAAAATAAAAATATTAGCCAGGCATTGTGTCATGCACCTGTGGTCCCAGCTACTCAGGAGGCTGAGGCAGGAGGATCTCTTGAGCCTGGAAGGTAGGGGCTAGAGTGAGCTATGATTGTGTCACTGACCTCCAGCCTGGATGGAAGAGTGAGTCCCTGTCACAAACAGAAACAAAAAAACTCATATTTATTTTCAGAAGGGACTTGATTATGTGGAGCCATATGGGGCAAAGTGCAAATATACCTTAGAACTACTTTAAAATACCTATTATTTTTTCTATAAGTATCCACAGCCAGAAAGAGCAAAACTTGCTGAGTATGATTGGCAAAAAGATTTTCTTTTGTTTTGATTCCACCGTTCCTTATTTTTCAGGCCTTGAATAAAGTCAAATACAGAACTCTTATGAAAAAATTCAGTGTAGAACCTATAATTTAGCTGCGATTGTTCTCTTGGTTTTATTTTATTTTGATCAATTTCAGTCAGGTTCCCTTGATTTCTCTGAAACTGGAGAGTATTGTATTCTAAACGAATGACTTGTCTTTGCTAGTTGAAGTAAATAAGCAATTAGAGCAAAAGGCTGTTTCATTGAACTTCAAAGAAAATTGTTTTTAAGATTCTGTTGTTGTTCTGTGGCCCCTAATAATGCAGACGGTCTTTATACAACAGAAATCTGTCAGAGAAGAAATTTTTATTGGTAGCTAACTTTACACACACACAAACACATGCACACACAACTTCAGAAGCAGAAGCACAAGGTACTTCCTCAGAGAACCACAAATATCATCAAAGTCTTATTTTGACATAATGCTACTTTAACAAGAAATTCAGATTTATGGAATGAAAATTGCTGTAGTAACAAGTATTTTGAAATCCACCCTAATACCCAGAAAGTGACAGCAAATCCCAGTGCTTCAGTAACTCTGAGCCAGTTAAACTGTAGGACAAAATTCTGTTGTGTTCTAGTATCACTGTCTTTCTGAACTAAGACTGTCTTGTGCTTTGGTTGATAGGAAGCAGTGAGGGTCCTGCCTTTCCCAGGTTTGAACTTTCTCAGGTGGTTGAGATCTTCCTTGCAGCTCCTAAATTTCATTATATTTTTCTCTACTCCACAATCCCCATCCAGTAATAAAAATCTATTCAAAAGTTGAAATTAGGAATTCTTCCATTTACATCTAAGCGTTAGATTATTTTTCTAAGGAAAAAATTAAGATTCTGTTTTTACAGAAATCTCATATTTTTTTTTTTAGTAGACTTGGGTCTCAAGCCATTCTGTTAAAAGGGGAAAGGAGTAATATCATTATATTAAAATATCCAACCATATCATGAGATCAAAGGATAAAAACATCTTGAGGATCATTTGGTGAGTCCGTCTACCTGCAGAAATCCTGCATGTCTGCATCACTGTGAACAGCTCAGTATGGCTCAGGGGTCACCTCGCTGTTGGAACTTCAGTGGTCTCACATAGTCCCTAAATCCAAGCCACTGTCATTGTTCTTGGGGGTTGTAAAGGCCATTAAGTGCTCAGTAGTCTTATAAAAACATGCAGATTCTTCAAACAGAAATAATAGCTTTAGTTAGTGTACTTTAGAGCCATAAGTTTAAAACCCAGCAGGAGAATATAAATGATGGCCAGGCAAGAAAAACAAAACTCCCTGCCAACCTTCACTGCCTACAAAACTTAATGATCTATGCCACATCTACTATTTGTAAAATTCTTTCAGAAAGTATCCATTCTTAACATTAAGAAATGTCTACCTTCCTTCCTCCAATATTTTCAATCTCTCTGCCACACTATGTTTATATTCTCTCAGAATTCTAGTGGATCCCATTGTCTAAGACTTAAAAGCTGTTATTTTATACTGGATTAACTTTAATCATCTGTATTTCTTCCAAATTGTAGAGATTGCATTGGTCCAATTTTCTTTTCCTTCAATTTTTAAGAGAAGCAAATCAAACCAAGTCTTTAAAGGAAGCACAGCAAGTCTCAGATAATTTTATTGTTTGGGCCTAATTATTTTAAATGTTACCAAGGAATATCTTTAGGTTAAAAAAATTAAATTTTAGAACAGAATTTGATATATATTTCTTATTATTTAAAATGGGAAAGGGCATTAGCATTTATTAAATCTCATCTGTGTGCCAAGTATTCATAGGTATCACCTCATGTAATTCTCACAGTTATTATTGCGGTATTATTATTTCAATTTTCATGTAAAGAAATAAAAGCTCAAAGAAGAAAATGACTCACTGAGTTCTGAACACACAATTCTCTGAGTCCAAACCTCTAGCACTTTCTAGAATACCATGAAGAGTGGAAGTAATATGTAACATTATAATTAATGTTTTATTATTTTACTCTCTTATTGTTAAATTTCACACAGTAAAATCTACACATAAACATTCATTTTAATTTAAAATCAAATTATACTGACATAGTGCCAAAATAACTGCTCTATGAGATCAATAAATCCAATCTATTCTGATATAGAAAGGCAAAACCCGTGTGCATTGCTTTGTAATAGTAACCAAACAGTCATTATGTTTCAGCCATTTCAGGAACTTATTTGTGATTGTTGTATATTGATTATAATTCTGGTCAGTTGTAGTTAACAAGCCTTTTTTTTCCTTATACTTTCTTTTTTCCAAAGAACCTATTTTGTTTTATAGCATGGTTGGACTTTTCTCTAGAAAATTACAAATGTATTCAATATAACCAGTATTTATCCCAACTTTCTGAAGAAGAAACTTCTCCTACTTAACTCCAACCTTATGACTCTTCTCTGATATTTTTCCAGCCATAGGTGTTAGCATCTGCTGTTGTAAAATCTTTGGTGTTGATTGGTGTGGACTGAGATGAGGACCAGAGCCAAGATCACTTTTTACAAGAAATATACAATTCTGCCCCTTGTCCAACTCTATAAATTACTAGAAGTTTCTGGAAGTGTGTACATCTTCAAGCTCATCTTAATCATTTCCACATTTGTATTCTTGAGATTATACCTGAGATTCTCATCCACACAATCCTTAATTAAAGCAGCTGACTCGCTTCTCACAATATAGGAAAATGGGGGTGCCAACTGCTTTCTCTGCCAACTTCTGAGTACTGTTGAAGCTGAACTAGCTCCTCAACGCTTCTTCTCCAGGAAATGTACTGCAACTCTCATGCTATTTAGCACCTTCCCTCCTCATTTCAAAAATTGTGCTGATCAGAGACATTCAGAAAAAGTGCAAAAGAACAAAACAGCTCCAAATAGCTTTCCACAGTTCTGCACTGTATTCTTCCCTCTGTTGATTTCCCTACAAAACAAATAGGCAAAAAAGCAGCTCACAAAAAAGATAGAGTACATAGAAAAGAGAAAACCGAGGCATAAGACAGCACTGTGTGCTTCAAGAAAGTCCTGGAGCAAAGCTTGGAGCACAGGGTTCAGGTGAGAACTGAAGTTATATTAGCATAAACATATGGTCGCTTACTGCCCCCTCTGCAATGTCCAGAATGCATTCCTAATTTTCATTCCATTTGTCTCCAATGCGTGATAGGACTTCAAAGAGTCATGATTAAAGAAATTGTTCAGTGCAATTAGTCACCACTTACAAGTCAGTGAGCTCGCATTCTGGGGTGAGTGCTAAGCTTTTTCAATAGGAGATAGCACACTCCATTCACTTCTTTGTTGTTCTTTCTTAAGATCCTTCTTCTGGTGATTTTTTTTTTTTTTTTATGTCCAGAGTTCTACTATTTTCTTTCTTTCTGCCTAATAATACTTAATTTAAAATAAATACATCTTTTCAGAAATAATAATTTCATCCTTAGTGAAAACATTTACCCATATCTGCCCACTATATTTTGTGTTTTATATTCTTTCATTTAAAAGTATTAAGATGAACTTCAATTATAAAATCTTACATTGCTTGAAAGACATTTGCCTAAATATGTTATGTGTCTACTGTAGTTTTTCAAAAAATTTTGATTTAAGAAGCCACAAGTATATTAAAATAATTCTATTTCTTCCAGGAAATGGCTGGATTTAGTGATCCTGTAAGGTTAAAAACATTATAATATTTGTATAGTGACCAGGCTCTTGATTTAGATGGTTACATATAAGCAAAATACTGAATGAAGACAAAAAACACAGCTATCCCTTTTATTAAGTTTCATAGCTTTTAATCCCCTAAGGAAATCCTTTAGCTATTTCACTATTTTACTAAATCATATTAAAATGCAAATTTCCACTAATATTACAATTCTAGTCAAAACCACCAAAAGAAAACATGGGCTCTTAAGCTTTTTTTTTTTTAAGTATGAGCACAGACAGCAGAAAATAAAGCTTTCCTGTAAGTGAATATGGCATCTACATTTGAATTATGTACACAGTAAAGGACTAAAAATTGTGTGGTCCTAAGTAAGTTTAAATTCTATTGTCTTTGATTGATTTGAAATAGAATTATCAGAGATTGGATTAATAAAAAGAGCTTGACAGTTCAAAGAAGTAAGCTTGTGATTGGGCTATGATTTTTTCCAAGGATTTTTTGGGCAGTCATATTATTTTCTGTACCTTAAATTTACCATCTATGAATAAAGATAATATTGACTGCATGAAATAATAAGCCCAGCAACTTTTTTTTTTTTTTTGAGATGGAGTCTCCTGTGTCACCCAAGCTGGAGTGCAGTGGTGTGCTCTCTGCTCACTGCAAGCTCCACCTCTCAGGTTCATGCCATTCTCCTGCCTCAGCCTCTCGAGTAGCTGGGACTACTGGCGCCCACCACCACACCTGGCTAATTTTTTGTATTTTTAGCAGAGACGGTAAACTATTCAGTGGAAACGTGATAAAGTTGTTTCTCAATGAAAAATGATCATTATAATGTAAATGTGCATGTAACTAGTTATTGAATAATAAAAGTTGAACTCAAGGTAGCTTTTTCAGTCACTTCAAATACTTGGCCAATTTTGAAGGAAAAAAGAAAGCAGCACCCAAAAGTCTATTGTTGTTGATGCACTATAGAATTGAGAGTGTGTTCAAGCAAAATCTAGCATGTTGCCAATGGAAAGATAGTAAAAATCTTGCTACTAATACCTGCACTGCTCTGCTGAAACATTTACCTCAGGTAGTGTTAGCTGGAATGGCTAATTATTGAAAATACAAAGTACTGCATATTGTTTATTTCCATTAGTACAAATTTAGTATTATTCTAATGCTGCTTGCATTATTTGAATAAGATAAACAATTCTCAGTCACTGTGACTTCAAAGAACTATTCTTTATTCTCCCCAAAGTTTGATTTACTCATTCTATTGTTTATTCATGAATAGCTGTGTACTACCAAATGTCTTGCCTTTCAGTTTTTCAACAGCAATCTTTACTTTAGAACCTTACTCTCACCTTCTGATATATCATTAAGTTTGAACATGTTGAATGCTTTGACGGTTGTATTATACATGTAAAATTGCTTGTATTTCATCTTTTATCTAGACAGCTTTTATAGTTTGGGTTTTTTTCAACCAAGTTTTCAACATTTTTAAGTTATGAAGTTTAACAGGAATTGCTGACAAATGATAATAACTGGCATTTTTAAACTCTTCTTAGTATCCACTACACTAAGTACTTTACATATTATAAATCTATATATTATCACAAATCATTTACAGGGTTTTTATGCTTATCTCTTCTCTCCACCTGGCTCTCATTTTATACAGAGGAAAACTGAAGTTCAGAAAGTTTAACTAACTTGATCAAATTTATTTGGCAATTTAAGTGGCAAAGCTAGGAGTCCAAATCCATGAAACTTCTTATACTTGATACTGCCCTGTTGTTGTTATGATTAATAGCAATTATGTTTTTTGACAAATGATTTTCACTGATTTGGAGTAAATAATTTAAAATTATTTCATTTAAATTAAGCCTGATAGTACTATACTAACTGATACGTTTACAAAACTAAACTCTTCTTAGCTGTAATATCATTAGCATTTGCTCAATTTTCAGCAGAGACACAAAAGAATGCCAGAATATATGGAAAGAGTATGAAAGCTGAACCCCAAGGACCTAAATCTGATCCCAACTCTAATAGGAATCACTTTACAGAAGCTACATTTTAGATCCCCAATGTTATCATCTTTAAAATGAAGATAATGTTAGCTACTTTAGCTATTCTACAATATGGTGTTTAGGATCAAACCAGTTGAGGTCATGTGAAAGGGTCTCAGAAAGTGAAAAAAACTATAAATGAAAGAATTAGACAATACTGCAAGTGCTGCATGCAAGAAGAGTAAAACTATTAGCATTACTAATACAATGTTAAGAGAATCTTTTCAAGAGGATCTGCTATGCAAAAATTATTTAGAAAAACTAATTGACAGAAAACAATTGAGTCTTTCTGTCATTTCCATAGTCTATCCAGAATAAAGAGTAATGAACACGTGCATACGTTTTCTAAATAATCTGGAAAAGTTGATATTTTTTAAGTGTACCACTTAGATTTAATAAGGAGTCCAGTGGAGCCATGCTTACACTATAGGTAAACAATATTTGAAGAAAGCTTTCTCTGCCTCTGATTATATTTTTATTTATTCAATAAACATTTTCTAAAGACTTAGCATGTACTTAACTGACATTTCATGGAAGGCAAAGGAAAGGAAGAAAGCAGTATCCCTCTTCAGGTAGCCTCCCCCATGTTAGAAAGACAAGTCACAAAGCTACTAGAAAACAAAGATTGATATATGATAATACAAAACAAAAGGAGTGAATACATGCAGATGTGAAACAAAATAAAGGGCTTATATATGGTATTACTCAGGTAGACATTTGGAAGAAATCTTTTGGGAGCAATGTCTTATTTTGGCAAAGAAAAAAAAATAAAGGGGATTCTACATCCTTAAGGGAGATCTGTGAAAACCTACAATAGCAAGAGTCATGCAGGGCCTTGTGGTCATGTGCTTACAGTTGCAGTGCTTAGAATACAAACTCTAAACAGAAGAGGCATATGATGGTAAAAGAAAAAAATCATGAAGAAAAAGTAACTGTGTAAAAGACTGACAGGTATAGGGAAGTCCCTTCAGACGCAAGAACAGACAATAAATCAAGGATCATGGGAGTTGTAGAATAAAGTTGACAGTTTAAAAGCCAGGAAACAAAAAGAAAAACTGCTGCTACACTTTGAAAATTGGACAGATAAAATTGCCATGGAGAGAAACTGATTGACAAAAACAGAGCAAACTACAGATTGGGAGGAAAATTAATAAGCTTGGTCTGTAGCAGCACAAATCCATTGGATAATCAAAGAAAAATGTCCCGTGGATACTTAGGCAAGTGAGGGGCTTTGTTTTCACTGTTGCCTACCTGTCACTTTGTATAGTAATGAAATTAATGAGCCTGAATCTTCCCTTTCATGACTGTAAAGACTCAAACGCCCTGTTCTTCTCCACCCAAGCATAGCAGCCATGCAATTCTGCTGTCAATGCAATCAAATCTTTCCAAGTTACAGAGAATTCTAAAAACGTCCTCACTTGTTTCTAGAATCTTAAAAGAAAGGTAGTGGAGGAAAAAAAATCCTTCCAAAAAACAAGTAATAAGGCATTTTTGTTTACTTATTGCTTATAGCTGTTGGCCTTAAATTATAAAATATCAGGGAATATATCTGCCCCTTTAGCTGATAATCTTTTATCATAATTGAATTTAATCTCAATAACATTAAATTGCTTAGAAAAGAAACAAAGTAGATATTAAGATATTGAATTATTCAGAAGCTATCAACAGGGGCCATGTTCAATTCTTGGAATGAATTTCTTTTTCTCAGGCATCTTTGCCAAAGTTGGAAAACAGGTTAACAAAATTGTTAACCAAATTGAAAGTGTCAAAATAAAGCCAAATACAAATTGGGTCAGAATCCAAGAGCTGCCTATTGTGAAGTCTTCTAACGTAAAAGTTGAAAAGAAAGTTAGCTTCCTTGACAAAAGAAAAAAAAGACTAAGAGGTTATGTGTTTTTAGTTTTGAACTTAGAAATCAGAACTCAAGAAAGACATACTGAAAATTTCATAGGATGAATGGATTTCCCTTTAACCACAATATTGTGTTGTCCACAGCATGAATGAAAACTGTTACAAACTTCCAAAGGCTTCAGATGATTAGCCTGTGAATTGCCTTCACCTCTGCCAACTTACCTGGCATCCTTTACGTTTACCAGCGCACTTCTCCCTGGAGCCTGCAGACAGCAAGCTCCTGGGCTGACTGTGGAGGCTTATCTAAATCCTCTGAAAGTTGTGCTGGGGTTTATCTCTGCCTGAAGACCCATCATTTTGCATGTCAAATGTCAGACATTCCAATACTGTGAAGATATAGATGGCTTTGCCTTATCATTTAAAGCAGACTAATATTATTATAGGCATTTTATAAAATTAATTATTTGACCAATACATGTGCAGATAAAACGTCCTTCATTCAACTAACTTCCATCATCAAGACTAATCATTGCCTGCAGTGAGAAACATCAGTAACCTTAATAAGTTATTCAGTAGGGACTGTGAATTTGTTCAACAGCACAGGAAGTACAGAAATCAGATCAAAGGGTAGAGGATCTGGTAAAAATTTATCGAAGCATAGATTGTGACTTTGTGTATATCAAAACAATATGATATACTTTACTAAAGTTTTGATGTATTGACAGTTGAGTTTATGGGCAAAGAGAGGCAGATTTACGATTCTATTAAATGTTAAGGATTTTTAAAAAATCATCGAAAAAATTGTATTCATTTGACATGTAAAATAAGTTTGCCGTGACTATATAGCAGAATCAAAATCCATTAACCATGGATTAATCATTAACCCTTTAATTTGGAATTAAGATGATATGTGGTATTTTTCACAGTATTTCATATATGTTAGTCAAATCTGCCCAAGCAGACTGTAAACTAATAAATTATTTCAAACTTGTTCAAATGGATGAGTGAATGAATGAGTGAATGAATGAATGAATGAGTCTCTCTTCTAGATTACTGTTAACCACAATTTATCTGCCCTAAAAAGTCACAGGTAACTGACCCAAGTCAATGGCTTGGAGCATTTTTACAGTATTTTTGCACAGACATATATTCCAGTTTCCTCTTTGTCAGGAACACAAATTGAAAAGAGAAATAGAGCTATGTGGGAGGAGAATGTGACATGTATTCTTAAGGAGACAATTCTGAAGGCTATTTGGAGAAGGCTACATGAATTTACTACAAGGAAACATCTTTTCATCTACTATGATAGAAAAATCTAATGCAGATTTTGATAAGTCTGTATCATATTGAAAGCTCTGTTTAACAGAGTAATCACTGGCTGACAAATTAGATTAAAAGGAGTCTGAAAACCAAAGGAAAGAAAGGAAGGAAAGAGAAAGGATGAAAGAGAGGCAGGTAGGAAAAGAAACGGTGTCTTCCAAATACTATTTTCACCGTGGAGCAAGAAGGGCTTTGGAGCATACCTCAGAACGTAGCTCCTCCATGAAGTCGTTTTTGAATTCCAGGCCCCTTTTATCTTGCCCTTCTCTTTTTTTTTTTTTTATTGAATATCAATAAATTTATTGAATGCCAGATTCTGGGCTCAATGTTTTCATACATTTGTTCGCTTAATCCTTACAGCAATCCTGTGAGGCAGGTAGTGTTCTCTTAATTTACAGGTAGAAAACTGTGAAACAGAGAATTTTTTTATTGTAAATAAAGTCCCTCTCCATGAGCTTTATATATATATCTTGCCCTTCTCTAACCAGCTACCTATAAATCCTTTCTGCTCCACTGAATTTTGTGCTTAACTGTATTGCCTCCTATCTCTAGTTTTATTTTCTGGGAGTTAGTCTTTCTAAGCTCCTAGGGAAAGGGAACCATCCTTTCTGTGTTCTCTGTTCTCTCACTCCACCTCTGCATAAGTTCTCTCACTCCACCCCTGTATAGTTTAAACACACAGCAGATTGTCAGTAGGAAAGAAATGAACGGTTAAATGATCTGATGCAGGAATACGTTTTTCCTTTGGCCTTGGTGTGTCTTGCCTTGATGCTCTGAGAAACAGGTTTTTAATTTGGAGTCCAGTTGTCTTCCAGACCTGGAGAACAATAATCTGCACTCGGGTACCACATATTACCAACTGTATGAAAAAGTACACACACACACACACACAATGCACACACGGATATATGCAGTTTCCCATGAAGAGTCCACAACTTTTATCATATTTTAAACTGGACATATGATTCAAAAAAGGTTTAGAACTATCATTCTAAAGGAAAAAAGATACTTCAGTACCCTGGGGCCAAGAATTGGTAGTCTTTGAAGCCATTTTAGGCTATAATGAGAAATTCTTCATTTGGACCTCTGATTGATTTAATCTTAAATTATGTTCTATGAGACTTTACATACTTTTTCAAATATGCATTTAATGTTCTGTCTCCAGAGGTGGCTAATGAGTGTATTAATGCACATATTTCCAGAACTTTTTTCCATTTGTATTGTATAATTTAGAAAAAGCTTGTTTTTATTTTTGCTGATTTTTGAAAAATGATTATCCTTGTGTGTTTTTGAAAATTATTCATAAACAGCCCCAAAAGCAAGACTTTGAAAAAGATTTTTTGTGCTAGTTAACAGCAGAATAATTATTTCCATATTATATTCTGCACCTTGCATCTACTTATAATGATCTAGAAAGATGATGGATTATTTTGAGTAAAACTAGAAATTGGCAAAAAGCATCAGTAAATATAAGAATGAAGAAACATGTAGATTATTCATAAAATGAATAATGCACACATTAGTGCAGTGGTGAAGCATTCATAAGACAAAATAGAGATATGTTGAAGGTAGAAAATGCTTGAAGTTACTGCTGAATTTTTGTGGTGACCATAGCAATGGTATTACCTGTATTGTCTTGAGGCTCTTGGCTGAAATATCTGGGACTGTTACAAATGTACAAGCTTATATTTTTCCAGGGATGAAAATATAGCTCATCCTGTGAAAAAGATATGGATTTAAGGTTGTTTCTTAATATGATAAATGCCAATGGAACTAATAATACAAATCTGCCCTTAAAAGTGAAACCAAGGCAGAAATACAAAAGACAATGAATTATGCCGTAGATTAAACCAAGATCCCAGTGAGTAAATCTACCAAAGTTTTCCAGCCTAGGGGACAGAAATAGCTGACTATGAATGGGAATGAGGATGAAGAGAATCAGTGCTAAGGAAAAGCCCCTTGAGATAGTGGCGTACTTCAAAGACTGTCCGCTCTACTTCTACTTGAGCTTAAGAACATGGCTATGTGGGTTTCCTTCAAGTCATCTAATATTTATTGAGCACTGACTCAGGCATTTTAGGGACTGCAAAAAAGATCCATTGGGAAATAAATGCGTAGAACCGCATAGAGCCTGCCTCCCCTTAGCCATAGGGCACATTGTATAAATTAGAAAAGGGGCTCCTCCCCAATTGTTCATTCAGTAGGTGTGAGATTCAATGAATGTCTGATGAACAGGCCTCAGATTTGGAAGCATGAACTTGACATGCACAGCTGCTAGTCTATAATACCAAAGATTTTCCTTTTTAAAATGTATACTCTGCAACACCCTTGCTCTTGGTGAAGATTTCATCTTTGTTTTCACAATGCTCAATTAAAGAGAAAGATATTTGGAGCATTTACTTTTAAAATATATATATGTCAGGACTCCTTAAGTAAATAATTTTTTAAAAAATTTATTTAGTGCCAAAACTCCCTGGAAGAAGAAATAATGACGTTTTTCCATCCGAGAGTTATATTTTTATTGTAGAAAGAATATTTGTTAGTTGGCTTCACAATAGTTGTATCCCTGAAGCACTAAATTTGTATACAGGAGCCTATTAGGCCATGTAGATTTCATTTGAAAAATGTACCGTATTATGTTCTAAGAGCTGAGTTTAGCAAATATGAGAAATTGAGTTCTTTTAGTAAAATAAATAAGACTGAGATTTTAACACCTGGGAAATAAATAATAAGCTTCATGATTGCACAAACCATCCTTAGCACTGTATCCCAATCCTGAGAAAAATGCCTTGCACATAGTAGATGCTCAATAAATATTTTTCTTTGCACAATTTTTAACTGCTCAATTTATGCCTACTTGTCATGAAAAAACAGGCTTTCTTGATAAAGGAAGATCTTTTTTTCAACAAAAGACTTGCTAATACTAATTTATTTCTAAATGATTCCAAGTATTTCTATTGTGTTTGTATTAATATCAGTGCTTTGTGTCATGAATAATCTACAGAGAGCCAAGATTTAAGTCGGTGAGAAAAACATTTCTTGTATGGGAAGAGAGTTTATTAAGATACATTTTATACATTTGCACACATTTATCTCTTTTTTTCTTAATGCATCTTTTTATACCCATCTAACATAAACCACTCAATGTATTGTATCACATAGTCAATATTTCTACCAATGGGGAGCAGATTTTAACAGATGTATCCGATATTTTTATTGAAAAATCCATCAATGCTAAGTGAGGCATATGGTAAGCCTTGAAAAGGAAGTATTATTTAAATGACTGGAGAGGAAGAAGAATAGCATTTGAAAAAAGAAAGAATGCACTTTAGAAAACACAGGAGTAGAATTGAGCAGGGAACAACTTACCCAGTCTGATGAGAATAGAGGTGAGTGTGGGGGAACAGTGAGAAATAAACACAAATAAGTAGGATGGGCTAAATGACAGAGGACTTTGAACACTGTGCACAAAATAATTGATAATTATATATTGGAAAGTTTTATCTGATTACAATGAACGGGTAAAATGGACAGAGGAGATAATTGATGGGAAAAGAGATCAGATGGGAGATAATATCAGGTCTACACCTTATAAATAGACATAAAAGAAGAGTAAAACACATTGAAGGAGAAATGGCAAAGCTTACCAACCAGTTGGATTTGGGAGTATGTATTTCCCCATTTTTCCAATGGGGTAGGAAACGACAGAAGCACCGACAGAGCCATGGAGCTGTTTTGGAGAACTGGTTTGGGAAGGAGATAAAGGATGCACAAAGCATTCTATAGACTTTGGGAATACACTCCTGGAGTATAGAATAGGGAGTAGAATAGAGTAACTGAACGAGTAGTGAGGCATGGGAAAGCATGTGCTCAACAATGAGTGAATGGGAAGATAACCAAGGGGCTGAGAACCACCTTAAGTAGCAACCACATTCAAGCCTTGAGAATAGAAAGGGAAGGAGAGGGGAAAAATGTAGAGATGTAGCAGAACATGCTGGTAGGGAACAGTAACATGAAAATAAAAGCAGAAGAAAATTTTAAGAAGGATTATGTGATCAAGATTTTCTAATACCACAGACAGTGTTGTTTGGGTTTGACCAAAAAAAGCTATTCATTATCTTTTGGAGAATCCTGAGTACAATGTTAGAGTCTTGAGACTGGTTGCAGAATGAATAGATAGAAAGGGTAGATAAGAAGAAAAGACAGTTTTTTACCCCCAAGATAGCGGATTGGAGCCTTTGTTAGTGTGCCTCAGCCACTTGGAGAGAGCAAAATAGTGTGTGTTACCTTTTTTCTTTCTTTTTTTTTTTTTTTGACAATATCTCGCTCTGTTACTCAGGCTGCAGTGCAGTGGCACAATCATAGCTCATGGCAGGCTCAAACTCCTGGGCTTAAGTGATCCTATCACCTCAGCTCCTACATAGCTGGGACCACAGGTATGCACAACATCCAGCTATTTTTTTTTATTATTTTTTGTAGAGCTAAGGTCTCATGTTGCCTAGATCTTGAACTCCTGGACTCAGGTGATCCTCCTGCCTCAGCCTCCCAAAGTACTGGCATTATAGTTATGAGCCACCATGCCTGGCCACACATTGTGAACTTTTATCCAAGAAGGAAAAGAGAAACTTAACAGAAAAAGTGAAAGAAACTTCACTTTCAAAGGAGCAGTAGGCAGTGAGGCAGAAAACTGTGAGTCTCCAAAGGGCAAAAGAGGGAGAGACCATCACCATGATTCTCATTTCCACTGCAGAGCCTGGCAATTCAGGCCACAGGGGAGCGCCTTAACCCTACCCAGCACTGAAGCTGATTTTGTGAGCAGCGAGGAGGATATGAGGAGCGGCATCAGGACACACTTTGCAGGCACTCCTAGACCCCAGTGAAACAGAAGGAAGACATTCCTGATCCTAACTCGTAAAATCCTCCAAAAGTTGGCAAGTTAAACTCAGCCAGCGCTTAGAGGTTGCCAGAAACTCCCAACTGTGGTGGGGCGTGATGGCTCACGCCTGTAATCCCAGCACTTTGGAAGGCCGATGCTGGCAGATCACGAGGTCAAGAGATGGAGACCATCCTGGCCAACATGGTGAAACCCCGTCTCTACTAAAAATACAGAAATTAGCTGGCCGTGGTGGCACGCACTGGTAGTCCCAGCTACTCGGGAGGCTGAGGCAGGAGGATCGCTTGAACCCAGGAGGCAGAGGTTGCAGTGAGCCGAGATGGTGCCACTGCACTCCAGCCTGGCGACAAAGCAAGACTCCGTCTGAAAAAATAAATAAATAAGAAAGAAAGAAACTCCCAAATGAGATTCGTGATCTAATCTCAAGTGGGGATGAACCCCGAAGGCCAGAGCTAAGCACAAGTGGGAAGTGTGCTCTTGCCACAGGTGCGGGAGCTGGACACCTCTGCTTTGCGGGTCAATCCAGGAAGGGTGTGGCCTGAGAGCCATTGTTTGTGTCTTGAGTGGGAAGTCTTGCATCCTGGGTCAGTTTTGTATTCTGAGCATGAACTGCCTGAGATTCCGCTGGCAGTTACAGCTTTCTTCTGCTGAAGTCTGCAGGTGTGAGACACACCATGTCAGGGGCATGAGAGCTGAGTGGGTCTCACTGTGGTCTGCTGCCCCTCTCTTCCTGTGCAGACTGTTTTGTGCAGCAGAAATGGTTCCACTCCTCTCTGGAACATTACCCCAGTGGCCAGGAAACTTCCTTTCAACCTCCGCTGCTTTGCATCTGCACTTGGGCAGCCGCAGCGCAAACTTGGCTCACCCAACCCCCACACAGCTTCACCTCCTTTATATGCCTTGGTAGCAGACAATGGATAGGGACTTTTGAGAGTTCGATGGCCCCACCCATCTCCTGGGATATCTGAGTACTCTTCCTGGGTAACCTAGGCCATGCATAAATCCCACAGCCACAGCTGGCTCCCTCCTGAAAGTGTCACCTCCTGGCAGGAGGTCAACTGGCACAGCCAATTACAACATCTGCTGACACAACATAGTACTCATAGTGAACATGCTCACTGTAGCTGGCAATTGAGAAAGCCACCACACTAAGGCTATTTATAACCAAGGAAATCTTAGAGAGATACATCACTTCCCTGTCACCCCCATCAGAGCTGGTGCTTGCACCTGCCACTGGGAGACCAGAGGACAGATCAGCCTTGTCCAGCTCCACCCACCACCAGCATGGGTTGTGGCAGCCCCACCAGGTGGCTAGATCCAGAGGAGCAGGAGAATTCACAGTCTTCTGACCCTAAGGGACTGCCACTCCTAGGGGAAAAGGGAGTGCACCACACCAAGGGAGCACCCCACAGGACAAAAGAAACCAGAGAGTTTTTCTCTATTCCAGAACTTTCTGCTTGTGGGCAAAGAACAGCTGCATCTCTTTAAGCAGAGGCACAGGCAGAGTGCTGGGCTCAGTGGAGGAAGACTATGGCTCTGCACAGCAGTCAAGCAGCCCCTGTGCTCATGAAGAGATTTGGAGAAGGGTACTTCTTGTCTCCCTTGGCCATTGCTGCAGGCACACCCAGGAATTCTCCTGTGAAAACTCAGTGAGAGTGCACCTGTACACAGCCTTTCTGGAACATTTGGGGGTGACTGCGTCCCCAAGGGAGGTG
This sequence comes from Homo sapiens, assembly GCF_000001405.40. Classification (NCBI taxonomy): domain Eukaryota; kingdom Metazoa; phylum Chordata; class Mammalia; order Primates; family Hominidae; genus Homo; species Homo sapiens. Next base: position 79,275,432 of record NC_000012.12, read on the forward strand.
TGCCCTCCAGGTTCAGGCTTGCAAGAGGGGTGGAGTTCCACTCCCCCTCTACATGAATATCAGTATTCCTGCAGATGGACCGAGGTGCCTATCTGATCTGAATATAAAAAATCCTGGGATGGGGGCATGATAGGAAGGTAGGTCACTTTTGTGCTGGCCTCATAGTGGAGCTGAGGTGACTCCCTCCCTCCCCTGTAAAGATTTCAATGTATTTCGCTGGGAGCTCCTCCAGCCGCCTCTATCAGAGCTGGGACTTTTGCCCACTATTGGGTTTTGCATTTACCCAGCTGCTTCAGCCACAGGCAGTTCTTACCCTTAGGTGGCTTCTACTGGCCTGAAGGCTGAACTGTTCAACCCAGTGAAAAAATACTGAGGGTGTGGGGAGGGAAGTACACATGACTGGGGAATGAGGTAAGCTTCATGAGACCTCTGCCACCCTAGCCCCACAGGAGACAGTAAACCTGCTTACACATCCAGTACATAGCTACTACAAGCAGCATGTGAGAAAGTCATTGCACAAAGATTCTCTATATCTAAGGAACTCATACAGAGTCTTTGACATGGAAAGCACCCAGAGCCAAAGCTAGTCAATCATAAACTATACACATTATAGTCACAACCTCAAAGCTCCATCAAAATAAATTTTTAAATAATAAGAAGAAATATCCCCAGATGAGAAAGAACCAGAAAAATGATTCTGGCAATATAAAACAAACAAACAAACAAACAGTTTTATAACACCCCCAAAAGATCACCCTAACTCTCCAGCAAAGGATCCAAATCAAATGAAATCTTTGGAATACCAGATAAAGAATTCAAAAAATTGATTGCAAAGTTTCTCAGTGCAATCCAAGAGAAAGTTGGAAACCAACATAAAAAATCAAAAAATACAATTCAGGATATAAATGAAAAATTATCTAAAAACAAATATTTCTTTAAAAAACAAAACAAAAAAAACAGAATTAGTGGGGCGCAATGACTCATGCCTGTAATTCCAGCACTTTGAGAGGCCAAGGCAGGCAGATCATGAGGTCAAGAGATCGAGACCATCCTGGCCAACATGGTGAAACCCCATCTCTACTAAAAATACAAAAATTAGCTGGGCATGGTGGCACACACCTCTAGTCCCAGCTACTAGGGTGGCTGAGGCAGGAGAATCACTTGAACCCGGGAGGCAGAGGTTGCAGTGAGCTAAGATCGCGCCACTGCACTCTAGCCTGGTGACAGAGCAAGACTCCATCAAAAAAAAAAAAACAAAAAAACCAGAACTTCTAGAAATAAAAGACTTGCTTAGGGAATTACACAACGCAGTTGAAAATTTTAACAGTAAACTAGACCAAGCAGATGAAAGAAATTAAGAGCTTGAAGATGAGGCTTTTAAGTTAACCCAATCAGACAAAAATAACAAAAACAAAAAGAAATAAAGTCTCCAAGAAATGTGGCATTACATAAAATGTCAAAACCTAACAATCCAGAAGAAGAAGGAAAAATGATGAAGGAAGGAGAAGAAGAAGAAGGAAGAAGGAGGAGGAGGAGGAGGAAGAGGAGGAGGAGGAGGGAGAAGGAGGAGAAAAGGAAGAGGAAGAGGAAGAAGAAGGAGAAGGGGACAACAATAAAATGTTTAGAAACCTATTTGAGAGGACAATTGAGGAAATATTCCCTGGTCTTGCTGGAATATTAGACATCTAGACACAAAAAGCTCAAAGAACTCCTGGGAGATACATTACAAAAAGGATATCACCACAGTATATAATTATCAGGTTATATAAAATCAATGTGAAGGAAAGAATTCTAAGAGTAGTGAGACAAAATAACTTATAAAAGAAATAACATATAAAGGAAATCAAATAACTTATAAAGGAAAACCTATTAGACTAACAGCAGACTTCTCAGCAGAAACCTTCTAAACCAGAAGGCCTTGGGGTCTTGTCTTTAGTCTTCTAAACAGAAGAACTATCAGCCAAGAATTTTGTATCCTGCAAAACTAAATTTCATAAATAAAGGTGAAGTAAAGTCATTCCCAGACAAACAAATGCTGACAGAATTTGTCACAATTAGACTACCTCTACAAGAAATGCTCAAAGGAATGGTAAACATCAAAGCAAAAGGTTGATATTCACCAGTATAAAAACACTCAAAATTATAAATTCATAGAGCTTATGAAATAATAACACAGTGGAGAATACAAAGCAATTAATGATCCACATGATGAATGGAACAGTTACCCACATATCAATATTGACTTTGAATGTAAATGTTCTAAATTCTCCACTTAAAAGATATAGGTTGGCAGAATTGATAAAATACATAATCCAAATATCTACCTCCTTCAAGAGACCAACTTAACACATAAAGATTCTTACAGAGTCAAGATAAAAGAGTGGGAAAATATATATCATGCAAATGGAAGCCAAAAGCAAGCAGTAGTACCTATTCTTACATCACAGAAAACAGACTTTAAATCAACAGCAGTAATAAAGACAAAGAAGGTCATTATATAATGATAAAGAATCAATTCAAGCAGAAGATATAACAATCATAAATATATACACATCTAACATCAGAGCTCTCAGATTCATGAAACAAATACTACCAGACCTAAGAAAAGAGATAGACAGCAATACAGTAATAAGGGAGAATTCAACAATCCACTGACAGAAGTAGACAGATTGTCAAGGCAGAAAGTCAACAAGGGAGCACTAGACTTAAACTGGTCTCTGGAACAAATGGACCTAACAAATATTTACAAAACATTCTGCCCCAAAAGTGCAGCATATACATACTTCTCATCAGCACATAGAACATTTTCCAAGATAGACCATATGACAGGCCACAAAACAAGTCTCAATAAATTTTTAGAGATTTAAATCCTACCAAGTATCTTCTCAGACCACAGCAGAATAAAACTAAAAATCAATTTTAGGAGGAGCTCTCAAAACTATAAAAAACACATGGAAATTTAAAACCTGCTTCTGAATGATCTTTGGGTCAATGATGAAATTAAGACAGAAATTTTTAAAAATTTTTGAAAGGAATTATAACAGTAACACAATGTATCAAAATCTCTGGGATACAGCAAGAGCAGAGCTAAGAGGGAAGTTTACAATGCTTAATGCCTACACAAAAAAGACAGAAACATCACAATTGACAAGCTAATGTCATGCCTCAAGGAACTAGAAAAACAAGAACAAACCAAACCCAAACCTAGCAGAAGAAAAGAAATAATAAAGAGCAGAACTAAATGAAATTGAAACCAACAAATACAAGGATCAATGAAACAAAAAGTTGGTTATTTGAAAAGATAAATAAAATCGATAGACCAATAGCTAGATTAACCAAAAAAAGAAGAAAGAGAATTTAAATAAGCTCAATCAGAAATGAAAATGAAGACATTACAACAGATACTACAGAAATGTAAAGTATTATTCAAGATTACTCTGAACACCTCTAAGCAAACAAACTAGAAAATCTAGAGGAAATAGATAAATTCCTAAAAACATATAGCCCCCCCAAGCCTGAATCAGGAAGAAATAGAACTCTTGAACAGACCAATAACAAGTCTTGAAATTGAATTAATACTAAAAAAAAAAAAAAAACCTCACAACAAAGAAAAGCCCAGAACTAGATGAATTCATAGCCAAATTCTACCAGTCATAAAACTGACATCAATCCTACCGAAACTACTCCAGTGGATCAAGAAGGAGAGAATCCTCCCTAACTCATTCTACAAAGCCAGTATCACCCTAATAACCAAGCCAGAAAAGGACACAGCCGAATAGGAAATGTCCCTGATGAACATAGATGCAAAAATTCTCAACAAAATACTAGAAAACCAAATCCAACAGCACATGAAAAAATTAATTCACCGCAATCAAGTGGGTTTCATTCCAGGGATGCTAGGAGGGATAAATATATGCAAGTCAATAAACATGATTCACCACATAAGCAGAATTAAAAATAAAAACCATATGATCGTATCAATAGATGTAGAAAAATCATTCAATAAAATCTAGCATCTCTTCCTGGTAAAAATTCTCCACAAACTAGGAATAGAAGGAAAAGGAACATAACTCAAAATAATAAAAGCCAGATACATCAAACCCATAGCCAACATCATACTGAATGAGGGCAAAGTAGAATGTGTTCCCCCTAAGAACCAGAACAAGACAAGGGCTCCCAGTTTTACCACTTCCATTCAACATAGTACTGGAGGTCTTAGCCAGAACAATCAGGCAAAATAAAGAAATAAAGAGCATCCACATTGGAAAAGAGGATGTCAAACTGTCTCTGTTGGCTGTTGATATAAATGTATACATAGAAAACCCCAAAGACTCCTAGATTTGATAAATGAATTTAATGAAGTCTCAGGGTACAAAATCAAGGTACGTAAATCAGTACCACTGCTATATGCCAATAATGATCAAGCTGAGAATCAAATCGAGAACTCAATCCCATTTATAATAGCTGCAAAAAACATAAAATACCTAAAAATATGCTTAACTAAGGAGATGAAAGATCTCTACAAGGAGAACTACAAAACACTGATAAAAGAAATCATAGATGACACAAACAAATGGAAAAGCATCCCATGTTCATGGATTAAAAGAATCAATATTGTGAAAATGACCATACTATCCAAAGCAATCTTCGGACTCAATATAATTACTGTCAAAGTATCAACATCATTTTTCACAGAATTAGAAAAAAAAACACTAAAATTCATATGGAACCAAAAAAGAGCCTGAATAGCCTAAGCAATCCTAAACAAAAATAACAAATCTGGCAATATCACATTACCTGACTTAAAATTATACTACAAGGCTCTAGCAACCAAAACAGCATGGTTGTAAAATAAAAGTAATATAAAAGTAGACATATAGACCAATGAAACAGAATATACCCAGAAATAAAGCCACGTCTCTACAGCCAACTGATCTTCAACAAAGCCGATGAGAACATACACTGGGGAATCGATATCCTATTCAACAAATGGTGCTGGGAAAATTGGATAGCCAAATACAGAAGAATGAAACTGGATCCCTATCTCTGACCATATACAAAAAAAATTAACACAACTTGGATTAAAGACTTAAATGTAAGACCCAAAACCATAAAGATTCTAAAAGAAAACCTAGGGAAAAAAACTCTTCTCAACATTGGTGTAGGTAAAAGATTTATGACCAAGACCCCAAAAGCAAATGTAATAAAAACAAAAATAAATAAATAGGACTTAAATTAAAAAACTTCTGTACAGCTAAATAAATAATCAACAGAGTAAATAGACAACCTATAGAATGGGAGAAAATATTCACAAACTATACATCCAACAAACGGCTAATATCCAAGATCCACAGGGACCTCAAATCAGCAAGAAAAAAAGATAATAATCCCATAAAAAGTGGGAATATGTGAAGAGAGATTTTTCAAAAGAAGCCATACAAGTGGCCAACAAACATATGAAAAAAATGCTCCACATCACTAATCATCAGAGAAATAAAAATTAAAACCAAAATGAGATACCACCTTACAGTCAGAATGGCCATTAATAAAAAGTAAAAAAAAAAAAAATAGATACTGGCATGGATGCTGTGAAAATGGAACTCTTACTCACTGTTGATGTATTAGGTAAATTAGTACAACTTCTATGCAGAACAGTATGGAGAGTTCTCAAAGAACTAAAAACAGTTCTACCATTTGATCCAGCAATCCCACTAATGGATATCTACCCAAAGAAAAAGAAGCCATTATATCAAAAAGACACCTGCACTTATATGTTTATTGCAGCACAATTCACAAACGCAGAGGTATGGAATCAACCTAAGTGCTCATCAATGGATGAGTGGATAAAGAAAATGTCAGATACGGATATAGAGATATAGATAGATATAGATAGATAGATCATGGAATACTACTCAGTTATAATAAAAGAACAAAATAATGTCTTTTTGCAGCAACTTGGTTAGAATTGGAGGCTATTATCCTAAGTGAAGTAACTCAGAAACAGAAAACCAAAAACTGCATATTCTCACTTATAAGTGAAAGCTAAGCTATGGGTATGCATGGGCATATAGAATGGTATAATGAACACTGGAGACTCAAAAGTGGGAAGGGGATGAGAGATTAAATATTACCTATTGGATACAATGTACACCATTCAGGTGATGGGTACACTAAAAGCCCAGACGTTACTACTATACAATTCATCCATTTAACCAAACCCCTAGAGCTACTAAAATAAATAAATAAATGAAAAGACAGCAGAAAATACATGACTAGCCCACATGAATATTACTAATGTATAGTTACCTATATACAGCATATATTACAAATCTCTTGAGGTCTTCTTTGTATCACTTGAGTTCCTATTGTTGCTATAATGAATTATTCCAAGTTTACTGTCATAAAAGCCACACACATTTATTATTTTCCCATTCTGGAGGTCAGAAATCTGAAATTGGTTTCACTGAGCTGAAATCAAGGCGTCAGCAGGGCCAATTCTCTCTTGAAGGTGTAGGGGAGAATCCATTTCCCTGCCTTTTCCAGCTTCAAGAGGCACCTGCATTCCTTGGCTCATGGTCCCTTTCTTTATCTACAAAACCAGCAACAGAGACTCTTCAAATCTCCCTCTCTCTCTTGGACTCTGACATTTCTGCCTGCCTCTTTCACTTATAAAAACTCTGGTAATTGCATTGAGTCTACACTCAGATAATTCAGGATAATTTCCCCATCTCAAGATCCTTAATCTAATCACACTTGCAAAGTCCCTCTTACCAGGCAGGGTAAGGTATTCACAGCTTCCAGAAAATAGGATGTGGTCATCTTGGAGGGGCCATTATCATGTCTACCACAAGGTATTAATTAAAACATCAGAAGCAGTTTTAAATTAATTTGCCTTGTACTTAATTATTATGTATCAATTTACCTTTGGGTCAGATAATATATGTGAGATTGATTCATTAACTAGAAAATGAAAATAAAATTTTTAATAGAGTTTTTATACTAGTCAATTATTTTCTGCTGAAAGGCCTTTAAGTTGAATGTTAAAATTGTTATTATAAACTTCCATGTAATGGTAGTTGGGTAGCAATAACAATAAACTGATAGTTTTCTGCCTGTAGCAGTATTTTGATGAGACTATTTTTGACTGAAACTCTTATTTTGTATTTAAAAAATCACTGCATTTTATGCTGTTATTTGCTTCACTGAATTATTTAATTTAATATGTTCTATTAAAGAGACTTTAAAGCTAGATACAAATTTTTTCTCCGTATACATTTTTAATATTCACATTTTTAACCTAACGACCTAAAGATAAATTTGAATTTCTCAAACTATTCAACCTATAGTTTTTCCTCTGTAAAACTGCAGTGATACTGAACAAAACTGCTGCAAAGAATAAATAAGATAATGTATCTATAACTGTAGCCAAATTGCTGGGCCATAACAGGTAGGTAGGTCTTCAATAAACTTTTAGCCTGATCCAAAATATATTCCACAAGATTTGCTGACCAATATTGAAACATGTTTCTACAAATACTGCAGATGAATAATACTGTGGGTGTTGTTTCTTAGTAAACTTGCCAAATTTTAAATATTTGGTTACTCTACACAATTAAATAAAATTTTAACATGAGCATCCAAGTAACTCTATTTACTAAAAATGGCTGTTTCTTTACATGATATATGACTAATGAGTGAAGCTATCCTATAGCTATACAAAATGATAACGTTAAGCATTTTTTATTTTGTCTATCTAAAGGTGCCAATACATTGTGAAGAAAATTCTGTTAATTTCATTATATTTAATACAGCATATTCCAACTTAAAGTTATTCAGAAGATCAACTGAAGGCAAATCTAAAAGACAGCAGTGCTTTAAGAAATAAAAGTCATAAAACAAAAGTTTTTCAGTGGTTATAAATTACTTTCAAGTTGCATTATTTCAAATTTCTTCCTGTAATCTCATGTTCCTAGCTCTTTAACTCCCTTTGATTAAATGATGTTCCTTTGCTTTCACTATTTTCTTTTTGTGAACTTGTCAAATCATCTTTGTCTTGTCTTGTACAATTTAAGAGACTTTTATGTAGCTCTCTGAGCGACTATCACCACACAAGTCCAACTGGGAGAATAATTTATGAGGTTCAAAATGAAGGGTCATTATGAATGCTGTCTTTCCCGCAATGAATACATACACTCTCTTGTTCATGCATGACAGGATTTTAACTAAATCAATGGAGATAGATGCTTTTAAATGAAGTATTATGAATGATATCATTGGTTACATAAAATAATTTACTTTTTATGTAATCTTTACCTTGTTTAATAAATTTAGAGAACTGGAAGAAAACTTCTTTAGGTGTGGGTTTATCTGTAACTGTCACATAAGTATTTCTTTGGTAGAAAACACAATTTCAAAAGTTGTAGTTTTATGTCCTTAGGTTAACATCTAGTATCCAGTCATAAGCCAGAATATTATGCATAGTAAGTATTCTGCACAATGATACTAAATGCAGAGGAAAAGCAAAGAGAGTAGATTTTCTCAATTTTGAAGAGAGGTTAATTTTTAAGTGTTTTTACTTTATCAAAGTATTCCTGACTGGTGTTCAGCAATCATTGGTTCTAGTAATGTTTATTTGGCTTTTTCTTATCATTTCAGTGCCCAGTATCTTTTTTTTTTATTACAACAGACAAATCTAATTACTTCTGATTAATCTCAATAGCTGTGATTTGGATTATGAATACTTCCCTTCCAATCTAACTGAAATCATAAATGTTTCCATGTCACCTTATTTTTTATAAGCACATGGTGTAAGGCATACCAAATAAGAAAATATATTAACTTTTATCAGAGAGACAACTGTAATAGAAAACTCAATGTTTATTTTAGTATATTTATGTATATATGTTCTATTATTTTAAACAGCCTGTAAACCTAAGCCTCTCCTCTTATCTAAAAATCATCCGTCCTCCTCTCATTGCCTTTGCATTTTCACTAAACTCCCCTCTGTGTATTTATCTTGCTTTTTAGGTATTTACTTGTGTGAGTAGTTTATGTTTTTTCATATGTCCTGAGCTCTCTGCCTTACCCACCATGCCTTGACTATAAAGAAATGATAGCTAACTTTGGCCAGGTGTGGTGGTTCACGCCTGTAATCCCAGCACTTTGCAAGGCCGAGGCAGGTGGATCATAAGGTCAGGAGATCGAGACCATCCTGGCCAACATGGTGAAACCCCGTATCTACTAAAAAAAATATAAAAATTAGCTGGGCATGGTGGCGTGTGCCTGAAGTCCCAGCTACTCGGGACGCTGAGGCAGGGGAATTGCTTGAACCCAGGAGGCAGAGTTTGCAGTGAGCCGAGATCGTGCCACTACACTCCAGCCTGGCAAGAGAGCGAGACTCCATCTCAAAAAAAAAAAAAAAAGAATTGATAGCTAACATTAATTGAGCTCTTGCTATGTTCCAGATGCATTAAAAGCTTTTTAACATATTAATCCCTTTCATCTTTAAGCCAGATGAAATGGGTACCACTGTAATCTTCACTGTATAGAGGAGGAAACAGAAACTCAGAACAGTGAAGCAATCTGAGTAGAGTCACACAGCCTCTAAGTGGCCGAAGCCAAAATCTAAACCTGGGTTAAGAGCCACCGAACACATGAGCATCACCCACATCTGGAGAACTTCAGTGCATACATTTTCCCCATGCTTGATTTTCAAATCACCAAGTACTTTTAATTAACCTTCACTATTGTTATGATTTGACATTTGTTGTTCTATATATACAACTAATATCTGCCCCATACCATGCCAGAACATAAGAATACAACACCTAGTATTTTATAGATGAGTAATAGCAGCTGCCATTTATTAAGCTTTTGCCATGTGCCAGGCACTGCATCTTATTATTTAATACTCAGAAAGATCTATGGGGTACCTACCAATTTATTTCCACTTTAGAGATGAGGAAAGTGAGGCAGAGAGAGGTTAGATGACTTGCCCAAGATCACACAGCTAGTAAATGGTGAAGCCAGGATTTAAACTCAATGGCTGAACTCCAAAGCTTGGCTCTGAATGAGTGAAGAGATGTGTTCCTAGAAATCTAGCTTGGAGAGTCAAGAAAAGTAATAGGGAGGAGATGACATTTGACATATCTGGAAGGGCAAAGTGGGAAAGAAAGGAAACAATACACTCAAGGGAGACAACAACATGGATAAAGTACTGAGGAATGGTGTACCTGCAGCATAACAGGTGCTCAAAAATGCAAATGAAAAAAATGAATATCTTTATAGCCCATGAGTTAAAAGGTTTTCCACATCTAAGTGTTGTATGACTAGTGCTCTCTGTGTGTTTCTTTCAGTGCCACCGTGGGCCTTAATTGCAATAGCCATAGTCGCAGTCCTTTTAGTCCTGACCTGCTGCTTTTGTATCTGTAAGAAATGTTTGTTCAAAAAGAAAAACAAGAAGAAGGGAAAGGAAAAAGGAGGGAAGAATGCCATTAACATGAAAGATGTAAAAGACTTAGGGAAGACGATGAAAGATCAGGTAATGTATTCTTTCTACATTTCTTCTTATTTTGTTTAAAAAAGATAAACAAATGTATTATTTTATGCCATATAATTACAGAAATAAACAACTTCTGGACCCATATCGTTTTTGAGATGCTTTGCAAACCTTTCAGTCATTGTTCAAGATCCCAAAGCATAATGGAAGCATTTGGCAGGGTTTTCCAATCTCCTGAGCATATAGAACAGAAAAGGGCATCCATGATCATCAGGCCCATCTTGATGGGTTTGGCATATGAGAATGATGCCTGAATATTTTGATTACATCTGTTTAACCAGTCTTCATTGCGTTTAGAGTTAGAAAAATCAGATAAAAAGTGCCTGAGTGTTTTGCATTTGGGCAGGGGATCTTTCTAATTTCTACTGTTCATAGTCACTGTTAAATAACTGAGTTTTACGGCTGTTCATCAAACTGGATGAAAGCTGCTTTTCCTACATGTCCATCCAGCTGAAAAATTAATTCTCAAGAATAATGAGTTACATGGGAGAAGGGAGAGAAATATGAGCCAGTTCTAAAGAACACGACAGGATAGAATTTTTGCCTTATGAAAAAGTTTTCTTTCTTATTTCTTATAAGACAAAATTCTCATTTCAATTTAATAAGGACAATTACAACCATAACACTGGTTATAAAATCCATCTGGCTGGGTTATCTTTCCAAGCCCAAAAAAGCTATTTGGATGTTCTTTATGTTGCTATCTGTTTTTGGCTAAATTAATTGGACAACTTGGTTCAAGATAATGTTTACTATTATTAATGATAATTATTAAATGCCTCTTCATTTTTGAAATAATATCCATGTTGAATATCTCTAAAGAATATTTAATTCATATTTTAAAATTAAAATGTAAATGTACAGATTTTTTATAGAATTAACATTTTCAATTATCAATGTTTTCATCAAATACAAAAGTTTTATTTATTCCCAAATAGCAAAATATATAAGCAGTTTTATAAATTCCTCTTATACTATTAATTACTATTAATCAAACTCTTAAACCTGAATCTCCTTAAGAACAATTTAATCAGGTGTTACAACAGGCATTTTAAGTACATTTGCGTTGTTTCCTAGTTCATTACACATTCAGGGACATTAACTCCCCTTCCCAGCTTCAGTTTTAAACTCTTTTTCCTCAAAGACACTATAGTATCTATTGATAATAATTTCACAAAGGCTCATGTTTTACTCCCTGCATTTTTGTTCTGTTTTGGAGCTATGGAATGGATGAAATGCCTGTACTCATACTCAGAGAGTTTTGGCCTGAGCTCGGAGTAGCAAGGGTTTGATTTTTCTGGCAATTTCTAATCACAGTCACAAAAGCCAATGCATAAACGTTCAACTACAGGTGTCTAATAAAGATTTTTCTCTTCAGTTAATTTAAGTAGAAACTAAAATTTCCAGGCATGTCTTACTTTATTTCCACACTTTTCATAGCAAGCAGGACTTGATAAAGATTTCTTTAAACAACTTATTGGGAGATTAAGTGTGGAAATAACCTCCTAGATGGACATGGACTGAATAATATGTATGTTAATTTTATCAATATTGTGAAAACAATAATTTGACAATAGATCACTATCTTTTTCATAATTATCATAAAATTTGAATGTGGTTTCCCTGTGTTCTAGAACTAATTAAAATTACTGAATAATGTTAAGTGATAACGATAGCATTTCTTCCTAGGACAATAAATCTATAATATTTGTGGGATTTGTTCTGTATGATGTAAAATTATAATTTACAGCATAGTGGTGGTGTTTATTACCCCTGTTATGACCTGGATAAATGACCAAGATCTCAAATATAGAGAATTAATGGGGGTTAATTTTTCATTGATGATCTATTTTTTGGATGGGGAGAGACAGAGAAAATGATTCAAACAAAGAAATATTAAGAAGTCAGTGATAGTTTATACTAATCTGTTATTGCAAATTATTTAGAATTTCAACCACTCAAAAAGATGTTTTCAGTTATTTTAGGTAGAGCACTTTGTCTACATAGGACATTAGCTAGGTCTCAATTTTTGTAAGTTATGAACAATTAAATTCACAGAATAAGGTACAATTTGGACAGATGAATATACACTCCAGGGATAAACGTTTATATAACCATAGCTTATGCTACTTTTTGAAGCAGACAAAAGTAGCTAATCATGGGTTCCATCATTTTATGAAGAGGAAGGCTAAAAAAGCAAAATAGAATGTGCAGATTTTAAGAGGATGTTTCATCACATGATGATCGCCAGATCACCCAAAATTCAAAACAGCATGAATACAAATTAAAATTATTATTAAATAATTATATTTTCAAAATATCTTCAGCAGAATGTTGAAGTGAACATGGGGAAGAAAATAAAGATGGCTTATGCCCTTCTCGTTTAAAAACAAGACAGATGTGAGAGGCATTTTAGATATAATTTCTTAATCTTAAGAAATATCTATATATAGGCTCTATATACAAGATATAAAGGCTCTAGGACAATCAATACATTTTTACCATTTTAATTCATATCAAATTCACAGAAATTCCAATTTCAATATTCATGGCTACATGTCTCTATAGTAAGGTTTTGCAACCAAGGAAGATTTTTTTAAATATTCTGCAATGACTACAAAAAGTATAGACATTTATGTTGCATAAGATATATATTTATGTGTTCTTTTGTATGTGTTAAAATTGGAGAACACTAACCAGACAGAGGGAAAATATTCACATGTAAAGTCATAGGTCTGGAAAGGTCATTTCTCCACGGTTTTCACTAATGTGTGTGGATATTTTAATTTTTATTTCTTCCTTCTATGTCCTTATCTGTGTTGTGTCTCATGACTGTTCTGGACTGTCCCTTGCGGTAGGTTTCCTCTGCTACTTAGACATCCCTAGTCAACGCTCAGATACATTTAGTGGCCTGGCACCTGGGGCTCCACAGCTGAGGGTATATCATTCTGACACACATCAAGAGGCTGAACTAAATTGATTTTTTTAAAGATAAGGTGTTCTCATTTTAAACACGCTAACAGATTAAATATAACAGTATTAGAAAGCTCAAGTTTTAAGTTGATGGACACAAAAAGAAATTCAGTCCCTTGTGCTACTTTTCTAGTGCGCCTTATTAAATCCAAATCTGAACAATGTAACTGAGAATGAACAAATGCTCCTTTTGATGGTTGCAAACAAAGCACCTGTTGAATGTCAAAGCAAACCATATGCATGCGCACTTAATCTTTGAAATTTAAGATAAGGTCTGATGTTCCCAACCCAGCTTTTTCTACTGCAATTTATCAAACCTCAGTACTGCTAGGTTTACAAGCTTTTTCTTCCGAATTTTGTTCTATGAAGAGGAAAATAGTGCTCTTGAGATATTATAATAGCTACTGATTTAATAGGTCTGAATTTAATATGATGGTACAGAAAATGTCTTGCTTAAGCTCAGCCTTTGGGACAGGAATAGACTTAATCACTTCAGTGATGAACAGTAGCACTGAGAAATTATCAAAAATTTAGCCCTATTTCATGCAGAATAATTGCAGAGATGGTCCTGCCTTCTATTCAGGTAAAAACCACTTAGGGAGAAGGAGATTTAATATATCAGCTATTTCAAATTGCATTGGGCTGAAACATGATACATAAATTCAGTTCTGAAAGAGACTTTTGAAAAAGGTATTTTAATCAATGAATTTTTCATTATAATAATAGAGCAACATGCAGATTTATCAAACAGAAGTAGATGTTAAATAGCTTGTTATTATTTTTTAAAAACCAAAATCTTATAGGGAGGCAAATTACCGAAGCTGCAATTTCCTGAGCACACCTAAGACAGTGTTAAAGACTTATACACAGCTAGGGTTTTGAAAGGGCAAAGGGATTCCACTGCCTGAAGTTCTCTAATTAAACTCAGTAGTTTTTTTTTTTTTTTTTGTCACTTTACTATCACGTTACCTTTAGTGACCAAGCCCCTTGTTCACAAATTAAACAATTAAAATAAATTTTAAAATATTTTCATGTTGTTTCCTGCCTTTAGCTATTAGTAAGTCAACATTTTAACATTCAAAGAAACAATGAAGCATAGATTAAACTTTCCAAATTAAGTGGTTTGTAGCTAACCAAATTTGATAATGTTTCTACACCGATGTATATCATGATGGCAATTTTCAATTTTCAAAACTCACTGAAGGCTCCTAAGAAATTTCCAGCAAACAAAGGGGAGGCATCACTGACAACAGCTCAATTCTGTTTATATGACCTTCCCACCTGAATGAGTTCTATTAAACTGTGATACAGCTGAGTCTCAGTTTTTTAGAATCAAATTGGAGTTAACCGGGTGAAGCCAAATTAGAAAATCTTGTAATTTCAAGGACTGAGGGTGCCATTTTGAAGCACCACTGAAGATCCCTGAGTAAGTGGGTGGATTGAACAGAGAATCTCCTTCCTGAGAATGCTGAACACAGCAAAGAAAAAAGACCATGTAGTCTTGGATGTGGGGGTAGCAGAGTGGAGGAACTGCGGTCTGATGACTGATGCCTATCTACAGCCTGGTTATACTTCTTGCATTTGAGTTCTATGAGAATTCTTAGATTCAATTTGAGAGCTAAGAAGAGTTAAGATTCCTTTACTTTATCAGAGATATAAAACAGTCTACCACTGGCTTATCCATTTTGATTTCTGTGAGATTCTACAGTAATACATGCATGCATACACATATACAAAAATAGCAATGAAAATGCTATAACCTAAAACCAGGAGACAATAATTGTGATATATAACACAACAATGAAGTTGAAATCATCAAAATACAAAGAGCCTTTGCAAATCAATAAGAAAAAGGCAAACAACACATAGACAAATTAGCAAAGGATATGTACAGGCAGTCCCCAGAAGAAAAAATACAAATGGTTAATGTAAAAGTTTGTAATCTTTTCAACCTCAGGAAAATGTAATTTTGTATTTTTTTAATTTTGAATAATGACTGTGTATAGATTTCTAATTAATTATTCTAATTACTTAAAGCAGTAAGAATTACACATCCCTAGAAACAAAACTTCATGTACTTATAACCTTTGATATTTTTAGCAAAATGTTTGCATATTAGAAAAACACATTATATATTTTGATTTTTTAAAAAGAAGAGCATTTGAATGAAACTTATGAGTTAGTGAGCTTTCTAATATTTCCATTTATAGTACACTTAAGTTTTAGGTTATAAAGAGTATTCAATTGGTCAGACTGAGTTTTGAGAGTTCAATACAATTGATTTTGTTCTTAAATACAAAACGAATTCTTATGCCAATTTGTTTTTGACAGAACTGCAAACTTAACTCTTTTTATCTTTTGATATCAAACAGACTCTTAATCAATTTAATTCAGCCTAGCTTTTGGTGGAGCTGTTATGAAAATAAAGTGGTAAACTGAAATTGGAAGTGGGGTGAACTTTTCTCTAAACACGGATTTGCTGGTGGTATGTTTTTTTCCTCTTTTTCATACCATGATAAATGTATATGTGAAACACAGGGAATTTAAATTTTCTGAGGATCATTACTGAACTATCTTTTTCATAGGAAATAAGGCAACAAAAGGCCATGCATTTTATATTAATTATTCCACTGCATGTAGCGATGATATTTTATATGATGCTGAGCATCTCTTTAAACTACATGAATGTGAAACTTGGCCTGGTTAGTAGCATGTTTATCTTTCCTCTGAAAGCAGCAGTTTTATCAGAGCCAAATACAACACCAAGTTGACACTTTCTTTGCAACAATGTTACATTTTTTGCTTGCAATATTCTGAGGGGCTTCTTCCATCGCTTCCATTTTGCTTGCTGATTGGGGAAAGAAATTCCGTGCACAAAAGGAATTTAAAAAATATGTAAGCAGCAAATGTGAATGTGTGTCAGACAAACAGATTTCCAGCATCTTAGTGCTTGCTTCGAACAGCTTGGAAGTGTAACTACAGGCCCAGTTCAATTTGAGTTTTGATGAAAACTCTGAAATTCACATGTGATCCTTTCTCTATACATAGGCCCTCAAGGATGATGATGCTGAAACTGGATTGACAGATGGAGAAGAAAAAGAAGAACCCAAAGAAGAGGAGAAACTGGGAAAACTTCAGTATTCACTGGATTATGATTTCCAAAATAACCAGGTCTGAAGTGGAGAAATGTCTTCTAATTCCATTACATTTTCTGAAATTACCAAGTAGAAATTGCAGCAAGATACCTCTTAAAATATTTTGTTTGCTGTGAGGGGAAAATGCAATTATCAAAGCTATGGATGAAATAATTTCTAAGAACAGGCAGTCCCCTACTTGCTAATTTAACTTCTGGTAATTAGAATTCACAGTATTCAACCGATTACATCTACTTGTGGCACTTTCAGCAGGCAGACAGAATACAAATTAACTTGAAGCAGTCGGTCTGCTTCTGAGAGCTTCTAGCCACAGTCTCACCTTCTCAGCTTCCTCAGCCTGAGCTGCAGCAACCTTCCTTGGACTTTACAGATTTAGAACTAGACAGGGCTAGGGGCCTTTTGAGTTGGGCCGCTATTCTAGCCAAATTTTTGAAAAATAATATAATGATTTGATAAGGGATCGAAGATGAAAAATTAATTCTTGTCCATTAAATTTAAAAGCAGGATGGCCTTATATGATACTAGGTGAAACTCCTAGTGCTAATGAGACAGCAATTCTAAAAGAGTGAGAAAACCAGAGACTTACTTCTAGTGCCTAGGAATATTGCCCAAAAAGTGACAAGGAACTAAAGGAGGTAACAAAACGGACATTTTTGCTTCAATTTCTCAAGAAGTCATGAAATGTCACCTAGATGAATGATAATATTGGCTACCTTTTATTGACTGCCTGTCAATAAAATAGAGATTGCTGAAAGACAACTGTTAAAAATCGCTTTTCATTTGAAGACATTCCAGGATCCACAACGTTGATGAAAATGTTCCTCACCTTCTGAATTGTTAAAGAAATGTGAAAGCTGGATAAGAATTAGGGGAACAGGCTAAGTTAGAGACCAGGTTTTTAAAAATCTGTAAGACAGGCAGGGTGCAGTGGCTCAGGCCTGTAATCCCAGCACTTTGGGAGGCCAAGGCAGGCATATCACGAGGTCAGGAGATCAAGACCATCCTGGCTAACACGGTGAAACCCTGTCTCTACAAAAAATACAAAAAAAAAAAAAAAAAATTAGCTGGGCGTGGTGACAGGCGCCTGTAGTCCCAGCTACTCAGGAGGCTGAGGCAGGAGAATGGTGTGAACCCGGGAGGCAGAGCTTGCAGTGAGCCGAGATCGTGCCACTGCACTCCAGCCTGGGCGACAGAGCGAGACTCCATCTCAAAAAATAAAATAAAATAAAATAAAATAAAATAAAATAAAATAAAATAAAATAAAATAAAATAAAATAAAATAAAATAAAATAAAATTAAAAAATCTGTAAGACATAGCCCTTCTCCAAGTAGGAAAGTTTTAAACCTCTCCAGTTCATTTTGCTTCTCTCATCTTTTTGGGTAAAGAACTGATGAATGTAAAATAAATACAGTTACTAGTAATGCAGCATGTGCTAATGATTTCCAGTTTGATGAGAAATGAACAATAAATAAATGAAACACTAATGCTCATCTTTGATAACTAACATCCAAAGTCAGTAATGCTGTGAGAGCTCTAAGCAGTTGCAGAAATTCTGTGCTTTATTTAGGAATTGACAGTTCTAATAATGTCTTCACTTTCTAAAGTTTCCAGAGGGTTCCTCATGAAGGATGTACAAATATACTGTCATATTAAAAATAATTTTTTGATCAGCTTCATTATAGCCCTGGCTAGTTATTACATAATACATTCTAGAAAACTACATTATTGGTTTACAGGTTCAGGTTTGTAGTTATACCATTTTTAGTTAATTACATCTGATATTTGTGGTCATTTCTATCACTTCTATGAAAATTTGAGCATCAGGATTTGGTTAGGAGCAAAACCTCTTATTTATATATTCTAGGAAAGATCAAGGACAACTTATATTGGTCTTAATATATAACATATTTTCCAAAAATTTAATCTGGCTTTCTATATGCATCCAGTATTTTTTTCATCATATTGACCATTCATATTTTCCAGTGGAAATCTAGTGGTGTCTCATTCTGATTAGTCATAATTTTGAAGCTTTCAAGTTAGCTTTAATTATTAATACTATAAGTATCATTTTATAAAGTAGTATTTTTAAGAAAATAAATAATAACACTGAGAATTTTTTTACTAAAATATAGTGAGAGTACATTTACTGTTCCCTTTTCAGCAAACATCAAATCTAAAAAGTTATTTCATTCTGAGAAACTGATGAATTTTTAAAATATTACACATTGGTTTTTCCCAAATGTTCTCAGTTAATTTGATTTATAAAGTGATTCCTAAGAAGCAGGAAGTTAAAGTCTGAAAAACTTCATAAAGTTTGGATCAAATATATGTTTACCAAAACTAAAAGACAACCCTAAAATATTCTAATTAAGACGCTTTCATGGTACAGAGAAATGTGATATTTATCTCTTAGGCAGAAGTCAGAACAAGGTTGTAAAAAGTAACCTCATTCTTTATTAACAAAATATCCAAAAACTCTAAATTATAAATCATCTAGTTTCTAAAGAGTTTAAGCCATCTCTCTAGCATTTTTTCTGCTCAAAAGAAAATTGGTTATAAAAAGTGAGGATGAGGAAGTAGAATCTTACTTATTCGCATTACTACATAAAGGTAAATACCAAATACCTACTTAGCAAACAAAGAGACAGACTGTTTCCTTTACTAATCATGTCTTTATAATCCGATGCCTATTTTAGCTGTTTTTTGACCATCTGTCTGTGTTTTGTTTACCTACAATCTAGCACTCTTATTGCCACTGTTGTATCATGATTCCACAAAAAAAAAAAAAGATATTGAAGCATTAAAATAGAAACAACATAATCATTCAGGTTATTGGGCCATGTTAAAAGTTGAGCCACCTAGCCAAAATGCACTTAAGTACACGGTGGGTCACAATTAAAATGGTTATGCATTTTTTTTAAGAGGGGGAATTGCTTTTTTACTCTACTAGCTAAAAAGGCATGAACTCAGATTTTTCAGGCTGAGATGTAAAAACCTATGGTGTTACTGCATTTACAAAATAGCATATACCTTGAATAACAGTAAGAGTCTGCTTTGTTACCTATATGGATCTAAATCAGTCTGTTGACACAAAATCTCTAATGGCAGAGTATCTATGATAGTCTACTCACACCTCTTTTTTTCTTCGCAAAAATATTAACCATACCATAATACCTTAATATTCATAATGAGGCTTAAGAATGCATCAGTAAGAAAACAGACTTAAAGAAATGTAATAGTTCTGTGGTGTTTGGAAAAAATAAAAAACACAGTTACTCACCATTAAAAAACCTCACCTCTAATCTCCCTTGCTTTCTATGAAGCTGAAATTACATTTCTTTTACTCCGTGTCCTATATTTAAACACAGAATCTCATAGATAATAATCATTCTACTGTAAGTTAAAATAAATGTAGTCTGCACACCAGTGAAGGTCAAATATAATAGAAACTAGAAGATCTTATTTTTTATCTCAAAATGCTACCCAATTTCTAAGAAATTTCTACTCAGCTAGCCTGAGGCTTTGATAAAGAATAAAAGTTTCCCACTTTGTAATTACAAACTTGTGATTGCTTAACAATGCATTTTCACTTACAAATCATGCTCTGGAAAGAAAAACAATGCACAAGAGCTTTTAGCAACTGGAAAGTTATTTGATTACAACTCTTTTGCAAAAATGAACTCCATATTTAACTGCAATCAGCAACCTTTTAAAAGCCTCTTTTGTGCTTAAAACCAGGCTTCCCAGAGCCTGCATCAGTCATAATTGGGTTTCTGAAGTCTACATAGCTCAGTTCATTTGCCTTCTGTGTTCAGATTCATAAGAGAATCAGAGTTTTATTAAAAATAAATAGGAAGAGGGAGAAATCCCAATATGCAGCATTGTGAACAAATCGATCTTTTCCAAAATGTCCACTGATATTTATGTATGCTGTATTCTGTCATTTATTTCAGCTGCTGGTAGGGATCATTCAGGCTGCCGAACTGCCCGCCTTGGACATGGGGGGCACATCTGATCCTTACGTGAAAGTGTTTCTGCTACCTGATAAGAAGAAGAAATTTGAGACAAAAGTCCACCGAAAAACCCTTAATCCTGTCTTCAATGAGCAATTTACTTTCAAGGTATTTGTTAACATTTATTTATAACCTTTCCTTTGTTGTTTTACTTAAAAGACTGATCTCATCCTGACACATACATAGACATGCACATGAATGCTTGTTCAGGCACTCACAATAATTCCAGTCAGAATATGCAAAATTCTTATCTTCACTACAGTCAACATTCGATATTGCCTTTCAGCGTGTTCAGAGTAGGATTCGGTTCAGTCATTTCAGAATGGAATGGACTAGAACATGACTAGGATGTCATAGTCACATCTAAAAAGTGAGATCCCTCCCTGAAATAAAGCCAAAGGAATGAAATCATTATTTTTCTGAATTTCAAAGTTTGTGAAAATAAGTACATCTGTTACAATCCCAGGATTAAGTAAGCTGTGTCCCAATGCTTAAATGGTACAAATAGACATGACTCTTGTAACAAAATTGTGTGTGTAGAGGGCAATTTGAGCACTTCAAAGTCATTCTTCTTAACTAATCAATAAAAGGAATATGAACATATTTTTTATTGCATTTCTAGCCTTCTTCCTTTACTCTAGGTTCTGCCCTGATGTTCTTCATCTTGTTGAGGCACCTCAGTTGACAAACAACAGAGAGATTCCAGCCATATAATATCTCATCAGGAAAACATGTCCTGCAGGTCTCCAGGATCTTCGTGGATCTTGGCTTGAAATCATTCATTAAAAACAATTCTTTTGGTGGATATCTTTAACGTGCGAAAAAAACTTTTTAATGCATTACTTAGAACAATATGTTTCTGAAAAATGAAATATCTGTGAATATGCCAGCAGGCTAATTCAAAATCACCACGTCCATCAGCCAGGCTTAGCATATGCCTTGTGTTGGCAAACATTCTGGGATGAAATAAATTGAAAATGAGGGCATGAGTCATTTTCTCAAACCTTGTTTTCAATTATGTAAAGGGGAAGTGTCTTTCTATTCACTCTAAAATTTCTGAGTTTTCAAGACAAAGGTCCCTCATGTATTGTCAGTAATCTTATTTAAAATCTGGTTTTTCTGTACCTAAGCAGTGAATTTAAAGTAGCAGTAAAGACATTCTGGAAATACTCAGTTCATGAAGAGTATCTGCTCATGAAGCTTAATCACTATAGTCAACATACTACGAAACGTAAAATGGAAATAAAATTTTAAAAATATTGTAATAGTAATCACAGTTGTTTTATTCATCTATTTATTAACCTTAACTTAGGTCAGCAGTTTCTGACCAAAACTTAGTAAGGAAATTCTTAAATTATATGAGCTAATGTATTGGGGCTTTGTTTTGTATTGCATTACCTACATTATTATTTCTTTAAAAAATGCTAATAATTTTATTAGTAATTTCTATAAAACCAAGTATAATTATTGAAATTTTTGAATTCTCTATACATTTTTATCAAGTTTCATTTTATTTCAGAAAGGTTGATCAAACTATACATAAATCCAAAGTATAATATATTCTGCTATATTAAAAAATACTTCAATTTTTCTAGAGAACTGGTTAGACATTGTAGATTACTCATCTTGAAATGCCAAGAGGCAATATGATACAGGAATGGAAGTATAAAAGACTTTAAAGAAGCCTGGCTTTACAATGGATTTAAATCACTTAACAGGAACTCAACATGCCCCAAATTAATTCATCTTCTTTTCCCCCAAAACAGTTATCTGAAGGAGCTACTAATCATTCAAACAATAAATATTTTTAAGTGCTTCTTCTGTGCTAGGTGTTTTACATATATTCATTCATCCCTAAAATAGCCCCATGAAGCAGCCATTATTACAGTATTATCACAATTTAATAGATGAATAAACTTATGTTTAATCACGTGCCCCAGGCCCTTTAGTTGGAAAGTCCAAATCTGGTACAAGGTCTGTCTGACCCCAAGTCCAGGTTTTTGACTGTTGCTCTTTGAGTACAATCACTAGAAAGTCTAGAGAGATTTTAGATATACAATAACATTTTCAAGGGTTTATCCTTACTCTAAAAAATTTTGTTTCTTTCTTTGAGAGTCAGCTCTTTGGAAGGGTTTATTTTCCATTCCTTCTAAAATGGAAAAAGGATGATGCTTACTTTTTAATCATATCATTTTAATAAAATAATCAGGTTCCAAACAGATGGTAAATAAATGACAGAAAAGAAAAACTCTTTGGAAAACTAAAATTTCTTGTATGTAGATGGCCCAATATTCTTCCTTTTCTTCCCTCCTTAATATACAGAGTTAATTGAGAAATGTTTGCTGAAGCATAAGACAACCATTTACACTGATAAAATAATAGGAAGTGTATGAAAATTGATCAAACCTTTAAGACAAGTCTAAACAATTTCTTAATTAGGTATTTCTACCCAGTTACTGAAGTGTAGCTTACTTGGATTGCACTGCTTTCACTGAATATTAAAAATGTCACTAATAAACATCCCAACCCATAGCATCTGTCCCAGATATATTTGAACAGCTGGAGAATTCATCAGTTCTTGGCCTTTTGCCACCACTCATCCTAAGGCATGTCATACCCAAGAATGAACTTCAAAACCCATATTATAATGCACCTCTTATATTCAAAACATCAATTTCCTAGTCAGTTCTTGTCAATCAGCAAATTATTTTAGGGAGTAGGTGAGGCACTTGTGAATATCATTTCAATCCTTTCAGACTCCTAGCATAGCCTTTAATAAATCATTGCTCCATTGAACTGTGGCATTTAAATGCCTTGAAAGAGTTAATGGAGCATTTGAAATAAGTTATTTGCCCCTCAGTAAGTTACACCCTGACAATACAACTTAAAACAACAATAACAACAAAATATTCTACAAGAAAAACTTACTTATAGTCAAATGCAATTGGCTTGTTTATTGTTTTATTAATCTTAAGGCTTTATAGTATAACTAACAGCAGGATCCATTATTAATAATGCTAACAGCTTCTAGAACTTTGAGATAAGGCAATAAATCACTAAAATTTCCCATTTTCTCTCAAGTAATTTTAGCCTCAAGCAGTTTGTCAAAAGTCTGAATTTAAAAAATAACCAAAAACAAAATTATCTCCCTGTTCTGTTTATGCAACGTAAATATTAAATTAAGCACCATGAACAAGTAACATGTTTTAAGCATTTTTGTGACTGGATATTTTATCCTCATGTCTTTTAATTTAGGTACCATACTCGGAATTGGGTGGCAAAACCCTAGTGATGGCTGTATATGATTTTGATCGTTTCTCTAAGCATGACATCATTGGAGAATTTAAAGTCCCTATGAACACAGTGGATTTTGGCCATGTAACTGAGGAATGGCGTGACCTGCAAAGTGCTGAGAAGGAAGAGGTAAGGGAATTACTAGCATTTCTAACATCACAAGCTGTACTCGCCAGTTGCTGCTCATATAATAACTTATTGAGAAATACTCTTTACAAAGGGGGATGTGGGCCTCTAGTTGTTGACAGCTGATAAAATAGGGTCAAGGGCACTGCACCACCTCGTTAAAAAGTGTACAGGTCTTCTGGGTGTTATCTGAAAGAAGAGAGACATTTGTGTACTGGATCTAGAAACAGCAACCCTGGACACAAACAAACACACATGCCCACAGGAACTCTTTCTAAAAGCTTACAAAAGGCCACACACACTCATAAACTACTGCTTTAAAATGACAACGAAAAATTATTTTATTTCTCATTTTTCCACAATCATTTTGTGTTTTCTGCATAGGTTATGTAGCTATTACACAGAAATAAAATGGTACTTTTTCCTTGATTGTTTCTGCATATCACAGACAGTTCATTGTTTCTCCTAAAGATACGAGAGCATGATTGGTCAAACATCAAATATAATTCACAAAGCCTGATATTAAATCCATTTTTTAAATGACTCACATTTTTATGCTACTCCTCACATTGTTTATTCCCAGTTTTAATAGTTTAGCCCAGTATTTTTCCATGACTTGAAAAGGGAAGTTCAATATGTTTAGTGCATTTAAGCTTCATAATAATCAATTGTATCTGATTATGCGATGCCTGCCTGGCACCAGCATTTTTCTCTGCAAACATTTCAGTAGACCAATACTAGAAAAGCAAACAACCCTTAGCTTCTCCAAATTCCTAAAACAACTCCTTTCGCAGTCACTCTTTAGTTCCTGACGTAAGGCTGTAATTACGCAAGAGATTGCTGACAGCTCAGTCATTTAGGATCTCCAGGTCCCTAGGATTCCCTGGCCTCTTGGGGTCACCAGGGAGATCAGAGAGAACGTCAGGCCTTCAGAGAAACTCAATCAAGTCCATCACCTGGGAATCCTCTCAGCCTAAGGTTTTCTGTGACCAATCTGAGGCTATGAACTTTATACCCCCTATATGATGAAATGAGGTTTTAGAACAGGCCTATTAATTCCCATGCTGAAATTGAACTTTTCACTCTAACATTGCTGTTTGCTATTTGATTTTACAAAATGAGTCAAAAATACTTAAGTTAAACTCTGCTCTTTTTTTTGGAAAAAAGTATGTATACTTATACTTTCCAAAAAAGAGAGCAGAGCTTAAGTATTTTTGTATATAATATTCATGTATACTTATTATATATATATATATATATATATATATATATATATTTACTGTCTCAATATCTAAGAATGTTGACTAACCTTTCTTAGACATTGACACAGATTTAGCCCTACTGTGGATATTCAAGAATACCCAGGAAAAATACCGAGTTTTAAAATTATATGATTTTATGGATAGTTCTTTCCTATAAGTGAACTAATAGTAATGTTACAGACATCTTCATGAAAAAAAAAATTCGATCATTCAGTTACAATGTTTATAATTATTTAACAAAGTAGTGGGATGTTTCATTGACTTTTTTGTTGAAGTGTTTGACTTTGTGTAAATTTTTTGGGTGATAAAGTAGGACCATAAGAAATGTTTATTAACTGATTGGTTTTATTAATTGACTGGTGTTTGGTTGGCTTGTTGGTTGAATATGAGAACATGAACCACTGGTACTTCACAATGCCCACTTGTGCAGGGTGCATGGTTCACACTTGTTACTTTCACCTGGATAATTATCAGGTGGTAATGACATCCAAGATCACACCCAGTGGGTTTCTGAAAAATTGTGCAATGTTTTTTTCTGAGCTAAGGGAATGTGGACCATTGAGCAAGTTTCCTCTTTCAGAAATCTTTGAGTACGAGCAGAGTTTGAAACTTAACACCAGGCTGACGGGTTTCACTCTAGAATCTAGGGGTTTAGGTAAACTGCCCATTCAGAATTTTAACCTAGAAAGTGGCCTAACATGATTTACCCCTTATCTTACTTACCGATGAAATAGAATAGAACATGAAGTACCCAGCATAGAGTCTGGCATATGGTAAATGTTCACTAAGTGAGAGGTCTCTCATACCTTTTTCTTGGTTAATTTTGTGTGTGTGTTCTCTTTCCCCATTTTGTGTGTTCATCTCCTCATTTGTTGTGTCTCTTCCCTCTATTTTTATCTACTTCGCTATCCTTTTTCTCACCATTGCACTTACTGAGTATCTGTAGGAGTTATTAATGGGAAATATTAATTTTATCATTACACTCGTAAAACTCTAGAGACTTTCCTCTTTGATTTCTACTCAGGAATAGAAATTTTTGGTTTTCAGTTAGACTATTTCTCTTTATCAAGGTATAGGTTATAAAAAACTGTATAAGACAGATGTCTAGCTTACAAAGTATCTCTGGATGACTAGACCCAGTTAGAAACTTTTTCATTATAAAGGAAGTAAGATTCCACTTGCATTTTATATCTGAAGAATTACATATTCTCAATGATATCTGCTCTAACTTTTCATGCCACTGTCCATTAATTGTAGAAAATTATAATTGTGTGAATAAATTGAAGTCTTAGATTGACTTTAGTTTTATGATTTTAAAGAAATTGTTTTTCCACTTTACATGAGCAATTTTGTTCATGATTTTAGTTTTGCTTTCATCTAGCAGTGTTAAGCATTATTTTTAATGTCATAATGAGATGAAAGATATCAAAGAAAGTGAGAAAAAGGAGTTCAAGGAACAGCTTTGGAATCTAGAACAAGTACTGCTAATCATAGTAAGCTGTTCTGCCGGAGACTTGGATTTAAAGAGGTTAAATCAAACCCACTGACAGCCAACTCTGTGATGTTAATTAAATGGAGTAAGGTTTTATTGCCAGAAAGTTGACAACTATAAGTCATAAGATGATGAAGTAATTGTGTAACTTAAAGGATTATGTACTATTTTAGCGACCAAATAATGTGCAAGCAATTTAGAAAGAAATGGGAAGGAACATGGATAGTGTAAGAGCCTCATTTGGAAGTGACTAGGCCCATGTTTAAAAGGAAGTGATGTGGAAGAGATAAGGTGTACCAGGAAGAGCCACAACAAAAGCACATTGTTCCCACTATTCGATTCTATCCCCAGGTGGAAACATCACTGGTGAGGTTTCCATTTGGCTTGATCGTGTTCCGCAAATTTACACAATCAAAGCCACCTCACTGGTTTCCGTTCACTTGCCGGTTTGTTTTTTCAGTGATGCACGGTCGACTACTTTCTTCCTCCACTTCCCCACCTTCTAATAGATGAAGGTGGAATTTGACCTTGGAGACAGGTCAACATTTCTCTTGTTTTTGTTTCTTTAAAACAGAAATATGTATCCTCTGAGTTCCTAGAGATGGTTATATATAAAACTGTTGTTTCTTAATTTTTTTATTTCTCAGTATATGGCTTCAAAATCATCCTTGGTAATCAGTATATAATTCTTCAGTGTGCAAAAGGCTACCAATATGTATAGCCCCAAGCTGAATCTTTGAGATTTTCTTCTCTTTAATCTTTCAAAAAATAAGTATTTATTGTATACACAAGTCAAACCTGAAACCAATCTTTATCTTTTTAGAATAATCTATTTAATATTTTGACTTAATTATTTCAAACATTACAAGCAACAGCTATGACTCCATTTTTCCCTTCTTATAAATTTCACTTATGTGCAGTTTTAAAATTGTCTCAGTTCTGCACCCCAGGATCAGGTATATCATCAAAGTATTTAAACTCTTTTTATTTTAACATTTTGTTCCTATTTATAAAGTTTATTTTTATCTCCATGCCTTCTACTGATATTTGTTATCTCTAAAAACAGCATAAGGAATAGATAGCACCAGAAAAAAAAACTAAGCCTTTTTTTTTAACATTCCGCCCTGATATGCTGCAAGCTCTCATGACTTGAGCAGTACTGTTTTATTGTTTTGTTTCCATTAGAGAATAAGTCTATCACCTCGGCTTTGTGTAAAATTTGGTAAAGAGTGATTTTTAAATGAGATTCTGTAATCTAGTGCAAATGGAAAAAAATTGATTGCAGAATTAAAACAAGTTGGAACATAATTTAATTAGTATCCAAGCAGAAGGGAAGAGAAACTACTTTAATGCTTTAATGGAAAATCAATTTTGCAAGAAAATTTCACATTTTTAAGCCTAATTAGAAAAAGATTTACTTCACAGAAAAGCATGTGAAGAATACATATTCAATCAAATGGCAACAGTTTTTTAACTTCCAATGGTCAATTCCTTAGTACTTCCTTGGAATGAGTTAAAGTCATTATTCCTTATGGCATCTTTTATGCCCAAGGATCATGAAAGAAGTGATGCTATTTCTAAGTACATTTAGCAATCAGACGGCAACTATGCTCTCCAAGAATCTCCACCCAACGATCAATGCCCTGATTGGAAATCCTTATAAAAGGTTAATTGTTGGAATTTTAAACATGGATGCCAATAAGAACCTTCCTGGTCATTCATTCACAACCTATCACATTTGAGAAATACAACAAAAACATTAATTTGCATCCATAGCATTTCAGGAATTATACTTGTTTTTCTTTACTTGTTCATTGTCTATCTTCCTCACTGGACTGAAACTCCATCCAGGCAGCAACCATGTCTATGGTTCCTCACCAAGTGTAATCACAGAGGCAAGAACACAATAGGCGTGAAAAACTATTTTTGAATGAATGAATGGAGATGTTTATTGTATTGTAAGAAATGTGTCCAAACGCCCTTTTTAAA
This sequence comes from Homo sapiens, assembly GCF_000001405.40. Lineage (NCBI taxonomy): Eukaryota > Metazoa > Chordata > Mammalia > Primates > Hominidae > Homo > Homo sapiens. Next base: position 79,304,292 of record NC_000012.12, read on the forward strand.
GTCCGTGTTAATAGTCATTGTGTTCATATTTTACAAATGAAGGTTAAAGTATTCTGAAAGCTAATCAGCAAAATGTCCTAGCTCTGAATGCTGAAGATAGTTTAGTGCCTTTCTGGGTTTTTTTGGTATGTTTCTTTAAAGATAGAGGCAGTACAGATGCTTAGCAAAATCAACCTTGTTATTGTTTTTGTTTTTGGTTTTGAAAATGATAATAGATTTTGTCTCAACAACTTTTGTTTGTTTGTTAAAGGCTTATTTAGTGTCTCCCTCTTTGTAACCCTCTTTTTCATCCTGTTTCCATAATGCACATGGAGCTCATAGATTACCTTAATTTTTATTTAAATGTAAGACTGAAAGCTATGGTGTAAGTCTCTGCCTACATCATGGAAATTGATCCAGAGGAAAATGGGAAAGAATTAGTTCTAGGGAGAACTCAAAGAGTAGGAATAAAATCTAAGTTTATCATGCCTAGAATATTTGTTGTTAATCAATTTTATAATATAGTAGATATAGTTTAGTAGTATTGAATTATTTTATAGTATATTAAAACTATAATATATATTAGTGTACCTAGTATCTCTGCGTCCATATCATGGGACTTGGAACATATTGATTTCCCTTTAAACTGCTACAGAAGTATAGATGTGTTTTATTTTTTACAGTATCTTGGGTCATAGCTGTGGTTTATTTGAGTTTGAGTCTTTGGTTAGAATTTCTGTCACCAATTATAATTGTATTCTTATGTATAATAAATGTTATCCACTTCGTGATGTGGTTTCCAAGAACATGATAGGAAAAAGCAAATAACTTGAAATATCTCTCTAGTATGTAGGACTGTAATTTGCTTGCCTTTCTGGTTAAAAAGACTTTTCAGGCAGAGGTAAAAGAAATCCAAATTCTCACTTTAGAGTTTCTAAACAAAAATCCAATATTTTTTATTTTAAATTCCCTAGAAAAGTAATATAAATTAGACTCTAATTTGAAGCAAGAATTAAAGCAAGGAGAGATCCTGGACATTTTCAAAATGCACTTTGGCTACCTTCCATTGTTCTCCCTCACGTTGTCATACTTTAGCCTACTGCACCTGCCTTCCTTGTCACAGTGATAACCACCCAAAGGTCTGGTCTCACAGCCTGGCTCTCTAGCTTCCAAAGTTCATCTTCATTAAAGCTTATATTAACTTCTCTACCTATCCTATAAACACAAATAATAGCTATCATTTACTGAGAGTCTACTATATGCTGACAAAAAAAAAAATCTCATAACATTCTTCAAAATTGGCATTACCAAATCTGTTTTACAAAACAGGGAAGGAAGGGAACTGAGACCCAGGAAAGTTTAAGTAATGTGTCCAAGTTTACACGGGCAATGCCATAACTACAATTCAAACACAGGTCTAAAAGCCTACACTTGCCATTTTTTGAGATTGAGTCTCACTCTATCGCCCAGGCTAGAGTGCAGTGGTGTGATCTCAGCTCACTGCAACCCCCCGCCTCCCGGGTTCAAGCGATTCTCCTGCCTCAGCCGCCCAAGTAGCTGGGATTACAGGTGCCTGCCACCATGCCCAGCTATTTTTTGTATTTTTAGTAGAAATGAGGTTTCACCATGTTGGCCAGCCTGGTCTCGAACTCATGACCTCAAGTGACCCACCCACCTCGGCCTCCCAAAGTGCTGGGATTACACGTGTGAGCCACTGCACCTGGCCCACACCATTTTCTTTAAAGAGTCTCTCTTGGTCTTTTCAGGTCTGTCTGGCTCCCAAACCCATTTTCTCTCTACACTGCCATATTGCCACTAAGAGAGTGCAAGGATATTGTCTGTTTTGTTTATCTACTTAGGCCCAGCACATTGCACTGTGACTGCAACATCCAAAGTGCTTAAATAAATATTTTCAAGTAGATTGGTTGAACAAATTAGAATTTAACAAATATGCATTCTAATGTTCTATCACCTTTGAGAGAGTCATCTTTAAAAGATACCCAGTCATTCCAGTTGCACTGTAGTATCCTAAAATATTTTTGAATTCCAGTCCCTCTCTCCAAGTATCTTTCTCAATGTATAATACATTATCTGTTCTCAATAATGATTTGTCTTTGCTTTGAAAAGGTAAATCTCATTGAAATGGCCATAACTATGTAGGGTCAAGTATAGGCTATTAGTTGATGATCGAATTGGGTAAAACAGTTGTAATTACTGTGGGAAAGTGATGAGATGGATGTTCTTGTGAGTTTTATATTCTGATTCTGTCCTAAATGCTTTGAGCATTAACATCATTACATGGTCTCTCAAATGGTTTGCTATGGGGAAAATTCTCATTAGGAGATATAAATTCTGATACACATAGTACCAAGAAAATATAATTGTTTTAATAGAAATCAATGTAAGTATTAGGTTTTCTTTTTATCCAAAGAATAAAAGGACCGAGAGTTTTCAGCTGAATTTTAAATAAAGCAGAGCAAAGTGGATTTGGGAGCCTGGATTTCATGTGTATAAGCTGGCAGAGCAGAAAGTGAGGAGTGGGAGTTGAAATGGGAACAAATATAAAACAAAAGGAGAATGAGAATAATGATGTAGACAAGAGCAGCCTTGTTTACATCTGGTTTTTCATATTACTGAAATAATGAAAAGGGTTTTGAGTGGGAAGCAATGTGAGCAACACAGGAGAATGTTTTGTTCTGTCTTCCACAGATTTAAACCTATTCAAATGTAATCTTTTCTCTTGAGTTCATCATATGCTTGGGAGCAATATTTTTTATCTTGTTTGTGAATCTTAAAATTAGATGTTTTTACCTTCTGTCTTACTCCTACCTACCTTTGAGCAGGCCAAATGTTTGTGCTGTAAAATCTTTAATCCATTACAATCTGTTACTCTGCAATTAGATGAAATGTCAGTGATTGACTTGTACTAGTTGTACTACAGAATAAGGGAGGAGAATGAGGACTCGCTGAAAAACAAGAGCTTAAATAATTAAAGAATGCGAGAGAGAGGAAGCATACACAGACACACAAACTTACTTGCTTTAAACATGATTAAATTCTTGCCAATTATGAACAAGAACTTTTAAATACTGTAAATTAATTTTATTTATTCATTCTTTCACTGATTTCATCATATATTAAACCTCTTTTATAAGCCAGGTATTGTGCTAACTTCAGGGAATACAGTGGTGAATAAGATAGACCCCCACGTTCGGCCACCTGACCTTCCGAGCTGGCGGGGCTGAGGCTGGAGTCCTCCCAGGAGCCACAGGGGAATGAAATTTGCAGACTTCCGGGGCGCCTGGCCCTGGGCGTTGGGCGAGCCCGGGGATGGTCGGAAGGGCTGGGGGTGGGGGTGGGGGGGCGTGGGGGGGGGCGGCAGGAGGAGCCCGAACGAAGCCTTTGCGATTACAGTCATGGCCACCCAGATGGGGCAGTCTTCTGGAGGAGAAGGGCTGTTTACCGGCAATGGCAACATTGGAATGGCCTTGCCTAACGGCATGTATGACTTGCATGATCTCTCTAAAGCTGAACTGGCCTCACCTCATCCTGTCTTGCTGGCAAATGCGGCCTTCAGTGGGAAAGTAAATGGCAGCTGCTGTGATTACCTGGTCGGTGAAGAAAGACAGATGGCAAAATTGATGCCTGTTGGGGATGACAGCTTTTCAGATAGTGAAGAAGGAGAAGGCCTCGAAGAGTGCTGAAATGAAAGGTGAACCTCATGGGCTGAGACGTTTGGAACTCAGCGTTGTAGAACTTCAGCCTGCATTTGAAGCATCAGCTGCTCCAGAGATTTACAGCTCAAATAAAGATCTTCCTCCTGAAACACCTGGAACAGAGGACAGAGGCAAGAACTCGAAGACCAAATCCTTTCGCTGTAAGTCATGCCAATATGAAGCAGAATCTGAAGAACAGTTTGTGCATCACATCAGAGTGCACAGTGCCAAGAAATTTTTTGTGGAAGTGCGGAGAGGCAGGCCGCGGTGGCTCACGCCTGTAATCCCAGCACTTTGGGAGGCCGAGACGGGAGAATCACCTGAGGTCAGGAGTTCGAGACCAGCCTGACCAACATGGAGAAACCCTGTCTCCATTAAAAATACAAAATTAGCCCGGTGTTGTGGCGCATGCCTGTAATCCCAGCTACTCGGGAGGCTGAAGCCAGGAGGCGGAGCTTGCATGCGGTGAGCCGAGATCATGCCATTGCACTGCAGCCTATACAACAAGAGCGAAACTCCGTCAAAAGAAAGAAAGAAAGAAGAAATAAAGAAAGAAAGAAAGAAAAAAGAAAGAAAGGAAAAGAAAGAAAAGAAGGAAAAGAAAGAAGAAAGAAAGAAAGAAAGAAAAAGAAAGAAAGAAAGAAAGAAAGAAAGAAAGAAAGAAAGAAAGAAAAGAGAAGGAAGCAATAGACAAGGAATCTGGCTCTTCCACTGCAGAAGAGGGAGATTTCTCCAAGGTCTGTATTCGCTGTGACCACTGTGGCTACAATACCAATCGATATGGTCCCTATACTGCACACCTGAAACACCACACCAGAGCTGGGGATAATGAGCGAGTCTACAAGTGTATCATCTGCACATACACAACAGTAAACGATATTTGGAAACTGTAAGCCTGGAATTAGGAGACATAACTATTCCTTCAAGTTTTATAGAATATCACTTGGGAGATTCCAAAACCATAGCTATTACATGGCAAACCTAGGATAAGAGCAGTAGTATGAGTGCTGGCAGACCAGCTGCCACTTTCCTATACAGTGAAAAAGGCCGGTGAAACAAGTACAGGCCAGATTTTTAAAAATCATACTTTCTCAAGGATCTCCACAAACTGGAGGGTGTCCTGGCTGTCTGTGTGATAGCCTCTTTCTACAAGTGAGGCCTCAAATGAACTGCAGCTATCCTGGTGTTCCTGTGGGGGCACTTTGTATGAAAAAAGGGCATGTACTCCAAAACATTTTTGTAGGTTCTTTGGCCAGGCGCCAAACAGTACGAAAGAGTCCAATGTAGGATTTTTCTTACTGATAGCAGTTATTCATTGCAGTGAAATAAAATATGATCCCAGTAGGGAATCTTGAATTCTGACCTCCCATGTTCTATTTTGAAATAACCACTTTATGTTTCTTTTTTTTTTTTTATCTGATGATCTCTTTGAGGCCAGCTTCAGATTTTGGTGGTACAACATGAAAGATTAGGAAAAGCATTAATAATCTGTGGGTGGAAAACTTATTAGAAATCTGAGAGTAAAGTTTGAGTTAAAAGTTGTTTGAACATGGAATTGACTGGGAGGCCAAAGATTTTTAAAAGCAGAAGATTCTTAAGACCTGAGGAATAAGTTATGTGATAATGGTGTGTGTTTTGTGTGCATGAATGGAAATTGTAAATGTTGAATTCTAGGCTCCGATAATCACTGTCAACAGAAGATCAAGCTGCAAATATTTATGCTTTAAAACTTAAATTATAAAGCTAGTTAAATCTTTCTAACAACTAGTTTTAATGTTCATGGGTACATTTTACCTAAGGTACTGTTAACATTGTATAGAGAAAGATTCATCTTAAGCACAGATTGGCTATCAGGAATTAGTTTGGGGATGGGGTTGTTTGTTTTTTTCTTGTAAATTTGTTTGAGTTCATTGTAGATTCTGGATATTAGCCCTTTGTCAGATGAGTAGGTTGCGAAAATTTTCTCCCATTTTGTAGGTTGCCTGTTCACTCTGATGGTAGTTTCTTTTGCTGTGCAGAAGCTCTTCAGTTTAATTACATCCCATTTGTCAATTTTGGCTTTTGTTGCCATTGCTTTTGGTGTTTTAGACATGAAGTCCTTGCCCATGCCTATGTACTGAATGGTAATGCCTAGGTTTTCTTCTAGGGTTTTTATGGTTTTAGGTCTAACGTTTAAGTCTTTAATCCATCTTGAATTAATTTTTGTATAAGGTGTAAGGAAGGGATCCAGTTTCAGCTTTCTACATATGGCTAGCCAGTTTTCCCAGCACCATTTATTAAATAGGGAATCCTTTCCCAATTGCTTCTTTTTCTGAGGTTTGTCAAAGATCAGATAGTTGTAGATATGTGGCGTTATTTCTGAGGGCTCTGTTCTGTTCCATTGATCTATATCTCTGTTTTGGTACCAGTACCATGCTGTTTTGGTTACTGTAGCCTTGTAGTATAGTTTGAAGTCAGGTAGTGTGATTCCTCCAGCTTTGTTCTTTTGGCTTAGGATTGACTTGGCAATGCAGGCTCTTTTGGTTCCATATGAACTTTAAAGTAGTTTTTTCCAATTCTGTGAAGAAAGTCATTGGTAGCTTGATGGGAATGGCATTGAATCTATAAATTACCTTGGGCAGTATGGCCATTTTCATGATATTGATTCTTCCTACCCGTGAGCATGGAATGTTCTTCCATTTGTTTGTATCCTCTTTTATTTCATTGAGCAGTGGTTTGTAGTTCTCCTTGAAGAGGTCCTTCACGTCCCTCGTAAGTTGGATTCCTAGGTATTTTATTCTCTTTGAAGCAATTGTGAATGGGAGTTCACTCATAATTTGGCTCTCTGTTTGTCTGTTATTGGTGTATAAGAATGCTTGTGATTTTTGTACATTGATTTTGTATCCTGAGACTTTGCTGAAGTTGCTTATCAGCTGAAGGAGATTTTGGGCTGAGACAATGGGGTTTTCTAGATATACAATCATGTCATCTGCAAACAGGGACAATTTGACTTCCTCTTTTCCTAATTGAATACGCTTTATTTCCTTCTCCTGCCTAATGGCCCTGGCCAGACTTCCAACAGTATATTGAATAGGAGTGGTGAGAGAGGGCATCCCTGTCTTGTGCCAGTTTTCAAAGGGAATGCTTCCAGTTTTTGCCCATTCAGTATGATATTGGCTGTGGGTTTGTCATAGATAGCTCTTATTATTTTGAGATACGTCCCCATCAAAAAGTGGGCAAAGGACATGAACAGACACTTCTCAAAAGAAGACATTTATGCAGCCAAAAAACACATGAAAAAATGCTCACCATCACTGGCCATCAGAGAAATGCAAATCAAAACTGCAATGAGATACCATCTCACACCAGTTAGAATGGCAATCATTAAAAAGTCAGGAAACAACAGGTGCTGGAGAGGATGTGGAGAAATAGGAACACTTTTACACTGTTGGTGGGACTGTAAACTAGTTCAACCATTGTGGAAGTCAGTGTGGCGATTCCTCAGGGATCTAGAACTAGAAATACCATTTGACCCAGCCATCCCATTACTGGGTATATACCCAAAGGACTATAAATCATGCTGCTATAAAGACACATGCACCCGTATGTTTATTGCGGCACTATTCACAATAGCAAAGACTTGGAACCAACCCAAATGTCCAACAATGATAGACTGGATTAAGAAAATGTGGCACATATACACCATGGAATACTATGCAGCCATAAAAAATGATGAGTTCATGTCCTTTGTAGGGACATGGATGAAATTGGAAATCATCATTCTCAGTAAACTATCGCAAGGACAAAAAAGCAAACACCGCATGTTCTCACTCATAGGTGGGAATTGAACAATGAGAACACATGGACACAGGAAGGGGAACATCACACTCTGGGGACTGTTGTGGGGTGGGGGGAGGGGGGAGGGATAGCATTAGGAGATATACCTAATGCTAAATGACGAGTTAATGGGTGCAGCACACCAGCATGGCACATGGATACATATGTAACTAACCTGCACATTGTGCACATGTACCCTAAAACTTAAAGTGTAATAATAATAAAATAAAAAATAAAATTAATTAATTAATTAATTTTTAAAAAGGAATTAGTTTGGGGAAAATGTTTTTTTGTGGATTCTTTCATACTGCAAAAGTAAAACCATTTGCCTTCTGGGGAATTGAGCTAAATTCTCATCTAGTCTAAGACTAAAATGCTAAAAACAAAAACATGAAGGAAATTAAAACCCCTTATTATTAAATCGATTTGTAAAAATGTTGTTACTGGAAATTTATTGGACTTGAGGCCTTCTTCCAGAAAATAAGGACTTGATTGTCAGGGCCTGTATTAGGTTCTGAACCTTAATGCCATGTATTCGTACTTATCAGAAATTATTTCAGTGAAAAGTACATTAGCAGTATGAACTTCTGATCCAGTTGGAAGTTCTTCCATTTGAAAAATGTGATATTTGCATGGAACTGTTTTCATCTTTTTCTTTTCTAGTCCCACTCCCCCACACTGGATAGAATTTAAGCTAGAATTTTCCCTTTTGATAAAAGAACAAAAAATGAACATGTTATTTGTAAGTTGATGTGTAGTATCTAGTGATAAACTTGAAACACTAGAATACATGACAAGCCTAATCTTAGGTAGTCTTATGAAAACGAATCTCTTACCTATCTTTTGAAACTATATTCACATTGATTTTTAAGATTTTTTAAGTTATATTTTTTCCTTTTTTCTTCAGAGCTGCTTCTTATTTTGGCACCACTTTTTTCTTTTATTGTGTAATTCACAAGGGGCTGCATTTTTTTTTTTTTTTTTTGATAAGGCTTGTAACTATGGCTGGATGTTTTGCTCTAGTCTTCTAAGAAAGGCCATTTTATTTTTCAGAGTCACTTATAAAGTCATGTGTAACTAACTTTGTAGACTGTTTTGCATATGACTGCTGCTACAAATTAAAACCCAAATAGACCTCATTGCATGTCACTCTATGAATGTTGACAATGAAAGGAATACCTTGCCTGTGGTATACTGTCACTTTTGGACTGAAAAGCTGAGGAAGAAACTTAATTTTCTTTTTTGCATAAGTCAGAAAAACTTACAGCTGGTGTTCCCAGTTTCCTGGTTGACTCCAGCAGATGAAATGAACAGATAGTGTTAATTCAGACTGAAGAAATTATCTGAATCTTGGCTTGTGTAGATTTACAATCTACATGCAATATTAACTAAATCAGATAGCTTTTACAGTTTCACATGTGTACATAGGTTCCCTCCCAGTCCCTTCCATACCCATTAGTTATTGAACTTTCTAATTCTATTGAAACATTACAACAGTGTTTTGTTGCACCAATTTTATAAACTTATGCCGTGCAATACGTGTTATTTTTCTGAGGCAGACCAAAGGTAAATTTCTCAAGGTTCTTGCTGCCTTCTTTAGCAGTATTTGAGGGAGGATCTTTTATACATTTGTAACAGATAAAAATGAAGCAGATTGCAAATCCTTTTTTAAAATCTTAAACCATGTACCAAGTTTTTGGTCCAAATTGTGTAGGATAAGTTAACCTTAAATTGCATTCTATTAACCAATAAGAGGGTATTTCCGTAAGCATAGTTATGTTGAAATACAGTTTTAAAAAGCAAAAAAAAAAAAAAACAAAATAAAAGATAGACCTGCTAAGCTTAGTCAATTAAAAATTAATGGTGAGACAGAACTACAGGGTAGATTAAAGCTCAGCCTATATGCATCACCATGACTCCGCTTACTACTGATGTCTCCTTCGGCTTGTTGCTTAATCCTTTCATAAAATGGGATTAGTATTTACTCACCTCCATGAGTTGTGACACACTCTAAATGAGATAATTAATGTAAAGCACTTAGAACAATACTTGGCACCAGAGAAGCTCTCAAAAAAATATTAGCGGGGCCGGGCGCGGTGGCTCACGCCTGTAATTCCAGCACTTTGGGAGGCCGAGGCGGGCGGATCACGAGGTCAGGAGATCGAGACCATCCTGGTTAACACGGTGAAACCCCGTCTCTACTAAAAATACAAAAAATTAGCCGGGCGTGGTAGCGGGCGCCTGTAGTCCCAGCTACTCGGGAGGCTGAGGCAGGAGAATGGCGTGAACCCGGGAGGCGGAGCTTGCAGTGAGCCGAGATCGCGCCACTGCACTCCAGCCTGGGCGACAGAGCGAGACTCCGTCTCAAAAAAAAAAAAAAAAAAAAAAAAATTAGCGGTTTTTGTTATTAAAAACATTGGTCAGAGCCCTTATTTCCTTGCCAGCCGAAAAGCATTGCTCTGATGACTAGATTTACATCCTTCCTTTTTTGAGGACAGTGGGACAGCCTAAGTGTTCAGAAGGCATTGTCATACATGGTTTTAATAAAAAAGTGGATATCTGAGCCTAGATACCATGTGCGAGAGTCTGTGGGATGTGAAAAGATTGCACAAAGACGAACCCAGTTTAAGGCTCAGCACGTGTGAGTGGAAGATAGTGCTACCATGGTGTGACCTCAGTGATTGTGCACCAATTAATTCCTCTAAGCTCTGACACCCCACAAAGGAACTCAAAGTTTCAGGCTCTGCTAAAATAAGACAGACAATAGCAAGTGTTGGCAAAGATGTGAAAAAATTGGAATTCTTATACGTTGCTAATGGAAGGTAAAATGATGTAGCCACTTTTGAAACCAGTTTGACAGTTCCTCAAAATGTTAAATAAAGTTGCCATGCTATCCAACAATTCTACTAAGTTCTACCCAAGAAAAATGGAAACTCATGTATACACACCAAAAAAAATGTACAACAACAGTAGTAGCATTTTTCATAACAGCCAAAAAAGTAGAAACAACCAAAATATTCATCAAGTGATGAATGGATAAGCAAAATGTGGTATATCCATACAATAGAAAATTACTTAGCTGTAAAAAGAAATAGTCTTGATACATGCTATAACACTCATGAGCCAAAATAGGCAAATCCACAGACAGACAGAAAGTAGATTCATGCCTAAGGGTAAGGTTAGGGTAGGAAATGGGGAATGACAGGTAATGGGTATGGGATTCTTTTGGAGTGATGAAAATCTTCTAGAATTAGATAGCAATGATGGTTACATAACCCAGTGAATATACTAAAATCCACCAAACTGTACACTTTAAATGGGTGAATTTTATGGTATGTGAATAAATACCATTTTTCTCAATAAGCTGTTTCTTATTTTTTATTTTCTTTATTATTTTTATATTAAATACAATTAAAAAAATTATTTGAGACAGGGTCTCTTTTTGTCACCCAGACCAGTGTACAGTGGCACAATCATAGCTCACTGCAGCTTCAAACTCCCAAACCCAAGCAATCCTTTCACCTCAGCCTCCTGAGTAGCTGGGACTGCAGGCTGGCACCACCATGCCCAGCTAATATTTTTTGTTTGTTTGTTTGTAGAGACTGGATCTTACTATGTTACTCAGTTTGGCCTCAAACTCCTGGCCTCAAACAATCCTCTCACCTAAGCCTCATAACCTGTGGATCACCACAGCCAGTCCTAAATCTGTTTTTAAAAAAAAGTTTCAGGGACAGAGATCCTAAACATCAAAGCATGATGCTCCAGGCTGACTGGGGTTCCATGTGAAACAGCCCTCAGGTGTGCTGGAAATGTCTTTCCTGGGGCTGTTTCAAAAGTTTTGGGATATTCGCTGAAAATATTCTAGTCTCTCTTTAAAGTAGAACACTTGTCTCCAAAATCACACTCCTTATTACCATTTCTATTGATATAAGGGCAGTACTAAGGTTCACTTTTTAGAGATGAGGAACCCAGGCCTAGGACATATGCTAGCCAATGAGAGCTCAAGATGTAAATGCCAGTTTTTCTGATTCCACAGCCATTTTCTAGTAGTCTACTCTCCCTTAAGACAAGAAGTTTATGCCTAATTCTCCTGATGTAAAAACAAAGTTTTAAACATGAGAACCAATCTTTTTGCAGCTTGTTTTCATACTGTAGCTTCTCAGAGATTCCCCCAAGTTGCTCTTTTCCAGACCTTTTTCCTACTAACATCGTGACTTTTTAAATTGAAATAAAATTGGCATGCAATAAAATGCACAGATGTTAAGTGTACAGTTCAATGAGTCTTGACAACGCTATACACAGTGTAACACCAATCAAGCTACAGAACATTTCTTATCCCCAAAGAAGTTCCTCATACCTCTTTCCAATGTGTCTTAGTGCAAGCTCCTAGAGGTAACTTCTGTTCTGATTTTTCTTACCACAGATTAGTTTGCCTGTTTTGAACTATATACCATGGAATCATGTTATTTTGTGTCTGGCTTCTTCAGCTCAAGATGATGTTTATGAGATTCTTCATACAGTAATATTTCACTCCTTTTTATTGCTAAGTGGTATTCTATTATGTGAATATATCAAGATTTATCCATTTTCCTATTGGTGGACTTTTGGGTTACTTCCAGTTTGAGATTGTTAGGAATAAAGCTGTTGTACAGCTTTCTGTGGACATATGCTTTCATTTCTCCTGAACTGCTGGTTCATAGGTAGGTGTATGTATCACACTTCTTTAAAGCTAAAATGACCAGGACCCCAGGTAATAGTCTATACAGGAATGTGTTGTGATACCTACTGTACAGGCTTCAGTCATGTTTTCTTTTCATTCTCACTAGCCTCCACGATGATGCTCAGTACCACCTTGATTCTTGACCTGGGCACTATGTTGTCTATCGTCCACCGTACAACTGGCACCTCATAACACACGTTTATTCTCTAAGTGTAGGTGCATACCCACACAATGCTGTTAGATAAAAAGATGCCTTGTTTACCTGTTTCGTTGTCTCGATAGGTAGAACATAAGCTTCTTATAAGTGAGGAAAGCATCTTAGCACTTTTGCACATCACAGTAATTAGCTCTTAGGAGAAAGTATGGCATGGATCAAATGAGCATAGAACTCGGAGTCCAAGTCACATCAACTCTCTGAGCCTCATTTCCACATATGTTAAATATTATTGAAAAAATGTAAAATAAATTATATACCTATGTGTTTGAAATTTAAAAGTTATTTTTCAAGCATAGGTCTGTCCAATGCCAAATGAATTCCTAAAATAAACAATCGGATACATCGAGTAGCTATTCACTTTCACTATTTTATGGGGGGAAAACAATCCATTGTTTACAGAACCGTTTAAAAAGTTTAGGAGTATTTTCACTCTCACTGCAGGGCTAGTGAACATCTCAGTATCTTTGTCACCACTTCCTTCCATCCTTCCCAGATTTCAAGTGCCCGAAGGCAAAGTAGAATGACCCCTAAGCTTTTTTCGAAAGCTGATGGAATAATTCCCTGTCAGCCTACTTTATGCAAAACAACTTCCGGCACTGGCTGTCACCCTGCCAACCATATCTCCACTCTTCTTACTTTTTGCTCTACTTTAAATGTCTCTCAAATCATTAATCATATGCAATTATTTTCCCCCTGGGACGGGCCACAGCAAGATTGTGAACAAGAGATGGCAAAGTACTCACTGGGGCGCCTTGCTCCTGGGCTTCAGGAGCTGGCAGACTTCTGGCTTGAAAAAGAGCAGGACATTGCACAGTGGGAGAACCCGGGGCACACAAACCCAGCTCAAGTCAAGCTATCTACTCACAACTTTAAAATGCTTATAGGGCACTGTTGTCAGAGGTGACTGTCGGGCGAAGTGTCAGAGCCCTGGCATCAGGAAGTGCTCAACTCACGTGTTGGTAAAAAGAATTTACCAACAACAGCATAGGTTTGAAAAGGAAAAGTTTATTGGAAAGAAAGAACACTGCAGAAGAGTGCAGCAGTGCACCGCAGTGAGAGGACTGAGTGCACTGCTGTGGGTTTTTCCTTAGGGGTATTCATGGACCTTAAGGCGGGAGCTTAAGGGTAATTTGGACCGTATTAGTCACATAGATCATGATAAATGATCAAGTTTGTAGACATTTTGGTGTGTTAATGTCAGCAAGGGTTGTAAAATGAGTTTTGGAATGGCATTACTGATATAAGATACTGAGCTGTGAAGAATTGCCCCAAATTTAAAAATTTTTAAAGAATGAGAAAGCTACCAAAAATGTATGGTTCCCTAAATGTACTGCAATGGGAACTATGGCACTGACCATTCTCCTAAATTTCCATTTCTATATAAAGAGATGTATAGAAATTTTAATTACTTAGAAAGATTGAAAAAGGCCTGGAACCAGAGGCCAACTTTGGATATTAGGAAAGTCTAATTACTTCTAATTTTCCCAGATAAGGAGTTGTGCCTCCGGAGGGCCTGTTTAATAGTCACCGGGTGACCCGTACTCTCTTCTAAATTCCTCAAATAAGGAGTTTTTGTCTCCGGGGCCTTTTCAATGGTCACCAGGTGATTTTCACTCTCCTCTGTGACCTGGTTTGTCCTCGAATGGAACCCTGCTTCCAGCATCCCTTCTGAAAGCCTTCTACATCAATATTTCTCTTTTCATGTGAACTATAACTATGTTATATGCAAGAATAAATTTCTGGGCCCTGGATAACACTAGAATACAGACAGAAACATTTATGAGTGAAGCGAAAGGCCCCACGTACAATTCTAGATGAGGACAAAAAGGAAAATTTGAAACTATCTCTAGTCAACTTTTCTTATTCTCTAAGCTGCAGATACTCTGGAATGTAGTCAGAGGTTGAGATTTGCCACAAGTTAACCAACTGCTCTTCACTTTAAGCTGTGATTTCTACATGAATAAATCAATATTCCGACAAGGTGCTTCCCTGAATTTTAACGTTCTGCTAGTGTTTTAAAGATAGGAGAAAAAAATGTTTTTCAGAAACCAACATAGCGTCAGAAATAGTCTGCTCTTAATCGTATCTCAGTGTCAAAAAACAAAAACAGAGTGAGATTAGAATATTAAAATAGGCAGAGAGTGTGGAATTTTATGTTTTTATTTTATAACGTATTTTTGGATAGCCTCTCAAGTCATAAACAGGGAATATAGAAAGCAGACTTTGAAATGCCCGCCTGATATAAAATAAACATTAATATTTAACTTAGAATCAGAGGAGAGATGTACGCCTCTTTTCAAGGTCATCAACTTTCCAAGCTGTGTCACACTGATGTTCTGTTTATGTTGAAGCCATGCTGCCATGTTTGAAGATGACATAAAGGCAATGGAACCTATGTGTCGCAGTAGGATTACCTAATTTTGGTTTAAAAAATGCCATTTTTGTTTCTTTTTGGTAAACAGTGCTCTCTATTTCCTGGAAAATCACGTATAGTGCAAATTTACCTTTACTCATGTTTAAGGTCACACCATTGAGTATCTGCTTAAGTCAAGCACTGTGCTCAGTGTGTAACTCATTTACTCACAACAACACTGTGGGGTAGGCGCCATTATTATCCCCAATTTATAGGCAAAGAAGCTGAAACTCAGAGAAGTTGGAATTCCACGTGGCCAAGTAGCTAATAATGGAAGGGCTGAGATTCAGAATTTTGTCTGACCATAAGGTTCTTATCCATCATGTTAAAT
The DNA here is from genome assembly GCF_000001405.40 of Homo sapiens. NCBI lineage: Eukaryota > Metazoa > Chordata > Mammalia > Primates > Hominidae > Homo > Homo sapiens. Next base: position 79,319,484 of record NC_000012.12, read on the forward strand.
TTACTCTAACTTAGAAATAGGTCACAGGGCCTATGCAAGGGATGATGTTTTGGTCTGCAATACATACACTCCACACATGCCCTATAGTTGTCTGTTTCTTTACTCCAAACTCCCAGCAATTCTGCCAACACCGCAACACCACACAGTACCAAGGGAGGGCTGCAACAGCCAGCATCCATTCAACACCACTCCCAAGTCTCTTAGCTGCTCCCAAGATTTCTGGGCCACTCTTTCCATGATATACATATGCATGAAAAATCTCATATAAAATTCACATGCTTCTGTTTTCAAGTCCCTCTATTCCCCATCCTTTGCTTTATTCCATTCCACAATAGTGCAAGTTCCTGGAAAAACGCAATAATGTCTTCCATCTCTTTCATCACCTTCCCTTTTACCAAATAGGATGAGGAGCATGGAGTAGAATATCCATCCCTGTAATTATACCTAAAACACTAAAGATCAGTGAAGTGTGTATTTTAATGTTCTCCAAATAGTATTTAATTAGGGGTACTTGAATATATGAGAAATGTCTTTGCAAAGTAAATGTTTTACGTGCTTAGAGTTTTCTAAGCCCTTGTGTTTCATAATGCAATATAAGCTCTTTATTAGTACCCTCTGGCTGAGATAAGATATTGAGCTGTGAAGAATTGCCCAAAATTTAAAACTTTTTAAAGAATAAAAAAGCTACCAAAAAATGTATGATTCCCTAAAATGTACTGCGATGTGAACTGCAGCACTGACCATTCTCCCAAATTTCCATCCCAAAACCCTGCTTCTCATGAAAGAGAGAGAGAAAAATAGGGAGAAAAAAGCACATGCTGCATCTTACAAAACCAGATAGTTACTAAATGCTTGTCATTTGGTCCCCAAATTATCCTTTCTTGAAATCCAAATCTTTAATATTTTAAAGAATAAATTGCAGCATTTCTGCCTTGAGGTTTTTATGTCATCTTCATAGGAATCATTTTGACCAATTTTACATATAACTTAGCTAAATTTTTGTGTTAGATCTGAATCTTGGAGCATAACTAGTCTGTATTAGATGAGGAACAGTTGTCATTTTCAGTTATGACTCTCCAAACGTCATATCAGCTGGTGCTATGGCTCTGATTTCCTCTATCAGCAGCACCTCTCTCGGGTAATTTATCTTTTTTTCTTTTTCCCCTTTTTTTTTTTTTTTTTTTTTGAGACAGAGTGGTGCGATCTCAGCTCACTGCAACCTCCGCCTCCTGGGGTTCAGGTGATTCTCCTGCCTCAGCCTCCCAAGTAGCTTGGACTATAGGCATGTTCCACCAGGCACAGCTAATTTTTGTGTTTTTAGTAGAGATGGGGTTTCACCATGTTGGCCAGGATGGTCTCTATCTCTTGGCCTCGTGATCGGCCCAACTCGGCCTCCCAAAGTGCTGGGATTACAGGTGTGAGCCACCACACCTGGCCTCTCGGGTAATTTCTGAAGACCTTGATTCTCACCACCACTGCAAACCCCCAAACCCAACCCATTCTACCTGCTGGCTTGTGCTCCCTCTTCAGAACTTTCCTAATTTTGTGATTCTAGTTGCTGTTCAGTCCCCTTGAGAGGAAAAACAATGGACAAACTTAATTTAAATCTGAAATAACTGATTAGTTCAATGAAATCTCACAAACTGTGTTACAGATATTATTAAGACAAATTTGCAAATTAGGAAACTGAGACTCAGAAAGGCTAAGAAATTTATCTGGAATCATATAACTAAGGAAGTAATGGCCAAAAATTTAAATCAAAAGTTTGCCTTACTCCAAAGTGTGTGTTAATTACTATTTTAAAGTTCTGTTAAAGCAGGGACTTCATGTTAAATTCCTAGTATTGGGAGTTCAGGAAATGTTCAAGAAAAGCATGAGGGTCCCTGGTAATGAACTTATGAAAGAAATGTATCATGTGAATATGGTGACTTTTCCTTTTTTAACAAATGGATTGAAGGTTTCCTGAAAAAGTGATGAGGGATAACTTTAAAAGGTGCCTATTTAAATTAGCATACAGGCAGTTTGAATTCTAGTTCTTCCTCTTTTAGTATGTTAAAGGGAAGGAAATGGTTTATCCCAGTGACTGCTACTCCATAGACACCTGAACTGAACCTGAAGGTAGAAAAGGAATGGGACTTAGCTGAATTTTAACAAGGATCATTTAGGCCAGGGCTGCTGTTCAGGGCACTGGGTTTGAGTCTGAGACTAGTATTTACCAAAATATGTTATACAAGTCATCAGGGGATACATTCATGGAAAAACTCAGTACACAAGGACAAGGACCAAACCTTCTTTCAGATCCTCATGTTGAGCACATAATGAATTCAGTGCCCTGGGCTAGAATTTAAGTAACTGGGAACAGAAACCAGTTCATCATGTGTAATTTCTATAGGAAGATAATGCTTCAGATATTGTGTGGTCTCCTCCAAGTGGAGCACAGCCACTTGCCCAGCCATTAGTTAGAGTGCCCGGACGAGAGGAGAGAAGCAGAGGCTGGGAACGTAACAGGGGAGTGCAGTTGATTGTTCCTCTCAGGGCCAAGATGAAGTGACCCACCGTTTCCCACCGCCCCTCTCATTCTCAGTATACAGTCTGGTCAATGTTCCCTAAGAAAATGATTCATTCAGCATGCCCCATTTCCAGTTGAAATCACATACACTTGACTTCAGAACTGAGAACGAAAATGGTTCTTCCTAAATGCAAGTTCTGGCATGCCTAAACAAAAATTTCATATATAGTAAGCTAAAATCTCCTAAAGAGTTTAACGCATAACTTATTCAAACGTATTCTGAGACTGTGAAAATTGAGGACTCATCTATCCTCAAATGGAAACTGCCGCTGGCCTCATCTTCTGCACCTTATCTTTCCTTTTAAAAAAAACTCTGAGATTTACCACTTACATGCCTGCATCTGTTTGGATTAACTTTCATGTTCCATATATTTCTGTTTTTATTAGTTCATCTTTGTCCTCCAAATGTGGGTCATCATACAAGTGATAAGTTTAAGTAAGATTTACATTCTCTTTGTTCTTATGAGTGTATCAGTGAATATTATTAATATTGCCTCACATTTGCAGGACACTTTAATGTGCTATGGAAGCCATTGGAACCCAGCCCCGTATTTCTGAACCAAATTCTCTCCTCCCTCAAACTCTCGGGGCGTTGGGCATTTCCTCAATTATGTGGCGTCTATGGCAGTTTCTAATCTGATTGGGGCTCTTAAAATAGAACCAGAATCTCTTTTTTGGAGTGAGAGAGCGCAGTGATGAGTATTTATTAATTAAGGGAAAAGCCTCCACTTGAGGCAGCTGGGAATGACTTTCTGAAGACACTAAAATCCAAATAAAAAGAAAGACATTCAAATGTGGGAAGAAAAAGTAAACCCAGTAAGACCCTCCTGAAAGTGTTAAATGTTGAAACGATATCTGAAAGAACCAACTTCTTTGGAGGATTTTTAAAAATAAGAATTGGGGCATGGATTTGTAGTCTTGCTTCAAGGCAAGGGAATAGACAAGGTGATCTCCCGTGGGATCTAACAGCCCTGTAATTCATCAAAGAAGGTATTTAAAAGCAAAGCCATGGGGGAAAGAGAACAGTAGCATCAATCTAAATCAAGCCTTACATGCATTTTCTCTCTTTTTTTTTTTTTTCACTTCTAATCTCTCCCTGCTTTTTTGTAAGACCTATCACAGCAGGACATACTCTCTACAATTACTTTGACAAACAATGGTAACAGCACTTGGGTTTTTAATGTCTTCCAAAGTAATCTATTTTTGACAGTGAAAAGTAGAGGAAACTGATTCCTGAAGCTATGAACTAAAATGACAGATTTGGGGATCTGATTTACCAGAGTGGGTTTTCCATATATCAGCCCTTGCTGACATTCCTGGGCAAGTACCCACAGGCACAAACTCCCAATGGAAAGTCGGATAAATGTAACACAAACAACAGTCATAAGTTGACTTTCCTATCAGGTACCTTGTGAAAAAATAGGTACAACATTTTATAAATCTTTTATTTTAATGAAGTTTACTTAACACCGAAAACGTCAGTCCAGAGATGTGAAATCTTACATTATAAAGAATTATGGCAAATAGAAACACTAACAAACTGAGCCTTTAGCTGTCATATCTGAAATACTATACATACACATATTCATGGATGCCAACATGCTGTAACATAATTTTACATATTAAAATAGGCTCAATTTTCAATGATAATAAAATGGTTACTGATACTATGACTTCATGGAATATTAGATAGCCATTAGGCATACTTATATGGAAAAATGTTTTAGTATGTTAAATAGAAAAAGCAAAATATAAAATTATATATAAATTATATATATATGCTTTTGTAGTGGGTTTTAAAAATATTTGCATATGTATAAAAATAATTTGGGAATCCATGAAATGAGAATAATTATTTTAGGAGGCTAAGATTATGGTATTTTTGTTTCTATTTTCTTTTTTTTTTTTTTTTTTTTGAGATAGAGTCTTCCTCTGTCACCCAGGCTGGAGTGCAGTGGCGCAATCTCAGCTCACTACCACCTCCACCTCCCGTGTTCAAGCGATTCTCCTGCCTCAGCCTCCTGAGTATCTGGGATTACAGGTGCACGCCACCACTCCTGGCTAATTTTTTGTATTTTTAGTAGAAACGGGGTTTCACCATGTTGTTCAGGATGGTCTCAAACTCCTGACCTTGTGATCTGCCTGCCTCGGCCTCCCAAAGTGCTGGGATTACAGGCGTGAGCCACCGCGCCTGGCCTGTTTCCATTTTCAATATACAAAAATACAAATGCACACACACAGGGAGATAACACATTTGATGTAACAAATGACCGTGCTTTCAGAATTCAGTCCAGTATATTATGGTTGAAGAACAGACTTACATTAAGTGTTCTGCCACGAGTTATCAGAAAAAGTCAATAGACCCACATGACCCCGCCTTCATTCCCTTTTCTCCTCTTAACACCTCTGCCAGCAAGAACACACACACTGAGTGGGCCATTGTAACTTAGATCCATCTGGTAAGATTCTTTTTCTTCTTCCAAATTAGTTTGTTCCAAAAATTATCCAGCAGATTGTTCAAGAGAGGCATTTAATATTTGTCTTTAAGAAATGAGAAAATAGGGAGGTCAAAATGAATTAGCATTTAAAAATAAGACCTATAGCACCCCTGCGGTGCATCTGTGGGGTTTGAGATGTGCAGCATCATACAAATATCACTAGGAAACTGAGACATTTGGAAACAGCTAAGAAGAGCCACGTTGCTGGAAAAAACCATGACTGGCAAAAAAAAAAGCTTTTTGTGAATATTCCATAACCTACAAAGAACGGGACAAAAATAAATACATAAAGACTTATACCCTGGAATAACACAGCAGAAAATATCTTATTAAAAGGTTTTCACTACCTTTGAGATACCATGACATAATCATATTAATCCAAAATACTTCCTTGAAGCATGGATTTTTAAAGCTTGACTTTTTAATGCCAGTTGGGCTGTGTTATAAGTAGCCATCAGATTTTTTGTTTCCTTTTCCTGGCCAACTACCAAAAATCTTTGGTAGTTGGTGAGTTTGCTCTACTACAAGAAAACCTGGTAACCTTGGGATACTCTGCTGTTAATATCCGATTCCTATTCAAGTATCTTCCCAGGAAAAGCATGGGGGTTGCAGGGGGAGGCCAAACCATCTGCTTATTTTAACAAGGCTTTTGGCCAGCTTCTCATGGTTAAGGAGCGCTAACTCTCTGGCTAGCCTACCAGAAGCTCAGAGAATGAGAGTTCCTGGTATTTACAGTGTTACTTTTTAAATCAGTTTCAGAATGTGATTAGCACACCTTCCTAGGTAGGAAAAAGCTATGTTATGGCTGAAAAGAAAAGAAGCAGATACTCTTATTCTTGGTGGATGTGGGAAAACAAACAATTTGGATACTGAATAAAGAATAAATACTGTTAAGCACTTAATTTCATACACAAAATATATAGAGAATTTATTTTAAGCTTTCAATTGCCTTTTAGATGCCAAATTCAGATCTATTTATAGATGCCAGCTTTGAGTAATTCAAAAATTTATATAAAATCATTTCTGTGAAACTTACAGTTTATGGAAAACAGAGAAAGGTTTGCCCATTTCAGGTAAGGCCTATGATTTCCTCCTTTTACACTGATTTAGTATGGCTACAGATAAGGTTCATGGAATAAGAAGGTTTTTGTAGTCAGACCTGGGTTCGGATTGCCTCTGCCATTCATGAGCCATGCAAACTTGAAGACAGCTAACCTCCCTGTGCTTTAATGTTCTCATGCATAAGATAGAGAATATAAAACCTCATCACAGTGTTATTGTAGGGATTAGATGAGATGCAATATGCAAAAACACCCAAAACTAACAAGTATGCAGTCAATATTAGCTCCCTTTCCTCTTTTCCTTCTTCCAGGCTCTTGGGCTACTGTAATTTACACATTAACTCATTCTGTAACTTTAATTTCCTACTACCTCTTTAAAATACAGACCATATTTATTGATGGGGGGAAAATATACAAAGCTTAAAGCATGTGCCGTAAAATAGTTCCTTAAAGGGTAGTACAGCAAAATGGAACACATTTTCTTGCCCATTCACAGGACGACTGTGAATTTTAGCATAATTATTGAAAAAAACTCAGCTACTCTGACTTTTTACAATATCTAGTGATCAAGAAAACCTTTAGATCATATTACTTTTCCTCTCAATGTTGTAGTTAGGCTATTCACTCAGAGAGGCCTGTGACAAGCTATAGTTAATAAGTCTTCCATGGTGTCAAAAGTAATAATATTAACACGCCTTTGTGAGTTAAATTAATTTTGTTTTGTGCACTGGCCTGCATAAATGTGAATGACATTTCAAAATATGATCAGGCAGAAGCTGAGAAGGAGCCAAGTGGCAAGGCAGAATGAGATGCGGTCATTAGAGCAGAGCAGCCAGCTGCAAGCATTTGTCAGTGCAGGCAAAGAGGTGCAGGATATTATTACAGCAAACTTAGGGGGTTGTTCTTTCAGTTCATTTTGCCCTTTGGAAAAAAAATACTGATTTTTGTCTTTAGAGAAAAATAGAGATGTTTGACATCCAGGCTCTCCATGTTTGGAAATGAAAGACCATCTTCCTGCTAATCACTGATTTCAAGTGTCTTTCAACCCACAGATTTTTTTTCTCTGCCTGCGAGAGGCAGCTGATTGGTAATAGCTTTTAAACTAATGACCAAACAGTGGCATTTTAAAGTCTTAATGGTTGTGTTTATTTCAGAGACTTCTTCAGATTCCCCACCACCACCATACACAAAGGCATATACCTCCTGCAAATAGAACAAATAAATATGCTGTCTGTAAACAGTTAAAAGATACAGGTTGAACCTAGGAAGAAAACACCTCAGGATGACTCAGGGATCAGATGACCAAAATGACTGGTGTAATAAGTTTTATACTTTTTACCAAATGGCTGGACAAGCCCTTTTCCACTTGAGTTCTAGTATTTTGATTACTGCAATCAGAAATCAAATTATAAGAAAAATGGAGATGTTCCTATTAAGGCAGTCACCGTAAACAAGAACTGGATAATAATTTAAGGGGCTCTGTACCTCTTCATATGTTAAACTTGACAATTTAGGCAACATCCCATAGTAATGAGCCTCTACATTTCTTTCATATATCTAGTATCACAATATTTTTGTCTGTTCAGAAGTACTACACATGCAACAAACAATTTTTAAATTTGTCTATAGAAGTTTCTCTATTTTAATAAAATGAAGAGCACTATATTCAGAGCTCTGCATATTGTTTAGTATCCACAGCAATCCTACATGATATGAAAGCATTGTTATCCTCATTTCACAAAGGAAAAGTAAAGGAATTCCCTGAAAGCTATAGGACTGTTAAGTCACAGAATCTGTGTTTTAACTCAGATCAATTTCACTCCAAAGCCTGTGCTCTAGGTAACATATAGCCAAAAATACCCATGCCCTATTTCCTTCTGGCAACCAATCCACTGTGACTTCTATGGTAAACAACTATGTTCTGTAGCTTCTGCATTTAACTATCTCAAATCAAAAGGCACCAGCAAAGGAAATGGCTTATTCTGGAAGATTTTGCATTAATCTGATGATTCACTTCAACAAACATACATCTTCAGATCATTTCATGCTGGGCACTGGTGATGTAAAGATGAATTAGACAGTGCTAGGCTCAAGGACTTCATAGGCGATGAGGAAGGGATGATGCTATCTGGAAGTGAAGAGAGTTCAGAAGAGATGGTCAGAATGTAAATTTGAAATGAGTTCTAAAGGATGACTAGGAATTCAACTGATTGAGAATAAGGGCTTCCAAGAAGAGGAAGCAGGGAAAGCATTGGAACATGTAAAGAACAAGATGTCCAGATCTGATTATAATCTAGTACTGTACATGTGAGAGGGGAATGGCGTGAGGGGTAAGCCAGAAAAAATAAATAAGGGTAATATTTTAGGGCCTTGAAGGTGGGAGTTAACATTTTAAGTCTCACATTTGGGAGGCAGGGAGGATATTAAAGCTGTCAGTGGCCACATCAGCTCTGTGTGTAAGAAAGCCAATTTTTTGGCAGTGTGAAGATGAATTGGAGGCTCTTGCCTCCATTTAGGAGTCCATGAACGATATGGCTGTGAAGACAGAATGTGAACTAAAATTGAAAAAGTATTTTCAAAACAAGAATTTGCAGAATTTTGTTACTGATCAGATAGAGAGGTGAGGGGCAGAGAAAGCTATTGAAAATAATTTCAATTAGTTTGGTTGACTGAGAAATGAGCAAACAGGACAATAAATGAAATTACAGGAAGATGCACTAATTTTAAGGGAAAACATTAAGTTCTGTTTTGGACATGTTCATTAAAACAGAGTTCATTTCTATTTAAGATGATATTACATCCTTTTTTACCCCACCACAACTTGTTTTAATGTTTTATATGCAGTATTTAATGTTCTCCTAAATAGTACCATACCCACAGTCAAGGAGCATTATTTAATTTATCTGATTCCACTATCTCTTTACCAACCTAACACTTCTTTAAAATTACTCATGGCCGGGTGCGGTGGCTCACGCCTGTAATCCCAGCACTTTGGGAGGCTGAGGCGGGCAGATCACGAGGTTAGGAGATCGAGACCATCCTGGCTAACACAGTGAAACCCCGTCTCTACTAAAAATACAAAAAATTAGCCGGGCGTGGTGGCAGGCACCTGCAGTCCCAGCTACTCAGGAGGCTGAGGCAGGAGAATGGCCTGAACCCGGGAGGCAGAGCTTGCAGTAAGCCAAGATCACGCCATAGCACTCCAGCCTGGGCGACAGAGCGAGACTCCATCTCAAAAAAAAAAAAAAAAATTACTCACAAAGAAATCATAAAACCATGTTTTTTTCTTTCAAAAGAATTCCAAAGGAAAAAAAATGCCCTGAAGAATAGCAAGCATGGCCTTTATCTTTGCAGCTTAGGATGCTGCATTTTCAGGTTTCCTCATGGACTTTGTGATTTCCATTTCAACACATCCCAGTTAGCAGCCAGGTATAACAAACCGCTACAATCATCCGCTCTTTATTGTGCTGATCCAAGCTCATGGCCACAGAGGGGTTAAGTGGAAAATGAAATCCAAACTGTGTTATCCAAGCACAAGATTCAGTGGACTTCAGCTCTGAAAGACCCACTGGGTGAGGAGGCCGTAAGCAACCCTGCAGAAGGAGAGCCTTGGAAAGGGCCCAAGTGTGGTAAGATACACACCTCCACATAGATGTCTTACAAGGCCTCACTCCATGTGCTCTTCTGTGTGTCTAAGAAAAACCTGGTAAGAGAGCTGACTTAGGGGAATGTCTCTATATGAACACTTACATGACATTATCTTTCCATTAATTAATATACTGAAAATATAAGTGTCTGCTATGTGCCAGGCACTAGCTGAGCACGAAATACACAAAGTTGGATAAAACATTTTAAAATTATTCTTAATTACCTATGGATGGGAATGCTACTGTACTTGAATAATAATGAAATAACTAGCATGCATGTACACTTTCCACATTCTAGGCACTGTTCTGACCACTTTATCTCATCTCATCTCATTTAATCCTCACAACCAGGTGAGATCAGTACAATTATTATCCCCATTTTATACAATAGGAAACAAGCTTAGAGAAATGAAACAATCTGCACAAGGTCACCTATCTAGTAAGTGGCAAGCCAGAGTTTCCAAGCTGTGTCTGTCTGACTTAAGGCTTCAGCTGCAAACTCCTACTCTGTGTAACCTAACAGGTGCTTCACTCACACAGCCATCTCTACACTGTATCCATTGACCTTCAGCCATATGGAAACGGAGAAGATAGCACTTATTGCTTGTTTAGAGAAGGTGGCTTGCTTTTATCTTTTTCTAATTCACTCCTTAAAATAATCCCTTTCTTGCATTTATCCCTCTTTTTTGCAGAAAGCATATCTTTCCACCTATTTTATCGTATTTGACCTCATTAAATCCCTATAAGGAGAGAGGAATAAATTTTATTACCCCTCCTGAGTCAAGGCACTGTAATACATCTCCTCTTAGTCAATCTGTTTAACTCAGGCAACCTCAGGAATGTAAAGGAAAATCAGAAGCTTGTGTTTGGACATGATTCTGCTCCTCTGAGAAACCCTTTCACCTCAACAGTCTACAGATTTCCATGGAAGACCTTGAGACGGTCATTCAGGAATTGTAGCCTGCTGTTTCCTGTGCATTCAGGAAGACATGAAAGCAATTACAAATTGCTTAACAGATGATGCATAATATTAGAGATGAAGAATCTGGCTGTGAACACTTGCACCAGGGAAATTCTGCTGTGTGATTTCTCTTCCAGATCAGCACCTTGTGCTAACAGTATCGTACTGGCATGATGCTGAGTACTCCTAAATAATGATCCAGTATAAGAAGAAAATTAAAATTTCAGAAACTTTCACTACATAGAAGAAAGAGCATGGATGTCTGTGCTTAACAGACCTGTTTTCTGAGTTCTAATAACATTAGGAAAATTACCTCACAGGGCTGACTCTCAATTTGTTCATTCACAAAATGGAGATAATAACTATATTTCAGGGCTGTGAAGATATGAAATAACTTACGTGAAATACCTAGCATATAGAAGCTGTTCCATAAGTGATAGCCTGTTGTTGACATTGACTAACATTTATTGAGCACTTAGTATATGCCAGGTGCTGTTGTATGCACTTCATATGTATTAATCCGTTAAATCCACAGAACGGTCCTTTCACTTAGGTACTATTATCATTTGGATTTTCCTGATGAGGACATGAAGGTCCATAAGGTTTAAGAATATTACCAGATCACATAGCTAGTAAGTGGTAAGCCAGAATTTTTGAACCCAGGAGACTAACTGTAGTCTTAATTATGGCACTCACTGTCTCTAAAATCATCTTGGGAACCTAACATCTTTCAGGCATACAGACTTAACTTCCAGTCCATTTTCGTTTCCTGCAGTTCCTTATTCATAAACCTAGGAAATATTTCTTAGTGACCCCAGGAAAAATTGCCCCAGCTTAACTCTGTAACCTGTTCAATTTTACCCTCACATGCAATTGAGAAGTGTTCTTAATTTATAACAGCAACAGCTTCTTTCAGAAAGCTTTCCCACCTAACTGTACCAATCTCACCTATAAGCGACATCATTGGCTCATTTCTCTACCTTGAATTTCACTCTGGATAAATTTAGAAGTCACCTTTTGTAATTTTACACATTTTCTTTAAATTTTTCCCACAACATAAACCTACAAGATTCTTCTTTTTTCTTAACAGCTTGCAAAAGTGGTCATATATATCTATGATTCATCTCCTTCAGCCAAATGGTCTGAAATATTCAAGGACTTCAACTGCCTAAAGGCTTTTTTCAGATAACACAATTGTGCATATACTCTTTTCAGCTTTAAATTCAAAATACTGTCCATTAGATTTTTCATATTCTCCTAGTTGAAAGACTTTTTAGGACATCTAAAATTTGTGTGAATTTTTAAATTTATGTCTTTTGAGTTATTTTCTTCTTTTATTTTGCCAAGAATTAATATGCATTTTAAAGCAATAGAAATAATTTGTCCCTTTGCAGCATTTTTTATCCCTTTGCAGAATTTATTAGACAATAGTTACTACCTTTATGAAGCAGATTTCCTGGACATCTACAAACTTCTTTAAATTACAGTGTTAGTAGTAAACATGCTTTTATGAGATTCCACATGTGGAAAAAAATAACTTTTTAAGAATGTTTAGTTTGATCTCTGCCCAATAGGATATCATATAATAAAATTATAGGTAAAAGCCACAAAAAAAAATAAAGTCATAAAAAATGATAAAAGTTATCTGGTGAAATTGATTAGCAATGTATGGATCATTTTTCTCATTTACATTTTTCTAGAAACTTATTAATTTTTCTTCATCAAAATGTGATGCTCAAAAGTTGAAAGCCAGAATGCCATCACAAATAAGGAGGAAAATTGTCGTAGTTTAGAATGCCTAAAGTTACAATTGCATAACATATGCTGTTAAAAAAATATATCCTCTATTAGTCATTTCTCACAAAAATCTGTGATGAACTTTACATAACCAAAAAATCCCTGGTATCTCAGCAGGGTCACTCCAGCTGTCAGTGTGAATACATGCAAAATGAAACAAACAAGATATACCTATTTTCTTTCTTTGTCTGAAAAGGATGGCTTTCATTCAAATTCACATCATACATTTGCAGATAAACTATATTTTTGCATTGTGTGATTTAGTGACATCACATTTTCATGCAAAGGACCATTGAATTCCCTAATGATGTTCTGATTTTCTTAACAATGAACACCAGTGAACTTTCCCCTAGGCAAACCAGATGGAAACTAAATCGTTTCTGCAGAATGAACGATTTGTGAAATCTTGGCAAATTGAATTCCAAATATACTTAGAGATGATCTTGACTTTCTCTGTAACTCTACCACAACATGCAATGCATTTAAGGCCTACATGGGAAATACACTAATTAGTTGCATAACCTTTATGCAGAAATGAATGAGAACAGAAGATCACCATCAAAGGAATAAAAGTCAGTAACTCCGAAAAAGAAGTAATATGCAGATGGGACATCTTCACTAAGAAAGTATGAGTTTAATGTAGATATTGTGGGAGGTATTCCCTTGTCATCTTTGAATTGGTTCTTTTTAACCTGCTTTGTGAAGGAGGTAACTCATTAAGCACGTTTCTTTACATTGTTTCAAATACGTCATTTAGCTAGTTATATGAAAATCTGAATTCAAATTCTTAATCTATGTGTCTACATTTTCTACTTCACACACTCTCTTACCTATACCCCAAAATGGAATTAAATGGACTGTGCATGAAAAAGATTTTGTTTCTATTACCCACAATCTAATTATATTATTTTCACAGTGACATTATGAAACTATCCAGTAGATGCAACATGTTTGTCACACAAAAGATAAATTGTGCTTTCTTCTTTATTTCAAGTAAAGAATCCTTACAATTCTCATAGCATTCCATCTACAGAGGGTTATAATTTCCCCAGATGTGACTAAAATGGCCATAGTTATCATTAGGTTTTATATCTTGTCTGAGTCCATTTAGGCTACTATAACAAGATACCATAAACTGGGTGGCTCATAAACAACAAAAATTTATTTCTCACAGTTCTGGAAGCTGAGAAGTCTGAGATGAAGGTGCCAGCAAATTTAGTGTCTGATGAAGTCCGCTTACTGGCTCATGGTCTTTTCACCATGTCCTCACATGTCAGACGGGGCAAAGGAATTCTCTCTGGCCTCTTTTACAAGGACTCTCATCCCATTCAGGAAGACTCAGCCCTCATCACCTAATCACCTCCCATTGGCCTCACCTCCTAATACCATCACCTTGGGAGTTAGGATTTCAATGTATGAATTCTGCGGAGGAGACACAAACATTCACAGCACAGTGTACCTATTCAGAAATTCAGATATTCCACCTCAGCTACTATGTCATCAAGTAATCAGGGCTTTTTTGCATTTTTACAAGGTTCACTCATATCTAAATCTAAATCTAAAGAGGGTTTTTTTGCATCTTTACAAGATTCAGCCACTCAATGTCTTTAAAAAATAATGAGGCAAAGTCAGGAAAACGCTTTTTAGAAAGGGTTATTCTACTGGCATTAAACTAGCAAGAAAAAAAATATTGGCATCTTTCATTTATAGAACAGGTTTAATTTCTCAACACTTTTATGTTTTGACTTGTTTATTCCTACCAGCTCTTTGTTATAAAAGATAGTTACATTATTATTTATAAATCTAACAACAAACAACAAACCAGCCAAATTCCCAATGTTGTTTATGTATCATTTTTCAAACCTATTCATTTTTCTCAAATTGTGATTGTTTTCTCTTTGTCTTGTTTACATTTTTTCCTGCCAAGTTAATTCTCCAATAAACTTTATACATGGTCCGTGACATTGCTCCCCTTCTGGAAACATTGATACCCAAAATCCTACTTTATATTTTTACCTTTGCTTTTAATGAGAAACCCAAATGTATCTTAACTCTTCAAAAAAAAGTTACTGAGTATACGCTATGTGCTAGGCAGCTTTTTCTTTTTAATATCACTATTGCCTGTAGCTTAGTTTTTCATTTTTACCTCATGGTCTTGACCAACTAACTCCAAACTTTTCTTACTGAGGTACAAACTAAGAATGACTATTTTCTCTGTCCTATGCCTTTCCCACAGTTAAAAAAAAAAATCTCTCTTGTCTGTAACTCTATATTCATATGGTGCACACTGTTAGGCAAACCGATTAAAACCCAGGACATATTTAATGAAAGAGGGAGAAAGGTGAGCAGATATTTACGGCACAATATTGCAAGTGCTATACTGAGGGTTTGGGAAGGTGTTACAGAAATGCAAAGAAAGAAGAAGGGCCAAACTTGAACGAGAATGGTCAGGGAAAGGCTCGGCGAGGATATGACAGTGAGAAATAAGTAGGAGACCAGTAGGAAAACAAGGGAAGGGAAGTTGTACCAGGCAGATGAAGCAGCACGTTCAAAGGCTTGGAGGCACAAGAACATGGTGCAATCGAGAACATGCACGCATCCGCTCTCCTTGTTCTATTTCCTGCAACCCTATATGAATTTGCTTTCACGTAGTAAGATTTCTGTTGTGTAAGCTTAATCTCCTTTGATATTTCTTTGATAATACTTTCATCATTTTTCTTCTTATGTCCATAGACTTCATCCTCTACTCTGGCATCATCTTCATAGGTTGCCCTTTGTATTCTTAAAAATCTTTTCAAGTGGGATCACCTTTTCCAAAAGCCTGTCAAGAGGTCAGGTTATGTTTAACCAGGACCCTCCCATGTCTACTGTGTTAATCCTTCTTGCTTGTAAATATTAGGAGAGCCAGGAACATTCACAAAGCTGGTCTTTTTTATTTCTCACGACACATTGACACATCTAACTCACTTTTTCCTTCTCCCACAATTCATTCCCCCACTCCAGGTGACATTCTTCCCCTACTGATGAGTATCAAAACATCCCAAGCCTATCCCTTCAGGTGTGTTGACCTCCCTCTTTACATTATAGTAAAGTGCTTGTGCTTAATAGTAAATTCCATTCTGCTTCCAACACGGCAAGCAGTGCTTTCCTACACTTGTACGATTTTATTTAGTCCCCCAAGACCCTTTCAACTAGATCTTTCTTTCTGGAATCTAATGTCTCCTCTTGTCAGATAGTCCTTTTTCCTGGAACTTGGGTTTTATCCACAGAAAGCCTGTTATGTTTGTCTGTTTTTCCAGCCTTTCCTCGTATTTCTTCTGTGTGTTCTTATGCCTTTCCTTTCCTTGTATGCCTTTGCTTGTGTTCTCTGATGCTTTTTTTTTTTTTTTACTCGCAATCTTTTCTTTAATCTTCTGTGGACTTCAAACACAGGTCCGTGTTTGAAAAGGCAGTGGTTTCCCTTTCCTCTGCAAGAACCATCTTCTCCAGGCACCTTTATCTTGGCTCTTGCTCTTCCGACTAGCTTATTTAAATTCCTGCTGTACCTTTCAATCCATTTTGAGAGAAGTATAAATAATATGTAACATTGATAACATTTTCCTCCATTCAATCAACAATAGTTTACCAACACACACACATACCCAAAATACCCAATGACAACCTCTTTTTAGGGTCCATCCATTCAAAAACACATACCCTGTGCTAAACCTCTCATGCTACCTTTTCCTTATCTGAGACTTTTCTCCAAGCACTTTCTTCTCATGTGATTTGTCAACACACATATAAAGGACATCTCTGGCTGTTCCAGCAACAGCCAGAACTTGTTTCTGTTCTGGATTAAAAGCAGCTGGAAAGTAGAATGCCCATGTTCACCTTGACAGCTTTCTGTTCCATACTTATGTTTCCCTATCCTAATGCCAAATTTCTCTGCTGCTGTTAATGAAACTTTACTACATCATAATGGGATTTTTCAATGAAATTGCCATATGACCTATCTCCTGTGTTACAGTCTTGAAGAGAACTAACAGCCTTTGGCTTTAACTTGCTTGGGGAAATCACCAGTGCCTACTGCTTTTTCTCCTGATACAGCCTACAAAATATATCCATTTTCTCTATCATCTGAGGTTCACATCAAACTCTTTATTTCTGTGGATTTGAATTACTGCAAATATGTCTCCTGGGTTCTTCCCAATTGAACTGATAATTAGGGTCCTGCCACATAGTCCCTCTCCAGGCAACAGCTCTCATCCATTATGAAGTAAGTCCACAAAAAAAGTCTTTCAAAATCCTTCCACTGCTTTCCCCACGATTCCTGAGTTGATTTTCCTTATCTTCTCTCTTCTTTCTGTCCTCTTCCTAATGGAAGATAAAATAGACAAATTGGCACTTTTTCCCCTTTATTCTCTTCCTCAAGCTTCTTTTTTCTCCTCTATATCTTTCTCTATTTTTCCTACGGCTTTGCCTCTCTAACTGCAATTCTTTGCCTTTTTTTGTGTCTTCTCTCCTTTTTTAAGTGTCCCATTTGCATTTGCTGTTGACAGAGGCCATGGCAAGCTAGAGCCAAAAGTAGAGAAGCTGGCTTTGGCCCCCTCTGACCTCCCTAACACTGCACTCATTCATTCATTCATTGAGACAGGATCTCAGTCTTTTACCCAGGCTGGAGTGCAGTGGCAATCATAGTTCACTGCAGCCTCCTTATAACTTCTGGGCTCAAGCAATCCTTCCACCTCGGCCTCTGGAATAGCTGGGATGACCGGTGCACACCACCATGCTGGGCCAATTATTTATTTTTTATTTCATGTTATGTATTTATTTATTTTTATTATTTTTTATTTTGGGGGGTGGAGACAGGGTCTTGTTTTGTTGCACAGGCTGGTCTCAAACTCCTGATTTCAAGAGATCTTCTGCCTTAGCCTCCAAAAATTTTGGGAGTACAGCATGAGCCACTGTGCCCAGCCCCTAACACTCCTTTAAATAGCTCTTCTCTCCTCACCATCTTCTGTGTGACTTGCCTTAGTCTATCCCATGTCTTTCATGTCCTCCTTTTTGGTTCCCCTCCCCCCAGTGTTGGGACCCCTTGGCTCACAGATAGATTGTGTGCCATCCTCACTGATAGGTAAATAGACATTTACAGTCAATATTGCAGTAGACAAAGAAGATATTATTTATCCATTTTAATGGTGGGAGGAGAACATGCTCAGAGTGCACCTAGGAGCTGATTAGTGGCAGAACTCAGGTCTGCTGGGCATTCCCCACAGCTCCTCTTTTATGACAGCTCCCTGACAAGAAGGAAAACTTTCCTTGGGTAATGACATCTCCAAATTGCGTGGCCATTCCTATTCCCTCCAGAGATTTCTTCTTGGATACTATTGTCCCAGAACTAAAAAGAGAAAAATACTCTTTGGATAGAACAACATCCTAGCTTCTGAGCTTTCTGCATCAAGACCCCATTTTCCCCATGATGTCCTCTCAAGTTAATTAGGATGCACTAGCAGAAGTAGCTACAGAGTGACAGAACTTCAGGATACAAAGTCCTTGCAGTCATTGAGTATCATTAGTAAAAAGGTAATGCTGCTCTGTCAGGAAGCCTGTGTATAAATCATTCAGATACATATCTCTGCCACTAAAGATTATGCTTCTCAGAGTTAAAAGTACTAAACAATGCCTTCCAAGGTTTATCTGCCACTGTTTTTCATGAACGCTCCAGGATCAAGAGCACACTTTCTGGCATATTGCTTTAAAATGCCTCCTTTCTAACTGTGCAGGTCAAATCTGCATTGTTATTTAGAAATACATGTTGCCCATATTTCAAAATTACTTGGTATCCACACTTACATTTACATTTTAACAGAAGATAATACTGGTTCCCATAATCCAAATCACTATGAGGCAGCTTTATCCCAGAGCCTCAAAGTCAGGTGAGGACAGGAAAGTAGAATGTTTAAAATTGGATTTGACCCAGAAAACCGAGGACATGTGGTTGACAGAGGGAGAATGTTAAAGTGACAAAGCAACTTGGTAAAAGGTTTGTCTTTGGACGCCATCCCCAAACTGTTCTCCATTAGTTTCTTTCCACTTCGCATGTCCTTAGGCAATTGGCCATTTGCCTGGATTCCTACTTAGCCCTCTACCGAGAGCAGCACCCAAGCTATGGGGCTCACCTACCATCTTCCCCATTTTTCACCATTTCCATTGACTTAGAGAAATCATCCATATTCCAAGAAAATGTCAACTAATTTTTTTTTCTTTTTTCTTTTTCCTTTTTTTTTTTCTTTTTTGAGACAGGATCTCACTCTGTCACCCAGGCTGGAGGGCAGTGGTACAAATCATAGCTCACTGCAGCTTCAAACTCCTGGGCTTAGGCAATCCCCCGACCTCCTACCTCAGCCTCCCAAGTCACTGGGACTACAGGCATACACCACCACTAATTTTCTTTAATTTTTATTTTTAGTCGCTTTGTTGCCCAGGCTGGTCTTGAACTCCTGAGCTCAAGTGATCCTCCCACCCTGACCTCCCAACAAACTGGGATTACAACTGTGAGCCACCACACCTGACCAACTAAAATTTCTCTTTTTTTTTTCTTCAATCCCTCCCTGCCTCCCTCCCTCCCTCCCTTCCTTACTTCCTTTCTTCCTTCCTTCTTCCCTCCCTCCCTCCCTTTTTTTTTATTATACTTTAAGTTCTAGGGTACATGTGCACAATGTGCAGGTTTGTTACATATGTATACATGTGCTGTGTTGGTTTGCCGCACCCATTAACTCGTCATTTACATTAGGTATTTCTCCTAATACTATCCCTCCCCCATCCCCCGACCCCACAACAGGCCCGTGTGTGATGTTCCCCACCCTGTGTCCAAGTGTTCTCATTGTTCAATTCCCACCTATGAGTGAGAACATGCAGTGTTTGTTTTTCTGTCCTTGTGATAGTTTGCTCAGAATAATGGTTTCCAGCTTCATCCATGTCACTACAAACAACATGAATTCATCCTTTTTTATGGCTGCGTAGTATTCCATGGTGTATATGTGCCGCATTTTCTTAATCCAGTCTATCATTGATGGACATTTGGGTTGGTTCCAAGTCTTTGCTATTGTGAATAGTGCTGCAATAAACATACGTGTGCATGTGTCTTTATAGCAGCATGATTTATAATCCTTTGGGTATATACCCAGTAATGGGATGGCTGGGTCAAATGGTATTTCTAGTTCTAGATCCTTGAAGGAATTGCCACACTGTCTTCCACAATGGTTGAACTAATTTACACTCCCACCAACAGTGTAAAAGTGTTCCTATTTCTCCACATCCTCTCCAGCACCTGTTGTTTCCTGACTTTTTAATGATCGCCATTCTAACTGTTGTGAGATAGTATCTCATTGTGGTTTTGATTTGCATTTCTCTGATGACCAGTGATGATGAGCATTTTTTCATGTGTCTGTTGGCTGCATAAATGTCTTCTTTTGAAAAGTATCTGTTCATATCCTTTGCCCACGTTTTGATGGGGTCGTTTGATTTTTCTTGTAAATTTGTTTAAGTTCTTTGTAGATTCTGGAAATTAGCCCTTTGTCAGATGGGTAGATTGCAAAAATTTTCTGCCATTCTGAAGGTTACCTGTTCACTCTGATGGTAGTTTCTTTTGCTGTGCAGAAGCCCTTTAGTTTAATTAGATCCCATTTGTCTATTTTGACTTTTGTTGTCATTGCTTTTGGTGTTTTAGTCATGAAGTCCTTGCCCATGCCTACGTCCTGAATGGTATTGCCTAGGTTTTCTTCTAGGGATTTTATGGTTTTAGGTCTAACATTTAAGTCTTTAATGCATCTTGAATTAATTTTTGTATAAGGTGTAAGGAAGGGATCCAGTTTCAGCTTTCTACATAATGGCTAGCCAGTTTTCCCAGCACCATTTGTTAAATAGGGAATCCTTTCCCCATTTCTTGTTTTTGTCAGTTTTGTCAAAGATCAGATGGTTGTAGATGTGTGGTGTTATTTCTGAGGGCTCTGTTCTGTTCCATTGGTCTATATGTCTGTTTTGGTACCAGTACCATGCTGTTTTGGTTACTGTAGCCTTGTAGTATAGTTTGAAGTCAGGTAGTGTGATGCCTCCAGCTTTGTTCTTTTTGCTTAGGATGTCTTGGCAATGCGGGCTCTTTTTTGGTTCCATATGAACTTTAAAGTAGTTTTTTCCAATTCTGTGAAGAAAGTCATTGGTAGCTTGATGGGGATGGCACTGAATCTATAAATTACCTTGGGCAGTATGGCCATTTTCATGATATTCATTCTTCCTGTCCATGAACATGGAGTGTTCTTCCATTTGCTTGTGTCCTCTTTTATTTCCTTGAGCAGTGGTTTGTAGTTCTCCTTGAAGAGGTCCTTCACATCCCTTGTAAGTTGGATTCCTAGGTATTTTTTTCTCTTTGTGGTAATTGTGAATGGGAGCTCACTCATGATTTGGCTCTCTGTTTGTCTGTTATTGGTGTATAAGAATGCTTGTGATTTTGCATATTGATTTTGTATCCTGAGACTGCTGAAGTTGCTTATCAGCTTAAGGAGATTTTGGGCTGAGACAATGGGGTTTTCTAAATATACAATCATGTCATCTGCAAACAGGGACAATTTGACTTCCTGTTTTCCTAATTGAATACCCTTTATTTCTTTCCCTTGCCTGATTGCCCTCTGGCCAACTACAATTTCATACCATGATGGATGCCATGTTGCCCATTAGGGGGTGAAACAGTGTTTCATATTGTTTTAAAGGACCCATAGAGATCTAAAGCTTTAGCTAAAGGTAATAAATGGTAGAATTTCAAGTACCTCAGCACACTATAGCATAAAGAATCTTTTGACAAGGACACTTTTGGAATTCACTTTTCCCTACTCTCCACTAAAAAGTCACAGTAGTAATTATTTACAAATTCCTCTACTTTCTCTATAGTGGTCCTTCCTAATACATGTTTCTATAATGACACCTACAATTTTATGTTGAATTTTTGTTTATATGCCTGTTCATGCCAGCATTGAAAAAGCTTCTTAGGGCAAAGACATGTTTTAATCATCCTTTGTTTCTAGTTCTTTGTAGCATGACTGGCATATTGAAAACCCAACATAAGGGTTTGACATATAAGACTAAGCTTTACTCATTTTCTACAAACCACAGATTTTTAAGTGGATCACTAATTATACTTCTGAAAACACTGTTTAGAAGTCATTTATTTATTATTAGTATTAATTATTTCAGGCTAGGCTACAATAACAAATAGGCCCAAACACGTAATGGGTTCTGCAAAAGAGAAGTCTTGGCAGGTAGGGCTCTGCTTTATTAAATCTTCAAGGATCCTGTCTCACTGAACCTCTGCCATCTTCAGCATTTCAGCATGTAGCTTCCAAGGTCACTCTGAGGTCACTATCACAGACATAGAAAAGAAAAAAAATCATGGGTAGGAGTTCTGGGGGACTGGGTCTAGGAGTGGTGCACATCACTTCTGTTCACATTCCATTAGCTAGAACCCAATCACAAGACCACATCTAACTACAAGAAAGGCTGGGAAATGTAGTCTAGCTGTGTTCTCAGGAAGAAGAGCGTGGACTTTTGGTAAACTACAGAGACTCTGGCAGTCTCTGCCAGAGTGGAATACTTAATAAATACATTCATTCTTTTTTTTTTTTTTTTTTTTTTTTTTGAGACAGAGTCTCGCTCTGTTGCCTAGGCTGGAGTGCAGTGGCATGATCTCAGCTCACTGCAAGCTCCAACTCCCAGGTTCACACCATTCTCCTGCCTCAGCCTCCCAAGTAGCTGGGACTATAGGCACCCGCCACCATGCCCAGCTAATTTTTTGTATTTTTAGTAGAGACGGAGTTTCACCGTGTTAGCCAGGATGGTCTTGATCTCCTGACCTCGTGATCCACCCGCCTCGTCATTCAGAAAGATGTGAAAGATGAGTGAAAGTTAACTAAGTAAACGGGAGGGTGGCAAGAGGGCAGAATGTCAAGCAAAAGGAACTGTTTATGTGAAGCCTCTGAAAGTGTAGGTGGCGTGGCACAGTTAATGATATAAAGAAGGCTTTCCCCTTGTGGCTGTTGCGCAGAGGGAGAAAGAGGCATTTGATGAGGCAGAGGAATAAGTAGGAAATAGAACTTGAAGATTATTCTAAATGATCATAAGAATTTGGGCCTTTTAACTCAAGAGAGATAGGAGACCTACTTAAGGATTTTAAGATTTGGTTTTTTGATGTTTTGTTTTTTAGAGACAGGGTCTTGCTCTGTTGCCCAGGCTGGAGTGCAGTGCCACAATCATAGCTCACTGAAGACTCAAACTCTCGGGCTCAACTGATCTTCCTGCCTCAGCCTCCTGAGTCACTGGAACCACAGGCATGCACCACCATGCCCGGCTATTTTTTTGTTTTTTGTAGAGATAGAGTCTGGCTTCATTGCCCAGACTGGTCTCAAAATCCTGGTTTCAAGCTATTCGCCCTCCTTGGCCTCCCAAAGTGCGGGGATTATAGGAGTGAGATACGATGCCTGTTATTTAAAAGGTGACTCTGTCAATTGTATTCTAAGAGTAAATTTCAGGAAACCAATTAAGAGGGTATTGGAGTAATCTATATGAGAGATTATTTGATCACATGGTGAAGACTATAAGGATGGAAACAAGTGAACTTATTGAGAGATTTTATGATAAATAAAATCAGAACTCAAAAGAAGTCAATGATCAACGATCAGTGATAATGCCCAGTTTTCTGGCTTAAGCAACCCCTTGGATGCTAATATCATTTGTTGAAATCGAGTGAACCAGATTTAGAAGAAAGATCATAAATTCAGTTTTTGGCATTCGAGTCTAAAACGAGTGTGAGATATTCAATGACTAGTGGACAGTTAGATATAAAAGTCTGGGGCTTAGAGAAAATATCTAAACTAGAGATACAAACTGGAGAATCACTTCCATATTATAACTAAAACCATATACTGGGATAAGATTAGTTTATGAAGAAAAGAAGTTAGTTATAACTACACCCTGCAAAGGGAGACCAAGAGTGAGTGGCCAGGGAGGCAGAGAAACTAAAATCAGGAAATCATTGTATTATAGAATCCAAGGAAAGAAAGGGAGTCAATAAATTCTGCTGAAAGTTCATGGAAATGAGACCTGCAAAATATTAATGGTTCGGTAATATGGATGTCATTTGAAATCTTAGTAGCAACTATTTTAATAAAATGATGGAGAGAGAAATCAATGGAACATGAAAAAATGGGGACAGTGATTGTAACCAATTTCTTCAAGAAATTTGGCTGTGCAAAGGAGCAGAGAGACATGGCACATGTAGAAAAGAGGATAGTTGAAATAGGAATTTTGTTATGATAATAGCGAACACTCACACAGTACATTTTGTGAGCCAGGAACTCTTCTAACTCCTTTTTTACATACTAACTGATGTAATTCTACTGACTCCATCACTATTCTTCCATTTTAGAGATTAGAAAAGTGAGGCACAGAAGAGAAAGTACATTGCCTGAGGCTTAGTAGGTAATAAGAAGCAGACTTGGGAATTGAACCTAAGTAGCCTGACTATAGAGTCCATGTTGTTACAAAGTCACTGAGGAATCTTCTAAGCATATTTTAATGTTGAAAGAAAGATCTCAAATGTTATTTTGTCTTTTGTCAGTAATAAAATATTTGGCACATACTCCCAATATTTCTGTCTTTCTATAAATCATATATATATTGTGCTATACCAATATATGATGTGTTTTATAAAACATATAAATGAAACACAATTTTGAAAATATGGGATAAAAGTAAATATAAATAGAAGGTCTAATATTGTCTTCTCATACTCCAATGGATTATCTTATGAAATCTGCAATGAAGATAACTAAAGAAGAGAGGGAAAGGATAGAGAAAAAGAACTGAGTGCATTTACTGGTTTCGACTACATGTGCAAATTTCCACAAACTCCGTGGCTTAAAACACCCATTTATTAGTTCAGTCCAGTAAAACAGAGAGAAAAACTAGACAGGTAGCTCTAATAAAGTAAAATCATGGAAATATATGATTTCCCAGCCAGAAGAACCTTCAGGACTGTGTTATCCAGACCTGTTTTATAAAGACAAGGAAGGTGGATCCCGATGGTTAAGCAGTTGACCACATTTCACCTCCTTCAAATCCTTCTTATACAGACATTCCCTGAACTTCCTGTTTCAAATTGCTATCCTTATTCCCCACCTACTTTACATGTTTCCACAGCACATACCTCACCAAACATGCCTTTTATTTTACTGTTATTTTGTTGACTTTGCGTGTCTTACTGACCACTGTGCCCAAGTGCCTAGAACAGTGCCTGGCACAGAGGAGGTACCCAATAAATATCAGTTATACCAAAAAATAGTGAATGAATACACATGGTGGTCCAGTGCTCTTTCCACCACTCTATACTGTACTTTACTGTCACTTTTTGTTTGTTTTTGTTATTGAGACAGGGTCTCGCTCTGTCTCCCAGGCTAAACTACAGTGGCACGATCTCTGCCCACTGCAACCTCCACCTCTTGGGCCCAAGTAATCCTCCCACCTCAGCCTCCTGAGTAGCTGGGGCTATAGGCACGCATCACACCACACCTGGCTATTTTTTTGTATTTTTTTGTAGAGACAGGATTTCACCAAGTTGCCCAGGCTGGTCTCAAACTCCTGGGCTCAAGCAGTCTGCCCGCCTCTGCCTTCCAAAGTGCTGGTATTACAGCCATGAGCCACCACACCCGGCCTACTGTCACTTTTAAGAAGCATTTTGATTTTCTATTTTCATCCTTATTTTGATCACATCAGAATATCTGCTTTTCTGTGAATTATTATTTCTAATGGGACCACAAGTGTATCAGTTAATCAAAATATAAATTATGGACATCATGAGGAAATTTTGAATTTCTAAATCATAAAGTGGAAATCCATTTTCAATTAAATTACATGAATTTTACACTTACAGAAGAGTAACTTGGTTTAAGCTGTTCAAGGGGTATAGTACTGTGTACATGCATTCCTGTGCCTAGAACACTCATGCCCTCTTGTGGACAGGGTTCATCCTGACTTCCTGCCGAACCTTCCTTATCTCAGCTCAGGTAACCGCTCCTCCAGGACACCTATATGTCCCCTGCCCTCCTCCTCCTCCCACAGACACCAGCTCTGGTTAAAAGGGGAAAACTAGAAGGCTTGTCTTAAAGCTACATTTGCATGGCCAGCACATTGGTTTTACAAAGAACATGCATTTGGGGTGGCTTGCAGAAATTTATAACGATTATTGAGGGAATAAATCTCTAAAGTCCCCCTCTCCTTAGTTACTAGACCCTGGAAGGTTTCAATCTTCACCTCCTATAGCATTTGTGCCACTTCTGTAGTACAGTCAATGCATTATATTTTTACTCATCTAGGTATCCATAGAGCCTAGACTAGAACCTAGAAGAGTCTGTGGTGGAACTCAGTAATTATTTTTTAATAAGAAATGAACGAATATAAACCAATGAGTTACAGAGTATGCCTAAAGAATAAGCATCCAAAGATACACTCTCTTTCACCTGAACAATTTACTATACATTTGTAGACTAGGCCAGATTCAGTCTTTCTAGCCTGAACACATTACACAGCAACATTTCACACTGTGACCATCTGGTCCATTAGATGTAAATACCGATTTGGCAGATACTTCAGGAGTATGAGAGTAATGCAGGAATAAAATGAAGTTGAAAAATGCTACCACCCAAAAGATATATTTAAAGCCACATATTATCTTATTAAAATTAAAAACCTAACATTGTCCTTCATATAAGTGAAGACTGTTTTAGTATTTTTACTAATGGGGACTATGCAAATGGTCTGAATTTTCATTTGAGAGATAATTGGGTCTCCATTTGTATGTCACCTCTAAACAAGACTCCCAACCTCAGAGAAAAACCATCTACTCATCAAAGAATCTGTTGCCAATTTAACACATAGAAAAATCTTCTTACAATTAACATAAATAGAATGTCCTTTTAAAATGTCACAGCATTAATTCAGGTACTTTTGAAAAACTCACTCAAGAGTACAGTGTTTCCATCAAATGTATGAACTTAGCCCCATTTGCAAAGGTCACTAAAATGAACCCATCTTTTTCCACATAAAACGATGTATGGGGCTACAGAGCCATTAAATAAATATTCATTTTAAATCAAGCTTTTTATTTATCCATTGGAGATGACCTCTGTTCTAATTATCTATAATGCTTTTCAAAAAGGAAAGGTATTTTTGTCGTTGTCTAGTAAATCATTAATTTGTGTCTATTCAATGGCTGCATTTTTTTAAAAATAATGAAATTATCAAGCTGCTCAGAACAAAGCTGCCTTCTGATTGTCAGCTGTATATTCTAAAAGAGCAGGTAAATTTCTCTGAATCTCACAGCTGGAACTTTTCTAACACTAACTGGCAGTTTCCACCTAGTGATCAAGGCAATTGACTAAAATAAATTACACATAAAGCTGAAATTCCTAATAGTAATAAGGCCCCTTCATGAGATAATCACACCAGCAAAAGCACTCATGTGTTGGCTGCAACCCTACAGGGTCTTGAAATTATCTTATAAAAGCTATACCTCCAGAAATGGTTTTGTTTCTAGTTTCATGACAGGGCTAATATGACAGTGTCCATAGCACTAGGTACAAAGGAGGAGCTCCAAACAAAATTCGTTACTTGACTGGATTAAAATGGAGACACTGTTGTTAAAGCACTAACATCAGTGCTATTTACAAAGCAGATGACTGGTGAGGACCTCATTTCAATACAGTCAACTGACAATTATTTCGAAGCTTTTATTATGTGCCTGGAGCTAGGCATAGAAAAGTAGTATATAGTCCCTGCTCTTCTGGAGTTTAAGGTGAGTTGAGCTCACGTGTAAGAAATAAATAGGGAAAAAGTAATCTCGAGGCACCATTCTACCAGCTATAAAGCAATTGCTAGCAGAAATCCAAGTGGGCTAGAATAGTAAGGAGGTTTTTTTGTTTGTTTGTGTGTTTGTTTTTTCTTTTTTTTTTTTTTTTTGAACATGGACTAGGGCTTAATGGTTAGGAGTAATTTGATTAGGCAGAAGGGAATAAAGGATTGCAGATGGATTTTCCAACTAAGCAAAAGTCTGGTAACTGGAAGGAATATAGCTCACAGAGAAATAGTGATTGCTGTAGCAAACTTCCCAATCTTTGTACCATCTTCATGACCAATGCATTTATTAACTGGGCTGTCAGGAGTGTTGATGGCTTATAGCTCATAACTGAGTTCCCCCTTCCTGGCATCACCCTCAGCTGAAAAGATGCTCACCCAAGATGTAGGAGCAGCCCACATCCAATGTTTGGGGGATTCAGGATGATAAAATCTCATCCTTGTTGCCCCATTTCCAAATATCTTTGAAGAACTCTCCCAGCTCCAGAGTTCCCCATAGAATTGACTGAGGTCTTGATGTAACTGTATCACAGCCCAACTTCTCAACCTGTGTAATCCTGATTCCCTCACTCCCAAAGAGGGGTTGATCTAAAGGACACACCCCTATAAACCTCATGTTGAAAATCTGCCTGAGTCTGCTTCCTCAGAGAACTCAACATATGACAAATGAAGATGCTGAAAAGACCAACCTGACTTATTCAGTTGTAAGAAAGCTGCATGTTCTCATTCAGTAGGCATAGACACTATTCCAATGCTGGGAACACAGCAGTAAGAAAAACAAGTCTTTTCTCTTATGGATCTGATATTCTGGTGAGGAAAACCTAAATAGACATAATAGAATGTCAAGTAATGACGGGTGCTAAGACAAAAAAGAAGCAGGGCAAGAGGAGAGGTAATGTTTGTGTTTAGGACTGCATTGGACTACATTAGATAGAGTGGCCACAGAAAAAGTCCCTAAAGAGGTAACATGCAAGCAGAAAGCTGAATAAACTAATGAAACAATTCATACCAGTATCTAGGAGAATATTGCTGACAGAAGGAACAGCAATGCAAAGATCCTCAGATAGAAGTGTGTTTGGCATGTTTTGGAAAGAGGAAGTGAAATCTGGAGAACAGTGGTAGGATACGAAGGGGGCAGATCATATCAGGCCTTTTAGTGTAAGGAACAGATGTTATTCTAAGTAAAAAGGGAAGATCTCAAAGGGCTTTGAGTAGGATTGTCCCATGATCAGATTTCCATTTTAAAAGGATCATGCTGCCTTTTATGTGAGAAGGAAACTAGAAAGGAGCAAGAAGAGATGCAGAGAGGCTATTATGAGGCTATTACAGAGGTCTAGGTCAGAAGTGACAATGACATGGACTTAAGGTTGCCACTGGTCATGGCTTGCCTGGGACTGAGGGGTTTCCCAGGATGCAGGACTTTTAGATCTTAAACCAGGAGGATCTTAAACAAATCAGGATGTTTGGTCACCCTACTTGGACTAGAGTAATAACCCTATGAATGAAGGCATGTGGTCAGGTTCAAAATATATTCTAAGGGTTGAAGAAGCAGTGAAACAAGAGCAAATGGTTTAGACATTTAGGACAGAGGCAAAATGTAAAACTTCTTGAAAGTCAGGAAGAGGGGTTCAGACCTTTCAAACATTCACTTGGCATTAGTATGTAGTATGCATTGAATTTTGAAGAGACTATAACTAAAGAGGTCTTTAATCAGACTACTTCAGAAAATATGACAGAAATGTCACTAGGGCTTAACCACAATGGAACTGATGGTAAAAATGGAGGTGGAGGTGATTGAAATGGTGGTGTTGGTAGTAGCAGAGGTCATAGTGTAGGATGGTGAAGGTGGTAGTGATAGTGACAAGTATCATATAGAGATGGTGCTCATATTGACATGGATGTGGAAGTGGAAGGAAAGAAAGAAAGACAGATGAAAAAAGACAAAGAAAGAAAGAAAGGAAGAAAGGAAAAAAGAAAGAAAGGAAAGAAAAAGAAAGAAAAAAAGAAAAGAAAGAAAAAGAAAGAGGAAGAAAGAAAGAGAGAAGGAAAGAAAGAAAGAAAGAAAGAAAGAAAGAAAGAAAAAGAAAGAAAGAAAGAAAGAAAGGAGGGAGGGAGGGAGGGAGGGAAGGAAGGGAGGAAGGAAGGACGGACAAACAGGAGGAAGGGAGGAAGGTAGGAAGGAAGAGGAAGGAAGGAAGAAAAGGGGAAGGAAGGAAAGAAGGGACGGAGGGAAGGAAGGAAGGGGAAGGAAGGAACGATGGAAGGAAGGATCTAACTTGAGAGACATTTACAAAATGAGAAATATCAGGACTTGTGGGTTAAATGAATAAAGGAAAACAAAGAGAAAGGAAATGGAGATGAGTTAGTGACCCTGACAGAAAGATGTTGGAAAGAATAGTTGAGGGGAGGGATTGGTATTGAACATTAATTTAGTTACAGATATAAAGTAAGAGTGGAATAACCAAGTGGATGGCCAGCTGGGATATTAGTTTCTATCATTCCAGACAGCAGTGTACTAGTAAAGAAAACTCATGATTTTGAGTTAAAAGAGTTTGCCCCAGTTCCTCTCTGAGACAGCTATGTAACCTACACCCTCTCAGTCTCAAAGTCTTTATATATAAAATGGACATAACAGTACCTCGTTCACAGGGCTATTCTAGAAAAAAGTAGACAAAATTGTCAAGGAGCAGCAAGGATATGACTTGGGTATCTTCTTTTTTCTTTGCAAATTTTCCAAGAACCCTTTTAGTCCCCATCACCATAATCCCACCAAAGAAAAACATTCTTTTTAATTTAGAAAATCTTGGTTTCTAGAACTTTAGAGTGATAAATAAAATATTTATATTAAATGTTTATAAATTACTATGCAGCCATCTTTCTTCCAAACTGGCATGCCAAAACTATGAAATTAGAGTTTGATGTAAAACTGTTCATATAAAACTATTGGGTTCTTCTAATTCTTCTATGTTGATGGACAAGAGATATAGTAAAAGCTTCACATGCTAGAACAAGACTCTAGGGACAGAAGTGCTTTTCTTCTCATCACAGAAGTTCAGTGAAAGACTTCACTGAGGAAATGAAAATATTGGTTTCCAAAAATTCGTACTGGCATGAGTCTTTAAATCTGATTCAGGGTAACAACACTGGCTTACTATATAAGCCACAAACACAAGCCTTGTTTTGACTGGGGCAGAATAGAACACACCTTGTGGGGATGACACAGAAGTCCAGATCGTCCTGCCGTGAGGGTCCTTCTTGCGGGCAGTATCAGGGCCTCCCCAGGATGCATATTCTTTTTTTTTTTTTTTTTTTTTTTTGAGACGGAGTCTCGCTCTGTCGCCCAGGCTGGAGTGCAGTGGCGCGATCTCGGCTCACTGCAAGCTCCGCCTCCCGGGTTCACACCATTCTCCTGCCTCAGCCTCCAGAGTAGCTGGGACTACAGGCGCCCGCCACCATGCCCGGCTAATTTTTTCTATTTTTAGTAGAGACGGGGTTTTACCGTGTTAGCCAGGATGGTCTCGATGTCCTGACCTCGTGATCCGCCCGCCTCGGACTCCCAAAGAGCTGGGATTACAGGCGTGAGCCACCGCGCCCGGCCCTCAGGATGCATATTCTTGCTCTTGTTTCACATAAACTTCAAGTCCCTCATCCTCCCCAACATGTGAGAAACACATGACAATCATATTTGCAAATATCCTAGATCAATTAATCTTGGATCAAACCACCAGGTAGTAAAAGAAAGCTGCCCTAATTTTCAAACTTTTGGTAGACAATTATTAAAGCTAATTCTTAGGGCATTAGGGAAAGCATATACTTAAACCTCCAAAAATTTCACTAACAAGAAAATGGTTAGTATAAATTGGATATTTTCCTTGCCTTTTTCTGGAAATGAGTTTTTCTCTATCTTGTTGATGCCCATAAAGGACACAAATTTCAGGAAAATCAAGGACTAGCTTTCAAATATCTTGGAGATCCAGAAGTAATAAAATGCTAAAACTTTTTGAAAAGTAACTTCAGTTAATTAATATAAACTACACATTCAATTTGGCATATCAATTACAATAATTTTATGAGCAAATGAAATTTTACATGTTAAAGTTCTTAAACTAATGAAGCAAATGTAGATCTGTAAAGGGTGCTTTAAAAAAGCACTTTTCCATATTTTTCTTTCTCCCAAAATGCCCATATTTTTCTCTTAAACACTCATTCTTCTCCCATCCCATAACTTTAAAATTACAAGTAACATCACAGATTTCTCCTGCTTCCGAGCATGCTTTTTCAAACTGTACAAATACTCTCTTCTGAAGATAAATATTATGTAAAATCTTTTAAACTTCCTATGTGTCATAAGATTGAGGAATAAAAGGTATTGGAAGAAGACATTTGTGACATTTCTTTGTTCAACACAATTGCAATGCCCCTAAATTAATCGTGGAATTAGATTATGGCCCATAAAGGGAGATGTTATTTAAGAGAGAGCAGTCATGTCTGAAATTCCTAATTAGAACAGTTAGAGTAACCTGATCCTGCAACACAATCAGTTCCCCAAGGAGGCTATTGTGGAAAATAGACAGAATTCTGCGAAAAAAAAAAAAAGAGCCCTCCTCCTAACGAGCATTTTGAACAGCAATTTTGTTCATTTACATTTCTCTTGTCCCATAAAGTTCAGATAAATTTGTCCATATTTTATATTAATTTCCATGATATTGTCTCCCATTCATTATTTTCAGATACTCTGAAGAGTAATTTATTCCACTAGCCTCTCCTGTTGTATAAATTAATTCCTAGGAGTGAGTAGGCACATCAGGTGAATTCAGCACATTAGAAGTAACTCTTTATTATTTATATTAGTGAAAGGGGGTTATGACCTAGATAATTCAAAACAGGTATTTTCTAAAGTTTCCACTTATTTAAGTTTTGAAACTGTGTGGAAAGTGATAATTTAATGATGGATCCTGTCTTCAAGGAGTTTACAATCATGTGGGAGAATTAAGACATATACACACTGAGACAAAAACAGAGTTCTTGGTAACATAGAGATGTATGGTAAAATGCTATGGGGACTCAAGAAATGAAACACTTGGAGCCATAAACATATTTGGTGATGTTTCCAGCACAGACATTACTTTAGCAGAAAGAGGCACTATTTCTCCCTCACACATTGAATGTATTACCTCTCAATTATAGAAAAATTACAATCTTTCTCTTTTGAAAAATGGATATAATGAATACACCCCCCCCCCAAAAAAAAAACGGGGGGGAATTACATTTTCTTACCTGTTAAATTACATCTAGGCACCTATTTCCACACTGGAGACTCTGGCTGACTTAACATATATGTCAAGTTATAGATAAAGACACATATAGTCATAATAAGGGTATTACTTGAAAGTGCCTTAGTATATGGCTTTCTGTAGCTCATTCCTATGTTAAAAGTCTATCTGCAGAAGTCTGACATAACTGTTGCCTTCTGTAGAATCAGAATTCACATTTTATTGTGGGAAACACTAAAATAAGTCTTGATTTGCCATATAGCTAATTCTGCATGTCAGAAAGCACTCTAGAGCCTCCAGTATCTGAGGGGCATACAACAAACTCTCTCTCTTGCACTCTCTCTATCTCTATCTCATGCTTATAAATATGAATGCAAATTCTACTTATGTTGAACAATAATTTGGTTCTTAATTAATCACCCTAGAAAATAAAACACTTAAGGCAGGAGAATCAGTAGGAGTCTTTTCCGAAAAAAAAAGTAAAATTCTCTATACCATCATCATTGTAAACACTTGATCAGTTGTTCAAAAATGCCTGAGTACAGGACTGTTGAATGTTCTTTGGGCCTAAAGTATGGTTATCAGTGAAATAACATGAGAAGTTATGAGATGCATTTGCATTGTGTTACTATGGGTTTCAATTTTCTAGCCTGCTGCTCAGATTTTTAGAATTAGGAATAAAAGTTAGACCTCACTTAAGATGAGTAATACTAAAAGTGCGAAACCTTATACTTTGTTACATTTCAGCTATCAGGAATTCAGAATTTCTCATCAATAAATAGAATTTAATGACACACAAATGCAAGTCCTTTTCCCAAAAACCTAGAGTATTAGAGGTAATCCTATTTGAAATGTAAAAGGACAAAAATTTAGGTCGATTGATTCAACTAAAGTGTTAGGCTTATTTCAAAGCTGTTTAATAAAAACATGAAAATTTTGCCAAGAGTTTTGCAGTGCTATTCAGAGCACAAAGTCTCTTTAAAAAGTCATGTTGTTCTCATTTCCTGCACCATTGAATTATAGATATATTTTGATGAACATTAAAGTATAGATGATCTTTGTTAAAAACTGAAATAGATGGTCTTAAAAAAAAAAAGCTGTTATCACTCTTGATACCTTAGTCAATGAAAGGCCACTGTGTAAATGCCAATGGACCTACAATTTTCAAATTCTAATCAACATAATCCTCCTCTTGAAGAATTTACAATATATATGTTAAAACTCTATTTACTTGTATTTGAAAAATTGCTAATACTTTCTTATTGGTTTTCTTAGCAAGAGAAATTGGGTGATATCTGCTTCTCCCTTCGCTACGTACCTACTGCTGGTAAGCTGACTGTTGTCATTCTGGAGGCAAAGAACCTGAAGAAGATGGATGTGGGTGGCTTATCCGGTAAGCCTGCAGTGTTTATTGATTTTTTTCAAATGCTGTTTCGTCGTGGATACCAAATGCATGGCGCACATGCTGCGACTCCCCACTTCTTAATTGATCACAGTTCTCTTTCCTATGGAGCCTGGAAGCAGTCTCAGAATTCATCCCAACACAGTGCCCCAGGAAGCCACTCTCAATTCATAGGAATTAGCATAGAAGATGAAATCTATTTTCCTTCTTTGGAGCCAAAGTATCAATTGTCTTTTTAATGGCATTGAAAGCTGAAAATGTTTGCTTCTTTTCTGAAAGAGAGTGTTCATGACAGATTATAATTTTGTTGAGCTTAGAGGGGGTTTTTGGTCAAAATTCACCCACGATATAAAAAACAATGTTTTCCATGAGACTTATTTATTAGGTATTTGATAGCCTAACATAGTTCCTACGATACCATTTATTAAAGACACAGCATTTCAATATATATGCATAATGAAATCTCTGTTTCAGAGTGAACCCCTATGGTAATGCATTTAATTCCACAGCTGACATTGAGGATGGGAGAGATGTGGGGATTGAAATTTCCATACAACCCAACCTTAGTAAAACGTGGTGGATAAAGTATACCCTGGCTCAAAAGCAAAGTCAACTCAAGGACTTGTCACTTCCACGGTTGAACATAATTTTTCTTCTTCTGCATATGATTAAATCAATTATATTTTTAATTTTCCGCTAAATCATTAAAGTGTGAGGAATTTTCTTGATATGCCACAAGGTCATCATAAATTGACTGCAGTTGTCATTGTTTGTGGCTGTGGAATTACAACTAACATTACTGGTTATTCAACACTTTCTTTAATAAAAATATTGCAAACTTCAAAAGGTCATCCTAAGGCAGCATGGTGATTTTTTATTCTAAAGCATAACAGCTAAAAAGTGCTACAGCTGAGCTTCCCCTCACTTACCCACTAATTTGTCGACCAAATTCTCCTGGTACCTGAGTGTATTTCTCTTTATAAATAAGTCACCTGGGGAAGCTGTACTAATTCTTTCATGTCATTAAGACCCTATTTAATAACTTGCTGTTTTTATTGTGCCTAGCAGTGTAACACAGCAAATTTGAAGCAAAGAGCACAGTGTTCTCTAGAAGTATAGAGTATTTAATGTGACTATAAGTGAAAAACATGCAGAGAAATTTTTAACTACAATAACAGTTCCCTCCTAGATTATTACTTAGTTTCCTAAGGTAACTTCAGACACCTTTAACATTTCCCTGTCCTTTGGTTCAACAGCCAACTATCATGACATGATTTCTTTGTATCCTGTCTCTTATGCTTTGTCCCAAATATCCATGCCAACCATCCCCTCATAACCTATGTCTAGTACTCTGCTAGTCTTCCTAAGTCATCCTATCTGCTTCAGCAGATAGGATTTGTCCTGGCTTCTTCCGGGGTCCCAGAAATGAGTTCCCATCATCATAGAGAGATATTTCAACCACGAGTTGTTCATCCCAGTTTGCTGTCTGTTTCCACTAGGACTTCTCCACCGTCTGTCCCCTTCTCGTTCAGTGGCATCAGAGAGGCTGGCTGCAGGCATTTTGGAACTTGGCTAAGGGAAGTTAGGTCTAGCAGGTTATTTTTATGGGGCTTACAGTCATATAATGTATAGTGAGGTTATTGCTAGCTATCCCAAAGAAGGAAGGGTACCTGCAATGCACTAACTAACTCAGCATTGTGAAATGAATAAGGAAAGGCCAAAGGTCATACCTAATTTTGTATTCATAATTTTATATTCTTTGTTTCTGAAGAGAACCAGCAAAACCATATTAGCTTCAGGATCCTCACAACCTGGGTTCACCCCTACATTTGAATTACCTGGAAGGAGTTTAATTATTAAGTAAGAATATTTAAAGAGTAAATATCCTGAAAAGCCCTAATTTTAAGGGCTTCTCACTGCCTGTAGAATTAAGCCATAATCACTCTAATCACTTGAGTCTACATAATGTAGATATGTCCAGCCTATGTCATGCCATATCTCATTTTCACCAAATTGACCAACACACTCTTTTGCAAACAAACTATACAACTTTCTGCCTCTATTACTTGCTTAGGTCGTTTCCTTCACCTGGAATTCTCTTCCTTCCAACAATGTCTAGCCAATTCCTACCCATTCTTTAGGCCCAGCTTAAGTATTATCTCCTCCATTCATTCAATAAACATATATTGTGTCCCTACTTTAAGTCAACATTGTTCTGAGCACTAGGTTTACATTTGTGGATAAAACAGTGCAAAAGACCCTCCCCTCCTGCAGCTTGCATTCTAATGTAGGGAAACAGAAAAGAAGCCAACAGATAGCAAAAGCATGAGTCTACCAAGAGATAACAGGTGCTATGGAGCAGTAAAGCAGGAAGTAGGATAAGGAATATTGGGGATTCATCTTAAATGGGGTTCAAAGAAGACCTCTGAGTAGGTGGCATTTCCGCAACAACCTGGAAGAAGTGATGAATTGAGCCACGGCGCGTCTGGGAGAGAGAACAACCACGGGGCTTCTGGGAGAGAGAACAGCCATGGGGTGTCTGGGAGAGACAACAGATACCTCGTGGCTCACTTCTTCACTTCTTCCAGGTTGTTGCTGAAATGCCACCTACTCATGAGGTCTTAAGACCTCATGGTTTTAAGATCCATCCCAGTAGAACAAATCTTTGCCTTTTTTTAAATGCCATTAGCCATTTGTTTACACCCCTCAAACATCATGCTTCTCTCTCACTAGACTGTGTTCTGTATTTATCCCTCCCACAATGCTCTCAGTGATGGGTAGCACTAAGCATAGCTGCTGAATGAATAATGAATTATTTACAAAGGAGCTATGGCCTGAAAAAACAAGTCTTGCATTTCAAATGTGTCTAACCCACTTACCATTAAAATAACTTTAAGCACTTGGATGGTCTGTCTCAAAGTAAGTTGACCTATGTACGAGGAGACCAAAATTATATAATAAGATCATTCCAGGTAATTCAAATGCCAAAGTACATTTGCTGGAAATGACTAGTTAATTGGAACCAAAGTGGGTTGTTTTGCCAGAGTTTAAACTCCATCTGCCACTAACTAGCAATTTGACATTGCACAAGTTATTTATTTAACTCTTCTAAGCCTCAGCTGCATTATCTATAAAGTGGGAATAATGAGAGGACTTTGTTGATGATGCTATGAGAAATAAATGAAAGCACAGGGCCTGGCACAACTAAGTACTCACTAAATACTATTGTAGTCATTTCTATTAGTAATTTTATCAAATCTTGGGATAAATATGCAACATGGGAAAGCAACCAATGGATGATTTAACCAATTACTTGCTTCAATGGGGAAAAAAAGTTTATCTTATTGTTTGATGGAATTAGCTGATTAATTCAGGCAAACGTATCAGTAGGCCCACATTTTGCATAGACACTATAGTGAATTAAGATAATTAACAAAACATTTGAGAAAATAAAACATGAAAACATATGTAAAATAATTTTCTTATTGCTCTCCAACAAGGTTATTTCCTTCCTGCAGTATTCATTCAAAATGCATTGCACAAAGATTTGGCCTCTATTGTATATCCACATGCAAAAAATGCAAATCTCAGCCCTTCATACTTTACAGTGACAAGCCTAATTGGACTATGCACATCTCTACAGTAGATCCTTGCATTTGCATTCTTAATATCCCAACTTTCAAATGCTTGTGAGCAACAGTGAGGATTTCTGAATTTAACTGCAGTCATGTGTTGATTAACAACAGGCATACATTTTGAGAAATGTATCATTAGGTTATTTGATCATTGCACAAATATCATAAACACAAACCTAGATGGTGCAGCCTGCTACACACCTAAGCTATGTGGTATGGCTTATTGCTCCTAGGCTACCAATCTATACAACATGTTACCATACTGAATACTGTAGGTAATTGTATTTGTGTATCTAAACATAGAGAAGGTACAACAAAAATACAGTATTATAATCTTATGGGACCACCATTCTATAGGCAGTCCATCCTTGACTGAAATGTGGTTACACAGGGCATGACTGTATTTGTATTGAGATCTTGAATCTTGCAGGCTGCAAGACTGTTCTTCAGGAGCAAGTTGGTGCTGTAGAACATGTGTAGGACTTTTTGCCTTATACGTGGAGACAATCAAGACTTCTGCCTCTTAAACATGTCTCAATAGCTTCGTTGCCTTTTACACATCTCTGTGTGGAGTAAATCTTCCTTCAAATAAGAAATGTTTTCTATTTGGGAAAATTGGGGAAGAGAATAAAGAGGTCAAAGTAAAGGCATTGGAAACATTGAGGCTTCCCAAAGGTATGAGGCTGTGTGTCTCATAGTTTTAAGCTAAAGTATATAACTTTTATTCTTAAATTTGTACCTGTGTAAACTCCTAAGTCAGAGACTAATCAGATACGTTGCTACTTGTCCCTATTTGTGTCATAGCAATCACTTTCCTCAAGTTTGGTGTTTTGTTTTGTTTTTTGTCATCTCAGAAATTTGACACGTCTGAGTACAGCTTTAATGAGGAATGTCAACACTGTAAGTTTAGTTTAGGCTTTCTGTTGTAAATTAAATGAAATTCTGAAAGTTTTCTATTTAAGGACATGGCCGTTTAAAGAAGGAAACACTAAACTTTAAAATAAGCAAAAATTGAAGTGATTATAGCTTTTAAATTTTGATCTATTCCGTAGAAATTCTGTTTTTCTACTTCAATCTGAGAATTATTTTTAACTGTTAAAAAGTCACATTATCAGTTATAGAACACTTTCTAATTTAGAAATATTTTTTAACTTGGTTTTCTCATGTGGTTCTCATGATAGCCCTGTGAGATACTTTCTGAAGATAGCATTCTGATTTTACCAGTGAGAAAATTGAAGCTTAGAGACATTAGACAATGTCCATAAACTATCTTCCTGCATGTGGCACATAGATGGGGGTGTTCAATACTTGCAATTGCTCTTATCACTACTGACATTTGATCTCAGCTGATTTGAGGGTAGGACTGAAGTTCAGATCCCCCCAGTTCTCAATGCAGAGGACTTTCTAATATAGCATTCAGCCTTGCCCACACCCCTACCTTCAAGATGGGAGAGCAAGGATTCCTCAGCTCTAACCTGCGTGAGGTGCCTCCCCTGCCCAAAGCCGAAACATCAAGATGAGGTCGTCACAGTAGGGAAGACTAGAAATGGAGTCTTCATGGATTGTTGGAAATGGAGGGATTCTTGGAGACTGGGGAAAATGTTCGTAACTGTAAACCCTTAAGGATACTCCTAGTCAAATAGCTCCAGGGTGCCCCCTTTCTTGCCTTCTCAGAACCACAAATTGATTTTCTTGCTTCACTTGTGGTTTCTGGCAGATTCCTCTTCTTGCCTGGCCCAATATGAAACAGAATGTGATCTCACAGACATGTTCTACTTCCCTCATTCCCTGAAGCTAGCACCTAATTCTTCTGAGACTTTTTTCTGTGTTTGTACTGCTAGTAGCCATGGCAAATCAACAAGGGTAAAAAGTGTGCAGTTCTGCTCGTTTGATGTGGTTTGCATTCACCTAAATTGGAGGAGTAGGGAACATAACAAAAGTATGTCAAGCATGGGGGCAAGCTGGAAACCCATATGGTAAAGGGCTGAAATCACATGTAGCTATTCCAGCAGCCTCCTGAACATCAAGGAGCTAGGGAGGTGGCTAGGAGGTGGGATCAGGTCAACAATGGTTGCAAAGTGCTCTCCTTCATCATTTTTCTGTCCCTTTCACTCTGTGTTCTATGACCCATCCCTAGTCCTCTTCCTGGCCATCCCTAGTCCTGCCTTGTTACTATGAAATGAAACCTGTACTGTGAAAAGCAACATTTGGGGCTGTAGGAGAGTTCCTCCAAAACATCTCTAAGTCTCCAAAAGAAAAGGGAAATGAAATGTTTGAAAGTGGCAGCAATTACTTGAGGGAAATGATAGAGAGGGAACAGGGGACTCGTGGTGATGAAGGAGTCACCATCACTATATGTCACACTGCCAGTGTGTGGATTAGCTACTGTGACCTAGGCGAGCAAAATTTACCCTGTCCCCCTCCCTCCACCCACACACACTCTGTTTTCTGGAAGATGCCATTTTTTAAATGTTAATCATGGGTTTGTCTTTTCTCTAGCTCCTTTTCTACTGTCCTAGAAATGTAATTTGGGAAATGCAGCCAGATTTAAATATTTGAGATCATTTAGGAAAGAGCAACTCACCCAACCTCAGGTAACTACTAGATTCCAAGGAGAAACCATGAACCAGCAGAGGTAGGTCATTCCCTCAGGCGATATTTATCAACATGTGATATTTTGCATAACCCCATCAAAATCACCTAGGGTACTTATTAAAAACTAAGATTTCAAGGACTAATTCAAACCAAGCTGTGACTGAGTATCTAGGGGTGGGAACCTGGAAATTGCCTTTTAAACAGGTCCTCCCCGTCCATACACACATACCCATGTTATTTTTATGCATCTTAAATTTGAAAACTACACTTCAGAGGCTTAAAATGCTATGTCATAATTTTAACTGAGGCCTAGGTCAGCCAAGTTCCAAGTTAGAATTTTTTTTTTTTTGGGTCAGTAACATAGAATACATCTTTTGCTTTATATAATGGAATTTCCTCAAATAAGAAGTTCTATTTCTTTCATCAGTCCAGTATCCTCTTCCCTGAAAAATACCTGGCCCACATGTCTAAATTATTATCTTTTTTTCTTGAGTCTCCTCCACTGAAAGAGGAAATAAAAGCAATAGATGTTTCCTTTGTACATTCTGAAGTTGTTTCCTAGTACCCTTGACTACCACCCTTATCTGTCCTTCCACTGGTGCTGAAAGCACAACAAAGAAAAACACTCCAAATTCAATTGATGTGAACTAAAAGCCACCAGTCTGGGAGCCGGGCCAATAAATAAAATGGCAAAAACTTATTTGAACCAATTAGACAGGGATATGCAAATTAATTGGCCATGATATCAGGGTCAAGCAATAATATGCAAATAAACTGGCATCTTATTGAGCTAATGGGACAGGAATATGCATAATAATTTGGCTGTGATGTCAGAAGCTTCATCATAATTTTAGGCATGAATGTTACAATATAATATCAATTCTGGGATACTTCAAAATGCTTAATTACAATATTGATAAAATAATCTGAATTCGTAAAACATGAACAGATTGGTCTAAAAAACAAATGACAAGTCTTGAAACTGGATCATTCTAGAAAATGAGTAATTAGAAAGGATTATAGCCAAGCCCGGTACAAGTTGGGACCCAGGCACAGTTATCCACAGAATGGATAGAAATGCTCTGCCTGAAGGACTAAAAGTTTTAGAGAAATGAGCAGATGTGAAATCAAGAGAAATAAGTGATAGGCTGTAATGTATTTGTTCAGAAGAGTTAGCCCAAAAACTCCTAAGTAGATTCTTTAGCCAGCAGGTATATATCCAATCAGTCAACAAACATCATGTGAAAACTCCTCTGTGCCAGGCACCATGCCAGTCCTTGAGAATATGAGTAAAAACAGCAGACACTTGCATAGCAGAATGTGAGCCCAGACACTGTTCTAAATGCTTTACATATGGCTAACTGATTTAATCCCCAGTACAACCCTATGAGGTAGATACTATTTTTAATGTGATTTTATTGATGATGGAACTGAAGGACAGAGAGGTACATAACTTACCCAAGGTCACAGGATTACTATTTGACAGAGCTAGGATGTCAACCCAAGCAGACTGTCTTCAGACTCCAATGAATAAAACCTGATGTCTAGGTCCTTATCATTGCTCAGCAGGTTCAACCTGGAGAACAGGTGGATAACTACATGCTGCAGTTTGAAAGATGTCCAAAAGTGACCTGATTCCAAATATCCTCTATACTCAAGCTAAAATTCTATCATGGAACTCACTAACATAAATCAGTTGGTTGACTGTTTAATTAGTTCTTCAGCTACTTAGACAGCAAAGGTGAGATCAACAAGTCCATAACACCAGACATTGAATAGTTATAGATGATTTTTATGCTGGAAAGGACTGTATCAGTTTCTCCCTAATGTACAGATTGGTATGTTATTTTAGTGACTTATTCTTCACACACAAAAGAAGATGAGACACAAAACAGTGACATTTCAGCTGTATCTGTGGTACAGAAGAGAGGTTGCCGAACATGGTAGAAGAGAGTCCAAGTTTAAGGGATTTGAGTGCCTTTTAGAGATTAAAGAAAAATTTTACCTACAACTAAATTTTAGCAAGGGCTAATTCTGTAAAGGAGTATGTGATATTATTGGGAGAGGGGCAGTATGATGTAGGAGTACAAAAGCTTACTACCCTTGTAAATTGTTATGGGACTCTTTGGGTCAAAATTACATATATAAATACTAAAATTAAAGAAATTTGAATTGCAATAGACAACTTACCAGGAAAACACATGTCAGCTAGATAATTTTAACAAGAGAAATCTACAGATGAAGAAGTAGAAACAGGGAGTTCCAAAGAGGTCTGTTCTAAGGCACTTTCACCAGTCACCTTAAAACTCATAATTCTGAAGATAAGATAAACGTTTCCAGCCATTGAAATGCAAAGCTCAGTGGTAAATTTAAAAAATCTAGCTAAGCTGAGTAAGCCAAAAAATGTGGTAGATGTGCTTCATTTGGGTCAAGCTAAAAAATAATACACTAAAAGGAAAACGTGACCCAATTTAGAGTATAGAGTAATAGGATCAATTATAAATCAAGAAAAATGTCACATAGAACCATCCATTGAAGACATTCACCAAGTGAACATGTCTTTTTTGCTACCCCAAAAAAGGCTTGATGTTGTCACAGAAGATTTTATAAATAAAAGGGAGGGAAAATCTCCTACCTTTGTCCAATTCCAGAGCTCATTCATGTGTACAACACACAGAGTTTTGGTTGTTCACCTCAGAAAAGACAGTGGTATTAGATGACTATCTGCTGGAGGAAAGCAGCTACAATAAAGGGATGAAGGGGCCGTGTGTGAGGACAGGCTAGGAACAGCGGGACTTTGTGGTCTGAAAAGGATATGATGAAAGTCTGAAAATCATGAAAGGTAGAGCTAGAGTAATACCTACCTATTTATCACATCCCACAATACTAGAATCAGGAAGTCACCTTGATGTTTGAAAGAGAATAGATAAAAGGGATAGCTATTCAGGATGATCTCAAAGGCACCTTTCTACTCAAAAATTCTTTGTCAAATTTTCTTTACTACTTTACATTTGGGTTGTAAATACGTGTTGCTCTAGGAAATGGAACAGATTGAAATATAAGACTGAGATAAGTGTAGGTCTGTTTTGTGTTATAGGCTTACAAGGAGACATCTCTAAACCTTTGTGTTGTCTTGTAGGAACCCCTCATGCCTTTCCATGGGTAACCATAAATAGCCCACAGCTGCATATCTCACTAATCCAACCCAGAATGCTTACATTTGCATCCTTCAGTTGGCCACTTCTATTCCCTTCTCTTCATTCAGTATACAGAAAAAAAAATAAGGAGGGTCAGAATTTCTAATAGGTAATTGCACTGGGAGGAATAGAGTCCCCACAAATTCCTATTTTTAAAAATTATGTTTAGTGGGTTCTTTCAGGAGATATTTGGGAGTTTCTAATAAAACTATTAGAAACATGTAGCAAAAGTCGGTGCTATTCCCCCTTCCTTTTACAAAGGTATAAGATTCCTGTTAGTAAAGCCTATAATAGGTGACAAAAGCATGCAAAGTTTTGAGTCTCAAACACTATAATAATGCTCAGAAATGGAAACATCAAAGACAGTCTTTTAAAAACAACTGTACTGGCCAGGTGCAGTGGCTCACACCTGTAATCCCAGTACTTGGGCAGGCCAAGGTGGGAGGCTCGCTTGAGCCCAGGAGTTTGAGATCAGCCTGAGCTGCATAGTGGGACCCCCATCTCTACAAAAAAAATTAAAAAAAAAAAAAATAGCCAGGAATGGTAGCGCACACCTGTGGTCCCAGCTACATGGGAAGCTGAGGTGAGAAGATCTCTCAAGCCCAGGAGGTCAAGGCTGCAGTGAGCTGTGATTGTGCCACTGCACTCCAGCCTGAGTGACAAAGCGTGTCCCTGTCTCAAAAAAAAAAAAAAATTGTACTTTATTATAATCACTTCTGCTTCCAAAAGTATATACTGTTTCTACTTGGTTCCTTAATCCCTTATTCTTAATCTCAGTTATAAAAATATCATTCTTGTTCCCTTTTCACCATAGTCTTGCCACTTGCTGCACCATGA
Source organism: Homo sapiens (assembly GCF_000001405.40). Lineage (NCBI taxonomy): Eukaryota > Metazoa > Chordata > Mammalia > Primates > Hominidae > Homo > Homo sapiens. The sequence continues at coordinate 79,363,893 of NC_000012.12, forward strand.
GCTACTTTGAGAGCAGGGATTGTGTCTACTTATGTCTGTGTTCTCAGAGCCCCTAGCATATATGCTGAAGAAACAGACCTTAATATACCCTGCCTAAACAATCAGTTTTAAATTTTTAAATTCCACTAATCTAACTGATTATTTTGTCTTCATCTTCCAAATGATCTGACTTAATTTCATCACTTAATGCAATTATTTTGGCATCATATAGTAGTAATCCTATTATAATAGAAATATCGGCTCATAAATAAAAACCAGACAATGGAATTCTTAAAACCAATTGGTTATTTTAGCCATCATTTTCAGAAGATTTTACTTCCTTCCTTCATTTCCCCCCTCCCCACCCCCTTTAATGGTTAAACGAAAGAAAAACAGACTATCTCCAAGAGATAAAAGAGAGTGACACAGAAATGCACACATTACTGTAGTTATACCTCAACGACAGTCATAAAGGCATTTTCAAGGGAAAAAGTAAAGACAGAGAATGATCCCTTGGTCACCTTTTGCCCAGCATGAACAGATAAGGCAATGATTCAGCATCTTACTTGTCCACTGTTTTAAAGACTAACTCCTTATCAAAGGAAGTCAAAAGACCATACCGGCTGACAGCCTTTTTAAATTACTAATGGCCTAAATTTTGCGGTACATCATTTTCAATGATGACTGGACAACTAGGAGGCTTCCTATAATTTTTTCTTTCAGAAATAAATGATTTTATTTAACTTAAAAAAAGAATTAAGCGCATTTATTTTATATCCTCAGAACCACTGAAACTGCTTTTAGCCAAAACTAAAGCAACATGATTAAGAAATTAATAGATTTCAAACTACTGATTTCAGTCAACAATATGACAGTGTAATTAACTAATAAAGTGTCCCGTTAACAAACAAAAAGAGCCGAATGCACATTTCGTGATAGTGCACTTGCAGAATTACTACATATACTACATATACATATGAAACTGCAAGATTACTCAGTAATCTACTGACGCAGCTGTCATTTTTAGAGAATATTATGAACTTCCATATCCTTATTAAGGAAACAAATGCTTTCACAAATAGCCCTGTGTTTAAATATTTATCTAGAATTTTAGTTTTAAAATTATAGGAAAGCTCAAGAAATAAAGTTAATCCACAACCCCACCACTTCTTTTCATACATAAGTAAAAAAGTAACTCAAATCAGCCCCCTCTAATCCTTTCCCATTCCTCAGAGTTAATTGACTCAAGGAAATAATTTGAAATTTCATATCCTTCCAGGTTTTCTTTCTGCTTATATCAATTCTATACATATATATACAAATATATATACATTTTACAAAATGGGATTTTAAACACATTATTCTGTAATTATTTTTAACCTACCAATATATAATGGAGATCCTTTGGGCCAACATATAGATCTGCCATATCTAGTGGTTGCATAGCATCCCTTTGTTCGAATGTATCATGGTATATTTAGTAATTCTCTTATAAATATAACTATGAGAAAAACTATATAAATTCACTGAAAGACTTCAAATGAGACCTAAATAAATAGAAAAATAACATGCTCTTGGATAGGGAACAATATAGTAAAGATGTCATGCTTCCCAAATAAATGCCATAAATGAATTTGAAAGATGAGTAACACACGAAAAGAAAGCTTTGCCTCACATAAACAGATCAAGTATTAATATCCCTGTAATACAAAGAGTTTCTACATATCAGTGAGAAAGAAAAGCAATAGGAGAAAGTCTCTATTTTATTAATGTTCCTAAAATTTACTTGCTGCTGCTTCTACTACTGGCTGCTGTTGCTGAGAAGTAAAATGTTACATTTATACAATGTCATTATGCATCTAAATAAGAAAGGATTTTAAAGTAAGATGCAATTACCCTAAGTTCAAAATCTAAAAATGTGTTGCTTAAAAAGACAGCCTAGACTGATTGCAAAGAGTACCAGAAAAAAAAAAAAAAAAGCAGGTCATTAGCTTGTAGATTTTCATATTTTCATCAACTATATTTGCAGGAGTCTGAATCCATTAAAACACTCAATCCAGCAGCATTATTATGATAACAACTTGAAAAGATATGTGACAGTCACTAAAAGTCAAAGTAAAAATACATACCGCTATGAAAGTCATTTTGAAGGGAAGTTCCCAATTTCTAGACTTTATAAAAACAATTAAGCATCTGAAAGCTACTTTTACTAAAAGTTGCCAATTCGTGTATCTAGAAAACACTCCTGCATTTTACAGCACTGTCTTTAATGTAGTGAAAATATTGCAAATGAAACTAGCCTAAAGGGCAATAATATATCACAGTATATCTCCAGTTACAGTAATTAGGAATCTATTCTAATCTTACCTGAAAGATATGTTAGTGTTTTATGTTTATAAGGATTTCACCAAAATTTTTTAAAAATAGCTTAGTAGAAGAGATTTTAAAAGAGGCAGTGAATGTTTATGAATTATGCAAGTCTGAACTTTCATTTTAATAACTCCATTAAAATATAAAAACCTTAAAAGCCTCCCATCAGGAATTTAACTTTATAGAAATGCTTTATATGTGCCCTGACCTTGCCAAGAGGCAGGCCTAAGGCATGATTTAACAGTTACTACAAGGCAAAGCCTAATAATAAATACCTATCTGAAAATGCCAGCATTTGTCCCTGCCTCCTTGGCCTCCAGTGGAGTTGCAACTCAGCCATAAACAGGCCCTCTCCTGAGAGACAGCAGGGCGCAGCAGAAAGGGAGCAGCAACTGGCCCTGGAAAGCCTGGATCGGAAGCCTTTAACCTTTCTGATCCTCAGTCTGTTCATCTATAAAACTAGGGTATTAGAGACAGCCATATTGTTGAATAAACAAATGAGATAACATTAGGTGAAAGCTCCAGGTAGAAAGCACTATATAAATATTGGTTATTTCTAAGCAAAAGACAGTTCTTGGTTAACTCTTAATTTTTGTCACCATATCCTGGCTCCAGGAGAATGTGTGTTCCTATATGGCTGATATAAATAATACTGTGTGTGTGTGTGTGTGTGTGTGTGTGTGTGTGTGTGTGTGTGTGTGTGTGTTCAAAGAATGCCTCTTCATTATTTGGATGGCAGTTAACTGCTTTGGCTAACTTATGTTGGCATCCTGAAGCTAACAGCAAATCCTCCTCCCATCTCCTGTAACTTGTGGCCACAAGACCCAGCATATTTTATAAGAAATCAGACCAGTAGTATATTTCTACGATCTTCAGTTTGTTAAGCTATTTATTTGAGTTAAGACACCGAGTTGTCTTCCAAGTACTTCTTTTATGATAACAGATCCAAGACAGACACAGCTAATTTGGGCAACAAGTAGGGACAAAGAGGAAGAACAGAGCCTCTGTCATCCTAATTATCAAGTTAATGCCTGGTTGCTGGACAAACTCTCCCTCTCTCTAAAATGAACCACCGCAAGTTGGAACCTGCTGTTGCAATGTTAATTTGACTAGAAGTGGCAGGACCTGGTCCCAGAGCAGCTCCTGGTTGTCTTTCCAAATAATTTTGCCCCAGGTAATAAATACCTAATTGATGCAATATGAGTCAGTATTTGTTGTTCATTGCTACATAATTGAGTGGTCAAGGTTTCATCTTTCACCTGTCTCTACAAATTCTTAATCTCCACAAGTAGTCAACATTAAAAACAAGAAAGTTACCCATGTAAATTTCTACATGCTTGCATCCAAACACCCTTTGACTCTCTTCAGCTTGCTTTCCTCTCGATGAAATTTCATTTTCCATATTAAACATATCTCCAGGCTGTGCCCATCTTGGCATTTCAAAAAAAAAATAGAAAAACCTGGTTGGATTATACGTCTGCCTTCTCCTTAAATCAGATGAATTGCTCCACTTGCCGGTAGGATAAATAGTTCAGTTAAAGCATATACTAAGAATCTCAGATAAGTAGCTCAGTTAAAACATATACTAAGAACCTAGGTAAGAAATGTGAAAAAAAAATATTGCTTATTAGTCCTACAGCAGAGATGATACCTTTTTTTAAAAAAAAAAATTATTATTATACTTTAAGTTTTAGGGTACATGTGCACAATGCGCAGGTTAGTTACATATGTATACATGTGCCATGCTGGTGTGCTGCACCCATTAACCCGTCATTTAGCATTAGGTATATCTCCTAAAGCTATCCCTCCCCCCACCCCACAACAGTCCCCAGAGTGTGATGTTCCCCTTCCTGTGTCCATGTGTTCTCATTGTTCAATTCCCACCTATGAGTGAGAACACGCGGTGTTTGATTTTTTTTCCTTGCAATAGTTTACTGAGAATGATGACTTCCAATTTCATCCATGTCCCTACAAAGGACATGAACTCATCATTTTTTATGGCTGCATAGTATTCCATGGTGTATATGTGCCACATTTTCTTAATCCAGTCTATCATTTTTGGACATTTGGATTGGTTCCAAGTCTTTGCTATTGTGAATAGTGCCTCAATAAACATACGTGTGCATGTGTCTTTACAGCAGCATGATTTATAGTCCTTTGGGTATATACCCAGTAATGGGATGGCTGGGTCAAATGGTATTTCTAGTTCTAGATCCCTGAGGAATTGCCACACTGACTTCCACAATGGTTGAACTAGTTTACAGTCCCACCAACAGTGTAAAAGTGTTCCTATTTCTCCACATCCTCTCCAGCACCTGTTGTTTCCTGACTTTTTAATGATTGCCATTCTAACTGGTGTGAGATGGTATCTCATTGTGGTTTTGATTTGCATTTCTCTGACGGCCAGTGATGGTGAGCATTTTTTCATGTGTTTTTTGGCTGCATAAATGTCTTCTTTTGAGAAGTGTCTGTTCATGTCCTTCGCCCACTTTTTGATGGGGTTGTTTGTTTTTTTCTTGTAAATTTGTTTGAGTTCATTGTAGATTCTGGATATTAGCCCTTTGTCAGATGAGCAGGTTGCAAAAATTTTCTCCCATTCTGTAGGTTGCCTGTTCACTCTGATGGTAGTTTCTTTTGCTGTGCAGAAGCTCTTTAGTTTAATTAGATCCCATTTGCCAATTTTGGCTTTTGTTGCCATTGCTTTTGGTGTTTTAGACATGAAGTCCTTGCCCATGCCTATGTCCTGAATGGTAATGAGATGATACTTTTATAACACTTTGATTTGTCATTTTACTAATTGCTAAATTTGCCCATATCAGTCATGTTGAACTGTGCCTCCCTCAAACAACTAGCAAGACTGATCTGAGGTTGAACCAATTGCTTAGGAAACATCCTCTATGAAGCTATAAACCTGAAACCTATCTATATTCAGTCTCTGGAGATGAAAGTGTCAGAGCTGGCAGGGCATGGTGGCTCATCCCTGTAATCCCAGAACTTTAGAAGGCTGAGGCAGGAGGATTGCTGGAAACCAGGAGTTTGAGACCAGCCTGGGCAACATAGTGAAACCCTGTCTCTACAAAAATTATTAGCCAGGCATGGTGGCATATGCCTGTAGTCCTAATTACATGGGAAGGTGAGGCAGGAGGATTGCTTGAGCCCAGGAGGCTCAAGCCCATGATCACTCATACTGCCACACTCCAGACTGGGTGACAAAGCGAGACTCTGCCTCAAAAAGAAAAGAAAAAGAAAGTGTCAGATAAATTTAAGAGGTACATTTCAGCCTGATCCATATTGAGATTAAGGGCTGCTTTCTTTTTAAATAAAGATATGTTTAGTATTTCTACAATAGGATTCAATACAATAGAATTGAAAGTATGTGTAAGTTTAGCCCAAAGCTAAAGAGAAAGATACTATTCTCAAGCCAAATTACATACAGTATGTAGATGTACCTGTATCTTTATCTTTTTTTATTTTTTTTGAGACAGGCAGATATATCTTTTAAAATTGACTTGGCCTCATACTTTTATAGCACATGCAGATTTTGATTCTTGTAACTGTCACTTGAAATTTTGTTTTTTAAAGCTAAATTAGTCCAATCATCTTGCATGCTGCAAGAGGAACTAGTTATTCAAACTATGAGAATTTAGTATTTGCTTACAAGCAAGATAACAAGAATGGAATCTTTTTTATCTTGGGTGGGTCAGTGAGCAAAAAGATATTTCTTTTTATTTCTGTGTGCTATTAATATGGGTGGTTCTTATCATTGCCTCTCTAACTTTCCATTTAAATTTCAAAATGATTTAATCTTAAATGTAAAACAACTGTGAAATCTTATTACCGAGATTATTTATTTCAAAAATGAGTCTCCGGCAACAGAGTTCCTATACTCTATGCTGAGAGATCTGGAATATTGCATTCATTTCTGAAAACACACTTAAGAGGAGAGACATTAACTTTCTGAAGCAAATTCAGCAGGAAATCAGGGTCATGCAGAGGGCAGATACAGTCTCAGTTAAGGAACAGTTCAGGCAATTGGAGATGTTTAAGCTGCAAAATACAGAATTCAAAGAGGACATAACTGTCTGAAAAATGTGAGAAAAGAATTGAACCTACTCTTATTAACTATAAAGACCTGAACTGGGATCCATGAGTATAAGTGATGGAAATCCATACTTGGTTCTTCCCATTTTAGTTCCCAAACAAAAGCTAGAGGAAAGTTTATCAGAAATACTGAGTTAGGGCCGGGCGCGGTGGCTCACTCCTGTAATCCCAGCACTTTGGGAGGCTGAGGCGGGCGGATCACGAGGTCAGAAGATCGGGACCATCCTGGCTAAAACGGTGAAACCCCCTCTCTACTAAAAATACAAAAAATTTAGCCGGGCATGGTGACGGGCGCCTGTAGTCCCAGCTACTCAGGAGGCTGAGACAGGAGAATGGCGTGAACCCGGGAGGCGGAGCTTGCAGTGAGCAGAGATCGCGCCACTGCACTCCAGCCTGGGCGACAGAGCGATATTCCGTCTCAAAAAATAATAATAATAAAAATAAAAAATAAAAATAAAAGAAATACTGAGTTAGGGATGGTACCCTACCTACCTGCCATAGGTTAGGGAATTAACCTATTAAATCCCTCCAATCTTCTAAAGTTTCATTTTAAAACTCTAAAAGATCATGCCCAGCCTAAAGACAACATCAGCCCATGGAAGAGCACATCTATTAAAGACAAATGTATCCTCACCAAAAGTGATTATTTTATTTTTTCCTTAAGATAATACGAATGAAAGACTACTACTGCTAATAATAATTATAGTTATAATCTAGTCAGTGCTTTCTCTGCTGTGCATTTACTAATTTCGTCTTGTTTAATCCTATTCATACTCTCATGAGGTAGGTATGGTTATCCCCATATATGAATGAGAAAACTAAGGTTTGGAAAAGAGACTCGCTCAAGGTCACAAGGTAAAGAAATGGCAAAGGCCCAGCTCCTCACTCCAGCTGCATCTGTTACCTAAGCCTGCCCACTTACTCACAGCTTCCCCCACCTAGACAGTGCACACTGTAATTTCAATTGGCCATAATCCCCAAATCATAGAAACCTCAACTCTAGAAGATAATGAATGCTCTTGAGCAGCAAAATGATCATCAGTTGACTCACAATGAATACTCTCTATAGATTATTTTGACAAAGTAACGCTATCCAACTGTGCCTGCAAATGCCAACACATGCAAATCCCTGCGACTTCATAAACAGCAAATGCCCTAATGAGCTAAAGAAACAATTGCTCTTTATTCATTTTCTTCAGTGTGTTTCTTATTTCTGCTGGAAAATAATGTCCAGAAGGAATTTGTGTTCTATTCAATGACTATAAAAAAGAGGAAGGTTAGTGTTTACAAGTTTACATAATACAAAAAAGAGTGGCCGTGAAACAGTGAGCTGTGGCTTCCTGGTGGGAAGACACTCACATGCAGCCTGTGACTTCCTGGGCAGTTTTAATTTACTTTTAATCATTTCAGAAGTCATGCCTCAGAGGTTTGAGATAAAAAGTTTCATAGCATCTTACCTTTTTCTTTTCTGCCCCTCCTTTTTTAGTTTGGTAAAATGTAGTCCAGAAAAACAGGTGGAGGGGGAAGAGCCAGTTTAAGTATTTGCTCCTCCAGGAAACTTCCCACATATCCTAAACCCATCTTTGTTCTTCTTTACCTTTATACTGTCCACGTTTTTTCACTTGATCACTGACTGTTGTGTTTCTTCAACTGTGTTCTGTACATACCTTTTCTCATTCATGAGAATGAATTGTTTAATCATCAGGGTTGCCAACACCCTCATTATTTCTTTTTCTGTGTTCCCATGGTGCACTGGAGTTATCTCGTCCCATGATTTATCACACACTGTAGGTATTCGTGGCTCTTTCTCTGTGAACTCCTTTAAGGAGACCAACTTAATTCACTTTTGCATAACCGTCATCTAGCATCGCCTAGCACATTGTAGGCCCCCATGAAGAAATTAAATTAAATGAAAACTCGAATAGTTCACTTAATCCCCAGTGTTTAACATATAGTATGAACTGAATTGAAGTAAAGTGAATTAAATTCAATCAGAACAAATCAAAATGAACTGAAATGATTATAAGACATTATTATGTTGGATAAAGTTATCCAGATTATATTTATAATTTGTAGAAAAATTGATTAGCACAGCCTAGCTATGTTGTTGTGTGATTCCTATGATGGACACTCAGGATTGCCCATTATGTTACTACCATAGAAAGGTCAGCAGCCTTTAGGCCCAATATTACAGCTAGTTCTTTAAGCTGAGGCCATAAGGGTAGACACAGTCTAAATCACTGTGTATTGGCTGAGAAATGTAGACCAAACTCCGGAAGGCTGACAGTATTTCTGAACAAGCAAATGATGCTTAAAGTGAACTGAAGCTGTTGATTATACAGGAGGATTCCCCAACAAGTAGATCTAAAATTTCATTTCCAGGGCTAAGTCACCTTCTTGGTCCATGGTTTGCTGTGATCTCAGAGGGAGAGGAAACCATACCCACAACAGCCCCTCATCCCTCCCCTCTCTTCTTATCTCTAGCTTCTAAATAGTTGTCCATCAGCACGCACTGTGCACCCCATCTGAGTTCAGCTGTGTGTTAGGCACCTGAAATTCAGTCAATACCATGAACATTATCTCTCCACTTTTGGGTCCTAACTTCTCAAAAAGGAGACCAACAATAAGTAAGTACCAAAAATATTAATCATAAATGATCACAAATTCTATCAGGCTGTGAAAGAGAGAAATGACAAGATATTTCCCTCATCCAAAAATGTAGACTCTGATTTAGGAGTATAGGCAATTCTTTTCTCAAAATTATATCTCTTTTCATCAAAAAAAGTAATTATTGGTAAACCAGATAAATAAGCATTTTGTAAAAATGAAAATGATTGGGGGAGAGAGGAATATCCTCTCCTACAATTTGTGCTTAACTAGCTTAGGTTTGTCCGATGAGATCAGACATCTTTTAATGTTGATGATGTTCACCTATCAGTAAAACTTTGGGAGCACATTCCTCTTTATACATTTACTTGTAGGTTTGTAAGTGTATATAGACCACTATAGTAATATAAAATGGACATTATAAACTTAAAAGTCAAAAAATGTAAAAGATAAAGCAAAAGTAAACATTTTACAATTTGCTTTATGAATGATAAAAATGTTATTCTCCCTTTAAAATATAATTACTAATTTGTTAATAATAAATATGCCTCACTTTTCTTTAAGATATCTGTTTAACTTTGTAATGTAGCAATTCACAAGCATAATATTAGATTCCATTTATTTCAACACTTAGTTTTATAGATGGTCACATCAAAAAAATGCCTCACAAATGCACAATATTCATAATATTTAATATGAACTTAGTTTGGAATTTACAGAAAATATGTCAATATATCACATCGACTGAAGTTTTTTATTTTTTTTAAATCAAAACTTTTAAAAGCTTAAAACTTTTAAACTTTTAGAGAAGCTTTTAGCCAGCTTCTCTAACCTGAAATAGATGATCATTTTTACCTGTAGGCATGACTGACAGAGCACAGCTGAAGAAGAGGTACCAGCTGGGTCATATTCTCATTTCTCACTCGTGTTTGCATTATCAAGTTTTCTTCAAGCCACAGTTGTTGTTCAGGACTCATTTTAGGCAACATGCTCATTTTGTGAAGAGTAGTTTGGTTACAATTAAATAACATAATCTATAAACCAATTTAACTGGGCTCACATAAAGCGCAATACATAGAAAAATGCTAACAGCAAATAAAGTGCAGGCCCCTCTGGCACCCCACCCCACGGTGGCGCTTCCATGCCACCCTCAGGAAACCTTGAGTACTGCGTGTGAATCATGCCAGAACAGGGGCACCTCTGTGATACTGTACATCAGACCTCAGTAAATTTCCAATCCTTTATTTTTAGAAGAAGAAAATAAAGTAGAAACTCTGGTATTTTCTTCTGGGGTGCCAGAAGTAAATATTTGAATTTCTACTTTATTTTTTCCACACTGGAGATCAGAGAAACTAAAGGTTTCAAGTTTATAAACCAAAAGTCGGCCAGCAAATACATTTTCCTTTCCTTTCTCTTACCAAAGAGAAAAAGATGATATCATGTTGATTAAGTTTTGTCTTTATAGACCAACTATTCATTAACCAGAAGGACAGATCATTGTTATTTATTAATGTGATACCTAATTTTTATTTTAAAAGGGTACACATTCTAACAAATGGTAATTTCTTCATAATTTTCAAAAATAATGCCGGGTTTTAAAAAGAAAAACAGATGATGTAAAGAGGCACTAAACCAGATTAGTTTCAGGACATTCAATGTCACCAGAAGGATAGGAATGGCTGGATGTTGCACCTATAAAGGGAAACACTGGATGGGTAGCAGGATGGCTGCTCACAAGGATTTGAAGAACTACCCTGTGGACAAAAGTATGGAATCACATATTCAGCAAATATGTATTAAATGCCTACTTACTAAGTGCCACAGTGAGGAGCTGGAGAGCTGGTGGTAGTGAGATGGATTTTGTGATACCTGCCTACAAAGAGCTTGGAACGAGCTCAGGGAGATCCACTTTAAAATACTGTGTGATTTAGATTAGGAGTAAACAAACTTTTTTTGTAAAGGACCAGATAGTAAATATTTTAGGCTTTGCAGGCCACATGGTCTCTCGCAACTAAATATTCAACTCTATTGCAACACAAAAGCAGCCACAGACAGTCTGTAAGGAGTAGACATAGCTGTGTTCTAATCAAACTTTTTATTTATGGATACTGATATGCAAATTTCATGTAATTTTATATGTCATGAAATATTAATCTTTTTTATTTTTTTCAACTCTAAAAATGTAAACATTTTCTTAGCTTACGACCTACAGAAACATGCAGCAGCCAGATCTGGTCCACAGGTAGTAACCTGCCGGGAGCTAATTAACAGGATTTCACAAGAGCTCAGAGGAAGAGTACTTAACCTCCACTGGAGATTTCGTGGGCGCTTCCTGGAGAAACCAAGAACCGGGTTGAGGGATTGTGCAGGGCAAAGGGATAGGCCAAAAGGACAGTGAGAGCTAAGGCCTGGTTGTACAAAACAGATCGTGTAGTGTAGAGGAGCTGCTAAGAAATGAAGTTAGAGAGGCAGAGCCCAGTCAGGAAAGTTGAACTTTATGTTCCAGAGGTGGTGAGTAGCCACTGCAGGGATTTAAGCAGGGAGTTTGTGCTGCAAACTGTAACATTAATTCCAGCTCAGGCTGTGGAATCAAACTGACATGATTAGGATCCCAGTTCTGCCACTCACCAAGCATCTGAATTCAAATCATTTTCTTATCCTCTTCAAATATCAGTTCCATCATCTGAAAACCAAAGATAATCCCTACCTTGCTCTTTGTTATTCTCTATTCTTGTACCTGTCTGCTTCACTTATTGCTCATAGTGTCACAACTGGTAATATAAATTTCATTGCTAACTTGTTATTTGACTGATGCCCCCTCTAGATTGTGGGGCCATGTCATCATCCATATAAACCAGGTACCTAGCAGGGCGCCTGACTCAAAAGTACCTGATGAATAAATGGAAAAAAAAAATCAACTCACAATGATAAAGCCAACCATCTCCCACCTTGTAGTTCTATCACTATCCATGCTTGCTTCTTGCCTTACAAGGATAAATATGTTGTATCATTTATTTAAAACTTGGAATAAAGTCATAAAGAAAAATGATTAATCATTTCTATACATCTATCTTATCCATAATGTTTATTTTCTTGAGCAAGTTCTCATTACACTTCATTTTGCCACATGGCTTTTCCTTCTTCCACTGAGACGCACTTCCTCCAAGAAACTTTCTTAATCTAAATGTTACAGGAAAGGGGTCCCAATCCAGACCCCAAGAGAGGGTTCTTGGATCTTGTGCAAGGAGGAATTCAGGGCGAGTCTGCAGTGCACAGTGAAAGCAAGTTTATTAAGAAAGTAAAGGAATAAAAGAATGGCTACTCCATAGACAGAGCAGTCCCGAGGGCTGCTGGTTGCCCATTTTTATGGTCATTTCTTGATGATATGCTGAACAAAGGGTGGATTATTCATGCCTCCCCTTTTTAGACCATATAGGGTAACTTCCTGATGTTGCCATGGCATTTGTAAACTGTCATGGTACTGGTGGGAGTGTAGCAGTGAGGACAACCAGAGGTCACTCTCGGCGCCATTTTGGTTTTGGTGGGTTTGGCTGGCTCCTTTACTGCAAACTGTTTTATCAGCAAGGTCTTTATGACCTGTATTTTATGCTGACCTCCTTTCTCATCCTGTTACTTAGAATGCCTTAGCCGTCTGGGAATGCAGCCCAGTAGGTTTCAGCCTCATTTTACCCAGCTCCTATTTAAGATGGAGTTGCTCTGGTTCACACACATCTGACATAAATGGGCAATTTTCTAGTTTACATTGCAGTGAGCTGGAAATGAAGCAAAATCTTTCCAATGCATAATTCAGGCTAACTTTTAACTTAAATTCACAGGTAGGGTAAATGGCCCATTTCATTAATGATTTACAAACGTCTGCATGCCTCCTTATCTAAATTGCCAAAATACCTTTATATTTCACTGCCCGATATCACATTATAAATTGTAAATATATGACTTATCTATTCATTAGATTTCCAGAACTCTTATTCTAGGGCAAACAAGAAAGCAATAAAATCCATGTTGAATTTTAGCTCATATTTCTCCTTATTGTTCAATTTCATTCATTCGTTCAACAAGTATCTATTGAATGCTTACTGTGTGCCATGTATTGTTAAATCTTCCCTTTTAGAGATGTTTATGTAACATTTTTTGTTTTTTTGTTTTGTTTTGTTTTTTTGAGACAGAGTCTCGCTCCATTGCCCAGGCTGGAGTGCAGTGGCGCAATCTCAGCTCACTGCAAGCTCTGCCTCCCAGGTTCACACCATTCTCCTGCCTCAGCCTCCCGAGTAGCTGGGACTGCAGGCTACCGCCACCATGCCCGGCTAATTTTTTGTATTTTCAGTAGAGACGAGGTTTCACCGTTTTAGCCAGGATGGTCTCGATCTCCTGACCTCGTGATCCGCCTACCTTGGCCTCCCAAAGTTCTAGGATTACGGTAACATGTGTTTTAAGGTGTTTATTTTCTAAATAGCTTAAATCTTAACCACCAATTTATTTTTTTCTTCTATATGTGTTGGTAATTGTGGCCTAGATAAAAGCTCTAGCAATTGTAGTGACAGGACAAAATATAAAAATTCTCAGGGCTATTTAAATTATAAACAGATTTTAAGAAGCACTGTGTGGTGTTTCTGTTATCCTTCTGCTTTCCAAGAGAATATATCTGCATCCTGAAATCTAATCACATTTACTTCAGGCAGAGTTGCTTTTGGAAATTCAGGCTTTGCCCATATTGTCTTTGTTGTATAAACAACTTAGCTTCCCTTTCTCCCTTTTGTTCTAGAATTATTTAGTACTAATTATAGATTGAGAATATCCAGGGTCAGGAAGACCTAGTCCAGGTCTAGGGAGAATCCAGGTTCAGGAAGAGAGGAGAGCATGGGCTTGGTTAGGGACATATTAAGCCTATGACACCAATTAAGACAACAAATGGAGATGTCTAATATGCAGTTAGTCCACCAAAATTATATTCTTATTTCTTAAGTTTTTCAAACTGCCATGGAATAGTCCCTTTTTCATTATCTCAACCATGACAAATTTCTCATATTTATCACTCCCAATACATTTAAAAGGTGTTAGCTAGAGTGTGTTTCTCACTTATTCCTCATACTATCTAATTCTTAAAGCTCTTAACTATATAAAATGCAGGCCATAAGCCATGGAGTTTTCACTCATCCTTATTTTTAATTCACTTGCTAGATTATCAAATTCAAATTCTCTTCTATTAGAAATCTTTGCCTCACTAACTGGAAGAAGCTCAAGTCTTGATTCCTTTATGCAATCCTTCCAATCCAACCCCAGTTTACAGATGTGTGCCTTTTTCCAGGATAAATTTGGAAACCTTCCGAAATATCACAGATATGACCAACTTTTGAAGGATCTTCTATTGTGGTTATGTAATCTGTGTCACATAAACACAACTCTTAAAATTTCAAAGAGAACAGTCCACTGGAAACAACCTTTTTGATTCTTCTTACTACCAAACAGGCTAGATTACGTAGCCCATGAAGCCAGTTTACAGAAATGAATTTGTAAAGAAAATCGCTTTTAAAGAATCAACTGAAGAGAGGTTAGTTTAGTGGCCTCACAGACTTCATTAAAAACAAATCTTGCTCCTGATTTGGCAGGGATTTTCAAACTATTCTGATTCAAGAACCACTTGTGAAGGTCAAAAGCACAATTTACTAGCCTCATTGGCTATAAAAAGAAACAAAACATGACCCCCAGTGGGGTAAAGGCTTCTGATGAGACACTAGCATTAAATTGCTAACTCATGCCAAAAACAAAAGTATAAAGATTGGAATCTAGGTCAGTAGTGATTAATCCGAGGAACAGGCTGGAATGAAACAACCTAAGGACCCTACTTGGGGAAGCATTAAATGTCATAAATAAAAATGGCCATTAGATGAATTTACAGCCCAAATTAGGAAAGTTTTTCTATCAGTTACTTGCATACAGAACTTAGGAAATTTATGGAAGACGTGACAGTGACTTCCAAAATCGATAGAAAAATTAGTACATGTTTGAAAACAGACTTTGGGTCAAAGTGTTTCTTTTCAAAATAGGGGTGGGAGTTGGGGATGTGTTACCCTCTAAAATCTTCCATAGTAATTTCCTCCTGAGAAAAGAAATTCATTTCATTTTAGTGTTCCTATCATGTTTTTGAGAATTTCCATCCTCATTTTCTGTTCTGAGAGCATGGTTTAGTAAATAGTCCTCAGACCCAATAAACATATCAACAGAGAATTTTTTAGCAAGTTAATCAAAATATGAGGAAAACAATGGGATATGCTTGAAATAACAAGTCACTTGATTACTTAATTAGGTTAACAAGACTGCCACAAATTGAAACCCTGTCGTTTTTTAAAACCTCGGTCGAAAATATTTCTGGGTAATGATTCAAGGAATGAAGAAAATTGGCCTTTTTGAAGGTTACCAAAATGTACCAGCTGTGTACCATTCCAAGGAGTCCTCTGAGAACCCTGAAAATACATACGGGTTTTTGTTAATCATTTTAAAATCTCAAAGAGCAGTCTGTGCTACACAATAATACACGAAATCCACATGAAGCCTCCCGGTATTTTATGGCAAGTCCTACTTAGGCCAAGCTTTTTGGATTTGCTTCAGATCTTTATTTCCAAGCTCAGTAGCAAACTCCTGAAAGCTTTGATTTCAAATAAACATCTCCATTTTGTCTTTTGCCTCTTCATGTAGTAATCGTGTATATGTTTATATACTGAAGAATCAATCATCCAATAGAAATCTAGCTTTGATAACTATGTTTACTAAGAGGATACTAAAATTACCCATAAGGTAATTTAAGGGAATTCATTACCCAAATAAAAGACTATGAGCATAAAAAACTATAGATATTGCTGAGAGTTTACTTACTGTGCTTAATACTTCACATGTACTATTACGACTAATTTGCCTTCTTGAAAAGATGAGGAAACAAGCCTAAGGAAATTAAATAATTTGCTGAAGGTTACACCCGAGAGCAAGCAACTGAACCAATCATCTAACCCAGGCCTTCTAACTCCATTTGGGTCATCTTTTCTGATTTGTGGCTCTAAAACCCCCTTTCCAGAAACAATCTGACATTTTTAGAAACCTTCTTTTAGAATTGACGTATTTTACTGAAAAAGATTCCATTTCTTTTGAAGATTAACCAGAGATTTTAAAGCTAATCTTGGCTTTTCTTTCAACATTTCTTCACCACTGCCACCCCCACCAAAAAATAAGAGAAAATGCAGTTTCTGTCATTTAGATATTTTGAGAAAATATTAACTGCAGAAACAAATTAGCATGCTCTGAAAAACAAGTCCCAGAGTTTAGAGAGACTCTGACAAAGATGCAATTTGAGTGTGTTCCTCAAGCACATTCATTGCCATTTATACCTTATTCACAATCAGCAAATCTGGCTGTGCCTGGGATGAAGAATTTTTTGTTTATTTATTTTAGAGACAGAACTTTGCTCTGCCACCCAGGCTGCTGCATCCTAGGTGATGTAGCCTGCTACATGATCATAGCTCACTGAAGCCTCGAAACTCCCCTCTTGCCTCAGCCTCCCAAGTAGTCGGGACTACAGATACACACCACCCTGCTCTGCTAATTTTTTTAATACATGGGGGTCTCACTATATTGCCCAGGCTGGTCTCAAACTCCTGGCCTCAAGCAATCCTTCCACCTCAGCCTTCCAGGTATCTGGGATTGCTGGCATGAGCCATCATGCCCAGCTAAACAAGTTCTTCCCTAAAAGTGAAGAGGGCTTGTTTAAAAGGACTGTAATAAGCTTCCCTTGCAATTCCCCAAGTGGACTTTGCAAAATGTCCTCCTCCCCTCAATTCTTCCACCTCCTAGAAACACCTATTCATGCCTTCTTCCTTCCTGGAAGCCCTAGGAGTTTCCTGGGGTTCCTTGAGCTATGGCAACCCCATATGTATGATTCCAAATTTAGACAGAGGAGTGT
Organism: Homo sapiens; assembly: GCF_000001405.40. Classification (NCBI taxonomy): domain Eukaryota; kingdom Metazoa; phylum Chordata; class Mammalia; order Primates; family Hominidae; genus Homo; species Homo sapiens. Next base: position 79,380,919 of record NC_000012.12, read on the forward strand.
AACCTGTGTCCTAGTGTGCAAGCCCAGGAAAGAGAATTAGCACCAATATGTGATACTAAACACTTGACAATCTTTCCCTCATTTAATTCCTACGACAAAACTAGGTAATACTGTCATTATCAACAATTTGCAGATAGGGCTTAGAGACTCTGAAATCTGAAGTCCATGCCTTTGGCTACTCCACCATAATTTCTCCTAGGATTTAGTAGTTTTTATTCCTTGAAACATTGGCAACGAATGGCCTACTATATTATTATGCTGAATTCCCTGATTCCTACTTTAAAACACAACCATTTCCATTTTCGAAAGATTATAGATCCATCTCTTGCTTGCCTGAAAGTAACACATTCTTTCTTCAAAGGTAAAACTGTACACCTAAACTTTGTAAAACTCTGTAGTTGAGACTGTCTCAAGTTCCTGTTGAATCAGATAATTGTTATCAGATCCCCTTGAAAAAGATAAAAGGACCACCACTGTTACAAAGTACAGAGCAACAAAAGCCAAGGCCCAGTTAACAGCACTTCATTGAAATGCAAGAGGCATCTCTGTGTACTTACTTCCCATCTTAGACACAGGAGAGCAGGGGGTTTGAAGGATTTGAATTCTGAATTTCTGTTAGAATAACATCTGCCAAGAATAAGCCCTGAATGTACTACTTTTACCTGTAGAGAAAAATGAGCTTATCACTCAGGTCTTTGTCGAGATAATACCTACACCTGTTGTCAGGCTAAAGATTTAGATAGTCCTGGATGAAATTCCAGGTCTGCTGTGTGAGTGTTAGGGAGCATGGTTGAGCTACAAATTGCGTGGAAGCAAGCTGATTTTAAGTTGCCATGGCAAAGAAAATGCAGAGAATGAGCAGCTTTTACATTAATGTTTTCTACATCTTGTTAGGATAGGATTGTCCAGCTGAGGGGTGCTTTTTTTGTGCTTCTACTGACATGAACAGATAAAATAATAAACACTAATTATAGAGTATTATAATGATTTCTGGGCTTGCCTCAGAGGGGCGTCTATCTGGCTAGGTAATTACTTCCCTGACAGATAGGTTTTTACGTGAGAATGGAGCATGATGAGCCTAGTTTATTGCCTGCTGATGAGACCACGGGGGAGGAAGGTCATGCGGTATGCTTATTAAGACCATTTTAGTCAACGTGTTTTTCAATCAGTCGTCAGGGTACCCACCCCTGGTTAAAGAAACGCTACAGATGAAAATGACACAGTGATTCTCAGTCGTGCGAGTCTGTTGCTTTAGGGAAGTGACTAAATGGTAAGAGACTTCTCAGGTTGAAGTGGAAGGCATTTCTTGAAAATATGATGCCTTTGCCTATAATGCTCTAAAGTTGATCCCTAGTGTGAAAGAGAGTGCTGCTTTCTGTATGATACTTCATTCCCTGAAAGACTATTTTCCCCAGCTAAGTCAGATTCAAGTTCCTACACAATTCTGGATAATGTTTAGGAGGTATCCTGACTTCAAGGAATTTATATTCAAAAATACACAAACACATGCACTCTTCTCCCTTCTCCCGTAACCTAATTGAGTTTGCCAGGAAAAAGGGGCAATGATTTTTTCCCCTTGTTATTTACTAATAGATAATAAAGAATATATACTAGGGGTAAAAAAGACAGAAAATCAGAGAGTCCAGAGAGGAAAGGAAGTTAAAAAAAAGAAAAGAAAAACTAAATGAAGCTTTTACAAAAATGCGATAGTGTACACGTACTGCCCTTCTTGAAATGATCCATCTTATTAAATGATGTGGTTTCAGTGCTTACCTCTTAGTCCTGCTACACCTATGGGAATTTGGAAGAAAGCTAGGTTTTTCACTTTTTAAATGATGGCAAATGTTACGTGCTCCAAACGCTGAGTAGAGATTCTTGGATTGTGATGAAATATAAAAATATAGTGCAGTCCCCACTTTGAATTACTAAACAAACTCAAATATTGTAAAAAGGCAGGCATTTCTTGACTGCTCATACAACATAAACTTTTCTCCCAAGTAGTCTGTGTCGTGTGTGAAACTGTAGATAATAAATCTAGGCTTGTTTGCCATGTCTTCTATGAATGCTCGAAGGAAGTTTATCCACACCTAAACGTAACTGTTGAAATATTTATTGGCATGACATGCTAATAGAGGCCTTATAGTGCTTTGTGGAACAGACACATATACAGTCACGTGGGATACAGGTATGTTTTGAGAAATGCACAGTTAGGCAATTTCATCATTGTTGTGTGAACTTCATAGAGTGTATTTGCACAAACCTAGGTGTTGTAGCCTGCTACATACCTAAGCTATAGGGTATAGCCTATTGCTCCAAGGCTACAAACCTTTAGAGAATATTATTGTACTGAATATTGTAAGCAGTGGAAACACAAAGGTAAGTAAGTATTTGTGTATCTAAAGATAGAAAAGGTACATTTAAAACACATCATTATAATCTTACAGGACCACCATAGAACATGTGGTTCATCCTTGACCAAAACATTCTTGTATTTCCACTTCCTCCCTAACTATGAATATTTTCATGCTGTTCAATATGGTACAATGGCAAAATAAGTTTATATAGTATAGATGGCTATTCAAGATATAGTTATTTAAATAAAAAGTGGGTTTTTTTCCTAAAAACAAAACAAAAGAAAATCTCCTTTTGCTTTTCTAACTACCCTTTATGTCCATTTTGTTGTTGTCCCTTGCAGAATTTACAGTATTAGACAAAACACACAGTGGAAGATCAGAATTTAATTAGATTTGTTTGTTGTTGAAACAGCTTTCAAATTCTTTCATCTTATAGGGAGTGAATCCCTAGATTACTCACAGACACATGAAAATAAAAAACTACAGAAGAATGTTCACATTGCATTTCAGTTCTTCATCATGTAAAGCACTTGGGCCTTTCTAAAAGATGCAAATCACTCTTTATTATTTTGATGAGCTAACAAGATGAATTCATCTCTAGAACACTATAAAAACTAAATTGTGAAAAATGGCGCCAACCATATAACCTGTCCTTGATCATACCTATTATTTGGTAACTCTGTGGGGAAACTAGAATCTTTTAGAAGTATTATTTGTGTCCTAACTATTTAAGTGGATGATTTACCCTCCTCTAGGAAACTTAATATTGAGAGTAGGCTGAGAGGTGATCACGTTAATCTGGAAAATTTTTCATAAATTAAGGAAATTGAGTTTAATAGTTACAGCAAATTCTCCACATGCATCATGTTTCTGTACTGAGTGCTGAACTATACAATAAACAAGGAACTGAAAACAAGCTTTGAAAATATCCAGCAGATTCAAGTATTGCTATTTGGCCTAACAACCTCTTAAACATATGCTCATTTGCAACTGCAAATATAAAAGCTTTTGTGTAAAAGGCTTTATATTTTATACACAAAATATAAAAAATTTTGTAAGATTAGATTTATATGCCAAAAAGAATCTTTCATATATATAATTCTGTAATTCTTAGATATCAAAAACAAGACTATTTGAACAGTTTAGTATTAAAATAAGTGACAACTTACATTACTTATGAGGGCACGTAATCAGAGTGGCTGTACCTGAACTAGGTACAAAAATGCTTAATACTCAGCTTAACACTAGCATGTAAAATGTATGTGAATTCAGCAAAACATATTTTAAATGACTTTACATTCCATTGCTATGTATGTTATAGACACAAAGTTATGGCACTGAGATGAATCACTACTTTTGACAAACATTTTTTGACACTCTCACCTGGGAGATCCGGAGCACCATCCACTGACAGCCAAAATGATCTAAATTTATAGTTCCATTGTTTCAAGGCTTGAATAGAAGCATAGCAGAAAACAAGAATGAAAGCTGATTTTCTATTGTTGGCCGATGTGAAAAAACGTCATCACTTATTATATGATAGGTTTGGTTGGCTTTCTCCTGAGTTACGTAAGATGTTATGTTCCTGATCTGTTTATGTATGGGTGTTTAATACCCAAATCTTTGAATTATTGTTAGATTATTTACTATCTTTTGCTAGTAGTTATTCCCACCAAGCAATTTATAATAAGCAGCTAATGGAAGGGACCACTGGATTTTTTTTTTTTTTTTTTTGAGACAGTCTCACTCTGTCACCCAGGCTGGAGTGCAATGGCATGATCTCAGCTCACTGCAACCTCCGCCTCCTAGATTCAAGTGATTCTCCTGCCTCAGCCTCTCTAGTAGTTGGGATTACAGGCACCCACCACCATGCCCAGCTAATTCTTGTGTTTTTGGTAGAGACAGGGTTTCACCATGTTGGCCAGGCTGGTCTTGAACTCCTGCCCTCAAGTGATCTGCCAGCCTCGGCCTCCCAAAGTGTCGGGATTACAGGCATGAGCCACTGCTTCTGGGCAGGACCACTGGATTTCCATATGGAAAAAACTACTATCAAAAAAAGATTTTTTTTTCCAAACTCTACATAGATAAGGATTGTATAATCAGTTACTGGAAATGCATTCTTAGGATTGTTTGCATAATTTATTTTCTATGTATTTGTGGATGCTCAATCAAGCTTTATGTATATTCATTGATTTTTTTCAAATCTGATTGCCCTAGTTATGCGTGTTTATTCCCCCCAAAATTGTCAGCCACAATTAAAATTAAAATTATGATACCAAACTTACTGGTGGTAGCATGCTATAATTTATAATTCAAGATGGTATCAGAGCCACATTATATACTAAACTGGTTTTGTATATGCAGTTTATCATAGGATTTAGAACAAATCAGTGTATTAGGCCAGAGTTACCAACTGAAGGGAGCATCAACCAACTGTGGTTATACAATTACCCATTGTTGTTGTTGTTGTTGTTGTTTTTTAATTCAGGAAAATGTGTTGTATATGAATATACTAAATAAAGGAAATAAAGCTATTAATAGAATGTGCCACTGGTGTCTTAGGTGAAAACATACACCAAGATTCATAACTCCCCTAAAATTGTTATTGTCAGTTAGCTGGATAAAGTGGTCTATGACTAAGTTAAAAAGCTAGAAAAATCTTGTAGTCAAAAGGAAAACAAACTTTGTTATGTATACTCAGGCTGGCCCACAGAAGGTGGTGCATGGCAGTGCTGGTGAATATCATTGCTGCAGTCTCTAATACTGCTGCAGTGCTGCCTAGCTGCTACTTTAAACCAACACTGGCTCATCTGGGGCCTTGAATTACCCCTTAAAGGTTGTATGGTGCATTACCCTGCTATTTTAAAATTACTTTAAACCATTCCTAAAGAAAGGTACCACATCCTTCTCCAGAGAAGAAGTTATTAGATTCTTTACAAAAACACATATTTATTTAAATAATAAATTTCCAACAAAAAATTCACAATTATAAGATTCCTTTGAAAATTACCAGGGTTTTCCCCAAATACATTTTTGGGTTTTTTTTTTTCCTTCCTTAGTATTCATTAGTTTTCTTTTTTCTTTTTCTTTTTTTTATACTTTAAGTTCTGGGGTACATGTGCACAACGTGCAGGTTTGTTACATAGGTATACACATGCCATGGTGGTTTGCTGCACCCATCAACCCATCATCTACATTAGGTATTTCTCTTAATGCTATCCCTCTCCTAGCCCCCCAACCCCCACAGACCCTGGTGTGTGATGTTCCCCTCCCTGTGTCCATGTGTTCTCATTTTTCAACTCCCACTTACTAGTTTTCTATTGTATGAACTATCTTCCATGCTTATTTTGCTTTTATTAAAAATAAGAAATCTGTATTCCTGGTATTCCCTGGTGTTTCGATCTTTTACACACCTATTAGAACCATAATTTCTGTAACATCATAACGCTTTTCAAAACGTCTCAGTGCCTGTTCCTGAAGTTATTAGTTTCCAAGTCTCCTCAATGCCTAGCCTCGTGCATCCATGGGTCTGTAGTTGCGCCTATAGCATTCTCATTGCTACTTCAGTTTCCCTGTGACCTCCTACTTCACTTCTCTACGGGTGTGCACTCTCCTTATCTTTCTTGCTTTCTCTCTCAACGTTAAATTCACATATATGAAAGACATTCTATGGGAAGAATAACCTACTCCAGCATTTAATAGAGCCATTCTAAACATATCTGACATAGAGATGTCCGCCTGTCACCTGCCTATTCAGGAAATGAGCTTGAGATTGGAGATAGATATATTATTGCAAACCACAATCAAGGCTAATATCTTAACCTGATTTTATCCTAATTTATCTCTGTTTATCTTCATTTTCAGCATTTCTGCTCTTTCTACCCTCTCTTACCCACCTTGTAATCTTCAAATACTATATCTAACTGATACCCTTCATAAAGGGAATATTTTTGCACATATTATGCACTTTCAGTTGAAGAGACAGTAACCCTCCAAGACAGCAATGGCCCAGAAAAGAGACTAGAAATGTAGTGATAATTCATAAGTCAACATCTGCCTCTCTTTTCTACCTTAGCCAAGTTTAATGCAGAGGGCATTACACTTAGTTCTAGTCTCAAGTCTACCATAATTAGAACCATAATCATGGGCAAATCATTTAACTTGTCTGGGCATCAATCTCTCAATGAAAAAACTAAGCTATTTGACACATATGGCCCCTTTTATGTTTAAATCAATTTTATTGTTTTTTACTAAATGAGGTGTAGAACATTGACCCATCAAATGAAATCACTGTAAAGAATATAAAAATTATAGTTAAATAACATTTCAAATATGAAGCTATTTAAATGTCAACTGTGCAGGCAATTTTTAAATATTTCTAGTCAATCATAATCACTGCTTTCTCAGTCTTTCTATTCTTCCTATAAGCATTTGATTAAAGTTGATAACACAGAATTCTCTTTTAATATGCATTCTGTTGGGGATACCAATTAAGATTTCTTTAACTTGTTTATTTTAGAAATTGTTTATAACGCCAGGCAACAGTTGTAAAGAGGATAACATTCCCAGTAGATGGTTTTGAAAACTTCTATAATATCTAATTATGTATAGATCCAGACTGTTTATGTTTGGCATACAAATAATTGCTGGGAGTTAGAATGGTTTGATCAATACATGCAATTAAGTGCACATATGTTAACCTTTTTCTTTAAAAGTTACTTTGTTATATGAACATTTATTTTTTAGGTTATATATTTAATCCCAAATCTTTGCTATCTCATGAAGACCAGTTTGTCATAAACACTTAATAAATGTCATTTTGTTCAATTAAAACAGAAGGGCCTGTACATCCTATGCATACATACTTTTTCTTCTACTGCATTGTACAAACATTTAAACCTGTGTGTGTATAGCTTCAGGAAACTGTAGCTGGAGCTGGGCCAGAAAATGTCTACAGTAGCCTTACAATAGTTTTCTAGTTCCTTGGTCACTACTATGCATCACGAGTGCCTTTACCTATGTCCTTTTCCTCTTCAACCTATATACACACAGACTTTTTCCTGCTTCTTTAAGGGGGAAAAGTCTGCTAATTCAGGTGAGGGACTATGTGTTTGAAAAAGTGTTTTCAAATAAAATACTTGGCCAGTCACAGTGGCTCACATCTGTAATCATAACACTTTGGGAGGGTGAGGTGGGTGGACAACCTGAGTCCAGGAGTTCAAGACCAGACTGGGAAACATGGCAAAACCCCATCTCCACTAAAAATAAAAATAAAAAATAAATAAAAAAATAGCCAGGTGTGGTGGCACACACCTGTAGTTCCAGCTACAAGGGAGGCTGAGGTCAGAGGATCACTTGAGCCAGGGATGTGGCGGTTGCAATGAGCCAGGATCGTACCACTGCACTCCAGCCTGGGCAACAGAGTGAGACTCTGTCTCCATAAATAAATAAATAAATTTTGTAGTGGTAGAAGTTTCTAAGCAGGGATTTCCATGTTCTACTCATAGAAAAACTTACAGAACAAGCAGGTACTTTAAACCCCAACTTCTAGGGCTAACTACGTCATGGAAATTATTCTATAAGGACATGATCTACATCATTACATCACACATGAGTCCAGCCCTCTTTGTCTAAGCCTGTGACACATACTTAAACCCTGCTGTTTAACAAATCAACTCCAAAGTAACCCATCTTTGAATGTCATTAAGGATGAGTATCTGCAATGCAAGAAACTTTGTTATCCCATGATGTTTAGAAAAATCTGCTTAATAAGTAGATATATTCCACTTGTTTGTTACTCTCCATAGGTACTCTCTCTCTACTTACAACAGAATTATATGTAATCAGTTGTTCTCATTCACATAAACAAACCCTGACAAGAAATAAAAATGTGGTAATATCAGTTCTCTGCATCAAGGAACATTTTTAATAAACTGTACTATAGAACGTCTTACTAATCAGATCTTTTAACAAAACATATGTTAGCCGTAATTTCTGTACTAAGACACTGAATCTATATTACATTGTAAAAATTTGAGTATGAGCTATCTATACGTTCCCAGCATTGTATCCTATGTAAAAACCCTAAATTAAATAATACACCCAAAGAAATTGAGACCATTTTTAGTTAATTTAAGAAAATAATGTCAGATATTTCCAGTTGCTAAGCATTTAATATGAATCAGGCACTGTGCTAAGAATTTTATAGAGAGTAGCCCATCTAACCCTCACAGTAACCCTATATGGTAGGTACTGTAATTAATATTATTTTACAGAGGAGGAAACTAAAATGTTAAAAGCTTAATTGTCCATAATTGTAAGTGGAGCTAGAATTCAAACCAAGTTTTTCTGGCTCCTGAATTATATTTTTATACCACCACCTACCAGTACATTTATATTCAGGTTTCTTTGGCTATCTCACCATAAAATGCTGCCACCCCATCTTAATGGTTGAGGAGATTCAACTCTCAGTTCTACCATAAGCAGTAGCATGCAATTTTAGCTATAGCTCTAGAAGTATCCAAGATTATTTAGCTCAATTTCCCAGCTCTGTAGGTTAAATTCATTGTCTTTAATGTGTTTCACTCTAGCTACCCAATGCAAATTATGTCACTAAGAACAAAGGAATAGTCACTACTTGTTTGTTTCCAATAATTCTTTTTTTTTTTTCTTTTTTTTGAGACGGAGTCTTGCTCTGTTGCCCAGGCTGGAGTGCAGCGGCGCGATCTTGGCTCACTGCAATTTCTGCCTCCTGGGTTCACACCATTCTCCTGCCTCAGCCTCCTGAGTAGCTGGGACTACAGGCGCCCGCCACCATGCCCGGCTAATTTTTTTGTCTTTTTAATAGAGACGGGGTTTCACTGTTTTAGCCAGGATGGTCTCGATCTCCTGACCTTGTGATCCGCCCGCCCCAGCCTCCCAAAGTGCTGGGATTACAGGCGTGAACCACCGCGCCCGGCCTCCAATAATTCTTTATTATATACTGTGCTGTATTGAATTACCTTGGATTCCATTATTTTGCCAAATCATTTATTTATAAGGTAAATTCCTAGAAGTAACATTTCTGGGTCAAACGACGTTAGTAATATTGATAGGTACAAAGGCTTTTTGTTATTGTTTGTTTTCATTTTTATTAAAGTTATGCATACAAGCACATAGATTTAAGAATCAAACAATTCTACAATTTTTTTAAAAGGATAAGAAAAGCAGACACTCCCCTCACAGTGCTTGCAGGCACCTCTTTTAGCTTTTTTTTTATTTTCAATTTACCCTCTTGTCTCTAGATGATACGCTGCTTGGTGAATTTTGTTTCAGCGTTACCCACTGACTCCCCGCCATGGAAAATGAGGGTTTAGCTCTTTTCTATGCACACACATATTTCCAATATAGTTATGCCATAATTTTGTCTAGCTCAATATTCAATTCACATTATTGGGATTATGTGGAAACTGCACAATTGAGCCCTATAGTAACCTTTCAACACTTTTCCTTTCTCATCTAGCATTGTTTAATTGTCCCATTGGCTTAATTTTCATGTGTTTATTACCAATTCAATCCCAACCTCACTGCTGATTGTCTAAATCTCTCTCAAATTGCTCATCCTTATGAAGTAGCCTTCCCCAGAACCTGACTTGCTACAGTCTAGACTGGTTGCTCTCTAACTCATCCTGGAGATTCCTGCCATCTGTGTGGGAGCTTCTAATGTCTTCCTCTTTCAGTGTTGGCTCCATCTTGGTGGCAAACATCCAGTAGTAACTAACTGCCTGCAAGGTGACTTTGGGAAAGCTGCTTAACAACTCCAAACCTCAGTCCTCTCATCTCACCTTAATTGTGTCACTACTTTTAAGATTAGTCATAGCCTCTTGACCCAGTGGTTAAAGCAGTTGTTTTCAATTGGCAGAATGCATTAGAAGTTCTGGGGGGCATTTGTTAAAAATGCTGGTGCCCAGGCCCACCCCAGTGATCCTGATTCAATAGCTCTGAAATAGGGTGTATCTGAATATTAAAAATACCTGGTGGTTATTCTGATGCAAAGTCCTGAAGAATCACTTTTTAAGAAGCACCAGCTCAAAGATATAAAACAAAAATAACAAGTCAGCAGTGATTTTCAAAGCCAACAGTAAAAGAAGCTTTCAAAAATCCCTTCCCAGTTCTAAAATGTATACATTGGGGGATGCCAGAAATATATTGCTTAAGATTTTTGAAAAGTTCCCTAGGAATTTTAAAAAAACTAATTTAATAAAGAATAACACAGTCCATAGGTCATTAACTTCAAATCATGTATTAGGAAGATGGCGAAGAGCTAAAGTGGCCCATTTTTATTATTTTCTGAAAGTGGAAAAGATGTTGCCAAAAGCAAAGAAAAGAAGACATTATCTTTTGTAATCATTGAAATAGAATTTTTAGTTGATTCCCGCCCCCCAACAGTTTTGAGTAGACAGTAAGAATTACAAATGATTACACCACTTAGAAAAGCCAGAGAAAGGAATAAATAGATTTATTTTTGTTCAGAATGACTGATTTGTTGTGATCAGAAACCAAAGGATTTTAAAATACTGAGTACAAACCTGCATATGAGGTTTGTAAGACAATGGGTAGAATACTGGATGTCACAACTAAAAATGAGGCCAGTATCACGGTAATTTTGCAAGATGTGTGTCAAATATCAATCCATTGTTGAAAGGTGTCCAATTCATATTGTAAACCTTAGTAAAAAATGTGCCACATCCACACCACATGAACAGCACATATCATCACAAAAATAGTGTTCTTTGAAGAATGCGTAGGTACCACTAGACACCTATTATTAATCATTGTTTCTCCAAAGAAGGAAGAGTTTAGATATGGTTTTGGGAGAGTATCTTAATGACCACCACATTTCAATATTTTTAAAATATATGTTTGAAATATCCTAAATAGGCAAGTTTCCATGGCAATATACTTTGGGCAATTTGAAAGCAAACAAATAACTATGAAAAATGTTATTTAAAAAGTTTTTATTTTCTAGCATATCTACAAAAATCACATCAACTCTTTGCTATTGTGAAAAACTACATGTCATAGGAAAAACAAGTAATGATATAAACAGATTTCATAATTTGAAATAAACTATCAGCTGAACAAAGATTACATTAAGAACATACCCAATAATACAGATTGTAGATGCACAAGTAAGAATTTACACCGGTTTACAGCAAATGAGGACAGGAGGATGGAGGATACTTTACTCCCCATTTGATCCCACATATGGTATATGATTTACTTGGAGTATAAAGGACAAAGAAAAAGGGTATAGGGAGACTATCAGGAGAGGTAAACCAATTTAAGCTAATGCAAAACGAAAAAAAAGACAAATGTTTATGTCTGATGACATAAAATTAAAAGATTACTAGTTCAGTCAGTTTAATGAAGATTAATCTGGTCCAGTTAATAAAGAAAACTGAGTATATGTATTGTAACCATGTCTGAAGAGGCAATCCTGAAAGCATTTTTTTTTTTCTGAAGCACAACTCTTTATTTTTCTTTCTTTTTTTTTTTTTTTTTTAGTTATACTTTAAGTTCTAGGTTACATGTGCACAACGTGCAGTTTTGTTACATAGGTATACATGTGCCATGTTGGTTTGCTGCACCCATCAACTCCTCATTTACATTAGGTATTTCTCCTAACGCTATCCCTCCCCAAGCCCCCCACCCCCGAGCAGGCCCCCACATGTGATGTTCCCCTGTCTGTGTCCATGTGTTCTCATTGTTCAATTTCCACTTATAAGTGAGAACATGCAGTGTTTGGTTTTCTGTCCTCGTGGTATTTTGCTGAGAATGATGGTTTCCAGCTTCATCCATGTCCCTGCAAAGGACATGAACTCATCCTTTTTTGTGGCTGCATAGTATTCCATGGTGTATATGTGCCACATTTTCTTTATCCAGTCTATTATTGATGGACGTTTGGGTTGGCTCCAAGTCTTTGCTATGGTGAATAGTGCCAAAATAAACATACGTGTGCATGTGTCTTTGTAGTAGTGTGACTTATAATCCTTTGGGTATATACCCAGTAATGGGATTGCTGGGTCAAATGGTATTTCTAGTTCTAGATCCTTGAGGAATCACCACACTGTCTTCCACAATGGTTGTACTAATTCACACTCCCACCAACAGTGTAAAAGCGTTCCTATTTCTTCACATCCTCTCCAGCATCTGTTGTTTCCTGACTTCTTAATGATTGCCATTCTAACTGGCGTGAGATGGTATCTCATTGTGGTTTTGATTTGCATTTCTCTGATGACCAGTGATGATGAGCATTTTTTCATATGTCTGTTGGCTGCATAAATGTCTTATTTTGAGAAGCGTCTGTTCATATCCTTTGCCCACTTTTTGATGGGATTGTTTTTTTTCTTTCAAATTTGTTTAAGTTCTTTGTAGATTCTGGATATTAGCCTTTTGTCAAATGGGTAGATTGTGAGAATTTTCTCCCATTCGGTAGGTTGCCTGTTCACGCTGATGATAGTTTATTTTGCTGTGCAGAAACTCTTTCGTTTAATTAAATCCCATTTGTCTATTTTGGCTTTTGTTGCCATCTGAAAGCATTTCTTTAAGCTTCTCTGTCAGCCTCCCTCTTCTTTTCCCCACTCCATCCTTCTCTCTGATTTCTTCTGCCTTCTGGGGAAGAAATGAAGACTGAGCAATTTCATCAGTATATACCCCTCTACTAAGCACTAGCATCCTGTGCTGTTCCCTCCTGGGACAGAGAAGACCAGAAACAGCTGCTATGTCAATTTACACCTTGTCTCTGACTAACCTAGAAGCTATAGCAGGGGCTGCATTAAAGACATAATATGTCATTTGTCTGTAATCTGCTCTAATGCTTTGGCATCTGGTCACATGTATTACTTAAAATCAGACAAATACATAAACTCTTCACATAGCCCAGATAGCTCGGTGATAGCACCTGGTAAATGCTAGGGGTATGTAGCCGGGTATTAACTTGAATTGCAATGGACCAGCAGATATGAAAATGATTTGGGATATTACCAAAGCAGTTGTTAAAATGGAAATAATATTGCTCTTACTGGGAAGAAAAAATTGAAAACAGTAAAAATGCAGCTACAAAAAAAATTACAGGCAGAAGCGCTATAGTATTTTAGATTTAACCTGTGTAGGCAACTGACAAACACTGATAAAGACAGATGGCCATGACAGCATATAAAACAGTCCTCAGGATGATTCAGTATACAAATGTGAACCCATTTAAGCTAATAAAGATCAATACCAACCAGAAGTTGATGATGCATAACCCACCCTTTATTCTTATGTCTCATTTTAAAGGTTAACACATTTCAAAATTTATACATTTAAAGATGCTTAACTTTTAAGATAGGAATTGATTTGGCTTATTTTATGTTAAAGAAAACTGTTTCAGCTCACATCAATAAAATATAATACCTAACTAGAATTCATCAAAAACAGGTTTCTACTGCAACATTTCAACAAACTAGATGATATGTTTTACGCTTATTAATTACTCAAATGCTAAAACATCTGGACTGTAAATTTAATCTTCCAATGAAATAGCTACACAATACAGTTTTTTCACTATTAAATACATTAGGTTATTACCCTGTTTACCTAAAGTTACCTCCATAATTACCAATAGAATTAAGGTTAAGTTGATAAATTTCATGAGAATCCCAAAGTTTGAAAACTATTTTCACACAACACACACATAATTTTATTATCTTATATTATTTTTTAAGGCCAAGATAATTTTAAAGAACTTGATACATAATAAGCCTTAAATACATTTGTCAAAGAGATGAGAGAAAAAGAGGAAGGGAAAGAGGTAGAGAGGAAGACTGGTTGTAGAAGAGACATGAATAAACCATGGCTGCATTTAAAAATTCCTCTGAATGATTTATGAATTCATTACAGAGATCAACTTTTTTGGTTTTTTGGTTTTTTGGTTTTTGTTTTTGAGATGGAGTCACTTCTTTCACCCAGGCTGGTGTGCAGTGGCGCAATCTCAGCTCACTGCAACCTCTGCCTCCCAGATTCAATCAAGTCTTCTGCCTCTGCCTCCTGAGTAGCTGGGATTACAGGGGCCCACGACCACGCCCAGCTAATTTTTGTATTTTTAGTAGAGATGAGGTTTCACCATGTTGACCAGGCTGGTCTTGAACTCCTGACCTCAAGTGATCCTCCAGCCTTGACCTCCCAAAGTGTTGGGATTACAGGTGTGAGCCACCATGCCTAGCCCCAGAGCTCAACATTTATTACGGATTTTGTTTTTTGGCTTTTGTTTTTTGTAGAGACGTCATCTCACTATGTTGCTCAGGCTGGTCTCAAACACCTGGAATCAAGCAAATCTCCTGCCTTGGCCTCCCAAAGTGCTGGGATTACAGGCATGAGCCAACATGCCTGACTATTACAGACTTTGATAGTAGTCTACTTGATTCATAAAGATATTTCCTTTCCTAGTCTATGTGTAGTAAGCACTTTACTTAGAGCATAATAAAAGGGGGAAAAGAATATAGAAATATCAAAGAAGAGAAAAATTGATTTAAACTGATGCATATCATATCAAAATAAATTTAAAATAACATACTCAGTAAAGAACTATCCAGATTTTCCTAATTTTCTAAATTAATAAATTTAGGGAGACATCTTTATAGTTTATAAGATAGCCATTGACTATTTTGTTATCATACTATGGCTGCAATATACCCAATAATACTCTGTATCCTAAATTAGTTACTACACCTGGGAATATAATTTTTAATTGCTTAATGCTTACATACAAAATTATCTATAACCATTTCTAAGCAGAATATTTTAATACTTTAGAAATTGAGTGAGGTATTTAGTATGCTGACCATTTTATAAGGTCCAAAGAGTATGCTAATGGAGTTCCAGGTGAGAACAAGAAATTTTTATAATGATGGCCAATTTTCATCTGGGACCACCCTCAATGCAGAAGGATTGGTTGATGTCATGTCTGCCCTAAACTGAAACTATTTCACTTGAATACAAATTTAGAAAAATATGTTGATAATTCTTCAGCATATTGCAAGTAAATATTAATTTAAATATTAAATGTATAAGTATTAAATTAAATATTAATCCAGTCTTTCTCAACCCTCCCAGTACATCAGAATCACCTTAGTGGATTTTTAAAATACAGATGCCAGGGCTCTATCCCAAGAGAAGCAGTTAGTTGAAGGTCATAGGAAATAATTATTTTTTGAAAGTTTTCCCAGATGATACTAATCCAGTACAAAACAGGATTAAATGAAGTCATCATAGTCCTTTTCTGTCAGAATAAAGGAATAGAGCTTCCATTCAAAGAATGGAAGTTTTATAAATTCTATATCTAGGCTAAGGGGACATAATCATAGGTTAAGTGGAGAAAACTGTGACTCAAATACTTTGTGTGACTTGATTGAAGGATGATATTTTTCTGACAGTGTGTCAACAAATATTTATTGAGCATTTATTTGGTGCCAGGCATTATAATGTTGGTACTAGGAATAGAGAGATTAACATGATATTTTCCCTTCAGCAATTTATATTCTGGAAGAGAGAGTTAAATAATAAACATAAAATAATTTTGGGTGCTGGTAAGTGCAACAAAGAAGACAAATAGAATAATGTGAAAGGTAAATGAAGGGGTGGACTTAGCTCTGGTGAACAGACAAGTTTCTTTAAAAAGGTAACATATGAAAACCTAGAGGAAGAGGGTTTCAGGCAATAAGAAATGTGAATGCTAAGGTCCTGAGATGGGAAGAAACTTTATATATGTTCGAGGAATATCCAGGAAGCTGGAATGGCCAGAACTTGGCCCAGCACTGGGAGAGTGAAAGGGATGAGGTCTCAGAGGCAGGCAGGAACCAGCTGGTGTAGAGGTTTGGAGGCCACTGGAAGGGGGTTGCTTGTATTCCAGTTGCACCAGGGAACTAGCCATCAGAGATTTTGTTTTATTTTGTTTGAGACAGGGTCTCCCTCTGTTGCCCAGGCTGGAGTGCAGTGGCACAATCACGGCTCACTGCAGTCTCGATCTCCTGGGCTTAAGCAGTCCTCCCACCTCAGCCTTCCGAATAGCTGGGATTACAGGCCTGTGCCACCATGCCTGGATAATTTTATTTTTCTGTAGAGAGGGGAGTCTCCCTATGTTGCCCAGGCTGGTCTCGAACTCCCGGCTCACGTGATCCTTCCACTTCAGCCTCCCAAAGTGTTGCGATTACAGGCTTGAGCTACCATGCGTGGCCCATCAGAGGTTTTTAAATGAAAGGAGATCTGCCTGCATTTTGGAATGTTACTCTGGTTGCTGTGTGGAAGTTGGCCTGAAGAAGGAGGTCAACTTTGGAGGCAGGATCCCTGATGCTGCAAAATGATGGTACCTGGGTACTGGGAAGATTCTAATTGATGACCTAAGTCTTACAAATAATGGTTTTTCTTTATCATTCTTTTAGGTCAAAAGCTCTATGCTACAAGACTTAAAGATGTGGGGAGGATGTGATTCATATAAAAAGGAAGCATCCTGATAGATTTTTCCGAGTATATGTGAACTCCTAATCCAAACAGCTTTTCATCCAGGAAGTTTCCATCATGCTCTCCACTATCCACTGTAAATTCCATATCACTATGCAGAACTGAGGTTCCTGACATTTTTGTGTTTCTCAGAAAATGTTGGTGCAGCTTTTTAGTCTTGTAACCGAATGAGGTTAGGTTATGTTCATGCTACAAACATTAGATTCCAAATCACTGCTTAAAGCTGAAAGTTAACCTTCTAATTGAATTAATTTCTACATATGTTTTTCCTGTTCCACCAATTATATTCCATTTGTCATTTGTTATGTTTCAGGAAAAGTGTTCAGTATGAAAGGCCAGTCTGATCCACAGAATAAGGGTAGGAGGGCTCTTGCTGTAACATAGGCTGAGCTCCTCTGAACTAACAGGGAAAATGTGATCAAATGCTATTGAATGAATTCCATACTTTAAGAAGACAGAATACTAAGGGCCATGCTCTGAGTTCATAGCAGTAGTTATCTCATATTTAATAATTGACTTGGCTTTTAAATACTGTCTTAAAATATCTTCTGAATTATTATGTTTAATTCTTAATTTATCCTGGCTTTGTACTGTTAGCCAACTTAATTTTAAATTTCCTGATAACAAGGAGTAGGTATTATATGGGGCCCATGTGTGTTAAGCCTATTATGACATAAAATATGTAATAGGAAGTCAGTAAATAGGTGCCGAATAAAGTAAACGTTTAACAGAATATGGTCCTTATATGGTCCTTATTATGGTCCTTGACTCTAGAAGTCAAGAATAAGGTCCTTATACTTTAGACTTTAAAATGCATTTAAAATATGATAAATGTTAACTTATACAAATCAACATATATAAAATTTGTCAACAGTAGACATGTATCAAAACATTTGCAAATAGGATTTATTGATGAGGAAAATTTTCTGGGAAAACATCTAAATTGCTATTTTAGAAGGAAAATGATTGTAATATATAAAATGGACATGTTTTTTAAATAATGCATTTTGAGTAGGAGAGGGTACAGAATCTAATATCGGGGCCAAACAATTTTCTATTCAACAGTAATTCCTTTTACAGTATTTTTGCCATGGCCCTTGTAGCTGATTCTTCTCCAACCCCTGCTCCAAGTCACTGTCCAGCTCAACACGACCATACGAATAACCAGTACAGTAGATGAAAATAAATCATGTAGTCTCAGAAAGTCTTCTATATTTCTGTCTGCTTAGTCAGTCAATGTTGACAACATTAATACATAGTCCAGTATTGTTGTCCCTGGTTTCCTTTGAAATGCTACAATTTTAGAATCCTATTATTTCAGTGACATTTATTTTCTTAGGGGATTGGATTAGGGCATGAATAAGAAGGAATATTCATCTTTTCCTTGTTCTTTTCAAGTTTTAAAAGGGTTTTTAATATTGTTATTTTTGATGCAGATTGTTATATGACATTGAAACAAGTCATCTGCAGTAATTTGAATTTTTTTTTTTTTTTTTGCCTTTCAAAATTCCAATCACTGTCTTCAGTAGGTAATCCCAAGGAATATTATGATAAAAGATAACATAAAAATTCAGATATGATATTCCTGTTATTTAGAGGTTATATTTAATTTTCCTGTAAGTCAAAGTATTCAAATATGTTTCAAATATATTTCCAAAAATATAATTCCAATCAAACTTAAATTGGCTTTGTTTATAGTCGGAACAGTCTATGTTAACTACGTTTATCCCATCTTCCATAACATATTAGGGGAAAAAGCAGACTAAGTGTTGTCAAGTATACTCATTTGATGATTGCTGATGGATTTAGTTTTAAAGGCACCTTTTAATATACAAATAAATTAAAATTCTCATGTAGAAGATATTACAGAGTAAAGAAGTAGCTCTGAAACATTGGGGTTTCTGAATAATCTGGAGGTCTTGTTAAAATGCAGATTTCCCTTCCCACTCCCAGATGTCTGGGTGGTGCCCAAGAATTTCCATTTCTAACAAGTCCCCAGCTGATGCTGACCTTGCTGGTATAGGGCCACACCCTGAGTACCACTTGTAAAAATGATGCTCATCAGTTCTCTGCTTTTCTTAAGGAATAAAATTGTTCAAGCTAATCAGTTATATCCACAAGTACAATATCATTTAAGAGAAGCTTCTAGAGATCTTTAACCATATTCATATACAGCTCTGCTGGACAAACCAAATTGACTTGAGTTAATGCAAAGAGCTTATCTGAGCATCTTTCTCTCCAAAGCCAAGATGACTGGAATATACCTAGTCCTATTCTTGGAACTTCACTTTTTCTCCAAGAATACACAAGTCATTCCCTCTCCTTCAAGTTCAAACTTCCTACTCGGCTTTCTCACTCCTCTATGCCTAACTTATCCTTTATGTTTATGGACATAGTATAAACTATAGAAAAAAGTAGGTACTAGGACCCATGGCAAGTCATTAAGTTGAGCCACGATTTCATCAAAATGTAAAGGTAATAGTACCTACTTCTGGCTATTGTGGATGGAAAAATGAGATGATATGCACAGAATCAAGCACCATACCCAGTATTCAGGACGTCTCCCCTCCTACTGCCTGCAAAATTAAGTTTTTTCCTATCTTCCTAGAACTTCTGGCTTCTACAGTTATTGATCTCCCTGTCAACTGCATTCCATGAAATTCCCTGCTAATCCTAGAGTGTATCAGACGGAAACTGAAAAAGTGACCATATCAGACAGCATTTTCAGTTTTCTAGAAGGCAGAAAAACACAAAGGGGATAATTTGATGGCTGCTTGCCAGAAAGTAGCAGGACAGAAATTAGAGCTATGGAAATTTGTAACTGTCTTAATCACCTCTGGTGAAACACAACATCCGGCAGAACATAACAAATGAGACCACGCCATGTCTGATAGTAAGTTTTAGACTGAGGGCACATTGCTGAAAGGCAGGTGTTGTTCTGATCACCTTTGTACTCACTGTTGCCTGGGCTATTGCCATGTTTTCATAAGCCTCAGTAGTGCATTTGGTTTCCATGGAGTCCATCCATGAACTAAAAGAACAAAACATCTAATCCCAAAGCAGAATACAGATCTCTTGTAGTTTCATTCACCCTTTTAAACAATATCACAGTAATTTTTAGATTCAAATAATCATTGAGAGACCCTGTACTAGCAGTTAGGGACATGTCATCTGGGCATTGGCTCTATTGAACAATATGATCTTAAATAAACCTTTTCAGTGCCTTGGGTCTATGGCCCATCTGTAAGGTGGACATAATGCTGCCTGGCTAATCTGCCTTTCATTGTTATTATAATACATATCAAATTGCATTGTAGAATAAAAATGTCAAACAAGGGCCAATGGAATACTGGTGACAAAGTTGAATAGCACTAGTAACTAGAATCAAGTCAATTATCAGCTTTCAAACATACCGAATATCAAGAAAGTACCATAAGGCCAGGCACAATGACTCATGCCTGTAATCCCAGCACTTTGGGAGGCTGAGGCAGGAAGATTCCTTAAGCCCAGGAGTTCCAGGCTGCAGTGCACTATGATTGTGCCACTGCACTCCAGCTGGGGAGACAAAGCGAGACCCGGTGTCAATTACAAAAAAAAAGTGTGCCATAATAATCTCATAATGCTTTCACTTCGTATTCATGAAGCTAGTAACATAAGCCCCCTTGATAATACAGCCTATTACAAAATCAAAGTTGGCCCCTTCTACTTTGGAACAAATGTATTTTATGAGTGCTTTGGTTGGCTAATGAATTTCTGTAGAAAGAATTTTACTTTTCAGTTTTCTTCATTTTGATAAAGGAGATTACCACATGGAAGAATGATATTAAAGATAATAATTAAAACTCAACAAAACTCAAACTTTTTTTTTTTTTTTTTGGAGACAAGGTCTCACCCTGCTACCCAGGCTGGAGTGCAGCAGCACAGTCATAGCTCACTGTAGCCTCTAACTCCTGGGCTCAAGAGATCCTCCTGCCTCAGCTTCCCAAGTAGCTAGGACTACAGGCAGGAGCCACCATGTCCGGCTAATTATTTCATTTTTGTAAAGTCATGGTCTTGCTATGTTGCCCAGGCTGGTCTCATACTCCTGGGCTCAAGCGATCCTCCCACCTTGACCTTCCAAAGTACTGGGATTAGAGGCATAAGCCACCAAAACTCAAACATTTGTAGGCCAAAACTCAAACGTTTTTAGGAAGAAAGAGATTAAGAAGGTGGGCTGCCCTGGGACTTACTGATTGTGTAAGCCAGCATTGTTGGCCTAGTGAGTGTTTTAGCACTTTCAGAATCTCAGAGCCCTTCACAGATCCTCTGACAGGAGTTGACCCTTTGGCTTGAGTCAGTCTACACTCCACCCATCGCAAGCTCAGATAGTAGAAATTTCTCCCGTAAAAAGTTTCCATAATGCTACACGCAAACCTCTAGGGAACAGTAGCTCCTCTCTTGCCTGGAAGTGCAGGCTACTTTCTGAAGCTGCCATGTCCCACGTGGCCAGTAAGTGCTGCCATGTAAACTTGTGCAATTTCCCAGTCTCAATACAAAATCAAAGCTTCAAGCTTTGGGAGATAAAATCTGGGTTTCAAGTTTGATAAAATATTTTTCACAGTAGTTATCTAGGATTGATCAATTCTGAAGGCTCTAATTTCTGTTCTTCAAGCTAATTTAACACAAGGCAGCCTGAACAATACCACTCTTGGATGGGCAGCCTAAGAAACAGATTTTCGCAGGTGTTTCCTCTGTGCTGCAAACCTAAATAGCCCCCTACATTCAATCACATCGATGCCAGAGGCAGGAAAAAAACTGCAACAAAAGAAGAAAAGAGAGCAAGCTCAGTAAAGCTGAGGACTGCTCAAGAGCCGTTTTGATGTAGAGATCTCTGTGAAAGCTCATTAAATCCTCAGTGTGTGAGGCAGGGCTTAGGGAAAAATAGAAATAGGGATAATAAGACACCATATCCATCCATACTGACATATTTGCAAAGCATTCATTAGTTAAAATCCTCCAAGGAAACTCCATGTGACTCCTCAGCATATTAAGGACCTGAATCAGCTCTTCTGGTTAAACCACAGTCCAGATTAACAGTTACATACTGGAGAGATACAGTTAGTTTTTGTTTTGTTTTATTTTTCATAATACCACGAACAAACCTATTGCAAAAGCAATTCAAAGCATGGTTCCCATAATGAAGAACCAGTTGGGTCCTCTTCAGGAGGAAAGATAGCCCCATATACCATGAATATCTAATACATCTGAATAAATGATAATAAGTCATTAGATGACGGGTGTATATGAGAAAAGCCAAACTTACTAAGTTAGGTCCCCACTGCTTTTATTTTCTGGAAGACATTCATAAGGAAAGATGTATCTTCATGCTTCAGCCAAAACCCAGATGGGAATAAGACCTTCTATTATACAGGATTCCCCAGAGAAACAGAACCAATAGTGAGGGGGTCAGGGGAAGAGGCAGTTGGGAGAGAGGGAGAAAGAGAGAGAGGCTTTATCTTAAGGAACTGGCTCATTCAATTTTAGAGTTTGGCAAGTCCAAAATTTGCAGAGTAGCCCAGTAGACTGGAGACCCAGGAAATACTTGATGTTCAGTCCAAAGGCACTCTGCTGGCAAAATTCCCTCTTCTTCAGGGGAGGTCTTTTTTCTCTTAAGGCTTCTAACTGATTGGATAAAGCCCACCTAGTGACCTCATTGTAATTTAATTACTTCTTTAAAGACATTGTCTCCAAATACAATCTCATTCTGGGGTGCTAAGGGTTACAACTTCAACATATGAATTTAAGGGGACACAATTTCACCCATAAAATACCTCAGTGGGTTTTATTATGATCTAGATATTAGAAAGAGAGAGAGAGACAGAGACAGAGACATGGGGAGGTTGATAAATAGCAGATGTATTTCTCAAAGCAGTGATTCTCAAAGTATAGGCCCAGGCCCAGAAGTATCAGTATCATGTGAGAATTGGTTAGAAATGCAAATTCTCAGCCCCTACCCCAAATCTGCTGAGTCTGTAAGTGGGGCCCAGGAATTTGTGAATAAACCTTCCTTCCTGGTGGTTCCAATGAAGGCTAAAGTTTGAAAACAACTCTCTTAGAAGTTGCTTTATTAAAAGAATGACGCCACCTAAGAAGTTTTCCAACAAACATGGGTGTAAATATCGTTTAATCTGTGTGTTTTCATTAAATATATCAAGATAAGTCATATTTTATAAGTGAGCCTTGGATCTATTTTACTCTTATAAATTGAAAACAAAGCCAGAGCTCCAAGGATAAGCACCACAACACTGCAAAGAAACTTGGCCTCTGAGTACAGATTTCACAGGGTAAAAGCAAAACTGTGAGTACCCAATAAAGCTAATATATCAAATACCAGAGCAGTCTAATTGCTGTCTGTCTGGTTGGAAGCCTCCATTACCTTATGTAATTCCCATGAATGGCAGACTAAATTATAATGGTGGTACTTAATAAAATTCATTCTACCCTCTTCTTAAAAATGAAAAACTATAAATAGAACTACTGAGTGGCCACTTTTGAGCAAGAATGTAATTTATATTATGTCCCAAAACACCTTCCACACCCTCACAAAAGTAGCATTTGCAAATACACCAGCATTAAACAAGCCTCTCCCCCATGTTCTTTGAGAAACTACAGTACACAGGAGCAAGAAGTTTTAATTCACCTGTGAGTTATTTCCAAGTCTTGCTGGATGGTCAGATCTGTGAACAGTCATACACACAACCAACTTATCTGGAGAAGTCAGCTTCATCCGAGCATATATTCTACTTAGTGGTCAAGTACATGTAACTAAAGGTAAAGCCTACATCCAGGAAGCTTACGTGACTTGCGACTTGCGTAGCGTAGGTTTCAGCACATAAGATGCTAGATCAGATTGCATAATGCAACGAGAGCTAACACTCATAATTACTTATGTAAATTATATGGCAAGAATTTCCCAGGCCTTTAGGGAAAAAATGTTTATTTGCGGAGCCTAATTTTTTATATCAGCTATCACGAAAAAGATTGTCAAGGAGCATATTTGACTATTGGACTTGGATCTAGATGTACCCTCTTTGTGACATTGTCACATAATGACAACCTGGAGGTTAATACATTAAGGCAGCCTGTATGTGAGTGAAGCTTCAGAACTACTTGAAAATTGCATTATTTAACTGTGTCCAGATGGAATAGAGAACATTCTCACACTGAGCAATTATACCAGCAGGCCATTGATTGGGAAGTTGATGTTTGTCTTTTTCCACATGAACAAGGGCAGTCCCATTGCTGGAAGCTAGTGCTCTATCATTTTTAAATAAACAGAATGTTTGTCATTAGCATTTTCTAAAGTATTGGAGATATCTGATCTGGATTTGCTTTTATTTCTTCTTGATCAAATGAAATCTGCAAAGCCTCCATATACTCTTGTGCAATCTTAACACTTACTTAAATCATAGAAGCTCATAGAATCAAAAGTATACTTTTCATAAGAATTTTTAAACCCCAAAATTCCAAACAGGCAGAAATAAATATTACCTAGAGTTCTTGCAGATTTTTCAATGAATGCCTTCCTAATCAAAAGATTATAATTTAAATATTGATTAATTTATCTAGAATTTTAGAAGATTTAGAGTAATATCAACCCAGCTATGGGAAATACAAAAATAAATCATTAAACAAACATTTTATGACTCTTGCTATATCTCAGGAATTATACTGAAGTTTGACAAATAAACGTCTGACCACAAACAATCATAGACCCCTGCCCTCAAGGCTTCACAGTTGGGATATACCCTAAGCAATATCTATTTCAGTTAAGAACACATTGGGCTGCAAGTAACAGAAAATCCTCTGTAAACAGTAGAGTAGGCAACTTGGGAATTACTTTTTTCACATAACAAGAAGTCAGAATGCAACCTTTGGTTTGCCTACTCTATGATGCCATCAGGGACCTGTGTTTTTTCCTTCTTTTCAGCTCCTCTATCCTTAGTATGTTGGCCTCTGTTTCCATGATTGTCTCCTCATGGTGCAATTGAAGACAGTGGCTGTCCCAACCAAGTTTTTCCTCTTTACCAGTAAAGCAAAGGGTTTCTCAGAAATCCCACTCAGACTTTCCTTAGATCTTATTAACTGGAGAGTCAAAGGGCCACTTTTATCTAAAAGACTAAATGAGAACTAATGGGACAAGATCATCATGGCTGGCTTTTAAGTACAAGAATGACAGGAAAGTAATGGTTTAAAAAAATTAATATGGAAATGAAAGAGGAGAAAGGGAGTCAGTAAGACCAAGTGGAGCATTGCTAATATAATTCTGTCATAAGAACAAGAAGGTCTAGGTAATGGATCCTCTTATGATGGCTTAGTTTGTAATACCTTTCATGAAAGAAAAAACATTATGGACAGGTGGTCAGATACTTCCTAAACAACAGTCACAAGTTGCACTGCACTGTGGTGACTGGTATGTCTGTAGCTGCAGGTTAAGCACTATCTCAAGCATAGAGGTGACCCTTGGGGCAAGATAGTGCCTCTGAGCTTCTAAGGGTTACATGTTATAGGTCTGATTTCCACCTTATTCTATACACTCTCTGAAACTTCCAAAGATTCTGCTACATAAATCAACCTCATGCCCAAGTTGGTGGCAGCAGAAATGAACCTTAACTTAGCCCAAAAGGGTTTGAAGAGAACCAAGAAATAAAGCTAGAACCAGATCCAGCACTATCATTATTCTCATGCTACTTTTTAAAGTCTTGTCCACATTAGTCAGTGATAGAAAACTGATGTTAGGAACACTGAGCACCTAAGTGTCACTCACTCTGATCTCTAGTTGCTGCTTCTGATAAATTTCACCAATTAGCACAGGCTTAGAGTCAGATTATCTGGGTTTGAATACCAGTTCTGCTACTTGATAGTGGTGTAATCTTGGGGAAGTGCTTAAATTCTCTGTATTTTTCAATAAAATATTGATCACAATAGCACCTACCTCACAGAATTGTAGTGAGAAAGAAAGTGAGTTAATATTTGAAAGTCCTTGAAAAGTGTGTGGCACATGTCAGCCCTCCCGGAATGTCTGCTATTTTTATTACTGCAGCCATTATTATTCTGGTGTAGAGGTGAACTACCCTGCTTTGGAGGTCATAAAGACCTTGATTCAAATCCTGCCATTATCACTTACTATCCCTATGGCCCTGGACAAGTTAATTCATGGTTCTGAGCCTCAGTTTATTTATCTGTTAAAAAGGGATAATAATGCTTGTTTCATCAAGCTATGGCAAGTATTAAGATGGCATGTGACAGTGCTTAGCACAGGCCCTGACAAATAAGTAATTTGTATTCTTTTTTATCCTCCATGATACACTCTTTTCTCTGGGTTTATCACTAGAACTCCCCCGGGATGATCTGTTACTTATGACTAATCATACTCTGTGTACTTATACCACTAATATTATTTGAGTGAAACAAACTTAAATTCAGCATCAGGAACTACCTTGAAAGGAAAATAGACTCATAAGAGTAGTCTCTTCCAGTTTTGAGAAGAAAAGATGCCATCCTACAAGTATGGTAAAGGTCTTGATGAGGGAGGTAAGACCATGACAGTACCACCATGCCTTCGTCTCACTTCCCCACCACAACTGAGTGATCTAGCCACCCTCTAGAGTTGCTACCACCATTTGTTGGGAAGGCATGAAGTCAAAGAAAAGTTTGAGACCTGGGATAGTTGTCCCCATTTGTCATACCATTGGGATAGCTCTGATCGTCACATTCTTAGAAATGCAAATACTAAGCTCTGAGAAGATACAGTCTTCTTTGTGAATCACCTCCATCCCAATTTTTGACCTCACTTTTAGGTGGGATGTATCTACAGCACAGAGTCTGTGACTCTGAGATACATCAAAGACTATTTGGTGGCCCCTCCTGAAATCAGAAGAGGATGTAATTTGCTGTGGTTTTTGCAACTCTCTTACGCACAGTCCAAGCAAAGAACATTATAGTTTTAGAGTGGATGTGGCTGTCCTTACTCTGGTATACTCACAGGAGAAGGACATTGCTGTCTTCTTTCCTTCCATCTTTGATCACATCACTACTGTATTGTGACCTCTTCTTCCCAGAAGAACAACAGTTTTATCCTCTTAATCTTGTTCAAACTGCCTTCTAACACTGACCACCACCAAAAGATGTTGCTTCGAGAAGAGGCTGAATGGAGAACCTTAAATGCATGGGGAATATTCCTGAGTCTCATTGAAATCAGTTTATCCTGGGTATTACACTTGAATTTAAAGCAAATGTATGCACAGGCAATCCTGGGTGAGCTACTCTGAACAGGAGATGGCAGTAGCAGCCAAGGATTTGGGCAGCCCTTTCTAGTCCTAACAGAGGGGATTTCCTATTGGTTCATTGTCGATTCTGGACTGCAGTTTTGCCTCACCAAAGCCAAGGTGGCTAAATAATATGCCCAAGATCCCAGACCTTGCTGAATTTCACAACTATTGAAGAATTAGAAATTGCTCAAATTGAAGGCTGAACGACCAAGTGAACACTGTGGGGAGCTTTTACTAAGTCTCACTACAGAGGAAGGGAGGAGGCCTCCAGAAAACAAACAGATATGCCCACTTAGATTGGCATTAGTGGGTTTATTGGAAGGAGCAAGGATCGGAGATACAGTGCACATTCTTACTGAGACTTTGAGCAAGTCATTTAGCGAGGTGATTCAGCCCATGCTTTCATGTGGATTCAGGGAATAAAGAAGTCTTCCTCACAGGCTTTACAAAGGGTTCAGTAAGATAACAGCCAGGAAAACTCATTTTGTAAACTATGACATGCTATAAAAATACAAGAAGGACATTTTGGTTGGTTTTAGGTCATTTCTTTGAATTTGTCCTGGCGCCTCCAAATTTCCTAGACCACATTTTTTTCTTTCCTTTTCTTTCTTTTTTTTTTTTTTCCAAGTAATATGGTCAGAAGCTGTTTGACTATGAGTCTATTATTTCTCTGATAATTATAATTTCCCGGAGAGTTATGGCACACAAATTACTTTGTAATAGCTCTAAATTCTTTGCTTTATCCTGAGTCTACAATTATGCACTTATCCATGCTCCTGTCATCTGTGGTACTGATTTATGGAACCTCTGTTCTCTGATCTCCTCATTTCTTACCTCTGCCTCCTTTAAAACTCAAGAAATGTGGCAGCAAGGTCAAATTTCTCATCGGGCCAGCATTACATTCTCAGGTGTAATCATTACCGTCTTAATAAAGCAAGCAGTTAGTTCCACAATGGTCTGTTTAATCCACTAGATAATTGCTAAGCCTTAATTATATAACCCAGCATACTGTCCCTTGCTATAATTCCAGAACCACCATGTTGTGGTTTGAAACATCTATTAATTTGGTGCAAATATTAATTAAAAATTTATTTCTAGCCAAGAATATGATGGATCAAGTGCCATGTATTAAAAAAGGAAAATATAATTAATCTTAACCAATTTCACTTGGAGCAAAAACAATGTAACTGGAAAGTTTTCTGGTAACTGCCACACACTCACAGACTTTTTTCAAAATTTGAAAAAAGGTATGTCTAAATTTTAAAGTATTGCAGTATCAGTTTGGTATTATGGTAGAGGATTTATAAGCCATGCAACTGCACAAAATTTTTGATATCGTTAATAAGGCAAAGATATATTACTTCGCTTTGTTCTGCTTGTGACCTAGAGTGAATTTTATTCATAGCAAAATTAGACCTTACTAGCTTCTTATACCTGAATGGCCTAGAGGTAGAGAAATTTCCAGAACAGCCTTATTAGAGAGTGGGGTGCATGACAAGACCATAATCTAAAGCCAGTTTTCAGTTTTATTATTTACTTTGCTGCCTTGATCATTTTTCTGCACTCATTTGGCTTGAAGGCATAGACATTCCCTGTTGATTATCTCGGCTTGGCAGTGGGTTTCTGCTACACATTTTGATTCCTAATATGGTAGTAGGAGAGGATTTTGTATGAGTTCCAGCGAGTTTCTCTGGGCTTGTGGAATGCAGCAAGGAAAGAATCCTACAGAGATGAAAACATGAACATTTGCATTGATTAAAGAGAAAAAGGAAAGAAAGAAAAAGTATCACTCTAAACTGTTTTTTTTCCTTTTCTTACTCTGTTCACTTCACTTCTAATAATGTCTTACACTTTTGGGGGTGGGAGGAATTAATGCTGTGTGTTCTTTTATTGCTCATATCTTCATGGCCATTTCAAAAATTATTTTGAAATGCTGAGTGTGTTTACAGAGGCAGTGTTAACAAAATAGTTTTCATCATCATCAAGGTTTGAATCCCTGAAGCACCCTATCCCTCTGTTCTACAAATTAGCCACATGAAGAAAACTGAGAGAATAAGTTTCATGTTGCTAAAAGAGAATAATAGGCTGATCATGTATATTCACAGGGTACAAATTACATTGTCTTAATTTTGCAGCAATATGAACTATTACTAAAGAAATACCTTACTTGCCTATCCATCTATTGATTGTGTTGGAGTTCAATACAGTTTTTCTCTCAGGGTCATAAAGCCATTCACAGAATCAGGGGTGTTCAAGGGCGAGAATTCAGTCATGGGTTCTTAGTTTGTGTTTCTGGTTGGGCCAGTAAAGCCCCTTCCTCATCTCTCTTTTCCACTTATCACTACAGATGCAGACTTAAAACCATGGCTTCAGGCTGTTCAAAGTCAAAAAAAAAAAAAAAAAAAAAACAGAACGACAATAATAACAACAAAATAAAGCAGGTTATACAAGCTCGTATGCATCTCAGATGAAGAACTTTCCTCTAGTAATAGGCTCCTTTTCCCTAAATGTATTTACTGAAGGCCTCTGTATTTTAATAAGCTATATTTTCACTGGTTTTAAAACTTCATTATTTTCACCATTATTCACATCCATTTAATGTGTTACTTTTCTATAATTAAGCATTACATTTGGCAGTTATGCCCTCAAAACTGACTATATCAACATTTAAGGTCATGTATTTGTAGGCTTATTGGGGGCTGTATCAAAAAAAAGTCACTAATGAGAGATCATCTACAAATCCAAGAAATTCAGCATGCTAGTGTAGATGTGAAAGTGTGGTTTTCATAATGCTCCAAATATTTTCTTTTTCTGGATAACTTATTTTAAGGAGCCCTTCAGTAAACAGTTCTGATTTGACAGCAATAACCAACCACAAACACAATTAGTCAGTATATTAGATAAGCCCGAGATTGGTTGAAGAATAATGCAAACCTCAAAATAACAATGATGTAAATGACATAGAAATTTATTTCTCTGGAATATGAAATAATGTAAAGATAAGCAGTCCAAAGCTGACATGGGGTCTTCATCTATCACAAGGAACCTAAGCTGCCGTCTTTCTCTTCTGCCGTCCTCAGCATATGGCTTTCATGCCATGGACCTGTGTGGCACATGAGGCTCCAGACAATGAAGAGAAAAAGGGAAAAATAAGTGTGAACCTATGTCCTTTACTGAAAGTCCCACATAGTACTTCCACTTACATCTCGATGGTCATGAATCTAGTCTTGACCACCTGCAAGGGAAGCTGGGAAATGTAGTCTTTTATTGTAGGTGGCAATGTGCCCAGCTAAAAATTAGGGTGCTAAAACTAAGGGAAGGAGGTGAAATGGGTACTGAAGGAGGCAACACCTAGTTTTGGTCATGGTCAGGTTCTCTGGCTCCTTGACTTGCTATCATTGTCAGATCATACAGTGACTTAGCTTTCCATGCATATTCATATTTATTTATATAAATCAAACCTTTTGTGTTTTACTAACATAAATATAAATATTTGAAACAAACATAAATATATGTGTTTACATAGAAATATATATGTAATTGTAGAAATTTTGAAATGTAGATAATTAGAAAAAAGTGCTAAGCAATCATAAAACTCACCACCCAGAAATAAGTGCAGTTAATTTTATGGTACATTTTTCCAGGTTGATTTTCATATACACATGTGTATCTATATACTTCTCTTAATACAATTGAAACATACAAAGCACATCATTTTTAACCTCTTTTTTTTTTAGCAATGATATATTGAGGCGTCCTTCTGCACCAATATTCTTTTCAACATTGTTTTAAATTGCTATAGATCATTTCATGATATCATTCCACAATTTAACCAACGTCCTATTGTTGGCATGGCGAGTCTGTACAGGTCTGAAATGTTACAGTAGATAGCTAGTCAGACATGAACAGGGCAGTAGAAAGTTTATTAAAAAGCTTTAGAGCAGAAAGAAGTAAAGTACACTTGGAAGAGGGCCACACAGGTGACTTGAGAGATCAAGTCCACAGTTTGACCTTTTGATTTGGGGTTTTATACACTGGCATGCTTCCTGGGTCTTGTGTCCCTTCTGCCATGATTCTTCCCTTGGGGTGGGCTGTCCGCATGCACAGTGGCCCGCCAGTGCTTAGGAGGAGCCAGCCACATGCAGAGTGTGTTTACTGGAGTTGTATGCATGCTTACTTGGGGCACTCTTCCCTTACCAGTCAAGTGTCCCTATAAGGTAATATACCAGTTAAACTCCACCATCTTGCCTCTTAGTTTGCATGCTTCAGCCCATTCGCCCAACTCCTGAGATCTTATCAGGAAGCTGATCACTAGTCTCAGGTTTTTCTATGTATTGGGAGACTACTTTCCCTGGGGCTGGCTGCAACCAATTATTATTTTAGAGAGTCAGTTAATAATTGCCTGACCATCATCTGATGGTTGCCTGACATTCCTGGGTGGGGGACGGGACGATGGTCTCTCCTGTCCTGCTCATGTCTGACCAGCCACCTACTGTAACACTATTGTTAATCATTTTGAGTTTTTCTGTATTATAAACCACACTGCAATTAACATCTTTGTTACTAAATCTTTGTTCATATCCACAATTACTTTTAGAAGATAGTTTTTCTGATCAAATAATATGCATATCTTAAAGCTTTGATATGCCAAATTCCTCTCCAGAAAAATTAACGTTTTACATTGTTACCCTACTATCTGAGTATATGCCAATACTTTTGCTCAGCAATAAACATCATATAATTTTTTTAAATTCTTTACCGATTCAATAGACCAAAACATCAGCCTCAGGTTAACTATGCCTTTGATCACTACTGAAGTGGAACATTTCCCCTGCCTTTATATTTAGCCTTTTTTATTATTGTGGAAAGATATGAGAGGAGAGAAAGAAGCTCATGGGCTCAAATTTGGAAACACTAACTTCAGACTGAAAGGAAAAAGCCTCTGGTTCTGAAGATAAGTCATGTATGCTAACTCAGAATGGCAACATAAAAGGAGAGGTTATCCTTCCATTTCAAGAGGCAGTCAATGAAGTTGTCACCTGACCTCTTCCAATAAGGTACCCAGATATTTTCCTCCTTTGAAGAAAGAAGCCACCATGATCTTGGCTCGCATTGTGTTGAGTTTGAAGGACACTGCTTCATATGTGATTTATGGGTTTTCTCCCAGCACAGTTTTTCCCTTGACTTGACTGTCAAGCTCTTGTCTCTGTAGAGTGGCAAGTGAAAATATTCCAAGGGGCTCAAATTTAATTCAAGTAGTCAATAAACCACAAGATCTGTCTGCTCAACTATTTTCATACCAAATAGGATACTCCCCATCTAAATGTGTAACTGAGCTGAAAACAACTTTGTGCCTTTAAATATCTGATGTTGTGTCATGTTTCACTACATTTAAAGCCAATACAGTAAGTAGCCAGATCACAATATGCCAAATAGCTGTTTGTAGCATTTCCTGATATTTGCTAAGTAGAGAATTTCAAATACCCTAGGCACATTCTATTTGTGAATGGGATGATATATTTTCTTGCTTCTGTGTTGTATAAAATACTCTGGAGTAGTTAATTCTTTGCAAGTTTTTAAACCTTTCCTCATGGTCAAAAGCTAAATCATAAATCAAGAATTAATGTAAGAGAAAGTTTGAATACTCTCTCTTAATTCCCAGTTAGATTATCAGGACAAAACTTCAGGTAATTGCATGCCTAAATAGTAAGGTACAAATAAAAACAGGAAGAAAAAAATAATCCTCTAACAGCAAAATCAAAAATTAAATATTGAACCATAACTCTCTTTTCCTCTATAAGCCTAACAGTTCTTTTCCATATATGTAAGGAAGGCAAATATGCATTTTTTGTTTACAATTTAGGCTGGGACTGCTACAGTGACTCACCTGGAGTACACCCCAATGAAAATTTAGTGGGCAATAACACAGAACACCATGCCCATAAAATTATAAAACATTATTGGGGTTTGCCCATCCTCCAATTGTCTTGCTGAAGTCTATTTTTCTTCCTCTATAGGAGAAGCTATTTAGAGTCAAGCATCATTAAATCAAAATGCAAAGGAAGGAGAAATTGAATGTGGGTTAATTGCATTCTGAATGCAACTGAACCGCAGTTGGTACAAATTACTGGCCTATAAGAATGCATTGTGCCTACCAGGAAGACAAGTATTTTGGTGAAGCCGGAGTATGGGTGTGTACCAGGAAGTGGCAGCAGATGAGGATTCTGAGTGTGTTTGTGTGTGTGTATGTGTGTGTGTTGGCAGGTGGGGACACATTAGATCCTTGTATGTTGTACTAAGCAGTTGGTACTTTGTCCTGAAGCATAGCTCTCCCAGGAGAATTGCAGCTACTGTCCAGGAGGATCCCAGTCTATGCAATTTGGCACACTCTGTGTAATCTTCTCTCCTTTATCGCACAAAGAAGTCCTATACCTGCAATCTTGCTAGAGAAGTAAAACCTGTATTCCTTATCAGTAGATCTACAGGGTAATAAAGGGAACACTATGATGGGAGCAGCTGTAATGGAATTGAAGACCTCTTTCTTCTTGGCATCAACTGCCTGAAGATAAAAGGAATACAATTAATATAAATAAAGGGCAGAAAGGCACTGACTCTAAGGCAATGAAATTTTGTAATAGGAGTGGAAAGAAAGCAGAGATGAATGAGGGCTACAAGAATCACAACAGGCTCCTGGGAGGAGGTGATACTTGCTGTCCCTGCCAGATGTAAAGCATAATTTTCAGGGTCCTCAAGAATTAAGTGGCAATAGGACTCAAAAAACCATTTCTCCAAAAGGAATATAGTGATGTGCAAAACAGACAAATCTCTGGTCTCATGGCTCACCACAGAAAACACAGGTACTTGTATTTTTTTGCAGGGCCTTGTTAGGTTACCTGTACCCAAAGGATTTAGGTAACTCTTCCTTTATATATTTTCCATTTTATTTATTTATTTATATAGAATTATTTGCTTGCTTATTTACAATTTGTTTGTTTGTTTAAATTATAAAAGTAATATGTGTTTATGACAGAGAAGTAAAAACAGACCAGAAGTATAAAGTTTCTCTCTCCCCTGCCCTACCCAGTCCTTCCATTAAGAGATAACCAATGTTAAAGTGTTGCATGTGCATCCTTTCAGAAATTTTTCATACATGTGCAAGCATAGATTTATGTTATATATAAATATTATCACACTATTTTACTTTTTCATGTAACTGCTGTAGTGATAGCACCATAATGCTGGTATAAAAGGGACTCCACCAGGGCAATCTGGTTGGAAAGATGGTCTTGAAGCTCCATTGCAAAACACTTATGTAAAATAGAATATCAATTGTTCATATCAAAGAAAGGAATGTGCTGGAAAGTGGAGACAGTAAAGCCCCAGCAAGTAATTCCTTGGTTTTACCACTTAAACATTTTTGTATGATAGCACATAAATAGCTGCCTACGATTCCCTCGAGTGAATGGACCATAATTTATTGATCATTCCCCAACAGTAGACATGCAGATTATATGTAGAGTTTTTGCCTTCATAAACAATACTATTTTGAATCCCTTTGTACAAAGCTTATACTTAGGCAAGGGAACCTATAACATAATTCCTATAAGCAGAATTCCTGACTGAAAGGGAATATGCATTTTAAATGTTAATAGATGTTGCCAAAATTAAGCCAATTTTCCAGTTTGCAGTTAATGGGAGAGGATGTTGTTTTCTTAAGGCTTTCCTTGTAGAAAGAAAGTGCTGAGTAATGCGGCCACAGAACTAGTTCTGCTAGCTTAAGTTTCAAAGTCTACCTACCCATTTGCAACTAGGATCCAAGCCAGGCTTTACATGTTCAGCTTTCTCTGAGCTTTTGATAACGAAGCTGTTTACATTAGTAATCCAGCTAAACTGTGGAGTGGCATAGTCCCATTTACATTGAGAATCATTTTTGTTTTAGCTTGTGGGAGTGTAAATTACTATTAAAGGAGTTCCATTTCAAATCCAAAGAACATTCTATTGAGAAGAAAACTAATAAGAGAGAGGGAACCACGAAGGCCAAGTCTGAGCTGCTGACAGCAATGCAGATAGAAAGAAACAAGGCAAGGCAGAGAAACAAGTTCAGGGAATTGAATAAGAAACGGTGTCACAGTCACATGATCACAGTCATATGATCATGAAACAAAAGGTATGGTAGATATTTGCCTGGAAGTCCCTTAGGAAATGATGGCAGCAAGACCAGACGGCAAAAACAAAAAGTTGAACATCTTTGCCATTTTCATTTCATGTCCAAATGCTTCTTAGAAACATACAACCTTATTGGCATTAACATTTTGACATTTTATGTATAGATCCTCTTCTAAATAGAGTTTAGGTTTATATTCATATTATTGTAGTAAAATAACAGATGATCACTATTTTTTCAAAGATTAAAAAATATGACTCAGAAAAATGCGAGCATTGGTAATTTAGTTTTGGGCTTTGTCAAATATCTTTTAAAAAACTCAGCTAATAATACACTAAGGCTTCTCATACATAATTTGTATTGTTGATTAAAACCTAAGAATGGAAAGAAAAGGCTAAGTCTAATTTTTTTGCTAAAAGAATGAGTAAAAAGTAATCAGCCATGTTAATATTTCAAACAGCAAACTATTTGAAATGCATTTCTGCTTTGAAAGGAAAATTTGAGATGAACAAGTTCTATTATACACTATTGATAAAGAAAGAAGATATAAAAGGTACAATATACTCTTAAAAATGATTGCACTTTCAAGGAAACATAAAAGAATAGCTTCTTTTTTGGCCAGTAAGAAAACTGAAGCCCTGTGTAGTCATAAATAGCAAAAATACAACGAAAATCCTAATATGTGTGTGTGTGTGTTTTCTCTTCTTCAAGATTCCTATAATATCTAACAATGATATATTTGTAACTTACTCTGAATTGCAAAGCATGTATCAATTGTCAGTTATCAAAAGTGTCTCTGAAAATTTGAGGTAGCAAAAAACAAAGAAACAATGAACATGTTCATTTAGTCTTCCCTGCTTTTACAATTTGTCATTGAAACCTGTGTCTTCCTCCTAATCATATTTTCTTAAATTGTACTTTTATTTAGGATTTGGTGATTGAGAGTTTGCGTTTTCTGTTTGCTAGTTGATTGCTTAGGTGGCCAGGTGGTTGGTTTCTCTTCATCCAATTGCATACAATGTATTTCTAAAAGGATTTTTAAGGAAATGTGGAATATCATGTAGTAATATGCCCTGTTGCTCATTCCTCCTAAATCTCTCTCTTATCTCCACCTCTGCCTCCTTTCCCGCAACCTGCCTTGGTTTAGGCCCTCACCACTTCTCTACTGATGACAACAGCCTCTCAAAGCCCAGCCCCCTTGGCTCCTGCCTTGACGTTACTACCAATGGCCTCATCCTAAAGCAAAAATCTCATTATGCCTCTCTCCTGTTTAAAATATTTAATTGGTTTTAATTAGCTTCTCACTACCTTCATGATGAAATTCGAATTCCTTAGAATGCTCTGCAAGCCCTTTCATGACAAGGTCCAGGCCTGCCTCTCCAAATGGCATCACTTGTAAATGGCATCATTTACCCTATGCTCCAGCAGTAATAACACTATGCATTCACACAGGGGAGGTTTTGTGGGTGTCAGTGCTCTCCCTGAACTGTCATCATAGTATCCCCCCACTCCCACCCCCCACTTCAACCTGGAGAACCTCTAAAGTTGTGCTTTTCTGTTTTTCTTTTGCATATCATGTCCTGAGAATCTTGTTAAAAAGACTTTACTTCTGTGGGCCTAAGATGGGGCCCGATGTTCTGCATTTCTAATCAGTTCCCAGGCAATGCTGGGAACACATATTGAAGACAAAGCTGAAAAACCTTACTCTACCGTTACTCCCTCTGTGAAAAACTCTCCTGCAAAGCTGATCTACACAAAGCGTCCTCTTTCTAATGTTTATGACTTGTATATAGAACATGTACAGGTCTTCTTAGATGTCTCATGTCTTATTTAATTACTTGGTTATAGGTCTGTCCCTGTAATCACTTGTCCATCATCAAGGGCTGGAACAGTGACTGCTGCTCCTTGTAGTCCCAGCGCTAACATTTGGTCCAGATGTATAGGAATTTCCTAGAAGTATTTTGCATGGAAATTAGCGAAAATTTTTCACTTGGTGCCCGAATGATCATTTCATAAGGTGTTGTTAAAAATGTCCACTGGATGGAAGGTTACACTAACTTTTTAGCTCTCAAATTCGTGGTTTTTCTTTATGTTATTGACAATCTCTCCAATGGGGTTTTGGTTAGGGGGAGGCTTAAAAGTAATTGATTTATGATTCTTTTAACCAACATGTAAGTCAAGAGGCTGGCCAAGAGTTTGAAGAGCCCGAACCTGTTAGACAGTAAACCAATTATCTTTGTGACCTTGTGGGTGACTTCACCACCCCCACTGCATAGCACAGCCCTGCCTGTTTCCAAAACACCTGGCCTTGCACAAAAGAATGAAGAAAGAGCCAAGGCACAGAGAATATTCTCCAGCAGAGAGTTTGGGCAAGAAGTCTTAAAGATGTCTGAGTAGAGAGACAATTAGTGGAAACAAACATCTGTCCAAGGTCTCTCCCATCATGTCATGAACTTGACAAGAAAGGCCAGCAGTAACTCTTCCAACCGTGGTAACCAATGGCCCTGAAATGTGTTCAATATCAGGTATATCAGAGCCCGAGAGATAAGAGTGGTTTTCAATGCTGTATGCACGTTAGAATCACCTGGGAAGTGATATTTGTAAAATATGAACACCTGAGGCCCCACCCCAGAACAGCTAATTCAGAATTTCTGGGGGAATGGCCAAGGGGTCAGTAGATTTTAAAACTCAGGTGATTATACTGTGAAGCCAGAGTTAACAACCACTGATAGAGGGTAGTACCTTCTTCCCCTATAGGTGCCTCAGAAGTGAACATCTAACTTCAGCTTACACATCCCACTAATTGACCACTGAGTCTTACTTATTTTAGGCAAAACGAAACCAATAGAAAGTTTTGCCTTTTCTCTATGTAGAAGGGACTAATGATTCTATAAGAATTTTTAAATTTCTACTCACATTTCCCATCACACAGTTGTTGAGAAATTGGTAAGTTGAGAAAAAATGTGAGGTGTAGAAAGAAGGAAATTGAATTCATTTAGAAAAGAGAATTCCAAATGAGCTTAATTTCCTTTT
Source organism: Homo sapiens (assembly GCF_000001405.40). NCBI lineage: Eukaryota > Metazoa > Chordata > Mammalia > Primates > Hominidae > Homo > Homo sapiens. The sequence goes on from NC_000012.12 coordinate 79,419,318, forward strand.
TTCTAAATCTTAATAATCTACCTTGCTTTTCTTCTCCTTCCACTGCACCCTTTCTCCATGAATTCATCAGTCATAGTGGTAAGCTCACAGTATCCGGCAGCAGGTCAGGTGGGATCACACTGGCTAACAAAGGATCTGAGGGTACAATGCAGAAGTTGCCAGATAATGGGATTCAATTACATTTCTAAGCATAGACTTCTCCAGTGTTGGCTGTTACACTGCCCAATGTGGAAAAGCACTGCTTTATCTACATGGCAAGTGCTTCATACATTTTAGTTGAATCTGACTCGGAGTACCTCAATTTTTTTAATGAAATATTTGAGGTCTACAATAGTAAGTATAAATAATAATATAATGAAGACTCTTGTACCTATCACACTAAAGAAATAAAACCTAACATCTATAATCAAAATAGCCTATGTCCTCTTTATCTCCTTTCTCTCATTCTCTCCTCAGAGGTAACTGTTACCTTGAATTTATGATTCCCAACCCTGTTTTCTCATTTTGTTTGTCATTCCAATGTATGTTTTTATGACACACACAGTTTTGGTTTTGTATGTTTTCAGCCATATAAATGGCACTTTACTGTATGTATTTTGTGCATTTTCAAGCTTTATATAAATTGTATCATATATCCTTCTGCAACTTGACTCCATATTTCATTCTTGGGATGTATCTGTGTTGATTAAAGTAACGTTGTTACTTTTTATTGCTGTATAACATGCCATGGTAGGTAAATACCCCAGTTGGTCAGCTAATGGATTTTTGAATTGTTTCTAATCTCTTGCTGTCACAGACAATACAACATAGCTCCTTGTGCAAATGTGGGTGAGTATTTCTAGATATTTACATAAGAGTGGGATTGCTGGAATGTAGGGTATGCACAATTTTTAAATTTCCTAGATGTATTAAATAACACCCCAACCAGAAGTGTGTGAGCTTTCCTATTGCTCATATCCTTGCCATGTTGGCACTGTTAGACTTTTAAATGTTCAGCCAATTTTAACTGGTGAGTTTTCCCTTAAAAACCCTGAAGAGGGCAGCATATCCTGGTAATTGCTGCATCTTATACCTGCATTCCAGTTTATGGGTCCCTCCCTTCTTTACTGGTTGAAATCCTTTGACCTCAGTTACTCTTCAACCCACTCTCTCACCTCAGTCAGCTCTGGGCAGTATCTTAGAAGGACAGACAATATAACACTATCTCAAAGCTGAAAGTTACCTCCAGCTTTTTCATTCCACATTCCTGGCACACTTCTGTCCTCTGACAAGGAGGAGGTAGGGAAACAGAAACAAGTCAGTCTGGAATTAAAACACTTTTTCCAGTTCAAAGTAGCACAAGAGAGATATGATGTGAGTAGAGAGTAGTCTTCCACCATTCTAAAGCAGTGGTTTGTAATCTAAATAGAAGGGCATTGCACACTATCAAAAACTATGCTTATGTAAATGGGAGAAATACTGAGAAGTAGGAAAAAGTATTGCAAAGTGGTAGTAGCATTGTTTTTCTTCTAGAATAAAAGATATTTACTCCTTTGCCTTCTCAGTTACATTGTTCCTGGTTCCCTAAGGAAAAAAAAAGTGTTCAGCTTCAGAACATCTCCTAGAATTTCTCTCGTTTAATACCAAGCTAAAGTCCTGCCACTTCCAGAGTTCCACAGTGGGAATGCAACCTTCACAAAGATGCTTTCCTTTAAACAAAGCAGATGTGAAATTGAGCCATGCTTAAAGATTTGACATGGCTGCTTTAGGAGGGAATTTATTGTTAGTACTTTCAAAGTAGACCTAAAAACACCACTCTGCTTTTTTTATTCCTGAACTGGATTTTAAGATCGTATTGCTTTAAAATAAATGAATGAATAAATAATAACATTTTATTTTGGGGAGGAGGAAGTAGAAAAATAAATATGAATTGTTTTGGAATTGATTGCTATTTTGAGTTATTAAATTGTTTTCCCATCCATTGTGGTAGATGAAACTTCCTCCAAATGAGATCTGCTGCTTTTTCATTACTGTCTTGAACTCTTTTATATGCTGGTGTGTTTTATAAATTTCTAAGGTGCGCCATTTAGAGAGTCTGTGCTTCTGAACTGTTTGACCATAGTTTCCTTGTTCAAGGAACACCTCACTGGAGTTCAAAGGTCACACTTTGGAAAAATGCTAGCATAGCTATTCTAAAGGTGGCTACACCATCATTACTAACCATTCTGGCCAGAAATTCACAAGACCCAATTATATGTCATCTTGACTGAAATTCTTTCATGATAGAATATCTGTCTTGACATGTTGGTTGGTATACATATTGCTCTTGCATTGAATGCTGTTATGGAGACATTTGAAGCCAGTCTAATTTTTGCTTTATCCAATGTGACACTTTTTTTGTTTTTTTGTTTTCTGTTTTTTTTTTTTATTGTTGGTGGTGGTGGGTGTTTTTGTTTGTTTGTTTGTTTTCTCAAATTCCCAAGGAATGTCTTTATACTTGAATTGTAAGTATTCAATCAGGGCTGTGTTAAGCATTCTGTTACCAGTATTTCCTAGAACATGGTATGTTCTTTCAATCTATAAATGTGGTTATTCTTTCTCTTTAGTGAAATTTCCTTGTGTGGTATTTGTGAATACTTTTCCTGTTCCATTTATTGAAACTTCTCCTTCAGGGACATCAATTTCCTCATGTTAAGTGCTTTTGAACTCCAATCTGTCACCTTCTAATTCCTTTGGTTCCCTTGTATTTACAAGCCATTCCTCGAGGCCGGTAATTTTATTTGCAGCCATGTTTATTTTGTTCCTTGCTCTGTCACCTTTTAAAAATTCACTCTATAATATTGTTTTTGTACTCAGCCTCCTTAGTTCTGTAACCTTCCTGGGGTTCTGTCAACTCATCTTTGAGCTCTTGTTTTTCTGAGTTCATGTTCTCATTAACTTGATTCATAGTACAAAGCACTTCTGAGGAATTTTGTTTTGTTCTTTGGACTATGTTTTCTTTAAAAGAGGGAGTTTCATCTTTCTTTTGCATGCTATGTTCCTTTCTTTTAAGGTTGATTGGTTTTGTTTATTTTCATTTGGGAGCATTGCCTTAGCATGTTTGGATGTTTGTCACTGATTTCCCCCATCTTACTCATACCTGAACGCTTTATCTGGATCTTCTCTGTTCTATCTAGTATAGGTGACTTATTGACTCAATTTCCATAGACTCTAACTTTTTTCCCCAAAGCTATGGTTAAAGAACTTGATTTTGGATACCATCCACTTAACTGCAGCCTAAGGAAATGGTGCAGGGAGTAGAGAGGGAAGGGAAAGCTCTGCTGAAGCTGTGTGACATCTGAGTTAGAACTCCTGGGCTCTGCACTTTTGGTTGCTCGTGCTCTCTCTCTCTCTCTCTCTGGGATTTGTTAGATACTTTGAACTACATTTTAATCCCTCTCTTTAATCAGAATACATATCCATCCTGAAGGGGAACACTCTAGGATTTTTTAAAATCATTCAGCAAATTTTTATTGAGCCCCTCTCCTTTGCAAGGCACATTCTAATCTAGGTGCTGGAAGTAAGCTGTGTGAACAAATGAGACGATTCCCCTTTCTAATGAGTTTATATGCAATGTGGTATCTTTACCGATACATGCTCTGTCAGAAAGAAGCAGCCCACTTCTGTCCAATAGCCAATCCACTACCCTTCAGACAAAAATGAGAAAAATAAGGATAGTCATTTAGTTAGTTTCTCTCCAGATCTGAAGACTATAGTGAGGTCTTGAGAGTTCAGTAATTCACCAGTAAGGTTCCAGGGGCAGGAAGGGAGTTCAGGGTTAGAAGCTACACTGTACCACTCCAAGATCTGTTCTTTTGTGAGCCAGCATTGTATGTGTGTGTGTCTGTGCGCCCACACATGTGTGCACACGTGCATGCATGCTTTGTTTTGTTTTAATGTCCATATTATTAGGTTACAGTCTTTTCCTTATTTCATTGCTGACTTATTACTAGAAAGGAGGGAGCTAGTGGTTTTCATTGTTGGTATCCCTTGTTTTTAGTTCTGAGAGAAAGAGAAAGAGAGAGACTCTATAATCTGCTTTCATTCTATCACCTGAGCCTGGAGGCCTCAACTAGTTCTTTTAACTCTAATTAAGCCTTAGAGTCTGCAAGTATAAGACAGCTGTGAAGTAGCTCTGCCCTCAGAATTTTGTAAGTACTTTAAGACATAGACAAACACACATACACACAACAAAACAAAACAAAAACATAAAGCTGAGGTGGTTTGGTTGGGTTCCTTGCCAGCTTAGCCTCTTACTCTTGGCTAAAAAACATTTCAAGGACTTAAACTGTGGAATAGTTCTAAGAAATTGCTTAGTCTTATCCCTGGACACTGCAAAATGGATTGCCTCAGATCTAAGAAACCCATTTATCAGAAAAATTCTTCAATTTCATGATATGTTATGGTCGAGATGTTATTGCACAATCCCACAGAAATCTAGTCCCTCTCCTAAATATGCCGAACACCTATACAGATGGAGGCAAGCAGAGAGAGGAAGGTGAGAGTGAACACTTGTTCCTGAAATCTCCCAAGATACCGGCTCTGGGTTAGCATTAGAAGGCCTAAGCACCTGGATCTATTAACCTAAATAGAAAAAAGAAATAACCAAATACTTGTTGAAATAACCAACAAGTATTTGGTTATTTCTTTTTTCTATTTAGGTTAATAGATGGAGCATTACCTAAAAATGAGATGAAGCATCACCTACAAATGTCCCTCAAACAAGTCATACTTAGTTCAGATTATAAAGAGAGTATTTGATAAATGCTGTACGTATAAGGGAATTCGAATGGCACTAGCTTACAGCTTCTTGTGTCACTACCATGCCTCTAATGCAATTTCCCCCATCTAGAAATGTAACCCTCAGCCAGTTGCCTTGAAAGCTGGTTACCGTGGAGATGATTATCAGTATTATGATGACCTATTTAGAAGAATTTCTGCATCACCAGAAAACAAATAACCACAGAGAGAGCCTTTCAAATGAATCATGCTCTTTCTCTGAAAGTGCCTTTACAAACAAATGCCATGGATGTATTGTGTTTGTGTGCTGTGTGTGGATTTGTTCATTATTTGTATTTGCAAAGGTTTTAGTGAAATTCCAGTTGTCTTTAGGCATGCCAAGAGTAGAGAGGGTAGTACAAACAACAGGCATAAGCATATAGACATCTGTCCTCTTCCTACAATTTGAAATGCATGGCCATGGCTGTATTGATTTCTCAGCAATGTTAACATTTCTTTCATTTGTACAGTTTTTCTTGCTCATCCACTGCTTTTTGAGGCTTTTTAAGGACTGCTGGAATGTGGTTGGCAGGTGGTTGGTAAAGACTGGTTTTTACAAACTGATTGGCCATTAATAGTTCCTAAACACACTATGACTACTTGATGACTATTTTGATTTTCTCAAAATTATGTCATGAAATATTCTCTTAACTTCTGTTTGGTCTCCCATTTTTCTATAAAATAGTTTTGTGTGTGATTGTATGCAGACCTAGTGTTTTGTTTTTTTTTTAAGTTTTTAAATTTGTTATCCATTAATCATTGCCCTGCTCCTTATAGGAAAGACTGATTTTCAGCTGCTGCCCTTTTTGGTTTTGTTTTGCTTTTGATTTTTCTTCTTCTTTTTTTTTTTTTTTTTTTGAGACATTTAATTTGCACTTGTAAAAATTTCAGTGATAAAAATTAAACCTTTATTATGTTCATAGAAGCAGCAAATAACAATATAAGCCAAATGTTACCCCAAAGAGGTCAAACAGATCTAATATTTTCCTTCCAGTCTATGAAGGTCGTGTATTATGGCATTTTTATATTTGTTCTTATTGTATTTTCAGGCACACTCCTTTTTCTACTCTCATCCTTCCACCCACTGTCACTTCTTCTAAGGTAATGGCAGGAATGTTCATATTTTCTGCTGTTATTTCATATCATCTAGCAAAGTGCTGGATAATCGATGTTTAATAAACCTGACCCCTCATATAACCTCAAAAGTTTCAAAAGTTCTTTAACCAGATAAACTCCATTTTTGTCTGTTCATGTTCACAATGGCCTTCCAGTCTAGGAATCTCCATTTTTTAAACCATGTACAGGCAGTCTGTTTTCCACAGAACATTTTGGGTTTAAGTCAATTAACTAATTTTGGCCCCATTTTCAATTTCTATACCATAGACTTGTCCTTATGCCCAAAATCACATTGCTCTGAACTGAGGGCAAATATCAAATTCATATTAATCACCTCACTAATATTCTTAGGCTGGTCTGAATGCTATGTAAATCCCAATAAAAATCTTAGTGTGAAAAAATTTTCTTCAACTAAATATAACTCCTTCTCTTTCAATATTTTTTAGAAGTACATTGACATTTTAATTAACAAGTTCTTACTTAAATTTTAACTCCAAAGAGTCTAGCACAATATATTTAAGTAGTCAACTACACAGTCAGTGTAAAATGTTGACTTCTGTCCATCTAACACAGTTGTATAGGAACGGTTTTACCTGCAAAGCACTAATAATACTTATTGGCGTATGGCCTTTGACTCATTTATACCATTTCCTAAAAGAGGCATGAAGGACACAGAGAGCTTTTCCATGTAACTCAGAGCCCATAAATGGTAGCTCCTCTTAGAATATTATGTCTACTCTCTTATTCAATTATTCAATAAAGATTGTTAACTCTCCCTCTAAAGTGGCCTTCAAATTAAGTAAAAAGTTGTGAGTTGTTTGAATCATATTCACATCCAGCACTGTTTGATTAAAAAAAAAAAAAATAGCCTTTCTGAAACCAGACTTGGAGTCCTAATCACCCAGAATAGTTCCAGACAAGATTCAGAATCAGAACTCTGACTCTGCCCAACAATTCCACTAAATTAATTCACTCTGCACTCTCTTGAATGGATTTGGAAGGCAAATCATGAGCTTGCTTTAGAGTATTTCCTCTTTGTCTAATCTTCACTCCTAGAAATGATAGTGCTTAGCATTTAGCACTTGCAATCCTTCCCACCCTGAAGCTAAACTGGGAAGAATGAGAGCAGAGTGTTCTAACCTTATTCATACCACAGGCAATTATTCAAGGAAAAAAAAAACATATTTCACAGCCTTTAATTAGATAAACTTGCTTTGTGAATAGAACACAATCTTCAGAAGAATGATGTGGAATAACTTTTCTCCAGAAACATTCCATGGCTTTATTCCCTCTTCTCTAAGAAAATTCATGTCCTTAACTGCTAGCTATCCAAAGCAAATGATTAACACCCCATGTGTCTTGCAATATTGTATGATAGCGATAATCTAATATTGATAACCTGCAGAACTGCTCACTCCAGGAAGCTATCAAAAAAATGATAAGCCAAGTGAAAAAAGTACAGCCACACAACAGAATGTTAATATTTATGTTTCTAATAACATTTTTTAAAAGGTTTCTAATTAATGTAAATATATTATGATATGGTTTGGCTGTGTCCCCACCTAAAATCTCATCTTGAATTCCAGTCCCCATAATCCCCACATGTCAAGGGTGGGACCAGGTGAAGGTAATTGAATCATTGGGGGAGTTTCCCCCATGCTGTCCTCATGACAGTGAGTGAGTCTCAAGATATCTGACGGTTTTATAAGCATCTGGCATTTCCCCTGCTTACAATTCTCCTTCCTGCCACCGTGTGAAGAAGGACGTATTTGCTTCCCCTTCTGCCATGATTGTAAGTTTCCTGAGGCCTCCCTAAGCCATGCTGAACTGTCAATTAAACTTCTTTCCTTTATAAATTACCCAGTCTCAGGTATGTCTTCATTAGCAGTGTGAAAACAGACTAATACATATTAACTCACTACAGTTATTCCAGCTAATAATTTTTGTCATGTTCTATCCAATCTGGAACAGTACCTGTTAGGGTATTCCTGATGAGAAGCTCAGGGAGGGCACTGCTGGATAAATCAGCTGTTTACAAGTTTCATTCACCATTATGTTAGTGTTCAGTGAGTAAATTATGCCATTTAAGATTTCCAGGGACAATTCTTATGGGCCTGTGCCCAAGAAGTCCCCATAAGGTTTAGCGCCCTCACTCCAACATGCTAAGAGAATAAACCAAAAACCATGTATTCATTAAAGAAGTGATCATTGAGGACCCACTGTGTGCCATCAGGTTCTCAGCTAGTGCTAAAGATATGGTGGGAAGAAAACAATAAAAACGGAAATGGTTCCTGTCTTTTGAGGCTTAGAGATTAGGAGGGAAAAAGACATTTATAAGTCACACAAATAGAAAGAATGAATTGGCATTTTATAAGAATTATGAAAGTAAACTCTGCTTTAGAATGAGGAGTCAAAGGAGTTTCCGTGAATAAATGATGTTGGAGCTGAGCTTAATTGAAGAGGTATGGGAAAGGGACATGAGGAGGAGGCATCCCAGGCATGAGGCATGAGGAGTGGAACACATTCAAAGGGCTAAAAGGTCACTGAGGCTGGAGTGGAGGCAGCAAGTGGGAGCGTCCTGAGAGAAGAAACTGGAGAGGTAGAGCAGGAGCCAGATCATTCAGGCTCTATTTGTCTAGCTCAGACATGTCTGCATTTAACTTATGGTATAATTACTGGATTAAAAACAATATAAGGAGTTATACAATGTTTTAATCCTTCTTTACACAATGTGTATAATCTAAGTTGATAATGCTTATGAATGTTGAATTACAATGAATGTTCAAAGTCACAGGACTTCTGTGATAACTAATATTAACTGTGTGACTGTGGAGTGATAACTTTTAGTCTTAAGTACCTCATCTGTAAAATGGAGGTCATAGTACCTACCTCTCAGGGTAGCCACTAAGTCTTCATAGATAAATTGGAAAGACTGGATGGTACAGTGCCTGGTCAAAGCCTTTTAAAAATTAGAAGAAATATGCAGCACAGCCCTTATACCTGGGAAAGAATGAACCCTATCCTGGAACCCAGAGTTTAGAGGGCCCTATTCTGGTTCTCGCCTAGCTACACTCTCAAAGGGTGGAGAGTCTTCAAGTCCAACAGAATACACTCACCTGGAGGCCACACTGAACTCTGTATTCTAGATGATGCTCTGGATACCTGAGACCCCAAAGTTTCCTACCAAAATGATCCCATGATGATTCACGAGGCCTTTAAGTGTCTTTTCCCCAAGCATGCACCATCTGAAGACAGATGCATACCCCATGTCTGAGGGGTGGCTAGGGAGCAGTGGTGAATAGCACTTGTACATACAGGCAGAGTGTCCTCAAATGTATATGTGAAACTTCTTGCAATGCACGTTGTAGCTTAGTGTGAGAAGAGGAGGGGGACGGGACAGGGCCAGAAATAAACTTTACCCACACTACCAGGTTCTATTGTGGGACCACAGTCTGAGAATTATAAATGTAAAGCTGGATTCTCTGGTCATTATTAACATTTATTTGTCAAGATATGAGAACAGAAAATACCTATTGCCTTAGTCCACTTGCATTGCTATAAAGGAATACCTGAGGCTGGGTAATTTATAAAGAAAAGTGGTTTATTTGGCTCATGGTTCTATAGGCTGGACAAGAAGCATAGTGCCAGCATCTGCTTCTGCTGAGGACCTCAGGAAGCTTCCAATTGTAGTAGAAGAAAGGGAGCAGGAATCACACAACAAGAGAAGGTGCAAGAGAGAGAGTGGGAGGAAAGTGCCAGGCTCTTTTTAAAACTCAAATTTCTTGGGAACTGATAGAGCAAGAACTCACTCATTACCATAGGATGACACCAAGTCATTCATGAGGGATCCACCCCCATGACCCCATGACCAAAACACCTCCCACTGGGACCCACCTCCAGCATTGGGGATTAAATTTCAATATGAAATTTGGAGGGGACAAATATCCAAACTATATCACATATGTTAACAGTTGGATTTTTTGTTTTTGTTTTTGAAACGGAGTCTCGCTCTGTTGCCCAGGCTGGAGTGCAGTGGTGTGATCTTGGCTCACTGCAACCTCCACCTCCTAGGTTCAAGCGATTCTCCTGCCTCAGCCTCCCACATAGCTGGAACTACAGGCACCAGCCACCACGCCTGGCAAATTTTTGTATTTTTATTAGAGAGATGGGGTTTCACCATGTTGACCAGGCTGGTCTTGAACTTCTGGCCTCAAGTGATACGCCCGTCTCGGCCTCCCAAACTGTGGGGATTACAGACCACTATGCCCAGCCTGGATTTTTATTATGATTTTTTTGTTTGTTTGTTTTTGTTTTTTGAGCTGGAGTCTCACTCTGTCACCCAGGATGGAGTGCAGTGACGCGATCTCGGCTCACTGCAAGCTCCGCCTCCCGGGTTCACGCCATTCTCCTGCCTCAGCCTCCCGAGTAGCTGGGACTACAGGCACCCACCACCACGCCCTGCTAATTTTTTTGTACTTTTAGTAGAGACGGGGTTTCACCGTGTTAGCCAGGATGGTCTTCATCTCCTGACCTCGTGGATTTTTAATTTATAACTTTTAACAATTAGACATATGGCACATGGACTTGGATTTGTAGTGTTAATCTGGGCAAGTAAAACAGGGAGGTCTGAGCCTGTGATTTACAAAAGTCTACATATCAGAGAATTCCATTTCATTTAAACCATCTTAAGATATATGGATTTCCTATTTATGAAAATCACATTAGGTTAATCACGAATTTCCATTATGCACAGGAAGACTAGAGAAAGCCAAGGGAAATAGTAAGTTCAAAGGAAGACAGTCCCTCTAGTGACCTCTTTCCCTCTCTACCTAAGCATACCACTATCCAAATATCACTGAATGTATGTCTTATGAAACTGTATATCTCTATGTAGAGGTGGAAGGAGAAAAAAACATGAAAGATGATGTTTAGAATTAACAAAACGTTAGTTCTCTAGCTGTAAAACTTGTTTGTACTCCCTGACTATAAAGCCTCAAATTCAAATTGAGCATTTCCAGCTGAGTGAAAGGTGCCTGCCTGCTCTGAGTTCCTGTCACAGTTATTGCTGTACATAAGTCATTTGGCAAGAAAACACACACGGTCTTAGGCTATCTTTCCTACTACAAAAAATATGGACTAATTTAAATATAACTTTTTTAGGAATTGATGTCTTCTCTTCCCAACTGAACTATAAGTTCTTTGAAGAACAAATTGGAATCTGCTGTTTTCTGTATGCCTTCATTCTCTTGCAGCCCCTAAGAGTTGCTTAGGAAAGCCGGGCATGGTGGCTCATGCCTGTAATCCCAGGACTTTGGGAGGCTGAGGCAGGAGGATCACTTGAGTTCAAGAGTTTAAGACCAGCCTAGGCAACATAGCAAGATCTCATCTGTACTAAAAATCAAAAGAATTAGCCAGGTGTTGTGGTGTGCACCTGTAGTCCCAGCTACTTGGGAGGCTGAGGTGGGAGGATCACTTGAGCCCGGAGGTTGAGGCAGCAGTGAGCCATGATTGTGCCACTGCACTCCAGCCTGGGCAACAGAGCAAGACTCTTGTCTCAAGACTAAACAAAACAACAACAACAAAAGAGACGCTCAGTAGGTATTTATACTTAACTGGTTCATTCAGGTATCTAGCAAATATTGACTGGATTCCCACCATGTGCCAGGCTCTGTGTCAAGCATGGGGATACAGAGTTGAACAAGACACTGGCTGAAAGATAAATACCTGGCACATAACAGACACTCAGTGAGTGAGTGAATAAATGAATGAATGAATTCTGTACCACAAAGTTAAGAGAAAATATCAAGAAAACTGGAATCACCATTTAAGTTGTCTTACATCCGAAGTTATCAAGGTGAAAGATGTCAGCCTGGCAGAATGCCCACAATTCTAGAAAATCTGGGGAAAACAAGACAGTCCTAGCATTTGTTCCTCTGGATCATCTCCATGACTATTTAGTATGTGGTGCTAGAATCTTGCAAAGAATTAAAACTTTTCATAGAAACCAAATTTTCTATATAAGAAATTTAACTAATACCCCCACTCTCACTTCTCAGAGACAGAGCAGTGTATGTCAAGAAATTTCTTTTGTCAAGGAAATCAGTGTATACAAAATATTATTGTATTTTTTACTGAGATCTGAAATACGAATGTGTGGTGATTGACTTTAATCACAAATTTGCTTCATAAAAGTCTGTGGAATCAGCACAGAATTATATTACTCCATGTCATTTTCCTATATATGGTATAATATTAAAGCCATAGTTTATTTTATTTTATTTTATTATTTATTTATTTATTTATTTATTTATTTATTTATTTATTGAGATGGAGTTTCACTCTTGTTGCCCAGGCTGGAGTTGGAGTGCAATGGCACAATCTTGGCTCACTGCAACCTCTGCCTCCTGGGTTCAAGCGATTATTCTGCCTCAGCCTCCCAAGTAGCTGGGATTACAGGCATGTGCCACCACACCTAGCTAATTTTGTATTTTTAGTACAGACGGGGTTTCACCATGTTGGTCAGGCTGGTCTCGAACTCCTGACCTCAGGTGATCCCCCTGCCTCGGCATCCCAAAGTGCTGGGATTACAGGCATGAGCCACCATGACTGGCCCTTGAGCCACCATGCCTGGCCCCATAGTTTATTTTTATTTTCTCCTTCTAATATTGTAAGAAAACTAGATTACCAAGGTAGAAGTTGATCTCTCCCTCAAAGCTATTTATCTCCTTGATGTGCAGTATGCAAACTGATTTTAAACAGAATTTTGCAGCTTTATGAAAGAGAATCACATTTGGTCATCAATGAATTAAAATGAAATATCTCTCTGGAAGGATAAGGAAAATCAACATTCAAATATAAAAATTTAATAATAAACCAACTAACATGTTCAAGGTTTCTCTTTTTAAAAAAGGGCCTACATTATTAATACTATAAAATTTCAAACCAGATATTATAGATCTTAAAAAAATTGTCATTTTTTCTTTTTTTTTTTAATTATTATACTTTAAGTTCTAGGGTACATGTGCACAACCTGCAGGTTTGTTACATATGTATACATGTGCCATGTTGGTTTGCTGCACCCATTAACTCGTCATTTACATTAGGTATTTTTCCTAATGCTATCCCTCCCCCTGCCCCCCAACCCCACAAGAGGCCCCGGTGTGTGATGTTCCCCTTCCTGTGTCCGTGTGTTCTCATTGTTCAATTCCCACCTATGAGTGAGAACATGCGGTTTTTGGTTTTCTGTCCTTGAACATTATCACTTTTTCTAATGGGAGAAAACAACTGCATTGTTCATCCTCTTCCAAGTCCATAGGCTCAACAAAGTCACTTAAGGTTAGGAAGGGGGTAGCACAGGGAAAGAAACTCCCTTAAAAAAATAAGTTTCTTTTCTTTTTTTTCCAGAGGGAGTCTTGTTCTGTCACCCAGGCTGGAGTGCAGTGGCACAATCTCAGCTCACTGCAACCTCCACCTCCCAGGTTCAAGCAATTCTCCTGGGCCAGCCTCCTGAGTAGCTGGGATTACAGGCGTGTACAACCACACCCGGCTAATTTTTGTATTCTTAGTAGAGACAGAGTTTCACCATGTTGGCCAGGCTGGTTTCGAACTCTTGACCTCATGATCCGCCCATCTCGGCCTCCCAAAGTGCTGGGATTACAGGTGTGAGCCACCATGCCCAGCCCTATTTTCTTTTTTAAGCAGAGAAAGAAGCACTGAGACGTTTTCAGCTAAGAAAACTTAGAAGCATTACCCAACCCCCTAGGAAATATACTCAAAAACTTTGAAAAGTACTAGAAATAGTTCAAAATGAGGAAATGAGAGTGATTTTTTTCACTTTTTAGAAGCATTTCCAGGTCTCCCTCAGTTATCCTAAGATTATCTCAGTCCATACACTGCCTAATTCTTAGATGGCAGAATGTTTAAAAAACATGCAGATATCTTAAAGCAAGTGCGTTCAAGGAATAGAGAGTTAATGAAAGTAAAATTGATTCTGGCCAAACCAATTGTAGAACTGAGTGAGCCTGAGTAAGCCACTGAAGACCAGGAACCCGTGTAGTCATATGACGTATAAGATACCCTCTATTCTCACATTGTTTTCATTTTGTACTCATGTTAAATTGTCTGGGGACTCTCTCTATGTGGATAAGAAGTAGCATTAATTTGTCATATTACATGTACATTTATTAAAAATCCTAGCAGCAATGTTACCAAGTAACAGTGTTACTGATATTATTTCATCAATTAGAAATGCTGAATTATTTTTAAAGAAAAATCTCGCTAGTGACCTTTCATCTGACGTAAATAAGAGGCTTAACCTATATCTCAAAAAAAAAATCAAGTCAAATTTACCACTTGTAATTTTGTTTGCATTACTGAATCATTTGACTTGTTTTTGTCTCTGTGTTTGTTAGTCAGCTCATACAAACAGTTTATCCTCAGTCATTCCACCAAGCTCTTTGCAGTCATCTAGAAAGAATCAGACATTATTACTACCATTCTTGTTTACCCTTCCTGAAAGATTTTCCAAAGAAAAGGAGAAACAGGCTTGAATTATACATGAAGAATTTCACCATAAAATCTGAACAAAAAACATCCAGATTATACAAACGTATTGTACTTGCCCCTCTACTAAGGGTGGTGCTCCAACCCTCACACTGATATGTCAACTGCCCATAACCATGCCCCACCTGAGAATTCTTTCTTTGCCATATCCTTGTTTTCCAGCTTTTGTATATGCATCCCTACATTTTTAGTCAAGAAGCTGGCAGTCACATGCTGTCCATTTGCCAATGTTGGAAATGACTGTTGGAATTCAATGGTTTCCCCCACCACTAAGAAAAATGCTTTTCATTTAATTCATAATAACAACAGTTTGCATTTATGTTTTTTATCTGTTTCAAAGCACTCCTCTGCCACCATTAATGAACTAAATCAGCCTTTGCTATTTTATGATCTGTCTCATTAAAATGGAGTTGATTTTCTCTGTGGTAGTCACTTGCATAATGTTGTTTTCTTCTAGCAAACCCTGCACTTAACTAATGTAAATTCATTTTTAAATTGTGTGTTTACACAGAAAATTTTCCCCAAATATATTTTTAATGCTGCATCCTTTCAACAGCATTACAGGGAGTATTTTATTCTATATAGACATTTTAAACTATAAAGACACTTAAATGCTTTAATGTAGTCTTCTCTAAGTACTTGTAAATTATTTATAAAGACCCCCTCAAGTAAATGTGTTGAAACTGCCAGTGGTAGAAACAGAAATTGTTTGCTCTGTGAGCCCTATTAATACTTAATTATTTGTATAGTATTAAATGATTGGCTTACTGATGAACTAAGGCTTAATAAGTGAACAAGAAAACTTGCAGTTGGCAAAGAAACTCTGAATGTTAAATTTATTATGGTTTAACTCTGTCTCTGTTACTACTGGACCACTTATACAAGTGCCTGATGGCTCATTCCTAGGGATTTGATCTAATGTGGGAGGAAGATGTCTCTCTGCAAATAAGTGCAGGCACACACAAGTTTAGGCAGAGATGGTGTTCTAGTGACTCTAGGTTGAGAAACTATAAATATTGGTTGGTTGCCGCCCACCTTCCATCCTGCCTTCTTTTAGGTAGAGACTTCTGGCTTCTGCTTGAGGAACCACCCTATCCTACTCTAGCCTTGTGCTTAGAATAAAATTGAGCTTACCCCCAATTCCAAAGGTAGGTCTACCTGGCCTTCCTAATGATTTAAAGATAGACACATAACTCAACCTAGCTCATCACATTCTTTTAGACACAGGGATTAATATAGAATAAGCATTTCATCTATGTTAGTCCAATCAGAATACACTTAGGACTTGCCCTGGGAATTCTGGATGTAGACTGTCTTTTCCCTTGGGTGGTATAGTGTGATGATATAAGACTTGTAGCTGGTGCAGTCATTTGCATCCATAAGAGGAAAGCCTAGAATGGCTGGAAAGCAATGGCTGGGACCTTGCTGATACTGTTGGATTTATGTTAGATAGGGAACAGACCAAACTGCTGTAACAAAGAGATTCTAAAATACAGGGACTGAAAAAGATAAAATTTCCTTTTTAGATTCTTTTTTTGTCTTTTGTTTTCCTTTTAGTGGAGAATGGGGTCTTGCTATATTGCCCAGGCAGATCTCGAACTTCTGGGCTCAAGCTATCCTCCCACCTCTGCCTCCCTAAGAGCTGGGACTACAGGAGTGAGCCACTGCACCCTGCTAAACTTTTTATTTTCCTTACGTCTCTGTCTATCTACCTCATAACTATATGGCTGGCCAAGAGTGATAGGCAGTTTGGGGTCATGGGGTCAGTTAGGGACCCAGGATCTTCCTATCTTGTTGTTCTGCTGTCCTGCTAGGGTATTGTCTTCATGTTGCAAAGCCAGTGATGCTTCACCACCCTCCCATCACAGCCTTGTTTCAGTTACAAGAAAAAAGAAAGGAATAGTGGAGGGCAAGAAGCTTCTTCTAATGCAGGGCTTATCAATCTAAGCTCTATTGACATTTTGGGCCTGGTAATTATTTTCTGTTTGGGGTTGTCTTGTATATTGTATGTTTAGCAGAATCCCTGGCCTCTAGTGCCTAATGCCTATAGCATCCCTCCCTCTCTCCTAGTAATGACAATCAAAAATGTCTCAGACATTGCCAGCTGTCTGGGAGGGAAAACAGCCCCCCGCTGAGAACCCCTGCTTTAAGGATATCTATGGAAGTTATACATATCACTTCCCTGTAAGAGTCAGAAGATAACATGTGGACACACTGAGTCATAAGACAGTCTGGGAGAAATATTTCTAGCTGGGTGAACTTTTGCCCAGGTACAATTTCAGGGGCTCTATTGCTAAAAAATTAGGGAAAATGAATTTTAGGGGACAATTCAAAATCTCTTCCACACAGCTGTACTTTTGAAGCTTTCTATCATATTAGCCAGTAAGTTACCTTTACAATTTAAACAATTTGGAATAGGTTTTTCGGTCACTTGAAGTTCAGAGCCCTAATTGATACCAGTATTATTATCTTTATCCAACACTGTAAGTTGAAAATAGTGAACATTATCCAAAGAAAAAAGGATAAAAGGAATAATACCTGAAGATACTCAGAAGCTGGGTACTGGCTGAGAAGGGATTGAACAAAACAGCAGAAATGAGGCTGTTTCTTATCAAGAGAAATATGGTAGAAACGGAAAGGCCATGGTCACAGGAGCCCACGGTCACTGTAGTAGTTAAGAAAAAAGGCAATATAATTATGCTAAATTACCAAAATGAAAACTGCAGGCATCTTGCATTATTTGGCTTTGAACTGCTACTTTCTAGTTCTCATTGTAAATACAAAAAGCGTTTAGTGGCTCCCTTATATCTCACACAAAAGGATCATTGCTTACAGCCAGCTGTTTGGCAATTATATTTCTATGAAGTTAGCATAATTTGAGATTAGAACTGCCTGAGAAGAGGGGGGTGGTGATAACATTCTAGTGTATTGAAGTAGGGTATGGAATAGTGATGGTGGAAGCTCTGATTTTAGAAGTGAATGGCCTTTCCAAAGTTCATCTCGAAGCCAACAGTTCTGAATTCAAAACATATTTTGCCATAGGAATCTTATTTTTTTAAGTTATTAGATTAGCACAGGAGTCCTCCAATACCAGAAAAGAAAGAGACATGTACTTTACGGTAGTACAGAAGAAAATGCTGCAGGGCAAAGGAAGATTTGTCTGAAGGTTCAGACTGAGGAAATCATTAGTAAAATCTTCAGGGAAGTGGTGACTTTTAAACTAAGCTTTAGATGAGGAAAGAGAGAAAGGGCCTTTCAGGGTGAAGGACGGCCAGTTCAAAGACACAGTATTTAAAATTCTCCATGAGGAATAGTAAGTGCCTACCATGAGTACAGCATAAGGTTTATGGAGATATGACAATAAGTTAGGACGGGGCTGTGAATGTATGGTGGAGTTTGGATTTTTTTAGTCCACAAGCCACTAAAGAGTTTTAATGAGGAGGATAGTATGATCAAATATAGCTTTAATAATTACATGAAGAATGCTTTGAAATTGAGGACATTACTGCAAGAGAATTGGATTTCTGATCTTGAGACATGGCAGTGGGTTAGAAAGAGAGAAATCACCAGAGAAACAACGTGAAGGTAAATTGGCATGGGAGGTAGAGAAGAAAGAATCAAATATGGCTCCAAATTTTTAGGTCTACGAGGTTGGAATCATGGCACAAGGATAGGCTTAAAAGGAAAGGAATGAGCTCAGTAGGTATCTGTCTGCAGGATAAGAGAAGAGTTAAGGTGGTCATGGCCTTATCGTATAGCATATGGGCTACATTTACATTTCTGCAAAGCTTGCCCATTGGGGTCCCTATAATTGGAGAAAAATCACTTACTGAATTTTGTACCTAGTTCCAGTCTTCCTCCAAGTTTACTTTATATTATTTGTTTGGGATATAGCTCCACATGTTGAAACTGTGCCTCTAACACCAGTGTTGGTGAAGACATTGCATTCCAGTGCCAGATTCTGTGGTCAGAAATTTTGTTTAACAGAGGTAGCAATAATATTGGAAGCATAGGTTGCATTGTAGAGTGTCTGAGAAAAGGGGTGCAGAGAAAAATCCTATCAAACATGTGTTAAAATAATGTCAAATCTGATATACTCATAAAAACATGCCCTTGAACATCTTGGGGCAGAGGAAGGGATGGGAGAGAATAAAGGAGGATCATCTCATGCTCAAAGAGAGAAAAAGAAGAGAGCAAAGGAGAGTTTCGCAGGAAGGGTACTGTGGAAACGCCAGCAAAGGTGGGATCAGGAATTATCTGGAAAAGAGAGAATTTCTGGGGTGTCTTTTGATCCACATCCTACTTCCTTATTTCTATTCCATCCAGGCAGTTGAAGTCATCAAACCAACCAAGCCTTTGTATAGCATGGTAGGTGATGGAGAAGGACAGTAATTGGAACAGTAAGGAAACAGAGGCATATCTCATATGCCATATATGCCTGTATATCATATATCATCTCCTCTTACTCCCTGGCCAAAAAAAAGATGGCAGATTCATTGTATCCAGGATATACTGATGGAGGCAAGTAGGATGGAATGCCATGCCTGAAGGACTAGGTGGAGGTGATAGTTCATGCCACCTAGAGCTAGATATTGGAGCATCAGGGCTAGATCAACGTGCTAGGTACTGATTGCTGGAAGGAACCCTTCAGAAATGAAACTCCTACCAATTAATATGAGAGATCTATGTTTCACTCAAAGTTTATGCCAGAATAGGACTAAATGAACAAAAAAGAATGGCACCAGGCCGCAGGTGTCTGCCCCATGAATTGTATTCAGAAGGGGCTGCCCATTTGGCAGAGTTGTAGAATTGCTAGTTCATCTTTAGAGTTGCTCATAGACTGGAGCTGATCAAGTAATTACAAAACCAGTCAAACAAGGTCTATATCCTCTTCCTTGAAAATAGCTAGTGAGACCAAAGTAGTCATCTGGTCACCATGCTAGGATCCTCTGCTTCCCTCTCACATGGCATAGTCAGTGTTCTAGGTCTCCACTGTCTTGGAGCTGAGGAACAATTTGATTTGATTTGGTAAGTCATATCCCCGTAGCTTTAACACAGTGACTTCCTATTCCTCATTCTGAATAGGAAAGAGTTTGGGGTGCAGGGTAGTTTTACAGCTAAGTGGAAACCAGAAAGAAGAAAACAGACAGTATAGAGTTTTCTCAGAGTAGAAAGGAGTCACGAGAAAAAGTAAGGGAAGAGGTATGGATATTACCTCACTCCAACAACCAATACATACTACCACATCTCTAACAAAAATAAACCTCAAGCCTGAGGGATTCCTTTTCTCTAATTCCTCATTTTCAGCAGAATAAGGAAAGTAGATACTTCAGGCATAATATGCCTAAGTGTATCAACATTAGCTGGCCTCAGAATCTGGAAAGAAGCTCAGTAAATCAGTTTTGATTTACACTATCCTACAGCCTCAGTAATAAGATTCCACCTGGAACTCTGAGTTTAACTTTTCAGCTGTGTGTAATTTGATCTATTGATGTCAGGAACAGGAGCAAACTGTACAGGATGTTGAATCAGTTTCCCATCTCACGCTGCGAGACCACCTCATATAGGTGGTAATGAAAGAAATGTTCCCTTTGTCTTTTATCTCATACATGATGACATTCTTCAAAATGAACCAGTTGTTTAGAGCGGGTATGCTTCTTTCCAGAAATAAATTGGTACTGGGATAGCTTGGCTTACTTGTGCAGCAAATGGGAAGACTCTTTCCCATTTGCTAATGGTGGTTACCAATTCAGCAAAGTGAGTTGAAGGAGAGTCTGATTCACAGATGCTGACTTAGATGTTAGCCCTCTCATAAAACCATAGTAATAATTAACAATGAAATGTGCCAGCCACACTTTGAATCACTTTCCATGTGGTAACTCAATTTAATTTTAACAACTTTATGAGCTAGGCATTATCATTTTCACTACTTTACAGTTGAGGGAGTTATGCCACAAAGAGGTGAAATAACTTCTCCAAGACCACACAGCTAGAAAAAAGCAGAGCCAAGATCCAAGTTAGGTTGGCTCTAGAGTCTGTACTTGTAAACACTGTACTAAATTGTCTCTCTGACATATCACAAAGAGCAGCAGGTTTGGAGTCAGGATAGACTGGCTTGAATTCTTTAAAAAAAAAAAAAATCAGCCTTTCTGGCTGGGCACAATGGCTCACTTCTGTAATCCCAGCATTTTAAGAGTCCAAGACAGGTGGATCACCTGAGGTCAGGAGCTCAAGACCAGCCTGGCCAACATGGTGAAACCCCGTCTCTACTAAAAATACAAAAATTAGCTGGGCATGTGCCTGTAATCCCAGCTACTTGGGAGGCTGAGGAGGGAGAATCGCTTGAACCTGGGAGGCAGAGGTTGCAGTGAGCCAAGACTGTGCCACTGCACTCCAGCCTGGGTGAAAGAGCGAGACTCCATCTCAAAAAAAGAGAGAGAGAGACTCAACTACTTTTTTAAGATAAGTTAAACAAAAGAAGTGAAGTGTCCCATGTCTTGCATCTATTTCATTGGCAAGAAGGATTATCTAAATGACATTGAAGACGGGGTGTCAGTATTTAGATGATGAAGGTTTCCATGAGTTCTTGTTTTGGGGAACAGAATGAATCCATACATGAGTTCCTGTTTTGGGGAACAGAATGAATCCATACAGTTACAGAGATATAGAGTGCCTAGAGACAGTAGCCCAATTTTTTGGTTGCAGGTTTCCTATGCTATTTACATGTTTCAGAAAACCTAGTGAATGTTTAGATGCTATGCATGTTGTCCAGCAGCTGTACTCAGGAAAAGCAAGAGCAACATTTGTGAGTTTCATTACATCTTATTTTATTATTTCCATAAAATTGTGTTTTATTATGCAATCACAAGGACTTCTAAGCCACCAAGAGACTGACAAGGATTTCGCTTTGCAGAACAACCCCTAAAACAGAACAAATTCAATTATCCAGAGGCCTATTTTGTAGGAGAGGTAATCTTTGCTTTAGAATTTTTAAAATTGTATTCTTAAAGCACAAATGTGACTCATAGGCAGGTGTATTTCCATTTAGAGAACTCAACCAGTAGCTGAGGATATAGGAGCAAGGTCTAGATCTCAGAAAAAGTTACGAACAAGCTAAGCAAGAGATTAGGGATATCGCTAAAGGGACCCAAGTTCAGGACGAGACTTCAATACAGTGAAAGAACTAGAAGACACTTAGTTCCTTGGCAATCAAGACTGGAGAAAATGGAGACTCAATCTAAGACTTCAGATTGTTGGGCTAAGAAGATGCTCAAATGTGCCCATCCCAGGTACATAACATATAGTCTAGGCTTATCGAGGCACAAAAGCTGATAAAGAACCCTAAGTTTCTTCCAGCTTTTGTTTTGACTAAGTTGGGAATTTTGCCTGCAACGTAAGTGCTTTGGTACCTGTATCAGGGTCAATCTGCGAAGGCAAAGACCGAGACTTCCCGTTTATAGCAGTTCCAAACCTGCTCCGCTTTCAGCCCTGTTTTGTTGTTGTTGTTGTTGTTGTTGCTGCTGCTGCTGTTGTTGTTGTTGTTGTGAGATTCTGCCTCTGTTGCCCAGGCTGGAGTGCAGTGGTGTGATCTTGGCTCACTGCAACCTCCGTCTCCCTGGTTCAAGCAATTCTCCTGCCTCACCTTTGGAGTAGCTGGGATCACAGGTGTGCACCACCACGCCTGGCTAATTTTTGTATTTTTGGTAGAGATGGGGTCTCACCATGTTAGTCAGGCTGGTCTCAAACTCCTAACCTCAGGTGATCTACCTGCCTCGGCCTCCCAAAGCGCTGGGATTACAGGTATGAGCCACTGCACCCAGCCCCCAACCCTCTGTTCTCTTTTTTATGTATCATGAAATAGTAGAATACATCTGAGTCATCAGAACTGACAGCCTCTGCTTACAAAAGCAACAGATCAGCAGGTCCTAAGTTAACGCTTTGACCTCACCGTCTACCTCTCTTCCCCCTGCCTTCATTGTTTCTCAAACATGCAGAAGGAGGTGCAACTTAGGGCCTTTGCAGGTACTGCTCCTTCTGGCTGGTACAAGCATCACCATACAGCCAAATGACTGGTTCTTTCTTGTCTTTCAGTTCTTGGCTAAAATGTTGCCTTCTCAATGAGGACTTTCCTGATCAACCTTTTTTAAATTACCCTATTCTCCCCAAGGCATTAATAACATCATGTCAGAGCTCTTAGCAAAATCTGAAACTATCTTGTTGGGTTTTAATTTGCTTACTGAAATGGCAGATGTGCAAGGTTTTTTCTTATCACTTATTGTGTTAAATGAATCAAGATACTCAGAGTGCTTCTCTTGAGAAAACCTATGCCTCACTTAGGTTGACAAAGTTTCAACACATGAACACAGGAGGCATATATAGTATATACATGTATTTCATCAGTCCCAAAGAACAACTGGCGACATGACTAGCTTTATAAAATTGCAAGGCGTTGGATGGGGGAGCTAGGGAACTTTACAAAACACACAAGGTCTCTGAACCAAAAATCAACATTGGCTGTGAACAGTAACATGGATTATCAGTGACATTTTTTGCTTCCATTTACAACTGTTTACAGTGGATTTTTTTTTAACTGACCAACTCTTTAGTTTGTGGAGTTGGTTTTACATCTCTAGGCCTGGTTTTTAAAGATATTCTTAATTTTGATGAAAATCTTCATTATGATCTCCTGGACTGGATGTAACATTTAAAAAAATCTCCTAACAACATATATCCTAGTAATGCAGTCTCTGGGGTAGTGGGAAAAAGTCAGGACTGGGAGTCACAAGACCCAGGCTGAGGCCCTAAATAAGTTCCACTTATTCAACAAAAATTGAATATGTGCCAGGCACTGTTTTAGCAAATTCAAATAGTGAATATGACAGACAAAGTGTCTGTCCCTTAGGAATTATGTTCTACTGGGGATAGGGAGAGGGTGATAAAAATACCCTTTTTTCATCTGCAGTTTTCTCTTCTAAAAATAGGTGGGCATTAGACTAGATCATCTGGAAAGTTTCTCCTAGCTCTACATGTTCCGAGAGAGAGGAAAGAAAATTTGAAAGGCTTCGCAGTAGTTATTTTAGGGAAGTAAAATCCTAGATTTAAATTTTTTTTTCTTTTTGGTCATCATTGCTTTCTGATATTTTTTCTATAATGAACATGCATTACAATATGAAATGAAAAAATGTTTAAGAAAAACAGTAGAGATTTTCCTTTCAACCGTGAGCATTGGTTTCTAGTGACCTGAAGGTACAACATTCATCCATTAGTAATGGGAGCTGTAAATGGGAATTGTCTTGCCTCTCCAGTGACTTATTAATCTTTGCCTAATGGGGCTTTAGGGAACCTGCTCAGGGGATCTTTATGCTCCTTTTCCCATTACTTCAGTGTGTACCGGTCTCTTCTCTTTTCCTCGAACACTTGAAGTTCTTCTCCACCTAGGAATATTTAGGCTCAGTTGGCCTCATCTCACCCTTCAACCTTCACATCTCAGCTTAAATGTTAATTCCATAGATGCCTTAACAGAGCAATCTAAAACCTAAATTCCCTTCCTACTTTACTACTCACCATATCATCCTTGGTATTTCCTATATTATCTCTATTCTGCTTTTCTCTTACAGAGCACTCTTGTCAACTTGTAGTTTCATGTCTTTTGTTTCTATATAAACTTAGTCTATTTTCCCCCACAGTCTGAAGTTTCATTGTGAAGACAGGGATAGTCTGTTGTGTTGAGGCTATATTCCTAGGGCCTAACAGTGCCTGTCACATCATAGATACTCAACTAATATTGATGGAGTAAATGAATAAATGAATGAATGAAATGGCTCCTTTGTCCTCTCTCTGTTAAGTGTTTTATTCCCATACAGTGTTGTGCTGCAGGCAAGCCCTTTGCCAGCTCACAAGAGTGAACGGTTAATTTTTCAGGGATTTTGCAAGCCAATTGTTAAGCTTAGTGGCTTGACATTGGCCTTGGTTGGGGTATATATATACCATAGACATAGGGAAATGCTGCATGTTAAGACTTTTTATTCCCACAAAGAGCTGGTTTACCAGCATACCTCTACTCTCATCTTCTAAATCAAACTATAAATATTGAGCTATCATGCAAAATCATGCCCATAGGTTATTTAAAATATTTCAATAAAAAAGTATTGAATTTAAAAAATATTAAATACATGCTATATAATTATTTACCTGTGGGAAATAGTTCTTTTATAAGCTAACTTATAATCTAAAATATGTGTCTCTGATCTCCTAAAGTTTGTTTCCTGTTTTTCATTCAGATCCTTATGTGAAGATTCATCTGATGCAGAATGGTAAGAGGCTGAAGAAGAAAAAGACAACAATTAAAAAGAACACACTTAACCCCTACTACAATGAGTCATTCAGCTTTGAAGTACCTTTTGAACAAATCCAGGTAATGTCAAACATAACTTTGTCTTCCCACTCAATTTCATTCCTTCAGACCACATAAATTATACACACAGACCTTGTAAGTTATCAGTGCACATGCCTTCATTAGAACTGCCATTCTTTCTCCCCATGCACATTTGATGCTTGAGCTACATCAGGAAGGATAAAATATACAGCACAGGATGTGCTGACTCATCAGCCCAAAACAGCTGGCACTGTGTTGAGCAGAAATAAAGTAGGAAAAAGAAAATCAACAGAACAACTCTGCTAACTCAAAAAGTGCATCTATAAAAGTTAAAAAGCCCAGAGAAAACTATGAGCTTTCACTATTTACTCCCAGGCCATAAATAAGTCTCCCCATGAGATCTTTAGAGCAAAAAATAGTGATAAGAGAAATATTTTTGGTTGATGCTAAATATGCAGCATATTGAGTCTTTATTAAAAGATGATTAACAATAGAAAAATTAGGCTAAGTTGTGTTTTCAATTATTTAAATCCAGCTTCCTGTGTCTGAGTTGGAATGGATGGCTATTTTATTAAAAATGGAGCCTTAATATGCCAGACAATAATTATGAAGGGAAATATTCTATTAAATATCCTTGTAGTTAATATGTTCATATTAAGTTGCTATATGTAGCCACAATGATAACATGCAATCTTATCATTTAGGGGTTTTTGAAAATATTTACATTTTCTCACCCCATCTCCATAGTTAGCCTATAAGAATCTAAAGATAATATCCAATAATTTTGGGCCATTTCTTGCAAATCTTTAATGGGCATCAGAGAGTCAAACTGCATAAAGCAACACTATTTTTACATTTTATTAAATAATTGGCGCAGGTGTATATTTTCAGTGATACACAAGTTTGCCCATAACTTGAAGGAAAAACAAAGAGCAGACATCAAACCTACAACAAAGAACCTTCTAAAGGTCCAGAATAACAAATACTCTTTATTTATTTTATTTTATTTATTTTAATTGCCAAATAGTAGTTGTACATATTCATGGGGCACATAGTAATGTTTTCATATATATAATGTATTGTAATCAAATCAGAGTAGTTAGCATATTTATCATCTCAAACATTTATCATTTGTTTGTCTTGGGAACAGTCAATATCCTACTTGTAGCTATTTGA
Source organism: Homo sapiens (assembly GCF_000001405.40). Classification (NCBI taxonomy): domain Eukaryota; kingdom Metazoa; phylum Chordata; class Mammalia; order Primates; family Hominidae; genus Homo; species Homo sapiens. The sequence goes on from NC_000012.12 coordinate 79,445,344, forward strand.
AATTATATCATATGTTATTGTTAACTATAGCCATCCTGTAGTGGTACAGAACACTAGAATTCATTCCTCCTATGTAGCTGTGATTTTATATCCTTAAACAAATCTCTCCCTACCTTCCCCTTCCCAGTCTTTAGTATCCTTTGTTCTACCTTTTATTTCTATGATATCAACTTTTCTTTAGCTTCCACATGAGTAAGAACATACAGTGTTTACTTTCTGTTCCTGGCTTATTTCACTTAACATAATGTCTGCCAGTTCCATCCATTGCCACAAATGACAGGATTCATTCTTTTTTATGGCCGAATAGTATTCCATTGTGTATATGTACCACATTTTATTTATCCATTCATCTGTTGTTGGACACCTAGGTTAATTCTGTATGTTGGCTGTTGTGAATAGTGCCATACCACTCTTAATATGCCAAATTGTGTCTTCATTTACCTTTAATCTATTCTTAGAAGACAGTATCTTATGAATTAATCACAGCTTTATTCCAAGAAGAAAGCTAATATAATAGCTACACTTATTTTATATATATAAAATATATATTTTATATATATAATAAGTATAGCTATATAATATATACATATATAAAATAAGTATAGCTATTATGTTAGCTTTCTTCATGGAAACATTAATCCAAAGACATATATATATATATATATATATATATATATATATATATATATATTATGCCTAGGTCCAAGTTAACCACTTTATGTATGTAATCTCATTTCATACTTAGAAGAACTTTATGAGAAAAGTACTATTGTTATTATCCTAATTTTATATGTGAAAAAACTGAGGCTTAGAATTTCTTTACATGTAAAATAAGAATGATAACAGTCCTTGTCAAAGTGACATTATGCATATAAAAGCACTTGGAACAGCGCCCAATACATAGGAACACACAGTAAATGGTCCTGTCATCATCATCATTATTATTCACATGCTAATGTCCTCTCTTTTTCAAGTTAACATTTTATTAGAAAATAGATCTAACAATAAGATTAAATCAGTATATAAATCAGTGCTGTCTAATAGAACTTTGTGATGATTGAAATATTCTATCATCCATGCTGTCCAATAATATGATAGCCACAGCTGGCCAATGAGCACCTCAGTCACTAATTTGACCAAGGAACGTTATTTAACTTCCATGTATTTAAATTTAAATTGATATAGCTAGATGTGGCTGGTAGCTACTCTGTAGTATAGGGCAGTCTTAAATGACCAAAAATAACCAATAACTCTACCATCTTTGTATTGGTTGATAGTTTTAAATACAACCTTTATCATATAAATTTTCACATGGTGTCAAATTATACATACTTATTTACTTTCAACATCTGTTACATAAGTAAATGCAGAGGACACTGGTTCCCTGTTCCCAATAACTTTTTCACTAGCCTGAACCAGCGGGCCCCCTGCTTTGGACCCACTCACAAACCCTCAAGACATCAATTTTTTCCAACGATTTATTTTGCAATATTTATTCAGTGAACTTTTTTGAGTTCTAAGACCTTATTCCTATGGAAACTAACACCTCCTGGCATTTAATTTTTTTAATTCCACAAAATAAATATAAAGCAAGGCATTGAGATGAAAACTCCCATTGAGCTACAATTCTATGCCTTTAAAATAAATATCCTTTTCAACTACAAACTGCAGAAAATGCAGGTATATTGAAAGTGAAGCACATTAAAAATAAGACACATGCTAGGTTTCTGGGGCAGCATTTCAGAGGCAATAGCGTTTTGTCAGGACAGACAGAAACTATGCCCAATATAGAATACATTAGACATGGAAATAATGAGCATTCCTTTGACTGTATCCCTCTTTCTCTGCTCCTTGAGTCACTTTGTTCTTTTTTTTTTCCTTTTTTTATAGGAGGCAACTTTTCTAGTCTTCACCTTTTTCTAGAAAAAAATAATTGAGTATTTCACATGCTAAAATAGGGTCTTAAGTTTGCCTTATCCTGAGGTTATAAGACAATCTGCCTGTCCTTCTGTCTTTCTCTATCCCTATGAAATGTATTATGAAAGAAGCAAAATATGCTAATTTCCAAATGCATGTGAGAATGTAAGCCCTTCTCCCCCAAATGTAGAAATAAACTACATATGCAGCTGGAAACATTAATCCAAAGGCTTCACAAGGATATTTTGTCTTGAATGCTACTAATCAATGCATTCCTAAGTGGAATAATCAAACTCTAAAAACTTCTGTTACCTTTGTGTGTCATGTCCCCCACCCCATTCATTACAATATGATTGCTTCCTGATAAATTTGCTTAGAACAAGCTCTAAGAATCAGTATAGCCCTCTTCTTTGTTCCAGAAACTATCCAGTGGATAGTTAATTCCTTTCACAATGGAATCACTCCAAGGGAAGATTGTCCGTTTTATTGACAATGTGTTGCATTTCACATTCTAAATTCCACTTGCAGAAGTGATTGTTTTCTCTGCTCTGAAGCTGTATATCAATGACATTTCTCATTTCATTAATATAATAAACCAGTCTCCAGCATATAAAGTCCACTAAAGGGCCCTAACTCAGCTGGTTCTTAATCTGGCCCTAGCTTTTATAATTACATTTTCTGCTACTTTCAACTCTGGCAATAAATGTTACATATTCCATTTATTTTAAACTCTTACCTTTACACTCAGCTGCTAGATTGAAACCATCACATATTCTGCTAAGTAAATTCATTACTTAGGAAGTAGAACTGAAATTTGCTTTTAAAAAGTATATATTTTATACCATAATGGTATAGGTTTGCTTTCATCAGTTCAATCATTCAGAAAAGGAAGTCATCAAATAAACTTTCAAAATCTGATGGAATCATTGAATAAATCCCGTGTAGCCTAAACTGATATTTCCATTTGATATCAATGCCAGATACATTGTAGTTACTCAGTAAATGTTTACTAAGAGAACGTATGGATGAGAAAAAAATATCTTTATTACTACTTTTTAACCATACTTTTCACTATACTATCATGTTTTATGCTCACAATCATATGATTAGTTGAAATTCTATATTAATTCTATATTAATTTTTTTGTAACATGCTGTCCCCCCACCCTTAAAATCAGATTATTGCACATGGTTGCCTTGGGAATTGTAATCAAATAGAGTGGGCTGAACACCAATGCCAGAACTTTCACTGATAAGACAACTGAAGCAAATGAATTTAGAGGTTAGCACAAGTTGACACAGACTCCATGGCATGGAGGTTCACAGCATAGGCTCTGAAAACCAAACAACTCATTCCTTAAACAACCTCAGACAGGTTATATAACTTCTCAGAGCTTCAAGCATCCTTACCTGTATAATGGCAATATTAATAGGATCTATTATGAGAAGTAACTGAGTTCATTCATGTAAAAGACTTAGTGCAAAGTATATAATAAAAATTAACGTTTGAGTATTAAGATTCAAGTCATTTTCATCCTCATCCTAGTGCTTGGAGATTGATTCTTCTATTTCCAATTCTTTAGCGCTCAAGGACGCTTTATAGTCGGGCCTTATCTCTAGAGCTAGATGATTCATATTCATTTCATGGCTTCTTTCAGAAAGTGCAGGTGGTGGTAACTGTTTTGGACTATGACAAGATTGGCAAGAACGATGCCATCGGCAAAGTCTTTGTGGGCTACAACAGCACCGGCGCGGAGCTGCGACACTGGTCAGACATGCTGGCCAACCCCAGGCGACCTATTGCCCAGTGGCACACCCTGCAGGTAGAGGAGGAAGTTGATGCCATGCTGGCCGTCAAGAAGTAAAGGAAAGAAGAAGCCTTTCTGCATTTGCCCATATAGTGCTCTTTAGCCAGTATCTGTAAATACCTCAGTAATATGGGTCCTTTCATTTTTCCAGCCATGCATTCCTAACACAATTCAGTGGTACTTGGAATCCTGTTTTAATTTGCACAAATTTAAATGTAGAGAGCCCCTAAGTCCTTCATCATACCACTGCCCTCCAAATCTACTCTTCTTTTAAGCAATATGATGTGTAGATAGAGCATGAATGAAATTATTTATTGTATCACACTGTTGTATATACCAGTATGCTAAAGATTTATTTCTAGTTTGTGTATTTGTATGTTGTAAGCGTTTCCTAATCTGTGTATATCTAGATGTTTTTAATAAGATGTTCTATTTTAAACTATGTAAATTGACTGAGATATAGGAGAGCTGATAATATATTATACGGTAAATATAGTATCGTCTGCATTCCAGCAAAAATATCAACTCGTAAGGCACTAGTACAGTTAAACTGACATCTTAAAGGACAACTTAAACCTGAGCTTTCTATTGAATCATTTGAGTACCAAGATAAACTTACACCACATACTTGGTGGGTGAATCCAATTTTGTAGAATTCCTACACAGGCAAAATAGCATGATCTGAGCAGCAGCATCCAGGCTGACCTCAAGGAAGCATAGCCACAAAACAGAATAGCACCTGTCTGTACATATTTACAAAGCTAAAATAATGGCTTCACTCTTATATTTGAGGAAGCAACTGAACAGGAGTCAATGATTTCATATTACTGCATATAGAATAACAACAAGGTGTTCCGTGTGTGTGTGTGTGTGTGTGTGTGTGTGTGTGTGCACATTTGTTTGGGGATGGGGGAGAAGAAGCTAAGGGGAGAAGTCAACATTTATGAAATATTGCCTGACTATTTAAAAAGAAAAAAGTAGCTCTCCATTATCACCTTTATACAAAATGTACATCCTGTGAATTCTGTTCCAGATTTCACACCTACAATAATTCCAAAAGGTTTGCACATTAGAGTTTGTAACAAAATATTTTATTATATAAAACCAGGTTAGAAGGAATGCAGGATATTTTTAACACAACAATCTGTGCTTATTACACAAAATTACTTTGTGGTAAACAGACAGTATTGTAATCCCATCAAAAGATGAAAGAAAAACAAAAACAAAAACCAACAACAATTAGCCATAGTTCTGAATGCACTTCAATTAAGCCAAAACAGACAGCTAGTGATCTTTTTATATGCTCTTTTTACTTAAGTTTTAATTTGTCCTTTAAAAAAAGGTGAAACAAACCAAGAACAAGTTCTAGAAAACTGAAGCAACCTCTTATGTATACTAGATGCTTGATTTAGGAGGAGTTTTTAAACGTTTTCAATGTTATTATGTAGTAAATGACACTATTATGAAGCTACTAGTCATTCCATAAGAGTCTTAAAGGACTGCTCTGTGTAACACTGTGACTGCCGTGTGTGCTTAGACCCGTAGTTTCCTCAGTGGATAGCACTCAATTTATTCCGTAGTGATATTGTAACAATACTGCCATTCCCTTCTACTGCACTGCCCAAGGTGTGTGTAGCACAAACAGTTCTCATTACAAAGGACCAATTCAGAACTGAAAAGCTATGCATAGGACAAGGAAGATACATAGAATGGGGTGGAACACAGCATTTTGTCAAGCACTGTGCAATATTCCATATTTTTCCCCACTATGGTAGACAACCATTTCGTGGAAGGGCAGCCTATTATCCCACACTGCATCTAGCCTTTTGTCCCATTCACTTCTGTGATCCATTTTAATTTCCAGGCCACAAGACAGTAGTGATGCTCTGAAATGAAAGTTTGTCTTCACAAATATCAAAACAAAATGGAGGAAAACTAAGCATTGGCCTCATGTTCAGTCTTCAGGATATCACACCACGTCTTTTCAAAAACTAAAGAGAATTCAAAAAGGGCTGATGGTAGGCTTTGAACATGGGGTTGGCTGTTTCCCAGTAAAACTGGAATTCCTGTCGTTACTGTTTCCTTATCAAAGAAGGGGCAAGCTCTTTTGCCTTTTAGGCCAGACATAGCAAACGCTTTATAATTGGCATAGACATAAAGGATAAAAGGAAAATAACCGTCTGCCGATGGTCCGTACTTCTTAAAAAACATAGGTAATAGAAAATATACACAAGTCAGAATGTGAAATTAAATAATGGTTTGAACAGAAAATTCAAACAAGACTCTTTCCAATTTAAAGGGCCAAACCCTACCAAAGAGAGGGAGTTGACTGGCTTTTAAAAAGTATTTAAATACCACAAATGACATTTAATTTCACTGTATTCAGCTTTAAGTTGTTCACAATGAAACCACACTTTCAAACAAGCAGGTTCAAGCTGCTGAATAGACATTATTTCTTGCATTAAAATACCACTAATGCATTCTCTTGCAACACTGCCAGACATGGGATTGTCACCATAGAATTAGTTGGTACTATGCCATCTTTCACTCTTTCACAAGTCAGTGATGGAACCTGCTTTATGACCAAGATTCATCCTCAAATAAGCCACATGTACCCTTCTGACAAAGCTGTGTAAAGTATTAGAATCTGATGCTCTAGAAAGATCCTAGTTGCCTTTGTGTATATTTACTGCCTGCTTGAGTGTTTCTATGTGTGGGTTTTCCCTGTATCTTGTAGAAATGTTGGGGTGTTTTCCTCTGCCATATGGCTCGTGGCCTGCGAGCCAACTATTTCAGCTGTATTTTACCTTCATTTTTGATGAGGTGATTTAAATTTTGTTTCACTTTGTGTAGTGAATTCCACAGTAGTTTTCTGATTGTTGTTAAAAATGACTTAACATATTACACAGATATTCAATAAAAATGTTTTATTTCCTGTTGATGTTGCTGCGTTCCCACTCTTTTCCTTGCCTGACTCTGGTGGTAAGCCAATGGCCTATTGACTTTGGGGGACTCCTGGAAGCAGCAGCAGCTAAACAAAACTGCACTGAATGCCAGCATCTGAGTCACATCTGAGTACAGAATAGCTAGAGGGAAAACAACACCCGGGAGCATTTGGCCATGACCGCGTGGTGTTCCTGGGCAGTGTCATTCTCAACATGTGTTTCTCTATTCCTGTGTGTCATCAGTTCATCTGGCGTACTCTGAGGCTTTTCACTTTGCCCAGCATGTGTCCTTCAGGGTTTTCACTCCAGAACCCAAGTCACACAGCTTCTCCAGAATGGGACGGAAAACAAAACTATTTAAACCCCAGTTTCAGAGGACAGTATGACACATTAAATTCTATGCCTACTACGATCGCTATGGGAAACAAGTAAATACTTTTCCTCCACTAAATTTAACATTTATCAAGTGCCTACTGTACTGGACGCTGAAGCCCACAGTTTCAGGCTGATGTAAATACGCTATCCCAATGCACTGTGATGTGGGCTTAAAAGTAAGGGTGTTGGGTCCCTGAGGACTTTTTTTTTTTTTTTTTTTTTTTTTTTTTTTTTTGCGGAGTCTCGCTCTGTTGCCAGGCTGGAGTGCAGTGGTGCGATCTCGGCTCACGGCAACCTCCACTTCCCGGCTTCAAGCGATTCTCCTGCTTCAGCCTCCCGAGTAGCTGGGATTACAGAAGCCCGCCACCACGCCTAGCTAATTTTTGTATTTTTAGTAGTGACAGGGTTTCACCATGTTGGCCAGGATGGTCTCCATCTCCTGACCTCGTGATCCACCCATCTCGGCCTCCCAAAGTGCTGGGATTACAGGCGTGAACCACTGTGCCCGGCCTATCCCTGAGGACTTTTACTGGATCAATCGTAGTAGATACCATGGTGTATCACCATGATCCCCCTTCAGCAGAGAGGTACTCTTGCTGCAGCTGCTGGAAGTGGTGCTTGCTGACAGCTGACAGCTGTGTTCCTCTGCGCTCTACAGAAGGAAGCTGTCTCACCTAAGTTTATGCACCCTCCCTGGGAGCAGCCCACAATCGGCTGCTGATTTCGGAATCTCTGAAGCGCCATCTCAGTTTCATAGCCCCAGGAGTTAGTGGAGACTGCTTTCGCAACTGCACTGCAGTTCAACTTCTTTCTCTGCCCTGTTGGTTTTCTTCAGTGTTTTGCAGGTGTTGCTCCTAAGAGCACTTCCTCCAATAAAACCCCTTCATGTACAGTTTCATCTCAGAATCTGTATCCTGGGGATCCCATCCCACAGCACATTCTTTGGGGAGGAGATATCAAGAAGAGTTTTCTAGAGAGGATAACACAGCGAAGTACTAAAGGAACTGGCAGGAGTCATCCAAGTAAGGGAGTGAGCAAGACTTCTGCAAAATTTATCTCACTTGACAAGTGTATTCATGATGGAGTCTTTGAGGTTGGCTGTATTATACTTCCTTCACTCAGCTCTATCAGTCATGGCCAAATAAAAATAGGAACTAAACCCAAACTGCTAAGACAACCAGTGGAAAGATCACTTAATAACTATACACTGTGAGGAAGCTGCTGGCGAAGGGTTCAAAATCTAAGTTTATAAAATGAAACTTAAGGCACAACTGGTTTAGAAATTTAAAAAAAAAATCAGCATTAAACAATCACAATCGTTTGGTTTTCAATGGTGAGGATTCTGTTTCTTAAAATGCTCTTGAAATTTGATCCAAAACTATTTAAAGAATATTTCTTAATGAATTATCAAAAAGAAAAAACTCACTTCATCCTTTTTCAATGTCATTTTCCCAAAAGGTTTGAAGGTCTAATATAAATACATTAAAGATATTTATTCGGTGTACTAGCCAGGAAAACAAAACCATTTCACATATTTCAGTGAGAGATTTTAAGATAGGAAAGTGGCTGCATAAGGGAGAGCTGAGAAAGCAAAGCAGAGACAGTAGAGTAACCCAGAGATTAGTACATAGCAACTCTGGGGCTGGGAGAAGAAAAGAGAAAATGTAGTATTCATGGAGCCCGAGACTGGAAAGGAGGGGCTGGAATCTTGGAGAAGGTTGCATGGAGACCCCATGATTCTAGGACCACAAAAGGGTATTAGGCCCACCCTGGAGGTGAGGGAACTCCCAGAAACCGCTGATCCAGTCTGCTCACTATTGCTAGAAGGAAATTGATAGAAGCTGAATGCAGGAAGATAATCTCTTCTCCTCTTCTCCTTTCCACTACAACCAGTGCTTCCCATTGGCAGAACCAGCTGGTAAGGGATTCTAGGAAAATAGTCTGCAAAGGCTCAGACCCCACCCCAAGTATATAGCAGAGTACAAAGGTGGGAATGAGAACAGCCAGCAAATGATCAGTGCATTAGGAAACCTGTTACCAGCGGCAAACACTTTTTAAGTGCTTTCATTTTTCCCACAGAAGAGTCAGATGTTTCTGAGTCACACAAGTCATCCCCCACCTGATAAAACATGCATAGGAAATCACATTCTTATTCTATTTATGCAGAGAGTTTACTCTTAACAGATTTGAAAATTCCAACCATGATTGCAGTTACCTTCCACCCCGACTGCAACACATCTTTATTACATATGCACAGGACTCTTTGATGTTTAGCAACTGATTTAGGCTGCACACAAATCTCTACCATAAAACTGTCACACGGTGACTTTGGAATAAGAAGGTGAAAAAGCAGGAAAATAAAAATGAGAAATAGCCTGGTACTAAATGTACAAAAAAATTTTCCAAAGCATACAGAGTAAGAATTATGCAAGAGGAGCCATCAAGAGAGACCCAGAAATAAAAGCACCATGCAAACATGCTGATGATTTGTGGAATCTAAGTTCTAAGGCTGTTATATACATTTTTAAATCCGCATTTCAACGGTATTGATTTCTTCCCTCCCCACTTCTTCCCACCAATGAATATCCCCAAAGTTGTCACATTCATCTTTCCCTGACAGTAACTATCCTGCCAGCCAAGCCTATCCCCTGTGCAAAATATTCTTGCCCCTACCAGGGCACACACAAGGTTAAGAGGTATTTTATACTTAGCAAGTTGGGACTCACTTCCTTTTCAGCTGTCCACTTTAACTCTGTCAACTTCCTACCTCCTCTGGACTCTGCAACGAAGTGCTGACACCTTTTATAGGTAAGAATGTTTGAGTTGCAAATGGAAGAAATCTAAATCAAGTGGTATTAAGGAAAAAAGAGAGAAAGAAAGGTAAAAAAGTAGGAAGCTTTAGAGAAAGAGATAAACCACTGGCTCACCTAAACCAGGAAGTTCAACGCGGATGATTACTTTTAAGAACAGCTGGATCAAAAGCCACAGTGTCATCATTTTCTCTCTCATTCTCCTTCCCCATAAACTCTGCTATCCTTAGTATTGACTTCATTGCCAAGCTGCTATGTCTCCATGTAGCAACAGGGAAGACCCTTGGCAGCTTCACACATATTCTTCCAGCTTAGCAGGCTTGCAGGGAGTGTTTGTTTCACAATTATACCACCAAAATTCCCAAACCTGACTTGTATGACTGGGTCACATGTTCTTAAAACAATCCCCATAGCCAGATGATGATACAGTATTTACTTCAGCCAAAACTAGGCCATGTCTCTAGACCCAGAGCCAAAGAGATAGGGGAAAAATAGCTCCTCAAAAGAAAATAAAAATGATATTAACAAACAAGAAAAGTAGATACCAGGCAGACAAAAACAGCAAACAGCTACACTTTGATTCCTGGTATACCACCAGCCCTAAGAGGAGGGACAAACTCAGGTGATAACAGCATCCTGGTCACTCCTCCTTTTACTAAAAACACTATTAGAAAGGAAATTGTAAAAGTGTGTACCACCTTTCAATTATCTGAAAATTTCCACTTACTTTCTTATTTATTGCCGGGAAAATCAATCACTTGCTATATCTTTTAACAGATTTTTTTTTTTGAGACAGGATCTTGCTCTGTCACCGGGCGGGAAAGGGTGATAATATCTGCCCTGTGATATGGTTCATGATATCCAGTGGGGGAGAGGGTGATATTACTTGCCATATCACTGGAGGTGTACAATCCTATGTAATATCTACCTTGGAATTAGGAATAACGTTTTCCTAGAATATTTCTAATAAATTCACAGGGTGTACACCTACTATGACATTAGGCGTAACATCTCCCTACGATATTACCAATAATATCACAAGGTGTACAGCCACTGTGACACCAGGAGTAACACCTCAGTAGGATACTATGAATAGCAAGCATTACACTGTGACATTAGGTGTACACTGTGACATTAGGTGTAACATCTCAGTAGGATATTACAAATAATATAAATGGGAGTACACCCCATGTGATATTAAGAGTAATATTAATATTGCTTGGATATTACAAATAATATCGATTAATATTTATGGTAATAATTATTAACACATTATTTGTAATGCCCTAGGGTGATTTTATTTCTAATGTCACAGTGTGTGTACACCATGTGTATACACCCTGTGATATTATTCATAGTATCCTAGAAAAATGTTACTCCTAATGTCACAGTGGGTGTATACTGTGTGTTTACACTCTGTAATATTATTCGTAATATCCTATGGGGATGTTACGTGGGTATACACTATGTGATATTATCTGTAATATCCTGGGGGATGTGACTGTTAATGTCACAGTGGGTGTACAAGATGTTTTTACATCCTGTATTATTATTCATAATAACATAGGGGGATGTTACTCTTAATGTCACAGTGAGTGTACACAATGTGTGGGTACTCCTAGTGATATGAACCATAATATCCTAGGGGGATGTTATAACTAATGTCAGAGTGGGTGTACACCATGTGTGTACACCATGTATGCACACCCTGTGATATTATTTGTAATACCTAGGCGGATGTTATTCCTAATGTCACAGTGGGTGTACACTAGGCGTATAAAATCTGTGATATTATTCATAATACCCTGGGGGGGTGTTACTCCTAATGCCACAGTTGGTGTACACCATGTGTGTTCACCCCGTGGTATTATTCGTAAAATCCTAGGGAGATGTTACTCCTAATTTCATAGTAAGTGTACACTATGTGTGTGCACCCTGTGATATTATTCATAAAATCCTAGGGGGATGTTACTCCTAATTTCATAGTAAGTGTACACCATGTGTGTACACCCTGTGATATTATTTATGTAATTATAGGGGTATGTTACTTTAATGTCACAGTGGGTGTACTCATATAGTGTACAACCTGTGATAATATTCGTAATATTTTTGGGGGATTTTACTTCTAATACCACAGTGGTATTACAACCTGTGTGTACAACCTGTGATATTATTTGTAATATCCTAGGGAGATATTACTTATAATATCACAGTGGGTGTAAACTCTGTGGTATTATTTGTAGTATCCTAGGGAGATATTACTTATAATACCACAGTGGGTGTAAACTCTGTGGTATTATTTGTAATATCCTAGGGCAATATTACTCCTAATATCACAGTGATGACTTGATAACCTAGGAGGATATTATGCCTAATGTCACAGTGTGTGTACACCCACTGTGATATTATTCTTAATATCCTAGGGAAATGTTACTCCTAATGTCACAGGTGGTATAACCTGTGATATTATTCGTAATTTTCTAGGGTGATGATACTCGTAATGTCACAGGGGGTATACACCTTGTGATATTAGTCGTAATTTACTAGGACGGTGTTACTTTTCATTTCACAAGGAGTGTACACTCTGTGATTTTATTTGTTATATCCTAGGGGAATGTTATTCCTAATGTCACAGGTGGTGTATACCCTGTGATATTCGTTATATTCTAGGGTGACGTTACTCCTAGTGTCACTGAGGGTGTACACCCTGTGATATTATTCATAATATCCTAGGAGGATGTTACTCCTAATGTCACAGGGGGTGTACATTCTGTGATATTATTATTTTTGTCATAGGGGGATATTACCCCTGATGTCACAGAGGGTGTATGTCCTGTGATATTACTGGAAATATCCTCATCAGATGTTAGTCCTAACATCACAATGGGTGTACACTCTGTGATATTATTCATAATATCCTAGGGGGATGTTACTCCTAATGTCACAGGGGTTGTACTTCCTGTGATATTATTTGTAATATCTTAGGTGATATTACTTATAATGTCATAGGGGGTGTACGCCTTGTTATATATATTCATAATTTTCTAGATGTTGGTTACTTTTAATGTCATAGGGGATGTACACCCTGTGATATTATTTGTAATATCCTAAGGAGATATAACTTCAAATATCCACCTGGGTGTACATAGTGTACACCCTGTGATATTATTCATAATATTTTAGGATGATATAATTCCTAATATCACCATGGGTGTAAACCATGTGTTTACACCCTGTGATATTATTTGTAGTGTCCTAGGTAGTTATTACTTATTTTATCAGAGTGGGTGTACACTCTGTTATATTTTTCATACATTTTAGAGAACTATTACTTCTAATATCACACATATGGTGTTCACTTCTAATTAAAACACATATGGTGTACACCCTGTTATATTATTCGTAATATCCAAGGGAGATTTTACTCACAATATCACAGTTGGTGTACACCCTGTGATATTTGTTCTAATATTCTAGGAAGATATTACTCCTAATATCAAAGTGGGTGTACACACTGTGATAATTTTGGTAATATCCTAGGGGGATGTTACTCCTAATGTCTCTGGGGGTGTACATCCTGTGGTATTATTTGTAATATTCTAGGGGGATGTTATCCTAATATCACAAGGGTGTACATTCTGTGATATTATTCATAATATCCTAGGGGCATATTACTCCTAATGTGTACACCCTGTGATATTATTCATTATATCCTAGGGTGATGTTACTCCTAATGTCACAAGGAGTGTACACCCTGTGATATTATTCATAATATCCTAGAAAGATATTACTCCTAATATCACTGGGGGTGTACACCCTGAGATATTATTCATAATCTCCTAGGGGAATGTTACTACTAATGTCACAATGGGTCTACACCATGTTATATTATTCATAGTATCCTACTGGAGTGTTACTCCTAATGTCACAGGGGGTGTACTCCCTGTGATATCATTCATAATATCTTATGGGGATGTTACTCCTAGTGTCACAGGGGTGTACACCTTGTGATATTATTCGTAATATCCTAAAAAGATGTCAGTCTTCATTTCACAGGGGGTGTACATGCTATGATATTATTCAAAATACCTTAGGGGGATGTTACTCCGAATGTCACAGAGGGTGCACACCATGAGATATTATTTGAAATATTTCAGGGGGATGTTACTCCCAATGTCACAGGGGGTGTATACACGGTGATATTATTAATAATATCCTAGGGGAATGTTACTCATAATGTCACAGGGGCTGTACACCGTGTGATATTATCCATAGTATCATAGGAGAATGTTACTGCTAATGTCACAGGGAGTGTACACCCTGTGCTATTCTTCCTAATATCCTAGAGGAATGTTACTCCTGATGTCACAGGGGGTGCTCACCCTATGATACAGTTCATAATATCCTAGGGTAATGTTACTCCTAATGTCACAGCAGGTGTACACACATATTTTTTGTAACATCCTAGGGGGATGTTATTCATAATGTCACAGGGATGTCCACCATGTGTGCACACCCCCTGTGATATTATTCGTAATATCCTAAAGTGATGTTACTGCTAATGTCACAGGGGGTGCACCCCATGTGTGTAAACCACCAGTGATATTATTCATAATATCCTAGGGAAATGTTACTGCTAATGTCACAGTGAGTTAAACAATGTGTGTACACCCTGTGATATTATTCGTAATATTTTAAGCAGATGTTACACCTAATGTCACAGTGGGTGTACACCATGTGTGTACACCCTGTGATATTAATCATAATATTCTAGGAGTGTGTCTGTTCTAATGTGACAGTGCCTGTACTCCATGTGTGTACACCCTGTGATATTATTCGTATTATTATAGGGGGATGTTATTTCTAATGTCACAGTGGGTGTATACCATGTGCGTATTTGTAATTATTTGTAATATCCTAGGGGGATTCTACTATTTTTTTTTTTTTTTTTTTTTTTTTTTGAGATGCAGTCTTGCTTTGTTGCCCAGGCTGGAGTGCAGTGGTGCGATCTCAGCTCACTGCAAGCTCCACCTCCCAGGTTCATGCCATTCTCCTGCCTCAGCCTCCCGAGTAGCTGGTACTACAGGCACCCACCACCACGCCCAGCTAATTTTTGTATTTTTAGTAGAGATGTGTTACCCAGAATGGTCTTGATCCCATGACCTCGTGATCTGCCTGCCTCGGCCTCTCAAAGTGCTGGGATTACAGGCATGAGCCACCGCTCCCAGCCGGGGATTCTACTCCTAATCTCACAGTGGGTGTACATCATGTGTGTATATTCTGTAATATTATTCGTAATATCCTAGGGAGATGTCACTCCTAATATCACAGGGGCTGTTCACCATGTGTGTATATTTTGTGATATTATTCATAATATCCCAGTGAGTTATAACTCCTAACACTACAGTGAATGTAGGCCCTGTGATAGTACTCATAATATCCTCAGAAGATATTACTTTTAATATCACAGAGGGTGTACATACTGTGATAATATTCATAGTATCCTAAGGAGATATTACTCCTAATGTCACAATGGGTGTACACCCTGTGATATTATTTGTAATATCCTAGGGAGATGTTACTCCTAGTAACACAGTGAGTGTATACTCAGTGATATTATTTGTAATATCCCAGGGAGAAATTACTCCTAATACCCCAGTGGGTAAACATTCTGTGATATTATTCTTAATATCCTATGGAGATATTATTCCTAATATCACAGGGTGTACACCCACTGTGATATTAGGAATAATATCTTAGGGAGAAATTACTCCTAATATCACAATGGCTGTACATTCTGTGATATTATTCATAATATCATAGGGAGATATTACTCTTAATATCACAGGGTGTGTACACCCACTGTGGTGCACACCTGCTGTGATATTAGGAGCAAAATCTTTGAGAGATATTGCTCCTAATATCAAAGTGGTTGTACACCATGTGATATTTTTCATAAAATTCTAGGGAGATATTAATCCCATTATCATAGTGGGTTTACACCCTGTGATATTATTTATAACATCCTGGAGAGATATTACTTCTAATATCACAGTGGGTGTACACTCTGGGATACTATTCGTAATATCCTGGAGTGATGTTACTCCTAATATCACAGTGGGTGTACACCCAAATATATTATTCATAATATCCTGTGGAGATATTACACCTAATACCACAGCGGGTGTACACCCTGGGATATTGTTCATAATATCCTGGGGAGATATTACTCCTTATATCACAGTGGGTGTACACCATGTGTGTACACTCTGGGATATTATACATAATATATCCTGGGGTGATATTACTCTTAATATCACAGTGGGTGTACACCATGTGGGTACACCCTGGGATATTATTCATAATATCCTGGGGAGATATTAGTTTCCTAATATCACAGTAAGGGTACACTATGTGTGTACACCTGGGATATCATTCGTGATATCTGGGGGAATATTATGTGTGTACACCCTGGATATTATTCATAATATCCTGGGGAGATATTACCCTCTTAGTATCACAGTGGGTGTACACCATGTGTGTACATCCTGGGATATTATTTGTAATATCTTGGGGAGTTATTACTGTCTTAATATCACAGTTTGTGTACACCATAAGTGTACACCCTGGAATATTATTAGTAATATTCTGGGAAGATATTACACTTAACATCACAGCAGGTGTACACCACATGTGTACACCCTGGGATATCATTCATAACATCCTAGGGAGATACTACTCCTAATATCACAGTGGGTGTACACCATGTGTGAGCATTCTGGGATATCATTCATAATATCTGAAAGGATATTACACTTAATATCACAGCGGGGGTACACGATGTGTATACACCCTGAAATATCATTCATAATATTCTAGGGAGATATTACTCCTAATATCACAGTGGGTGTTCACCATGTGTGTACACACTGGGATATTATTTATAATATCCTTGGGAGACATTACATCTAATATCACAGTGGATACACACCCTGGGATATTATTTGTAATATCCTAGGGAGATGTTACTCCTAATATCACAGTGGGTACACACCCTGGGATATTATTCATATTTTAGGGTGATATTACTTGTAATATCAAAGTGGGTGCTCACCCTGTGTGGACACTCACTGTGATATTATTCATAATATCCTAGTAAGATATTACTCCTAATATCACAGTGGGTACACAACATGTGTGGACACCCACTGTGATATTATTCGTAATATCCTGGGGAAATATTACTCCAAATATCACAGTGGGTGCACAACATGTGTGGACACCCACTGTGATATTATTCATAATATTCTACGGAGATATTACTCCTATTATCACAGTGGGTGCACACCATGTGTGGTCACCCACTGTGATATTATTAGTAATATTATAGGGAGATATTACTTTTAATATCACAATGGGTACACACCATGTGTGGACAATCACTGATATTGTTCATAATACTTTCGAAAGATAGTACTTCTAATATCACAGTGAGTGTACACCTTGTGATATTATTCATAATATCCTAGGGAGATATTACTTATAAAATCACAGTGGGTGCACACCATGTGTGTACACCCTGTGATATTATTCATAATTAGGGAGCTACTACTTCTAATATTACAGTGAGTGTACACCCTGTAATATTATTCATAATATCCTAAAAAGATATTACTCCTAATATCAAAGTGAGTGTACACCCTGTAATATTTTTCATACTATTTTAGGGAGAAATTATTCTTAACATCACAGTGGGTGTTCACTCTGTGATATTATTCATAATATCCTACTAAGATATTACTCCTAATATCACAGCACGTGCACCCCATGTCATATTTTTTGTAATATCCTAGGAAGATATTACTCCTAATATCCCAGTGGTTATACACCCTGTGATATTATTTGTAATATCCTTGGGAGATATTACTCCTGATATCACCGTGGGTTTACACCCTGTTATATTATTCGTAATATCCTAGGAAGATATTACTCCTAATACCACAGTGAGTGTACAACAGGTGTGTAGACCCTGTGATATTATTCATAATATCCTTGGTAGATACTACTCCTAATATCACAGTGGGTGTACACCTAGTGATACTATTCATAATATCTTAGGGAGATATTATTTCTAATATCACAGTTGGTGTACACTATGTGTATGCTACACTGTGACGTTAGGAGTAATATCCTAGGGAGATATTACTCCCAATATCACAGTGGTTGTACCCCTTGTGATATAAGGAGTAATATCGCAGGGAGATACCACTCCTAATGTCACAGTGGGTGTATACCCTGTGATATAATTCATAATATTCTAGGGGGATGTTACCCCTAATGTCACAGTGGGTGCACAGCCTGTGATATTATTTGTAATATCCTAGAGAGATGTTACCCCTAATGTCAGAGGGGGTGTTCACCCTGTGATATTATTCTTAATATCTTAGGGGTATGTTTCTCCTAATGTCACAGAGGGTGTACACAATATGATATTATTCATAATATCCTAGAAGGATATTGCTCCTAAAGTCACAGGGGGTGTACACCCTTTGATATTATTCGTAATATTTTAGAAATATGTTACACCTAGCATCACAGGGGGTGTACACCCTGTGATACTATTCGTAATATTCTAGGGGAATGTTACTCTTAAGGTCACTGAGAGTGGACATCCTGTGTTATTATTCATAATATACTATGGAAATGTTACTCCTAATGTCACAATAAGTGTACATTCTGTGATATTATTCATAATATCCTAGAGAGATATTGCTCCTAATTTTACAGTGGGTGTACACCCTGTGGTATTACTCATAATGTTATAGGAGGATGTTACTTCTAATGTCAAAGGGAATGTACATTCTGTGATATTATTCGTAATATCCTAGGGGGACGGTACTCCTAATGTCACAGTGGGTGTACACCCTGTAATATTGTTCATAATATCCTAGGAATATGTTAAATCTAATGTAACAGGGGGTGTACACCCTGTGATATTATTTGTAATATTTTATGGGGATATTACTCCTAATGTTGCAGGGGGTGTACAACCTGTAAAATTATTCACAATATTCTAAGAGGATGTTACTCCTAATGTCACAGGTGGTGTTCACCATATGTGTACACCCCTTGTCATATTATTCGTAGTATCCTAGGATTATGCTCCTAAAGACACAAGGCATATACACCATGTGTGTACAACCCCTGTGATATTATTTGTAATATTCTATGGGGATTTTACTCCTAATGTTGCAGGGGGTGTACACCATGTGTGTACACCCTCTGTGACATTATTCTTAATATTCTAGGAGGATGTTGCTTTTAATGTCACAAGGGATGTACACCATTTGTGTAAACCACCTGTGATATTATTTGTAATATCCTAGGGGGATGTTACTTCTAATGTCACAAAGGGTGTAAACCACATGTGTACAAACCCTGTGATATTATTTGTAATATCCTAGGGGGATGTTACTTCTAATGTCACAAAGGGTGTAAACCACATGTGTACAACCCCTATGATATTATTTGTAATACTTTGGCACGATGTTACTTATAATGTCACAGTGGGTGTACACCCTGTGATATTATTCGTAATATCCTAGAGGGATGTTATTCCTAATGTCACAGTAAGTGTACACAATGTGTGTACACCCTGTGATATTATTTGTAATTATCTTAGGGGGATGTTGATCCTAATGTCACAGTGGGTTACACGATATGTGTACACCCTGTGATATTATTCATAATATCCTAGGGAGTCGTTACTCCTAATGTTCAAGTTGGTGTACACCCTGCAGGTACACCCTGTGATATTATTCGTAATATCTCAGGGGATGTTACTCCTAAAGTCACGGTGAATGTACAAAATGTGTGTACACCCTATGATATTTTTCATGAGATTCTAGGGGAACGTTACTCCTAATGTCACAGTGGGTGTACACCCTGTGATATTATTCGTAATATCCTACAAAGATGTTACTTCTAACGTCAGAGTGGGTGTACACCATGTGTGTATATTTTGTGCTATTATTTGTAATATCCTAGAGGAATGTTACTCTTAATGTCACAGTGTGGGTGTATACCATGTGTATACACTGTGTGATATTATTCATAATATCCTAGAAGGATGTTACTCCTAATGTCACTATGGGTGTACACCATGTGTGTGTGCTGTGTGATGTTATTCCTATTATTCTATGGGAATATTACTCCTAATTTCACAGTGGGTGTACACCATGTGTGTACACCCTGTGATGTTATTTCTATTATTCTACGGGAACGTTACTCCTAATTTCACAGTCGGTGTACAGCATGTGCATACACCCTGTGATATTATCTGTAGTATTATACAAATATGTCACAAGTGGTGTACTCTCTGTGATATAATTCTTAAAATCCTAAGGGAATGTTGTAATGTCTCAGGGGGTATACACCATGTGTGTAAAACACCTGTGATATTATTTGTAATATTTTAGGGGGGTGGTACTTCTAATGTCACAAAGGGTGTACACCATGTGTGTACACTCCCTGTGATATTATTTGTAATATCCTGGCGAGATATTACATTTAATGTCACAGTGGGTGTACACCCTGTGATATTATTCGTAATATCCTAGGGGGATGTTATACCTAATGTCACAGTGTGTGTACATCACGTGTGTAGACACTCTGTGATATTATATGCAATTTCTTAGTGGTATGTTACTCCTAATGTCACAGTGGGTGTACACTATGGGTATACAGTGTGTGACATTATTCGTTATATGCTAGCGGGGTGTTACTCCTAATGTCACAGTTGGTGTACACCATGTGTGTACACCCTGTGGTATTATTTGCAAAATCCTAGGGGGATGTTACTCCTAATTTCACAGTAAGTGTATACACCATGTGTGTACGCTCTGTGATATTCATATAATTACAGGGGGATGTTACTTTGAATGTCACAGTGGATGTACACATATGGTGTACACCCTGCAATAATATTCATTTTAGGGGGATTTTACTCCTAATATCACAGTGGTTGTACAGACTGTGTATACAACCTGTGATATTATTTGTAATATCCTTGAAAGATATTACCTCTAATATCACAGTAGGTGTACACCCTGTGATATTAGGAGTAATATCCTAGGGGGATGTTACTCCTACTGTCACAATAGATGTACATCCTGTGATATTTTTGGTAGTATCCTAGAGGGATGTTACTCCTACTGTCACAGGGGTGTACACTCTGTGATATTATTCATGATATCCTAGGTGGATGTTACTCCCAATGTGTACACCCTGTGATATTATTTGTAATATCCTAGGGGGATATTAATCCTAATGTCACAAGGGGTTTACACCCTGTAATATTATTCATAATATCCTAGAAAAATGTTACTCCTAATGCCTCAGAGAGTGTACACCCTGTGATATTTTTCACATCCTAAGGGAATATTACTATTAATGTCACAATGAATGTACACTCTGTGATATTATTCATAGTATCTTACTGGGATGTTACTCCTAATGTCACACGGGGTGTACGCACATGATATTATTCATAATATCCTAGGGGAAGGTTACTTGTAATCTCGCAGGGTCTGTACACCCTCTGATATTATTCATAATATCATAGGGAGATGTTACTATTAATGTCACAGGTAGTGTATACCCTGTGATATTATTATTGATATTTTAAGGGAATGTTACTCCTAATGTCCCAAGGGGTGTACACCCTGTGATATTATTTGTAATATTCTAAAGGGATTTTAATGTTACAGAAGGTGTACATTCTGTGATATTATTTCTAATATCCTAGGAGGATGTTATTACTCCTGATGTCACAGGGGTTGTACACCCTGTGATATTATTCAAAGTATTTTAGAATAATGTTACTCTTAATGTCCCAGAAAATGTACATTCTGTGATATTGTTTGTAATATCCTATGGGAATGTTACTTCTAATGTCACAGTGAATGTACACCATGTGTGTACAGTGTGTGATATTATTCGTAATATCCTAAGGAGATATTACTCCTAATGTCACTGTGGGTGTACACTCTGTGATATTATTCGTAATATCCTAGGGAGATGTTACTCTTAATGTCACTGTGTGTGTGTGCACTCTGTGAAATTATTCATAATATTCTAGAAGGATGTTACTACTAATGTCACAGTGCATGTACACTCTGTGATATTATTCATAATATTTTAGGCAGATGTTACTCCTAGTGTTACAGTGGGTGTACATCCTGTGATATTATTAGTAATATTCTAGGTAGATGTTACTCCTAATGTCACAATTGTTGTACACCTTGTGATATTACTCATAATATCATAAGAAGATAGAACTCCTAATAGCACAGTGAGTGTATTCTGTGTGATATTATTCATAATATCCTAGAAAAATATAACTTCTAGTATCACAGTGGGTGTACACTCTGTGATATTATTCATACTATCCTAGGGAAAAATTACTCCTAATACCACAGTGAGTGTACATCCCGCATGTGATATTGTTCCTAATGTACACTGGAGGAGAAAATGATAATACTTCCAATATCGTGGGGTGTACACCCCTTCTGTTATATTGTTCCTTACACCCAGGGGGAAAGAGGATTATATGACTCCAAATACCACAGGGGGTGTACTCCCTACATGTGATATTGTTCCTAACATCCAGGCTGGGGGAGGATATTACTCCCAATATGGCAGGGGTGGACACCCACCCTGTGATATATTTCCTAATATCCAGTAGAGGAGAGGATGATATTACTCCCAATACCTTATAGTGTGTACACACTTTCTGTGTTATTGTTCGTAATATCCCTGGGGGAGAGGATAATATTACTCCCAATATCGCAGGGGGTGCACACACCCCCCCCCATGATATTGCTCCTAATATCCAAAAGAAAACACACTGTTATTACTGCCAATATCTCAGGGGGTGTACACCTCCATTGTGATGTTGTTCCTAATACACTGAGCGGAGAGGATGATATTACTGCCAAAATTGCAGGGGGTGTACACCTTCCTTGGGATATTGTTCCTAATGTCCAAGTGGGTAGAAGATAATATTACTCCCAATTTCACAGAAGGTGGACATTCCCCTGTGATATTGTTCCTAATATCCAGTGGGGGAGAGGATGACATTACGCCCAATATCGCAAAAAGTGTACAGCTTTTTTTTGTGATGTGTTTCCTAATATCCAGAGGGGGGAGAGGACGATCTTAGAATCAATATCACAGGGAGTGTACACCCCCCCATGATATTGTTCCTAATATCATGGTGGGGGGAGGGTTAATATTACTCCCAATTTCGCAGCAGTTGTTCACCCGCCCTAAGATATTGTTTTTAACATCCAAGGGGGAGAGGATATTACTCTCAATATCCCTGGGTGTGTACACCCCCTTTTTGATATTGTTTCTAATATCAAAGCGGGGAAGATGATATTACTCCCAACACTGCAGGGGCTGTACACACCCTCTGCAATATTGTTTGTAATATCCGGGGGTGGGGGGGAAGAGGATGATATTACTCCCAATGTCACAGAGGATGTACACCGCCCTTGTGATATTGTTACTAATATCCAGTGGGGGAGAGGGTGATATTACTCCCTACATCATAGGGAGTGTACATCATCCCTGTGACATTGTTCCTAATATCCTTGAAGGAAGAGGATGATATTACTCCCAATATCGCATGGTTATATATACCCCTATATAATATTGTTCCTAATATCCATAAAAGGAGAGGAAGATATTGGTCCCAACATCGCAGGGGGTGCACACCACTCCTGTGACATTGTTTCTATTATCCAGGTGAGGAGAGGATAATATTACTCCTAATATTGCAGGGGATGTACACTTCCCTCGTGATATTGTTTCTAATATCCAGGGGGAGAGAGGACGATATTACTCCCAATATCTCGAGAGGGGTACACTTCCCCTGTGATATTGTTCCTAATATCCAGCATGGGAGAGAATAGTATTACTCCCAATATTGCAGGGATGTACACCCTCCTTGTGATACAGTCTCTAATATCCCAGGTGGGAGAGAATTATATTACTCCCAATACAAAAATAGTGTACAACCCCTCCCCGTGATATTGTTCCTAATATCTAGCGGGGGTATTATAGTACTGTTAATATTGCAGGGAGTGTACACCCCACTGTGACATTTTTTAAATATCCGTGTGGGGAAAGGATGATATGACTTCCAATATAGCTGGAGATGTACATCTTCCCTGTGATATGTGATATTGTTTTTAATATCCAGGAAGGGAGAGGATGACATTACTCCCCATATGGAAGGGGAGGTATACCCTTCTTGTTACATTGCTCTTAATATACGGGGGGGAAGAGGAAAGCATTACTCCCAATATCTAAGGGGGTGTAAAACCCCCCTGTGATACTGTTTGTAATATCCAGGAAAGGAGAGGATGATATTACTCTCAATATCGCAGAAATGTACACACCCCTGTGATATTGTTCTTAATATCCAGGGGGTAGAGGATGATTTTACTCTCAATATAGCAGGGGTTGTACATCCCTGCTGTGATATTGTTCCTTATATCACATGGGGCAGAGGATGATATTACTCCCAATATTGCAGGGGGTGTGCACCTCCCCTGTGATATTTTTCCTAATATCCAGGGGGGAGGCACTATGTTATAACTCCAAATATCACAGGAAATGTACACGCACACTGTGATAATTTCATAATATATAGAAAAGGAGAAGATGATATTACTCCCAATATCGTAAGGGGTGCACACTCCTTTTTAATATTGTTTTTAATATCCACGGAGGAAGAGAATGACATTACTCCCATTATCCCAGAATGTGTAGACCCCTCTCTGATATTGTTCCTAATATCCAGAAGGGGAGAGGATGATATTACTGCCAACTTCACAAGGGGTGTACAAAATTTTCATGATTTTTTTCCTGATATCAATGAAAAAAGAGGATATTACACCGAATATCGCAGAAGGTGTACACCCCCCATGTGATATCTTTCCTAATATCTACGTCAGGAGAGTATGATATTACTCTTAATATCGCAAGAAGTGTACACACCCCTGTGATAGTGTTCCAAATATCCAGGCAGGCAGAGGATATGACTCCCAATATAGCAGGGGATGTACATCCTCCCTGTGATATTGTTCCTAATATCCAGAGAGGGAGAGGATGATATTACTCCTAATATGGAAGGGGGTGTACCCCTTCCGGTGATATTGTTCTTAATATTCAGGGGTGAAAAATACTGTATTACTCCCAATACCTCAGGGGGAGTGCAAACCTCCTGTCATATTGTTCCTAATATCCGGGGGGGAGAAGATGATATTACTCCCAATATCGCAGGGGTGTACACCCCCCTTGTGATATAGATTTTAATATCCCGTGGGGGAGAGGACGATATTACACCCAATATCGCAGTGGGTGTAGACCCCCCCTGTGATATTGTTCGTAATATCCCCATATCGCGGAAGGGTGCTTTTCTGTGTGATCTGTTGCATAATATCCACTGGGGAGAGAGGGCGATATTACTCCCCATTTCGCGGAGGGTGTACACACCCATGTGAACTAGTTCATCATATCCAGGGATGTGGAGGGTGATATTACACCCAATATAGCGGGGGGTGTTCACTCCCCTGTGATCTGGTTCGAAATATTCATGGAAGGAGAGGGTGATGTTACTACCCATATCCCAGGGCGTGTAAAACATCCTGTGATCTGGTTCGTAATATCCGGGGGGCAGAGAGTGATATTACTCCTCATATCGCGGGAAGTGTGCACTTTCCTGTAATCTGGTTCGTAATGTCCAGGATTCGAGAAGGTGACATTACTATCCATGTCACGTGGCGGTGTGTGGGGGGGTATAAATCCCAATGTGATCTGGTTTGTAATATCCAGTGGGGGAGAGGGTGACATTACTACCCGTATCCCGGGGGTGTACACCTTCCTGTGATCTGGTTCATAATATCCAATATAGGAGGAGGTGTACACCTTTCTGTGGTAATATCCAGAAGGAGAGAGAGTAATATTACTCCTAATATCGTGGGGGGTGTACACTCCAAATATCACTGGGGCATACACTCCCCTGTGATATTATTCGTAATACCCAGGGGAGAGAGAATAGTACTCTTAATATCGCAGGGGGTGTACACACCACTGTGATATTGTTCCTAATATCCAGGAAGGGAGAGAATGATACTACTCCCAATATCGCAACAAGTGTACACCTCTTCTGTGATATTGTTCCTAATATCCAGAAGGGGAGAGGAAATATTACCCTCAATATCACAGAGGGTGTATACACAGCCCTGTGATATTGTTTGTAATACCCAGGAGGAAAGAGGATGATATTACTCCAAATATCGCAGTTGGTGTACACCCCCCCGTGATATTGTTCCTAATATACACGAGAAGATAATATTATTCTCAGTATCGCAGTGGGTGTACACCTTCCTTGTGGTATTGTTCCTTATATCCAGGGGAAGAGACAATGATATTACTGTCAATATCGCAAAAGGTGTACACTCCCCCTGTGATATTGTTCCTAATATTTAGAGGGGGAAAGAAAAATATTACTCCCAATATCACACGGGGTGTACAACCCTTGTGATATGGTATCTAATATCCCAGTGGGCAGAGGATGATATTACTCAAAATATCACAGGGCGTATACACCCCTCCTGTGATATTGTTCCTAATATCCAGGTGGACAGATTATATTACTCCCAATATTGCAGGGCATAGACAACTCCCTCTGATATTGTTTTTAATATCCAGAGGGGGGAAATATAACATTACTCCAAATATATCAGGGAGTGTACACACCCTTTTTGATACTGTTCCTAATATCCTGGGGGAAAGAAAATAATATTATTCCCAATATCTCATGGGGTGTACACCACCCCTGTAATATTGTTCCTAATATTCAGGTGAGGAGAGAATGATATTACACCCAATTTTGCAGGGGGTGTACACCCCCACAGTGATACTTTTCCTAATCTCCTGGCGGGGAGAGGATGATATTACACTTAGTATCACAAGGGCTGTACACCACTCCGGTGTTATTATTTCTAACATCCTAAGTGGAAGAGAATGTTATTACTCTTAATATCACAGGGGGTGTACAGCCACCATGTAGTATTGCTCCTAATATGCATTGGGGGAAAGGATGATATTACTCCCAATATCACAGAAGGTGTACATCCACCCTGTGATATTGTTCTTAAAATCCAGTGTGGGAAAAGAATGATATTACTCCAAATATTGCAGGGGGTTTACACCCAACCCGTGATTTTATTCCTAATATTCACTGGCGGAGAAAATGATAGTAATCCCAATATTGTAGGGGATGTACACTCTTCCTTTGATATTATTCCTAATTTCCAGGGAAGGAGAGGGTAATATTATTCCCAATGTCCCATGGGGCATACATCACCCCTGTGATATTGTTCCTAACAATGATATTACTTTCTATATTGCCAGGGATGTACACCGCCCCCCATGATATTGTTCAAAATATCCAAGAAAGGAGAGTACGATATTACTCCCAATATCGCAGGGTGTGTACATTTCCCCTAGTGCTCCTAATATTTAGGAGGAAATAGAATGATAATACTTCCAACATTGCAGTGGGAGTACACCCTCCGCCCCCGTGATGCTGTTACTAATTCCAGGGGAAAAGAGGATGGTATTACTCCCAATATCACAGGAGGTGTATAGCCCCCTGTGTGATGTTTTTTCTAATATCAAGGGGAAAAGAAGATGATATTGCTCTCAATATCGCAGGGTGTGTACACCCTCTGTGATATTGTTCCTAATATCAAAGGGGGACAGGATGATATTACTCCCTATATCGCAGGGAGCATACACACTTTTTGTGATATTGTTCCAATATCCAAAGGGGGAGAGGATGATATTACTCCCACTACTGCAAGGGATGTAAACCCACCCTGTTATATTGTTCCTAATATCCAGCGGGGTAGAAAATGATATTACTTCCAATATCGCAGAGTGATATTGTTCCTAATATCCATGGGGTGAGAGGATGACATTACTCTCAATGTCACAGTGAATGTACACCTTTTCTGTGATATTGTTCCTAATATCCAGGAGGCAGAGAATAATATTACTTTCAATATTGCAGGGGGCGTACACCTCCCCTGTGATATTGTTCCTAATATCCAGTGGGGGAGAGGATGATACTACATTCAATATCGCAGGTGGTGTACACCCTTCCTGCCTCATTGTTCCTAATATCTATGGGAAGAGAGGATGATATTACTCCCAATATCGCCAGTGCTGTACACCCTCCCTGTGATATTATTACTAATACCCAGGGGAGAGGCAATGATATTGCTTTCAATATCGCAGGAGGTGTACACTTTCCTAATATTGTTCCTAATATCCACAAGGGGAGAGGATGATATTACTCAAAATATCACAGAGGTGTATATTCTTTCTGTGACATTGTTCCTAATATCCAGGGAGGGAGAGAATGATATTACTCCCAATGTCCCATGGGGTGTACACCGCCCCTGTGACATTGTTCCTAATATCCAGGGAGAGAGAGGATGATATTACTTCCTATATCGCAGGGGGTGTACACCCTCCCCCACAATGATATTGTTTAAAATATCCATGGAAGGAAAGAATGATATTACTCCTAATATTGCAGGGTGTGTACACCCCCCCGTGATATTGCTCTTAATATTGAGGGGGAAAGAGAATGATATTACTCCCAATATAGCAGTGAGTGTAACCCCCCCGTGATACTGTTTCTAATATCCAGGGGGAAAGGAGATGATGTTACTCTCACTATCGCATTGGAGTGTACACCCTCCGTGATATTGTTCCTAATATCCAAGGGGGCAGACAATGATATTACTCCCAACATCGCAGCAGGTGTACACCTTCCGGTGATATTGTTCCTAATATCCATGGGGGGAGAGGCTGATATTACTCAAAATATCGCAGGAGGTGTACAGCCCCCCTTTGATATTGTTTCTAATATCCACGAATGGAGAGGATGATATTACTCCCAATATCGCAGGGGTTGTACATCCATCCTGTGACATTGTTTCTAATATCCATGGGGGAAGAGAATATTACTCCTAATACAGCATGAAGTCTACACCCACCCTGTGATGTTGTTCCTAATATCCAGGCGGAAAGAGGATAATATTACGCCCAATATCGCTGGAGGTGTACATCCCCCCTGTGATATTGTTCCCAATATCCGGGTGGGAGGATGATATTACTCCCAATATCGCAGGGTGTGTACACCCCCACTGTGATATTGTTTCTAATATCCAAGGAGGAGAAAATAATATTGCTCCTAATATCACAGTAGGTGTACACTCCCCAGTAATACAGTTCCTAATATGCAGGTCAGAGGATGATATTACTCCCAATATCACAGCAGGTGTACAACACTGTGATTTTTTTAAATATCCCAGTAGAGAGAGGATGATGTTACTCCCAATATCGCTGAAGGTGTACACCACCTCTGTTATATTGTTCCTAATATCCAGAATGCCAGATGATGATATTACTCCCAATATCACAGGGGGTGTACACCTCCCTCCTCCTGTGATATTGTTCCTGATATCCAGGAATTGATACGATGATATTACTCCCAAAATCGCAGGGGGTGTGCACCCCCCTGAGATATTGTTCCTAATATGCAGGGGAGAAGAGGATTTTATTATATTCAATATCACAGGGTGTGGACACCCCCCCGTGATATTGTTCCTAATATCCAGGAAAGGACAGGATGACATTACTCCCAATATTGCAGGGACTGTACACCCCAAGTGTAATATTATATTCTTCCTAATATCCAGGAAAGGAGAGAGTGATATTACTACCAATATATCAGGGGGTGTACAGCCCTCCTGTGACACTGTTTCTAATATCCATGAGGTAGAGGATGATATTACTCCTAATATCACAGAGGTGTACACCCTTCTGTGATATTGTTCCTAATGTCCGGGGGTGGGGGGAGAGGATGATATTACTTTCAAAATCGCAGGGAGTGTACGCCACCCCTGTGATATTGTCCCTAATATCCAAATGGAGACAGGCTGATATTACTTCCAATATCGCAGGGGGTGTACATCCACCCTGTGATATTGTCCCTAATATGCAGGGGGAGAGAGGATGATATTACTGCCAATACTGCAGATGGTGTACACCCCCCATATAATACTGTTCTTAGTATCCAAACAAGGAGAGGCTGATATTACTCCCAATATTGCAGGGGTTGTACCCCACCCCTGTGATATTGTTCCTAATATCCAGGCGGGGAGAGGATGATGTTACTCCCAATATCGCAGAAGTGTACGCTCCCCATGTGATAGAGTTGCTAATATCCAAGGTGAGAGAGGATGATGTTACTCCCAGTATCGCAGGAAGTGTACACATTTCCTGTGATGGTGTTGTTAATATCCAGGGTGGGAGAGGATGATGTTACTCCCAATATCACAGGAAGCGTTCACACCCCCACCCCATGATATTGTTCCTAAAATCTAAGGGGAGAGAGGGTGATGTTACTCCCAATATCACAGGGGGTATACACCCCCCTTCCGGAGATATTTTTCCCAATGTCCAGGAAGGGAGAAGATGATATTACTGCTAATATCGCAGGGAGTGAACACCTTCCCTGTAATATTGTTTCCAATGTTTTGGGGGTGAGAATGATACTCCCAATATCCCAGGGATGTGCACCCGCCCTGTGATATTGTTCCTAATATTCAGGGTGGTAGAGGATGATATTATTCCCAGTGTCGTAGGGGGTATACACACCCTCTGTGATGCTGTCCTTAATATCCAGGTGGGTAGAGGATGATATTGCTCAAAATATTGCAGGGGGTGTACACCCCACAGTGATATTGTTTCTAATAACCAGAAGAGGATAAAACGGTATTGCTCCTAATATCACGGAAAGTGTAAACCACCCCTATGATATTGTTCATAAAATCCAGGGAAAGGAGAGGATGATATTACTCTCAATATTGCAGGGGTTCTACAACACTCTTGATATTTTTCTAATATCCAGGAAGGAGATTCTTATATTACTCCTAATATTTCAGGGGGTGCACACCTCTTCTGTGATATTGTTCCCAAAATCCAGGAGGGAAGCAGACATCGTTTCAAGTATCGCAGGAAGTGTACACCCGCCTCGTGATACTGTTTCTAATATCCAGGTGGTGAGGATGATATTACTCCCAATATCGAAAGGGATGTACAGCCTCCCTGGTATTTGTTCCTAACGTTTAGGAGGGGAGAGGATAATATTATTCCCATTATCACAAGGGGTGTACACCCCCATTTGATACGGTTCCTAATATCCAGGGGGGAGAGTTTGCCGTTAATTGCAATATCGCTGGGGATGTACACCCATGCTGTGATATGGCTCCTAATATCCAAGTGGGGAAAGGATACTATTACTTCCAATATCGCAAGGCGTGTACACCACCACCGTAATATTGTTCCTAATATCGGGGGGGGGGGGGTGGATGATATTATTCCCAATGTCGCAAAAGGTGTACCCTCACTCTGTGATATTGTTCCTAATATCAAGGGAAGGAAAGGATGATATTACTCCCAATATTGCAGGGAATGTACACCTCCCTCTGTGATATTGTTTCTAATGTCCAGTGGGAAAGAGGGTGATATTATTCCCCATATCCCAAGGATGTACACCCGCCATGTGATATTGTTCCTGATATCCGGGGGAAAGAGCATATAACTCCCAATATCGCAGGGTGTGTACACCACAGTGTGATATTGTTCCTAATATCCAGGGAGGGAGGGAGAGGATGTTATTACTCCCAAGATTGCAGGAAATGTACATGCCGCCTGTGATACTGTTTCTATTCTACAGGAGGGAGAAGGTGATATTACTCCCATTAACACAGGGCGTGTACACCCCCTTGTGATATTGTTTTTAATATCAAAAAGGAAGTTAATATTACTCCCAATATAGTAAATACATTGTGTGTACAACCCCTGCGCTATGGTTCGTAATATCCAGGGGGGAGAGGGTGATATTACTCGCCATAGCAAGTGGGATGTACACCCCGCCCCGTGCTATGACTTGCAATATCCATGGGGGCAGAGGGTGATATTACTTGCAATAGCCTGGTGGGTCATATTATTTGTAATATCCTAGGGCGATTTTATTTCCAATGTCACAGTATATGTACACCATGCATGTTCAATCTGTGATATTACTCTTAGTATCCAAGAAAAATATTACTCTTAATGTCACACTGGGTGTACAACATGTGTTTACACTCTGTAATATTATTCGTAATGTCCTATGGGGATGTTATGTGGTTATACACTATGTGATATTATCTGTAATATCCTAGCGGGATGTGACTCTTACTGTCACAGTGGGTGTGCACGATATTTTTGCATCCTGTGTTATTATTCATAATAACATAGGGGGATGTTACTGCTAATGTCACAGTCAGTAAACACAATGTGTGGGTACATTTAGTTATACTAATTGTAATATCCTACGGGGATGTTATACCTAATGCCACCGTGGGTGTACACCATGTGTGTACCCTCTGTGATATTATTCATAATATTCTAGGAAAATGTTACTCCTAATGTCACAGGTGTACACCCTGTGATATTATTTCTAATACCTAGGCAAATGTTATTTTTAATGTCACAGTAAGTGTACGCTATGTGTATAGAGTGTATGATATTATTCATAATATCCTAGGGGGATGTTACTCCTAATGTCACAGTTGGTGTATACCACGTGTGTTCACCATGTGGTTTCATTCATAAAATCCTAGGGGGATGTTACTCCTCATTTCACAGTAACTGTACACCCTGTGATGTTATTCATATAATTATAGGGGTATGTTACTTCTAATGTCACACTGGGGGTAAACCATATGTGTACACCCTGTGATAATATTCATAATATTTCAGAAGGATTTTACTTCTAATATCACAGTGGTTGTACAGCCTACCTATGTGTACAACCTATGATATTATTCATAATATCCTAGGAAGATATTACTTCTAATATCACAGTCTGTGTACACCCACTGTGATATTATTCGTAATTTCCTAGGGGAATATTATTCGTAATGTCACAGGGGGTGTACATCCTGTGATATTATTCATTATATCGTAGGGGGATGTTACTCCTAATGTCACAGGGGGTGTACACCCCCTGTGATATTATTTGTAATATCCTAGGGGGATGTTACTCCTAATGTCACAGGGGTTGTACTTCCTGTGATATTATTTGTAATATCTTAGGTGATATTACTTATAATGTCACAAGGGGTGTACACCTTGTTATATAAGTCGTAATTTTCTAGATGTTGCTTACTTTTAATGTCATAGGGGATGTACACCCTGTGATATTATTTGTAATATCCTAAGGAGATATAACTTCAAATATCCACCTGGATGTACATACATAGTGTACACCCTGTGATATTATTCATAGTATTTTAGGAAGATATAACTCCTAATATCACAGTGGGTGTAAACCACATGTGTACACCCTGTGATATTATTTGTAGTATCCTAGGTGGTTATTACTTCTTTTATCACGATGGGTGTACACCCTGTGTTATTTTTCATACTATTTTAGGGAGCTATTGCTTCTAATATCACATGTATGGTGTTCACTTCTAATTAAAACACATATGGTGTACACCCTGCTATATTATTCATAATATCCAAGGGAGATATTACTAATGTCACAGTTGGTGTACACCCTGTGATATTCGTTGTAACATTTTAGGAAAATATTACTCCTAATATCACAGTGAGGGTACACACTGTGATATTTTTGGCAATATCCTAGGGGGATGTTACTCCTAATGTCACAGTGGATATACATCCTGTGATAGTTTTGGTAATATCCTAGGGGGATGTTACTCCTAATGTCACAGGGGGTGTACACCCTGTGATATTATTCGTAATATCCTAAGATGATGTAACTCCTAATGTCACAAGGAGTGTACACCCTGTGATATTATTCATAATATCCTAGAAAAATGTTACTCCTAATGTCACCAATGTGATATTATTCGTAATATCCTAGGGAAATGTTACTACTAATGTCACAATGGGTCTACACCATGTTATATTATTCATAGTATCCTACTGGGTTGTTATGCCTAATGTCACAGGGGGTGTACTCCCTGTGATATTATTCATAATATCTTACGGGGATGTTACTCCCAGTGTCACAGGGGTGTACACCTTGTGATATTATTCATAATATCCTAAAAAGATGTTAGTTCTCATGTCACAGGAGGTGTACAGGCTGTGATATTATTTGTAATACCTTAGGGGGAATGTTACTCTGAATGTCACAGAGGGTGCACACCCTGAGATATTATTCAAAATATTATAGGGGAATATTACTTCGAATGTCACAGGGTGTGTACACACATTGATATTATTAATAATATCCTAGGGGAATGTTACTTGTAATGTCACAGGGGCTGTACACCATGTGATATTACCCATAGTATCATAGGCGGATGTTACTACCAATGTCACAGGGATTGTACACCCTGCAATATTCTTCCTAATATCCTAGAGGAATGTTACTCCTAATGTCACAGAGGGTGTACACATTGTGATATTATTCATAATATTTTAAAGGGATTTTACTCCTGAGGTCACAAAAGGTGTACACCCTGTGATATTATTCCTAATATCCTAGAGGAATGTTACTCCTGATGTCACAGGGGGTGCTCACCCTATGATACGGTTCGTAATATCCTAGGGTAATGTTACTCCTGATGTCGTAGCAGATGTACGCACATATTATTTGTAACATCCTATGGGGATGTTATTCCTAACGTCATAGGGGATGTCCACCATGTGTGCACATCCTCTGTGATATTATTCATAATATTCTAAAGTGATGTTACTGCTAATGTCACAGGGAGTGTACCCCATGTATGTAAACCACCAGTGATATTATTTGTAATATCATAGGGAAATGTTACTGCTAATGTCACAGTGAGTTAAACAATGTGTGTACACCCTGTGATATTATTCGTAATATTTTAGGCGGATGTTACACCTAATGTCACAGTGGGTGTACACATATGGTGTGTACACCCTGTGGTATTACTCGTAATATCCTAGGGGGATGTTACTCCTAATGTCACAGTGAGTGTACACCATGTGTGTATACCCTGTGATATTAATTGTAACATTCTAGGGGGATGTTAGTTCTAATGTGACAGTGCATGTACACCATGTGTGTACATCCTGTGATATTATTAGTATTATTATAGGGGATGTTACTTCTAATGTCACAGTGTGTGTACCAGGATATTATTCACAATATCCTAAGGGGATTCTACTCCTAATGTCACAGTGGGTATACAACATGTATGTACATTCTGTGATATTATTCATAATATCCTAGGGAGATGTTACTCCTAATATCACAGGGGCTGTACACCATACCATGTGTGTACATTCTGTGATATTATTTGTAATATCCCAGAGAGATATAACTCCTAACATCACAGTGAATGTACACCCTGTGATAGTGTTCGTAATGTCCTAGGAATATATGACTTTTAATATCACAGAGGGTGTATACACTGTGATAATATTCATAGTATCCTAAGGAGATATTACTTCTAATATCACAATGGGTGTATGCCCTGTGATATTATTAGTAATATCCTAGGGAGATGTTACTCCTAATAACACAGTGAGTGTATACTCTGTGATATTAATCATAATTTCCTAGGGAGAAATTACTCCTAATATCCCAGTGGGTGTACATTCTGTGATATTATTCATAATATCATAAGAGATATTACTCTTAATATCACAGTGTGTGTACACCCACTGTGATATTATTTGTAATATCTTTGGGAGATATTACTGTTTATATCACAGTGGCTATACACCCTGTGATATTATTTGTAACATCCTGGGGAGATATTACTCCTAATATCACAGTGGGTGTACATGCTGTGTGTACACCCTGAAATATTATTCATAATATCTAAGGCAGAAATTACTCCTAATATCACAGTGTGTGTCAATGCTGGGATATTATTTGTAATATCCTGGGGAGACAGTACTCTTAATATTACGGTGAGTGTAGACCTTTGGATATTATTCATAATATCTTGCGGAGATATTATTACTGATATCACAGTGAATGTACACGCTGGGAAATTATTCGTAATATCTTAAGGAGATATTTGTTCTAATATCACAGTGGGTGTACACTCTGGGATACTATTCGTAATATCCTGGAGAGATATTACTGCTAATATCACAGTGGGTGTACTTCCAAAGATATTATTCATAATATTCTGTGGAGATATTACTCCTAATACCACAGCAGGTGTACACCCCGGGATATTGTTCATAATATCCTGGGGGTGATATCACAGCGGGTGTACACCATGTGTGTACACTCTGGGATATTATTTGTAATATCCTGGGGTGATATTACTCCTAATAACACAGTGGGTGTACACCATGTGGGTACGCCCTGGGATATTATTCATAATATCCTAGGGAGATATTAGTATCAATACCACAGTAAGTGTACATCATGTGCATACACCCTGAATATTATGTGTAATATCCTGAGGAGATATAACTTTCCTAATACCACAGTGGATGCAAAACATTTGTGTACAACCTGGGATATTATTCGTAATGTGCTGCAGAGATATTAATCTCCTAATACCACAGAGGGTGTACACCATGTGTGTACACCCTGGAATATGATTCATAATATGCTGCAGAGATATTACTCTCCTGATATCACAGAGGGTGTACACCCTTATAAAATAAGCATTCAATAAATGGTAGTTATTGTCTTTCTAAATCTAGCCCAGCTGTCAGCAGACTTTAGCTGTAAAGAGCCAGAAGTAAATATTTCAGGCTTTGTGGGCAATACATTCTCTGCCACATCTTCTGTCTGTTCATCAGCCCACCCTTCCTTTCTTTCCAATCCTTACAAATATAAAAACCACTCATAACTCACCAGCCACACAAATACAGGCAGCTGTAGTTTGCTGCCTAGATTCAAGTCATGTCACTCTGCTTCTAAAAAAGCTTCAGCGTTTCCTAATCCTTAAAGATTAACATTGAAATTCTTTAGCATCGCAAGAATGCTGAAGGCCATCCCCAGGTACTAGCTATTTCCCTCTCTCAAACCCTGCCCCATTTTCTAGCAACAAAATTCTCTAAACGAGCTGCATGCTCTCACATCTCCATGCCTTTATAATGCCATCCTTCCACCTGAAATTTCCTGGCAAAGTCCTCCAGGTTGGTGAGTGAGGTGGGGAGGAAGGGAAGGTGGGGAGGTGCTCAGGCAGTTTGGGGGAGGAGACAGACGTGCCATTTATTTCCAACTGCGCTGCACTGCCACTCTCTCTGTGAAGCACAGCCCAGGTTCTCAGGCTTTGTTCATTATTGCTATGTTCTTCTAGCCCACAAATGGCTGTTTCCTTCACTTCCAGATGCTTCTGACCCTTAGGTAAACAGCAATGCTTTTTAGAGCAACAATGCCTGAAGGACACACCACTTTCCTTGAACACACTGCAGAATTTTTTAAAAAAATTCAGGGGAAAAGAAACACATTTCAGAATATGTAAGTGATGCTTTCTCCAGCAAATGTGAGATAGTAGGATGCCTTATCAATTATAGAAAGGAATCAGAAGATAGGTCCCTGACTAATTTTCTGTAAGTACCACAGTTGCTTCATTTTCTCACATTTCCCTAAAAATATGTGTTTCTGGGCTTCTCACAGCCAGGACTCAGACCCAGATGACTCAAATTAGGCAGGTTTGGGACAGTAATTATGGGCTACACGACTCACCTTTGTTCTGCCTCAGCCTACCATCATTGCTGGAGTCTCATGGCCAGGAGAGGAAAAGATAAAGGCATCCTCATTTGCCTCCCCAACCCCAGAAGCCACTGTGACTTGAGCTCACCCCGGCCTGCATTTTTACTCTGAAAGATTCTCCTAGTTTGCTGAGAATTCTTTAGGAATATGTATGCCATCTCTACCTATTTAGTCTTTGAACACTTGCTCTGAACTAAGTGCCTATTATTTGGTTGGGAGTCTAAGGCAGACCTAGGTGGGGTCACTTGGAGCCTGTTATAGACTGAATTTTATGTTCCCTGCAAATCCATATGTTGAAGTCCTAATGCCCAGTACCTCAGCAGGTGACTGTATTTGGGAATAGGGCCTTTAAAGAGGTAATTAAGTTAAAATGTGGGCATTAGGGTGGGCCCTAAGTCAACCCAACAGATGTCCTTATTACAAGAGGTGATTAGGACCCAGTGAGCCACCAGAGGCACCTGGGCACAGAGGGATGACTGTTTGGAGGCAGCAAGCAGGTAGCCATCTGCAAGCCAAGGACAGAGGTCTCGGAGAAACCAAACCTGCCAGCACACTGGTCTCTGATTACTAGCCTCCAGAACTTCAAGAAAATTAATTTCTCTGTTTAAGTCACCCAGTCTGTGGTATTTTGTTATGGTGGCTTTGGCAGACAAATTCAGGACCCATCTATTTGGCCCTTGACAGAATTAAAAATGCTTCAACCCAAGCGAAACTGGCTTTGCTAGGACTGTAGATCAGATCTCTCTGGGCCTCTTGAAACAGAATATACTCTCTCTTGCAAAGTCAGCATAGACCCTTTCCTTCACACTTCTCACGCTCCCTTCCTCCACACTTCTCACGCTCCCTTCCTCTTACCCCCTGGACAATATAGCACCTTTCCTGCCTCACTTACCCATTCCCAATGCACATACTTCTCTTCCTAGATTGATCACTATTCTGCAAAACTCTGGACTCTAGAAATGAGGCAGGGAGGTGGAGTAGGGGGTTCTAGATATGGTGTGTGTCTTTCCTTTGTCTCATGCATGTTGTATTGGTTCTCTAGAAAAACAGAACCAACAGAATGTGTATACGTATTGATGGAGAGAGAGGGAGAAATGTATTTTAACAAATTGGCTCAAGCCACTGTAGAGGCTTAGTAAGTCCAAAATCTTATGGGCTAAGCTGGCAGGCTGGCGACAGAGAAGAGTTGCAGTTTGAGTCCAAAGGCCACCAGCTGACAGAATTCCTTCTTTCTTGGGGAAGTCTGTTGTAGTACTAATCAGGCCTTCAATGAATTGTATGAGGCCCACCCACATTATGGAAGATAACATGCTTTACTCAAAGTCCACTGATTTAAATGTTAACCTCATCCAAAACCACCTTCACAGAAACATCCAGAATAGTGTTTAACCAAATATCTGGGCATGTGGCCTAGCCAAGTTGACACATAAAATCAACCATCACACATGTCATTCTTGAACTAAACTTCTTTGCCCCATTCTCAATGAACTAATTGGAACTATATTGTCAAATACGATCGCCACTAGCCACGTGGTGCTAATGGAGCATTTGAAATGGAGCTAGTTCAAGTTCAGAGGTGCTGTATACATAGGATATACACTAGACTCTGAAGACTAAGTACAAAAAAGTAAAATATCTCATTAATAATCTTTATATAGATTTCACCTAGAAATGATAATTTGGGGAGTATATGGAGTCTATTAGCTTCCTAGAGTCACCATACAAATTATTAGAAACTTAGTGGCTTAAAACAACACATTTATTATCTTACATTTCTGTAGTTCAAAAGTCTGACTCAGGTCTCATTGGGCAAAATCAAGGTTTTGGGAGGGTTGCATTCCTTTTGGAGGCCTTAGGTGAGAATTCGTTCCCTTGCCTTTTTCAGCTTCTAGAGGTTTCCCACACTCCTTGGCTAGTGGCTCCTTGCTCCATCTTCAAAGCCAACAGTATCTCTTCTCTCGCCCTTCTCCATCCTCGCATCTCCCTGACCATAGATTGGACCCACCTGTATGATTCTTGACACTCTATTCTTCTCAAGCCCCTTAGCCTTAATCACATCTGCAAAGTCCCTTTGCCATGTAAGGAATATATTCACATTTCAGGGATCTTGGACATCTTTCATTATTTTGCCTACCTCATTGGGTTAAATAAAATATGTTATTGATATTAATTTCACACTGTAAAAAACTTTTTAGTGGCCACATTTAGTGGCCACAAGAAAAGTTTTAAAATTACATATGTAGCAGGCATTTGTGGCTCTCAATATATTTCTATCGGACAATGCTAGATTAGAAACTGAGAAGCATAGAGATTAAGGGGCTTGTCAAAAGTTGTATATCACATCAATAATGATGCTAAGAACTTTGGTGGGGGATTTTTTTTTGTTTTTTGTTTTTTGAGATAGGGTCTCGCTCTGTCACCCAGGTTGGAGTGCAGTGGTACTATCTCAGCTCACTGCAACCTCCGCCTCCCAGGCTCAGGTGATCCCCGTGCCTCAGCCTCCTGAGTAGCTGGGACTACAGGCATACACCACCACTTCTGGCTAAATTTTTAATTTTTTTGTAGAGACAGGGTTTCACCTTGTTGTGCAGGCTGGTATTAAACTCCTGGACTCGAGCAATACACCCACCTTGGCCTCCCAAAGTGTTGGGATTACAGGTGTGAGCCACCACACCCAGCCCCTAAGAACTTTGAAGGGCCTCAGGGCTCAGACCTCTTCTCTTTCCACACTCATCTTAGGTGATCTCATCCTGTCTAATTAATGCTTTGTTGTTTGTTGTTGTTGTTGTTGTTGTTGATGTTACAGGTTCTCACTCGGTAGCCCAGGCTGGAGTGCAGTGGCAACACCACAGCTCACTGCTGGCTGCCTCAATCTCCTGGGCCCAAATAATCCTCCACCTCAGCCTCCTGAGTAGCTGGGACCACAGGTGTATGCCACCATGCCTGACTAATTTATTCTATTTTTTTTTTGGAGAGATGGGGTCTCGCTATGTTGCCTAGGTTGGTCTTGAACTCCTAGGTTCCAGAGGTCCTCCCACCTTGGCCTCCCAAAGTGCTGGGATTACAGGTATGAGCCACTGTACCCAGCTGACTTGAATGCTATTTACGTGCTGATGACCCCAAAATGTTTATCTTTAGCCCAGGCCTCACCCTTGAACTCTAGCCTCACATCCAACTGCCTACTCAATGTTTCCACTTGGATGTCTAAGAGGCATCTGAAATGGAATGTGTCTCAAAGGGAACACTTGCTCTTCCCCAGCACCCCTGCCGCTCTTCATCCCCACCCACTATTCATATTATTTCCCCCATCTCAGTAAGGCAAAAAACAACTTTGACTACTCTTTTTTCTTTCATGACCCATGTCCAATTTATCAGCAAGCTCTGTCAGCCTTGCCTTTGAAATATATCCAGTATCTAACGATTCACCACCTCTACCCCTCCCACCTGATCCCAGGCACTGTTGTATTTCACAATAATTAGTGCCACAGCTTCTTAACAGAACTCTGTGCTTTCCACCTTCTCCCCTTTAGTATATATTTAATACAGCAGCCAAAGTTATTGTGTTAAAACACACAGATTGTGTCATTTCTCATCTTAAAATTTTCCAGTGGATTTCCATCATACTCAGGAGAAAAGCCAAATTTTTTACCAAGTTCTACGAGGCCTTACATGGTCTACCCTCTGGCCACTGCTTTGACCTCTCTACACAGCACTCCTTCCCTAGCTTCAGACATGCCAACATACTCCCACCTCGGGACCTTTGCACCTGCTGCACCTGCTTTTCCTTCTAATTCAACAGTCATTCTCCAAAGAGCTCCATATATAATTCTTTCACTTTTTTAGGTCCTTGATCAAATATCAACTCATCAGTATCCCCATTCCATCATCCTCTATCCCCCACCCAGCTTTTTTTTTTTTTTTTTTTTTT
This sequence comes from Homo sapiens, assembly GCF_000001405.40. Lineage (NCBI taxonomy): Eukaryota > Metazoa > Chordata > Mammalia > Primates > Hominidae > Homo > Homo sapiens. The sequence continues at coordinate 79,487,021 of NC_000012.12, forward strand.
TTGAGCCAGAGTCTTGCTCTGTTACTCAGGCTGGAGTGCAGTGGTGCGATCTCAGCTCACTGCAACTTCCACCTTCCTGGTTCAAGTGATTCTCCTGTTTCAGACTCCCTAGTAGCTGGAATTACAGGTGTGCACTGCCATGCCCGGTTAATTTTTGTATTTTCAGTAGAGACGGGGTTTCGCCATGTTGGCCAGGCTGGTCTCGAACTCCTGACCTCAGGTGATCCACCCGCCTCGGCTCCCAAACCCTGCTTTTTTTCATAAAATATCACTATCTAACATACTAAATATTTTCTTGGGTATCTGTTTATTGCCTATTTCTTTTCCTCAAACCCTGGGGACTACGCCTTTCAACTGCTTGTTCATTCCTATATCTCATGTATCTAGAACACTGCCTGGCATTGTAAGCCCTCAGTAAATGCTGACCAATAAATATATGAACTATCTCACTCAAAAAGAATTAGTAGTATTAGACTGAATAATTAGGAATAACCTAGATAACCATGTGTTCAATATTTTTTTTCCCAGAACTGCATTATTTAGTTTGGCAGATATTTAAAGGCAAATTATCAACCATGTTTGCCAATTTTCAGATGACAGTCTTATCCACCAAAGAGCTAGTGTTTTCAAATCCTAGTTGCCCTTTTGCTATTCAAGATCAGTGTTTTTTTTTTTTTACAAAGATAATTGTTTCAATCTAGTCTTTAGAACTGACCGGAGAAAAATGCAGATAATTGCTGTTATAATAAATGGAAAAGCAGCAAAAGTTACTGATTTTTTTTCAGTTCATTTAGTCCCTAATCAACTGTCAAACAAAACGTCCGTCCCAACTGACAGCCTCAGTTAGCAAACTTAAAAAGCCTGCTTTTCTGAGGCTCCTGTCACATTGCAAGTCTCAGAAAGCAAGCTAATTGCTTATCACTTATGCAGAATGGGAATGGGGCATTATATTCTCTTACTAGTGTAAAACTCTATCCCCTTATTGGCTAATTTTTTGGAGCTGTTGATTTCAACTTTCAAATTGCATGTTTTCCCCAACCCATATCAATACCAGATGTTTATAACTTTGAAATGAAATCCTCTTTTGCTTTATTTTTCTTAAAATCACATTGCACTCGACACTATTGTCTACATGCGGTATTGCAATGTTTTAAAGAAACTTCCAAACTACCAATAGCCTTTATCTTCTTTTCATAAAACCTTGAACTAATGTTTACATTTTTGCCCAATGACTTACCAGTCCTATGGCCCTTAAAGACCTTAAAAAGTAGAAGGAGGCCGGGCATGGTGGCTCACTCCTGTAATCCCAGCACTTTGGGAGGCCAACGCAGGTGAATCACGAGGTCAGGAGTTTGAGACCAGCCTGACCAACATGGTGAAACCTTGTCTCTACTAAAAATACAAAAGTTAGCTGGGCATGGTGGTGCGTGCCTGTAATCCCAGCTACTCAGGAGGCTGAAAGAGGAGAAACGCTTGAACCTGGGAGACAGAGGTTGCAGTGAGCCAAGATCATGCTGCTGCACTTCAGCCTGGGTGACAGAGTTAGACTCCATCTCAAAAAAAAAAAAAAAAAAAAAAATAGAAGGAGCTGTTCTACTGAATCGTTTTAAAAATTACAATGAAATTGGACCTAAAGGAGTATTAAAAAGTTGAAAAAAAAAACCCATAATCCATAAATTAGGACAGTACTAATTCTTGCTCCAGCAGATATTAGAAAGTTAGATGGTCACCACACTACACAGATACCCCAACAGAATAGAAAAGAAAGTCCAGAGAGACCAAAAATATATATAAGAATTTAGTATATGGGAAAGTAGCCATTTCAGTAGTTTTTGTTTTGTTTTGTTTTGTCTTGAGACAGGTTTCACCCTGTACCCAAGCTGGAGTGCAGTGGCGTGATCTCAGCTCGCTGCAGCCTTAACTTCCTGGACTCAAGCAATCCTCCCACCTCAGCCTCCCAAAGTGCTGGGATTACAGATGTGAACCACTGTGCCTGGCCTTCAGTAGATGTTTAAGAGTGTTTTATAACTGTCCAATAAGTTGAAAAACAAAAAATTTAAATTCTACATCAGTTTAAAATGCTCTGGCTGAAAGTAACAAAACGCAAGCTGACAGAGGCTGAATACATAAAGATGTCGCATATTACCTAACATGAAGTCCAAAGGTAGAAAGTCCCAGGATTGGTTTAATGCCGTAAAGATGTTTTCAAATACCCAGGCTCTACATTTTTCCTTTTCACCATCCTCAGTGGGCTGGCTTTTTGTTCTTGGGCTTGTTGCTAGTGATCCAAGATGGCTATCAGAACTCGATGTCAAGTCATCACACAGCAAAGGCAAGAGGTAAAGTTGGGCCAGGGTAGTGAGACAGAGAGCATTCTGCTTTAGTGCCTCTCTCCTTTTATCAGGGACTAACATTCTTTATTTAGAAGCCTCCCAGAAGAATTCCTCTTGTGTCTCATTGGCTAGGCTAAGTCCATGAGCATTACTTGCTGCAGAGGATGAAGGTTAAACCAGTATCTGATTTTTCAGTCTCTGCAATAGGCAATGGACAAGGGAAGGGGCATTGGAAATGGGTATTTGGTAGCCAATCAGATCGTCAATCACATATATCAATATCAAATACATACTTCTGTCTTTCATGCAACTTAAAAATCCACCCTCTCTATAACCACCTTCTCTATTGTGTAATACACTTAACCTGCTTTAGAAAAATCTAGAGTCCAAAACTGCCAGAGAATTTAATTTCTCTTATTTGGTTTCTAAATTTCTCTGCCATATTTCTTTGTCTTCATTCTCTTTAGGAATTCAGTTGTTGTTTTTACTGACTTCTGATTTACTGTTTATACAGATTTCTACTCTTTTTTTTTTTGGCATAGTGATTTTTTTGGGAACCTATGTAATGGGTACATTTTTTTCACTTTTATTTAGCTTTTTTATAGATCACTATGTTTGGAAATGTAAAAGTAACACGGTAAAAATAAGATATATCTATCGAGAAGCAAAGTGAAATTCACTCAGATGCACTCCTGTATGTACTAGTACTTAAATGAACTTTTCATTTTTTCTTACCTTGTATTAAAGTTATTTTTGATATACTACTCATCTCCAGCTGACGACATTCCAAAAATATGTCCCCCCCAAAAAAAAAGAAAAGAACAACTATCCTTCGTACTACTGGAAACGCACCAATCCCCAAGCCAAATATTATTATATAAAGTTAACAATACTTAATGCTGATGTGAAGTCAATAAATCTTATGTCACATGATAATGAAGAAAGGAAATAAAATGAAGGTATTTTCCTAGTACAAGTGTATACATGCACAAACATGTTTTTAACAAAAGAAGGAGGAAATACTCATGACAATTACAGTCCCTGTTTCTGCAGCTGGTCACGTGGTCGTAGCTGGTATTGATGACTACCTTCTTCTACTACCCATTCTGTACGCCCTTTGCCTTCAGCAAGCACCTCAGCAGGTCGTGTTTTTTTGTTTTGTTTTGTTTTGTTTTTGTCGTTGTTTTTTTTTTTTGGTGGAGTGACCCAAACCTTCATTCCTGAAGCGTCTGGCCATGTGTAGTCCTGCCTAGATTGGGCTGCTGTAGTTTCCCATTGACCTTAATCACAGAGCACAGCAATACTAAGAGATGCCCTAATGGATCTTTTTTTTTTTTTTAAGTTTTAAAAGTCTTTAATTTCACCCCTCCACAAATTCTGAACAATACTTATTTTTGTTTTTAGTTTAGTGACAGGGTCTCACTATGTTTCCCAGACTGGACTTAAACACCTGGGCTCAAGTGATCCTCCCACATCTCTTGTATTCCATGCATACTCTTTCTTACCTCCGTTGTGGAGTGGTAGACTGATTTCATCTTGATAGTCTGGATCAATCACCCCAGTCAACACTGTAACTCCCTTCTTAGCCTGTTGACGTAAAGGTAGGAGGAGCCCAAAGTGTCCAGGTGGCAAACTTAACTTCCAGTTTAATGGAATTGTTGTCATGTCTCCTGGTGGCAGCATTCCTCCCTCTAGAACTAAGACCTCTAGGCCAGCAATGTGAATGTCGTGGAAACAGGAAGCAAAAAATTTGCTAGTGGATCACTAGGGGTGATGGTGAGTGGTGCCACTTCCACTTCCACCCCTTGATTCCTGGATCCTTGAATCCTGGCTATGGGAGAAACAGTACCATATATTGGGCACTGATTCAGAGCATACACAGCCTTCTGGAGAGCTTTGTCTCAGCCCTGCAAAGTATTGTCACCTAGTTGGAGTTTTGTAATTGTGACTTCAAAAGCCCATTCCACCGTTCTATCAATCCAGCTGCTTCAAGATGATGGGAAATATGGTAAGACCAGTGAATTCCATGAGCAAGAGCTCACTGCCACACATATTTAACTATAAAGTGAGTGCCTTGGTCAGAGGCAATGTTCTGTGGAATACCATGACAGTGGATAAGGCATTCCGTGAGTACATGAATGGTAGTCTTGGCAGAAGCATTGAGTGCAGGATAGGCAAACCCATATCCAGAGTAGGTGTCTATTCCAGTAAGGACAAACCTCTGCCCTTTCCATGATGGAAGAAGTCCAATATAATCAACTTGCCACCAGGTAGCTAACTGATCACCCTGAGGAACAGTGTCATATCAAGGGCTCAGTGTTGGTCTCTGCTGCTGGCAAATGGGTACTCAGCAGTGGCCATAGCCAAGTCAGCCTTGGTGGGTGGAAGTCCATCTTGCTGAGCCTATGCATAACCTCCATCACTGCCAACATGGCCACTTTGTTCATGGGCCCATTGGGTGATCACAGGGGTGGCTGAGAATGAGGCTGAGTGGTGTCCACAGAACAGGTCATCCTATCCACTTGATTATTAAAATCTTCCTCCACCAAGATCACCTGTTGGTGAGCACTCACATGGGATAAAAATATCTTCACAGTTTTTGACCATTCAGAGAGGTCCATCCACATACCTCTTCCCCAAATTTCTTTGTCACCGATTTTCCAATCATGCTTCTTCCAAGACCCTGGCCATCCAGCCAAACCATTGGCTACAGCTTATGAATCAGTATATAATCACACAGCTGGCCATTTCTCCTTCCATGCAAAGTGTACAACCAAGTGCACTGCTCAAAGTTCTGTTCACTGGGATGATTTCTCTTCACTTCTGTCCTTCAGTGTTGTCCTAGAAAGGGGCTGTAGTGCTGCAACTGTCCACTTTCAGGTGGTGCCTGTGTAATGTGCAGAACCATCTGTGAACCAGGCCCCAGTCTTCTCTTCCTCTGTGAACTGAATCATAGGGAACTTCCCTATAAGGCCATCAGTGCGGGCTGGGGGAAGAGAAGGCAGGGTGGGAGGAGTGGAGACCATAGGCATTTGAGCTACTTACTCATGTAACTTACTTGTGCCCAATCACCTATATACCACTTCTGTTTGATGATGGAATGCTGCTAAGCATGACCCACTTTATGGCTAGATGGTTCAGAAAGCACCCAGTTCATGATAGGCAGTTCAGGTTGCATGGTAATTTGATGACCCATAGTCAAATGTTCAGTTTCCACCAAAGCTCGGTAATAGGCCAAGAGCTGTCTCTCAAAGGGAGAGTAGTTATCTGCAGAAGATGGCAGGGCCTTGCTCCAAAATCCTAGAGGCCTCCACTGTGATTCACCTATGGGAGCCTGCCAAAGGCTCCAGACAGCATCCCTATCTGCCAATGACACCACAATCACCATTGAATCTGCTGGGTCATATGGCCCAAGTGGCAGAAATGCTTGCACAGCAGCATGGACCTGTTGGAGAGCCTTCTCCTGTTCTAGACCCCACTCAAAACTGGCAGCCTTTTGGGTCACTCAATAAATAGTCCAGAGTAACCCACCCAAATGAAGAATGTGTTGCCTACAAAATCCAAATAGGACCATTAGGCATTGTGCCTCTTTCTGGGTTTTGGGAGGGGCCAAATGCAGCAACTTATCCTTCACCTTAAAAAGAATATCTCGACAGGCCCCAAACCACTGGACCCCTAAAAATTTTAGTGAGGTAGAAGTTCCCTGAATTTTAGTTGGATTTTCCCATCCTCTAGCATGCAAATGTCTTACCAATGAGTCCAGTGTGTTTGCTACTTCTTGCTCTCTGAATCCAATCAGCATAATGTCATCAATGTAATGAAGCAAAAGCGATCAAAATCTCTCAGAATAAGATTATGAAACAAAGCCAGAGTTGATATAACCCTTGAGGTACAACAGTGAAGGTATATTGCTGACCTTGCCAGCCAAAGGTAAATTGCTTCTGGTGCGCCTTATGGATAGGAATGGAGAAAAAGGCATTTGCCAAGTCAATGGCTGCATATCAGTTACCAGGAGGTGTGTTAATTTGCTCAAGCAATAAAAACACATCTGGTACAGCAGCTGCAATTGGAGTCAACACTTGGTTAATCTTACAATAATCCACTGTCATTCTCCAAGATCCATCTGTCTTCTGCACAGGCCAAATGGGAGAGTCAAACGGAGATGAGGTGGGAATCACTACCCCTGCATCTTTCTTTTTTTCTTTTTAATTATACTTTAAGTTCTAGGATACATGTGCAGAATGTGCAGGTTTGTTATATAGGTATACATGTGCCATGGTGGTTTGCTGCACTGCACCCATCAACCAGTCATCTGAATTAGGTATTTCTCCTAATGCTATCCCTCCTCTAGCCCGCCACCTCCCGACAGGCCCTGGTGTGTGATGTTCCCCTCCCTGTGTCCATGTGTTCTCATTGTTCAATTCCCACCTATGAGTGAGAACATGTGGTGTTTGGTTTTCTGTTCCTATGTTAGTTTGCTGAGAATGATGGTTTCCAGCTTCATCCATGTCCCTGCAAAGGACATGAACGCATCTTATTTTATGGCTGCATAGTATTCCATGGTGTACATGTGCCACATTTTCTTTATCCAGTCTATCACTGATGGGCATTTGGCTTGGTTCCAAGACTTAGCTATTGTGAATAGTGCTGCAAAAAACATACATGTGCATGTATCTTTATAGTAGAATGATTTATAATCCTTTGGGTATATACCCAGTAATGGGATTGCTGGGTCAAATGGTATTTCTGGTTCTAGATCCTTGAGGAATTGCCACACTGTCTTCCACAATGGTTGAGGTAATTTACACTCCCACCAACAGTGTAAAAGCATTCCTATTTCTCCACATCTCTCCAGCATCTATTGTTTCCTGACTTTTTAATGATTGCCATTCTCACTGGTGTGAGATGGTATCTGGTATCTCATTGTGGTTTTGATTTGCATTTCTCTAATGACGAGTGATGATAAGCTTTTTTTCATATGTTTGTTGGCCACATAAATGTCTTCTTTTGAGAAGTGTCTGTTCATATCCTTTGCCCACTTTCTGATGGGGTCATTTGTTTTTTCTTGTAAATTTAAGTTCCTTGTAGATTCTAGATATTAGCCCTTTGTCAGATGGATAGGTTGCAAAAATTTTCTCCCATTCTGTAGGTTGCCTGTTCACTCTGATGGTAGTTTCTTTTGCTATGCAGAAGCTCTTTAGTTTAATTAGATCCCATTTTTCTATTTTGGCTTTTGTTGCTATTGCTTTTGGTATTTTAGTCATGAAATCTTTGCCCATGCCTATGTCCTCAATGGTATTGCCTAGATTTTCTTCTAGGGTTTTTATGGTTTTAGGTCTTACGTTTAAGTCTTAACATATAAGGTGTAAGGAAGGGGTCCAGTTTCAGTTTTCCGCATATGGCTGGCCAGTTTTCCCAACACCATTTATTAAATAGGGAATCATTTCCTCATTGCTTGTTTTTGTCAGGTTTGTCAAAAATCAGATGGTTGTAGACATGCGGTGTTATTTCTGAGGCCTCTGTTCTGTTCCATTGGTCTGTATATCTGTTTTGGTACCAGTACCACGCTGTTTTGGTTACTGTAGCCTTGTAGAATAGTTTGAGGTCAGGTAGCATGATGCCTCCAGCTTTGTTCTTTTTGCTTAGGATTGTCTTGGCTAAATGGGTTTTTTTTTTGTTCCATATGAAATTTAAAGTAGTTTTTCTAATTCTGTGAAGAAAGTCAATGGTATTTTATTCTCTTTGTAGCAATTGTGAATAGGAATTCACTCATCATTTGGCTCTCTGTGTCTATTATTGATATATGAGAATGCTTGTGACTTTTGCACATTGATTTTGTATCCTGAGACTTTGCTGAAGTTGCTTATCAGCTTAAGGAGATTTTGGGCTGAGATGATGGGGTTTTCTAAATATATAATCAGGTCATTTGCAAACAGAGACAATTTGATTTCCTCTCTTCCTATTTGAATATCCTTTATTTCTTTCTCTTGCCTGATATCCCTGGCCAGAACTTCCAATATTATGTTGAGTAGGACTGGTGAGAGGGGGCATCCTTGTCTTGTGCCGGTTTTCAAAGGGAATGCTTCCAGCTTTTGCCCATGCAGTATGATAATGGCTGTGGGTTTCTCATAAATAGCTCTTATTATTTTGAGATATGTTCCTTCGATACCTAGTTTATCGAGAGTTTTAGCATGAAGGGATGTTGGATTTTATCAAAGGCCTTTTCTTCATTTATTGAGATAATCATGTGGTTTTTGTCATTTGTTCTGTTTATGTGATGGGTTACATTTGTTAATTTGTGTATGTTGAAGCAGCCTTGCATCCCGGGGATGAAGCTGACTTGATTGTGGTGGATAAGCTTTTTGATGTGCTGCTGGATTTGGTTTGCCAGTATTTTATTGAGGATTTTCACATCGAAGTTCATCAGGGATATTGGCCTGAAATTTTCTTTTTTTGTTGTGTCTCCACCAGGTTTTGGTGTCAGGATGCTGCTGGCCTCATGAAATGAGTTAGGGAGGAGTCCCTCTTTTTCTGTTTTTGGAATAGTTTCAGAAGGAATGGTACCAGCTCCTCTTTGTACCTCTGGTAAAATTCAGCTGTGAATCCGTCTGGTCCTGGACTTTTTTTGGTTGGTAGACTATTAATTACTGCCTCAATTTCAGAATTTGTTATTGGTCTATTCAGGGATTCAACTCCTTCCTGGTTTAGTCTTGAGAGGGTGTGTGTGTCCAGGAATTTATCCATTTCTTCTAGATTTTCTAGTTTATTTGTGTAGAGGTGTTTATAGTATTCTCCGATGGTAGTTTGTATTTCTGTGGAATCAGTGGTGATATCCCCTTTGTAATTTTTATTGTGTCTATTTGATTATTCTCTCTTTTCTTCTTTTTTAGTCTGGCTAGTGGTCTATCTACTTTGTTAATCTTTTCAAAAAACCAGCTCCTGGATTCATTCATTTTTCTGAAGGATTTTTCATGCCTCTATCTCCTTCAGTTCTGCTCTGATCTTAGTTATTTCTTGTCTTCTGTTTGCTTTTAAATTTGTTTGTTCTTGCTTCTCTAGTTCTTTAAATTGTGATGTTAGGATGTTGATTTTAGATCTTTCCTGCTTTCTCCTGTGGGCATTTAGTGCTATAAACTTCCCTCTAAACACTGCTTTAGCTGTGTCCCAGAGATTGTGGAACATTGTATCTTTGTTCTCATTGGTTTCAAAGAACTTATTTATTTCTGCCTTAATTTCATTATTTACCCAGTAGTCATTCAAGAGCAGGTTGTTCAGTTTCCATGTAGTTGTATGGTTTTGAGTGAGTTTCTTATTCCTGAGTTCTAATTCGATTGCACTGTGGTCTGAGACACAGTTTGTTATGATTTCTGTTCTTTTGCATTTGCTGAGGAGTGTTTTATTTCCAATTATGTGGTCAATTTTAGAATAAGTGCAATGTGGTGCTAAGAAGAATGTACATTTTGTTGATTTGAGTTCTGTATATGTCTATTAGGTCCGCTTGGTCCAGAACTGAGATCTTGGTCCAGTGAGCTGAGATCTCACCACTGCCTTCCAGCCTGGGCAACAGAGCAAGAATCCGTCTCAAAAAAAAAAAAAAAAAAAGAAAGAAAAAAAGAAAAGAAACCCAGGGCCCTGGTGGTGTACGTACCTGAGGGAATCTCCTGGTCAGCAGGTTGTGAAGACCATGGGAAAAGCGTATCTGGGCCAGAATGCACCATTCCTCATGACACAGTCCCTCATGGCTTCCCTTGGCTAGGGGAGGGAGTTCCCTGACCCTTGTGCTTCCTGGGTGAGGCGATGCACCACCCTGCTTTGGCTCACCCTCCATGGGTTGCACCCACTGTCTACCCAGTCCCAATGAGATGAGCCGGGGACCTCAGTTGGAAATAACCCACCTTCTGTGTTGATCTCACTGGGAGCTGCCAACCAGACCTGTTCCTATTCGGCCATCTTGCCAGCCACACCCACCCCTGCATCTTTCAAGTCCCTGATGGTGGCACTAATCTTTGCAATCCCTTCAGGGATGTGATATTGTTTTTGATTTACTCTTTTCTTTTTTTTTTTTTTGAGATGAAGTTTCACTCTATTGCTCAGGCTGGAGTGCAGTGGCACAATCTCAGTTCACTACAAACTCCGCCTCCCAGGTTCAAGTGATTCTTCTGCCTCAGCCTCCCAAGTAGAGTAGCTGGGTTTACAAGCATGCGCCACCATGCCTGGCCAATTGTTTTGTATTGTTAGTAGAGATGGGGTTTCAGTATGTTGGCCGGGCTGGTCTTGAACTCCTGACCTCTAGTGATCCTCCCACCTTGGCCTCCCAAAGTGTTGGGATTACAGGTGTGAGCCATCATGCCTGGCCCTACTATTTTTCTAGGTAGAGGCAGCTCTAATGGCTTCCATTTGGCCTTTCCCACCATAATAGCTTTTGCCCTACTAGTCAAGGAGCCAATGTGGGTGTTCTGCCAGGTGCTAAGTATGTCTATGCCAATTATGCATTCTGGCACTGAGGAAATGACCAAAGGATGAGTCCAGGGACCCACTGGACCCACTGTAAGTCAGATCTGAGTGAAAACTCCATTAATTACCTGACTTTCATAAGTCCCTACTTTAACTGGAGGACCACAATGACGTTTTGGGTCTCCTGGAATCAATGTCAGCTCAGAGCCCGTGTCCAGTAGTCCCCAAAATGTCTGATCATTTCCCTTTCCCAATGTACACTTACCCTGGTAAAAGACCAGAGGTCTTCTTGGGGAAGGATGGGAAAAAAGATTCACGCATAAAATGTCAGTAATGTAGTAAGGTCCTTCCTCAAGGAGACTTTGCTTCCCCTTCATTCAAGGGGTTCTGGGTCTGTAAACTGGCTCAAGTCTGGAAACTGATTGAGGGGCCATGATTCTCTGTTTTTATATTTCAAATTATTCTTTTGTCCATTTGACTTAGAAGTTTTCTACTTATATAAATTAAATAGGAATGCAGTAGGCTTCCTATCAATTTCACTTCTAGGAACATGATTAATTAGCCAATGCCAGGGCTCTACATGAGCCAGACTATTCTGATTGCTGCTTTGCCTCTGCTGTCCATTACGGTAGCTATGCCTACCTTGCCTTTGACAATTGAGTGCCACCACTTGGCCCCTGCCACTTCGGGATCCAATTATTCCCACTGTATTTAAATTTTGTAGTTGAGTGGCTGTGGTCCCCACTGTTAGGTCTGACATACAGAGAAAAGCAAGTACAGGGCTCTTCAAAGATGCAGGTGCTGCCTTCACAAATCTATTTCACAAGTCATTGGTCAAGGGTGTATCTTCTGGACCCTTCCACTTGGGATGAGTAGGTCTAAAGTGACTAATCCACTCCACTATCCCAATCTCCCTAAGCCTTTGGATCCCTTCCTCTACGTTAAACCAAGGGAGATCAGGCTTTTCCAGCTCACTCACAGATCTTTTAATCCATACTTCAGCTAACCAAGCAAATAAACTATTAGAACCTTTTTTAACTCCCTGAACTGAAACATTAAATGCGCAGTCGCTACTTAGTGGGCCCAAATCAATAAATTCAGCATGACCCAGTTCTATGTTCCTTCCACCATTATCTCACAACCTTAACATCCATTTGCATGCCTGTTCTCCAGATTTCTGTTTATATAAATTAGAAAACTCAAGCAGTTCTTTTCAAGTGTAGTGCGCCTCCTCATGGGTCACACTCTCAACCTCACCTCTAGAGGTCTGCCAGGACTTTAGTCTAGTTATAGGTCTAAAAGCAAACAGGGGTGCTGTGGGTGGCTCTTGAGGAGAATCAACATTATCTTGCCTGGCAACTGCCTCAGGGGAGGCCATCACTATTGCCTCAGGCAGTGCAGGGTTTATCTCCTCAGATAAAAGTGGAAAGGCTGATGACAGCATGGGTCAGGGAGGGGATGTTGCCACTACTGAGAATGGGGAAGCTGTTTCTTCTGGCAAAAAAAAAAAAAGGTTCATCGGAGTTTACAAACTCATTGTTCCCAACTTCATCAGAGTCTTCCCACATGTCCCCATCCCAAGTTGCAGGGTCCTATTCTTTTCCAATAAATGCCCTCACTTTAAAGTTGACACCTAGTGAGGCTGTGCATGCACCTTTCCTTGCAGACCAGCCACTTGCATAAGAGCTTGTGTCTGTTTTTCCACAGTTTCAGCTCTTTCTCTACAGAAGATAAGACTCTCACTCAGAGCAATCTTAACAGATTTGAGGCTCATCATCTGTTTCTGAAGCTGGGATTTAGAATCCCTGAATTCATCATTTTATTTCATCATGTTAAGTATTAACTCACATGATCACAAGGCCCCACAATGGCTTGCTCCTGCAGGCTGAGGAGCAAGGAGAGCCAGTCCGAGTTCCAAAACTGAAGAATTTGGAGTCTGATGCTCGAGGGCAGGAAGCATCCAGCATGGGAGAAAGATGTAGGCTGGGAGGCCTCTATTTTTACATTTTTCTGCCTGCTTTATATTTTAGCCATGCTGGCAGCTGATTAGATTGTGCCCACCCAGATTAAGGATGGGTCTGCCTTCCCCAGCCCACTGACTCAAATGTTAATCTCCTTTGGCAACACCCTGACAGACACACCCAGGATCAATACTTTGTATCCTTCAATCCAATTAAGTTGACACTCAGTATTAACCATCACATAGTTCTCATCTCGCCAGACCTTGACCTGGCTTTTTTTTTTTTTTTTTTTTTTAACTTTGGACCTCTCATCTGTGTCATCTGTTGCACTCAGGCTCACCTATCTTGGGGTTCCACTACCATCTCATGTCTCTTCATATTCCAGGGCTCTTTTTCTTTCTCCAGGCAGTTTATTAGGTCTGGCTTAGAGACGGCAATACTAAGGAAGACCAGGTTTCTGTAGTTCTCTAACATCATTTTTTTTTTTTTTTTTGAGACGGAGTCTCACTCTGTGGCCCAGGCTGGAGTGCAGTGGTGTGATCTCAGCTCACTGCAAGCTCTGCCTCCTGGGTTCACGCCATTCTCCTGCCTCAGCCTCCCGAGTAGCTGGGACTACAGGCACCTGCCACCACACCTGGCTTTTTTTTTTTTTTTTTTTTTTTGTATTTTTTTGGTAGAGATGGGGTTTCACTGTGTTAGCCAGAATGGTCTCGATCTCCTGACCTCATGATCTGCCTGCCTTAGCCTCTCAAAGTGCTGGGATTACAGGCATAAGCCACCGTGCCTGGCCCCTAACATCACATTTCTATAAAATTACGCTGTGCTGTATTTAGGCATTGCCACTCCTCCAGAAAGAATTCTATGGCCACATCCATAAATGTCACTGGTCCCATTTCTAGGCTTCCAGGAGGTCAAGGTGTCTTAGCTGTGGATCTCCCAACACCTGCAGGCCACAGAGGCTGTATCTCTAGGGGCAGAAGACGTAGAGAAGTCTACGTTGTTATTCTGATAAAGACTACTTTGAATCTGAAGATTGCTTTGGGCGGTATGATCATTTTAATGATCATAATCCTTCCAATCCATGAGCAGGGGATGCCTTTCCATTTGTTTGTGGCTGCTTTAATTTCTTTCAACAGTGTGCTTGGTTTTCCTTATAGAGATCTTTCACCTCTTTGGTTAAATTTATCCTTAGGTATTTTACTTTTGTGGCTATTGTAAATGAAATTGCATTCTTGATTTTTTTTCTCAAGTACTTCATTATTGGTGTATAGAAATGTTACTGATTTTTGTATCTTGCAACTTTACTAAATTTAAAAAATCAAATCAGAATTTTTTGGTGGACTTTTGCCTTTTCTTTCATTTTCTTGCTTGATTGCTCTGGCTAGAATGTCCAGTAATATGTTGAATAAAAGTGGTGAAAATGGGCATTCTGTCTTGTTCCAGTTCTTACAGAAAAGACTGTCGGGCTTTCCCCATTCAATATGATAATAGTCATGGGTTTGTCATATCTGGCCTTTATAATGTTGAGGCATGTTCCTTCTATGCCTAGTTTGTTGAGAGTTTTTACCACGATGAGATGTTGATTTTATCAAATGCTTTTTTTGTATTTACTGAGGTGATCATGTGATTTTTGTCTTTCATTCTGTTGATGTGATGTATCATGTTTATTGTCTTGCATATGTTGAACTACCCTTGCATCCCTGTAAGAAATTCCACTTGTTATAGTGTATTTTTTGTTTGTTTGATGTGCTGTTGGATTTGGTTTGCTAGTATTTTATTGATAATTTTTGCATCTACTTTCATCAGGAATGTTGGGTAGGTCTAGCCCATAGTTTTCTTTTTTTGTTATGTCTTTGTGTGGTTTGGTATCAGGGTAATGCTGGCTTCATAGAATGAGTTAGGGAGAATTTCTTCCTCTTAAACTTTCTGGAATCATTTCAGAAAAATTGGTGTTAGTTCTTTTTTGAAAGTTTGGTAGAATTTGAGCCAGGCATGTGGCATGTTCCTGAAGTCCCAGCTACTCAGGAGGCTGAAACAGGAGGATCTTGTGAGCCCAGGAACTTGACACTAGCCTGGGCAACATAACAAGACCTTGTCTCAAAACAATTTTATGTAAAGAAAAGAAACTTTGGTAGAATTTGGCAGTGAAGCCATCTGTTCCTAAACTTATCTTTGTTGAAAGACTTTGTGTTACTCAGACAATCTCAATACTCATTATCAGTCTGTTCAGGTTTTCTATTTATTTGTGATTTATTTTTGTAGGTTATATGCGTCTAGGAATTTATCCATTACCTCTCAGTTTTCCAGTTTGTTAGTGTATAGTTGTTCATAATAGTCTCTGATTATATATTTTTTTTAATTCTTGTGGGTACATGATATGTATATATATTGATGGAGCACATGAGATGTTTTGATACAGGTATGCAATGTTCTGATGTTTTGTATTTCTATGGTATCAGTTGTAATGTTTCCTTTTTCGTTTCTGATTTTTTTTGGAGGAGGGAGTCTTCTCTCTTTTTTTCTTGGCTAGTCTCACAACTGGTTTATTAATTTAGTTTACCTTTTCAAAGAACCAACTTTTCATTTTGTTGATCCTTTATATTGATTTTTAGTCTGTTTCAGTGTGTTCTGACCTGATCCTTATTATTTCCTTCCTTCTATTAGTTTGGGTTTGGCTTCTTCTTGCTTTTCTCATTCGTTTTGGTCCATTTTTAGAATGTTTATTTGGAATCTTTCTACTTTTTTATGTAAGCATTTGTCTTAGTTTGTTTGCATTGCTATAGAGGAATACCTAAAGCTGAGTATTTTATAAATAAAAAGGGTTTATTTGACTCACTGTCCTGCAGACTGTGCAGGAAGCATGATACCAGCCTCTGCTTCTGTTAACAACCTCAAGAAGCTTCCAATCATGGAGGACGGGGAAGGGGAGCACATATTACATGGTGAGAGTGAAGGAAACAGAGAGAGGAGGAGATGCCAGGCTCTTTCTAACAGTTAGTTCTCATAAGAATTAATAGAGTTATTCAGCAGGATACAGACAAACAAGAACAACAACAAAATAACAAAAAGAGAATTAACAGAGTAAGAACTCACTCAGGGGATTGTGGCCAAGATGGCTGACTATAAGCAGCTGCTGTGCACCACTGTCGTGAAGAGAAATGGAAGGGGTGAGTAAAAACAGCACCTTCAATTGAAATATCCAGGTATGTGCAATGGGATTAATCAAGGATACAACTCAACCCATACAGAATGGAGAAAAGCAAGGCAGGGTGACCACCCACTTGGGAGCAGTGTGGAGCAGGGGGAACCTACACTGTCCAGGGAAGTGGTGAGTGAGTAAGCAGCCCTGGGAAACCATACTTCTCCCATGGATCTTTGCAACCCTCGAATGAGGACGTACCTTCATGAACTCACTCCACAAGGGTCTTCAGTCTGACACACAGAATTATGTGGAGTCTCAGCAGAGCAGCCACTCAGGCACATGCAGAGCCCCAAGAAACTTAGACACCCAGGCTTCTTGGCAAAAGCAGCTGCAACTCTGGCAAAGGGGTACGTAGACCCCCATACGTACCCCTGGAAAAAGGGACTGAATCCAGAAGACTGAGCAGTGACAGGCTAAAGGTCCCGCTTCCACGGCACTTTGCAGGATAAGATCCACTGACTTGGAACTCCAGTCAGCCACCATTAACCATTAACCATTAACCATTAACATTAACATTAGCACCATTAACATTAGCAGTGTTAACCTCCCTGAGACAGAGGGAGGGGTGGGTCACCATCTTTGCTGTTTAGCCAACTTAGCCATTCTTGCCTTCTGGTTTTGGAAAGTCTGAGGCAACTGGGGTTTGGGGCAGAACCTCCGCACAGTATAGCTGCTCTACGAAAATGTGACCAGACTGCTGTTTTAAGTGGGTCCCTGATCCCATTCCTCCCCACTGGGTGGAACCTCCAGACTGGGGTCTCCAGCTACCCATCGTTTTCTGGCCAACAGAGGTTTCAGACCTCCCTGGAATGAAGCTCCCAGAGGAAGGGGCAGGCTGCCATCTTTGATGTTTGGCTGACTTAGCCATTCTTACCTTCGGGCTTTGGAGAGTCAGAGACAACCAGGAGCTGGAGCAGAGCCCCAGAGCAACACAGCTGTCCTACAAGAATGTGGCCAAACTGCTTTTTTTTTTTTTTTTGAGACAGTCGCTCTGTTGCCCAGGCTGGAGTGCAGTGGCACGATCTCAGCTCACTACAAGCTCCGCCCCCCAGGTTCAAGCAATTCTCCTGCCTCAGCCGCCTGAGTAGCTAGGACTACAGGTGTGCACCACCACCACGCCCAGTTAATTTTTGTATTGTTAGTAGAGATGGGGTTTCACCATGTTGGCCAGGCTGGCCTCGAACTCCTGACCTCGTGATCTGCCCTCCTTGGTCTCCCAATGTGCTGGGATTACAGATGTGAGCCACTGCACCCGGCCCCAAACTGCTTTTTAAAGCAGGTCACCAATAACATTCTTCCTTACTGGTGACACCTCCCGAATGGGGTCTCCAGCCACCTCTTACAAGTGCATTCAGGCTGGCAACAGGCCCATACTTCCCTGGGACAGAGCTCCCAGAGGGAGGAGCAGGCCACCATCTTTGCCACTTCACAGCCTTTACTGTTGATATCTCAGGTACTGGAAAATCCAAGGTAACTAGAGACTGGAGCAGACCCCCAGCATGCCACAGCAGCCCTACGGAGAAGTGGCCAGACTGTTAAGTGGAAGCCCATTCCCATATCTTCTCACCAAGAAGGTCCTCCAGGCCTGGGCCTCCAGCCACCCCCTGCCGAAACTAACAATCCAGTAGCAGCTCTGCAACTTCCTGGACACAACTCCAGGATGGGAGGCGTGGGTTGCCATCTTCACTGTCTTGCAGCCCTTGCCCTTGCTGTCTCCAGGCTTGGGAGAGTCTGCAGGCACCAGAGACTGATACGGACTCCCAGCACAAAGCAACCGCCTCTCAGAAAAGTGGCCAGACTGTTCTCCATGCAGATCCCAGTCCTTACTTCTCCTCACTGAGCAGGGTGGCCTGACCTGGGACTCCAGAACAATCACCCTGTCTCCACCTGATCACCACAATCAGAGACAGCCCAGCATTTCTCCAAGGAGGAAATCTAAGTCAACCCACAACCGCTCCACCACCACGTTTTCAGAGGTACAGCTGTTACAGCCCTCGAACTGGGAAGGAACAAAGGTCCTAGTCATTACACTGGCACCTCCAGCACACTGCAGCCACCATAGAGACAGGGGTCCAGCCTCTCTTTGCTGGGAACCCCCACCCCCACTCTTCACCAGGCAGGATCCCCAGCTCATGAGTGCAGAACAGTCACTCCACTCATAACTGAGCATACTCACTGGTAGTGGCTCAGAGTTTCCCCCAGGAGAGGCTCCCGGAGGCATACAACAGCCCCTCTGCCACTGCCACAGTAACAGTTCTATCCCTCCTGCCCTTGATCTGGGAAAGAAACAAAGAACCTGAGGACTACACCGAAGTTTACAGCACAGCACAGCACAGCCACCACACAAAGAGGAGATCAATCTCCTCCCTGTGAACATTTGACCCCCTGCTCCTCAACAAGCAGAACCCCAAGCTCACATGAGCAGTGCAGCCACCCTGCCACACTAGCTTAACACTCCCAGCAATAGCCACTCCAAGTGTCTTGGAAGTGGAGCCCCCAGGGGCAACTGAAAGATTCTCTGCCATTACCCCTGTAGTGAAACTGCCCTTGCTACTCTTGGACTAATGAAAAAGCAAAGACTGTAAGTGCCTTAACCACACCTCCAATAAGCTGCAGTCAACCCAAGGAAAGGAGGCCAGTCCACCTTACACAGGTACCATCCCACCACCACCCTTTCATCACCAGATAGGAAATCCCTGGCTTGGGCCCACAGCACACATGCTCTATCCTGGGATGATTGCACTGAGCAACTTCTGACCTTCATCTCTCCGAGGTGGAGCCCTCAGGAAACAAACAAAACACCCTTGGCCACAACCACCACTAAGGTCCCTTCATCTGCTGCCTCCAAGTTGGGGAAGGAAAATAAACCCTGAGGTTTTCCCAGAGCTGTGGTAGACAGGACCAGGAGCACCAAGCCATGATCTACAACCAGCACTCAAGTGGGAGAGGAGTCCATAATTTCAGAGCATTGAGAGGGAGCATAGTGGCAACTGTGAGGAAATATAGGGGAGCCACACAACTGAGCAAGAGCCTACCAACTGACCAATATGCCTAAGCACCACCTACTAGATTACACTGCAAAGCTTCAACACCAAAATACCTTGCTAACTATGCCCCTGTGAAAGCAAATACAATAAATTAGCTACAAATAAAGACCCTGCACAAAGCCTCAGCCCTGTGAAAACATCCAGAAAAGAAGTTTATTGATTGTACTCAATGTATACTGCAGTTAAAGGAACACCCACATGCAGAGATGAGAAAGAACCAATGCAAGAACTCCAGTAGCTCAAATGTCCAGAGTGCCATATGTCCTCCAAACGACTGCATCAGCTCTCCAGTAAAGATTTTTAACCAGGCTGAGCTGGCTGAAATGACAGAAATAGAATTCAGAATATGAATAGGAATGAAGGTTACTGAGATGCAGGAGAATGACAGAAACCAATCAAAAGGTGTTATTTCTAAGGCCTCTGTTCTGTTCCATTGGTCTATATATCTGTTTTGGTACCAGTACCATGCTGTTTTGGTTACTGTAGCCTTGTAGTATAGTTTTGAAGTCAGGTAGCATGATGCCTCCAGTTTTGTTCTTTTTGCTTAGGATTGCCTTGGCTATGCGGGCTCTTTTTTGGTTCCATGTGAAATTTAAAGTAGTTTTTTCCAATTCTGTGGAGAAAGTCAATGGTAGCTTGATGGGGATAGGATTGAATCTATGAATTACTTTGGGCAGTATGGCCATTTTCACGATATTGATTCTTCCTATCCATGAGCATGGAATGTTCTTCCATTTGTTTGTGTCCTCTCTTATTTCCTTGAGTAGTGGTTTGTAGTTCTCCTTGAAGAGGTCCTTCACATAACTTGAAGTTGTATTCCTAGGTATTTTATTCTCTTTGTAGCAATTGTGAATGGGAGTTCACTCATAATCTGGCTGTTTGTCTGTTATTGGTGTATACGAATGTTTGTGATTTTTGCACATTGATTTTGTATCCTGAGACTTTGCTGAAGTTGCTTAGCTTAAGGAGATTTTGGGCTGAGACGATGGGGTTTTCTAAATATACAATCACGTCATCTGCAAACAGTGACAATTTGATTTCATCTTTTCCTAATTGAATACCCTTTATTTCTTTCTCTTGCCTGATTGCCCTGGCCAGAACTTCCAATACTATGTTCAATAGGAGTGGTGACAGAGGGCATCCTCGTCTTGTGCCAGTTTTCAAAGGGAATGCTTCCAGCTTTTGCCCATTCAGTATGATATTGGCTGTGGGTTTCTCTTAAATAGCTCTTATTATTTTGAGATATGTTCCATCAATACCTAGTTTATTCAGAGTTTTTAGCACGAAAGGCTGTTCAGTTTTGTCAAAGGCCTTTTCTGCACCTATTGAGATAATCATGTGGTTTTTGTCATTGGTTCTGTTTATGTGATGAATTACGTTTATTGATTTGCATATGTTGAATCAGCCTTGCATCCCCGGGATGAAGCCGACTTGATTGTGGTGGATAAACTTTTTGATGTGCTGCTGGATTCGGTTTGCCAGTATTTTATTGAGGATTTTTGCATCGATGTTCATCAGGGATACTGGCCTGAAATTTTCTTTTTTGTTGTTGTGTCTCTGCCAGGTTTTGGTATCAGGATGATGTTGTCCTCATAAAATGAGTTAGGAAGGATTCCCTCTTTTTCTATGGTTTGGAATAATTTCAGAAGGAATGGTACCAGCTCCACTTTGTATCTCTGGTAGAATTTGGATGTGAATCTGTATGGTCCTGGACTTTTTTTGGTTGGTAGGCTATTAATTGCTGCCTCAATTTCAGAACTTGTTATTGGTGTATTCAGGGATTCGGCTTCTTCCTGGTTTAGTCTTGAGAGGGTGTATGTGTCCAGGAACTTATCCATTTCTTCTAGATTTTCTAGTTTATTTGTGTAGAGGTGTTTATATATTCTCTGATAGTAGTTTGTATTTTTGTGGGATTGGTGGTGATATCGCTTTATCATTTTTTATTGCATCTATTTGATTCTTCTCTCTTTTCTTCTTTATTAGTCTGGCTAGTGGTCTATCTCTTTTGCTGATCTTTTCAAAAAACCAGCTCCTGGATTCATTACTTTTTGAAGGGGTTTTCGTAACTCTATCTCCCTCAGTTCTGCTCTAATCTTAGTTATTTCTTGCCTTCTGCTAGCTTTCAAATGCAAAAGAATGGAAATAATAACAAACAGTCTCTCAGACTACAGGGCCATCAAATTAGAACTCAGGATTAAGAAACTCACTCAAAACCGCACGACTGCATTGAAACTGAACAACATGCTCCTGAATGACTACTGGGTAAATAACTAAATGAGGGCATAAATAAAGATGTTCTTTGAAACCAATGAGAACAAAGACACAATGTACCAGAATCTCTGGGACACATTTATAGCACTAAATGCCGACAAGAGAAAGCAGGAAAGATCTAAAATCGACACCTTAACGTCACATTTAAAAGAACTAGAGAAGCAGGAGCATACATTAGATTTTATATCCATTTTTCTACCTGTCTTTACAAAACAAAACAAATCCGTTTTGTTCAATGAGGAAATGTGCTCAGCTAAAAACACTCATCTAACTTAGATCTCCTTATGATCTTGTGACCAAGTTTTAGCAAATTAGAGTTAAGCTGAAGTAATGAGCCTACAGTTTATAGGAAAGAAATTCAAGAGGTACTAATTCTATTGATGTGTCCATTTTGCCTTTTGTCTCTGTCACTTTATCCTACCTGGAACACAGTCATGATGCCTGAGGTACAGCCAGCATTTTGCAACTATGAGATTGAAATCCACCCTCTAAAGCGAATAGAGCAGGAAGATGGAAACAGCCTGGCACCTGATGGCGTTATTGAGCTGCCAAGTCTCCAGAACTTCTTTTTGTTTCAGAAAAATAAGCTTCTTTCTTATCTAAGCTAAGTCTTCTTTCAATTTTAACAAACACATTCCTAACCAACAGTCACATTTATAACATTTTACATAATTTTTTATCTTTGCAATTAGTTGATTATGTTTTGGATTTATTATTCTTATACTTTTATTGACTATCACCTCAAGCCCTTCTTGAAAGTAGGTAGGGTGTACCTAATCAATAAAAAATACTTATATTTATATGTTCTACACTGCAAACTTTGTAGAAAAGCAATTAGAAATAAAAATACAAGTGGCCTGCAATGATTTTTCTAAACCAAAATATTGATCAAAAAATCTAAAACCATTATTTTTTTATTTTTTAGCAATCATCTCCTACAAATTATAATATGTTCCCATTCATAATTAAATACATGAAAATAAATTTTCTGGTGAGAATTTTATTTTACCCTTTGTAAAACTATCACCACCCTTAAGTATTATACTCTTGAAGTTGGGATGCCAGAAACCAGATACATATCTGTAACTTCTACTTTGTCTCTTTTCATGGAGAAAATTTGACTTCATTCCAGTTCCCAGCACAACCAGACTTGGGAATGCTGGGAAATTGATAGCTCTAAAATATGAGGTAAAATGAAGGGGATTTAAATTGCTAAGTATTATCATCATCTTGATGGAATTGCCATCTTTTTCTCTTCTTTAGACACAGATTCACTGGCTGGGATGAGAGATAAAATTGAATTCTATAAGTCTACACAAGAATGGAAAGGCAATAATCCAAACCACTCTCCAAGTTCTATTGAAGATGAGTTGCTTTGCAGTTACGGCAAATTGCCTTGCGATTTTCAAAGGTAACTATAGAGACTTTGACATTTTTAGCTGTGGAAAAGTGATGAGACAGAATCCAGGCTCATTTAGGAAGTTTCACCTGATTGAAAAAGGGCCAAGGAGGCCGGGACAGGTGGCTCACGCCTGTAATGCAGCACTTTGGGAGGCAGAGGCGGGCGGATCATTGAGGTCAGGAGTTCAAGACCAGCCTGGCCAACATGGCAAAACCCCATCTCTATTAAAAATACAAAAATTAGCCGAGTATGGTGGTGTGCACTTGTAATCTCAGCTACTTGGGGGGCCAAGGCAGGATAATCGCTTGAACCTGGGAGATAGAGGTTGTGGTGAGCCAAGATCATGCCACTGCACTCCAGCCTGGGCAACAGAGCAAAACTTCATTTAAAAAAAAAAAAAAAAAAAAAAAGCCAAGGAAATCAAGCCCAATTCTTGAAATTTGCATGCATATTAGTTCTTCATAATTGCAAATGGAATTCTATGGAATGCTGAGGCTGTCACTTAAAAGCCTTCTAAATAACCTGCCATAAAGAGAGAAAGATCAAAGAGGGAAATACTTAATCTTTGGCAAGAGTCACCTCAAATAAATTACAAAGAATGTGCCTCTTAGCTTTGCGTGCAAAAGCAATCTCCTTTAGGTAAGTAATTAATTGACTCAAAATATATTCTGAGCAATTAATAAGTTTAACAAACTCTATTGAGTGCCTATTATTTGTTATCACTGAGATTTATGCTAAGAATACAAAAAACATTTATATGGCAAAAGTATGTAACTTTAAAAAGTTTATAACAGAAAAGGAAATATAAAACAAATACAGGAAAAAAATAATGATACATAGACTAAGTATTCTACATCGAAGTGACACAGCCAAAATGACTACATGAATCCAACATAATAAATAGAGTGCTAGGCCGGGCGCTGTGGCTCACGCCTGTAATCCCAGCACTTTGGGAGGCCAAGGCGGGCGGATCACGAGGTCAGGAGATCGAGACCATCCTGGCTAACAAGGTGAAACCCCGTCTCTACTAAAAATACGAAAAATTAGCCGGGCGTGATGGCGGGCACCTGTAGTCCCAGCTACTCGGGAGGCTGAGGCAGGAGAATGGCATGAACCCGGGAGGCGGAGCTTGCAATGAGCCCATATCGCCCCACTGCACTCCAGCATGGGTGACAGAGCGAGACTCCATCTCAAAATAAATAAATAAATAAATAAATAAATAAATAAATAAATAGAGTGCCATGCCAAGAACTCTGTAAACAGAATAGGCTTGAATCCCTGTTCCATCCACTTCATCTCTGTGACTTGAGGCATGTTATGCAACCTGTCTATGCCTCAGTTTCCTCAACTGTAAAATGGACGTAAGAAATGTACCTACTGCACAAGGATGTTGTAAGGATTAAATATGATAATGTATGTAAAATGCTTCTTATGAAGTCTGGCAAGAGTAAGTACACGATAAATATTACCCATTATAAAAAATTATTAGAGGAACAATAACTGAAGACTGGCTCTGCAACTGCATTGGAAGTCTTTTTAGAGATGTTGTGAAGGATCCAATTTTTTTTTATTTTTTATTTTTTTTTTTTATGAGACGGAGTCTCGCTCTGTCGCCCAGGCTAGAGTGCAGTGGCACCATCTCGGCTCACTGCAAGCTCCGCCTCCCGGGTTCATGCCATTCTCCTGCCTCAGCCTCCCGAGTAGCTGGGACTACAGGCGCCCGCCGTCACGCCCGGCTAATTTTTTGTATTTTTAGTAGAGACGGGGTTTCACCGTGTTAGCCAAGATGGTCTCGATCTCCTGACCTCGTGAACCTCCCACCTTGGCCTCCCAAAGTGCTGGGATTACAGGCGTGAGCCACTGCGCCCGGCTGTGAAGGACCAAGTTAAACAAGAATAGGGCAGGGAATCACTGAACACATGGACTGACATGAATACATATAGGAAAACAGGAATGCACAGGGAATGTTTTAGAATTATAAATTTGCATGCAGCTGAGCAGTATTTTACTTTAAAATGAATATTACAATGAATAAAGAAGCAAAGAGTATGAGTGGCAAATTAACAAATTAGGGAATGATTAGTAAAAGAACACGGAAAAAATGTAGGCTTACAAAGAATCAAAAGTGCAAATTAAAACACAATGAGAGAGGGTGCCTGTGTCAAGATGGTGAATTAAATACACAAATCTAATTATTCTCTGAACCTCAAATCCCAAAAACGACAGGCATGATTTTAAGAAAATAGAACAAAGTGCCACCAGCAGAGTAGGAATGTTGTGAAATGTTTTAACTATAAAAATCACACGGCACTGGATTGATGGAGAATACTCAAAAGAATGTGCAGAAAAAGACCTCTACCTTGCAGAATGCAGCCCTTCTGGAGGTTATCCAAGTTCACAGGTAATTAAAACATGGAGGAGCTGGGATGAATAGTTGTGGAAATTATTGGGTAGCTGCTGTAACAAACACATCCTGAAATCTCATTGGTTTAATACAATAGACGCTTCTTTCTCCCACTTGTATCATGTGCAATCAGCCGCAAGGATGAGTGAGAGCTGCAAGATGGGGGCGCTGTTGCATGCTTTCCTTCAGTTTGATGGACGCTCTGACATCTTTAAACTATAATTTTAGGTATTTCCCTGGGAAGAAAGGGAGGAAGCAGTAATGCCTTTAGACCAGGGCAAGTGAGGCTTTTCTCCTGGGTCATGCCACTCCGGGATCCCTGTGCTTTGGAGCATCTTCCTTGACATTTTCTAAACCTGGTGTCTCGAACTGCCCAGAGACAGTGTCTTCCATGCAGGGCACTTCAAGTCTGGACCTGGTCTAACATGATTATGGTCATCAGAATCTCCTCTCTGAAATGTCCTAAGCTCTCTCCCAGGACTGGGAACAGCCTGAGCTGGAAGTATCATCCAGGTGAGGCACCCTGGGCCAGGACTGAGTGGGTTTCAGTCCGGTTTCTCCCCTTCGGACTATTCTGTGACTCCTTCCCATATCTTTGTTTTTTTTTTTTTTCTAATGTGTCTTTTCTTTTTTTTTTCCTGGCTGCTTTTAAGATTTTTCTCATCACTACCACTTTTCAGCAATTTTATTATGAGTTGATGTGGCTTCATTCGTGTTTCTTATGTTTGGTGTTTGTCATGCTTCTCATATCTATAGGTTTATAGTTTCATCAATTTTGCAAAATTTTGAGTCTTTTTTTTTTTTTCAAATATTTTTCTCTCCCCTCTCCCTCTTTTCCTGGGAATCCAATTACATGTAGTTTTGACTGCTTGATATTGTCCCACAGATCATGATGCTCTGTTGTTTTTTTTTAAGGCTTCTTGTACTCTGTGATTTCTTTTTCTTTTTTTGGCAGTCTCGCTCTGTCGCCAGGCTGGAGTGCAGTGGCGTGATCTGGGCTCACTGCAACCTCCCCCTCCCGGGTTCAAGCGATTCTCCTGCCTCAGCCTCCTGAGTAGCTGGGACTACAGGCATGTGCCACCATGCCAAGCTAATTTTTGTATTTTTAGTAGAGATGAGTTTTCACCATGTTGGCCAGGATGGCCTCGATCTCTTGACCTCGTGATCTGCCTGCCTCAGCCTCCCAAAGTGCTGGGATTACAGGTGTGAGCCACCGCTCCCAGCCTGAGCCATCGCACCTGGCTTTTTTTTTTTATTTTTCTTTTTTTGAGATGGAGTCTTGCTCTGTTGCCCAGGCTGGAGTACAGTGGCACAATCTTGGCTCACTGCAACCTCCACCTCCCAGGTTGAAGCAATTCTCGTGCCTCAGCCTCCTGAGTAGCTGAGATTACAGGCACTCACCATCACGCCCAGCTAATTTTTGTACTTTTAGTAGAGACAGGGTTTCACCATGTTGGCCAGGCTGGTCTCGAACTCCTGCCCTCAGGTGATCCACTCGCCTTGACCTCCCAAAGTTCTAGGATAACAGGCATGAGCCACCACACCCGGCCAATCAAAGGCTAATTTAATTCCAATACTAAGATAACACTCTAGAGGTTTCTTCCCAATGTGTTGTATATAATGAAATCTTTCCACTATGTCTGGTGGGCAGATGAACTATTCCTAGCCTTGAGCTCCAGCCACGATTGTTCCTACTCCTTTCTGATGGTTGTTATTCTGGTCTTGGAGAATTTTTTTCTCACACATGTACAAATCAATACTTAGGACCCCTCTGCAGCTCAGCCTCTCCTTCCCTCTTCTTCCTTCCCTCCCTTTCATTTTTTCTTTCTCTCTCTCCCTCCCTCTCTATGCCTTTCCCTCTCTTGTCTCCTTTGGGAATTCCTTTTTTTTTTTTTTTGAGACAGAGTTTCACTCTGTCACCCAGGCTGGAGTGCAGTGGCACAATCTCGGCTCACTGCAAGCTCCGCCTCCCAGGTTCACGCCATTCTCCTGCCTCAGCCTCCCGAGTAGCTGGGATTACAGGCGCCTGCCACCACGCCCGGCTAATCTTTTTGTATTTTTAGTGGAGATGGGGTTTCACTGTGTTAGCCAGGATGGTCTCGATCTCCTGACCTCCTGATCCACGGGCCTCGGCCTCCCAAAGTGCTGGGATTACAGGCAAGAGCCACCAGCCCAAACAGGAATTCCTTTTATGAGGAGGTTAGTTAGCTAGATGGTGTTTCATAATTCTTGTAGGCCTTCTTCACTCTTTTTCATTCTTTTTTTCCTTTTGCTTCTCTGATTAGGTAATTTTATATGTTCTGTCTTCGATCTTGTTAATTCTTTCTTCTGGTTGATCATGTCTGCTGTAGAAGCTTTCTAATAAATTTTTTAATTCAGTTATTGTATTTCTAGGATTTCTATTTGGTTTAAAAAATTGTTTCTATTTATTTATTAAATTTAGTATTTTGTTCCTGGGCTGTTTCCCTAATTTCATTTAATTTTCTATCCATATTTTTTGTGATTCCCTGAACTTTAAGAGAATTATTCTAACTTCTCTGTCTGTCATTGTATACATCTTCAATTCTAGGTCCATTGGTTCCTTTTAATGGTGTCATATTTCCCTGAGTTTTCACAATCTTTGCACCTTTACATTGATGGCAGTGCATTTGAGGAGACAGTCACCCCTTCAAGTTTTTGTAGGTGTTCTTTGGTAGTATTAGACCTTTACTAATTAGTATCAGAACTTAAAATCTTGGACTGTTGTCTCTTCCCATTCTAGGGAGGACCTATAATGAGCACCAGAACTAAAACACTGCAGTGGAAGTGATTCATTGTCCTGTTGTTATTTCCTGCTCTGGGGAAGACTTACAGTGAGCACCAGAACTTAATGTTGCTCCAGAAATATATTGCTGCTCTGTCGTTGTTTTCCAGGATGGGGAAGAATAAGTGGGCACTGGAACTTAATCCTGACCTTTTAGTTGTTTCTAGGCCAGGGAAAGGCTCCACACAAGAACCTGGGCTTAATGAAAACTCTGACCAGGGAATTGAGGCCTTCCTGTGAATTGTGCCCCCTGTGGCACTATGGCCCCAGCCTGTCTCTTTATCATGGCATCCCTGCTGATGGGAGCACAAAGTATCCATCAAAATCCACATGCTATTTGCTGCAATCTGTGTCCTGCTCTTTGTGTGCAGTTCACTCTGGGTGGTTCAGCCCTCCTTGCACCCCAGTGATTCCTATGGGACAGGACTTGAGTAGGATTCCCTTGAAGATTTCCAGACTGGTGGGAGATCAAATGTCCACCTCTGATTCCCTTCTCTAACCTGGGAAATTCTCTATAAGTGATGTTATGCAGGCTTGCCAGAGGGGCAGCACAGTCTGAAATGACCATTTCTCTTACAAGTCATAGATTCTCTCTGTCTGTGGGCCCAGGAGGTTTTTCTGCTTCTCCCCTGATTTCTGGTAAATTCAGGATGGTATTCTTGTCTTGGAGTAGTTTCAAGTTGCATTTTTGTGGGGCGGGGAGAGATGCCATGGGACCTTTTATCTCACCATCTTGCTCGTATCATCTCCCTCCCTCCCTCCCTTCTCCCCTCTCTCTGTCTCTCCCTCTCTGCAACTCCATTCTCTGCGGTACTCTGACCCACAGATTCTTGCTACTTTGGCCTCCCCAAACTGTAATCTGTCTTTTCACTTAATGGAGAGTGCCAGGTTCTATTTGGGCCCCCTCCCTGTGCTGTGTCCTGGAAACTGCCTCCAGGCAATAAGCTGGCACAGTCACAAATCTAACCTTATTTGTTTTCCTTCTCCCAGAAATATATCTCTGTGCTGCCTATTATCCAATGTCTGAAAACTGTTGTTTCATATATATTTTGCCCAGATTTTTAGGTAAGGTAAGAAAGAAAATCTTTTCCATTTATTCCACCCTGGTCAGAAACTTCTCAATGTAGCTTTAATTTACATTTCTCTGATGCTGAATTCTTGATCAAAGAGTATACGCATTTCAAATGTTGCGAATACTGCCTACTTGCTCTCCAGAAAAAGTGTTACAAATTTATATTTTAAGAATTTTCGGGCCGGGTGCAGTGGCTCACACCTGTAATCCCAGCACTTTGGGAGGCCAAGGCGGGTGGATCACCTGAGGTCAGGAGTTCAAGACCAGCCTGACCAACATGGAGAAACCCCGTCTCTACTAAAATTAGCCGGACAAGGTGGTGCACACCTGTAATCCCAGCTACTTGAGAGGCTGAGGCAGGAGAACCACTGGAACCCAGGAGGCGAAGGTTATAGTGAGCCAAGATCATGCCATTGCACTCCAGCCTGGGCAACACGAGTGAAACTCCATCGCAAAAACAAAGAAAAAAAAAGGAGTTTTGGAGAGTATTTTCTTACATTCAGGACAATCCCAGTGATTGCCAATCTTAAAACATTGGATATGGATAGGCAGTGATCGGAATAGGAAATACAAATGCCTTTACACATATGAAAACATGCTCAACCCAATATGGAATACAGAGACCCAAAGCACAAAATTAGGAAAAAAAGTAACTTAGTGGAAGGAGAGACCATGCAAAAACAGAAAATATCAATATGTTTTGTTTTTTCAGATAGAGTCTCGCTCTGTCACCCAGGCTGGAGTGCAGTGGTGCGATCTCAGCTTCACTGCAGCCTCTGCCTCTCAGGTTCAAGCAATTCTCCTACCTCAGCCTCCCAAGTAGCTGGGATTGTAAGCGCCCGCCACCATGCCTGGCTAATTTTTGTATTTTTAGTAGAGATGGGGTTTTGCCATATTGGCCAGGCTGGTCTCGAACTCCTAACCTCAGGTGATCCGCCCACCTTGGCCTCCCAAAGTGCTGGGATTACAGGTGTGAGCCACCACACCCAGCCAAACAATATGTTTTTGATCAGAGAAGATAATGCATTCATAAAAGAAGACGCTATTTTTTAAAAGAGACATTTCTGAGAAAAAAAAATGCTCTCATAAATTTAAAATGTGATCACAAAAGTTAAAAAAAACAACAACAAGAAAAACCCCAAGAAACAAAAGAAGGGTTGATAAAAGTTCCCATAAGTTGTACACTCACACACACTAAAGGACAAAGATATGGGAAATAAGAGGAAAAAAAAAAAAGATTAAAAAAAAATAATGGAGCCAATCCAAAAAATCCAGTGCTTACATAGTAGGAGTTTCAGAAACAGAGAATATAGAGGAGGAAATTATCAACAAAATAATTCAGAAAAATTTCCCAAAACTGAGATACTAGATTGAAAGAGTCCAATGAGTGCCCAATACAGTGGATGAAAATAAGAATGAAACATATTATGGTGACATTTCAAAACACTAGGACCAAGAGAAGATTCCGTAAGTTTCCAGAGAGAAAGGGAGAGGAAGAGGAGGAGACGGAGGAGGAGGAAGAGGACAAAGAGGACAGTGAGGATGAGGAAAAGAATGTGGTGACCATACAAAGAATCTGATATGAGAATAACATTGGACATCTCAATAGCTATACTGAAGCTGGAAGACAATGGAAAAATGACTTCAAATGATATCCAACTTAAAATTCTATACCCAACCAAATACCAAGCAAGAGGATGAAGGTGGAATACAGGCATTTTTAGGCATTCAAGATCTCAAAACATATATATATATATATCCCATTAACTCAACATTAAGTGAAACTGATGAATGTGTTCTACCAAAACAAGGAAGTAAATCAAGAAAGAGGAAAACAGGATATTTAGGAAAATAGGAGATCCAACACAAAAGGGAAGCAAATGGAATACCCAGGAAAAAGTGAAGGATGATCCCAAGATTACAGTCATACAGTAAGTATAGAGTCCAATCAGAACAGTGTTATTCAATTGACTGTCATATTAAGAAGTATCATGAGCAAGATTCTGCTTCCTTTTTGCTATTATTTTAATCTGAGGACTGAATGCCCAAATAAAGCCTGGCCCAGATTTTCATATATACTTGGCTTATTTGAATCATGTGCAGATGCATCTCTTCGCTCCACACCCTGACTCTTGGATTAGCTAGGAATACTAATTTCTCTCCCGTGAAATGTTTTGCTTTGACCTATTCCTGAAAGTTTGAGGTAGGCCATAGTGAGCTCGTAAGCAGAAAATACAATGCAGCCTTTTCCCCTATTCCTATTGGACATCCAGTACCTGAACATCCACATTCCTTCCAGATACCTCAACTGTGCTAAACCCTGTTTCACTGCATTCACTCATGACCGTGTCCCCTGACATCCCAAAAGGGGCTGAGGCCAGGCTATAGTCTAGTGATTCTGCACAAGTTGTTTCCTTGGAAGTTTTCATCTAATAGTGGCAATATTGACTTTTCCTTACACAGCTAAGTTTGTGCTTGCTACTTAGTTTCTTTAAAATTAAACAATGTTTTCTTAAATTATACAAATATAGGTGGTACAGCTATACAGAAAAACATCATAATAAATACAAAACTCGTATAGCATTTCCTTTGGAAGGGAAAAAATGAATGCAATTAGGAAGAAACACAGAGCTTTTTCTAAAGTGTCAGTAATATTTTGATCTGGTTGGCATATACACAGCTTTTCATTTCCTTTTTATTTTATTATTATTATTATTATTATTAATATACAGAGTCTCGCTCTGTTGCCCAGGCTGGAGTGCAGCGGCACGGTGTTGGCTTACTGCAGCCTCCGCCTCCCAGGATCAAGCGATTCTCCTGCCTCAGCCTCCTGAGTAGCTGGGATTACAGGCGCTCGCTACCATGCCCAGCTAATATTTTTTGTATTTTTATTAGAGACAGGGTTTCACCATGTTGGCCAGGCTGGTCTCGAACTCCTGACCTCAGGTGATCTGCCCACCTTGGCCTCCCAAAGTGCTGAGATTACAGGCATGAGCCATTGTGCCCGGCCAACTTTTCATTTTCTAATTATTCTTTAAAATGCATGTATATATATATATACACACAGATATGTACATTTTATATACTCTTCCATGTGTGATATACTTCACAAACTTTACAATAAAAAAGAAAAAAACACATAACAAACAATATTCATAACTGGAAAAGTTGGCCATAAAATTGAATGCATGCTGTGATTACAACTATGTGCCTTATGTGACTAGAGGGGAAAGAATGGAAGGCAGTTATATCTAAATAAGAACAGTGAATTACATTTAAAAAATTACACATAATTTTCTCACAAATGCAACAGTTTTCAAGTGACTCCAAATGCATTATCCCATTTGGTCCTCAGCATTCTGTGAGGCAAAGATTTTTAACAACCTTCATATTAGTTATGAAGCAGAGGGCTCACATAGTTTAACAAAGTTTCTCCATAATCTGACAGCCAAGGGTAGTGGGCCTGGAATTCAATTCTCAGTCTTCTGGCTTTAACTTTGCCCTTTACTCTGTCCTCCATGCCATACAACATCTCTATACCATGCTATTTTCCTACCTTGGTCAAGTGACAACTTACTAAAGCTCAGCTTCTTCATCTGTAAAGTAACAATAACAATGATAGGGCTTCATTCAGAGTTATCAAGATTAAATGAAATAAATCATGTAAAGTACTTAGTATAATACCTAGCACATAATAAGTGCCCAATAGCTGTTAAGTATCAGTAATGGTAATGTTAAAATTAAAAACTAATTAGTTGAGTTCAAGTACTATTCAACTAAGCATTAGGCATGCAAGAAAGAATATGAGCTCACTGTCCAGAACAGACACATAAACAAATTCAGGAACCTATGGGAATGATGGCAGTATACAGAGGATGCTATGGGAATAGGGAAAAGGAACATTTGGATTGAGACTGGCTGGGTAAAGGCAGATGGGGAAGGCTTCCTTGAGATGTTACATCCTCTGAGATGTACAGCTGAATTGGAAAGGATATCTGAGATGATCATACTATCCCCTCAACCTCCACCTGAGAAAAGGAGACATAATGATAGTTAGAGTAGAGGCAAGGATATGACTATATTCAGAGTTTAATATTACCTTACTGAGGCCTACGATGGCTGTTAAATCAAAGGAATAAAGACAAAAGATCACTTTTGACAATTAAAAGATAACCAGCATTAAAAATCTTGAACATTTACTGGGGATTAGATAATATCAAGGAAGTGTTAATTTTGTTGTGTGTGCTATGGTTACAATTTTTATAATAATAATTTTTAAAATGTCTTTATTAGAAATAGAGAGTTCAGTTTCCATAGTTATATTTAATTTATACATTTGGCCCACAATGCAAATGAGATGGAGGGAGTCAGGATTATTAAAAGAAGTATCACAAGAAAAAAATCACCAGGAATTCAATGAGAAGAATAATTTTATCTGTACTTTTATATTTTTTTGACATTTTTATAATACAAAATTTAAATTTAAAAAAAAGTCAGCCAGGTGCAGTGGCTCACGCCTGTAATCTCAGCACTTTGGGAGGCCGAGGTGGGCGGATCACTTGAAGTCAGGAGTTCGAGACCAGCCTGGCCAACATGGTGAAACCCCGTTTCTACTAAAAACACAAAAATTAGCCAGGCATGGTGGCACACACCTGTAGTCCCAGCTATTCAGGAGGCCGAGGCAGGAGAATCGCTTGAACCCAGGAGGTGGAGGTTGCAGTGAGCTGAGATCATGACACTGCACTCCAGCCTGGGAGACAGAGTGAGACTCCATCTCAAAAAAATAAAATAAAGTCACTAGTGACCTTGATGGAAGCCATATCACTGCTGTGGAGAGAAGACAGATGGCAAAGGATCAAGGAGTGCATGGGTGAAGAACTATGAAGGCAATGAGTCTAGCATGACTCAAGAATGTGGGCCATAGCTCAATGGAATATCGGGTTGAGAAAGCATAAAGAGTAGATATAAATACATAGATATATACAAAAATAAACATACTTTGGCTAATTCTTTTTTTTTTTTTTTTTTTTGAGACAGGGTCTCACTCTGTCAGGCAGGCTGGAGTTCAGTGGTGCGATCTTGGCTCACTGCAACCTCTGCCTCCTGAGTAGCTGGGACTACAGGCGTGCACCACCACGCCTGGCTAATTGTATTTTTTAGTAGAGACAGGGTTTCACCATATTGGCCAGGCTGGTCTTGAACTCCTGACTTCGTGATCCGCCCGTCTCAGCCTCCCAAAGTGCTGGAATTACAGGCATGAGCCACCTTGCCCAGCCTACTTCGGCTAATTCTAAAGGAAAGCTAAACACATATGTAGGTCTAAAGAGATCGTGCCATTGCACTCCAGCCTGGGGGACAGAGCGAGGCCTGTCTCAAAGAAAGAAAGAGAGAGAGGAAGAGAGAAGGAAAGGAGAGGGGAGGGGAGGGGAGGGGAAAGGAGGGGAGGGGGCAAAGAGAGAAAGACTGAAAAAATAAAAGAGAAGGATGATAGATTAAAAACCCTGATGACAGGCATGGGTCCTAAAAGGGGAGGGGATTCAACTGTTAATAAAAGAGCAAAAGAAACTATATTCAAAACCTCATCCAATGGGACAAAATCTTCAGCTTTCTTTCAGCCCAATCCCCCACTAATTTCAGGGAGACAGCAGCCATTGCCATTATGGTTGGGATAGAGCTATTTTGATGGAAGACCTGACACACTGGAGTTGCCAACAAAAAGGAGAGAAAGCAACATAGCTACTCAGAGTGAAAAGTTTCATATTGAAAGACTGGCATTGGGGTGAATCATGCCATTCACCCACAGCCCTGCTGTTCACCACTAAGTTTAATCAGACTTGTTCCAGCAAATGACCTACCCACACCCTCAGGTCTCAAGTTCGGGAAAGGCAAGAGGTCTGACCTAGGTTGGAGTAACCCAAAAGGGTTAATATGGACTCAGCCTGAGGTAACTGGGGCAGGGTTGGGGACTGGAGGTGTCAGTATCCATGTCAGAGAAATTCTAAGTTCCAAATTCAATAGGTTTTTAATCTCAGGGGTCAGTCCAAACTTAGGCCAACTTTGTTTTGGTTTGAAATAGCAGCAGGCTGCTTAAATGGCTACTCACTAACAGTACTCATGCTATTATTCTATACTAAATTCAATGATGCAGGAATTTCGGCTCACCATTTCTCTGTAATTGAATTTCCACACTTACCCCTAAGTTGGCCCCACAGCAGGAGAAAATTATTTCCAAATAATCATCATAAGAAAAAAAATTAATTTCAATAAAGGAATAAAATTATTCCTCTCCTGTATGCAAACAAAAAAAAATTTCCTTCCTTTCCGCCTACACCCATACAAAGACGTATCTGAATCAGCGGTATTTTGAGAGCCAACAATAACTCCCAATTGTTAAGGAACTCGAATTCTACTAGAATAAATCATTTTCCTAACAATGCCATGCAACTGAAACTATTTGTTGCACTCTTTAGTTGTCTTAATAGGACATCATTAAAATTCCCTTTTCCATTCACTACTTGAGATGCAAAGCCAGGGAAATGGTCCACTACGTGTGGGTAAAGACACTCTAATTAGTGTTATTGTAACCCGGTTTCCTGCCCGTGGATATGCTAAATCATGTGAACTGCATGAATAGCGAAATACAGTGGCAAGTGTTTCAGATCTGCCTGCTGTGCTGAATCTATATTCTGCCTCTAATTAGAGCTACAAAGATTTCCTATATACAAGCCTACATTTCTAACTCTCCACTTGTTATTGACTCTTCCCTGAAGCCACCTCACCCCACGGTCCTCTCGGCAGTGCTCACTCCTGTGTATGTTTTTTATTCCCTGGAACACAATCCATTTCCCCTGGCCAAGAATTCTCACTGACAATACCTGGAGAGCAGAGTTATTCTCAGAGAA
Source organism: Homo sapiens (assembly GCF_000001405.40). Taxonomy (NCBI): domain Eukaryota; kingdom Metazoa; phylum Chordata; class Mammalia; order Primates; family Hominidae; genus Homo; species Homo sapiens. Next base: position 79,522,872 of record NC_000012.12, read on the forward strand.
CAGCTTGCCCAGTGCCAGGCTTCATTTGTCTTTCCCTATGGGTCATTTATCACAGGAAGGTGGCCTGTTGAGGTAAATCCCGATTGAAAGCCTGTATATTCTCCTATGTGCAACCTGATTCCAGCACTGAGCAAAGGAAATTATTTTGCACCCTGCACACAGGGTGCACCAGTACAGAAATGAAAAAGTCTCACCAGCTGGCAATAACACATGCCCTCTCACTGTCTTTGGAAGACAGTCTTCAGTTCTTAGAGAAGAGCAATCACATAGTATGGCGATTTACATATGCTACCTGAGATTTCCCCCATTCCAAAGGCTTTAACTACCTTAACATCAGAACCCAACGTCAGAAGGTCAGGTTCCTAAACTTAGGTATGTTCTTACATCCATTTCCTCACCCTTTCCCACCTTCTCTCCATCCTGTTGAACTTGATGTTACAGGTAGAATCCATTTATAAACAACTCAGGTACATTTATTCTACATTCAGTAAACATCTGTAAGTTGCTGGTATGCACCAGGCACAATGGTAATAAGTAAATCCAAATCATTGGAGGAAAGTAGAATTCTGATTCTGAAGAATTATACATCACACTAATACAAGCATTCATTATTGATTTTCAATTTTTAGGGTCTATCTATACACAAAACTTCAACTCGATAAAAACACACAGGGCAGCATGTGAATGTTAACAAACGTGACAATGTAAAAACACAGATGACAGAGTCTGGGAAGTGGAAGGCAGGAATCATTGTTCATGGGAAGGGTTGGGGAATCAAGAAATAATTTCTAGGGTCAATGGAAGAATTAAAAAAGGAATAAATAAATTAAACCTATGGAGTTAATTATAGCAGACATTATTTGTGCCTGTCCTATTGCTACCCCCCCTTCTTCCTCCCTTCCTACTGCTTTTTTTGTTGTTGTTATTGTTAGCAGAGGCCAGTTTTTACTCATGTCTCCACATTATTCTTTGCGATCGGGTCATGAGCTCAGAAGGATTGAGGTAAATCATGATTATTGTAGATTATGGTAATGGCACACCCCTTGTCAGTCATGAATAGTGGGTATATGGCTGGTTTTAGTCGGAGACATGAGGAGGAATCTGCGCTGGGCTTCCAGGAGTGCTAGAAAGGAAGAAACAGCCTCTCATATTCTTTTAGACATTATCTGAATTAATTAATCTTATAGCTGACTTATCTTGGGATGTGTTATTGCGAGAAAATACATTTTCCTTACTGCTTAAATATTGAAATTGATTTTCAATTACTAGCAGTGAATGTACCTTTACATAAGATAAACCACTGAGGAATTAAAAATGATGATTTAACTATACTGGAAGGAAGGAGAAAAGATGGGGGAGGAAATACAAGTGAAGAAAACTTCCACATAAATAGTAGAAAGTCAGTAGATAATAGACATATAACTGATTTTTTTTTAAAGGAAATGAAGTAGTGGTATAATACTATTTAGAGAGATGGAAGTAGTCATCAAAATAAACAGGAGTTAAAAATGGGACCAGAATTGAGGAGGGGAGTGGTGGGTAAACGTTGCTTTCCATTATTAAGTCCTTTTGCACTATTTTATTTTTAAACTATGTGCATGTATTATTTTGATAAAAGTTTTAAAATTGACATAAAAAAGAAAATGAATTTAAAATCACAAATTAATTTCCTTTTCTGGAGGCACTAGAAAGAAAGAAAATAGGAATTTTTCTCTGAGACAAATCAGCAAGTTAATAGAAGTGCTTTTAACCTAGGAAGAGTTCCAAGGGCTCCAGTGCTTTTCCTTGTGCTATTAGCGCAGTAGCGTTCTCTTTGTGCAGATGTGGATTAGGCTTTTGGCAGTGAAAGTGTTTGAAACAGGAAGAGATAAAGGAGCTTGGAAGGCAAATAAAGATAAAAATCCCCTAGCTACAGTCTAATCCGTTTTTCTCTCCCCATCCAAATAATGCAAATGACACAGATTCTCAGATTCCATTTTGTGTTTGTCTGCCTGTTTGTTTTAGAGACAGGGGTCTCACTATGTTGCCCAGTCTGGAGGGCAGTGGCTATTCACAGGTGCAGTCCCACTACTAATCAACATGGCAGTTTTGACCTGCTCCATTTCTGACCTGGGCTGGCTCACCCCTCCTCAAGCAACCTGGTGGTCCCGAATTGGGAGGTCACTACATTGTGGCCAAACATAGTGTGGACACTCTATCAGCATAGCACACTACAGCCCAAAACGGCTGGACCCAAGCGATCCTCCCACCTCAGCCTCCTGAATAGTTGTGATGATAGGTGTGCACCACAGCATCCAGCTCCATTTTGTTATGAATTAGATAACTCAGCATGCTGGATTTCTCCCACCAATTTTCTCCAAACTAATTTCACTCTTAAAATTACAACAGAAAATTGTCTTGGTTATCTTGACAGTCTCCTCAGGGATATGAACACAGATCACCCTTCAAAGTGGATCTCCCACACCTGTTTGACGTTGTTAACTAAAAGGTACTAATGCCCTAACTTGAGCAACCAGCAGTGCTTTAAATCAGCCAGACATTCCTCTTCAATAAATCCCAAAGCCTCCAAAGCTACAATTGTGTTCTCAGGAGAACAGAGTTACTAAAACAAGTTCTAGGAAGAGGACAATCCTATAACTTCCAAAGTCCAAGAGAAATAAACATTTAACTTCCAACTTTATTCACTTAGTGATGTCCCATTGAACCCACTGGTCAATAGGCCATTTGCTTTAAGTTGTTTTTCAGTAATGCAAGCCATACATATTGGTTTAAAGTCAGTTAAAATAAATCCTAACCTGAATCTACTGAAGTCTTCTTTAACTTATTACAATATTAAATATGTCTTTATCTAGCCATGCATATTTCTATGAATATATCCTTCAGAAAAACATACAATATTGTACATTGCAGCATCTTTTCTTGAGGCAAAACTTAAAACGGAAACTGGAAACAATCTGAAAGTCAAATAGCAGGAGACTAATTGAATATATAATGATGTAATCACCTTATGGAATATCATGCAGCTATAAAATCAAAAACAAACTAGATAGAATTCCATGAATTGACAGAGAAAGGCGTTCATGATATGTTGTTACATATATAAAAAGCAAGTTGCAGAAATATGTGCCCAATTTCATTCTATTTTTCTAAGAAAAGGTATGCATTCTTTTTTCATATAACTGAGGGAAGGTATGAGAGGGTATATAACAAACTATTAATGATGATCATCTCAGTGCATGGAATTAGAGCACAGTCGAGTTTTACTTTATATACTAGTGAATATTTTGAATTACCATATCAACCATGCATTATTTTGCATCAAGGGAAAAAATAAAATTCGTCTGTTGGGAATGTGAGAAAGTTATCAATCCTTCTTTCCAGGACACTCCTAATATCACAATTTAATAAAAATATATCCAGTTTTTTCAATATCTTCAGTAGATAAAGATTTTACAAACTTCTGTAATTTTGTCATAATACTAGTTTTGTTTATCAAAAGGCTCAGATGTATAATATAGTAGGTAATTCACATACAGTTACTTATCTACTCCTCTACTAACAGCACAGGCTCTGTTATGTCCATTTTACAGATAAGAAAACAAAATAACTTAAACAAGATCACATAATTCTAGAAAGTAGCCTAGCCAAGATAATAGACTGGAAAGCAGACCTAAGTGGAAAGCTAATGTTCTTCCTAACACTATACTAGAGCTATTAGGCACATACATCTAAGTTAAATCAATCACTTCATTTCAAATTCATTTGTAAATGAAAATAGCATACTATGGGGATCTAAAAAACCTACCTTTTAGAGTTGTTTAAAAAGGATCAAAGTGTTTAAAAAGGATCAAAAGAGTTTTCCCAGTCTTCAACAAATCCCTCTTCTTCTACTCATCACACTCGCCTCCTAAAGAAAACTGTCCTTCATGAGCCACCATGTCTTCTGGTACTCAAAGTCATACTCTTCCTTCCTTATATTCTCCTTCAATCTGTTTTTCTTTTTTTGAGACGAAGTCTTGCTCTGTCACCCAGGGTGGAGTGTAGTGGGGCCATCTCGGCTTACTGCAACCTCTGCCTCCCGGGTTCAAGGGATTCTCCTGCCTCAGCCTCCCGCATAGCTGGAATTACAGGCATGTGCCACCACACCCAGCCAGTTTTTATATTTTTAGTAGACACAGGGTTTTGCCATGTTGGCCAGGATGGTCCTGACCCTCCCAAAGTGCTGGGATTATAGGTGTGAGCCACTGCGTCCGGCCTACCTTCAATCTGTTTTTCAAAAATTACCTGAGTGAAGTCTCTCCAAATTCTCTAGGTTTCTCTAGACTTGATACCTGATCAGGGATCTTCAATATTGAAGATTACCTCACGACTTCTAAAAGCTAAGATTGTATTCATGTATCAGAATATCCTGCAGGTGTGGTGTTATGTTTTGTACATTAACAAAATAAAAAATATTGCAGACTCATAATCATTTAACTCTAATATCTTTTTCAGCTCTACTTGCATATGATTTGTCATTCCTGGCCTTGAATTTGTAATATTTGTTAGCAACTCTATCGGGCAGACAGTGGCCAACAATTTTTACAGGGAAATGCTCATTACAGCAAAAGATGAAAACTCAGTAGGGTTTAGAAAATGCAAAGCATAGTAAATAAGAAATGGGAAAATGCACTAGACATCAGAGAGGAGGTAGCTCTGTCCCCTATTGTGTATCCTGAGACATAACTGAATTTATTACTGATGCTGTATTCCCACACAGTTTCAGTGACCAGAAGTGCTTTTCATCCCATCTCTGGCTGGTCCAAAGATCATACTCTCCAGGGACCTAGTACTTCATAATAATGATTCATTATTTATTCTAGCCCCAGGACATTTCAAATGAGTGTTTCAAACCACTGCTGGTTATTATATTGGATTTAACTCTACTGATGCATTTATTGACACCACAGGATCCACCGAAATGCAGCAGTCTCCACAGCTCTTTGAAAGCTGCATCTTTATTTGATTTTCTTTCTCAAATCCTGAAACCTAGCACAAGAATCTTTCTATGATAATTAATCAAAGTAAACGTATTTGGCGAATTAATTAATAAATGAACATTTAAACAAACTAGCAGAGTAAAATCTAATGACTTTAAAGTTTTAAAGAATTAATTATTTTTCTTAATGAGCATAGCAAACATTTTCCAAGCCCATGCCAAAATAGCCATGAAGGTAGGAGTGGCATCTGGTGTTACCTGGCATACTGAAGAACTCAATTAATAGTTGCTGAGAAAATGAATGACAAGCTAGATTATCAAAACAAGTTATCTTATTATTTTTTCTTGATATTATACAAGTGCTATGGAGTAGAAACTGGAAACATGTCTGCTCCTTTTTTATCTACCTTTAACCTTTCTGCCTGGGATCACTGCTACCTGAGTCACAGTGTCTATATATCCTACAAATAGAAAGAGACATAGGTCATCAGAGAGAAAATTCAGAAGGGTGCTTCCAAGTCATTTCCAGAAAACCAGCCTTCAGGATCAACAGAAGAAAAGGAAACAAAATAACACCCCCCCACCCCATCCCATATCTCCCTAGAGCATAGATGCTGCTAATTGGAAAGGGTGCTTTAAACCCTGAAGAGAAACCTCATCTGGAGTCTACTACAAGTAAATCTTCACAGCTGCATTTGCTTGAGCCCATAAGAAAGGATGTAGAGGAATGAAAAGAAGAGGCTGTTAGTGTAAATGGTAAACCACATACAGTCATGTGCCACATAACATTTTGATCAATGACAGATCATATTAATGATGGCGGTCCCATAGGATTATAATACCGTATTTTTACCACACCATTTTATGTTTGGACACACAAATACTTACTGTTATGTTACATTTGCCTACAGGATTGGGTACAGTCACATGCTATACAGGTTTGTAGCTGAGGAACAAAAGGCCATGCCATAGAGCCTAGGTGGCCAACATGGCAAAACCCTATCTCTACTAGAAATACAAAAATTAGCCGGGTGCGGTGGTGGGCACCTGTAATCCCAGCTACTCGGGAGGCTGAGGCAGGAGAATAGCTTGAACCCGGGAGGCAGAGGTTGCAGTGAGCCAAGATCGCGCCATTGCACTTCAGCCTGGGCAACAGCGCAAGACTCTTTCTCAAAAAAAAAAAAAAAAAAAAAGAAAAGAAAAGAAAAGAAAAGAAATCACAGATATCTGGTACTGATGTATCACCCAGGCCACAAATTGCAGACTACTGGGTATCGGAAAACAAACTGTCATCTGAAAACGTCTCCTGAATAGATACCACTAGTTAAAAAGGTATTAATGCAGCTTTCTAATTACAGTAATGAAGTAGTTTACAGCAGAATGACTAATTCCTTTGCACAAATATGAAGGGAACTCTAGAGAATTACTTTACTATAAAATCCCCCTTTCTCCCCAATGCCACCAGCAGCCTTAATAATAGTACCACCATCTACTCATTGCTCAGATTAGAAACCTAGTAGTCATCCTGAGTTCTTCTCTTTCACATCCAATTCATTTATAAGTCTTGAGAGCCCTGGCTACAACAAACGTCTCTAAACTGACCATTTCTCACCTTCGTTGTTACCACCCTATTTTAAAGCAATTAACAGGTCTCCTTGACATCACATGTGCCATCACATTGGCAAGGCAACCCATTTGGCCATTTTCTTCACAGCAGACAAATTAATTTTTTCTAATTACATCAGACCTCATCCCTTTCCTGCATAAAACACTCAATGACTCTTCATTGCAACATGAATAAACTCCAAACTCCTTACCATGGCCAAAAACGCCTTCAGTGACCCAGCCTCTGCCTTCCTCTTTAGCCTCATCTCCCTGAGCATTCTCCCTTGTTCACCCATCCCAATCTACTGGTCTTGTTTCTATCAGACATGCTGAGCTCAATCTCTTTACCCTCAAAATTGTCAAATGGTTGCCTTTTCCCCAACATTCAGACTTTAATTCAGATATCATTCTTCTGAGAGATCTTTTTTTTTTTTTTTTTTGAGATGGAGTTTTGCTCTGTCGCCCAGGCTGGAGTGCAGTAGCACGATCTCGGTTCACTGCAACCTCCACCTCCCAGGTTCAAGCCATTCTCTGCATCAGCCTCCCGAGTAGCTGGGATTACAGGCGCCCACCATCACGCCCAGCTAATTTTTTGTATTTTTAGTAGAGACGGGGTTTCACCATCTTGGCCAGGCTGATCTTGAACTCCTGACCTCATGATCCATGTGCCTCGGCCTCCCAAAGTGCTGGGATTACAGGTGTGAGCCACCGCGCCTGGCCTCTTCTGAGAGATCTTCCTTAACCAATTTAGTCAATCTGTAATGCATCACTTTATCTTATCTTCTCATGGCTGCACTTTTATCATTTGTCTCCTCCCACTAAAGTGGAAGCTATGTACAGACAAGGAGTCATCTGTGTTGTTCTTTTCTCTGTCCTCATGAACACAACAGTTCCTAGCACAAAGTATGCATTAGTAAATATTTGCCAACTAACCTAGTACCACCATAAAAGGATATTCTTCTCCAAATAACAAAGCTTCGTGTTCAGAATTAGCACACCTGGAAGCTCCATTTTGAAAAACAAACAGCTTATCTCTTTGAAAGGAATATTTCAGACCACTGTGTGATACGATTTGCATCCCTAAGCAAAGAAATGACTTGTCATGGGCAGACACTATAAGTAGTTCATTTTTCATTCTCACTGGATTAAGATGTAAAAGTCTGATTTCAACATCCTGAGACCTTCAAACTAAACTTGATGAATTATTTCCCTTCTCTGGTCAATGGATAAACAGAAACTTCTTGTCAATTCTCACTATAATTTACTGAATCTTAATCTTTGGAAATCTGTTTGCTCCATCTTAGTGCAGTTACAGCTCCACTGTGTGGAAAAACAAGGGAGACAGGCAATAGAATATAGGTATGTTACCTAAGTGACCAGTGAGAAAATTTGGGAAAGTGTGTATAAGAGATTATAATCTGTAAAAACATATGCACAAAATATCAGAATGATAAAGAGTATTTTATTCTTATCTAGATTGGATATGGTATTTCTAAAAATTAATTATGAATCAGGGGCCAATAAATATTTGATTATTTACATGCTGTCTTTCCCATCTTCCCGCCTCTTATTTCCATAGCACGCTTGAAGCTGTTCAGCAATTTTCGCTTTTAACTATTGCATCTCTGTCAGTAAACACTCTGACATGTATAAAAATCACAAATACAAAACACAAAATTCATTCTAGTCAGATCCAGAAATGAGACAATTTAAAGCAAATAATTCCCTATGTGTAGATACATAGAGATGCAGCTATGGAAACTAGCAGAGGCAGCACTCTCTTTTCTGAAAAGAAATGTTTTCCATTGACTTGCATCCCTTGACCTTTGCCTAGGAAAAAAGATCCTTCATAAAACTGTCAATCATTACGAGTGACACTAAATCAAGACCTAATCAATGTCCAACTGGCTCAGTTTCCAGGAGATCAGGTGCAGAGATAAGTTAATAATCTCTTCCCAAAAGGCTCAGAAATATTTTTAACATTTCTTAGGATTTCATACATTGCAATTTTGGGTCTTCAAGGCACCAAAGCATAGTCTGATTTCTAGTAACACAGCAACACTCAAACAAAGAGCTACGCAGCTTCTACTGGTTTACCGCTGAAGACTTTAAAACCATTTCAGACCCAGTTTCAACAAATGACTGATGGAAATAGTAGAATTCTTTCCTTCCCTAGCTTCAGTGGGTAGAATGAGCTCCACTATGTACTACTGGGTCTTTCATTGGACTAACCCATTAGAAGGCTTCAGCTGTTGGTGAAATTAGAAACTAGGCAAAGTTTATCTTTGGTGACTCAAGCAAGATAAACCCTCATCTCCACTCTCCCCCATGCTCCTGTTGCTCAAGTTCTTTTCCTATCAAAACATCCTCTGTGCAAGAAATCAGAACTCCCTAGCATTAAAATAAATGTTCGCTAGAAGCTTCAAGGATGACCTTTCTCAAGGAGCTAAGGAAACGAACAGGAATCAGAGCTCTGAATTATAGTATGTTTTCCAGAAAAAGAGAACAGGTAGGGAGATGATAGGGGAGTTTTACCTGAACCTGTAAAATGGTACCACACAGCAGCTGTCTGCTTTGTCTACACTGTGGTTGTCAATTCAGTTAAAAACTTCAAAACCAGACTCTTCTCTCAAGTCGTTCATAATTCAGACAAGTAAACAATTAATTTTCATTTATGAAATAATTGCAAGGATATTTAAAGGACAGAATTAGTACAAAAAAAGGTTAAGTTTTACAGAGGAGGCAATAATTGAGCTTGGTTTCCAAGAATGAATAAGAATTTGTCAGTGGTTGTGGTTAAAGGACATTTTAAGCAATGGGATCAAAATGAGCAAGCTAAGGTGAACTGAAAAGCATTATATTAGTAGCATGGACTCTAATTCACCTCTCTTCCCCCTCCAGAAGATTCTGACCTTAAGTATTACGAACTCTGCTTACAACTATCAGTGTTCAGTTTTAGGACATAAATATGTATTGAGAATATTATTGATGGATATTCACTGTGTGGAATACAATGATGAGTAAGGTACAGCCCAACCTCAAAGCAGTTTACAATATAATGGGTTTAGACAGAAATGTATGCAAATAACATAAGATCAGTCAAAATGAAATTCATCAAATCCCCCAATCGGACCATAGTTCCCCGTATGGCTGACAGCAGCTGCTTAGACCAGACTTTTTTTTTTTTTTTTTTTGAGATGGAGTCTGGCTCTGTTGCCCAGGCTGGAGTGCAGTGGCACGATCTCGGCTCACTGCCAGCTCCGCCTCCCGGGTTCACACCATTCTCCTGCCTCAGGCTCCCGAGTAGCTGGGACTACAGGCAACCACCACCATGCCCAGCTAATTTTCTGTATTTTTAGTAGAGACGGCGTTTCACCTTATTAGCCAGGATGGTCTCGATCTCCTGACCTCGTGATCCGCCCGCCTCGGCCTCCCAAAGTGCTGGGATTACAGGCGTGAGCCACCGCGCCCGACCATAGACCAGCCTTTACTCAGCTAACAGTATGCAGGCCTGTTAGAGTAAGGAGAGCTCTGCTCCAAGTGTTGACAAATATCCCTCCCCCTGTGGCTAAATCAGCCTGCCCGGTCATCCGTGACGAAAGTTTGAGCTCACCAGGAAGCCTTGACTCCTTTGGCCAGATATCCAGCTGATTGTTTTGGACAATTATGAATTGGGTAAATATTTTCTTAAGGCTGAAATGTTAACAGTTTGGGTAAATGCTCTCCAAAGCTTCAGGTAGGGAGTCAACCACACTTTTCCTTTAGAAAGTCTCATCCTCTCACTTTTAACCTTTTAAAGCAGTATGGGCAAGATTGGAATTCACTGCTGCTTTTCTTTTTTCCTTTTTTATTTTCTTGAGTGCAGAAGCATGGAGGACCCGTGTTAAGAGGTCCTTCTCTCTCAAGAAAACATCTGAAGTCCAAACACCTGCCTTGAGATTCCCACTTACGGAATGATATGAGCCTCTCATGTAAAATGAATGCAGTAACAAAAGATGAAAGCAATCTTAGTAAACACTGAGATTTCATTATATGAAAAAAATGTGAATGGGGTATTCTGTAGTTTAGAATCACAGGAGCATAGACTCAAAAAGACCTCAGAGGCCATTTCATCTGATTTCTCATTTTATGATTTAGGGAATTCATTTTCATTCATTCACTTATTCAAAACTCAAAATGATTCATCCTAGGCCAGCATTCATCTTACTGACTCTCAAAGTATAATCCCAGCAGCATTAACATCACCTGGGCCTTCCTAAAAGTAAAAATTCTTTTTCATTTTATTTACTCATTTATTTATGAGACAGAGTCTCACTTTTTTGTGCAGTCTGGTTTCAAACTCCTGGCTTCAAGTGATCTTCCCACCTCAGCCTCGCAAAGTGTTGGGATTACAGGCGTAAGCCACTGTGCCCAACCAAAAAAAAAAAAAAATTCTTGAGTCCCATCCCAGATCTACTGCATTGGAAGCTGCGGTAGTAGGGCCCAGCATCTGTATTTTAACAAATCCTCCAATTTATTATAGTGCATGTAGAAGTTTGAGAATTACTTCCCTATACCCTATAAGTGAAATGTATTAGTCAGGGATATATAGTTTAACTGGTTTAAGCAAAAAAGGGAATCTGTGCTCTGTACAACTATTAAGTTCAGGGAATAATACTTTCTCCAGAATATCTGTGAAAAACACCACATTTTTGCAATGACTCCCAATTTCCTTCCCCATCAACTACATACTCCTCTGTTACAGTTGTACATAATCTTGCTCCCAAGTTGCCTAACTTGATTTTCCACTGCTCTTCAACAGGCATCTCAGTTAGACTTTGTAGTCTCCTCTCCATGCCTTGACCATGCCATGTCCATTTCCCTCATTCCCATTTCATCCATGAAGTTCCCCTCGACCGTAACACTTTGCATTCCCTCCACCTATCAAAAATCCTGCCCAGACATTAAGATTTAAGCTTACATTCCACCACTTACATAAAAAATCCTTTGTCTGCTCCAACCCTTTCTTATAACTGTCTTATGAACTCCCACAACATTTAAGTCTCTGACTCACACAATGTAGCTGTTAATTACATTTCTGTCTTAGGGACTGTTTCGTTGTAAAAGAACCCATCTGTGTTAGCTTAAATAAGTGTAGATAGTGGTAAGGATTCGGATGGATTTCCCATAATCCAATTGCAGGATAATGAGCTAAACCTCAACAGGTTTGAAAGTCTTAAGTATTAGATAAGAGCACTTACTCCTCATGTTGCAATATGAATAGACATATACTGGCCTCTCTCCTTAACCCTCAATCAATCTTAATCAATTATCTGACTGGTGAGTTTGAAGGAAGAAACTACACATGCTTTGTGCAGCCCTTTCCTTTCTTCTCCTTGGGAATCTTCTGAATGGGGCGTTCAAGGGCAGGTCCCCACAGCAGGGAAAAACCAGGATGGGACGGTGGGCAGCACTGCAGTTTTCCAAGTCTGCCTTTGATTAGGTAGATAAGTTTATTTCTGCAGTGAAGTTGGTAAGCCCCTTGATACTGCAAGATTAAAGTTGTCCTCCTGGTTGGGTGTGGTGGCTCATGCCTGTAATCCCAGCACTTTGTGAGGCCAAGGCAGGCGGATCACAAGGTCAAGAGATAGACCATGCTGGCCAACATGGTGAAACCTCATCTCTCCTAAAAATACAAAAATTAGCTGGCCGTGGTGGCATGTGCCTGTAGGCCCAGCTACTCAGGAAGCTGAGGCAGGAGAATCGCTTGAACCCGCAAGGCAGAGGTTACAGTGAACTGAGATTGGGCCACTGCACTCCAGCCTGGTGACAGAGCGAGACTCCATCTCAAAAAAAAAAAAAAAAAGTTGTCCTCCAAATGGCTTAGGTGACACTTTTATTTCCATGTGCCTGACTTAATTATCTGTCCCTCAATTGGTTTGGAACTCAGGAGATGAAAAAGGGGGTGTTATCAATGGTCACACTAAAATTTAGATAATAGGCACTGATCTTTTCTCTATCTGAAGCTGCATATTTAGGATTTCTGCTGTAATCCACTCCAATTCATCTCACTCTGAAAACTAACTTCTTTTTAACTGGATCTTCTGGTTCCTCACTAACTTGGGCTTTTATATGGAACTAGTGTTATTATTAGTGACAGAGATTACTAATTTTCACCAAAATTTAATCTCCTCTGCTTCTTTATTAAGAGAACACCCAAATAGGTGGTGAATGGTGGCCCAGAATAAAGAATACATTTCTCATCTAGGTGTGGACATGTGTTAAAATTCTCACCAATGAGATTTAAGTGGAAGAGCTGTGCACACTTCCCAGAAGATATCCTAAAAAGGGAAGGAGTTTGATCTTTTCTTCCAATTTCTTCCATTCTATTGATTGAAATGCAATTCTAATGTCTGGAGCGAGGGCAGCCATTTTGGACCATGACAGAGAAACAGAGGTGTGCTAGATCTGGCTTATATGAGCTTGGGAGAGCAGATGATTAAACATTGAGGAATTCTGCAAGCTGGTTGTTAAACCATTGTAGCTTGAAATTGGCCATGGTGGGAGTATTTCCACCATGAAAATCAGGCAAATGCTACAAATTATGCCATTTTCCCCCCCAGAGGGCCAGTTTACCAGCCTGCGACTGGGTAAAAGCCACATGTTGAAAATGGTAGAGCAATAAGACAGAAGGGGTCTGAGTCCCTGATGATCATGAAATGGCTAGCCAGATGAGCCTTCAGGACTGCCTATATTTACATCAGAGAAAAATAAGTTACCATCTTGCTTAGGCATTGTAATTTTTGCTTTCTGCCCCTCAAAGCCAAATTTAATTGTAACTAAAGCCCATTTGAGGCACTAGGCCCAACTCAACACTATCTAAATACAGTTTTGGGGTCATTAAGGAAACTGAGAAAGAAAATATAACTTGTTCAGCTTAGGTCAGGTATTCACATTCCTGGTGCAATCTGTGGGGCCAGAGATGTGGGTTCCATGGTACACACCTAGCCACCTAAACCTATCCTTTCAGCAGGGGCTATTGATTCACATCTGAAAAAGAAGATATGGGCTGATAGACATCCCAAACTAGTTTACTATGCTACCATTTGCTATATTAGCATATAATAAATGGTAGTACAGCACATCGTTGTCATTGTTGTTTTCTTTTTTTGAGATGGAGTTTCAGTCTATTGCCTAGGCTGGAGTGCAGTGGCATGATCTTAGCTCACTGCAACCTCTGCCTCCTGGGTTCAAGTAATTCTCCTGCCTCAGCCTCCCAAGTAGTTGGGATTACAAGCATCCACCACCACGCCTGGCTAATTTTGTATTTTTAGTAGTGAAGGGGTTTTACCATGTCAGTCAGGCTGCTCTCAAACTCCTGACCTCAGGTGATCCACCCACCTCGGCCTCCCAAAGTGTTGGGGTTACAGGTGTGAGCCACTGCGCCCAGCCCTTATCTAATATCATTCTATGTAGCATCTATTCCTTTTAAGCTTATTTGTCTGAATTATTTTCCAAAAATGTTTTATAAATCATTGTTCATATGCATTTTTCCTTTCATTGGTAGATATAGATTTTCTGTTTTGCCATGAGTGCAGTAGACTGTTTTATACTCTGTCAGCCACTGAGCACTCTACTATGCTGCCCTAAGTATCTTGTTTATTCCAGTATGGTCTCTCTCCATTTATTTTATGTTCTAGCCAACCATTTTGACCAATAATGCCTGACAAAACTGTTCAAATGATGGTGCTGTACCACAGGAGACCTTCAAATACCTGTTTTACTGCAGCTCTAAGTACCTTCAAGGAAACAGAGAATAAAGAGAATAAGAGACTTGTAAAGATCTTTTGACTATACGAAAACCCTCATAAACATGACTGCATCCAAGGAGGATTGACCAAAAATCATGTGAATATGGAGCTATAGGACGACATAGATGGAGGCATATCAGACTTTAGGGGATCTGAAAAGACTGGAAAAACTACTGTCACTGTAGTTTTTCAGTGGAAAGGCATTTCCAGTGGACTTTGCTATCATGACCTTTTATATTGCTGATTCAGTTAGGGCACCCCAATTCAAAGACACAATGCAGCATGTAAATGCATCTACTTAAAGTGTATGTGTGTGTGTGTGTGTGTGTGTGTGTGTGTGTGTGTGTGTGTGTGTGTGTATTTCATATCTGAATTGATATTATATTGCTAATCATATTATAAACTCCTGGTGGACCTGGAGAGAAAAAATAAATAAATAAGACAGGATCCTTAACCTATTACAGAAAAGAGAAAAATAAAGAGAACACTACAAAATGGTGTGAAAAGTGCTATGAGAGAGGTAAGCAACGTGTAGTGTTCATAAAAGTTGACTTTCCAATATTCATTCCACTCCCTGCGGACAGTATAATCCACCAATGAGAATCCTATTCCCTTGACTGGCCATTGGCTTCAAAAGTGAACATATGATTCAGTCTTGGTTAATGAGACACAGAAGGAAGTGGGAAGTTTTCTGAGAAAGTTTTCTCACTCCTAAACTGGAGACATAAAGAAGAGATGCTCCCTCTCTTTCGCTGAACTTTGGAGTGGGCTTACTATAAGGCAGTAGATATTATTTTAGCACATGGAAAAGAAGGCCTGGAAAGAAAAAGGTATCTGAGTAGACAGACTTTAAATGCCATAGGAGGAAGTACCATTCTTCTCATGGCCAGGAGCTAAACCTTTTAAAAAAGGCCTAGACCAATTACTTTGCATGATAACTAATTGCAGAAATCTTATCCCTATTCCTTACTATGTTATAGGGCTAGGACCAAGTGTAAAGCAAAACCACAAGCACAGCACCTTGGCCAGCCCAACTGGCAGTGTTAAGATCAAAAATTCCATTTTTTTTTTCCTAAGAGTGAGATTGAGTATTTGATGGTGAGAAAAACAAAATGATTAGTATGAAAATTTTGGGGGGAAATGGAACTATTCAATGATCCCTTCCCCAAATTCTTCATCCGTCAAACTACTCATACAGGAGTTTTGCTTTCTTCAGGTGCACCTCAAGAAACACATGTTTCTCAGGAGACTGATATACTAACCAATCTCTATAATTATTTCTAAATCCTGTCCTTTCAGAGTCTTGTTCTCTCCACTGGTCATGTGAGGTTCTTAATCCTCACTTTGCATCAAAATCATTAGATTAAAAAACAAAACAAAACAAAACCCTAAAACTACAATACCAAGAACAATTGAAGCTAATATGAAGCCAAGACTGAGAAACACTAACTCATTGTACTGGGGACTAAACATCAAGAATCGCAGAGGAAGGCCTGGAGCTAAGAATAAAACTCTACCTCACGTTCTATGTCTAAAGAAGTTACAGATGTATGGGACAGACATCCTCATGCAGGCATTAAAGGCAGTTAATACTTCAGCAGACTCACTTCTCTGATTAAAGACTTGGAGAAAACAGAGGTCACGCTGGGTGGGTGGCTCACACCTGTAATCCCATCACTGCCAAGGCAGGCGGATCACCTGAGGTCAGGAGTTCAACACCAGCCTGGCCAACAAGATGAAACCCTATCTCTACTTTAAAAAAAAGAAAAGAAAAATTAGCTGGGTGTGATGCCACACACCTGAAATCCCAGCTACTTGGGGGGCTGAGGCAGGAGAATTGCTTGAACTTGGGAGGCGGAGGTTTCAGTGAGCCAAGTTATGCCACTGCACCCCAGCCTGGGTGACAAAGTGAAACCCTGTCTCAAAAAAAAAAAAGAAAGAAAGAAAGAAAAGAAAGAAAACAGGGGTTATCTCTTAGGGAGATGCATTTTGTGGAGGGCTGACTATCCCTTCCACCATCTCTTACTGTTTGGGGAGTTAGAATGTGACCTAGGCATTCCACATGAACTAAAATGTGCTTCCCACCAACACCACTAAGCTGGGGATTGGAGATTGGCTCTGATCTGAAAGTTGTCACATCATTGACCTGACACAGCACCTGATCCTTGGGAGAGCAGAGGGAGGAGAGAGGTGCTGAAGCTGAGAAGTGCCAGAGGACAGACTGCATTGCCACTCTTTGGAGTAGCAAGAATAAAGGGTTTCGCATGGCACTGATAAATACCAAGGAAGGTGGCGGGAGGCTTAAGTCTTCGTGCTTTCCCATGAAACTGGGTACTATGGTATGAAGAAGATTGTTACACCTGAGAGAGGTCTCCACCTGAAGCCTGGTCAGAAATATCCTATAGAGTCCACTGAAGAACCAGCATATGTGTCTCAAGAGAGACCACATTCAGACTCCTTCCTATGGATTCAACCAAAAGACAGTCTGTTGGCCAAATAAACAGCCACAACCTACGGAGAGAAGTGAGGACAAGACAACCTCACTAGAGGCAGGCAGGTAAGAGGAGTCAATGTCAGCCTCAGTTTCTACATCAGAGGGTAACTGTCAGGCCTCTGAGCCCAAGCCAACCCATCGCATCCCCTGTGACTTGCACATATACGCCCAGATGGCCTGAAGTAACTGAAGAATCACAAAAGAAGTGAATATGCCCTGCCCCACCTTAACTGATGACATTCCACCACAAAAGAAGTGTAAATGGCCGGTCCTTGCCTTAACTGATGACATTACCTTGTGAAAGTCCTTTTCCTGGCTCATCCTGGCTCAAAAAGCACCCCCACTGAGCATCTTGCGACCCCCACTCCTGCCCGCCAGAGAACAAACCCCCTTTGACTGTAATTTTCCTTTACCTACCCAAATCCTATAAAACGGCCCCACCCTTATCTCCCTTCACTGATTCTCTTTTTGGACTCAGCCTGCCTGCACCCAGGTGAAATAAAGAGCCATGTTGCTCACACAAAGCCTGTTTGGTGGTCTCTTCACACCGACGCACATGAAATTTGGTGCCGTGACTCAGATCGGGGGACCTCCCTTGGGAGATCAATCCGCTGTACTCCTGTTCTTTGCTCCTTGAGAAAGATCCACCTATGACCTCAGGTCCTCAGACCGACCAGCCCAAGGAACATCTCACCAATTTTAAATCGGGTAAGCAGCCTCTTCTTACTCTCTTCTCCAACCTCTCTCACTGTCCCTCAACCACTTTCTCCTTTCCACTCTTCAATCTCTCCCTTCTCTTAATTTCAATTCCTTTCATTTTCTGGGAGAGACAAAGGAGACACGTTTTATCCGTGGACCCAAAACTCCGGCGCCAGTCACGGACTGGGAAGGCAGCCTTCCCTTGGTGTTTAATCATTGCAGGGACGCCTCTCTGATTATACACCCACGTTTCAAGGGTGTCAGACCACGCAGGGACGCCTGCCTTTGTCCTTCACCCTTAGCAGCAAGTCCCGCTTTTCTGGGGAAGGGGCAAGTACCCCAACTCCTTCTCTCCTTGTCTCTACCCCTTCTCTTCTTTTCTGGGAGAGGGGCAGGTACCCCTCAACCCCTTCTCCTTCACCCTTAGCGGCAAGTCCCGCTTTTCTACGGGGCAAGAATCCCCAATTCCTTATTTCCATGCCCCAACCTCTTATCTCTGCACCCCAACCCCTTATTTCTGCACCCCAACCTCTTATATCTCTGTGCCCCAATCCCTTATTTCTGCACCCCAACCTCATATCTCTGCACCCCAACCCCTTTTCCCACTTTTCTGGAAGGTAAGAACCCCCAAACCCCTTCCCTCCGTTTCTCTACTCTCTCTTTTCTCTAGGCTTGCTTCCTTCACTATGGGCAACCTTCCACCCTCCATTCCTCCTTCTACTCCCTTGGCCTGTGTTCTCAAAAACTTAAAACCTCTTCAACTCACACCTGACCTAAAACCTAAATGCCTTATTTTCTTCTGCAATGCCGCTTGACCCCAATACAAACTCGACAGTAGTTCCAAATAGCCAGAAAATGGCACTTTGAATTTTTCCATCCTGCAAAATCTAAATAATTCTTGTAAAATAGGCAAACGGTCTGAGGTGCCTGACATCCAGGCATTCTTTTACACATCAGTCCCTTCCTAGTCTCTGTGCCCAGTGCAACTCGTCCCAAATCATCCTTCTTTCCCTCCTGCCTGTCCCCTCAGTACCAACCCCAAGCGTTGCTGAGTCTTTCTAATCCTCCTTTTCTACAGACCCATCTGACCTCTCCCTTCCTCCCCAGGCTGCTCCTCGCCAGGCCGAGCTAGGTCCCAATTCTTCCTCAGCCTCTGCTCCTCCACCCTATAATCTTTTTATCACCTCCCCTCCTCACACCTGGTCCGGCTTATAGTTTCGTTCCGTGACTAGCCCTCCCCCACCTGCCCAGCAATTTACTCTTAAAAAGGTGGCTGGAGCCAAAGGCATAGTCAAGGTTAATGCTCCTTTTTCTTTATCCCAAATCAGAAGCGTTTTGGCTCTTTTTCATCAAATATAAAAATCCAGCCCAGTTCATGGGCAGCAACCCTGAGACGCTTTACAGCCCCAGACCCTAAAAGGTCAAAAGGCCGTCTTATTGTCAATATACATTTTATTACCCAATCTGCTCCCGACATTAAATAAAACTCCAAAAATTGGAATCTGGCCCTCAAACCCCACAACAGAACTTAATTAACCTCACCTTCAAGGTGTACAATAACAGAAAAAAGTTGCAATTCCTTGCCTCCACTGTGAGACAAACCCCAGCCACATCTCCAGCACACAAGAACTTCCAAACACCTGAACCGCAGCAGCCAGGTGTTCCTCCAGAACCTCCTCCCCCAGGAGCTTGCTACACGTGCCGGAAATCTGGCCACTGGGCCAAGGAATGCCTGCAGCCCGGGATTCCTCCTAAGCCGTGTCCCATCTGTGTGGGACCCCACTGAAAATTGGACTGTTCAACTCACCTGGCAGCCACTCCCAAAGCCCCTGGAACTCTGGCCCAACGCTCTCTGACTGACTCCTTCCCAGATCTTCTCGGCTTAGCGGCTGAAGACTGACACTGCCGGATCACCTCGGAAGCCCCCTAGACCATCATGGACGCCGAGCTTCAGGTAACTCTCACAGTGGAAGGTAAGTCCGTCCCCTTCTTAATCAATAGGGAGGCTACCCACTCCACATTACCTTCTTTTCAAGGGCCTGTTTCCCTTGCTTCCATAACTGTTGTGGGTATTGACAGCCAGGCTTCTAAACCTCTTAAAACTCCCCAACTCTGGTGCCAACTTAGACAATACTCTTTTAAGCACTCCTTTTTTAGTTATCCCCACCTGCCCTGTTCCCTTATTAGGCCGAGACACTTTAACTAAATTATCTGCTTCCCTGACTATTCCTGGACTACAGCTATATCTCATTGCCGCCCTTCTGCCCAATCCAAAGCCTCCTTTGTGTCCTCCTCTTGTATCCCCCCACCTTAACCCACAAGTATAAGATACCTCTACTCCCTCCTTGGCGACCGATCATGCACCCCTTACCATCTCATTAAAACCTAATCACCCTTACCCCACTCAACACCAATATCCCATCCCACAGCATGCTTTGAAAAGATTAAAGCCTGTTATCACTCACCTGCTACAGCACGGCCTTTTAAAACCTATAAACTCTCCTTACAATTCCCCCATTTTACCTGTCCTAAAACCAGACAAGCCTTCCAAGTTAGCTCAGGATCTGCGCCTTATCGACCAAATTGTTTTGCCTATCCACCCTGTGGTGCCCAACCCATACACTCTTTTGTCCTCAATACCTTCCTCCACAACTCACTATTCTGTGCTTGATCTTAAAGATGCTTTTTTCACTATTCCCCTGCACCCCTCGTCCCAGCCTCTCTTTGCTTTCACTTAGACTGACCCTGAGACCCATTAGACTCAGCAAATTACCTAGGCTGTACTGCCGCAAGGCTTCATAGACAGCCCCCATTACTTCAGTCAAGCCCAAATTTTATCCTCATCTGTTACCTATCTCGGCATAATTCTCATAAAAACATACATGCTTTCCCTGCTGATCATGTCCGATTAATCTCCCAAACCTCAATCCCTTACAAAACAGCAACTCCTTTCCTTCCTAGGCATAGTTAGTGTGGTCAGAATTCTTACACAAGAGCCAGGACCGCACCCTGTAGCCTTTCTGTGCAAACAACTTGACCTTACTGTTTTAGCCTAGCACTCATGTCTGCGTGCAGCAGCTACCACTGCTTTAAAAATTTTAGAGGCCCTCAAAATCACAAACTATGCTCAACTCACTCTTTACAGTTCTCATAACTTCCAAAATCTATTTTCTTCCTCATACCTGACGCATATACTTTCTGCTTCCCGGCTCCTTCAGCTGTACTCACTCTTTGTTGAGTTTCCCACAATTACCATTGTTCCTGGCCCGGACTTCAATCCAGCCTCCCACATTATTCCTGATACCACACCTGACCCCCATGACTGTATCTCTCTGATCCACCTGACATTCACCCCATTTCCCCAAATTTCCTTCTTTCCTGTTCCTCACCCTGATCACGCTTGATTTATTGATGGCGGTTCCACCAGGCCTAATCGCCACACACCAGCAAAGGCAGGTTATTCTATAGTACAAGCCACTAGCCCGCCTCTTAGAACCTCTCATTTCCTTTCCATCGTGGAAATCTATCCTCAAGGAAATAACTTCTCAGTGTTCCATCTTCTATTCTACTACTCCTCTGGGATTATTCACGCCCCCTACCTTCCCTACACATCAAGCTCGAGGATTTGCCCCCACCCAGGACTGGCAAATTAGCTTTACTCAACATGCCCGAGTCAGGAAATTAAAATACCTCTTAGTCTAAATAGACACTTTCACTGAATAAGTAAAGGCCTTTCATACAGGGTCTGAGAAGGCCACCGCAGTCATTTCTTCCCTTCTGTCAGACATAATTCCTCAGTTTAGCCTTCCCACCTCAATACAGTCTGATAACAGACGAGCCTTTATTAGTCAAATCAGCCAAGCAGTTTTTCAGGCTCTTAGTATTCACTGAAACCTTTATATCCCTTATGGTCCTCCATCTTCAAGAAAAGTAGAATGGACTAAAGGTCTTTTAAAAACACACCTCACCAAGCTCAGCCACCAACTTAAAAAAGACTGGACAATACTTCTACCACTTTCCCTTCTCAGAATTCAGGCCTGTCCTCAGAATGCTACAGGGTACAGCCCATTTAAGCTCCTGTATAGATGCTCCTTTTTATTAGGCCCCAGTCTCATTCCAGACAACAGACCAACTTAGACTGTGCCCCGCCCCCCCCCAAAAAAAAACTTGTCATCCTACTATTTTCTGTCTAGTCATACTCCTATTCACCATTCTGAACTACTCATACATGCCCTGCTCTTGTTTACACTGCCGGTTTACACTGTTTTTCCAAGCCATCACAGCTGATATCTCCTGGTGCTATCCCCAAACTGCCACTCTTAACTCTTGAAGTAAATAAATAATCTTTGCTGGCAGGACTCTGCCGAATCTCCTTAAGCACTCTCTAATCAGATATCCTGAGTTGTCCCAATTCTTAGACCTTTTATACCTGTTTTTCTCCTTCTGTTATTCCATTTAGTTTTTCAATTCATACAAAACCGTATCCAGGCCATCACCAATCATTCTATACGACAAATGTTTCTTCTAACATCCCCACAATATCACCCCTTACCACAAGACCTCCCTTCAGCTTAATCTCTCCCACTCTAGGTTCCCACGCCGCCCCTAATCCCGCTTGAAGCAGCGCTGAGAAACATCGCCCATTCTCTCTCCATACCACCCCCCAAAAGTTTTCGCCGCCCCAACACTTCAACACTATTTTGTTTTATTTTTCTTATTAATATAAGAAGGCAGGAATGTCAGGCCTCTGAGCCCAAGCCAAGCCATCGCATCCCCTGTGACTTGCACGTATACGCCCAGATGGCCTGAAATAACTGAAGAATCACAAAAGAAGTGAATATGCCCTGCCCCACCTTAACTGATGACATTCCACCACAAAAGAAGTGTAAATGGCCGGTCCTTGCCTTAACTGATGACATTACCTTGTGAAAGTCCTTTTCCTGGCTCATCCTGGCTCAAAAAGCACCCCCACTGAGCACCTTGCGACCCCCACTCCTGCCCGCCAGAGAACAAACCCCCTTTGACTGTAATTTTCCTTTACCTACCCAAATCCTATAAAACGGCCCCACCCTTATCTCCCTTCACTGACTCTCTTTTCGGACTCAGCCTGCCTGCACCCAGGTGAAATAAACAGCCATGTTGCTCACACAAAGCCTGTTTGGTGGTCTCTTCACACGGACACGCATGAAAGTAACCACAGGAAAGGGGACTAGGATGTGAAAGAATAGACCAAGACCCCCCACTCCACCCTCCAGTATTTAAGATTACTAGACTATTCTGGGGGTAGATAGAGGAGAAAGAAGACTTTTGGATAGAAAATGATTTTTACACTTTTTAAAAGAACACTTCTGAGTCTTAAGATTCCAATGAGAGCATTTTTAATAAACTGGATGTGACATAAGTTATAGAACTAGGCTGAGACACCATTAAGGGAGCTTACTGCCCAGCAGGCAGAGTTTTAAAAAAAACACAGTTAGTAGCAATTATGGGAAAAATAAGATCCTTTTGTGTTTATACCTTAACATAAGGAAAGATTCTCACTAAATTGGTTAAGCATGGTAATGTTTGCACTCTTTGAATGTAAGTTGAAGTGTTGCCTCTCCTAAGTAACACATTTATGTTTCCAAGGTGGTTTTCATGGAGACAAAAGGTGGAGAAGGACAGTCCCGTGAAGTGGATGCAACAGTTGAAGGTAACAGTAAGTCTTCATCAAGAGCCAGACATGCCTTAGAATAACAGGTAAATAAATAATTTAAAGCAGAGGCCTCTCATTACCAGACTAAGTCCCAACCAACCAAATCATCTTCCTCATTTGAAATTCCTCTAAGTGTCACAAAGGTTGTTGTGTTTGTGATGTGGGTTTTGACTGTCCTCATGTTACCAGAAAGAGGTCCTGATCCAGACCCCAAAAGAGGGTTATTGGATCTTGCACAAAAAAGAATTTGAGGCGAATCCATAAAGTGAAAGCAAGTTTACTAGGAAAGTAATGGCTTTTTACTAGGAAAGTAATACAGGAATGGCTACTCCATAGTCAGAGCTGCCCCACAGGTTGCTGGTTGCCCACTTTTCCGGTTATTTCTTGATGATATGCTAAACAAGAAGTGGATTATTCATGCCTCCCCTTTTTAGACCATATAGGGTAAAGTGTGATGGCACTGATGGGAGTGTAGCAGTGAGGACAACCTGAGGTCACTCTCATCGTCATCTTGGTTTTGGTTTGGTGGGTTTTAGTCGGCTTCTTTACTGCAACCTGTTTTTACCAGCAAGGCCTTTATGACCTGTATCTTGTGCCCACCTCTTATCTGATCCTGTGACTTAGAATTCCTAACTGTCTGGGAATGCAGCCCAGTAGGCCTCAGCCTTATTTTACCTAGCCCCCCCATTTAAGACGAAGTTGCTCTGAGTTGAATAAAAAGCATTCAAAAATAACCAAATAAAAAACTTTATGTGGATAGAGAATCAGAAAGACTGTGGTGACAGTTCTGAGTCAAACCTTCACGATTTCCCCTCCTTCCTGTAATGAAATTAGACTCAGGAGAAGTTCCAGGATTTAACAAACCCAGGAATAATAGTCTACATTTCAACACTGAAAAGTTTTCTTACTCTGTTTACCAACTATGGGGACTATGACTAAAATATTATGAGAAATAACTCATGTCTCAAGACTCAGAGCCAAATTAATTTCACATATCTATAATTTGCTACACAAACAACCACTTTCCCAGAGGCCTCTGTTCCTATAGGTCAACAAACACGAGATGACTCCACGATGAGACTCCCAGGCTTCAGACAAGTCCATAGCCTTAGGTAATTATGATCTGAGGTGGTTTTGAAGCTCCTCTTACACACACAGACCCCCCAAACCCATCCCTCCCACCCCCTGCACCCCGCCCCATCTCTGGGCCAAAACTTTCTTTCCAGTGGGTCTGAAAAGTACTGCCTGAAATTCTCAGCATTCCTGTCATTCCCTAAAGGCTGAGGCAGCTCTCTAAACATTCTTTCAGGCACCTGAGGAATTGGGCCACCAGCTCTTCTGTGGGGAGCCAACAGGAAATTAAGTATAAAGGGCAGCAAAAGTATTTGGGGAGATGACAATGAGGCATAAAGGAAACAAAGAAGGGTGGGGGTGCAAGAAAAGAAGCCTGGTCTACCTACACACTTTGCCCTGCAGACAGTTCTACCTCTCAGCACGTGTGATGACTTACCTAGGAATGGAATGTGGACCTGGGAGGGGAAGCTGGTACAAAGCTGTGGAGGCTGGAAAGGAACCCAGGGCCCTATTACAAATCGTGAATAGTGACTTTTAGCTAGAATCACTTGCCAGAAGCTTGGGAAAAAAATGTTTTCACTGAGGGCCTAATTGGATGTCAGAAGGCTTCTACAGAAAGCCTGGCTCCTAGAGCTTCCTAGCTGCTGAGATGGGCTATCCTGGCAAGAATCCTCTCCCTCCTCCTTTCTTTCCCTCTTGCTCCCTTCCTCTTTCCCCTCCTTTTCTCTTTTCCGTACACAATCTGACAGTTTATTTGGGACAATTCTTTGGAGAACTGGGATACACCTGCAGTATATTCATTTTTAAGCCACGGACAAACCACTAGAGGGCGATGCCATCACTAATTGCTGAAACTTTCCTGCTTTCCTCTGGCTTCAGCATTCAGCAGGCCTATCCACACATCCTGTGACAGGATGTTTCTGAACTTTTCCTTCAATTCTCATTGTAAATAAACAACCTCAGGGTGAATACATCCAGATGCACATCATAGCGACATGCAGCATGAATTGCACAGGCCAAAGTTTCTGGTCTATCCGGAACAGTCTTGCCTAATATGCACCACAGTTCAGAAACCAGAGGTTAAACTTGCTTTTTTGTCCTGAATTTCTGCCTGAATTTTGGAGTTTCTCTCAAATGCTATCTCTAAGGGCAAAAGGAGCCCTTCAAAGAAATGAAAAGTTAAATAATCCAGCACAGCCCATTTGTACAGGATTTCTGTTTTGTTTCCATATTCAAGTTACAAATATTTGGTTTGCTTAAATGCAGGGTTTGCCCAAATGGTCAAAAGCTATTAGTAGATTAGTCATGTATGCAAATATGGGGAGCAGGGGCACATGTTTCTCACTGCTTGAGAAACTATGTGTATAAACGGGGTCCCAGTAAATTTGGTCCTAGCCGGGGCGTACCAAAGAAAGCAAAGCTAGCAGGGGTAGTGGCTAATGTCTGTAATCCCAACACTTTGGGAAGTTAAGGCAGGAGGATCACTTGAGGCTGGGAGTTCAAGGTTTGCCTGGGCAACATAGCAAGACCCCATCTCTAAAAAAATAAAAATAGTCAGGTATGTACTATTATACAGGTGTGCACCTGTAGTCCCAGCTCCTCAGGAGGCTGGGGTGGGAGGATCCTTTGAGCCCAGGAGTTTGAGGCTGCAGTAGCTGTGATCACACCACTGCACTCTAGCCTGGGTGACAAAGCAAGACTCTGTCTGAAAAAAAAAGGGAAGAGAAAGAAAGAGAAAGAAAGAAGGAAAGAAAGAAAGAAAAAGAAAGAGAGATAGAGAAAAGAAAAGAAAAAAGAAAAGAAGGCTGCTAGAAATCTTAAACTCGGCTGGGTGCAGTGGCTCATGCCTGTAATCCCAGCGCTTTGGGAGGCCGAGACGGGTGGATCACCTGAGGTCAGGGGTTGGAGAGCAGCCTGGCCAACATGGTGAAACTAGTCTCTACTAAAAATACAAAAATTAGCCAGGCATGGTGGCGGGAGCCTGTAATCCCAGCTGAGGCAGGAGAGGAGGCTGAGTCAGGAGAATCGCTTGAACCCGGGAGGTGGAGGTTGCAGTGAGCTGAGATCGTGCCACTGCACTCCAGCCTGGGAGACAGAGTGAGACTCCTTCTCAAAAAAAAGAAAAAAAAAAAAAAAGAAATCTTAGAACTCCTTGAACTTTTTGGGCAGAATCTCCCTTCCTATGAGTTCAACTAGTGTTCCTAGGCATACACTCTGCCTCCTGTATAGGGGCAGACTAGCATCAGACTTCTCTGAGATTAGTATTTCAAGAATTTATGCAAACTAACCTATTGAAGTTAGACTGAAGATCTGGGTAAAAATGTAAATCAGAAAGTATTCAATAAATCAGGTAAAGCACATAACAGGCAATTCATGTACTGGAATACTGCTGCCTCCAGCACTGGTGGTGTACTTCTTCAAGTACAGTACTTCTTCAAATATTTGCTGATGTCAAGCTTATCCTCCATTTATCAGCAGAGGCAGATAAGGTGAGGAAAATATTTGTAGGCAGAGAGATTTCTGGAATTTTCCTACAGTGCTGAAATACCATCCAGAGTTCAAGTGGGCCATATTTGGACAATGATTACTATGTTATTTTTTCTATCGTATTTTCACTGCTATATAATAACATTAACACTCTTTACACAAGGTCAGTACTATTTACCTAAGACTTTCCCAAATCTTTCCCATTCTCTCCCCTCAAAAGTTCATGAACACATTCTATGTTTCTGAAGGAAAAAATATAATAGAGGAAAAGTTTATTGAGATTAGTCAAGTGGGGATTGTAATTCACCAAATCTGCATTTACTAGAAGGAAGATAGAGCAGAAAACTAGTCCCAGGGTTTAAAGACTACAATTCATAGAAGACTCCTATTGTTGGGCCAACACTGTATTTCACAGCAGGTGAAGAGAGAAAAAGTACAGGAAAACAAACAAGGATGGAAGTATGGTACAGGAGGGTGCACAGTGAATAGAAGAAAATGCTATGGAAGACTACTCCTCACCGAGCAAAACCCGACTAGGTGGAACGTGGACTGAAGGTGGAGATGAATTCAAGAGTTTTACGGAGGGCACCTGTCACCTAATCACAGCGCCAACGACGCTACCAAGAAAGCATCATGGCCTTTTCTTTTACAGGCACTTTGTTTACAGGACAAATCAAGGAAATCAAGGAAAAGGCATCTTTTCTCTTCCAGATCACTTTTAGAATCCAAGATTTGGTACACTGGGACAAATAAAAACACATAGCTATGAAAGGGTCGATGAGATCCCATTTGTAACTTGGCTAAATAGAGTTGTTTCAGTACCTGACAACTTGAGTTCAATCTGTATTATTCTGAATGTATAATTGATGTGGCCATCAGTTTCCAGTAAAGGAACTTTTGTTTTGCTTTTTTCCCCCCACTTTCCCTCAGAAGGAATGGCTTTCTCATTAGGAAATGTTCGCATGCCCTCAGAAAAGGTGTTTGGAATAGAAAGACTCCCCGGAATCAGATTAAAATGCCAGCAGAGTTGAGTATGTTCTTCCCCATTTTGAGCTAGTTAAATGAGAACTCACGCCATTCTCCACACAGGGAACTTCTTAGGTAAAACTATTAAAGCCATGGAACCATTTACTTAGTGTGGTTATTAAAATCCTATGGCACTCTGGTGAACAGTGCTGTGGACTGGCAGCCAGAATATCTTTTCCAATTCTAGCCCCTATATTTCCTGGATTTATAGAAGCAAAGCAACTAGGAAAGCTGTAGGTCTTCTCACCCATTTTGTAGATATTTGTTGAGTACCCAATGTTTTAGGCACTGGAGTACAATAATAAACCAGATCTAGCACAGTCCTTGCCTTCACAGTTCAGAGTCATGAAGGAAACAAACCAGTAAAAAGGCAATTGTAACGTCATACCCATTAGCATGGCCATGATAAAAGAGAGAGAGAGAGGAGGAAAAAAAGGAAAGAAAGAAGTGTTGGTGAGGACACTAAACAATCAGAACCCTCATACAGTGTTGGTGTCAATGTAAAATGATGCGGCTACTCTAGAAAAGTCCTCCAAAAGCTCAATACAGAATCAGAATAACCATACAATGTAGCAGTGTCACTGCTAGGTACATACTCAAGACCATTGAAAACATGGCCATACAAAAACTTGTACACAAATGTTAATAGAAGCATTATTTATTAATACTCAAAAAGTGGAAACAATCCAAATGTCCATCAGCTGACGAATGGATATACAAAATGTGGTACATACATACAATGGAATATTTCAACCATAAAATGAAATGAAGTACTGATACATAATACAACATGGATGAACCTTAGAAACATATTTAGTGCAAGAAGACAGACACAAAGGGACAAATATGGTATGATTCTATTCACATAAAATGTCCAGACTAGGGAAATAAATAGAGATAAAAAGTAGATTAATAATTGTCAGGGGATTGGGGGAAGGGGAAACACGGAGTGGCTGTCAATGGGTGTGTATGTGGGTTCTTTTAGGAGTGATGAAAATGTTCTCAAATTATATAGTGATTGCATAACCTTGTAAATATATTAAAAACCACTGAATTGTACAATTTAAAAGAGTGACTTTTATGTTATGTAAATTATATCAATAAGACAAGGTAATTATAATACAATAAGATGATGGCCATATTAGAGCGTGCTAGTCTACATGTGTGGGGGTAGTGTTGGAGAAGAGGTTCAGAAAAGCTTTCTGAAAAAAATGACTTTTAAGCAGTGATCACAGAAGACAAGTAGGAGTAAGAAGGAAAAGGAGGAAGAATGGATCAATGTTAAAGGAACAGCAGAATATGCCCACGGCAGAGGGGAGAGAGCACATGGTACATTTGGAGGAATAGTGGTCCTGCTGGGCTGAAACATGGTGTTCACAGTGGAGAGAAGTAAGGCTAGGGATAGAAGGAGCAAACCAACCATGCTAAAGAATTTCTACTTTATCCTAATTATAACAGGAAACCCTTGAAAGAGCTAAAGCACAGGAATGACAAGATCTGGTCTGTTCTTCGGAAAGGTTGTTCTAAGTGCAACGCGAAGAACAGACTGGAGGTAAAGCAAGCATAGGGGCCAAGAGATTGGTTAGGAGGTTATTGCACTAACGCAAGTCTGAACTGACCAAATAGGGAAAATTGGAAGGTACCGGGGAAGTTCTTCCAAGCTCCCTGTAATGCTCTGCCAACTATAACAGTACTAGGCTCTGCCAGGAAGCAAGATGTGGTTTTAGTAAGGAGGTGGTGCCAATGCTAAGGCTGCTAGCGAGTCTTCCAGCAGACTCTACTCCTGCTTTTGGCCCAAACTTTATACTCAATCTCTAGACTTGGGCTCCCTTTTCCCTCCACAATGAACATAAAGATCCTCACCATGTGCAACAGAGAGATAGTCTACTGTAAGAGTATGGATTTGAGTCAGAAGCACCTAAGTTCAAATTCCTGCCCTGCCATTTCCAAGCTTATGTGATAAGATATACTTAACCTCTGATCTCAGTTTTTTGAATGTGAAATTAGGAAGATAGTAACATATCTCAGTTTTGTGCTAAGGATTATATGTGATTACAGATGTAAAAAAGCCTTGCACCAGGCCTGCCCTTTAGTAGGTGCTCAATAAATGTAGTCTCTGTACTCTTTGCATCACAATCCTATAGTTACAATTGTGTTCCTAATTGGTGGGTTCTTGGTCTCGCTGACTTCAAGAATGAAGCCGCGGACCCTCGTGGTAAGTGTTACAGTTCTTAAAGATGGCGTGTCCGGAGTTTGTTCCTTCTGATGTTCGGACATGTCTGGAGTTTCTTCCTTCTGGTGGGTTCGTGGTCTCGCTGGCTTCAGGAGTGAAGCTGCAGACCTTCACGGTGAGTGTTACAGCTCTTAAGGCGGTCCGTCTAGAGTTGTTCGTTCCTCTCGTTTGGAGTTGTTCATTCCTCCCGGTGCGTTCATCGTCTTGCTGGCCTCCTGCAGACCTTCACGGTGAGTGTTAGAGCTCATAACGGCAGTGCAGACCCAAAGAGTGAGCAGCAACAAGATTTATTGCCAAGAGCAAAAGAACAAAACTTCCACAGTGTGGAAAGGGTCCGGACTGAGTTGCCCCTGCTGGCTGGGGCAGCCAGCTTTTATTGCCTTATTTGGCCCCACCCACATCCTGCTGATTGGTCCATTTTACAGAGAGCTGATTGGTCTGTTTTGACAGGGTGCTGATTGGTGCGTTTACAATCCCTGAGCCAGACAGAGTGCTGATTGGTGTATTTACAATCCTCTAGCTAGATGTAAAAGTTCTCCAAGTTCCCACTAGATTAGCTAGACACAGATCACTGATTGGTGCATTTACAAACCTTGAGCTAGACACAGGGTGCTGACTGGTGCGTTTACAATCCCTGAGCTAGACACAGAGTGCTGACTGGTGCATTTACAATACTCTAGCTCGACATATAAGTTCTCCAAGTCCCCACCAGATTAGCTAGATACAGAGTGCTGATTGGTGCATCCACAAACCTTGAGCTAGACACAGGGTGCTGATTGGTGTATTTACAAACCTTGAGCCAGACACAAAGTGCTGATTGGTGCATTTACAATCCTCAAGCTAGACCTAAAAGTTCTCCAAGTCCCCACCAGATTAGCTAGGTACAGAGTGCTGATTGGTGCATCCATGAACCCCGAGCTAGACACAGAGTGCTGATTGGTGCATATACAATCCTCCAGCTAGACATAAAAGTTCTCCAAGTCCCCATCCGACTCAGGAGCCCAGCTGGCTTCGCCTAGTGGATCCTGCACCAGGGCCACAGGTGGAGATGCCTGCCAGTCCCGCGCCACACACCTGCACTCCTCAGCCCTTGGGCAGTCAATGGGACGGGGCGCTGTGGAGCAGGGAGTGGCACCCATTGGGGAGGCTCAGGCCAGGGACTCGGGCATGGCAGGCTGCAGGTCCTGAGCCCTGCCCCACAGGGAGGCAGCTGAGGCCCAGCAAGAATTTGAGCATGGCACGGGCAGGCTGGCAGTGCTGGGGGAGCCGGTGACCCCTCTGCAGCTGCTGGCCTGGTTGCTAAGCCCCTCATTGCTCAGGGCCAGCGGTGCTGCCCGCCGCTCCCAGTGCGGGGCCCACTGAGCCTGCACCCACCCAGAACTCACGTTGGCCTGTGAGCGCCACGTGCAGCCCCGGTTCCTGCCTGGGCCTCTCCCTCCACACCTCCCTGCAAGCAGAGGGAGCCGGCTCCGGCCTCAGCCAGCCCAGAGAGGGGCTTCCACAGTGCAGCGATGGGCTGAAGGGCTCCTCAAGTGTGGCCAGAGCGGACACCGAGGCTGAGGAGGTGCTGAGAGCAAGGGAGGGCTGCTAGCACGTTGTCACCTCTCACAATCATAATTCTTCAATGCAAGCATGACACCAAAGGGTGAGGCCTGCTACTGTCAAAATTTTAGTGAGCTAGGAGGACTATTCCATATTTTCCTAGAAATAGGTATTTGCTAGTTGACAAACATAAGTTATTTGTATCCATGGTTCCTTAAAATACCATTTCAAAGCCAAATGTATTTAGGGCTGGGCGCAGTGGCTCATGCCTGTAATCCCAGCACTTTGGGAGGCCAAGGCAGGTGGATCACCTGAGGTCAGGAGTTTGAGACCAGCCTGGTCAACAAGGTGAAACCCTGTCTCTACTAAAAATACAAAAATTAGCCAGGCATGGTGGCAGGTGACTGTAACCCCAACTACTCAGGAGGCTGAAGCAGGAAAACTGCTCAAACCCGGGAGGCGGGGATTGCAGTGAGCCAAGATCACGCCATTGTACTCCAGCCTGGGTGACAAGGGTGAAACGCTGTCTCAAAAACAAACAAACAAACAAAACCAAAAAGTTAGACTTATTTAAATTAATTCCTAAAAGGAAAGATCTGAGAGCTCCTCAGACAAGTCATCAAATCAGGCTTGTTTATGCTCAAGCAGGAAGGCCAAAGTTCCAGGTAAAGGCTCTCCTTTCTAGAATCAGCATAACTGCAAGGCAGCAGACCATATAAATAGTTTGATGCTCTGAACAAATGGAATGTTGTCTGGAATGATAATGTGGAAAGAGTTCATGTTAACACAGCAGGCCATTTAATGTAAAGAAACATGTTTTAAAAGCTACCTAGAGCTTTCTAGGTACAAGTGTTTTGTTCAGGTTTTTATGCAGACAGAAACAGTTTAAAAACAGGCAAGGATCGAAGGTATCAAAATGTGTTTTAAAACCTATCTGAAGGAGTTGATTACTATCAGCGCTAAAACCCAGTCTTTAGTCTCCTCCTTAACCAGGATGCAGTTCCTAGAGATAAAATATAATGTTAACACTGATCTAATATAGTAAACAATCGTCAGAACTTTGGAAAGATTTCTCTCTCTCTCTCTACACACACACACATTTTATATCTTTCATGTATCCCTCTCCCCCTCCTCCCATACTATGAAGTAATATTTAACCCCAAAGAAATAACCTTGTTAAGTTTGTTTCCTTCTTTGCTAATCACTGCAGTGGATTTCAGAAAGCACAAGGTGGCAGAAGCACACTAAAAATCCAACTGGAATAAAGGCTACAGCAATTTGAACATCATAAAAATGGCAGCAACTCTATTTTTAAAAATAAATGAGTACTTTTTCATCATAACAAACATGCTCAATAAAATTTTGAAAATATGACAGGTAGAAAAAGGAAAGGGGATTGTATTACTGAGACATATGGACAAATGTTTAATTCTTCCTACTACAATTATTAGTTGTGATTTTATCAGATATGCAACTTTATATCCTCCCTTTTAAACTCTAACAATGGGAGCACTTTCAAATCTGCTTTAGTCAAACATCTCTGTTTCAAAAAATATTTAAGGCATCTGCATGTGTCCATGTTTTTATAAACATTTTCAAAAGATCACTGATTAGAACATGGCTAATTTTATCTAGCCATTTTCCCATTAGCAATGATTGTTTTAAGTTAAACATTATCAATGACACCTGAGCCAGTAAATTTACATTTTAAGATCTCATTTCAAAAATCAAACAGGCTGGGGGCGGTGGCTCATGCCTATAATCCCAGTACTTTGGGAGGCCAAGGCAGGCGGTCACCAGAGGTCAGGAGTTCGACACCAGCCTGACCAACATGGAGAAACCCCGTCTCTACTAAAAATACAAAAATTAGCCAGGTGTAGTGGTGGGCACCTGTAATCCCAACTACTCAGGAGGCTGAGGCAGGAGAATCACTTGAATTCGGGAGGCGGAGGTTGCAATGAGCCGAGATCACGCCATTGCACTCCAGCCTGGGTGACAGCGAGACTCTGTCTCAAAAAACAAAAAACAAATAAAAACAGCCATCTGAGAAAATCAGACATGAACAAATGAAATAACATTTTATTCCAAAACAGAATCAAATGATGCTATCCTGTTTACTTTTTGCACTGGCCTGTGGGTACTTGGACCTTTCTTATTTTACAAACCTATATCTACAGTGTGTGTTTAGAAAATCATTTTATATGTCGAAAATATAACAAAATAATTTTAAAAATACTTAAGTATTGTGGTAGCAGTCAAAAGTTATTTATACTTTTAAAAGATTGCTACCAACTAGATTTGCCCCTGGAAAAATAACCAAAGCCATAATTCATTTGCTACTTTGGAATCAACCTGAATGCCAAAAACAACTGTATAAAATCATTTGGTCTAGTCATCTGCTTTAGACAGGTGAAAAGCCATTATTATTCCCCTCTATTATGGGCTCAGGAAAATAAAGCCAACATCAATGGAAGATGGTGCTCAGAACCCTGTCAAGTATGGGGAAAATTCTGTATCTCCGGATGTCTTTTGACCTTAATTCAGACCTTTAATCCACAGGTCAAAATATGTAAAATTAGAAATAATGTAATGACTTTTCCCCCTTTTAACTGAAACTCAGTTTTCTCTATTAAATGAGCAAAACAATGACTTCCATGAGAGAGGAAATTCAATTGTCAGGAACAAATGTTATTACATTCCAGCACCTTCTGAATGTTTAGTCTTGAGTCTTTCTTTTGTAAGCACTAACTAAGCAATCACAGGGAATTCTCTTCAAGAAGGATTCTCATTCATGATTTTCTCCAGGCCCCAGTGAGAACTCTAAATTAAAGGGCTCTCACTCTTTATGGCTTCACTTGCTTCTTCCTTCCCCAGTAGCTTTGAAGAAATTTCCCTTTTTATTCAAATGTGCTCACCCAGGTCAGAGAGGAGATTTCCTGAACTCTGAACACCAAGGTTAAATCTTCCATGGTCTAACACCTTGCAAGCTGCAAATAACTGAAGAGGGGAAAAAAGATCACCTTAAAGAAATTATTAGTATAGAACCTTTCTGCACTTTCTCAACATTTCTTCTACTTAGGCCTGCATGAGAAATTCAAGACCAAGTCTGGATAATTCAACTATAAACTCAGCATCAGAATGTTTTTTGCCTGCCTATTTGCTAAGGTTTCCAAAAACTGGGCTTATCCATTTCCAGAGCCCTGGAAAAAATTTGAAAACATGAACTATATTAATAATAATGTGCCTTCTCTATAGAGCATCCACATTTTAAAAGCCTAGAGATCCTGGCTTGGGAAAGCTAGAAAAGTAAATACCAACTATGATGACTGGAGAAACTAATTTAAATTCCTCTGCTGAATCTTGTCCCCAGGCTTCCAATAAAAATAAGTTAGGTTTTGGCCCTGAACTATTCCTTACAAAAATTGCTTATCATTATACAAGAATAGTTTCCCTATTTTCTGTTTATTTGTTTTTCCTCTAGTTCTATTCTTTCCCACATAGATTAAACCAAAATAAGATTAGCCAAACCTAATTTGATTCTAATCCAAGCCACACACCCTATGTATTCCATTACAAATCAAGTTTAATTTACTGACTTCCTTGGGTCCCAACTGAATGACCTACTGGAAGCTACGAAAGGGGTCACAGAGTAAGACTGCAGGCCAAAAAAAGAATGTGAAAAACACATGCAAGCCTGGAAACAAATTCACCCAAAGACATAACTTGCTTAAGATGTTTCTTGTGGAATTTGAATGCTAAAAGATCAAGTCTCCTAACAGGAAAAGCAGCCAACAGAGAAGCAGATGCATTCACATTCACTCATCATTCGTTCGCTCATTCATTCATTCAACAATTATACATAGACCTCTCATAGTCATGAGTTTTAACAACAGCAGAAACTTCAGGAGAGTATTTGCTTTCTGGTGCTCAGTTCTGCACTGAAGCCAGTCTCCCATTACCACAGGATTTTTTCTGTATGTTGTAAAATCTGTGAACATAAACTTTAGTTTTTATCTGCTTTTATTTTTTGGTAATTTGGAAGCTGAATTTAAAACATCCCCTTTAATTTTGGCAACGAGTAGCTTTTAGATTCTTTTAATCCAAGGGATTTTAGACCTTCTGAAGTCAAGGTTTACTTCTAAAGAATAAAGAATTTTGTTTGCTAACAATGTGAAAGAGCTAATATAATAGCTACATATGGTCTTATACCAGTGATAAGTCACTAATGTTGTTACAGCTTATGTGACAAACGTTCACAATGTTTTTGGTCCTCAAAATCACCCTGACAGCAGTAGTACTCCAGAGAGGTGTGAGGAGACGAGTGAAAAACCCAAAAAGAAGAAAAAGCAAAAGCCCCAGGAGGTTCCTCAGGAGAAAACAGAAGACCCATCTATCTCTTTCTCCAAACCCAAGAAAAAGAAATCTTTTTCCAAGGAGGAGTTGATGAGTAGTGATCTTGAAGAGACTGCTGGCAGCACCAGTCTTCTCAAGAGGAAGAAGTCTTCACCCAAGACGGAAACAGTTAATGACCCCGAAGAGGCAGGCAACAGAAGTGTCTCCAAGAAAAAGACGAAATTCTCCAAAGAGGAGCCTGTCAGCAGTGGACCTGAAGAGGCTGCTGGCAGCAAGAGCAGCTCCAAGAAGAAAATGTTCCATAAAGAAGCCCAGGAAGATTAGAATGCAAATGGACATTCTCTGGGAGGCGGGGCATACCATAGCCCAAGACGACATTTCCTACCATGTCCAGTTCCCCAATAAAAACAAATTCACACACACACACAAATCACCCTCATGAAATAAGAGAGGAATTATTATGACCACTTTGAAGATCAGGAAGTGGAGGCTCAGGAAAGGGAAATGATATGTCCAAAGTCCCTTTTTCTAAGTGGTGAATTCAAATCTTAAGACTATCTGATCACTGTTCTTTTCTACTTTTCCTCAATTAATATTTAGTTTAAAATTTAAGCTTTTGTGTATTTTGTTCTAGGGGTTGGGACTATAAAGCTGTACACATATATAAAATTCCTCCTTAGCCTAGGCAACATGGCAAAACCCAATCTCAACAAAAAAAATACAAAAATTAGCTGGGCATGGTGGTGTGCATCTGTAGTCCCAGTCACTTCGGAGGCTGAGGTGGGAGGATAGCTTAGGCCCCAGAGGCAGAGGTTGCAGTGAGCCAAGATGGCACCATTGCACTCCAGCCTGGGGCAACAGAGCCCGAAACTGTTTCAAAAAAAAAAAAAAAATTCCTCCTTATGATTCAAGAGATTCCTGCATAGTCCTCAATCTTTGGTTTTGCTTTAAGAACAGATCATCTGCCCCATTTGGCTTAAAAACAAAAATTAAACACATAATACAAACATGAGACTATAAATACATTAGACTTCAATAAATAGAACAAAAATGTTCACTGTTTAGTTACAGCATGTCATTTGATGAGCAGAAAATTAGAAAAATGATTTTAGTCCCCATTTCAGCATTACTTAACTAGAAAACCTTGGGTAAATCTCTCAAATTCTGTGTCTCAGTTTGTATACACTATTAAATGGGTATAAAAAATTGTCCTTCAAATGTTATAACCAGTACAAAATCATTAAATCTAAAATTGGTATATATTTCCTAGTACTACTGGTATAAGAATTCTGAAAAAAGAGAGGAAAAGTTCATTTCAGTTTTGTCTCACGCAATAGTTAACATACAAGGTACTTTTTTTAAAGCTTGTTTAGTATCTAGAATATTGTGTACACATTCATTAAATTCCTTAAATTCTTTTTACTGATATCCCTTTGGACCCTGAATCCAATATTATGTAGCCATTTTCCCTATTACACAAATAGACTGGTTTGCACAGGTTACACAGTATGTTAATGGCAGAATCAAAGGTCAAAATATCTGATCGATATCCTAACCATGCCAGGATCATCCACTGCTAACAAGACAGAACTGTGACAGTCTCTTTAACGTCAGCAGAATTCTCTAAGCTGAGCCTTATTTTAGCTATCAGTTTCCTTCAGTTCCCATGCTGAATTTTATCAGATCTGCTTCTTTCTCTTCCTCTATTCATGCCTAATAAGCAAAGAAATAAAAAAGAAAAGCCGTAAAAAGCAGAGCACAGCATCTGGATAATCCACAAACCAGAAAAACCTGACTGACAAGAGTTAACTAAATGGATTTTTTAGTGGATTTGTTTGTTTTTTTGAGACAGGGTCTCACTCTGTTGCCTAAGCTGAGGGTAGGCGCACAATCACGGATCACTGCAGCCTCAAATTCCTGGGCTCAGGCAATCCTCCCACCTCAGCTGATCCTCCTGCCTCAGCCTCTTGAGTAGCTGGGTCTACAGGCATGCACCACCACACCGGTCTGATGTTTTGTTTTGCTTTGTAGAGACAGTTCTTGCTATTTTGCCAAGGCTGGTCTCAAACTCCTGGCCTCAAGTGATCCTCCTGCCTGGCCCTCCCAAAGTGCTGGGATTACAGTAGTGAGCTACTGTGCCTGGCTGGATTTCTTGTCTACAGTTTAGAAACTCAATCTTCTTCAATCACATAATGAGTCTCAGGATATAACAGCAAGACACAACGTGAATTTGTGATTAAATTTTATTTTCATGAAATTTTTTGCATAGCCAGAATCACAAAACAAAAATGAGGAAATGCTAAAGTTGATTTACAAAAAGTGAAAGAAAAAACACACCCGTGGGAACCCCATCACCAAAACCGTAAAAAAAAAAAAAAAAAAAAATTGCAAAAATCTTTCAGAAAAGGCAGTCTAGTCACCCAAAGAAATTCATAAGTTGACTGGCTGGAGAAGATTTCTTGAAAATATATAATAGAAGTTACAAATTAAGAAGTAACATATGGAGTAGGTAGTCAAAGTGAGAGGCGACAGTGTGCTGGCAGCCCTTGCTCACTCTTGGTGCCTCCTTGGCCTCGGTGCCCACTCCGGCCGCGCTTGAGGAGCCCTTTAGCCTGCCGCTGTAATGTAGGAGCCCCTCTCTGGGCTGGCCAAGGCTGGAGCCGGCTCCCTCTGCTTGCAGGGAGCTGTGGAGGGAGCAGCGTGGGCGGGAACTCAGGCTGCGTGTGGCGTACGCGGGCCAGCGTGAGTTCTGGGTGGGTGCAGGCTTGGCAGCCCCGCACCTGGAGCAGCCGGCCAGTGCCACCGGTCCCAGGCAGTGAGGGGCTTAGCACCCGGGCCAGCAGCTGTGGAGAGTGTGCCAGGTCCCCCAGCACTGCTGGCCCGCCCAAGCTGTGCTCAAATTCTCGCCGGGCCTCAGCCGCCTCCCTGCGGGGCAGGGCTCAGGACCTGCAGCCCGTCATGCCCAAAGAATGCCCCCTGCTTTCCCCACCGTGGGCTCCTGCATGGCCCGAGCCTCCCCGATGGGTGCCGCCCCCTGCTCCGCAGCGCCTGGTCCCATCGACCACCCAAGGGCTGAGAATTGCAGGCACACGGCATGGGACTGGCAGGCAGCTCCACCCGTGGCCCTGGTGCGGGATCCACTAGGCGAAGCCAGCTGGGCTCGTGAATCAGGTGGGGACTTGGAGAACTTTTATGTCTAGCTGGAGGATTGAAAATGCACAAATCAGCACTCTGTGTCTAGCTCAGGGTTTGTAAATGCACCAATCAGCACTCTGTGTCTAGTTTAAGGTTTGTAAATGCACCAATCAGCACCCTGTGTCTAGCTCAAGGTTTGTAAACGCACCAATCAATGCTCTGTGTCTAGCTAATCTAGTGGGGACTTGGAGAACTTTTATGTCTAGCTAGAAGATTGTATATGCACCAATCAGCACTCTGTGTCTAGCTCAGGGATTGTAAGTGCACCAATCAGCACCCCGTGTCTGGCTCAAGGTTTGTAAATGCACCAATCAGTGCTCCGTGTCTAGCTAATCTAGTGGGGACATGGAGAACTTTTGTGTCTAGCTCAGGGATTCTAAATGCACCAATCAGCACCCTGTCAAAACGGACCAATCAGCTCTCTATAAAATTGGCCAATCAGCTTTCTGTAAAATGGACCAATCGGCAAGATGTGGGTGGGGCCAAATAAGGGAATAAAAACAGGCTGCCCGAGCCAGCAGCAGCAACCCACTCAGGTCCCCTTCCATACTATGGAATCTTTGTTCTTTCGCTCTTTGCAATAAATCTTGCTGCTGTTCATTCTTTGGGTCCACACTGCCTTTATGAGCTGTAACACTCACTGCGAAGGTCTACAGCTTCACTCCTGAGGTCAGTGAGACCACGAACCCACCGGGAGGAATGAACAACTCTGGACGGGAGGAATGAACAATTCCAGATGTGCTGCCTTAAGAGCTGTAACACTCACCGCAAAAGTCTGCAGCTTCACTCATGAAGCCAGCGAGACCATGAACCCACCAGAAGGAAGAAATTCCAAACATGTCTGAACATCAGAAGGAACAAACTCCAGACACACCATCTTTAAGAACTGTAACACCACGAGGTTCTGCGGCTTCATTCTTGAAGTCAGCGAGACCAAGAACCCACCAATTCTGGACACAAAAGCGTATGTGGAAATAATAGCAATAGTTCTGCATTTACCATGTGATTTATATTGGGCTATGCATTTTTAAAATCTATTATTTTACTTAATCCTTACCAATCCTAGATTGTTAAGAAGTCCTGCTAGTCCTTAAGGGAAATAATCTCTTCTTACTCTGTGCTTGTTCACATTATTTCTATACTCTGACTAAATGTAAACTTACCGAAGACAGAAACAATCTGATTCATGTTAGTCCTGCCTTGGGCATCTATAGTTGCCTGCCCAATAAATAGTAGAGTTTAAATGAGTAATTTTCAAACTTTGGGTGCATGAGAACCTTGAGTAGATCCTATTAAGAGGACAAAGATCTATTAAGAGAACAAAGATCTATAACCCACACCCCAAAAAACGACTCAGTAGATCTGAGTTTGATCTAGTGCTTATGTGAAATATTCAACAAAAGTTTACTAAATATGCAATAGGTATTATAAACTCCACCTTACAGACAAGGAAATAGAGCCGTCAGTATGTAAAGTAACTTGCTAAAAGTCATAAAACTTAGATGAGTCAGCATAAGTACAATAGACAAGGTCTCTCACTCATTCATTCCTGTATTCACTTATTCAACAGGTATCTGAATACCTCCTACAGCCTTTCTCAAGGGAAATGCATTCAGATAACAAAAATCAATTATTTCTGTACCATTAGCTGACAGTCCTGAAAAGCTTCCCTCTACCAATGTAGTACTGGAATATACATCAAAAGGGATGCAAATCAAGAAGAAAAAAGGGATGTTCTAGTTTTATTTCTAGAGATAGCAGCAACTATTTTAGAAATAGCTGTTTCCTTTGGACACTGAATTTTTTTTCAATGGGGAATAATATTTTAAAAGGCGTTTTTTCTAGGCCTGGCACAGAGGCTCAAAACGCCTGTAATCCTAACAGTTTGGGAGGCCAAGGTGGATGGATTGCTTGAGCTCAGGAGTTCAAAACCAGCCTGGGCAACAAGGGGAAACCCCAACTCTACAAAAAATACAAAAATTAGCTGGGCATGATGGCAAGAGCCTGTAGTCCCAGCTACTTGTGGGGGCTGAGGCATGAAGATCACTTGAGCCTGGGAGGTGAAGGCTGCAGTGAGCTGAGATTGTGCCAGTGCACTCCAACTTGGGTGACAATTTAAGTAAGACCCTGTCTCAAAAAAAGTGTGCCTTTTAAATGTCTTTTTCTGTTTAATGTCTTGGTCATCTTTTCACTGTCCAGAAAATTCATCTACCTCTTTAAATCTGTATTATCTTTGGTAATCCCTATCAATCTGTATTAAAAGTCCCCAATATTTTTATTAATAGTTAAAAAGACTCTGTTTCCTGCTTCTTCTGTTTAATCTCACTCATGGAAAAATAGTTCCTACTAGGTCTGAATTTTTTTTTTTTTAGACAGGGTCTCACTCTGTCACCTAGGCTGCAGTGCAGTGACACAATCTCCACTCACTGCCACCTCCACCTCCCAGGCTCAAGCAATACTCCCACCTCAGCCTCCCGAGTAGCTGGGACCACAGACATGTACCACCATGCCCAGCTAATTTTTTGTAATTTTATTAGAGATAGCATTTCATCATGCTGCCCAAGCTGATGTCAAACTCCTGGGCTCAAGTGATCTGCCTGTGTTCGCCTCTCAAAATGCTGGGATTGATTATAGGTGTGCACCACCCTGCCTGGCCCTGAACTTAGAGATTAAACTTTATTTCTTATATTCCACAAATTTCACATAATCACAAGTAAACATCTCATGTTTATGCTGAGCAGAGTGAGAGGTGACAGCGTGCTGGCAGCCCTCGCAGCCCTCACTCGCTCTCAGTGCCTCCCCGGCCTCTGCACCCATTCTGGCCACGCCTGAGGAGCACATCAGCCTGCCGCTGCACTGCGGGAGCCCTTCTCTGGGCTGGCCGAGGCCAGAGCTGGCTCCCTCAGCTTGCGGGGAGGTGTGGAGGGAAAGGCACAGGTGGGAACCAGGGCTGCAGGCAGTGCTTGCGGGTCAGCTAGAGTTCTGGGTGGGTGTTGGCTCGGCGGGCCCTGCACTCGGAGCGGCCCCAGGCAGTGAGGGGCTTAGCACCCGGGCCAGCAGCTGCGGAGGGTGCGCTGGGTCCCCCAGCAGTGCCAGCCCACCGGCCCTGCACTCGATTTCTTGCCAGGCCTTAGCTGCCTCCCCGTGGGGCAGGGGACCTGCATCCTGCCATACCTGAGCCTCCCCCACCCCCGCCCCGCCGTGGGCTCCTGCATGGCCTGAGCCTCCCCGACGAGTGCTGCCCCCTGCTCCATGGCACCTGGTCCCATCGACCGCCCAAGGGCTGAGGAGTGTGGGCACACGGCGTGGGACTGGCAGGCAGCTCCACCTGTGGCCCCGGTGTGGGATCCACTGGGTGAAGCCAGCTGGGCTCCTGAGTCTAGTGGGGACTTAGAGAAACTTTATGTCTAGCTAAGGGATTGTAAATACACCAATCAGCACTCTGTATCTAGCTCAGGGTTTGTAAATACACCAATTGACACTCTGTATCTAGCTAATCTAGTGGGGACGTGGAAAACTTTTGTGTCTGTCTCAGGGATTGTAAACACACTAATCAGCACCCTGTCAAAACGGACCAATCAGCTCTCTGTAAAACAGACCAATGGGCTCCCTGTAAAATGGACCAATCAGCAGGACGTGGGTGGGGCCAGATAAGAGAATAAAAGCAGGCCGCCTGAGCCAGCAGTGGCAAGCCACTGGGGTCCCCTTTCACACTGTGGAAGCTTTGTTCTTTTGCTCTTTACAATAAATCTTGCTACTGCTCTTTGGGTCCACACTGCCTTTATGAGCTGTAACACTCACCATGAAGGTCTGCAGCTTCACTCCTGAAGCCATCAAGACCACAAAACCACCGGGAGGAACGAACAACTCCAGACGCGCCGCCTTAAGAGCTGTTTAACACTCACCACGAAGGTCTGCAGCTTCACTCCTGAGCCAGTGAGACCACGAACCCACCAGAAGGAAGAAATTCCGAACACATCCGAACATCAAAAGGAACAAACTCTGGACACGCTGCCTTTAAGAACTGTAACACTCGCCGTGAGGGTCCACGGCTTCATTCTTGAAGTCAGTGAGACCAAGAACCCACCAATTCCAGACACAAGAGTACTGACCTACTTACTAGAGTGTATTCATCAGATATGTAGAGTCTAATAATGGTAAGTATAAGATCCAACATAAGGAAAAAATACAACATGAAGAAATTGTCCTGTGTGTATAATTTCAAATTAATACATATAATTGGACAAATAAAATATCCACTTCCCAATTAAAGTCTTTTTCTAGGTCATAAAATAAACCTTACTTTCAAACTTGTGCAATTCAGCAGAAAAAAATGTTTTGTTCTAGACCCTTTCAAGTGCCCCGTGACCTTCTCCCGCAATGATTAAAAAAAAAAAAAACCCTATTGCCAACATCTATACTTGCTGCCTTAAAGCATGCGTATGCAAATCAATAAAAAATGCTTCTTGTTGTACAGGAACAGGAGCAGGTCAGTAGACAAGGAACTTCCTGCTTTGGTATGCTTCCTGTTTTCTGCTATCAGGACATACCTGTAAGTAGTAATCAGGATCACTGAAAAAACAAATTGAGAAGTAGAGAAAAAAAATGACTTGTTGCCAACCCACGTGAATTCAAGCTAATTCATCCTGTTTATTTAGTTCCTGTTTCAGCTTGGTTAATGACACTTCCCTGGAATGTATTTGTTTAGGAGTCCAAGCAGAGACATTTCTTACTAGGAAAACAGGCCCAGGGTGAACCCAGAGATTTAGAGGAAAAGAAACCTAACGGGGAAATATTTTAAGCTTCTCAAGTAAACTAACTCAAGAAACTTTCTTTCTAAAAGATGTTTTCCTTTACCCAAGATTTTGTTCAATATTTCTTCAGTAGCTACAATTTACCAGGGACTGTAGAGATTACATCTGTGTCAATACATACTGCATTCTTTTTTAGAACAGAGTTCTGATTTACTTCAATTGGGTTTCTAAGAGACATAGAGTCTTCCTAGAAAAGCAGAAATTTATGACCAGAAGGCAGTTTTGTTAATAGTCCAGAAGCTTCCTTATAACCTTTTTTTAAAAAAAGATTTTCAGGAAAGACAACCATTACAATCTTCTCAACTTCGCTACTGATATAAACCATATTATCCATGAAAATGCATTGTTTCACACAATTTACATGCATTATCTCATTTGTTCTTCACGATGACCCAACCAAGTTAGGCACTATTTTGTCCTTGCTGTAGAAGAGGAAACTGTAAAGCAACTTGCCCTACCTGACAGAGCTAGTAGTGGTAGAGCCAGGATTTGAATTCAAGTAGGTCTAACTTGGAAGCTAGTGCTCAAGTGTGTCTGATTTGGAAGCTACCACTTCATTAGGTGGTGCTTGTACAAACAGCCTTAAATACAGCACTCAGGTGTAATAACCATGGTTCAGTCAGATGTTGAATGCATTTTTCTAAATATTTCTCTGATTGAAACCAATCTCTCCATCTCAATTCCTTCAAAGCTTGCCTTAAATACTAGATCCTAAAGAAGTCCCTCCTAGTCCTTTAAGGAACGAATTAATCTCTCTCCTTTGCTTGTGCACATTCTGTTCTCTATATGTAAGCTTTTTTGAGAATGGAACCAGGCTGATTTCCTATGCACTCCTGGTGCTTCTCATACAGAAGTAAAAGGACCATATCATACTTAAAGAAACAGGCCTCCAACAGCTGTTTGTAATGCTGAATTCAAATCATGTTCTAAAGAGGCAAGAATAAATAAGCATTAATTTCTACTCTGCTCAA
The DNA here is from genome assembly GCF_000001405.40 of Homo sapiens. Classification (NCBI taxonomy): domain Eukaryota; kingdom Metazoa; phylum Chordata; class Mammalia; order Primates; family Hominidae; genus Homo; species Homo sapiens. The sequence continues at coordinate 79,567,828 of NC_000012.12, forward strand.
AAAATAGTTTTTATAACTTCCTATACCATATGGCTTGATAGTATTTTGTAATCCCTAGTCTTTCTTCTAAACAGACCTGTGCTGCAGACTAATTTTATTAGTGGTTAGATACCTCAGTTTTCAGGTACTGGTAAATATCTGATTTAATTTATATCATCATGAGATCTCAAATAAATAAAATATCTCCCTCAGCCTTATTTCCCCATCTTCAAATAGATTGATCAACTTCTAAACAGTCAGGAAGACGTTATAAACTCATGTGAGGCCAAATAACAGAAACTTCTCAAGTATCCTAAGGAGGGAATTTAAGTTGTTTTAAGAGTTTTTAAAAATCAATGTATAAAAGGCTAAATAAATACTATTCTAAGTTAATAAATGAGCCAGGTACAGTAAATCCCCCAAACTGGATCTAATTCCCCAACATGTTCTCCTCAAATGAAATAAATCTTTACATAAGAATCACAACAAAATAATAAAATGTCGGCCAGGCGCAGTGGCTCATGCCTGTAATCCCAGCACTCTGGGAGGCTGAAGCGGGTGGATCACCTGAGGTCAGCAGATCGTGACCAGCCTGGCCAACATGGTGAAACCCCATCTCTACTAAAAAATACAAAAAATTAGCCGAACATGGTGGCACACGCCTGTAATCCCAGCTACTCTGGAGGCTGAGGCAGGAGAATCGCTTGAACCTGGGAGGCGGTGGTTGCAAGTGAGCCGAGACTGCGCCACTGCACTCCAGCCTAGGTGATAGAGCGAGACTCCATCTCAAAAAAAAAAAAAAAAAAGAATAAAGTGTCTTGACCATTCAATTCCCCCCTCCACCCACCAAAACAGTAAAAGGATGATGATTTCAACCATAGTGGGAGTGTTTCTCAAGTAACTAGATACAAAGAGCTTGTCAAGTACACTGTACTTTCACCTCAATTGCAGATCTCAGAAGGAAAAACACAGGAAGAATAAATAGATTTAATTGTGGGTGACTTTGGGAATTTTATGAGCTATAGGAACTCAGATATTTGGAAATCCATTACAAAATTAAGAACACAAACTGAGTGTAAACAATTACAAATGCTTTAGAGGATCAGAATGTATGAGAAAATGTGGGATTCTCACTGCCCACCAAGTACTTAATAGCACTGGCCATTAAGGACATGACTTCTGGGCAAAAATAAAATTCATGTATAGGAGGTGGGCTTCAAGATGGCCAACTAGAAGCATTTCATGCTAGCCTCCTCCAGTTACAAGAACCAAAATACGCAGGGTGCGGTGGCTCATGCCTGTAATCTCATCACTTTGGGAGGCTGAGTGGGGCAGATCACGAGGTCAGGAGTTTTGAGACCAGCCTGGCCAACATTGTGAAACCCCGTCTCTACTAAAAATACAAAAATTAGCCGGGCATAGTGGCGTGCACCTGTAGTCCCAGCTACTCGGGAGGCTGAGGCAGAACTGCTTGAACCCAGGAGGTGAAAGTTGTGATGAGCCAAGATCACAGCACTGCACTCCAGCCCGGACAACAGAGCAAGACTCCATCTCAAAAAAAATAATAATAATAATAATAAACAATCACGCTTCAAACTATCCAAAAGAGAATACTAGAATTTAACAGAAAAGTGTCATGAGATAATAAAAGCACAAAAGGAGAAGGAACAAAGGCAGTCTGTTTGGCTGGGAGCCATGGGCGACTTCCCAGTGTGGGGAGAGGTGAGAGACATTTAGGAGTACACATCTCTACCATGGAATTATGCATTCCTGACCACAGTAGAGCCAAGAGACCATGGGACAGAACTGCTGTCTCACATACCTTCTGAGCCCTAAGTGGCTACAGCAAGGCATCATTTTCAAACCTGGGCTTTGGCAGACTGCACTGTGTGCTGGATCCAAGCAGCACCGGTACTGATGAAATAGGGAAACTGAGACTGTCATTGCTGGAACTGGGGCACAAACTTGGGAGCACTCCTGTTGGTAGGGCTAAGCAGCCAGTGAGATATGAGCTGCAGCTGCCAGTCCTGTGCCCTTCTAGGACTGGGCCATGAGTTGGATGCAGTCTCTACCTGCCAACCCAGGCTGTGGCCACTGGGGCCAGCTTCGCCCTCTCCAGTGGCAGGGTGTCAGGGCAGCTGCTACCACTAATCATGTAAGCATTCTGCCTGGGACCTGAGATCACCTGGTTCCAGTCCACCAAGGCTGGTGCCGACTCTCACCATTGGGGGACTTCAGCAAAAGCCCACCTAGCCTGATTTCACCTCTACACTCCTAACGAGAGACAGGAAACTGCTCAGGACCCAGAAGATTGTTCTGCCACCGCTACTGCCATTGTCCACACAATGCTGAATGCTCAGGGGCCTGAAAATCTGCCCACCTGCCTAGTCCACCGCTGCCACTACTGGAATACAAACAAGCCATCTGGTAGACCAAGAATCAGCCCACTGGTAACTGCCAACGCAAGTGACAGCGTACGACACCCTGGGACACAAAGATAGCCATAGTCAACCTACTGCTGCTACCACTAAGGCCTGAAAACTGGCTTACTTGACATCCCAGTCCCCAGCACACAGCTTCACCACAGCCTTCACTAATAACAGTAAACTAACCCACAGAGGAAATCACAGATACTACTAATGCTGTTTATAGCTGAAGAAATAACACAGAGAGTACACTACTGCATACATCAAAAATCAAAGCCAAACTACCCTACACAACCAACACCACAGATATATCTTAAGGAAAAATTCTCTCCTACACAAGTAAATCCAGGCCGGGTGCAGTGGCTCACCCTTGGAATCCCACCACTTTGGGAGGCCAAGACAAACAGATCACCTGAGGTCAGGAGTTCAAGACCAGCTTGGCCAACATGGTGAAACCCTGTCTCTACTAAAAATATAAAAATTAGCCAGGTGTGGTGGTGCGTACCTGTAAGCTCAGCTATTTGGGAGGCTGAGGCAGGAGAATCACATGAACCTGGGAGGTGGAGGTTGCAGGGAACCAAGATCGTGCCACTGCACTCCTGCTTGGGCAACAGAGTGAGTCTCCATCTCAAAAAAAAAAAAAGGAAATTCAAAAATAGGAAAAAGCAACTGTTACAGCAGATGTACAGATATAAATGTAAGGTCATAAGAAACATGAAAAAACGAATATGACACTTACAAAGGAATATCATAATTCTCCAGCAATATCTCTCTTTTTTTGAGATGGAGTCTCCCTCTGCCACCCAGGCTGGAGTGCAGTGGCGTGATATCAGCTCAGTGCAAGCTCCACCTCTCCTGCCTCAGTACCTGAGTAGCTGGAACTACAGGTGCCTGCCACTACGCCCAGCTAATTTTTTGTATTTTTAGTAGAGATGGGGTTTCACCATGTTAGCCAGGATGGGCTTGATCTCCTGACCTCGTGATCCGCCCACCTTGGCCTCCCAAAGTGCTGGGATTACAGGCGTGAGCCAACGTGCCCAGCCTTCTTTTTTTTTTTTTTTTTTTTTTTGAGATGGAGTTTCGCTCTGTCACCCAGGCTGGAGTGCAGTGGTGGTGTGATCTCGGCTCACTGCAAGCTCCGCCTCCTGGGTTCAAGTGATTTTCCTGCCTCAGCCTCCCGAGTAGCTGGGACTACAGGTGCACACCACCATGCCGGGCTAATTTTTGTATTTTTACAAAATTAATTTTGTATTTTTACAACACGTTGGCCAGGATGGTCTCGATCTCCTGACCTTGTGATCTGCCTGCCTTGGCCTCCCAAAGTGCTGGGCTTACAGGCGTGAGTCACTGTGCCCAGCCAGCAATACCTCTTAATCAAAAAAATTTTCTTTCTGACTCCAGAAATAGAAAAAAAAACATTCAAAATCCCAGATAAAAGATTCAAAATATTGATTTTAGAGCTCAGTGAGAAACAAGACAATTCTGAAAAATAATACCAAAATAAACCAGAAAAACAATTCAGGATATAAATGAGAAATTTACCAAAGTGATAGAAATTTTTAAAAAGAACTATACAGAAATTCTGGAATTGAAGAATTTACTGAAGAAAATATAAGACATATTAGAAAGCTTCAACCATAAACTAGGTCAAGCAGAAGAAAGGATCTCAGAACTTGAAAACAAATCTTTTAAAATAATCCAGTTGGGGAAAAAAAAGAAAAAATAATAAAAAGTAATGAGCAAAGCCTAGGTGACACTTGGGACCACATAAAGAAATCAAATTTAGGGCCAGGTGTGGTGGCTCACACCTGTAATCCCAGCACTTTGGGATGCCGAGGCGGTCAGATCACCTGAGGTCAGGAGTTTGAGACCAGCCTGACCAACATATAGAAACCCTGTCTCTACTAAAAATATAAAATTAGCCGGGCATTGTGGTGCATGCCTGTAATCCCAGCTACTCGGGAGGCTAAGGCAGGAGAATCACTTGAACCCAAGAGGTAGGGGCTGCAGTGAGCCAAGATCACCTGGGCAACAAGAGTAAAATGCCGTGTTAAAAAAAAAAGAAAGAAAGAAAATTTAGGTTGGGAGAGGTGGCTTACACCTGTAATCCCAGCACTCTGGAAGGCCGAGGTGGGGGGATCACTTGAGGTCAGGATTCGAGACCAGCCTAGGCAACATGGTAAAACCCAATGTCCACCAAAAAATACAAAAATTACCCAGGTGTGATGGTGCATGCCTGTAGTCCCCAGCTACTCAGGAGGTTGAGGCAGAAGAATAGCTTGAACCTGGGAGGTGGAGGTTGCAGTAAGCCAAGATTGTGCCACTGCACTGCAGCCTGGGCAAGAGTGGACTGCATCTCAAAAAAAAAAAAAAAAGAAAAGAAAAGAAAAGAAAAGAAAGAAAGAAATCAAATTTCAAGATAATAGATGAAAATTGCTTAAGTCAAGGAAGAGATTTAGATATTCAGATACAGAAGCCTCAGGAATATCCAGGTAGATACAATGCAAAAAGTTCTTCTTCCATGTCACATTGTACTCAGATTGTCTAAAGTCAAAGATAAAGAAAAATCCTAAAAACAGCATAAGAAAAGCATCCAGTCACCTCTAAAGAAAACCCCATCAAACTTACAGCAGATTCCTCTGCAGAAACCTTATACATAAGAAGAGAATGAGATAATATATTCAAAGTGCTGAAAAGACAAAACTGTCTGCCAAGGATACTATATGTAGGAAAATTATCCTTCACAAATGAAGGAGAAATGAAGTATTTTCTGGACAAGCAAATGCTGAGAGAATTTATGTATTACCACTAGACTACAAGAAATGCTCAAAGGAATCCCAAACTTAGAAGTGAACGGATGCCACTTACCATTGTGAAAATATGCAAAAGTACAGGCCGGGCGCAGTGGCTCGTGCCTGTAATCCCAGCACTTTGGGAGGCCAAGATGGGTGGATCATGAGGTCAGGAGTTCAAGACCAGCCGGGTCAAGGTGGTGAAACCCCATCTCTACTAAAAATACCAAAAATTAGCCGGGCGCGGTGGCAGGCACCTGTAATCCCAGCACTTCAGGAGGCTGAGGCAGGATAATCACTTGAACTCAGAGGGAGGAGGTTTCAGTGAGCCAAGATCGCGCCACTGCACTCCAGCCTGGGTGACAGAGTGAGACTCCCTCTCGAAAAAAAAAAAAAAATATATATATACACACACACACACACACACACACACACACGTACGAAACTCACTGGTAAAGCAGTCACACAAAAGAGAAAGAGAAAGGACTCAAATGGCCCCATTTGAAAAATCTACCAAACTACAATGACAAACAATAAGAGAAAAAGGAAAAATAATATATAAAATCACCAGAAAACAATGAACAATTATGACAGGAACATAATAACCCTGAAGGTAAATGGATTAAATTCTCCACTTAAAAGATATAGAGTAGCTGAATGAATGCAAAAGCATGATCCAACTTTATGCTGCTTACAAGAAACTCATGTTAGCGAGAGGTGACAGCGTGCTGGCAGCCCTCGCAGCCCTCGCTTGCTCTCGGCGCCTCCTCAGCCTTGGCGCCCACTCTGGCCATGCTTGAGGAGCCCTTCAGCCTGCCGCTGCACTGTGGGAGCCCCTTTCTGGGCCAGCCAAGTCCGGAGCCAGCTCCCTCAGCTTGCAGGGAGGTGTGGAGGGAGAGGCGCGGGCAGGAACCGGGGCTGTGTGCAGTGCTTGCGAGCCAGCGCGAGTTCCGGGTGGGCATGGGCTTGGTGGGCCCCGCACTCAGAGTGGCCGGCCGGCCCCAGGCAGTGACGGGATTACCACCTGGGCCAGCAGCTGCTGTGCTCGATTTCTCGCCGGACCTTAAGCTGCCTCCCCATGGGGCAGGACTCGGGACCTGCAGCCCGCCATGCCTGAGTCTCCCCCTGCCACCCGCCGTGGGCTCCTGCGCAGCCTCAGTCTCCCCAATGAGTGCCACCCCCTGCTCCACGGTGCCCAGTCCCATCAACCGCCCAAGGGCTGAGGAGTGCGGGCGCACAGCACGGGACTGGCAGGCAGCTCCACCTGTGGCCCCAGTGCGAGATCCATTGGGTAAAGCCAGCTAGGCTCCTGAGTCTAGTGGGGACTTGGAGAATCTTTGTCTAGCTAAGGGATTGTGAATGCACCAATCGGCACTCTGTATCTAGCTCAGGGTTTGTAAATACACCAATCAACACTCTGTATCTAGCTAATCTAGTGGGGACGTGGAGAACTTTTGTGTCTCTCTCAGGGATTGTAAACATACCAATCAGCACCCTGTCAAAACAGACCAATCAGCTCTCTGTAAAACAAACCAATCGGCTCTCTGTAAAATGGACCAATCAGCAGGATTTGGGTGGGGCCAGATAAGATAATAAAGGTAGGCTGGCCAAGCCAGCAGTGGCAACCCGCTCCGGTCCCCTTCCACACTGTGGAAGCTTTGTTTTTTTGCTCTTTTCAATAAATCTTGCTGCTGCTCACTCTTTGGGTCCACACTGCCTTTATGAGCTGTAACACTCACCGCGAAGGTCTGCAGCTTCACTCCTGAAGCCAGTGAGACCACGAACCTGCCGGGAGGAACGAACAACTCTAGCCATGCCGCCTTAAGAGCTGTAACACTCACCGTGAAGGTCTGCAGCTTCACTCCTGAGCCAGCGAGACCACGAACCCACCAGAAGAAAGAAACTGCAAACACATCCGAACATCAGAAGGAACGAAATCCGGACACACCACCTTTAAGAACTGTGACGCTCACCGCGAGGGTCCGCAGCTTCATTCTTGAAGTCAGTGAGACGAAGAACCCACCAATTCCGGACACATTAGCACTAAAGAAACAGTTTGAAAGTGATGGAAAAAGATATTCTACATAAACAGAATTCAAAAGCAAGCAAGAATAACTATACTTGTATCAGATAAAACGACTTTAAGTCAAAAACAGTAAATAAAGACAAAGGTCTTTGTGTAAGGATAAAAGGATAAGTCTAGCAAGAGGTTATAACAATTTTAAATATATATGCATCTAACTCAAGGAGCACCCAGATTCATAAAGCAAATATTACTAGATCTAAACAGAGAGAAAGACTGTAACACAATTGTGGGGGACTTCGAGATTTAAGTCCCAGCATTAGAGAGATGACCTAGAGAGAAATTCAACAAAGAAACGTGGATTTAAATTGGACATTAGACCAAATGTACCTAACAGACATTTACAGAACATTCCCCAAACTGCAAAATATACATTCTTTTCATATATATGAGACATTCTCCAGGACAGACCATATGTTAGGCCACAAAACAAGTCTCGATTGATTGATTGATTGATTGATTGATTGATTTAGAGATGGTGTTTCGCTCTGTTGCCCAGGCTGGAGAGCAACAGCTCGATTTGAGCTCACTGCAACCTCCACCTCCCAGGTTCAAGTGATTCTCCTGCCTCAGCCTCTCAAGTAGCTGGGATTACAGATGCCCACAACCACACCTGGCTAATCAATCTATCTATCTATCTATCTATCTATCTATCTATCTATCTATATATGTTTTTGGGTTTTTTTTTTTTTTTTTTTGAGATGGAGTCTCACTCTGTCACCCAGGCTGAGTGCAGTGGCACTATCTCGGCTCACTGCAAGCTCCGCCTCCTGGGTTCACACCATTCTCCTGCCTCAGCCTCCCGAGTAGCTGGGACTACAGGTGCCTGCCACCACGCCCGGCAAATTTTTTGTATTTTTAGTAGAGACAGGGTTTCACCACGTTAGCCAGGATGGTCTCAATCTCCTGACCTCGTGATCTGCCCACCTCGGCCTCCCAAAGTGCTGGGATTACAGGTGTAAGCCACCACGTCCGGCCTAATTTTTATATTTTTAGTAGAGATGGGGTTTCACTATGTTGGCCAGGCTGGTGTCAAATTCCTGACCTCAGGTGATCCACCCACCTTGGCTTTCCAAAGTGCTGAGATTACAGACATGAGTCACTGTGCCCGGCTCAACAAATTTTTAAAAATCAAAATCATACCAAGTATCTTTTCAGACAATAGAATAAAACTAAAAGTCAGTAACAAAAGTAACTCTGGAAACTATACAAATACATGGAAATTAAACAGCATGCTCCTGAATGACAACTGAGTCAATGAAGAGATTAAAACAGAAATTTCTTTTAACGCCTTGAAACAAATAAGAATGGAAATGCAATTTATCAAAACCTGTGAGATATGTAAAAGCAGTGCTAAAAGGGAAGTTTGTGGTAATAAATAACTACATCAAAACAGCAGAAAGATTACAAATGAACAATCTAACAATGCACCACAAGGAGCTAGAAAAGCAAGCACAAACCAAACTCAAAATTAACACAAGAAAAGAAATAATAAAGATTACAGCAGAAATAAATGAAGTAGAGAATAAAAAGCACAAAAGATAATGAAAAGTTGGTTTTCCTTAAACATTATAAACCTCTAGCTAGAATAACTAAGATAGAAGAAACAAATATACGAAATCAGAAATAAAAAAGGAAACACTACAAGTGATACTGCAGAAACAGAAGAGATCATCAGAGACTATGAATAAATATATGCCGACAAACTGAAAAACCTAGAGAAAATGGATAAATTCCTGAAAACACACAGCCTATCAAGATAGAATCAGGAATAGAAAACCTGAACAGACCAAGAATGAGTAATGAGATTTTATCAATAAAAAGTCTCCCAAAAAAGAAAAGCCCAAGACTGCATGAATTCATAGCTGAATTATACCAAATGTACAAATGAGAACTAATACAAGTCCTCTTGATATTATTTCAAAAACTGAAGAGAAGGGAATTCTAACTCATTCTATGAGGCCAGCATCCCTCTGATTCGAAATCAGACAAAGATGTAACAATAAAAAGGAAAACTACAGGCCAATATCCCTGATATTGATATAGAGATGCAACGATTATCAATGAAGTACTACCTAATCATATTCAACAGCACATCAAAAAAATACATGATTACCAAGTAGGATTTATCTCAGGGATGCAAGCAAAGATGGTTCAATATACACAAATCCATAAACATGATACATCACATCAACAGTATGAAGAACAAAAACCACATGACCTTCACAATGATTTCAGAAAAAGCATTTGGTAAAATTCAACATGCCTCAACTGCCTCAACATAAGAAAGACCAGACACGACAAACCCATACCTAACATGGTGTTGAATGGGGAAAACCTAATTAGAACAAGTCACTACTCCTATTCAACACAGCACTGGAAGTGCTAGCCAGAGCAATCATGCAAGGGAAATAATAAAAGGCATCCAAATTGGAAGAGGGAAAGTCAAATGATTCCTCTTTGCTGATAATACAATCTTGTATCTAAAACAAACTAAAGACTACACCAAAAACACCTCTTAAATTTGATAAATGAATTCAGTAAAGTTGCAGGATACAAAATCAACATACAAAAATCAGTTGCATTTCTATACACCAGTAATAATCTAGCCAAGACAGAAATGAAGGCAATCCCATTTACAATAGAAACACACACACACACACAAAAGGATGAAATGCCTAGGAATAAATTTAAGCAAGGAGGTGAAAGATCTCTGTAAAGGAAAACTACAGGCCAGGCACAGTGGGGCTCACGCCTGTAATCCCAGCACTTTGGGAGACCAAGGCAGTATGTAATCCCAGCTACTTGGGAGGCTGAGGCAGGAGAATAGCTTGAACCCAGGAGGCAGAGATTGCAGTGAGCCAAGATCGCAGCATTGCACTCCAGCCTGGACAACAAGAGTGAAACTCCATCTCAAATAAGAAAAAAAAAAAAAAACACTACAAAACACTGATGCAGTCCTAGCTACTAGAGAGGCTGTGATGGTAGTATCACTTTGAGCCCAAGAGTTTGAGGCTGCAGTAAGCTATGATCATGCCACTGTACTCCAGCCTGGGCAACAGAGCTAGACCCTGTCTCTAAAAACAGTGATAACAAAAAACACTGATGAAAAAAATTGGTAACACAAACAAATGGAAAAACATACCATATTCAAGGACTGAAGAGTATCATTAAAATGACCATATTGCCCAAAGCAATCTACAGATTCAATACAATCTGTATCAAAATAGCAATGTCATTTTTCACAGAATTAGAAAACACAATCCTAAAATTCATATGGAACCAAAAAAGAGCCTGAATAGCCAAAGCAATCCTGAGCAAAAAGAACAAAGCTGGAGGTATCACATTACTTGACTTTAAAATACACTACAAGGGTACAGTCACCAAAACAACATGGTATCGGTATACAAACAGACACATAGACCAATGGAACGGAAGTGAGAACCCACAAATGGGATAAAGCTAAATGTTTACAGTCAACTGACAAAGCTAACAAGAACTTACAATGGGGAAAGGACATTTCTTCAATAAATGGTGCTAGGAAGATTGAATAACCAGATGCAGAAGAATAAACTAGGACCCCTATCTCTCGCCGCATACAAAACCAACTCAAGATGGATTAATGACTTAAATGCAAGACCCGGAACTATAAAACTACTATAAGAAAACATAAGGAAAACACTTCAGGACTGTATTAATCCTTTCTCACGCTGCTATAAAGATACCGAGACTGAGTAATTTATAAAGGAAAGAGGTTTAATTGGCTCAAAGTTCCGGAGGCCTCAGGAAACTTACAATCAAGGTGAAAGGCGAAGGGGAAGCAAGACACATCTTACATGGTGGCAGGAGGGCAGGGAGCGCCAGATACTTACCAAACAACCAGATCTCCTGAGAACTCACTACCGTGAGAACAACAAGAGGAGAATCTGCCCCTATGATCCAATCACCTCCCACCAGGTCCTCCCTCAACATGTGGGGATTACAATTTGATATGAGATTTGGGTAAGGCCACAGACCCAAATCATGTCAAGGATATTGATCTAAATAAAGATTTTAGAGCTAAGACCTCAAAAGCACAAACAACAAAACAAAAATAGACAAATAGGACTATAAACTATAAAGCTTCTGCACAACAAAGGAAACAATCAACTAAGTGAAGAGATAACATGTTGAATGGAGAAAATATTTGAAAACTATTCATCTGACAAGGGACTAATATCCAGAATATATGAGGAACTCAAATAACAGTAATAAATAATAATAATCCCATAAAAAATTGGGCAAAGGACATGACTAGACATTTCTCAAATGAAGTTATACAAATAGCCAATAGGTATATAAAAAAATGCTGAACATCACTAATCATCAGGGAAATGCAAAACAAGACCAAAATGAGGTATCATCTTACCCCAGTCAGAATGGTTATTATTAAAAAGACAAAATATCTGATGCTAGCAAGGATGCAGAGAAAAGGGAACTCTTATACACTGTTGGTGGAAATATAAACTAACACAGCCATTATGGAAAACAAGTATGAAGAATTCTCAAAATACTAAGAGTAGAATTACCATTTCATCCAGCAACCCCACTGCTAGGTATCTACTAAAGGAAAAGAAATCAATATATCAAAGCAATAGTTGCACTCACATGTTTTTTGTAGCACTATTCACAATAGCAAAGATATAGAATCCACCTAAGAGTCCATCAATGAATAGATGGATAAAGAAAATGTGGCATATATACACAATGGAAAATTATTCAACCATAAAAAAGAAAAAAATCATGTTATTTGCAGGAACATGGATGAAACTGGAGGTCATTATGTTAAGTGAAATAAACCAGGCACAAAGAAAGAAAAAGTGCACACTTTCACTTATATGTGGAAGCTACAAAATTTGATCACATGCAGATAGAGAATGGAAAGATACTAGAGACTGGGAAGGGTGAGGGGGAGGAAAGAGATTAAAGAGAAGTGGCTTAAAGAATACAAAAATAAAGTTAGACAAAATGAATAAATTCAATGTTTGATAGCTGAGTAAACTGACTGTAGTTAAGACAAAAGTATTGTACTTAGGTGATGGACACTCTAAATAACCTGACTTGATCACTATGTATTATAAACACATAACAAAATTTCAAATGCACTCCATGTATTTGTGCAAATAAAGTAATAAAATTCATTTAACAAAAATTAATGGAAACATAAATTTGTGCCCCAAATCCCCATTCTCAATTTCTAAAGATTAAGGGAATAAATCTGTCTTTTCCAAACATTAGACCTATCAGCATAATTTTTTCATCACAAATTATTACCCATGACATGTATTGACACCATCTCTGTCAAAAAACAAGTGGAGTTCAATTCTCATCTTTTGGAAAGGATCAAAGAACATTCTAACAACCAGTCCTCAATTCTGTGTCAACACTCTTTCATTGGGTAACTAAAAATTAAAATGGTGTTGGCTAGGATTTTTTTGTTCACTACTATGTTCCTAGTACCTAGAACAGAGCAAAAAGTAGGCACACAATAAGTATTTGTGAACCAATACAAAAGACAAAATGCAAGAATTTTAGGCTTCAGTTGCTTTCCACATTCTGGAAGAAAACAGTGGACCCTTCCTTTTGGATGGAGGTACTCAGGGAGCAGAGGAAGGGTTTTGCCAGAATTATGAAGTGGCGTCCCAGGTGATGGCTGCCAGTAACTGGGCTTTATTCCAAGCACTGCAGAGGGTCCTGGTGGTTCCATCAGTCAAAAGGGCAACTTCACAGCCTGTTTTGAGCCATCAACCAACACTTTCCTCATCAGGACTGCCTCACAACCAGCTGTGAAAACTTACCAATGACTGGCACCTCCACACAGACCTTCACTCAGATGTGGCTAGAGATGAAGTATCTAATCAGGAGCACAATTTGGGCATCACTTTTTAAATTATGTATTTAATTTACATAGTTCTGATGTCCTTTCACACCTAATGAATATCTATAAATTTTTACATAGTTATGTGGCTACTACCTAATTTGAACACAACTACTAAAAAAAGTCTTGCTTTTTATAGTCAATCTCCTGAAGTTCCTAACATACATGTATAGATTTGAATTTTCAAAAAAAAAAAAAATCAACATAGAGTCAGTCGTCCCTCAGTATCTTTGGGGGATTGGGTCTAGGATCCCCTATGGATACCTATGAATACCAATTATCTGTGTAGTATTTGCATATAGCCTATGCATATCCTCCTGCATACTTCATCAGCCCTAGATTACTTACAATACCTAATACAATGTAAATGCTCTGTAAATAGTTACACTGTATTTTTAAATGTGTATCTTTTTTTAACTGTTGTAATTTTAATTTTTTCCTAATACTTTCCATCTATGGTTGGTTGAATCCATAGATTGAAAATCCATGGATATATAGAGCCAACTATATGTCTATGATCTGCTGTCTTGCACAGAATGTAAGTGAGAAAATAAATTTTAAGAAGGCAAAGAAACAAGCATATTTCTGTCACCTTAAATATGCAGTGAAAGTACAAGTTGGAGGCTGTAATCCCAGCACTTTGAGAGGCCAAGGCGGGCAGATCACCTGAGGTCAGGAGTTCAAGACCAGCCTGGCCAACATGGTGAAACCCCGTCTTTACTAAAAATACAAAAGTTAGCCAGGCGCGGTGGCAGGCACCTGTAATTCCAGCTACTTTGGAGGTTGAGACAGGATAAGTGCTTGAACCCAGGAGGCGGAGGTTGCACTGAGCTGAGACAGTACCACCACACTCCAGCCTGGGCAACAGAGCAAGACAGTCTCAAAAAAAAAAAAAAAAAGAAAGTACAAGTTGGAAAATATTTCAAAGTCCTTACAGACTTTACAGTTAAGAACTCCATAAATGGGCCAGGTGCAGTGGCTCATGCCTGTAATCCCAGCACTTTGGGAGGCTCAGTTGGGTGGATCACCTGAGGTCAGGAGTTCAAGACCAGCTTGACACATGGAGAAACCCTGTCTCTACTAAATACAAAAATTAGCCAGGTGTGGTGGTGGGCACCTGTAGTCCCAGCTACTCGGGAGGCTGAGGCAGGAGAAATGCTTGAACTGCGGGGCGGAGGTTGCAGTGAACTGAGATTGTGCCACTGCACTCCAGCCTGGACGACAGAGCAAGACTCTGTCTCAAAAACAACAACAACAACAACTCCATAAATGCCCTCTTGTTTTTTATACCATCTAATAATTTAGATGGTTATCAGGCTTTAATTACCTGCAAAAGAAGGTAACCTGGAGGTCCTGAAAACAAAATGTACAAGACGAGATTGGAACGTCTTATGCCAGAAAACAAGGAAGTTATTGATAACCAAAATGATACAGGAACCAACTTGAAGGGGCTTCCACTGGCCAAAGATGAGACGATTTGGACATAAAAAAATAATTACTGCAATGGAGTAAAGCTCATGAAATAAATAAACTCATTACTTACCTCTGGAGGTTACTAAGCTATAGCCCATTATTATAAAATTAGTAAAGAATCAGTATGATTTTATCTTTCTTGTATTTTAGGGAAACCAAGCAGTTGATGAGAAAAGTTTCTCTAAAGAACTCCAACTACTCATGTAAATTAATCACAGAATTAGAAAACTATCACTTTGAAATACCTAAAGATATAATGGATGTGGGCAATAATCATTAATGTTTGATAAAATTATTACACAAAAGGTTGATGGGGAGCTTTCAAATAGAGCAATAAAGATAGCATCTGAATCTACTTATCAATATTAACATCATTAAAAGTGAGACAACCAGACATTATGCATCCTCTGATGTGAATCAGTCGGAAGCACTCACCACCTATTGAATCTAATAAAGGTGTCACATCTAACAATTACCAAAAAATAGAGGTTGATAGAGGGATACATTAATACCATAGATACAGTGAAATCCAGAATGTGGGAAATTCTGTAGAGCAAATGATCTAATTTCTTCAATTTGAAAAATGGTCTAAGAATGGGGAAGAAGGGATAATTTATAGGTTAAAAGACTCAAGAGACACACTAATAAAATGCAATAGTTGACTCTCATTTGGATCCTTAACCAACACTGAAAGGACAATTTTAGAGGCATCTGGAGGAAATCTGAACACAAAGTATTAGATGATGTGACAGTCATAAAAAAAATGGACCTCTCAGATCTCCAGCTTCAGGGTGGGTAATTGACGGGCAGTTCCAGTCACTGTGGTCTGAATCCACCATGGTATTCAGCTGAGGGCACACTTCCTACTGGCTGCTCCGTGCCAACAAATGAGCATTGCAGGATTACAATGGCAGGCCCATTACTACAAGATGTGAGACTGCTCAGGAGCGGGAACATTTGGTTTGAGGACTCCCAAACAGCCTCGTTAAAACTTTTTTAGAATTACTGATGTAGTTTGACCTCCTCCAAATCTCATGTTGAAATTTTATTCCCAATGTTGGAGACAGGGCCTAGTGGCAGGTGTCTCGGTCATGGTTGCAGATGCTTCATAAACAGCTTGGTGCCATGCTCAAGGTAATGAGTTCTCACTCTAGTTCATGAGAGCTGGTTGTTTAAAAGGGCATTAAGGCCTGCTTTTCCCACTCTCTTCCATCCTCTCTTGCCATGTGACACATTGGCTCCCCTTCCTCTTCTACTGTGAGTGGAAGCGGCCTGAAGCCCTCACCTGAAGCAGATGTTAGCACCATACTTCTTGTACAACCTGCAGACCATGAGCCAAATGAACTTCTTTCTCAATTACCTCAGGTATTCCTTTATAGCAATACAAATGGACTAAAACAACTATGGATTAAGACTTCCTGTCCAACTATCCTCCTCTCCCCTTCACCAGGCAGACCTGTATCAAGTTCTGACACTTTTCTCAACCTCCTCTAGCTCCCTCTCCAATTTTCTTCACAAGTGTTTTCCCCCAATAAATCTCATGCATGCCTGCTTCTTAGGGAACCCAAAGTAAACAGATGATATTAAATAATTAATATTAATTTTGTTAGGTATAACATTGTGGTTATTCTTTTAAATTCTTACTATTAGAGATATATACTGAAGTATCTGCAGGTGAAAGGATAATTGGAGTTTAACTTTAAAACACCCCAACAAAAAAGAAAAAGGAAGCAGGACAGATAACAAAAAATTAGCAGGATATTGCTAGCGATTTTCTGTACTTTTCTGTGTATCTGAAATATCCATAGTAAAGTGAAAAATACCTGCCCAGAACTAAAAACTGTCAAGGGCATCAAAAACAAGGAAAATCTAAGAAACTGTCACAGCCAAGAGAATTTTATGGAGACACAGGTACTAAATATAATGTAGTATCCTGGACTGGACACTGGAAAAGAGAAAGGACATTAGGGGAAAATTTAGGAAATCTGAATCAAGTATGGACTTTAATAATCGTGCATAAATATTGGACGATTAACTGTGATAAATGCACAGTATTAATGTATGATGTTAGTAGGAGAAACTTGGTGTGGTGGCATATGAGAACCCTCTGTACTATCTTCACAATAACTTTATAAATCTAAAACTGTTCTCAAGTTTGTAAAAAGTAAACAGGAGTAGCTTATTTATTTATATAAAAAATGATCTTGAATCGATAAAGAGTCAATTTTATCTTTACTCATCAGGATGCAACACTGTGATTTCTCCACACTGATCAATTAGCTCAAAAGTGCTATTCATTTTCTGAGCTCACAGAAAGTATATTTTGAAGATTCAGGCTCCTCAGGGACCACCCATACAAAACACATACAAAACAAATTGTATAACTGATGAAACATACATTTATTTTTTCCAATCAAGTCTTAAAAGTTTGATGAAAGCGCATTATTGTTACCAAAAGTCTTCAGGCAATAACAGAGATAAAACTTAACACAGACAAACAATGATTTTATTCCATAGTCTCTTGGACTTGAGAATCCATTTGAGTTTCAGAAAGAATACTAAATTAATGGGGGTTATGTCAGGATGCCAATGTCCATGCTGAGGCTTCTCCTGATACAATCTTTTGCAACATAACCAACAAAGATCAGGAGCTTAAAACAAAACAAAACAAAAACAAACAAAAAACAAGTTCATGTTATTTCTACAATGTCCAAAAAGAAAGACCAAGATCTTTGCTTAAAAATAGAAATGCATACTGCAGTGGCTCAAAAACTTAGGCCTGCATCAAAATTACATGAAGCGCTTGTTAAAACAGATTGAGCCCCATCTGCAAAGTTTGTGACTCAAGTGTTGGGTGGGGCCAAATAATTTGTATTTCTAACAGGTTTCTAAGTGAAGTCAATGCTACTGGTGTCAGAAACACACTTTAAGAACCACTGGCAAAACATTTAATAAGACAATTCCATGATAAAAGTATATCATAACATAAAACCACAAAACTTTGGACTCAAAGACTAGCTTTGTGATACAATGTCACCTTACCAATCTGTACACTCCACAAGTTTTTAAAAATTAAACAATATATAAAGCACCTAACACAGCCTGGCACATACGGCTACTGAATTACTAATGAATGTTATTATGCTATCATAAGTTATGGTTAAAGTTATGCTCAAATTGTTACCTGAGATGCTTTGCTTCATTGAAACTATATTGATTATTTTTATTTTTGAGGTAGAGTCTTGCTCTGTCACCCAGGCTGGAGTGCAGTGGTGTGATCTTGGCTCACTGCAGTCTCGACCTCCCAGGCTCAAGCAATCCTTCCCCCTCAGCCTACCAAGCAGCTGGGACTACAGGTGCATGCCATCTTGCCCAGCTCATTTATTTTTTTGTATAGACGGCATAACCCTGTGTTACCCCGTTGGTATTACAGGCATGAGCCACTGCACCTAGCCAGGCATATTGGTTTTAAAAGGGTTACAAGAAACAAGATGCACTTTTAGGCCTCCTATAATCCTGCATTTCCAAAGCATCCATTTAGTCATCTCATCAAAATTTTCATTGATTTAAATAAGTTAATATGAACAGACTGACATAATTTTACTTTAATGATGTTGTTTATTGTCCTAAGCCATCCATACACAAAACGTTTAATGTGTTATGGAAGGCTAACAGTTTTTCAGCTTTTCTCAATACTTTCAGCCATCCATACATAAAATGTTTAATGTGTTATGGAAGGCTAACAGTTTTTCAACTTTTCTCAATACTATCAGATGAATGTATTCTTACCAATCATGATTTACGTTTTTCAAATGTGGATTTCTTAGGCCTTTGACTGATAGCTTTAGGCTTTTGCACTACACAAAGAAAAAGACACCTTTCTATTCATTTCTTAATAATTTGTTTCCATAAAGCTAAAATGTCCACTGATGACATAATCTACCTTTGGTTAATCACAGCAAATAGTTCACATTTTAAAGGAATGCAGATATTTGGATAGAAGCCTCTAACAATGTAAATATTGTGCATTTCAAGTTCCATAGTGTGTCTAACCAGGGATAGCAACTGATTATATGTGGATTAACAATAGTGAATAACTGAGCACATATTAACATGAATAACATACACAGCAGTCAAAACTTACTGTTTTTCATATGTGTAAAGTAAAAATTCAATCTATCTTTAACCGGCTCATACTGTTTTCATGTTGTTCAACTATTTGACACAAAAGGAGCTTTTTCCTTTCTTTAAAAGGATTTTGATTCAGTCATAACAGATTTTTGAAAGTGACAGTAAAATTATGCATTTGGTCCAGGATTAAGAGGGAAGTTTTGCTTGCTAGTGTCTATCTGGTTAGACATCAGAATAAAATGAATGGACTGTAAAGGATCTTATAACCAGTCTCTCTCTTTAATATGAAGGCCCAACATTACATAATTCTTTTTAAGAGTTGACCAGGAATGAAATGTAACCTCTTTTAAAGATGAAGAAAAACTGAAAAAATGAGATTAAGAAAATATGTGGGTAGTTTACAGCTGCTGATAGAATTGTGTGCACGCGTGCATGCATGCATAAACACAAAGTGAATCTAGAAGGGAAAAAATTGAGTTTGATGAAGTCTAAGATGAAAGGTTCCATTTCATGTAAGATTATGTGACCTTGGAAAAATTTACTGGCTTGCTAGTGGAATACGTCCTTATATAGGGACTTGAAGAGTTTATCTAAATAGACTGACTTAAGGATGCTTTTCCTCTTGTTAGACTTGTATGACATTACTGAGAAGATTTAGAGTTCTAGAAGTAGAGAAGACTGATTAGCTTGTGCCTGTGTATGAAGAATGACAAATTAAGACAAAAGGTTATGTAAACCATTTACTAAAAAAGTCTAAATTTTTATATTCCTAGGCCCCTACTTATCTTTTACAAACTTTGAAGGACCTGAAATTCTTTGGACACCATCAGATTTAGTTTATAAGAGTTCTGATTTTGAATCAAGAAATTATTCATGTAGTTTTAAAACACAATTAAAATTTTCAGTCAGGCTGAACTTTTGTGCACTTCCTCATTTATTCGAGAAACCCCACCACTAATGTATTTAGACCTTAATATGATGGCTTTGAGTCTTAAATCATTGTCCACCTAAAATAATATACCAAATAAAGATTTTTAAAGTGCTGCATATGGTTTCTGTAAGAGGTACATAATTAGATTACCAGCATTATCCTTTAGCTTCAAAAGTAAAACTCATAGTCAGGATTTTACTGATAGTACAGGAAGAAAAAAAATAACCACTGTTGAAAAATAAATGAAAAAAATTTTATTGAGTATTACTTTATACATGCAAATTGAAAGTGAATCTATATTAAGTTGACTATTCCACAATAAAAACCTATGAAATGGGAATGATCAAAGCTGTCTAACACAATACTAATGTGTTCAATAAATTATCCAGATGTTTTTCCACAAATATTTGGATTACCTGAATTAGCTGATTCTTCAGCAAAAGTTAAATTTTAGCTTTAATATGGTAGCAGCAGGATGCTACTTAAATTTAGAAGAAAAACATAAGAATAAAAACCCTGAATAGCATAGCCAAATCTTCCAAGAAATAAGTTCACCAAAAAAGTAGCATACACCTATTTGGTATCCAGAGGAGGAAACAAAACACAGGCACTTAATCAACATCCACCAAGTGATCATCACTAACATTCTATTATTACCAGAGTAACTGTCGATATGTGAACTGTAGATTAGAACAGACTTACATATCTAAAAACAAACCAGTAATCAATAATATATACAGAAATACTAACTTGAAGTCACATTTAAATACCATCAACAGTTTGGTGTATCTGATATAACTGAATTCATTTCATCACTGCTATAAATTCCTTAAAAGTGTTCTTTTCCTAATTAACATTATCTTTAAAAAATGGTAGATATTTCCCAGTATGCATCAGTTTTTTCACTCCACCATTCAGTAAATGTTGTAGCAAATTAAATAGAACCTATTAACTAGATCTAAAAACAGTGGCTGAATACTTAACACAAAGAAGTACTTTTGAGTAAACTATTCAGATTAGACAGGCTAATGCTAAGACTGCATTTTGTGCTACTGACATGCACTATATAGATCGTACACTACTAGATGGAAAGTTGGTCCATGTCCATTTATTTAAAGATTCTGTAACACCTGTAATAGTATTTAATACAGCTCCCACATACTATATTCCTCTCACATAGACATAGTTATTTTTAGTGGGGATAAGGATATGACTTTAACATGCTATGAGATTCTAGCTAAGTAAAATAAAAACAATATGGACTCAGATTTTCTTAGGAGATATTAGTTCAAGTTTTTAAACTGGGAAACAATCAACTTCCATATATCCAGGAGAAACTTAGCATGGGGGGAGGTGCCTTAGTTGATGTGCCTGATAAGCAAACTGTTAGTTGTCTATTAGTATTATGTTTTCGGCTTAATGTAACAACAAAAGAAAGTTGTCACACTACCTCTCAGATAATATCAATTACAATCTTAGAGACTGTAATTGGGAATACAATCCTATAACAAGTTATTAACAATATCATGAATAGTTATTAAGTAAGTGCCAGCACTACATGCAACTTACTGGTCACCAACTCAGAACCCATAAAACTATACACATATGCACAAAAAAAAAACTCCAAAGAAAGATACCTATCACTGTACATATGAATACTGTCCAGGATATCAGATCAATTATCAAATCCAAGGTCTCTGCTGTTTTGTCTTACAGTGTTGAATATATGAATGCTTCTCTATTACACTGACTTGTACTATTTTCAAGAAATTAAGTGGATTCAAAATCTTACATTTTTATTTCTAATTATAAAATCCAGATTAATCCAAAAAACACAAACCACATGTAACCGAGGTAGGTTTTTCACCTTAAGAATACATTGCTTCTACCACAATTAAAAATTTTTTAAACTGAAGAAAAAAAAAAACTACATTGCTCCACATACCTGATACTTAATTTTCTATGTTTGAAACTACTTGAACAAGTGTGACAGTGCTAATCTACTATATTTAGTAAATCCCTTAGTACCTATAAATACACACCCAAAAGCCCTTCCCTCCTTCTCTAATGGTAACTGTTGTATAATAAAATTGTCAACAACTCTAGAAAGATGAAATAAAGATTACTATAGCAATCTTCAATTAATTCATTTCAGAAATCAAGGAGGCAAGTCATGTTCATTTTAAAGATGACAAACTTACTATTTTGAAAATGAGCTCATAAATACATTAGAACTTTGAATGTGCTTTATTATGCCACAAATTCCCAGGAGATTTAAGAAATAGTATTTCTGAACAGGAATAATAATTTCACAAATACTAACACTTTATTGACAATAGACAAGTCTTTTAGGGTAGTGCACATGTACTTAAAAACTACCTTCTACCAATCTCAACACTTTTTATAAATTTTCAGGTGAAACTGTAGCAGATCCTACTTTATTTTTCAATGGTTAGTGTAAAATTCTGTATGTAAAATAAGTACATATTTTGAGATGGAAGAAGGACTGCATGTGAAATGCTTTGCCTAAGTTGTAAGGCTCCTGTCTTTACGCTATCATTAAAGGCCAAAAAAATCACTGCTAGAAATGTTCCCCAAAAAATTCTTAAACAGCTCAGTCTTTAAAAGTATTAATAATTTTTTTTTTTTTTTTTTTGGAGACAGAGTTTCGCTCTTCTTGCCCAGGCTGGAGTACAATGGCGCAATCTCAGCTCACCGCAACCTCTGTCTCCTGGGTTTTCAAGCGATTCTCCTGCCTCAGCCTCCTGAGTAGCCAGGATTACAGGCATGCGCCACCACACCTGGCTAATTTTGTATTTTTAGTAGAGACGGGGTTTCTCCATGTTGGTCAAGCTGGTCTCAAACTCCCGAACTCTGGTAATCCACCCGCCTTGGCCTCCCAAAGTGCTGGGATTACAGGCATGAGCCACTGCACCCAGCCTAATAACTGATATAATTTTTTTAAGTGAAATGAAATGTTCCTTTATTTACATATGAATTAAATAGAAAATTCAAAGTAATTCTTTTAATAAAAACCCATATACTAATATATTTTAAGGTTGGATACTAACAGCATTTTCACAAGATCCAAAGTGTGGATGACGAACTAGGCAATAAGGACATGTGTGCCACATAACTAAGGGTAACTAAAGGAAGATGAGTACCTCACAACCAAAAGCAGTTAACTATGCCTGGCATACCACCCTGTCATGTGGGCAGATCACTGTTCCCATGCTGGGTAAGAGTCTCCAAGAAGGGAAGCCCTTATGCAGTAATTCTGTAACTATATTAAATTTGGTAATCTAACATTAAACTTTTTCGTGAGCAGTGAATATACACATGGTCATATGAAAACTGCCCTGGAGACCGGGTTAATTATTAAATAAACTAAAAGGGGAGAAATGCTGATAGATAAAATTATGTCAATTCCAGGGTGTTCAATGGAATAAAGAAACAGCAGCAGCTGCTTCAAAAGTAGACTATGATCAGAAACCTCAGATGGTAACCTTTAAAAATTGTGGAATCCAGAGTCTCAACCTAAACCTACATAGGAGCTACAGCCAGGGAGTTCTTTCTAAGTTCCTCAAGTGATTCTGATGATTGGCCAAGCTGGAAACTTCTGAACTGGGGGAGAAAGCCAACCTAGGTAAATGTAGAGACTTTTAGAATTCAACATTTGATTATCATTTACTCCACATTTTCCCCCAGCTGTCTCACCTTCTCTATTTTTCTAACAGTGAACAATAAAAGGGCTTGGCAAGTGAAGGAAAAAGTCAGTAGAGTACCTAAAATGGATTTGACTATATTCAAGCCACTTTCATATATTAACTAGATAAAAGGATACCATACTGCTATTTGAAATTCAATCACAAAGCAAAAATGTCATAATTTTAATGTATTTTAAGGGAAGACGGGGTTCTTAACATGAATATGTAATACAAAAACAATTCTAAATAATAATATTTAATAGAAGAAAAAATCTGTATAATTATTTAGAAGTAACTCTGTTTTTAAAATTTCAATGTTAGGAAGAAAATCCCTTAAATTTGAAATAGCGGAATATTCTCTCATATGAAAAAACTGTGTCCCAGTGTTATTCTTCAACTTAGAAATTAGGCAAAGTATTTTAGTACTATTTCTGCTTACATATTGTTTTGTATGAATGTTTTAAGTATGAATAATATTTTGGTTTTTAGTGTGCATGCTAATATAAAAATATGGATTTTTTTCTCCTACACTGACTTTGTACACTTTCCAGGCCCGAAGAATAAAAAACTTTTAAAATATCCTGTGTTCACTAGCAAACCTTGGAACGATAAAAAAAGGTAGTACCTACATAAGAAATTTTACATTGAAATTACAATTGTATGTTTTTCAGGAGTTAAAGTGATTCAATTTTTCAATATTCAAACACAAAATAGTAAATTTTTATTTACTATAGCACAATTCAAGTATTCTCTTAAATTTATATTTAGTCAACTAAAACATGACAGTGACTTTATAAGAGCTTTCCTTTTAAAAGGTTGCTGTTATAAAAAAGTATGACTCTATTACTCTAAATGCTTAGAATAAGTGGAAAGAACAAATGACAGTAGACAAAAACCTTTATGAGTGAGTCATCAACACATAAAAGGTTGCACACATCAGTAATAGGACATGTGAAGGTAACATCCCAAAAGTATTTGAACTCATGTAAACAAAGACTATGTATATTCCTAAGGGAGAAAATGTACTACCAAGATAAAATATATTCAAACGGCTGTGACTTTAAACCATGTATTAGTTGAATACCACACAAAACCAAAAAGGCATTATCTATCATTTAATAACTGAAAGATATTACTTATTTGTGAGATAAAAGGATAATGCTTTTTTAAAACCAATAATGAAAAAGAAGTATTTTGAAAACAAACATCTGTTTGCTAGAAATAAATATACTTGCTTAGTTATTTTAATGTATTGCAGCATAGGAATATTGTGCTAGCATTGACCATTAACATTCAATCAGTAGTTTAAAATATTTTTTCCACATTGAGTCTTGAATCCTCTACCTGGTCAGCTGACCCACAACTTTCAAAAGAGTTTTATTTTCCTGCTTTAGCTGTTCATTTTCATCTTCTATGTCATCTAGGTCCTTAAGAAAAAAAAAAGACACTTTAAAAATACTTAAAAATATTTGAGGAGAGATGAAAACACTTAATACACATTAAAAATAATTCATACAACCAATTAATTTTGAAATGAGGGCAAGCTCTGAAAACAACTTTAGATGTAATATGCCCCACCAAAAAAGAGCATCCATTACTTGACTCTTCGTTCTTACAACAAGTGTATAGGCCAACTCTTACAGATCTTTCAGTTTTTCAAAGGAAGCCGAAAGTCAGAATTTTAAAATTGTGAATCTTCCAATTTTCAATCATCATAAATAAGTTAGTTTTTTAGCTAAACAAACTCCACTTCCCCTCCCTAAAACTGAGGCAAAAAAAAAAACTACCCATGCAAGCCATATATGGTATTGAGCCCTAGGTTGCAACCTTGTGTCAAATTAGTCATCAAAAGGTGCAGGTACAAGTTCTAGATGCACTCCTACCACTGTCTGATCTTTAAAGGTGTACAATGGGGATAACACTCTGGAGAGGTGACAAAACTGAGGCCTACGGAAAAGGGGATCTGGAGTATCTTGATCTGGATCAATTTTGTTTTCAGCTCCAGATCAATTTGTATGTTGGACTTTTCTACGACATTTTGAAGGAAAGGTTTTAGAGCTAAAATTAATTCAAAGCCACTAAATTAAGTATTCGCTCTCCAGCTTTAAAAGCATATGATCCAGCTCTTTTTTCCCTGTATTAATCCTTGTCCCAAACACACAACCATCTGGTTAAAACAAATTCACCATAAGTTTTAGTTACAAGAAACATTATTTCAAGACAGACTCTTTACTGTTAAAAAAGCAGACATTTATAGATTTATTCTTGCAGTTTAAAATAATAAATCTTGATGTAATCAATTTGAATCACTTGAACCCGGGGGGTGGAGGTTGCAGTGAGCTGAGATCGCGCCACTGAACTCCAGCCTGGGCAACAGAGAGAGACTCCTTCTCAAAAAATAATAATAATAATAATAAAGAGTACCAATTTTAGGGTTTTTTTTTTTTTTTTTTGAGACAGAGTCTTACTCTTGCTGCCCAGGCTGGAGTGCAGCAGCGCAATCTTGGCTCACTGCAACCTCCGCCTCCTGGGATCAAGCAATTCTCCTGCCTCAACCTTCTGAGTAGCTGAGATTACAGGTGCCCACCACCATGCCCAGCTAATTTTTCATATTTTTAGTAGAGTCGGGGTTTTACCATGTTGGCCAGGCTGGTCTCGAACTCCTGACTTCACGTGATCCGCCCTCCTCGGCCTCCCAAAGTGCTGAGATTACAGGTGTGAGCCACAGCGCCTGGCCAATTTTAGATATTTCTTGAGGCAACTCTGTGCCAGTGCCCTTACATATGGTAGTGACAAAGCGCCTGTCACCCTCAGATTTTAACAAAACAGAGAACAAATCCATAAATCAGTCTATCTCCAAAAGAATAAAATTAAGTGAGCTAAACTGATAACTGCCCAAAGGAAATCAGTTTTTGGAAGAAAATGATACCTCTTACTAATTATTATTTCACTAACAAAAGAACAAAGTGAATAATGCAATTAATAATTTCTTCATATTTATATATTTTCATCCAATTGCCAAAAAAAACCCCTCCAAACCTGAAATATGGTGAAATACTTACTCTATTTAATAAATCAATTTCTTCTTTGAGTTTTCCAATCATTTCCTCTTTATCTTGCATCAGTCTCACAAGTCTTAGGTTTTCTTGTCTTTCTCTTACTACTTCCTGGTAGATACAATTAAAAACCAGTAATTAGGAAGTAATTGTTTATTTATAATCTTCCTAAGTGGCATATATCTCCCCAATTTGGTAAAATATCTTACATACATGAAGATTTCCAATGAATCCCTTAAGACATTTGGTGAAGGAACAAAGATCCCACCACAAAAGGAATCAGAGAATGCACAGGAGATATTAGGATGCTCCTGAGTAAAGCTATGTTTATACAAGTCTTTAACAAAACTAATGTAATAGACTCAATGATTTAACCTCGTGTGTGTGTGTGTGTGTGTGTGTGTGTATGTATGTATGGCAGTGTTTCACTCTTGTCACCCAGGCTGGAGTGCAATGGCACCTTGGCTCACTGCAACCTCCACCTCCTGGGTTCAAGCGATTCTCCTGCCTCAGCCTCCCAAGTAGCTGGAATTACAGGTGCATGCCACCATGCCTGGGTAATTTTCATATTTTTAGTACAGATGGGGCTTTGCCATGTTGCCCAGGCTGGTCTCGAACTCCTGACCTCAAGTGATCTGCCCGCCTCAGCCTACCAAAGTGCTGGGATTACAAGCGTGAGCCACTGTGCCCGGCCTGTGATTTAACTTATTTAGCTTATCACCACTATAAGTTATGAACTACCTTATTTTTTAATGGGTATCTTGTTTGAAATAATTCAAAATTAATTTTTCTTAAAAATACAAAGTTTAAAGGAGATGGCCCAATAGAAACTCTAAACAGAAAAACAATGGTCCTCAGTTTTACTTCTGGCTCTGCCAGTTAACTGATAATGGATAAAAAGAAGGAACTAAAATAGATTACTGATTTTTAATTTTTTTTTTCTTTAAACAATGCAACATCTTTTTCAAAGACATCTTATTTAGAATCCAGGGCACTGGGCTTGGTCAGCCACCTTGGGGGCAAAAGGGAAGCAGAGCTCAAAAGGCCTTGCCCAGAACTTGGCTTCTTTCTTACTAAACCTCCTACAGAGCAATCAACCATCCATATCCCTTAGCTGCTGCCAACTACTAGCAATTCAATCCAAACTCTTGTGGAACTCACGAAGCCTTTCTGGGCAACTATCTTCAAAACTATTAGATTACATATTGTCTAAACTTTTTAATTTAAAATTATGAAATAATAGGCTGGGCACAGTGGCTCACGCCTGTAATTCCAGCACTTTAGGAAGCCGAGGCGGGTGGATCACCTGAGGTTAGGAATTCAAGACCAGCCTGACCAACATGGTGAAACCCCTTCTCTACTAAAAATACAAAAAAAGAATTAGCCGGGCTTGGTGGTGCATGCCTGTAATCCCAGTTACTTGGAAGGCTGAGGCAGAAGAAACACTTGAACCTGGGAAGTGGAGGTTGCAGTGAGCCGATACTGAGCCATTGTACTCCAGCTTAGGCAACAAGAGCGAAACTCTGTCTCAAAACTAAATAAATAAATAAAAATAAATAAAACTATGAAATAATAATTCCAAGAAGAAACTGTTGTTAAAGCTTAGAAATGTGACCTCAAAAAATCATAAATGTTATAAAATAGAAACAAGTTTTAAAAATGAAATTTCTTTACATAACATATATAAATTAGATCTTTAATAATATAGAGAATAATCTCAAGTAAAACAAAACACATTTTCAACAATTACAAAAGTATTCAACACCATTGCTAATTTTAGGGGTTGAATGTCTATGGCACAAACCTGAGACCCTATGGTTAATAAATTTATGCCAAGAGTCATCTGACTTGCACTGAAAGACACTTTTAAACAGGCATATTCTTAGACAAAATTGTTTCAAACACCAAAGATGGACCTAACTCAGATTTACTCCTGTAATTTGTAAAGTTACAAATGAAAATCTATTCAGACAATATAATAAATACACAGTAGTATATATTTGCCAGCTCAGACTTCTAACCACTTCAAAAACAAGGGCTTTTAATATACTAAAGGTAACAGTTGGCAGAAAAGCGCACATATTAAATATTAAGGAATATTATTTCCTTTCTCACTCAGTTGCTATGAAACAAAAGAATTCTAATGGTATATTAATTTTATCAATCTTAAATAACTTATAATCCATACCTTTTCAAGATCTTCAATTTTCTTTTCCAGTGTGCTACTTGAAACCAGAGTACCTGAAACATTTGCATCCCTGTTATATCTAGGGAACCCACTTCTATCTGTTCGAGAATATCTACTTGAGACATCTTCTTCAGAGACACTGGTTGTGCTGTGGAAATATAAACATTTTATTAAAATCCCTAGTATTCAGCAAGAAAAATGCCAAGAATATTTTCTATTGAGCTTAAAAAAATTAACATTCCCCAAGGACATATGGTTATAGTAGCAACTTATTTGTAACTGTAGAAGTTAATCATTATTCCCACACAATGAAAAAAATGTAAAAGTACCATTAATTCTTTCGACCAATATCTACTGAATAGGTGTTAAGTAACGAACACTGTTCTGGATACTGAAGACGTAACAGCAAACACAAACATGGACTCTGCCCTTCATAGAGCTTTTGGTTAAAAGGGAATATAACTAATAATAAAGCAAGATGATCAGTAAAATAAGGTCAGTGATGGATACTATGAGAACTACGATAGGACAGATCTCCCAGATTATCTTTTTTTTTTTTTTTTTTGAGATGGGGTCTCACTCTTGTCACCCAGACTGGAGTGCAGTGGTGCAATCACAGCTCACTGTGGCTTCGGCTTCCTGGGCTCAAGAGATCCTCCCACCTCAGCTTCCTGAGTAGCTGGGACTACACGTATGTGGCCACCACACCGGGCAAATTATTTTGTATTTCTTTTTTCAGAGACGGGGTTTCACCATGTTGCCCAGGCTGGTCTCAAACTCTTGGGCTCAAGCGATCCACCCACCTCGGCCTCCCAAAGTGCTAGGATTACAGATGTGAGCATTGTGCCTGGCCTAGATCGCCCAGACTATGTGTGGTGAAAAACCACTTTCCTTCTTCAAAATTACAATCTTTCATGGACCAACACTTTTAAAAAGTAAAATTAAAATGAACTGCTGGAAAAATAAAAGTTAAAAAGGTCATACAAAATACAAGTCCAAATGTTTTATTAGATTCAGACCCATAAAATTATAAATAGAAAAAAAGAAAAGAGTTACATCAGTGGCAAATTCTCCACTATAAGTATGCATACAGGCAATCAATACAGAAAATTGCTACCATATTGATAATTTTGTTATGCCATAATTCTAACTTAATCAAAAGTTGTAAGTAAAACAGCAATTCCTTAAACACCAGTTCATACCCTCTGAACAGCACATATGTCAGTATTTAAAGTTTTTAATGTAACAAATGAGTTTGCTTCTTGTTTCCTGTATTATTCTATTAAAAATTACCCCCAAACTTACACACAATTCTTATCTCAAAGTTTCCGTTGGTCAGGAATTTAGAAGCAGCTTAGGTGGGTGATTATGATTCGGGGCTTCTCATGAGTTTTTAATCAAGATGTTGGTTGGGGCTTCAGTCATCTGAAGGCTTAACTGGGCTGGAGAATCTGCTTCTAGGCTCACTCACATGACTGATGACAACAGCCTCAGTTCCTCACTATGTTGGCCTCTCCACTGGCCTGTTCACCACATGGCAGCTGGCTTCCAGAGACAAACTGACAGAGCAACTGAGACAGAAGCTGCAGTGTCGGTCATAACGCAACCTCAAAAGTGACATACTATCACACTGACCTTATTCTATTGTTCACACATATCAACTTGGTATGTTGTGTGAGAGGATTATACACAGTGCAAACATCAGGAGGTAGGGTTCACTGGGGGCTATCTTGAAAGCCAGTTACTACATTTGTTAATCTAGGTTGGACCGAGGACAATGCTACTCAACAAGGGATAATGTATATCTAAACTATTTCTGTGTTTTGTTTTAATAGCAATCAGAGAAAACAGTCTCAAAGGACAGAAATAGCAGTGATTTTAATGCAATTTCAACAAGCTCGGACATTCATTTTTAAAAACTTTTGTCAAAAATGTAGAAAATTTGCTTTTCAAAATTTGTTTTCAATCCTTCACTGACTGGTATCCATTTCCAATAATTTATCCAGCAAATTTACAGTTAAATCGAAAGTGACTTCTCGTTTTAAAAATTGATTCCTCATCTATGAATTTCTTACCTATGAATTTTCTTGTGATAGAAAATAAAAGTGTCCTATCAAATTTGTAAGGTATTTGATTGTAACCTTTTCAAATGTGCAATACCAAGATCACCATCTACTTTACTGATAGTTGTTACTATATCGTAGAACCCTTTATAACCAGCTAAGGTAACTTTCTCCTCAAAAATCCAACTTTCATTTTTGTCACCTGATCTTATCTGCCATTGAAAAGCCTTCTGGCTCACTGCAACCTCCGCCTCCTGGGTTCAAGCGATCCTCCTGCCTCAGCCTCCTGAGTAGCTGGGATTACAGGCGCCTGCCACCATGCCCGGCTAATTTTTGTATTTTTAGTAGAGACAGGGTTTCACCATGTTGGCCAGGCTGGCCTTGAGCTCCTGACCTCGTGATCCACCTGCCCCGGCCTCCCAAAGTGCAGGGATTACAGGCATGAGCCACTGCGCCCGGCCAACTGACATTCCTTCTTTGCATGGAAAGCTAAGATCACTTAAAAAATAAAGAATAAGGCCATCAGACAAAAAGCTAACTCACATATTTGAAAAGCTGGGGACCAAACTGGTTTCTTGTCTTGCAAAAACACCAAGAGTTCATCCCAAAATTCAAATACTCTTGACTGAAAAGGTCAGTTTGAAGACCAATGTACACCCTAGCATCTGATAACAGCTGATCAGCTAACTCCCAAACTACAGTATCTAATTTTTTAGAAACCTCAAATGTAATGAATTAGTGTTTAATAATAAATTCACACTTTTAGTGTACTATACTGTGAATTCAGCTGATATAGCAAGAACACTGTTTAGTTCAGCTGGCAAAGCAAGACTTTCTCAATGAAAGAAGCAGGACACCGATTTACATTCTGGTACAAGCTTCAGTATGTTTTTCTTATTACTGTGCCTGCATAATTAGAATATATTCCTATAAAAGTAAAGCAAAACTCCAAACCACATTTGTTGATACTGTAACCCTTTGCAAGTGTTATATAGTTCAGAGCAAGCTGTATGTCAGCAATGAAGCTGAAAAATAAATTGTTACTTCCTATGTTAGCAAAACCAATGTGTTCATCAAATTGTAACAAAAATTCCTTTGCAGGATCTTATTTGTCTGAGAGTTAGTCTTCGTATCACTGTCCTGTCCCTAAACACATCAAGCTATCATGGTGTTGCTGGAAAGTGGTATGTGAACTATCTTCTTTACTACAGATTCATCCAACATTTCCAAGCAAACATGTTTTGTCTTGTCATTTGTATGCAGTTTTTTTTAATGTTAGCAACCTCAAGTCAGACTATCAGAAACCCCAAAAATACTAGTGATCACATGTGAAATCCTGAACATCTGCTCCGGTCATCTTTGTAATATTCTTTCAAATAATGAATTTGGTTTTGAACATATTTGATGAATTCATTTTGTACATGTCATGCCTGCAACTACCAATTAAATTTTGATCATTTTATATTGTTTAAATAGCCAGTGTATCTCCAAACAACCCACTTTGGTTTTGGTTTTAGCACTTCGCCCATCAATTATGGCTAAAAACTAAACATAGGACACATAATACTTTCCAAGAAAACTAGTACAAATTCTTTTGATCTGTATCTCTTTGAAATTACTTCCATTGTCATCATTTGGTTTACTACTGCTATCGCACTCAAAAAAGTGTATCTTTGCTTGTCAAAAAAGTCCAGTAAAGTTTGTTTTGTCATCAGTAAATCTGACTTATAAATAATACAAATTTTGCTTCCAGGATTTAAATAATACTTGTAAAACATAAAATTCTAAAGAATGAAAAAGATTTTTACATTTTAAAATTACTATATATTTTTAAATTATTTATGGGACGAGAAGAAGTGTGATTAAAATTAACGAGATTTTAAAAATAAATGCTTTGCTTTTTTGGGGGGGCGGGGGGAGATAGGGTCTTGCACTGTCACCCAGGCTGATGTACAGAGGTGCCACCATGGCTCACTGCAGCCTTGAAACCTCAAAACTCCTAGGCTCAAGTGATCCTTCCACCTTAGCCTACCAAGTAGCTGGGACTACAGGCATATGCCACCACCATACCTGGCTTTTTTTTTTTTTTTTTTTTTTGTAGAGACGTGTCTTACTATGTTGACCAGGCTGGTCTCAAACTCCTGGCTTCAAGCTATCCTCCTGCCTTGGTCTTGGGATTACAGGCATAAGCCAGCCACATTTTACTTAATTCTTACACATTTTTGGGTTACAAATGACTAACTTCAAAATATCACACATTGTAACAGCCCTGCTGGGCATGATTAGCATGCAACTTGCCACGGCACTTGAACTACTCTATATCCTGTTCGCAGAGTAATCCACTGATCATGCACTTGGATGTGATGATGACAAGTCAAAATGCAATTCAAGTTTCTAAATGCTTATTCTCAAGTTCTTTTCTTGTCTTGGATTGACAACAAACAGTTCAAGGACTACACTTTGGGTATCACTATGTTAGAGAAGGTTGAAACGTAAAAAGAAGGACAAGAATGTGCAAAAACCTATAAATTGTGGCCCATTTGAGAAACAGAAAACTCCAATATGGCTAAAGCATGGAGTGTAAACATAAGAGTAATAAAATATGAGGCTGAAAAAGCAAGCAGGAAACCTGAATTTTTTTTTTTTTTTTTTTTTTTTTTTAAGAGACAGGTTCTCACTCTGTGGCCCAGGCTGGAGTGCAGTGGACAATCATAGCTCACTGTAAATTCAAATTCCTGGGCCCAAGCAATCCTCCCCTCAGCCTCTGGAGTAGCTACATGTGCGACCATGCCCGCTAATTTATCTTAATTTTTTAGAAGTTAGGTCTTGCTATGTTGCCCAGGCCGGTCCTGAAGTCCTGGCCTCAAGCGATCTTCCTGCGTCAGCCACCCAAAGTGCTTGGAGTAGAAGTCTGAGCTACCACGCCTGGCCCTGAAAGCTATTTTATGGAAGAATTTAAACTAAAGATCTCCAAATATTATTCATAATTACATACCCATGTTGGTATCTATGTTTACTTATCTACCATTTTTATAGGATTTACAATATGACAATATAAAATAATCGTCTGTATCCCAAAAATAGAGCATAAGAAAAAGACTAAAATTTGTTTTATTTATGGTACAAAAGTTTGTTCTCACAAATATTTTAAATAAAATATTGAATATGCTTCATTATTTCTGAAGATCTTAACACCGTGTGATACAGAGATTCAAAGATCTAGTTCTAACATCAGTTTGAATATTTGATTTTTAATGGCTATCAAAGCAGAAAGGGATGCCTTACAAAAAAATGAGAATTTTTTAAAAAGTTTCACTTAAAACCTCAAAATCAGCGTAATTTTTCTTAATTCATGAGAACAGATTTGATTTTGTATATCTTACCAGCTGAACAACAATGTGATCTTATTTGCAGTTAAACACTTGATTTTCTCCACAAATTCCCTAATCCCAGACTTACATATTTTGTAATAGTTAAACTAGATAACTCATAAATCCGCATAGATGGACATTCAAATTATAGTATTGTGCAACATGCAGAAAGTGAACAAAGCATGCTTCCCTCAGGACACCTTTAGTACCAAATGACCATCTGACACATAGAGCAAAGAAGGAATGACTAAATAACTATTACACAGTAGTAGCTTTTAAATATTAATGCCTTAGTGTTTTTCAAATAAAAAGGTAAATATGAATAAAAGTTCCAATATTTTCCTCCTGCACCCTAGCAGATTATCTTATATATCACCCCCCTTTGGAGACCACTGATTCAGACTCCATTTAAAGGTAATGGTAAGCCATTAAAGCAGAGAAAGTAACAGTATCATTTTTATAAAATATATTGGGAGATGAGCTAAACGGAGACAGGGAGGCCAGTGTGGAGGCTATTGTAATCACCTATGTAAGAGATGATGGTGTCCTAGATTGGTGTGATGGCAATGAGATACTCAGAAGATAAACTCAACAAGGCTTGGTGAATGAATGGATAAGGGCAAGATGGGAAAAAAAAATAAGTGTCATAAATAATGTCCAGGCTACTGACTTCAGCAAAAGTAGATGCTGATGTCAACTACTGAAATCCATCAGGTTTCACAAGTTTACTTTTGAAAATGCTTAGTTTAGTTTGCTTAGCAGATATTTAATAGCTGTTGATTATACAGGTATGGAGCTACAGGCATATGCCACCATACCTGGCTAATTTTTTTTTTTTTTTTTTTGTAGAGACGTGTCACTATGTTGACCAGGCTGGTCTCAAACTCCTGGCTTCTGGATCTGGAGTCATCAGCATTATGTATAGATAATAAGTGAAGTCATCGGAGTGAATGAAATTTCTACCACAAATACACAAAACGAAAAGAGAATAAAGTCTAAGATTAACAGCTGAGTAGGCTGAGCACAGTGGCTCTCACCTGTAATCTCAGCACTTTGGGGGGCCAAGGCAGGAGGACTGCTTAGGTCCAGGAGTTCAAGACCAGTCTGGACAACATAATGAGACTCTGTCTCTATAAAATTAAAAAAATAAAAAATTAGTCAGGCATGGTGGCATGTTCCTGGAGTCCCAAGCACTTGGGACTTGGGAGGCTGTGGTAGGAGGATTGCTTGAGCCCAAGAGGTTGAGGCTGCAGTGAGCGATTACGCCACTGCACTCAGCCTGGGTGACATGGTGAAACCCTGTAAAAAGAAACAAAAACAAAAAAAATTGAGTAATACCAATACATGAAGAAGAGATACAGGAAAGAAACAACTACAAATAAGACTGGGAAATACCAGCAAAGTGGTAAAAAGAAAATCAACAGAGGAAGGTATCACTAAAGCCATACCATATTATAGAAGACCATTAGAAGCATTTTAAAGGACCCATTTTTCACAAAAAAAAAGAAGTCCAACTTTCTGCATCCATCCATGACTTTTTAGGTAGAAACTATAATGCTGACAGCTACAAACAAACCATCCAGAAATATGGATGTCCGTTAGTAATCGTGTATTTGCTTGATGAACATGTTTAAAACAATATTTCAAAAAAGTTTAACTTATTAACAATTTTTAAAACCTTCCATCTTAGACTTGTCAATACATAAACGGCATCATTATGCTATTTTTTTTTTTTTTTTTTTTTTTTTTGGAGACAGAGTTTCGCTCCTGTTGCCCAGGCTGGAGTGCAATGCCACTATTTTGGCTCACTGCAACCTCAGCCTGCAGTCAAGTGATTCTCCTGCCTCCGCCTCCCAAGTAGCTGGGATTACAGGCGCCCGCCACCACGCCCGGCTAATTTTTGTATTTTTAGTAGAGATGGGGTTTCCCCATGTTGACCAGGCTGGTCTCAAACTCCTGACCTCAGGTGATCCGCCCACCTCGGCCTTCCCAAAGTGCTGGGATTACAGGCATGAGCCACCACACCCGGCCTTCATTATGCAAATGCAAGGAATAGTGAAAAACAAAATCAGTGCTTCATTCCCAATATGTATTATGTTTTAGGGAATACTGTCATAATTGTGAAGAATTGTGTTACTTGATCTTATTGCCAAATTTAGCCATTTAACCTATTTTGAAAGCCAGATATGCACAGTGCAAAATACTCAGAATAAAAGATTGTTCATTAACTCCAAAAAGTTTTTAACATTTTACTTAGGAATGTTAACATAAATCTCTAATACGATCCAAAAAGAATCCTCCCTCCACTCTTAGCTACAAAGACATGAACTATAATGCTCAGAAAAGGGAAAAGAAACAGTATCATCAAAGATAAATGCCACCCCTTACTGGAAGTTTTCCCCCTCTGGGAATTTTCGCATCTTATGTAGAAACACCAGGGGGTGTTGTGTTGGGGAAAATTACACTATTATTCTAAAACTATCATGAGAATGAGATTGGCAGCATTAAGAGATTATAGCTAGAGGAATTTTCCACTAAAATAGACATTATAAAGCTTAGCAATGAGAAGAAATACAAGACTCAAGGGTAAATCCTACTTTTAGAATAAGTATCAAATATTCAGAAGTACAGGATATATTCTGAAATTCCCAAATAACCAACAACTACTTAACTGGCTTCCATCCTTTTAGTATCTTTCACTGCCCCATTCTCTTCACCCTCCAACACTCCCACTCCTCGTAACAGCTCCTTGCTCTGTGTAGGGTTTATCTCTCTTCCTTTAAATACAAACATACACATAAGCACATACACCAACAACTAAAAATCAAAATCAACTCCCATTATATTAAACTCTCATAACTCTTTATTAAAATTGATACATATTTATTATAGAAAACAGAAAATACAAATGAGTGTCATCAGTAATTCCACTAACCCAGAGATAATGTCCATTAACATTTTATAACATATTAGTAAATGTTTAGCCTTCTGGATCAGATTCCTTTTAAAAATCTTATGAAAAATATATATCTCCTCCCAGAAAAATAAACATTATCTTCTTTTACAAAGAATTCTGGCAGTTTATCACATGAATAGTTCTCAGATAATATTTTATATATACTTTTTGTATCATACTTTTTTGTAATATGTTCTCTCCTCCATTTTACATAAACAGGTAATAATTTTCTTATGTAATTATTTTTCTATAGCATCATTTTAATGGCTGCATTATAACTGTTTATAGCAATATATTATAGTTTTTAATCTATCTCGTTAAAAATTTAAGTTGTTGCAGTTAGGGAATATCATACATATTCATTTCTGGTATATTAAATATAGTGAATTATCCTAAAGAGATCAAATATATCTGGCTGCTCAAATTTCACCACCTGAGAGCTAGACAAGTCCAGAAAACACTCTCCAAATATAGTTTATTATATACAGTAGAAACAGCTAAAATTATACATTCCTCATTATCATCTTAACATGGGTGTCCTAAACAGCCAGGCATAGTACCCTGCACCTTTGAACTATTCAATATTTGACATATAATGTGTGTATATACAGATACATTCTTTTTTTTTTAAAAAAAAAGCCTTCAACTAAGCAATATGAAAAATTTCTGTGTAGTAAGAATAGGGGTCACACAAAAACTTGTACATGAATGTTCACAGCGTATTGCCTATTATATGTATAATATTTCATATAGGCAAAAAGTGTAAAGAATCTAACATTATGTTACTCCAAATGGTAAAACATAATATAGTATATCCTGCAAACTTCAATATGGAATCATCTTGAAAAAATTATGCTTAGCAAATGACGAGACACAAAAAGCCACATGCTTGGCCAGGTGCAGTGGCTCACGCCTGTAATCCCAGCACTTTGGGAGGCCAAGGCAGCCAGATCACTTGAGGCCAGGATTTCAAGATCAGCCTGGCCAACATGGTGAAACCCTATCTCTACTAAAAATACAAAAATTGGCTGGGTGGGGTGGTGCATACCTGTAGTCCCAGCTGCTTGGGAGGCTGAGGGACAAGAATCACTTGAACCCACAACGCGGGGGTTGCAGTGAGCCGAGATTGCACCACTGCACACTAACCTGGGCAACAGAGTGAGACTCTGCCTAAAAACAAACAAACAAACAAAAAAACCCAAGAAAGCCATATACTATATGATTCCATTTATCTGAAATATCCAACATAGACAAATCTATAAGGACAGAAAACATATTACTGGTTGCTGGGGGACCTAGGGGCAGAGGAAGAATGGATATGAACGGTATGAAGTTTCCTTCAGGGTAGAACAATTTTGGAACTAGACAGCAGTGATGGTAGTAAACACTGTGAATGCCCTAAAAATGCTGAACTGTACACCTTAAAAGAGTGAATTTTTATGGCATTTGAATTACATCTTAATAACAGGGAACAGTAAGATCAGTTTAGTGGTTAATTTCCAAATAAATGCACAAAATGCACTTAAAATGACACCAAATACTATAACATGGTTTATCTTTCATTATAATGAAGAAACTCTAGATGTTGTTAGACTTCATAATTCAGAACAAGTTATTTTCTGACATTGTACTACAGCTAAAACAAAGTAAAGATCTGAGTGGATTTGTGAAATCTAGAGCCATATATCTAGAAGTTACTTTTCGGGAAAAAATAAAATAAAACCCTATGTTCGAAAAAAATCTAGTTACTGGTACCATCCAGTCATTTGGAGTTTAAATAAGCTAATCAAACTACCACACTGTATCTATTTCCTACCCATGCTAGGCAAATTAACATTACTACCATGAGGTAATGCAACATATGCTGACACAATCTGCAAATTATTACTTGTTTAATCATACAAGTCATTAAACTTCACTGTGCCTCAGTTTACTCATTTGTAAAATAATAATAAAAGCATCTCCCTAGGACTATCAAGGAATTAACTAAATGGAAAGTACTTTGAATAGTACCTGGTACACACTAATATTATATAAATATTAATAATATTTATGACCTAGAAAAGTTCAGAAATTCACCAGTCCACAAAATGTACAAGAATCCCAATTTATTTTAAATAATCATTTTATGACTTTCATGTACTGTTTTCAAATCTATTAACTAGAAAGGTCACTGCTATTGCATGCCTGACAGCATTGGGTAAAATATAGAACATATCCTAATATAGAAATAATAGATCTTGCCAGGCATGGTGGCTCACGCCTGTAATCCCAGCACCTTGGGAGGCTGAGGCAGATGGATCACTTGAGGTCAGGAGTTTGAGACCAGCCTGGCCAACACAGTGAAACCCCATCTCTAGCCTGGGTGACACAGTGAGACTCTGTCTTTAAAAAAAAAGAAAGAAAGAATAGATCTTGAAAGGAACAGATTTCTTTAGAAAGGGTCATATATAGCCCAAGAAGACTCTCTTTCTTTAACTACTGAGAGATATATTTGGTCGTCTTTAGTTTGGATTTCCCACCGTTAAAGAATCTGGCTGATTTCTGGCCAGGTACAATGGCTCGCACCTGTAATTCCAGCACTTTGGGAGGCCAAGACAGGCAGATCTCTTTAGCCTAGGAGTTCAGGATCACCCTGGGCAACACAGAAAAACCCTGTCTCTACAAAAAATTTAAAAATTAGCTGGGTGTGGTGGCACATGCCTGTAGTTACAGCCACTTGGGAGGCCAAAGCTGGAGGATCACCTGAGCCAGGGAATTGAGGGCTGCAGTGAGCCATGATTACACTACTGCACTCCAGCCTGGGCATCGGAGTGAGACCTTGTCTCAAAAAAAAAAAAAAAAATAATAATAATAATAATAATCTGGCTGATTTTTCTGGTTTTGACCCTTGACCAACAAACCAAGGAAGTTTGTGTCTACTTGGTGGTTCTCAAAACAAGAACTACTGGTTAAAACAATGATCATGGTGAAACCCCGTCTCTACCAAAAATACAAAATTAACCGGGCATGGGGGCGCATGCCTGTAATCCCAGCTACTCAGGAGCCTGAGGCAGGAGAATCACTTGAACCTGGGAGGCGGAGGTTGCAGTGAGCCAAGATTGTGCCAATGCACTCCAGCCTGGGCGACAAGAGCAAAACTCGGACTCAAAAAAAAAAAAAAAATCATAAAGTTCCATCTAGGAAAAAAAGTTAACATTGTTGTGTTGCAACATCTTAAATCTTGAATGAAAACTATGTTTCTAAATAAATTATTCATCTCTAAACTTGAACCGGTTCTAGTCGGTTTCTTATGAAAGAGCTTGAGAATGAGGTTGAGAACTAAAGTTCTTAACTGGCCATCCCCAACCTTTTTGGCAACAGGGAACAGTTTCATAGAAGACAATTTTTCCAAGGACCAGGGGGATGGCAGGGAGGATGGTTTCGGGATGAAACTGTTCCACCTCAGATCATCAGGCATTAGATTCTCATAAAGGAGCATGTAACCTAGGTCCCTCGCATGAACAGTTCACAATAGGGTTCGCGCGCTCCTATGAGAATCTAATGCCGTTGCTGATCTGGCAGGAAGCAAAGCTCAGGCAGTAATGCTCACTGACTGCTCACCTCCTGCTGTGTGGACTGGCTCCTAACAGGCCACAGACAGGTAGCAGTCCACACCCTGAGGGGTGGGGACCCCTGGCTTAAAGTATTCACAGTGTCTCAAATTAAATGCATTTATGTTATGTAGAAGTCTTATCATTTAAACAATGGCAAAGATTTAGTTTACTGAACCATCTACCCAGAGTTAGTTCTGCTATAATACAATATTAAGTGTTTCTAAAATCACTGTGTTATGCAAAAATCACTCAATAAAAACATGGTGGGCCAGGCATGGTGGCTCATGACTGTAATCCCAGCACTTTGGGAGGCTGAGGTGGGTGAACTACTTGAGATCAGGAGTTTGAGACCAGTCTGGCCAACATGGCAAAACCCCACCTCTACTAAAAATACAAAAGTTAGCCAGGCATGGTGGCAGGTGCCTTTAATCCCAGCTACTTGGGAGGCTGTGGCAGGAGAATCACTTGAGCTCAGGAGGTAAAGGTTGCTTCAGCCCAGGAGGTAAAGGATACAATGAGCCAAGATCATGCTACTGCACTCCAGCCTGGGTGACAGGAGTGAGACTCCACCTCAAAAAAACAAAAGGAGGGGGGCAATTATACAGAAAATGGGGTTGGAGGACAATGTTCTAAAACTTCATCTGTGACACATTATAAAATACAGTAGCCTAATATAAAGTGGTAGTACAGTTTTACAGGTTACAACAGCTAAGAAATAAATAAATACAGCATTTTATCTTGAAAAAGTAGTGAGGTTTCCTTATAGAAGCTGGTTGGCAGCAGAAGGGTTGCAGCTTGTGGGTTAATACGAAATGTGAGAAAGAAGATATCTGAAATTAGACTGGAAGTTGTAACATCACATATGGAAGTGATAGGGACAGGAGGCAGGAAAATTCTGGGCAGAAGAGGGTGGTCCTGGTGAGGGTCCCACCCTCAATCCTTGAACTGTGGCCCAAAGTGAGAACATGCATCCCTGTTTTCCTGCTTGAATGTTGCCTTTTCCAAAACCACCCATGGCCCGTCCTGCTCCCCATCCTGTGCCCATAAAAACCTCAGGCTCTGCCACCACAGAGAGGAGAGGAAGAGAAGAGGAGAAGCAGTTTGACTTCAGAGTAATGGCTTGACAATGCTGCACCAGGGAAAGATTATCTTCCCACTCTATCCCCTTTCCAGCTCCCCTTTCATTGGCAATATAATCCTCCATATTCACCACCCTTCAATTCGTTCATGTGACCTGATTTTTCCTGGACACTGAATGGGTGCAAACGCTAAAGGCTGTCATACTGACCCTCTGCTCTCACTAGCA
Organism: Homo sapiens; assembly: GCF_000001405.40. Classification (NCBI taxonomy): domain Eukaryota; kingdom Metazoa; phylum Chordata; class Mammalia; order Primates; family Hominidae; genus Homo; species Homo sapiens. Next base: position 79,609,803 of record NC_000012.12, read on the forward strand.
GAGAGCAACTGCCTCACAAGAAAAGGCAGAGGACCCACTGAACTGTTTAACACTTAAGCCGTCCATGGATGGCAAAGCTAAAAGAGCACTAACTATAACACTTCTTCTGGGACTTCAGGGGTAGTGGGCATCCCCCTAGATACTGCCATGGGGACAGTACAGAATTCATTCCTGCCAGGGTCCAAAAGCGCTCACCCTGGCTCTTGCACCTGCTCACCTGTGCTCCCCCTCCCACGAGGGGTAGAATGCAGTGGGTTCGAGTGAGTGGAATTTGCCCCTGCCACACCAAAGTGCCTGGCTAGGTCCAGCACCTGTGCACTCCAGTTCCTGCCTGCAAAGGGGCCAGGGAAACTTTTCTGCTTCAGAAGCAAAGCTGTAGCTCATACTGAGGTACCTGGTAGATGTTTGCCAGGAATGCCTGAGAACCTTCTGTGTATTCCTATGCAGCTTGGTTGAGCTGGGTAAGGTTTTCAGCATTTACCTAGCATTTCTGGTGAACAAAACTGTATATAAGCAAAGGTAAAATTTGAGTTAGGGTCAAACTGTTCCCTAATGTACCAATTAGGACCAATTTGCATTTCGAAAGCAAGCATTATAGCAGAATTGACTTTGCAAGAAAATTCTGACCCTGAAGAAAAAGAATCATAGTCATGTTTTATTCAAATAAAGTAGACAGAAATTACGGGTTACCAAAGCAGTGACAGTGAGGATTTCTGGTATATTTATGCTACACTTCGTTTAAAAGGCAGAAATCACTCAGTTGATACTAGCCATTATTTAGAGAACTCAAAAGGTGAAGATACTCATGTTACATTAGGTGAGGAGTAAAATTACACATTGAGGCCAGGCACAGTGGCTCATGCCTCTAATCTCAGTACTTTGGGAGGCAGAGTTGGGAGGATCACTTGAGTTTGAGATCACCCTGGGCAACATAGAGAGATTCTGTCTCTACCAAAAATTAAAAAAAAAAAAAAGAAAAAGAAAATTACACATTGAAAAAAAAAAACCCACAAATTGGTAACACTGATCCATCTTTACTAAATCTTGAGTTTCAGAAATTACATAACCCTCACCTCCAAATAGTTCCCTACAGTTAAACACATTTTTATAAGGAAAACCGGGAATATGTAAGACACATTCCACGAAAGTCAATTCAAGTTTTAAAATACAGCATAATTAGACTGAGCACATAACAGACTCAAGGCTAAAAATGTACATTCTTATTTGTGAGAAAAATTAAGTATTTAATTCATAATTTATAAGAGCATACATTCAAATGAATCTTCTGGGTGTTTGAACCTCCTAATGACTTTCAGAGTTATTTCTAGCTATATAAAATTTATATATATATATTTATATAAATCTTATAGATATTTATATATAAATCTTATAGATATTTATATATAAAACTTATAGATATTTATATATAAATCTTATACAGTATATATTATATATATTTATATATAATATATAATTTATATAAAATATATATAATTTCTTGGAAGTTATTTGGTTTACTGAAAATATTTTCTATTTTCAGTTATATATATATAAAAAATAAGTTATTAGGTTTACTGAAAATATTTTCTTACATGTGATGCCAAATTTCTATCTTTTACTCTATTCTCCCTTTTCTTCATTCCCATTAGTCAGCAGACACCTTCACTAAGAAACATCTATTCTCTAGTCATTGCTATAACTTGCTGACAGATTAATGAAAATAACAAACTGTTGATATAAAGTATAACACATTTCTACTAGATAAGAGATAATTTCATATACAGATTCTAGGTTTTGTGGCTTTTTAAGTTTTTGTCTTTTTTTCTCTTTTTAGATGGCATTAAAATGGAGCTCCAAACCAATAAAAAATGATGGGAAACTTTAAGATATTTATAACAATATTAAACAGGGGCAAATCTTTGAAAGCTGAAAAGTAAACCACATGCTCTAGGCTATGAGAATACAAGTAAGAAAAGTACAAACACATGGACATATCACAAGTAATGGTCTCAAAAGTTTCACAAAAATTCACAGAGAATAAATTTGCCTTCTGATTTAACACAATGACATGTAAATAAAGCTTTTGATAGGATTTATAAAATTATTCCCCTCTTGATTCTAATTAAAGAACACAAATTTGAAAAGTGTCATTCGTACTTTAAGACTATTACTTGATAAGAACTAAATGTATAAGATCAATACAACAAACTTGATAAGTTGCCACAGTTTATCTTTAGTCTCCAAACCAAAAACTAATGCTAAAAATTTTTTGGTTTGAGAATGTGGTATGGGAACAGGCCACATCAAGGCTATTTCATAATTATTTCTGGAAAGAGAAAAAGGATTTTTTCCAGTTTAAACTATTAATGGCAAACGAAAGCAGGTTTCATTATACCTACATCAAAATTACCCAGAAATGAAAATAAAAGCAGTTAACAGTAGTAAATGTATTGAGTGTTTTCTCATGTGCCAGAAACTACTTCAGACTTAACTACTCTTCTGATTATCTTGGCCTTCTCATCTCTTTCTATTGCTAATAAATACTGTAGCCCATGACAAAAATTAAAATTTTTATATAATATTGGTTAATGAATGTTTTATTTTAGATGAAACAGCTGAAATATTTTAAACTCCAACATACAGATGAAAGTAAGTGTTTTACATGTATAAATCTAGGCAGATGGTCTTACATAGTTAATAAAAATGTGGGCTCCAGAGTCAGGCTGCCAGAGTTCAAATCCAGAATTTACTGTTGACTAGGTTTATAACCCCAGAAAAATTATTCTACTTATTTAACCTCACGTCTCTCATCTATAAAAGAGAAATAAATATTATTCCTGCCTTATAAGATAATCATGAGAATTGAAAGAACTCTATGTAAAGCAATTTGGACACAGTAAGTACTCAATAATATTTATCATTCTAGGATTATTAGCGCAAGTATGACCACATGCTTCTGCAACCTTTATGGCCTCAACAGGGAAGAAGGAAGTGAATATCCTAGACACCTCCACTGAAAAACTTCTTGTACCCAATTCTGATTTTCTTCCTATACATATACATACACAAACACATTCTCTGGTTAGAAGTGTTACTCATTGTGTACAGGTGGTGCAACGGACTGATCTGTGTCCTCCCAAAATTCATATGTTGAAGCCATAACCCTTAATGAGATGGAGCCCTTGGGAGATAATTGGGTTTAAATGAGGTCACAAGGATGAGACCCTCATGATGCGATTAGTTCCTTTATAAAGAAGGGACCTCAGAAAGCTTACTTTCCCTCTTCCTCCCTCTTTCTCTCTGCCATGTGAGGACACAGTGAGAAAGTGGCTACCTATAAGGCAGGAAGAGAGTCCTCACCAGAACCTGACAATGGTGGACATGCAGCCTCCAGAAATGTGAGAAAATTAATTTCTGTTAAGTCACCAGTCTATAGTATTTTGTTATGGCACTCTGAGCTAACTAATACAGATGGGTCTACTTATATTTTCAATGTTTAAATACATGAGAAATAGCAATTCAAGGCATTTATTTTGCAAAGTTCATCAGACCCATGCAAATTCACAGTGAGTTTTCAAAGACTTCGGCATGTCAGAATAAGCCATGGTCAGGCAGACATGATACTCCTGCTTACAATATAATTTATTTTTAAGAGCACAGTAGAAAAGTTTCTTACTTTTCAAAAAGCTGCTTTAAATAGTTCTAGTTAAGTCAATGTCAGACAGACATTACATTCATGTCTACAATATGTTTAAGTCATAAGGATTCTTACCTTTTATATCTGCCTGAAACTGTTCTAGGTGGCTCCTGCAAAGTAAAAATAATTATGTATCAGTTTGAGTATGTATGTACACAATTACTTATTATATAAAATAGTTGATAGAGAATACCTAATTTTAAAAAGACCAACTTGAAGCAATTACTGTTTTAAAAAATTCACACTGCTGGTCAAACAAAACAGGAGTCTACATCTGATTTTTCAGTCCAAATCAATCACTTTTTTAAAATTATGTTTTTAATAAAGAAGTATTTTAAAAACTCAGAAAATGGACAAGGCCGGGGGCATCACTCATCATCCACTCAGCTTAAATCCTCTTGAAAGTCAAGGGGCATTAAAAAGTACCACCATTATATATATATATATATATATATATATATATATATATATATATATATATTTTTTTTTTTTTTTTTTTTTTTTTTTTTTTTTTTTTTTTTTTTTTTTGAGAAGGAGTTTCACTCTTGTTGCCCAGGCTACAGTGCAATGGTGTCATCTGGGCTCACCGCAACCTCTGCCTCCCGGGTTCAAGTGATTCTCCTGCCTCAGCCTCCCAAGTAGCTGGGATTACAGGCATGTGCCACCACGCCTGGCTAATTTTGTATTTTTAGTAGAGACGGGGTTTCTCCATGTTGGTCAGATTGGTCTCGAACTCCTGACCTCGGGTGATCCGTCCACCTCAGCCTCCCAAAGTGCTGGGATTACAGGTGTGAGCCACTGCGCCCGGCCTTATAGTCTTTATATATCTCCCTTTGTCTTTTTTATGCCATCAATTTTTCTAAAACTTACAACTTACCGTGTGCATATAGTAATTAGTTCCTATTTTTAAAGACTACATATACAGCTAAAAATGAAAAGTGAAAAAGTACATTTTAATATTGTGCTGATTCTAAGCTACTAAAAAAAAAGGTTGCTAAAAGTTAACATTAACCATTGGGGTAGAAAAATTGTTACCTTGCAAATAACTAGGCAGTCATGTCTCTGTTCAATCTTTTGACAGTCTAGGTTCTCCAAATACTTCTGCAGTTTCACTTTAATAAAACAGGTCAAAATCAAATGATGTCTTTAAAAATTGATAACTTTTTTCCTAATTAATCATTAAGTTGCCAAGAGAGATCCTACAATTAAAGAAGTTCTCATCTGGTTAAGGTAAAAGAATAAGCTACCTTTATAAGATAACCAGTTCCAGAGTAAAAGAGTAAATACTGACTGCATGATGCGATAAAAGACTAGCAATGTGGGGAACCAGTACAGCAAACCATATGATTAAGAGGAGGGATCGGATCAAGTTTCCAACCAGACAGGCTACTCCGTAGCTAGGAGACTAGGAGACTATGGGTTTAACCTCTATCAGTGTCTACTGATCTCTAAAATGGAATAACAGTGCCTATTTTATTGGGTTGTTGTAGAGATAAAATGACATAAGTGAGTAAAATTAGCACAGTCCCTTCCAAACAGGCTTTCAATTTCAATTTGATAGCTAACACAAACAGAAAACTAACTGGGATATGGAAAAATCTTAATTGAATTTTCTGCATGGAATTTGAGTAAGTCTGTCTTAATTATTCCAAGTCAATAAATTCTCATTACAGAAGCCTATATCACTTAGTTTTATTTGTATCTCAATTTTTCATGTATATATCTTATATTCTAAGTAAAATGTAAGTGTCTGACAAATAAGAACCCTCCACCAGCAATTCCTTTCTTTCTCCCCCAAAACCCCAGCTCACCTAGTATGCAATAAATATATATTGACAACTTAGGGAAATAACTTCCTTAGTAATCTGCAGTTACAAAAAAGTACCATTTGGGAAGTAACCAGTTGCAGGAAATAACCAGGTGACAGGATACTTGAGCGACTGTGTATGTGGGCTTGACCCCATAAACACGCTTAGTTCTGGGGAAGTCATGCCTTGACAGGTGATACAAAGACATTTTAACCATCCCTGAGCATCAGCTGTTCTTACAGCAAGGACAACAACAAAACCTGGCAAGCAAACTTTAAAGAGTTTCTTATCTGCTTGTCATTAAGCAGATATCCACGAATCTACACTTTTGTACCAAACACGTAAAACAGATCCCCTATTTATTTAGATGGTTATTTAATGTCGAAAGAAATATTAAGCTTATGTATACTCACTCAAAATATACTTTATTAAATATGAGTGATAATGATTCATACAGAAGTTTTTCCAGCTGGGTGCAGTGGCTCATACCTGTAATCCTAGCACTTTGGGAGGCTGAGGGGAGTGGATCACTTGAGCCCTGGAAGTCAAAACCAGCCTAGGCAACATGGTGAAACTCTTATCTCTACATAAAATACAAAATTAGCTGGGTGAAGTGGCGTGTGCCTGTAGTCCCAGCTACTCGGGAGGCTGAAGTGGGTGGACTGCTTGAACTCAAGAGGCAGAGGTTGCAGTGAGCTGAGATCACACTACTATACTCCAGCCTGTGCAACAGAGCAAGACCCTGTCTCAAAAAAAAAAAAAAAAAAAAGTTTTTCCCCTGGTAGTTTCACAAACGGTATTTGCATTAACATTTTACAAAGAGCTTCTTTTATTAAATTCCCTAATATTACCCTATATGAACTAAACTAAGGCGTATGATGTCTGACTACACATGCATGAGAAAAAATGCCAGAATCTCCAAAATAAAGTTCTAAAACATCACACATCATTTCTCTCACATCTGTCTCATTTTGGTTATATTTGAAATATCTCAGAACATGCCACATCAGCTTGATTGCCCAGATTGCCTTTTACTGAAATGAAGTCAGCAAAATTGCTAAATGAGAGCAACCCTTACTAGATTTACTAATTTGTGGGTTACTGGTATATCAACTGAAATTGTATGAATAACTTGGCAACAAACACTATTTCTGAGGCTTGAAATAGACTTTTTCTGTAATATGGTAAAACTTAGAGTAATAGAGATATAGAGTAGAATTTTAACAAAAACAGAAATGTAAAATGGAGGGCATTTTCAGCAACTCTAAATTGCAGTGGCATTACAATAATTTCACACTTTGACCCAATTATAAATGACTTAAAAGTCAGTATCAGACAAGTTTTGAGTTAAGTATGCTAACCAGAAGTCATGTAAAAATATCAGATTTCTACATTTCTCTACAGTTGTTTGGGTTTTTTTTTTAAACACTCAGTCACTTAAAACATAACTCAGTAAGTTTTACACAGTATTTTCCACACTGCTAGCTTGATACAGTTGATAAAATTAGAACTCCCACATACTACGTTGGTACGAAAAGTAATTGCGGGTTTGCCATTACAGTCATTCCATGCTCATGTCTGAGACATACAAATAATCAGAATTTAAGCTATACTTATTTCTTGTATATAGCTAATATTTCAATAGTTAAGATTTTGAAGCACACAGACGACACGAGTTTATTCCTTATTGGTGGATTTGAATATGGTCTTTTATTAGAGATTATACATTTTGAAGCTGAATGTTATTTTATAGTGATTCTTGTTTTTTGGCAGGGCACGGTGGCTCACACCTGTAATCCCAGCACTTTGGGAGGCCAACGCAGGAAGATCACCTAAGGTCGGGAGACCAGCCTGGCCAACGTGGTGAAACCCTGTCTCTACTAAAAATACAACAATTAGCTGGGCCTGGAGGCAAGTGCCTGTAATCCCAGCTACTTGGGAGGCTGAGACAGGAGAATTGCTTTAACAGAGAAGGTGGAGGTTGCAGTGAGCTGAGATCATGCCACTGCACTCCAGCCTGGGTGGCAGAGCAAGACTCCGTCTCAAAAAACAACAACAAAAAAAACTTTTAACAGTAAAATGTTCCCCACACTGGATAGATTATACCAGTATGATTAGAGACTGGGAGGGGTGGGAGTCTTCTTATGCATGTTAAAAATGGGCAATTAAAGGTGGAGTTTAAAGTGATTTCTATATCCTGGCCAAAAAGAGAAAACTGGGCATATCTTAAATTAGAAATGTTAGGTTAAAAAAAAATCAACCTATATGGTGCAGTGAAAGGTCCCTTATAATTTTTTTAGCTTTATTTTTAATTGACAAATAATGATTAGACATATGTATAAGGCACAAAGTGATATTTTTATTTCAATACATGTATATATTATGGAAGGATCAAATTAGAGTAATTAGCATATATGTCTGATATATTTTGGATGTCCCCTCCAAATCTCATGTTGAAATGTAATCTCCAGTGTTGAAGGCGGGGCCTGTTGGGAGGTGACTGGATCATGGGAGTGGATTTCTCATGAATGGTTTAGCACCAATGAGATCTGGTTAAGAGTATGGGACCTGCCCCCGCTCTCTCTCTCGCTCCTGCTCCTATCATGTGATGTGCCTGCTTCCGCTTTGCTTTCCTCCATGAGTAGCTCCCTGAGGGCCTCATAAGAAGCTGAGCACATGTTGATGCCATGCTTGTGTAGCCTGTAGAAGTGTGAGACAATTTAACCTATTTTTCTTATAAATTATCCAATCTCAGGTGTCTCTTTATAGCAATGCAAAGAACAACCTATACAGAATTACCTCAAATACTCATCACTTCTTTTTTTTTTTGTTTCTTTTTTTGAGACACAGTCTCGCTGTCACCCAGGCTGGAATGCAGTGGTGTGATCTCAGCTGACTGCAACATCCGCCTCCAAGGTTCAAGTAATTTTTGTGCCTCAGCCTCCTGAGTAGCTGGGATTACAGGTGAACACCACCATGCTCAGCTAATTGTTGTATTTTTAGAAGAGATGGGGTTTTGTCATGTTGGCCAGGCTAGTCTTGAACTTCTGGCATCAAGTGGTCCACCCACTTCGGCCTCCCAGAGTGCTGGGATTACAGGCATGAGCCACTGCACCAGGCCCTTATCACTTCTTTCTGGTAAGAACATTTAAAATACTCTTAGCTATTTTGAAATATACATTATTATGAACTATAATCACCTTACTGTGCAATAAAACAGAAATTATTCCTCCTATCTAACTGTAACTTTGCACCCATTGGCCAATGTTTCTCCTTTCTCCATCTACCTTAGCCTCTGGTAATCACCATTCTACTCTCTACTTCTATGAGTTTGACTTTTTTGGATTCCACATATAAGTGAGATCACTGCGACAAAATGGATGACGGCAGAGGACATTATGTTCACTGAAATAAGTCCCTGATAATTTTAACGAGGAAAATGCTTGACATTCTTACATGGTAGAACAAAATTCCACACAAATATAAACGTCACCTTAGATGTCTTAACTATATTTCTGTAGCCACAACAATTTCCAGGCAAAGAAACAACTATATAATTATTTGGCACTTTAATAATTACTACTCCATACTAAATAGGGAAAAAAAAAATGAAGAAATACAGTAGTCCTTTTTCCCTTATCCAAGCTTTCACTTTCTACAGTTTCAGTTACCCATGGTCAACCCATGGGTATTAATAAAGCTAGATTAATAATTTTTAATATTTGTTATTTAATAATTTTAATTGATAAAATTTTAGTATTTTAATTAATAAATTAAAATATTAAATAGAAAACTTGAGACATAATTTATAAACTTTAAGTTGTGAGTTGTCCTGACTAGCATGATGAAACTTGGTGCTGTCCTGCTCCATCTCGCCCAGGGCCTGAATCATCCCTTTGTAAAATGTAACCACAGTGTCTATGCTCCCTACCTATTAGTCACTCGGGAGCCACCTTGGTTATCAGACTGTTGTGGTATCCCAGTGATTGTGTTCAATTAACTTTTCTTTTACTTGATAATTGCCCCAAAGTACAAGAGTAGTGATGCTGGCAATTCTGATATGCCAAAGAGAAGCTGTAAAGTGCTTGCTTTAAGTAAAAAGGTGAAAATTCTCAGCTTAATAACGAAAGAAAGAAAAATCATATCCTGAAGTTGCTAAGCTTTATGATAAGAACATATCTTCTATCCATGAAATTGTAAGGAAGGAAAAACAAATATGTGCATAGTATATATAGCGTTCAGTACTATCTATGATTTCAGGCATCCATTGGAGGTCTTGGAACATAACTCCCTTTGATATGGGGGTACTGCTATACTAGTATCATTGAAACGGCTTGTAAAAAGTACAACTGTTAAGACTGGTACTGGTCTTAAAAGTTTCAAAGACTACGTAATTAGATCTCCCCCAAATCCTTAAGTCTGTTATACAACTGATTTCAAATATACTCTTTCTGAAACAATCTTCCTTGCAATGGGATGGTTTCTATTACTAAAGGGAAGGGGAAAGATCTATGTAGAGCTGAGAAAATGTTGGCAAAGCACAAACTGTTTTGTGTAAGTTTAAATAAAACGCTCTGCTTTATTCAAGCTTATAAAGATCAATAAGGAAATCCCCATGAAAACAGTCTTTACAGGTACAGTGGCAGATCAGAACTTCTAACGTATAAACAAGTATAACAGCATAGGTGAAATAAGATCAGACAAATACAAGTCAGATGAATACAGCAAAGTAATACTGATGTTATTCAAATAATCTAGCAACAAAGCCACAGCCCTCAGTAAAATTATGGCATAACATGCTAACTGACCCTCAGGACTAACTTAAAATATCTATGTTGCCATGTATAATTTAGTATGATATATTGTTGAAGATGACTTCAGAATAAAATTTCTCTAATATATAACTGATAAAATAAGAAAATGAAAAATAAGAGCTTTATCAAATTAACAAATATTTTAAAAGGAAAAACTCATCCTTCCCCTTCCTTTCCTGAATAATTAAGTCCTAAAGCCATTAGGCAGGGCAGAGCAACGTGAGAAAACACAGTGGCTCAGATCAGGGTATCAGAACCTGTCATAAAGAAGAGCTGCTTGGCATAGAGAATTCAAGTCCAAGCAAACCAAGGAGACTGCTCACATAGCACAGCTCACTCAGCCTGACCTAAGAAATCAGAGCCTGAGCAGAATGAAGAAGATTTCTACAAAGCAGGGAAGGTAAGGCCTCATTTGTGAGGCAAGGTCAGAAAGGGAGTCCCATAAAGGGGCAGCCAGAGTCCCAAGTAGAATGTGAAGTTTACCTTTACAGGAGGGTGGCTCAGAAAAGGGTGATAGAGCTCTAGCAGGGTAAAAAATGTCTACCCTCCAAGAGGCAGCCTGGCATGGGGTATTCTGTGCCAGAGCGCAGGCAGGATGAAGTGAATGTTCACATGGAGTGGCAGTCTGGCCTGGAGTTGTCAAAACCTAATCAAGTTGAGGAAGAGTCCCCATGGAGGAGCAATCCGACATGAGTTCTCCGAGTCTCAGCAGGAGCAAACAGAGGCCCTACAGAACAGCCTATCAAAGGATGCACAAGCCGGAAAAGGGTGAAGAGAGTGTTCATGCTTACGGTGAGCCCAACATGTGATGTCAGAACCCACTTATGGTAAGGAAGGCATAAGTAGGAGGAAAGGAGGCAATGGGAGATATATTACTACATACAACTCAAGAGGCATAATTGAAAAATTGCCATTAAAATAGATAGTGACTTCCTGGTATTTTTAAATACTCACCTGTAGCAGATAGGAACTGCCTGGATCTAGTAAGTTTACAGCTTCATTCTGAATAGTGTTCTGTTGTGTAATTGCATCTTCTCGTTTCCGCTCTTTCTGCCCTGCTTCATCATCTTCGTACTCATCTAAGCACTGAAAGAAAAAAAGAGTTTCCATTTTATTTCTACTATTAATAGACTGTTTCGATAATATGTGAAAATATATTGATAGTATTAAAGAAATATTTGTGCATTCAGAAATTAGTTTGCATAATAAAAGTATTTTTCTTTCAGCAATATGTACATTTAATTCCTATAAATTATCTGCTTAAAACTTGTACTTCCATATCCACACCACTGCCAACAAATCTTTTCCCTAAACTCCAAACATCAGTGACAGGGTTTTCTTAAAGGAAAGGTTTATTCATTCTTTATCATTCATTCAATAAGTAAACTACGTCTACCTTAAACAAGGCATTCTGCAGAAGGTAACAAAGGATGCATTAAAGAAATGGAATTTATAATCTAGTAGGAAAGATAATACATATATATAGATAGATAGATAACTTAGTGATAAAGGCCCAGTTTCTAGCTTTATATTCTATGAGCATATAAAGGAAGAGTATTTTTACCTGGAGAGTTAGAAAAGACTATAAAAAATCTTGTAATTTAAAGAATGGCTACAATTTGGAATTGCAGATATATAAAAAAAGAGAATTACACATGTAACAGCATATTGGAAAAGCTTACAAGAGAAGGCTGCTAAAAAACAGAAGCAACACTAGAAATTATCTAACTCTACACTTTCTACATAAGAAAAACAAAATAGAAACAAATCTCTATCCATTATACACATCATGGGCTGGGTTATCCGTTCCTTGCAACTGAATACATTCCTAACCAATACACTGCCCTAAAGGTTTCTGCATGAGAACTCACACCCCCTCCAGACAAAAACAAATAAACAAACAAAAACAAAAACAAAAAAAACCACACACCTCTTTGTAGAGACACTAAGGAACTGATCACAGCAAAGTATAACAGTATGGCAGTGAAGACAATAGGAATTGGACAAAAAAAAAAAGTTGTGCAGAGAGAAGAAAACACTGAAGCCATTGTGCAAACCAAGAAGGTGCACTGGAATATTTGGAGATAGGAGGAACATACTGAAAGGGGTACCAAGCTTGATAAAGACAAGGTCTACAATGGAGGACATGGAAGAAAGCATCTGTCTGAGATGGAGTGTTTTTTATTATTTTTTATTATTATTATACTTTAAGTTGTAGGGTACATGTGCACAATGTGCAGGTTTGTTACACATGTATACATGTGCCATGTTGGTGTGCTGCACCCGTTAACTCGTCATTTACATTAGGTGTATCTCCTAACGCTATCCCTCCCCTCTCCCCCAACCCCACGACAGGTCCCAGAGTGTGATGTTCCTCACCCTGTGTCCAAGTGTTCTCATTGTTCAATTCCCACCTACGAGTGAGAATATGCAGTGATTGGTTTTCTGTCCTTGTGATAGTTTGCTCAGAATGATGGTTTCTAGCTGAGATGGAGTCTTACAACATTAGGATGATACAGAGAAGTCTGAGGACAGAAATGGAAAGGGCAAATGAAAGGAGCATGCAGGTTGAGATTTGGTGTCACCTGGCCCTTGTCATATCAACCTGCCAAGAGTGGGGCTTGGGGAAACAGCACAAGAAAATTATGATACTGTAGCTACTGTTATTGCTGAGTCTAAACTGTTCTTGACTCTAACTAACCCAGGAGACTAGTATCTTTTGCCAGCATACACAAGCTAACGTGTTAGCCAGCAAGTGGGGTATGATCTCAAAGCCATTACAGTTTTTGACAAAAGTGAGGACTCGAAAGGCATAGAGGGAACATAAATAATAGATAACCCAAGAAGTTTAGACTTCTCACTCCATAGCTTGGAATGATGTTACAATGCTATACAGTTCCTTGGGATAAGGAATGATCAAAATTCTTTTTGGGAAGAACCTGGAAATAGCAATGCAGAGAACAGGAACAAGACCAAAAGTGAAAAGACTAGTTAAGTGACTAGTTAAATGACATAGGCAATTGTATCCTATGAAAAATGATATATCATAGGTGGAAACAGAGTCAGTGAAAGAAATCTGGTATGGGACACCAAAGTGTTAAGAAATTAGTCCTTATTAGAAAAAAAAAATCTCTCTCAGGACTTTCAAAAACTTTCTCAAATCACTAGACAATATCTTGTTTAATGACAACATACCAGCAAAATTTAAAGTAAAATCAGACTCAAGACATTGATGTCCACTATTAACATAATTGTTAACATCATTCTGAAAGTGCTAGTTGATAGAACTAGGTAAGAAGAATAGGCGATTTTAACATTAGAAAGGAGGCAAAATTACCATCAGAGGAAATGATTTTGTAAAAAACAAAAACATTTTAGAATTATGAGTTAAGATTTTTTTCAGTAAATAAGCAAAAAATTTCCCAAAGTAACATCAATAGCCAGTTACAAAATTTTTAGTAACAACCATTAAAAAACTAAAAAACAGTACGTGCATGAAAAAAGCTATAAGACTTTACTGAAGAATACAAATTAAAACCTGCTCTTAAGAAAAATCTAGTATTGTGAAGGTGTCAACAGTCTCTTAACACATAAATTAAAATTCCAATCAAAATCATGAAGAAATTTATTTGGAAAGTAGTGGTGCATCATCTGGAAGAAAAAATACATAAGATATCAAAAAAATTACTTTTTTAAAAAAGAGGTATGACCAAACACTCTAGTTAATGTTAAAATGTATAAAACTACAATAACAAAAATACCTGATAGAGGTCCTAGAACAGAAAGAATAAAATAGCATAAAAGGCATTTTAAATCAAGGAGTTGCTTTAAAAGGGGGAGGAGAGGTCAATCATTTAATGAACAGTAGGAGAAGCAAAAGTATGAGATCTGGAAAAGAATAAAGAATGGTCTCATCTCTAGTCTTCTACTGTGTGAAAGCAATCATCACTTATTCTCCAGCATATGGACTCAAAAATCCCTCACCTAGGCTCCAACATCATTAGCTTAAAGTTGGAATTCTTAAATTATCATAGATTAATATTAACAGAAAGCAAAAGTTGAGGCAGGTAGCCACGCACTCCCAGAGCACTGGGATGCTATTTTATTTGTCTTTGTTTTCATTTTCTGAGACCCAGCCCCACAACACTAACTTTCCCTCCTCCTGCCCCCTCAACTAGACTCCCTTACCAGTATATTAAAAGAAAAAAGAAAGGAAGAAACAAAACACTCGGTAAATGTTTCATAAAACAATGAATGAGTTACCAAGATGAGACAAATCATCTTGGAGATGAACTGGAAGGTGAACTGTGATACCTGAAGTTAAAATTCTGAATGCTCTTTCCCATGGCAACACTGCTATCCACTGAACTGGGAACCTATTCATCACACATAGTATCCCTGTGGATACAGTATGTATCTAACGTTCCAGGCAGCTTTTAGTATAGGATTACTTGATGAATCACAACTTCTCTCCAAAATTCTGCTAGCAACCAGTGCAGTTCTTTTGATAACAAGCATCCTAGAAATTCTTAAGCAATCTTTTCTAACTGGGATAAATACATCTGGAGGAAGAAGTTGGCGGAAATCATGAGAAATAAGAGAATTCCTGTATCTGCCATACTTAAGAGAAGTGGATTCTCCTCATTCCTTTCTTCAGCTGCATAATAATTTTATTAAATAGATGTACCTACCATATTTTAATCAGAGCTTTATTGATGAACATTTGGGTTTTTTACACGCTCTAAGAAAAATGTGTTAGAAAGGCTTATATATATAGTTTCTGTATATATGCAATGGATTTCCTGGATAGATTCTTAGTATTAGGATTGCTGGCTCACAAGGTAAATGAATATGTCAATTTGGCAGGTATTTCCAAATTCCACTCAATAGGGATTGTATCATTTTACATTTCCTTCAGTATGACATTACCTGTTCTCCCAATAGTTTTCATACTTTTGCAGTTTTTGCCAATATAATAATTGAAAAAAAGTATCTCAGTGTAATTTTAGCAGCAGTTCCTATGGTTAAGAGTCATTTGCATTTCTTTTGAGGTCTACCTCTAGTTTTCCATTTCTCTATAGGTTAATCTTTTATTTTTCAGTTGTTTATATATTAGGAATATATAAATTAAAGTGACCTGTGAGACAGTATCAAGCAGTCTAACACATGCATAATTGGGGTCTCAGAAGGCAAGGAGAGAGAAATGAGGGGGAAAAAAGCAACTGAAGAAATAATAGCTGAATTTTATCCAAATTTGATGAAAATTATAAACACACAGATGCAAGCTCAACAAGTCCAAAAAGAATAAGCAAAAAGAAATCATATACACATTATAATCAAAGTAATAAAGAGAAAATTTTAAAAGTAACAGAGGAAGAATTAAAAAATTAAAAATTAAAATTTAAAAAGTAACAGAGGGGCCGGGCGTGGTGGCTCACGCCTGTAATCCCAGCACTTTGGGAGGCCAAGGCGGGCAGATCACAAGATCAGGAGATCTACAAAACATGGCTAACACGGTGAAACCCTGCCTCTACTAAAAATACAAAAAATTAGCTGGCCGTGGTGGTGGGCACCTGTAGTCCCAGCTACTCGGGAGGCTAAGGCAGGAGAATGTCGCGAACGCGGGAGGCAGAGCTTGCAGTGAGCCGAGATCACGCCACTGCACTCCAGCCTGGGCGACAGAGTGAGACTCTGTCTCAAAAAAAACAAAACAAAAAAGTAACAGACGGGTGGAAGCAGATTATACACAAAAGTATATAAGAAATATAAAGTATGGGCCGGGCACAGTGGTTCAGCACATTGGGAGTCCGAGGCAGGCGGATCATGAGGTCAGGAGATCGAGACCATCCTGGCTAACACAGTGAAACCCCATCTCTACTAAAAATACAAAAAACTAGCCAGGCGTGGTGGCACGCGCCTGTAGTCCCAGCTACTCGGGAGGCTGAGGCAGGAGAATGGAGTGAACCCGGGAGGCGGAGCTTGCAGTGAGCCAAGATCGTGCCACTGCACTCCAGCCTGGGCTACAGAGTGAGACTCCATCTTAAAAAAAAAAAAAAAAAAAAAAGAATACATATATATATAAAATGAAGAATTAAAGCAGACTTATCAACAGAAACTATACAAGCCAGAAAACAATGAAATGACTTTTTTTTTTTTGAGATGGGGTCTTGCTGTGTCGCCCAGGCTGGAGTGCAGTGGCGTGATCTCGGCTCACTGCAAGCTCCGCCTCCCAGGTTCACACCATACTCCTGCCTCAGCCTCCTGAGTAGCTGGGACTACAGGCGCCCACCACCACGCCCGGATCATTTTTTGTATTTTTAGTAGATATGAGGGTTCACCATGTTAGCCAGGATGGTCTCGATCTCCAGACCTCGTGATCCACCCCCCACGGCCTCCCAAAGTGCTGGGATTACAGGTGTGAGCCACACGCCCCGCCGAAATGACAACTTTTTTTTTCCTTTTTTTTTTTAATTTTATTATTATTATACTTTAAGTTTTAGGGTACATGTGCACAAGGTGCAGGTTTGTTACATATATATACATGTGCCATGTTGGTGTGCTGCACCCATTAACTCGTCATTTAACATTAGGTATATCTCCTAATGCTATCCCTCCCCCTTCCCCCACCCCACAACAGTCCCTGGTGTGTTATGTTCCCTTTCCTGTGTCCATGTGTTCTCATTGTTCAATTCCCACCTATGAGTGGGAACATGCGGTGTTTGGTTTTCTGTCCTTGCGATAATTTGCTGAGAATGATGGTTTCCAGTTTCATCCATGTCCCTACAAAGGACATGAACTCATCATTTTTTACGGCTGCATAGTATTCCATGGTGTGTATATGCCACATTTTCTTAATCCAGTCTATCGTTGTTGGATATTTAGGTTGGTTCCAAGTCTTTGCTATTGTGAATAGTGCCGCAATAAACATACGTGTGCATGTGGCTTTATAGCAGCATGATTTATAATCCTTTGGGTATATACCCAGTAACGGCATGGCTGGGTCAAATGGTATTTCTAGTTCTAGATCCCTGAGGAATCGCCACACTGACTTCCACAATGGTTGAACTAGTTTACAGTCCCACCAACAGTGTAAAAGTGTTCCTATTTCTCCACATCCTCTCCAGCACCTGTTGTTTCCTGACTTTTTAATGATCGCCATTCTAACTGGCATGAGATGGTATCTCATTGTGGTTTTGATTTGCATTTCTCTGATGGCCAGTGATGATGAGCATTTTTTCATGTGTTTTTTGGCTGCATAAATGTCCTCTTTTGAGAAGTGTCTGTTCATATCCTTCGCCCACTTTTTGATGGGGTTGTTTGTTTTTTTCTTGTAAATTTGTTTGAGTTCATTGTAGGTTCTGGATATTAGCCCTTTGTCACATGAGTAGGTTGCAAAAATTTTCTCCCATTCTGTAGGTTGCCTGTTCACTCTGATGGTAGTTTCTTTTGCTGTGCAGAAGCTCTTTAGTTTAATTAGATCCCATTTGTCAATTTTGGCTTTTGTTGCCATTGCTTTTGGTGTTTTAGACATGAAGTCCTTGCCCATGCCTATGTCCTGAACGGTATTGCCTAGGTTTTTGAGACAAAGAAGGCCAATACATAATGGTAAAGGGATCAATTCAAGAAGAAGAGCTAACTATCCTAAATATATATGCACCCAATACAGGAGCACCCAGATTCATAAAGCAAGTCCTGAGTGACCTACAAAGAGACTTAGACTCCCACACAATAATAATGGGAGACTTTAACACCCCACTGTCAACATTAGACAGATCAACGAGACAGAAGTTAACAAGGATACCCAGGAATTGAACTCAGCTCTGCACCAAGCGGACCTAATAGACATCTACAGAACTCTCCACCCCAAATCAACAGAATATACATTCTTTTCAGTACCACACCACACCTACTCCAAAATTGACCACATAGTTAGAAGTAAAGCACTCCTCAGCAAATGTAAAAGAACAGAAATTGTAACAAACTGTCTCTCAGATCACAGTGCAATCAAACTAGAACTCAGGATTAAGAAACTCTCTCAAAACCACTCAACTACATGGAAACTGAACAACCTGCTCCTGAATGACTACTGGGTACATAATGAAATGAAGGCAGAAATAAAGATGTTCTTTGAAACCAACGAGAACAAAGACACAACATACATTCAGAATCTCTGGGACACATTCAAAGCAGTGTGTAGAGGTAAATTTATAGCACTAAATGCCCACAAGAGAAAGCAGGAAAGATCTAAAATTGACACCCTAACATCACAATTAAAAGATCTAGAAAAGCAAGAGCAAACACATTCAAAAGCTAGCAGAAGGCAAGAAATAACTAAGATCAGAGCAGAACTGAAGGAAATAGAGACACAAAAAACCCTTCGAAATGACAACTTTTAAGCACTAAAAAGAAAAATCTGTCAAATAAAGGTTCTAAATGTAGTAAAATGTTTCAAAAAGAAAAGAAAAATAAAGACTTCTACAAATAACAAAAACTGAGCAGCAGACCTTCAGTATAAAAAAAGGTTAAATGAAGTTTCTCTGTAAAGAAAAGGATACCGCAAGAAAATGTGGAACCACTCAAAGGAATGAAGAACATCCAAAATGGTCAATACATGAATAAATATAAGAAACTGTTATTTCTTATTTTGGTATCTCCTTAACATGTAAGTGATTAAAGAAAAAATGATAATGACATTTTGTGATATTTATAACACATGGAAAGGTAAAATGTATGGCAATGGCACAAAGGCAGGAAATAAAAGTATACCAGTGTAAGATTCTTACACTATACATGGCATGGTATAATATTACATAAAAGCAGACTGTGATAAGTTAAAGATGTATAATACATATATATAGATATTTAACCCTAAAGCAACTGCTTTAAAAGCCAATCAAAGAGCTTTTTAGGCAACGCTAAAGATAAAATTGAATGATTAAACAATACTCAACACAAATGCAGGCAGAAAAAAAAGGAGAGAACAGATAGGATAAATAGAAAACAAAGATCAAGCAGGAAGATTTAAACCAAACCACTTCAATTATTAAATGCACATGATCTAACCATTTCAACTGAAAGGCAGAAGTTATAATAATAAAAGCAAGACCCAAATATATGCTGTCAACAAGAAACACATTTAAATAGAATGACACAAATAGGTTCCAAGTGAAAGGACGAAAAAAGATGCATCATAAAACACATATCTAATGTAAGCTGAAACAGTCTTATCGAAGTAGATTACACAATAAAGAATATTATCATGAATAAATAGGGATATTACATAATGATAAAGGGGTCAATTCATCCAGAAGACACAGTTTTTAAAAATGTAGTCACCAAATAAAGGAGCTTCAGATCAAATGAAACAAAAAGAACTGAAAATAAAAATGGGCAAATCCACAAATTCAGTTGGAGATTTCAACACTTCTCTATCAGTACTTAATACAACATGAAGGTGGGAAATGTGTAGAGATATAAAAAAAAAAACTTCAATTCTGTCAATTTGACCCAACATTTATAGAACACTCCCCCCACAAAAATAAACTATATGTTTGTTTTGTTTTGTTTTGTTTTTCGAAAACTCACTGTATGTTCAATAAGACAGAACATATTGTGGAACATAAAACAGGATTTGTGCAAACATAAGATGATGAAATCATACCAAGAATGTTCTTTGACCACTACTCAATTAAACTTAAAATCAGTAACAGAAAGCTACCTGAAAAATCTGCTAAATATATGGAAATTAATTCACAAATAATCACGTGAAAAAAGAAATCACAAGTAGAAAATATTTTCAAATGAATTTTAAAAGCACAACATAAAATTTGAAATCCACCTAAAAGCAGAGCTTAGAAGAAAATTTATAACAATGAATATTTATTTTAGAAAAAAAGAAGTCTCAAATCAATGATCAAGGCTTTCATCTTAAAAAGCTATAAAAAGGGCAAATTAAACCCAAAATAAATGGAAGAAAATGAAAATAAGAGCAAAATACAATAAAACAAAATAGAAAAAATAATGAAACCAAAAGTGGGTTCTTAGAAGTAATAGATAAAATTAGTAAACCTCTTGGCAGTCTGAACAAAAAAGACAGAAAATCACTATTATAAGTAAAAATAAATGATATTCTATGATATTAAAAGATTAAGAAAAATTATGAAAAACTTTGTGCCACTAATATATATATATATATTTTTTTTGAGACAGTCTCAGTCACCCAGGCTGGAGTGCAGTGGTGTAATCTCGGCTCACTGCAACCTCTGCCTCCCGGGTTCAAGCAATTCTCATGCCTCAGCCTCCCAAATAGCTGGAACTACAGGTGAGCACCACTGCACTTGGCTAATTTTTGTATTTTTAGTATAAGAGACGGGGTTTCGTCATGTTGCCCAGGCTGGTCTTGAACTCCTGGCCTCAAGCAATCTATCTGCCTTGGCCTCCCAAAGGGCTGGGATTACAGGTGTGGGCCACCATGTGTGGCTTATGCCAGTAAATTTGGTAACTTTGATAAAATTGACAAATTCCGTGAAAGACTGAAGCTACCAAAGTTCAATCAAGCAGGAGTATATAACCTGAACAGCTCTCTATCTAGTAAAGAAAGTAAAGAAAATATCAAACCAAGATGGTTTGGTAAACTATCAAACTTTTAAAGAAATACCATCTGTTCACAAATTCTTCTAGATGGAAGAAATACTTCTCAACTTATTTTGAGGCCAACAATGCTCTGGTACCAAAACCAAAAAAAAAAAAAAAATTCTAAAATAATAAGAACTACAGACCAATGTAATCTGGTAAAGACAGACAAAAAGGCCTTTGCAAAATTTTAGCATAAAAAATGCAAAATATATAAAAAAGGACAATGACCAAAATGGGGTCTATCCCAGTAAAACACTTTGTTTAACCTTCAAATCAGTGATTCATCATCTTTACAAAGGAGAAAAATATATAATCACCAATACATTAGTAAAAAGCATGACACAAACATAAACCCTCATGCCAATAAAACCCACAAAAAAATTCTTAGCAAACTTAGAAGAGAATAGCCTTAATCTGATCAGAAAAACCCATATCTAACATCACATTTAGTGGTAAAAGAAATCAATCTTTTCCCCTGGGACCAAGAATCAGGTAAGATGCTTTCACCATTTTTGCTCTCACCACTTCTATTCAGTATCTATC
Source organism: Homo sapiens (assembly GCF_000001405.40). Classification (NCBI taxonomy): domain Eukaryota; kingdom Metazoa; phylum Chordata; class Mammalia; order Primates; family Hominidae; genus Homo; species Homo sapiens. The sequence continues at coordinate 79,631,300 of NC_000012.12, forward strand.
ATACTGCCAGTCCAAGCCAGGACAATAAGGTAAGCATAAGAAAGAAAAGGTATACATGTTGGAAAGGAAAAAGTAAAATATCTTTATTCATAGATGGCATTATCTTCTATATAGAATATCTTAAGGACTTATTTAAAAACAAACTACCAGAACTGACAAATGAGTTTAGGAAGATCGCAAGATACAAAAATCAATTGTATTTTTATATAATGGCAACCAATAAATGTGAAAATTCAAACTGAAGAAAAATACCATTTAAAATACAAACAAAATACAAAAAACACACTATACCCTTACATTACAACTATAAAAATCTTGCTAAGAAAAATTTAAAAGACCTCAGTATGGAAAAATATGCTATGTTAGGGGATCTGAAGACTCAATGTTGTCAATAAGATAATTTCTCCTCAACTTGATACATAAATTCAAGGCAATCCTAAAATCAAAATCCTAACAGTTTTTGTAGAAACTATCAAACTGATTCAAAATTTAAGTGGAAATGAAGAGGATCTAAAATAATCTGAAAAAACATTTTTAAAGAAAAATCAAGTTGGACAGGCACAGTGGCTCACACCTGTAATCCTAGCACTTTGGAGGCCCAGGCAGGTGGATTGCCTGAGCTCAAGAGTTCGAGACCAGCCTGGGGAACATGATGAAACCCCGTCTCTACTAAAATACAGAAAATTAGCTGGGCATGGTGGCGTGCACCTGTAATCTCAGCTACTCGGGAAGCTGAGACAGGAGAATCGCTTGAACCCGGGAGGCAGAAATCGCAGTGAGTCGAGATCATGCCATTGCACTCCAGCCTGGGTGACAGAGCAAGACTCTGTCTCAAAAAAAAAAAAAAAAAAATACAACAACAACAAAAAAAACCAATTAAAGAACTTATACTACTTGATTTCAATACTTATAAAGTGAGAGTAATCAAGAGTGTGTTATTGGCGTAAAGATATTCATACAAAAGAATGCACTAGAGTCCAGAAATAGAAATATATACATATATATATACATACATATATATATATATATATATATATATATATATATATATATATATATATATTTTTTTTTTTTTTTAGACAGGGTCTTGGCTCTGTTGCCCAGGCTGGAGTGCAGTGGTGCAACCATGGGTCACTGCAGCCTTGACCTCCTGGGCTCAATCCATCCTCCTACCTCAACCTCCCAGGTAGGTGAGACTATGGGTGCTTGCCACCATGTCTGGCTAATTCTTGTTTTGTTTTGTTTAGTTTTTTGTAGAAATGGGGTTTTGCTGTTGCCCAGACTAGTCTTGAACTCCTGGGCTCAAGTGATCACCTGCCTCAGTCTCACAAAGTTCTGGGATTATAGGCGTGCAGCATACCATGTGCCCAGCCTGGCCCTTTAATTTTTAGCAAAGATGTCATGAAGATTCAACTGGGAAAGGATGATCTTTTCAGCAAATGGTGCTGTAACAAATAGATATCCATATATACCCTCCCACTAAAAGGAAAAAGTTAACTTCAGTCCTTTATCTCACATCAGTTACAAAAATAAGCTCAAAATGTACTATCATAGCCGGACACGGTGGCTCATGGCTGTAATCCCGGCACTTTGGGAGGCTGAGGTGGGCGGATCACTTGAGGCCAGGAGTTCGAGACCAGCCTGGCCAACATGGTGAAACCCTGTCTCTACTAAAAATATGAAAATCAGCCAGGCGTAGTGGCGCATGTCTGTAGTCTCAGTTACTTGGGAGGTGGAGGTAGGAGAATCCGAGAGGCGGAGGTTGCACTGAGCTGAGATTGTGCCACTGTACTCCAGCCTAGGCAAAAGAGAGAGACTCTGTCTCAAAAACAAACAAACAAACAAACAAAAAACAAAAAAACTATCAAAATTAAAAACTTTTGCTATTCAAAAAATAGTTAAGGAAATAAAAAGGCGTGCCACAGACTAGAAGAAAATATTTGCAAAAACACACACCTGATGAATTTGTAGCCAGAACATATAATGAGCTCTTAGAACACAATTAAAAAAACAACCCAATTAAAAATGACCAAAAATGTGAACAGATATTTCACCAAAGAAATGTCAAATAAACACACGAAAAGACACTCAACATCATGTCATTAGGGAAATGCAAGCTGAAACCATAATGAACCACCTACCAGAATGACTAAAATTATAAGACTGACGATACCAATTGTTGGTGAGGATTTAGCAGCATAAAGTCAGCTGTTTGTTTTTTTGTTGTTGTTTTTCTTTTATAAACAGCCCTTTAAAACTATAAAAACCACTCTTGGCTCTCTGTCATATAAAAACAAGCCTCTGCTGACCAAATGGCCCAGTTTCTACAACTTATAAATTGCAAAGAGAAAAGAAGGGAAAGGAGATATATGAATTTGAAACTCAAAGAACATAAGAACCAACAACAAGGTACTCACCTCATTTGCATCCTTATTTAAAGAAACTACTTTAAAAATTATTTAAGAAACACTTTGAACATGAATATATATTTGAGAGATTAAGGAACTACTTTTTAAAACTTTTTCAAGTGAGATAATGACATTGTCCTTCTGGTTTAAAAAAAAATCCATATATTTTAGAGATGTATACTGAAGTATTTAAAGATGACATAACATGCCACCTAGGATTTGCTTCAAAATAAGACAAGAGGTAAGACGGGCAGTGTGCTGGTATAGATAAAACAAAACTGGCCATGAGTTGAAAATTATTGAAACTGAAGATGAGTACAGGTAGACTTCATTATATGATTCTCCTTACATCTGTATATGATTGAAATCCCCAAATACAGTTTAAAAATGCAATAAAATTTATGTTTTGACTAAATAACTATAAGTAAATACATATTTTATTCATCTGTACCATAACACTTCTGCCTCTGGAGAATAGAATATTATCTGAAAACAGTTTTCAAAATAATGTTGGGAAATGCTTCAAATTTAATATATAAAGATATGTATGAATGATAAGGATACATTTATCTCTTGGTTTTTTCTTTTTTAAAAAAATAATCTTCTGTAAAGTGGGTGTTAGATTTCACAACTACAAGACAAGAACTCAGATTTTAGAACTGGAAACCTAGATTCAGATCCCAGTCTGACACTTAAAGTAGGGTACTACTAAGCACTAAAATCCAGTATCTCATAATTCTCACAAAAATTTTAGGAGGTACACACAATGTACATTCAGGAAGAGGGGACAAGATAAGAATTAATGCTTAAGGACACATTTGTTGAATAGTGCAGTCAGAACTCCAACCTAAGCAGTCTAACTCCAAAACCTGAACTCAATTTTCCAACTGCCAGGTGTAACTATTTGTTAGTTATGAAATCAATTTACTGCATTGCAACCCAGAATTTTTAAGAAAAAGAACAGAATAGACAATAGCAGTGAGCACTTTTCCAAACTTTTGTTTCAGATTACTTGTAAGTATACTGAGTCACTTTGTAGAACACAGAATTACTGAGAATTGCAGCTGAAAAAAAAAAGAGTGACTATGGGTTGATGATTATTATTGCTGGATGACAGTTATATAAGGATTCATTTGGCTTGGTAGTTTTCTGTATGTTAACGTTTTTACATAATTTTTTTTTAATTTTAAAGAGGCTATCTGGAGGAATTCTATAAGGTCTCATTTCCAAGTTTACACCTCAGTCACTAACAGCAGACCCAGCTTCCCCAAGTCTCATCTATCACTGTACAGATTCTCACTTACTATATTGCTCTGTACATAACCTCACATATCCTAATCTGTTCCAATACTGCATTCTTCCTCTCCCTTCCAAATTATTCCATTCTACTGCCTAAAATTCCTGCTCAGTGATTAACATCTTGCTATTGTCAGATGCAGATTAAAACCTGGCTGGCTCCCTGAAAAAGACTCCCTGTGGTGTCTCAACTGGAACTTATTTAATTCCCCTCATAGCTTGGGACCTGGTAGTAGGGTTAGTATCTTCTCCAAGTATGTCTCTGGGGCAAGTCTCTACTTTGGCCATAATGCTCTGGGCTCAGTGATTCTTTCATAATACCTAAAAGGTATTATGAAATTCTGTGGAGGCATTTTGGTCACCTTGATGACTGAGGGATATTACTGGTTATGGAGCAGAAACCTGGAATGCTACCCACATTGCAATTTGAAAACACAGTTCCGGTAAGAAAGAAAAGACCTACACCTTGTTTAACTGGAGAATGTAATGTTGAGTCAGCCAGCAGGTGAAAAATAAGTTTATAATTATCTGAGCCCAACCACTTACCTATAAAAACAAAGCAGGAGAAGTACAGGATTTGTAAATGTATACAAAGATTTTTCCAGAAGACGGCTATCCTGAAAATCCAGGAAATATGTTGTTTATAATCTTATTTTTAAAAATTGCTTGCCATTTTGGAAAATGTCATTAACTGTAAAACTATTCATATTTGTGTCACCAATAAAGCATAATTTTATCTGTCCAAAAAAAGTTTGAAAGCCACTGCTATGTTCTGATAGTTTTATGACTTTGCTTGGGGCAACAGATTGCACCATCACAATATTATCATCACCACAGTATTTCACACTCCTGTTATTACAAAACATGGTGTATGTTGCACATATTCAATAAATGTTTGCTGAACTAAATACTAGGGTGTTTGGTAGAGACTAGACTGACTGGACTGTATTACAAAGACATTGTGGCTAAACAGGAATTGGGACATGAAGTCATAAATACAAAAAAAATCAGCCAATCATAGTATTTCTTGAACAAATGAGATAAAACATGCTGCTTTTGAAAGACTAACCTTACAGTGATATATATGTTAAATATGGAAATAAACTTGACTTAGAAATCTTAAAGGCAATAGTTTCCTACTACTAACATTTCTATTACTACAGCTCAAAGATTTTAATATAGAAATTTAATAAGTTCATAGACTAAATAACAAAAAGATTCATCTCATGGCAGCTTTTTCCTATCAATTTTATAAAACAGAATTCCACAAAACTCAGTTCAGAAAAAGCAATCAATATACCATTTGCCTCTATTAAACAAAAACTGTATTAACACGTTTAAATGTTTCTAATATATGGAGAAGAGTATAACTTTTACTTATATTAATAACAACTCTTGAACAGTAGGGGTAAACCTAAGCACATAAGGCAATCATCATTCACAGCTACTATTTATCTAAAACTATGCATACTAACTAAACAAGAAAATACAATGTTAAAAATTTCAACATAAAACATAAGAACTGTTCAAATTAATTTTTAATAAGTGCTCAAGCCAAAGTTTTGATACTTTGATAGCTTAAATTGTGATCTACTATCTAGTTCTTGAAAGAATTCAACTAGATATTGTTTCACATTCCTTTCTCTACTTTCCCATTTGCTCTTTCTCATAAGTAGTAAGTCTTACAAATGAATGCAATAGTTTATTCATTTTTAAGTAGAAAATATTTACAACCGTTCGTAAAATCCTTTACATAATACTGACATTCCTTATAATGCTTGTTCCTTCGATTTTCAGAATCCTTAAAAAAATTTTATCTCATTTTCTTCTATCCAAATATGCCTGTAGACACAACATATGTACATCTTAAGAATCCACACAAATTTCTTAGGTGTTTTAATTTTTGAACAAATTTTTGCAAAGTATAAACACTCCTCAACAAGGCTCTAATAAGGAAAATATGACAACTTTTAAATTACGAATCAGAATGAGAAAAATAACTACAATAGAACTAAAATGAAATACAGATTTTAAACAGCCAAGTAAGTTCAACTGCATTTATGTACAATAAATTATATAAATGTAGTTCAAAAACTGTGACTGCCCACTACATCTAAAAAATAATCAGGTAAGCAATCTTTGCAAAGCTTCTTGGGGAAAGAATTAGAGCTCCCTAAAAGGGGGATGGGCAGGGCAGTCTATTTGGGATCACACAATTACAAACCATGTGTGTGGATTAAGTGCCTGTGCTTTCCAAAATGAGTTACTATAACCATGAAAGGTATTAGGGAAATTAAAATAGATTCCACTCATTTTCTTCAGGGAGACCATGTCAATCCTATCAGTAATGCCACTTCTTTAATCCGCCTCCTTCTCTGGTAATACCCTTTTCATCTACCATTAGTCCTTCTTTTATCTAGCATATACCATTCTGTCATCACTCGACCTCTGCCCTAGCTTTACCTCACCTTCCATCCCTGGCTCCTAAGCCAAAAGTTACTGTGAGATGATTAAACAACAACAACAACATTGAACATTAAAAAAAAAAAAAAAAGATAAATTGAAATAAGGTCAAATTATTAAGTATCTCTATGTGAAAAGAACTGGGCATAATAAACAAATGACGTCTTCTAACTGGATAGCAGAAAGAAACGTATTAATCTATGTTATAATGAACATAGATTAATATGCTACGGTCTGCTACATACACACCAACACTCACACACATACAACATACCTCTAAACTAGAAAGCTTGGGAACTGAGTAAATTTAAAACGTACAAATTTTCAAAACTATTAACATCTTAAAAAAAAGAAAAAAGAAAAATCATTCTTAATCTTAACCAACTATTATCACTGTGGTAAACATCTTTCTATGAGAACTAGTTCTTTTTTAAATTCAAATAGTTGTGGATATCCCATTTTGAAGTGTACTTACATCATCTCTTGTAACAAAAATTTTAGTAGCTGCATAGTATTATATCAGCTTATGAATACAACGTGATTTGTTCAATCCTGTCTGTGTCATGAGACATACAAGTTAAATAGCCTTTCACGTAAATTTTTGTGTGTATCTCTAATTTTTATGGCTCTTTAAACATACTGTCATTCTTCAGAGTACAGCTTTTGGGTTTCAAAAAAAAAAAAATACTGCCAATATTGCCCCAGAAAGCTTGTGTAAGATTGGTCTCACCCTTATTTTTTCAACTCTCACCAAATATATTAGGCAAATAGGGGTTTCACTGAATCCTAATTAATAGGATAAACTTTTGTCATATTTTTATTGGCTTTATATATTTATGTATCTTCATTTTCTTCACTGATGTTGTCTGTCAATTTCATTTCTTAGTACTTCTAAAAGCAGTATATAACAAGAATGGTAATCTTTGTCCAACATATTGTTAATGTCTTTTTCTAGTTTACCTTTTAATTCTGTTTAATTTCCCTTTTGCAATTTCTCCCTGTGGTTCTATAAAAGAAAGTTTTTCCCACTCCAAGATCTAATCAACACATATTTTCTTATTTTTACTATCTCATTTTTAACTTAACTAATCTCATATTTAATTTGTTGTGTAGTGAAGTTGGACTCTACTGGTTTCTACTTTGATAACAGCCAATTGTTTCAACTATGTACACAGAATACAGAATTGCAACAACGGCAGTGGGTTGTATGAATAATGGCTCCGACTGGAGTACAGCATTCCCTCAGCCCCACTCAGGGTTCATACCCAGGGACTCTAGATCTATTGCCTCCCTATCAAGTCCAAATGCTATCATTATATTTGGGGTGTGTGTGTGTGTGTGTGTGTGTGTGTGTATTATATATAAACATATATACATATATTTTTTGAGATGGAGTCATATATATATATATATATATATATATATATATATTTTTTTTTTTTTTTTTTTTTTTTTTTTTTTTTTGAGATGGAGTCTTACTCTGTCGCCCAGGCTGGAGTGCAGTGGCATGATCTCAGCTCACTGCAACCTCCACCTCCTGGATTCAAGAGATTCTCCTGCCTCAGCCTCCTGAGTAGCTGGGGTTACAGGCGCATGCCACCACGCACAGCTAATTTTTGTATTTTTAGTAGAGACAGGGTTTCACCATGTTGGTCAGGCTGGTCTCGAACACCTGACCCCGTGATCTGCCCGCCTCAGCCTCCCACAGTGCTGGATAGGTGTGACAGGCGTGAGCCACCTCACCCTATTTTTAGCTTTCAATACTGTTTCACCAATTTATCTACATAAAAGCCATATTATTTTTATCATTATAAGTTAATAATATCTAGTAATACCAGTTCTCTTTCTTATTATTCACTTTTAAAATTTTCTTGGCTTCTCCCAGCCAACATATTTTCCTAGTAAAATACTTATGTCAATACATTTTACTTAATGTATAAATTATGTGGAGAGTTATGGCTAGGTTTCCACATGCACAGCACAAAGCTCTGTGCCCAAATTCTCTGCAGAACCTACGTTTGTGGTTTAGTGTCTGTAAAGTTCATCTTTAGCCTCAACTGGTCCCTCTCAAGAAACTTCACACTCTTGTTTAAATTTCCTTGTCCCCTGGACTTCTATGCACATCCTCTCCCTTTACCCATATATTCCTCTAAAAATAATTTAAATTTATATAATGCATACCTTCATTTTCAAGAATTTTTCCTCTCACTAAAAATTAAAAGTTTAGGTCTATATAAAACAAACTAAAACTACCTTGTATGTTAACTGGCAATTAGCAGTAGTGGCTGGCACATACTGTATAAGTACTTAAGAATATCAAGTAAATGAATGAGATTTCCATTCCATTCCTTTTCCTTTTCCTTTTCCATTCCTATTCCTATTCCTATTCCTATTCCTATTCCTATTCCTATTCCTATTCCATTCCATTCCATTCCATTCCATTCCATTCTATTCTAGAGATGGAGTCTCACTCTATCGCCCAGGCTGGAGTGCAGTGGCATGATCTCATCTAAGCGCAACCACCACCTCCTGGGTTCAAGTAATTCTCCTGCCTCAGCCTCCTGAGTAGCTGGGATTACAGGTGCCTGCGAACACACCTGGCTAATTTTTGTATTTTTAGTAAAGACAAGGTTTCACCATGTTAGCCAGGCTTGTCGAACTCCTGACCTCAAGTGATCCTCCCACCTCAGCCTCCCAACATTCTGGGATTTCAGGCCTGAGCCACCGTGCCTGGCCATAAATCTATTTTAGCAGAGCCTACTCCCTGCCCACAAAGAGCAAGACTCCTTATTTTCCTTCCTTAGCAATCCCTTAGTCCTAAATCCTCCACTTCTCTCCCATCCCTCCACCCCAAGACTCAAGGACTCAGTCCTATTTGCTGTAACTTATTCCTCTATTGCAGACCTTCAATCATACTACAACCCAAGTAGGCAATTCAACCTTTATGACCAAGAAAGACTCTGTCTTCTCAAGCTGATTAGTATTTTGAATAGGCTGGGCATAGTGGCTCACACTTATAATCCCAGCACTTTGGGAGGCCAAGGCAGGCAGATCCCTTGAGCTCAGGAGTTTGAGACCAGCCCAGGCAACATGACAAAACTCTGTCTCTATAAAAAATACCAAAATTAGCCGGGTATGGTGGTGTGCGCCTGTAGTCCCAGCCACTTGGGAGGCTGAGGTAGGAGGATCACTTGGGCCCTGGAAGTCCAGGATGAGGCTGCAGTGAGCCGTGATCATGCCACTGCACTCCAGCCTGGGTGCCAGAGCAAGACCCTGTCTTTAAAAAATAAAAATAAAAATCTGAATACACATATCCCTGGCATGTAAAAGAGAAAGGACTTAGGAGAAGACTGATTAGTTGGGAACACAGGGATACATATTAAAGAAACTATGTCCTATAATAGTTTGATGCGTAAGGATCTTGGATGAGAGCTTGTGAGTTATGTGTCTGTGTATCTGAGAGTTTGAAGTTAAGGGAAATAACTAAATTGTATATTCTGTTACATTGGCGGTGGTTACATACTAAAGAAAATGAACAGAGGACTAAAAATTTAATCCTAATTTTATCTAATTACCATACAACACACTCATCATTAAATGTTAGGTTCATTTTAACTTTCATTAGATAAGATTAAATTCTATTTTTACCTTGAATTCTCAGGTTTTGTTGCTTATACAGAAAGGCAATTGGTATTTTTTTTAAATGTTTAAGAAAAAACACTATTCATTAACTCAAAGGAACAATAACAATAGCAGCTAACAATTACATAGCACCTACGTGACAGCCATTGTTCTAAGAGCTTTTCAGAGCAAAACTCTTCTAACCTTCACAACCCTATGAGATAGGTACTATTTTTATCCCTACTTTATGGATTTGAAAGCAGTTAAACATTTGCTTAAAGTTACACAGCTAACAAGTGATGGAGCTGTGATATGAACTCAAGACATTCTGTCCGAAGAGCCTATTCTCTTAACTATGAGACCACATTTACTGTTTTATGACAATTAGCTTATTCTCTATTTTTACTTATATAAAACAAGCTCTCCAATACAGCAGATATTTTATAGAATATTAACAGGATTAAGAAAGTCATATGATTGGCCAGGCGCGGTGGCTCACGCCTGTAATCCCAGCACTATGGGAGGCCGAGGTGGGCGGATCACGAGATCAGGAGATCGAGACCATCCTGGCCAACATGGTGAAACCCTGTCTCTACTAAAAATACAAAACTTAGCTGGGCGTAGTGGCATGTTCCTGTAATCCCAGCTTCTTGGGAGGCTGAGGCAGGAGAATCACGTGGACCAGGGAGTTGGAGGTTGCAGTGAGCCGAGATCGCACCACTGTACTCCAGCCTGGCAACCGAGCGAGACTCCGTCTCAAAAAAAAAAAAAAAAAAAAAAAAAAAAAAGTCATATGATTTACTACAGAAAGCTACATAATAACTCCTTTCCTGATTGTTTTGAAGAATCACAAATATTTGAGATGCTACAAGGGGACCTGGAGAGGTGGGATATAATGTAAAAAATGTATTTCATTCAATCTAAGATGCCACTGATTGAAAACATACCATTATTTTATGTGCCACTGAGAAATGAAACTCTGCCAAACTGTAACACATTATCATTTAAAATATACTAGTATATAAAAAGGGAATAAAAGTATAAATAAATCAATGATTATAGTGACTTACCAAAGATATCTTCAATATATGGCTGCTTAATAGATAAGACTACATACAAGAAAATTAGTATTTCTTGAAAGCTATTATACTTTCTGGGAATCTATGTATTTGGAAGAAATCAAAGACTTGACACCAGCCCAAGATTGAGGTATGAACTATGGTTGTAGAGAACTTCAGGACAACAAGAAAAATTGGTTTATCAAGCACATGCCTACATTAGGTCAGATGTATTACTAAATAGTTTGCTTTTGCTGCCATTAAAAAATACCACAGACCAGGTGGGTTACATCACAGAATTTTATTTTCTCACAGTTCTGGAGGTTGGAAGTCCAAGATCAAGCTGCTGGCAGGTTTGATCTTTCCTCTTGCCTCCTTGGCTTGCAGATGGTCACCTTTCTTTCTCATTGTATCTTCATTTGGCCTTTTTTCTGTGTGTGTGCATCCTTGGTCTCTCTCTCCCCCTCCTAGTAAGAACACCAGTCATACTGGCTTTATAGTCTCACTCTTAAGGCCTCATCTAACTTCAATTACCTACTTAGAGGTCATATCTGCAAATCTCCAAATACAGTTCATATTGGGGGCTAGGGTTTCAACATATGAATTTGAGAGAGACAAAACTTAGTCCATTAACAACATAATAGCTGATCTTATTGGAACCAAAAATAAAACACTTGGAACCTGGAATGCAAAACATCGTTTCTGTTAACAGCAAGCTACTGTTGAGGTAACAGTAAAGTCATTTCTACATTAGGATTAACAACTCAAAGAAAAAACAAAACCATACCAGCTCTTCATTTGAGACTAAAATTAATTACTATAATAGGAATTCTTTTAAATTGTTTAAGGCTTAAGACAGTGTCCTTATTTTTGGTTCCTGCTATATTCTTATATACCAATCAATTCACATTTCGTATTACAAAGGCAAATCTTGCTTTCAGGCAATTTTTGCACCCTATTTTCTATACTATGTAACAAGAACCACCATTTATCTTTTACTCACTAGTACCTTCAATGTGTGTGGCATATAGTAGCTACTTAATAAATATCAGAGGGAGGAAAGAAAAGAAGGTAGGGAGGAAGGAGGAAACTAAGTTAGATATTTACCAATTTATATAGTACCCTTAACTTTTATTTGCTTTAGTCTGGCACCCTGCAGATTATATGAACCAAAATACTTAATAGTCAAAGAAGTAATGAAAATATACATAACAAATTTAAGGTACAACACAAACTTCTTATCAAGGCTTTTAAAAGTAGAAACCAAGAAAATCTTCTCAACAAAACGTCCAGGTACCCCCTGCCGTGAATGAGCATTTAAATGCTATTTGAAAGTACAAAGACAACACTTGAAAGACATTTCAAAGCCTATATAAAATTGCCAAAATGTCTACTAGCAGAGTTTTTGAAACTAGCTAATTCTGATGTTTCAACAAGAAATTTTTACAGAAGTTCCTCCTCCACCAAAAAGCCTTCATAAAACACAGCATTTACATACAAAACCTACTCTAAATCCTAATCAGAAATCATCCACTGAATAGTCAGCTCATTTGCAGTTTATTTATATTCGTGGCTCTAATCTATAAAGGGAAAAGTAAAAGCAAAGTAAGCTACAGCTATGTGAAAAGAGATACTCAAACACTTACCTGCTATTTTTCAGCTGTCAGGGAATATCAAAATTTTACATAGCAAAAATAAAATAATATGTAAATGTTTGGTTAGAATGTTAACAAAATAAAAAATATTTCACTGACATTGGACTAAATAATTACTAGGTGAACAAACATGGATTTTGGTCTGCTATGTGTCATGCTGCTCTATAAATTTGCACAAGTTCGTATGAAGCAAATGGTAAGACAATAACACTATTGATTCAGATGTGTCAAATCAAACATTAACATACATCAGTTGTTTAGAAGGGAAAATATTCCTTCAGTACAAATGTGCTTATTATGTGGTTTCTCTTCTTTGTAATTGAAATTTTAGATTTGTTTAAATTGCCAAAATCCCGTATCATTGGGTTTTGCTTTATTTTAAAAGGACCCAAAGTTCTTGATCTCATTTCAGGAGGACAGAACAAGACTTTTATAAGAAAGACAGAAAACAAAATGTCTACATAAAACAAGTTAATTTTGTCTCAACTTTGACATTTACTGAAAAATGCTCTTGTGCAGCGTCTTTTAAAGAATGATAATCATATGCCTCTCTCATTACATAGTTTGCATCAAATTATATGCCTAACAATTACAACCATGAAGTATTCATTTACATACCTCTCTTCAGTGTTCAAAACACGTTACTGTTGAGCCAGTCACCTAAGTGGAAGATTTAAATAGGACACTAGAAGGTAAACATTCCATTTCTCTCTACCTCAGTTGTTTTCCTATTCCCTTTATCAAATAATTGGTAAAGAGTGCTGTGCTTCAGAAAGTTTTAAATAAACAAAAACTTTCGTCAATGATTCTTTTTTAAAAAAATCTGTGAGCAAAGATAGAAAGCTTCCTGCTTTTTTATTTTGTTAGCAAAAACATTTTCACATAAAGTAAAACTAAAAATCCAAGGTAAAGAAAATACAACTTTACCTGAAGTCTAAACTGAAACTAGGCTTTAAAATTCCCTTAGATTCTAAACAGGTTTGCATTTACATGTCCTAACCCTAAGATAGTTTCCAAACAACACATCAAAGTGCAGTGAACTCAGACACCTCAGACAAACTTTAAATTTCTGAGGGAAACAAAGTAATTTTAGGTAATCTGTAGAATACTGATGAACCCTAACTCAACAGTCCAGTTTCAAAATTAGATCCTATTATACTTTCCATAGCATCACATCTTTACAAAACTGAGTCTCTGTAATGTAAAAAAGAAGAATCATGCTCCCTCCACCCCCACCACACACACACACACACACACACACACACACAAAAATCAATGTGGAATAGGAAATGAGGGTAGAGCTTCTAATCGGACTCCAAGTTTTAAGAAGTTGTACAGTGTCCAAGAGATGCACACATCCCATTAGAAATGTTGGTTACTTAAGAATGAAGTAAAAATATTTCTTCAAAGAATTCATATATTATTTATTCAAATGGCTACTAAGTTATTAGGACATAAATACTTATACTGTTTGGACCAAACTACTAAGAAAATAAAACTATCTGGTATTTCTTTAGATCTAAGGACATCATGAAAAGATTACTTAGCCCACTAAGAGTGTGATGAACAGAGGAAGTTTGGGTACCTTTGCAGCATATGGGTAGAAACTGAAATGACACTGGAACTGTCACTAAACTTGGTGAAATATTAACTGACTAGCTTGTATTATTACCCAAAGGCCATTAGTGCTGTGTAAGGGCTAGTATACTCTATTTACAAATATCTGAGGGCTAATTAACTGAAATCCAGCTGTGGCCTAAGGAGTCCAGTTTCTCTGCAGCTCTCTCCAGGGAGAAATGCTCCTCTGTTCTCATCTGGGCCTGTACAAAGTCATCTTCCTTTAACAGTACTTAGGAAAAACATCCAGTGTTATACATCTAAAACTCATAAATTAATAGAGATCTTGGTAACATTACCCTATCAATGATAACATTATTAATATTATATGGAACATTTCCAAAAATATTTTCAGAGCTATTAGCTCCTAACTATAGTGTTTCATTGTATAATCTGAAGGCCCATTGGGCCAGCTCACGGTGATTTGATTATAGCAATTCAAAGAAGCAACAGCTTTTAGTAGATAATGCCCAGGATTCACAATTAAGAACATGTGTTTTGGAATCAGGTTCTGTCACCATGTAACTTTAGGCATGTCCCTCCATCTCCTGAGCCTCATTATCTTCAACCATTTTTAAAAGAATTATTTTTATATTAACACAGGTACAGTCTCCCTTATCTGAAATACTTGAAACCAGAAGTGTTTCGGATTTGTGTTTTTTTCAGAGTTTGGAATATTTGCATTACATTGATTGAGCATCCCTAATCCAAAAATCCAAAATCTTAAATGCTTCAATGAGAAGCTCCCAAAGGCAAAGGGAAGGGATGGGGGAAAGCTGGAGAAATGATGAAAGTCTGCAGGAAGTTAGTGAATCTTAAATTCAGTTGATTAAGAAAAAGCTGTAGTAGTAGTACTAAGGACACTCCTGCCCCGTATGCCACCTCAGTCAGGCAACTATCCCACACCCATGGAGATGGTTTATTCTCTGTAGATACTGAACTAAAGACATGTCTGACTCTGAGACATCAGTAATAGTCAAGAGTAGAGGTAAAGAACAAACCATTTGAGAAATAAGGAGTGAAAGTCTACATACAAAATACTGGCATTTCCAGTCCCCTTCCCCAACACATGTCTCCAAATATTAAAATGAAACAAGTGTAATAAATATTTCCATATGTTCATATTTATCAGATTTACTGTATACAACAAATCTTTATAATGGTTCCTGTCCACCAAAAACCCATATCTCACTATCAAAGAAAAAGACTTAATTGTGGTCAAGTTTTATATAGAAAGAGAAAAAAGGAGAAAGAGAATTATATTCAGAGGTTAAATGATCTTTTAAGAGATGCCTGAAGCGGTAAATAGATAATTCAATACAATTAGGTAGTACACAAACAAAATGGTTTATGTAGTTACTTTAATATACATTAAAAATGTATATAGCTAGTATATAGAACCTGTAATTTCACAGATATTATTGCTTAGGCAAGGCAAAGTTTGTAAACTATCAAATAAATATTAACATAGGCATTTTGGCCGGGCACGGTGGCTGACACCTGTAATCCCAGCACTTTGGGAGGCTGAGGCGGGAGGATCACAAGGTCAAGAGATAGAGACCATCCTGGCCAACATGGTGAAACCCCATCTTTACTAAAATACAAAAATTAGCTGGGTGTGGTGGCACACACCTGTAGTCTCAGCTACTTGGGAGGCTGAGGCAGAAGAATCGCTTGAAACCAGGAGGCAGAGGTTGCAGTGAGCCAAGATCATGCCACTGCATTCCAGTCTGGTGACAGAGCAAGACTCCATTTCAAAAAAAAAAAAAAAAAGAAAAGGAAAGAAATGGCAGTAGTATGTGAATGTCTAAACTTTCAGGCATACTACTGCAGAGATAATTACTAAATTTGGTGGTAAAGTTAAACTTTAAAGTTAAACTATAATTCCTTTAAATGTGATTCTGGAAACTTTAAAAAATTGATACAAATGTTATTGTATACAAAGTTTAACTTTTTGAAATTAGGGGCAAGTTTTTTGGGATTTACACTGACATAAGACAGGATGACCACAGACATGCTTTTTCAGGGAAATTTTCCCAAGATAGGAATCAACATCAGGTAAAATTAATTACTGAAGCTACTGCAAGTTTAAAGTTCTAAAAACAGTTAATAGACAAGATGAAGAAACAAGAAAGCAATTAGATAAGACAGGAGGATAACTAGCAGCTATACTGACAGAACTACCATTTTGTTTGAACTTCTACTACATGCTAGGCAGAGTTAGGTCATCAAAATAGGTAGTCTTTATGCATATCTGCCTTTTACAGATTAAAAATCTAAGATTCAAGTTAGATAATTTACTTCTAGCACCAGTTCTGGGGAAGGGAAAGTTGAACATGAAAAAAAGTATAATATAAAGGCAAAAATCCCTTTGATAACCAACTAAGTATCAAAATTAAATTCCCAATATAGTTTTCTAACACAGCGGTCCCCAATCTTTTTGGTACCAGGCACTGGTGCTATGGAACACAAGACAGGGGCAGGGGGATGGTTTCAGGATGAAACTGTTCTACCTCAGATCATCAGCCATTAGATTCTCATAAAGAGCATGCAACCTAGATCTCTCACATGCACAGTTCACATAAGGTTCACACTCCTTTGAGAATCTAATGCCCCTGCTGATCTGACAGGAGGCAGAGCTCAGGCAGTAATGTTAACTTGCTTGCCAGCGGCTCACCTCCTGCTGTGTGGCCTGGTTTCTAACAGGCCAAGGACCACAGAATGGCGACCCCTGTTCTAACATTCCTAACCTCAAAATCTTTATAAAATCCATAAAGTAAATAAAATGACTAAAGATGACTGCAGACTGGTAGGTTAAGAGATGGTCAATAAATTAGATTTGGTGCATTTAGCATTCCAAGAAGGTACTGTGCCCAGAAATTTGACAGGATGGATTCCTAATGTTCCTCTTATCCTAGCTGAAGACTTAATTACATTGCTGGTTCGGTAAATGAAGAGTCATACCCAAAATTTAAGTGGCCACATTTCCACTTTTCAATTAAACAAAGTCAGAAGTTATTGAGCAACCCAAACAACAACAACCACACACACATTTGGATATATGCTTTAAACTTCTATAATGTGTATTATTTGCATAAAAGGGACTGAGCGCAGTAATGCTTTGGGAGACCAAGGCGGGGGGATCGCTTGAGCAAAAGAGTTCAAGACCAACCTGGGCAACATAATGAGACCCTGTCTCTAAAAAAAAAAAAAAAAAAAAAATTAGTTGGGCATGGTGGCACATGTCTGTAGTCCCAGCTACCAGGGAGGCAGAGGTGGGAGGGTCACTTGAGCCCAGGAAGTCGAAGCTGCAATGAGCCATGACTATGCCTTTGCACTCCATCCTGGGCAACAGGATGGCTCTAACAGGGGCTAGAAAAAAAAAAATAAAAAAACCCTAAAAGGTCGTTTAGCAATTAACTTCTCTAAGTTTTCAGAAATCCTCCTACACTTGGAATATCATAAAAAGTAGTAATTTTGTGAAACTGTAGGGAGACTCTGCTATTCATGCTTTTAAAATGTGCTTTTAATTTCTCTGACTACTAAAGGCTATAATAATGTCACTTGGAAAACAGAAAGCTGAGTGAGCATCTGAGGGTAAAAAGGAATGTTTTCACAGACTCAGTTGGTAAATACCACTGGCCCTAGCTGAACACTGTGATTCCTTAACTGGAAGCCAATCACGATCTTAATTTTAAAAGTCTCCTTGTTACATAGGGCAAAGGGCAGCCATATTATCTCAATTACTCCTTCACAGAAAACTCAAGGATTGAACTAATACTTTGAAGCATCATAAACATGTTTTCCTTTTTACCATATTTCTGAGTCTATATGAAGAGGTCAGATTTAATTGAAATAGTCAACAGGCTCAGATGTTAGTCTAGTTTGGGTATTACAAAGGGCAGCTTTTTCTTTATGTTAAGGACATTTATGATATATTATATATAATATACCATAGGTCACTAGATACAAAAACATATATGTCAAGGATATATATAACATACAATACATGTATGTTAGGATATTTATTATAGCATTGTCATATTAAAAAGTTGGAGAGTCTAAATACCCATCAATAAGGAAATAGAGCTAGTCTCAGTGGCTCATGCTTGTAATCCCAGCACCTTGAGAGGCCCACGCAGAAGGATTGCTTGAAGCCAGGAGTACAAGACCAGCCCGGTGCAACATAGCAAAACACTGTCTCTATAAAAAATTTTTAAAAATATAGCCAGGCATAGTGGTGTGCACTTGTAGTCCCAACTGCTTGGGAGGCTGAGGTGGGAGGATGGTTTGAGCCCAGGATTTGAGGCTGCAGTGAGCTATGATTGCGCCAAGGGACTCCAGCCTGGTGACAGGGTGAGACCTAGTATCAAATAAATAAATAAGGAAATAGTTAAATCAGCAGTCCTCAACCTTTCTGACAACAGGGACTGGTTTCATGAAAGACAATTTTTTCACGGACTGGGCTGTAGCAGGGGGTAGGTTTTGGGATGAAACTGTTCCACCTCAGATCATCAGTCATTAGTTAAGATTCTCATAAAGAGCATGCAACCTAGATCCCTCACATGCACAGTTCACAATAGGGTTTGTGCTCCTAAGAAAATCTAATGCCACTGCTGATCTGATAGGAGGTGGCGCTCAGGCCGTAATGTTTGCCAGCCACTCACCTCCTGCTGTATAGCCTGGTAGGGTCTGCAGCCCAGGGTTTGAGAACCCCTGAGTTAAATTTCCATATCCATAAGATAATGTAGTGTGCAACCATTTAAAACAATGAGGTTAGATCTATAATGTATTGGCTACTTCACAATTAAAGTATATTTAAAGCATTTCATTTTATGACACATTTTAAGCAAATTTTGTTAGAATTCTTGCAATATCTGCTGAGCTGCAAAGGAAGGCTACACGCTACATTGACACTGTACCTTGTTATCAACAAAACTGCTAGTTATTAAATTTTTGGTTTTTTATTCCCAATGGGTGCATGCTCAAATATTGGACCTTCAGACTCATCTGTATATTGCCAAAGGACTGTACATGAGGATTCATATTCCATATAAACATCTCAGTATATTGGGCAAAACTTACTAAAATACATCAAAGGATCTTTGATCTACTAAACCAGGAGTTGGCAAATGTTTTCTCTGTAAAAACAGATAGTAAATATTATAGGCTTTGTGGACCATAGGTCTCTGTTGTTGTAGACCAAAATCTATCGGTCACAGACAATATATGAACAGGTGTGGCTGTGTTCCAGTAAAACTTTCCTTACTCAAGTTCAACAGAGCTTAAAGGTTATTAAAAAAAAAAAAAAAAAAAAAAGGTACTTACAAAGACAGGCAGTGGGCCGGACTTGGCCTACAACCACTAATTTGCTGATCCCTGTGCTAAAATCAAGGTGCTGCTAATGTAGTTAATCTTCTTTTTAACAGTACCCCACATGCATGCCATTATCCTTCAAAGGCAGACCTTTATACTGCGTGCTTTCATTTTGATATTTCAAATGTTCAATTTGCAAGTTACCATACAAGTGCTTTAAGGGAATAATATCTTGTGGGACTCAATACAGAACTTCAATGTCAAAACAATTTTTCATTGTATTAAAGCACAGAAGTGTGAATAAGGCCAGTACAATAGGAAGAAATAATTCTACACAAATACATCCTATAGTAATAAATTTGCAATCAAGAAATCCACTTGGGTGCTGGAGTAAATGGCCTTGAACAGAAAGAACTAGTATCTAGGAAATGCATAATCACATAAATAAAAATTTCTAAAATAAAGCAAAAGGTTACATTTCTAAACTTTATTTTTCTTTCTTCACACTTGAATTTTTATTCTAAGTGACCGAACAAAAAAATACACCAAGATGAAAAGGCAATTCAGAAAAGAAATACAAACACCTAGCAAATCAGTGTAAATAAATGCAATCTCCAAAAAAAGTAAATTATAACCAAAAGAATCGGTTAAAAAAATTAGGGTGCATAATTTGCATTTGAAGCTTTCCCTTACAAGCCTGAATCCTCAATACCAGATCTTCATCTTCCGTATCTCAGCTCAGCCTCTCCAAATACAGCTGCCTCATCAGGTATTTCAGTTTAGATCTGGCCAGATGATCAGGCTATTCCCCTATCTAGTCTGGGCCACAAAAGACTCAAGTGACATTAAGAAAAATCAAAGAAGATGAGCCAGGCCTGGTAGCTCATGCCTGTAATTATCTGGAGGCTAAGTGGGGAGGATTGCTCGAGCCTAGGAGTTCAAAGCCATCCTGGGCTCACAAAAAAATGGCGGGGGCTGGGGGGGTGGGGCCAGGTGGGAATTTCGATGCTTAAATTCCTTGGTCTCTTCTGTAGTAGATGTCTAAACCATTTGTAAGCCGATAGAAGGCAACGGTACAATCAGTATTTTAAATCTAGGCCATGAAAGAAAAAGAAGCAAGCCAGTATCTACCAAGCTACCAATGAATGAAGTGTTAGATACACATAATGGAATACTATTCAGCCTTAAAAAGGAAATTCTGATACATGCTGTAACATAGATGCACCTTTGAAGACATTATGCTAGAGGAAATAAGCCATTCACAAGAGGACAAATATGTATGATCTCCCTTCTACAAAGTACCTAGAGTAGTCAAATTAATATAGACAAAGTAGAATGGTGGTTGGCCAGAGGGGGGTGGGAAATTAGGAGTTATTGTTTACTAGATACGTAGTTTCAGTTTGGAAAGATGAAAAACTTCTGGAGATGGATAATGGTGATGGTTACAAAACAATGTAAATATACTTAATGCCACTGAACTCTACACTTAAAATGGTTCGATGCTAAGTTTTATATTATATACGTATATGTTACCACATTAATAAAAAAGGAAAGAAAAGCTGAAAGCAATTAAGTTTACAACTGACCCTAAAAACCTTTCAACAGCATTAGTGGAATTAAAATATTTAATTTACTAAGTAATACAAAGATACTCATTGGCTAAATATACCCTGCAATACAGACCACAACCTGAGATGTGCGGATGTGAGCAGATTAAAGAAAAGCTTTCAATACAAGTCACTTTTAAAGCTTTATTGTGAAGAAGCTTCAGATTTGTAATTCTGAAGGGAATGTGTCTTTTTCAAAAGTTCTTTGGAAAAAGTTCAATCACAAAACATGATCAAAATATGGAGCATCATGAATTTATTTCATTTTCCAACCTCTATATTAAACTGCTCCTAAAATGTATTTAAAAAGAATGCATATTCTTCAGCAAATCTTTTCATCAATCACCATGTGAAAACCTTTGGCAGGGACACTGTGCATTCCTGGGAGGATTTAAATTAATTTGTGAGGGAGTGAAACCTGGCTTATAAGCAAAGAATTGGATTTAGTATTTGACAAAGAGTTCTTTTCTGAATTTAAAATGTTGTATCATGAATTCACATTTATGTTCTCCATCACCAGTAAAGTAATAAAATAATATAGAACTTCAATTCAATTAAAAATATAGTTTTCTACGTATTTATGGTCATAGCTTTATCTGCCTACAACAACAAAGTATTTGAAATCACATTTCTACTTTGAGTTAAAAAAATAAATTAATATTCCAACTGTAAGAAATTCTGTTTTTGTGTTTGTTTTTTTATTTGTTTGTTTGTTTTTTTGAGACAGAGTCTCGCTGTTGTTGCCCGGGCTGGAGTGCAATGGCATGATCTCAGCTCACTGCAACCTCCACCTCCCACGTTCCAGCAATTCTCCTGCCTCAGCCTTCCAAGTTGCTTAGATTACACGACCACACTCAGCTAATTTTTGTATTTTTAGTAGAGACAGGGTTTCACCATGTTGGCCAGGCTGGTCTTGAACTCCTGACCCCAGGTGATCCACCGGCCTTGGCTTCCCAAAGTACTGGGATTACAGGCGTGAGCCACTGCACCCAGCCCAAAAAATCCTGTTTCAATTCATTTTGAAACTCTTACCTGATCTACTTTTAAAAAATGGGAGCTTTCTACTAAAAAGCAGGATATGTTTTTAAATTGCTGCAATTTCAATTTTCTTAAATATTTTTCAGTGAATGTTTGCAGTGTTTTGTTTGTTTGTTTTGAGGCAGAGTTTCGCTCTTGTTGCCCAGGCTGGAGTGCAATGGCACGATCTCAGCTCACTGCAACCTCCACTGCCCAGGTTCAAGCGATTCTCCTGCCTCAGCCTCCCGAGTAGCTGGGATTACAGGCATGCGCCACCACGCCAGGCTAATTTTGTACTTTTAGTAGAGACGGGGTTTCTCCATGTTGGTTAGGTTTGTCTCGAACTCCCAACCTCAGGTGATCCGCCCGCCTCGGCCTCCCAAAGTACTGGGATTACAGGCGTGAGCCACTGCACCTGCCCTCAGTGCTTATTTTTTAAGAATTCACCTCCTCATTTTATTTGTATTTCAAATTCAAATTCTTTTTTTAGAAAAATGTTAGACAAACTATTTTAACTGTAGACAACAGGAATTCATTTAATCCTGCAACTTTTAGTTGAGGCCTAAGAACTCAAACTGATTTATAGCATCCTTATTTGTACTGAAGTAAATCACAGAAAAATCAAGCCCAGTTGGAGGTACTACTGTGTCTGAATGATATAAAATCTTCCTATAATAGCCAAATTGTCAGATCAGCTTAAAGTCATAAAACATGTTAAAACAGCTGCTGTAAACATGAGAGAGGAAGATAAAAAGGTTAACAAAAATGAAGTGATGGTCCTTAAGAGACAGGGAAAAACCAATTAGCCTTATGTTTGGTTACATCAAATGATTAAATTTTAAATGACTGCATTTAAGATTTAAGTACAATACTATTCAAAGCACCAGCAAAGTGTGGGGGAGTTAGGGGAGACATGGGCTTGTCAATCTAATGGTTATAGTGACTAAAAATAGTAACAATGAGGCAGTACATGTGATCAATAAATTTTAAAATGGAGAGGGATGTGTTTCCATATAAATACAAAGCTTTGCATCATTTCTAACACACTGGTTCAAAAGATAGCTTTTTTTTTTGTACCCTGTCCAAAAGCAATGAGATGCTCCTTCCCATAAATCAAACAACCAAAGCTCTGGGAGAGCTGGCTTCCCTTCTTCACATGGGAAGCTGTTCATAAAGCCTAGTTCTCGTAGAGACTTACCACCTGTATTAGTCCGTTTTCACACTGCTACAAAGAACTGCCCAGTTTATAATAGCTGGGTAATTATAAGTAAGAGGTTTAATTGACTCACAGTTCCACATGGCTGTGGAGGCCTCAGGAAACTTACAATCATGGAGGAAGGCGAAGCAGGCACCTTCTTCAAAAGGTGGCAGGAGAGTGTGAGCATGTAGAGAACTACCATTTATAAAACCATCAGATCTCGTGAGAATTCACTATCACGAGAACAACACGGAGGAAACCACCCCCATAATCCTATCACTTCCCTCTCTCTAAACATGGTGATTACAATTCGAAATGAGATTTGGGTGGGGACACAGAGCCAAACCATATCACCACCCCAGAGGGAGTTACCACTTGGGTACTGGGGATTGCCAGCAGTTAAATGCCCTTTATTCTTTATTCTGTTCAATAACAATCAAGGAATTGAAGGAATTCTTTCAGCTCGCTAAGCTGCCAGGTATTGCTGTGGTACTCTATAGGAAAAGTTAAGGAAATAAGAGAAAGTATAAATTTGCTTAGGTGTAGCATCTCTTTTAGTTTTCTAATGCATTGCCTGGAGGCTTGTTAAGAATAGAATGTCAGGCCTTTAAACAAATCCCAGTCTCTTTAAACAAAATCTGCAGCTTAACAAGAGCCTCAGGTGATTCGTATGCACATTAAAGTCTGAGGAGTACTGGTCTTTAGGGACCACAGCTGCCAACCTGACAGCCCCAATTAGCTCCAGGCCGCCACTCTCCAAACATTTAGGCTTTACAAAGAATGTGTGAAAGCAGCTCAAAATCTAAATATGAAATGACAATTTCTCAAATTCCAGACTAAAAAGAGAGAGGACTTCAAACTAAAACATAGGTTCTTATTCCTGGCTCTCCTTAGAATTCCCTAGGCACTAGTTTTACCAAAATATCAGTGCCCAGGACCTACCTACACCAAAGGATTAAATACTGGTCATCAGTTTCCCAGGTGATTTTAACATGTAGCTAAAAAGGATAACCAATAAACTTAGAGCATGCCTTCTCAACCTTTAAATGCAGATTCGGATTTCAGGAAGTCTGTATTAAGGCCTCAGATACTACATTTCCAACAATATTCTGAAATGGAGCAACTCAGCCTCTGCCCTTGTGGTCCGTAAATTTAGAAACAGGTTGTCAAAAAGACTTCAAGCTTTTGCCCTCAGAGCATCTTTCTCTATAGTCAAGTATGATTACTGCCTCCAATTCAGAATATTAACATATGTGTTATAAACTGTTTTAGACAAAGTCAATACAAAAATATGACATAAAATTCCTACCCTTGTGGGGTATACAGTGTAAAATATGTGAAAGAGACAAATAAGCAATTAAAATAGAGTGCTGATAGAAGGTATCTAACCCAGATCCGGGATCAAGAAAGATTTCCGGAGTGATATCTAATAGAGATAAGCAAATGTGGGATAGAACTCCTTCAGGCAAAGGGTAGTAAATCTCAAGATCTGAAGATGAAGGAAAGCATATCACATCTGAGGTATCAAGGTATCCTTCCAAGAATATGAAGGATAGAATATTTGAGAGGTGAGACAGAACGGGCAGAGGGAGCAAAGACGAAAACACGAAGAATGCTGTAAACCACCTTAAATATATTTTGGACTTGTCCTAAAGAAAACAGAAAACTGTATGAATAGATTTGTGTTTTGAAAACTAGTTCTAACTGCAGGATAAAGAGCAGACTAGAGGCAGATAAATTAATTAGGATCTACTATAGTGATTCAACTGGTTGATACTGGTAGCCTGAACTAGTGTGGTAGTAATGAGAATGGGAGAGAAGTAGATGAATCTGAGCAATATCTAGAACTAAAATTGACAACATACGGTGAATGGATGCGTAACATGGGGGTGAGGCGGGGAAATATGGAAGACATATGTCAATTCAGAACATTTGTGGCAATGACTTGGAAAAACTAGGTAGATGGTGCTACTACTCACAAGTTAGGAATACAAGAACAGGAAGGTTTAGCAGGAGAAAATTATGATGATTTAGAAAAAAGCAGAAAATGTCCAATAGGCAGACTAGCACACAGGTCTCAAGCTCAAGAGGAAAATATTGACTGGAAATATAGATTAGTAAATTCAATAATGACATCCAGTTCTGGCCAAGTTGGAATAATTGGGACCAGATTTACCACCATCCCTGAAATAACAACAAAAAATAGATGAAATATACAAAATAATAGTTTTCAGAGACTAAACATAAGGCAGCACAAAACAATGACCCTGAGAGACAGAAAACAAACCAGGTGAGCTCTAAAATTACTGCAGCTTAGTGAGGGAGAACCTGGGCAGAGACCAGCACTCTCCCTGAATTGAAAAGATGGAAATGGGAGTCCAGGAATGCCAAGGTAGCTAGTTTTCAGGTCAGAGTTCTGAAGAGGAAAAAAACAGCAGAGATCTCTCTGTAATCTAAGTATTGAACAGCATCTTACGCACATGAGGAAATACTCCAAGGCTGGGGAGAGTCATCCGAAAGGTTGAAGGAATAAACCTAAACAAAGCTGAGAAGAGGCAACATGAATGAATCTCAAGACAAGGGTGCTCAATGAAGCTAGATTTTAGGGAAAAAAAGAGTCCATAATGTATGCTTCCATTTATATAAAATTCTAGAAAATTCAAAGTACTCTATTGTAACAGAAAGCAGATCAACAGTTGCCTTGGGCTGGGGAAAGGATTACAAAGGAACACGGGTAAACTCGTGGGGGTGATGGATTGTTCATTCAATACCTTGAGTGTGGTGGTTTCATGTGCCAAAACTTGTTGAATTGCACACTGCAAAAAAATGCAGTTTACTGTAGGTCACCTACACTTCAATATATTTAAAAAAAAAAAAACTATCAGGATACATATAGTAACTAAGTTAAGGGGGTGGGTTGAGATTGCTGAGAAATCCTATATAGATTCTGAAGAAGGGCCGCGCGGTGGCTCACGCCCGTAATCCCAGCACTTTGGGAGGCTGAGGCGGGCGGATCACAAGGTCAGAAGACCGAGACCATCTTGGCTAACACGGTGAAACCCCGTCTCTACTAAAAACACACAAAAAAATTAGCTGGGCGTGGTGGCGGGCGCATGTAGTCCCAGCGACTCGGGAGGCTGAGGCAGGAGAATGGCGTGAACCCGGGAGGTGGAGCTTGCAGTGAGCCGAGATCGCGCCACTGCACCCCAGCCTGGGCCACAGAGCGAGACTCCGTCTCAAAAAAAAAAAAAGATTCTCAAGGAGGACTCGAATAGAACCATAAAGGGTACCAACATTTAAGGAAGTAATAAAACAGAGATTATGAAGGAATGTCCAAAGAATTGGAGGAGAAATCTGAGGAGTATGGCGTCATTGAAGCAAAGGGGGAAAAATTTTTCTCAAGGAGAAAATATGAAAGATCCATAATGTCAAACAAGATAAGGCCTTAAAATGTCCAATGTGCATATGACTGAAAGACTATGAGGTGGGCATCATGGTGCAGGAAGAAAGAGCACCAAAGCAGTCTCATATCCAAAAATTTGTGTCACTTTACCTAGAAAGACTAAGAAATCTAGAGGAATTTTTATTTCAGATTTGACAGTTAAGAAAAACACAGGAATCCTAGATGCCAACAGATCTTTGCACCTGGCATTGGCACCCTCCTAATATGTTATATTCAATATAAACAATAATTAATTGTCCTTAAAGAGTCTTTAAAAGAAATTAGGCCAGAATCAAGCTAAGAGTTATTAATGCATACAACCCATTAAGGATAAGGAAAAGTTCAACTTAGAGGTCTATCATCCCATCTGAATTTAATAAGAAACTAAATACTTGAAATTCTTCCAGTTTTTCTTTTTTAGTGAGTAATAGGGGGTTGTGTTCCTCTTATCGGACAACCAAGCAGAGAAAAAAGATTTTTTTGCCTTGTGTTTGAATAAAAACTTATGTTTACATACAGATGCACATCATCAGTACACATAAGAATTTAATCAGTAAATTAAATGTAGTGAACAATCTCCAAAACAAATGCAGATTTATGTTATATAACACTAAAATTTCAAGAGAATATTCATCCTTCAAAATAAATAATACAATAAAATAGCTGTTTAATTGTTTAAGTTTACAGATTCAGTTGGAATGAATCTGTAAGGCTGGAGTGCAGTGGCATGATCTCAGCTCACTGCAACCTCCACCTCCCAAATTCAAGCGATTCTCCTGCCTCAGCCTCTTGGGTAGCTGGGATTACAGGCACCCGCCATGCCCAGCTAATTTTTGTATTTTTAGTAGTGATGGGATTTCACCACATTGGCCAGGCTGGTCTTGAACTCGTGACTTCAAGTGATCCACCCACCTCAGCCTCTCAAAGTGCTGGGATTACAGTCATGAGCCACTGCTCCTGGCCTCTTAGCACACTAAAAAAAAAAAAAAAAGAAAAAGAAAAAAAACCACACACATCTGGCTGGGCACAGAGGCTCACGCCTGTTATCCCAACACTTTGGGAGGCCAAGGCAGGCGGATCACAAACTCAGGAGATCAACACCATCCTGGCTAACACGGTGAAACCCCATCTCTACTAAAAGTACAAAAAACGAGCCAGGCGTGGTGGCGGGCGCCTGTAGTCCCAGCTACTTGGGCTAAGGCAGGAGAATCGCTTGATCCCGGGAGGTGGAGGTTGCAGTGAGCCAAGATGGCGCCACTGCACTCCAGCCTGGGCGACAGAGTGAGACTCAGTCTCAAAGAAAAAAAAAAAAATCTAAATTCAAGCTAAAAAAATATCCCTGTAATGTATTTTGGCAGGGGCATTTTAGACATCGGGAAAGGTGAGTAAACATAGAAGTCCAAATCTAATCATATACTTTAACATAAATAGGCTTTATTTGTTCTTGTCATTAAAAACACTGCCTCTGGCCTCCTCATGTTAGCAGCCAATTCCCCATTTGTACAGAAGTAATACATGACTAGAGAAAGCCCATTAGCATACATTGTCCGCACCAAGAAACCCCTAAATAAGGCTAAAGTGTTAATAAAATTTTTCCATGGCAAATCCCATTTTACAACTATGCACATTTCTATCTACAGTTATTCAGATTATTTATTGTATTCTTATACAACTAAAGAGGAAAATAAACTATAGTAGATTGACAGTTCACATTAATTCAAAATCCTATTAATGATAAAAACAACATCAACCAAGTTTTTAAAAATTATTTTGTGGTATTTGGAAAATATTTTGTCTGTTGCCCATCCTGTTTAATTTTTTTTCTCTTCTCATATTTAAAGGAAATATTTGGATTTAAAAGACTACAGACTCCCCAAAAGTAGTTTTTGTCCAAAAGAAGGGAGATTAAAGGGGGTGGGGAAAGAAGTAAAGACATGGAAAAAAAGATTTACTCTTCTTAAGTAACTATTATACTAGACAAGGCTGCAGGAAATAATAGTAAAAAGAAAATGCTGAGAACAATACACTCTCTCACTATGGTTAGTGCCAGGCCCATATTAACAGTTTTGCAGATAAAACTAGCCATTAAAAAGCAGTGAGCAAACATACCACAGACATTGTCGGTTATAAATGTTAACAGTACTTGGAGCTTTCCAATCAGCTACAGTGAACTGTCTAAAGTCTCTTACAAATTTATCCCAGTCAAGAGTAGCCAAGGAAAATGAAATGAGGGAAACAGGTAACAGCACAGATAAAATCCTTTTTCCTAGGGCAATCTTCATAGTGGCACTGACAGGAATCTCCTCCTTCCCCAATAAACTGAAAATGTTATGAGACAGAGAATGAAAGGAATTAAGTATCCCAGGACAATTCAAGATGACAAATAGAAACAAACAGAAGTGCTAAGAGGTTATACTGAGAGAAGTGTGTTATAAGAAGCCTTCCAAATGATGTTATGCACTAAAGTTTGAGAACCACTGCCACAGACAAACTGACTAGGTTCACATCATTACCTCTAAAGATCTCTTCCCTAAACTCCAGACGTGATATATCTAGCAAGATGGCTAAAAAAACATTTCATTGTACTTTTTTTTTTTTTTTTTTGAGATGGAGTCTCGTTCTGTTGCCCAGGCTGGAGTGCAGTGGCACAATCTTGGCTCACTGCAACCTCTGCCTCCCGGGTTCAAGTGATTCTCCTGCCTCAGTCTCCCGAGTAGCTGGGACTACAGGTGCATGCCACCAGGCCCAGCTAATTTTTGTAATTTTACTAGAGACGGGGTTTCACCATATTGGTCAGGATGGTCTTGAACTCCTGAACTGAGCTGATCCACCTGCCTCAGCCTCCCAAAGTGCTGGGATTACAGGCGAGAGCCATTGCGGCCAGCCACTGTATTTTTTTTTAAAGTATATAATTATATAGACTACAGAATATAAAGATTAAGTCCATATAGCTAAGAAAAAAATCTGTCCTTAAGAGCGTACAATTTTGGCTGGGCACAATGACTCACGCCTGCAATCCCAGCACTTTGGGAGGCCGAGGTGGGTGTATCACTTGAGGTCAGGAGTTCGAGACCAGCCTGGCCAACAGG
The DNA here is from genome assembly GCF_000001405.40 of Homo sapiens. NCBI lineage: Eukaryota > Metazoa > Chordata > Mammalia > Primates > Hominidae > Homo > Homo sapiens. Next base: position 79,661,087 of record NC_000012.12, read on the forward strand.
GTGAAACCCCATCTCTAACAAAAATACAAAAATTAGCCTGTAATCCCAGCTACTGGGGAGGCTGAGGCAGGGGAATTGCTTGAACCCGGGAGGCGGAGGTTGCAGTGAGCTACGATAGCGCCATTGCACTCCAGCCTGGGCGAAGAAGCGAGACTCTGTCTCAAAAAAAAAAAAAAAAAAAAGAACTTACATTTTAGTAAACTTTGAGCCATAATATTTCTACAATCTGTCCTTAGAAACTTAAATTTTAAACTTTTAGCTTACAAACAAAAGATTTCAAATCCATTATGCCATTAACAACCTTGAAAGAAAAAATCTCTGGAGATATCCACACATATTTCTTGGTAAAAACAGAAAATATCTCCAGAAGGATACTTAAGAAATAACAACAATGGCTGTCTGCACCACTTGAAATTTTATCATGGACATGTCACTCTTTTCTTAAGAAATTAATTTATTACATTTAAGATAATGTTTTAAGCCGTAAGAAGATAGTTTTCTTACTCAAAAATTTTATGTTAGTAACATTTTACACTTAAAAAAACTATTAAAACTAGGAAATCTTCAAAGTTTGATTCATTTTAAAGACATTATTACATACATTAGACCAAAGCCCTCTCCCTACACCATGTTCCCCTTATCCTCACAAACACTTATTTCAATAGGCATCTATGAAAAGTCTATGTGTCATCAGTAAATGGTAATATGATCAGCTGGGGCCATACACTAAGCAGGGGAGACTACAGAGTTCAGGGAATTATAATATAGTAGGGTTACAGCTGCTTAATCATATTCAGAAGGTAAAATGGAAAAGTAACAAAAAGTAAAAATAAATAAAAACATCTCAAACAATAACCTAAATGTTGCCACTTTAATAAATGATAAAAAAAGATTCTCATACCCAAAGATAGTATTTTCAAAAAGCTCTATTTCAACTTGAAATTCAGGGCATATTACCTAAATGACAGAAAAATCTCAGTCAATACGCATAGTAGCATTTAGCTAAGCACAGTGGCATGTGCCTGTGGTCACAGCTACTTCAGAGGCTGAGGTAGGAGGTTTACTTGAACCCACAAGTTCAAGGCCAGCCTGGGCAACATACTGAGACATCTCTCAAAAAAAAAAAAAAAAAAAAAAGCATACTAATGCTTAAAAGATCCAGAACTTTCAGGACAGGAAACAGTAATATAAATCATTTGTAGTTCACATTTGAAAAAACAGTTTTTACTGATAACATCTTGTTTAACCCTAACAACCACCCTGGGAATAGGCTTTGATGTATTCTAACAACAAAATAATCAAGGATCAAAGAAGTTAGGTAACTGCTCAGAATCATCCAGCTCCAGAAAAGTCCAGTCTTTTAGTTCTTTGCCTGTGACTTTCTACTGTATTTACTGTATGAGGAAATCTAGATATCCTGCAATTATTAATCTCTTACTTCCATTCACATTCTAGTTCTAGACACTTCAATAATGGACCACACTGCCAAGCTGACCTAGAATTCAGTTCAGCTCACTTCCTTCTACAAGGCAAAAGTATCACTCATACATAAAGACAAAAAAGCAGAAGCCCAGCTCTTTATGGATTCCAGACTAAGAAATGCACAAAGGTTTAAACCAAATCACATAAAGTCCATTTACACAAAGGCTTGAACAAAATCACATAAAGCCTATCTACTTTTTCTTAGATTTCTAAGGGTTACTAAGCACTCTTAGCACTTGGCATGTGAAGATGGAGTAAGGAAACATCAAGAAAATGCTGTTTTTAAAGTGCTAATTATTAATCACAAGGAAATAATTAAAATGATTCTATGGTAACATGTTGTCATTAAAAACAAAAAATAGCTATCCTTTGAGAATGAGAACCTCTTACATGGCAGATATTTTGAGTAAATGCTTTTAATTTATTTAATTCTAAGCCTAAAGATAGGCAGTTCAATCTCCATTATACTAATGAGAGCCTGTCCACCTACCTAATTTTACACAACAAGTAACTATCTTACTCCAAAATTCATCAACTTCATTTTTTGTGTAATGGGAAAATAATGAATGCATAAGGTGTTCAGTAGCATAAGGCTTGCTCCCTTGGTGTGGCCAAAGAACACCAGTTACTTACTCTGTATTCTAAGGTTTTGTACATGGGATATGGAGATTTTTATTGGTGCTTTGCCTCCTTCTCCTATCTTGTCTATGGTTTTAAGTGTTGATGCACACATTTCAGGACTATTTCTTTATCTTCTCTGTCGTTTAGGAATACACCTGACAGAAATGGGTGCCACTTTTGACTTACAGTTTACACCTTAATCAGAATTACCTGGGAAGATTTTTTAAATGTAGATTCATCAGTCCTGTCATAGATTCATTAAAGTTCCCTTCGTGATTCTTAGGCAAATAAAGTTTAAAAACTTATTTGTTTTTATTTTACACCGTGGGAAGCTGAGGCAGGAGGATCGCTTGAGCCCAGGAGCTCAAGACTAGCCTGGGCAACATGGCAAAACCCCAGCTCTACTAAAAAATACAAAAAATTAGCTGGGTGTGGTGGCGCACACCTGTAGTCCCAGCTACTTGGGAGGCTGAGGTGGGACAATCACTTGAGTGCGGGAGGTGGAGATTGCAGTGAGCCATGATCTGCACCACTATACTCCAGCCTGGGCAATGGAGTGAGACTCTGTCTCAAACAAAACCAAAAAAAAAAACCCTATTTATTTTAAAAGCACAGTGTGAACTTCTGACACAGAAACTTCTAAGAGAAATAAATGAAAAGTTTTATTACATGTAGTGATTTACTAACATCCCAGTTAACTGAAGAGTAAGATTAATCAGGCTATGTGCTTATAATATAATAAACAAAAATAAATCCAACTACAAAGTATATGCCAAATATACATTTTAGGAAAAGTACTGAGTATTGGCAAATATGAAATTGCCAATGTGCCAATGGGAGAAATAGCTTATAATAAAATAGTCCATCTTACATTCCAAACAGAAATTTGCCCATTAAAAATAACTAGTCATAGTGAGAAATGTGGGATTATTTATCACTATTCATAAAGGATTATTTTCTTAAAAGATGGACAAAGTAAATATCCTCGAGACAGTCAACAGAGGCCACCACTTCAAGGGTTGAGACTGCAACTAGACCCCAACTTTTTTTTAAGTGCATTTTCATTACTCAAAAAGATCTGGAAATAAAAGACAATGATCGGAGTGATCCTCTTCTTTCACTCCACCTCTGCAAAACCCTCCCTCAATTAAAAAAAATATATAGTAAATTAAACACTCATTTCTTTACTATCTTACTTAGAGTCTTCTCTAATTTTTAGAACTTTAGGATCATGCCATGCTTCCAGATCATTAACTACCAAAAACTTTAATACCAAGTTTTTATACTAAACCTATATTTACTGTAACATGCCCTGAAAGGGCATTTTTGTTTGTTTTTAAACCCATGTCATTATCTTGTTTGGGGCCACACATTGTTTTTTAGAAAGTCAATGTTTCAAAAGGTAGTATTAAAAATAAGGTCCTAAATGTGCTATCAAATTATTTTAAGGACAAAGTAGACTCTTTGGCGGGGGGGGGAGGAGAGAGAGAGAGTGGTCTTGCTATGTTGTCCAGGCCAGCCTTGAACTCCTGGACTCAAGTGATCCTCCTGCCTCAGCCTCCCAAGTACTCGGGACTACGGATATGCGTCATCATGTCTGGCTATTTTTTTTTTTTAAAGTTCCAAGGCCTATACTTGAACAAAAATAAAATAGTGATTATTGTGCAAGTATAGTTAATACATCTACTATTGCTGTAAACCAAAAATGTAGTGAACATTCAGTCACTGCATTCAGCATTTACAACTACACAACATCTCTTCAATTTCCAACTTGGAAGGAGGAGCAGCAATTCACTAAACCATTTTCCAAAAGTCAACAATAGTTATATTTTAAGGTTCAACTGTGAGGTTTACTATGTACCTCCAATAATATGAAAAAACAGATTATAACAATGAAGATTTAATTTCTGAGATATGTTTCCATAGAATGATGGTACTACTCAGAAGATTCCCAAAAAAATCTGATTTTTAAGGAAAATTTTATAGAGACAAAAATTAGTTCCATTTACTTTTCTTATAGTCTACAAATACATAACTAAAACAGATATCTTCAAACCATAACTATTCTATTAAGTTCCAATCTCTAAAACAATTTTCATCAGGTCCAAAAACAACAAGAGATTAAGTCTAACTAGAAAAGATTTATTTTGCTGACAGATTATGCTATTTGGTCCAGCTTCCTTCCATCCTTCAACTCACATCCTTCCCACATCTAACCCACATTAAATGACTATTTAAACTGCCAAATATTTTAAGATGTATAGATAGTTGGCTCAATAAACTTGTCTCAACGTATTTCTATTGTATCATAAAAATTCCGTAAGTCAATTAAAATAAAAATTGTTACATAGAGGAAAACTGACTTCACATTTCATCTCAAGTATATACAAGTAAGGAATTAAGATGAACTTCCCCTTTCATTTGTGTTTAAGAACAAGAACTGAAATTTCATTATGCCTAATTAACCTATTACTTACACTACTCTGATATACATCTCCTCTCTCCAGACTTCATTCCATTCCAAGTCTTAGTCTCTGGGTTGTATCATTTATGACAGCTTACAACTCCCTGTCTTGCCTCAAGAGCGCTCAAGTTTTTGAAGCAATTCTGGAAGCAAATTAGTTGAGTTTTATAAAATCAAACTGCAGCAAAACTCAATATCCCGTAACAGAGCCTGATTTTTCTCTTCCATGGAGTTAATAGTAATATATCTCACAATAAATAAGCATTTTAAGCTAATCGCAGACATTATCTTGTTAACTTTGCATTTTCACAAGGAAATAGGTGAAAGTATCATCAGATAACTTGAAAGCTTCCAATCCTTTTTAGACTCCTCAAGCAAGTTTCTTAAAGAGATTATATAGTGTTAGTTGATATAGTACTAAAATAAGCAACCTCTAAGATACAAACTGCATCTTAATAATTTAAGAAGCCAACTGTATTAGTGGAGTCCTTCCTTCACTTGTTAAGTGGAGGCGGTTTCAATTAGTACAAAGGGGGCTTAAAAGTAGTCTTCTCATCTCTTTCTCACATAGTAAAATGAATGCAATAAAGCTTCTGTCTCCTTAAAGGAAAAGAATCAAGCATCTAGGCTATCTTATTTGTACAAATTGTATCTCAAGGTAACTAAAACAGCTGATGAAAGGAAATTTCTCTATATAAAATATTCCAGGTAATAAATTACAAAGGAATGAATTAGAATACCACCATTTTGCAACCAATAATAAAATAGATCATAGTCCAAGCACCCCTGTGAGTCCCCAAGACCATTTCAGAGGATCCGCAAGGTCAAACTATTTTTAGAATGCTAAAATCTTACTTGCCTTTTCTCTCCTCATTCTCCCATGAGTGTACACAAAGTTTCCAACGGTTACATGATATGTAATATTACAACAAACTAAAGGATGAAGCAGATAGGAGAAACAGGATGTCTTCTTTTCAGCTGAACAATAAAGAGATTTACAAAAATGTTAAACAGTGGACCAATTTTCTAAATTTTTGTTTGGAAAATAGTTCTCACAAAAATGTTATTTATATAAACATGCAGTGGGCTTTTTTTCCAATTAATAACAGGCATTTCTAAAATTTCTTGGTTTTAATTTCTAAAAAAGTAAATGCTCATACATACAGTGATATTTACACATAAACAAAAACCCTTTAGGATACTCAATAATTTTTAAGAATGTAAAGGGATCTTAAGGCTGAAAAGTTTGGTGTGAAAGAAAATAAATCTTGGGACCCCAAAATCACTAAGCTGAAGGGAAAAGTGAAGCTGGGAACTGCTTAGGGCAAACCTGCCTCTGACCTAGAAGCCCCTTCCCCTCTTCAAGTTGTCCTGCCTTTCTGGATGGAACCAAGTACATCTTACATGATGTCTCATATGTCTCCCTAGATGTACAAAACCAAACTGTGCCCCGACCACCTTGGGCACATGTTGTCAGGACCTCCAGAGGCTGTGTCACAGGTGCATCCTTAACCTTGGCAAAATAAATTTTCTAAATTGACTGACACCTGTCTCAGATATTAATATTTTGAGTTGACAGCTGATCTAGGCAATTTACCAGTGATTGCTGACATAGAAAAAGAACTGACTAGACTTTTACTCCTTCGGATGGAAGTACAAAATACCACATATAATGTATCCTTGTCAAAATAATAATAATAATAATGAATGGATCTGATCAAACCTCTAGTTTAAATCTAAATTTACCAAATTATAGGAAATAGTTTACAAGATTACATTAAACAAGACCACGGGGGATGCATTCAGCAAAATCTAGACTGTGAGAAACAACAAGCTTTATTCAACAGATAAACTGTGAAAAAATAATACAGGAAGAATGTAAAGATTACAAGTTAAGAGACATTGCAAGCAACTATAATGTATAGATCTTATTTGGACAAAATATAAAAGACATATATGAGATACCCATGAAAATTTTTGGGCACTGATTGGACATTTGATATTAATGAATTATTATTTACATGTAATAGTGGAATGGAGTAATCTTTTAAAAATAAGAGTCCTTATCTTTAATAAATTCATACTATCTACAAATGAAATGATATCCAGTATTGCCTCAAAACAATAAAAATTGGAGGAAATCAATAAAGTAAGATGAGCCATAAATTAAAAATAACTGAAGCTAGTTAACATGTTCACACATAGGGTTGATAATACTATCTTATTTCCTTTTGTTCATTTGATTTTTCCTTGTTTTTTTTTTTTTTGAGACGGAGTTTTGCTCTTGTTGCCCAGGCTGGAGTGCAAAGGCACGATCTCGGCTCACCACAACCTCTGTCCCCCGGGTTCAAGTGATTCTCTTGCCTCAGCCTCTTGAGTACCTGGGATTACAGGCATGTGCCACCACGCCTGGCTAATTTTGTATTTTTAGTAGAGACAGGGTTTCTCCATGTTGGTCAGGCTGGTCTAGAACCCCCGACCTCAGGTGATCTGCCCACCTCAGCCTCCCAAAGTGCTGGCCACATTTGATCTTTCTATAGTAAAAGTTTGTAGATATTTTTTGTTTTTAATGTTTCAAGTTAGAAGAAAATGTATTTCCTTAAGTAAGTTGAATCATTTACCCTTACGCCTAAGGGCATTAACAGTGCTTCCTCCCGCAAAAGCCACCTGATGAAGTGCTGTTTCTGCTTCACGAAATAGCCCTGAAGTAGTTTGTCTTTGGTCTTCTTTTATCTTACTTCTGAACTCTTTACCTCTAAAATATTAGAAACAAAAACAACTGGTTAAGTAAGGAAAATTATAGACCAGTGGTTCCCAGCCTTTTTGGCACCAGGGACTGGTTTCATGGGACACAATTTTTCCATGGACCAGGGGGATAATGGGGAGGATGGTTTCTGGATGAAACTGTTCCACCTCAGATCATCAGACATTGGTTAGATTCTCATAAGGAGTGCACAACCTACATCCCTCACATGCGCAGTTCAAAAGAGGGTTCGTGTTCCTATGAGAATCTAAGGGTGCCGCTCATCTGTCAGGAGGCAGAGCCCAGGCAGTAATGCAAGCGATGGGGAATGGCTGTAAATACAGGTGAAGCTTTGCTCGCTTGCCCACTGCTCACCTCCTGCTGTGTGGCCTGGTTCCTAACAAGTCATGGACCAGTACGGGTCTACGGCCCAGGAGCTGGGGACCCCTGTATAGAGAATACAAATATAAGGAGAGGAATCCAGACAACAAGTTGGGGTATTCCTATTGGAAGGAAATACTCTCATCCCAATCAAATACAAACATATTTACACACATGCACTTCCAACTGTGTGCTGTTATGAAGAAAACAGTTCAAAACAAACAAAGCTAGGGAAAGGAAGAATGAAGTACATTTTTAAATAATTTCACTTATCTTTTTCTGTTCAGATACATCAAAGATTTTAGTCTTCACATTTTGGCTTGAATGACTTCAGTCTTGGTGATATTTAAAAAATAGCCCTAAAAGTTACTGGCATGAGCTATGCAGAAGATTCCCCACACAGTGCAGATTATGTAAAGATTAGGGATATAAGACCAACAATATTAAATTGAGGGTTTCTTGTACAATGATGTTAATAGAACTTAAAAAGTAATTTGCAAAATAGATTTAAGAATTAGAGAGGCCTCAGAACTTTCCCTGCATGGAGGGAATAAGCCATATTACAGAGTAGGGCCATGTCTATTCTCAGGACTATGCAAATTTCAAGATACACTGTTCTATCTTTTCAACTTGCCATATTATCTTATATCTTGATTATTGGTTTGGGACATATGATTTTCGTATCTGCAGACCTTAAATAACTAAGAAATATATTTAAAAAAACTCCTCTTCTAATAACCATCTTAAATTATACATACTTCATTTTCAAGTCCTCCAACGAAAGCAACTCTAACAAACATCTAGATAATCTAAACTTAGTTGAGTAATTCTCAAGTGTTCTTTAAAAAAAGAAAAAAATCAAATGATACATGGAAAAAGATTTCAAAATATACTGAAACTGTTAAATAAGTTATTTATATAATGAATAAACAGTTATTCATTCTTTTTTTTTGTTTGTTGGGTTTGTTTTTTTAAGACAGTCTCTTGTTCTGTCACCCAGGCTGGAGTACAGTGGCACAATCTTGGCTTACTGCAACCTCCACCTCCCGGTTCAAACATACTATAGGTGTGCACCACTATACTGGGCTAATTTTTGTATTTTCAGTAGAGATGGGGTTTTGCCATGTTGCCCAGGCTGGTCTCAAACTCCTGAGCTCAAGCAATCCACCCTCCTCCACCTCCCAAAGTACTGGAATTACAGATGTGAGCCACCACGCTTGGCCTTTTTTGTTCTTAAACAGGTTACTTTTCTAAGAAAAATGTAAATATTTTTAACCTATGGGTATACAAAATGCTAAAAATAGGTGGATGTTTGAAACAGGAAAAAAAATTAAGTTGTTAATCACACTGTATTCATTCGTTGCACCACAGCATGTTTCTATTGTTTTTCCCCCATTTTAAAAAGCCATGTAAACAGTTTTAACAATGACAAAAAGTTTTAAGCAACTAATTGGCAGTACATAAGCAAAGTCCAAGAGAAAAATGCAAGTAAAGTTACTAAATTATAGAAAAGGCTGGTTGGTTGGTTGAATTGTATCCTCAAAGATTACAGAATTAGGTAATGAAAGCTTAAAAAACCAAATTATCAAATCTGTTACTGAAATCAAAATAAAATCCAAAGAGCAATATACTTTACCAGGAGAATGTCTATCTTATGTGTCACTATTATACATCATTTTTTCTTGGGGAAAAAAAAAATGCAATGAATAAGAATAAAAATTCTTCATAGAAAAATCATTAGGTTTCAAAATGCCAAAAATATCTCATTCAATTCATTCTGAAAAGTCCATCTGACATTAGAAAAAATAATTCCTGAGACAGCAAATGTTACAAAGGGAGTAATTTACAAAATATCAAGGTAATAGCAATCACTGTAACTGAACCTTTCTTATAACTACACGAATTTATCAATAGATACTCTCTAGTATCAAATATTAAAACTTCAGTTCACAATAAAAAAAAGGCTATCATAAGCTGAACTTCAAATTTTAAGTGTACTTCAAGATTTTGTGATTTTAAAGCAAAACCTTAGAAGAAAACACAATTTATAAATGAAATAATTTCCATATCAGAATATGTTTGCCACTTTTTTTTTAGGGGTTTTTTTTTTTCATTATTTCCCTAGTTGACAGACCACCTTCTTAATCCTACATGTCAAGCACTGAGCTAAGTATTAAGGATACTAAAATAGACTGTCAAGGAAAACCTAGCTTAAAAAGGAAAAATATTAGCCAGGCACAGTAGCACGAACCTCTAGTCCCAGCTACGCTGGAGGCTGAGGCAGGAGAATTGCTTAAGCCTAGGAGTTTGAGTCTAGCCTGGGCAAAAAGCAAGACCTTAGCACTTAAAAAAAAAAAAAAAAAAAAAGGAAAGAAAACATTACATTCAAATACTAATTTTAAATTCCACTACAGCCTAAAGTTGTTTGGTGGTGTTTTAAACTTTAATTCAACAAAATGGAAAGTACTAGACAACATAATTGAAATCTCTTTTCTCTAATCAATTTACCATCTAAAATATTCCACCAATTTCAAGATTAAATCCCTTCACTAGGAGAATCATGTGGCTAGATTTAATCAAAACAGGAAAGGTTTTAATCAATATTCTGTACTAGAAACATAGCCCTTATGTGTAGTTAGCGTAGAAGTAGCTTCTCTAAATTCAAATATATGGCTATAGGTTTTTGTAGATATTCATCAAACTGAGGCCATTCCCATCTATTCCTAGTTTACCAAGAAGTTTTACTGTGAATGGGTATTGGATCTTGTCAAATACTTTTTCTCCATCTATTAATATGAGATTTTTCTTCTTTAGCTTGTTGATGTGTTTACCATGTTAATTGTTTAGTTTCCTCGATACGAGGGATATAAAGACAAATAGTTCATTTAACTTTTTATGATAATTAAATAAGCTTATACATGTAATGAACTTAGAACAATGCCTAGCATATACTCAAAATGTTAAGATTATTTATAAAGAGGCTCAATCATAATTTCTACAAAAAGGACACAGCCAGGCACAGTTGTGCACCTGTAGTCCTAGTTACTTGGGAGGCTGAGGCAAGAGGATCACTTGAGCCCAGGAGCTCAAAGCCAGCGTGGGCAACATAGCAAGACCCTATCTCTAAAAATAAAAATATTAAAAAGCTATACTTCTGCATGACATCATTTTACTGCACGAATAGCAGTGAAAAGTATTGTTAGTTAATGGCATCAGCATCCACCCAATTGCTCTAAAGGAAAACCTAATTATCATTTTGATTGCTCTGCTTCTCACAGAAAGTGCTGTCAGCTCTACCTCTAAAACATATTCCATACGCAATCCCGTCTCTCCATGGCCCCTACCTCCCACCTGGTCACTCTCTCCTGTATTGCTGTAGTGGTCTGCCCTCTCCTTCCCGTACACAGAGCCCATTCTTTACCTACAACCTAAACTGATCTTTCTGAAACAAAAATTAGATCAAGTACTTCCTCTGCTTCAACCAACAAGCAGCTCCCAACTGCACTTAAACTCCAAACTCTACCATGACCTGGTCTTTATCTCTTCTCACCTACCCAACTTTTGCTTTAAGTTGAATACTTGAAGTTTCCTGCCTCAAAACCTCTGTAATGTCTGTTCCCTCCACCTAGAACTTTTGTTTTGTTTTCTTTCTCCCCACAATCTCTTCCGATTCTCCTACCTAGAACATTTTTACCCCAGCTCCTTCCCCTGATTTTTACCTAACTGGCTCCTTCCAAAGTTTGGATCTCAACTAAATACCTTGCTCCATATAGAGGCTTTCCTTGCCAGCCCTAAAGTGCTACCACCACTTTGCAGCCTCTACTCTCTATAGCCTATCTCCCTGTTTTATCCTCTCCAAGGTACTTATCATCAAGTTTATTGTGTGTATTAGATCACATCCATACCCCTCAACGAGAATCAGTTTTATTAACTTGAATGTATCACCAAAAAAAAAAAAAAGATTCTAATTTTTTTCTGTATTTCAAACATGTACAGCAGTAGAGAAAATAAAATAATCCTAATTTGTTCATTACTGCAATTTCAACAAGTACAAATTTCATTTATATTTCTATTACTTTCCCACCACTATCTGTCCTATATTATTTGGAAGCAAATCCCAGGCATTTCTTCTCTAAATATACCAATATATATCTCTAAAACAATTCTTCTACAGCACACACTAAACCACTACCACAACGAAAATAATGAAAAATGATTACTTAATATTATCAAATATCAAGTTAGATGTCAAATTTCTCAATTACCACAACCATTATTAAGTGAGTCAAATTAATCATATTTCTTTTTTTGAGACGGAGTCTTGCTCTGTCTCCCAGGCTGGAGTGCAGTGGTGTGATCTTGGCTCACTGCAAGCTCCGCCTCCCAGGTTCACGCTATTCTCCTCCCTCAGCCTCCCGAGTAGCTGGGACTACAGGCACCTGCCACCACACCTGGCTAATTTTTTGTATTTTTAGTAGAGACGGGGTTTCACCGTGTTAGCCAGGATGGTCTTGATCTCCTGACCTCGTGATCTGCCCGCCTCAGCCTCCCAAAGTGCTGGGATTACAGGCATGAGCCACCGCGCCCGGCCCTAAATTAATCATATTTCTTTCTAGTGTCTACCAATACAAAGAGAGAAAAGGAAATTGCAAGTCTGGAGAAGGAAGAAGTGATTTGTTCTTCAAGTTTGCTTCCTGTTCTGTCAGTTTCACCTGAGCCTTGCTTAGTCACTAGAGCAGCACTCATTCAAGTAGCAACAGCTGAAACCAGCCTTATTGTGCCCCTCAGTGACTCCGTTACCAGCCAGTTGGAGGCCTCTCCTCAAAGAGCTGAGCCTGAGCTCCTCTTTCAAATTCAGTAACCCAATACTAGCCAAACAGCACTCCCTTGTCAGAGGTCTGAGATTTGTGAGAACTTAAAATAAGAGCTAAAAATAGGTAATATACTTTATGGTAGCATTTTTTATTCCTCATATAAGCACTTCACAAGGTTAAATTCTTCTACTTAGAATGTAATCCCATTCACAACAACCACAAAAAGAATAAAACACCTAGGAATAAGCTAACCAGGGAGGTGAAAGATTTCTACAATGAGAATTACAAAACACTGCTGAAAGAAATCAGAGATGACACAAAGTAATGGAAAAACATCCCATGCTCATGGATAGGAAGAATCAGTATTGTTAAGATGGCCACCCTACCCAAAGCAATTTACAGATTTAATGCTACTCCTAACAAGCTATCAATATCATTATTTGCAGAATTAGAAAAAAAAATTCTAAAATTCATCTGGAAACAAAAAAAGAGCCCAAATAGCCAATACAATCCTAAGCAAAAAGAACAAAGCTGGAGGCATCACAATACCCGACTTCACTATACGACAAGGCTACAGTAACTAAAAGAGCATGGTATTGGTATAAAAACAGACACATGGACCAATGGAGCAGGTCAGAGAACCCCAAAAATAAAGCTGCACACCTACAACCATCTGATCTTTGACAAAGCCAACAAACAAGCAAAGGAGAAAGGACTCCTTATTCAATAAACAGTGCTGAGATAACTGGCTAGCCATATGCAGAAGACTGAAATTGGACCCCTTCTTTTCACCAGATAAAAAAAAAAAAATCAACTCAAATGGACTAAAGGCTTAAATGTAAAACCTGCAACTATGAAAACCCTAGAAGAAAACCTAGGAAATATCATCTGAACATCAGCCTTGGCAAAGATTTCATGATGAAGACTCCAAAAGCAATTCAAACAAAAACAAAAATTGACAAGTGGGACCTAATCAAACTAAAGAGCTTCTGCACAGCAAAATAAACTATCAACAGAGTAAAAAGACAATCTACAGAATGGGAGAAAATATTTGCAAATTATGCATCTGACAAAAGTCTAATGTCCAGAATCTACAGGGACCTTAAGCAAATCAATAAGCCAAAAAAAAAATGACCGCATTAAAAAGCGGGCAAAGGACATGAACAGACACTTCTCAAAACATGACATACACGTAGCAACAAGCATATGAAAAAAATGCTCAATATGACTAATCATTTGAGAAATGTAAATTAAAACCACAATAAGATACCATCTCACACCAGTCAGAATGGCTACTATTAAAAAGCCAAAAATCCACAGATGTTGGTGAGGTTGCAGAGAAAAGGGAACACCCAAACACTGCTGGTGAGAATTTAAATTAGTTCAGCCACTGTGGAAAGCAGTTTGGAGATTTCTCAATGAACTTAAAACAGAACTACCATCCAGACCCAGCAATCCTTTTACTGGGTATATACCCAAAGGACTAGAAATCATTCTACCACAGGGCCAGGCACGGTGGCTCATGCCTGTAATCACAGCACTTTGGAGGCCAAGGCGGGTGGATCGCTTGGGCTCAGGAGTTCAAGACCAGCCTGGGCAACATGGCAAAACCCTGTCTCTACTAAAAATACAAAAAATTTTAGCTGGGCGTGGTGCCGCACTTGTGTTCGCAGCTACTCGGGAGGCTGAGGTGGGGAGGATCACTTGAGCCTGGAAGGTGGAGGTTGCAGTAAGCTAGGATCACGCCACTGCACCCCAACCTGGGTGACAAAGCAAGACTCTGTCTCTCAAATATAAAAATAAAAATAAAATAAATCATTCTACCATGAAGACACAAGCATGCATATATTCATCGCAGCACTATTCACAATAGCAAAGATAAGTAATCAACCCAGATCCCCATCAACAGTTGATTGGATAAAGAAAATGTGGTACATAAACACCATGGAATCCTACACAGCCATAAAAAAGAACAAGGTCATGTCCTTTGCAGCAATATAGATGGAGCTAGAGGCCATTATCCTAAGCACATTAATGCAGGAACAGAAAACCAAATACTGCATGTTTTCAGTTATAAGACGGAGCTAAATATTAAGTACACATGGACGCAAAGAAGGAAACAATAGTCACTGGGCCTACTTAACAGTGGAGGGTGGGAGAAGGGTAAGGATATTATGGGTACTATGCTGATTACCTGGGTAACAAAATTATCTGTACACCAAACCCCCACGACATGAAATTTACCCATGCAGCAAATCTGCAAATGTACCCCCTGAATCTAAAATAAAAGTTGGAAAGAAAAAAAATAATAACAGCAAGCTTAATATATTTGTTTTGCTCAGGCTAGTATTTAAAAGGTGACACTGACCCCATTGTGAAGCTGGAAGCACAGGAGAAAGAAGTGACCCTGATCGCATTATGAAGTTGGAAACAGAGGAAAAAAAAAAAATCAAGAATGGAGGCAAGTGCAAAGTTAGCAACTAATTTCTCAAATCAGAAATCTGAACTTCTCAATGCTTTGCTTTCCTCACCTGTAAAATAGAAATAATAATAATAATAGCAGTGACCCATCTAGAGCTGTTCTAAAAATTTAATGAGTTAATACATGTAAAGGACTTAGAATAGTACCAGGCTCAAAAAGCACTTAAGTGTAATCTCACATTAATATGGCCTGCTTATTCAGAAATACAAATACCTTTCTTCACCCATAATTAATAAAATATTCTAAGAGCCAGCTTGTAGTATAAGCAATTTCTGATTTAATCAATCTTTCAAATTATCATGTGACTCAAGATAATAATAAGCTCCCCTATGTACTCCAACTGAAGACACTAACAGTCAATTAAATAGTCATAAAACTGAAAACATTAATAAACTGTATTCTCTGCTATAGTGTTCTATAATTTCACACACAGTATCTTCCCAACTAGAGTATGGCAACAACTAATCTCCTTATCTCTATTCTCTCTTTCTTCTAGTCTGCTCTGTGTACTACAGCCTGATAGTTGATCTTATTAAAATTTTGCTCTCACAATATGAACATATCCTGCTCAAGTTCTCCTGTAGCCGGATACATCAAACCAAAAACCTTCGGGCTTGTTTTTAAGATCCTTCACTATTCTGCTCCCTCAGTTTCACTTACTATTTCCTAACATAAGCCCTCTACCCCAATCAGGTTACTAATTCTCATCTTTGTACTACTGCCCACTCTGCTTTCACAGCCTGAAATAGAACTCTCCTCTTCACCTGTGCATTTCTTATCAGTCCTTCAAGATTCAGTTCAAATCTCACATTCCCTTCACAAAATTACCTGGACCATTCAATCCTCCAGGAATCTCTCAAATATCTGTACTAAGAGTATGACCTAACATTTAACATTTTATTATACTCATTTTTTAATGTTCAAGAATTGTCCTATATAATCTTGTTTTTCTGAGTTAGATTATAAAGTACTCAAGGACAAAATCAGAGTTGTCCAAATCCTGGCAGTGCTGGTAACAGAACAGCTGTATTAACTTAAGCGTTCAAAAGGCCTAGTGCAGTGTCTAACATGTACTAACAAGGTAGTAAATGTATGCTAGCTATACCGGAACATCCAAATTAGAGAATATTCTGTAGACATTAAGAATAACACATCTGTGATGTTTGTAAAGATAGTGATAACAAAAATGTTGTAACAATATCTGTAGAATGATTAAATTTCTGGATAAATACATTTATTTTGTGGGTGGCTTCAAATAATTGTATTCCAAAAATATAAAGTACTAGTATCACTGGATAGTCAGAATCACTGTCCAATGAAAATGATTATGAAACAAAAGTGTTTATGAAACAACAAAAAAAAGTAATAACATTTCTCCTTTTAAAAAAAGCTTAAAATGAAATAATAAGACAATGTCAAGTTTAAAGGCAGGTTATAAGAATGTACATAGAATATAATCCCAATGTATAAAAATAAAAATGGAAGAAAATTTGTTAAATTTATAAGTAATATTCTATAGCTGATTTTTGCACAATCCTAGATTTGCTATTTTATTTCAAATTTTCTGAATACTATTCCTAAAACATGGTTTGGAGATGCCCTTGAGTTCCTCGAAGATACTACCAGGAAGGAGGGAAGTATGGAGGGAGAAAACACTTGTAGAAGTTAAACAAGTAATACATGGAGAAAAATTCAAAGGCAATTCCCATCCTTAAGCACCTGTATTCCTACCATCTGTATTACAGAATGAACTAGAGAATCAGAATGCAATAAACTGGTTTTATATTAAAGTGCAGGGCAAAGTACAAACTCAGGGATAACGTTAAGCTATAAACTTCTCCATGATTACACTAGAATCAAACTCTAGCAATTTAGTATCACTGGAGTTCCCCACCTCCACTCCATCTGCCCTCTACCCCCAAACACTCAAATTTATTCATTATATAATTATTTTTGTCATCAAAAGAAATCACTTGGTACAACTTTGTTTAGATCCTATCCTCTAGTTTCTTTTTAATGCATATGGAAATTTTGATTTATTCTACTATATGTTATTTTCACAGTATTTTGTGTTGTTTACTACTCTTGAATATCTGCCTCCGAACAAGACAATCCTTTTAATGATTTCAAATTAGGCAGACAAAACTGTTTTCTTTCCAAAACCTGTGAGAGTTGTTGCATAAACAGATATGGACAGAGGAAGGAAGTACCCAGTCAACAATACTGAACAGCAGAATAAAGTCTGAATTCTTTGGCATGGCATTAAAATCCAACACAATTGGTCCATATCAATCCTCTTTAACTGTTCTCCATTCACTCCCCATCATGAATTTTCTGAACATCACCATTTCCTCTGTTAGAACATATCCTGCTTATTTCCAACAATGATAACCAATGTGTGGGCACTGGCACCCAAACAGATCTGGAGTCAAAGCCAAGTTCTGCCAGGATGGCCTTTGGGCAAGTCATAACTTCTTTGAGGCTCAACTTCCTCATCTTGTAAAATGATAAAAATAAAAACCTACCTCATGAGTTAATGTGAAGATTAGATGTAACCCATGGAAAGCCTTCTGTGCAGTTCTGGACATACAGCAGGCATGCAATATAAAGTTATTATTTCTATTACTTCCCAGTTCTGTGCCTTTGCACGTGCTATTTGCTCTACCTGAAATGTTACCCTGTTCCCCTCTTCACTTGGAGAATCTTTCTTACCAACTGAGACCTAAAGCATAATACCACCTCATGTTATGTAAAGCCTTTATTGACTTCCTTAATTAATGGCTCCCTTTAGGGTATTTTTTTTTTTTTTTTGGCGGGGGTGGGAGGCACAGGATGGTGGTTAGAGACAAGGTCTCACTCTGTCACCCAGGCTGAAGTGCAGTGGCATTATCATAGCTAACGGCAGCCTAAAATTCCTGGGCTCAAGCAATCCTCCTGCCTAAGTCTCCCAATCTGCTGAGATAACAGGTGAAAGCCACTGTGCCCGGCCCATGGCCCCCTTTTCTGTGCTAGTTCAGTACTTTGCTCTTTTCTCCATCATAGTTGTTATTATACTAACCTCTAATTATTTATCTCTTTCCCTGAAAGATTAGAAGTTCCTTAAAGACTGGTGAATATTTTCTATCACACAGCACTGAGCCTGGGGCACACAACAGGCATTCATATGTTTCTGAAGAAACATTTACATATAGATTCTTATAAAAGAATCTATAAAAAATGCTGCAGCATATGAGAGGAGTGACAGGGCAAATGCTACAGAGAGGACAAATGGAATGAAAGAAGCTGTCACATTCGGCAATTAAGAGGTCACAAGTTTGGTGACACTGGTACAAAAAAAAGGTCACAGGCAACCTTAGAGAGATGAATTTCAGTACTGTAGTAAGAAATGAACAGTCAGCAGGTGAAAATGTTGCCTTTAAGAAACTGACCAATTATGGAGAAAAAACAGTAAGCTGAAGGTAAAGCAAAATTAAGGGAACATTTCTGCATGACAAGATGAACCAGGAGGTAGAGGCTGAGTATTTAAGTAAGAGGTAATAAAATAAAATCCCTGATACGGCAGTAGTATTAGCCTGGTGGGGCCAGGAGCAGTGGGGGATATGCTAGACTCAGCTAGAGGAAAAAGGTTGAGGTTGAAATGCAACTTAAGTTTTGAGGTAAAAGCTTTCTGGAAAGACTACATTAATGTTTTGTTTTTTGTAATGGGCTAGATGATCTCTAAACACTTTTCCAGCTCAAAACATCCAGTTATGTAATTTTTAATGCCAATGAAATATCTCTGAAATCTATTCTTTCTTTCCTTTTCTACCACTATTGCCCTAGCGATCATTATTAGTATACTCTTATATGAGTACTCCCATTTCTCTGCTTCCTATACCTTTCCTCTATGTCATTACTTGGATTGATCTTCCCAAGCCATTGTTTTCTATGTTTTTACAACGTTTTACATATTTTAGACAGATTGATGGGGATACAGATATCTATGCATGGGTAGACATATACGCACTATAACATTTGTTTAGAAAAACATGGATTTGTCCCAATGCCACTGATATGAACACATGTTAGGGAACAAGTTGAGAATAACACTAATTTTGTGTTTGCTTATGTTCAAATGCAAGAAATGCTCAGCAGGCACAGATAACTGCAACCCAGTCACGTAGAAATATATGCATACACACCTCAAACATCTGCCAGTTACGTCAGTTCACTGCATACGTTATGAGCTACACCCATCCACATCTGGTGTAACACTCTCACTCCAATTTCAGATAACCTTCCTCCTACCATTTTACAGTAATTCACAAGCTGGGATCCTTCTAACACTTTTCAAAAAGTTTAGGTATTTTTCAAAGTAAAGTGTCATATTTGTTGTAGTATTTATGTACTTATTAAGCATTTAACATGTGTGAAACTGCTAGTTTTTATTAGGTTTCTATCTTTTTAAATGCCATTGACAAAGTTTTTGAGTGTTATGCCCCAAACTCCATTTTCACATATGCCCTACAGTTTTTACTGCACAATTTTGCATACCATGATGAGTTTCAGGAACTTATTTCAGCTACAGCATACATACATTTATAATTACTCCAGCTCCAACCACCAACTTCCCAGTGAAATCAAAGGTTATAGAGGTTTAAAAAAAGAAAAAACCTCTGGTCATCCTTCACAATTATCTGAACCTATGAGACTCTTTCAATGGCACAAACACTTTTCCTGAGCAATGTTTCAGGAAACACAATATATGAAAAGAAAAAAATAGACCAGGTGGAGTGGCTCACACCTGTAATCCCAACAACACTTTGAGAGGCCAAGGTGAGAGAAGCATTTGCGTGTAGGAGTTCAAGACCAGCAACATACTGAGACCCCATCTCTACAAACAAATTAAAAAATTAGCCCAATGTGGTGGTGCAAGCCTGCAGTCCCAGCTACTCAGGAGGCTCACGTGGGAGGATCTCTTGAACTCAGGAGGTTGAGTCTGCAGTGAGCCATGATCGTGCCACTGCACTGAGCCTGGGTGACAGAGATCCTGTCTCAGAAAAAAGGAGAAGAAGGGAGGGGAGGGGAGGGGTGGGGAGGGGAGGGGAGGGGAGGAAAGGAAAGGAAAGGGCTATTTATCTAAGACTATTTATGGGCTAATCAAAAAGCCACATAATAAGGCAGATAAGCAGTAAGGTCCTTTCCCAATGAAGTAATGGTTAAGTATTTTAATATCAAACAGCACAAAACACATGCATCCAACTGGACATGGTGGCTCATGCCTGTACTCTCAGCTGCTTGGTAGGCTGAGGCAAGAGGATCACTTGAGCCCAGGAGTTTGAGGCTGAGTCATCACACCATAGTACTGCAGCCTGGGGAACAAGCAAGATCCCTGTCTCTAAAAAACATACAACAAAAGATACATACACATCCACCCCTATTTTTGAAGTTATAGAATAACATCATAAAAATACTCATGATGAGTGGTTAAGTATACACACAAATCAATAGTGTGGTTCCATTTCTCAAGTAGATTCAAAAAAATAAGAATAGAAACACAAATATTAATATGTATAAGATAACAGGTTTTTCTACCTTTCCTTGGATTTATTTCCATGAGAGAACTACAGTGAACACACTGCCTTTTTTTTAACACATTACTTCTACTAGCAGAAAAAAATTAGGATTACATAAATTTGATTTGCATCAACTTTTGCTTACATTATAGGATATGGAGAAGTCTTTCAAGAATTTGAAACCTAAAAGTAACTTCTTTGATTATTTCAGCTAATACAATCGTACTTTTTATTCCTATTCCTCAAGCACCATCTTCTGAATGTTAACTCTGTTCTGAGATTTACATTCTTTTTAAATACTACTAAAAATATTCTGGAAAAAACTCCAAAATAATAGAAAATCAATTGATACTTTATGTAACCTGCAAATTCTAAAATATTAAGTAGTTTGCTTACATGACCATAGATAAGCTTAGTCTGAAAGATGTCTTTTTAAGTTAATTTCATCTGTTTCAGTTCTGTATTTCAAACTGTATATTATTATGTTTATTTATCCTATTCTCTTAGTCCCCCTAGAGTTTTGTTTTGTTTGAGTTTTTCTGAGCCAGGGTCTCACTTTGTCACCCAGGCTGTAGTGCAGTTGAGCAGTCACGGCTCACTGCAGGCTCGACCTCCTGGGCTCAATTGATTCTCCCACCTTAGCTTCTCAAAGTGGTAGCATTAGAGGTGTGAGCTATGGCACCTGGCCCCACAGAATTTATTATGAAGAGCCTGAAAACAAAGTTTCAGCTGCCACAGAATTGTAATCCACAATATAAATTCTCTCCTATCTGTTCACTTCAGCAAAACCTAACAAAATATTAATTTTCAGAATACAACTGCCCTATTTCTTCAACTACTTAAAATAAATGAGACTATCATTGAAAAATACACTGTGACCCACAAAATTTTGCTGGACAAAATCTCCAAAAACTATCACAGAATAAACATTTTACTAGTCAACTGACATGCTAAGATTTGAACTTGCTGGAGCTCTTTTTACCTTTGAAGTGTGTGATTTTGCTGCTTTTAGAATTTAAATATTCCTACAATGTCGTTCAGCCATGGTGCCCTGTGTATTTTTACATAGCCTAAGGAGAATGTAACAGGTGGCTGAGGCTCAATTCTATACATGTAGGTATATGGCTATAACACATTTGCCTAAGATCTAAACAGAAAGTTGACTCAGCAGTTAACCAAATATGTTCAAAATCAATTGCCAGTCAAGGATGCCTATAGGTCTAACATGTAAGATTTGTAATCAATGGGAAAAATGTTTGCACTTGATAGTAGTTTGATAAGATGGCAAACACAATGCTTTAAAAGTTTGAGTTGCTAATTATCAAATACATTTATAAACACAAGTATATGCTTTCACTTAAAGATATGTAAAAATTAAAAATGAGTGAAAGTAAAGTTCTAATTACGCATTAACTATTTGAGGTGTTTCTGTAGTCTAGACTTGTCTAAATTCTGGAAAAGAGGCAAAGCAGACAGAGCATTTTGCACTAAGTATGTGACATTACATAAATGTTTAAAGTACTTTGAATTTCCAAGTAGCTCAACCTGTCTGTTAAAATATGCACAGTTTTAAATTGGAAGAAAAAAATGAAAATGTTTAACAACCTCATAGGAAATTAACCTATACAGTAACTACAATTTCTGATTTGGGCATTTTTATAACATTTTCACAAACATCATTTTATTTAATTCATGTAACAATCCTGTTAGATAACCAGCATTCATTTCATTTGACGGATCAGTAAACTAGTACAGGGTATTTAAGTTAGTTCTTCCCAAACTTTAGTGTGTACCAAAATCACTCAAGTTAAAATGCAGACTCTCAGATAACATCCCTAACCCAGACTGGGGTGGATTCCAGAAATCTGATTTTAAATAAATGGCAAAAGTGATACTGGTAGAGATGGTCCCCCCAGAAACATCTTTTAGGACACTGATTCTAGTACTGTAACTAAAGTGGTAAGCAGTGGAAACTCCTTTTTTTTTTTTTTTTAACTCTGAATCAATGTTCCCAAATGTTTAGATGACAGAGCTTTGCAGATCTCCATGAAAGATATGTAAAAGTTTTATTAAGGTGAAAGTATTACACTCAGTTAAATTGTTAGGTTTTTGCAAAAGTAATCCAACTATTAGGCTGGTGCCATTACTTTCAATGGCAAAAACTGTGATTACTTTTGCACAAACCTAATAAATACCTATTATACTAAACTCCACTGCAAACAAATGGTAGTAGGTGCCCAAGTTTTAAGAAACTTAAAATTGAGGAGATCCTACCATAATTTCATTTTCTCTGTAAAGTGGGAAAGGCTGATATTAAATTATTTTAAGTTAATGGCTTCTCATAATTTGAATACCATATCACTTTACTGAAAGGAAAGCTAAAATTTAGGGACCAGAGGTTCTAAGAACATAATGAAAAATAAAGATGAAAATATAAAAGCACTTAAGAGCACACCGTGTGAATACTAAAAAACCACTGAACTGTACACTTTAAAAGGGTAAATTTTATTGTATGTGAATTATATCTCAATTTTTAAAAAAGGAAAAAAAGCACAGAGAAAATGTCAAACCCTAATATTTGCCAATAATTTTATACTTATAAAACATTATATCAACCTTGCTATTAAATGGCATAATTATTTTCTGGCACACATCATAGGTGCTAAAAAAAAAATGCAGAAATAATAAATAGCATAGATAGGCTTGGTACGGTAGCTCCCACCTGTAATCCAAGCACTTTGGGAGGCTGAGGCGGGTAGATCACTTGAGGCTGGAAGTTTGAGAGCAGCCTGGCCAACATGGCGAAACACCATCTCTACTAAAAATACAAAAATTAGCCAGGCATGGTGGTGCACACCTGCAGTCCCAGCTACTTGGGAGACTGACGCAGGAGAATTGCTTGAACCCGGGAGGTGGAGGCTGCAGTGAGCTGAGATCACACCACATGCCACTGTACTCCAGCCTGGGCAACAGAGCAAGACTCCACCTCAAAAAAAAAAGAAAGAAAGAAAAAAACAAAGAAAATAGTATAAACAGGCCACTAGCTTGATAATGATTTTAAATAAGAATTTTAATGCCAGTGTTTATATATTCATTTGTTCTCAAAATTTTCCATTAAAGTCTCACTTCATCTATGTTCTATAAATAGGGCTATTTTTAAATTCCATAGTCATATACTAACAATTTAACACTAAAATATTCTTTGTATTTCTTAAACTAGGTATACAGTATGTAATACACTGAAGTGTAGTAAGATGGTTTATTACGCACAAGACTGTGAGTGCAAACTATCTCTAATCTACTTCTCACTACATGTATGACCTGAAGCAAGTAACATACCTTCTCTTCCCCATTTTCCCATAGGGCTGTGGTGAGAATTAAATGCACTAATGTATGTCAAGTGCTTAGAACAGTGCCTGGCACTTAATAAGCACACCATAAATGTCATCTACTTTAATTATGTAATTATTATTTTTATGAGAAATGACATCCCAGCTCAGACAACTCAGTACAAATCCTGATAATATTAAAATTTCAATTTACTTTACCAGTGAGCTCAAACATTTAGGAAAGCTGGGCTAATAGCCCAGGTTTTACACTAAACAGTCTCAGTGTTTACACTATATCTACCCCATTCACGAATCAAATTTTCTCCAACTCTGAGTCATTATTAGTTTCTCTCCTGACTCATCACACAGAAAGGTAGACAGTCTGGAGCATAATGGGAATAACAAAAGGCATTTCTTAATCCACCTGGATTTATAAAGTTTACTAAGTGGAACTTGTCCTATATATAATGTTCAATAAACATACTAAATAATTATGACCTAACCTGTGTTCACTTAAAAGTGCTTTCTATATGTTAAATGCTCCTTTATCTTCCCTTTCACCAACACGAGTTCAAACTATGGAGTAGGTGTCATGACCCCATCTTGATAGAAAAACAATATATCACTTAGGTAAAATCAAAGATTCACATTTTCTGACCACTAGCCAAAAATAAATTTACGTTTTGCCGAGAGCCTGGTGTTCAAAATTTTGCCACTCTATAGGTTAGAGGGTCAGAGGCAATCTCTGAGTCCACAAATTTGACCTGAAATTCTATTCAATTCCATACCTTTACTGTTTTCCTCATTCAGATGTTTAAATTACTTAAGATAATCTTTAATAAAAAGTTATGTAAAAATCTAGGGAAATATGCTGAATAATGAAAAGTAGGTTAATTTTTAAAAACTCCCCTTTCCCTAGATATATACATACACACAAAATACACAAAAATGTTTAAAATATTGCTCTATCAGTTACTTTCTATGTGATCTTGAATCATTTAAGCTCTAAGTCTTCATTTTCTCCTCTGGAAATAGTGATAAACAGTGTAACTACCACATGAGATTGCTGTGAACTTCAGTACATAAAGCACTTTAGCCAACCACTAAAGCTAAACCACTTTAGCCAACCACTATTTTAAAACAGAAGTTTTAAATACTGTATATGTTAACTTTTATACTTAAACCAAAACTTCAGTGCCACCTCTACCTATTCAAAGATTACATTTTCTATGGCACCCATCTCCATTAACCCATTCACACAACCCTACTCAATGGCAGTAACTTCACAAACCCCCTGGAAACAAGTATGTAACTGTCTAGGAAGCTTTCTTCAACTATCACTCCTCCTCCCTGGGTTAGGTACCCTGCTCAGGCACTAAGCTATACTTACTACTCTACTTTTCACATTTCCTTATATTACCTGAGAGCACCTCGTGGGCAAGGCTTATGTCCTATTCATTTCTATACCCAGACTGCAGTCCAACAGTTGTTATCACTGACTCACATTTGAATCAAATGGGGAACTTATAAAAATATTAATGCCTGGGATCCATCCCAGACCCATTCAATATTACAGGGTGGGGTGAAGGGACAAAGAGGGCACGGAATTGAATTAGCATGAGCAAACATTTTTTTAAAGATCCTAACATGCTATCAATGTGCTGCTCAAGTTAAGAACCACTGCATGTCGGTACTTAATATACTATACAAACAATTATGTATACATGTACATATGTGAGAACATATGTAAAAATATACAAGTACTGAAAAGTTTAAGACTCAGGTCAAGATTCTCATCCTCAATAGCTTCTCCCAGCCCAATCATCTCCCCCTTTTAAACACACACTATTTCCAATAAATAGTTACATGCTTCATTAAGATGGCTTTTAAACTGTTAACTCAGTACTTAAATTTTTTCATGTAATTATGCCTTATCCTTCTTCCTAGATTATAGCCTTGCTCCTTGAGAATATACACTGCCGTGTTCTTATTTTCTCCACTGCTTAAGGATAGTGTCTTTAACAGGTATGTAATACACATTTGACTGATCTGATAAACACACACAAAAATTACTGGCAAGAAGTATGCCACGTCCAAATTACCCAGTTCAGGTGAATTACTACCAAAAAATAGAAAATGTAAAAATTTAGAAAAAAGGATATTTTTCTTAAAACTCTTAGTAAATTTTATCTCATTAAAGAAGCTCTGGATAGATCGACTTCAGCCATCACATGCAGTAACCACCCAGTTTCCTACCTCCCAAATAGCTAGTTTCGGTTTTTGACCTGGTTCCTTGCCTATAACTATCTTCTAGTCAATTCTGGTATCTTTAGCTGCTGTCAGATACCTTTATAACAGTATTATATATACACTCTATAACTAGTAAAGTGAGGTAATGAAAGTCACAATAAATGTATCACACAGATGTTTCATAAGTACTTCCTTGAAGGAACTTAATGTTTATCCACCATTAAAACCAGATCTCTACATATGAACTACATGTTAATCTACTAATACAGACTTGGTTGGGAATCATGTCTGAAAATAAGAGTCTTACTCGACATTAGATAAAATAAAGTCTACTTTTGAATATAAAGAGATTGGTCATTTTCATCTTTTTACTTATTTTCATACCCGAAAAATTTGCAAAATATGTATGACTTTTTAAAACAGGGGTGCTAAATTAAATATTACACAAGAAACTCCACAGCAACTGGTATTCTCAATGTTGAAACTACCAGGAGAAATGGCACAATTCTAAAAAAGCAACAATATAAACACATGAAAATGGCTCAGCTTTAAAGTTTTGCATCATATATTTTACCACTATTAAAATAATCTGAAATACATAAGTTGTTTTGAAAAATAAGAAAATATGAGGAGGAGGCGCTCAAGAAGTATGTCTGTTAATTAGATACTGTAGTGAAGCATTACTGTTTTGTTGGGTCCTGCAGCTTGAAACGGACAGAGACATAGTTACCACTAAAAGAAAGCAGTCCTCAATTCCCTATTCAATAAAAAGGTTCAAACTCTACAGACAAAAAAAAAGGTACCCTTGGTTTGTTTGTTTTCAGGGAAGATTAAATTTAGGAGTTGCCAACACCCAAACGAAAAACATTCCAGAGTATTAGACTCCATTGTAGTGGGAAGTCATCTACATTCTCAGCACTATGTTCTCTTACTCAAAGCAGGGGTATTAACAAAAGATGTTTCTTAGGATCTCACAAGATACACTCTACTTACTTCCCCCAGTAAACATTACCCTTGTTTAAAAAAAAAAAAAGTACTTGAAAAATAATTTTAGCACATGCAGCCAGAAAAAAAGTGAAGTTTAACATCTGCCAAGATATTTCCCAAAATAAGACCGCTGTCAGATGAACAATGAGGAAAAGATTGAAAATGACAAATTCTTTTATTTGGATCATCAGCTACTTTTAAAAATCAAGTTGAGGAATGTAGCTTTTCCAAAGCCTTGTCTTCAATTTCCCCTTAATCTTCATATTTTTAACTAAAAAAAAAAAAAAAAAAAACACCTAGAAATTTGATTACCACTCTTACGAATTCCTTCTAAAGCAATTTAATGAATAACAGATCTTTTGTGCAAGTAGCAAACCGCAGAGGACAGTTTTGCTGGCTGATAAAAATCTCTGAAACGCTCATATAAATACGTCCTACAAAGACACACTATGATTTAACAGGTATGGAAATCATAATACTAAAAATTTAGGTATATTTAATATACACCCTAACTTATTGCAAATGCTTCTACTTAAACCACAATTAAAGTTGAGTAAAATTAGAAAGCCAGGAGAAGAAAAAGTGAAAGCTAAACAGTCAATGAGAAAAAGATGCAACTATTTTAGGTGAAACAAGGTAGTTGAACCACTTCCTCAAATCCATGAGCTACTATCAAAGTAATCAAAACTTGTTTGAGATTGTTTTGTCTTGTTTCTGGTAGAGGGAGGTGTGATTATACACTTAGTAAAAATGTTTTACCAGTCACTCTAATGGAAGATGCTGCTACCTGTAACGTTTCGAAAATGCTCCAAACTGCAAACAACCCAAAACAAACAAAAACCCTACCACATGTTTTTCAGACACAGTACTCAAAAAGAGATCGTCTTAGCGAACAGAATTGTGGGTTACTAAATCATCCCTATTGTCCTAAGTATCACTCAGAAAAACACTGTGTGTTTAGGAGCACAACTTATAAACAGCTGATTTATATATAAAATAGTGCACGTATTCATTTGGATATACTCATCTTGAGCTCACTGTAAGATAAAGCTGTCTTGGATATTGCTAAGGCAACATTTTCTTTACAGATGTTATTAAACATTGGTAAGAAAGGAGAAATAAACTGGTAACTTCACATGGGCACGTGAGACCCTAGAGAATGTCGTCACCATTAATCAATTTTTCTAACTGATCAAGCATAAACAGCCAAGTCCAGGTGGCCAAGTCAGCCAAGTCCAGGTGGGCAAGTCCTGGAGCCATAAGTTGTCTTTCTACCACGGTAAAAAAGGATCCTGGATCTGAGACCTGGCCAGGAAGCCTGAAAAGCACGTGTCCTACTCTGAGTTTGGGGAACTTCCCAGGAAGCATTTGTTCAGAGTAAAACTCCATCACCCCCTGCCTGCCTAACTCGGTGAAGGGACAAGTACGAGCCAGGGGAGGTAAACTCTGCGCCCCGGGTAGCTCCCAGGAGGAAGACACCGGGAGGCAGCTGCCCGCCCCGGCCCGGTCCGGCTGCGGCCCCCGCCCGGCTCACCTCTGCGGCAGGGATGTTGACCACGCCGGTGGAGCGCCGCTTCTCCCGCAGCTTCCTCTTCTCGATCTGCCCCTTGCCTTTCCTGGCACTGGGGCCCGAGCTCTTGCCCTTCTCTGGGACGCCGTCCGGCTCCTCCTCGTCACGCTGGGGCGGCGGTGCAGCCGAGGCAGAGGCGGCTGGGGGCTCGTCCTCCGACCGCCGCGGGCCGGGGGCCGCCCGCGTCAGCATGGCGGAGCCGACCGCGCAGTTCACGCCCCCGGGACCGGGGACGGCAGGTGCGGCCGGCGCGCCGCCCGGGAGGTTGTTGTTGAGCTCGTTGGCAGCGGCGGCCGCCGGGGTGCCCAGAGCCCCCGCGGGGGGCTTCCCAGCGGCGTCGCTGCTGCCCCCTCCCGGGGGGGCCGGGCCCGGGGGGTTCTGCTTGGCGCGCATCTTCTCGCGTTTCGCCTTCCACTCCTCCAGGAAGTCTGTGGTGCTGCCGCCGAGGCCGCTGCTGGTCCGGTAGCCACCGGTCGCCATATTCCCAAAGGGGCCGGTCGGGCTCTCACCTCAGGCCGCCCACCAGGGCTCCGGCCGCTGCCTCCTCTTCCTTCCTGCGGCCCCGAGGATGCCAGGAGACGACCTCCAGGAGAGGGACGGCCGCCGCTCCCACAGCAGCCGGCGGGGCTGAGGTGAAAGACAAAAGGGGGCGGGTAAGGGAAGCGTAAGATCCCCGCCCGACCCAAGGGTCTGCCCCCGGGCTGCGCCCCTTGGAGTCCTCGAGCGCGCCCACCAGTCACTACCGGCCAGCAGCCGCCGGGTCCCCACCCTGCAAAGTTTCTCCCACGCACCTACAGTACGGACCCCGACGATCGCCGCCCCTAGAAGGGAGGAGAGAGGACTGACCCCACCCCCAAGTCGGCCCGCCCGCCCCATCCCCACCAAGGTCCGCGCCGGCGGCGGTCGAGATACTAGGGCTAGACCCGCCACCTGTCGGCTCGTCGTATCGCCTGCTCCGCGCTCTAGCCACCGCCGGTCCGAGGTCCCCGTCAGCTACAACCCCACTCCCAAGGCGAGGCGCGGAGCTCCTAGCCGGTTCGCAGAGGAGGCGGGGACCCAGCTGTCCCGCCGAGCGTGGAAAGGACCGGGTGTGAGCGAGCGCCTTACCTTGGAGGAGCTTGTAGGGGACGAGGCGTAGGGCTGGGATCCGGCTCCCAGGTGTGCCGAAGCTGGCGCGCGCTCTTCCGCCGCGCGGAAAGTGCCGCGGCAAACTCGCGGTGCGGAGCTCCAGGCAATCCCAGGACAGGAGGGAGGGAGAAGAAGGAGGGAGGGAGGGAGGGAGGGAGCCAGGGGCGGGAAGGGAGCCGAGCGGCGCCGAAGCACGAGCGGAAAAGGCCGAGGCGGCGCGCGAGGGGCGCGGCGCGCGGTGGGAAGGGTCGTGGCCGCTGACGCCCCGCCCCCGGCGCTCAGGTGCGCGGCGTCGCGTCCGGCCCGCCGCTGCAGCCTGCCCTGCGCCAGCCGTCCTCTGCCCCGCTCCCGCCGCAGACCACAGCGCGCCCGCCGCGCTCCGCCCGCGGCCTGCGAGTTAGACGGCACATTCCTGGGCTAGCAGCTTCGCGGCGTCCGGCCTCCCGGCGCCTCCGACTCCGGGGCGGGAACGGCACTCCACGCCCTTCTTGCTTGTCTTCTCCGCCTCTCTCTTCTCCCACCACTCTTCCTTTTAAGTACAAGACCGTATTATTTGAGAGAAAGTCTCGAACGCTGCTGGCTAAGGGGAAAAGTGCGATAACTTGTGATGATTCAGGGAATGACTAGACAGGATGGGAAAATACCCACGTGTCTCTTTTCCTAGTCGCTGCTCCCTTTTCAGATGTACTAGGGCAGCGGGCAGGAGAATAGAAAGACCTGAGACAAACCCAGCACCCTCCTTCTAAGAAAACTGCGGTGCCCTGGTGAAAAGGGTTGGCTAAGAGGAAGGACTTACTAGTATCTTAGGGTTGCGGGAGAAAAAACTCAGTTCGACAGTTTATTGTATTGGCGATTCCAGTCTTGGAGTTTTCCCCTTAACCCTGTCTCTGCCTCTCCTCTTTACAGAGAATGAATTTAGCAGCAAAGCTCCCTACCAAAGTACTAACGCTGCACTGATGCTAATTTGAGATGAGCTGGGGCAGTGATTGTCTCTATTTTTTCATTATTAACATGCCAGAGGCTTATCCTCTGATGCAAGTCATCTGAAATTTCTGGATCAGAGCGGGGTGGGCTGTCACTGACGCACCTAAGACTGACCTTTCTATATCCAAGTAATGTCAGGGCACATCATTGTGGGAGGCTACAAATGCCAGGTCTCCATTTTGTAAAAAAGTAGGAGAGCCCTAAGTCACGCTCTTACCTAACATAAACCTTTCTTCCTACTTAATATTCCTGTTTTGCCCAGGTAGCACATGATGAGTGAGCAATCAGTGTTTGCCTGCCACAGAACTGGGAACAGAAGAAAGTGATTCACATGCTCTATATTTCTCAGGGAAAGACAGTTTTGGTCTTTGGTCTGGCTGTTGTGGGAAACGTATGGCGAGAGCTCTGGAAAAATCCTTAGAAAATTAAAAGCTTTTGTTGGGAATAGGTCTAAAAGGCTGAGCGGCTGTTTACCTAAGCTAGTACCAACCCCAGTGTGCCACCTGAAGTTTCTCAATTACATATTCATTAGTTTGTTTTCTGAGTTTTAAGGAGAGTAAGGGAGGCTGGGACATTAAACGTATTCACATTCATATGCTTTGTAACTTATCAGAGGACTTTTCTCCTGGAAGGGCTGCAGGATATAGTGGAAAGAGGGTATAGTCAGCTAGCTGAGAGATCTTGGGCATGTTTACATTATCTGGTACTCAGCTTTCTGTACTATAAAATCAGCAAAAATTACATTTTTTTTTTTTTTGAGGCGGAGTCTCGCTCTGTCGCCAGGCTGGAGTGCAGTGGCGGGATCTCAGCTCACTGCAACCTCCGCCTCCTGAGTTCAAGCAATTCTCCTGCTCTCAGCCTCCCAATTACATTATATTTAAGCTGTCTTAAGAACTGACACTGCACATAAAATGTGCTTGATTCGAGGAAGGCACTCAGTAAACATAGTCCCTTCTAGGGGCTTAAAGTCCTTGGTCTCTAAGAAGTGTATGGGAGAAGAGGAAATTATAACAGATGGGGTATTGAATATACAATATCAGCCTAAAAACGATAGACTTTGAATGAACTAGGATAACACCCCACATAAATTTATCACTGCATGGCTTAGACCAGTTCTCTTAGTGTTAATAGGTTCTGAGTCAGGAATTTTGGCTGCTACTGACTTGTGTGGCTTTGGGCAAGTTGCTTAACTTTTGTGCCTCTGTTTACTTACATATAAAATGGGGATAATAATACTTCCTGCATCGTGAGAGTGTTGTGAAAGTGCCTGCAGTCCTTAGATAAAAGGTGGTATGTGAGTACCAGAGTAGGTATTATTAGTCTATAAAGTGCCCTAGGAACCATGGATGAAAGAGATTATTGAGGTACAAAGCTCTGTGTTTTGTTATTATTATCATTTATTATACCTTTTGTCTTTACCATTCTCAATATTCCCGAAGATATATTTCACAGCCAGACTGCTTCCAACATTGCACCGAGGTATTTAGCTGAGTCAGTCCTAAATTGCAAGATGTTTGCATATCATCAATCTTTATGTATAGCGTTCTGATGAAATAATCCTCAAAGACTTGGAGCTTGGTTTCTCAACCTCAGCACTGTTACATTTGGGGCTGGATAATTCTTTGCTGTCCTGCCCATTGTAGGTTGTTTAGCAGCATCGTTGGCTTCTACCTATTAGATACCAATAAGAAACCCCCACCTGTATTGTGACATTGCCACATGGTCCCTGGGATAAAATTCTTCCCCGGTTGAGCACCTCTGAGTTAGCCTAAAATAACCAATTTTTAGCGACTCACTTGCCCTTAATAATAAAATGAAATATGATGATAATGCTGACAAAAACAGATTCATTTAAATATGTCAGAGTGAAACCTAGATGTTAGTCTTAATGATTTTGAGGAAGTGTATTATTATATGTATGGATAGCTAGTGTATTGGGAAGTAGCCATTTTGCCTTCAATGCAGGTATTTCTGGAACATATGCAATTCATCCTCTAACATCAAAATATTATATGTGCATAGGATAAAAAAATTACATACTTTAGTTCTACAAGGATTATAACAAAAAACAGCAATCCCCTCTCTACCTTATCCATTCTGAAAACCCTACCCAAAACTTTGAACTTTTTAACTGTTTCCATTAATAGAGATCTTCATATTTATTTTTTATGTGCATATCTGCTATTGTACATCTTGATTTTTCCATTTTTAGATATAGAAGAGGATTTAGCTCTAATACACTAATAACACATATACTTTTCTTTTCTTTTTCTTTTTTTTTTCTTTTTTTTTGAGATGGAGTCTCGCTCTGTCTCCCAGGCTGGAGTGCAGTGGCGCGATCTCGGCTCACTGCAAGCTCCGCCTCCCGGGTTCACGCCATTCTCCTGCCTCAGCCTCCTGAGTAGCTGGGACTACAGGTGGCTGCCACCACGCCCGGCTAATTTTTTTTTTTTTTTTTTTTTTTTTTTGCATTTTTAGTAGAGACGGGGTTTCACTGTGTTAGCCAGGATGATCTCGATCTCCTGACCTCGTGATCCACCCGCCTCGGCCTCCCAAAGTTCTGGGATTACAGGCATGAGCCACCATGCCCGGCCACACATATACTTTTCATACTCCTACACGCCCGTAGTATTATGACTATACAAATACTGTTCATAGCTGAGTCATGTGGTGTATATGATTGCATTTCTTTTTTTTTACAACTGTTTTTCCTTGTTGCACAACTATACCTTTTGTCTTTACCATTTTTCTGCAGTTAAAACTTGCCTCTTTTTTTTTCTTTAATCATCGGCTTATTTTTTTATATACCAGTCACAAGTATATACTCAAATTTTCCTCCTCTCAATGACGTTAATCACATTGGGTAAGCTATCAGTTCTATTCTCTTTTTGGAAACATCTGTTCTGGAGCCCTCCATCCCCTGCTTTAATATGGATTGATTTTGTTTGTTTGTTTGGAGACGGAGTCTCGCTCTGTTGGTGAGGCTGTAGTGCAGTGGCGCAGTCTTGGCTCACTGCAACCTCCGCCTCCTGGGTTCAAGCAATTCTCCTGCATCAGCCTCCAGAGTAGCTGGGAATACAGGCACATGCCACCACGCCCAGCTAATTTTTTGTATTTTAGTAGAGACGGGGGTTTCACCATGTTGCCCAGACTGGTCTCGAACTTCTGAGCTCAGGCAACCAGCCTGCTTTGGCCTCCCAAAGTGCTGGGATTACAGGTGTGAGCCACCGCACCTGGCCTAATCTGGACTGATTTTAAGGCTCGTTGCTTGTGGTCATCCTGGGATTATGCTCCTCTAACACCTTGAGAATCATTTTCTCTGTAGACTTCTTGTTTCCTGAATTGCATACTTTTCTCTTTTTGTTTCTCCCCTTCATTTTAGCAGAGTATATCCTCAGTATATTCTGAAGATAGTATAACTCATTCTTAGAGACCTTGCATATTGGAAAATGTTTTAAATTTATCTTCATACTTGATTAATAGTTTGGTGGAGCATAGAACTCTAGGTTAGAAAGCATTTTCCTTCATAATTTTGAAGGCATTGCTTTATTATCATCTAGTTTCCAGAGTTGCTGTTTAGAAGACCAGTGGCATTCTGATTGCATTGTATTTTCTGTCTCAAAATTTTTGGATCTTCTTACTTAGATCCTCTGAAATATCTTGAAGATATGCTCTGATTTGGTCTTTTATCATTATTATGTTATGCAGTCAGTGGACCCTTTTAATCAGCTATCTGCCTTCCAGTTAGGAAATTTTCTTATCCTCTTTCTTTTTCTTTGACATGGAGTCTCGCTCTGTCGCCCAGGTCAGAGTGCAGTGGCCTGATCTAGGCTCACAGCAACCTTCACCTTTCGGGTTCAAGCGATTCTCCTGCCTCAGCCTCCTGAGTAGCTGGGATTACAGGCACACACGCCTGGTTAATTTTTGTATTTTTAGTAGAGACGGGGCTTCACCATGTTGGTCAGGTTGGTCTTGAACTCCTGACCTCATGATCCACCTGCCTCAGCCTCCCAAAATGCTGGGATTAGAGGCGTGAGCCACCGTGCCTGGCCTATTCTCTTTCTTTTATAAGACTTTCCTTCTACTTTCTCTGTTCCTGCCTTCTGGAATTCCTGTTAAGTAGGTGTTGGAATGCTAGAAGTTCTCTAACAAATTTTTTCTCTTTTCTCTTTTATTTTTCATTTCCTTGGCATGTTATTCTACTTTTAGTGAAATTTCCTTCACTTTGTATGCCAGTTCTTCTATAGAATTTTCTGTTTCGGACACTATTTCTAATATCTCTTTCTTGTTCTCTAAATATTTTTTTCTGTAGCATCTTGGTCTTATGATACATATTGAGCATTTTGTCCTCTAAGCAAATTGCCTACATTTTTTGTTTGTTTTAATCTTCATCTTTCATGTTAGAGCACTTCCTCATCAGTTTATTCATATTTAAGACTGAAGCACTGCAAAGCTGATTGAAAGCTCTTATGTGAAAAGGAAGACCTTGTTGGACTGATGGGCCTCATTTAGGGAGCCGGTGTTTGGCCGCAGACATTTTCTGGAGGCATGTGTCAAATTCAGCATCTATGGAGCTTCTCTTTTGGCCCAATAATTTTCCTTGAGTAAAACTATTTCTGCTTGTGTTGTCAGTTGCCAATTTTTTCAGGTGCCAAGTAGGGAAAGAAGACTGGAGGAGTCTCATTACTCAATACGCAGGTTTTCACTTAATCCCTATACTTAGTATATCTGACGTACCCAATTTCAGTGCGTTTGTAATTCAACATCTGTACAATGTGAAAACTTCCAGTCCTCTGCCAGGATCAGGAGAGATAGTCTCCTTGCTACTGAGCCCTGCAGAAGGGATTTGAGAATCTAACTGTTCCTTGTGTAGATTTTCAACTAATCCTTCTGTTTTCATCCCCATCCTTCACTCTGTTTCAGAGGTATATGCTGCTGCCTCCAATTCTGAACCTTTCTTCAGGGATCTGCAGGACAAAAAAAGATTACTTCTTATTGGCTTTGTCTCTTGCAGGTTGTTAGAATTTACCTTACTCTGCTCTGCTAAAGCCTGTCTGCTTTCTATCTTTCATCTTCCAAAATTTTGTTCTTACTGTTCATCCTCTTTGTTGTTACTGGTTTATCATTTTACTTTGGTTTTAGTGAAGTTACTTGAGGAAGTAAAGATAAACACGTGTGTTCAGCCTGTTATATTTAATAGGAAGTCCAATTCATCTGTTTTGCAGATTTCTAGATACTTTGCAATCTACTCCATAAGTCCAGATCAGCAGAGACGTCTACATCTTATTTCTGTCCTCAGTGATTTACATCATAAGCCCATATTGATTGACACTATAAGAAAGAGCTCTAAAAATTTGTTTTATTTTCTGTAGGCTTTTTTTGAAGGTGTGGCCCATTATATTACATATATTCCTATTATCAAAAACCTAGAAAACATTTCTGACATCCATATTAAGAATAGATGTGGTTCTCTTTTGGAACTTTTTTTAACCATATAGTAAAACTATTTTTCATATAGCTAGTGAATATTCTGTTTTCAATTGCCTGTAGGTAATCTTAGACCAGATTTTTGGCCTATCCAGGGAAGACCTAGATTTTATGGTGCCTGAAGCTTACATAATTTGGTGGACTTTCTATAAGAAAAATAATCCGTAAGAAAATAAATATTTAGAATAAGTGAGAAATTTTTTTAAATTACAAATTTTAACAAATTGAAAAATGCCATAAATATCACAAAAATCCAGGAAAAAACCCTATTCATTTACTCTCTGACATATTTCTATGCCATTTTGTATGCATTTTATTATTGATTTTATTACTTATTGATGCATAAAGTACATGTCTTTACATGCAGATATATCCACTATTTGTAGTACAAGTATATAGGTTTATGCATCACAAACACAAGAACTCTTATAAATTGTACATCAAAAAAAATCTACTTCAAAAAGGAAAATAATGTATAGGCCATTCATAATTTTATACTCAGCATTATATCATATATTCCAGATAGGAAAGAATATCTATTCCTGATAGGAAAGTATATCAAATGCCAATGAAAACCTAATTCTCTGCTTATTTTACATGTCTCATGATTGGAAGAATTTCCCACAGACTGGTTTTAGTGCCATCAGACTATACCACTCTCTACAAGGAGCAACTCATTGTTCCTGTTGTCAGCCTACTTCCAAGTCACTCTTACTTACTGAGGACTTTAACTGCTAGCTAACCTTCTTTCTCCCCACTCCTCTTTATGTCCAGTTCTTAGTGATAACATCTACAAAGATAATTTATCCAGTCTCCTGGCATCTCAGATACTTGACCTCCTCACTCCAAATAACATTTTTCCTCTTTACCCCCTCTTCAGCTAGATATCTCTTGACTTTGTCATCATCAATAAGTACATCTTCAAAATCTCAGTTCTGAACATTCCATTTTCAACCACTACCACCTAACTCTTCAGCACACTTCCTCTCATACCCCCACTCCAACCATTTTTTGATCTATTGATCCTACTAATTTTTCATTATCCTTCCTTTCCATGTCCTAACTTCCTTACTAGGCTTTAGTTCTAAAGTTTATAATTATTAGCCTCTTCTGTGTATACCTGCTCACCTAAAGAAAGATAGTTAAAAACACTATGGCATGCTTCCTAACCCAACTTTAATGCATGTCCATAGTCTTAACTAGGCAGTCCATACTATCTGGCAATCCTAGTAAGCTTGCTTTCCTGTACTCCAAAATGACTAGTTTATATCAGTCTTTTAAGCCTCCAATACCTCCTTATACCAACCTCACTCTCAGTTGATGAGCTTGCCTTCACACTTCACTGACTCTAAAATAGCACCACTCAGAGTAGGGCTTATCTGCCCAAGACAGCTTTACCCATCTTCCTGCATCTAGATCTACTCTCTGCCTTCTTAATTAAATGAAGTTATCTGCTCCTCTTAAAGGCTGTCCTGCCACCTGTATCTTTCCCCTTTTGAGGGTTTTGCTTCTACAATTATACTCTCATGCATAATCAGTTTCTTCTCTATTAAATCATTCCCTTCAGCATACAAATGAGCTCTAGTAATTCCCTCTGTATTAGTTTTCTCTTTGTTGTCGTAACAAAGTTCCAAAGACTTAGCATCTTTAAAAGAAAAATCCCACCTTTATCATCTTACAGTTCTGTAGGATAGAAGTGCTACCTGGATCCCACTGGGCTAAAACCAAGAAACTGGCAAGGCTGCATTCCCTTGTGGAAGTTCTTGAGAACAATCCATGCTCTTGCCCTTTCCAGCCTCTAGAGGCCACGCACATTCCTGGCTGGTGGTCCTCTTCTCTCAAAGCAAATAATGGTGCATCTCTCGGCCTTTCTTCCATAGACACATCTCTCTAGGATTCTCTCTTTTGCCTCTATGTTCTACTTGTAAGGATCATTGGGACCACCTGAATAATCCAAGATAATCTCCTTATTTTAAGGTCAGGTGACTAGCAACTATAATTCTATCTTCAACCTTAATTTCCCTTTGCCATGTAGCTTAATGCATTCAGAAGTTCCAGAGATTATAGTCTGGAAGTTGTTGGAGGCCATTATCTACTTACTATGCCCCCTTAAAGAAATAAACTTCCCTTGACTCCAGAATCTAATCTGGTCAATGTTATAATTCACTGTCAAAATTTTTGGAAGGGTTATCTTTAGTCACTGTTGATATTTCCACCCTTACCATTCTTTCTATAATAATTTCCAAATGGTCATTAGTCCTCACCACTCCACTTATTATTCACCACTCCTGTCAAAATTATCAATAAGCTTCATATCTTTTTTATCCTACCTAACCTTTCTGTATTATTCAGCACAAATGACTCCCTCATTTTTAAAATCCTCCTTCTTGTAACTTTTTAAAAATCACCAAAAAAGTTTTATTTTGTCCTCCAACTTCATTGGATGCTCCTTCTCAGCCTCCTTTACCCACTCCTCCCCATCTGCTTAATCTGTGAAAACTAAAGTCTTCTCAGTAGTTAATCACTGGCCCTCTTTTCTTCTCATGCAACACTTTATCCCTAGGTGAATCCATGGAATACCATGGCTTTAGGAGTCACTCTCATATCCCATTTGCCAGTTTGACATCTGTATTCGTCAGGGTTTCCTAGAGTGACAGAACTAATAGGATAGATGTATATATGAAG
Source organism: Homo sapiens (assembly GCF_000001405.40). Lineage (NCBI taxonomy): Eukaryota > Metazoa > Chordata > Mammalia > Primates > Hominidae > Homo > Homo sapiens. The sequence continues at coordinate 79,700,049 of NC_000012.12, forward strand.
GGGAGTTTATTAAGGAGTACTAACTCACATGATCACAAGGTGAAGTCCCACAATAGGCCATCTGCAAGCTGAGGTGCAAGGAAGACAGTCTGAGTCCCAAAACCTCAAAAGTAGGGAAGCCAACAGTGCAGCCTTCAGTCTGTGGCCAAAGGCTCGAGAGCCCCTGGCAAATCACTGATATAATTCCAAGAGTCCAAAAGCTGAAGAACTTGGAATCGATGTTCAGGGGCAGGAAGCATCCAGGATGTGAGAGAGATGAAGGCCGGAAGACTCAGCAAGTCTGCTCTTCCTTCTTCTGCTTGCTTTATTCTAGCAGCAGCTGATTAGATGGTGCCCACCCAGTTCAAGATGCGGCCTGCCTCTCCCAGTCCACTGACTCAAATGTTAATCTCCTTTGGCAGCACCATCACAGACACACCCAGGAGCGATACTTTGCATCCTTCAATCTGGTCAAGTTGACATTCCATATCAACCATCAAAACATCTTCATATGGATGTCTTCTCAAAATGAACATGACCAAAAAAAACTTCCATCCATTTCTCCATCTGCCCCTACCTTATTTCTCTCTCATTTCTTTCCCATCTTGGTAAATGGTCTCACCATCCATCCAACTGTTCAAGCAAAAATCTACAAGACTTCTTTGATTCATCTCTTCCTTACCCCATAAATCCAATTCACCATTCTATCAGCTCCCATTCCAAAATATATTCGATCCTCACAACAAAAAGAATGTTCTTCTCAAAATGTAATCAGACCATGTGACTCCCTTGTTCTCAGCCCTCTATAAGTCCCTATTTCACTTAAAATCCAAATTCCTTTCATTGGCCTTTAAGACCCTGTATGATCTGGTTCCTGCTTTCACCTTTAATGTTGATTCTGATGACTCGCCCTCTTTTCATTAAACTCAGCTTTTTGTCTGTTCCTAAAATATTCAAAGCTCATTCCTGCCTTGGTGCTCCTGCACTGCTTAGAAGCATTTGCCCCCAGATCTAGCTATACCTATCATTGAGGTCTCAGTTCAACTGTCACCTCCCCAAAAAAAGCCTTCTCTGATCACCCAATCTAAAAAAGCCAAATTCTCCACCCTAAACCTCAATCACTATTGTATTGCCATTTTATAGTATTTATAATACTATCACCACTAGAAATTATTCATATGTTTATTGGCAGCCTCTCCCACTCTAGAATATAAGCATACTGAAACAGACATCTTGCCTATTGCCTTCACAGCTGTATTCCCAGCACCAGTAACTCGCGATAAACATTAGGCATTCAACTTAATCTGAGTTCTATGGATAGACTTAGAAAGGTCTACAAATCAAGTAAGGAAAAAAAAAGCTTAGATTCCCCTTCGGCGTCTTCCTATTTGTTTTAAATTTGTCTGAATACAAAGAAAGTTATTTTTATTGTCAATTTATGACTTAATAGACTACTAATAGATACAGAGGCTGAGAAGGAGCATACAATTTTGATATCATGTTATCTGTCTGTTATTAGGAATTTAACATATGCTGCCCTTAAAATAATGGGCATCTACCTTTGTTTACATCAAGCATAGCTTAAGTTGGAAAATATCAAAGTAAAGAAGGTTCTACAAAGGCGGGTAGGATTATGGTGGTCCAAAGCAGTTAACGTTGACTTCAGGCATTTCTAAGTTACATGACCTTGGGCAAATTACCTAATTTCTCTGCCACAATATTTACCTCACAGATTATTGGGGGTATTAAATGAAATTTATCCTTTGAGTTTGCTTTTTTAAAAAAAAAAAAAAAGAAAAATAGGGTTTTGCTCTATCACCCAGGCTGGAGTGCAGTAGCATGGTCATTGCCCACTGCAGCCTCAAACTCCTGGGCTATACCAGTCCTCCTGCCTCAGCCTCCCAAGTAGCTAGGACCACAGGTGCATACCACCATGCCCAGCTAATTATTATTATTATTATTGTTATTATTATTATTATTATTTATGGAGACAAGGTCTAGCTGTGCTGCCCAGTCTGGTCTCAAACTCCTGGCTTCAAGTGATCCTCCTGCCTCAGCCTCCCTTATTTAACTTTTGACATAACCACTGAACATACTGAGACACGAAAGCCATAGCAGTTTTAATACAGAAAGATTCTTGCCAACAAAATCAGATTTCAACAAAGCTAAAAGATCATATTCCACCTTGTAAGTATACAGCCAAAGAAGAAAATAAGAGTTCCTTATGATACCAGAAAAAGGGGAAATGTCTTAAGGCATCAAAGCCAAGACTGAACAATTTGACTACTTTTTTTTTCTTTTTTCTTTTCTTTTTTTTTTTTTTGAGAGAGTCTTGCTCTATCACCCAGGCTGGAGTGCAGTGGTGTGATCTTGGCTCACCGCAACCTCCACCTCCCGAGTTCAAGCGATCCTCATACCTCAGCCTTCTGAGTAGCTGGGACTACAGGTGTGCACCACCACGCCCAGCTAATTTTTGTATTTTTAGTAGAGATGGTTTCACCATATTGGCCAGGCTGGTCTTCAACTTCTGACCTCAAGTGCCCTGCCTGCTGCAGCCTCCCAAAGTGCTTGGATTACAGGTGTGAGCCACCACACCTGGCCCTGACTACATTTTTAAAAGTGACAATAGGCAGGGCAGTGGTGGCTAACGCCTGTAATCCCAACACTTCAGGAGGCCGAAGTAGGAGAATTGTTGAGGCCAGGAGTTCAAGACCAGCTTGGTCAGCATAGCAAGACCCTGTTTCTATAAAAAAAAAAAAAGAGAGAGAGAGAGAAATTAGGTGGTGGTGTGCGCCTGTAGTTCCAGCTTCTTGGGAGGATTGCTCGAGCCTAGGAGTTTGAGGGTACAGTGAGCTAAGATCACACCACTGCACTCACACCTGGGTGACACAACGAGACCTTGACTTAAAGAAAAAATTGACAACAAACAAAGTAAAAAGACAAGTCACATATTGAAAGCAGAAATTTGCCTGGCATATAATATAAAGAGAATGATTAATATTGAAAGAACTGTAACAAATCATTGAGGAAAAAAGCAACGATGTTTTAAAAATGGTCTAATCACACTTGTAATCCCAGTGACTCTGGTGGCTGAGGGAGAATTGCTTGAGGCCAGGAATTTGAGACCAGCCTGGGCAACATAACAAGACCCCATTCCCAAAAATAACAATTTTAAAAATTAGTTGGGTAGTGTAGCCCATGCCTGTAGTCCCAGCTACTTGGGAGGCTGAGGCAGGAGGATCACTTGAGCCAGGCAGTTGAAGGCTACAGTGATGAGCTATGATTGCACCACTGCACTCCAGCCTGAGTGACAGAGTAAGACCCTGACTCTTAAAAAAAAAGAAAAAATTGACTTAAGAATATGAATAGTCCATTCATAGGAGAAGAAACTGAATGGCAGATAAATACAGGAAAATATACACAAATGTCAAAATAAAACAAAAAGTACCCTTTTATACCTATTGTATTATCCAAAGTTAATGTCTGATAATGCCAAGTGATGGTGGGCAAATGGAGGGAAAACTCAGCACTGAGTATAAATTGATCCAACTATTTTGGAAAACTTTTGGCAATACTTAAGTTGAAGATGTAATTTTCCAACAACTCAACAACTGCATACTTAGATGTCTACCCTAGAGAAATCCTGATATATACACAAGGACACATGGACATAAATATTTATTGTGGCCAGGCACAGTGGCTCATGCTTGTAATCCTAGCACTTTGGCAGCCCAAAGCGGGAGAATTGCTTGAGCCTGGGAGTTCAAGACTAGCCTGGGCATCATGGCAAAACCCCATCTCTACAAAAAGATAAAAAATTAGGCAGGAGTGGTGGTGCACCCCGTAGTCCCAGCCACTTGGGAGGCTGAAGCAGGAGGATCACTTGAGCCTGGGAGGTGGAGGTTGCTGTGAACCGTGATCACGCCACTGCACTCCAGCCTGAGTGAAAGAGTGAGACTCCATCTCAAAAAAAAAACAAAAAACGTAGCACGAATTTTCAACTTTTAGTTTTAGAATGGATATATACAGTTTTTTAAAATAGAACATGTGATAGCATCTCAGAAACATGTTTAAAAACTAGTTTCAAGTGCATATGGAAAGTATGATACCATTCATACAAATTTCTAAAATGTACAAACAATATGAATATTGTTGACAGATAGATATTTTTGTAATAAAAACACAAGCACACAAAATTCAGTTTATTAGTTGCTTCTTAGGACAGATGGAGAGAAAAAGCTATAGGAGCTGTAATGTTTTATTGTTTATAATGTTTTATTTCTTTAAAAAGAAAGCTCTAAGATAAATGTAAAATGTTAACATTTGTTCAATTTGAATAGGGCAAGTACATAAACTTATCTTTGTACTTTTGTATGTTTGAAACTTATATTATCTTCTGTACTTTTGTATGTTTGAAATATAGGATTCAAAGTAATGTTTAAAAGAAAAGACCTGGCCAGGCGCGGTGGTTCACGCCTGTAATCCCAGCACTTTGGGAGGCTGAGGCAGGCGGATCACCCGAGGTCAGGCGTTCAAGACCAGCCTGGCCAATGTGGTGAAACACCGTCTCTACTAAAAATGCAAAAATTAGCTGGGCATGGTGGCATGTGCCTGTAGTCCCAGCTACTCGGGAGGCTGAGGCAGGAGAGTCGCTTGAACCCAGGAGGCAGAGGTTGCAGTGAGCCGAGATCGCGCCACTGCACTGGAGCCTGGGTGACAGAGCGAGACTGTGTCTCAAAAAAATAATAATAAATAAATAAATAATAAAAGAAAATACCTGGACTTACAATAATCATTTCATAAGAAAACATTGTATTTTAAAAGGCTGCAACTTTAACAAAATTAAACTTGTCCCAACTTGTCTTGGGGCAAACTTAAAATGTCAGTATTTTTCTAACAAGCAAAAAAAAAAAAAAAAAAAAAAAACCCACACAAAATTGGAGAAAATTTAATGAAACCACATGCCCTGGAAATATTTGAATTGGTTTGTGGCCTGGCGCAAAAGAAGAAAACTGAAGCCATGCCAATTTTAAAGTTATAACCTCTTTTTGAATAACTGATCTTTCTTCTAATATTTGGAAACAGATCCCTAAACTGGCTCCTAAACTGCTTTACTTCAACAGGCATACAGCTGGGCAAAACTGCAATGCCTCTCATTTTAACCAGCTCTTGATTGTCACCTTTTATTTGTGCACTGGTGCCACTGAAGAAGTATTCCAATTGTTCTGATTTCCTTTTGGAAACTTGACAAGCCACTGCCATTTTCTTTCTTTCTTTTCTTTTTTTTTTTTTAAGACAGAGTCTTGCTCTTGTTGCCCAGGCTGGAGTGCAATGGCACGATCTTGGCTCACTGCAACCTCGGCCTCCTGGGTTCAAGCGATTCTCCTGCCTCAGCCTCCAGAATAGCTGGGATTACAGGCACCTGCCACCATGCCTGGCTAATTTTTATATTTTTAGTAGAGGCGGGGTTTTGCCATGTTTGCCAGGTTGGTCTCAAACTCCTGACCTCGTGATCCACCTGCCTTGGCCTCCCAAAGTGTTGGGATTACAGGCGTGAGCCACTCCGCCCAGCCGCCACTGCCATTTTCAAAATGGTGAAAACATGTCTTTGTCAAGGAAGATGTTGTAGACGGAATGTTTTGGTTTTCTGGGCACAGATTGAGCACCTGAGAGTCTCAGTAACACACCTGGTTTGGCTGCTTTGCTGAAGACACTCCGTACATTGTGACTTGTTGCTCTCACCATCAACAGGAATTGGGCTGTGCAAGCAATTCTGAAAGAAGTGTTGTCTACTGCTGTGAAAGTCATCAACTTTATCAGACCCCAGTCCTGACCCCAGCCTTTTCAAGAAATTTTGTCTAGAAAAAAGATCACAGTAGAAAATTATTCTCTATTGCACATAGTTTACTGACTTTCCAAGGAACAAATGGTAAAGTATGTAACTGAACTTCATGGGGGCAGAGGGAAAGCAGGTAACTGATCAGAACGGTTTAGGAGTTCTTTCATGGTTTTGTTACATCATAGATGTTTTTGGTCACAAGACTCAGATAAATTTTTTGATTCAAGATCGTAGAGTATTATGTATGCTGCTAAAAGAACCAACTCTTATAGCTCAGCCATCGTTTCTTTAGTTCCTACCTAATGGAGATGGGTTATAAACTTCCCAGCATGGAGGAAGGACTTTCTATTGTCTGAAGCCCATTGAGAAAGTCTTATTCATTTCTCTGCAAGCAGATGTCTTCAACACCTGAAACACCACAGAATTCTTTTGAGTGTTACTTGTGCTCAGATGATTCATGTTTAATGAGTACCTCACCAAAGATGGCTCCATTGATTTACAATGGTTATGATGAGATATGAATTCAATTCAGTCTTGGAGTTTTGACCTATATGAGTCAATGTGTTCAGTACTTCTTGCCATGCAAACAAAAAAACAACTGGATGACATAGATGATGTAACATCTAGATTTTAATCTAAAACATAGATTCAAATCAGAAGGATTTTTTCACTGGAATTCACTATTGAGCAAAGTAAAGGTTGCCTTTTATTGACACACTTGAATTTAAATTACTGAAGATAATATTTTGCATAACATAATTTATAGCAGTAATTTTTTGATTACGACAAGCAGGACACTATGCTAATCACTGCATATATAGTGTATTAGTTCATTCTTACATTGCTATAAAGAAATACCTGAGGTTGGGTAATTTATAAAGAAAAAATGTTTCATTGGCTCATGGTTTTGCAAGCTGTAGAGGAAGCATGGTGCCAGCATATGCTGGGTTTCTGGTGGGGGCCTCAGGGCGCTCTTACTCATGGCAGAAGGTGACGGGGATACAGCATGTCACATGGTGAGAGTGGAAGTAAGAGAGAGAAGGGGGAGGTCTCAGACTCTTAACTGGATCTCACATGATTTAACTGAGCAAGAACTCACCTATGACCAGGCAAAGATGCTAAGCCATTCATGAGGGATCCTACCCCAAGATCCAATCCCCTCCCACCAGTCTCCACCTCCAACATTGGGAATCACGTTTCAACATGATATTTAGAGAGGACAAACATCCAAACCATATCCATGTTTAACCCTGTAACAGTCCTATGAGAGGAGCATTAGTATTACTTTTCTTGGACTGATCAGAGCAGTGAGACATAGAGAGATTAAGTAGCTTGTCCTGTGTTACACAGCTAATACATGATAAAGCCAAATATTTCAGCACATTTGTGTGATTCCAGAGCCCATCTTTAGATTATACATAAAAGGAATCAATTTTCTGGGCAATAAAATACACAGAATACAAACACCACAGTTTCTGTACATTTTTCTCTAAAAGATTTGCTTTGATTTCTTCAAAATTTCAGGGCTTCATAATCAGCAAAAGACAATCACTCATCTAGACAAACCACATAATTTGAGCTCCTTAAAGAGTCTTTCTCTCTCTTTTTTTTTCTCCTCCCTCTTTTTGCATCACAGTGTCTGGAGTACAGCAGGTGCTATATGTATAAATATTTGTCAAATGGCATACAATCAGGATGGCTGTCCTGAGGCGGCCCCAGAAACAAGCTCACTGTCTCCTAGGGCTGTACTTGGGATGTGAGGGCAGTTTGTGGTGGGGAAGTATTCCTTGGTATATGTACCATAGCCGGTGTTTGACCTTCAGTCTTGCAGCTTCAGAACTTTTGATTTTATCCATTTGAAGAGCCTATTATTGATGGCTCAGGGACACAGTTACATTAATGTTGACAGTTTGCCTGATATATCAGAGCCAAATAATTCATTGATCTATAATGAAAAACATGAAGGTCAGAAACACAGGACTGTTAAAGTTGTTACGATCAGCATGTGTTCTCCAAGAAGGCAGACCTACATGGGAATGAAAGCATAACTGGAGTTTACCTGGTAAATATGAAGAATGAACAAGAGGGGTTGATTAGAGGATTCCAGTGTTTACTGGACTCAGCTAAGAGAGCCTAAGGCATCCATCTCCATAAATAAGGAAAGCCCTGCCAAAGTGCATAGAGCAGAATTGCTCTCCCCAGGACCTTTGCCATCCAACTGTTTGCTAAGGAGGCCAACCAACGCTGCTACGATGAACACATTCATTCTTTGTATATGCTAATTATTTTAGTCTGGTTATGGTCATGTTTTATTGGTCAGATCTCTTTTAGGTGAATTTGCATATCTCTGTAAAATCCATTTTTTCAACTTTTCAAAGTTCAGTTCTTCCAAGGCAATTTTATTGGTGGGTGTTCTACTATAACTTTAGTGTACTAATGACTAACATTTTTGAAGGCCACTCAAAAGAGGTCTAGTCCCTTTATCTTCCATTGAAAATTGCTCCTAATTTTAAAGTCAATATGTAAACCACATGAAGAAAATAATTACAGTCCTTCACTCAATAAACATTTTGGGGGCATACTTACTGTGTGCCAGCCTTGCTCTATGCAAGTTACTGTTCTAGGCAATGACATACAAAGAGGAATGATAGCTCCAACTTCAAGGAACTTGCAGGTGTGTAAACACATATGTAAATAAAAACAAGATCATAAAAGAATATCTATACAAAAAAGACTTGTAAACAAAATGATATTCAGTTCTAAACAGAAATATGAACAAATTACTGTGGGAAGCACAGAATGAAAAAAGAGATGGCTTCACCAAGAATAAATAGATTTTTTCAAATAGACAAGATAGGGAAATGCTTCTAACAGATGAAACCATTCATGCAAGCCCACAAAGATGTAAAGTGCCTACAAGGAATGGGGAAGGTGGTGCCCTGGAAGGCCGGAAGTGGGAACAAAGATGGGTTAGAGGAGACACGGGCATAAGGATGAGTCTAAATTCTTCAGGGCCAGAGGTGCAGGAGACCTTTCCTACCTCCCTGGAATACTCAACTCTCCTTACTTGCCTCCTGTACCTCTGGCTATTAATTTTCTGTCTCTTTCAGAAGCTTCAGTTTTCCTCAGTTCATTCTTTAAATCAGCAATTTAAAAAATAAGTTTTTGAATGCATAATGCATGTATGTAGCACAATATTCAAAAGCTATAAGGGCAAAGTGGAAAAAATCCTATTCCCGATAGCTAGCCACGCAGTTCTGCTCTCCTGCTTCCTGAGACAATCACTGGACCAGCTTCCTGCACATCCTCCCAAAAAGTCTCTACATAGGCAAGCATATACGTGTATGCATGTGTGTATGTGTGTGTGCATAGGTGTGTATGTAAGTTTTTCATATATAATTATTCACATGGAGAATAGAATATTAATGTATCTTGAATTCTTCACTCTAAAATAGATTTTGAATATCTTTCCATTTTGATTCATTATTTTATTCATTTATTTGACAAGTATTTACTCAATGCCTACCATGTGCCAGGCACTCATGTGGTGAAGATACAGCAGAGGACAAAATAGGCTAAATCTCTGTCTTATGGAACTGACATTCTAGTAGAAAAGTTGCAGGAAAAACAGACAAAAACTGAATAAGCAATGAAATATATATAGTAAGCCAGGTTGTGATAAGAGCTGTGGAGAAAAATAAAGCTGGAAGAGTAGAAGTTGAAGAGTGGCTGTGAGGATCTAAAGGATGCAGACAGCGAGCGAGAGACTTTATTGTTTATTGGTCCAGTAGCATTCTATGATTATACCACAATTTGTATAATCAGCCTCCTTCTGATAAACATTTACATTGTTTCTAATATTTTGCTGTTCCAGTGATAAATTTGTATACAAGTCATCGGATACATTTGAGAGTATATTTGTAGATTAAAATCCTAGAGGTGGAATTGCCATTTCAAAGGGTCTGTGCAGATTGATTGACTGATTGATTTTTGAGGCAGTCTCGCTCTGTCACCCAGGCTTGAGTGCAGTGACACAATCTCGGCTTACTGCAGCATCCACCTCCTGGGTTCAAGCAATTCTCCTGCCTCAGCCTCCCAAGTAGCTGAGGCTACCAGCATGCACAACCACACCAGGCTAATTTTTGTATTTTTAGTAGAGACAGGGTTTCACCATGTCGGTCAGGCTGGTCTTGAACTCCTGACCTCAGGTGATCCACCCACCTTGTCCTCCCAAAGTGCTGGGATTACAGGCGTGAGCTACCGCGCACAGCCTGCAGTTGTAATTTTAACAGATATTGCCAAATTGCTCTATTTTCTGTAAGCTTTCTGTTCATATTCTTTAAAAAAAATTGTTCAAATTTTTGCATGCACGTGTGTGTGTGTGTGTGTGTGTGTGTGTGTTAGGGGATTGCTTTTGTTTGCTTTTTTTTTTTTTTTTTCATTTTTGATTTGTAGGAACTACTTAGTAAGGAATTTAGCTCTTTGTCTGAGATGTGGGTAGTAAATATTTTACCCAATTTGTCAGTTCTCTTAACTAGGTTTACAATGCATGAAGAAAACGTTTATTGTCTTGTAGTTCAATTAAACAGTCTTTTTATGGCTTCGTAATTTTTTTTTAATCTGCAATGTTTTCTTCTAGTACTTTCACAGTTTTTAACACTTATGTGCTTAGTTCATCTGAAATTCATTCTGTATGAGGTGTGAGGCATGACTCCTGACATGGTTTGGCTCTGTGTCCCCACCCAAATCTCATCTTGAATTGTAATCCCCATGTGTTGAGGGAAGGACCTGGTGGGAGGTGACTGTATCATGGGGGCAGTTTTCCCCATGCAATTCTCCTGATAATGAAGGAGTTTTCATGAGCTATTGAGAGGCGACAGCATGCTGGCTGCCCTTGCAGCCCTCGCTGACTCTTGGTGCCTCCTTGGCCTCGGAGCCCACTCTGGCCGCGCTTAAGGAGCCCTTCAGCCCGCTTAAGGAGCCCTTCAGCCCGCCGCTGGACCGAGAGAGCCCTCCTCTGGGCTGGCTGAGGCCGGAGCCCGCTCCCTCGGCTTGGGGGGAGGCGTGGAGGGAGAGGCACTGGCGGGAACCGGGGCTGCGCATGGCGCTTGCGGGCCACCTGGAGTTCCGGGTGGGCGTGGGCTTGGCAGCCCGCACTCGGAGCGGCTGGCCGGCCCTCCCGGCCTGGGCAGTGAGGGGCTTAGCACCCGGGCCAGCAGCTGTGGAGGGTGCGCCGGGTCCCCCAGCAGTGCCGGCCCACCGACCCTGCGCTCGATTTCTTGCTGGCCCTAGCTGCCTCCCTGTGGGACAGGGCTCAGGACCTGCAGCCCGCCATGCCTGAGTCTTCCCCGACCCCCAACGCCCTGGGCTCCTGCGCAGCCTGAGCCTCCCCAGGAGCGCCGCCCCCTGCTCCACAGCGCCCTGTCCCATTGACCGCCCAAGGGCTGAGGAGTCCGGGCGCACGGCGCGCGGGACTGGCAGGCAGCTCTACCTGCGCTCCCGGTGCGGGACCCACTGGGTGAAGCCAGCTGGGCTCCTGAGTCTAGTGGGGACTTGGAGAACCTTTATGTCTAGTTAAGGGATTGTTAATACACCAAGCGGCACTCTGTGTCTAGTTCAAGGTTTGTAAATGCACCAATCAGTGCTCTGCGTCTAGCTGATCTGGTGGGGACTTGGAGAATCTTTATGTCTGGCTAAGGGATTGTGAATACACCAATCAGTACTCTGTGTCTAGCTCAGGGTTTGTAAATGCACCAATCAGCACTCTGTATCTAGCTAATCTAGTGGGGAGGTGGAGAACTTTTGTGTCTAGCTCAGGGATTGTAAACGCACCAATCAGCACCCTGTCAAAAAGGACCACTCAGCTCTCTGTAAAACACACCAGTCAGCTCTCTGTAAAATGGGCCAATCAGCAGGATGTGGGTGGGGGCCAGATAAGGGAATAAAAGCAGGCTGCCCGAGCCAGCAGTGGCAACCCGCTCTGGTCACCTTCCACCGTGTGGTAGCTTTGTTGTTTCACTGTTTGCAATCCACCTTGCTATTGCTTACTCTTTGGGTCCACACTGCCTTTATGAGCTGTAATACTCACTGCGAGGGTTTGCAGCTTCACTCCTGAAGCCAGCCAGACCACGAACCCACCGGGAGGAACGAACAACTCCAGACGCGCTGCTTTAAGAGCTGTAACATTCACTGCGAAGGTCTACAGCTTCACTCTTGAAGCCAGAGAGACCACGAACCCACCAGAAGGAAGAAACTCCGAACACATCCGAACAGCATAAGGAGCAAACTCCAGACACGCTGCCTTTAAGAACTGTAACACTTACCGCTAGGGTCCGCGGCTTCATTCTTGAAGTCAGTGAGACCAAGAACCCACCAATTCCAGAAACGATATGATGGTTTTAAAACTGGCAGTTTTTCCTGCTCACTCTGTCTCCTGTCTCCATGTAAGACGTACTCTGTTTCCCCTTCACCTTCTGCCATGAGTTTAAGTTTCCTGAGGTCTCTCCAGCCATGCGGAACTGTAAGTCAATTAAACCTCTTTTGTTTATACATTACCCAATTTCAGGTAGTATCTTTATAGCAGTGTGAGAATGGAATAATACAGCTCCAATTCTTTTTTTTCCAACTGCTACCCAGTTGTCCCAACCCTATTTATAGAACAATTTATCTTTTCTCCGCAATTTTGAAGTCCTACTTTTTTCATCTGCCAAATTCAAATAAGCATTTTGGTCCAATTTGGATTTTTTATTTAACTCTATTGATATGACTACTCGGTTATGCAACAAATATGTATTAAATGTGTCAGGCATTGTTCTATACATTATCAGTACCACATTTTGCAATGTTTTAGCTTATAAAATATATTTTACTGTCTGGTAGAGAAATGCATCTCATTTTACTTATTTTTAAAGAGTTTTCCTGGCGTTTCTTATTTGTTTTCCGTTTGAACTTTAGAATCAGTTTATCTGGTTCCCAAATAATTTGGTATTTTTATTGGGATTACACTACATTTATAGATTGATTTAGGAAGATTGACATGGTTGTCATGCTAAAATTTCCTGAACGAGAACAATATGGGTCTTTTGAAACATCTTTTTTGTGTTTCCTTAGGTAGTGTTTTAATTTTCTTCACACGAATCTTTCACATTTCCTATTTTATTTTTTTCAGCTTTTTTTTTTTTTTTTTTTTTTGTGAGACAGGGTCTCACTCGTCACCAGCCTGTGCAATGGCGTGATTTCGGCTCACTGCAACCTCCGCCTCCCTGGTTCAAGCAATTCTACTGCCTCAGCCTCCCAAGTAGCTGGGATTACAGGCGTGTGCGCCACTGTGGCCAGCTAATTTTTGTATTTTTATTATCTATTTGTTTATTTTGAAACAGAGTCTCACTCTGTCACTAGGCTGGAGTGCAGTGGCACGATCTTGGCTCACTGCAACCTTCGCCTCCTGGGTTCCAGCGATTATCCTGCCTCAGCCTCCCGAGTAGCTGGGACTACAGGCTTGCACCACCATGCTCAAGCTAATTTCTGTCTTTTTAGTAGAGACAGGGTTTCACCATGTTGGCCAGGATGGTCTCGATCTCTTGACCTCGTGATCTGCCCGCCTCGGCCTCCCAAAGTGGTGGGATTACAGGCGTGAGCCACTGCGCCTGGCCTTTTTGTATTTTTAATAGAGACGGGGTTTTGCCATGTTGGCCAGGCTGGTCTCAAACTCCTAGCCTCAAGTGATCTGCTGTCCTCGGCTTCCCAAGGTGCTGGGATTGCAGGGATGGGCCACCATGTTCAGCCGTGTCTTTTTTTCAGCTTTTTAAAAATTATTTTATTGTTTCTGACAGTTTTTCATTTGGTTCTTTTTAGTTTTCCAGATAATCATAGCATCAACAAATGACAATTTTGCTTTACTTTTTCCAATTTCAATTTTATTTATTTCTGTTATCTAATTGTGTTGGCTGAATAACAATGGTGATAAAGAAGCTCCTTTGCTTATTATTGATATTAATGGGAATGCTACTCTGCTACAAGCTTCTTTGTTATAGTTAGAAACAAAAGTCTGTGGCCAGGTGCTGTAGCTCATGCCTGTAATCCCAACACTTTGGGAGGCTGAGGTGGGAGGATCGCTTAGCTCAGGAGTTCAAGACCCACCTGGGCAACATAGAAAGATCTCATCTCTACTAGAAATTTAAAAAAAAAAAAATAGCCAGACATGGTGGCATGCACTTGTAGTCCCAGCAACTCAGGAGGCTGAGGTGGGAGAATTGCTTGAGCCCAGGAAGTTGAGACTGCAGTGAGCTGTGATCATGCACTGCACTCCAGCTTAGGCAACAGAGCGAGACCCTGTCCAGAGAAAGAGAGAGAGGGAGAAATCTCCAATGAAAAGTTTTTAAGTCGTCAAACGTGGGGTGCTTATCAAGGACCAAAGTCTTTCAACATGAAAAGGTTTATATATAGGTATTTTCTGGTGATGGGGATTTATCATAAGAATGTTTGGGAAAGTGAGGGGGATAAAAAACCTTGGCAGCATAGTTGCTAATTACTCTTCATCTCACTTTTTTTTGCCATCCTAACACTACAGTATCCTCACATTTCTACACACGTAAGGTAGTCTGAAATGTACTTCCTCAAGGGTTACAGGAAAGGAAACTTAATTGATAGGAATTATACTTTCTTGCTTTGAAATTACTCATTCCTGAATGGATGTACTGGTGAATAATGAAATTCCCAGAGAACAAGAATAGGAAAGCACTACGAGATCCAAGTGACCTGATAGTACACCAACTCATCAGTCCTTAATTAGCCAAAATTTGGCCTTGGAGACTTTTTCCTCAAACATACAAAAATTTGCCCCCACTTGACTAATCTGTCAATACTCAAGAGTTCTTGTCTAAAAACATTGCACAAAACAGAGATTGTGCAAAGGCTTTCATTTTGATCCTCCACGGTGCCTCAAATATAACAAATGTTAAAAAAAAAAAAAAAGATCTGTTGAATGAGTGAATGTCACGTAATTAGTGCACTGTGTGTGGTTTTATATTAGTGATATGTTGCAATGTATTTTGAACAATGAAAGACTTTTGTCTGACAAATGCATTCGTTTTTAAAAGATGATAAATGTGGCCAGGTACGGTGGCTCACGTCTGTTATCCTAGCACTTTGGGAGGCCAAGGTGAGCGGATCACTTGAGGTCAGGAGTTTGAAACCAGCCTGGCCAACATAATGAAACCCTGTCTCTACTAAAAATACAAAAAAAATTAGCTGGGTGTGGTGGTGGGCAACTGTAATCCCAGCTACTCAGGAGGCAGAGACACAAGAATCGCTTGAATCCGGGGGATGGAGGTTGCAGTGAGCTGAGATCACACCACTGCACTTCAGCCACGGCAACAAAGTGAGACTCTGTCTCAAAAGAAAGATGATAAATGTAGTTTCTAAATATCATATTATTATAAGAATATCATGTTTGTTGATTGCTAACAACTGGTTTTGTACTGAAACTTTATTAACTATCATGGTGAAAATTTACTCTGTCCTCTGCTATTTTATTTTTTCTTTTCCTTTTAAAACACCCAAAAGGCACTATAACCCTCTGTTATTTATTAACGCACATATGTTGAGGTGAGGACATTTCTAAGCCCCCAAATTGCTGACTTTGCAATGTTTTAGTGTCTGTTTGTTTTTTCTTTTATGTTGCAGTGGTGCGAATAAAGAGCCGAATAACTTATGTACTACTCTACATGTGATAGGACAAAACTAAGAAAATTTTAATAGGCTGGAAAAGGTTTGTCAAAACAATCTCTTTGGTTTAATTCTTTAAACTCTTTTTAGCTAGTCATTTGATGTGAGCCATTGCAAATAAAATGACTTAATCCTGGAAATGCAAATAATTCATCTTCAAATCAATTGCTAGACAATAAATGATATTAAATGAATAAAATGAATTAATGGATACATAAATTCAGTATATCTTTCTCTTTGGAATTCTAACTTACCTACCTACCTAGCTGTGGAGCTTAGAATTAGTAGATTCAACTATTGATATAGCACTAGAAAGAAATGTTTCATAAAACTTAACTCAACATTTTTATTTGAAATAGGAAAATATTCATATTTACCTTCTGAGTCACTTTTTTTTCTTTTACAGACAGGGTCTCACTTTGTCACCCAGGCTGAAGTGCAGTGGTGGGATCACAGCTCACTGCAGCCTCAACCTCCCAGGTCAGGTGATCCTCCCACCTCTGCCTCCTGAGTAGCTGGAACTACAGATGCATGCCACCACTCCTAGCTAATTTTTTTTGTTTTTTTTTTTTTTTTTTTTGAAACGGAGTCTCGCTCTGTCGCCCAGGCTGGAGTGCAGTGGCACGATCTCGGCTCACTGCAAGCTCCGCCTCCCGGGTTCACGCCATTCTCCTGCCTCAGCCTCCCGAGCAGCTGGGACTACAGGCGCCCACCACCACGCCCGGCTAATTTTTTGCATTTTTAGTAGAGACGGGGTTTCACTGTGTTAGCCAGGATGGTCTCGATCTCCTGACCTCGTGATCCGCCCGCCTCGGCCTCCCAAAGTGCTGGGATTACAGGCGCGAGCCACCGCGCCCGGCCTAGCTAATTTTTTTTGCACGTTTTTTGTAGAGACAGGTTTTTGTTGTGTTGCCTAGGCTGGTCTCTAACTCCTGTGATCAAGCAATCTGCCCACCTGGGCCCTACAAAGTGCTAGGAATACAGGTGTGAGCTACCATGCCTTGCCCTGAGTCATCTTAAATATTTTAGAATTTCCACAAAATTAAGAAATAAGATGAAAGAAAATAAGTTTTCTATATTATGCAGTATTTTGATGGTGGCTGGTCATCAACATTCACTTAATCACTTATTCATTAAAGGGAATCCTAGGATCAGAGAACATTAGAAGCAACATTAGACATCACCTAACACAGGGCTCACAAATTGGTGGCTAGTAGATTTCAGACAGATTTTTCCTGACCAGCACATTACTTTTTTTTTTTCCTAAATATGATTTTGAACCCTTCACAAGGGTCAAGCACCTAATGGTGCTGTAGGTTCTTAAGCTCTATATTATCTCCTGGGCTTTTCGCCCAGCAGCCTCAAAAATTTTTTCCTACTTGTTTGATTCCCATGGTTATTTAATAAATGAATTCTAGTCCAACAACTCATTCTACAGATTAGACCCAGGATGTAAGTAGATATGATGTGTTAATGTTAAAAGTCAGCGTAAGGCAGCAGTTCTAAAAGCAGAGTGTGGATTCCTGGGTCTCGGGGGGATTTCTAGATGTATCAGAGGTTAGTTTCTCACATCATTATATATGGCAGTAGCCAGTATGCAAAGCTCTTTCAGGTTGCCAGGGAGAGCTTTATACTCAGGGTCTGTCTGTATGGTGATGGAGATTTATTGAAAGGATATGAGAAAGGAAGAAAAGAAACCATGGTAGCAATTGAAAGAAAAGGCCTCGGGAACTAAAGCCTAGTGTAAAATATAACAGTGGATTCAGTAATCTTCCATTCTCATGACTTATCGGCTCCTCTGTTTCTCTCTCCACTTTTCCATCCTAGTTCACTACTCCCTGTCTCCTGGTATATATTGTATTAAAAATCCAGAAGGAAAATATTGTTTGATTCAATTGTCACAATATAGAATCACTTTCCTTCATGGGTTAATTCTCACCTCAGATTCCTGGCTATCCTGGGGATCAGCATTTATCAGGTATTTTGACCACAACCTGCAGCAATAAATATATTTTACATGTGATCTTATGCATATATGCATATACTTTTTTTTTTTTTTTTTGAGTTGGAGTCTCGCTCCATCACCCAATCTGGAGTGCAGTGGCACGATCTTAGCTCAATGCAACCTCTGACTCCCAGATTCAAGCGATTCTCCTATCTCAGCCTCCCAAGTAGCTGGGACTACAGGTGCGTGCCACCGTGCTTGGCTAATTTTTGTGTTTTTAGTAGAGATGGGGTTTCACCATGTTGGCCAGGTTTGTCTCACCCTCCTGACCTCAGGTGATCCGCTTGCCTCGGCTTCCCAAAATGCTGGAATTACTGGAATGAGCCACCGTGCCCAGCCATTTATACTTTCTTAAGGTAATACTTAGCCAAACTATGTTTTACACTCTGATAATTTCTGTTCTTAATTAGTTGTATCCTGTCCCATTCTACTCTATTCATTTAGCTAGTTATGCCATGCTGAATTGATTTCATAACTGCAAGCTTGTACAACAATGCTATAGATCAGTGTTTCTCAAACTTTAACGTATACACAAGTCACCTGGGGATCTCATTAAAAATGCAGATTCTGATTCAGTAGGTCTGAGATACTGCATTTCTAACAGACCTCAGTGATGCTGACACTGCCAGTCTGTGTCCCACACTGTGAGAAGTAAGCCTGTAGGGAGTTTGTCTTTGGTTCTTGTGGTCCAATCCCTGGCTTAATCAGCCAAGGCCAGGGGCTTAGAATCTCATTATAAAGTGGCTGGGCGCAGTGGCTCATGCCTGTAATCCCAGCACTTTGGGAGGCCGAGGCAGGTGGATCACCTGACCTCAGGAGTTTGAGACTAGGCTGGCCAACATGATGAAAACCCATCTCTACTAAAAATACAAAAATTAGCTGGGCGTGGTGGTGCGCGCCTATAATCCCAGCTACTCAGGAGGCTGAAGCAGGAGAATCACTTGAACCTGGGAGGTGGAGGTTGCAGTGAGCCAAGATCACGCCACTGCACTCCAGCCTGGGCAACAAGAGCAAAACTCTTTCTCAAATAATAATAATAATCTTAGTATAAAGTATGGAAATCTGTGCACAAAGATCTTTGGCCATTTTGTTGAGAAAGAGCTGTGGCCATGATAGGCATTCAGAACAGCAGAGACTCTTACCAAGTACAGTGACATTTAGTTCAGATCTTAAACGTGATCATGTTCATTTAATGAATATTTATTTATAGAAAATTTACTATGTGCCAGGCCCAGTTCCAGGATAAGACAAAGTATTTCTTTTGTATTTTACATGTTAATGGAGTGAACAATTACATCTATAATTTCAGGTTATGGTAAGTGAAATGAAGAGAAATGAAGCAGGGTGAAGGGAAAGATCATGGCAATGTGAGGTGTTTGAAGTGTTAGATTAGGTGCTTAGGCAATGTCTTACAAGGCCAGTGACATTTGACAGAGACCCAAATGAAGAAAGACAACCTTGGGAAGATCTAGAGGAAGGACAGCCCAGGCAGAGAGAACAGCAAGGGCACAGGTACTCAGGTGGGAAAAAAGTGATGTTGGAGGGTTCAGCAAGAAGGCAGGGCTGACTAGAGAGGAGTAAGACAGGAAAGATGAGGTCATTTAGGGAAGCAGCCCTGATCAGGGAGGACATTACAGGCTGAGCTAAGTTTGGATTTTATTCTGAAGGTGACTGGAAACACTGAAGGGTTTTTAAGCAGGGAAATGACATGAAATTGTAGTTTTAAACGACCACTGTGGTGAATTTCTGGAGAATACACTATAGAACAAGCTTGTCCAACCCATAGCCCATGGGCCACATGTGGCTCAGGATGGCTTTGAATGTGGCCCAACACAAATTTGTAAACTTTCTTAAAATATTATGATTTTTTGTGATTTTTTTTTAGCTCATCTGCTGTCATTAGTGTTAATTTATTTTATGTGTGGCCCAAGACAATTCTTCTTAAGTGTGGCCCAAGACAATTCTTCTTCCAATGTGGCCCAGGGAAGCCAAAAGATTGGACACCTCTGCTTAGGTCAGGAGTAGAAGTATGAAGACTGGTTAAGGTGTTATAGTAATAGATCATATTGACTCATTGTGTCCACTGATTGGATTGTGCCAATTTGTTTTTTTAGAATTGGGGATAAATTGAAGTATTTAGCACTGCTGAAAGACTATAAGATTGAAAATGTAAAGATACTCATTTATATTAAGAGCTTTGTTGATAATTGACATCTAGCAATGCAGGATGCAAAATTCAACAAAGGATGGTAAAAAAATATAATAGATTTCCCTATTTTTCCATAAACCCAGATTTCTAGGTGAGCTCCAAGCCTGCACAGCATCAGCCTGACCTCCATTCCACAATGTCCAGATACCAGAGTAGGAAATTTCATCTGCCTAGAATAATCAAGTGTTCAATGTCCTGAGACTGACTTAAGTAACAGGAAATGATATGGTTTTTGTTTTAAATAATAAAGTAATAAATATTGGTTAAAGGCACCATCACCCTCATCTCTTATAGGTGGTAACCTTCTCCCTCTGGGCCGTCTTGTTCAAAACTGATTTTGCTGCTCTTATTTCTCTTATTATGTTAAATCGAAGATGTCATCATGTGGAGAATGATGTGCCATTATTTAGTATAACACAGAGAAAGAAAAAGATACCAACACTGCCAATTAAGTAGACATACCATCACATATAAGATGAACTTCAACTTCAGAGATATCAAAATGTGAAAAATATGTCCTTCTTAAAAGTTATGAGGTATGTATTTTTGTCATTATCCAGCTACTCAGAAACCTAGAGGTCATTGTAGGCTACCCTCTCTCAACTCCCACATCCTATCAATAACCAGGCACTAGAATTTCTACTTCCCAAATCTCACAAATTCTTGCCTTATCTTTCACCTTGGAAAGCTCATATCTATTCTAGCCTGAACAACTTTATTAACTACCAAGTCACTCTCCACATTAAAAGCAGAATGATAATCCAAAATATGGATCTGATAATTACAGTACTAGATTAAAAACTTCATTATTCTCTAGTTTGCTTATGGGTCAAGTTTAATCTTTTCATAATCTAAACATACTTTGTGATCTTGATCTTGTCTCTACCTTTTTTTTTTTTTTTTTTTTTTGAGACGGAGTTTCGCTCCTATTGCACAGGCTGGAGTGCAATGGCACAATCTCGGCTCACTGTAACCTCTGCCTCCTGGGTTCAAGCGATTCTCCTGCCTCAGCCTCCCAAGTAGCTGGGATTACAGGCGCCCACCACCACACCCAGCTAATTTTTGTATTTTTAGTAGAGACAGGGTTTCATCACGTTGGCCACACTGGTCTTGAACTCCTGACCTCAGGTGATCCGCCTACCTCGGCCTCCCAAAGTGCTGGGATACCAGGCATGAGCCACCACACCCGGCCTCTACCTCCTTTTTAAGTAGGTTCAGGAACATACAAACAAACTAGCATGTAAAAAATGTATTACCTTCTTCTGTAGTGGCTTCCCCTTCTCCTTTAATTTTTTCCTTCCTTGAGACAGGGCCTCAATCTGTCACTCAGGCTGGAGTGTAGTGGTACAATTATGGCTCACTGTAGCCTTGACTTCCCAGCCTCAAGCAATCCTCCCAGCTCAGTCTCCCAAGTAGCTGGGACTACAAGTGCATGCCACCACACCTGGCTAATTTTTGTATTTTTTGTAGAGATGGGGTTTTGCCATGTTGCTAAGGCTGGTCTCAAACTCCTGAGCTCAAGTGATCCTCCTACCTCGGCCTCCCAAAGTGTTGGAATTACAAGTATGAGCCACCTTGCCTAGCCCCTTCTGCCTTTTCTGCCTTGAGAATGTGTACTTATCCTTCAATAATTGGTTTAAATGTTGCCTCCTTAGTAAACGTTTTTGGTGCCCTCTGTACCCACTCTCTAAGGATCTGTTTTTTTCTTCTACAGTAGTTGACTTATGGGCCCCTCCTTTAGCCTCTATCCAATGTTATAATTGCTGGCCCTTCTGCATTGTGAGCCCCTTAAGGTCAACAAACATAATCTGTATATCATCACATCCTCAACACACAGCATTGGTCCTGGCACACAAGTAGGCCCTTACCAAATGTTTGCCATTAATAAGGAAATGGTGTGGCCCATGCATGGTGGCTCACGCCTGTAATCCCAGCACTTTGGGAGGCCGAGGCAGGCAGATCACCTGAGGTTGTTAGTTCAAGACCAGCCCGACCAACATGGAGAAACCCTGTCTCTACTAAAAATACAAAATTAGCCAGGCTTGGTGGCACATGCCTGTAATCCCAGCTACTCAGGAGGCTGAGGCAGGAGAATCGCTTGAACTCGGGAGGTGGAGGTTGCAGTGAGCCGAGATCATGCCATTGCACTCCAGCCTGGGCAACAAGAGTGAAACTCCGTCTCAAAAAAAAAAAAGGAAATGATGTGAAGCTGAAAAAAAAAATCACCCTTAATAAATAATATGAGGTCTAAAGGTTAAAAATATCAATTACTCCAACTTTGAAGCGAGGGTCAGGGCTAAAGGAAAGACATGGTCCCTCTCGCCTTTCTCAGCCCCCATTGTAAAGCCCACTGCTCTTGCATGGAATCCAGAGTACTATGGCGCCCTGATCCTGGGACCCTCTGTGGCTACGGTGGTCCCTGAAGTAAGTTTGTGAGGCAAAGAAACCTGGGTGACCATAGAATGTAGGGGTGGCTTTTTGTCAGCCACCATTGCATTCAACAAAAGTAGTCTAGATTTATAATCAGTTGATCCATGTGGCTTATCACTAGAAATTATTTTATGAAATATCAATCAACGTTTCAAAAAATCGTAATTGGTAATTTTCAAAGTTATTCACCCATACTGTGAATGGGCAATAGCCCCTGTAAACCTTTTCTCTATGACTCTCCCTTAAGAATATTGTTGTCAAAAATCAGAAAATTCCAAAGAAAACTGAATAGTTCAATGTATAAATTGTTCTTTAAATTCTTCTAAGGCCAAGGTGATGATTTTCTTTCCATTTCACATCTTTCTACACCATAGCACTTCACAGAGTGCCAGGACCTTGTGAGTACTTAATACATGTTGATTGAAAAATGTTGAAAGAAAAATCTTACTTTGAAAAATTTTGTAACTTTAATTTTGCCTTGGGCTTGTTCCTTTCAAACTTGGATAAATAACAGGGAAAAACATAATCAGTCTCCAAACCACTAAAATCATGACTGGCTTCCTTATGCCCCTATATTACTACAATATAAATATCACAATAAATATTCAAAGTGATGTTCAAGCAGTAGAAGATCAGAAAGCAATAGGACTATATTACAGGGAAGGCATGAGGACCCAAATTTCTTCTTATGTGGTATTACTGTAATTGTGTGGTCTACAGAGTTATAAGAGGTTTGAACAATGAGAGGGAGTATAAGGACTATTCAGGAAGTAAAGGGAGGAATAAGAAAATAATTATTTTGAGAAAGACAATTTATATTACATCAAGCCATTTTAAAAATGCCATTTTGTAGTAAAAAGTGGTTGAAGGTATGAACCTGTAATCCCAGCTACAGGAGGTTGAGGTGGGAGGATTGAGTGAGCTCCAGACTTCAACCCTGTCTCACACACACAACAAAAAAACGTGAAAAGAAAGTATTTTTTTTTTCTTTTTGAGACGGAGTCTTGCTCTGTCACCCAGGCTGGAGTGCAGTGGTGCGATCTCGGCTCACTGCAAGCTCTGCCTTCCATGTTCACGCCATTCTCCTGCCTCAGCCTCCCAAGTAGCTGAGACTACAGGCGCCCACCACCACACCCAGCTAATTTTTTGTATTTTTAGTAGAGACAGGGTTTCACCATGTTAGCCAGGATGGTCTCGATCTCCTGACCTCATGATCCACCCACCTCGGCCTCCCAAAGTGTTGGGATTACAGGCGTGAGCCAACGCGTCCAGCTGCCGAAAGTAATTTTTAAAATAAGAGATGCGTTCATGCAATGTTAGTGCCCTGAAGGCCTCAAAAGAAATGAAAACAGCCCTTCAGCATCTGTATCAGCCAGAGACTATGTAGCATACTGGTTAAGATATGAATGTTTTAAGCTGTTGGTTCTTTTCTCGAGAGTTTAAAATGTTTTTTAATTAACAAAAATTGTATATATTTATCACATGCAACATGTTTGAAACATGTACACACTGTGGAATGACTACATTGAGCTAATTAATATATGCATTGCAGAACACACTTATCATTTTATATGATGAGAACACTTAAAATCCACTCTCTTAGCAACTTCCAAGACTATAATACATTGTTATTTACTATTGTCTCCATGTGGTACAATAGATCTCTTGAACTTATTCCTCCTACCTAACTGAAATTTTGTCTCCTTTGACCAATATTTCCCCAACACCACCCCCCCACCACCACCTCTCTCCAGCCCCTGGTAACCAGCATGCGACTCTCTACTTTTATGATTCTGACTTCTGACTTTTTAAAATTCCACAAATGGGTGAGATCATGCAGTATTGTCTTCCTGTGCCTGGCTTATTTCACTTAACATAATGTTTTCCAGGTTCATCCATGTAGTCCCAAATGACAACCCGGTCGTCCTTCCTTTTTAAGGCTGGATTTTCTTGCTTTTAAGGCTGAATGTTACTCCATTGTGTATACATTTTCTTTCTTCATTCATCTGTTGATAGACACTTAGGTTGATTCCATATCTTGGCTATTGTGAAAAATGCTGCAATGAACATGGGAGTGCAGATATCTCTTCGACATACAAATTTCATTTCCTTTGTATAAATATCCAGTAATGCGATTGCTAGATCATGTGGTAATTCTTTTAAGATATGAGTTTTAAGGTCAGACTTCCTTTAATTGAATCTTGCCTATACTACTTAACTGTATGATCTTTGTCAAATTCCTTCATTTCTGCTGCCTCAGTTTCTTCACCTGCAAAAGAGGAAAATAATATTATTTACTTTATTAGGTTTTTATAAAGTTTAAATGGGATAAAGCTATAATGAACTTAGAATGGTGCCTGGCACATTCCAAGTTTCTACTAGATGAATGATGTTACTTCGATCAGTCCTCTTCAGTCAGAAAGGAAACTATGAAGTTAGCAGTCATTTATATGGGGGCAAATAAGAATTTTGAGTTCCTAATTATTTTTATAGACTTATTAGGAGAGATGAAGCTTTGGGGTCAAACACATCTGGGTTTCTCTTTGGGGAAATTTATTTACCTTTTCTAACATCATCTTTTTCATCTGTAAAATGGGCAAAAGATTATAACTAAGTCATATATTTGTTGTGAAAAGTAAATGAAATTAGTTATGTAAAATCCTCAACAGAAAGCTCACAGAGTGCCTAATAAATGGCAGCTCTTGCTATCCGTAATAATTACATTGACCTGTATTTTACAGATGTATCTTCTTAGTTTCCTAAAATTACCCAATTCAAAAAAGAACTTAAAACGTTTATTACACAAATCTATTCTTGAATATTCTGTAATAACCATTGCCTACTTAATTTTTAGAGCTAATTAGAATTATTAAAAAGTATACATTTTGAAGGTATACTCTATTTTATAATATATGAACAATGTTGAGATTTCAAAATAAGGACCACATAGAAACATTAAAACAATTATATTACTTAACCTGTTAAAAAAAATCACAGTTTCTAGTTGTGAAGTTCTATGTGCAAAAATGAAAAAGAAAAAAAATCAAAACAAAAATACTGGTAAACAGGCCAGGCATGGTAGCTCACACCTGTAATCCCAGCACTTTGGGAGGTCAAGGCAGAAGGATCACTTGAGGCCAGGTGTTCGAGACCTGCCTGGCCAACATGATGAAACCCCATTTCTACTAAAAGTACAAAAATTAGCTGGACATGGTGGTACACACCTGTAATCCCAACTACTTGGGAGGTTGAGGCATGAGAATTGCTTGAACCTGGGAGACGAGGATGGCAGTGATCCAAGATCATGCCACTGCACTCCAGACTGGGTGACAGAGTGAGACTCTGTCTCAAAAACAAACAAACAAAAACAACAAACTGGTACACAAAGGCATATTTTGTTGATCAGTGCAATGAAGAGGAGGCAACACAAGGTTGATAGAAGCCTAGTAAAGGGGGTGCAATATATTTGAAGGGATAGGTCATGTTTTATTTCCCTTTTCATAGCCCTATATGGCCCTGACACAGTGGTGTTGTGATTCATAGGCCTCAATTCTAAGGAGATATTCTTCCAACCAGCATATTCTTATAAATGATATAATTTAAATGATGGTAATAAAAAATCAAGGGTAGTTGCTGAAATCGACTTGGAAGACTTGGGAGAGAAGCAGATAGAACATGAACAAGAAAAGATCAGCTCAGATTGAGTCTTCAAATAATTTTAAGAGGAGTTTGTTTAGAAAGACACTCCTAGGGATTTATATGTTCAAAGAGAAAAAGAATGAATTTAAAGATGATGTCATGGCTATGCATTAGTTTAATGGAAGGGACAACATTAATGGTTATAGAAAATGTGCTTTTATATAACTTGAAAAGTTAGAAATTGATATACAACCTCAAAACACTTCATTGACTAGGAATGTATTTTCCCCTGAGGCTCGAGAACTTTAAAGCCACATGAAATATTTCATTGTCTTGTGATTCATAATGCTGGCACATCTTACATCACACTCAATTAAAGAACAGGGCCTGTTTCTATACATCATCTTCCCAGAGCAAAACTAAGGAACATGAAGGCAAGTTACATTGTCAGAAATAAGATCTTCACTCCTATATTAGACATTTTTGTTCATTTCTTCTATGATATCTCCATACCTGACTTTGAAGTTTCTGCTTCCAATATACCATATGCTCATGTGTTTTTCAATTTCTACCAGTCTGCAACAGTTTCATTTTGGTTGGAATTAGGCAGGTGGTACCTGAAGCCCTTCTACATACATTTGTTCTGATTTCAAAAGGAATGAGTCGGTATAGCGAAGTGATTAAAATTCATTATTAGGTTTCAGACAGACCCAGTTCAAATCCACATCTGACTTATGTACTTCAAGTCTCTAAGCTTCAGTTTTCTCATTTGTAAAAAAAGTGTAATAATAATAATATTGATTCCATCTGATTGTCGAGAGCATTAATTGTATGTAAGGAACTATGGTAAAAACTAAAGGCATGATAATTATTTTTAAGCTCTTTATTATATAATGTTTGGAGAATTATAGGACTTAGAGGATGGCATTTACTTATTAAGATGGGAACTCAAGTCTTTCTTGCTTCATGGAGTATCCTTAAGCAATAACAGTCTCTTCTGCATTTAATATTAATTGTATACTTTGAAATACCTTTATTATTATTTTCTATGGTAGATTATTATCTCAATGAATGGAGTAAAAAGACTGGAAATGCAGCTAATGCTTCCGGTAAGATGGAGTAGATGTAATTTTCCCTATTCCTTCCATTAAGTACAACTTAAAACCCTAGATATTATCTATAAAACAAACATAAATAGACTATGAAAAGTGGAGGGAAGAAGGCAGACCAGCTAGGGACCTTGGAACCCAAGGAATGACATGGTAGTGAATTATTTAGGTTTTCTTTTTGCTTCATATATCCTGGATTGGGTGCTGGAGAAGGCTATAATCCAAATCCCAACAAGCACAGACCAAAAAGTTAAAGCCCCTCAAAAAGCCTGCTTTCTCTAACTAAAAAACCAGGAATAGGGCGGCCTGAAAGGCCAGAAAACTTTGAGATAATAACCAATCTATTTCAGCCAAACACCATAGAAAAAACTGGCCCCATCCTTCTCCACACCAGGAAAGGCCAAATGGGAGGCTTAGACCTCCATCTTTTCCAGGCTGAAATGAAATAAAGCACCCCAACTACCCCACCAGTATAGTGTCAGAGAAGACTAAGTAGGGAGCTGGAACTTTTGTGCCCATAGGCAGCAATGAGCCCCCAGCTGCCATGCTTCACAATGACCGTATAAACCATGTGGGGGGCTTGGTCTTCCACTCCCACCAAGTAATAATGAGATGTCCTCCCTCCCTACTGTGGTGGTGTAGAGGAGGCTAGGTGGAGAGACAGGACTTTCACTACTGCCCAGCAGTAATGAGACCACACTCTTTCATCCCTCTATGATGTCAGTAGAAACATACAAAGAGAGTGTTGAGACACTCCTACTCCTCTAAGCCAAGGAGGTCTAGTGTAAAGCCAGAACACATAGCCTTTCCCAGAAAGAACAAGGAGTCCCTGACCTGAGCTGTCAATGAAGGCTGAGTACTGAACTCCTACCCCTACCTGGTAATAATGAGGTAATGTTCTACCACCCCACTTTCCCTGCTAGAGTGGTATCAGAGAAATCCAGCTAAAACAAAGTTTAAATAAGATTCAGTCTCGTAACATAATGCTTCAAAAATCCCCATTTCAATAGTAAATCACTTGTCATGCCAAGAACTAGGAAGATCTCAAACTGAATGAAAAAAGATGATATCAACTCCTAGATGACAAGAGAGTTTAGAATTATCTGGAAAATATTGTAAATGAGCCACCATAAAGATGTTTAGATGAGCAATTACAAACATGCCTGAAATAAATTTTAAAAAATAGAAAGTTTCAGCAAATAGAAAATCTCAGTAAAGAAATAGAAGACATGAAGAAGAATCAAAGGGAAATTTTAGAACAAAAAATGTATCTGGTATAAAAATGAAAAAGCAGAATAGAGAAGACAAAGCAAAGAATCAGTAAACTAGAAGACAGAGCAATAGAAATTACCCAATCTGAACAACAGAGTTAGAAACAGACTGGGAAAAAGAAAAATGAACATAGCCTTAGAAATCTAAGGAACTATAACAAAAGATGTAACTTTTATGTTATTAGAGTGCCAGAAGGAGAGGATAAAGAGGTACTTAAAGAAATAAGACTGAAAACTTACCAAGTTTTACAAAAGACATAAACCTACAGATTCTAGAAACTGAGTGAATGTGATAAACCTAAAGAAATCTATAACAAGACATATCATAATCAAACTTCTAAAAATTGAAGACAAACAATCTTGAAAGCAATGAGAAAAAAAATGACACTTTACCCAGCATTACCAGGGGATAAACAATTCAAATAACAGTGGATTTCTCACTATAAATCATGGAAGCAGAAGGAAGTGGCACAACATTTTTCAAGTGATGAAAGCAAAGAATCATCAACTCAGAATTCAGCAAAAATATCCTTCAGGAATGAAAGAACAATAAAGGCTTTCTCAGATGAAGGAATATCAAGAGAACTTGTTGCCAGCTGACTTACCCTTAAAAAATGGCTAATGAAAATGTTCTAAACAAGAAGAAAATGATAAAAGAAGGAATCTTGGAACATCAGAAAAGAAGAAAGAACAATACAACAAAGATAAGCAAAAATATGGGTAAATACAATAGATTTCTTTCTCTTTTTGAGTTTTCTAAATTGTGTTTGATGGTTGAATTTAAAAGTTACAATACTGTATGATGTGGTTTTAAATGCAGGTAGAGAAAATATTTAAGGTAATATAAATGGGGGATATGTAAAAGGATATAAAGGGAGATAAATTTCCACATTTCACTCTAACTGTTAAAATAACACCACCAGTAGACTGTGATAAGTTATGTATATGTAGTGTGATACCTAGAGCAACCAATACAAAAATAAACATTTTCATTTTAAAACACTGTAGATAAAATGGAATTCTAAAAAATGTTAAGTAACCCACAGAAAGGAAAAAAACAGAAATTAAAAGGAGAGAACAAACAAGAAAAATAAAACAAAGTAGCATACTTATGCCCCCAAATAACAATAATTACATTGAATATAAATGGTCTAAACACACCAATTAAAAGACAGATATTGTTAGAGTGGATTAAAAACATGACCCAAATATAGAAACTCATTTCAAATATAATAATATAGGTAGCTTGTTAGTGAAGAATAGAAAAAGGTATATCATGTAGACATTAGTGAAAAACAATCAGTGGTAGCTATATTAATATCAGATAAGGCCGACTTCAGAACAAAGAAAATTACCAGACAGAGAAGAACAACATAAATGAAAAAATGTCAATTCACCAAGAAGACTTAGCAATCCTAGATGATTATGCACTCTATAACAAAGCTGCAAAATATGTGAAGAAAAAACTGATAGATCAGAAAGAAGAAATAGGCAAATTCATGATTATAGTTGT
The DNA here is from genome assembly GCF_000001405.40 of Homo sapiens. NCBI lineage: Eukaryota > Metazoa > Chordata > Mammalia > Primates > Hominidae > Homo > Homo sapiens. The sequence goes on from NC_000012.12 coordinate 79,729,769, forward strand.
GGAGAATACAACACCCTTCTCAATAATGGATAGAAAAACTGGACAGAAAATCAGCAAAGATATAGAAGAACTCAACAACAGCATTGACTGACAGTATCTAATCAACATTTATAGAACATTCCATCAGACAACAACAAAATACCCATTCTTTCCAAGTGCCCATGGAACTTGATACCAAAATAGATGATATCCTGAGCCACAAAACAATCTTCAACAATTTGAAAACAGTTGAAATTATATGGAGTATGTTCTCTGACCACAATGGAATCAAACTAGAAATAAACAGTGGAAAGATGACAGGAAAATCTTCAAACACTTGAAAACTAAACAGTGCATTTCTAAATAATCAGTGAGTCAATGGGGAAGTCACAAAGGCATTTTATTTTATTTTTATATTTATTTATTTATTTATTTATTTTTGAGACAGGGTCTCTTTCTTTATCACTCAGGCTGGAGTGCAGTGGTGCGATCTTGGCTCACTGCAACCTTAGCCTCCCAGTTCAAGAGAATCTCCTGCCTCAGCCTCCCAAGTAGCTGGGATTACAGGCGCCTGCCACCATGCCTGGCTAATTTTTGTATTTTTAGTAGAGACAGGGTTTCATCATGTTGGCCAGACTGGACTCGAACTCCTGGCCTCCCAGTGATCTGCCCACCTTGGCCTCCCAAAGTGCTGGGATTACAGGTGTGAGCCACCGTGCCCGGCCACAAAGAAAATTTTTTAAAAAATAAGCTGAGCAGAACGAAAATAACAAAACAATATATCAAAATGTGTATGACACAGCTAAAGCAGTGCTAAAAAAATTTTAAGCACTAAGTGCATACATTATGAAACAGAAAAAGCCTAAAAGCAATAATTGAATCTCGAGAGCTTAGAAAGAAAGCAAAATAAAACCAAAGCAAGCAGAAGGAAATAATAAAGATAAAAACAGAAATCAATAAAATCAAAAATAGTAAAACAACAGAGAACAACTATTTTAGATTATTCCTTTGAGTGAGATCATGTGGTATTTTGTCTTTCTGTTTGGCTTTTTTCACTTAACATAATGTCCTCCAGTATCATCCATGTTGTTGCACATGACAGAATTTCATTCATTTTTGTGGCTGAATGATAATTCCATTTTGTATATATACTATATTTTCTTTATCCATTCATCCATTAATGGACACTTAAGTTGATTCCATGTCTTGGCTCTTGTGAATAGTGCTGTCATAAATATTGGAGTGCAGGTAAATCTTTGATATACTGATTTCAATTCCTTTGGATATATATCCAATAGTGGAATTGCTGGATTGTATAGTAGTACTATTTGTAATTTTTTGAGGAATCTGCATAGTGTTTTCCACAACAGCAGTACTAATTTACATTTCTACCAGCAGTGTATAAGTTTCCTTTTCTCCACATGGTGGTTACCAGAGGTTGGGGCTGCTGCAGGGAAGGGGAGAATGGGCAGATATTGGTCAAAGCATACATAATTTCAGTTAGGAGAATTAAGTTCAAGGGATGTATTGTACAGCAAGGTGACTACAGTTAGTGATGATATAGTATACTCTTGAAAACGTAAAGAGAGTAGATATTATGTGCTCTCACCACAAAAAAAAGATACCTGTGAGGTAATACATTTGTTAATTAGCAAGATTCAACCATCCAATAATATGTCTGTACTTCAAAATATCATGTACATAATAAAAATGTACAATGTTATCTGTCAATTTAAAAATGTAATAGTAAAAAGAAAACAATAGAGAAAATGATGAAATTGGAAGCAAAAAACAATAGAGGAAATCAATGAAACAAAGCACTGATTCCTTAGAAAGATCAGTCAAACCTCTGGCTAGACTGAAAAAGAAAAAAAAAGAGGAAACATGAATTATTAATATATTTGATATACTTGTTTAAATGTTAATATCATGAATGAAATAGGGATATCACTATAGACTTTGCAGACATGAAAAAGACAGTAAGAGAATAATTTGAACAACTCTACACATATAAACTCCACAGCTTAGATGGAATAAAAGAATTCCTTGAAAAACTATCACAACTCACCCAACATGAAAGAGGTACTTTGAATAGACCTATAACCATTAAGGAAATTGAATTTGTTATTTAACAACTTACAAAAAAAGAAACATCCAAGCCTAGATGCTTTCACTGGAGAATTCCAACCAACATTTAAAGAATTAATGCCAAGTATACATTTTCTCTTACCTCTTCCAGAACATAGAAGAGAAACACTTCCTAATTCATTTATGAAGCTAATATTACCCTGATGCCAAAAGCAGACAAAGATAGTACAAAGAGAGAAAACTATAGACCAATATCGTTCATGAATAAAGATGCAAAGATCCTTAACAAATATTAGCAAATAGAATTCAGGCATACATACATATGTATATGTATCCACAAAGAATTATAAATCATACCAAGGGGGTTTATTGTTGGGGTGTTCAGTTGATTTAATATTTGAAAATCAATCAATGTAATTCACCATATTAATAGGCTAAAAATCATAGGATTATATCAACCAGTGCAGAAAAAAATTTGACAAAATTCAATACTCATATATGATTTTTAAAACTCTCAGAGGACTGGATGTGGTGGCTGACAGACACCTTGTAATTCCAGCACTTTGTGAGGCTGAGGTGGAAGGATTGCTTGAGGCCAGAGTTCGAGACCAGCCTAGGCAACATAGTGAGACTTGTCTCTACAAAACATTTTTTTAAAATTAGCTGGGCATGGTGGCATGCTCCTGTAGTCCCAGCTACTTGGAAGGCTGAGGTGGGAGGTTTGCTTGAGCCCAGGGTTTGAGGCTGCAGTGAGCTATGATCACACCACTGTACACCAGCCTGGGTGACAGTTTTTGTTTATTTGTTTAAGAGACAAATGAATATGTACTTGATTTATGTGAGCTTACATAATAAAAACTCTCAGAGATACAGGAATAGCAGGGAACTTCCTCAATTTGATCAAGATCATCTACCAAAAAAACTGTAGGTCACAATATACTCAATGGTGAATGCTTTCCCACTAGGATCAGGAACAAGTCAAGGATGTCTGCTGTCACTCTTCTTATTCAACATAGTGCTAGAAGTCCTAGCAAGTGCAATAAAACAAGGGAAGAAAGTAAAAACATACAAATCACAAAGAAAGACATAAAACTGTCACTATTTGTAGATTACATAACTATCTAAATAGAAAATGCCAAGGAGTCTATAAAAAAACTCCTACTAGTAGATGAATTCTACTAGTAGATGAATTCATCAAGGTCACAGGATAAGCTTACATAAATCAATTATATTTTTGTATATTAGCAATTGTCACATGGACACCAATATTAAAAGTACAATACCATTTATGATTGCTCAAAAAATTCAAATATTTAGATGTAACCATCACAAAACAGGTACAGGAGTTTAATGCTGAAAACTACAAAACACTGCTGAAAAAAATGAAAGCCCTAAATAAATGAGAGACACACCATGATCATGGATTGGAAAACTCAACATAGTAAGGATATCAATTTTCACTGATTTGATAGACAAATTTAATCCATTTGCTACCAAAATCTCAGCAGATTTTTGTAAATATACATGAGACTATTCTAAAACTTATATGAAAAAAAAAAGAAGTAGACAAAACTATTTTGAAAAAAAAGAATTAAGTGGGAATCCAATTTCAAGATTTATTATATAGCTTCATTATGAAGTCTGTGGTATTGGTGGACAGGGACACACACATAGATCAATGAGATAGGATAGAGCCCAGGAATAGACCTGCACGAGTATGTCCAATTGATTTTTTTTTTTTTTTTTGAGAAAGGGTCTCACTCTGTCACCCATGCTGGAGTGCAGTCATGCAATCTCAGCTCACTGCAACCTCTGCCTCCTGGGTTCAAGCAATTCTCATGCCTCAGCTACTGAATAGCTGGGATTACAGGTGTGGGCCACCATGCCTGGCTAATTTTGTATTTTTAGTAGAAATGGGTTTTTGCCATGTTGGCCAGGCTGGTCTCTAATTCCTGGCCTCCCAGTGATCCGCCTGCCTCTGCCTCACGAAGTACTGGGATCACAGACATAATCCACTGTGCCTGGCCTCCAACTGATTTTTGACAAAGGCACAAAATGCAATTCAATGGAAGAAAGATAGCCTTTAAAAAATGGTGCTAGAGCAATTGGACATTCATTTTAAAAAGCAAATCTCAACCCAAACCTCAGACCTTATCCAAAAATTAACTTAAAATGGTACAGGGATATAAATGTAAAATATAAAAGTATAAAACTTTTAGAAATAATAGGGGAAAATGTTTGAGATCTAGAGATGGACAAAGAGTTCTTAGACTTGACAAGAAAAACATGATCCATAAAAGGAAAAACTGACACATTGAACTTTATCAAAATTAAAAACATTTGCTGTGTGAAAAATTCTATTAAAAAGATGAAAGGACAAGGAGTAATGTTCAGAATATATAAAGAACTCTCAAAACTCAACAGTTAAAAAAAATCCAAAAGTCAAGTACTGCAGGTTCTCATTTATAAGTGGTAGCTAAATAATGTGTACACATGAACATAAAGGAAAGAATAATAGACACTGAAGACTCAGAAGAGGAGGAGGGCGGGGGAGGGGAGATGGAGGTGAGGAATGAGAAATTACTTCATAGGTACAATGTATATTATTTGGGTGATAGTTACACTAAAAGCTCAAACTTCGCCACTGCTCAATATATCCGTGTATTAAAACTGCACTCATACCCCTTAAATTTATAGAAATAAAAAATTACTTAAAATACATAAATAAAAAATAAAATTTAAAAATCCAAGTATAAAGTGGACAAAATAAATTTTACCAGAGCGAATATACAGATATCAAAAAGCATATACAAAGATGTTTAACATCATTAGATATTAGGGAATTCAAATTAAAACCACAATGCATAATACTACACACCTATGAGAATGACTAAAATTTTTTTAAAATTTAAAAAATTAGTGAAAACACCAAATTCTGGTGAGGATGCAAAAAAAAACTATCACTCCTACATTGCCATTGGGAATACAAAATGATACACCTACTCTGGAAAATAGTTTCTTTTAGAACTAAACATGTGAAGGTACCAAGAACATACATTGGGAAAGAACAATAAATGGTGCTTGGAAACTGGATATTTATATGAAGAAGGAGAAAATTAAACCCCTATCTCATATTATATACAAAAATCAAATCTAAATTGAATAGAAACTTAAATGTAAGACCTGAAACTATGAACCTACTATAAGATAACATTAGGAAAATTATCTAGGTCATTGATTTGTGCAAAGATTTCTTGAGTAAGATCGCAAAAGCACAGGCAACTAAAGCAAAAAATGGACAAATGGGATCACAGCAGAGGAAACAATCAACAAAGTGAAAAGACAACCCACAGCATGGGAGAAAATATTTGCCAACTACCTATCTGACATGGGATTAATAACCAGAATATATAAGGAGCTCAGACGTCTCAACAGAAAAAATTCAAATTGAAAATGGGTGAAAGATATGAATAGACATTTCTCAAAAGAAGACATACAGATGGCCGACAGGTATATTACAAAATGCTCAACATCACCAATCATCAGAGAACTGCAAATCAAAACTATGAGATACTATCTCAGTCCAGTTAAAATGACTTTTATAAAAAAGGCAATAACGGATGCTAGGGCAGATAGGGAGAAAGTGGAACCCTCCAACACTGTTGGTGGGAATGTAAATTAGCACAGTCACTATGGAGAACAGTATGGAGACCTCTCAAACAACTAAAAATATAACTACCCAATGATCCAGCAATCCTACTGCTGGGTATAGGATCCATATAAAAGGAAATCAGTATATTGAAGAAGTATCTGCACTCCCATGTTTATTGCAGCACTATTATTCACAGTAGCCAAGATAGGGAATCAACCTAAGTATCCATCGATGGATAAATGGACAAAGAAAATGTGGTACATATATCTACAATAGAAAATTATTCAGCCACAAAAAAGAACGAAATTCTGTTGTTTGCAACAATATGGATGGAACTGTAAGGCATTACGTTAAGTGAAATAAGCCAGGCGCAGCAAGACAAATATCACATTTTCTCACTCATATGTGGGAGCTAAATGTGTTGATCTCATGAAGATACAGGGTAGAATGATCATTACCAGAGGCTAGGAAGGATACCAGAGGCTAGGAAGGATACCAGAGGTGGGGAAAGGGGGATAAAGAGGAATTGGTTAGTGGGTACAAAAATATAGATAGAAGGAATCAGATATAATGTTTGGTAGCACAATAAGGTGACCATAGTTAACAAAAATTTATTGTATATTTCACAATAGCAGAGTGGAATTGGGATGTCCCTAACACAAAGAAATGATAAATGTTCAAGAAATGTTCAAGATGATGATACCCCAGTTACCCTGATTTGATCATTACACATTTAATGCTTATATCAAAATATTACTTCTACCCTATAAATATGTGCAACTATTATGTATCCATAAAAATTAAAAATAAGAAAAAACTAAACATGCAACTACACAGTGACCCAGCAATTGCACTCCTGGGCATTTATCCTAGAGAAATAAAAATTTATATTCACATGAAAAGGTGTACACAAATATTTATAGCAGCTTTATTTATAAGAGTCAAAAATTGGAGGGCCATATGCGGTAGGCGGATTTCTTGAGCTCAGAAGTTAAAAACCAGCTTGGGCAACATGGTGAAACCTCATTTCTATAAAAAAAAAAAAAATACAAAAATTGGCCAAGTGTGGTGGTGCACGCCTGTGGTCCCAACTACTCAGGAGGCTGAGGTAGAAGGATAGCTTGAGCTCCATAGGCAGAGGTTGCAGTGAGCTGAGATTGTGCCACTGCACTCCAGCCTGGACAACAGAGTGAGACCTTGTCTCAAAAACAAACAAGCAAGCAAACACCTGGAAACAATTTAGATGTCCTTCAATCCTTCAATGGGTGAATGCTTAAAAATCTGTGACACAGGCCGAGTGTGGTGGCTCACGCCTGTAATCTCAGCACTTTGGGAGGCCGAGGCGGGCGGATCACCTGAGGTCAGGAGTTCAAGACCAACTTGACCAACATGGAGAAACTCCATCTCTACTAAAAATACAAAATTAGCCGGGCGTGGTGGTGCATGCCTGTAATCCCAGCTACTCGGGAGTCTGAGGCAGGAGAATCACTTGAACCCAGAAGGTGGAGGTTGTGGTGAGCCAAGATCGCACCATTGCACGCCAGCCTGGGCAACAAGAGCGAAACTCTGCCTCCAAAAAAAAAATCTGTGACATATCCATACCATGAACTACTCCTCAGCAATAAAAAGGAATGCATTATTAATACATGCAGCAACCTGAATGAATCTTCAGAGAATTATGCTTAATGAAAAAATAAATCCTGAAAGCTTACATACATACGATTCCATTTATATAACATTCTTGAAATAACAAAAATCGTAGAAATGGAGAACAAATTAGAGGTTTCCAGGGGCTAAGTAAAGAGTCAAGGTAGGAGTAAAATGTGTGCAGCTATAAATGGGAAACAGAGATTCTTGTGGTGTTGGAATTGTTCTGTATCTTGACTGTATTGATGTGAATATCCTAGTTGTGATATTATACTATAATTTTGCAAAATGTTCCCATTAGAGGAAACTGGGTAAATTTTACATGGGATTTCTGCTTGGTTTTCTTTTTTCTTTTTTTTCTTTCTTTTTTTTTTTTTTACAACTGCAAGTGAATCTCAAAGGAGACTTTTAGAAAACTATTAAATTACCCATCCTTAGTTTACTATTTATTTGTAAAATGGAGAAAATAATAGCTGTACTATATCCTGGAATTGGGCCGCTAAAGTTGGAAAATGCTTAAGAACTTGGACATAGTGCTACATACTTGGATTTACAGACTTCTGGATCACAGAGTTGTTAGTAATTTTCTATTTCATTGGTATCCAAATTATTTTTTTTTCTGGACCACAGGTTGGACACTGAGGAGACTGGTGGGAAGCAGAGCAAAAGGTGCTTCTCATACCTTCTTCTCTTTCCAACATCCAACCACGCTTCCCTCCCTTCTCAGTCTTGCTTTCATCTGTTTTCCATATTAGAATTCTGAGGGATTTTGTAGAAGAAAAGAGGCTTTTACTTACATTTTGAAACCAACTCATCTAGTCCCAATCTTTCACTTTACTGATCAGGAGATAGAAACCAGAGAGGTTTAGTGACTACTCAAGACACTGAGGTAGTTGGTGGTGAAGCTGAGAACAGAACAAGGACTATTGACCCTCACTCCAGTGTTTTTTCCACTAAATCATGGTGACTTGTATTTAGATTGCTTTCTCAATACTTTTGTCAACAATCAAATAGCAACACCATTTATTGTTGTCTAGAGGCATAACTTTGTGCAGTAATTCTTAAGTATATGGGTAGAATTTTTAAGCATTTTGGTAGTCATGGTATGGGATATTGTTCAAGGAGTGCCTTAAACATAGGTACATTTATTGTACATATCGGAAAAGCTTATTGGTGCCACCTAGTGGTTTGAGTGGCAGGTATCGGTAGCAATTAAGAAGACATTTCAATGCCCCACCCCACTTTTGTTTATGCTTTATCAATAGGTATACTAAAAGTCATCGCCAACTACCTCAGCCGCTTTTTTTTCTGTAACATTTTAGGTGAAAAATGCTTTTCAGAATACAAAAGAAGAGACTTGGTTTTGGGTTAGCTGTAATTTATCTCTACTAATTAAAAACTTTCTCCTTAATAGAGTAAATTATTTAGATAAATTATTTTCAAACTCAAATTACCTGCTAATTACTGTTCATTCTTAAATCAGAAAAACAGACACTTAGCACAGATCCTTAGGATTCCTGTAAAATGAACAGTTGGGTTCAGTAGGTGCTTAGAAGTACTAAATTTTTTTTAAATTCTGATTCAGATTTTTTACTAAATCAGGTATTTTTCTGTGTTTAAAAAAAATCTTGTGACCATATAAAGACTTGTCATAAGGGCTACAATTAGAATTAAGTACTCAATTTAATCATTAGAAGGTTTTAACCATGTGAGGTTTTCTAATGAGCATATATTTCTTTCAATGAAAACTTACACTGAACAGATACAATCCTTGTCCTAACATCAAAGCAATTGTCTGCAGACCAAACCCATCAGTACAACTATCGAATACCTAAAACACTTAATTACATCTTTATTCTCACCATACAATTTTTTTCTCTTATGAGGGGTCATGAAAGGAGTGAATCATGAAATAATTTGTTTGCCCAAGGTGTTATTAACTTTAGAAATTGCTGGTCTTCTGGGCTGGCCCACTTATCAAAGCCATTTTCAGAACAATTATGACAATGATGACTAAATACTTAAGTAGACAAAAGATGTTTGGCGGACAAGGAAAAGGGATGTTGTTAACTGGTCTGTAAAAGGAACCTGAATAAACCCAAGAATTGTAGGGTACAAAGGTGACCACTGAGAGGAATGGGATCAGTGACAGGAATAGAACAGAAAACGGTTTTAAGAAAAAATGGCCAGGAGTGGTGGCTCATACCTGTAATCCCAGCACTTTAGGAGGCTGAGGTGGGCAGATCACTTGAGGTCAGGAGTTTGAGACCAGCCTGGCCAACATGGTGAAACCCCATCTCTACTAAAAATACAAAAACTAGCTGGGCATGGTGGCGGGTGCCTGTAATCCCAGCTACTCAGGAGGCTGAGGCAGGAGAATCACTTGAGCCTGGGAGGCAGAGGTTGCAGTGAGCCGAGAGGTTGCAGTCAGCCAGCCTGGGTGACAGAGCAAGGCTCTGTCTCAAAAAAAAAAAAAAAAAAAAAAGAAAAAGAAAGAAGAAAAACATGAAATATCACCATCACCACCAGAAAAGAGAAAAAGGTCTGAGATAATACTTAACAGGACTGAAAAAGTTTAACTAATGGGAGGAATTTGGAAAACATATTTAAGTGTCCATTTAAAACTCTCAACCTGTGCAAATTATGCTTTCAGGTGTTTGAGACTTTTTTTTTTCTTTCTTTTTTTTTTTTTTTTTTTTTTGAGACAGAGTCTCACTCTGTAGCCCAGGCTCTGGAGTGCAGTGGCATAATCACAGCTCACTGCAGCCTTGATCTCCTGTGCTTAAGCCATCCTCCGACGTCAGCCTCCTGAGTACCTTGCACCACAGGCGCATACCATCACACCCAGCTAATTTTTGTATTTTATGTAGAGATGGGGTTTCACCATGTTGCCTGGGCTGGTGTCCCAATTCCTGGGCTCAAGCAATCCTCTTGCTTCAACCTCCCAAAGTGGCCTGAGCCACTGTGCCTGGCTACATTTATTTTAATAATTGAGAAATTTTAAACCATTGACTAGATTCATATTTTCAGACTAACAATTCAAAAAGATTTACTAAGAAAACATGATGCAAATGTAGTCCACTTTCAAGGGCAAGGATCAGACATGAAGTTTGTGGGTAGCAGTCATCACTTATGTCAGAAAATACTCAAAGAAAATCTGAACATTGGAACACCCTCAGAATTCTTTAGTTCAGTGGTTTAGATTGAATGTTGAAGACGTGGGAGAAAACGGCACGTTTTGAAGGAAAAGTACATGAGAACTTTGGTGTTGACTTGAAATTACATGAAGTAGAATGGGTATGAAGTAAGATATTGTTCAGCTCCTGGCTTCATTGCTCATGCCTTAAGCTCATGAATTCAATTTCTTCCTCTTACCCCAGTCAACTGAAAAACCAGACTGCCTCTTATGGTTGTTGTGAGGATTAAATGATATACTGTGCATAAAGTGCTTATCAATGCTTGGCACATAGTAAGGTATCAAGAAATGTTAATTTCTTTTTTTATTTATAACTAAACATACCAGATAATATTTAGCAAAGCAATCAGCAAAGCCTTCAAAGTTCTTTCCCACAGTTTTTTGGTTTCACTGGTTGCGTAGACTTGCAATGGCAAAAAGTCACAAGTTTTTCACAATACTCACATAAAATTCTTAATACCCAAAAAATCTATTATCACACATAATTATAACAAGTAGATTTTGTGCCTAGTGACACATATTTTTAAATTTTTGAATAATACAAGTTGGAAAACTAACATGTTCCATTTTGACTTGAGGTTGCAAATTTCTTAGTCTGGAGCCAACATGGAACTTCTTAAAGAATAAGGCAATAATAAGCATGTAGGCTACAAAAAGAACACTTTTATTTTTAGGATCAGTATCAAATAAATGTGAAATATTGGTGATTTCTTTTTTCTTTGTCTCTCTTTTTTTTTTTTTAGATGGAGTCTTGCTCTGTTGCCAGGCTGGAGTGCAATGGCGTGATCTCGGCTCACTGCAACCTCCGCCTCCCGGGTTCAAGCAATTCTTCTGCCTCAGCCTCCCAAGTAACTGCGACTGCAGGTGCGCACCACTATACCCAGCTAATTTTTGTATTTTTAGGAGAGACGGGGTTTCACCATGTTGGCCAGGATGGTCTCAATCTCCTGACCTCATAATCCGCCTGCCTCGGCCTCCCAAAGTGCTGGGATTACAGGCGTGAGCCACTGCACCCAGCCAATATTAGTGATTTCTAAAGAGATTTTTGTACCAAGTTTTGAGAAAAATATTCTTGCTTCTATTAATATTTTCAAAGATGTATAAATGAATACAGATGATAATTTTTAAGGATTCTATGCAAGATTTGCTACCCCTTCCAATGCTTTTCCTGTCCCAAATCCAGAAACATAAACATGCTATAACAGGCAAAATGTCATTATTGAGATACAGTATCTACATTATGGATCCTCAACATCTCCCTAACAATACTCACACAGGCTCACATTAATAAACTGTGCTTGCAGACATGTCCATTCAGTGGTTTACTGATGAACTTAGAAAAAAAAATGTTGGCATATTGGTAAAGTGCAAATATAGCCCTTTTTAAAAAAGTCTGGCAATATTTAAAGTAAAAGTATAATGTAAATTTTTTTCAAAGTGTAAAATATTGAGTACTAATTATATTTGAGAATAATGCCTAATTATGCATGTTAAATGTATAACTTTGCCATTTGAAATCTTGTTTAACATGTCCCTTATTAAGCTACTAAATGTATTTTGTGGTCCTTATATTTTCCAAGTAGATCTTTTAAAAAATTGGCCAGGTGCAGTGGCTTACGCCTGTAATCCCAGCACTTTGTGAGGTTAGGTGGTGGATCACCTGACGTCAGGAGTTCAAGACCAGCTTGGCCAACATGGTGAAACCCCATCCCTACTAACAATACAAAATTAGCTAGGCATGGTGGTGCATGCCTGTAATCCTAGCTACTTGGGAGGCTGAGGCATGAGAATCACTTGAACCCAGAAGGCGGAGGTTGCAGTGAGCCGAGATCCTGCCACTGTACTCCAGCCTGGGCAACAGAGCCAGACTCTGTCTCAATTAAAAACAAAACAAAACAATAACAACAATAAAACACAAGCATTAAGCCCATCAATACTGTTCTTTGCTTTCTGTGAATTTATATTATCTCCTGATATATATCTAACATTATTCTGTTTAGTTATTCAGTCATTCACTCAGTTTTGAGTGTGCCTCACAATATGGAGGAGTTTGGATTGTCTGTATCCCTGTGCACATATTCCAGCCAAGGCTGCAGGAGAAACACTTAGAAGTGCATTTCTTTGTTTGGGGCAGTCATCTAAACTCATCTTCAGCACAGTTATAGTCCTCCTGCTGTACTCCTCTCCCTTCCTATCTCAGGGGAAGAAGCATAAGAAGTGGGGATAGGAGCTTCTAAATGTTGCTCCAATCCCCCAAATTCAGATGTGAAGGAAAGAGGGCATGAGTAAGGGTGTGCCCCACAGTGACAGCCACTGGCCTGTGCAAGGAGTCCCTGAAGGTGTGAGAATGGAAAGAGCTTTCTCATGTCTATGATTGTAAGTTGTTAGCACCCATTCTCCTCCACTCCTGCTCATCATTTCCTCATTTATGACTCTGACATTCTAGCTTACTTGCCTGAGAATTTAGCTGCAATAACTCTTTCTTCCACCTGCTGGCTTTTTAGCCATCAACCTCCCTAGCTTGATAAGGAGGGGAGGACTAAAAAGGCTACAAGATCAATTCTAACTCTGTAATTCTATAGAATTCACTAAAGTTTTGTATTAAATTTTATAAATGACAAACTGCTTCATTAACCTTAGCTATTAACATAATTTTTGTCAGAGTCCATGAGTATCTTGTTCTGTATTGCGGGACTAGTTTTGCTGCCTGTTATACATATTGTGCTTTTGTAGTTAAAATGGTCTCTAAAATGGATTTAATTTGTACAAGGATAAAGGGGAAAATATGACTCATTTCAGGGCCTTAGACAAAAATAAGATGTGCTGACTTATGGTCTTGTGGGAGGAACTGATTGATGTACTCAAAGCCAATTACAACCACTATGGCAGAGGCACAAAGTAGTGCCATGAGAATCCAAAGAAAACCCAGCTTCACAAAAGGGGTGCCATGTTAGCTGGCTCTTGACAGCTGCATTGGAAACAAGGTAGATTATAGGTAAAGGCATGGAAAGTTAGAGGCCTGCTCTGAGAGTGAAATATGGATGGAGCATAGAGGGGGGCAAATCAAAGTGTGATTGATTTTAAGAAACAGACCTGGTACAGTGCTTGGCTTATAAGAGATGCCCAGTCGATGTTGAAAGAAAAGAAGATGGATTATGTCACTCTTCTGCTCAAAATCTTCCCATCACATTTGGAATAAAACCCTAGGACCATATCCTGCTTCATAAGCGCCTATAATCCCTGCCCGCTTCCCCTCTCACCTCATGTCTTACTATTCTTCACCCTGGTTAGTTCTGCTCTGGCCCACTGTCTGGTGAAACCCATTTCTGCCTCAGAATGTGCATCTGCAGTTCCCTCTGCTAATCCCATTCTCCTTTCAGATATACACGCAGCTCCACCTCTCACCTCCCTCAGGTTCCTGGTCAAATATCTCCTGCTGAGAGATGTCTTTTTTTCTGTCCAAGCTACCTGGAATACTCACCTTCTGTTATATACTAAATGTTTATGTCCCCCCACCCCTAAATTCATATGTTGAAATCCTACCCACCCCCCAATGTGATAGTAGTAGGACGTAGGGGCTTTGGTAGGTGATTAGGTCGTGAGAACAGAGCCCTCATGAATGGGATTCATGCTCTTATAAAAGAGAATCTGAAGGACTCCTGCATCAGTGGTTATCTGTGAACCAGGAAACAGGCTCTCACCAGACACTGAATTTGCTAGTGCCTTGATCTTGGGCTTCCCAGCCAAGAACTGTGAGAAATAAATTTCTGTTGCTTCTAAGCCACCCAGTAGCTATGGCAATTTGTTATAGCAGCCTGAACTGACTAACACATTCTCATACCCAGTTATTACCCCTTTCCTCTACTTTGATTTTTTTTTTTTTTTTTTGAAATGGAGTCTACCTCTGTCACCCAGGCTGGAGTACGGTGGCACGATCTCAGCTCACTGCACCCTGCACCTCCTGGGTTTAAGCAATTCTCCTGCCTCAGCCTCTGGAGTAGCTGGGATGACAGGCACGCACCACCAAGCCTGGCATTTTTTTTTTTTGAAACGGAGTTTCACTCTTGTTGTCCAGGCTGGAGTGCAATAGCATGATCTTGGCTCACCGCAACTTCCACCTCCCAGGTTCAAATGATTCTCCTGCCTCAGCCTCTCAAGTAGCTGCGATACAGACATGCGGCACCATACCCGGCTAATTTTGTATTTTTAGTATAAATGAGATTTCTCCATGTTGGTCAGGCTGGTCTCAAACTTCCAATCTCTGGTGACCCACCCGCTTCGGCCTCCCAAAGTGCTGGGATTACAGGTGTGAGCCACCATGCCTGGCCTAGCCCTGCTAACTTTTGTATTTTTAGTAGAGACAGGGTTTCAACATGTTGGCCAGGCTGGTCTCGAACTCCTGACCTCAGGTGATCCACCTGACTCAGCCTCCTAAAGTGCTGGGATTACAGGAGTGAGCCACCATGCCTGGCTTACTTTGATTTTTTAATAGCACTTATCACTGCCCAATATTGCATCCTTTATTGATTTGTCAATATTCTATCTCCTTCACTAGGCTATATGTTAAGTCATCAAGCATAGGGATTTCACTTAGCTTACCACTGTTATCTCCAGTGCCTAGTACATAGTAGGTCGCAATAAATTATTTGGAAAAGGAAAGGAGAGAGCAAGGGGCTAGTTGGTGGGCTTTGAATACAATGTCCAATTATTCTGAAGGACACTGTCTTCCAGTCACACATGTTTACTCATTTCCCAGCTTACAAATAAACACTTCATGAATCCTTATCATCTTTTGCTTGATTCAATGGGACTATATTAAGTACTTAGCATGTAGATGGTATACTATTATGCATGAAGTAGAAACAAAAGAAATAAGTAGATATTCTTTCAGTCAACAAACATTTGTTGGGTACATCTTATTGTCAGGTGCTAGTCTAGGTGCTGGGAATATAGCAATGAATAAGACAGATATACTGTCACAGAGCTTGTAGTTCAACAGGGAGAGTTAGAATGAAGAATGATGAGCATATTACTTAAGGGAAAAGAGTAGGTACTCTAGTAGATGAAAGTTTATTAGAGGAAAGTTTGTTCAAACTCAGGCCTGAGAGATGAGTTGGCCAAACAGAAGAGGAAAGATGAAGAGTATCTCGGAACAAGGAAACAGAATGTGCAAAAGGAAGTGTGAGGAAATCAGAGAAGTTGTATATGGCGGAAAGCTGAAGTTCTCAGTCTTCCAGATGCTTACAATCCAGGTGGGGAGATAAGACATGGACATGTGAAACAGTTACATAAGAATGCAAGCAACACAGATGGAACTGAAGATCATTTTCTTAAGTGAAATAAGCCAGGTAAAAAAAAGACAAATATTGCATGTTCTCATTTATATGTAGCCGCTAAAAAATTGGATGAGATGGAGGTAGAAAGTAGAAAGAGAGATAACAGAGACTGGGAAGGATGAGAAGGGTTGGGGAGGAGGATGAAGGGACGTGTGTTAAAGGGTACAAACATGGTAAGATAGAAGGAATAAATTTAATGTTTGATAGCAGAGTAAAGTGACTATAATCAACAAAAATGTATTGAACTCGGGTGACAAACACCCCTAAATACCCTGACTTGATCACTATGTATTACATACATGTGACAAAATTTCACATGTACCCCATAAATTTGTACAAATAATAAATAAATAAATATGGGCCAGGCACAGTGGCTCACGCCTGTAATCCCAGCACTTCGGGAGGCTGAGGTAGAAGGACTGCTTAAGTCTAGGAGTCCAAGACCAGTCTCACAAAACTCCATCTCTACAAAAAAATATAAAAATTAGCCGGGTGTGGTGGTACACTTGTAGTCCCAGCTACTCAGGAGGGTGAGGCAGGGGAATCACTTGAGCCCAGGAGGCAGAGGTTGCAGTGAGCCAAGATCACACACCTCTGCACTCCAGCCTGGGTGACAGAGTGAAACCCCATCTCAAAAAAATAAAAATAAGTAAATATGAATGCAAGTACCTGTAAGAAAAAGATCACTGGTTATAGTACTGAGTGCAACAGATTGTGAGTCCTGTAGAAGAGAAAAGAGAGGACAGTGTGGGCTGAAGGTGCCTACATGTCCACAAGAAGCAGATAACATGCAGGCAGAATATGGAAAAGGTATCTGGAATGCGGCTAGATAAACAAAGGTAAGAAGCCTTCTAATCAGGAGAATCGAATCAGTATTTTGGAGAATAGGATGGGCTAGGACTGCTTAGAGTGTTAACATGGGAATGGAGGGAATAATAAAGTTTGATAGCAAGGTTACAAAAGGCGGCCCTTGAAAATAAGCCTGAAGAATTTAGACTTTATCTTGAGGAGGATTAGGAGAGAGTGAAAGTAAAATGTCGGTGAATAACTGACTCCATAACAAATACTTATTGATTACCCATTATATGCCAGGTACTACACTGTGCCAATACAGCAGTGAATAAAACACATCCCTGCCTTCATGGAGGTTATAAAGAAAACACGTTAGATGATAAAGATATGTAGGATAAACTGGGCAGGAAGATATGCCCTTACGAAGAGAAAGGGATGCACATGGAATACATTTGCAAAATAGGAAAAAAAGGAATTGGACAATGAATGAATACGGAGAACAAAGGCAAGACAAGAGTTTTGGGTCTTTGCTTTGCTTTACTTTCCTACTTGCCATTCTGTTTATCCTCACAATTGAGAAATTAGTCTGAATTTAAGACTTTTAAAGAATTGAGTGTTGACTGACACCTGTTTACTAGGCTATTAAAGTTTTTTATTTTTACAAACAGCTTTACAACAATCTAAATTATTTAAAACACAGATTCTCTCAGTCTCTCTGTTGTCTTATATGGGTGGCTTACCTAAACCAGTCAGAAACTGTGTAATAAGTAATTTGCAATAATGGTTGAAATAGAAACAGTGTATTGCACATAGTAGGCATTCAGTAAAAGTATCTGTAAATGAATGAATAAAGTTTTCTAATTATTTACTTTAATAAGTTAGAGCAGAATCAGGGTTTTCTGATAAGAATGTTTTTCTTACTTACCTGAGTTCTAATATACTTCCCTGAGTGTGTAGAGAAAAAGAAGGGTGGTGAGTAACATACTGCAGTTAGAAGGGGAATCTCCCATAATCTCCAGTTTGTCTTATCTATGCCAGAGGCCACCATTTAGTAGAAAACAATGGAATGTGATAGTCATCCAGTATGTGTTTCCAAGGGGGAAAAAGTATTTGAGATCTTCTGCCTTAAAAATCATCCTCAAATGTCATCATTCTACAAATCAGTTGTTTTCCTTTTTCCATATCCCTTTCTGATTTGCTCTAATGCATACATATTAGTTGTATATGTATAGTATATTCATTTTTATTTAATATTAAGCTGGAAATTTAAAATGAAACATTAAAGGTCATCTATGGCAGATTCTTCTACTATGTAAGGTAATCTGGTAGGTTTATAACCCAGGCATTTGGCAATGAGTTGTGGCTAATTGCCTTTGTATATGGTAGAGTTTCCTTGCTTCTTCTTTTATTTCTTTTTTTTTTTTTTGGGGGGGGGAAATGGAGTCTCACTCTGTTGCCCAGGCTGGAGTGCAGTGGTGTGATCTCGGCTCACTGCAAACTCTGCCCCCTGGGTTCAAGCAACTGTCTGCCTCAGCCTCCAGAGGAGCTGGGGTTACAGGCTACTGCCACCACACCCGGCTATTTTTTATTTTTATTTTTAGTAGAGACAAGGTTTCACCATCTTGGTCAGGCTGGTCTTGAACTCCTGACCTTGTGATCCACCTGCCTCGGCCTCCCAAAGTGCTGGGATTACAGGTGTGAGCCACTGTGCCTGGCCAGTTTCCTTGCTTCTTTAAACTTCTCCACCCCTGCAAAACCATCCTCCCTCACCCAACAGATAACCCGAAGATGACTCATGTTCTTCACACACAAACACACCTTTTACTTTAACTTACACACTTTCTACTCTCTGGGCTGCCTTCACTGCAGCCCACAGAGTAGAAAGTGTATAAGTTAATTTTCAACGCAGATTTCATTCACTGAGAAAAGTTTAATGAAAAAAGAATCGCTGGCTGTGGTGGCTAACGCTTGTAATCTCAACACTTTGGGAAGCTGAGGTAGGTGGACTGCTTGAGTCCAGGAGTTCAAGGCCGGCCTGGGCAACATGGTGAAACCCCATCTCTACAAAAAACGCTAAAGTTAGCCAGGCATGGTCGTGCATGCCTGTAGTCTCAGCTACTTGGGAGGCTGAGGCAGGAGCATCATTTGAGCCTGGGATGTGGAGGTGCAGTGAGCCGAGATCACACCATTCCATTCCAGCCTAGGTGACAGAGAGGGACCCTGTCTCCAAAAAAAAAAAAAAAAAAAAAAACCCAAAACCAATTACATTACAGAAAATTAGGAATATAAAGACAAAAAATTACCTATAAAGCTAATCATTAATATAAAAGATTGATTTTTAGTCCATCTGTTTTAGCCCTTTGTAAAGCTAGTTTTTAAATTATAAAAGTAATAAAGTAATACAGAGGTTTTGTTTTCAGTAATGGCACAATAGCTTATATTGGACTGTTTTCCACAGATAACAATTTTGGACCCTGGACAAAATTTTTTAAAAAACCAAAACACTGGAAAGTTACCAAAAGTAATCACAAAGTAAAAAAGACTCCACCCTGGTACTGTGGTTGGAATGTGTCCCCCAGATTTCATGCTTTGTAAACTTAATCCGCTAATTTATATGTTGATAGTATTTGAAGGTGAGGGTTTTGGGAGCTAATTAGGATTAGATAAAGTCATCAGGATGGGGCCCCTGTGATGGGGGAAGAGGAAGGGAGACCTGGGCTGGCACGCTCCTGCCCTCTCGCTATGTGATGCCCTCTGCCATTTTATGACACAGCATGAGGTCACAGCCAGATGCAGCTGCCTGATCTTGAATTTCCCAGCCTCTAGAATGATGAGTTAAATCAACCTCTTTTCTTTATAAATTGCCTAGTCTCAGGTATTCTGTTATAGCAACAGAAAATGGACTAATACACCTGGAAAGGAAGGGAACACCACTTAGTAAAATCCATGTTTAAACAGATTAATCCCCGAGGGCATTTTCCAATTAATGCTGTGGAAGTTAGAACTCAAGCTGAAGTCTGATTGGCTTTAAGTATGAAAGGACAGAGTTTGGGGTTGCCAGAACAGCTGGCAATTGAGGAGGAAAGTTCTGAAAATGAGAGCCGTGAAGACGGGATTTCCAAACCTGTGTATTAATTTTCCATCAAATCCTTGGATGATCTCTGAATTGCACATGCATGGTCTCAAAAAAAGTCCGTTGTAAAGTAACAGGTTAAAAGTGCTCAGCAGAGGCCAGGTGCAGTGGCTCACGTTTGTAATCCCAGCACTTTGGGAGGCTGAGGTGGGTGGATCACCTGAGGTCAGAAGTTCAAGATCAGCCTGGCCAACATGGTGCAACCCTGTCTCTACTACAAATACAAAAAATTAGATGGGTGTGGTGGCACATGCCTGTAATCCCACCTACTCAGGAGGCTGAGGCAAGAGAATCGCTTGAACCCAGGAGGCAGAGGTTGCATTGAGCTGAGATCACGCCATTGCCCTCTAGCCTGGGCGAAAAGAGTGAGACTCTGTCTCAAAAACAAACAAACAAAAATGCTGAGCAGAGATTTCAGTTGTTGCTCACCATAAGATAGATAGATTTTGGAGTTTGAAGGCTACAAAGTCAAAAAGGGGCTTAGTAAACACCTCAAGCTTTCAATAGAAACTTGAGAGGAGCCACACCTTTGAGTAAAGACTCTTTCCTAGGACTAAGGATTTATTCTAAAACTAAGGATAAAATTGAAATAGATACATCTTAAAATTATAAAAACCAAGCTTACACAAGTTCAAAGTCATTAGCCAAAAACTTGGCTGCCTGCTAGAATGAAAATCAGCATTCTTCAGAGGAAGATAATGTTTTATCCACAATGTCTAGTATAAAAAAATTAAACATGTAATGAAACAGGAAAATGTGACTCAAGATCAAGAGAAAGAGTAGTCAACACAAATAAATCCTGACATGACCTACATTAGCAAGAATTTTAAAGCAGTTATAAATATTTTCAAGGACTTAAAGGAAAATGTAGCCATAGTGAGTGAACAGGTGAAGGAATCTCAGGAGAGATTAAAAAAAGAACTAAAATGAAATTCTAGAACTGAAAAGTGTAATATCCGAAATTTAAAAAAATCTCTGCATGGGTCTACCACCAGAGTGAAGGTGGCAAAAGGGTCAGTGAATGTGAAGAGAAGTCAACAGAAAATGTCTAATCTGAAGAACAGAAAAGAACAGGATGAAGAAAAAACGAACAAAGCCTTAGTGAGCATTTGGACAATATTAAGTATTCTAATGTGCATGCAGTTGAAATCTATGGAGAGGAGAGAAATAATGTAATGGAGAAGAAGGAAAATTTGAAAAAGGTAATGACTGAAATTTTCTCAAATTTGGTGAAAATATCAACTAAAAATCCAAAAATCTCAGTGAATGCCTAGCATCCAAAAGACAAAGAAAACCGCAATATGTACTACCAAATATAAAGAGATGGTCTTAAAACAATGAAAGGAAAAAATTACATATAGGAAAACAATTAATTATAACTGAATTCTCATCAAAAACAATGGAGATCAGAAGACAATGGTATGACAAGTTTAAAAGGCCGAATACAAAAAGGGATACAAAAAGGAATACAAAAAGATGTCGAAGGCAAATGACATGGTATGACAATTTGGATCTACAGGAGCAAAAGGTAAACACAAAAGACCATCTATATTAGTTTCTTGTTGCTGCTGTAACAAATTACTACAAAGTTAGTGGCTTAAAACAAGACAAATTCATCTTATGACTCGAGGTCAGAATTCTGAAATGAGTCTGTCTTAGGCTAAAATTAAGGGGTTAGCAGAGCAGTGTTACTTCTGGAGGCTTTAGGGCAAAACAAATGTCCTTGCTTTCTCCAACTTTTAGAGGCCACCTGCATTCTTGCTCATAGTCCCATTTCTCTATCTTCAAAGCCACCAATGGCTTTGAAGTCAAGCCCTTTTCACGTTACCATTTGCATTGGTCCTCTACTGCATCCTTCTTTTCATTTTAAGGATCCTTATGATTACACTGAGACCTTCTGGGTAATTCAGAATGTCCTCCCTATCCTAACAGCAGTTGATTAGCAAGTGTAATTCTATCTGCTACCTTAATTTCCCTTTACCATAGGACCTAACATATTGAGAAATTCTAGAGATTAGGACCTGGACTTCTTATTGCACGGGGAGGGCATTATTCTGCCTACTACACCAATTTTTTTTCCTCTTAATTTCTTAAGTATAACTGTTATTGCACAAATCATAACATAGTATTTTGGCATTAATAAATAAGTAGATATAAAATGTATGATAGCAATAGCACAAGGGGTGAAAGGGGGTAAATAGGATAAACTGCTGTAAGTTTACATGAAGTGGTATCATATTAACTCGTAGCAGACTATATTAGGGATGCATATTATCATCCCTAGAGCAAAGTTTCTTAAATAGAGTTCTATGGAACCTAGGTTTCTGCAAGATGTTGCTAGTTTTGAATTACCTTCTCTAATCTTCTATTTCATGCCACACACTGACTTACGTTAGTGAACAAGCTCTGTCAGTGAAATAGCAAATAGGAAGTTTTCCTTCTAAAGAAGGAATTTTATTTGATAAGATTTACTTGCCCCCTGGCCACTCCACTGTTGTTATAAATGTTGAAAACATAAATTATGTAGGCTAGAAGTAAATTGCATTGTGAAAATTTTGGCATTTTTTTGTGATTTACACACTTAGTTATCATACCCTTTTGTTACGTATTTTATTAGAGTTTATGTTTTATAAAAATGCCTGATGATCTAGTATGGTGACTTTTGAAGAAGAGGTGTGAGAAGGATGAGAGGTATTTTAGGCCAACACTTATTTAAAATTCTAATATGTTAGTAATGAATAATTATAATCTTCAGAGTCATTTCATTACACAAGTGCAACAAAGGACATAAAGTCTGTCTTTACAATAATGCTCTTTATCAATAGGTTTTACATGGACTAGGAATCCAAGTTTTCCTATTCCATTGTGTATCATTGGCATTCACCAATTTCTAAATGTAACGGTAGTTCCACCAAAAATGAAAAGACACTTAAAAATTACTACCATTTGACGACCAGAGATGCTGATTACTTTATGTGGCAAGTTCAACCTCAAAACATAATGAAACTTTTACTTTTTTAAAAAAGTCACATTCTATGAAAAGTCTCAGCAATTTATTTAATAAGAGAACTTATTGCTCAGAAAAGGAAAAGTCACACATTTGGTGAGAACATAATAATGCATTATTCAAAATTGTAGTGAGTTAAAGGCTAGAACAAGATGCAGCATAAGAAATTGAAAAGTTCCATTCTCAAATAGTACAATAAGTTGACATACTGATAACATGTCTCATGATGGTAAAGAAATGTTCTATAATAAATTGAAAATTAATAACTTCTCTAGGTTTATGAGGCAACAGATGTCATTAATATATGTCATACTGTACCATTTGTAAGATTTTTAGTTAATGGTAAAATATTAAACTTTTTTTTCTGCTGCAAAGAGCTGCCTGCAATAAGCAAAGCCCAAGATACATTTAATGTTTTGTCCTCGTAACTGGAAACAAATGGCCAGTCTTAAAGAAACTCTATTGGTATCTGTACTAATGATGCCCCATCAATGGTTGGCTGCAGCCTCTTGTTAAAACAAAACAACAAAACACACACACACAAAAAAAAAGGAAAGAAAATGCTGTTTTTGATGTCACAGTACTCTGTTTTCTTTACAGATAGATGCTAGTGTCAAAAACTCTTAGAGATGAATGCAGTGGCTCACGCCTGTAATCCCAGCACATTGGGAGGCTGAGGCAGGCAGATCACGAGGTCAGGAGATCAAGACCATCCTGGACAACATGATGAAACCCCGTCTCTACTAAAAATACAAAAATTAGCCAGCTGTAATGGTGTGTGCTTGCAGTTTCAGCTACTTGGGTGGCTGAGGCAGGAGAATTGCTTGAATCTGGGAGGTGGAGGTTGCAGTGAGCCGAGCTTGCGCCACTGTACTCCAGCCTGGCGACAGAGCAAGACTCCATCTCAAAAAAAAAAAAAAAGAAAGAAATTTGAAAATTCAGATGATGCTACCAAAAAATGGTTAACTGTGTTAAACAAAGATCAAGTCACTCAAGAATGTTTTTAAAAACTGCATGAAAATCTGGAAAATCAGTGAGTAAATCACTTGCTACATACAGAAATCTAGGGGCTTAGTAGAGGAAGAGTTCTCAATAGAGTGCTTGAACTTAAAACCTTGCAGGAGGTTTTTTTTGTTTGTTTGTTTTTGAGGCAGGGTCTCACTCTGTCACCCAGTCTGGCATGAAGTGGCACAATCTCAGCTCACTACAACCTCTACTTCCCAGGCTCAAGCATTCCTCCAGCCTCAGCCTCATGAATAGCTGGGACTACAGGCATGAGCCACCAAGCCTAACTAATTTTTTTTTTTTTTTTTTTTTTTTTTTAGAGATGGGGTTTAGTCATGTTGCCCAGGCAGGTCTTGAACTCCTGAGCTCAAAGGGATCAGCCTGACTCAGCCTCCCGAAGTACTGGGATTACAGACATGAGCCACTGCACCCAGCTGCAGAAGTACTTTTAAGAAAATAAAGTGCCCGAGTTTGCTCAGTGCTTTGAAATGCAGAATAGCTGCAGAAATGAACCTGCTTAGCAGACATCTTTTATCTCATGAAACAGTTGACCAAATCTCTACAAGACCTTGTAGAAAAGGTTTTTATTTCAATTGACAAAATTCTTAGACTTTAAAGGGAATTGAATCTTTGGGAAAATCATGTTGCAGAAGGAAATTTTGAAATGTTTCCACTACTGCTTGATTATGCAAGTGAGGTGGGATATCACTAAGTAGGCTTTTTATTGAAACCACCTGGAAGAACTTCAGTATACAGCTAAACAGTATTCTCCCTCCCTTCTAATACAGGAGTAGGGTCCCTTTAAGATCTGCTCAGGTTGAGAACTTTGAGCTGCAGTCTGATTTTACACTCAAGATGAGAGCTACTGATACGCCTCTAGACGACTTCTGGCTTTCTATTTAAAAGAGAGAGAGAGAGACAGAGAGAGAATATCCTGTCATTCCTAGAAAAATAATGAAAATCTGGCCAGGCGCAGTGGCTTGCACCTGTAATCACAGCACTTTGGGAGGCTGAGGTGGGTGGACACCTGAGGTCAGGAGTTCAAGACCAGCCTGAGCAACATGGTGAAACCCTGTCTCTACTAAAAATACAAAAAAATTAGCCAGGCGTGGTGACATGTGCCTGTAGTCCCAGCTACTTAGGAGGCTGAGACAGGAGAATCATTTGAACCCAGGAGGCAGAGGTTGCAGTGAGCCGAGATTGCATCACTGCACTCTAGCCTGGGTGACAGAGTGAGACTCCAACTCAAAAAAAAGAAAGAAAAATAATGAATATCTTGCTGGAGTTTTCAGTTCCTTATATGTGTGAATAGGCTTATTTACTTCAGGTGAAAATGAAGTCTGTGTACTTATCCTAACCTATACCCAGAATTGAGCACCCATTAAAGCACATTATAACCAATATAGGCATAGTCTAACAATGATATGCTTTCAATTCTTCCCTTCAATCTTCTGTGCTATTATTGTTATACAGTTACATTTAAATATGTTATACTCTTAGTATACTGTTCCTATTTTTTATTTAGCCATTTATTTTAAGAGCTATTAAGTATGCAAAAAGTCCTTTATATTTACCTATATCTTAAGCATTTCCACAAAGCTTCTCTTCTTTGCATAGTTCCAAATTAGTTTGATATCCTATTCCTTCTGCCTAACTTCCTTTAACATTTTTTTGTAGCATAAATCTGCTGCTATTGAATTTCCCATTTTTCTCTTAAAAAACATTTGTCATTCATTTTTCAAAATACTTTCCTGGCTGGGCATGGTGGCTCATGCCTGTAATCCCAGCACTTTGGGAAGCCGAGGCAGGTAGATCACCTGAGGTCAGGAGTTCGAGGCTAGCCTGGCCAACATGGCTAAACCCCGTCTCTACTAAAAATACAAAAATTAGCCAGGTGTGGTGATGGGTGCCTGTAATCCCAGCTACTCAGGAGGCTGAGGAAGGAGAGTCACTTGAACCTGGGAGGCGGAGGTTGCAGTGAGCCGAGATCGTGCCACTGCACTCCAGCCTGGGTGACGGGGCAGGACTCTGTCTCAAAAAAAAAAAAAAAAAAAAAACCAGTTTGCTGTGTATATTATTCAGAACCAACAGTTCTTTTTTCTTTAAAGATGCCATCCCACTGTTTTTTGGCTTGCATAGTTTCTGAAGAGGAGTCTGCTATTATTCTTACCATCTTTTTCTGTATATAATGTCTTTTTTTTTTCTCCACTGATCATCTACAAGATTTTATCTGTATCTTTGGTTTTCAGCAGTTTGAACATGGTGAATCTAGTTTTTTGTTTTTAAATTCTTGGCATTTTCTGAGCTTTTTGAAACTGTATTTCATCATTTTTGAAAAATTCTCAACAATTGTCTCTTTCTAGGATTAAAATTACACATATGTTAGACCATATGATATTGTTCAACATCTCTTGAATGCTATTTGTTTTCTTTTGCTCTTGCCACTTATTTTTCTTTTTGATCATTTCATTGACCTATCTTTAACTTCACTGTTTCTTTCCTTGATTGTGTCAAATGATGTATGGATGTGTCTGTATAAGTCACTTTTTATATCTGTTACCATGATTTTAAATTCTACCACTTGACTATCTTTTACCTTCTATCTGTCTGCTGATTTTCCTTATCTGTCCATGCATGTTCTCCCTCTTTTCCAGGAGGAAAGGCTAACAATTTAATCATAATTATTTAAAATTTCATATCTGATAGTTCCAACATCAATGTCATCTCCAAATCTGGTTCTATTGATTGCTTTGTCTCTTGAAAATGGGTTTAAACTTTTTTTTTTGTTTTTTTTGTGTCTTGTACTTTTAAATTTCTTGCTGCACAGAGTAGGTAGAACAGTAGAAATTGAGATAAATAGTAGTAAATACTATTTATTACTGGAAATGACATTTCTCCTGTTGGCTTCTAGAGGGTTAGTCAGTATAGTCAGGAATTGAGCTGGGTTTCTCTTTTGCTGTTGCTATGTTTATGTTCCATGTACCACCAGTTTTAGATTTCACTAGATATACCTTGTGCGTAGGGTGGGATTTGGTTTCCAGAGGCTTTTTCCTCAATGTCCTGCTTCTTCCTTAACTTTATACCTTCTCTATAAATGTGTGCCTCAGAGTTCTCCATGTTCTTGCCTCTTCCCCAAAAGTAGACTTTGGTTGCTTGTTGCCTGGTGCTTGTTATTTGGCACTTGCTAGAGGGTAGGATGGGGAGAGAGAGGGCAGGATAACTTTCTGTGGTCCTTCTCCAGCCTCAGACTTAGTCAGACCCTATATCTCTGGGTCTAGGAGTGGAGTTTTCTCAGTGATCGTATCCCTCACCCAGAGGCAGGAAACCTCTCTTGGACTGGATCCATAATAGTTTCTTTCCCCTCCTCCAGAGTTGGAGGGTTTTGTTCTTTGTATTTCTCCCAGATAAAATGGTATGTCACCTGTGCTCTGGGGGAGATAGGTTTACTGCCCTTACCCTAACAACATAAGTATTTTGTTTCTTAGGGGAGAAGGTCTGGGTGGAGCTTTGTGTGTTTACCACAGAACTGGCCATTCTCCTCTCCAGGCCTATACTGCAAAAGGTGGCTTCCTATGAAATCCCACCCTGACTCCTGTCTTTCTCATCTGTATCCAGCGAAGTTGGTGAAAACAAACCAGCAAAAGGATGCAAACCATCTTTGGGTCTAGGGCTCTCAAGGGTTCCATGATTTCATTCTAGAACAAACTCAGCCTTTAGCAATTTGTTAAATATTTTAGCTTCTTACCTGCTTGTATGGTGGGCTTGCCTTCCTCTTATGCTCTGCCACAGGTAAATCAATGCTTTCATCTTCTCTCCTCTTGAAGATGCCTATTTTTCCTTAGAATATCAGGCTATTTTGGTGCCTTACCTCAGTTCTTGAGGGGGGGTGGTTCAAGACAAATTATGATTTTGTACATTATTTTTTCTTGTTGTTAGCAAAATTAAAAATTATTTCCAGTTTTCTAGATCTTAGGCAGAAGCTATAAGCATTCCTAAGGATTTGAAATGTCATGTTTATCATATTCTAAATTCTCATATGTATTTGGATTCATTTCTCAACTTTTTATTCTGTTTCATTAATCTGTCAATCTATGCACATACCAGTTACATGAATTGTAGCTTTATTGTAAATAATGATGAGGGACATTTCATCCATCCTCATTATTGTTATTTTTCAAAAATTTCTTAGATATTCTTGCTAAGTTAATTTTTAAATATAAAGTGTAACATAATTTTCACTTTAGAGCACTGAACTTAAAATAGCCTATGTTTAAGACAGCACTCTACAGCTATATCTCTAAAAGAGACCCTATTTCTAATTCTTTTAACAATTTATTAATGTTTTTCTCTTATTAAATCAAACTTATTCAGTATAGCAAAATAAAAAATAATAGATAGTTAAATAAAAAGAGTAAAATTACCTGCAATTCCACCATCCAATTATACCACTGTTAGCTTTGGACTATATCCTTGTTACAGAACTTTTACTACATAAGCAGACACATGTTACACCTATTATGTATAAATGGTTTCACACAGCATTATAATCTGCTTTTAAACTTAAAATTAAAAAAATTTAAATATTATTAAAATTATATATTAATATATTATCAAAATATTTAATATTAAATATTCTTATTAACAATATTTTACAAATAGATACCCTTCTAGAACAGTGATTTTCAGATGTGCTGCTGGGAACTCTAAGGATTTAGAACTCTAGACTTCTAGATTTCTAGAACTCTAGAAAACTTTTCATGGGCTATTCTGCATGAGGTTGGAGAATAGAGATTGCCAAGCTGAACCTAACTCTGGCCCACTATTCTCTCTTCTAGTAGAACATTTACTTGTCTCTTTTGGTTCTTAGGATTCTGCATAAGTTTTAATTTAAAAAAAGGCTCTGAAAAGAAAAATAAGTTTAAAAATCACCATTTTGCATCATCAATTAATTTTCTATGAACTACTTCAGGCATACAAAAAAGAGAGTATAATATAAAACTTGAACATATATCACTAACCTCAAGAAATGGACATAATATTATTGAAGCTTTCTGGATGCCTCTTTTTCATTCTTCAGACGCAAGCAATCACTATCCTTTGTTTTATCGTTCTCCTGCAAGTCCTTTTATATTTTTGCTACATATGTTTCTATAAGTAAAATATGATATTATTTTGGGCCAGGAGTGGTGGCTCACGCCTGTAATCCCAGCACTTTGGGAGGCCCAGGTGGGCGGATCACCTGAGGTCAGGATTCGAAACCAGCCTGGCCAACATGGTGAAACCCCATCTCTACTAAAAACATACAAAAATTAGCCAGGCATGGTGGCAGGCACATGTAATCCCAGCTACTTGGGAGGCTGAGGCAGAAGAATCACTTGAACCCAGTAGGCAGAGGTTGCAGTGAGCCGAGACCCTGCCACTGCACTCCAGCCTGGGCAACAGAGCAAGACTCCATCTCAAAAAAAAAAAAAACCCAACAACAAAAAAACCCAGATTCCTCTCCAAAGAAGTGGGGGCGGTTTATATGCACATTAAGAATATATGAAGCTGGGCGCTGTGGAGCACGCCTGTAATCCCAACACTTTGGGAGGCCGAGGCAGGTGGATCATGAGGTCAGGAGATCGAGACCATCCTGGCTAACACAGTGAAACCCTGTCTCTATTAAAAACACAAAAAAATAGCCAGGCATGGTGGCGGGTGCCTCTAGTCCCAGCTACTTGGGAGGCTGAGGCAGGAGAATGTCATGAACCCAGGAGGCAGAGCTTGCAGTGAGCCGAGATCGCGCCACTGCACTCCAGCCTGGGCGAAAGAGCGAGACTCCGTCTCCTAAAAAGAAAAAAAAAGAAAAGAATATACGAAAGTTCCAGTTGCTTCACAGCCTCACAGTTATATCCCTTGTGGAAATTCCATTTTATTATACTTTAAGTTCTAGGTTACATGTGCACAACGTGCAGGTTTGTTACATATGTATATATGTGCTATGTTGGTGTGCTGCACCCATTAACTTGTCATTTACGTTAGGTATATCCCCTAATGCTATCCCTCCCCCCCTCTCCCCATCCCACAACAGGCCCTGGTATGTGATGTTCCCCACCCTGTGTCCAAGTGTTCTCATTGTTCAATTCCCACCTATGAGTGAG
Organism: Homo sapiens; assembly: GCF_000001405.40. Taxonomy (NCBI): domain Eukaryota; kingdom Metazoa; phylum Chordata; class Mammalia; order Primates; family Hominidae; genus Homo; species Homo sapiens. The sequence goes on from NC_000012.12 coordinate 79,759,744, forward strand.
AGCATGCAGTGTTTGGTTTTCTGTCCTTGTGATAGTTTGCTCAGAATGATGGTTTCCAGCTTCATCCATGTCCCTAAAAAGGACATGAACTCATCCTTTTTATGGCTGCATAGTATTCCATGGTGTATATGTGCCACGTTTTCTTAATCCAGTCTATCACTGATGGAGATTTGGTTTGGTTCCAGGTCTTTGCTATTGTGAATAGTGCCACAGTAAACCTGTGTGCATGTGTCTTTGTAGCAGCGTGATTTATAATCCTTTGGGTATATACCCAGTAATGGGATGGCTGGATCAAATGGTATTTCTAGTTCTAGATCCTTGAGGAATCGCCACACTGTCTTCCACAATGGTTGAACTAGTTTACACTCCCACCAACAGTGTAAAAGTGTTCCTATTTCTCCACATCCTCTCCAGCACCTGTTGTTTCCTAACTTTTTAATGATCGCCATTCTAACTGGTGTGAGATGGTATCTCATTGTGGTTTTGATTTGCGTTTCTCTGACGGCCAGTGATGAAGAGCATTTTTTCATGTGTCTGTTGGCTGCATAAATGTCTTCTTTTGAGAAGTGTCTGTTCATATCCTTCGCCCACTTTTTGATGGAGTTGTTTGATTTTTTCTTGTAAATTTGTTTAAGTTCTTTGTAGATTCTGGATATTAGCCTTTTGTCAGATGGATAGATTGCAAAAATTTTCTCCCATTCTGTAGGTTGCCTGTTCACTCTGATGGTAGTTTCTTTTGCTGTGTAGAAGCTCTTTAGTTTAATTAGATGCCATTTGTCAATTTGGCTTTTGTTGCCATTGCTTTTGGTGTTTCAGACATGAAGTCCTTGCCCATGCCTATTTCCTGAATGGTATTGCCTAGGTTTTCTTCTAGGGTTTTTGTGGTTTTAGGTCTAACATTTAAGTCTTTAATCCATCTTGAATTAATTTTTGTATAAGGTGTAAGGAAGGGATCCAGTTTCAGCTTTCTACATATGGCTAGCCAGTTTTCCCAGCACCATTTATTAAATAGGGAGTCCTTTCCCCATTTCTTGTTTTTGTCAGGTTTGTCAAAGATCAGATGGTTGTAGATGTGTGGTATTATTTCTGAGGGCTCCATTCTGTTTTTTTTGTTGCTGTTTTTGTTGTTGTTGAGACGGAGTTTCACTCTTGTCACCGAGGCTGGAGTGCAGTGGCGTGATCTTGGCTCACTGTAACCTCCGCCTCCCAGGTTCAAGAGATTTTCCTGTCTCAGCCTCCCAAGTAGCTGGGATTACAAGCATGTGCCACCATGCCCAGCTAATTTTTGTATTTGTAGTAGAGACGGTGTTTCACCATGTTGGCCAAGCTGGTCATGAACTCACGACTCAGGTGATCCGCCCGTCTCGGCCTCCCAAAGTGCTGGGATTACAGACGTGAGCCACCATGCTCAGCCAATATTAGCATATTCATAGTTCATATTTTAGGACTAATCTTGGAACTAATCAGTACTATGTATTTCAAATATCTTCTCCCATTATGTGACTTGTTTCATTTTTGTGTATGTTTTTTATGCAGAAAATTTTTAAAGTTGAATATAATATACTATATTAGTATTTTCCTTTATGGTCATCTTTGTGTTTTACTTAAATTTTTTTTACCTTACCCTTAGATCAAAAAGATAGCCTCCTACATTCTATTAAAAATGTTAAGGTTTTGCTTTTATTTGGGCTTGTAATTTGCCTGAAATTTATGTGTGTGTGTGTGTGTGTGTGTGTGTGTGTGGTGAGATAGAGATCCAATTTATTTTATTTAGATAACCAACCGTTCCAACCATTCTTCTCTAATCATTTATGATGTTACATCTGCTACTTATTAAGTTCTCATAAGTTTGAGTCTCTTTTGGAGTTCTGTATGTATTGTTTATTTTTGTATTATTGGGTTCAACATTGTTTAAAATACTATGATTTTATAATGTCTTGATAGTTTTCAGGGTAAAACTTCACTTTATCCTTAGTCTTCAAAATTGTCTTGGCTATTTTTGGCACTTAGCTCACTCATATAAACTCAAATTCTTCATTTCTAAGCAATAATGTTGTCCCTAAATCATTTAATTTTACATTTTTGTAAGTATGTAGAAATGCAAGTGATTTTTGAATTTGACCTTGTATCCTGAGACCTTGATAAATTCATTCTTAGTTCTAGTAGTTGCTTTGTGGATTCCTTAGGATTTTTTGTGCAGACAATATGTCAGCTGAAAATACAGTTATACTTTTTCCTTTCAGATATTTATTTTTTGTTTTTTCTTAATACACTAGCTAGGACTGCCAACACCACGCTGAATGGAATGAGTAAGGGACTAAGAGGGGACCATCCGTTACTTGTTTCTGATCTTAGGAAGAAAGCATTTAATATTTCACCATTATGTTGGGTGTAGGTTTTTAATGGAGGGCCATTATCAGATTGAGAAAGTTTTTTATATTTCTAGTTTGCCGAGAGTTTTACATTATGAGTGGGTATTATAGCTGTTAAATGCTTTTTCTGGGCCTATTGAAATGCTCATATTTTATTTCCTTTACTATGTTAATATGAATTACATTGATTATCAAATGTTAAACCAACCTCTCAATTCTAGTATAAACCACATTTAATTATGATGATTTATCCTTTTTATATATTGGTTAATAGTGTTGAAGACTTTTGCATTTATGTTATTGAGGGATATTGGTTTGTAATTTTCTTGTAATGTCTCCATTAGGTCTTGGTATCAGGCTAATGCTGACCTTACAAAATGAACTGGGAAGTTCTGCCTCCTCCTTCATTTTTTGAAGAGTTTGCATGTAAAATGTTTTATTTCTTCCTTAATTTTGGGTAGAATTCAATATAGAAACCATCTAGACCTTTAGTTTTCTGTGAATCACAGCTATTTTAAAGTTTGTTTCTGATAAAACAGTTGTACTGTCACCTTGGACAAGCTGCAACTACATTTCTTTTTTTTTTTTGAGATGGAGTCTCGCTCTGTCGCCCAGGCTGGAGTACAGTGGCACGATGTCGGCTCACTGCAAGCTCCACCTCCCGGGTTCACACCATTCTCCTGCCTCAATCTCCTGAGTAGCTGGGACCACAGGTGCCTGCCACCACACCCGGCAAATCTTTTTTTTTTTTTTTTTTTTTTTTTAGTAGAGATGGGGTTTCACCATGTTAGCCAGGATGGTCTTGATCTCCTGACCTCGTGATCTGCCCACCTCGGCCTCCCAAAGTGCTGGGATTATAGGCTTGAGCCACCGCGCCCGGGCCAAGCTGCAACTACATTTCAAAGAATCTCATTCCCTGTTTAGTTCTGGATTAGTTGGCCAAAATCAAAATATGCATGAGATTTGGAAGGTAGAGTGAAATAGTAGCTAATATACTCTGATGGTCTTTGTGGTGAGAAGTGGTGAGATACAACTGCAGAGGTGCTGGTGGGTTCCAATCTGTCCTTGTACTTCCCTGCTCCATGTCCAACTTTTATTTCTAACTGCAGACCCTGTTGACCAATTATGACCCAAGACTCACTACCAAATGAAGTGACAGTATCTTCAAACAACTCTTCCAGCTTTCTTTTGCAGGCTCACTTCAGCAACTGGATATGCCTGGCTTCTCAATTTCCCTGACAAGCTCCAATTTGGCCAACTATACCTGTGCTTCAGAAGGGCTGGTTCATGACTTTTCTCTTATCCACCAGCTCACCCTTTCAGATCCTTACTTCTTCAGTTTCTTCCACAATTGTGTCAAATCTGTTGCTATAAATTCCTTATTTCATAATACTCACACTGGTTCTGCTTCCCTGATTGAACTTTAATAGAGATAACTAAAAAATTAAAATTTTCTATGGGTCTGTTTTAATTATCCTTTTTCCTTTCTGTTTTTACAGTCAGTTGGTTTTATCTCCTTGAATGCCTTGTCATTTTTTGATTGAATGCTGGACACTTTGTATCCAAATTTTAATAATTTTAGGGTCTGGATGATGCTATCTTCTTCCAAAATGATGGACTTTAACATCCAGCAGTGAGTTAGGGTAAGAACAGATCGTCTTAATCTTGTTCAGGATTGAGCAATTTCAGACTTTGTGATGGCTTACTTATTTTGGGTTTATGCTTTTCTTTTAGGGAATAGCCCTTCAAGGATCCCCACTTAAAAAAAAAAAAAAGCTGGTATTTAATGCAGTTCCTCCCCTTTGGCAGGCCATGAACTGAATGTTCTGAATCCCCCACCCTGTGTGAGTGATAATACAGCTGCTCAGTTTTTCAGTCTCTTGGCCACTAGTTATAAATTGTCTTTGGGGAAAAGTGGTGCTGAATGTGTGGTTCACTTTTTTTGTGCTCCTCTTCTTTTTAGGATCCTGGTCCCGCAAGGCCTTGCTGCAAAACATTGGAAAAAATTATCTATATTAAACCCAGTTATTTCCCTCTCATTCTCATCCAAACAGGATTTCACCCCCATCACTGTAGTTAAATTGCTCGTATTGCAATATCCAGTTGACAGTTCTCAGTCCTTATCTGGTAACAGCAATCATTGCTTCCTAGAAACATTTTCTTCACTCTCTAGGGCCTCAGTCTTCTTATTTTATTCCTATTTCATTGGCCAACCTTCATTATTTTTTGTTGGGTTCCTGTCTTCCTGATCTCTTAACATTAGACGACCCAGGCCCCAATCCTGGGACTTTTTTTTTTTTTTTTTTCTTTTTGAGATGGGGTCTCACTCTGTCGCCAGGCTGGAGTGCAGTGGCGCGATCTCGGCTCACTGCAACCTCTACCTCCCAGGTTCAAGCGATTCTCCTGCCTCAGCCTCCTGAGTAGCTGGGACTACAAGTGTGCACCACCACGCCCAGCTAATTTTTGTATTTTTAGTAAAGACAGGGTTTCACCATGTTGGCCAGGATGGTCTCGATCTCTTGACCCCGTGATCCACCCACCTTGGCCTCCCAAAGTGCTGGCATTACAGGCATGAGCCACCGTGCCCAGCCCTTTACTCTCATTCAGTCTCATGAATTTCCCTATCAGGCATATGCTCAGGCTCCCAGATTTCTATCTCTGGCTTCTCTCTTCTGAACTCAACATTTTGACTTGGATGTTTAACAAATATTCACACTGATAAGCATCTCAAACTTAACATGTCCAAAACATAACTTCATACTTTCTACCACAAACTTGTTCTACTGTCTTCTAAGCTAATTGCAATTCCATCCTTCTAGTTACTAGGGCTATAATCCTGAACTCTCCTACTTCAAATCCAATCGTGTGGGCTCTACCTTCAAAATAGATTTAGAATCCTACCACTTCTCAGCACCTTCACTGTTATCTCCCTGGGCCAAGACACTGTTATCTCCCATATGGATTGCAGTAATAGTGTCCTAAGTAGTCTAAGGGAGATTCCTTAAAAACCTAAGTCAGATTATATTATTTTCTCAAATCCTTCAAATGGCTTCCAGTCTCAGATTAAAAACTTCAAGTACTTACGATGGTTTATAAGACCATACATAATCTTGCCTCCAAATATTCTTCTGGCCTCATCTCTCATACACTTGTCCTTGTTTACTTGGCTTCAGCCACATTGGCTTTCTTGCTATTTCTTAAAAATGCTTCTGCCCCCTGCCTTTGGGCATGCTGTTCCAAACAGACATAGTTGGAATGCTTTTTCCCAGAAATCTTGATGGATCACACTACCATTTCCTTCAGTCATATCAGTGATGCTTTCCTTAACCTATTTAAAACCAAAACCCTCCTCCCTAATATGCCCTTCCCCAACATTCCTTAGGCTTTTTCTTATCCCTACTTTTTCTCCAAGGACTTGTAATTCTCCCTATATTTTTTCTGCCTACATCCAATAGCATATAAGCTTCATTATGGTGGAGTTTTGTCAATTTTGTTCACTGCTTTATCCCTCGCACCTAGAGTAGCACCTGACACATAGTAGCACTCAATATTTGAATAACTCATCAATTTTCAATGGATTCTGATTAAATTTACAAGTCAATTCTAAACAAGCGGTGACATTTCAAGGTTTAAACTTCAGTGATCAGGTTCCTTTTAGGTGATATTCCTGTCATTGATTTTTTGCTTGCTTTTTGTCCTTCTTCTGGTTATAGCCCCCTTCTTTTTTGGGGGGGACTGTACATCCTTTATATCTTCTGGCAATGCTGCTAACCATAAAACTTTACATCTCCCTTGCTTTGAGTGGTAAATAGAAACCCAGGACTGATCAATCAGTACTCCATCTCCATGGAAAAACAGATTAGTTCAAGGGATTAAAATAGCTCATTTCCTGGGATTTCATATATTAGGTGTTGGGATAAGAAATTACTTCTTTCCTCTGCGGTTGTTAGTCATTCATAGTCCTAAGTTTTCTCCATTTTAGTAGGACAGATGAGGTCACTGCACAGAAGAGAAGAGAGGTGACACCCGATGGATTCTGTCTTGTCTAAGGACAGCTAGACCTCTGAACTTCCTGGTAACTTGAGCCAATATATTTTATCTATCCTCCCATCCCAAAATTTCTAGGTAATTTGAGTTTCTTCACTTGTAACTTGACAAGCATTGAATAATATATGCCTCATTTTAATAGTATAACCTTATCTCCCCCCAAACAAAAATCTCTTGTTCAGTTTCTTCTGTAGGGATTCCCTAAAAAAGATTTTTGAAGTGAATCTGCTCAACTTAAAATGAATTCATCTGATTAGGAACTTCTCCAATCCAGTTGTGGAGATTAAGGTCTTCCCTAGCATTTTTCAGATGGTGGGAGTGGTATCAGCAGAACATTCCAATATAGCTAGAGATTTGTTACCCCACTGATAATTCTTTTCACTCCTCACTAAAAGCCTTGAGAATTCTTTTTTTTTTTTCCAACCCTTAGTTCTACTTCAGCCCAGGTGATCTAGATTTGAAACCTATAGGCAAGTAGTTCTCAAACTTTAGCTTGCATCATAATCCCTTGGCGAGGTTGCTGAAAAAGACTGTTGGGGCCAGGTACAGAGGCTTATGCCTGTAATCCCAGCACTTCAGGAGGCTGAGGCAGGAGGACTGCTTGAGCCCAGGAGTTCGAGACCAGCCTAGGCAACATAGGGAGACCCTGTCTCTACAAAAAATAAAAAATTAGCTGGGTGTGATGATGTACGCCCAGCTACTCGGGAGGTTGAGACCTGGGTGGAGGATCCACCAGGAGGCCAAGGCTGCAGTGAGCTATGTTCACACCACTGCACACTACTTCAGCCTGGTAGAGGAAGACTCCTTCTCAAAAACAAACAACAAAAAAACAAAAAACAGTTGTGCTTCATCCTCAGTTTTTGATTCTGTAGGTTTGGGGTGTGGTCTGATAATTTGTATTTCTAACAAATTCCCAGATGATGCTGATGCTATTGGTCCCAAGATGACATTTTGAGAATTACTGATAGATTCATATGTTAATAATAGAAAGTGGTTATTTTCCTTTAATCCAAGTACTCAAGTAACTAGCAGTCCTGGCATATTTAGCTGCATAAGTCATGCAGCAAATGGATGCATATTTTAGAAGTAGTAGAGTCCCTACATCATGCTGTGCCATGGTAATGATGCACTTTATAGAATGCAGAAAGCTTGGGCCTCAAAGATAAGCAGCAGTTGTGTTGGTTTTCCTAAGAATTTAACCTTGCAAGAGATCTAGATTGTAGGACATTTGCCTCCCCACTTGGAATTTTTGGCTTTCTCTCTCTCTCTAGCAAGCAGAGAAGAGATGTAGGAGACTGGCTACTCTTTTCCTGATCAAATGTTAAGGGACTATCATCCAGCTACTTGTCTCATATGAAAAAATCTTTTTCTAATTTGATTTCCCGATACACTAGATTAGATTTGTTTGGAGGTGTATTTTTCCTTTGCCAGGGAATATGTAATATGATTGAACACATGATCTTTTATTTTTTAACTATTACTCGTGTTACCCAAGGTTTGATATCTATATGATCTCTTTTTTAACTAACTACTAACATAGAATACCTACATTTTAAGTTCTCACAAGTGATTTTACTAATGAACTCTATTTCCGTTCAGAAAAAAGACAATTGGTAGTGTAAGTTTCTAAATACAGTTTCTGGACCAACAATATCAACATCATCAGAGAACTTGACGGAAATGCAAATTCATGGGCCCCACTCCAGACACTCAATACTGACTTAGAAACAGGAGCAACCAAAATTGTGTCTGAACAAGCTTGCCAGGTGATTCAAGTTTGAAAACCACTGTTGCAGAGGAATAATTAAGCTAAACACTCCTAGGACAAGAAAGATGGTGAATATTACACACTGGGATGATATTACTATGATCCCTGTTGGAACGATAGCACAACATTTATGGAAGCACACCTCAATATTCTAGCTGAGACAATGCAGAGACAAATGAGGACAGTGTACGTTAAGTGTACAGACCAATAGTAAAATCCATGAGAAAAATCATTTTCTGAGAACTGCTCTAAAAATGTTTATTTTGCCCAATGAACTGATATGATTTTTTAATATAACAATGACATTTATAATCAATTTTCCTATTCCTAGCTTGGTTGCTTGGAGACTTTGAAAATGTTTTATATTTAAATGAATGTTTCCTCTAGGTGATTTAGCTTAGTTTTCTAGTATAATTATCCTTAACAACTTATATAATTCTTTTATTAAAAAATATTTATAGTTATACAGTATTTGTGGGTTTTATTAAGAAGAATTACAAATTCTTCTTGGGAAAAGGATATATAGATAAGGTTTTTGAGGGAGCAAGTCTAGCATATGGTCAATAAATATCTAAATGAAGTCCTGAGTTTAGCTCTCCTGTTGCCTCTCTGACTTTCTCTCCTATTACTCTACTTCTTGCTCACTCCAATATAACCATATTAACCTTACTGTTTCTCCAACATATGAGAATATCTGCACCTCAAGGCCTTTGCTTTTGTTCCTCTGCATGGAAATGGTGGTCTCCTAGACATCTGCATAATTTTTGTCCAACGTTTCTTGCAGTTTTGGCTCAGGTACTACATTCTCAGTGAGGCTTTCTCTAATTAGTTCTCCCTTCGCTCCTGAATTCTTTTCCTGGCCTAGTTTTTGCACGATCTCAGCTCACTGCAACCTCTGCCTCCCGGGTTCAAGTGATTCTCCTGCTTCAGCCTCTTGAGTAGATGGGACTACAGGCACGCACCACCATGCCCAGCTAATTTTTGTATTTTTAGTAGAGACGGGGTTTCACCATGTTGGCCAGATGGTCTCATCTCTTGACCTCGTGATCCACCTGCCTTGGCCTCCCAAAGTGCTGGGATTACAGGCGTGAGCCACCACGCCCAGCCCATTTTTCCCTAGTTAGCTATTATCATGTAAGGTAACATGTAATGGATTATTTTCAGTCTTTCTGCTATTTGAAAGTAGCCTCCACAAGGCAGGGACTTTATTTTTGCCTGTTTTGCTTTTGGATGTATGCCCATCACCTACAGCAGTGCTTGGCATATAAGAGCTAACAGGAGCTTGTGAATGACAGACAAAGTATGCAAGAATCTGAGTGTTTATATTTAATAGCTTTAAAAAGCTTTTTTAAAAATCTAGATGCTAGCTGAGATTTTTTCTTCCACAACACATACCACAACTATTCAGATTTACTCTTTCCTCCAAAACATTTAGTAAACACCTACTACGTGCCAGGCACTGTGCTAAGTGTTGAGAACAAAGATGAATGAGATTCTGATGTTTCCTGGAGCTCATAGTAAAATAAAGGAAACAACTTTTTTTAAAAAAACACAAATACAAGATATGTGTAGGCGTTTGTACACAGAAAATACTAAAATTTAGGTCCTTTCCCCTCTGGTTTTTCTACTACTAGTCTCAGTAAAGCAAATACTAGACACTAGAGGGACAGTAAAGCACAAAGAAAGAATGAGATACGCAGGACTAAAGCTTCAGCCAAAAGGACAAATCACAGATTATAACATTCTTATGCAGAAGAGCATTATGTAACAAGGTTAGTCTGACCCCGAAGGCTGACAAATGGCCCAGATGACCTCATGATATTTTGAGAAGCATTACGTAAACTTTAAGTATCCACAGTTAGTGATAATCCTGACATTCCAACAAATTATAATATTTTCTTAATAATTATTAGCTATTATCAAGTATTGATTACAACATTTTCTAGCCCACACCACCTGTCTTTTCTATGGCAAACACATTTTGCATATGACGCCTATAAACATCCTGCCACTTTTCCCTATCTTTCCTTCTCTGGTAACAGCAACTAGGGTTCATAAACAAAGCAGATTCATATGAGTAGCAGGTCAGTGTCCCTGGAGTCCTTTAGGACAGATGTGGCAGCATAGTTACAGAGGTTTACTTTGCTCTTTCCAATGGGACAAGGAAGTCCTCTGAAATCCACCTCTTAAACCTTTCTCCCTTACTGGTCTGAGTAAAAAATTAGGTGTTTATGGTAACCAAGTAAATTATTCCAAAATTTTGCTTTAAGGTATTTTAAGAAGAAACAATAACATGTTTTTTAAAACAAGATGCTTTGGATATATGTAATTGACTTTTATCAAATGAAGCTGAGATTTATTATCTAGATGTGATTGAATCCAAAGGACCATGTCAAAGGTTTACAGATCAGTGTCCCCGTAGGGTTTGCAAAGTTATTTAATGGATTTTACCAAATTTAAATTCAAATTTTGCTAAAATGCTTTAATTTTTAGAAATTGTAAAAATAATGTTTAGATATAGGCAAAATTTGGACAATATTGAATACTAGTGCACTAACTTGTACTGCCAGGTTATCTTTGTGTGAGGCTTCTCCTACTCTGTACCTCTATTTGTTTTTCACTGTTGAGGAAAGTAATAGCATACTCACTCACATAAACTAGTATACTACTAGAGCATGTGTATAGTATATATATTATAAAAGTTTAAGTCAGATGCATCTGCTTAGCAATGCTGTGGTCACAACCTAAGAATTGTGCAGTAACAAGTGAAGGAGTCAAGCTGCTGTCATAAAACTGTTTTATAGAGGCCCATTTTGGCTACTGTTTTGGGAGGTGGGGAAGTTCATATCTATGAGTTTCTATAAATTCAATTTTTATGTTTTACATATTTGGTATTCCACACATTTTTCACTGGAAAAGTCTGTTAAAACTGTAGCACTAATAACGTTGCTTATCTTACTAGGGAATAAAAAAGGAATTAAGCTCTGAGCACCAATTTTTAAAAATCTATTTTTGAAGAATGCAAAGGAAATTTTTCATGCAGGTATGTTAAATCTTAATGGACTACTGGCCATCATTAGAATTTGCACCAGAAAATCAACTAACTGCTTGAGCATTACAGCATTCCTCTGTCTAAAACAAAAACAAAAACAAATTATAGGGCAAAGTGGTATTAAGTAAGCCCTAAGAAGGAAAAATATAGCAGGTGTAGGGGTGAGGATGTGAGATTAGAGAATGAGGAGAAAAAAAAAAAAAATCAAGAGGCCGGGCGCGGTAGCTCACGCCTGTAATCCCAACACTTTAGGAGGCTGAGGCGGGCGGATCACGAGGTCAGGAAATCGAGGCCATCCTGGCTAACACGGTGAAACCCCGTCTTTACTAAAAATACAAAAAATTAGCCGGATGTGGTGGTGGGCATCTGTAGTCCCAGCTACTCGGGAGGCTGAGGCAGGAGAATGGCGTGAACCTGGGAGGCGGAGCTTGCAGTGAGCCGAGATCACTGGACTCCAGCCTGGGCGACAGAGTGAGACTCCGTCTCAAAAAAAAAAAAAAAAAAAAAAAAAATCAAGAAATGCCATTCTCCAAGATAATCAAATATTTTAAGCCTAAGTATATAGACTCAAGAAACTTACGCAATTACATGAAAATAATCTATGCAACTAACTGGTATATGAAAAAAAAGTCCTGGATTCAGTTGGGAAAAACCACCACCACAAAGTATCGGTTAAGAGTTTTGTGTTGTACCAGGCTTTGGATGCTGAACAAATAATCCGTAAACCTCAGCTTTCTCACCTGTAAAATGGAGCACTTTAAGGATCAAATGAGATATGCTGTTGAAACAGACCTGTAAGAAAAACTGAGAGTGAGAAAGGGGGGAAGAAAACAAATCTCTTCTTTTCCACTGTCACTCTTCCAGGCCTACAACCACCAAGTACATGTTCTATTAGTTATATATTTTTGAGGACAGAATCTGCTAATATCCTTCATTTCTTCACACTTTTCCCCTTTTCCTTCAGCTTTTTAAAAATGAAAATGCAGTTGGTTTATGAGACCCAGACATTTACTGGAATTTAAGCGGGGACGTGTTGGGATAGCTTGGCTCAAAAGATCTTACTTCTAATAACCTTTAGACAACTTTTAATAAAACTTTGAAGTTACAGTAATAAGGTAGAATCCATTATTTGTTACATTATAGAAATAAGTCTCACACTTCTGACTCCTGTAATTTTATTTTATATTTAATACTTTTGTAATCTGGTTATTTTATAGGCAAGGAACAGCAATATAATACTCTCCACATCACTTACCTAAGAGAAAGAGCACTCGTTTGTATGGCAATTAACGCCAGAGAACCTTTCCAAAATCAAAGTCAAGAAATGGATTCAGTTAGACAGAGATTAATAAAATATGAAAATAATCAATATTTCACTCTAAACCCAATACTTTTAGAGTTCTCATATGTACATTATCCCTGCTGAATATCATATTCAGATACAGAGACCACACACATACAGTGTAAACATGGAACATCAAAGCAGACTCCATCAGCCAGCTTTTGTCTTTGCAAACAAAGGTTATCATTAACAAGATAGAGCTAATGAATAGTTAATAATTTTTAGTGGAGTTTGCTCTGTGTTCTGCTTATAATGTCAAAGTGAAGGATAATCTACAAAGCCATTTATTATGCCCTATGGGAAATGTGTTGGGATTGGGAGTCATGACTGTCTCAGATTAGCCAGGGAAGATTAAGTAGTAATATACTTTTAAGCAAAAGAATAAAGTTAGCCTAATGGATTAGAAAATATCTACTTTACTTTTTTATATGAATACTCCTCTAGAGTTCTATAGTAGCTTTTATTTGGCTTTCAAGTATTTGCATGTAAAATGCTTGTTTTTTTTATGGAGGACAAATAACAGTAAAACCTACCATTCTGAGCATGAATAGGTGAAGTACTGGAAATAGAAATAATAGAATTCAATCCTTGTTGTATTAATTTAGTCAATATTAATTTAGTCAATAGTATTAATTTAGGCTTACTACCAGTCCTCTATCAAAGTTCCAAAATCAAAAGTGCCTTTTTTTTTTTTTTTTTTTGAGACGGAGTCTCACTCTGTTGCCCAGGCTGAAGTGCAGTGGCACAATCTTGGCTCACTACAACCTCTGCCTCCCTGGTTCAAGTGATTCTCCTGTCTCAGCCTCCTGAGTAGCTGGGACTACAGGCGATTGCACCATCATACCTGGCTCATTTTTTATTTTTAGTAGAAACGGGGTTTCGCCCTGTTGGCCAGGCTGGTCTCAAACCCCTGACCTCAGGTGATCCTCCCGCCTGGGCCTCCCAACCATGCCTGGCTAAAAGTGCCTCTTATTTATAGATGTGTTAGCAGGTCGAACCTTGGACAAATCTAAATTGGAAAATGATCTAATATTAAAGTAAACTGTATGTTTCAATGGAATATTACCTTTATATGTATCGCTAAGCCTATGTTTGCAGATAAGAAAAAGCACAGGTTTACTTTAAGAAAAAAAAAAAAAACAATGTTTATGGAAGCGAAATCTTGTGCTACAAAGCAACTACCCTGAAACTCACTGTTATTAATTTTTACCCACTTATTATCATAAAAAAACTAGTTCTCAGATTCTGCATACAGACAGCTTTATGTAAAATATATAAACATTTGTCCAAATTGGTACACAGATTGCATAAATATGGCAATTAAGATTGCATTTACAGATGTGCATGTACAATGCTGTGCAAATTATCACAATATTACAATTTCAGAAATTATTCAAATTGGTATCCAAGTAAAGCAATTAGTGAAAAAATACCCATGCAGAATTTAAATATCTCAGAACAAAATTTAAAATGTCTTCATTAAAAGTTCACACATTTAAAATAGTTTTATTCATTTTATTTGTATATGTCAAAATACATTTTTATTTCCAAAATAGTGGGTTTTGCAACTAGTTTCATGCAGAAACAAGGTCTGCTCAATACTACCAATAAAATCAATATAGCACAGTAGCTGTTCAGTTTTAGATACAAAGAATAAATAACCTAAATACAAAACACTAAAATATTAGAAACATGTATTTAATCATTCTTCACAGGCATCCAAACTTCACAAATATAAACCATAGCATGCCTAACTGTTGTGCAACCAGAACATGTTGCAGTCACTCAAACTGATCAGTTATCTGTATATTTTACCTCCACATAAGACCATGGAAATTCTCAATATTCAGACCTACCATTCATACAGTTCAAATATAACCAAAAATAAAACTCCCACAACTATCCTTGTACCTTTAAAATCAAGAATCCTGAGCTTGGTAGTAAGAGCATAACCTTATATCTTCATAAAACCAATCGAGAGAGAGAGGACTTAAAATCCTGCTTACCAAAACACCCTTCCCCAACCCCAAAGTAATCTAAAATAGGCAGTAGAACACAATGACCTTTTAAAATGAAGGGGTACAAATTCACATTTAATATAGTATACAATACAATCAATAATACAATCAGCTACTATAAGCTTTACAATGTACAATTTATTCAAATGGCTGAACTGTTCAGTGGTTAAGGAGACAGTTATGTGCCAGAAAGATGTAGTATTTTTTGCATGGTTTAATGAAAATATAAAAGCTATTTGTCCAAATAAAAGCCATCGTCACTATGTACTTGGTTTTGCGCTTTTTTTTCCTTAAAAAAAAAAAAAGGCCACTGAAATGTATAAAATGGTCTGAACATGATGGTGGTATCAAAGTCGATGCCTCTTCACATGGCAATAACAGTGCATTTAACATTAACTCACGGGTTAATTCTGCAAATGATTTCATAGCATTACTTTGGCTAGCACAACAGTTTTAGACAGCACTCAGATAAATATAGGTATGTGAAATGTAAAGCAATTATCTTATGCAACTTTAATTATGGTTGAGTACTATCAAGTGAAAACTGAAAATAAAAGCACTTTACAGTAGGAAACTTTTGTAAAGATAGGGCTCCACATAATGTGTAACTTTTAAAGTCTTTATATCACATTGTTAGCAAATTTTGTTTTTTAACACTATCATGGAGTAGCCTACTCTGCATTAGCAGACATTTGAAATAAGAAATAGTCAAGCATGCCATGTGGTGGTCTAAAAATCAAAACAATACACTTATTTGTATATACAGCATCACTCAGTACCTGCTAAAATGAATGTGAAGATTACAGAATCTAACATCTTATACTACAATAAAAAAAAAGTGACCAATGAAGCAGAAAATAGGAATTAAAAGATCTAACCTCAAATGACTTTAAAGCATTCATATAAGAAATAAATGCATATTGCACAAACAGTGAAAGCATATGTTCCACCAAGCAATTCAGTTCCAGGTGGGAGACAACACAGCATTAGCCTAATACATGACAATAATCACAGAAGAGCAAGTGTTCTTTTCTGTAATGAAAAAGCTGTGAAAACATAGAAGACTCTGCCACATGAAGAGTTTAGAAGGAAAAAATACAAACCCAAACTTAGATGAAAAGCCAAAAAATTTAAATATCGAAAAACTCGAAACTGTGGCACATCAAAAAATGTTGAGTAACTGTCTTCTGTGAGAGCTGAAAGTTTTTGTTGACACAAAAGTATTTATGTACAACTAAGGCTTACTGGTTAAATATCTGAGGCATATCTGGCCTTGAACACTTTCCTTATATGCTGGAGCTGTAAACAAGTTTTCTCAGTCATTAAAAAAAAATCTTCTCAGCAGCTGCATTAACATGAAACAATGGTCTTGATTAAAAAAAAAAAACAAAAAACAAACCAACAACAACAAAAACACCCCAGAAAATTAAACAAAATGAAACAAAAATTCTAGATAAGAGGGCATTTGGCAGGATATCCGAAAATGACAGTCTCCAAGGATTCTTCCCAGACTTCCAGTGACTGCCAATTATGGTCCACTGGGTTACTAATATGTGCAATTCCATTACTTGCTGCTTTTTTTTTTTTTATTTGGAAAGTTTGCTTATAACTCTGATCAAGGCCCCATTTTCATCCTTTAGCCTCTGGTTGTCTGCTTTTAGGTCTGGTAACATCTATAAAGAGAAAAATTGAAGATCAAGTTTTACCTTCAATATTAAAAGATAAAACATTATTCTTAATAAATGTTATATTTTCACCACAAAACACATGATCAAGCTTTGTCAGTTATATATATTTCTAGTATCTAAAACATGTATCAGGAAGAAGGAAAAAAACCACACCTGGATTTGTAAAGCTAATTAGTTTCATAAATGCTGGAATGAAAGGTTTATTCTCTCCAAATTTTCCATTGAAATTTACTAAATCACTTGATTTTATGACTCACAAGCACACCACATTCCAGCAGCCAAGACAAGCCTGTTTTTGTTAGGATAGGCTCTTAAAAGAGGTTCCTGTCAGCACCTAAACCAAAGACTTTTGCTTTTATGTATGTCAGACCTAAAATCATAATACTTAATATTGTTCCACAAGAAAGTCAAACTACCTAGGAAAACATTGAGGAAATTAGACTTGTTCTAAATTATTAAAATTCCTTAAACGATTCACCTACAGTAGCTCAGTTTAAAATGCCTAAACAATGTCCGATCCCAGATAGATGCTTATTAAATGGTAACAAGCAATTACTATTATTAGAATAGTGCATCATGTTTAAGCTAAAGTAGAAAGTCTGTATCTATGATCCAACTATTACAAAAATAACCAATTTTGAAGCAAATAGCCTCATATCTTCAAACAACACATCTCAATTTTCTGTTGTTTTACAGACAAATTGATGAAGGGGTGAAAATATTACAAGTTAACTGAATACTCTACTAAGGATGATTAAAACTGTATGTTCTTTGCCAGTTTCACTAGGAAATGAAATAGCTCATATTTTTGGTCCCTAAACCATACTTTCCAAAATAGTCCTCTTTCCTCAGTTTTCAAAATGTATTAGTTTATCTAACTTGATAAAAGTAAAACTTCTATTTGCAAAACTAGGTAAAGCAAAATCTTTAAGAAGATTTAATTTTACGTGGAACCAATATGTTCTTATCTGTGTTCAGAATCTTTAAGATATAAAATATAGTAATATTAAGTTTATTCATTTGAATATTTGTAATATAAACTTAAATATAAACTAATGTGGTTCTGACTTCAAATGACATTATTTTGAAAAACATAATGCATGCTTAATCTTCAGCTTCAAAATATATTAATTATATGTAAAATGTTATATACTGTTGGTTTTCTCTCTAGTAAAGAACTGTAAATAATAGTCATATTTTAAGTCCTAAAATATCTGTATAGCTAAAAAATGTGCAAAAGCTTTACAAAAGTACAGATAAGTCTTTAACTTAAATTCCAAAATCATCCCTAATTTTAATGTAGCTCATCAATTGCAATATACAATTAGTGACAATTTCTAACATTCTAAGAAGCCATGCATAATTAGTTATATGATATGCTCCAGACACAATGGCATTAATTTGTAAAAGTGAGCTCTTACAAAACACGCCTACTAATATAAAAACACCTGCCTGGCTCTACCAAGAAGAAATGATGAAACTAAAAATTATAGGTTCACAGACTGCAGTTGCCTATAGAACCCTGAGCGCTTGGCTACCACTCTTGTCAAGGCCCTATTCTCAGTCAGCAGTCGCTCATTTAACTCCCTCAGAGATTGAATTTGCTTTATTTGGTGCAGGTTCTGCAGGAATCAGAACATAAAGAAATAGGAATAAAAAATAAGAAAATGGAAAAGAGTATAATAAGAATGTAATCACAGGTAATTTTTTAAAAATATTACGTCTTAAAGGAACAAGAGATTCAGAAAGGTAAACACTGTATTCCTAAAATTCTATTTCAAACTAAGTAATACATAAGCAAACAAAATACAAAAGATTTGTCTCCAATCTTCAAAGCCATTCAATAATGGTCTAATAACAAACCAAACAATTTAATAATGAAATATCTAAATCTTGAACTTCTAATTCTGTGGGTACAATATACTTACTATGCACTGGTTCATTAATTCACAATGTGATAAAGATTTTATGAAGGACAGTGTGGTAAGAGGTAATCAATTAACTATGCTACTTGTGAAGACATTCAAAACATAATTATTTCTATAGGTAATATGGAGTTTGATAAAATACAGCTCTGCCTGTTCACTCCCCTAATGTCCTTTACTTTCAAAGGAGAACATTTTATAGTAACCCCCTCCACTACTTACTCGCCAAAAAACATGAAAGTATATAGAAACATAAAGAATAAATAATAAATCCTACATCTTATTATTATTGTCTAACTTTTTCTATACCTGAACAGCAAAAGTGCTACACAAATTAATTATCAAAATAATTCGGGTTTTATTTTTTATTTTATTTTTGCTCCTTCTTTTCATAGGTGTTAAGATTTGGGTTTTAGACCCTCTTCTGGCTCACTAAAACCTGGATTCAGGAAGAAAGAGAAGCACCAGATATAGACAGTTCACAAATTGGGTAATCAGCTTTGAGAACAATTAATGTAAACCATATCTATAATAGTATTTTAAACATTAATACATAAACAGCACTCTCTCTCATAAGTAACATAGTTTACTTACTTTGAGCTCTTCTTCCATTTCAGATATTCTTCTTTCTAGAGCTCTTCGTTCCTAGATCGATTTAAGGTACCAATGTTAGTTATATAATTATTATATTCTTAAGTCTTCTTCTATACTGTGAAATAGTGATACTTCAGAATTAAAGGTCCAATCAGGAGCAGTGTAGAAAAGATGTGATGCCAGTGATATGTAAAGAGCTTTCCAAAATTTGACAAAAATAAATATGAAGATCTTTATCCTTAGAGTACAAGCTCTTAATTTAAAGCTTTGACTTTCTGGGAAGATGCTACATAACATATTCAAACTACTTTTTGAGTTCATGTAAAACTTAGAGTGAATCAATACTCAAGACTGAAGACTGTACAGAGAAGAAAAACAAAACTCACACAAAGATGCAATCATATTACAGTGACAGAAGCAGAAAAGCAAGAAGCAAACATGCCTAAAATATGTGTACTTTGCAATTTCAGAGGAATGTAAGAGAAGCTCATTTCCTCCACTCACAATGTGTACTAGCCATTATTTATCCAACTGACTTTATAGCTTTGTATTTAGGTTGACATTATGTGTAGCATTAATGCAGTGAATGTAATAGAAAAGCAACTGCAGCGTTTATTTTAAACTTGTTTCAAAGAGTGACAGGCAAAGCCAACACACAACACATTATTGCAGTGTACTGTTTTATTCTCCCTTAAATGATAAGCATTCTGGGGTGTTATGCAAAAAGCAAGCAGCAGTAATTGATGAGCTGTAAAACTGGTTAGGTCATACCGCCCAGAAGATACTGACTCTTGCCGGTCACCTTTCAGATACAAACCATTTAAATTTAGTTTAATCACACTGAAACTATTTCCAAGACACTCTTTCCCAGATTAATAAATAATGCTGATATTTAGTCAAGCAGTACATTTACTGTAAATGTTAATGTTTTTAGGGTATGTGATTTTAAAAAGTAGACAGAATCCTACTGATCGTCTTTTAAGTACCATGTTATTCCAACATCGGCATGCCTAAACATTATTGTATAGACAGAAACATTATTTTCAATACATAGATCTTTCTTCTACTAAATAATACAGTCATGACAAATTCATACAAA
Source organism: Homo sapiens (assembly GCF_000001405.40). Taxonomy (NCBI): domain Eukaryota; kingdom Metazoa; phylum Chordata; class Mammalia; order Primates; family Hominidae; genus Homo; species Homo sapiens. Next base: position 79,779,649 of record NC_000012.12, read on the forward strand.
TCATCACACTTCTCAAAATACTAGCACATAAAGTGTCATATTTGATCTTTACCACTTTGCAAAATATCAGAAATAGAATATTTCTTCTGAGAGGTAATCTCCCTATGAGCCTCAATTTTATTAGGTGTCTTCAAGATTTTAAATTAGTGGTAAAGTAAGACAAGAAAACTACACCCAACTGCCTGATTCTATTAGCTCAATGAAATTGACATCTGTAAAATGATATGAAATTTCTTATGTTTGACAAACATATTAACATTAAAAAATATAACTGGCCAGGCACAATGGCTCAAGCCTGTAATCCCAGCACTTTGGGAGGCCTAGGTGAAAGGATGCATAAAGCCAAGAGTTCAAGACCAGCCTTGGCAACAAAGTGAGACCTTGTCTCCAAAAAGAAATTAAAAAAATAGTTGGGTGTGGAGACATGCACCTGTAGTGCCAGCTATTCTGGAGGCTGATGCAGGAGGATTGCTTGAACCCAGGAACTGGAGGATGCAGTGATCGGTGACTGTGCCACTGTACTCCAGCCTGGGTGACAGAGCAATATTCTGTCTCTTTAAAAAAACAGACAAACAAACAAAAAAAAAACACAAGGAAAAAAAATATGGTTTAGAGAAAATGCATGTAAAGTGTTTAATTTTGTGCCTGCTTGATATACAGAGAATGATGAATAAATGTTAGCAGTTACTATTAATACCATGATTATAGAGAGTGGATTAGCTACTTTGTAATTTATCTGCATTTGACAAGCAGAAAAAGGAGGTTAGGTGAGCTTGTCAGAGTATGAATGTGTCTGCATCATGTGTATGTTAGAAAAAAAAAGTATCAAAATATCAGCTATCTCTGCATGACAGATTACAGATAATTTAATATTGTCTTCTTTTGTTAAAGTTTCTGTAATAAACATATTACTTTCATAAGAAAAATTAAATATTTAAAATTGTGATTGTATTTGAAAAATAAATACTACTTTAAGTACAGTTTGTTATCCATGCCTTTCATCTCAACCGTTAGTATAACAGAGAACTGATTTTATTATTTCTGCCTATCCTGGAGATAAAATTCAGTAACAGTTAAATATTCTAACAGGATATAATAATATTAAATTTATTAAAACAATATTTTAGCAATTATTATGTCCATTTTGAAAACATGACTCAGAACACTAATTTTTAAAACTTGCAGAAAGCATAATAAAATGGTAGCTATTGCAAGGTACAACTAGCAAATGACAGACATTATAACACTATTTTTATATTCTTTTTTTTTAACCATTTCTCTTTTTTTTGGTGAAAAGGGCAAATTGGTTATTTTAAAATAGAATGGAAGAAAAATGTTTTTATATCAATAGCTCCTAAGTATTTACTCTTTGATCATAGCTACCAGCATGTCATTTCTTCTCTGGTCGAAACCCTACCAAGTCTAGCTACTGCTCAGCTACACTACAAACAATCTTTGGGCACTTTTCCTTTAACTTTTGGATCATTTATACATTTTCAACTGATGAGGCTAAACTTGTACAGTTATTCCTATGACTACTCCTAGACCTTTGAGCAACAATAAGTGAAGAGAAATACAAGTGAATGTATTACAATCAATAAAAACTTGCAGAAAGACATCAAGTGGCATAAGGATTTTCTTGTAATCTTTTTTTTGTTTAAAATAGCCTACTTAAGTTAAATATTTAAACTCAAAATTTTAAAAAATTATTAAATTAACTTTAAAAAGAATTTGAAAATTTGATGTTCCAGATTTAGAAACTTTATTTCAAGAACGAAAGTATTTTAGGTTTATAAAGAATTAAAATAAATGTATTTATGATTAAAACGTTTTAGGTACAGGCCATAAGAGATAAACGGCATTTCAAAAATATCAAATTCACTATCAAAATGTGTATAGTACATTTCAGAATCAAGGCAAGACAGTTTTTTTAAATTCATTAAAAGAATTATGTGGTAAATTAAATTTTATTTAACAAGGTCATTTCATACCTAGAGAAACCCCATAGAATTCTATAAAGAAGTTGCTGCAAAATACATTAACTCAATAAATATTTAAACTAATTAAAACTGTCATCCATAATAACAAAATAAAAACAAAAAACCTACCATTGTTTACCTAAAACAAGAAAGAAAAAAATAATTATTTAATAAGTGGGACACTTACCCTTTTTTCCATTTCCAACAGTGATCTATCAGCAAATCTTTCTTGTCTCTGCAACAAAGTAAGAAATTATAAAAGAGATAAGTGCAAAAAAGTTCAGGGGTGACCACAGTAATTCTCTTTTAATAGGTATTAAATCACAATATTCAAGTGGAGTAAAACACAGGTTCGTGAGTAAAGCAAAGAGAAAACAGGATTTGTATTAAAATAATAAAGAGTGCAATGAATGTTTAGAAATAGAATGGTAACCAGAGCTCTCATTTTATGTTCTCTATCACTTTTCCCCAGGAACTTTCATAGTTTAGTTGGGCGTGAGGGTGAGTGAGTATGTGGAAGAAAAACAAAAAAAAACTGTAGCTTTCCTTCTGAAGCTCAAATTCTTTCCTTTCCTACACCATCAGGAGTGGCTAATCAGAATGGTCAGATTCCAGGACCTTGATTGAAATATATTCATCAGCAGGTTGAATGACTCTGTATCCATGCAGCCAGACCAGTAAACTGGCCTTTTTATCTTCTCCCACAGCTATCTTGGTCTTGGCTCACACTCTAGGTTTCTTTTCCAATCATCCATGCTCCACAATTGGTTCACATCCACTTTCACTTATAAGAAATTCTAGCTGTACAGCTTTCTTCTGCTGGTGAGCTCAGGCCTTTCATTTTTTCCACTTCCTGTACTATCTGACCAGCTCAAAGCTGATGAAATCCTGATATATAAGCTTGGCTTTAAGGGATGGAAAAGCACCTTGGGTTTTAGCCTACCTGTTGTATCCTGTACTGGAGAGCTCTGGACATTAAGCACAGGCACAGTTTAAGAACAAAACAAAAAAAGAAAAAAAAAGAAAAAAACAGTGGCATCTTAGATTTTATTTACATTGATCTCTGTACAAACATCTCCCTTGGAATTCCTGGTCAATTTGCTGAAAATGAATTCCTCAAAAGCCAACTTGCTGAATAACCAATTTTACTAATTTACCAAAAATGGTTTTTGACCACTTTAACAAGAATGCTTTATGAGTGCTAACCACAAAATATGCTTTAAAAACATATTGATTAAACACAATTTCACTGTTAAATGTGGTAATTTTAAAAATATTTCTTTACATAATTTTCTTTTATGCCAACCCTTTCAGTATTCATGTTTTAGTATCTCTAGGACTTATAACCAAGTCACTTTTTGATCCCTCTTTCACAATTTTTACGGTTATGGTGTGTAACATTTAAAGAACTAATCATGGCTAGGTTTTCTTACTTTTTCTCTTATTTTAAAATGGCTTCAAGCTTTTGTGCTTACTCTTTCTGGAAACATAAAAGTCAATATTCCAATTGGTTCTTGTGAGAAATTCAGTTCAGAATTTCAAATATGAGGCTGGGTGTAGTGGCTTACACCTGTAATTCTAACACTTTGTGAGGCTGAGATGGGCAGATCACTTGAGCCCAGGAGTTCAAGACCAGCCTGGGCAACACGGTGAAACCCCGTCTCTACCAAAAAAAAAAAAAAAAAAGGAAAATTAAACAGGTGTGGTGGCATTGCCTGTAGTCCTAACTACCTGGGAGGCTAAGGTGGGATGATTGCTTGAGCCAGGGATATTGAGGCTGCAGTGAGCCCTGACTGTACCACTGCACTCCAGCTTGAGTGACACAGCGAGATGCTGTATCCATTAAAAAAAATAATAATTCAAATATGAATAAGACTGCTTAGTTAATTCTCATTTATTTTTGGTTTTGAATTTAAACATTTAATTGCTAGAAATATAAAACAAAGGCTGATACACCACGTGAGGATTTAAAAATAAATCATAGAAACTCTTTACAAGACCAAAAAAATTTTAAATAACATTCAAAAGCACCTGAAAAAAATCAAATAGCCAAAATAATAACAACACATGTAAATTAACAAAACATGGAAAAATAGCATTTCACTGGAGATTTTTTCATATGGGAAGATTTTAGCAATTATATGTGGTTTGCCAATTTCATTGATTAGAAAACATTAACATCAGTTTAGATAGTATTTTTACTTAGTTAACTTTCTTGTTAAACATTCCAGTTAAAGCTGTTAAAATCACAATGGTTAAATCTGGTGAAATGGTCATTTGGCAAAGTGGTATTCAGCAAACTGGTTCTGGTAAGCTGGCATATTTTTTCCCTTCCTTGGAGATGATATGGGAAGGAGGGTACCTGGGCTAGGGCAAGAGTCAAGGATTCCAGAGTCTCTTGGCTAAATAGTATCAAACAGACCTAAACTTCAAGATTAATTTCATGCAACTATCAAAACTGCCACTGCTATTTGTGGCAAATATCTGACGCAAATATTTGTGTATTTGTGAATAGTTATGAAGTCAATCAATGCCAAAAAAAAAAGGTGGAAAAGTTCACAGTAGATTCAGGATAAATACCTGAAAGTTGAACCCCTGATTAAAGTTACTTTAATGCTTATCAGTTTTACTTTTATGAATTATACTTCTCATTATTAACTCAGCATACTGGATGCGATACTCAGAGTACCTGCCAAGGCAGAAGCTGGGATATTTTTTAATCCTACTTCTCTTGCCAGGTAACAGAAATTGGTACCTGACCCACAGGCAACTTTCTGTCCAGTGACCTATGAAATGGTCACTAACAAAACAGGCTGCTCCATACTGGGTAGTAACAGGCTAATTCTATCAATTCCCCTCTCTTGCAGGGTTTGACTGAGAGACATACAGGAAGAATTACATGACAATGAAGTAGGCAGCAGAGCAGAACACAGAGAAGGCATTAAGTAGCGGAGACACAGATGAGCTGAGTCACCATGACAGAACACTATAGTAGGGAGCAGTGGATATTTATTTATTTATTTATTTGAGATGGAGTCTTGCTCTGTCACCCAGGCTGGAGTTGCAGTGGCACGATCTTGGCTTACTGCAACCTCCACCTCCCGGGTTCAAGCAATTCTCCTGCCTCAGCTCCCAAGTAGCTGGGACTACAGGCGCCCACCACCACACCCAGCTATTTTTTCTGTATTTTTAGTAGAGATGAGGTTTCACTATGTTGGCCAGGCTGGTCTCGAGCTCGTGACCTCAGGTGATCCGCCCACCTTGGACTCCCAAAGTGCTGGAATTACAGGCGTGAGCCACCGCGCCTGGCTGCAGTGGACATCTTTACTTAGAACATTATAATGAAATCCCTAGAGCTGAAGCTATGCTCAGAGAACTCATTATATTTTTATGTATACAGGCTCACTAAGATACTAATGCAACCTGAAGGATGATGACAAGTTCACTGATTAAAAAACAGCAACATCAGTTTAGGTATTTTTACTGTTAACTTTTCTGCTAAACATTCCAGTTTACCATGAAGCCTAAATATAAGTAGTAGTTTTAATGTGTATGACACTGTAAGTTTTTATGACATCTCACTATGAAACCTATTCTTGTTCTGTTTTACTTTTCTGTTTATCTTTACAAAAACCTCCATTAACATGAAGGAATTTGAGGAGTGGTGAGGTTAGCCTGAACCCTAGAAGTTTGGCATAGTAGCTACCGTGCACAGACAATCGCTTTACAACACAACAATGGTTAAAAAAAGGATCTGGTAACAAGTTTAAGTTCAACAAACAGAATGAACTTTTTTGGTTTTTGTTTTGTTGTTGTTTTTTTAGAATTAATTTTTAAAAATTAAGAAAAAGATGAGTGTAAAGACTGACCAAAAAAAGTACATAGTCCCATTCACAGATCTGGATATGCTGTTTTTAGATCCATGCTTTCAGCTGGATTCTAAGAGTTGTGCTGCAGAAATACGTTTATGCTAGAAAGTCCCAGGTTAAAATTGAACACATTTGTTTTCTTAAAAATTACAGGATGCCTTAGAGCCTTTAGCATATAAATAGACCCTGTAAAGTCTTTAACATGTAAAATATGTAGTATTTCCCTAGTTTCTTTGATCACAAAGCTTTTTTTTTGTTTTTTGAAAGGAGGGAAATGAGGAGAAGATGTACCTATTCCTGTCTCCCAGAACTAATGTTCCATGGAAATGGAAAAGTGGCTTGGGAAACAATTGCTAGATCATATGTACAAGGTTGTGAGTTTTGCTTGGCCATCCCAATTTTATTGTCCAAATTTATCTTCTCTAGACTGCTGCATAGAAGGAACTTACAAAAGGAGTTATGATTAAAATTATCTTCTTCCAGCACTATAATATAAAATAACCTTTACTTGAACAAACATAAAATATTTGTAGTAAACAAAAACTATTATAAAATTTTTTATATGGCTATAAGATGATTCTGTATAGATGCTTTTAATGTTTTAATGACTTGCTACATTTGGTATTCTGGAAATAAACATTTAAAACCTTGACATACCACAACATTGGTATTAAAAGGCTTTTTATAAGTTGACTTTTGACTATGACTATTTTTTAAATTTACTCCAGAAAAAGTAAATCATCCATAAACAGCATTATCTTCTATTACCAATTATCAAACTTCTATTTAGAGTATTAGAAAAAATTTTAATACCATTTTTAGATGGGATAAATCACAACCATTACCTTGAGAGTAACAAAAAGAAAAGGGTACAAACCTGGGTGGCCTTTTCCAACTGTAATTTAAGATCTGTTAGTTCCATATTTGTATCATGTAGCTGTGCCTTCAGCTTTTCATTTTCAGCTAGAATTTGTTCATAAAGCTATAAAAATTAGGGTAAAAGAACAAATTACTTTTCTGCTCTCCTATTACTTTAAAATTTCTCATTGATTACTTTGCAATATTAAAACAGCTTAATGTAGCATATGAGCTATAAAGGATACATTTAAAAAATCCTTCATGGTTGCAAAGCAGAGACTGTTCGTTATGCAAGTGTGTTTGTCCCATATAAAGTCTTAAAATTAGTTCCAGTATTCAAAAATCAAGACTTCACAGAAAAATTGGACTTTTCAGGTTATCTTAAAAAAGATTCAGTTATCTGATAAAGAGGGACCACATACCTGCACAGCAACTGCAGCTAGGGCTAAGGAGTCACTGTGATCTTTATTTGGAGTCCGTGAGATTTTCTGCCCATCACTCTCTCTTGCATTCCCAAAAATGAGACGGAGTACCAGCTGTATTTATCATTATACTTCTACATTGCTTATAGTAAAGTTAAAAGGCAAATGACGTATTTCCTGAAATATTTCAAATCCAGGATAAAATCCAAGACCTTCCCCTTTTCTAATGCTTTTCGTCTTTCTTAACACTCCTTCTTCCTTATCCCTGCTTTACTACTTCCACCATAATTCTGGCTATGATCATCTCTTATCTAAACTATTCTAATTCCCTGATCACCCTCTAATCTGTTTTATATATAGGAGCTAAAATTAACTTTTCAAAATGAAAATCTCATAATTTTCATAGGCCAACCATTCCATTTCCACCCACAAATTAAAAACTCTTGAATGGCTTCCCAGTGTTCTTAGCATACGAAAAATCTTACAATGGCCTATAAGGCACTGCATGATCTGGTCTCAGCCTATACAACTGCTGCCTCAAATGAATATTTCTTCCACTCTACTAGCTATAATTAAAATTTATTTATTCCAATGCATCATGTATTCTCCCCCCACCAGGTCTATGTGCTTGTAATTCCACTCTATTTGGAATAATTTTCTCACCCATTTTTGCCCGTTAACTATTAGTAATCCTTCCGTTTTTGGCTGAAACCACACTTCCTTTGGAAATCAATCCACTTTCTTTTTTTTTGAGATAACAGTTTTCCTCTTGTTGCCCAGGCTGGAGTGCAATGGCGTGTTCTCAGCTCACTGCAACCTCTGCCTCCTGGGTTCATGTGATTCTCCTGCCTCAGCCTCCCGAGTAGCTGGGATTATAGGCATGCGCCACCACACCTGGGGTAATTTTGTATTTTTGGTAGAGACGAGGTTTCTTCATGTTGGTCAGGCTGGTCTCGAACTCCCGACCTCAGGTGATGGCCTGCCACAGCCTCCCAAAGTGCTGGGATTACAGGCGTGAGCCACTGCACCCAGCCAAGGAAATCAATCTACTTTCTTTTGTTATATACTTTTATAAAATTGCTTTTCTACTTCAAGTTAACTGTCTCCATTATTTATTATACAGTCATTAGTATGACTGTGTAATAAGGTCTCTCTCCACTACATGGAAAATGCCCACAAGAGCAAGATAGTATCTTCATCTCCATTTACCCATGAGTAGAATCTCTCTACTTAGCATAGTTCAGTTCTTTATTGAATAAATGATGAATCTTACTCATAATGTAAAATGATTCTCTCCCTCACCCGTTCCCCTAACTTGGCTTTTAAAAAAGTATGTAATTCAAATAGCTGCCAGATAACTGGGGACATGTACAAATGCCATAAGCTTTCTCCTTCTCCAACAGACTTTATGTTTACTATAAGCACAAAATAAGAAGATATAGTTTCTGCGATTTATTCATTAATTACTTCAATCCTTAATAGCACTTGAGCTGCCCCAAGTTTTTCAGTTACCTATGAAAAACTACCAATATATTATCTTAGGAAAAGCCATCTTCTCTGTTTGGCTGCTTCCTAGTAACAAGAAACAAAGTGTGTATACATTTGTGTGCACCCATTTATTGAACGCTCCTTTCCAGCTCAATCATAGCAATGACTTGAGATACTTAAATGTAAAATCATCTTGGATGACTTTCTCTTCCCTTTAATAAACAAACAGCTATTTACATTCTACTTAACCATCACTTGCCGAAAACTGAAAATAAGTTATTTCAAAATACTCATTTCATTATGAGTTTTTAAAATAATATTTGAATGAGTATCTCAACATAAAAGATAACTTTTTATTAAATATAACTAAATAACCCAAGTACCTTTTTAAAGTCAGTTGAGTCATCCTTTTCTAGCCTGCTGCTGTAAGGTTTTCTTTCTTCTAAGTAACTGTATGATCCAGAGCGACCCAGCAAGGAATCATATCGATCACCAGCTGATGTAGAACTGGTTTCATATCTTCAAAAGATTAATTTAAATAAAAAACCTTGTTATAGGCTTTTACAATTATAACAACATACATCCTAGTACACATATAACTTGACAGTTCAAAAGAGTAGGTCACAGTCTCCCTCTGTTATCTGATTAATTTTTGTGATATATAATAAGTGGGAAGTTATTTTATTTTTTTAGATAGGGTCTCACTCTGCTGCCCAGCTTGGAGTGCAGTGGCATGATCTCAGGTCACTGCAGACTCGACTTCTCGGGCTCAAGTGATTCTTCTACCTCAGCCTCCTGGGTTGCTGGGACTACAGGCATATGCCACCATGCCTAATTCTGTACTTTTGGTAGGGATGGGGTTTCACCATGTTGCCCAGGCTGGTCTTGAACTCCTGGGCTCAAGCAATTCACATGCCTCAGCCTCCCAAAGTGCTGGGAGACTACAGGAATGAGCCACTGCACCCAGCCTATTTTTTTAATACTACTAATTTCCATTAATTGAGGAAGAGAGTCAAAATTTCCATGTTTAAAAGCCAAAACTGGTTTCATATAATGATTAATATTTTAAATTGTACACTTCCTCCCACATTTTAATATTTCCAAAACCAGAAAATGGCTTACAATTGATGATGCATTATAGTTTAATTGGTAGCACCTTTCCTTTTTTTCAGTAGTAGGTAACACAATGGTGTTTTAAAATGAGTAATGTCTTAGATTTGATGAAATAAAGTATATCCAAAGTGACAAGTAATGGGTTTGTCCTAAGCAGGAAAAACATATCTTACTGGTAAAGGAGAATTCTCTTATTATCTGGTTCTGAAATTCAGGTTACCTTTTCTGAAAGATGCCATTGGCTCTGCATTTCAATTCAATAGAATCATCAGTAGACAGAAATTTATTACTGGTCTTACAGGGCTGTGGTTAACAATGATAAGAGAAATGGAATGGAGATCAAAATCAAGGATATAGTGGAGGTTCTCTGAAAAGATGGATAATTTTGAATTAGGTGACACTTTTTTTTTTTTTTTTTAAAGACACAGGGTCTCACTGTATCCAGTGAGGAGTGCAGTGGCACAACCATAGCTCACTATAACCTTGAGCTCCTGGGAGCTCAAGTGATCCTTCTGACTCAGCCTCCCCAGCAGCTAGAAATAGAGGAGCATACAGTTATGCCTGGATAATTAAGAAATTTTTTTTTTTTTTGGTAGAGATGGAGTCTTGATGTTGTCCATGCTGGTCTTCAACTCCTGGACTCAAGTGATGCTCCTGCCTCAGCCTCCCCAAGTGCTAGGATTAAGGGTTGAGCTAGATGACACTTTTTTAAAAGTGTCTTCACTGGTTCTCTTTTGTCTAAAGCAGGGCTACAAGAGAAGATTCTGAATACTTAATCAAATACATTTCTGGCCAAGTGTGGGTTTTATCAGTCCCTGATGTTAATAATGAGATAGTTGAACTAACTTAAGAAACTTTGGAATACCTTTGTTGTAGAGATTTGGGGAAAAATCTTACTTGCTCTGACTAGTGATCTTGAAGTAAAGCCTTTAACAAAGAAAGCTAGTAACAATGATAAGGCCATCAAAATTTGTTTTTTATTATCAAATAATTCTATAAACTTACAAAATCCATAAATTCCTAGCAACACATTTTTAACAAAGATAAAAATAAGAAAAAAATGTCAGTTAAAAAATAAATAAAACATACCTAGAAATGGAATCCGTCTGGAAAGAAAGAGAAAAACATAGGCATACTAAATTTTTATGCTTTCATTAAACTATTAACCTATGATTATAAGTAAATTTAATGTAGTATCAATAGAAGCAAACGAATGAACACCTAAGGTTCTTTATGCATAACAGTATATACATATTTTGTTTAAAATTTACTTTCTCGAAATCTAGCTATATACCTTTAAGGTCAGCAATTAGGTGACAGGAAATTTAATTTTCTCAAGCAAGTGGTATGCTACACTGAAGTTCCAGAAAGTCTTATCTAAATCGTGAAATGATTAATAAGGTAAAACAGTCTTACTGGGGGCCAAAGTAGTCTTTTTCAGTAGTCAAATTTAGCCTTTTCTTTTTCTATTGAAATACTCACTGATTCTATAATTTATTCAGAATGGTTTGTTAAACTTCTTAATTTAAATATTAGTGATTTCCCATTATATTTATCTTTGGAGATACTGTAAAATTACTAGGTTACTTTTGGGATTGTTTAAAGTCTATTTTGGACTAAAAATGTTTTACTAAAGTCTGTAAATTTCCTCTGCAAAACCAATTTTAACTTTGCTCCTTACATTGTTTTTTAAGGTAATGTTTTCTTTTATTGATTTATTCTTTGGTTTAACAACAACTAACAATTTTAAAGAATAAATTTCAATTTTCAAGATAATCAAATTCAGTAAAATGGCCATTCCTGAACTAAAATGTCTACATATCAAACAAAAATAATACATCTTACCTTATAGTCTGCACTTACATTCACTGATTTAAATTTTAACAATAAAAAGTCTAGTGAGAAATCACTCAAATTCCATTATCTTTAAAAATCATGGTGTTATCACTGATTATTATTACTATTTTTGAGATGAGGTGTCGCTCTGTTTCCCAGGCTGGAGTGCAGTGATATGATCACAGCTCACTACAGCCTCGACCTCCTGGCCCAACTGATCCTTCTGCCTCAGCCTCCTAGTTAGCTGGGACTACAGGCATGCACCATCACATCCGACTAATTTCTTAAATTTACTGTGGAGACAGTGTCTCCCTATGTTGCCCAGGTTGGTCTTGAACTCCTGGGCTCAAGCAGTCCTCCCACCTCAGCCTCCCAGAGTGTTGGGCTTATAGGTGTGAGCCACCATGCCCGGCCTAGCATTATTTAAAAACTTTTAAGAATTGTGGTAAAAACCACGTAATATAAAATTTACCATGTAAACCATTTTTTAGAGTATATAGTTCAGTATTTTTAATTATATTCATATTGTTGTGCAAAAGATCGCTAGAACTTTTTCATCTTGCAAAAATAAAACTCTATATCCAATGAACAACTTCCTTTGTCCTCCTCTTCCTAGCTCTGGCAACAAAGGTTCTACTTTCTGTTTCTATGATACCCAAATAAAATAAGTGGAATCACACAGTTCTTGTCTTTTTGTAACTTGCTTATTTCATTTAGCATAACGCCCTTGTTCCCCAAATTTTAAGATTAATTTTCCAAAGTAAAAATATCTTTTTAAAGATAAAAAAGATTAAAATATATAGAAAGATATTCAGAAATATCTTTCTGACTATGGTATTGTAAAGTTCACATAATGGTATACAAAGTTCCTGTGTAATTCCTCATCCCTCCATTCTCTAGATAACCACTGTTATCTAACCAACCTTTTCTGGACACATAATATCTATGTGAATATAGAAAATATTGATCTATGCACATACATTGCACCTTATTTATTTATCTACATCCATTCTTCCTTTTTCTCATGGTATAGCAGTTACTAGGTTTAGGTGAGATGACACATGGCCCATGTTGGTAGCAAAATGGCTGCAACAGTTCAGTGATAGGCCCTGTCTATCCTAAGCCAACTATAATCCTATCCCTATGAGGTACATCAGCCTGAGGATGAAGCTGACACAAAGGACTGCAGAATATAACTGGAGTACAATACATTTTCTTTGTTTAATCCAGTTTGACTTAGGTTTCATATTGTTATTTATATTTGTTATATTTATTTATATGTTATTCATTACTTTAAAAGAACTCTAAACAATCTAAAGTAAACAAAAACTACTTAAATTGAAAATAAAAAAACTTTTCGTCTTAGAAACAATGTTCCTCTTCATCTTAACGTATCTCATATGATTTTAACAGTAAAACTTAAAATACAGTATACATCAATATGCTTCAAAATTACAACTTTAAAAGCCAGACAATCTCCCTTCCACTCCAGCCTGGTGGGGGCTGGAGTCTGCGTGATAAGGCAATGAGAGGTGTCAGATGGGGATGGTTTACTAATTTCCTCCCCTCTTGTTTAATAAAGAAGGGACATAGGTAAATTGGGGAGTTCTGATAACTGATAACCAAAAAATTTAGGTAACAGTTAAAGCTTTAGGCCTGCAAATAATTTAACCTCAGAACCAATTCACTCCTCATTGTCTGGCCACCTAAAGATAAAATAAAATTGTGGGGTCAAAATAGGCAAACTTGGCCCTAAAATAATGTTCACCGTCACCTAGCACAGGTAACCAACTTTTGTTCACATTACTGTAGATCCTTGCTGACTAAAAAGAAATGTAATAGCTCTATTAAGGAACTTCAACTCAAAATGAAGAAAATAATATTAATATGACCAGAATGCTATTTCATGCTAGACAGTGCCAGGTTTAGACTCGTGTTGTTCAGCTCTATCCTCATATGAACAGAAATATTTTGAATATTTTTTAGCTTTCTACACAGCCAAACAATCAGGAAGGGGGTCGGGGGAACTTTCAACCCTTGCTGGCTGTGCAGCCTTGTCATTCAAACTTGCTTTAGGTCCTTCATCAGTACTGAGAGGAAAAAAATGTCTTTTAGATTCTCAACATAAAAATCTGTTGGAGACTCTAAATTTCTAAATATATGTAAAAGAAAGTTAAAAGATGCCTATATTCTCCAGAACATAACTTTGAAATAAAATCTACAGAAATAAAATCTGAGCCTACTACTTCTGGATTTCCACTACTTCTGATTATCCTTTAGATATTTTCCTTTGGCCAAGGGTACTATTTCTTTTTTTGCTTTTTCTTTTAACTCCGAAGGTTAAATGACATACATTAAATTACATCCACTTAGAGTGTACAATTTGGTGAGTTTTGGCAGTTCTGTATATCCATAAAACCACTGCTAGGATCAAGACTCAGAACATTTTCATCACCTCCAAAACATTATTTTGTGACCCTTCCCAGTCCTTTTAATCCTGATCCCCAGGCAAACACTGATATTGCATACCCAGCATGTAGGTAGAGTATGCAATAACTGCTTTGCATGAATAAACATAATAAAACGCAATTTAAAAGTAATTATTAAAAAATATGAATACTTCTCAATACAAAAAGTAATGGTATTTACCTGAGTTTCTTTCTTATTGGATCCCTCTTCTGTGTCTGATTGTTGTTCTTGTTCATTTTCATCACTCTAAAAACAGATTGCCAATTTATATTTTAGGAAATTTTAGTAATAATTTCAAAATTTATTTTTTAAAATTATTTTTGGGAGTCCTTCTCTCTCAGAATATACATTGAGACATTTGTAGATAGAATGAGATGTCTAGGATTTTCTTCTAAATAATATGGGAGTTGGGAGATGGAGTGGGAATTTAGCTGAAAAAATGAATACTGGGGGTAGGGCTCATTATACTATTATGTTACTTCTATAAAGTATATGTTTAACTTTTCTATATTAAAAATCAAAAGAAAAATAGAAAACTATTTTCCGATTTCCCCATCTGTTCTTCCCTTCTTTGTCATTTATGTATGATTTTCCCTCTCTTTTTAAACTTTTTTAAATAGACATATGCACTCTTGATTCATCAAGTTGAATATATATTTTGTCCACAGCATGGACAATGCGAAGATACTAAAACTCTTCAACTCCATTTAATACTTTCCCATATTTTTGTGCTATTGTTTTCATATGCCTTAGCTCTTTATATATTTTAAACTGCAAATGACAATGTTATTTGTTTCATGTAATTAAGTAATTAGTAATTAAGTAAAATTAAAATGGACTGAAACACTGCAATTAAAAAAAAGTTCAGAAAAAAGTTGACCTAAATATGTTGTTTATTAAAAAAAACACAAATAAATTGAAAATAACAGAAAAGATATATTATACAAAGATAATCAAAAGGAAGCTTTTCAAAAAAGCAGAATTTAAGGTCAGATATAATATTAGAGATAAAGAGGAACATATAGTGAGAGATGGGTCAGTTTAACAGGAAGACAGATGATTCCATGTTCTTTCAGTGAAAGAATAGTTAGAAATTTTCTTTAAAAAATATTTTTATAACAATAGAAGTAAATGTACTGCTACATAAAATAGCATAGATATATCTTATAAACATAACAGTTATAAAATTTATAGTTCTAGTCATATGCTCTTCAAAAACAGGCATAGTTAACTACGGTGTTAGAAATCAGGATACTAGCTGACTTTGAAAATGAGGATGATAGGGATTGAGAGGGAGAACATGGGGGCAATCTACACTGCTGTTTTTATTCATCATTCTGAGTGGTGATTACATAGATATGCTCCTATTGTGCTAATCCATTAAGCTATACATGTATGAATTATGTTTCTAAACATGCCATACTTCAATAAAAGGTTTATTTTTTAGAAAATGGAAACAAAATCAATGAATAGCAATGTCAGGCCTACAATCAAGGACCAGGAAAACACTAATTTTTACAAGACTGTTGTAATTTGATAAGCAAAGCACTGTGTCTATTTAGCATGCTTTGAGATGGAAGTAATCTGTAATGTAGATCTTATAATGATATTTATGAAAATGAAATTAAATAGACTCCTTAGAAATTCTTAAAAGATGTTTTTACAAGAAGCAGTTTACCTATTATAAAATAATCAATACATGCACTCTGAGCTTCAGACATTATTATTTCTATTCCATAATTAGGTCAGAACCACTCCTTTTAAGTAGTACCAACAATCTAAGTAGTTAACTATCCTTAAAAATAATTTTTCTTATTTAACAACTCAGAAAACACAGTGATGATTTAAGGAATATGAAATCTAAGGCATATAAGAAATTATTAGTATGTATTTTTGGACACATTAAGAATACTATCAAGAATACTATCAAATAATGTATTTTAATAGGTTCTCACATCTTGTGTCCAAAATGAAACTCCTGTAGATCTTCTTTTCTCTCTTGGTCGTCGTCGTTCTCTGATTGATTTAGGTTGTGATTTATCTTCTCCTTCTTTCTCCTCTTCTCTTTTTTCTCCCTCTGTTAAGGATTGCAATGAACCACAATATAGCAATATATCTTGACAATATTTTGCAAGGTAATTGTAAAAACAATGGGTAAAATGGGCCAGGGGACTATCTAGGGGGATGGAAGGTAGGCAGCTGCTACTACTTAGCTCCAGCCAATTGTTGGTATGTGAGAATTCAGATCCAGTGTTGCCAGGTCAGCCAACTTTTCAAGAAATGGCAAAAATCTGAAGTTTGAAGTGAGTATCTCTAATTTTAAATGTTGGTTCAACATTTTTACAAACACAATGCAGGCCTCACACATAGAAGTTTAAAGAACTGAAACATCTCAATGATCAACATGAGAAAATATATAGCTGGAAATTGGGAAAAAACTTTATTTTCTGCTGTTTATTCTACATTACTACTGATATTATCATGACTAATACTGTAAGATTTAGGCTTTAAAATATGAAATGCCTATATTTAGTACTTATATCTGATTTAAAGTAGGAATTACTCAGAATTTAAATAGAAAGTTTATATAAAATAATAGGAAATGGTAATGAGTATCAATATGCCAATATATAGTTGAGAAAGAAATGTATTTTTTAAGAAATAAGCATAAAAATGTGTTTTAGTGAGAGCATTACATGTAGTTAGTAATTTTAGTTTACAACAATTTCACAAAAAAACATTTAAATGATATGATCTACACAGTAGGCAAGAAATAGCTTAAAGCATCTGAGAAGTACTACACTAGTAAACTGCTTCTAGAAATAGTCACCCACCAGTTCGATATTAACTTTTCGTTGTAGGTGGACATGAAGATTTTTGTGAAGTATTAGGTTATAAAAATATTAGTATCAACAGCAGGCCATATTCTATTTCTGTTTTCTACTTTTCTCATTCTCAACCTTCATATTCTTTCTGTTTAGGTTCGATGAATCACAAGTTAGGATGCTGTTCCTTTACTGTTGAATTATTATTTAGGAAACCCTAATCCAAAGGATTATATGAAGAAAGCAAAGTGTTTTCAAAATTTGGTATTCTTACCTCTTTCATTTTCTTTTGTTATTCCTCTGGAGTAAGCAGAAGTTATGCCTACAAGACTATTTGGCCTGTTTAGTTGACTTGAAGCATACAGTGAACTGCTCATAGTAGAAAGTGAAGAGGATGGAGTGGTTGAACTTGAAGTTGATACTGGCCTATAACGCTGGTAAGTCTGTGAAACATTAAGATCAAAACCCATTTGAAACATTAAACACAATTAAAAACATAAAAATACTTAAAAATTCATTTCAAAGAAAAAGTAGTATACTAATCACGCCAAAGTAATTCAAATTTCCAGCTAAAATCCTTTACAGTATTTTGCATATGGTTTGTTGGTATATAAATCTCTTGTATGTTAAGGATCATAAGGACTATTCATACCATTTGACTTAAATGTGCTTTTGATATACTGTTACCTCATCATACGTTCTGGAGTACTTTTGTTTATATTCATCTTCTCTAGATGTTTCTGACTCCTTCTTTTCTTCTTGTTTCTCTTTATCTTGTTTCTCTTTTTCCTCTTTTTCTTTTTCTTCATTTTCTTGTTCTCTGGTTCGGGTAGAACGACTTCTTCCTATTGTTTTCTCAGCTTCTTGAAGATCAGTTAATGTCACTCCCTGCACACACAAAAAGATCAATATAATTATGAGATGCATTAAAGCTTGTTTCAAGGAATATTTTAGAAATAGATATATTACATACAAATGCATTAAAAGTCAAATATGCATGTTTAAAATTGGTTTGCAAATGGAAACAGCAAGTTACATTCATTCTATGAAGAATCACCATTAGCAAGCACAACGATAGGTACTGGATACTCTATGCATATAAATGTTCCCCACAAGTTCAAACTAGAGAAGAATAGCCAGTATCTGTACTGTTTGTATATTATAAATATTTATGTTTATATATATGTCTGTGTGTGTGTATATATATGTGTGTATATGTATCTATATACACATGCATGATGATTGTTAAGGCTTAAAAGAGATTTCGATAAATTTTTCAAGATTTGACCTTGAAGAACAGGTTAGATTTCAAGAAGTGAAAAGTATAAAGACAGAAAAAGTATATTAAGGCCCTAGCAAATAGTTCAGCTTGAAAGCTAAGTAATGGTAAGGATAGACAGCTGAATCTGGACTGTGGAGCTTCTTAACTGTGGGAAAGCAGAAAGACACAAAAGTATACATCATATACAGCATAATCAGAATGGCAAAACGGAGGTAAGGAGATCGCCAGCCTGAATGACATTTTCTTCATACTTGCATATTAGTTGTTTATACCTAATATACGAGCCTATTCTCTGCCCCCGATTTCCAAATATTCATAGAACTTTTAAATACTTATTAGACATCATATGATTAATTTATTCTAACCAAATACTCTGGGCCAGACACTGTATTAGGAATAAGGATTTAAAAAATACTCAAAAAGACACAAAGGCATATGCTAATTAGATGAAATACAATAGTAGCAGTGTAACCATACAAAAGGCTATGAGCAACCTTTACCTTTTAAGGATTTATTCACACTAGAATTACTAGAATAACTACAGCAACCTTTACCTTTTAAGGATTTACTCACACTATATACTGACATCAATATTTTCACAACAAAGTGAAAAAGAGAAAGGTAACTTGTTTTATGTCAGTGTGTGTATATATATTTTATATGCTACTTATGTAAGTTTTATATATTAATTACATTAACTATACCTGTGTTGATCTTCTAGATTGTCTTGCTTGTCTAGATCTTGCTTTTCTTTGGGATTCAGACTCTTCATCCCTAACAGGAGTGAGGTATGATCTACAGTAGTAAATTGAAAAATCGTTAGTTGTAAATACAATACCTGTGAATGTAAATATCTATCAATGCATATGAATAAAACATACAGGTTTAATATCTTAGTAAGTTTTAAGGAAAAGTCTTCAGAAAATGGTCTTTGAAATTCAATAATGCAATCTTATAATTTCTTTTTAGATTGGAACTAGTTATATTTTAATAATTATATTTTAACATCACATTTTAACTTCCTAACTACATTTTTTAAAATAATGTAATTTAATTTTAAGATGGAACCACATTTTTAAAAAGGATTTAGAGAACTGAAGATTAAAAATTTTAGCTCTATTGAAAAAAATAGAAGGATTTCATTTAGCCCAATTAAGCAGAATGGATAAGGAGTAAATTTTTTGTCTGTTTTTAACTGAGGAAGGTCCTCTTCTCCAGCCCTGAAAACATCCCCCAAAAGTGATAATCTAAGCATCTTACTTAATGACCTACTAAAAGGGGTTTTAAATTATTCTCTACCTACAGTATTTTCAAATATTGGAAGACAGGTATCAAATTCCTTTCTAAATCTTTTTTTTGTTTGTTTTGTTTTTTTTTGAGACAAAGTCTCGCTCTGTCGCCCAGGCTGGAGTGCAGTGGCGCGATCTCAGCTCACTGTAACCTCTGCCTCCCGGGTTCAAGTGATTCTCTCACCTCAGCCTCCTGAGTAGCTGGGACTACCTGCACATACCACCACGCCCGACTAATTTTTTTATTTTTAGTGGAGATGGGGTTTCATCCATGTTGGCCAGGCTGGTCTCGAACTCCTGACCTCAAGTGATCTGCCTGTCTCGACCTCAGAGGGTGTTGGGATTAAAGGCGTGGGCCACCGCGCCCGGTCTCCCTGCATTCTTGTCAGTGTGCTCTTACTAATGACACGTCAGACAACATATTATTGTTCATACTTTTGAGTGCTCTAAAAAATTCCAGTGTTTTTTTATATATAAACAGCTTTTAAATCAGCATGTTACTTCTAAGTAACTGATTTTCTGATATAAAGAACAGGACTTGGCATTTATCCTCACTAAATTTCTTCTTATAAATTTAAGCCTATGTTTCCTCTTGTCACGGGGTATGCACCTTTTCAATAGCAAGTAATCTGTGTCAAAAGTTAAGTAGGGCTGGGTGTGGTGGGTCATGCCTGTAATTCCAGCACATTGGAAGGCTGAAGCAGGCTGATTGCTTGAGCCCAGGAATTCGAGCCCAGCCTGGGAAACATGAGGAAACCTGTCGCTACAAAAAAATAGAAAAATTAGCCAGGCATGTGGCACATGCCTGTACTCCCAGTTACTCGGGAGGCTGAGATGAGAGGATCACCTGAGCCTGGAGATCAAGGCTGCAGTGAGCTGAGATTGTACCACCCCGCAGCGTGGGTGACAGAATTGAGACTCAAAAAAAAAAGTTAAATAATTAAAGAGTCAAACAAGCAAAGATATGACAGAGCCCTGCAACACAACATAAAGACTTTCCTCTGATAATCAATATTTCTTGGGAAGTTCAATCATTAACGCTTCATCAAATTACACCACCTAGCTCACATTTCTCAGAGAACACTTATAGAACCAGAGTACAGTTGACTGCTGAACAACACAAGTTTGAACTGTGCAGGTCCACTTATATGAAAGTTACACCAAGTGTGCCTGCCTCTTCTGCCTCCTTCCACCTCCACCACCTCTGAGATAGCAAGACCAATCCCTCCTCTTCCTCCTCAGTGTGAAGACGAAGAGAATTCTGACCTTTATGATGGCCCACTTCCACTTAATGAGTAGTAAATACAATTTTCTTCCTTATGATTATCTTAATAACATTCTTTTCTCTAGCTAGCTTTATAGTAAGAATACAGTACATAATATATGTAACATACAATATATGTGCTAATCAACTGCTTATGTTATTGGTAAGGCTGGCAGTCAATGGTAGGCTATTAATTTAGATTAGGGGGACTCAAAAGTTTTACGCAAATTTTTGACTGCACAGGGAGTCAGCACCCCTAACCCTTGCATTGTTCAAGGGTCAACTGTATCTCTATCTTCTATGCTGTTTAAATTTATTAAGTTTACTCCATGTATCTCCCTCTCAAAACCCCAGGCAATGATCTAGTGAGTTTTCTTTATTCAAATGCTACTTTTTTTTTTTTTTTTTTGAAACGGAGTCTCGCTCTGTCGCCCAGGCTAGAGTGCAGTGGCGCGATCTTGGCTCACTGCAAGCTTTGCCTCCTGGGTTCACACCATTCTCCTGCCTCAGCCTCCCGAGTAGTTGAGACTACAGGCGTCTGCCACCACGCCTGGCTAATTTTTTGTATTTTTAGTAGAGACGGGGTTTCACCCTGTTAGCCAGGATGGTCTTGATCTTCTGACCTCGTGATCCGCCCACCTCAGCCTCCCAAAGTGCTGGGATTACAGGCATGAGCCACTGTGCCCAGCTCAAATGCTACTTTTAAAAAAGGCTCTTTCTTGGCTGGGCGCGGTGGCTCATGCCTGTAATCCCAGTAGTTTGGGAGGCCGAGGCAGGCGGATCACCTGAGGTCAGGAGTTTGAGACCAGCCTGACCAACATGGAGAAACCCCATCTCTATTAAAAATACAAAATTAGCCGGGCGTGGTGGCGCATGCCTGTAATCCTAGCTACTCAGGAGGCTGAGGCAGGAGAACTGCTTGAACCTGGGAGGTGGAGATTGCAGTGAGCTGAGATTGCGCCATTGCACTCCAGCCTGGGCAACTAGAGCAAAACTCTGTCTCAAAAAAAAAAAAAAAAAAAAAAAAAAAAAAAAAAAAAAAAGCCTCTTTCTTTTGTTAGCTTTAACATTCTTCTCAATTTGTAATTCATTTTTTTAGCCTAACACTATTCATACAATCATAACAAACCTCTGAATTTACTGTCAGTTTTATGCCTTTTCTCTGTGTCCTTTAAAGCTCTCAGTTCAGCGAGTATAGCGTATCTTCAAACATCCTTAGAATCATCTACCATTTTTTCAAAACTCCTTTTAGAGAGCCCTCATTCTTTTTATATATATAAGGAAATCATATTTCTTTCTACAACCCTGAAATTTTTGGAATCTGTTTCTCTAAAACTAGAATATATGACACTATTCTTAGCATTCACCTCCTTAGACAATTAACCCTAAGATGACCAGGTAATTTCTCACGCAAGATCTTAGTTGCCTCAATTTCATCAATTAACTCTTACTTATTGCTTAAAATTAGTTCAGAAAACTGGTTCTTCTTGCTGTTTCCACATAATTACATTTGTAGCTAAGTCAAGAAATTTACAAGAGGGAGTTTTACTTGAATGGGACATCCAACATACTTATATTAAGATGAAAATTCCATCACTATTATACTTTGACTTTAATTTTATTTAGATATAACAGATACTATGTTTTTATAATTATTATAGTGAGTTTCCTGGGACAAGTAATTCAAAAGGAATAAGAGAATAACTAATAATCTTGTTATTAAAATTTAAGAAACATTAATTCTGGGATATAAGAGGGGCTTGTTATAGAAAATGATTGCATAAATTAGGGAAATGCTATACATTCTAACCTTCTCTAGGAAAATCACAATAAAATATTGAAAGGTCTGTGATACAATCAGAGATATAACCTATATTAACTTGGCTTAACTCAGTACTTCCCAAGACCATTTAAATAGAGAATCCTCCACCCCTGACCCATTTTGTGGCATATTCAGTAAATATAGAAAAGTGCTCCTAAGAACATCAGCCTGGAAAATGTCCAATGGCTATTTTTTCCATTCATTCATTTAATTTATGTACCTACTGGCCCTATGCAAGTTATTACTTTTTGGACTTCTACCAAAGGAAGAGAAGAAAAAATAAAAGGAGATGAAACCTAAATGTGATCGTTAATCTGGTTAAACAAAGCTTATAGCAGGCTGGGTACAGTTGCTCATGCCTGTATTCCAGCACGCTGGGAGGTCAAGGTGGGAAGACTGCTTGTGGCCAGGAGTTTGAGACCAGCCTAGGCAACATAGCAAGACTCCATCTCTACAAAAATTTAAAAAATTAGCTGGGTGTGATGGCACACCTGTAGTCCTAGCTACTCAGGAGGCTGAGGTGAGAGGATCGCTTGAGCCCAGGAGGTCATGGCTGCAGAAGCTATCATCACACCACCACACTACAGCCTGGGTGACAGAGATCCTGTCTTGGAAAAAAAAAGTTCATAGCAAGACAGATAGGGTGCATGCTATCACTTTAGCATTTCATGAGCTGCTCTGAAACTAAATATGAACGTGAACTACTGTCAAATTTGACTACAGTGAAATGTTTCATATTTAGTGTATAACAGAGAAACTTGCATTGACACTTGGCTCTTTTTTAGTACCATGGCAAATAGTACTATCAACCACTACACTCTCTCCCTATGAGCCTGGATTCCTTTTCAATAGTTTCAAATTGCCATGAAAGTCAATAAATCTATCATACCTGGTTTCACATATGAAGGTTAGGGGGATAAAAGTTACTAACTGAAATACATAAAATCTGCACCTGCAGATAATTTTAATTTTCCATATGACATTCATCCCAAATTAGCATAAAAATATAGCTTATCAATTTGTAATATAAACACATTTCCTTTATTTGATAATTACCACCTAATATTCAGTTCCTTTCTCCTCCTTTGGGGTACCTATCTAGAGGAGACCTCTAAGAATACGACATAGAGAAGAAAAATAATTTATATATTTTATGTACTTTTAATTGCAAAGAGCTGATCATTAAAAGATGGTAGAATATACCCACCAAACCCCATAGTTGCCTTTATCATTGCTGTATCACACTGACCTACTGCATCTCTTTCTTAGAACTATATAGGGTATATAATTTTATTCCTTAGATGCTTACCATTTTCTGAGCAACCCAAAGGGTATACCTGTGTTGACTTTTTTTGTTTTAGCCACAGTATATTCTCAAATCAACATATATACATTTTTTAGGCAAATTTTAAATCATATACATTTCAGAACCACTGACGAAATTTAAATAAAAGACAAAGAGAAGAGGCCAACAATGTATTCAAGATTGCAAACAATTATTTCACATGGAACAAAACACAAACAATATCACTGCAAACATCATTGAAACAAGGTTAAGACAAACAAAAAACCTCTATAATATAGACGAGAAAAAATGTTGCCACATTTTTTTCTTATGCAATTAGAATCTGTTTGTTTAAAAATATATCCAAGCGTTTAATTTTCAATCTTCAATGTCTTCCATTAAAACTAATTAGGACTAATTCTAAAAGTCAAAACTCAATTCTCTTTAGCAGAATAAACAATCTGTGGGTTAAGAATCATAATTTGTTCTGAAACAACTGATGATTCTGGGGAGACATTTATTAGGTTTTGTCACTGGAGAAATTTTCAAAAGCACTGAATCTCTATGCTAGAGATAGAAAAGATTCTAGAAGTTAAAAATAATATAAATCAAACACCTCATTTAACAGAAGAGTTTCTGACTCAAAGATAATTCTAACCTTAAGAATCAAGGCAGAGTAAGGAGTAAGAAACCAAGAACTTCTGATCCTTCTTCCTTTCAATAACCCCTCCCAACCCCACCACCAAAAAAAGCAAAGCCCTCAAACTTATTTAAGTTTGATTAAATGATGGATACTAATTTCTGTTGGCTCTGTGGTCTTACTGAGAAGCACTACAACAACCTAAAACTGACTTAAGTTTATAGGAAAAAGGGGAAGATAATTAAAATATAATATGACCTATACTGGTACTCAAATCACAAAATACTAACCACTTGCAGTGGCATTATAAAAGTACCACTAAATTTCACCATAGAAATAGAAACAAAACCTAAATATAGGCAAAAACTAAAGATGCAATGATAGAAAAAAAAGTTAACACTAACTTATTACTTTTCATATATTCAAACACAAATATTACTGTGAGGCCATTACTACTACAGGCCAGGCACTTCAGTAGGCAACAGAGAAAAAGAACTCTGTATGTAAGTACTACGTGACAGAAATAAAACAAAGTTAATCTGGTCAGTATTTTAGTAAAAAAAAAAATTAGTTACATAGTTCATTTAATTTTGCAAGAATAAAATATAAAAATAAAGCTCACATTTGGTTTCCTAAGGTTTTATTTTTTTTCAAGAGGAAAAAAAAAGCTAGGGACTATGCATAATATAGCAGAAAGAACTGAACTACTTTTCCTGCAATCTTGGGGCTAGCCTCAGCCCTCACACCAATAAAGCATACAAAAGTAAAATAGTCACATATTATCTCTGGGTCTCAGTTTCCTTCGGTAAAGCAAGGAAATCCCAAAAGATAGTTAGTAAGCTCCTTTGTACATCTATGATTCCATGCCAGTAGGCAGCAACAGAAAGAAGTGAGCAATCTTTTAAAAATATTTAAGCACACAAAATAAATTCAGACTCTTTGAAAAAATCTGAATAAGTGCTTTCTATGTATCAGAGATAAAATTAAATGAATGTATTCAACATACTCAAAATTATTTGGCTTACACTTATGCACAGAAGTCTTTCCTTACCAAGAGAAGAAATTCTCCAAATCAACAGGAACAAAACAGTTCAACATCCTTCAAATTTCTTAATAATGGGAGGAAACAATGAGAAGAATGATAAAACCTGTTTTTGTCATGTTGCATCTAATTTTCCCTAAGTGTGTGGTGTTTTCAGTTCTTCATCAAAAAATTTTTTTTGAAATAAACCACCTTAGAAACTAAAATGTTTAAGAAAACAACTGTCTTGCTCACTGACTTTAAACAAAAAAACATTAATTCTGTCAGAGGTGAGTCGCAAAGCCTAAATATAAATAATTGCTAGTTGTATAAATTTACATAGTTCTGAGCTGACAGGGTATTTCATTTATTAGTCTACTGGAGAGATGGCCATCAACCTCACAAGATCTTTTTTAAAACAAAAAACAACTTTCATCACTGGGCAAGATATATCAGCAGTACTGTTATGACCTTTACACACCTGCGTCTCTCCCTGACCTCTGTTGTGGAGGAGACAGTGCCAGCAGTAGTTGTAGTCAGGGTTGTGGTAGAAGCTGCAGCATTTACAACAGTTGGAGCAACAGGAATGGTCACTGCCGTAGGAACACTGTCCTTTTCTTTCTCAGTACTATCCTCAGCCCACAAACGATTTGAGGTACTATAGCATCATAAGCAGCAACACAAAAAAGAGAAAAGGAAAACAGCTAAACAATGAAAGCACTTTCTAGCAGCTGAAAACACATGACTACAGGGATGGATTTTTTTAAAACGCAAGGTGAGACATCCTTAAATTATGAACCAAAAAGCTCACCCAGAGTTGTCAAAGAGAGAAATTTACATTTTAAGCAGTCTAATTCAAGGAAAGTTCATAGTTCAGGAACTTAAAATTTCCCCCAGACATGCATAATTGCCTCATTTTGGAACCAATTTTTGTCTGCAAATAAATTTAACAAGATAAATGAAAAAATCCAGAGCCCCACAATCTTCTAAACAAAAACGCATGCACATACATAAGCACACAGTAGACCTGAGCACAAAATGTATCTGTGACTTACCTGCTTTGTGTGCCTGCTGAGGAAGAACCCGTTGTAATCTTTGTAGTAGTGCTTGTGCTGGAAAGCAGGCTTTTCTGAAGCCCAGCTGCAGAGGTAACTGTTGGTGTTGATGTGGTGCTTGGAACACTAGAACTAATCAAATCATCTTGTCTTCTACCAAAGGAGCAACTAAACAAAAGAGTCATATCTATATAGGATGTGTTTGTATGTGTATTCTATAGTTAATGTCTATACATTATATAAATTACAAGGCTAGAAAAAAAATTTAAAAACTGTGTTCCTAAATACACCACCAGCTCCAGCACCAAGAGTTGCATCTACAACTTGCTAGAGTTTAGAAGATTTCACTTAATTCGGTAGTGTATCATTTTAGTGCCTCCTCCCAACTTTCTCAACAAGACAAAGATGATCTGATATTTCATATTTTTGAAACTATTCCACACCATATGGTCATGCCAGGCTGAGCCTGAAAAACACACTTTGGTTTTGTATTACCCAGGGAAAACAAGACGTTGACATTTTTTTGAAGGAAATTATTTCAGCAATGGGTCAGATACCTCGGAAGTAACCAATGCCTACATGATACTTGTTCACATCTTATTCTTTTTGGTTGCTTTTAGTAAAGAAATTGTTTATAGGGCTTTTTTTTCCTCTTCAATATGATACTACCAACATTCCAACTGAAGGCATTTCCATAGCTCTGAGTTCTAGGGCAAGCCAAATCTTTCCAGATCAACAATGACAACTAGATCCATTAAGACACTGGCCTGTTTAAGTTGTTCTAGTCAAGGAGTTCCTTCTAAAGGAGTTCCTTTTAAATATGTAACAATCCAAAAAACATTTCATAATATTTGAAGCTTAATTATATAATAGGCATAACAAATTATCACCTATCTTTAAATATATATCCTGTGTTTAGAGTAAGTTTTAAACAACAAAAACTCGTATTTAATAAAAACACATATTTGTTTAAAATGATGTTAAACTGAGGGCTCCAAACAAATTGCCTCATATTTTTATAAATGAATACATAAAAACCGCTTAAGAATAGTATTATTACCTTTTATGATACGTTGATCCTTCATTAACTGAGCTATTTTTTTTAAGATCATCTTCCCATTTTCTCCTTGTATATGAACTACTTGTTCGCAAACTTGAAGAATCTCTGTTAAAAGAACACCCTTCAGATTCTGGTACATAATTTTAAAATAGGATTAAGAAAGCGGTACACTAGTAAATATTAGTATAAGCTGAAACTAGTAAAAACCTTTGGGAGGACACTTAGGAATACTAATCAAGAAGATAAAGTAATTTCAGTACTAAGATTATATACCCTAAGGTATAATTTTTCCCCTAAGTATGGGGGAAAATTCAGATATTTATAGAAATATGCTTTTTGATCACAAAATATAAAGTAGGGGAGATGCTTACTTTAACCGCAGAAGATCTACTTTATAGTATGTTATGTGCCGACAAAAAAAATGCTTATTAAAAATATATATTAACATAGAAGACTGCTTATGAGATCTTAGGGGAAAAAAATAAAAAAATTAGATATTATAACATGATTAAAAGTATATTAAAAAGTTATTGGCCGGGTGCAGTGGTTCACACCTGTAACCCAGCACTTTGAGAGGCCGAGACAGGTGGATCACAAGGTCAAGAGTTCAAGACCAGCCTGGCCAAGATGGTGAAACCCTGTCTCTACTAAAAATAAAAAAATTAGCTGAGCAGGGTGGCAGGTGCCTGTAATCCCAGCCACTTGAGAGGCTGAGGCAGAGAACTACTTGAACCTGAGAGGTGGAGGTTGCAGTGAGCCGAGATTGCGCCACTGCACTCCAGCGTGGGTGACAGAGCGAGACTCTGTCTCAAAAAAAATAAAAATAAAAATAAAAATAATTAAATTAAAAAAATAAAATTCTATAAGCTGAAAAACAGGAAGAAACTAAAATATTTAAACAATATTTAAACAAAAATATTTAAAACAAACTAAAATGATTAAGTAAGGGCTTTCCTTCTTCTTTCCCCTTTCCTAAATGTTCCAAATATTTAGAGAACTCATACTAGTTCATGACCTTATCTCCTCCCACTTTCCCCTTACTCTGTTCCAGCCACATCTTCTTTGCTATTATTTCATGAACATACCAAGCCTGCACCTCCTCAGGACTATGTACCTGGTATTTTCTCCTTCAGGAATATCCTCCATCTCTTCCCACAATACATATCCGCACATAATTACAATGCTCATGTATTAACTCTAATGCTAGATAATAAAGATTTTATAGTGAATGCATAAAGCAAATCAAAATAAACTCACCTGTTTTCTTTCTCTTCAATGTCAGATGTACTGGCTAGTCGTCTTGGTATTGTAGGTGCAACATATGCAAGCCTAGTTCCTTTACTATCTTTCTCCTACACAACAGGGAAAAAAATAAGTAAAAATTAATTTGGGTACTGACTATAGGCAATGCTAAAAGTATTAAGAAAAGGTTATTCAATAATTATAATTACATAGCTATCATAGTTTACAGTATTTCAACAATTCCTAGCTGAACTCTAAAATTAATGTCAATCAATAATCAGCCTGTTCAAATTAGTTTTCTTTCTCTTTTAGCCTGGAATCAGATAATATTTTACTAAGAAAGGAAAAAAATTTCTCCAGATTTTAATGACTTTTTCTAAAACTTCTCTAACAGATTAATACTGTGTCATAAGCTGAAATATCTTTATTTCTTCCAGAGAAATAAACTTTCAAATATTGTTCACTGAGAGGTCTCAAGCATTTATATTATATAAGCTATTTAGAACCTTGATAATCAATGCTCTCAAATACATCAAAATAGTCAAAACAAATATTATTTAAATTATATTTATCCAAATATGGCTAAGAGTGTGTAGTGACAATGACACTCTGATACATTCCTAGTAAGCTGGCATAAAATACCTGGAAACCAACTGCACAGTAAACTGATAAAAAAGCAAAAATATTAGAATTACTTGATGAGAAATTTCATCTGAATTTCTGATATAAGGAAACATTTCTAAGTATAGAAAGAAAACTGTATGGGCAAAAAAAATAGTTCAAGCACTGAATATGCTGTAGAAATAAATACTAGTATTGAATAAACTGTGGTACATCCTATATAATGCAGTATTAATACCACCTCTCAAAATAGTTATTAAATTTACTCATTAAGACAAAGTTGCTTGTAATATGGTAGATGAAAAATCTGGTATTTTTTTTCAGATACTGAATAAATGTAACTTATGAGTATACTAACATTCTAGAATAAATGTGTTCCTATGTTTTTTAAACTTCAGAAAGTTTCTTGAATCATAATAAACAAAATAAGCCTGCTCCTTAATACAGTTCTATTATAAATTCTCAAGTAAGGTAATAGATTCCTTTAACGGAGTATAGTCCCATAATTTATGTTTTAGGCAAATACATCTGATCTTTCCAGTATTTATAATTCTGTATAAATTACATTTGTCTTATGTAATTCATTAAGGTTAATTAACTTGATACCTAGATCTAAAGATAACTAGCAGAAAATCTACCAGATTTGATGTTCCTGGAAAAGAAATCATAACAGTTTTCATAGAAACCAGACTGTGAAATAGATTACCTTTTCTTTATTATCCAAAGAGGAGGAAAGTCTGGGACTTGAAGCTGAACGTGTAACACCTGCAGTATCTTTTTCTTTCTGACCCTCTTTAGATGCTGTGATTTCAGCAAGTGCACCATAGCTGCCCGTCTTTCTAAGTCCTAACCTCCAAGTTGCAGGAGACTCATCTTTTCTCTCTTCTTCTTTGGGAGAAATTTTTGTAGCTGTGGTTGGAAACTGTGTTTATTTTATTTTTTAGGAAAAGAAAAAAGAATTTGTAAAGCTGATCAGTCCTTAAATTGGAAACAATAAGTTTACAGATAATATATTTAAAATTATGGTTTACAGTTTCAGGATAAAACACTTTTACTACATAGGTTAATGTCTTAGTAAAAAATGTAAAGATCTAAAAATTTTAAAGAAATAGACTACCTTCCTAGGGGTTAGACTTAAGAAAACACACTACACACTTTATATCACACAGAAAAATTATGATGCAAATACAGAAAACAGAAATGAGCACACCATAAGGACTTAAAACCATGCATCTTTGGAACCAATTTATATTAAACTTGTTATGTTGTAACCTAATATAAATTCTTGCACATAGAAATGCCTCACCATAGATTTTTCACCCTTACTGGGCACAAGAACAATGCCAGTTTTGCGCAAGCCCTGCCTCCATGATGCAGGATCTACTGATTCCACCACAGGCATGATAGGAGCAATGAAATCATACTAAAGCCAATTAAAATAAGACAGGTAAAGAGACAAAGATTGAAAGCATGAAAACAGAAAAGGGAAGTTATGAACAAAAAATATTTTCTTCATTTGAAAATAATTTTATAATTAACCCCAATAATTGGGTAATGATCCAATCTTTAAAAGTCACTGGGAACAAGTTCTAATTTTAGCATGAGATAATCTGAAAAAAATCTAATAAACTTCTAAAGCAATTAAAAGGCATACAGAGTAGATAATATAGCATGTGACTGAACAAACTACTGCACATGAATTTTGTTTTTAATCCATGTATATACTCTGGTTAAAAAATTTTGTGTCCAATATAATCAACAAAAACTAGTAACTGATATTTTTCCAATTATAATACTTTTTTTTTTAACATCACAGCCTTAAATTTACTGATTTCCCCACCAAACATTAACTATTTCAACTATAATAAAAACTAATTTTATGTACAAATATTTATGCTATTTTAAGGGCTTTCCAACAACCCTAAAAATGCAACCTCTGTTATCTTTAGATCACTTCATCAACTTCACTTCTAGAAATTCTATACTCAACCACAGTTAACTATATAGATTGGTGAATACAGCAACTAACTAGTTGCCACAAGCATAGGGTATTAATAATTTTTTAAAAATCATTTCTTTCATATCTATTGCCAACATTTGCTATAATTAGCAGGTTAACAGGGCTTGTTAAAGCCCCCATGATGATGCTTGAGGGCCACTTCATGGACAAAACTGTTATAAAGATATACCTCTGGTACTTCCAGTAATGAATTGCTATCAATAGTGTCTAAGCATTCCTCAGTTCCTAAAATGTGCACCAAAGTGCTCCAGAGTGTCACAACAAAATCACGGGGGCTCTGTAGAATATTTTAAAGTTTTGAGAGAAGCACAGTGACATCTCATAGACACTGCACAAACTGCCATTTTGATCACATTTCCATCAAACTACTTAATGAGACAAACAGGCAATTCCTTTTGCCAGTGGCACTGTGAAAAAATCCTACCAAACACTAGGGGCTCCAATGACCAAGAAAGTTTGCGAACTCTAATATTCTGTGCAATATGATAGGTACTGAGACAGCTGCTTATTGATTGGTGAGTTTACAGGGCTACACTGTAAATGCTAGGCTTTGTGGAACACAGATAATATTAATACACAAATGATTGAGTGTGGCTGTAACCAATAAAACTTTAGGGACAATGACTTTTTTTTATTTTTTTTCTCCAACCAGTTTGCTATACAAAAACAGGTAATGGGCTAGGTTTGGCCCACCAGCCATAGTTTGCCAACACCCACATTAGGTCTCCCACCTCCTCAAAAAACAGAAACAAAAAAACAAACAAAAAACCTGGAAACAAACGTTTTTTCCCCCATTATAAAACAGCCAGAGTCAGTCAGTCAGATAACATTTATTGTTATAAATGAAGCTAACATTTATTGTTATAAATGAAGCTAACATTTAACAAATATTTACTAGTGTGTGACCCTCAGCTAAGTGCTTCACATGGGTTATCCTGTTTCAACCTTATAATTACCCAATGAAATACTACTATTACTGTTATTTTAGAGTTGAGAAAAACGAGGCAGTACTATCTATCAATTTTGAAATGGGCATTTGTTACACTGTAATGGCTGATATACCTCCACTCTGCCCAACATGAACTTGGATTTAAGTACTGCTTTATATGTCTAAAAGCACCTTTTAATTTTACTTGATATATAAATAAACCCTTCCTGAAATACTTAACTATACCTCCTCCTCCATTAAACTCTCTTCTTTGGCTTTTTTTACTGGACACTATCTTCACCTTCTTTTTCTTTTTACTCTGACCATTCCTTTTCTTGACTGACTCTGTGTGTGCGTGTGTGTGTGTGTGTGTGTGTGTGTGTGTAACGTTCCTTATACAGGCTGTGTGTGTTTGTGTGTGTGTGTGTGTACAACTTTCCTTGTGCTAGCCCTTCCAGAGCCTGCTCTTGGATCTCTCATATTCTCTTTCTACTTTCTTCTCCTGGGGGGTTAGGAGGAGGGTCTTTACTTCCTCAGGCTAAATATTAATTGTAGTCAGCTTATTCTCAAATGTGTTATTCTCCAGTCCAGTCTCCTAAATTTCCAGTCCTAATTTTACCTGTCTATTCTAGGTAAAATTCTACCACACTATTCTAGAGTGGACAATCTAGAACTATAACTGAAAACTTGAAACTCAGTATGTCTAAAATAAAACACCTTTACTTCCAAACCATCTCTTCTTCAGTTCCCTAATTCTGTTAATGGCACTAAGTATATCTCTTCAATCTCCTATGTTTCAAACTTCACAATTATGTTAGACCTTCTCTGTCATTTTCCTCCATCCATAAATTAGAGGTCAAGTCTCTAAATCTCCTCTCCTTTATAAGCCCAGAGTCACTTCTCTAGTTCATATTCTTATCATTGTGGGCAACTTCAATGACTTTCTAATAAACCTTTTCTCAATAAGCCTCTCATCTTCAAATCTGTACACTGCTGTCAGAATAATATTCTATAAAGAATAATCCTCTCATGGCATTGTTCAAACATCTTCCACGACTACTACTTATCAAATAAATTATAAAAGTGTTATCCTACAGTTGAAGACATCCTGCAATATAGCTCTACTTTTCCTGTTTACTTTGTATATATGCACCCTATAAATCAATCAAATGGAACAATTCATTTTTCCTGCGAAAGTATTCCATATTATCCCCACTTGCTCATATTGTTTTTCTTCTCTCCCTTTCAACAAGGTTTACAAGCCCTTCTTCTCTCAGGTGGAGTACTACCTACTTTAAGATTTATCTAAAATGTCCTGATTCTACTACCTTAAGTCAAATATAATTTCTTCTCCTTTTAAATCATGCTACATCTGTACGTTTCGATTGGACTACTTTATATACCCACAGCACATAGCAGTCTTTTGTTAAATTATTAGCTATTACATTGAATTCAATTAACCAGAACACTTAATTCCATAAAAATTCTGAATTTTTACCATCAAGTAAAGAAAATGCCATTTACATTTTATTGGAATGTACACCCATATAGAAGAATAGATAATCTGCTTTAGAGATCCCAACAAAATTTATTTTGACCAGAGAGGCTTATATAAACTTGTTAGTTAACAATTTTAAGCACAAAATCAAACTGATGGTTTTATAGATAACATCTCCACAAATCATCAGCTTGATATTGCTACAGAAACAGTTCTTTAATTTCAGCGGAAGGGTTAAGGAATTAAAGTAAACACATCTATCTTTCACCATAGTTACCCCAAGTTATTAAAAGAAAATAAGCATGTAAAACTGTTTCGTGTGCTTCCATTTTTGTGATCTGTCTTGCCATGAACACAAGTGCACACATACATAGTTTATGTACTGGGGTAGGAAGCTGGAGAACTTGATAACTTTATCTAAATATTAGAAGTGGAGTCATGACTGGGAACCTAAAAACAGATAATTGCAAAACCTTTTAAGATGCAATTAGAAATTAACAACCTGTTTAAGGAAATTTAATGTTAGGTCACTAAAGTTACAGATAAACTTGAAAAAATTTTAAAAAATACTAATATGCTAAATTAGATACAGGAGTATAAGAATCACTGAAAATAACAGGTTTTAAAAGTCATACAGTATTGATAAGAAGACTCCCTCTTCGGCTGGGCATGGTGGCTCACGCCTGTAATCCCAGCACCTTGGAAGGCTGAGGCGGGTGGATCACGAGGTCAGGAGATCGAGACCATCCTGGCTAACACGGTGAAACCCCGTCTCTACTAAAAATACAAAAAATTAGCCAGGTGTGGTGGTGGATGCCTGTAGTCCCGGCTACTTGGGAGGCTGAGGCAGGAGAATGGCGTGAACTTGGGAGGCGGAGCTTGCAGTGAGCCGAGATCGTGCTACTGCACTCCAGCCTGGGCAACAGAGCAAGACTCCATCTCAAAAAAAAAAAAAAAAAAAAAAAAGGACTCCCCCTCTTCATTAAAAAAAAAATTTCAGGCCAGGCACGGTGGCTCATGCCTGTAATCCTAGCACTTTGCAAGGCCGAGACGGGTGGATCACCTGAGGTCAGGAGTTTGAGACCAACCCAGCCAACATGATGAAACCCCGTCTCTACTAAAAATACAAAAATTAGCTGGGTGTGGTGGCAGGTGTCTGTAATTCAGCTACTCGGGAGGCTGAGGCAGGAGAATCACTTGAATCTGGGAGGTGGAGGTTGCAGTGAGCCGAGATTGCGCCACTGCACCCCAGCCTGGGTGACAAGAGTGAAACTCTGTCTCAAAAAAAAAAAAAAAAAAAAAAAAAATTCAAAATTTTTACACATGATCGTTTTGAATAAAATTTGGTTACAAAACTTTAAGAACAAAGAAACAATATAATCTTCAAAGTAAGTTATGGTGCTTGAAACTGAGAATAAAATAGTTTCTAAATATGCAAATTTAGAAGCAGATGTTATTATATTAGCTTAATTACAGAATCAAGAGTGATTTTGAATAAGAACTTTTACAGCAAAGAGATTACTGGCCCACTATACTAACAGAGGTTATAAAGTATTTCTTTTCAGTTAGGGCATTAGGTATAAATTGAGAACTACATTGCCATAAATGTTGGCTATATGTGAGAAAAAGAAAAAGAAAATTGAACACAGGAAGTTTACCGTAATCATTTGACTGTAGTAGGAAAGGGATTACTTAGCCAAATACCCAAAAGATAGAGAGCCAGTGCTGGGTGCAGTGGCTCACGCCTGTAACCCCAGTACTTTGGGTGGGCGGATCACAAGGTCAGGAGTTCGAGAATACCCTAACATGGTGAAAACCCATCTCTACTAAAAATATAATTAGTCAGGTGTGGTGGAGGTGCCTGTGATCCCTGTTACTCAGTAGGCTGAGACAGGAGAATCGCTTAAACCCGGGAGGCAGATGTTGCAATGAGCCAAGATCGTGCCATTGCACTCCAGCCTGGGTGACAGAGCAAGACTGCCTCAAAAAGAAAAAAAAAAAAAAAGATAGCCAGTTTCTTGCCTAGGTATTCCAGGGAGATGGAATTTCTGATAACATTATAGTCTAAACAGATCAAAAGATGCAGGAATGAATTTAGTATTCACTGAAGAAGTACATGGGGGTCTTAGAAGTAAAATAAACTTTAATTAAAGCAGTTTATAGTGACGCTAGTTATAGGATGATTAACAGTCTTCAAAATTTTGCAGACAAACTGCTTTTAGAGAATTTCTTAACTGAAGCATACATAATTATTATCATATGAACATGAGTTCTAACTGAATTCAAGAAGCCCTCAGTTTTGGAATATATAAGGTAAGATAAGTCATTCATAGTTTCTCAATATTCAAACTATGTACCAATGAAACCAACACGTTTCTACCACTAATAATTTACATTACTGCCTTCCTTGGGAAGTTTGAGAGAAGGATTATTACTAACAGCAGGGATTTTTTTTTTTATTCTGCAGTTTATGATTTCAAAAAGATCTATATTTTGACCACCTAAAGCCAAATCCAAATATTGGCAAGACTGACAACACAACAGAAATGCTGTGAGGATTTAAAAACCAATCAGTCCTTAAACTCATGCACATAATGTCAAACGAGCAACAAAATAAGAAGTTCAAAGGCAACTAAACACAATGTACAATCCAAGTGGACCCCTGATTTTAAAAAACAAACAGAAATACTCAAAGGACAATTGGGAAAATCTGGGTATATTAGTTATTAATAACATAATAGTATTATACCAAAGTTAAATTTCCTAAGTGTGATTATTTTGAGAATGAAGAATAGCCTTGTACTAGGAGATACATACTGACATATTTAGGCATGAAGTGTTATGATTACTGCAATCAATTTTTCAAGGGTTTGGTTAAAAAAAAAGGTATGTGTGGACAGAGAGGGAAATGATAAAAAAAGATAAAAAAAAGGACGGGTGAAGAGAAATCTTTGAAAAGAGACTAGTAGGTCAAACATAAACAAACAAAAACTCTTAATCGTTAATTTGGGTTAAAAGAAAGATAGGTTCCAGAGAAGCAGGAAAACGTAAAGTCTTAAAAAGATTAACACACTAACTGGAAAACACTGCTTCGGTGGAGAGAAGAGATGAGAGGGATGGAGAACAGACAGAGAACAGAAAGAAGAGAAAGAAATGAAACTAACATTTTGAAAACACACTCAGTTTACTGGCCAGGCTATCTCAACCAATCCTTACAATAT
Organism: Homo sapiens; assembly: GCF_000001405.40. Lineage (NCBI taxonomy): Eukaryota > Metazoa > Chordata > Mammalia > Primates > Hominidae > Homo > Homo sapiens. The sequence continues at coordinate 79,816,756 of NC_000012.12, forward strand.
TAACTGTATTTCTCTTTATTTTGTTATACAAAAGGAAGATAGTAAGTAACTTGCTCAAGGTCATAACAACTAATAAGGTAGAGTCAGGAGCTCATCTCTGGTTTATCTGACCTCAGAGATCATGCTCCTACTGACATACCAAAGTTGCCTGCCTAGTGCTTTGTACTATGAGTTTAAAAAATTTAGATTTTAGTTCTCTCATTGACTTGTGGTAGTAGTATTTGTAATTTACCCGTGTGTGAAATTATCAACATGCACACCTCTACTTAATAGAGATAAAGGATATAAAACCTGAGCTTCTCAAAATAAAAGTTCAATAGAAAAAAAAAACTAATACAATCACTGATTTTAATATTACAAAAATTTTTATCTTTCTGCCATTTATTAACTATCAACTGTATGTAATATTTGTTAACTACCAACTGTAATATCAACAGTAATATCAATTGCAAAAAGGATAAAAAAACATGATTCAGAAGAAATCTCATTCAACTGAGAAACATAAATACATATTTATATTCTGAAATCTTACATATTTTTGGAACAGACTATAAAAATTCAGAATTACTTTAATGAGTTAGTCCAAGTGGTACATAAATAGAATACATGTATTTTCAGCAAATACAATTTTGGCTTACCTTTTTAATAGGTGATGTAGGTGTTGCTTGACCTGATGACACAGTAGGTGTTGTAACAGCTACAGGAGCTGCTTGTGTACTAGAAGTGTTGGCATTAGTTACAGAAGCCAGGGGTTTTGTCTTATCTATTAAAGACAAACAATTAAGAGTCAAGATTCCATATATATTTGGTCTCAATGGCTGGGAAAAAATCATTTTATATTCCATTTTTGTTTAAGGTTTTGTTAACTAAAAGTCTTTCCCCACTGTGATTCCTTTTCGCAAGTCAGTTTTTCAGGGAGCTTCTAGACTTGTCTCTATATATATGCTGAAATAAATAGTTAAGATAATAAAGATACACAACAAAGCTTCTGACAATAAAATGCACAAATAGAATCTGACTTCTGTACTTTTAAAATGAAGAAAATAAAAAGAAATTTAAGATTTAAAACTTGAATGCATGAATGCAATGTAACTAAAACCTTAACAGTAGCTATGCAATTTTCTAATGGATAAACAACTATTATTACTGATCTAAAACTGATGGTTCCTCTTTAATCAAGGAAATCTAAAAGTGCTTTTGTCAATAATTACCTTACATTCCTGTCAAACAGTATGGTTAAATGTCCCAAAGAGCATGTTTTCCCACTCCTAAAAAGTCTAAAGTTAAATGGGCACAATATCATCTTCTTGGAAAATAATCCACCTAACTGTGTAGAGAATCAATCAACAAATAATAAGTGTCCCCATTCTTCAAGTAGTGCCCTAGGTACTAGGGATATATCAGCCAATGAAAAGACAAAATACCTTCACTTGCAGTCTAGTAGGAGATATAAATAACAAATAAGATAAACCCCATGTACCACCATCCAACTTATTTATTTACTTTGAGACAGGGTCTTGTTCTGTTGCCCAGGTTGGGGTACAGTGGCATGATCTTGGCTCACTGAAGCCTGTTACCCAGGCTCAAGCGATCTTCCCACCTCAGCCTCTTGAGTAGCTGGGACTACAGGTGTGCGCTACCACACCTACTAATTGTTGTGTTTTTTTTGTAAAGACAGGGCTTCCCCATGTTGCCCAGGCTGGTCTTGAACTCGTGAGCTTAAGCAATCCTCCAGACTTGGACTCCCAAACTACTGAGATTACTAGCATGATCCACAGCACCCAGCCCCACCATCCAACTTACTTTGTAAATGTTATTAATATTGCTGTAGTCTTTCTATCCATTTGATTTCAACAAAGAACAAAAAAGTCCTAGAAGAAAGAACCCTAAAAGCAAAAATGTACTCTTCTTTCTCATTTTCTCAACTAACTTTCACATTTGTAAATTGTTTGAAAGGTAACTAAAACTTATGGTTGCACTCTCATTTTTATCTGCTTTATGAGAAGAGAAAGAACACTGAAGAAAAACTGTTTTGGCAAATAATTTATTTTACAAAATTCAGCAAAATAGTTATTTTATGTCAAATAGTTTCCCAAGGAAATAACCTTACAAAAAGTAGAAAGAACAAATGGTTTACAAATTGTCAAATTAAGCTGTAGCTCTACAGGGAAATGGCTGCTTTCTCAAGCTTTCCAAATAAAGTATGATAAAGCCTAGCTGATATTAAGAGAGTGAGAGGAAAGGAACCACACAGCGTTTACAATGGGTTAATTCTTGAGACAGAGTCAAATTTTCCTGGCACAACTGCCACTAGCAACAGGAAGAACAAAATTATCATAGTACAATGCTTCAAAGGAACATTTAAAGTTAGCTCAGTGAGAAACTGAGTAGAGAGCAATTAGTACGTTTCAATTCCAAACCGGGAACAAATACAATGCAATTTGATGGTAATTAGTTATATTTAATAGAATACTAGAGTTTTAAGAACCATCCAGGTCATATAGCCCGATTTTTCTCATTTTATAATCAAGGAAATTCAACCAAAAGATAGCAGAAGATTTGCTGGTTAGTGGTAAAACTGGCCTAAGGTCTCTTGTTTGTTTTAAATAGTTCCTTGGTGTCTAACATTGAACAGTGACTTGTATACAAACAAGGGCTAATGAAGAAAAAATTTAGTGAACAAAAACCTAGAAATCTTTGAAAGAGATGCCTGGACTTCTAGTTCTTGAATTATACTACATAAGTAGTAAAAGACTTAAAATACAAGTTAGGAGATCTGGGTGCAAGTCTTGGCTCTCTTGTGCACATAGTTTAATTTGTAATGATATACTTGACTACAGACTGAGAGCTAAGTAATGTCTCCCAGGGAGGAGATTAACTGCATAAAAATAACTTTAGGCTATAGGTTGAGCACAATGGCTCATGCCTGTAATCCCAGCACTTTGGGAGGCTGAGGTGGGAGAATTGCTTGAGGACAGGAGTTCAAGACTAGCCTCAGCAAAATAGTTAACCCTACAAAAAACAAAAATAAAATTAGATGTGCATGGTAACATGTGCTTGTTGTCCCAGCTACTGGAGAAGCTGAGGAGGATCACTTGAACCCAGGAGTTTGAGAATAAGGTAAATGTTCATCAGAATGGAAACAGACATATTTAATAGAATACTATACAATAGCTAAAAAAAAAAAATGCAGATCAAGTTATAGAAATAGATTTATGGACAAATATAAAAAACATAACTTTTGAGTGAAAAAAGATGTATAACAATTCCTACCATATGAAAAAAACACAAAACAATATTATAATTGTTATATGTTACATATGAATACACATATGTAAGACTATAAAAATGAACTAGAAGATTACAGAAAAAAACTCATGACAGTGATTGCCTTTGAAGGAAGGAAAGGGAAGCAGACTAGGGTGGGTGACCAAAAAAGACATCTATAATGTTTTAACTTCATTTAAGAAATTGAAGTAAATATGATTAAATGTCACAGTAGTTAAAGTCTTAAGTCGAGGTTGTTGGAATATGAATGTTTGTTTATTATACTTTTCTGTATCTTTAAAATTTCTCAAAACAAAGCAAATTCCCCCACACCCTCACAGGAAAGAGTTTTTACTCCATTCCTACTTTACTATTTCTTAGGGAAAATTTGGGATGCTGTTGGGACCGGCATCCTGGACGTTTGGACCTCAGAAGGAACAGGAGCATTTCTCAATTGCTGAGAACCCACTCACAACCTATCTGTACCTAAGGAGTCTTAGAAGCCTCTGCAACTTCTTTAAATATAGGTCGGCAAAATGCAGAGGTGAACAACAGCCTCCAGATAATTAAATAATAATAAATTCACAACTATATGTAAGTTTCTAGCATTCACTGAAAGATAATTTAGTAGTGTGGCAGGTATCTAAACAAGTAGCAAATCAGTCTGAAAAATTTAAAAATTACGTCTCATCTTGTCTTATTTTACACTGCCACAAAATTCAACGAAAATGCATTTATCTTTTAATTTTACCTGTTTCAGCTTCTGATTCCGAGTCATCTTCCTCATCTTCTTCACTAGAGCAGCTAGACTCATCCTTCTTTCCTTCTTCTTCTTCATCAACCTTTTCTTGTTCCAGAGATTCAATACGGGATGCATTTTTCTCTGGTTCAATAATCAACGTCTCTTTGCTGTTAAAGGAAAACAGTGTTCAAATGATTAGAAATACAAAAGGTTAAAATATATTCATTCTTCCCAGATCCACAATAATCATGCCTGTGGCCACTATGCCAACTCATTAACAAAAATAACAAATGTACTTGAATATTTTACTCACTTTTTAAAGGTCTTCTGTGACTGATTATTGTCCATATTTGCTGTTGATTCAATTAGTGGAGATTTCTTGTCCCGTTTTTCACTATGGAGCTTTGTACAAAGTTATGCAAAGGAAAATAAGAAAACTATTAAGATACTATTACTAAGATGCAGAGTTTAAAATAATAACAAAGTAGTTTTTCAGACATTAAATAAGACAAAACAAAGAAATAAATAAATTAAGTTTTACCTGAAAAGGAAAGAGCTTGAATAAAGAATGAAATAGACTAGACAATTAAAAAGCTCCATGCAGGGCTAAGATGGATTTTTTACATCCCTCCAACTTTACTGAAAAAGTCGAGATCCACTAACCACTTAGGCTGGCTGAGGATATTTTACTTAAAGAACTGTTTCTGGCTGGGCGCAGTGGCTCACACCTGTAATCCTAGCACTTTGGGAGGCCAAGGCGGGAGGACTGCCTGAGCTCAGGAGTTCAAGACCAGCCTGGGCAACATGGTGAAACCCCATCTCTACTAAAACACAAAAAATTAGCCAGGCATGGTGGCGTGTACCTGTAGTCCGAGCTACTCAGGAGGCTGAGGCAGGAGAATGGCTCAGACCCAGGAGGTGGAGGCTGCAGTGAGTTGAGATCGCGCCACTGTACTCTAGCCTGGGACAGAGTGAGACCCCATCTCCAAAAAAAAAAAAAAACTGTTTTCTAGTGATATAACTCCTTGCTTATCTAGGACCTGCTATTGGATATATGAGATTTTATAGATTCCATCTTTTAAGTAAAACACTCTAATGAAATTATAAAAACGTTATTCTTGAGGACATATATGAGTATTCATTTTGAGAAGGGGAGGAAATAGAAATGGGGATAAGCAACACAAAAGGCTAAATATCACCATCCTTTATTCTCTTTCACTATCATTTAGTGAAACTTAAGGATAACTTAAAACCAAAAAGTACAAAACATCACAAGAATACTTTTGTAATTGTCTCAAATTCAAAATTATTAAGGTAAGTAATATAGGCAATTATTAGTCATCAAACATACCAGATTTTGTTTCTTTTGCAACTCTTCTAAATATCCTAAAATGTCTTCATCTGCTACATCAAAGGCTGTTTGGCCCTACGTAGGAAACAAGGGGGGATGGTGATGGTCAAAAGTCAATAAATCATAAAATGCCTTCAGTAATTCTGTATAATTTTATATAAAGACGTTGGATAACATTTTTTACAGTGGTTATGATACAATAACTACTGTAAAAACATACAACTCTAAGGCAATGTATGTGAAATTTATGTGAGACAGAAGCTGAGAATATCTCCCCTTATTTTTTTGGTAACAGCTTTATTGAGATATAATTCATATACCATACAAATCACTCATTTAAAGTGTACAATTCAATGGTTTTATGGATATTCAGAGTTGTACAACTATCAAAATAATCAATTTCAAATATTTTTATCACCCTAAGAAGTAGGAACATACCCTTTAGTAGTCACTGTCTGCATCCAGCCCAAGGCAACCACTAATCTACTTTCTGTCTCTATAGGTCTACCTATGCTAGGCATTTCCTATAAATGGAATCATAGAATATATGGTTCTTTGTGACTGGCTTCTTTCACTCTACATGTTTTCAAGGTTCATTCATGTTATAGCATGTATCACTTCATTTCTTTTGATGAATAATATTCCATTGCATGATATATACAGTTTGCTAATCTAGTCATCAGGTGGACATCTGCATTTTTTTTTTTTTTTTTGCCTATGATGAATAATGCTGCTATGAGCATTCATATACAACTTTTTGTGTGGACACCTGTTTTCATTTTCTTCAACATACAGTTAAGGGCAAAATTACTGGGTAATTTAACCTTTTGAGACTTTTTCTTTTTGATGACTTCCTAAAACTTAATTAACTTCTTGGTAGAGTAATAAAACTAAAAATATATATATGTTTAAGCTGTTTAACATTCAGCCAGCCACAGGTATGGCTTAATTTTTAAAATTAGTCCACATGAACATATGTCAATCCATTTTAATTCACTGTGAAAGAGAAAAATTTCAAAGAGCTGCTGACTAAACATAGTAAGAATATTTCCTGCTGCCTGCATTAGTCCTTATAATAGCCCTACTGTACAAGTTTCCAGGATGCTTACAAGTTCATTATTTAGAATACAGTCTTCTTTGTATGTTATCCAGTATATGATCCTTTCACAGAAAAAAAAAAGTTTTTAGCAACAAAAAATATAATTCTGAAAGAAAGTTAAAATTTCTTAATAGTATTCCTATATCCACAACAAGATCAGAATGGATAAGAAATAATGGCTTCTAAAATCACATTAATTTTTCCGTTTAGAAACAAACAACAAACCTCGTTTCTATACCAACATCAGGATGTTAACATGTATTCAGAAAGGAGCTAATTTCCAAACACTACAAAACAAACTATAAGCTAGCCAATATCTGAGCTAGTTTTCCCATTGTCTGTTAATAAAATAAAAAGCCATTGTCTATGAAAGGTATCTTTTTTTTTTTTTTTTTTAAAGATAGGATCTTGCTCTGTTACCAAGGTTGGAGTGCACTGGCACGATCGTGGCTCACTGCAGCCTCAACCTCCTGGGACTCAGGTGATCCTCCCACTTCAGCCTCCTGAGTAGCTGGGACCACAGGTGCACACCTCCACGCCTGACTAGTTTTTGTATTTTTTTGTAGAGATGGAGTTTCACCATGTTGCCCAGGCTGGTTTTGAACTCCAGGGCTCAGGCCCACCTCCACCTCCCAAAGTGCTGGGATTATAGGTATGGGCCACTGTGCCCAGCCCTATGAAGAATATCTTCAAAGTATATAAAATACTGCTTTTTCAAAATAGGTGAGTATGTATATAAATTTACAAGATTCGAAAATACTTATCATACTTGCCTTTTCTTGCTAGAAAGTCTTACCAGTAGGAATTTAAGAGACAATCTATCCTTTCCCACTCAGTCCAAGATAAAAAGTTTTAGTTTTAACAAACTTTCCTCCCATTTCAATCTTGGGAAATAGAAGCCAAAATTTAAATTCCTGAAGAATAAATAGTTCTGAAATCAAATAACTGGCTCAAAACTTAAGGTGCCCTTTAAATTAGAAATACATGTTAATTCTAGTTTTGCTATATCATATGCTTTACATAATCAGTTCTAAAATGTTAATAATGCTATTTATTTAATGTAAAGTGTGTTTAAGATTATGTTATGTGGAAATAATTCAGTGACTTCTTTTTAAATATCATTTTAAGCATTATCAACCCTTCTCATGAATGAACTACCCCACCTTGAAAATGTTTGAACTGTAATTAAATTTTTCTAGCAGTTAAATGCAATGGAGTCACTTTAATAATCAAGGAACTCTCCTCTTTAAGAATAAGAAATTGGATCACTCTACTAACCTTTATTTTCACTTTCTCCCTTGATAAATGAATCTACTTTGCAAACAGCAGCTGATACACAATCAAATTAGAGTAAAATGTGGGCTATAAGAATTTCTAATTTCAAAAAAAGCACACTCATCAACTTAACTCATCAACTTAAACATGCTCTTTAAACAATCTGCAGCACAGTTATAAAGCTAACAGTCATGAAGTTATAAACATTATTTGGTTCTTAACTACTATAAGGCTATTATGCTTCATTGATAGAGTATAAACACATTTATAGTATATAAGCAGTGTCACTCAAAGCAACCAGGCAACAAATGAGGACACAATGCTGAGGTATGAGAACATGAAAACTTTATCAAGAGAACTATCTTAAAAGTAACTGCTTAAAAAAAAATCAGTCCAATACGTCTATTAAGAGTCACAAACACACTAGAGACATTATAAGTCTAACTTCATAGTTTCTTCATTTTTCTTTACTCACTTATTCTAACCAAATTTTTTTTTAGGTACAACCTCTTCATCTTCACAACAACGAATAATGTAGCTGGGACAAGTATCAGAATGATTCTCACTGTACAGATGAAGAAACTCAGTCTGCGTGCATGGTATTTGCCCAAGGTCATACAGGTCATTAAGAGAAAGTGGGAATACAATCTAGGTCTCTACTAGTGTGTCATTTTGTCTTTATCAAAAATAAAAATAAATTCAGATGGAATTAGGGTAAAAAAAATTCTTGTGTCCATTAATAGCAGAAATAGCTTTGTTATTCATTTAAATCTTTATAATGACAGTTATATTAATCTAAAAACTTGTCTGCTAACCATTGTATTAATTTGGTAAGAGAAATTCCAACCAGAAAAGCATTCTAGTCAATATTTAAAGAAAGAACAATATTAGATACATTCTAGTAAAGCAATTATTTTAATAAATTAAGAAAGCAAATAAAAACCTTTGTATTTAAGGTCTGTATCACATAATTTATAATAATGAATTAAAATGACAGTAAATATGTATTACAGTTTGCAAATAATTTAAAGAAATGAAACTGAAATCTCTAAATATTTTTAGACCATTTCTCCCACTTCCATGTAGAAAGTTTCAGATTTTCTATATATTTGTTACACTTACTATATTATACATTATTTTCCCAAATCATGTTTTCTAGTACTAAATAATTCATCTAAACTCTGGTAGTACCTTAAGTGCACATCTTTAATATCATTTTTAAAACAATTTAGTAATAATCTTCAATCTGTAAGTACTAAGGAAGGTATCCAATGACAATATAAATTCACATAGGCAGGCTTACATAATTAAGACAAAGTAATTTATTTTGACTGAACATGATGTATGACAATTTAAAATGCAGACAATAAAAACAGTCTAATTCATACATGCAAAGTTATGAAATTAAAATTTTAAAAATCAAGGTCTTAAAATAGAACTTCTCAAATGAAAAAAAAAGCCTTGTATTTGGATATATTTATGGCACAAAGTCCTTTAGAATGCTATAGACATTATGTAGCTCCTCACTATAAAAAGCAGTCTTTAAAATCTTGATTTTTAAAAGAAAAATATTTTGATTAAAATTTATATTTTTATAGCTTAATAGTATCTTGAAAAAGAAAAGATGAGGAAACTAAAACGAAAAGAAGTTATAGAGGAACTTAGCAGAATAAAAAGATAAAACAATTTCAGGGTTTTAGGAAAATATACTTGACTTCTCTGATCATGTTCCTGAATCCAAAAAACTTAATTTCACAGGGTCGTTAAAAGAATTGCATTAGGTAATATGTGTAAAAAAGGCTGAAAACCTTTAAATTCTATGTAAATATGAGGCACAATTGTTTCGGGTTTTTTTTTTTTTTTTTTTTTTGAGCAGGGTCTCCTTCTGTTGCCCACTGCTGTGCAGTGCCACAACCATGACTCACTGCAGCCTTGAACTCCTGGACTCAAGCGATCCTTCTACCTCAGCCTCCCATGTAGCTGGGATTACAGGTGCATACCACAAAGCCTGGCTCACAATTCTTTTACTATCACATAAAGATCTACTGAAATATCGAATGACAGATAAGGAGTAAATAAAATTTAGAGTGACATAAGGAGCTGCTACTATAGTAATTTTTTAAAAAAGGATATAAGGCAAAATAATTTTACATGCACTCCTTCTCTGATAGCAAAATTATGATAAATTGTATAGCATAGGAATTAGACAATTGTTGGCCAGATGCCAATAAAATGATTTTTCTCATGCATACAATATATTGTGTATGTTTCACTAGAATACTGATTCAGTAGGGGAAACACACCATGTTTCAACTTGTAAGTGAAATAATCCTTTTTGGAAACCATTTCAATTAATAAGCTTCTCTCATCTAGTTCTCATCCGGAGGCTACTGTTACTAAATGAACCAATTATCAGCACTGCCCATATGAATGGACATGTGGTAAAAGGTCACTGTTTGGGAGAGAAGAATGCAGACCAGAGTTCAGAGGCTAATAGGTACCTGCTAATCTTTTCAGAAAAAAATTTCTGAAGGGGAATTTCTACATGAAAAGAGAGGTAACACGACTTGCGAAGCTAAAATTAGCTGGCCTTTTACTTGAATAGTATCAATATTTATTTGTCTTCTAATGCTGATTACAAAACAACTATTATGATGAAAAACAACAGAGAAAGTAAATTATTGAAAGTTTTAACTAAAAATTCAACCCAAAGATTTTTGTATTTGTATATAAGTACAAACCAATCATTCCCCCAAATTTTTTTACTTTCCTTAAGACTTTTACCAATTCCTATGATTTTCATGCCTGCACATTTCTTATATAAAATATATTTTTAAATCAGTTAATGAAAATAAGATATTTAGAACTCTACTCCAAAAACAGCAAAAGAATTAGCCCTGTTTTGAATAAAGATGAGGTCATTTTATGAATCTCTGCTACATAACCTATGATATTATCCTATAAAATGCAATATACAAGGAACATTCTATGGAAAGGTAATCAAACCCACTAGAGGAGACGTGTTTTGAGTTCTCCATGATACTTATTACCTACCAACACAGAGTAGGAAGAGACTAGCAGGAATACTGGTGACTGGCTATTGACTGATAGTGTATCTAAAAAGGAGTAGAGGAGAGAAGTCTAGTTTAACAAGAAACTTGATAACCTGAATCTTTTCATGATTTTGTGAAAAACGCTTGTATGACATTTTCTCCCTCCCTCCTTCTACGTAATTGTGGTATTAAGTACATCATTTACCTCACTCAACTGAACTATTTTCTCATCTACAAAACTAGAAGACTAGATGATGTTGCATCTCAATGATCCCCTTTGGCATAAAACTTTATAGTTATATTTACTGTCATCACCTGCTGTAAGACCTCATTATTCATGTCACTTAAAGAATTCTATAAGCAAGCTAAAAGACCATCAGCTAAAGAATTAGAAACGCACTTCTACGTGTGTTCCAACTCAAAGGGGTGGCAGAAAACATTCACATAGGAATGCAACGTTTTCTTAGCTTCTGAATTCCTAAGAACATAGTATTAATGCAAGTATCCAAATCTACTCTACATGTATGGCAATCTGATTACTGAAAGAGCAATACTTCTTTCTTTGCAGTACAAGGCCAGAACCACCTCATACGGTAGCTGAAAAGACTTAAACCATTAATTAGTAAGTCAGTTGGCTGAAAAAATGTTTTATACAGTTAATAAAAATATAATTATATAATGTAATCCTTATAACCTTTTGAGACTATATTTCTAAATATACTTTCTAAAACTATATTTCTAAAAGTTAAAGTATTAAAATACGTTTAAAACGCCTACCACTTTGTTGACCATCTCCATATCACACAGATTGTCCACTAAAATTCGACATGCTTCTTCTTTACCCCAATGAGCTGCAGCATGAAGAGGTGTCCAGCCATCATAGTCTTTAATATTAACATCATAGCCTGCCTGTATTAAAAGTCTAAAGAAATTACAGTGAATTAGACAATCATTAAAATCTAGAAATAAATGATCATGATCAAAAGCTATCTATCATGCAATTTAACTACAATTTTCAATTAATTTCTTTTCAGAATTTACATCCTTCCCCCTCAATGAATTAACTATGGCAAATACAAAGTAATTCTCAGAAAAAACTCAGAAAAAGAGGATCTTGAGTCATTGCCATAATAATGCAGTTTTAATTAATTCCTAATGACTCTAAGTCTTATGGTTTGGTGTGACACTGATTAATTCTTGTTAATATGACTTGTAAGTGAAATTTTCACAGAAAAGCCCATAATTTTTCAATGTAAAATCGAAAACTGATGAATCACTTTGTATGTAAAACTGATTTATTGCAGGAACTATCATCTTCAGGTTTCCATATAATATATAATCTCGGGCTAAATGTGTTCTAAGAATACACTGGAATCAAAGAAACTTGTTTTGTAATATTTCTGTTGCCTTGAAATTAAGGAGCTGAAAATTTTCAAAGGAAAATGACAATCTTTTAAGAACAAAACAAAGCAAAAAACATATTCCAAGGAGTCGGATCTATTTTTCTGAGCAGTAGAAAGCAGATACTCCAGTCATCAACAAGCTAAAACAGAAACACATTTTAATACAATGCAAAGAGTTGCATAAATTATGTTAGTATGCCCTTCTAACTACATATTGACAACAACCTTTATTTTATTTAGACATTAAGCTCACAGACAGCAAGGATGGGTCTATAAACTGCACATAGCATAGCCCCACACAAACAGGTGAACGAACACTAAATACAACTCATGAAATCTAGTTAACCTTTACCTCACTTTCCAAGATGTTGAGCTTGAGAAGGACCTTCTTTTTACCTACAGGAGGTGGTAGTGACAGCTAATGTATAATCCCCCTTTATTTATTTAAGAACAAATCTGGTATTTCCTAACAATATCTAATACAGCTGTTTCTAATCCTGCCTCCGTAACGGAACCATCTGAAGGGCTTGTTTTTTAAAAATAGATTGCCCAGCTCACCCCAGTACTACTCAATCAGCATATGGAGAGATGGGCCCTGCTGATCTATATTCTTAATAAGTCCCCCATATGATTTTCATATCATTGCCTATCACCTGCCTGCAGACCAACATTTAAGAGCCATTATCTAAAGAAAAGCTGAAAGATATAAGTCCAAAGAAATATCTCCACTGATATATATTATCAGAAACCTTATTAATAGAGGCAGAAACAATACTGGAATGTAAGAGAAAAACGCTGTTCCCCATTAGGAAATATGAACAATAATAATGTTAAATATGCTGAGCAACATTTTTAAGTACTTAGAAGTCTGTGTGGCGAGAAAAAAAGAGGTAAATTTTTTCAACATAAAAAAAGACAGTATCTATATTCAAGGAGCTTTTACTGGAAGTGAAACAACAACCAACTCTCAAGCATAGGTTCTATGAATAGACATGCAATGGGAGTACAAAACTGAAAAGCATCAAAATCAAATTGAAAGGAGTTGTGTGTGTTTGGGAGGGAGAGAAAATGTGAAGAAGGTTACATTTGAAACATCTTTTCTATTGATTTTTATTTCATATATGTTTTAACTTTCATAAGTAATATGTTCACAAAGTTAAAAAAAAAAAGAATGAAAGGATACATAGGGACATCACTCTCTCACCGCTGACTTTTAGCCAACTAGCTTGCCCTACCTCAAAATAACCATACTATTAATTTTTATTGGATCCTTACACAATGATTTCATGCATATATAAGCAAATACAATTTTAATTTTTTTTACAATAAATACAAATGATACATACTTGGATCCTTGATTTTGACATTTCATAATATACCCTAGTGTTCTTTCTATAACAGTATGTAAGGAGATTTCTCATTCTTGTTTTGTTTCAGAATATGCCAGTGAAAGCATATACCATAATTTATTAAAACATTCTCTTATTCCTATTATAAACAATGCTGCTAGCACGTATCTTACTTCCCATGTGAGTGGGAATATCTGTAAAAAAACAAATTCCTAGAGGTAGAATCAGGGAACTAAAGAATAACTGTTACTTTGATTGAATTTGCTCAATTGTCATTTCTACTAGTAAGAGTGCCTTTTCCTACACCCTGTCAACAGGATGTCAAATGTTTTGATCTTTGCCACTCGACAGATGTAAAAGTGTAACTCATTGTAGCTTTATTTGCACTTAATTATGAATGAAGTTGAGCACTTTTTTTCATATGCTTAAGGACCTTTAACTGATTCAAAGGATAGAGCAGAATTTGCCTCCAAGTTGAAGAGATGGTGAATAAAAGCATCCAGACAGAAACAAGGGAAGGCATTAAGACATCATGACAGAACTTCAATAGATATATGTAACTGGCACAATTCATACTTTAGAGGCAATGGTGGTAGCTTAGCTTAAAAGGGAAGACAGTGTCTAGATAATGAAGAATCTATGTACTAAGTTAAGGAGTTTAAAATTTATCCTGATCCCCCCTAAGAACTAATAAAGGATTTTGGGAGCTTGGATAACCTAATTAAAAAGATCATTTGGAAGCCATCCAGAAACTATTTTGCAATATAACTCAGTACTCATATACATATTTACAGAAACAAGTGCTTTAAGAAACAATTCTTACCTTTATGTAATACTCTTTAATACTTTCTATTCTCAAAAAAAAAAATGCTGTTGGCAACTCACAAAAGTTTTGGATTAGAGAGAAACAGGTGGACAAGAAAACTAATAAAAAGGCAACACTGCCATACTATTCTTAGGAAAAAGGCCTAAATTATTGAAGTTGAATAGAGATTGAAAAGAGGAGGCTGGGTGGTGATGGCTCAAGTCTGTAATCCCAACACTTTGGGAGGCTGAGGCAGGCAGATCACTTGAGCCCAGGAGTTCAAGACCAGCCTGGGAAACATGGTGGAACCTTGTCTCTACAAAAAATATGAAAATTAAGTGGGCGTAGTGGCACATGCTTGTAGTCCCAGCTACTAGAGAGGCTGAGGTGGGAGGACTGCCTGAGCCTCTGTCACCCAAGAGGAGGAAACTTGGGAAAGGTGACTCATATATTCTTTACTGCTTTTACTAATGAGTGGGAATAAGAAAGATTGATATTAGAAGCTCAAGTGAATTAGAAGCAATATATTAATAAAAGGTGCAGTAGATTTTGCTAAGTGCTGGTCTTCCTTTCACATACATATAAGAATAATTTTATATATTGAATAATACACAGAATAATTTTCTTCATATAGTTGCCAATATTTGCATTGCAGAAGTAAAAATATTATTGCAACATAAAGAAGCTTTGTTCCAAGCAAATTTGCTAAACAATATACAGCCCTGTAGAGTCAAAGTTGCTTATGGCTTAATATTTTATAGTGTGCTAATAGTACTAAGTTCCAGTGTTCATGTAGTAAAAAAGAAAACTGTATTTAAGATAAGTTACATGTAAATAAATATTCTGCAGGAATCAAGCTCTCAAAACTGATGGTATGTTCACAGGACATTGTTCTTAAGACTCACAAACCAGTTATCAATCTGGAACCTCAAAATGACTCTCTGTAGTGATTTATTAGGCCAAAAGGTCACAGAGAATAGGTGACTGACACTTAAATTCAACTTACTGGAAAATCACAACTGATTAAAAAATAGTAATAATTAGAGAGTTGAAAGAATTTTAGAACAAAAGCAATCATATTCAAAGTAGTTTTTCTCTTTCTTCCTGAAAACAGGCATTAAAGAACTCTTTTATGTTGCTTCAAAATAACGTTTGCAGGTATTTTAAGAAAAGGAACAATGAATAAAGAAGACAAACTAAAATAGAAAAACTCTGTAAAAAACAATACTTACTTTAAAACTTCCGTATAGCCTTTAGCAGCTGCAACGTGAAGTGCTGTACCTCCAGATTTTGCATGCCGGACATCATTTATATGACCACTATTTAGCCACTGCCTGGCATCTCTAAGCATGATCCGTTCTTCTTCCTTTCGAGCTGCTTCTATATCAACCCCTGATAAAATAAAAATAGTTCTTTTTATTTTTGCTTAAAAATTGTTCCATGTTGGGAAATAAAACTATCCAAAACATGTCAAGTTTAAATAAAATTAAAAGTGAAAGTATGTCTTTTTAAAATGGGCTGCTTATAACAAGTTGGTTAAACTAAAAAATGTGGGGATATTGTAGACCTTGTATTAACTTTTTCTACTTATTACTTGGTTTTTGCTTCACAATACTATTTTGATCTTATTTTTCCTTTCTGATTATTCTTCTTGTTTTTTAAAAATTTGAACATTTCCTAAGGTATAAGCATCCTTTGGGCTAAATTTTTTTTTTAACAATTATAATGAATAAGTCTCAAATTTCTATCTACTGTTTTGATCTGTTCTATGAAATCTAGCCTAGCAGGTACAAATGTTTACTGAATGCTTCAACTTGGAGGTCCTGTCTTCATCTAAAATATATCATACCTTAAAATAGATTATTTCTCTAGCAAACTCCCTTCATTTCCTTTTCCAACATAGTACACATTCTTCATACCATTAAAGTTATTTTCATAATTTTAGTAAGTTATATAAATGTTCATTCATTTAAAAGCACTTACTCTAAGCACTACCCTAGGTTGAGGTGATAAAAGTGGAAAGAGGCCAGGCGAGGTGGCTCACACCTATAATCCCAGCTACTTGGGAGGCTGATGTGGAAGGATCGCTTGAGCCAGGAGGTCAAGGCTGCAGCGAGCAATGATCATGCCACTGCATTACAGCCTGGGTGAGAGCAACACCCTGTCTCAAAAAACAAAAAAAGGGAAGAATACAAAAATGAATAGGACCCTCTAATTCCTACCTTCAAAGAGCTCAACACCTTGGAAAAAAAATTAAAGAAAGATACTCTTGAAATTCCTGAATGATTTCATCTGGTCTTATGGCTTTGACTACTTGCTATTTAATAAACAGCACACACCGCAATGCATTTACAATCTGCCTTACTCCACAAGTCTATAGGCCTTTTTATCTTTTATCCCCACTGTCTGGTAGAATACCTGATACAAAGCAAAGGGAGATCAGAGCCAGGTGCGTTGGCTCACACTTGTAATTCAAGCACTTTGAGAGGGTGAGATGGGCAGATCATTTGAGGTCAGCAGTTCAAGACCAGCCTGGCCAAAATGGTGACACCCCGTCTCTACTAAAAATACAAAAAAAAAAAAAAAAATTAGCCAGGCATAGTGGCAGGTGCCTGTAGTCCCAGCTACTTGGGAGGCTGAGTCAGGAGAACTACTTAAGTCCAGGAGATGGAGGATGCAGTAAGCCAAGATCACGCCACTGCACTCCAGCCTGGGCAACGGAGTGAGACTTTGCCTCAAAGAAAAGGAAAAAAAAAAAAAAAAAGCAAAGTACAGGGAGATCAGTAAATGTTCACTAAATGAACAATGAATGAACAAATATAAAACAAGAACACACACACACACATTTCCTCAGCTAAGATTCTCCTATAATCCATATCCATGTATACAACTGTTTGGACAAGATTTTTCATTCATCCATCCATACATTTAATATATACTGAGCACCTACTATTTTGCCAGGTACATTGTTAGATGCTACAGGTATAGATGTGAACTTATTATATGGCAGAAGATGATTCATTTGTGAAGAAAAATAAAGCAAGGAAAGGAAACAGAAAGGGTAATGAGAAGGGATGTTATTTTAAATAGGTTGGTAAAAAATAGCTTCTTTGATGACATTACAAGAAATAAAGTGAGTGACAGCCATACTACTGGGAAAACATTCCAGGCAGAGGGAAGTACCAGTAGGCTCTGAAGTGGGAGCCTGCTAGGAATGTTCTGTTTAGAAGGACAGGGTCTCTACAGAGTAGTAAGGACAATGAGCGTGGTGACACGATCTGACTTAAGAGGATCACTTAGGATGAAAAGTTGAGTAGATACTGAGATACCCACTTGGAGGCTACTGCAATAATCTAGGCAAGCAATTATGGTAACTTGAACAAGGGTGGTAGCAGTGCAGACAGTAAAGTGGTTGAATTCTGGGTTTTTCAAGGCTTACCAAGAGAATTTGCTGTTAGTTTGGATACAGAAGAAAAAGAGAGGTCGAGAATCAATCAGAGGTTTTCAGTCTGAGCAATTGAAAAAATTAAAGCTTCAATTTCGGAAATGTGAAGTTTAAGATGCCTAACAAATATCTAGTCAGAGATATCAAGTAATCAGTTGCATATCTAAGCCTGTAGGAGAGAGAACTAGGGAAATAATAAAATAATATGCCATGGGCATCTCAAACTCAATGCTAAAATCTTAACCAAATTTTTCCCCAACCATTCTATTTGCTGCCTGTCTTGTTTTCCTACACTAAGTGCCCTCAATTACCTAGCAACCTGAAAGTCATCTGAATTTCTCCCTTTACCTTACTCTCACCCCATCTGTGATTGTTAATTGTGTCAACTTAACTGGATTGAGAGATTCCTAGATGGCTGGTGAAGCACTGTCCCTGGGTGCAGTTGAGGGTGTTTCCAGAGGAAAGTGACATGGGAGTCAGTGGCCTGGGAGAGGAAGACCCATCGTCAATGTGCACAGGCACAATCCAATCACCTGGGAGAAATGGGCTGAAAAAGGAGGATTTGCTCTTTCTGCTTGCTCTCTCCCTTCAGGAGGAGGATACCTTTTTTCCTCCTGCTTTTGGATATCAGACTACAGGTTCTTCAACTTTTGGACTCTGGGACTTGCACCAGTGGCTCCTTGGGGAGCTGTCAGGCGTGACAGGCACTGCAGTGTCAGTTTCCCAGCTTCTAGGGCTTTGAACTTGGACTGAAACACGCTACTGGCTTTGAGCCAGCCAGATTACCAGCTTCTCTGGTTCTTCATTTTGCAGGTGACCTATTGTGGGACTTTGCAGTGATTCTGTGTCAGTTGCTCCTAATAAATCCCCTTCCGTATATCCTACAGGTTCTGTCTCTATGGAGAAGCCTGACTAATACACCATCCTATTAGTTACCAGATTTGGAGTTGCCACTTCTAGACTGTCTTCTAAATGGCCCCTATCACTATGCTAGTTCATAGCTTATGTCTCACACTTTGACTACTGCTACCAGCCCTTAACTCATTCCGTCTTTAGTCCCTTCTAATTCATCCCTCAATCTACTGCTGGACTGGAAAAAATAAAACATGATGTCATTGCTTTATATAAAATTTGTCAATGGCTGCTTCTGTAAGACAAAGCTCAAGCTCTTTAGTATACAAGAGAAAGCCTTTTATGACTTGGTCTCAGTGCATTTTTAACTTCATCTATAGTCTTTCTCCCTTACCATCATCTAGTGTTCTAACCATCTAGACCTCCACATAGGTCCCCAAGTACATCATGGTCTCTGCTGTCATGCCAGCTACTATCCTCTACCTGAATTGTATTTTTATTTTGCCTGCTTATTAGCACATTACCATTTTTTCCAAGACAACTAAACTGCTCATTACTCAACTGAAGCTCAGCTTTTAAAAAGCAGACAATAATTCAGAAATATTTTTAAAACTCCAAGATTACACATGTATAGAAAAAGTCATCTTCAAACTAGAGATTATAATATCTCATTACCGCATTTGAAGGAAACTTGAACAAGATTTTCCAAATAGACCTTATGAAAACAATAAATTGTATAAACTATATATGGAATGAACACAACCTATTATGATTTTTATAAAAATCAAATGCCACCATTTCTATAGTAAAGCAGTTTTACTTGTATCAAAAATTTCCCACCAAAAGATAATCAGCCCATTTAAGATATGCCTAATGTTAGTAACCTTTCTATTAAGTGATTTATCTTAGATTTGCTTTTTTAATGTTACTCTCTTACTGTCTTTTAAAACAGGTAGCTTTTTATTATTTTTATCCCTCCTTTCATTACAATCTTAAACGTTCTGATTTTTATTGTCTTTTACTATTCTGTTTCCTTTGAACTTCAAGTTAAAAAAAACCTACTTCTTTTATATTTATCTAATTTCATGCTATCTTTATCTAATGACAAAGCAATTACCCTCTTTAGCTTCCAAATCGTGCTCACATCTGATTCACATATAAAAACAATCCAAGTGTAAAGTTAACGTGAAGGGCAATTCCTTATGTTTAAGAAAATTAAATTAGAAAAGAAAAACCTTTCTCTTGTTCTTAAATTTTTAAAATACTACCGATTAGAGTATGTAGACCGTGCTTAGCTCATCAAAAACTTGAAGAAAAAAAAATCTAATTGTACTATGTATTAGGAGACTTGCTTTCTAAGTTCAGTGCTTTGACTAACTAGCCAGTGATCCTGAGAAAGCCATAGCTTCTTTGGATATTAGTAAGATAGGTTAAGAAAACAGATACTGAACCGAGACTGGCTGGATTTGAATCTCTGATCCACCACTTACTAGCTGTACTCCCTCAGGGTAGACAATCTATGCTATGCTCTGGTTTCATTTGTAAGATGGGAGTGATGCCAATATCTATCCCATATGGTTGTTCTGAAAACTAAATTAATTAATACATATAAAGTGTTTTAGATCAGGGATAAACACTAAGGTGTTAATTATCATTATCAGTTTGAAAAGTCTATGATTCTGCTTCTCTTTTCTTGATTTCTGTTTTAAAAGAAAAAAATCTTATAATGCATTTAACTGGTCCTTAACCCACCTACTATAATTGCAAGGTTTTTAAACAATGAAAATAATATATAATAAAACTAAATTGGGTATAACAAAGTGATTAGACTAACATCTGTCACTATGATTTAAGAGCAGTAAATATTAAAATATAATCAAATCTCTTAGATTAAAATAAATAAAATTAGATTGGAATTTAGTCAGCAACAGATTCAAAAATTAATGTGTCCCTAGATAAATAAAGAAAATAATTACAGCTACTGTTCAATTATTACTACTTTCAAAGGCAATTTATTTAAGCATAACTAGTTATTGATCAAATGTACTGGAATAAGAAAAGCCAAAAGAATGATTAAAAAACTTAAAAATATTAAACAATAATTTTCATACCTAGATAATTTGAGAAATGTTACCACTACTAATGATATGGTTTGGCTGTGTTCTCACCCAAATCTCATCTTGAATTGTAGTTCCCATAATCCCTACATGTGGTGGGAAGGACCCAGTGGGAGGTAACTAAATCATGGGGACGATTACCCCCATGCTACTGTTCTTGTGATAGTGAGTGAGTTCTCACAAGATCTTATGGTTTAAGAGGCTTTTTCCTCTTTGTTCAGCATGTCTCTCTCCAGCCGCCATGTGAAGAAGGACGTGTTTGCTTCTCCTTCCACTATGATTGTGCTTCCCCTTCCACTATGATTGTAAGTTTCCTGAGGACCCCCAGCCATGTGGAACTGTGAGTCAAACCTCTTTCCTTTATAAATTACCCACTCTCGGGTACTTTTTCATAGCAGCATGAGAATGGACTAATACAGTAATTTGGTATCGGGTAGTGGGGCACAGTTGTAAAGATACCCAAAAAATGTGGAAGCAATTTTGAAACTGGGTAACAGGCAGAGGCTGGAACAGTTTAGAGGGCTCAGAGGAAGACAGGAAGATGTAGGAAAGTTTGGAACTTCCTAGAGACTTACTGAATGGCTTTGACCAAAATGCTGATAGTGATATGGACAATGAAGTCTAGGCTGAGTTGGTCTCAGATGGAGATGAGAAACTTGTTGGGAACTAAAGCAAAGGTCACTCTTTTTATGCTTTGGCAAAGAGACCAGTGGCATTCTGCCCCTGCCCTAGAGATCTGTGGAACTCTGAACTTGAGGGAGGTAATTTAGGGTATCTGATGAAAGAAATTTCTAAGCAGCAAAGTGTTCAAAAGGAAGCAGAGCATAAAAGTATGAAAAATTTGCAGCCTGATAATGTGAAAGAAAACCCAATTTTCTGGGGAGAAATTAAAGCTGGCTGCAGAAATTTGCATAAGTAACGAGTAACCAAATGTTAATTGCCAAGACAAAGGGGAAAAGGTCCCCAGGGCATGTCAAAGACTTTCAAGGCAGCCCTTCCCATCACAGGCCTGGAGGCCTGGGAGGGAAAAATGGTTTCATGGGCCGGGTCCAGGGCCCCCTTGCTGTGTGCAGCCTTGGGACTTGGTGCCCTGTGTCCCAGCTACTCCAGCCCTAGCTAAAAGGGGCCAATGTACAACTCAGGCCATCGCTTCAGAGGATGCAAGCCCCAAGCCTTTGTGGCTTCCATGTGGTGTTGGGACTATGGGTGTGCAGAAGTCAAGAACTGAGGTTTGGGAAGCTCTGCCTAGATTTCAGAGGGTGTATGGAAAGGCCTGGATGTCCAGGCAGAAGTCTGCTGCAGAGGTAGAGCCCTCATGGAGAACTTCTGCTAGGGCAGTGTGGAAGGGAAATGTGAGGTCAGAGACCCCACACAGAATCCCCACTGGGGTACTGCCTAGCGCAGCCATGAGAAGAGGGCCACCGTCTTCCAGACCCCAGAATGACAGATCCACTGACACCTTGCACTGTGTGCCTAGAAAAGACAGAGACACTCAACACTGGCCCATGAAAGAAGCCAGGAGTGGGGCTGTACCCTGCAAAGCTACAGAGGCAGAGCTGTCCAAGGCTGTGGGAGCCCACCTCTTACATCAGCATGACCTGGATGTGAGACATGAAGTCAAAGGACATCATTTTGGAACTTTAATGTTTAATAACAGCCCTACTGGATTTCACACTTCCATGGGGCTTATAGCCTCTTTGTTTTGGCCAATTTCTCCCATCTGGAACAGGTATATTCACCCAATGCTTGTACCCTCACTGTGTCTAGGAAGTAATTAACTTGCTTTCAATTTTACAGGCTCACAGGCAGAAGGGACTTACCTTGCCTCAGATGAGACTTTGGACTTGGACTTTTGGGTTAATGTTGGAATGAGTTAAGACTCTGGGGGACTGCTGGGAAGGTATGATTGTGTTATGAAATGTGAGGACGTGAGATTTGGAAGGGGCCAGGAGTGGGATGATATGATTTGTCTGTTTCCCACCCAAATCTCATCTTGAATTGTAGTTCCCACAATCCCCACAAGTCGTGGGAGGGACTCCGTGTGAGGTAACTGAATCATGGGGGCAGTTACCCCCAGTGCTGCTGTTCTTGTGATAGTGAGTGAGTTCCCACGAGATCTGACGGTTTTAAAAGGGTCTTTGCTTGGCACTTCTCTCTCCTGCCACCGTGTGAAGAAGGATATGTTTGCCTTCCCATCTGTCATGACTGCATGATTGTAAGTTTCCTGATGTGTTTGCTTTCTCTTCTGTCATGACTGCATGACTGTAAGTTTCCTGAGGCCTCCCCAGCCCTGTGGAACTATAAGTCAATTAAACCTCTTTCCTTTACAAATTACCCAGTCTTGGGTATTTCTTCATAGCATCATGAGAATGGACTAATACAACTAGAGATATATTTAGGGTGCTTTTTTATAATTATTAAAATCTGTTAGAGATGCCCCTATACTTTTGTTTCTTTGGAATTAAGATATGCTATATAAATTTATGCATTCCCATTATATGTATCAAATGAACATCATGAAGTATTTTCTAGGGAGACATTTTAAATAAAATGCAGTATGGTACAGTGGTACAGAATGTGGGCTCAAGATATCTGTCTTACTGTTTAGGACAGACCTATAGCACTACCACTTCCTACCTGTATGATCTTGGGTAAATCACTAAGCCTCAATTTTCTCATCTGGAAATGGGGTAACAGTAGTATAAACCTCACAGAACTGCTATGAGGATGAAATGAAGAAATGCATGTGAAGCTCTTGGCTCAATGCCTGGCATATAATAAGCATTTAATAACAGTTAGCTATTGTCATTACTACTATTATCATTGTTAGCACTTAGCTTTTCGTCTCCAGGGTCATCTCATCTACTAGTTCCCAGAACTCCCCCTCCTTATGGTTCTCCTAGATTTACTTTTCACATCTTTACATATCCTAAGTTCTAACAATGCACCAACCACTGTCATCTAGATGTCCTTTAGTACTACAAACCCAATATATACTCATGAAGTCCCTCAGTCTGGTTCTGTCTTATCTCACACTTTCCTACATGAACTCATCTAATCATCACTTCTTCAACTGGAAACTTTAGTAAGTTAGGCTTAATTCTTCCTTCATATCTGCATTCAATTCTTTACCAAACTGTTCTAATTTTACTTCAATATTTCCTCAAGACAGCCTTGTTCTTCATTTCAAATGTAACAGGTTTTGGCTCTTATCATCTTTCACCTGGACTAATTTGAGAATCTTCTTCAAGGAATGCGTGTCACCATATATCCTACATTCTATTTCATCCTCCAAGTTGCCATCAGCTTTATACTAAAAACCAAATCCAATCAAATTAATTTATTGCTTGGAGATATTTGCTGCATCTATCCAATGTCTACAAAAATAGATATCCTTCACTATCTGGCTCTGACCTATCTTTTCAGGCCTCATCTCCTACAAATCCCGCCCTGACTTTGAATCTCAATTCCAGTCCCAATGAATGTGTCTGTCTTCCAGTCCACATATGCTATGTATGTCTCCAATTCCTTTTTATTTAAAAAAAAAAAAAAAAAAGAGAGAGAGAGAGAGACAAGGTCTCACTCTGTTGTCCAGGCTGGAGTGCAGTGATACAATCGTAGCTTACAGTAACCTTGTACTCCTGGCGTCAAGCAAGCCTCTCATCTCAGCCCCCCAAAGCAATGGAATTATAGGCAAGAGCCACTGTGCTTGGCCTTCCAACTCCTTTTCTTTCACATTTTGATACCCCGCCTTTTCTGTCCACCAGTTCCTTTCTTTGCCAAGCCAACTCCCTCTAAATGTCATCACTCTGAAACCTTTCCTCACTACAGCTTTTTCTATTCTCTCACAACATTCTGTTCCTATATATTTTAATACATAGCACACTGTATTGTGAAGCTCTTCGTTTGACACTTCTGCTAGACTGTGAAATCCTTAAGAAGGATTGTCTTGCTTTTTTTATTGTTAACACCCAGCACATAGAACATTTGCTGGCACATTAATCAGTTCTAAATGAATCATTAAAACTAAAATCAGCCCCGCTTACAGTTACGCTAGCAATTTCCCTTATACAGAAGGAAACCAAATGCAAGAAATTTTCAGTACAACTCCATGCCTTTTCTAGTTCATAACAACTGCTAATATCAGATAAAAAATAGGAGCCTTAAATGTTTACTTTAAAGAATTACCATTGTTTGACAGGAAACTGTTATCTGAGCACTCATCACAGCAAAATGGGCAGGGAAGTTCTTGCTAGGTTGTGATGCTTTATACTTATTCTTTAGTTTACTCAATTCTAGAAGATCCTATGACTCTAAAACACTTGTCTAGAACATGGCTGTTGAAAGCTCTTCTGTGTGTTTATTCAGGCTCCAGTTTATAACCACTTTTCTATTGCATTTCTTGTTTTTTTTAGGCTCTAGTTATATTTAATCACTTTTTATAACACCTCAATTCTATTTTAGGTATTTATTTTCTCAGTTTTCATGCTTAAGATAGTTTTTTTTTTAAACAAACCCACAGTTGGCTAGATGCGGTCGCTCATGCCTGTAATATCAGAACTTTGGGAGGCCAAGATAGGTGGACTGCTTGAGTTCAAGAGTTCAAGATCAGCCTGACCAACACAGTAAAACTGCATCTCTACTTAAAATACAAAAATTAGCCAGGTGAGGTGGCATGCGCCTACAGTCCCAGCTCCTCAAGAGGCTAAGGTGGGAGGATCGCTAGGGTCTGGGAGGTTGAGGCTATAGTGAGCCATGATTGTGTCACTGCACTCCAGTCTGTCTCAAAACAAACGAAAACAAAACAAAACAAACCCGCAGTCATTAGGAATTTTCCTAATCCCAAGGAATAAAAATCTCCTTTCATGGAATTTATTTACCTTCTATTCCTTTCTAATCCTTAGTTTCTATTTTCTGATGAAGCACATTTCAGCAGGAGTTGGCCCTCTACATCAATATTTCATACCATTCCTCTATCATTTGACCTCAGTAAAACACAGCTCTAATAATACCTGTTTGATCACTGCCTAATGGACTATAACAAAAATCACATGTGGCACTTTGTGTGTGTGTGTGTGTGTGTGTGTGTGTGTGTGTGTGTGAGTCCTGCCCAAAGGTACTGCAGAAGTAATCACACATACATAAATTTTTAATTGTAGTAAAATAAACATAAAAATAAAATTTACCATCTTAACTTTTTTTTTTGTTTTCAGAAAGGGTCTCACTCTGTCACCCAGGCTGGAGCACAGTGATGTGATCAGATCACTGCAGCCTGGAACACACGAGCTAAAGCGATCCTCCCCCCTTAGCTGGGATTACAGGTCTTAACTATTTTTAAGTGTACAGTTCTTAAGTACATTCACATTGTTGTGTAACATATCTACACAGCTTTTTTCATCTTGCAAAAGAAAAACTCTGCCATTAAAAAACAACTCCCTTTTCTCCCCTCCTTCCAGCCCCTGGCAGCCATCATTCTATTTTCTCTATGAATTTGACTATTCTAGGTACCTCATATATGTAGAATCATTTGTTTTTGGTTTTTTTTGATCACTGGCTTATGTCACTTACCATAAAGTCCTCCATGCTGTAGCGTATGTTTGATTTCCTTCCTTAAGGCTGAATAATATTTCACTGTATATATATTTCACATTTTATTTATTCATCCATCAATGACACTTGGTTTGCTTTCATCTTTTGGCTAATATGAATAATTTGTACACCCATGTTTGTACAAATTATTCAATTTCAAAGAGTTGAGTTGTTTTAAATTCTTTTGGGTAGGCTGGGAGTGCTGGCTCATGCCTGTAATCCCAGCATTTTGGGAGGCCCAGGCAGGAGGATCACCAGAAGTCAGGAGGTGGAGACCAGCCTGGCCAACACGGTAAAACCCCATCTCTACTAAAAATACAAAAATATTAGCCAGGCACGGTGGCAGGCGCCTGTAATCCCAGCTACTCGGGAGGCTGAGGCAAGGAGAATCACTTGAACCCGAGAGGCAGAGGTTGCAGTGAACCCAGACTGCAAAGGTTGCAGCGAACCCAGATTGCGCCACTGCACTCCAGCCTGGGTGACAGAGCAAGACTCTGTCTCAAAAAAAAATATAGATATAGATATAGATATAGATATAGATATAGATATAGATATAGATATAGATATAGATATATGGTAAATTTCTAGAAAAGGAGTTGCTGGATCATTTTTTTTTTTTTAGACGGAGTCTCACTCTGTTCTCAAGGCTGGAGTGCAGTGGTGCAATCTCAGCTCACTGCGACCTCCGCCTCCCGGGTTCAAGCAATTCTCCTGCCCTCAGCCTTCTGAGTAGCTGGGATTACAGGCGCCCACCACCACGCCCAGCTAATTTTTGTATTTTTAGTAGAGACAGGGTTTCACCATGTTGGTCAGGCTGGTCTCAAGCTCCTGACCTCGTGATCTGCCCGCCTTGGCCTCCCAAAGTGCTGGGATTACAGGCATGAGCCACTGCTGCCAAGCTGGATCATATTTTATATATACATACATATATATACACACACACAGCTTTATTAAGATCTAATTCACAGCATTTACATAGCATTTAAAGTGTAGAATTCAATGGTTTTTTTTTAGTAAATGTGAGGAGTGGTGTAACCATCACCACAATCAACTTTAGAATACTCATCACTCTTGAGTAATGAAACTCTGTGCCCGTTAGCAATCACTGTTATCTATAAATGAACACCTCCCAAATTTACATATCCATTTTGTAACTGCAGACTCGCATATTCAACAGTTTGGATATCTAACACGCAAAACAAATTTAACATGCCTGAAAATGAAGCCCTAATATTTCCCTATAAAACCTACTCTTCTTACAATCTTCACATCTCAGATAGGAACTTCATCCATCCATTTGTTCAAACCAAAAATCTTAGAATCTTCTTTTTTTCACACCTTCTAGCTAATGACTCAATAATCCTCTTGGCCAAACCTTCAAAATATATCCATAATCCAATCTCTTCTCATCACTTCATCTACTACCAGTCAAAAATAAATCACTTTATTTTGTCTGGATTATGTCAGTTATTTCCTAACCCTTCTCCTACTTCTGTCCTTGTCTTCCTACAATCTATTTTCAACACAAGAGCCAGAGAGATCCTTTCTAAAAGTATAACAAATCATGTCAATCCTCTGCCTCAATCCCTCCATTGGCTTCCTATTTCACTCAGGTTAAAAGCCAAAGTCTTCCCAATGGCTCACAAGGCCTTAAGGTGATATGACCTCCTGCTACTTCTGTGACCTCATCTCCTTCCTGCCTCTTCCTCTGCTCTGCCTCTAGCTGCTTCTCTGCATATACAAGACAACCTCCCATTCTTGTATTCATTGCTCCCCTTGTCTGGAATGCTCTTTCCCCAGATCATCATGACTCATTCCCTCATTGTATTCACATCTCAGCTTAAATGACCCCTTATCAGTGAGCCTTCTTGACCACACTATTTAACTTTGCAATGTGCCACTTACCCTGTGCACTTTCTATCCCCTTTGCCTACTTTATTTTGCTCCAAAACTTTTACTTCCACATAATTTTATGCCTGATCCTGCTGCTTCTAACATTTCTTTTAACTTTAAAAATACTTAAAAGATAGAGTGGAGAATATTTTAGAAAACAGAAACATACTGTACTATTGTTTTGCAAGCTGAATTCATTTTTTTCATGAAATTATGATTGCCCTTCAATGTCAACAAATATTTTTGCTGGAAAAGTATCACATTCTTTCTAAAACATTTTTCCATTTAGGTTGCTTTTTATTTTACCTTGCCGATTAACTTCATTTTGAAGTAGCTCTTCCATTGCCTCCTCCTCCGCAATATCTAAAGGTGTATCTCCTTCACTGTTGACAGCCCCTACATGTGCTCCTTGACCAATCAAAAACCTGTAAAACCAAAGGAAAAATAGTTAAGCAAAAGATATTATCATTGAAATAAAACTAAATGCATAACCAATGAGGAAAGTTCCTATATAAAGCAGCAATAAAGGGCAGTATATACATTATTTAAATTTTAAAAAACTATCAGGCCAGGCGCAGTGGCTCACGCCTGTAATCCCAGCACTTTGGGAGGCCAAGGCAGGCGGATCACGAGGTCAGATCAAGACCATCCTAACACGGTGAAACCCTGTCTCTACTAAAAATACAAAAAATTAGCCGGGCGTGGTGGTGGGCGCCTGTAGTCCCAGCTACTCAGGAGGCTGAGGCAGGAGAATGGCAAGAACCCGGGAGGTGGAGCTTGCAGTGAGCTGAGATCAAGCCAAAAAAACAAAAAACAAAACCATCTAGAGCATGTTTCTTTTTTAAATTTATATTTCCTAATTTTTCTATAATGTACACACGTTGCTTTACCAATACAAAAATGTTAATTTTTAATAATAATTAGAAAGTCTCATAGGATCCACCTCCACTGAGACTTCTCATTATCTCCATATGGACTGGTTTCCTTACTGGTCTCTGCGCTCCCAATCTCATCCCGCAAACAAGAGTTCTTAAGCTGGGGTTCATGGGTAAAATTCAGAAGGTTCATAAAAAATTCAATTAACACAGATACATTAAATTATTGCTTATCATTATTTTAAAATTAGCTATTAAACCCACCACTAGGTCTTTTTAATATTTTACTAAAGAAGCAGACAGATAATTATACTACAAATATATTTTTTAAATATTTTGATAAGTGCATTCCAATATAATTGGCTTCTGTGTACTCTGTATTTTATTTTAAGCATCCAAAACACAATTCTAAGAAAGTATCTATAGGCTTCATCAAACCTGCCAAAGGTATTCAGATACAAAAAGGTTATTTATCTATTTAATCATGTCAACAGCACATCTCCCAGAGTCATCTACTGAACGATGTAACTAACCATCTATTACCCAAGTCAATTTCTTTTTTCTCTCTGTTTTTTTTGAGACAGAGTCTCGCTTTGTCACCCAGGCTGGAGTGCAGCGGCGTAATCTCTGCTCACTGCAAGCTCCACCTCCCAGGTTCATGCCATTCTCCTGCCTCAGCCTCCCCAGTAGCTGGGACTACAGGCACCCGCCACTGCGCGTGGCTCATTTTTTTTTTTTTTTTTTGTATTCTTAGTAGAGACGAGGTTTCACCGTGGTCTCAATCTCCTGACCTCGTGATCCGCCTGCCTCGGCCTCCCAAAGTGCTGGGATTACAGGAGTGAGCCACCACGCCTGGCCTACCCAAGTCAATTTCTAACTTAAAAAATTTTTCGATGGCTCTACCATGCTAGGAGAAAAGATAATGTACAGCCCTCACTGATCTGGCCTTGTCTTCTTTTTCAGCCTCCTCCTTCTTCCGGCATCACACTTTAGGCACCAACAATATAGAACTACTTGTAGTTCTAAATTAAACCATTTGATTTGGGTATCCCTGGTTTTATTTTTCCATATATAAAGAATGGGTCTTTTCCTTTATGTTCCTAACCAATTTAGCTCCTTCATACTTCGACTATATAAAAATATTCTAATTATAAAATAGTTTTTTAAAAAAAGTACACGTCCACAGAGGGAAAAAGGAACTCCTTTATTCCTCTCCTACTATTATGTTCCCTCCCCCAGAGATAAACACTATCAACAGTAGGGCAAAAATCTTTCCAGTACCTCTGCCATAAATTTATATGTGTGTAAACATATATACACCATCACTTTTGGGGTTCTTTTTGTAAAGCACAAATTAATGAGATTATTCTAAATGAAGTATAATGTAACTCTTCCCTTCTAACACCTGAAAAATATTCCATAGTATGTCTGGTTCATACCTTCATTTAATATTATTCTCTTAATAGATGTGCACTTAAATAGACAGTTGAAATTCACAATTTTTAAAAAATTTTCCCAACATCATGAAGATAAAACATGTTGTCATTGCTTTAATTTGTATTTCCTGATTACACATGAGACTGAAAATATTTAGATATATTTACTGGCATTTGTATTTCTCCTTTTATGAACTGCTTATGTACATTCCTTGCTGGTATTTCAAACGTATTCATTAATTCAACCAATATTTATGGAGTGTCTAGTATGCATCTGGCACTATGTTACATACCAGGAATATAAAGGTAAACAAAAAGAAACACAGAATTGCCCTTCAAAAAGTTTATAGTCTAGTAAGACAGTCAGATTAAATACACAAATAAATGTAAAGCTGTGGTAGGTCCTGTAACAGAATAAGGTAGTGTCTAGGATTAATAGGAAAAATGGATTTAGTGAAGTCAGAAAAGGATTCTCTGATGATTATGTAGGTGCTAACAAAAGAGAACAGAAGGGCAATGTGCTGTAGGTGAGAAGGAACAAAATAAAGTCCTGTGATAGGAAGTATATACAGCCAGATGGAGGCCCAGTTCATTTTCCTTAGAATAAATGAAATAACTGATCAATCTCTATATCTTTTACACACACACACACCCTCCCTCTAACAGTGGGTACCTCTAAGAGATAGAGGAAGAGAGATTTGTATTGGTTGTTTTGTGTGTTAACCAAGTTTTCTGTAATAAGTTTGTTCTGGACATGTGTATCTGATCACAAAAATGGCTACTGTATCATTTTGTAGTTTCATGTTTTAAATTTAAAAATATGCTGTAAAAGTTTTATCATCTTTATGGAAATTCTACAAACAGAAGTTAGACTTGAGGTAATTTTTCCTGTTTTCATAGTTTTGAAAATGTATATAAAACTAAAAAGAATATTTCCTCATATACTACAAATAAATAAATGAGTCTAAAGCAGAAAGGTAAGATATAGTGGAGTCTTGCTGTGCTATGCTCTGAGAGAATATGTAATTATTCTCCTAGGCAAAATTCCAAACAATTAGGAATATTTACATAAAAATACATCTATTCTGCTTGGGTATCACAAATCATTCAAAGGATACAAAGATTGAGAATAAAAGGAATATCTCAGACTAGCTGCAGCTTGAAGTACAGAAAGCAGAGTTTCAAGGAAATACCAGGTCAAAGCCAAATACGGACAATACAGAATTTATATAAACAGGAAGGATGTTAAGAGAAACTAACAGAGTAAAGTACCAAAACTGCTGGCAGGAAGCAGCGCCCAAAGCAATCCTTGAGCCAAAAGATTACGTACGTGTGTATGTACATATGTATGTATGTACTTATGCATGCAAACACACAATTCACAAACTTCTCCTGCACTCTAGAACTATTACTTGCAAATGTAAATGTTACAAAGGCACATTTGAAAAAATAATAATAAATAATAATAAACAAAATCTCACGGACTGATTAATCCTATGGTGGATTAATTCTTATCTACCATAAATAGTCTCCAAAAGCAATTCAAAGGTTGGAGGGGTGAAAAAAGCAGAAACTTTTATGCTCTGCAGACTTCGGGTTCAGTTCCCACCTCTGCCTGTTGACACCTGTGTGACATTCAAAGATATAGTTGAGTATAATACATTGTAGTTATATATTATTTAGTTATAAGTTATATATATATAAAACTTAACTAAAATCTAATTTATAAAATAACTTTACTGGGCAATGTGGTTTAAATGAGTTAAAAATAAAATTAAAGTACTATCTGTTGTCATATGCAAAATTATCACATTTAGGAAGCAATGTTTCACTTTGGTAGGCCAAGGTGGGCAGATCATCTGAGGTCAGAAGTTCGAGACCAGCCTGGCCAACATAGCAAAACCCCAACTCTACTAAAAAAATACAAAAAAATTAGCTGGGTGTGGTGGTGCACACCTGTAATCCCAGCTACTTGGAGGCTAAGACAGGAGAATCACTTGAACCCAGAAGGCAGAGGTTGTAGTGAGCCGAGATTGTGCCACTGCATTCCAGTCTGGGTGACAGGGCTAGACTCCATTTCAAAGGGGGGAAAAAAAAAAGAAAGAAAGCAATGTTTAAGATAATGTTAAACAAACTACAGGCTATCTGGAATATGAAAATTTCACTTTGAAAGACCCTGGAGATATTGAAAACAGACATCTAGATTTCCTTCAGAACAAAAGCTGGGGTATTAGAAGCTACTTGTGTGGCTATTAATTAGGAAAAATATGCCATAGTTATTCTAAGATTCCTTGGAAAGAAAACAAACAAACAAACAAACAAAAAAACAGATTTTCACACAGGTGTTCCAAACTGAAAGTTAGATGACTGGGCTACTTTTCAAATGAACAACCGTATTGAGTGCTTCAGGGTAAAGAAAATCAGGCCTATATTTTCTTAACAATACTTAGTAATTTCCTTAAGCAAATCAAAGGTAGTCAACATAAGAGATGCCACCTAGTACAGGATGAAATTCTTTTTTATCTTTATTTTTGAAGAGACAGTCTCATTCTGTTGCCCAGGCTAGAATGCAGCAGTGCAATCATAGTTCATTGTAACCTTGAACTCTTAGGCTCAAGCCATCCTAACTGCCTCGGCCTCCCTAGTTGCTAGGAATACAAGAACATACTACAACACCCAGCTAAATTTAAAAAAAAAAAAATTTAGGGATGGGGTCTCCCTTTGTGGCCCAGGCTGGTCCCAAACTCCTGGCATTATGCAATCCTCCCACCTTGGGATTACAGGTGTGAGCCACCGGGCCCAACCATTAAATTCTTAACAAATTGTAGAAATGAAAAATGGTAATCTGACAGATTTAATTGAGATTTATAATACTCTAGAAACTCTGATTTGATAATTTTAGATAGATAAATGAGTAAGCTTCCAAATCAAGACATGATCCAAAAGGATTTTTACAAAACTATTTATGTGCTAACTGGAAAATCTAACAAAAGGTATAAAGTTAACAAAGCTATTGGTTGCAATGTGAATATGGTATATTAGATAAACAGGTGAGATTCTGGGTTAACTGACTTTGGAAGACAAATTTTGATAGTCTCCACTATCTTCTGAGTTTTGTCAAAAACCAAACCACAGAAGCAAATATTTAAGAAAAGGAAATAGCTATTTAAAAATTTTCATCTTTTAAGAAAAAATTTAAGAAAAACTTTGTCTTTAAACCAGAAGCTAATGAGAACTTAGTGAAGAGAGACAAAGAAAGCAATTATCAGCAAGAGCTAAATATATTTAGTGTCCAAATTTAATGTATATTTTCTTATTCAGTTGATATGGTTTGGCTCTATGTCCCCACCCAAATCTGATACTGAATTGCATTTCTTAGTGTTGCAGCTGGGGCCTGGTGGGAGGTGACTGGATCATGAGGGTGGTTTCTAATGGTTTAGCACCATCCTCTTAGTGCTGTCTTAGTGCTGACAGAGTTCTCACGAGATATGGCTGTTTGAAAGTGTGGAGCACCTCCCTCTTTGCTCTCTTTCTCTCTTCTTGCTGGCCATACAAAGATGTGCACACTTCCCCTTTGCCTTCTGCCATAATTCTAAGTTTCCTGAGGCTTCCCCTGCCATGCTTCCTGTACAGCCTATGGAACTGTGAGTCAATTATACCTCTTTTCTTCATAAATTACCCTGTCTCAGGTAGTTCTTCATAGCAGTGCAAGATTGGACTAATACATTATTGTAGAAAAAGTAGTATTAAAAAGTTATTTTAACCAATATACAAAGTTTTAAAAATCAGAAAGTCAGCAAAATAGCATTGTAATAGTTATATGCTTCTTGAAAATCTGAAAAAATTACTCAAAGCCATCCTAGGAGAAATTATGAAAATTAAACTATCTGAACTATTCAAAGATTAAGCAGAACATTACACTATTCAGAAATAAATGCTATTTTCATTAGCAAGTCTCTGAGCAACAAAATGCAAAATAGTAAATAATCTTATGATTATTTCTCATTAGTAGAAATGCACTTTCCCATTTTCTTTTGAAAGTTCTGTATCCCAATGAAAGATACTGTGTAACATTATGAATCCAAACAAAAGTTCTGACCTCAGACCTTTGAAAGTTTTCTTAAAAATAACAGTTCTTTTCTATCAGTACTTAACAAATGTGACATGTAGTCTCCATGATTTCTGATGAGAAATCTGCTGTCATTCAAACTATTTATCCCCCCTCTGGTATAGTTTCTAATTTCTTTCAAGATTTTTTAATCTTCAATTTTCAAAAGTCTGCATATGCCATGTCTTGGTGTGGACTGCTTTGGTTTACCCTGTTAGGAGTTTGCTAGGTTTCTTAAATCTGTAGGTTTATGTCTTTTGCCAAATTTGGGAAAAGTTTTCAGTGATCATTTCTTTTAATACTTTTCCAGCCATGCCCTCTTTCTCCACTTCTTCAGAGAGATCTGATGGCATAGATGTTTGCTCTTTTGCTACAGTCCCTGAGGCTCTGTTCATTTTTAGCCTATTTTCTCTCTGCTGTTCAGATTTGGCAATTTGTATTGTTCTATCAGTTTACTGAGTCATTCTTCTATTTCCTCCATTCTGCTACTGAGCCTATCATCCATTGAAGTTTTTAATTTAGTTACTGCATTTTTCAGCTCTAAAATTTCTATTTGGTTCTTCTATTTATTTCTTTGCTAAGACTTTCTATTTTTTCATTTGTTTCAGGCATGCTCATTCATAATTGCTTGTTGAAGCATTTTAAGATAGCTGGCTTTATAATCTTTGTCAGATAATTTTAATATCTGTTATCCTGGTGTTCATCTCTATTAATTGTCTTTTTTCACTCAATTTGAGATCTTCTAGGTTCCTAGTATGACAATTTTTTCTTTTTCTTTCTTTTTTTTTTTTTTTGAGACAGGGTCTCACTCTGTTGCCCAGGTTGGAGTGCAGTGGCATGATCACAGTTCACTACAGCCATGACCTCCCCAGCTCAAGTGATCCTCCCACCTAAGCCTCCCGAGTAGCTGGCATTATAGGCATGTGCCATCACGCCTGGCTAATTTTTTTTTTCTTTTTTTGGTAGAGATGAGGTTTCGCCATGTTGCGCAGGCTGGTCTCAAACTCCTAGACTCAGGTGATCCACCCACCTTGGCTTCCCAAAGTGCTAGGATTACAGTCTTGAGTCACCACACTCAGCCAGACAATTTTTAATTAAAATCTGCACACTTTGGGTATTATAAGACTCTAGATCTTACTTAAATTTTCTGTGTTAGTTGGCTTTGTTTGATTTTGCTCCAGCAGATGAAGATAGTGAGGTGCCATTTCATTTCGGCAAGTTGGGGGTAGATGTTCAGGTTCCCCACTTGTCCTCCATTTACACTACAGATGGGGCAGCTTCTTGATTCCCCTGGGCTGGGTGGGAATCCTGACTCTCCACTCCACCTCCACTGACATGTCTCTGGCTGAGAAGCTACTGCTCCCATGTAGCCTCTACTAATACCCCTGGGTGCTGGGGGTTGGGGTGCATAGGTAGAGAAAGGCTTTTTTACTGCTTAGAAGTGGTGAAAGCATTCATTCTCCAATAGGACTCCTCTGATGCCACTTAGCAGGGAAGGACAGAAGCTCCTCTTTACTCCCAAATAAACGTAGAAGTTTTAGCTTCCCACATGGTCTCCAGTAACACTACAAGTTGGGGAAAGGCTAGTTAACCATTCTATGGGAATTAAAGTCCCAACTCTGTACCTGGCCTAATCTGACACAATTCCAGTGGAGGAGGTGTTAGGGTGCCTCATAACAGCTTGGTGAGGATGGAAATCTAGGATCCCTACTTGGCCTTTGCAGCTATGAGTGTGACCAATGTTTTTTTCTGTGGTGTTTGGTTGAAGTAGAATGGTTATTCTCAAAAAGTTTTCTGTCTTGCTATGGTGTCCCTCTACTAGTATTTAAAAGACTGGGCTTTTGCTGGCGCTTTCTTTGTCTGTGGCCATTGCACTTCTGGGTTATCAGCTTCTTTAGCTCTAATTATGGAATATATGAGGCTAAAAGAAAAGGCAGGGAACTACTGCAGTGTCATTATTTGGGTCCTGAGATCCCTAGCTCCTCTGCCTTATTCTCTCCACCTTTCAGAGTCTTCTTGTGTTTTACGTATAATATTCAGAGTTTTTAGTTGTACTCAGCATATAGTACAATTAATTATACCAGTAACAAAGACCAAGCTAACACTTATGAGAGAAATTAATCTATTTGTGAAATGGGTCACCTAGATTGTCATTTATAAAAGATAAATTCACAATCAGGGGAAGTATTTACATTTTCTTCATAAAGTAACTCTTAAACATAGGAAATGCTCAAGACAGAATCTTTCTCTCAATTTTTCCCTAGAGAATTGATTCTAAACCTCTTCAATCATGTATTAACTCTTGAAAACCATGTATTTATTAAAAACATTTACATGCCTTAGCATCTTACTTTATTACTGCAACTTCCAATTCTCAGAGGCAAAAGTACTACTTATTGTTTAACAATTCTAAGATGCACATTTCCTACACATTTTAATGTCATTGAAATCTTTTACAATCAATGAATCTTAAAATCAATGACTTTGTATAATTGATGTTGGCCAGGTGGCAGACATGACTGGGTTGTCATTATCATCCACATGTGACACCAGTCACAGCTATTCATATTGTTTTCACTTCAGTTGAGTTATGTGTGTTGTTGGAATCGTATCTGTTGACCTTAACTATTACATAAAATTTCTTCTGGATGTTGTCTGAAAACTTTATGTTGATATTTTATGGTAAGATCAAGAAAGTGCCAAAATCAAAGCTTGCAGAATGCCTATCAGTGACGCAGAAGAAAATCCCAAGCAAGCAATGTTATATACTCTAAGCAGCACAGAGAATGATACTGTGTGTGTGTGGCGGGGGGGCAGGGGAAATTTATGGGATAAAAACAAATACTGCACCATAATTTTATTTAATTTTTAAAATCGGTATTTATGATGTTACAACAATGGCACCTTAGATCTGATGAAATCCAGTATGTGCATTATAAATATATCCAAAATATTTCTGGCTTCCTACTGTACTTTTTCCATTGATAGCTCAAATTAGACCAATCTAAATTAATATTCTACTACACTGTCTCCCTCTTCTTCAGCTTCCCCTAATTCCGCTCTTTAGATCCCTTAATAAGTTTAATGGTATCATTTTCCCAATGACAAAGGCTAGAAAGAGAGGCAGAATAGTGTAGTATCTAAAATGCACATTTGAAAAGTTAAGACTGTGTAGGTTCAAACCCTAACTCTGACACATATTTTGTGTGATTTCTCTCTATGACTCAGTCTCTTCATCTATAATTTTTATTTTTTTTTGACTTTTTTAAATTTTAGAGATGGAGTCTCATTCTGTGGCTCAGGCTGAAGTGAACAGGTGCAATCATAGTTTACTGCAGCCTCAAACTCCTGGGCTCAAACGATCCTCCCACCTCAGCCTCCCAAGTAACTAGGCCTACTGGCATGCACCACCAGGCCCAGCTGATTTTTTTGTTGTTGTTGGTAGAGATGGGGTAGCTATGTTGCTGAAGCTGGTCTATAACTCTTGGCCTCAAGCAATCCTCCCACCTAGGCCTCTCAAGGTGTTGGGATTATAGGTGTTGGCCATTGTGCCCAACCAAGTAACAATTATTATTATTATTATTATTATTTTGAGATGGACCCTTGCTCTGTCGCCCAGGCTGGAGTGCAATGGCGCTATCTCCGCTCACTGTAAGCTCCGCCTCCCGGGTTCATGCCATTCTCCTGCTTCAGCCTCCCGAGTAGCTGGGACTACAGGCGCCTGCCACCACGCCCGGCTAATTTTTTGTATTTTTAGTAAAGACGGGGTTTCACCGTGTTAGCCAGGATGGCCTTGATCTCCTGACCTCGTGATCCGCCCGCCTCAGCCTCCCAAAGTGCTGGGATTACATGTGTGAGCCACCGCGCCTGGCCCCCAAATTATAATTATTAATACAGGTCTATTATCTCTCGCCTACACCCAAATTTCAAAATTGCTCATATTTTTTTCACCCTAAGAGGTCTGAGAAAAACAAACAAAGAAAATTTCATGTCTTTGTTACTGTGAATAGTGCTGCGATGAACATATATGTGCATGTATCTTTATGGTACAAATTTATTTTCCTGTGGGTATATAACCAATAATGGGATTGCTGGGTCAAATGGTAACTGTTTTAAGGTTTTGAGAAATCACCAAATTGCTTTCCACAATGGCTGATCTAATTTACATTTCCACCAGCAGAAGAAAAGTAAAAGTTTTTCATATTTTAGAAAGATAATATTATGGATTATGTAACACTCCCACCAGGTCTGGGATAGCACTCTATAACCAAACACAAAATTATTTCTGCAAAAAAAAAACAAACCACACATTTACAGTTAAGTGAGATAAAGACTACAAATAGCCTCCCATCAGTGCAGGTCATTATCTGTTGCCAAATGTGCCTACAACAAACTTAAAATTTATGTTTTCATTTTTTGCAGTTTTGGAGGTTTATGCATAAGGACCTGTGGGAAGTAGTACATTTTTATATGACTGAAATTATGTTATCTAAAGGACTTAGAACAGTAAAAAAAAAAACACAGTAAGCACTTGGTAAACGTTAGCTATTTATCATCATTAGCACCACCTTTGATTTTTCTTCCTACCTTAGTACTTAGATCCAGTAAATCACACCAAGACTTATCAATTCTATTCTCCAAATTTCTTTCAGATCTGCTCTACTTCCAATCTCACTGCCACTGCCCTAGTTTTCTTGCCCAACCTCTCTAATTTGTCAAGAATCTTCCAAAAAAACAGTCTGAAAGGTCATCACTTCCCTAAAACTGCATCACCATCAAAGGACAAACTCAGCCTGGCATACAAATCCTTTACGTTGTAACCCCAGCTGACTTGCCCAGTCTTATCTGCTACCCTCTCCATATTCCACTAATGCCTTCTCTCCAAGAAATTATGGCTCCAATAAGGCCCTTCTGTTTAATGCAATCAGAACCAGTATTTGCTTGGTTAACCAAATAGGCTGACTGAAATAGGTAATCATAAAATATAACACATATGCATAAATAATGCATTTATTTAATCATACAAGACATAAATGCATATTTATTTATCCATCCTTTAGTGAAGACTAGTCTATTTCTTTGGATGATGTCTTCATGACTATAAATCCATGCTGTCTTTCTTGCATAAATGATATCCGTAATGTGTTATCTAAGACTTCGAACTGTCTTTAGAGTGAACCAAAAACTTGAAGTCAACAGCAAAGCAATTTGAGTACACAATCCTTCTAGTTCTTTTTTTCTTTCAGTCTTTGAGTTGTCTCACCCCCATCTAATTAAAAAACAACCATCCTTTTAGGGCACTGCCATTGAGTCTTTCCAAAGTATTCAACTTTGTTATCTTAGCAACAATATTCTGGTTTTGCATATGACAGGCATTAACAGGTAGAAAACACATACAAATAACTTTTGGTAGGTCTGCAATTCAAGTGTTGGAAACAGAACCGTGAGCTTAGCAGAAGTGGCCTATTAGCAGCAATGTTTAGGCATATGGATATCAGTCAATAAGTTTTAACAAAGAAATGGTAAGTATAAATACAGTGGTAGCCAGTTAAAAGAACTTTATCATATATTATTTCTCATTTGTGAATGACATGACTTTCCTCAGGCAGCTCCCAACTCGCAGAGGCAAAAATTATGCTCATCCTTTTCCAGCCATCCCATTACTGGGTATATACCCAAAGGACTATAAATCATGCTGCTATAAAGACACATGCACACGTATGTTTATTGCGGCATTATTCACAATAGCAAAGGCTTGGAACCAACCCAAATGTCCAACAATGATAGACTGGATTAAGAAAATGTGGCACATATACACCATGGAATACTATGCAGCCATAAAAAATGATGAGTTCATGTCCTTTGTAGGGACATGGATGAAATTGGAAATCATCATTCTCAGTAAACTATCGCAAGGACAAAAAACCAAACACCACATGTTCTCACTCATAGATGGGAATTGAACAATGAGAACATATGGACACAGGAAGGGGAACATCACACTCTGGGGACTGTTGTGGGGTGGGGGGAAGGGGGAGGGATAGCATTAGGAGATATACCTAATGCTAAATGACAAGTTAATGAAGAGTTAATGCATGTATACATATGTAACTAACCTGCACATTGTGCACATGTACCCTAGAACTTAAAGTATAATAATAATAAAAAATAATAATAAAAAAATAATAAAATAAAATAAACGAATGTTACCTCCTCCAGAATCTTTCTTTAATTGGCCTAGACAGAATTAAGCACTTCTTCCTCAGAGTTCCTTATATACTGGTCCATTTAGTCTACCAAGTATTAGAGTTAATTGACTTCACATGTATCTATCTATAAGCCTGAAGATGAGAATCTATGTTGCAGTCATTTTCAAATCTCATAGTGCCCAATGCTACTATCAGTTATGATATAATGGAAAAAAATCATCAGAATTTACGTCTCAAGAATGAGAGTTCAGTTCTGATTGTGAAATAGGAATAACAGTGAACATTCCCATAAATTTCCATGAAAAACCAAGTAAGAATGTATATGGGAACGTCTACAGCTTTCAGCAAATGTATCTCATTATTAGTATACAAGGATATAAATACCCCAAATAAAATTTTAATATTTTCCTAAGATCTTAATTTCTCTAAGACTTCTAATCAAAATACATGATATGCTTTGTACTAATAAAGTATTCTTGACAAGAAATATATAATAAAATTGAAATTCATGGATCTGCCAACTTTCCTATGGCCCACATAACAACATATGAATGAAAATATGACAAATTACTACTTCATTCTCCTCTGCTCCTCTCTTCTAGATAAGTTTGCCCTAAAACCAAGAGACAAAATGATAGTTTCCTTTGTTAAATAATCTGGGAAACCCAAGAGCTTACCTATTTTTCACTGAAAAGTGGTAACCAAAAATTATATTATAAACAATAACAACTAATTCAGTTAATATTTACTGAATAGAAATACTTGCCACATATTGTGCCAAGTGTCTTATACACATGATCTCATTTAATCTTCACAATCTTATAAATTAGGTACAAGTATTAATATTTCCATTTTATGGATAAAGAAATGGAGGCTTAGGGAAGCTGGTAATTCATTCAAAGTTGACGAGAATTACTTAACAGAATTAAGATTTAAACAGAGTTGCCTAACTCCTGAGCCTGAGCTCTTAACTCCTATACTATAATATTTCTTGCTGGGGGGAGGTGAGGTTCAAGAATTTCTGAAATTCCTGAAATTTCTGTTTTCAAAGCACCAAAAATAACAGCATTATTGAATTCCAGACAGAAGAACCAGCAAATAGATGGAAAGGCCATGAGGCAAGATGCCTAGTCTGTTCAAAGGCTCAACCAAGGGACCAGTGTAGGTTTAGCACAAAGCCTAGAAAAGAGTGGAGGATGGAGTCAGAGAGGTGACAAGGCACCAAAGCATACCTCTGTAGGCCACCAGAACTCTGGCTTCTACCCTGAATGCAGCATAAATCCACTGATAGGCTTTCAATAAAACTGTCATGTTACCCAACACAAAATAATTTAAAATGATCATTATGGCTACAACGCAAAATAATTTAAAACGATCACTGCGGCTACTGTGAAAAAAAATAGGTGTGGGAAAGATGACAGTTATGCCTACAAGGAGGCAACTGCAATAATTCCAGTGAAAAACAACAGTGGGAGGCCAAGGCGGGCAGATCACAAGGTCAGGAGATTGAGACCATCCTGGCTAACATGGTGAAATCCCACCTCTACTAAAAATACAAAAAAAATCAGCTGGGCATGGTGGCACGTGCCTGTAGTCCCAGCTACTCGGGAGGCAGAAGCAGGAGAATGGCATGAACCTGGCAGGTGGAGCCTGCAGTGAGCCGAGATCGTGCCACTGCACTCCAGCCTGGGCAACAGGGTGAGACTCTGTCTTTAAAAAAAAAAAAGAAAGAAAAAAAAAAAAAAACAACAGTGCTCAGGATCAAAGAGAGATGGAAAAAGGTAATGAGAAATAGATACTGGATATATTTTAAAGCTGAGCCAACAGAAATCTTAGGATTCTGTTGGATGTTTATAAAATAAAGGCTATAATGCAGAAGAAAAGCCAAGCCATAAGTAAGTCGCCACACATATTTCAAAGTTATATCCTTAAATAGCTAATTCTTTAATGATCAAGTGACAAAGCTAATGAATTTTTTTCTATGCTGAAAATGTCACTGGGCCAGGCCTCATGGTTGATTCCTATAATCCC
The DNA here is from genome assembly GCF_000001405.40 of Homo sapiens. Taxonomy (NCBI): domain Eukaryota; kingdom Metazoa; phylum Chordata; class Mammalia; order Primates; family Hominidae; genus Homo; species Homo sapiens. Next base: position 79,859,655 of record NC_000012.12, read on the forward strand.
AACACTTAAGGAGGCCGAAGCAGAAGAATCACTTGAGGTCAGGAGTTTGAGACCACCCCGGAAAACACAGCGAGACTCTGTCTCTACAAAAATAAAAAATAAAAATAAAAAAATTAGCTAGAAGCAGTGGTGCAAGTCTACAGTCCTAGCTACCGCTGCTGAGGCAGGAGGATTGCTTAAGCCCAGGAAGTCCAGGCTGCGGTGTGTTATGATCATCCCACTGCACTCCAGCCTGGGCGACAGAGCAAGACGCTGTCTCAAACAAACCAACAAAATTCTATGAGCATTTTATAATAGGATATGAAATCTCCAACAGCAATGTCTATAAAATCACTCTAAACAAGAAGAAAAATGCGTTAAGTGCACCAATTAATAGTCTACTCCATGAACTGTGAAGCCATATAATGCTAGGCTAATACAGGGCTAATTTCCCTCTTAGATTGGAAAACTGAACACTAAAGCTATTCAAGATAAAAGCATGCCTTAAGTATTTGTAGTGGAAGCCTAAAAAACAAATGTGGTGGCAAAATTAAATAACAGAAAAGATTATATCCAAATAATTACACCAGAAACCAAAATGTTAATCATTCCATTTTCTTATTCATATACAAAATATTTTATAAACATAAAAATTCCTATAACTTGCAATAATACAAAAATAAGGGACAACTCTAAGACTAAAATTATAGTCATTCAATTAACCAACATTCATTGGTCAATTAAGAGGGACACACTGAATAAATGATAAACTATAATGAATACTACACAGTGGAGTACTACAACTGAAAAGAACAATGACGAGTATCTCTACACTCCACTAGATAGTGATCTCCAGAATAGACTGTTAAGTGAAAAAAGCAAAGTGGAGAAATACGTGTGTGATATTCTATCATTTATTACAAAAGATGGGGGGATTAATACTTCAATAAAAATAATACTTTTATTAGCAAACTAGAAGATAGTTTTTTAAACTTTTTTTATAGGGTATGGGATGAAATATGGTGGTAGAGGAGGTATTGCCACTGGAACTAGTATTTTACGTAAATTATAAAACAAAATTAAAATTTTAAAAAGTAAACTCAAGTGAATTCAACACATAGTAACCTGATGGTATATTCCAAGTTGAATATACTAAGGACAAAAAGAAATGCCAACAAAACAAAACCCTCAAAAACAAAACTTTGAATGATTTCAGTAATCATACTGGTGGTGGTGGTGGTGGCGGCATTATTATACTCAGTGTAACGTATGTGTAATACATGATGAAGCAAATTAGTAATTACGTGTTACTTTAATCCTGTGCTTCCCAGCAATGTATGAGAGGAAAGACAGTGACACAGGTTAGAAGAAGTTAAAGAAAAAAACACTTTGGTGCTGATTTCGACCTGGAAACAATGACCAACCCAATAGTAATGAGCACTCTCAGTAGCCATCCTAAGGAACAGGGTTTCTTGGAGAAATGAGGACTCCAGGCCTTGGGCAGGAATATAAAAGATTAGTCTGGAAAATCTTGCAATACCAAAGAGTAAGGAAACTTTTAAAGACTACTTTATTTGGTCATGTCCCAAGGTCTTAGGAAGCCAACTTCAAGAGCCTCTCAATGACCAAAGATGGTTCAATTTGCCAACTGATAAGGATAATAGCTGCAGTGGACTGAAACACATCAATATGTTCAAACGGGAGTTACTTCCAAGATGTCCAAATAGGAACAGTTCTGGTCTGCAGCTCCCAGCAAGATCGATGCAGAAGACGGGTGATTTCTGCATTTCCAACTGAGGTACCTGCTTCATCTCATTGGGACTGGTTGGACAGTGGGTGCAGCCCGCAGAGGGCGAGCTGAAGCAGGGCGGGGTGTTGCCTCACCTGGGAAGCGCAAGGGGTCATGGGATTTCCCTTTCCTAGCCAAGGGAAGCCGTGAGTGACCGTACCTGGAGGAGCAGTATACTCCTGCCCAAATACTGCACTTCTCCCATGGTCTTTGCAACCAGCAGACCAAAAGATCCCCTCCCGTGCTTGGCTCGGCGGGTCTCACGCCCTTGCTCACTGCTAGCACAGCAGTCTGAGATCAACCTGCAATGTGGGAGCTTGGCGGGGGGAAAGGGCATCTGCCATTGCTGGGCTTGAGTAGGTGGTTCTAGGCTCACAGTGTAAACAAAGTGGCAGGGAAGCTAGAACTGGGCAGAGCTCAGCAAGGCCTACTGACTCTCTTGAATCCACTCTGGGGGCAGGGCATATTGGAACAAAAGACAGCAGACAGCTTCTCCAGACTTAAACGTCTGTGCCTAACAGCTCTGAAGAGAGCAGTGGCTCTCCCAGCACAGCATTCAATCTCTGTAAACGGACAGACTGCCTACTCAACAGGGTCCCCGACCCCTGTGCAGCCTGGCTGGGAGACACCTCCCAGCAGAAGAAAACAGACACCTCATACAGGGGGGTGCCCTTCTAGGACAAAGCTTCTAGAGGAAGGATCAGGCAGCAATATTTGCTGTTCTGCAGCCTCCATTGGTGATGCCCAGGCAAACAGGGTCTGGAGTGGACCTCCAGCAAACTCCAACAGACCTGCATCTGAGGGGCCTGTTAGAAGGAAAACTAACAAACAAAAAGGAATAGTATCAATATCAACAAAAAGGACATCCACACCAAAACCCCATCTGTAGGTCACCAACGTTAAAGACCAAAGGTAGATAAAACCACAAAGATGGGGAAAAACCAGAGCAGAAAGGCTGAAAATTCTAAAAACCAGAGCACCTCTACTCCTCCAAAGGAACACAACTCCTCACCAGCAAGGGAACAAAACTGGGCAGAGAATGAGTTCGACAAAGTGACAGAAGTCAGCTTCAGAAGGTCGGTAATAACAAACTTCTCCGAGCTAAAAGAGCATGTTCTAACCCATAGCAAGAAAGCTAAAAACCTTGAAAAAAGGTTAGACAAATGACTAGCTAGAATAACCAGTGTAGAGAAGAGCTAAATGACCTGATGGAGCTGAAAACCACAGTACGAGAACTTCATGAAGCATACACAAGCTTCAATAGCCAATTCGATCAGGCAGAAGAAATGATATCAGTGATGGAAGATCAAATTAATGAAATAAAGGAAAAAGAGAAGTTTAGAGAAAAAACAGTAAAAAGAAATGAATAAAGCCTCCAAGAAATATGGGACTATGTGAAAAAACGAAATCAATGTTTGATTGGTATACCTGAAAGTGACGGGGAGAATGGAACCAAGTTGGAAAACACTCTGCAGGATATTATCCAGGAGAACTTCCCCAACCTAGCAAGGCAGGCCAACATTCAAATTCAGGAAATACAGAGAACACCACAAAGATACTCCTCGAGAAGAGCAACCCCAAGACACACAATTGTCAGGTTCACCAAAGTTGAAATGAAGGAAAAAATGTTAAGGGCAGCCAGAGAGAAAGGCTGGGTTACCCACAAAGGGTAACCATCAGACTAACAGCAGATCTCTTGGCAGAAACCCTAGAAGCCAGAAGAGAGTGGGGGCCGATATTCAACATTCTTAAAGAAAAGAATTTTCAACCCAGAATTTCATATCCAGCCAAACTAAGCTTCATAAGTGAAGGAGAAATAAAATCCTTTACAGACAAGCAAATGCTGAGAGATTTTGTCACCACCATGTCTGCCTTACAAGAGCTCCTGAAGGAAGCACTAAACATGGAAAGGTACAACTGGTACCAGCCACTGCAAAAACATGCCAAATTGTAAATACCATCGACACTATGAAGAAACTGCATCAATTAATGGGCAAAATAACCAGCTGGCATCATAATGACAGGATCGAATTCACACCTAACAATATTAACCTTAAATGTAAATGGGCTAAATGCCCCACTTAAAGGACACAGACTGGCAAATTGGATAAAGACTCAAGACCAATCAGTGTGCTGTATTCAGGAGACCCATCTCATGTGCAAAGACACATATAGGCTCAAAATAGAGGGATGGAGGAAGATCTACCAAGCAAATTGAAAGCAAAAAAAAAAAAAAAAAAAAAAAAAAAGAGCAGGGGTTGCAATCCTGGTCTCTGATAAAACAGACTTTAAACCAACAAAGATCAAAAGAGACAAAGAAGGCCATTACATAATGGTAAAGGGATCAATTCAACAAGAAGAGCTAACTATCTTAAATATGTATGCACCCAATACAGGAGCACCCAGATACATAAAGCAAGTTCTTAGAGACCTACGAAGAGACTTAGACTTCCACACAATAATAGTGGGAGACTTTAATACCCCACTGTCAATATTAAATGGATCAACGAGACAGAAAATTAACAAGGATATCCAGGACTTGAACTCAGCTCTGGACCAAGAAGACCGAATAGACATCTACAGAACTCTCCACCCCAAATCATCAGAATATACATTCTTCTCAGCACCACATGGCCCTTATTCTAAAACTGACCACATAATTGGAAGTAAAACACTTCTCAGCAAATGTAAAAGAACAGAAATCACAACAAACTGTCTCTCAGACCACAGTGCAATCAAATTAGAACTCAGGATTAAGAAACTCACTCAAAACCACACAACTACATGGAAACTGAACAACCTGCTCCTGAGTAACTACTGGGTAAATAACGAAATGAAGGCAGAGATAAAGATGTTCTTTGAAACCAATGAAAACAAAGACACAACGTACCAGAATCTCTAGGACACATTTAAAGCAGTGTATACAGGGAAATTTATAGCACTAAATGCCCACAAGAGAAAGCAGGAGTGATCTAAAACTGACACCCTAATATCACAATTAAAAGAACTAGAGAAACAAGAGCAAACAAATTCAAAAGCTAGCAGAAGACAAGCAATAACTAAGATCAGAGCAGAACTGAAGAAGACAGAGACAGAAAAAAAACCCTTCAAAAAAATCAATGGCTTTTTGAAAAGATCAACAAAATAGATAGACAGCTAGCAAGACTAATAAAGAGAGAAGAATCCAATAGACACAATAAAAAATGATGAAGTGGTCATCACCACCAATCCCATAGAAATACAAACTACCATCAGAGAATACTATAAACACTTCTATGCAAATAAACTAGAAAATCTAGAAGAAATGGATAAATTCCTCGACACATACACCCTTCCAAGATTAAACTAGGAAGAAGTTAAATCTCTGAACAGGACAATAACAGGTTCTGAAATTGAGGCAATAATAGCCTACCAACCAAAAAAAGTCCAGGACCAGATGGATTCACAGCCGAATTCTACCAGAGGTACAAAGAAGAGCTGGTACCATTCCTTCTGAAACTATTCTGATCAACAGAAAAAGAGGCAATCCTCCCTAACTCATTTTATGAGGCCAGAATCATCTTGATACCAAAGCCTGGCAGAGACACAACAAAAAAAGAGAATTTTAGGCCAATATTCCTGATGAACATCGATGTGAAAATCCTCAATAAAATCCTGGCAAACCGAATTCAGCAGCACGTCAAAAAGCTTATCCACCACGATCAAGTCGGCTTCAGCCCTGGGATGCAAGGCTGGTTCAACATACGCAAATTAATAAACGTAATCCATCACATAAACAGAACCAACAACAAAAACCACATGATTATCTCAACAGATGCAGAAAAGGCCTTCGATAAAATTCAACAGCCTTTCATGCTAAAAACTCTCAATAAACTAGGTATCGATGGAACGTATCTCAAAATAATAAAAGCTATTTATGACAAACCCACAGCCAATATCGTATTGAATGGGCAAAAACTGGAAGCATTCCATTTGAAAACCGCCACAAGACAAGGATCCCCTCTCTCGTCACTCCTTTTCAACATAGTATTGGAAGTTCTGGCCAGGGCAATCAGGCAAGAGAAAGCAATAAAACGTATTCAAATAGGAAGAGAGGAAGTCAAATTGTCTCTGTTTACAGATGATAAGATTGTATATTTACAAAACCCCATCGTCTCAGCCCCAAATCTCCTTAAACTGATAAGCAACTTCAGCAAATTCTCAGGATACAAAATCAATGTACAAAAATCACAAGCATCCCTATACACCAAAACAGACAAACAGAGAGCCAGATCATGAGTGAACTCCCATTCACAATTGCTACTAAGAGAATAAAACACCTAGGAATACAACTTATAAGCGATGTGAAGGACCTCTTCAAGGAGAACTACAAACCACTGCTCAAGGAAATAAGAGAGGACACAAACAAATGGAAAAACATTCCATGCTCATGGACAGAAAGAATCAATATCGTGAAAATGGCCTTACTACCCAAAGTAACTTATAGATTCAATGCTACCCCCATCAAGCTACCACTGAGTTTCTTCACAGAATTGGAAAAAACTACTTTAAACTTCATATGGAACCAAAAAAGAGCCGGCATAGCCAAGACAATCCTGGGCAAGAAGAACAAAGCTGGAAGCATCACACTACCTGACTTCCAAACTTTACTAGAAGGCTACAGTAACCAAAACAGCATGGTACTGGTACCAAAACAGATATACAGACCAATGGAACAGAACAGAGGCCTCAGAAATAACACCACACATCTATCAACATCTGATCTTTGACAAACCTGACACACACAAGCAATGGGGAAAAAGATTCCCTATTTAATAAATGGTGTTGGGAAAACTGGCTAGCCATATGCAGAAAACTGAAACTAGACCACTTCTTTACAACTTATACAAAAATCAACTCAAGATGGATCAAAGACTTAAACGTAAGACCTAAAAACCATTAAAATTCTAGAAGAAAACCTGGGCAATACCATTCAGGACATAGGCATGGGCAAAGACTTCATGACTAAAACACCAAAAGCAATGGCAACAAAAGCCAAAATTGACAAATGGGATCTAATTCAACTAAAGATATTCTGCACAGCAAAAGAAACTATCATCAGAGTAAACAGACAACCTACAGAATCGGAGAAAATTTTTGCAATCTATCCATCTGACAAAGGGCTAATACCCAGAATCTACAAAGAACTTAAATTTACAAGAAAAAAGCAAACAACCCCATCAAAAAATGGGCAAAGGATATGAACAGCCACTTCTCAAAAGAAGACATTTATGCAGCCAACAGACATATGAAAAAATGCTCATCATCACTGGTCATTAGAGAAATGCAAATCAAAACCACAATGAGATACCATCTCACGCCAGTTAGAATGGCGATCATTAAAAAGTTAGGAAACAACAGATGCTGGAGAGGTTGTGGAAAAACAGGAATGCTTTTACACTGTTGGTGGGAGTGTAAATTAGTTCAACCATTATGGAAGACAGTGTGGCGATTCCGCAAGGATCTAGAACCAGAAATATCATTTAACCCAGCAATCTCATTACTGGGTAGATACCCAAAGGATTATAAATCATCCTGCAATAAAGACACAGGTACACATATGTTTATTGCAGCACTATTCACAATAGAAAAACACTTGCAACCAACCAAAATGCCCATCAATGACAGACTGGGTTAAGCAAACGTGGCACATATACACCATGGAATATTGTGCAGCCATAAAAAAGGATGAGTTCATGTCCTTTCAGGGACATGGATGAAGCTGGAAACTACCATTCTCAGCAAACTATCACAAGATCAGAAAACCAAACACCGCATGTTCTCACTCATAAGTGGGAATTGAACAATAAGAACACATGGACACAGGGATGGGAACATCACACACCAGGGTCTGTGGGGGGTGGGGGGTCAGGGGAAGGATAACATTAGGAGAAATACCCAATGTAGGTGATGGGTTGATGGGTGTGGCACACCATCATGGCATCTGTATTCCTATGTAACAAAACTGTACGTTCTGCACATGTAACCCAGAACTTAAAAGTATAATACAAATAAAATAAAATAGAAAATATGTTCAAATGCATGAGCTCCTAATATTACTTAAACTAGAAAAAAAAAAATTAGTCCCTACTGAAGGTAGATAGCAAGGAAATTCATTATTTAAAAAGCCAGTACATAAGGAGAAATAATAAAGAATATATTCTGTCTCCCCTATAAAAATTGTACTGAGGTAATATGGTTTGGCTGTGTCCTTACCCAAATCTCATCTTGAATTGTAGTTTCCATAATCGCCACGTGTTGTAGGAGGAACCCAGAGGGAGGTAATTGAATCCTGGGGGTGGTTACCCCTATGCTTCTGTTCTTGTGACAGTGAGTGAGTTCTCATGAGATCTGATGATTTTATAAAGGGCTTTCCCCCCTTTGCTTGGCACTTCTTCCTGCCGCCATGTGAAGAAGAATGTGTTTGCTTCCCCTTCCACCATGATTGTAAGTTTCCTGAGGCCTCCCCAGCCCTGTGGAACTGTGAGTCAATTAAATCTTGTTCCTTTATAAATTACCCAGTCTTGAGCAGTTTTTTACAACAGCGTGAGAATGGACTAATACAAAGGGTAACCAAATAGTAGAGATGAGAAAGTTTCTTTTACAAAAATATTCCAACTAATAAATAAAAAAGAATGACAATTAAAATGTTACCATTGTATAGTTCCTATGTTTTCATCTAATTATTTCTTCAGTCAGAGAACTTGGTTTTCAATGCTTTGCACACAGTAATTCAATTATAATTTATGCCACAGATGTATAATGAATTGATAATTCAAGATTGGAACAATAAATTGCATACATGGGTTCTTGGGCTCTAAAATCATTTGCCTTTTCTAGTATGTCCAAAGTCATACTGTTCCATTTCATTTTTGATCCATAGCCAATGACATTAACACTGTAATTTTTAAGGAAGAGTATGCCTTGATGTGATAGTGGAAAGTTTATACTGCTTATATTAGTTTGCTAGGACTACCATAATAAAATGCCACACACTGGGTGGCTTAAACAATAGAAATATTATTTTCTCACAGTTCTGGTGCCTAGAAGTCCAAGATCAATGTGTTAGCAGCTTTGGTTTCTTCATAGGCCTCTCTCCTTGGTTGGTAGATGGCTGCCTTCTTGTTTCTTCACATGGTTTCTTTCCTGTCTATGAGAGGGGCCCTGGTGTCTCTTTTTTGTCCCAATGTCTTCCTCTTATAAGAAAACCAGCCAGACTGGATGAGAAACAACTCCATCAGCCTCATTTTAACTTAATCATCCCTTTAGAGGCCGCTTCTCCAAATAGAGTCACATTCTGAAGTACTGAAGGTTAGGGTTTCAAGTAAGAATTTTGGGTGACACTATTCTGCCCATAATACTGATTCAGCACCCCAAAGGAAAAGAATGATGTTAATGCATACATTTTAGTACCTGACCTGATATATATAGTAAGTGCTTACATATTTATTGACTGCATAATTTTTAAAACATGTTAATCAAAGTAGTAACATTCTTAAGAATGAAAAAGTCAAGGCAGTGAGTATTTATTAAAACAATGCATATGCTGAGCATAAAATCAGGCTCCACAAACTCACTTCATTTATTTGTCCTCCATTCCATTCTGGAGAAAGGACATTACTAAACAACCTCTATTTTTAGTTTACCCTAGGACTTCTACCTTGTTAAGAATAAGCAAAAGTTGAGGGTAATTATTTTGGTGAAAAGGTGAGATAATTGAGCCAGTGTATGAAGAGCCATCATTCATCTACCTATTCACTTGGCTTCTATTACGCTACAGACCAAATGTAAAATTGTTAAATGCCTAGAAATGATACTGTAATCTGACATTCTTTGTTCTACTATTTCCAACAGAGGTTAAAAATTTAGAACTCAATGTATCCTAATCATCCTCAAATCCTCAGAGTAAACTAATCTAGGCTTAACTGCACATATCAATAGGGATGAATTACTACTATTCAGTGCATAAATGCAGTTAGTAAAGAAGCATATACACAAACAACTGATGTGTTAGAGATGATGATGAATTTGCCAAGAACATCAGAAACTCTTCCTGGAAGAAATGACCCTTATACAAACTGCATCTTGAGAGTCTGGTAGAAGCTGCTCAAGTAATGCAACAGCAGGCAAATAAACTATTACGAAGAAAGGCACACTGATGTAAACCAGTAGGGAATGTTGGGGAACTAAAAGTAGTCCAGTATTGACAGAGTGAAAAATGTGAAGTGGAATGCAATATGAGAAAAAAGACTTAGGAAGAAACTAGATCTTTCCAATTTTATAAATAATCTTAAATTACTGAGACTAAGTAGATTGGTCAAGCACACAAAGCTAGTGAATGGCAGAACTAGGATTTGCAACAAATTTAACTCCAAAATACTTCAGTTACCACAGTGACCATATGCCCCAGTTTCTTACCCCCTGGGTTATAACTATTGTCTCTATTATTATTATTATTATTATTATTATTATTATAAGTGCTTTCTTTCATGCCTATAAAACACTGATCTGTGGACTATCTTCACCCTATCAATTAGGCCACCAGACTATTATTTTTCTATACCCAAGAAAACTAGGGTTTCATTAATTTCACTTAATCATTAGTGAAATTAACTGCTGAAAGAGGTGTTTTTAATGTATTTTTTTCTTTTTTTGAAACAAGGTTTCACTCTTGTCACCTAGGCTTAAGTGCAATGGTGCTATCTCAGCTCACTGCAACCTCTGCCTCCCAGGCTCAAGCAATTCTCCTGCCTTAGCCTCCAGAAATTCTCCTGCCTTAGCCTCCAGAGTAGCTGGGACACATCATTGTAACTGGCTAATTTTTTTGTATGTTTTGCAGACATGGGGTTTTGTCATGTTGCCCAGGCTGGTCTCGAACTCCTGAGCTCAAGCAAGGCCTCCCAAACTGCTGGGATTACAGGCATGAGCCACCATGCCCAACCTGCTAAAAGAGATTATGCTGATAAAAATGAGCATTCGGAAGGATTTTGGGCTATCATCACCTTAACAAATCATCCAGTATATGCTAGAGTTAAACTGCCTTTTATAAAAACAGTCATTATTTTAAAAAAGAATCTTGTGGCAGAAAGAATAAAAAGGAAAACTTATTCTTCTAATTTTAATCTGGTTCAAGGAAACTCCATAGTTTATAGCACAGTCATAAATTCAAACTAATTAGATTAGCAACTATAGTCAACCTTGGCCAAAAAAGGTCACTTTTGTTTGCACAAGTCCTGTAAAGCATATATTCCATATCCCACCCTCCAAAAACTGAAAATAGTCACCCTACTGATAACATTAGCAACTGCAACAAACTGCTTACCCTTCCTCATACTTCTTATATACTAGCATGTAAAAGCTGAATATGCCAAGATATTTACTTTTCCTAGCTACAACATGGACAAATGACCAAGACCAGGCCAAAAGAAGTCCCATTATGGGATGTCTTCAGCAACTGGAGGGCTCTCTGGGAAAGGTTTTCCTCTTTGATGTACACAGAATACAGGGAGGATATTTTCTACTTGCAATCCATTTTTTTTTTATTTGCTTTTGGATGTGGATATGTAAAACACAATTCTAGAGTTGTGGCAATCATCTTGTAACCAAGAGGGGAGAAGGCTAAGAATAAAGTCCATTTTTGGGAAATTCAGAAGAAAAAACTGAAAGATTCCAGGTCCTTGCTGACATCACTGAGTGGCTTAATAAGCCTAAATGTCCTTCCTCTAAATGATATTTTATCCTGTATAACAAGTACCATTATTCTTTAGGTCATTTTAAATTGGGTATTCTATCACTTGCAGCTAAAAGCATTCCAACTGACACAATAGGTCTGTGACCCAATCAAGTCTATGCAAAGAAATTATTCAAGACAATTAATATTGTCTTTTCAAACTCAGAAACATGAATACAAAAAGGAAACATAAGAATTAAACATCTGAAGAAAGAGGTTGAGTTTTAATTTTCCCAGTGTAGATACAAAAGGTAATGGTCAAAAGTTAATATGTACTATTTCCTATGAGCCAGGTCCTACGTTTGATGAATTACTGCAGTTAATCATCACAACAAACCTAGGAAATACTACTTTATAGAAGAGAAAACCAAAGCCTAGAAAAGTTAAACAACTTGCCAAGGTTATACTCCTTGATAGTGACTGAGGAGGCATTCATATTCCATATCAATTAACTCCAGAGCCTAATCATTAAGTGTAGTTAAAGATAAATGCACAATTATCTGGGTTTTTTTTTCTATGAAGAGATCTAAGTCTTCTGTTGAGCAGGAAAAGTCCAAAAAGGAAGTAAAGAACTCGAGATTGAGCGGGAAAAGTACAAAAAGGAAGTAAAGAACTTGAGAATCACAATTGTTAGGTTTGAACAACCACTGCTGTTTTGCAACGGGAAAAAGACTTCCTCAGTTTATATACAAAGAAATCATGGCTCAGAAAGAGGAAACAAATTATGGAAAGATGTCGTATAGTTAGTGGCAGAGTCAGTAATAAAATTCGGGTAATTCAGACCTTATCGTTCCCAGGCCGGAGCACTTTTCATTTCACCATACAGTTTCTGCCTTGAAATTGAGATATTGTATCTCCAGCACAAATGGGGAAAAAAAGCAAAATGTAGACAAAAAACTATGAAGGCTTACTAAGATATTTACAGAGTAGAATTCCCATATTCAATATTTATTCATTGATAAGCTTTCATATATGAGCAGAGAGACAACAAAACTGTTTACTGTGTGGATAGATAGTAATAAGAAAAATAATTTAATGAAAAAATTATTTTTCAAGATATCTATACTTCCACTGTTAAATGCTTTAAAAAATCAGATGTTCTTAGTGTGTACCCACACATTAAAGGTAGTAGAGAATACAATGACTATTTCTCATTGAATTTTCTAAAAAATGTATTTTTTAAAAAAGACAATCTTCAGAAAAACTAAGTAAACAGGCTCACTGGAGAACTATGTATCATATTCTCCCTATAGCAATGTAACCCAGTTGCCAAATTTATGATTATAAAGGAATGAGTTAGACTGCTAAGTATTAACCCTCAATCATTTGAAAATGCTCTAGCTGTACTCAAAAGAAAAAAGATGGAGACAGAGAATGTGTACAATTACTAATGTTAATACGAAGTACCAAAGGCCAAAGAGGGTGGGGAGACAAAAAGAAGATCTGATTCTGAGAATATATGGATTCCCAATAACCACTTATTTTCTTTCTTGGAAAGAATAATTTTCATGAATTAAAGTAATATAAGAGTTCACTCATTTATCTTTATCACTTCAATAAACATTCAGGTCTGTCAAACAGTATTAGAATAAAATGAAAACACAGAACTGGCTTACTCTGCAATATCAAGATATCCACAGGAAGCTGCTGCATGTAGTGGTATCCAGCCTTCATTATCAGGTTGATTAATATTTGCTCCATTTTCTACCAGAAACTTCACCATATCAACATTGTCATCAATGCAAGCCTAAAAACAAAACAGAAAGCAAGATTGGAAAAAATACGAATTAACACTCCAAATAATACATCAATAGAATAAAATTCCTACTTTGTAGCTTTTATAATATAAATATTCTCTGTAAATAAATCTGCTGCTATCTTGACTATACTCCATCAAACATGCTAATGACACTAAATTGTTAAGGGTCCTTGCTTAGGTACACATACAACAGTAGTGTATGTGCCTAGACTCTTTATGGCAACCCAATCTGGATAACAAGTACCTATTAAAATGAAGACATTATAATTAAGTACTAACAATAGTCTCTATAGCAGTGGTTCCCAAAAATGTTGTCTGCTGGGGGAAGGGGGAGTAGATTCCTTTAGGGAGTTGATTAGGGCAAAACTGTTTTCAAGAAAAAACTAAGATGTCATTTCCCTTTTTTACTTTGTTGACATGTACACGTGATGGTATAAAAGTACCAGCTGTAAAACTGCATGTGTTTTAGCACAAATAATGGCAGTGGCCAAAAAAACCCCACCTCTATTAACAGTCACTGTTTCAACCACTTTGTACTCATAATTTAAAAAAAAAAAAAAAAAAACATTGCTAAGCACAGTGGCTCATGCTTGTAATCCCATCTACTTGAGAGGCTGAGGCAGGAGGATCGCTTGAGTTTGAGTTCAAGGCTGCAATGAACTATGATCACACCACTGCACTCCAACCTGGGCAACAGAGTGAGACCCTGTCTCCAAAAAAAGTGGTGGTTAGGGGGCAGCAATTTTCACTCATATATGTCTTTGACAAAGCGGTACATATTAAATCTTGGCCCTTGTATACAGGTCTTTTTTATATTCTCTGGAACAAGATGGGAAGTGTATGTTAAAGCACCTCTTCCAAGTATGATGGTTGTCTTGATGAAAAGCACTTGTGACATTGAGATGCAAGCTGACTTAGCCACTTTTCCATGCAACATTATGTCTACTTAAATGACAAACTACAGTTAGTCTAACTTTGATTTTTGGGAGATCTTTTCTTGCAAATGAACAAAATGAGTCTGTCACTTCAAGAAAAGCAATTAACGCCAGGCGCGGTGGCTCACGCCTGTAATCCCAGCACTTTGGGAGGCCGAGGCGGGCAGATCACCTGAGGTCAGGAGTTCGAGACCATCCTGGCCAACATGGTGAAACCCCTTCTCTATTAAAAGTACAAAAATTAGCCAGGCATGGTGGAGCACGCCTAGTCCCAGCTACTCGGGAGGCTGAGGCAGGAGAATTGCCTGAACCCAGGAGGCAGACGTTGCAGTGAGCCAAGATTGCACCATTGCCCTCCAGCATGGGCAACAGAGCAAGACTCCGTCTCCAAAAAAAAAAAAAAGAAAAGCAATTAACAGTATATTTGTTGCCAATGATAAACTTTCAAGAAAAAATGAATTAGTTATTTTAATTAAAAAATGTTATTTGGTAACATGGGTAAATCGCTATTATTTTTAAATAGTGTTTTAAATCCTCAGTTTTAAACTCTAAGACTGTAAATATTAATACATACAACCAAGAAAAAATGAATTAGTTATTTTAATTAAAAAATGTCATTTGGTAACAGGGGTAAATCATTGTTATTTTTAAATGAATTAATTGTATTTTAAATCCCTGGTTTTAAACTCTAAGACTATAAATATTAATACATATAACCTGCAGAAACAAAAGCTCATTGGAATCTTCAGTAATTCTTAAGAATATAAAGAAGTCCTAAAATAAAAAAAAAATTTGAGAACTACAGCCCTAAAGTAAATAAGAAGGGAACTTTTATCAAATGCTTGCTTTGTGCCAGGTAGTATGAAAGGTGCTTTATCTATGATTTACATACATTATTCTCACAAAAACCCACTCCAAGGTACTCATTGTTCCCCACAATTGTTCCTAAAATCACTCTGTTCCAGCCACAATAGGGACCTTACTATTCCTTGACCAGATACCTCAGAGCCTTTGTTCTTGCAGTTCTCACTGTCAGGAATGCTCTGCCCCCAGATCTAAGCATGCTGATTCCTTCTCATTAAACAAATCTCAATGCAGATGTTTCTTCTTCAGGAAGGCCCTCCTAGTCATCCTTTTCAAGTAATTCCTAGTACTCTATCACATTATCAATAATATCAATAGCCACAATTTTCTTATTTATACCTATGTTCTACCTCTACTAGATTGTAAACTCCATAATTTTCAGATTAGGGATATATCTGTATGTGAATATAAGTACTTTATACCTGTCCTATGAGATAGGTTGTATTCATAAACACACTCCATTTACCCTGGGGAGGCTTTCTGGAATTGGCACTATTCATA
Organism: Homo sapiens; assembly: GCF_000001405.40. Lineage (NCBI taxonomy): Eukaryota > Metazoa > Chordata > Mammalia > Primates > Hominidae > Homo > Homo sapiens. The sequence continues at coordinate 79,875,251 of NC_000012.12, forward strand.
ATCATCATCATATTGTCCCTCCTGAGATGCAATCCCCATGTATTACCAGGACCCCTGCCCAAGAATGTAAAGTCTGTGCCATGTATTTGACTTGGGGGATTGGGAAGGTGGGATGAAATCCACTCAAGGAGCCTTTAACTTGGTGAAAGGTTTTTTCCGTCCTAATTCACACAAAGCCACTATTTGCCCAGAGGGCAAGTGGCCTCTTTTTTTCTAATGTGGGTAAAACCCAGTAAATGAACTAATTAGCTCCTATTTCCTATCTATGATAAACAACTAATACACAACTAGGAGTATGTGGGCTGATGACTATTATCTCTGTACTCTAAAAGTGTTTCTAATAAACTGATCAGTAGACATATTAATTTACACACTGTCATCTTTGGTTTATTGCCAAAAGATCTTTGTTGGAAAATTCATGTGCTACCCATTTAAATGTATAAAAAGCCCAAGTTTATTAAGAATCCGGAAGGATATTTGAAGTAGCTGTTGAAAGTAATAAAAATTGATGTGCCATTTAAAAAGTGGTTCTAATACATTTTGCTACACATAGACCATTACCTTTATCTACCCATCCCCTTAAAAGAGGCTTAAACACCAAGACAGTACTTAACCACCAAAGGAAGTTCCTGTTTGTTCATATTTGGGAAAAAAAACTATTTTCTAGGACTGAAAACACATCAACAACAACAAAAAAGGATATTAATGTCAGACTGTAACTCTTGGAGAAAACAAAAGAGCTTCTTAAATGCCACTTCAACCTAAGAAAGAGCAGTTTGGGGCTGGCTGATGAGAGATAATGGATCAGCATTATACACAAGCAATGCATAAATAAGATATGACTGTATCCACATTTCATAAATGAAGTCTTTGCTCAACTCTCACCTTTTTGGTATTGCCTTTCTTGGACAGCATACTAAAATTACAACCCCCTCCCTACCATTTTATATCCTGAGTATCTACTTTATTTTTCTCCATACCGTTTATTACAACATACTATATATACTTTGCTTACTTATTTACCATCTGTTTACCCACTCCCAGAATGAGCGTTTACTGAGAGCAGGAATTCTGCTGCATCCTCAATACCATGCACAGTTCTTGACATGCAGAATTCGGCTGCTTCCACAATACCTTGAGTTCTTGGGCTCAATAAATGAATTAATGAATGTAGGAGGAAGCTAAGATTCAAAGAGATTAAGTAGCTTGAATAAGTCACACAGACAGGAAATGATAGGGCTGGGAATCTCACAGAGATGCTCAGGTTCCAGAAACTAAGCTTTTTCTACACTTAACACACTGCTTTCCACAGATGTTCCTAGTTTATCAACACATTTCTCACCTGCAACAGGATATCACGCATTCTAGGGGCTAAGTATTACTTGTATACATGAAATAAATTTTCCTTAACTACCATAGAAACAAAAGAAATGCTTTTAGCAGCATTTCCCTAAGGAAGAAAATGACAAAGTTTCTATCAAGAAAAGCACTATACAGTGTACCCAAAAAGTTTTAAAGCGGGAGGCTGAGGCAGGTGGATCATGAGATCAGCAGATCAAGACCATCCTGGGAAACATGGTGAAACCCTGTCTCTACTAAAAATACAAAAAACTAGCCACGCATGGTGGCACACACCTGTAGTCCCAGCTACTCGGGAGACTGAGACAGGAGAACCGCTTGACCCCGGGAGGCAGAGGTTGCAATGAGCCGAGATCATGCCACTGCACTCCAGCCTGGGCAACAGAGCAAGACTCCATCTCAGAAAAAAAAAGGGTAAAAGCATTGAGAGGGAATCACAGCTTTTGGTTTTAGGTTCTAGTTCTGGCTCTGCCACAAATTTTGTGGCTGTGAACAAGTAATTTAATCTTTTTGGACGTTGGTGTCTTTATATTTCAAGTGGAGGGAAGAAGTGTGAGGGGGTATTTATCATAAAAATTCCCTACCATATTTAAAATTATTATGTATCTTCCCTCTAGAACAAGTTATAAGCAAGCTGACGGCAGTTTTCCAAAGTGCCTAGAACATATCTTACATATAACAGATGATAAAAGAATACATAGGCAACGTTGATACAGATATTGCTCAAGAAAACTATTTTTCACAGGGCAGTGGTTAAAAGAAAGAGGTTTGAGAATCACAGCTATTTAATGACGAAGAAACATAAAAAGTGTATTGTATTAGAAAGTAGTTTATAGAATGCTGAGATAAGAGAGTGACTTACTGTGACTTGCATAATCATTCACTTTCCTTGAGAAATCATACTGATTAAATTCTTTCTCTTTTCAGACAGAGTCTTGCTCTGTCGCCCACACTGGAGTGCAGCAGCACAATCTCGGCTCAATGCAACCTCCGCCTCCCGGGTTCAACCGATCCTCTTGCATCAGCCTCCTAGGTAGCTGGAACTACAGGTGTGTGCCACCATGCCTGGCTAATTCTTGTATTTTTAGTAGAAATGGGGTTTCAACATGCTGGCCCGGCTGGTCTCAAACTCCTGACCTCAAGTGATCCACTCACCTTGGCTTCTCAAAGTGCTGGGATCACAGGTGTGAGCCACCACACCCGGCTGATACTCATTAAATTCTGTTCACCTTTTTTTCTCAACCTCTTTTAAATCCCATAGGCTCCAAAACTGTATCCTGAATTTTATCCTCAGTATAAGAATATAAAACCCTACTTGATAATTATATGTAATACAAATATGATTATTCTTTTAAACCGAAAAATATCAACAAGCAAATAAGAAATGATTCTTTATAAAAGAATATGGGGAAATGCCCACAATATATTAAGAAGGTTTTTTTTTTGTTTGTTTTGTTTTTTAAGCCTACAACACTACAAAACTACAAATCTTTGCTGGGGTGATTTTTAGATAGGGATATACATAAGTGAAATTTCACTTAATTGTATACTTAAGAGTTGTATACTTTACCAATGTAAATTATACCTCAAGTTAAAAAGTTAAAAAAAAAAAACAGGCTACCATTTGAGACTACTATGTATCACTTAAAATACCTATTCCTTTAACTTCTATGTCTTGCCTCCTGAAGTTCCACATACCAAATGCAACTGGTATTCCTAGTAGTCTCCCATTCAAGTACTAACCAGATCCAACCCTGCTTAGCTTCCTAGATTAGATGAGATCAGGTGTTTTCAAGGTGGTATAGCAAGTTTTTTTTAAAAAGGATGCAAATATGGAAATGGAAAAGGATAAAAGAATATAGGAGAAAACACACAATGTATTTTTTAATGCCTAATATGATTTAAAGTTTTATATTAGTCCGTTCTTATGCTGCTAATAAAGACATACCAGAGACTGAGTAATTTATAAAGGAAAGAGGTTTGACTCACAGTTCCACACAGCTGGGGTGGCCTCAGGAAACTTACCATCATGGTGGAAGGAGAAGCAAACACCTCCTCCTTCACATGGCGGTGGCAAGGAGAAGCGCCGAGCAAAACAGGAAAAGTCCCTTATAAAACCATCAGATCTTGTGAGAACTCACTCACTATCATGAGAACAGCAGCATGGGGGTAACTGCCCCCATGATTCATTCAATTACCTCCCACTGGGTCCCTCCCACAACACATGGGGATTATGGGAACTACAATTCAAGATGAGAGTTGGGTGGGAACACAGCCAAAACATCAACTTTACTAAAAAAATTCACACAAGACTAAAAGAATGCATCCTGAAGGTTAAAAATAATGGTTGTGAGACCCACTTTTATTTTCTTCCTTAATTTTTCCTTTATTTTCAAAATGTCTACAATGAATAGTGTTTCAAGTAAAAAATTCAAGAAGTTCTTTCTTACATAAAAAGCATTAAACGGTAATGTGGAAAAACAACCAAGGCTGGGTGTGGCAGCTCATGCCTATAATCCCAACACCTTGGGAGGCTGAGGTAGGCAGATCACTTGAGGTCAGGAGTTCAAGACCAGCCTGGCCAACACGGCAAAACCCCGTCTCTACTAAAAATACAAAAATTAGCCAGGCACGGTGGCACATGCTACTTGAGAGGCTGAAGCATGAGAATCGCTTGAACCTGGGAGGCGGAGGTTGCAGTGAGCCAAGATCACGCTACTGAGCTCCAAGCCTGAGCAACAGAGCAAGACTGTCTCAAAAAAAAAAGAAAACAACCAAATTGCTGGTGAAAGTATGAAATTCACACAACCACTTCAGAAAACTATCTAATAGCATCTACTAAAGTTATGTGGAATGCATAAATACACAGGGTGGGGTGAGGTGTAGAAAGGGAGATCCTATTCACATAACAGAATCCTATAAACTGATTAAAAAAGAAAAGAACATTGAACAAAAAGAACAAAATACTGCTATCTTCAACAACATGAATGAAATACATAAATGAGTAAAGAAGGCAGGTACAAAAGGATACATACTGCAGGTCTCCAGATAAAATAAGATCTGGTGATAAGACTCAGAACCAGGGTTAAATCTGTGGGAGAATGACAGGAGGGACACAAGGGGGCTTTCCGGACAGTTGGAAATGTCCCTATCTTTGTCGGGGTGATTTTTACATAGAGATATACATATGTGAAATTTCACTGAATTGTATACTTAAGAGTTGTATACTTTACCAATGTAAATTATACCTCAAGTTAAAAAGTTAAAAAAAAAAAAGCAGGCTACCATTTGAGACTACTATGTATCACTTAAAATATGTATTCCTTTAACTTCCATGCCTTGCCTCCTCAAGCTCCACATACCAAATGCAATCCTTCTTTTAACTGATAACCTCTAAATACTCTGAAAACATTTTTTTCCCCAAGAATTCTAGCATATTCTCTGTTTACGGCTAAATATCACTAATTCCTTTAGCTATTTTTCATATTATATATACTAAAAAGTATATATGCCAAGATCGTATGAAAAAGATCACATTAAAATATAGTTGGATAGTCCATAAATAACAATGATCACATAAGGGCCATAATAGCAGTGGGTAGAAAGTACTAAAATATCACGGAGGACATAAAGAGATCTTTTTGTGACTAAGAGGGTCCATACGGGTCCCTACATATTTGAGCATAATTTTGAAGATTATATAAGAGTTCAAGTACCAAATCAACTGGCAAGAACCTCACTGAGCACAGACACTGCTGATTTTAAAAGTTCATGGAATAAACAAACAGTCAGTCAACCAGTGGTAGACAGTATCTGTAAGTTATAAAACAGGATAAGGCTAAGTGGTAAAAGATCTGAATATAATGCAAAGACTGTAGTTGTACTACAGATGATTTTCAACCTCTTTTTACCTCAACAGACGAACAGAATCTGCTATGTTCCCATCAGTAACGGTGGCTCAAGTAAGTAGTAGGAGAAAGTAGAAAAAAACACTTTAGAATTTCAAGATGATGCTTGAAAAAGCTTATTTAGAGTTTTTAGGAAGAAGGGTGACGTGATCAGATCAGTATTTCAGAAAGGTCACAGAAGCAATAAGAAGAGGAAAGGGCCTGAGCTAAACAACCACCGATATCGGCATACCTAGTTTTACTGTGCCTCATGGATACTGCATTTTTTTGTTTGTTTGTTTAAAATTTGAAGGTTTGTGGCAACCCCGTGTCAGGCAAGTGTATTGGTGCCACTTTTCTAAACATGTGCTTACCTCATGTCTGTGTCACATTTTGGTAATTTGCACAATATTTTAAATTTTTTCATTATTACTAGATCTGTTATGGTGATTTGTGATCAGTGATCTGTGATGTTACTATTTCAATTGTTTTGGGGCGCCATGAACCATATTCATAGAAGATGGTGAACTTAATTGATAAATGTTATATATATGCTCTGACCACTCCACAAACCGGCAGTTCCCCATCTCTCTCCCTTTCCTGAGGCCTCCCTATTCCCTTAGAAATAACAATATTAAAATTAGACCAATGAATAACCCTACAATCACCTCTAAGTACTCAAGTGAAAGGAAGAGTCATGTGTCTCTCATTTTAAATTAAAAGCTAGAAATGATTAAGCTTGGTGAGAAAGGTATGCTGAGGTAGGCCAAAAGCTAGGCCTCTTGTGCCAAACAGCCAAGTTGTTAATGCAAAGGAAAAGTTCTTGAAGGAAATTAAAAGTGCTACTCCAGTGAACACACAAATGGTAAGAAAGCAAAGCAGCCTTACTGCAGACATGGAGAAAGTGTTAGTGACCTGGACAGGTCAAACTAGCTGCAACATTCCCTTAAGCCAAAGCCTAATAGAGAGTAAGGCCCCAGCTCTCTTCAATTCTATGAAGCCCAAGAGAGGTGAGGAAGCTGGAGAAGAAAAGTCTGAAGCTAACAGGAAGTTGATTCATGAGGTTTAAGGTAAGAAGCAATCTCCATATCATACAAGTGCAAGGTGAAGCAGCAAGTGCTGATGGAGAAGCTGCATCTTCCAGATGCAGCTAAAATCACTGATGAAGGTGGCTACAACTAAACAATAGCGTTTCACTGTAGACACGGCAACCTTCTACTGGAAGAAGATGACATGTAGCACTTTTATAGCTTGAGAGGAGAAATCAATGCCTGGCTTCAAAGTTTCCACGGACAGTTTGAATCTCTTTTCAGGGGCTAATGCAGCTGGTGACCTTAAGTTTGAAGCCAGTGCTCATTACCCATTCCAAAAATCCTAGGTCCCTTATGAATTACACTAAATCTACTCTGCCAGTGCTCTATAAATGGAACAACAAAGCCTGGATGGCAGCACATCTGTTTACAGCATGGTTTACTAAGTATTTTAAGCCCACTATTGAGACCTATTGCTCAGAAAAAAAGATTCCTTTCAAAATATTGCTGCTAACAACAATGAACCTGGTCACCCAAGGGGTCTGATGGGAGATGTACAGGATTAATGTTGTTTTCATGCCTGCTAACAAAACATCCATTCTGCAGCTCAAGGAGTAATCTCCACTTTCATGTCTTCGTATTTAAAAAATACATTTTGTAATGCTATAGTTAGTTGCCACAGATAGTGATTCCTCTGATGGATCTGGGCAAAGTAAATTGAAAACCTTTTGGAAAGAATTCACTATTCTACATGCTATTAAGAACATTGGTGATTCATGGAAGGAGGTCAAAATATCAACATTAATGGGAGTTTGAAAGTTGATTCCAACCCTCATGGACTTTGAGGGATTCAAGACTTCAGTGAAGGAAGTAACTGCAGATGTGGTATAAACGGCAAGAGAACAAGAATTAGAAGTGGAGCCTGAGGATGTGACTGAATTGCTGCAATCTCATGATTAAAACTTGAATAGATGAGGAGTTATTTCTCATGGACAAGCAAAGCAAGTGGTTTCTTGAGAGGGAATCTACTCCTGGTGAAGATGCTGTGAACATTGTTGAAATAGCAATAAAAGGTTTAGAAAATGACATAAACTTGGTTGATACAGTGGCAGGGTCTGAGAGGATCGACTCCAATTCTGAAAGAAGTTCTACTGGGGGTAAAATGCTATCAAACAGCATCATATACTACAGAGAAATCTTTCATGAGAGGAAGAGTCAGTTGATGAGGGAAACTTGTCTTATTTTATGAAACTGTCACAGTCACTCCAACCTTCAGCAACCACTGCCCTGATTAATCAGCAGCCAACATCAAGTCAAGACCCTCCACTAGGCCAGGCGCGGTGGCTCATGCCTGTAATCCTAGCACTTTGGGAGGCCGAGGCGGGAGGATCATGAGGTCAGGAGTATGGGACCAGCCTGACCAACATGGTGAAACCCCATCTCTACTAAAAATACAAAAATGAGTTGGGTGTGGTGGCACGCACCTATAATCCCAGCTACTCGGGAGGTGGAGGCAGGAGAATTGCTTGAATCTGGGAGGTGGAGTTTACAGTGAGCCAAGATTGTGCCACTGCACTCCAGCCTCGGCGACAGAGCAAGACTCCGTCAAAACAAAAACAAACAAAACAAAACAAAAAAAACCCTCCACCAGCAAAAAGACTATGACTGGCTGAAGGCTCATATAATCACTAGCATTTGTTTTTAGCAATAAAGCATTTTTAAATTAAGGTATGTACTACAGCATTATGATTTTTTAAAGATATAATGCTACATTACATTTAATAGACTACGGTATAGCATAAACACAACTTTTATATGCACTGAGAAACCAAAAAAAATTGTGTGACTCACTTTTTTGTGGTAGTCTGGAACCAAACCCACAGTATCTCTAAGGTATGCCTGTACTCATGAAACTGTATTAAGGAAGCTTAGGAGGAAATGTTCAAGGTTTAATGAAAGATATGAAGAGTTAAGATGCAGGAAGAAGACATTCATGAAGATAAACACCACAGATTCAAGCAGCAGACTGGGAAAAGAAAGATGACAATTTTATTTGTTTTGGATATGCTGAATTTATAGGTGTCTGTACACCTATCTAACCATATAGATCTGGAGCTGTGAAAATAAATGTGGGAAGAAAATGTCAATTTGGGAATTATCTGCATTGAGGTAATAAAACAATGGGACTTGAAATCATTCAGGGAAAGAGTGTAGAGAAGTGATTTTGAAAACAGTAAGGAAAGGGGTAAGATTAAATTATGATCAGGATATTGTGCTTGGAAAACAGACATTTGTGATACCTTAGTCAGTAAACAGCTAGAAATAGAAAGTTCAAGACACCATCTAGTACAGAAGACAAATACAAAAATAGATGATTATATCAAAAGGAATATGGTAAGACAATTTCAGACACGTCCACTGGTTTTTATGAGAGCTGAGAAAAGGAGAACTAAGAAGGAATGGTGGTCGTCAGGGAATATTTCCTGGAGGTGATTCATATATTTGAGTTTAACATAAGAACAAGTGAAAAACAGGTCTGGTATATAAAGACGCAAAGCCAAATACGGTGAGGTAAGCAAGATCCAGAATAGGGTCTTATCTGCCATCTTTTGAGTAATCCTTTGACACTTAAGATAAAAGACTTTCATGACAAATTGGTAATTTTTAAAGTTTCTCCATTTGAAGAAGGTGATTACACTGGCTCTTTGAAAGACATTAACACACAGAAATAGCTATTCTCCAATAAATGAAACACTGCTAATTTTGATTTTAAATGTATATACTTTTAAGTCGACATAAGAAACACCAACAAAATACCAATACCAAAAGCAATTAATGTTAAATCTGCTTGTTCTTTTGTTTATAAATGTTTTTGAAATATTTTAATATAAATTAAATGCTAAAAGCATTGCCGCAAAATATATATCATATATCAATCTCAAATTAGTGGTGTAAATTGTTCAAACTGTTGTCCTCAACATTTATAAAGTACATACAAGAAACTGGCAAAGCATGCCCATAAAAATATTGTTGCTAGGAGAATCAAAAGCTAACACATGTAGCACATTAAGAAAAACAAGACTTGCTGACTTAAATTTCTGACTAAATTTGGTCAGTTTACTGAACCATATAAGGAAAGAAGCAGAACGGCTCAAATACACTTTCAAAATCTTATCTGACATGGTTTACCTTCAAGTTTTTCTTGAATGTAAATGCAGAACAATTACCAATAATAAATGGCTGTGTGAAGACAGTTTTGTCATTTAATTCCACGTACAGGCAGCTTTGTCAACTTGAGTTGTAAACTGATTCAAGTACATAAAACTTTAGTTTTTATTGTTCCACACATGTTCATAAGGAAAAAATTGAGAAGCCTGCTAACAAAGAGTTAACAAGGTGTTTATACAATGCTCAAAGCAGACAGAGTCCATGACTTAAAGACAGATCTTGAGATGTGTAGCTTGAAAAAACATTAAATTTCATTCCTAAAATAGAACAAGTATGTTTAAACAAACATAATTAAATTGAGTAAACTTGCCATCACAAAACAAGTAGCATTTGAAATAAATTCTAACATTGTTATATTCCTTTTCTTGAAATTATTTTTGTTAAAAGTACAAACTCTAGAGCCAGACTGTCTGGAATTAATCCAGTTCTGCCATTTACTGGTTGGGTGTTCTTGGGTAAACTCCCATCTTGTGTGCCACAGTCTCCTCCTGAAAATGAGGATAATAATAGAACCCACTACCTCAAAAGTTTACTATGAGAAATATATGAATATATACAGCGCATAAAGTAGTACCTGTCAAAAAGTTAAACACTATTGTTTATATAGTCCATGCTAATTCTTCCCCATTTAAATTATTTTCTCCTTTTTATATTATTATTCTAGAATGCATTTTTATCCCACTATAAATTATGAAACAGTTAAATGGCAAAGAATTGTCAAATATTCCTTTTAGTGCCACTTTTGGTGGCAGGTGGCAGGTAAGAGTCCCACCTGCCAAAAGTTTCTAAGAGGATGGTTAAGTTTTAAAAGATGCCCTAAGAAAATCTTAGGGATTACAAACATCCTTCAAACAAACTTTTCTGCAAACTCATTCATAAGTTTATATATGATTCAGAAGAGCAAAGCAAAAGAAAAGAGTTGTATAAATGTAATTATAACAATTTAGGTGAAAATGAAATTATAGTCCATTACCCGAAATGCTTGCAATTTGTGCCTAATCATTAGGAACAGCTAATTATTGATAGGTAATAGGCAAATTAGTTTGAATTACTTTGAATACAGAAGTTCTCTTAGTCAATTTCCTCTTCACAGAAACAATTCCTTTTTTGTTTGTTTTTTGTTAGAGATAGTGTCTCACTATGTTGCCCAGGCTGGTCTAGAACTCCTGGCCTCAAGCAATCCTCTTGCTTTGGCCTCCCAAAGTGCTGGCATTACAGGTGTGAGCCACCACATTCAGCCAAACAGAAACAATTCTTTATGACTCTTACGACAAGCTCAACTGGTACAAGCAGAAATTGTGTGTATATACTAGAAAATATTTCATGCCCCAAGCATTCAGGGCGACATAAATGTCAGTATGTTTAAAGAGGAACTGAATTGGATACTGTCCAAGCAATGTTTTTGTTCTATTTTAAAGAAAACTGAAGTGGGACATTTCAAAGGAGGAATTATGGGTGTGGTTTACACAAGAAAGACAAAGAAAAACTCCAAGCAGTACTCCTATACTAAATAATAAAAAAGAAAAACCTAGCTCTTGCATTAGAATACTGGCAAATGAAAAGCAAGTACAATTTTAGGAGGCCGTCTATATTTAGTTATGAAAACAAAGAGTCCAGCATTGCATTTAAATTGACCTTTTCTCACCTTTCTACTACCTCAGGTGTGAAAATCTAGATGTAAAAACAGAAATCTATCCACACAATAATTAAATATTCAAATGAGATTCAAATGACAAGATGACTAGAACAAGAAATCCAAAACATACACAATGGCTAGACCATAGGGAACTCTTCATTTGGACAAACAAAAGTTGAGGCTTATATATAGTATCTAAGAGTAATTATAGAAGAACAGTGTCTGACAAAGAGAGATCACAATATATATTTGTTGACTGAATGAACTAGACATAGCAAATACAGGATATAAAAAAATCTGACGAAAACAATTCAAGACAAAAAACCCACAAAAGTTTCTAAAGAAAAAGTAATTTAATTACTGTATAAATATTCATTCAACAAATACTATATATTTGAATGAGAATGCCAAAAACTAGAAACCACAAATATCCAAAGATTAAAATATGCTCTTTATCTATTCTTGTTACATAGCTCTGTTATTTCCTTTACTGATAAAAATCTATAAAGTAGTACATTGAACCTAGATTTTTAGAAGCCAACACTTTTATTTGGGGACTTAGTAAGGGCACAGAATTTCTTCTGGAGTTTAGTCATTAGGGATACAAAATAAATTGAACTTCAGGGTCATTCTTTCATGAATAATTTTTACTGACTGCCTACCACATATAACGTAATGCAGTAAGTCATTCATTTTGGTAGATACAAAGACCAACACTAGAGGGCATATTTTCCTGTTTCCTTTGTGCACAATGCCTAGCATACAGCAAATACATAATACATATGTAGTGAACCAAAATACTAATTTCTTAAATAAGTAGGCATTTATGACCTACTGTGTGTATGTATACATAAAACTGTATTAAGTACTGTGTAAGACATGCTGACTTTATTAGTATTTTATGTATTTCCACTCTTCTCCTGGCTAGATTATAGTTCCTTAAGAATAGAAACTGCCTTACACATTCCATAATTCCTGACAGTGCTATTTCAATAAATTTTTGTTGATGAACTAAAATAAACAATCTTGTCCACAGGATGCCCAATTAAGAAAAAAAGATAAGCAAGTAAGTAGAAAAATGCTATGAAATTTAACAGCGATATAGCGAAATAAAGGAAAACTCAATATGTGAATGGAAATAAGTTATAAGAAAACTTTTTGGAGAAAATAAATGTTATGCAGGTCTCATTACTGTCTGCACTCTGGAGACAGGGTGGAAGGCAGATACAGAGAAAGGTTTCCTTGCTGAATTCTATCGTTTATCAGATGTGGTTCACAAACTCAGCTAGAGGGGTTTAATCAATAAATACACTCAATAAATATACTAATGCGAAAATTTTAGTTTCAGGGAAACAAAAGCTTCTACTTACTATTTACTTAAAAAACAAGTTACAAAAGAATACTCATAATATGACACAATTCTTGCTGTTGCAATGTCTAATGAAAAGCCTGGAAGACTACACACCAAAGCGTTAATTAACACTTTAAGTCATTAACCTCTTAAAGTCACTGAGTTATTTCCCAAAAACATCTCTACAGTAAGGACATAAAATTGTTACAGTCTTCCAAAACAAAACATTAACATAGTTAATACACATAGTTGTTAACTAATTGTTTCTTGATGAAACAGTGTTCAGCAAAACAAGTGGGCCATAAAGAGAACAGATTAATAATTCAACAATTATTTACTGAGTGTCTGCTACAGCCAGACACTATGCTGGCTGGTAGGAATACAATGGTGAAGTATACAGACCAGATACCTGAATTCACACAGCTTAGAGTCCAGCACAAGACACGTAACTAAACACACAACAACAAAAAGAGCTATGATAAATGCTATGGATTTAACTAAAGTACTTAACCAATATTTGGGGGAGAGGAGAAATCAAAATCTCTGAAGGTGGTGCCCAGAAATTTCCTCTTTAAAGAAGTTGCCCATCTAACTTGTAAAATACATTAGATTGTGAACCACTGATACCCACAGTAACCAAAGCTAGAGGAATAAATAACAAGGCACAAGCAGCATGTGTAAAAAGTGATCAGAGAAAGCTACATCAGAACCCAGAGGGCATGAGTATTTAAGAAAGGGGAAACAACAGAGGGTTGAGAAGCAGTAGCTTGAAGAGGCAGGAGGGAAAGAAATAAAATGCAGTTACATAGAAGCAAGGGGAAAATGGAAAATAGAATTATAAGAAGTTCTTCCTAGTAAAAATGGCAGAGTGAAGCCACATTTTACAGAATCCATGTCCTAAATAAACACTAACCCTTACTTACATAGCACTTTTATACGTGCCATGGAACTGTTCCAGGTAGTTTACATATACTAATTCATTTAATCTTCACAACAACCCAGTAAGTGAGAACTATTACTACCATTTAACAGATGATAACTGGCAAAATTCAGGATTTTAACCCAGCAGTCTGGCTTCAGCATCTGTACCCCTAACCAATAGGCTACACAACTAAACAGCAGCAGCAAAAGGTAAAATAACACCCCAAAACAATTTGGTTCTATCTATCAAAATTCAAAGGCACATATCCCTTGACAGTGCAATTTCATTCTAGGAATTTATTCTGCAGATACAATCACATGTGCAAAATGACATGTACAGAATTATTTGCTAAGTTCTGGTAAGTGTAAAACTGGAAACAATTTAAATGTCCATCAATAAAGAACTAATTTATGGACTAATATGAAACAAATTCCTGGATATTTTGCAAAGTGAAAAGAACAAATGTAAAACACGAGTAGTCTCTGACCAATGTGATATATTTTGTGTGTGTGTATTTGTTCACATATGGATTATCTCTAAAAAGATACAGAATAAACACTATGGCAATTGTGACAGAACATGTCCAGTTCAACTGAAGGCCCTATAAGGGAGTAGGAAATAGAGCCCTAGTAAATGAATGTCACAGCAAGGAATGGCCTACATAGTAACATGCAGAAGAGAAAGCTGATGGGCTCTCACTTTGCTTCTTTCTCCACCAGCCTAGTGATAGAAAAGACAACAAAATCCAGGCTCTGAGCTGCTCCCCACTGGGTTCCTCATGCCAAGTGAGCCACAATGACCACCAACACATGAGGTAGGGAGACACTGACTGGGAAATAATATCTCCCATATCCCTGTATCTTTATCTGGTTTACAACATTTGTACTGTTCACTTGCTATTTTGATACAATTCTGCACTGGTTCTAAACTTTTCTTGCCAATCCTTGAATACAAATCAGCCCTCTGTAGTCTAACCTAATTCAGCAACTATGAACAACACATACTACAGGAAGAAAAAATTAAAAAGAAATGGTGGGGTTGGGGTTAATGTGTCTTGGTTTGTTTGAGCTGCTGTCATTTTTAAAATATCATAAACTGGGGGACTTATAAGCAGCAAACATTTATTTCATAATTTTGGAGTCAGAAGTCCAAGATCAAGGCACTGGCAGATTCCATGTCCAGTGAAGGTCTGCGTCCTGACTCATATACGTATCCTCATATGGTGGAAGGGCAAGCAGCTCCCTTGGGCCTCTTTTATAAGAGCACTAATTTCAATTTAAAAGGGTTCTGCCCTCATGACCTAACCATCTCCCAAAGGTCCCATCTTCTAATACCATCACACCTTGGGGTAAGGAATCCAAGATATGAATTTTTAGGCATGACAGAAATATTCAGACCATAGCAGTATATAAGCATGTAAAACTTCAGATAGAGACAGCAGTGTGGAAGAGGACATAACTTGAAAAACCAAAGAAAATGCCCTACATTTTGAGGCTACTTAATAACATTGAATAAAATAAGAGATCAAAGGTGGATGATAAATCTTATTTAACAACAAAATAAGCACGGTTGAAAAACTCATACAAAGTAAATTAGAAAGGATTTAAATATCATACACTCTAATAAGGTAGAAATAGTAACATGGCTAACAAAATGAGATGAAGATTAAAATGGATGAGTGCTGACTTCCTCATCTTCCCCAGTAAGCAACTAATTGAGTAAGTCCAAAATTGAAATGTAGTTAAAAATTATCCTACACAAAAATATCCACTGAAATGTTTTCAGGCCTATCTTCTAAATCTTAAAGAAATCCTTAAGAAAATACTCTCTCTAGTTGTAAAGGAAAATTTACCCAAATTTGAACCGTTACTTCAGTCTTCTAACATTTTTTAATTAAAATAAGCATATGTAATATGCATCCTTTTTAACAAAAGTATATCAAAGGATTTGTATAAAGAGATTCTGAAAAGATGCTTTCTAATTAAACAATGGTTAGTTACGGACAATCAACATTAATTGAACAACTTACTTTTTAACATAAAGCATGGAGGCCTAGCTCAAAACCGTTTTAAAAGAGAGCCAAACCTTGCCTGCAATAAACTCATAGGCCATCAGACATAAGCATACACATAGATAAATTTCTAATATTAACTCTCTAATCTCAAATTCTCCTTACTCCAGTATACATAGGTAACTTCAGAAACCTCAAGAATACACACACACCACCCACCCACACCCACCCACACACACACACACACACACACACACACACACACACATTCACTCACTCTCTCTCTCTCTTTCTCTCTCTCTCCAATTGAGAAAAAGGGGAAAGGTTTTGGAAGAGAAGGGAAATTTTTTTTGTCATGTCATGACATGGAAAGAAAAAAAAAGTTGGAAGGCAGGGGGGAACTACATTCCTGAATCCTTTTCAGAAAGAAAGAGCAAAGATATGTATAAGAGAGACTGAGAACCTAGTAATTATTCAGCTATATTCAGATATGTTTTTAAAAAAATAAAAAATGAAGTTAAGAATATATAATTCTGGATCCTGGGGATGATGAAGGATTGAAAAAATCTTATATGGTTATCTTAACTAAATAATATTTTCCATTTTAGACAACCAAGTTACTCTGCATTTCTGGGACCACTGATAAGGGGAGTTGAGGAAACAGGAGTTAATACTTCAAAGTCACAAAATAAGAGGGGCACTGAACATTTAGATGGGGGCAGAGGGGAAAGAAGCAAAGATAAAATTGATTCAAGTATCTTGTTGAATAGTGAGAAAGGGAGATAACAAGCAGCTCTTAAGGCATAATAAATAGGAACCAACTGCTAAGTACATGGCAATGTAAATTGAAGAATGTAAAATACCACAAATATTATATTAGTTTGCTTATAGTAGGTAGCCTCTAAGGTGGCAATGATCACTACCTCATGGTAGTCACACACTTGTGTAACTGCCTCCCCTAGACTGGGTGACTTGTTTCTTACAAACTTAATGAGACAGAAGTAATAAGATGTCACTTCTGAGATTAGGTTATAAAAAGACTATGGCTTCCATCTTGGCATGCACCCTCCTCTCTTGCTCTCTCCTGGATCACTCACAACCTGGGATAAGCCAAATGTCATGCTGGAAGGCAGCCATGTTGAGAGACACATGTGGCAAGGAAGCAAGGCCTGCCAATAACATAAGTGAACTTGGAAGCAGATCCCCACCCTACCCTACCCAAGCCTTCAGATGAGATGGCAGTCCCAGCCAATAGCTCGAGGAAAATATCATGAGAAACCTTTAGTCAGAAGCACCCAGCTAAGTCATATCCATTCCTGACCCACAGAAAGTGTGAGCTAATGTTTGGTATTTTAAGTTTGGGGGTAATCTACTATGCAGTGATAACTAATGGCCATACTGTTGGATTTTGATGAATGTATAAAGTATTCATACCAGTCTTCACTGCTTAAGCTTATGTGTATCCAAACATTATGTTCCCTTCCGCAACTTATAATATCTGTCTTTTCTCCTGTATTTTCACCCTTCTTAAATGTCATCAAGTAAGAGTTACCTAAACTTAGTCCTCTCTCTCCACTTGCACAAATTCAAAGCTCTAATAACACTAGACCACCCTCCATTTCTTAAACATGCCCAATCCGAAATTATAACTTGAGAACCAAAAAATAATAATTGTCTGATAATGTGGCAGTACTCATGATTAACAAGTAAAAACTATACAAAACAACAGTCTAACCAGAGTTATTCTAATAAATAATAAAAATTATTATTCGTTTAATATTTACTTTTGAGGAGACAGGGCAAATGGCAATAATTTTTTTAAAAAAGAAATGTCAACTTTTATACATTTGCATTGAGGGAAATATAAATTTTCTGCTGCATAATTCATTCATTCAATCATTTTCTTCGATGCTAGTACTTTTATATTTAAAGTTTTAACACCTCTTCAAAGCATATCACTATCCTGTCAAAAGGGGAAGTAATAGGGCAGAAATAAGAACACCTGAATTTTTAATCTGCCTCCTGAAACAACTGTCAGTATGGAGCCCTTCTGAGAGTAAAGTTACTTAAAAAAAAAATTATCATAGTATTTCCAAACTGTTTCCATGAAACTACTGAATGGCAAATGTTAATAAATGCTCTTTGAGGTCAGGCGTGGTGGCTCATCCCTATAATCCCAGTACTTTGGAAGGCCAAGGTGGGCGGATCACTTGAGGTTAAGAGTTCGAGACCAGCCTGGCCAACATGGTGAAACCCCGTCTCTACTAAAAATACAAAAATTAGCTGGGAGTGGTGGCGAGTGCCTGTAATCCCAGCTATTCAGGAGGCTGAGGCAGGAGAACTGCTTGAACCTGGGAGGTGGAGTTGCCGTGAGCCAAGATTGCGCCACTGTACTCCCAGCCTGGGCGACAAAAGCAAGACTGTGTCTCAAAAAAAAAAAAAAAAGTAATTAACTACAGTAATTTAGGACTTTTAACTTCTCTGGAGGAAGATAAAGGGTGCCCTGAGTAATGGATGACACACTGTTAGACCCTACAGATTTCTCCTCAATTTAGTCTTTTACACCTTAAGCCTTTATTTCCAATGTCTTCTCCAGCCTATGTTAATGTAGCTAAGGTTGAATAACTGCCTCCCACTATTTTCGGTGATATTATAACATACCTGTCCTAACATACTTTAAAAATTGTATAATTATCTACTCGTATGTACTATCTTTACATTCATCCCTTTTCTCCCCCTTCTGCCTCCACTACACTACGGGCTCTCAAACAGGCTCTCAAAAGCAAGAACCCATCTTAGTTGTTACTATATGTACAGTATCTAGAACACATTAGACAGTAATCAAATGCTGAAGGAAAGAAACCTTGTCTACAAGTATGATTTAGCTTCATTAGTAGGACTAGGAAATAGTTTGCCAATACTTTGTCACCTGTAAATCACTGTGATCAGAGAAATTTTTCTGTATCATAGCTGACTTACTACAGGAGAATGGATACATTGTAAAAACCTTTTCCAATTTTCTTTTGTTAAACAGGCAAATAACACTTTCCTTTTTCCTACATGAAAAATGTGTAATTGATACTAAAAATTTTCTACAGACTATTAAACCATCTTGGAGTTAAATGTATAAATAAGTGATACTCATGACCACTCAGAAAAATCATATCCTTCAAGGCAAAAAGATAACTGTACTTAGAGCTAAATAAGAACATACCAGAGTACAAGTAAGTTATCCTAGCATCCCTTTGTCACTTATCACTGCTGCTCCTGAATGTTCACCTCATTATCACCTGTGCCCTCTATTCAGGTAGCAGGAGTTCCATGGCAGAAAGATTCCAAGGAAGTAATAATTTTGCTTTCACCTTCCCTAGTATTTACCATCAATGAAACCTACACTTCCTAGTTACACCACATGAAGATCTAACCCCTCTCTACCTTTATAGTGACATAACATAATGAGACTGCTTTTAAGTTTCCTTTAAAAAATTACATAACCAATAGCATATAATGTTCTGTTAAAATAACAGCACTGTAGCATAAAACTACTGCCACAAAAGGAATTCCTCCCTCTACTAAGACAGACTACCAACGCACAGAAGGTTCTTAGTAATTTAACTACTGTGGTAATAAAGTCAGGCAAAAAGACAGAACTGAAGACAGAGTAAAAGACAGCTAGTTGGTTTTTTTCTTTTCTTTCTTTTTTGGAGTGGTGCCTTGCATTTCACTAGAAATCTAAAAGCTAAGTCTTGACCATATAAGGCTTTGGGATTCCCATGGATAGAAAGATCAAGGAAAAAGTCACATCTAATAATCTTAAAATACACACACACAGGTACTAAGCTATCATCCGAGGATTCATATTTTTAAATTCTAGTTTCACTTAAACATACTGTCATAGATCCCAAAAATGTTCCTATAAAATATTATGATCAAATTCACAAAAAGGAGTATATATATAAATCGTTGATATTGCCTTAAAAAAAAGTCTTTTATTGGAAATCTTCCTAAAATCTATCACGCACTCCTTTGTCATTTTAAACAAATACAAAAATGTAATTTAACTTTTTTCTATTAACTCATTATTGCATCAGTTATTACACTCTGCTGTTACACAACAATGTCCTTATAACCAATAGCTTACGCAGCTAAAACACCTAACACGCTTTTTGGGAATTATGTTTGCTTTTAGCAGGTTGTCCGCCTTTCGTCTTGCTTTCAGCTGTCTCCTCTTAAAACTATCTGACAACTTTTTATCTTCCATACTAATCTGCAACTCTTAATTTGCCAAAATTTTTTTTAAAGAGCCTAAAATAAGAGTACAAAAAAATCACGTGAGGACTTCTCCCTAGTAAAATAAAAGTCTTTATGCTTACGTGTGTGGATTCTACAACTTCTGTGTCAGTTCTATGAGTAATGATTATTTCCCAGATATTTTTAAGTCATAAAGTTTCCAATATGGGGGGAAAAGTTTATTAAGAAATTATGCCCTGTAAAATGTAGAGGGCTAGCCCATAGGCAAGTAATGTCAAAACTGACTACTGCTGAGAAAAAGCAAGCTAACATTATTGGCAATGTTTTCTTCACATGGAGATAATTAAAAAGAGCAATCACATGAAGCAACTCCTGCAGATAATTTCAGGGTTCCTGGAAAAAAAAACAGGAGAAACTCTAAGAAAATGTAGAAAGATTATATGCTAATACTTTATCTTTGTATTATTTACATTTTATTTACAATTCTGCCTACTCATGACTTCAAAATTAAAATATACTAGTAAATCACTGTATGATGTAATTTTTAAGTACTATAGAACCAAAAAAGGGGAGGGAAATAGAAGCAGCTCAGCTTACAAAACAGCAATGTATAAAGCTCAATGGAATAGTTATGTCTGATCCAAATGGAACACTATTTTCTGATACAGCTATTTCATCTTAAGAGAACAGACTGTATACATAAGACATAAAGGTATACCCCAAGCCTCTATTTTATTATAGTAATAAACTTCCTCTTCCAGAGAATAGCTTTCAGAAAACCACAGTTTGACATCAATGCCCTTCACCAGCACTGCTACTCTGTTCAGATTTTGTCAACAATTACTATCATCTGTAAGGTACTATATGCTGGGAATACAAAAAAATGAATCATGACTAATACCGAGCCTTATTAAATATATGATTTTAACAGACTCAATGTGAAAACAAAATAATACAGCAAATGCTGTATTTTGTAGGAGCTCAGAGATTAGGGAGTAGCCTAAGTAAGAGCAAGGCTTCTAGGAGAAACCTGATCTATGTCATTAAGGATAAAGAAATGGTGAAGGTTAAAACAATTTTTTTTTTTAAAAGAGGAGTAGTATATCAAATAGAGAACATTTAATATTGCTGAAGGGTCATAAAGTACAAGAAACAAAAGTAGGTGATTAGAGAGAATTAAGGAGAGATAAGAAGAAGGGGTTGTGACTGGCCTTATAAACCATGCTAGGAGGACCTAAATTTATTCTGGTACAACAGAATTTTTCAAATATGAGTAACATAAGACCTTTCTAAAACATCCCTAATATTGACTAGAATTATTTTTGTTACAAAGTTATTTAAATAGCTAATAACATAAACCTAGGCCTTTATATATGTTTCAGTGCATATCTAAACCAAAATAAATTTTATTTATTTATTTGTTTGAGACACGGTCTCACTTTCGTCACCCAGGCTGGAGTGCAGTGGCTCGAACATAGCTCACTGTAGCCTCAACTTCCCAGGCTCAGGTGATTCTTCCACCTCAGCCTCCCAAGCAGCTGCGACCACAGACGTGCCACCTTTCCCAGCTGATTTTTGTATTTTTTTGTAGAGACAGGTGTTCGCCACATTGCCCAGGCTGGTCTCAAACTCCTGGGCTTAAGTGATGCTCCCATCTCAGCCTCCCAAAGTGCTGAGATTAAGGCGTAAGCCACTGAGGCCAGTGCAAAATATATTTATACATTTTCTTGCCATTTTCTCTTTAGTTCGTAAAGGGGTGAGTGATGCCATCTCACTGTGAATTGGCCCCCACTTATTGCAAAGATGATTTAAATCCATCTTGATCTTTCCTCATTTGTGTATGACAATAAACCTATTCTATTTGGCACCAACTCACAGCATAAATGCAATTGTATGCAACTGAAATCAAGAAGGAGTGTATCAGTTCTAAAATAGTAATTCATCTTGTTCATCTATCTAGTTATCCATTCTCATATAGTTTAGATTATCCTCACAGCAAAAATTCAAAAATTAAAACAACCTCGTTGAGGTGGAGATTAAGAGAATAAGTTTCAAGAAGGCTTCCTAAAGACTTCCCAAGAACGATCCAGCAACCCCATTGCTGGGTCTATACCCCAAAGAAAACAAATTGTTCTACCAAAAAGACATATGTACTTGCATGTCCATTGCTGCGCCATGCACAACAGCAAAAACATGGAATCAACCTAGGTGCCCATTAATGATGGACTGGATAAAGAAAACGTGGTATTAAACATACACACCATGGAATTCTAGAGAGCCATAAAAAAATAACGAAATCATGTCTTCTGCAGTAACATGGATGCAAGGTGCAGGTGAAGGCCATTATCCTAATTGAATTAATGCAGGAACAGAAAACCAAATACCATATGTTCTAACTTATAAGTGTGAGCTAAATATTGGGTACTGTATTCATGGACATAAAGATGGCAACAACAGTGGGGAGTCGGGGAGGGAACAAGGGAGAGTGGGAAGAGTTGAAAAACTGTTGGGTACTTTGCTCAGTACCTGGGTAATAGATACATCACATAATATACCCAGGTAACAAACCTGCACATGTACCCTCTAAATCTAAAATAAAAGTTGAAAAAGAGAAAAAAGAAAATCAGGTTACCAAAAAGCAAAACAAAACAAAAGAAAAAAAACAACAAGCCTCCTAAGTTCTAGGTTTATGTGATCAAGTGGAGGATGATGCCAGTTACTTCCAAATGTTTCACTGTGAAGACCTTAGAACTCTGAAATTCAGCAGAGAAGAACGTGGTACCACATCCTGCATCTCCTCCACCCTTTTTAAACTGAATCTTCTTTTGTCCTCATTGTGAATTCCTGACCCTTGACTCATTCCAACTCTTCCAGTCTACCACCATTCACAGGCTTTACTTGCCTCCTCTTTACTTCAACTACACATTCACTGCACCTCAGGATTCTTGGTAACCCTTGCCAATCTCTAGGACTGAGTAATACCATTAATTTGCTCTGTTCTCCCACACAGATGCTGTCAAACAATGCTAGGAGAATTTAGAAACTATGTGGATTTGGTCCTCAATGACTTCACACTAAACTCAGTGTAATACTCTACCAGCAGATATTTTTTAAATGTCTACTGCCAGAATTCCTAACACATTCTATTTATCACCTCAAATCTCTGACATTTGCCTTAAGATCTCATCAGTACCAAATCCCACTGATCCACAATCCCACTTATAATAAATATCCAATAGCTGGCCGGGCGCGGTGGCTCACGCCTGTAATCCTGGCACTTTGGGAGGCCGAGGTGGGCGGACTGCCTGAGCTCAGGAGTTCAAGACCAGCCTGGGCAACATGGTGAAACCCTGTCTCTACTAAAATACAAAAAGAAAAAATTAGCCAGGTGTGGCGGTGTGCACCTGTAGTCCCAGCTACTTGGGAGGCTGAGGCAGAAGAACTGCTTGAACCCGGGACGTGGAGGTTGCAGTGAGCCGAGATGGTGCCACGGCACTCCAGCCTGATGACAGAGTGAGACTCTGTCTCAAAAAACAAATAAATATCCAATAGCTATACCCTTACACTATGAAGAAAATGGAAATGGTCAACGGCTATTATCTAAAGATTTCATTCTTTCCACATAAGTTTTTACAGTTTCACACTCCTCATCTTCCTTCCCCTTTGCTGCAAACGAAGAAATAGTCTACCACTCACAAACTGAACTTCTAATGATTTCTTACACAAATGCCTTCTACTTTTCCATCTTCATGTTGCAATATTTTGCCCTGTACTTTAGCCAAACAAAACCAATCACTAGTCCAATTCTTAACCTGCTGTTTCTCCTATTACTACTCCCTCCTCCTATAATGCCTTTCCGACATCTCTGCCTCTATACCAACTCACACCCTCCCTCAACCAAAACAAATCTTTTCCATCCTTCTACATCCTAAGATCTACTTAAATAAAAACATTTTTAAAATTTCCTTATGCTACCTTCCATATATACTATTCCTCTTTTCCTTCGCATTTTATTGTATGAAAATGTGCAAACATATAGCAAAGTTGAAAGAATTTTACAGTGAACACCTATATAATCACCATCTAGATTCTACTATTAATATGCTACTACTTGCTCAGCACACTTATCTATCCACAGTCATTTATTTACACATTAATACAGCTACTTTGAAAGTACCAAAAAAGTAAAACTGTAGAGTACATGTCTCCCTAAATAACTCAGCATGTTTGTCATTAATTAGAGTTCAATATATTTCATTTTCTTTTGATGCAAAATTTAGATACAATGAAATGCAGAGATCTTAAAAATATATATATATATATATATATATATATATATATATATATATATATATATTCACTGTCTTATCAATGCATAAACCAGTGCACACAACCTAACCTGTATCAAGATTCAGAACATACCATTACTACAGAAAATTTTCCCATGTCCCTTTCTGGTCTGTCTCTCCCATTCAGAGTCAACTACTGTTCTGGGTTTTTTTTTCCACCACAATAAATGAGTGGCCATTCTAAAACTTCATGTAAATGGAATCTTAGAACGTATCTTTATTTTGTGAAAGGCTTCTTTTAGCAAAATGTTTATGAGATTCATTCATGTTGTTGTGGTTATCAAGTAGTTCATTCCCTTTTATTGCTGCATAAATATTCCCTTATATATCTATACCATAGATCATCCACTCCACCACTGATAAACACCTGGGCTATTTCTAGTTTTTGACTACTAAGAATGAAGTTGCTATGAATAAGTCTTCTTAGAACGTATGTTTTCTTTTTCTCTTGGCTAAACATAAGGAGTGGAATTTCTCAGCAGGTATACACTGACTTTTATAAGAAAATACCAAACATCTTTACAAAGCAATTGTACCAATTTACATCACCAACAATGAGAGTTCCAATTGTGCCACATCATCGCAGGCATTTCATGATGCTCATATCAAAGGTTTTTTCATTTTGGCCTTTCTGATTAGTGTAACATCTCCCCTTTTTTGAATACAATAGGCATTGGTTGTACCATTCATGTTATTTTGCATATTATTCATATATTTGTCTTGTCTCTATTAAACTATATGCTTCCTGAAGTTATGAACTGTGTGTTAGCCATCCTTTCCACCCTGCAATATTTACAGCAGAATGCTTTGCACCTGCTAGAACAATAAATACAACTTTCATTCAATTGTTTAATAAAACTTCTTTGCCTTTCCTGTTTGGATAAGCCAGGGCAAAAAAATTCAAAATGCAGATCTGTGAAATAAGGTAACAGATAATGAAGAGTTAGCAATGGCCCTCCAATTTTATCAGTCCTCTACTAAAATACAAAACATCCTTATAACAATTTATTATGCTGCCTGTCCTATAATGATGTCATATCTACACACATGCATATAGAAACATACAGAGGCAGCAAATAAGCTCCATGTAAACTCCACCAGTGCAGGGATTTTTGTCTGCTTTGTGAATTCATTGATGGATTCTAGGGTCCACCACGTAATAGGCACACAAATATTTGCTGAATAAATACACACAAAATACACATTTCCGTAAATGTGCCTTTGAAACAAATGGCAGGGAACTTAAATCATGAACAAAGCTTTTCAAGGCTATAGCTTTAACATCCTTAAACCTAATACCCATGAACATATCTTTCAGATATATATTTCAGTTTCTGTCCAGGATTTTAAAGTATTTCCCAAGGTGTATCTTCACACCATCAGAATGGTAATTCTCTGTAACGTAATTACATGACTTTGGGGTGTATACACAACGAATTTTAAGAGGAGAAGGCTCCTAAATAGTCACCCCAGATGTACCAAAATCAATGCAGCAATCAATGACATGTCATAAACCATAGTATAGAAGGATTGTCCATCTATTAAAAATCTCAGTTTAACTATTCATCTGGGTATCCATGCACCAAATAAATCAGGAGGAGAATTTCCAAGTGTCCATTCTCTTCAAGGCCCGAAGATGAAGTCCTTGAAACAGGTTACTGTGAAGAGAATCCTTCATACCATTAAACATTTCCTGAATATCTAGCAATCAATGTCCCAGGTACTATGTTAGGTGAGAAGGCTATAAAGACAAAATCAAGAAACTTCTATTTTGGGTGGAAGGAACAGTTAAGTAAATAAACAATTACAGAACCGTTACAGAAATATGAAAGAATGTAAGAACACACAATAGAGGGCTCTAGATCGGGAACCAATTAGGATAAGCTTTTTGGCAGAAGTAACTGTTTGAGATGCCTGATTACATGAGCCAGCAAAGTAAGGATCAATTCCAAAGGAAAATTTTAGTAGTAATCACACTCAAACACCAGCTTTCTCCAGACCAGGTGATCCCTTTCAGTAGGGCTCCTTTGATTACTGAAGGGCAGCTGAAGGACATTTGGGTTGTTGACATGACACCTGAAGGGCATCTGAGTTGTTTTCAGTTCTTGGTTATTATAAATAAAGCCACTATAAAAATGTACATACAACTTTTTGTGTGAACATGTTTTCATTTCTCTGGAGGTAAAAAAGTAAGCTTACTGCAACTTAACTTGGTCCTTGTTTGTGAATGGTGTCATTACAAAAAAAAAAAGTATGTGAAAAGTGCACAGCTTCCTTAAAGGTAAATATTACCACACAATAATCATAACAGCTATTAACTGAATATGCACCCCAAAAAGATGAAGAAGCAAGCAAAAGCAAAGCAAAAATTAGATTAAGATCCAAAGAGAAGTTACTCAATATTTTAACTTAATTGCTCAACAATTATTTACTGAGAACTCACTATGTGCCAGGCACTAGGATAATGCTTGGGTTCACTGCTAGACAAATAAACAAACAAATAAATACGTAATTACACCCTAGGAGAAGAGGCATGAAAGAACAGGGCGCTAATAGGAAAAGACAGGTTTCTGGAGAATAAGACACAGAGTCAGGGAAAACTTTCCCTGTTTCCCTTTTACAAAACTTAAAGAACGAATAGGAGTTAAGAGAAGGTGAGGATAAGGGATGGAAAGACTGTTCTATGCAAAGGGAAAATATAAGAGCTGGAGATATGAATGGGCTCAGGATATTTAAGGGTCTGAAGGGAAGTGTAGCTAGAATACAGATTAACAAGAGAAGAGACTACAAAAGTCAGCAGATCCAGATAAGTCTTGTTAAAGATTTGAGATCTTATTCCCTAACAGCTTGGTTCAACTTAAAGAGTGTCAACTACTTCATATATCTCCAATTATTTTAAGAGAGATGTAGAATTCCAAAGCAGATTTCAGTATCAAATCTATAGTAAGTGTTTCTAACAAACAACACCATTTCCTCTAAGCCTCAAGTGTTACTAATAATATCAGTACCGATGCTTAACCTGAAAATATGACATTTCTTCTTAAGCCCTTTCATTAGTACTGCGTTTTATATATTATTTTATACATACAGTATTTCATCTAATCCCCACAATAAATTGGTCCAATTTTTCTAGCAATTTTATGCTAGAGTCTTGAAATCTTTGACACCTCAAATTGAAAAAAAGTGATATTTTTATTTTAAAATTAAATGAGATTCAGTTCAACAAACATTTACCTCATAGACAAGTTACCAGTTTTCAAAGAGATTTTTTAAATGGATATTGGCCTTTCAAACTTCAAAAAAAAATTTTTTTAATTTCAATTTTTACAGGTACATAGGTGTATATATTAAACTCACTCCTTTTTAAAAACAATTTCCTGTTTCCATGCTGTTTACCTCAGAAAGTCATTTTTAACTAATTCTACCAAAAATAACAATCAAGGAGAAACCTACATTTTTATATTACAGGTTGAGCATCACTAATCTGAATCCCCAAAAATACTCCCAAATCCAAAAATTTTTGAGCACCAACATGATGCCACAAGTGGAAAATTCCACACCTGACCTTATGTGACAGATCAAAGTTAAAATGTAGGTACACAACATATAATTTATACAGGATCCTCCTCTCTTTAGATGCAATTATCATTCCCGTGCATGCCCCAATTCCCCCATGCAGGCATACCCACAAAAGGTTAAAAAAAAAAAATTCACACGTGTACGTGTAAGAAAATGACTGCTTATCAGTAGCATATAAATTCAGTCAAGAGTAATGGTGATGCCAAACAACTACACACTGTCCACGAGTGACTGAAATAGCGACACCTTTGCTTTCTGATGGTTCAAGGTACACAAACTTTGTTTCATGCACAAAATTATTAAAAACATCATATAGGCCGGGCGTGGTGGCTCATGTCTGTAAATCCCAACATTTTGGGAGGCCGAGGCGGGTGGATCACAAAGTCAAGAGTTCAAGACCAGCCTGGCCAACATTGTGAAACCCCATCTCTACTAAAAATACAAAAATTAGCCAGGTGTGGTGGCATGTGCCTGTAATCCCAGCTACTCGGGAGGCTGAGGCAGGAGAATTGCTTGAACCCGGGAAGTAGATGTTGCAGTGAGCTGAGATCACAGCACTGCACTCCAGCCTGGGCAACAGAGCAGGACTCCATCTCAAAAAAAAAAAAAATCATATAAAATTACCTTCAGGCTATGTGTATGAGGTACACATGAAGCGTAAATTAATTTCTTATTTAGACCTGGGACCCATCCCCAAGATACCTCATTAAATACATGCAAATATTCCAAAATTAGAAAAAAGGTGAAATCTGAAACTCTTCTGGTCCCAAGTATCTTGGATGAGGGACACTCAATCTGTATTCTATATAGCACAATCTGGATCTTGATACTGTGTCCATGTCTCGCTTTCTAGTTTCACGCATAAATGCTATCTTTTATCTATTTTGCTTATTACAATTAATTATTTGAGAAAATAAAGGTAAATATAAATACAATCATGAACTCACAGCTCTTCAAAAAAATAAATAAATGTAAAACCACATTATACAACTATTACTGTCTAGCTGACCCATTTTTCCCCCTACTCAGTAACTCTACCTCTCCCTCCCAACACATTAGATATCTTCCTTGAAAATCTGCCTGTTGACATCATCTACAATCAAGAAAGTTTACTTTTATGTAAAAGTGTATCCCTTTTTCACTTGAGGTCAGGAGTTCGAGACCAGCAAGGCCAACATGGTGAAATCTCGTTTCTACTAAAAATATAAAAATTAGCCAGGCATGGTGATGGGCACCTGTAATCCCAGCTACTCGGGAGGCTGAAGCAGGAGAATCGCTTGAACCCGGGAGGTGGAGGTTGTGGTGAGCTGAGATCATACCACTGCACTCCAGCCTGGGTGACAGAGTAAGACTCTGTCTCCAAAAAAAAAAAGGAGTGTATCCCTTTTTTCTCCCAATTCTGCTTGACCGGAATAAAATGATGGCACTTATATGTGGTGCTTAATTAAACAGAAAAAAATGTTCTAAATGACTAAAGTCATTTCAGATCCATTCATTCTGTATCCCCGAACAGACTGGAAACTCAAAGGCAGACACTTTCTGTATGTGCCCCACTACCTAACAAAACATTTTGAATGGAGTGGTTACTCAAATATTACCTCCCTTTTCCCTATAATGGGAAAGGCTGTGCTAGGTACTTTCACATATCCCTCTCATTTCATCCTTATGACGAAAACCTTGCTGCAGAATATTATTATCATTTAACAAGCTCTGAAGAGGAAAAGACTCTTATATAAACAGCATAAAGTAGCTCATTCCAGTGGTACAAGTTCTTCCCTCTACATTTTTCACTTGCTCTCTATTTCTTTGAACCTATAACACCCTACAATATAATGTTTTATTAAGCAATTGGCTGCTTAATATACGTGAAAGCATCTGCAGATTTCACTTGCTCCATATTCAACTCTGAAAGGCAACAGCACTAGGTGACTGGTGCTTACAAAGGCCAAAAGGTGATCTATTCTCAGTGAAGGTGTGTGTGGTGTAGAAGTAAAGTGGAGACCAAGAGGGGAAAAGAACTGTTGTTCAATTATTCAAAACACACTGAAGCATGTTCACTCGGAAAAGAATACCAAAACCACACAAAGGTAAATTCAAATATAAATACAAAAACATTTCTAAAACCTAAAATAGTGAAATTCGTGTCTGAAAATCTATTTTAACACTTTATATTGTAATCAATTCATGCATGGCTTGGTTAATCTTTCTTCCAGCTGCTATGTTATTAAAATACCTTTCTTCACTAATTCTATTCATGTTTTACTATAGCTATTACTTTCCTGCTTAGTATACCTAACAGCCTTCAAACAACTTTGTAAAGTCTATTCTGCAAAATTCTGAGTAAACATTCTAACAAAATAAAATTGAAAAGCCCATTAAACCTAAAAACAGCACTACTAGAGCTTAACAACAAATTAATTTAGAGCGTGAACCACATAAAGAAAAGTTGTTCAAATATCCTATTCTAGAATGTTTTGTTTTGCCGCCCCCCCCCACCCCTTTTTTTTTGAAGGAGAGGCATCCAAATCTGTTTCCCTGTCATTTCTGGCAATCATTTTACATTCTTATGCCATTCACATTTCACAAAAGAGTAAACAAACTCAAAGGGGTTAATAAAAACAGGGAACTAGTAAGTGGCACAGAAGGATTTAAACCTAAGACACAGAACCAGTGTTCTTTTCAGTTGCCTTCCTGCTGAAGGCAGGATGCTGCAGATACTTTCTGATTTAAGGCTACTTATATATATAGCCTTAAATTTGAGTCATTTATTTGGTATCATAACTATCTTTCCAATTACGCATATTTTTATTTGTACATTTGATAGTCTTTGCTTCACTCTTAACCCATGTATGTATTTTTAATTATGATTTTGAATCAAGCATCTCCTGTAGAAGAAATCATTGAATTGTGGAACAAACTAACATGCATTTTTAAAATTTATATAATCCACCTGTAATACATTAAATGTGGAAAACTGTCCATAGCTGTAATAAACTGAAAGAAGTAAATTATTGTGTACAGTGCAGGTGAGGACAGAGTAAAACAGACTCACATTCTTAGTGGTCAAACTGGTGCGAAACTTTGAAAACAATTTGGTAATGTTTATAATGAGTGGTTTAATACATTCCTTCATTTTCACCCAGAAGAGTCAGTGTGGAGATGCTCAGCTAAGGAAATCATCCTACTTTAAATGAAAAAAATCTTATGCATCAAAATATTCATCAAAATATTAGCACCAAAGCAAGCATACAATAAATATTTACTATTTGAATGAATAAGCAAATGAATGAATGAGTGAACTGCAAATAATAAAAACCTAGAAACAGAATTGGAATGGTTAATAAAATTACAAACATCCAAATTAATATTAATGATAAAAACTTAAAAAATCAGCTATATGATAAGTGGGATTAAAAAAACTGTATAGTACAATCACAAGAATGTTTTTAACCCACAAATATACAAAATACATTTAGAATACACACAAAGTATATAAAAATACACACAAACACATAAAAATTAGGCAAAAGGAGTATACCAATATATTAACATAGAGTAAAGGGCTGACAGTAATTTTTTCTCTTATTTCTTATTTTCTAAATGTTCTATACGGCAGATATATTACCATTAATATTTTTTAAAAAGCTAAAACACATCAATATTATCCATATTTAGCCAATATCAGGAAAAAAAGCAGCTTGCTTTAAATTGCTTATTGTACACAAAGTGCTGGTTTATTTATTCATTTATGTATGTATGTATGTATGTATTTATTTATTTATAAATTTATTTATTTTTAAGACAGAGTCCCACTCTGTTGTCCAGGCTGGACAGGCTGGAGTGCAGTGGCACGATCTTGGCTCACTGCAACTTCCGCCTCCCAGGTTCAGGCAATTCTCCTGCTACAGCTTCCCAAGTAGCTGGGACTACAGGCGCCCACCACCACGCCCAGCTAACTTTTTTGTATTTTTAGTAGAGAAAGGATTTCGCCATGTTGACCCGGCTGGTCTCGAACTCCTGACCTCAAGTGATTTGCCCGCCTCGGCCTCCCGAGGCAGGCAAATTACAGTGCTAGGATTACAGGTGTGAGCCACCGCATCCGGCCTACAAATTGCCTATTGTACTGATTCTACATAAATTATCTCAGTAAATCTCTTTACATCCATGCATAAATTTTTTAATGTACTTCATTAATATATAAATACAGATTATAATAACTCTATCTCCCCTCACTCAAAAGGTCTCTTAGGTATATTAGTAAGAGAAAGAGGCAGGTGGGAAAGGTACAGCTGTCATCTACAAGAAAGACCCTGTGAAAAAGATTATAAGAAAATTAAAATGTCTTTTGATATATTTTCCAATCACCCTAAGATTATTAAGAACAGGCAGACTCTGTCCTTCTTTTAGCTCTACTAAAACTCATCTGCTCATGATTTCAATTTACAATAAACATATTTTAGCTTTAAAAGACAACTAGAAAGATAAAATGGAACTCTGGAACTTCTTTAAAAATTGGGGGGGAAAAACTTCTGAGTGTCCTAAGAGATTTAGCCTATACTAAAATATCATCAAGGTTAAAAAATATAAAAGTTAAACAAAATAAAAATTAAAGATCAAGTGGGATATTTTCTTGGGAGGGAATGAAAATTAAGAACTTGATAAACAGAGCAAGTGCCTACAAAGATGAAAGTTCACTCTACAATTGCCTACTTTCACTATCTGGGCTTAACCTAACTTTATTACTGTTTATAAAAATAAATCTGTTCAGGCATGGTGGCTCACGCCTGTAATCCCAGTGCTTTGGGAGGCCAAGGCAGGAGGATCACTTGAGGCCAGCAGTTCAAGACCTGCCTGAGCAACACAGCAAGACTCCACCTCTACAAAAAATGTAAAAATTAGCCGGGGTGGTAGTGTGTGCCAGTAGTCCCAGCTACTCGGGAGGCTGAGGCAGGAGTGTTGCTTGAGCCAAGGAGTTCAAGATTATATTGAATTATGATCCTGCTGCTGTACTCCAGGTTGGGAGACAAAGCAAGACCTAGCCTCTATATATTAATCTATGTATCTATGTTTCTTTAAAAATTGGAAGACTGCTATACTGTATTCTGTGGTATATAATAGTGGTTCACAGTACTTTTAATGGAGTGACCTCCATTATTAGCCTAAGGAAAAATCAGACGGCTTGCTACATACACTAAATTTCTGAAGAACAGATTTCTTCATAAGAATGGGTATCTGGGGTTGAAAACGTTTAGTTAGGATACTAACTAACAATTGATCTTTCCCATATAAGGCTTTCTTTAAACAATGTTAACTCTTACAGTGTCTTCCACAGTAATTAAAGAGTAGAATCCTTTCTGAAAATTCATTTCTATTTAAAACAGGGCGAGGATCCAAAGCACTGTATTTAATTATTTCAGATCTTCAAAGAACACACTGTTTGTAGTAGTGGAAGCATCTATGATAACTACCATACCTAAACTAGACTCTAGCTTTAATTTTATTCCAAAATAGGAAAAGAGCAGTTAATAATAGAAGACCCAAATGCCTTTGAATTTTTTGCTGAAACTAGGAACTGCTTTTCTTGTAGTCTTTTCATTTTTTATCTCCCTGTCATCCACAGTCCTTTAAAACATAGAAGTTCTAAACTTGGAATCAGATTATCCAATAAAAACAAACAAGATTTCAGTAATGGAAGAAATGACTTAATATGAAAGCAGAAGCTAGGAGAAAAGCAGGTATATAATCTAATATAGTTAAATTGAAAATGAAACAGAAGCATTTAATAAGGCTTTTACACAATGTCTTCTGATATAGGAACATTTTAAAGAAGTTAATGGAAATATAAAATACTAACAGAAGACCTGTGACCAGCTAGTTTGGTGTTAGATTTTAGTCATTATATGTTAACAGTGTTCAGATAAAGTTATTTAAAATCAAAGGCTGATTAAATAACCATATGCCTACAGGATTCTCAATTTCTTGTTATATACCACCCATGATTATCAACAGTGAGCCCTGGAGCAACAGAACACATTAGCTGGCAAGAGTAAGACCTTGGTGTACCCTGGATGCATCCAGGAAGTTTCTGGAACACCCCATTGGGGTAGCTTTAGGAGATAACTGACCTACCAGATTTGTTGTGGCCTATCAATTGTCCTATAATTAAGACCCAGGTATTCTTAAGGATACCATGAGGATGGAACCTGGTGATTCAAGTAGTCCAGAGGCACTATGGCATAGCGTTTGTGAGAACACTGTTCAGTCAAACTTCTCAGGTTCAACTCCCAGCCCTGTAATTTATAAGCTTTGTTGTGACCCTACAGTCACATCTGTACCTCATTTTCTTCACAGGTCTAATGGAATAATAAAATGAATAATACCTCATATGATTAATGTGATAATGTAACCGCCTAAGGCATGTCTGTTATATCCTTAAATACTATTATATAAGTGTTTACTATTTACTATTCCAACCAAATAGTTCCCTCTGAAGTCTCAAAGATGTTAATTCCCAAATAGATCCTTCTGAAGACTCAGATATTAATTCCCACAACTGTTACTAGAATCTGTTACAGTATGAACTTAAAAGTTCTGCACCCCGGCTGGGCATGGTGGCTCACGTCTGTAATCCCAGCACTTTGGGAGGCCAAGGTGAGCAGATCTCGAGGTCAAGAGATGGAGACCATCCTCACCAACACAGTGAAACCCCGTCTCTACTAAAAATACAAAAATTAGCTGGGTGTGGTGGTGGGTGCCTGTAGTCCCAGCTACTCAGGAGGCTGAGGCAGGAGAATCGTTGAACCCGGGAGGTGGAGGCTGCACTGAGCCGAGATCACGCTACTGTACTCCAGCCTGGTGACAGAACTCCGTCTTAAAAAAAAAAAAAAAAAAATTATGCATCCCAACTACAGCCTCTGCTTAATGTCATATTGCTTTGTTGTTGTTGTTGTTGTTGTTGTTGACGATGTTTTGAGACACAGTCTCACTCTGTCGCCCAGGCATCATATCCGGCTAATTTTTGTATTTTTGTAGAGAGAGAGTTTCACCATCTTGGCCAGGCTGTTTTAACTCCTGACCTCCGGTGATCCGCCCGCCTTAGCCTCCCAAAGTGCTGGGATTACAGGCCTGAGCCACCCCGCCCAGCCTGTCATATTATTTTTATAATAAAAAAGGGGAGGAATCATTTTGTAAACTGACAACAAATAACATTTATCATTTGGATGCGGATAAAGAAGAAAGCAGTTTACTGGATGAGAAAAGAGCCAATCTGAATTAGTCTAAAAGACCTAATTCAAACATAATGGGATGGGATAACTACAATATCTAATTAAAATGAACCTTAAAACCAGGCACAGTGGCTCATGCCTGTAATCCCAGCACTTTAGGAGGATGAGGTGGGAGGATCACCTGAGGTCAGGACTTCGAAACCAGCCTGGCCAACATGGAGAAACCTTGTCTCCACTAAAAATACAAAAATTAGCGGGGCTTGGTGCTAGGCGCTTGTAATCCCAGCTACTCGGGAGGCTGAGGCACAAGAATTGCTTGAACCTGGGAGGTGGGAGGTTGCAGTGAGCCGAGACGGCGCCACTGCCTGGGCAACAGAGCACGACTCCGTCAAATAAATAAATAAATAAATAAATAAATAGAACCTTAAAAAGTATACTTCAAAGTATAATCCCCATGACTTTATTCTTAAAAAAAAAAACTTTTCCAATCTTATAAGAGCTATGTAAAATTAAAATGTTTTAAATCTAGTTTATTCTACTATGATTTCACTCCTTAAAGTTAATGCATTATTCGAACATGCATGTATATATGTAAACAAACACACATAAACACATCTAATTTCAAAGGCTAGTCATAACACAAAGATGAATACTAACAGTTCAAATCATTTAGTAATTTACTAGTTTAGTGTTAAGTATATGTAGCTATTAAAATACAGAATATAGCTAGTGGCTAAAAAAGTTAGTATTACTGATTTGAAAAGGGAAAGTGGAAAGTAAAAAGCCCTAACTTCTTAATTTCTAACACAAATCACTTGAAACTTAAGCACAGAATTCTGAAGATCAATATAAATCACTGACCAAAAAACCCCCATAACTTCTTCAGTAAATAGAACACTTACAGCATCAAACAAAATCAGAGAGAATGGAAGGGATATTTTTATCTCTACGGTGAACTACTGAAATAGGTTGCTAGCAGCCATGTCCTAACCTATTTACCCCTACTACCAAATTAATCTTTCTGCAGTAGCCCTTAGTTCATTTAATCTACTGTTAGAAATTCACAATTTATGAATTAAGTTTACACTTTCAGGCTTGCTACAATCCATCCTCCCACTCTTTTTTCAGACACCTTTTCTCCATTTCCTAAAACCAACAACCCTCCAGGCGCAACACCCTGAGATTCCATTTCTATCACTCGGCTTCAGCTCCTTCCTCAGCCTCTCTCCTCTTCAGTGCATTTTATCCTAAGCGAACTAACACAGGAACAGCAAACCAAATACTGCATGTTCTCATAAGTGGAAGCTAAACAACAAAAACACATGGATACAAATAGGGCAACAACAGACACTGGGGCCTACCTGAGGGTGGAGGGTGGGAGAAGGGAGAAGATCAGAAAAAATACCATTGAGTACTAGCTTATTACCTGGGTGACAAAATAATCTGTACACCAAACCCCCATGACACGCAGTTTAACTATATAACAAACCTGCTCATGTACCCTGAAACCTGAAATAAAAGGTTTTTTTTTAAGACTTAAAAATTCTAGCAAAATATCTGTTTTACCTTGTTTAATGGAGCATCTCCCAAACATATCATAATTTTTTTTTTTTACTTAGCATGCCTTTTAACATCTTGTAAAGCACCAGCTTTCGACTGAAAAGCCATCTGAGAAAGAGCTCTTGCCTCTACTCCCGTATCAGCCTCTGGAACTGGCCTCCAGGCACAACTCTCCTCTCCACCTCCGATTCCCCCCACCCAATCTGTTCTACAGCCAGCAGCCGTCTCTTAAAAATGCAAATCTGATTAGCACTAAAGCAATTAAAACACTTTAATGCATTTCTAGGGTTCTAGTGTGAAAATGAGCTTATCAAGGTCTCCTGGATCCTCCTAGATCTGACCTCAACCTATCTCTATACTGTTTGCTATACCATTCTTCTCACCCCCTGTGCTCCAGTCACACTGGCCTTCTAGTTCCTCTGCTGAGCATGCTTTCTCCAAAGGGCTTTGCTCTGACCAGAACCTATTTCTCCACCTTTCACCAAGAATCTATCTCTCCACCCTCGACCATCAACTCTTTACCAAGTTACAACTACTGGTCTTTCAGTTCTCACTTCAATCATGACTTTCACAGACTCCATCCAAACTCTCAAAACCTTCTGTTCTTGTATAACACTTTATATTTTTCCTTCAAAATACTTAATACAACTTGCATTGATACATTTAATGAGAAGAGGGTCTTGTTTTGCTAATCTCTGTATTCCTTAGCTCCCAGTATTATGACCGGCACACACAAGGCAGGCAAACATTTTTTAAATTAATGAAACACTGCCAGGCATGGTGACTCACACTGGTAATCCCCACACTTTGGAAGGCCAAGGCGGGAGGATCGCTTGAGCCCAGGAGTTCAAGAACAGCCTGGGCAACATAGCGAGACCCCCAACTACAAAAAAATAAAAAACAGTTAGCTGGGCATGATAGCATGCACCTGCAGTCCCAACTACTCAGGTGGCTGAGGTGGGAGGATTGCTTGAGCTCAGGAGGTCAAGGCTGCAGTGAGCCGTGATTGTGCCATTGCACTCTAGCCTGGGTGACAGAGGAAAGCCTGATTTAAAAAAAAAAAAAAAAGAAGAAATAAAATTAATGAATCTCTGATAATATAATTATCACCTAATCATAATAAGAGAATCCCTATCAACTATAAACATTTTTATAACCAATCACTTTAACAAAAACCTTCAACAATCTCCTGTGGAATTTTAGCTTTAAAATGTATGTTAATCCATAGAGTACGTTTCCATTGCTACTGCATAAGTACAACCAAGCAAGAGATAAACAAATTTTAAATATATTTGAATACATTAGAAATCTCACATACTTCTTACACTAGCAGTGTATGAGAATTCTCGTTTCTCCACATCCCTTCTCAGCATTTGATATCATCAGTCTTTTGTAATTTTAGCCATTCCAGTGGTATGTGCTGATATCTATTGTGCTCTTAATTTGCATTTCTCTGGTGAATGAGATTGAATAACTTTTTGTATGTTTATTACCAATAGAATATTTTCTTTTGTGATGCATCTGTGTATTTTGTTGTTTAAAACACACATGTGCACACGCATATGCACACACAATCTTTTCCTTTATGGGTAATAATCTTTTTGTGTCCTGTTTAAAAATCTTTTCCCTACCCGAAGGTTATGAAGATATTCTCATAGTTACCTTCCAGAGTATCTATTACTTTTGTATTTCACATTTAGATCTACAATCCAACTGGAATTTATTTTTGTGTATGGTATAAGGTACGGGGGAGATGAAGATGAACTTTTTCCCCATATAGACAGGTTGACAAGACTCTCTTTTCCCCACTTTTCTGAAATGCCACCTTTATCATAAATCAAGTGTCCATATCTGTCTGGATCTTTTTCCACACTCTATTCTGATTCATTAGTTTGTTGTCTAATTTTGCACTAACACCACATTGTCTTAATTATTGTGGCTTTATAAGTCTTAATGTCCATCAGAGTCGGTCAGTCCTCTCACTTTCTTGTTCCTAAAGATTGACTTGGCTGTGCCTGGTCTTTTTCATCTTTATATCAATTTACCATTTTTCACACATGCATACACAAACAGACAATGCACACATATCTGGGATTTTGTTTGGACTTGTATTAAATCTGTGATTGGTTTCGGAAGAACATCTTTACAATACTTACAGTCTTTCAAGCCATGAACATAGTATATCCCCTCAATTATTTAGCTCAGTGTTTCTCTTAGCCCCTTACAGAAGTCTACAAGGTTAATACTCTCATTCTCTTACAAGCATATGATGGAGTTTTCCAGGAGCTTGTATGTGACATCACAATAGGCTAGATGCAGAAGTGGATATGAGAATTCAGCTGTCTTAATTAAGACATTTAAAAAAATTTCCAAAAATGTAAAACGATGCCACTCTTTTTGTTTCGTAAAATACATCTATTTTTCATAAGCATAATATTTATGTTGGAATGTAATGGGTTATTATTTTAAAATAAATATTTAAAAGTTTTTTCAACTTTATTTTCTAATTTGGTAAATACAGACAGCCAACATAAACAAAAACCTCTTTGGGTTCCTCAATTTTTTTTTAGCATTAAAATAATAACAGACAAAAAATTCAAAATGGTATTTTATTGCAGTCATGTGCATTCACATGAAGTTGTAAGAAGTAATACCAAGATATCCCTTTGTCTAGTTTCTAATGGTAAAACTTTGCAAAACTATAATATAATATAATCAGAATATTAACATTGATATAATATACTGATATTCATATTTACCCAGTTTTATTTATTTGGCTAGTGTGTCCTTGATTTTTAATATTATAAAGGGGGTCCTAAAACCAAAAAGTCTGATAACTGCTGATTTAAAATTTCTTTAACATTTGTTTGTACTTTTTTATTTGTACAGACTGTACATTTATACAATCAATATTGGCATCTTTCTGAACTCGCTTATTATTTCCAGCTTTATGTCCCCATCATCTCCTCAAAATACATGATTACAGTTAGAGTAGGCATGTTTTTTCAGAGGGGTTCAGCCCCATCAGCCACCATTGATGACCTTGTATGATACATGAATAACCTGAGATGGATCATTTGGTCCCTTTCCTGGAAATCTGGAATTAGAACTCAGGAGGAGATAAATCTCTCTAGATAACTAGACCAGAATGTAAACTCTGGAAGTGACCTTATTTTCTGCCTTTTTAAACTGGGAAAACAAAAAATCTGGTTTTCTATTAAAAAAAAAAATCTGGATTTGTTAGAAACAATAATGAGAAACTTAGAGAACTTCTTGAGTTGCATATAGTACCTGATTCTAATTCATTCCAGAAGCCCCAGTTCTATGAGATACTATAATCTTATAAATTATTTAGGCCGGTTCCAATGGGCTTTTCTTACTTACAACCAAGACTCCTAACTAATATATGCACAAAATCCTTCTACCATTTTCCTACTAGAGGTTGGTCTAACACTGTAGGTAAGTATGCGGCTTTGAAAATTGATTCCTTTTTGTTTTTCAAGGGGCTCATAAGAAAATAATTGAGTTGATGGAGTTCTGGGAATCTTAGGGCATTTTAAGACTCCAATTACTATACTGTGAAGTACGTGTGCTTGCTTATGTGTGAGAATGTATGCATGTTTATGTATAAATTTGTTAACAATTCTAGAAAAAGAAATTGGAACACAGGTTTGTTTTTCTCTGTAGAACTAACTTTGTTATATGAAGCCATTCCCTTGGCAGGTCATTGCTAAGATCTGCTGAACAGCAAACAAATCTAAAAACCTAGACACATTCTACAGATGTGATCTTACAATGCAGAATAGATTTTTTTTTTAAATCTAGGCTTAACACTATTTTTGCTTTACATTAAATTGGTATATTTAAAAATTATTATACTGTTGTCAGACACCAGGCTTGCTGTTAAACTTCCAATGACTTACTTCTCATATGTCTGTCAAAAATGATCTCTACCAACCTACACTCATCCATTTTTAATGTGGAATTTTAAATTAATACCCATTATCTTTTCATCTTATTATTTAAAACCCACTATTTTATGCTTTTTGAAGTTCTCTCTCAGCTCCTACAACTTTATCTGCTTAAACGTTACACAGGATAGGGTCAAGATTAAGAACACAAGGACCACTATGTTAGTCTTCCCTTTGGGTTGACACTGAGTGATCAATCAGCAGGCTGACATGTATACAGTAGTTCACCCAGCTATTAGTGAGCCTAATCCTGATAATATTCACGCCAAATTTTTGTCATGTTAACCGTAAAGACATAACAAGAGCCTTTCCATGTGCTTTACAAAAAAAATCAAGCTATACTGTTTGCAACATTTCCCCCAGTTATGTTTCTAAACCTTGACCAAAAAGGAAGTAAAGATAGGTCAACATAACTTGTTTTCAGAAAACTCAAATTGACATCTAGTGTTCAACACAGTCTCTTCCAGAACTATCTGTTTAATAGTGGATATTAGAATTTTGCCAGTGTAGAGTAGAAGACCATTTTAAACAAATGTACCTATAAACAACAAATG
The DNA here is from genome assembly GCF_000001405.40 of Homo sapiens. Lineage (NCBI taxonomy): Eukaryota > Metazoa > Chordata > Mammalia > Primates > Hominidae > Homo > Homo sapiens. The sequence goes on from NC_000012.12 coordinate 79,916,166, forward strand.
TACCTATAAACAACAAATGTACCTATAAACAACAAATGTGTATGTAAATTAAAAGCCATTCCATCAGTTGCCTTCCATCTTCCTATTCTTGTTCTGGTTTATAAATTTTAAAAGTCCTCTTTTCACTGCCTTCAAAAATATTTTCACAAAATTCACGTAACTATGGGCTTCAACATTCCTAATTCTAAGAGACTTGGGGCTGTTTTTTCAATTCATTCTTAAGACAGATATTCATCGACAAATGCTTTATACATTCATAAAGAATGGGGCAAAAGAGCATACTGTATAAAACTGCTTTTCTAATTCTTTCTTCACATTATCTCCTATTGGATTGTTTAAAATTCTAAAACCCAAATTTTATCCTTTAAAACCCCTTTGTCCTTCAAAAATGACTTGCCTTTTTGGTAATTATACTTAGCTTTTCTCTGAACTTTCTGTAGTCCACTTGCAAAAAGCTACAAAATACATCTAACCATATCCAGAATTCCATTATTTGCTTAGAATACTCTCCCAAGGTGTTCATCACATCGTCAAGCAGTCATTCCTCATGAAATAAAAGGTTCAGAGAAAAGGCAAGTATAATACAGAAATAAATACTGAACCATCAACACCAGCTTCTTTGAGTGGCCAAACACTAGCAAACTAAAATTCATTAGTTATATCAATGTTTCTATATTTAATCCATAAAATATTACTGGGAATAGCCATTTAGGCATTTTTCTCCAATTGAGATTTTTCTTTTTTTTTTTCTGCTTGTTGTAAAAGATCCAAAAGTAACATAATTCAAAATCTGTATTTCCCTCCCAGAGACAACCACTGTTAACAGTTGAGGTACTTTACCAGATTTTTTCCCTATGTAAATAACCCCCCAAAGGGCTCATACCATACATACTGTCCTGCAATTAACATTTTTTACATTTGAGTGTTTTTAAAGCGAGAAAAACTTATATAGTATTCCCACATATAAAGACTGGCTCTAAATGTCAAGGATGGGTTGAAAAGGGAAAAAGATGCCATGTTATACAGAGTTAAGAGTTTAGGCCGGGCACAGTGGCTCATGCCTGTAATCCCAGCACTTTGGGAGGCCGAGGCGGGTGGATCACGAGGTCACGAGATCGAGACCAGCCTGACCAACATGGTGAAACCCCATCTCTACTAAAAATAGAAAAAATAGCTGGGCGTGGTGGCACGTGCCTATAATCCCAGCTACTCGGGAGGCTGAGGCAGGAGAATTGCTTGAACCTGGGAAGCGGAGGTTGCAGTGAGCCGAGATCGTGCCACTGCACTCCAGCCTGGTGACGGAGCGAGACTCTGTCTCAAAAAAAAAAAAAAAAAAAAAAGAGTTTAATATATAACAATTATGTCCTATTTCATTTAAGCTGAAACAAATCTGCTGATGCTTACTCAAAGTCAAAATAACCCAACCTTTCTGTACACTACTACTTTCCTCATTAACTGCAACTTTTAAAAATATTAAAACATGCAAAAAACCCTCAATCAAATACTCAAAGCAAGTCCTGTAATATTTTGAGCAAAAAAGAAAAAACATTAAATCTATTAGACATAAAAAGTGTATAAAGGTGTTAGGTTTCTTAGTTGTAACTAATATTTTACCTTTATTTTCCCTGAAAAATACCATTTAGTAAATTTAGAAACTGAGAGAAGTTAGAGATTGTTAAAATTCTTTCACTATACAATTAGAAAAATCCAACATGCTCTGAGAAAATGTACTCTCACCTATCTTAACCTGTGACTTTATTTTCATAGCATACTATTTCAGTCAATAAAAGACTTGTAGATCGTTACTACTACCACTCCTTTATTCCTCTCCAACAGTTCTGTGATCCACTCCTCCCCATACACCTCTGCCACATACATAATATCATAAAAGTAAATTTGGCTTTACTTAGAAATTCTTTACTAATTCTTCTGAACTGAAAAGTACAGAAAAACAAAATTTTGCATATATTTTTAGGCAGTTCACTGAAACCTTAAAAAAAAAAAAACATAATCACGAATCTGTATCCTGCGTTTTTTCTGTATGTTCATAAATTGTTTTCTACTTGGTTTTCACATTTCCAGGGAATCAGAGGCAAGTAAGAGAACAGACTAAATCCAAGGAAAAAACCACACTCCAAGCATGATCTCCATGTATTAGTTATAGTTAGGCCACCCCTCCTCCATGTGTGCACAACATCCTGTACAGATAGCCTATAGTGTACATTTTACACTTGATTTTCATTTCTTGTTTACTTGACTGTCTCCTCCAGTATCATTCTGCAATATCAATACTCTGCTGCTGACCTATACAGTAAGCACACAATATTTACTGCATGCTGTGAAAAGCACCTTCATCATCTAGTTGTCCAAGCCAGAAAACAGGTGCATGCACATCTTTAAATAATCCCTCAAGCCAATCCACCTCCAATTCCTACCAATTCTATTTCATAAATATATTTTAAGTCCATCTACTATTTTCCAACCCTCCTGCCGCTAAGCTAGTTCATCTCATAGTCATCTCTCTCAGACTACCCAACTTCCTCAAATGTCTCTCTACCTTCAGCTTTGTCCTCTCTTTTCAGTGCCTTGTCCACACTGCAGCCAAAAGTGATTTTTCTTAAAAAAGAAAAATTGGTTGTCCATTTAACCTGATTAAAATCCTTCAACTGGCCAGGTGCAGTGGCTCACGCCTGTAATCCCAGCACTTTGGGAGGCCAAGGCGGGCAGATTACTTGAGGTCAGGAGTTTGAGACCAGCCTGGCCAACACGGCGAAACCCCGTCTCTACTAAAAATACAAAAATTAGCTAGGCGTGGTGGCATGCGCCTGTAATCCCAGCTACTCAGGAGGCTGAGGTGGGAGAATCACTTGAACCGGGGAGGCAGAGGTGGCAGTGAGCTGAGATCACGCCACTGTACTCCAGACAGAGCAAGACTCTTGTCTTAAAAAAAAAAATCCTTCAGCACTTCTGTGCACTTCCAGATCTTTACACATGCTATTTTCCCTCTCTCTGAAATAGTTTCCCATAATCTTCCCTCCCTAACAACCTTGGCTAACATTTACTCATCGCTGAGCAGCTCAAACATCAACTTTATCCAGAAAGTCTTCTCAGCCGGGCGCGGTGGCTCACACCTGTAATCCCAGCACTTTGGGAAGCTGAGGCGGGCGGATCACGAGGTCAGGAGTTCAAGACCAGCCTGACCAACATGGTGAAACCCCATCTCTACTAAAAATACAAAAATTAGCCAGGCATGGTGGTGCATGCCTGTAATCTCAGCTACTCAGGAGGCTGAGGCAAGAGAATTGCTTGAACCTGGGAGGTGGAAGTTGCAGTGAGCTGAAATCACGCCACTGCACTGCAGCCTGGGCAACAGAGTGAGACTCCATCTCAAAAAAAAAAAAAAAGTCTTCTCCCCTCCCCCAATCTAGGTGAAATATGCCTTCATAAGCTTCCATACTGTATTACCATTACATATCATTACACATAACTGATGTAAATTTATAATTGTCTGTGTATTATCTATACACTCCAGTAGACTACAAGCTGTGTTAGGGCAGGGGCAATGTCTGGCTGTTCTGTTCACCATCATAATTATAGTGACTAATACCAAGCCTAGGCTGAGGCTGGGGGACTGATAGAAGATAATTACTCTGGCTCTGTCAGTGCCTCAATTTTTAGTAGTAAACACTGATAAATATATACGTTCACTTTTTTAAATGTTTGAGATACCATTCACATACCATAAAATAACCCATTTAAAGTGTACAAATAAACAGATTCACAGAGTTGTGCAACTGTCAGCACAATTTTACATTTTTGTCACCCTAAAAAGTTGTACCCATTAGCAGTTATTCACCAACTCCCCTCAACACCTCTAGTTTCTGGCAACCATTTATCTGCCTTCTTGCTTCATACACAGATTTGCCTATTCTGGACATTTCATATAAATGGAATCATACACCATGTGGTCTTTTGTGACTGGCTTCTTTCACTTAGCATGTTTAAGATTCATCTTTGTAGCAATTATCAGCATCCCCTTTTTGCTACTGAATAATATTCCGCTGATTCCAGGGACAAAACATATCACTTTATTCATCAGCTGATAAGACATTTGTGTTTTCATCTTTGGCTATCATCAATAATGCTGCCATGAACATTACTATACACATTTCTGTGTGGACACATGTTCAATTCTCTTGAGTATACACCTAAGAGTAGAACTGCTGGGTCATACGGTAACTCTGTTTAACCTTTTGAGAAAATGCCAGACTGTTTTGAAAGTGGCTATACCATCTTACTATTACCACCAGCAGTGCATGAGGGTTCCAATTTCTCCATATCTGCTGTGATTTAAATATCCCTCCCAAAACTCATGCTGAAACCTGATCCCTAATGTGGCACTGTTGATAGCTGGGGACTTTGGGAGGTGACTGCATCAGGAGGGCTCTTCTCTCATAAATGGATTAATCCACTCATGGATTAAAGGGTTAATGAATTAATGGGTTATCATGGGAGTGGAACTTGTGGCTTTCTAAGAAGAGGAAGAAAGACCTTGAGCACGTTATCACACTCGGCCCCCTCACCATGTGATACCCTGTGCTGCCTCAGGACTCTACAGAGTCCCCAACAGGCAAGAAGGCTCTCACCAGAGTTGACCCTACAACCTTGGACTTCTTAGCCGCCATAGCTGTAATAAGTAAATCTTTTTAAATAATCCAGTTTCTGGTATTCCGTTATAAGCAAAAGAAAACAGGACTAATACAACATCCTAGTCATTACTTGTTCTCTTTTTTATTAAAGCCATCCTAGTAGGTGTGAACTAGTATCTCATTGTGGGTTTGATTTGCATTTCCCAAATGGCTAATTTCATTTTACTGTCGACTCTATGAGGGTACTGTTGGTATATTTTTGCTCAAAAATGTGTCTTCTCAGCACTTAGTAGTGTCTGGCACAGAAGAGACCTTTAATATATGTTAAATGAATATACAAAAGATGATTTTTTTTTAGGTGTGTGCATGGTAGAGGAGATGTACTGTATGCAAGTGAGGAGAAAACAGAAAAAGACCCTGAGATTCTAGCTTAGTAAATGGAAGACTGATATAAAAAATAAGATATGGATCATGTAAGAAGGAGGACAGATCATATAAAAAGAAAGTTGAAACTACATAAATAACACAAAAAAGAATAATAGACATATGAGAACCTTGGCAACATTCATCTTCAAGAAAGAAACTGACAAAAAGGTACACTAAACAGGTACATTCAGAAGACAAACCAGTAGTGAATAGGGTCATAAAAGGCTCAAAACATCTGCTGATAAGTTACCTATAACTTACAGAGCTTTCTCAGGGATGTCTTCCATTGATACTCTGGGTTAAGCCCGCCTAATAAAGCCTTTAATTTCACCTTGTATCTCTACTCTACCACTTATTTACATTGTAATCATCGGCTCATGCTGCCACCTCAACTAGATTGTATACTACATGTAGCCAGGGACCACTGTTTTTAGAGATTAGTACTGTGCTGGACATATGATAAATGGTGATCTCTCTATGTTTCTTGCATGAATGAGTTATTCACTAATTTAAATGAATAACAGCATCATATAAATGAATACAGATATTGTTTAATATTTTAATAACTTCAAAATTTTCAAACATTAGAACTAAACCTTACATAAAGAAAAAAGGAAGAACACTTTTTACCTTGTCTTCCCCAATTGCTTCTCTGAGTGAAATACAACTAATTTTATTCTCACAAACACACACACACAGAGTAATAAAGCAATAAAACAATTTTCCTCAGCCAGGCATGGTAGTGCATGGCTGTAATCCAAGCACTTTGGGATGCCAAGGCAGGAGGATTGCTTGAGCCCAGGAGTTTGAAACCAGCCTGGGCAACACAGCAAAACCTTGTCTCTACTACTAATAATAATGATTTTAAAAGTCAGCCAGTTGTGGTGGGCACACGCCTGTAGTCTCAGCTACTCAAAAGGCTGAGGTGGGAGAATCACTAAGGCCAGGCAGTCGAAGCTGCAGTGAGCTGTGTTCACACCACTGCACTCCCAGCCTGGGTAACAGAGCAAGACCCCATCTCAAAACAAAACAAAAAAAACAATAAATAAAACAAAAATCTGCCTGTGGGTGACATATAGGGGATAACATTATCGCATCAATTTAACAGATGTGTCAACATGAGTACTTTCACGGTTAGTTTTCCATTTTCAATATACTAGAAACTTTATTAAAAATGCCTTTTGCAGACTTAGAACTAACCCAAATCCCCATCAATGATGAACTGGATAAAGAAAATGTAGCACATACACACCATGGAATACAGTCATAAAAAAGAATGAGTTCATGTCCTTTGCAGGGACATGGATGAAGCTGGAAGCCATCATTCTCAGCAAACTAATACAGGAACAGAAAACCAAACACCTCAGGTTCTCACTCATAAGTGGAAGTTGAACAATGAGAACACATGGACACAGGGAGGACCATCACACACTGGGGCCTGTCGGGGGCTCAGGGGCAAGGGTAGGGAGAGCATTAGGACAAATACCTAATGCATGCAGGGCTTAAAACCTAGATATGAGTCGGTAAGTGCAGCAAACTACCATAGCATAAGTATACCCATGTAACACACCTGCACGTTCTGCACATGTATACCAGAACTTAAAAGTAAAAAATTTTTTAAAAAGTATTTTGTATAAACAATCATTTAAATGGCATGTTATTTTGAGCAAAACATAAGATTGCAGATAAGATTTCTAAGGAACAATCCTAAGGAATACAATGTGATGAGCGAGTAAAAATGTACATGGTATAGGCCAGGTGCGATGGCTCACACCTGTAATCCTAGCACTTTGGGAGCCCGAGGTGGGTAGATCACCTGAGGTCAGGAGTTCAAGACCAGCCTGGCCAACATGGTGAAACCCCATCTTTACTAAAATACAAAAATTAGCCGGGCATGATGGCGGGTGCCTGTAATCCCAGCTACTCGGGAGGCTGAGATGGGACAATCGCTTGAACCCAGGAGACGGTAGTTGCAGTCAGCCGAGATCACGCCCCTGCACTCCAGCCTGAGCTGCTGAGGGAGACTTCGTCTCAAAAAAATAAATAAATAAATAAATAAGATGTACATAATATTCACCATATGATAAAAAGTGGAAAATATACTAAATGTTCATCAGGAAAGGACTAGGAAAATAAATTCCAAGATGTATATGCACATGCACACACAATGGAATACGATACACTCATTAAAAGGGAAAATGTATATGAATATTCTTTAACACAGAAATGTTTCTTAAAATACATAATGTTTCAAAACTGGTTATAAACCAGAAAATTAGGTATGACCCCATTTATAGAAAATTACATACTTGTACAGAGATATTTAAAAGGATGTTAAACTTTTAAATGGAGCAAAGTCCAGTCCCGAAATTTTGGATAACATTTTATTTTTTACATTTGTCTTTAGTGTTTTAATTAAATAATTATTCTTAAACTTTTACAACTATTTTTATTTGGGATAAAATTCACATACAACATTAAACATACAAAAGTAAGCCATGTTTAAAAATAAAAAGGAGAGGCCAGGCACGGTGGCTCACGCCTGTAATCGCAGCACTTTGGGAGGCTGAGGCGAGTGGATCACCTGAGGTCAGGAGTTTGAGACCGGTCTGGCCAACATGGTGAAACCCAGTCTCTACTAAAAATAAGAAAAATTAGCCGGGCGTGGTGGTGGACGCCTGTAATCCCAGCTACTCGGGAGGCTGAGGCAGGAGAATCACTTGAACCTGGGAGGCGGCGTTTGCAGTGAGCCGAGATTGTGCCATTGCACTCTAGCCTGGGAGACAGAGCAAGACTCCGTCTCAAAAAATAAAATAAAATTTAAAAAAAAGGAGATGGGGATGACCCATATAAAAGCAAGACACTGAAGACTTAATAATTACTTATTAAATTTTCATGTATATCAAAAAATAATGGAAAACACTGAGAAGATCAACAATATAAAGGCATTTTAACTGTAAAAAATGATGGTTCAAAGAGTTAAACAGCAATAGGCATTTTAAAAGAAAAAATCTTGAATATGCTACAGAGTTCTTAAGTAGATTCCATGTACTTGGAAGGAATACAGAAATTGCTGAATATGTCATCTGTCCAAACCTTTTAAGAAAAACTGTAGAAATTAAAATATCTTTGAGAAAAACAATAGTTCTTAATGACATAGTGTCATGATCTAGAGCCAGCAGCATCACAACCTTTTTTTAAAATGTGAGACCTGGTCTCACTCTGTCGTTCAGGCTAGAATGCAGTGGCGTGATCACAGCTCACTGCAACCCCAACCTCCTGGGCTCAAGCAATCCTCCTGCCTCAGCCTCCTGAGTAGCTGGGACCACAGATGCGTGTCGCCATGCTCAGCTAATTTTTAAATTTTTTGTAGAGACAAGGTCTCACTTTGTTGCCCAAGCCAGTTTTGAACTCCTGGGCTCAAGCAATCCTCCCACCTCGGCCTCCCAAAGTGCTGGGATTACAGGCATGAGCTACTGTGCCAGGCAGCACCGAAATCTTTTGCAGAAAACACAAACATATACAAAAAAGACTATGTTCACAAACTATAACATTGACTTGTTTCATCAAAATCTAGAACACAAATGAACAGTACTTTAGGTTTACAAATTCTGAAGCATACTCAAATCCACACAACGTAAAGAGTTAACTTAAATCCAAGGTGACATTTATGATCATATTCCAGTTAAGAATAAGCTTTTTAGAAAATATCATGTAATCACGGATATTTATTAACCATGATGACTACATGATCCACCTTTATTCACCAGATGCATCTTCGAATGATATCATTTTCAAAATTTAAAAACTCTCCTGAAAGAAAAAAAAACTCTCAACACTGAGGATATTTTAAAAAAATGTTCTGGAGCTGAAACTCCAACAGAAAAGCTCTAGAAGTGTTCCATGCAAGAATATAAATATTCAAATAAGTTTATAACCATCTAAAACAATTTTGAAGGCTAATAAAATATATATAATTTGGGATGTTTATTACAAGTAAAGGTTGAGTGCATACGTGTACGTGTGTGTGTGTGTGTGTGTAACAGTCCATGAAAATATACTTTCCCACATGGTTATTAATCTTTAAGAGGGTGCCAAGTGACATCTCACAAAATGTATTCTCCTCTGCACTATGCAGTATTCAAGAAAATGACATGAGCTTTGTACAATCTTATGATTTTATTGTTAGAGGTCATGTTAAACTAAGAAAATAGTAATTTCAGCTCAAATGTGAGTTAAATCATCAAGTTAAAGTAAAGCTTTTTATTAAGTGAAGCTCTCTCTGCAGAATATCTCACTTAATATACATAACATTTAAATAGACTACTAAAAAAGTGACAGCTGAGGAATGCTTTCACTTCTTTCCATGGTTTCTACTGAATGTCATTTCAGAAATGCCTATACAACACATGACAATGTGGAATGTCTCCTCCCATGAAAGAGCATTTGAGTTGAGCAGCAAGCACACTTAGGGCAGTAACACAGAACTCAAGCGTGTCTTTTTATGGTTAGCCAGCATAACAATGCAAAGATAAACAACCAAAACACTAATAAGGTCAGAAAATACTGACATAGAGGGAGCCATAGTAAAAATGTTATTTGGAAAAAAAAAGTATCAGTAAAATAACAGAAAATATGCATTATTTCTAATATTACCATGCTAGAGATTTCTTTTCTTTTTCTTTCTTTTCTTTTCTCTTTATTGGTAGAGACACCGTCTCCCTATATTGCCCAGGCTGGTCTTGAACTTCTGGGATCAAGTCTCTTGCCTTGGCTTCTCAAAGTGCTGGGATTACAGGTGTGAGCCACTGCATCCAGCCTAGAGATTACTTTTCTAAATGAACACTCAAGGATTTGTTTAAAGAATTTTTAAACTAAGTTACATAAACTGAAGCGTCTATTGATAATCAGTAATAGATCTCATTTCAAAAATAAATCTAACATCCCAATAATTTTTTTCTTTAAGACAGAATCTCGCTCTGTCGCCCAGGCTGGAGTGAAGAGGCATGATCTCAGTTCACTCCAACCTCTGCCTCTTGGGTTCAGGCGATTCTCGTGCCTCAGCCTCCTGAGTAGCTGGGATTACAGGCATGCGCCACCATGCCTGGCTAATTTTTATTTTGTATTTTTAGTAGAGATGGGGTTTTGCCATGTTGGCCAGGTTGATCTCAAATTCCTGAGCTCAGGTGATCCGCCTGCCTAGGCCTCCCAAAGTGCTAGGACTACAGGCGTGAGCCACCATACCCAGCCACCTAATAAATGTTTTGATTGTAATAATGGCTACCTTTACATTGTAAGTATTATAAAAGTAAGTGGTTGATATAAGCTTTTTTATTAGGACATTTTAAAAGTTTGTCAGTGTGTTACACTTACCCAATTATTTAATATTCTATGAATTCTGCTCTTCAAAATATTAGTTTACATTGTGTCCAATTTTTTTTAATCATTAAATATTTATTGTGTACCTACTAAAACAAAATGCCGATACAAAAGGAGATTTAAAGAAAAAAAGAATCAAAGTCCCTACCTTAAGGGTATATAAGGGACTTCTTCCCCCCCACCCCCAGTATCCATGGTATGAAGTTTCCTACAATTTGTCTCTAAAAAGAATCAAATATGTACATGTACGTATGTATAAAAAATTTACTGTAAATGATTAAAAAAAACTAAAACAGGCTAAGTGCAGTGGCTCACGCCTGTAATCCCAGCACTTTGGGAGGCTGAGGTGGGAGGATCACTTGGGCCCAGAAGTTTGAGACTAGCTTGGGCAACACGGGGAGACTCTGTCAAAGAAAAAAAAAAATTAGCTGGAAGTGGTGGCACATGCCTGTATTCCCAGCTGATCGGGAGGCTGAGGTGGGAGGATCACTTGAGCCCAGGAAGGCTACAGTGAACTATGTTCATGCCACTGCACTCCAGCCATGGTGACAGAGTCTGTCACCCTGTCTCAAAACACACATACACACACCACACCCACACACACACCCAACAACTGAAACGATATAAATTGCTATTAGGGTAAAGAAAAATAAAGGTAGTTAAAAATTAAATTCTATGTCCTGAAAAAAGGAGTGTTTCTTGTTGCTGCTGATATATTCTGCACATAATGGTAAGTCAAAAATAATCTTGGCACTTCCTAAAATTTAGGACAATTTCGAATTCTGAGATTAATTTAGATACAGTACTACTGCACTTCAATTACCATAGAAAGGTCTTAAAAGTATGGGCTAGCTAAAACAAATGTGGATGAAGAAAAAAATTATATGTGTGTTTCACTTGATTTTCAGCTAATTTACAGAGAAACCTCCAATTACTAAACACCACCATAATGATGAAAAGATTTAAGAATATTTTCTTCTTCAGACTTCAAAGAAGATACCTGGCATAGGGTAAAGTTTGAGTTTCGGCATCAAACAGACCTGCATAAGAATTCCAGCTCTGCCATTTATTTTCTTGTTAACTTTGAGCAAGTGAAAAAGCATGTTGTGAAAATTAAACTATTGTTTGGAAAAGCACTGCTCCTCAATAAAACACTGATTAAGTCATGGCTACTACATATCTGACTCCAACTGAGAATAAACTTATAATTGTTGGAGTTCTTCAACCTTTCAAAGAGGTATACCAAAATGCCAATACCTCATCATCTTCTCAACCTTATTGTGGAGCCCCACAAACTTTCAAAAGAAGGGTGGAGTAAAAGATGGCAATTTTTTGCAGGCAGAGGCAATGAAAATAGCAACTTCATATAGTGTCAAGAAGTAACATGTTATGGTAGTAACAAAACAACGTTTTATGCCTCCCCCTATTAAAAGGTTTTTAAATAGTTTTCTTTTAAAAATCATCTAATAAGATTTTTAAAACACTTTTCTTATGTGAACTGTAATTTTTAAATGTGGTAATAACAAATGGATGATGAAAAACACTTCCTCTATTCCATCCAGTGTTTCTACCTGGCTATAGAAAATGCTCAGTCACAGCTTGCAATCATACTGTAGCTGAGGCACATGAAAGATGGTCTTGGTTATGACACCTCAAAGTCAGACCACAAAAGTGTTGCCAGGAAGCACAGAGGCAGCAACTACAGAAAAAGCATTAGAACAGCAGCAGTGTGGGCACTGGTGCCCTACCAGCACACCCCATATATGGCTAGGGTTGCCCACTTATTTGTAGGAAGTGAGGGGCCAGTTTGGGGTTGGGAGGGTTTTATTTGTTTGTTTAGGTAGGTTTTTAAAAATGGATTTAGGATGATTTCAATAAAAACTTTTGAAAGGCATGAGCATAAAGTGTTACAGCTTTTCTAAAAAGAAAACTATGCAGAGAAATATTTTACACTGCACATTCTTTTAGACACAAATTTTAATGCTCTTTAAAAGTTATCCAGTAGGTTCTTCCAAGATCTTAACATTCTCCATCAAAAAAAGGGTAAACAGTTACAAACTATAAACTCTTAATTCAGATTTTACATAGTAATCAAACTATTTGCTAACAAGCAACTCAAAATTAATTGCTTCCAGTCTCTTTTACACTTCACATCTTAAGAAGACTACACAAAAGTATTCCCTTTACTGACGAGAGGATCACATATTTTACAAAGATGCTTAAAATGGCTCCCTTAGAAGTAGATCAAATTTGTATTTTAAAAGCAAAAGGATTTCATATTAAACCTATCTGTAAGTCTGTCTGTTTTGGAAAGTAAAAGAAAAACTATTTTAAAATTCTAATAGCATAGAACATGGAACTAATTCTACTTTGTATTCCTCTAGAAGTGGTACCCAACCTTGGCATCAGGAACTAGTTTTGTGAATGACAATTTTTCCACAGATGTGGGTTGGGGAGTGGGGCCGGATGAAACTGTTCTACCTCACATCATCATCAGGAATTAGATGCTCATAAAGAGCACACAACCTAGATACCTCAGAAGCGCAGTTCACAATAGGGTCCGCACTCCTATGGGAATCTAATGCCGCTGCTGATCTGACAAGAGGTGGATTTCAGGCAGTAATGCTAGCTTGCCAGTGTGTCGCTCACCTCCTGCTGTGTGGCCTTGTTCCTCACAGGTCGTGGATCGACCTGTCCACGGCCCAGCGTTTGTGAACCCCCGCTCTAGAGGATCTAGCTCAGACTCTTACAAAGTGAGTAATTAATTAGTGACTCAACTGGATATAATATTTTTCTACCACTTAACCAATATCTAGACTGCTTTAAAATTTAATAGAAAGGAGGTCGATATTAAGAATTTTTTAGGCCGGCCACAGTGGCTCACACCTGTAATCCTAGCACTTTGGGAGGCCAAGACGGGCGGATCACTTGAGGTCAGGAGTTCGAAATGAGCCTGGCCAACATGGTGAAACCCCATCTCTACCAAAAATACAAAAAAAATTAGCCAGGCATGGTGCCACGCACCCGTAATCCCAGCTACTTGGGAGGCTGTGGCAGGAGAATCACTTGAACCTGGGCGGCGGAGTTTGCAGTAAGCCAAGATTACACCACTGCACTCCAGCCTGGGTGACAGAATGAGACTCCATCTCAAAAAAAAAAAAAGATTTTTTTAAAATCTCAAGATATTAAAATATATTGAAATCTACAACAAAGTTTTTAATTTGTTTCATAATCACACAAATTCCATTATGTGCAAGAACAATACGCTAAGTATCTGATGCGAAGGTTTCAAAAATATATCTCACAACATAAAAATAACTCTAAAACTTCCTATTGATGAGGTAAAAAGATAAAAATTCAATAAACCTTTAGTGAGCATCTACTATGTGCTAGGCTCTGGAAATACAAAAATTGTGGAAGATTAGGTCCTCAGAGGCTACAAGGGAAGACAAACACAAACACTATTCAGTAAAAAGTGTTTTTATTGCAGGAGAGGCAGAATATAAGGTACAGTGAACACCCCAGAAAAGAGAATGTGAATCTTGAACAATGACTAGAATTTTAATTGGCAAACGAGGGAGAGAGGATAAAAGGCATGGCTAAAGGCATGGAAATAAAAAATGTAAAGATCTAGTTGAAACGTAAGCAAGTTAACCAATTTCTATAAAGGATACAACACAATGGAGATGTATCAACCATAAGCTAAATGATAAAATGTACTATATCCAAATTTAGAGAGAGGAATAACACCATCAAAATGATACTGTTCAAAGATTAATATGACAGCAATATGCATGCTAGATTAAATAAGGGAGAGAATAGAGGCAGGAAAAACAATTAAGCTATTACTATACTCTAGGGATAAAAATAAGGCTAGGTGCGGTGGCTCACGCCTGTAATCCCAGCACTTTGGGAGGCCGAGGCAGGTGGATCACCTGAGGTCAGGAGTTCGAGACCAGTCTGATCAACATAGAGAAACCGCATCTCTACTAAAAATACAAAATTAGCTGGGCATGGTGGCACACGTCTGTAATCCCAGCTACTTGGGAAGCTGAGCCAGGAGAATCGCTCGAATCCGGGAGGTGGAGGTTTCAGTGAGCCAAGATAGCGCCATTGCACTCCAGCCTGGGCAACAAGAGCAAAACTCCATCTCAAAAAAATAAAATAAAATAAAATAATAAAGGTATGAACTAGGTTGCCAGTAAAAAGTGGCAAAGAAAAGAACTGATGCCAAGGTAATTGTAAAGAAAAGACTGAGCTAGAAGACAGACTGGATTATGCATAGACAAGGGGAATGAGTAAACAATAACTAAAATGTTTAACTTGATTCTAAAGATTAATACATCATTAACAGAAACAGGAACATCAATGAGAAGAGTAGACTTGATGAAGAAAGATAGACCTGTTTTAGGTTGAATTTAAAGAAATTCCTGACGATGTAAAATTGTCTTACCACCAAATTAATAATACTTTTAAAATAATTAGTTAAAAAGGATGCTGGTAAAGTCTAAAGATAAGTATCTCTAATGTTAACGGATAAACGTAAAATTATAATACTGAATTGCAACTATGAAAATCTATATTTGAACAATAAGAAATCCTTTGAAGAAATCACAAAGGTTAACGTGAATACAGTAGTTGCCATTCTATGGCAAAGGGGGTGAACTTGTATTTACTATATTACTACTTAAAAGACATTATTAAATATAAAATTACAATACATTTAATATTTCATTTCAAATCAATACATAACCCCAAAAAATGGAAATGAGGCTTGGAGCTTTGCAGAAATGAGGGAACTGTAAACTGACTTGGAAGTCACTGGCACAGAGGAAAAAGAAAAGATTTTAAGGCTAAAATCAACAGGCTAAACTCAAAACTGCTGGAGAAAAATCTCAGCCCTGTATTTTATGCACACCAGTATCAGTAAGAATCAGCAATAAGGCATTCTATATATAACTTTATTAATCTCCTTAAATCTTTACAAAATATGCTAAAATAGAGATATAATCACATACTGTAAAACTCTACCAGGTAGCTATAAAATCAGAAGCTGATTATTGCCCCATTGGTAATAATGAAATTCTACTCTAGACCTCGGTTCTAGAAAAACCAGAAATTTGTATCTATGGTTAACTTTGTGCTGTTTTGTAGCTTTGGGGGTCAGGTCCTGGGTAGAGTGGGTGGGGGAGAAAGGCTACTCTGGAGACTAAGATAGGAAATTTGACAAGAAACGCTGCTTTTTCTTCTATACAGAGGACACATTTCTATACAAAAAGAACAGCTGAAGACTGGATATCTTTTATAACTTCTAATGAGGTAGCACATTCAACAAATTAATAAACCTTTAAATATAAGCTCTTTAAAGTAAAAGCAAAATATTCGATTTTCAAAAGCATATTTGTGGGTTGTGATGTTCCTAAAACTTTTCTCTTGACAATGAAATTTAGAACACTTGATCAAAACCAGAAAGTAAATGAATATTCAAAAAACAATCAACAATTAACCCCGTTATACATTTTAGGTATTCTACGATCTTTTGAGAGGTTAAAGTTTTAAAGAACTATTCAAGGACTATTAAATCAGTGATTTTAGTTTTTACAATTAAGTATGGAAAACAAGCTAAGTTCAAGAGATTTCTTAAAGGCTTAAAATTTTCTTGTGTGTGTGTGGTTTTTAATTTTATTTATTGTCTTTCACTAACTGTTGTCCTAAATTTGCCCAAAGTGAACTCCCTGTTTTCATAGTAACAATGGGAAAAAAGTACAAGAGTTGATAAATAAGAAATGAGAGTGAAGAAAACATAACACAAATTTTTAATGCTTGATATTTTAAAGACTTTGGCTTCACCGATTTAAGGCATTTGCAGATATGGAAAAATGTTATGGAAAAGGGGAGGCGGTTGGAGATTATCGGGTCAAACCCACACTCACAGTGACAAAAAGTGACAGAAAGATATTACGCAAATGGAGTAAATTTAGAAACTTCTGTTTGTCAACTAAAACAAAATACCCAATAAAGATATATCTACACAACACCAAACTGACCACTGAATTCAGTTAATCAGGAAGACATTGGTAAGTCTGACAATTCTTGTAACGTGTGAATATTGAGAGGAGAAAAAAAGATCTTAAGAAGGCAGTTAAATGTATTTTCTCTTCCTCCCTAAACCAGTATCACAATAATGTAAATATCAAAACTTTTCGTCTTCCTCTAAGCCAATACAACTGGGTTCCTCCACAACAATAGTAACTTTAAATTTCTATTTGACAATTTGAATAAAACATATTGATGCGAACCATTATCCAATTATCCTGACCTCCTACAGTAATAATCGTCTTTCAAAATCTGTTTCACACTAAAACGTGTAAAGTACACTTGAAAGAAATTTGAAGATTCATCTTATATAATTACATTATCATTTTTAATGCCAAAAGTTTCCTTCATTCTCAACACCATGGTTTTAAAATTTTACGAGTTATGATATGCCTTAAATAAACTTCACCCAAATAAAAAGTTTGCTATGCATTAGAGAATCTAAATTAATGAAATTGAGAAAGCGCTAGACACCCTGCTATATTTTTACTGGGTGCCACATTTTTAATTCCATATTTGTCCTGCAATGTGTCAATCATTTCAATATATCCAGTCAACTTTGTAAACAAAGGCTATACTCCAAGTCTGATAAGAGAATTCCATTACACAAAATTTAAAATGGTCATCACTCCCTTAAACAGTAAGCAGGACAAGGAAAAATGTCACTACACACCTTTTTTTTAAAAGGCATCAAGTTAATATTCATGAAATATAAAGCCTTGAGTTTCAACCTCCCAAACAAGTTTTTACTACAACATTATTCAAAATAAGGCTATGCATCTTCCACACACAACCAAGGCAACTTTGAGATAGCTTACAAGTCTTTTCATTGTTAAGGGGAAGCTATCGCTGCAAAGTCATTTTCTATTACAGTTATTCCAAGTTGCCCGCTAAGAAAATAGAAAAAGCCTATGTTTTGTCACCTATTACCGTCACTTAAAAATTGCTTTTTATGCATAACTCTACGTGGTTGTGTTGCTTTTGGCCTGTTAAAGGCAAGGCAACATTATCTCTGGATTGCCAATAGTTTCTCCTTATTTGGCTAACATTGAGAGATCCCAATCAGACTACTATAAAACTTTAATATGCACAAAGCATCCATTTTGAGAAAAGTTTGTGACCAGCTTTCTTTTTTCCCAACCCCAAAAGAAAAACCAGAGCTTGGTAACCGGCTTTGAAAAGAGTGTCCCCTATTTATTCTTCTCTTTCTAACACCAGTGCACACCCGAGGACCTGGGGCTCAAGGATCTCTGACACTGCGGCAAACTTCGAGTATCAGACTCAACACGTTCCGGTCCGGAGGTGGGCAAGCCCTTTAGAGGGCTTCCTTACTCTACCCACTTCCATCCCCTTCCTTTCAGCCGGTGCAGATCAGCTAATTACACCCTGTTTTCCCCTCCCCAGTGACCAAGAGTAATAAATGAGAAAACAGGAAATCGTTCGTTCAGGGCACTCGGCTTAGGGCTCTAGATTACTATTATTATCATCATTTGTAATCAAGTCCTAAAAAGTGCAACAAATCCAATGCCCACCTACAAGTCAAAGATGTTCATCTGCCTAACCGTCCGTAATGCCCCTTGTTAGTTTTCTTCCTTCAGCATCCACCCCTCCGAATATACCACTGACACCGGGGCCCAGGCACAACCCCACTACACCCCTCCTTGTCTCGACCCCAAATCCCAGACTTATCCACGAATGGCCCTGGGGCCCCAAACGACCACAGTTCCTTTTCCCCTATGCCCCGGAAATCACCCGGTTCCCAACTCCACCAGCAACTGTTCTGAAGGGGGGCCTCAAGCCCAGCGCCCTCCCTTCCACCAGCTCTCCCTCCCGCCCTCTGGGGAAACCGCCCCCTCACCCCGCAGCAGGGAGTCTCCCGCCGCCCCCAGCCTCAAGAGGTGGAGAACTGAGGGCAGGCCCGAGCAGGAGGCCGACGAGAACCCTCACGGTCAGGAGAGCCGGCGGCGGGGCGCACAGACCTGGTGCAGGGCAGTGAGTCCGTCCACATTGGCGTAATTGATGTCGGCGCCGCGGTGCAGCAGCTTGAGGACCTCGTCCGTGTCGCCGCTGGAGCAAGCAGCCAGGAAGACGGCGCCATCGTCGAACTTCACCTTGGTCTTCTGGCGCTTCACCACCGGAGGCTCGAGGTCCGTCTCGGAGCCGATCCAGCGTTTCAGCTGCTCGTTCCGCTTCTGCTTCGCGTCCGCCATCTTCATCCCCTCTCCTGCCGCCGGGTCTTCTTATCGCGAGGGGGGGAAGGGGGAGGCGGAGAGGGAAGAGAGGGGAGGCAGGGGGTGTGTGAATGTTTCTATGAGTGCGGGCCAGAGGAGGGCTGGGAACCCGGAGCCGACGCTCGAGACTTCCAGTATCCCACAGAGCACTGGGGCGGCGCACCCGGCCGAGCGGACCTCCCTTCCTACCACAGAAGCCCTCCCGCCCCCAGCACGGCCACCCGTCACCGGCGGCCAATCTAACGTAACTTCGCGAGATCCGGACTGGGAGGCGCCCTTCGACCAGTGCGCATGCGCCCTGGGCCTGTGCCCGCCCCAGGAAGAGCGCTCCCGCGAACTGCGGCGGTGGTGGCTGGGCCACCAGAGGGAAGCGGGTGTGGCCCAGGCAGCGGGGGCTGGGACAGACCTGGAAAGGAGGAAGCGGGGAAGGAAGGTTGTCCTGTCGGGCTGGGGGCTCCCGGGAATCCGGAGGCCAGCAGTGGAACCGCAAGGCTCTACAGGGCAGATCTGCCTCCCGTGCTGTCTCAGCTACGCCGAGTCGTTGGCTCAGGGCGGAGGATTTTCCTATTGGCCGCGTTATTTGAATGGAATGGAGGATAGGTCGTGAAGTAGGTGCTGCTGGTTGATCTTTCTAAGGAACTCAGATGAACTTGGGCATGTCAGAATTAATAACCTTTTAAAAGTGGGGTCTGTGTGGCCGAGGGTTTTAATGGTAAGTTCTTGAGGTGACCACCTATTGACAAGGGTTGACCTGCTGTAATTGCTGTGGCTTCCTGCCAACCCCCACTTTAGAAATGTTTTTCTTCCTCTCTTTACTTGTTTTGTTTTGCTTTCTCTCACGCTTGGGTTCTCTTCTTTCTTCCTTCAGTGCTTTAAGCCTGTCTCGTACTACCCATGAGCTTAGCTCAGCCTGATTACTGGTCCTTACCTTTTAAGGGATTTCTGGTTACAGCTCCATCTCTTTCTAAGGAGGGGTAAAGACCTAGCTGCGTCTAGCATTTAAACGGAACGTTAAGGAAGGCAATTAATTCAACCACTATTTATTGAATACCTACTATGAGCCAGTAACTGTACTAGGCACTGAAGATACAATGAAAAATATGACATTTATTTGAACCACCTCTTGAGTTCAGTCGCCCAAACAAGACTAATTTATCATCGTCATAAAAAAAAGACTTTAACTTTGCCTTGTATGACCACACGCGCACACACATAGGATTTGTAATACTGATGTCTTATGAGCCATCTATCTACAATCTCCACCAATTGATTTTACTGAACACTGCATTGTTACCATCCACTACTATTTTTAGAGCATTTAGAAAAGCCAAGATAAAAACCACAAAACCTTACCATGGAAGTTTAGGGGTCATCTAGACAGAGTCCCTCAAGAACTAATTAATTTACTTAATTTTACCCAGAAGTAGGATTAGAATTCACTCAGCAAATACTATGCACCTGTTCTGGGTCAGGCATTGTTCTAGGTGCTGGAGATAGAGCAGTGAACAAATAAGCTTTTCTTACTCTCAGCATGATGCCTTTTCCAGTGGACTACTTCACAGCCTATCATATTGAGAAATAAAATAATTGAGTAAAACGTGATTAGGAAACTGTCTGCCTGTGAGACAATTTTCTGAACCACAGTTATTAGGATAGCGATAGAATCCAGGTCAGGGTAAAAATATTTCCTCTGAAAACGTTGTAGGAATAGAAAATGAATGTAATATTCATAAGATATACCATTGTATGTTCATTACATACATTAAAGATAACATCAGACCTTTGAATACTCATGGTGTTAGGTACTGAAAAACATTGTTAGCACTAAAATACAAAATCCCTATCCACAGAATACAGCTCTCAGAATAAAAGAAAGGAACTTGAGGATTGCCTTGTCAGCTCCTGTCTCTACCTAGGCAACTGACAGCATATCCTGTTTTCCAAGAACGTTATGGCCTATGTGGTAGCTCTTAAAGTGCCCTTGCAGTATAGATGGGAATCTGAAGATTTCATTCAGGCAAAAGGAATTTAGTGGGAAGTATGCTATTCCTGATTCAAGCACTTATTTCAGGATGCAAAATTAATAATAGTTTATTAATAAAACATAATTAAGTTCATTCAGTTCCCAGAAGCTGTCAGGGAAAAAACAACCAAGGAGGGCTGCTATCATGTGCAAATTTCACTGAATTTAGTTTTTCTTCTTTCGTGGCTCTAAGGGTCAAGATGCTCTATGTTAATATTGAAAGTACTCTGAAACTGCCACCTACTTTGTCTTTAGGGAGGATTTTTTTTAAATTGTTGTTAGTGAATTAATGGTACTGAAGACCTTGGGTTAATTCTAGAACAAGCAAAATTTTTTATTGACACACACAGTCCCAGCACAGTGGCTCACACCTGTAATCCTATCACTTTGAGAGGCTGAGGCGAACTCTGCCCAGGAGTTCGAGGCTGCAGTGAGCTCTCTGCACTACAACCTGAGCGACAGAGCTAGACCCTATCTTTACCAAAAAAAAAAAAAAAAGACACACACACACACACACATGCTTTTATTACATATTTGTCTAAGCAGAACAAATGGAAAAAATGCAAATATTTTCACTTCCTAATGGCTTCTAAACAGATTGGGATGTGAGGATACATTTTAGCTCCTTTAAAGCAAATTAAGCCTTAAAATAGAAGTACAAATAAAACTATACTTACTAATTTGCATATATGTATATATAAAAATATATTTTTGGCTGCACCAAATCAATCATATTGGAGGTTTTTGTTTCTGAGACAGGGTCTCACTCTATCGCTCAGGCTGCAGTGCAGAGGCATGATCTCAGCCTCCCAAGTAGCTGAGACTACAGGCGCGTGCACCACCAGGCTTAGCTAATTTATTTTTTAAGTTTTGTAAAGATGGGGTCTACCTATGTTGTCCAGGCTGGTCTCAAACTCCTGGGCTCAAGTGATCCTCTGCCTTGGCTTCTTAAAGTGTTGGGATTACAGGCTTGAGCCACTGTACCTGGCTGGGGGTTTTATTTATTACATGCACAAGATTGTCAGAATGAGATCTGTGTATATCTTTTTCAAAGTTTAATCACACTACTGACATTCCTTACCATTAATTTGCTTGCTAATTATGATCAACTTAATTTAAATTATAAACATATTTGAAATGCTGACATGCACAGCTTAGATTTGTTTCTGCTATTATAATCTCTTTGTTAAAAATGTACATAAGATATTAATAAATACTTTGATATATCTATGTTCTCTTTATCCCTAATTTAAACCTGAGATACTAATTTACATTTATACACTTGAGAATAGAACAGTCAACAAGGACCTTGTTTCTGTCTCCTGTATTCTACACCTGGGCCAAACTCTCTTCCATTGCATAATAATTTCTTTCCAATGTTTTATTTAAGAACCTGAAGAAAAGGCTGGGCACGGTGGCTCATGCCTGTAATCCCAGGGCTTTGGGAGGCCCACGTGGGCAGATCACCTGAGGTTAGTAGTTCGAGACCAGCCTGGCCAACATGGCAAAACCCCCGTCTCTACTAAAAATACAAAAATTAGCTGGGCGTGGTGGCACGTGCCTGTAATCTCAGCTACTCGGGAGGCTGAACCCGAGAATACATGAGAATTACTTGAACCAGAAGGCGGAGGTTGCAGTGAGCCAAGATTGTGCCACTGCATTCCAGCCTGGGTGACAGAGCAAGACTCTGTCTCAAAAAGAAAAAAAAAAAGAACTTGAAGAAAAGTTTACAATCCATTCACATCATAATTTATTTAGTCCTACCCAGGGAGTTGACCAGAACCAACATGGAACCACCCTAACTTGCTTCAGACTCCATTGCTAGATCAATCCTGATTTCTAGATCATAGCATCTAATCTTTGCCTTGCCTCTGGATTACAAGGTGAGTTTCTAATTTACTTTAGGGTAAATTTTCTGCCACATCTGACTCCATTTCAAGAAACTAACCCTATCACAGTACAAGTACTGGCTAATATGCTCATAAAGCTTCTTTTGTTCCCCAAAACTAGGACTCAGATGAGTGTCTGGCAACAATCCAAAGTGCAGTTATACTGCTAAAGAGATAACTCACCTCCATTGCACATGACTCCCAACCTGTATCATGTGACAGAACATCACATGCCCCTTTCATATGAATTAATGTTTCCCAAACTTTATCAGTTTTATTGCCAAATTCAAGAACCGCAAATACTAGTATTTGCTTAATGTTTTCTTTAACCTTTTTAAGACAAATTTATTTTAAAGCAACATTATGTTGCTTTGGTAAGTGAAAAACGTTTCCACTTGACATAAAGAAGACTGTTAAAGCAAATACAATGAAAACAAAACATTAGTTAGGTTGTCTGTCAAGGGTCTGAGCCCAAGCTGTGCTCTCAATTTGTTAAAAAAGGGATATTGGTAAGGGTTGGACATGTGAGCATCAACCTAAGATTTTTCAGTTTAGCATAATCGGAAAGATTAAAAGGTAGTGAAAAAAGAATATTGTGCTAAGTGCTTCACTGTTGTTTTAATGTTACATCTACCTTATAACATTACCTCATGTACCACCAGTCTACATGTCCTACACTTTAGGAAACTGACTGACTTTAATTAGTATGTGTAATAATAATTACGATTAATTAAGTGAAGGTTATAGGATAGGCCTTAGTGGCACCCCCAACTCAAGGTGTCAAGGCAAGGCATTGGCAGGAAGGCCAATTTGTATGAAAATATCTGTGTGCTGAAGGAATTTCAGAAATAAGAGTCATTCTCCATGGCACTGAAATTAGAAGAATAAATTACAAGATCAATATCTGGAAGGCAAGTTTAGGTGCATGAGTTCTATCTTGGATCACTAATATTTAGTTGAGGGATCCATTCAATTGTCCTTCAAATCAAATCCTAGGAAAAGCTTTAAAATTCCTTCACAGACCAGAGTGCAAAAACAAGGTATTCATGAGAACCAAAACATGCTGACCGTGCTCAATTTTGACAGGTGGGAATATCAACTTCATGTGGTTGTCTTAAAGATTAAATGAATAATGTATGTGAGAGAGAAAAAAATTTGAGATTTTATTTGTGTTCTTGTATTTGCCTTTTCCTTCCCTTATTTAAGCTGATAGCAACTCTGCTTCCTTGCCTCAGGACAGGTTTGTGGCAAGGAAGAAAGCAGAAGTTGCTTTCAAAACATTTTCCCTCCTACTTGAAATGTCCACCCACCAATTTCTATTTAATAAGAATTTAGGGCTAGTGATCTGATTGGAATTAGTATATGAGGTTGCTAGAAACTTATTTAAGTTCTATTTGCATAGCATTATAAATCAATAAAAATAGCACTGTTTTCTAAATTTGCCTTTATTTTCACTTTACAAAAATTTTCACCATAACTCCATGGAATGTTATTTTTACTTAGGGTGGAACCAAGCAGAGGGGTTCACCCAAGCCATCTTTGGGTGCTTCCATGGGAAAGAAGGATTTCACTGAGAATAATAAGTGACACCAAGGCTCAAAAGAATGAGAGAGAAGTCTGTTGGTCTCTTGAACAGCAGGGATTTGCTCACAGATCTCTGGAAGTAGCCAGAATGTGACAGGATCTCAAAATGAATGGCTGCTTCATGGAGGCTGGAACATAAGCCTGGGACTCCCAGTAGCCAAACATAGCTGTGCCACAAACATGGCTGAAATGTAGCAGTTTGGTGGATCCGAGGTCAGTCATTGAAAATGTATTGATTGGCACCTATTCTTTGTGAATCATTATTCTGGGTTCTGGGGTCACAGGAGCAAATGAAACAAATGAAGTACCTGCCATCAATGAGCTTACATTCTAGTAAAGAGGGACAGAAAATGAATACATTTTAAATGAATAAATTCAGATACCGCTAAATGTAGTGAAGAAAAAAATTGGGCTAAAGAGAGCGAAAAACAATTTCTGAAGTTACTAGCAGTGAAGGGTGGGGGAAGAGAAGAGACGGATTTAACCAGGAAAGATCTGAGCTGAGGGTGTATCCAGGTTTTCTGGAACCTGATATTATTACAGTTTAGAGATTCTTCTTCAAGAAAAAGAATTTAAAATTACAAATAATTAACTTCAGGGCCTTGGAAGGGGTCCACTCAAGTGAACAGAAAATTATGTGCTCCTTATAAAATATATGATTTAAAACTACAACAGTGGCTGGCCGTGGTGGCTCATGCCTGTAATCCCAGCACTTTGGGAGGCTGAGGCAGGTGGATCGCGAAGTAAAGAGATCGAGACCAACCTGGCCAACAATGGTGAAACCCCGTCTCTACTAAAAATACAAAAATTAGCTGGGCGTGGTGGCATGTGCCTGGTGTCCCAGCTACTTGGGAGGCAGAGGCAGGAGAATCGCTTGAACCTGGGAGGTGGAGGTTGCAGTGAGCCGAGATTGTGCCACTGCACTCCAGCCTGGCGACAGAGTGAGACGTCTCAAAAAAAAAAAAAAAAAAAAACTATAACAGTAATTGAGTGTATAAACACTCAATTTGTTTCCTCAGCTAGATCTAGAACCAAGGATTCTAGAAAATATGTGTCAAAACCCAGCTCTCAGTTTTGTTAGCTATCACTTAACATCAGTTTAAATCATTCATTTATTCACCATTCATTAAGCCGGTATTTATGAGTACCCTATTGGTACTCTGTATGTACTAGTGCTAAAACTATAACAATGTAAACACTCATTCCCTGCAATCAACAATATATACTGGCCAAAGATTCAATTCCATGATCAAGCATAGCAGCATTAATAGTAGAGCAACCTCCATTATGTGCCTAAGCATTACCTAAATTTTAGCCTGAGTTTAACCAGGTGTTTTAGATCAAATATCACTTTACTAGAAACATGGGAGATAGAAGAACATATTAAATGATACCACACATACTTAATCAAACAAACCTGAAATGTAGGATAATCTCTAGGGCACTGGCCTGGTTTCTTTTAAAAAGTCAGTGTTATAAAAAATTTTAAATAAAAATGTTCTAGATTAAAAGATACTGAAAATCATAATGACTAATTAAGCTTGTAAACTTTGATTAAGTTCCGGTTTGGAAAAAAGTTGTATGTAATTGATTATTGGAAAAATTGAATATGGATTGTGTTTTAGATGATATTAAGGAATTTTTGTTATTTCTGTTCTAAGATGTAATAATGTGATTATGTAGGAATGTATCCTTAATTTAAGGAGATGAGTATGTTAAATATGATGTTGCAACTTCCTTTCAAATGATTTCATGAAATAAAAAATAAATACATACAAATGCATGTAAGTAGACAGTGCAAGTTTGGCAAGATTTTAATTTCTGAACTTAGGTAACAGGTATCCAAGTGTCTGTTACTATTTTTTCAGCTTTGCTGTTTGATATTTTTTACAATGAAATATTGAGGGAGAAAAAGAATGGATTGTGGGGAGACTGTGTTGTGATTCTCTAATAGAGTCAATGCCATTACTCCAGAGATATTTGGACATGTGGGTGAGGTGTTTTTGATTATCAAAATGATTGTGGAACACTACTGTCGTTTAGTGAGGAAGTGAGTAATAAATAACTTGTGATGTGTGGGAATTTTCCAAACAACAACTAAGTACCCTTCCCAAAATGCTAATAACTCCCCTGTTGAGAAATACTAAAATTAAACCAATAAATAGCTCACACAAAAAATATTCCATTGACCTTATATACAACTCTAATGTTTGTTCTCCAATTCACAAAAAAGTACTCCTGATAAAGAGTCATTTATATTCATGGCTTCCATATCCATGTTTTCTTTCTTTTTTTTTATTATACTTTTAAGTTCTAGGGTACACGTGCACAACGTGCAGGTTTGTTACATAGGTATACATGTGCCATGTTGGTTTGCTGCACCCATCAACTCAGCATTTACATTAGGTATTTCTCCTAATGCTATCCCTCCCCCAGTCCCCCAACCCCCAACAGGCCCCAGTGTGTGATGTTCCCTGCCCTGTGTCCAAGTGTTCTTATTGTTCAATTCCCACCTATGAGTGAGAACATGTGGTGTTTGGTTTTCTGTCCTTGTGATAGTTTGCTGAGAATGATGGTTTCCAGCTTCATCCATGTCCCTGCATCCTTTTTTATGGCTGCATAGTATTCCATGGTGTATATATGCCACATTTTCTTAATCCAGTCTATCACTGATGGACATTTGGGTTGGTTCTAAGTCTTTGCTATTGTGAATAGTGCCACAATAAACATACGTGTGCATGTGTCTTTATAGTAGCATGATTTATAATCCTTTGGGTGTATACCCAGTAATGGGATCGCTGGGTCAAATGCTATTTCTAGTTCTAGATCCTTGAGGAATCACCACACTGTCTTCCGCAATGGCTGAACTAATTTACACTCCCACCAACAGTGTAAAAGCGTTCCTATTCTCCACATCCTCTGCAGCATCTGTTGTTTCCTGACTTTTTTTTTTTTTTTTTTTTTGAGATGGAGTCTTACTCTGTCGCCCAGGCTGGAGTGCAATGGCACCATCTCCGGTCACTGCAGACTCCACCTCCCGGGTTCACGTCATTCTCCTGCCTCAGCCTCCCAAGTAGCTGGGACTACAGGCACCGGGCACCACGCCTGGCTAATTTTTTTTTTTTTTTCGTATTTTTAGTATAGGCGGGGTTTCACCGTGTTAGCCAGGATGGTCTTGATCTCCTGACCTCGTGATCCGCCTGCCTTGGCCTCCCAAAGTGCTGGGATTACAGGCATGAGCCACCGCGCCCGGCCTGTTTCCTGACTTTTTAATGATGACCATTCTAACTGGCGTAAGATGGTATCTCACTGTGGTCATGATTTGCATTTCTCTAATGACCAGTGATGATAAGCATTTTTTCATGTGTCTGTTGGCTGCATGAATGTCTTCTTTTGAGAAGTGTATGTTCATATCCTTTGCCCACTTTTTGATGGGGTTGTTTTTTTCTTGTAAATTTGTTTAAGTTCTTTGTAGATTCTGGATATTAGCCCTTTGTCAGATGAGTAGATTGCAAAAATTTTCTCCCATTCTGTAGGTTGTCTGTTCACTCTGATGGCAGTTTCTTTTGCTGGGCAGAAGCTCTTTAGTTTAATTAGATCCCATTTGTCTATTTTTGCTTTTGTTGCCATTGCTTTTGCTATTTTAGTCATGAAGTCCTTGCCCATGTCTATGTCCTGCATGGTATTGCCTAAGTTTTCTTCTAGGGTTTTTATGGTTTTAGGTCTAACATTTAAGTCTTTACTCCATCTTGAATTAATTTTTGTGTAAGTTGTAAGGAAGGGATCCAGTTTCAGCTTTCTACATATATCCACGTTTTCTATTCATTCCTCAGTCCACTCAAGTTTGGTTCAACAACCACCTTCCTTAAAACCAGTTTTATCAGGATTAGCACTGATATCTTTGCTAAATCCAAAGGGTGCTTTACATTATTTGACCACGGTGAATATTTCCTCCCTCTGGAAATTTTCGCCTTGTCTTCCATGACACTACTTTCTTCTGGGTTTTCCTAACTCTCTAATTTTTTCAGACTCCTATTATAAGCCCCCTTTTTCTTTGCGTACATCTTATTTCACAGGATTTCATCTTTAGCTCTTTTTTCTATTTAATTTTTCTCAGATCCCCACCTCAAGGCAAAATATTGCACCTAAGTCCCATACCTATTTACACGACTGCCTACTGACATGAAATCTTCAAGCCTAACATACATGAAATGGAACTTAATATCCCCCCACATACACTTGCTTCTCTTATAGTCTTTATTTCAATTAATGACTAGGATCTACTTAATGCTTTAGGGACCTACCCAGGAGACATGGATTCCAAATGGCAAGGGAGGAGAGTGGTAGGGAAAGAGATGGCTTCCAGGAGGAGGTGACACTTAAGCTAGGCGACTAATCAAGGGAGAATTGAATGAGGTGTTTGGAAGTGATGCAATGTGAGTTAGGGAAGACGCTCCATGTGCAGAAACAGAAGCAAATGCACAAAGGAAAATAATGCTACACTTTTTTTCTAAAAGTGGAGAGCAACTCAGAATTGATGAAGTATACTTTTTTTTTTTTTGCAGGAAGAATAGGCAAGAAATATAGTTGGTAAAGTAGGCAGAAAATAGATCATGAAGAATCTTTTATGCCATTCTAAGGAGTCTGGATCTTATCCTATCAGGTCAGAGTTCACAGGTTGATTGTTCACAGACTACACAAGTGGCTTGTTTGGCTTATGCCGTGCTTTAAAACGTGATGAATTATTTGTTGACATTTAAAAGCTAAACCGTTTCACATAAAATCTGGATTTCCAGTCTCTTTTGAAGAACTGGAAGTTCTGGCCACATTTTCCCGCATTTGACAGGCTCTAATGTCACCACTCTGCAATAGTCCCCATCTGATCTGCTTTGTTCCGTTGTCACTTCTGCTACCTGCCTGGCACCTGAGAGCTTTGGCAGTTGCTACTTCTGCTTCAGATGATGAGAAATTATTGAAGCAAGAGAGTAATACCAGATATTTGGGTCAGAAAGATCATTCTGGAAGAAAAATAGAGGACAGGCACCGGGGCATAGCGAAGAGTGCCCTAAAGAAATGAATGCAAATTCTAGAGTAACAGTGGATATGTTTACAGAGGGAGAACAAACACATCACTTTGCCTTAGACACCATTTATCCTCCTAAACCGCGGGATAGCTCAGAGGAGACAAGACTCATGCAGTACTGAGGTGACAGTTGAAGATGGCCTCAGCTAGAGCAATGACAGTACAGATGAAAAGGAGGGGCCAGGAATCAATAAAGCTTAATCATTGATTGTATGTGGCATGTAAAAACTGGAAGGAATGTAAAATAATTTCCAAGTGAATGATAAGAGAACAAGGTGCTAAAAATCTTCACTTATCACACTAATAAAAAAATTATTCTGTATTGAACAAATTTGCCTTCATAGTGATTAGCTTACTAGATCTATTTTCACATATGCCTAGTAACTATAAATTAGTCAATTATACATCATTTCTAAGTAAAACTCTAGGAAAGATAATTAAATGCAAAATGAATGGAAATTTTAAGAACTTAACGATCACTAGGAACAACTAAAGGTTTTTTGAGAAATGAGCCATGCTAAATTAGGCTCGCTTATCATTTTGTTGCTTGTGTGTTTGTTTTGTTAAGAATGCTAGGCTAAGTCAGGATCACGTAGTGATAGAGTCTGAGAGAGTAGGCACAATTAATAAAACTTCTCTAAGCTGCTTTGTCATGATAGGTACATGGTAGTCATTGCATTTTTTAACCTGAACACATTATTTCTCATACTGTATCAGCTTTCCATTTTTCTTTTTTCTTTCTTTTTTTTTTTTGAGATGGAGTTTTGCTCTTGTTGCCCAGGCTGGAGTGCAGTGGCGCGATCTTGGCTCACTGCAACCTCCGCCTAAGGTTCAAGCGATTCTCCTGCCTCAGCCTCCTGAGTAGCTGGGATTACAGGCATGCACCACCATGCCTGGCTGATTTTGTATTTTTAGTAGAGATGACGTTTCACCATGTTGGCCAGGCTGGTCTCAAACTCCTGACCTCGTGATCTGCCCGCCTTGGCCTCCCAAAGTGCTGGAATTACAGGCGTGAGCCACCGCTCCTGGCCAGCTTTCCATTTTTGAAATGATTCTCCACATTATCCTAGTTTCTCTTTTTCAATTTTACTTTCCATTTTTAATTTTTTCATTTGGTTTTCAGTCACTAATTGAGTGACAGTGTTGTCTTCTACCCATTGAACTTTAGATATTTCTAGTTTTCCCAAACTATATGACTTTTATTTAAATCCTCAATATTATTACACCTATTGTATATATCTTTACCTCTCTGACTCATAATTTCTCACTTCTCATACGCACACATGTGTACACACACGCTATATATATATGTATATTCTATAGTATACTATATGGAAACGATTTAATTTTTATTTTACTTGCTTTCATTTTTCATTATTTTTCAAATTCATCCTTTTGAATTTTATCCATATGTCTTATTTTTATTATTATAGATAAAATTCTATAACTATGACATTCTTTTTATACCCTATTATGTAGTTACTCCAGTAATTACATAATATACATATATACATATAATGTACACAATAGACGTATAAAAATAAAGAAGCTTGTACATGTTTCATTCACACCTATGTTGGTAAAAGAAGATATGAAAAACATACTGAGAGGAATAAGGGTTAGGTTTGCCACATGCATACAGATTTGTAAGACATGAATGAGTTGAAATTATAAACGAGAATGACTTTAATTACATCTAAGTAGGCAAACAGCCAAGATCTTTCTGTCTGAGAAAGTAATTAATTTTCACTTTTCTTTAGCGTAGGTTAAAGAAAAATTTTAGAGTGGATAAGAAAGCCGTTCCTCTGTTCATTTTCATAAAAATCATTGCAATATCTAATCTCTCAGGAATAGGAAATGTTTATATGGCATTAGATTAGTTGAGATCTGAAGTGAAAGCTTGAAAACCTGTCTCAGTAACATTATTCCTGTACTTTTATAGCTATTCTTGTGTTTTTTACTGTGACACCCTGTCTGGTTTCCTTTATCTCCAGATTCCTATTACAGATCAACCCTGTTTATTTCATTTCTAGAGGTAAAAGTTGACATAGTATGGTTTTCTCAATTGTAAAGGTTTCTGGTATGCTATCGGCTTAATTCTGAAGGCAAGACAAATATAAGAAGTAAAGAGGAAAGAACTAATATTTTGGCACGATGAAGCTGTTTTAGATATTGATTATGGTGATGTTTATATAAAAGTATACATTTGTCAAAGCTCACAGAACTATACATGAAAAAAGCTGAAGCTTACTGTGGGTAAATTATGTTTCACTAAAAAGAGAGAGAGAACCTAAGACTGTCAGTCACAGCCAGGAAAAACTGTTATGCCATATTCAAATGTCAGATTCATATTCACATGAAACATTTCCTGTTATTATAGTAAATATTACTGATGTGACCTTCTATATAAATCAGTTTTAGCTTATCTACTTTCATCTTCAAAACTTTGAAAGAAAATAGGTTCTCAAAAGCCATTTACACGCTAATCATTAGTTTTTCAGAAGTTTACATTTGAATATAAGTTAACAGTACTAAATTGGTTAACTAAGTAAGTGTGGTTGATGGCCAGCCTGCAGGATGGCCCACAGTGCGTCTTGCCTCGGGGTGTTCACACCCCTGTGTAGAGCACTTCCACAGTGAAAGGGGGTGATATATGTAAGGAACAGGATATTGAGGAAATGGCAGTGTGACTTCTCAGCCTAGGCCATAAAAGCATTAAAAGTTTCTGCTTTGCTCTCTCAGGGTAACATACTCATTGCGGAGCGAGCCAACTGCCTTGTTGAAATGATACTCAAGCAGCCCTATGGAGATGTCCACAGAGCAAGGAACTGTTCCTGTGAGGAAGCCATCTTAGAAGGGCATCCTCAAGCCTAAGTAAAGCCGTCACGTGACTGACGTCTTTTTTTTTTTTTTTTTTTTTTTTTGAGACGGAGTCACACTCTGTACCCAGGCGGGAGTGCCGTAGCAGGATCTCGGCTCACTGCAACCTCCGCCTCCCGGGTTCAAGAGATTCTCCTGCCTCAGCCTCCCGAGTAGCTGGGATTGGCTAATTTTTGTATTTTTTTAGTAGAGACAGGGCTTCACCGTGTTGGTCAGGCTGGTCTCGAGCTCCTGACCTCAGGTGATCCACCCGCCTCGGCCTCCCAAAGTGCTGGGATTACAGGCGTGAGCCACTGCTCCCAGCAGATTGATGTGTTAAATGCGACCTTATGATAGACCTAGAGCTATGCCACCCTCAAATTCCTGACCCATAGACACTGTGAAATAATAAATGCTCATTGTTGTTTTAAGCTGCTAAGTTTGGGGAATATTTTTGTTATATTGCAATAGACAATAAACACACTAATGTTTTATTTTTCTGAAACATATTCAAACTCATATATTCTAGGACCAGCTACACTGACACAGAATACTATTTGCTGGAATTTTAAGCTCAATGATTTTAATTAATAAAGTGAGGATATTGAAATATATAGACAACGCATTGAGTCTAACTTCTAATACAAACAAGATGGTAAAGAAGTGATAGTTGGGGAATTTTTTTTTTTTTTTTTTTTGGTCAGAGCCTGTTTATCTGCAAGGAGGTGAAACCTAATCAGAGTAGTTTAAGTAAAAACAGGCTGTATTGCAAGGATAAAACCTCGCAGAAGAGAAAAAGCTGAGTTCTTGGGAATTGGAAAGTTGTCAGGTGGTACTCTCTCCTCCCTCCTTCACTCCCCTTTTCCCTCTCATTATTTTCTCTCTTCTGTTTCTCTACCTCCTTCTCCCTGCATCTCTTTTCTCTTTCTGTCTCTCTCATTCTCTCCATGCCTTTTCTTCTCCTCCCTGCTTTAATTTTCTCTACTCCTCTTTTCTTGTTCTCCTATATGTATCCCTCCTTTCCTCCTTCCCTCTGTCCTCCTTCCTCTCTACAGCATTCCAACTTTCCTTGCCCTCTCTTCATCCCTCATCCCCTTGTCTCCTCTTCCCTCTTTTTTGCCTTTCCTTCTTTCTTCCCTTCTTTTCCTCTCCCCTTCCCTCTGCCTTTTTTTATATGTCTCCCTTTCTTTTTCTATTTCTCCATAATCTCGTATCATTTTTACTATGTGTGCTTTTTTTCTTTCTTTCTTTTTTTTTTTTTTTACCCTTCTCTTGTGAAGGATGCCTACTTTTTCCCCCTAACTTCTCTCTTAGGCTGTTATCAACTCTGGCCCCAGTTCTAAGTGGGCTTTAACAGGTTCAGGCCTACTGTGTTTATAGGAGAAATTGCAAAGTGGCTAACCATAGCCGAATTTGGCTTACAAATGTGTTTTGCTTGATCCAGTCTCTGATTCTCCTAGGTTTAATTGTTGGTCATAAATTTAAAATATAGAAGAAGTATAGGTTGGCTCAAACAAAACACTTTTCTACACTTCAATAGTCCAGAACATACCTTTGCATATTACAGAGTAGTCTCAAAGTGGATACTCATTGTAATGAATTATGAAGAAAATATAAAACTTTATTCAGATATTTCAGAAGTCAGAAGCATTCTTTATAAATATTTCAATAAAATATTTTTTAAAGATGCTTAAAATATAAGCTCTAGACATGTAGAAAATTTGGATATGAGGAAAATCACATTTCAGGGAATTTTAATGAAAAGTTAATTATATTAAATAAAAATAAAGCTGAATTGTTAACTTTCTTTTTTTCTCTTTTTCTTTTTTTTTTTTGAGGCGGAGTCTTGTTCTATTGCCCAGACTGGAGTGCAGTGGCGTGATCTCAGCTCACTGCAACCTCTGCCTCCTGGGTTCAAGCGATTCTCCTGCCTCAGCCTCCCAAACAGCTGGGATTACAGGTGCCCACCATCATGTCCGACTAATTTTTGTATTTTTGTTTTTTTTAGTAGAGATGGGTTTTTGCCATGTTGGCGGTGCTGGCCTCTAACTCCTGACCTTAAGTGATCCGCCTGCCTCAGCCCCCCAAAGTGCTGGGATTACAGGCATGAGCCACTGCGTCCGGCTGAATTGTTAACTTTCTTTCATTGTTTTAGAAGAAACATAACGTAAGTATAAGATGCCCAAACATAAATATAAGATGCCCTAGCTTTTGATGCAGTAGAATCCAACAGATCCTAACACACTAACACTTTTAAAATTAGAGTTTTAAATGATACAAAAAGTATTGGAGATCAGCATTAACATCATTCTATACTAACAAGAATGAAACTGTTCCAATAAGTAGCTAAAAGACAAACTTCCTTCTGTCCATGGACATAAATTAGCAAGTTTTTTTTTTGTAGGGGGGTGGGGGCAGGGTCTCACTCTGTCGCCCAGGCTGGAGTGCAGTGGCACAATCTCTGCTCACTGTAGCCTCAGCCTCCTGGACTTAAGTTATCCTCCCAACTCACTCCCTCCCCTACCAAGTAGCTGGGACTACAGGTGTGCACCACCACACCCAGCTATAAATTAGCAATTCTTATATTCCTAACTAGTTACTTGTAAGAATGAATAGTGTGGATTTGTTTTCATTCCCCAGCTAGTTCTAATATCCTTTAAGGCAGACTCAAATTTCTTCTGTCCTCTTGAATTGTGAAGCATCATATTTTTCACATTGTGCATGCTCAACAAATGCTTATGATTAATAAACTGACTGATACGGTAGTTTGCAAGTGGGACCCTAGCAAACATAATTCTTTCCAAATGTGCTGCATACATGTAAATTGCAACCATTTCTTTGGGCAAGAATCATAAATTAAGCTCCCCCAAATATTCAGCTGAGTAATTTTTAATAGTTTTTTTTTAATTATAAAGCTAATCATTATCTTTGCAAAATTATCAGGAAATAAAAAATATAAAGAAGAAGATAATGTCACTTGTAATATCATTACCTGGAGATTTACTAATTTTTTGGTACACAGTATCTTCTAGATTTTTTCTTTGAAAACACTTGTAAATAAATGCACAGTTAATTTTTTAATTTTTCATCTTTACTTGGATATAATTGACAAATATAAATTGTACATATTGAAGACTTATAACTTGATGTTTTGATATATGTATTCATTATGAAAATATCATCGTAATCAAATTAGTTAACATAACCATCACCTCATGTAGTTACCTTTTTTTGTGTGTGGTGAGAGCTCTACCCTCTCAGTACATTTCAGGTATACAATATGGATTTGTTAACTGTAGTTACCATGCTGTACATTAGATCTCAAGAATTTATTCATCTTCTATAACTGAAACTTTGTATTCTTTGACCAGTATCTCTCCATTTTCCTCACCTTCCATACCCTGGCAACCACTGTTCTACTCTCTGCTTCTGTAAGTTTCACTATTTTAGATTCTACGTATAAGTATGATCATGCAGTATTTGTCTTTCTGTGTTAGCTTACGTCATTCAGCATAATGTTCTCCATGTTCATCCATGTTGTCCCAAATGAGAGGATTTCCTTCCTTTCTAAGGCTTAGTAATATTCCATTCTATACATTTCACATTTTCCTTATTCATTTATCTTTGGATAGACACTTAGGTTGTTTCCATCTTAGGTATTGTGAATAATGCTACAATGAGCATACAAGTGCAAATATCTCTTTGAGTTACTAATCTTTAATTTGGATATGCTTTGGTGTGAAATGCCCCCCAAAATTCCTGTGTTGAAATGTAATCCCCATTATTGTGGTGTTAAGAAGTGTGACCTTTGGGAGGTGATTAATTCATGAGGACTTTGACCTAGTGAATGGGATTGGCATCCTTACAAAAGGGTTGCAGGTTGAAGGGAGTACTCTCTTGCCCTTCTGTCCTCTCAGCTACATGAAGGCATAGCAATCCTCCTCTCGGGAGGATGTAGCAACAAGGCACCATCCTGGAAGCAGAGAACAATCCTCACCAAACACCAATCTTGCCAATGCCTTGATCTTAGATTTCCCAGCTTCCAGAACATGAGAAATAAATTTCTACTGTTAAAATACTCAGCCCGTGGTATTTTCTTATTCAAATGGATTAAGACAGAATGTATACCCAGAAGTAAGACTGTGGGATCATACGGTAGTAATATTTTTAAATTTTTGAGGACCCTCCATTCTATTTTCCTTAATGGCTGTACCAATTTCTATTCTCATCAACTGTGTACAAGTTTCCCTTTTCTCTACATCCTCATCAACACTTGCTTTATTTTGTCTTTTTGATACTAACTGTCCTAACAGGTATGTGGTGTTATCTCACTGTGGTTTTGATTTGCATTTATCTGATGATTAGTGATGTTGAACATTTTTTCAAATGCTTGCTGGACATATGTATATCTTCTTTTGAGAAATGTGTATTCAGGTCTTAGTTCATTTTTCAATCACATTACTTGTTTTTTTGATATTGAGTTTTTTTAGTTCCTTATATATTTTGCTTTTAACAATTTTTTTTAAATTAAAAAAAATTTTAAATAGAGACAGGGTCTCACTTTGTTGTCCAGATTTGTCTCAAACTCCTGGGCTCAAGTGATCTTCCCACCTCAGCCTTACAAAGTCCTAGGATTACAGGTCTGAGTCACTGTGTCCAGCTGAGTTCCTTATATATTTTGGATATTGTACCCTTATCAGATATTTAGTTTGCAAATATTTTATTATTGTTATTGAAAATGGAATTATTTTCTTAATTTCCTTTTAGATAGTTCATTATTTGTGTATAAAAATGCCACTAATTTTTGTATGTTAATTTTATATCCCACAACTTATTTAAGTTTGTTCTAACAGTTTTTTGTTTAGTCTTTAATGTTTTCTACATATATGATACTGTCATCTACAAACAGTGATAATTTTTCTTCTGCCTTTCCTGTTTGGATGTATTTTCTTTTTCTTTCTTCCTTTCTTTCTTTCTTTTTTTTTTTTTTTTTTGTCTAATTGCTCTGGCTATGACTAGTGTATGTTGACTAGAATTAGTAAGAATAGGCATTCTTTCCTTGTACTGGATCTTAGAGGGAAAGCTTCCAGTTTTTCCCCATTGATTATGATGTTTTCTGTGGGCTTTTCATATATGTCTTTATTGTGTTGAGATAAGTACCTTCTATACCTATTTTATTGAGAGTTTATTTTTTATTACGAATGGATGTTGAAATTTGTCACATGCTTTTTCTATATTTATTGAGATGATCATGTGGTTTTTATGTTTCCTTCTGCTAATGTGGTATACCATACCAATTGTTATTTGCAAACCAAACATCTGAACCATCCTTGCATCTCAGGGAGAAATCCCACTTGATCATGGTGTATAATCCTTTCAATTGCTGTGGAATTTGGTTTGCTAGATTTTATTGAGGATTTTTGCATTTGTGTTCATTGGGGATATTGACCTATTGTGTTCTTTTCTTGGAGTCTTTGTCTGGTATCATGGTTATCCTGGTTTTGGTAGTATGGTGATGCTGGTATAACAATTCCTGTTTTCTTTTGGTTACCATTTGCATGAGATATCTTTCTGCATCCCTTCACCTTCAGCCTGTGTGTCCTTAAATCTAAAGTGAGTCTTTTGTGGACATCATGTAGTTAGGTCTTGTTTTTATTTTTGTTTTTAAATCCATTTAGCCAATCCATGTCTTTTGTTTGGGGAGTTTAGCCCATTGGCCTTCAAAGTAATTTTTGATAGGTAAGAATTTACTCTTGCCATTTTGTTAATTGTTTTCTGCCTGTTTTGTAGTTACCTTTTTCCTGTCTTCTCTTGTTGCCTTTCTTCTCTTGTGGTTTGCTAACGTTTTTGTGGTGGTATGCTTTGATTCTTTTCTCCTTATTTTTTGTCTATCTAGTGTACATTTTTTCGTGGTTACTATGGAGTTTACATTAAACCTTTTCTAGATATAGAAATATGTTTTAGGCTGATAACCACTTAACTTCAATCACATACATACATACTGCATATTTTATTTCCCCTCCACACACTTTATGTAATTGATGTCAGATTTTGCCTCTTTCTACATTGTGTTTTCATTACAAATTTTTGTGGTTATAGTTATTCTGACTAATTTTGTATTCTGATTTATATATGAGTGTTAACAGTAATTTTATTGCCACAGTTACAGTATTATATGTTTGTGTTGTTTACCTTTATAAAAGTGAGATTTATACTTTCATATGCTTTCATGCTGTTGTTTAATGTCTTTTTATTTCAACTTGAAGAACTTCCTTTAGCACTTTTTGTAAGGCAGGTCTAGTGGTGACAAATTCCCTTAGTTTTTATTTGTCTGGGAAAGTCTTTATCTTTCCTTCATTATTAAAAAACAATTTTGGCAGATAAAGTCTTCTTGGTTGGCAGGTTTTTTTGTTTGTTTGTTTCAGCGCTTTTAACATATAATCCCACTCTTTCCCAATCTGTAATGTTTCTGCTGAGAACTTTACTGATCTGTAATGTTTCTACTGAGAAGTCTGATTTGGGTTTTTTTTTCTATTTGATAAATCACTTTTCTCTTGCTGCTTTAAGAATTCTTTTTTGTTTTTGTCTTTGGCCTTTGATAATTTAGTTATAATGTCTCATGGTAGATCTCATTGGCTTCAATCTATTTGGGGATCTTTGGGCTTCATGAATCAGGATGTTCATTCCACTTTCTAGGTTTGGGAAGTTTTTAGCCAGTATTTCTTTAAATAGGCTTTCTCTCTCTTTCTCTTTCTCTTCTCCTTCTGATAAGGCCATAATGTGTATATTGGTTCACTTGATGGTGTCCCCCATTAGTTCTATACTTTTTTCATTTTTTTTCCTTTTGTTCTTCTAACTAGATATGTTCAAATCTGTCTTTGAGTTCATGGACTTCTTCTTCTACATGACTGAGTCTGTTGTTAAACTTTTTATTGAGCTTTCATTCTTTTTGCTCCAGGATTTCTATTAGGTTCTTTTACATAGTTTCTATTTTCTTTGCTGCACTTCTTATTTTTGTTCATATATTGTTTCCCCCAGTTCATTTAGTTGTTTATCTGTGTTCTTTTGTAGCTCATTGAGCTTCTTTAAGAAAATTATTTTGAATTCTTTGTCAAACAGTTAATAAATCTCCATTTCTTTAGGGTCAGTTACTGGAGCTTATTAGTTTGCTTTGCTGGTATCGTGTTTGCTTGATTCTTCATGATCTGTGTAGCCTTGAGTTGGTGCCTGTGAACTTGAAGAAGTAAACGTCTTTTCCAGTCTTTACAGGCTGGCTTGGCAGACCTCCTTCTACTGTGGACTTGAAGTGATGGGACTGTCTCCTAGGATCATGGTTTACCAAGGGTGGAGTTGTGTCATGTCATTGCTGCTGAGTCTGCATTTAGGTCTACCATTGGTGAGCCTGATACTGGGGACATAGGCAGGTGTGTATCCTGAGGAATGGGACTGCCTCTGTAACCATGGTCAAGCAGGGCTGGAGCCAGGTCATGAGGCCACTTCTGGTCTGCAGTTGGACCCACAGATGGCAAGACTCTACCAGAGTCACAGATGGTTGTGGCTCCTGCTGCGTCCTTGGGTGAGCTCCTTTTGGGCTCTGGATGGGTTGCTGAGTGGGCAGGACTGCTCTGGGACTGCAGTACAGCAGAGTTGGATCTAGGTCACAGGGCTCCTTCACAGTCTAGTTAGGTCCGTGCTTGGCTGGCCTTTTACCAGGGGCACAGATGAGTGTGGCTCCTCCCTTCATGGTCCCTTGGTGGAAGGGGCTAGTGGCAGGACTGTGGAAAAGTGGGGCTGGAGCCAAGTCCACAGGGATACAGGGCTGCTTCTTGTCTGCAGCCAGGACCATGGTCACTGAGCCTGCCACTGGGATGTGAGCCTGTTTTCTCAAAGCAACCCTCTTGGTCTTGTGTTCCACCAATTCTTTGCAACCTTCTACTAGGATCCCAAAGTTCTCTCAAAGGCACTTTTGTCCATGGATGGCTGACAAATTATTATTTCTCTTGGTGTGGAGGGTGGGCATAAGCTGGGGTCTCCTATTCTGTCATCTTGCTGTTCATCTCTTGGCATACATTTTTAAAATACAAAAATGAGATCACTTTATACATACAGTTTTATAACTGTCTTTTCCATTTAGCCATATGTTAGGGACAGCTTTCCATGTCAATGAATATAGGTCTATATATTCATATAATATAAATATCATTCCATGTACTGTATTTTATTTAATCAATCCTTTTTTGTTGATTTTAAGGCATTTACATGTTTTCTATTATAAACAATGTATAGTTGAACATCATATACCTTTCTTTAGAAAAAAATTTCCAAAACAGAATTGCACAACAAGCTCCAAGCATGAGATCAATAAATACTTGTTGAATAATCATCAACTATATGACTAATAATGGGGACACAACTATTGTTTAACTCATTTGAAATGGTTAATCTTTTAGACATATGAAGATATATTATAAAAGTGTGTATATACACATATATTGCATATAGTAGCTGGGACTACAGGCGCACACCACTCTGCCTGGCTAATTTTTCTGTTTTTTGTAGAGACAAAGTTTCGCCACGTGCCCAGCTGGTCTCAAACTCTTGAGCTCAAATGATTCGCCTGCCTTGGCCACCCAAAGTGCTGGAATTACAGGCATTAGTCACTATACCTGGTCTATAAAAGTATATTTTTGAAGTCTTTCTAGTAGCTTCACTGACAAATATTTTGAGATGCTTATTCAGAGAGAATATTTGTGGTCTAAAGTTTGGGAGAGACCCAATATGCTGTTAATCCCAGCACTTTGGGAGGCCTAGGCAGGCAGATCACTTGAGCTCAGTTCAAGACCAGCCTGGGTAACATGGTGAAACCCTGTCTCTAGCAAAAATAAAAAAACTTAGCTTCACATGGTGGCACACATCTGTGGTCCTAGTTACTTAGGAGGCTGAGGAGGGAAGATTGCTTGAGCTCAGGGTGCAGAGGTTGCAGTGAGCCGAGATTCTGCCACTGCATTCCTGCCTGAGTGACAGAGTGAGACCCCATTTCAAAAAAAAAAAAAAAAAAATATATATATATATATATATATATATATATACACACTGTTAACTATCAAATATTAATAGCAATATATACTGTGGGGAAATAACAAACCACAGTTTTTCTTGTGGTTGATATTAGCAGCAGTGTCATATATTAATAGTGTCCCTTACCAATGATTTAAATATTTTAAAAATAGAGATGATAATCTCAGAGTTGTTGAGAGGGTTAAGTGAGATAATCCAAGGTGCTTGTCAATGGTAAGCAGGTAAAAAATATCTGTCTTACTTCCTAGCATTCCTAATGATGCCCTACTCCTAGCAGGTACTCATTAATGCTGTGGAGATACTGGAGTGTTCAATCATAACATATTAACAATGACCATTAGATTTCATTTCATATTCAGATAGAGTTTTGTATACTTTTGAGTGTAATCAAATGACTACATAAAGCTACACTAATTTTATTGCTTGTTAAAAGGAAGACAATCATTGAAAAGTATGAATTACAGGTTTTTTAAAAAGTAAAGATAGTTTTCCTTCTTTCTTTCTTTCTTTCTTTCTTTTTTTTTTTGAGACGGAGTCTGGCTCAGTCACCCCAGCTGGAGTGCAGTGGTGCAATCTCGGCTCATTGCAACCTCTGCCTCCGGGGTTCACACCATTCTCCTGCCTCAGCCTCCCGAGTAGCTGGGACTACAGGCTCCAGCCACTACGCCCGGCTAATTTTTTGTATTTTTAGTAGAGACAAGGTTTCACCATGTTTGCCAGGATGGTCTCGATCTCTTGACCTCGTGATCCACCCACCTCTGCCTCCCAAAGTGCTGGGATTACAGGCGTGAGCCAGCACGCTCGGCCCATAGTTGTATTTCTTTTAAATTCATCTAATAACTATAAATAGTCTAAAATTCAATAAATTCTTTGGGGGAATATATTTTATCATATAAGTAACACTTTTTTTTTTTTTTTGAGACAGAGTCTCGCTCTGTCACCTAGGCTGGAGTGCAGTGGCGCAATCTCTGTTCACTGAGACCTCCACCTCCCAGGTTGAAGTGATTCTCCTGCCTCAGCCTCTCGAGTAGCTGGGACTACAGGCGCCTGCCACCACGCCCGGCTAATTTTTTGTATTTTTAGTAGAGACGGGGTTTCACCACGTTAGCCGGGATGGTCTCAATCTCCTGATGTCGTGATCCGCCCGCCTCGGCCTCCCAAAGTGCTGGGATTACAGGCGTGAGCCACTGTGCCCAGCCTACTACTTTGTTTTGTTTTGTTTTTTAACTTACCAGTTGCAAGTAAGTTATCGTGTGCAACTAAAACTTTTTCTTTTTTGGCCAGGTATGATGTTTCACACCTGTAATCTCAGCATTTTGGGAGGCTGACGTGGGAGCATTGCTTGAGCTCAGGAGTTCAAGACAAGCCTGGGCAGCATAGTGAGACCCCTGTCTTTCCAAAAAAATTTTCTTTTAATTAATGGAGCATGTTAGCACATGTCTGCAGTCCCAGCTACTTGGGAGGCTGAGGTGGGAGGATCCCTTGATCCTGGGAATTTGAGGTTACAGTGAGCCCAGATTACACCACTGAACTCCAGACTGGTTGACAGAGTAAGACCCTGTCTCAAAAAACAAAACAAAACAGAAAACTCAAAGTAACCCCTTTTCCCTCTGAAATCTTATTCTCTTAGAGAATCTTTTACTCACAATTAAAGGCAAAATTTATCAACCCAGATTCTTTAAAGTATAGGTCGACTTAATGTGATTTTCTCACTCTGTATGTTTTTATATAAGCTGGATAAAAGAAAAATGGGGAAAAAAACTATCTTTTCCTTGAGACCATTTAAATTTTAATTTTAAACCTCACATGGAAAGCAATGTTCAGTTTGAAATGAGACATTGTAAAGCAATGTATTAGAGATCCTGGGGCAATTTCAGTCTAATTCAACTAATAAATATTGAGTGCATATTATGAGTTCAACACTGTGTTGGGAATACAAAGACAAATTTAATTTGGATGTTAATGCTGGGAGAGAATTTAGGAATAATTTAATACAAACCCTTCAATAGACAGAGGAGGAAATTAAAGGTTCTGGGAGATGAAGTCACTTTCTCACAGTTAGTAGATAAGTAATAGAGCCAAGATTAGAACACTTCCAATTTGGTATTCCTTGCGTTGCCTCACACTCGCTGCTCCAAGGTTTTACAAAAGATACAGTTTTTACATTGGCTAGAACTCATGTGGCTGGGCTATCCCAACAAAGCAGGTCGGGAAAATTTCCGTGATAGTCAGCATCTCAAAATAGCAGCTAGTCACTGCAGCTTTGTTCCCAACTCTGCAAGAATGAAAGAAATTCTAATTATACAACTGGCACTGGACAAATAGTCCCTCTCAACAAACATTTGAGAGCTAACTATGTGCCTGGTTCTGTGCTATACCTTAGGAATATAAAATAGACCCCAAACAATCCTTGTCTTTAAAAAATTAATATTGTAGTGAAGGAAATAAACCTATGAAGAGATAACTTCAGTAACATTACATAGCCAAAACCAATGCCTAGGAAAACGCATTCCAATTTTGTTTTCTTTTTTTCATCATTTTTTGTTAAAATTTTGTTATAGTGAGAGTGTTTTGGCCAGGACACAAATACCCAGATCTTTCTTCAACACCCCTCCAAGAAGTTCCTGTGGCAGAAATTTGCAAAAGAAACCATGGCAAAGCAAAGC